>NC_000007.14:72506779-75006779 GCF_000001405.40 Homo sapiens | reverse complement strand
AAGAGAGCATGTGCAGGGGAACTACCCTTTATAAAACCATCAGATCTCGTGAGACTTATTCACTGCCAGGAGAACAGTATGAGGGAGACCACCCCCATGATTCAATTATCTCCACCTGCCCCCACCCTTGACACGTGGGGATTATTACAATTCAAGGTGAGATTTGGGTGGGACACAGCCAAACCATATCACCAGGCAAAGGGCAAGTATCACTCTCTCAAAAGATGCAAATGGAAAAGGGATCTTTGAGTGGACAGTGTTGCAGGGGATGGGGGTGGCTGGTGTATCCATGGGTCACCCTTCTCCCTGGCCTCCTCTCCTGCCAGCTGCCCTGCAGCCCCCTCATCTATAGAACCTCTCCAGCTCCTTTTCAAAACTTATTCCTGAAAATTTTCACAAGGATATGGAGCCACTGGAACTCTCTCATGCTGCTGGTGGGAGTACAAAATGGCCCAGCCCTTCAAACATTCATTTGGCAGTTTCTTTCTTCTTTTTAGAGTCAGGGTCTTGCTCCATCACCTAGTCTGGAGTGCAGTGATGCAATCACAGCTCATGGAAGCCTTGAACGCCTGGGCTCAAGCAATCCCCCTGCCTCAGTCTCCTGAGTAGCTGGAACTACAGGCACACAATACCATGTCCAGCTAAATTTTTTGAGACAGTCTCTCACCCTGTCACCGAGGCTAGTGCAGTGGCATGATCTCAGCTCACTGCAACCTCCGCCTCCCAGGTTCAAGTGATTTTCCTGCCTCAGCCTCCCCAGTAGCTGGGCTTACAGGCGCCCACCACCACATCTGGCTAATTTTTGTATTTTTAGTGAAGACAAGGTTTCTCCATGTTGGCCAGGCTGGTCTCGAACTCCTTACTTCAAGTGATCCACCCGCCTCAGCATCCCAAAGTGCTGGGATTATAGGCATGAGCCACTGTGCCCAGACTGTCCAGCTAGTTTTTAAAGTTGTTTTTGTAGAGATCAGGTCTTGCTGTGTTGTCGTCTTGAACTCTTGTCCTCAAGCAATCCTCCCTCTTTGGCTTTCCAAAGTGCTGGGATTACATTTGTAAGCCACTGCACCCAGCCGGCAATTTCTTATAAAGTTCAGCACACATTGACCACCCAGCCTCAGCTATCCTGCTCCTGGGTATTCATCCGCGAGAAGTGAGAACAGGTGCCCGCACAAAGACTTAGGTGCAAATACATATTGCCTGTTTGTATTTGCCCTAAATTGGAAACAACAATGGACACAATTTTTGTTTCCTAAATTGGAAACAAAAAGGACAAAGAATGTCCTTCCTTCAACTGGAGAGAGGATAAACTAAGGCATGTCCACATGAGGAAATACGGGTCAGCAATTAAAAGGAATAAACTACTGATTCGTGCATTAACATGGGTAGATCTAAAGTGCATTTTGCTAAGTTAAAGCAGCCAAGCTCAAAAGATTCTATACTGTATGTTTCTATTCATATGACATTCTGGAGAGGCCAAACTATAGGGACAAATGATTAGCAGTTATCAGGGGACGGGTAGACACTGACTAGAGAGGGGCACTGGGAAATTCTGGGGGGATGGGCCTCTTGAGTGTGGCAGTGGTTACAAGATCATATAAATTCACATAAATTTAGGCCGGGTGCGGTGGCTCACGCCTGTAATCCCAGCACTTTGCGAGGCAGTGGTGGTTGGATCACCTGAGGTCAGGAGTTCGAGACCAGCCTGGCCAACATGGTGAAACCCTGTCTCTACAAAAAAATGCAAAAATTAGCCAGGCGTGGCAGTGGGCACCTGTAATCCCAACTACTGGGGAGGCAGAGGCAGAAGACTCACTTGAACCCGGGAGGTGGAGGTTGCAATGAGCCAAGATCACGCCACTACACTCCAGCCTGGGTGACTAGATTCAGACTCCACCTCAAAAAAACAAAAAAACCTCACAAGATCATACAAATTTGTCAAAACCCAAAGAACTATCTGCTAAAAAGGGGTGAATTTGTGAATTACGCTGTATGTAAGTCATACCTTGATAAACTTGAATGTAAAGAAAATGCTTGGCCTGCTGCGGTGGCTCATGCCTGTAATCCCAGCATTTTGGGAGGCTGAGGTGGGCGGATCACTCGAGGTCAGGAGTTTGAGACCAGCCTGGCCAACATGGCAAAACCCCAATTCTACTAAAAATATAAAAATTAGCCCGGCGTGGTGGTGGGCGTCTGTAATCCCAGCCACTTGGGAGGCTGAGGCAGGAGAATTACTTGAACCTGGGAGGTTGCTGTGAGCTGAGATCGTGCCACTGCACTCCAGCCTAGGCAACAGAGCCACTCCATCTCGGGGGGAAAAAAAAAAAAAAGCCTGTGCTAGGGTCATCCATGAGGTGGCCTCTCTCCCCCTGGGAGGGGCGTAAGGCATTCTGCTGGAACAACCACCCACGCTCATCAATTTCCCTCTGGCTCTTCGGTTTTCAAATTACGTCTCAGTCCCTGCCTGTCCCATATCCAATTTGCAAGTATTGCCTGGACACGTGAAATCTATAATTGCTTTGAGGACAACAGCAAATTATCACCACAGTAAGTGGCAATCACTGGTCAGGCCCGGACCCTTCCTAGGGACCCCCAGGAACTCAGAAAGAGCCCTGGACTCCCACAGTCACCAGACTGCCATGAGCTGGTACTCCCTGGGTGGGGCGGGGCTGCCCAGCTGCCCGAGAGCCCCGGGGAGGCAAACAGACGCGGCCCTTGCTCCCGGCGCCCTCGGCTCTGAGGGACACTCCAGAAATAGACCGCACAAATTATTCCGGAGGGCATAAACACCAGCAGAAGGCAACAGCGGCCTGTGTGTAAATGGAGTATAAATATGTTGTTGAAGTGACCTGTCCCCAGGGGCTGAGCTAGGGGACATCTCGGAATGTGCACCTTGGCACGGGTGGGCTTCGGGGAGGGCAGATTAGCCAGAGGCACCGGCTGCCGTTGCTCTGGTCACTACCCTCAGGAGTCAGCCCCCAGACTCCTCCCTCTCCTTGACCTCCTTGTTGTTGTTGTTTTCTGTTTTTTTTTTGAGATGGAGTCTCGCTCTGTTACCCAGGCTGAGTGCAGTGGCGCAATCTCGGCTCACTGCAAGCTCCGCCTCCTGGGTTCACGCCATTCTCCTGCCTCAGCCTCCAGAGTAGCTGAGACTACAGGCGCACGCCACCACGCCCAACTAATTTTTTGTATTTTTAGTAGAGACAGGGTTTCATCGTGTTAGCCAGGATGGTCTCGATCTCCTGACCTCGTGATCTGCCCGCCTCGGCCTCCCAAAGTGCTGGGATTATAGGCGTGAGCCACCATGCCCGGCCTTTTTTTTTTTTCTTTTTTGAGACAGGCTCTTGCTCTGTTGCCCAGGCTGGAGTGCAGTGGCATGATCTTGGCTCACTGTGGCCTTGCCTCCTGGGCTCAAGCAATCCTCCTAGCTCAGCCTCCCAACTAGCTTGGACTACAGGCGTGCATTACCCAAGCCCAGCCGGCTAATTTTTTATTTTTTGTAGAGACAGGGTCTCACTATGTTGCCCCGACTGGTCTTGCACTCCTGAGCTCAAGTGATCCTTCTGCCTTGGCCTCCCAAAGTGCTCGGATTATAGGAGTGAGTCACTGCGCCCAGCCCACACCACTTCTTAATTCAAGCTACAGGTCCCCCTTTGCCTTTGGATTACATCTGCTGTGTTTCTTGTCTTATCAAGCTTAACCCTCCTGTCCTTGCTTCTTGAAGTCATCCCCCTATTGCCGGGCAGTTGGCCATTCCCCAGTCCAAGCACAGCACCCCCTTGCAGGCCATCCTTAGCCTCCCAAGTACCCGGGATTACAGGTGCACACCACCACACCCAGCTAATTTTTTAAATTTTTATAGAGATGGGATCTTGCTATGTTGCCCAGGCGGGTCTTGAACTCCTGGCCTCAAGTGATCCTCCCACCTCCACCTCCCAAAGTGCTGGGATTATGGGTGTGAGCCACTCCACAGGACCCCATGTCTTCTATACTCGAAGGTCACTCTGAGATCCGTTTTCGCCTCTCCACCACTCCCCACAAAGCAAACTCAAGGCTGGACTACCCTCCTGTCTTGTCTCCCTCTTCCACTCCTGGCCTCAACGCCCCTGCCTCCACAGTCTCATGCCTCCAACAGTGACGAATGTTCTTTCTTTTTTATTTGAGATGAAGTTTTGCTCTTGTTGCCCAGGCTGGAGTGCAGTGGTGCCATCTTGGCTCACTGCAACCTCTGCCTCTGGGGTTCAAGAGATTCTCCAGCCTCAGCCTCCCAGGTAGCTGGGATTACAGGCGCCTGCCACCACATCCAGCTAATTTTTTGGAGTTTTTAGCAGAGACAGGGTTTCACCATGTTGGCCAGGCTGGTCTCAAACTCCTGACCTCAGAAGATCCACCCGCCTCAGCCTCCCAAAGTGCTGGGATTACAGGCATGACCCACCTCGCCCAGCCTAAATGTTCTTTCAGCTACCCAGCATAGCCTCCCAACTTTGTTGGCTGAAGATTTCATGTTCATCCTTTAAGACTCAGTTCAAACATCTCCTCTGGGGTAAAACCTTTCCTGGCCAGGCATGGTGGCTCATACCTGTAATCCCAGAACTTTGGGAGGTGGAGGTGAATGGATCTCTTGAGGTTGGGAGTTTGAGACCAGTCTGGCCAACATGGTGAAACCCTGTCTCTACTAAAAATTCAAAAAATAAAATAAAATAAAATAAAACCCTGCCTGATCAACACCAGCCACTTCCTTTCCCTCATCTCCCATCATAGAGGTTGTCCTCCTTTGACAGCCTACAGCCCCACACTATGTCTATTGGATGACTTTCAGGCCACTGTGGACAGCTGGGCTGGTGGTGCATCACAGCCCAAGGATACAGTTCATCTCACAGTCCTATGTGAAGTATGCCCTTAGAGTTGTGCAGTGCACAACCCATCCAACTGCGCATGACAGTGCCGAGTGCTTCCCACAAACTATTACAAATCATACTTTAAGGGTCTACTTCCCTCAGTAGACCACAGCTCTCAGAAGCAAGGACAGAGGGTCCTCCGTACACACACCTTGTATCTGACACTGGCTGGGCATGGAATCAACACTCAAGGATTGCTGAGCGAAAGGATGGACTGTGGCCACACACTTGCCTTCAAAATCAGAGAAGCCTCAAAGAGAACAAACCCTGTCCGCCCTCATGTGGTATCACCTTGACTTAACCCTCCTCTTGGAGAAGCTAAGGTCTCCAGTTCTAATTCTCTCTCCGCCTTTTCTAATGAGTCATGGCCAGGTCCACACCCCAGATGCCGGGCCCCCGGGGTTTGTGGCCTCTCTGTACTCTGCCTACAAAGAGCTGGAAAGAGGAGCAAATGCCAGAAAGTACCCAGTGTGGGTGCTAAGTGCTGTTAAAAAACTCCAGGTGGGAGGCCGGGCGCAGTGGCTCACATCTGTAATCTCAGCACTTGTGGAGGCCAAGGCAGGGGTATCACTTGAGCCCAGGAGTTTGAGACCAGCCTGGGCAACATGGTAAGACTCCATCTCTACAAAAAAATTTAAAAATTACCTGAGCATGGTGGTGTGCCCCTGTAGTCTCAGCTACTCAGGAGGCAGAGGTGGGAGGATCACTTGGGCCTGGGAGGCGGAGGTTGCAGTGAGCCGTGATTGCACCACTGCACTCCAGGCTGGGTGACACAGTGAGATCCTGTCTTAAAAAAATAAAATAAAAGATGCAGGCTTGATTCCTGCAGGGTCACCATGCCCTGTGTCAGCCAGACTCTGCCAAGGTCACCTGCTAGCTTGCCTGGGAACAAGCCAGGACCTTTGGAATTAACGGCCTGGCCTGCCGGGTGCGGTGGATCATGCCTGTAATGCCAGCACTTTGGGAGGCAGAGGCAGGTGGCTCACCTGAGGTCAGGAGTTCGAGACCAGCCTGGCCAACATGGTGAAACCCCATCTCTACCTCTACTAAAAATACAAAAAATTAGCCAGGTGTGGTGGTGCACACCTGTAGTCCCAGCTACTCGGGAGGCTGATGCAGAATTGCTTGAACCGGGGAGGTGGAGACTGCAGTTGAGTCGAGATTGTGCCACTGCACTCCAGACTGGGTGACAGAGCGAGACTCCATCTCAAAAACAAACAAACAAACAAAAAAGAGCCTGGCCAGCGGGGTTTTGAAACAAGCCCAGAGCCTTCACTGCTCAAGTGACCCACCCACCCAAACCAGAGAGGCTCTGCAAACATGCCCCAAGACAGGTGTCTTGGATGTTATGGGCGCCTGTTTACAAAACATTCTCGGGCCTTACTTAAAGCAGGTCCTTTCTCAGCCCACTTGGGATTACAGCACCAGCCTGGAAGGACAGGGGTGTTTCTTGCAAAGTGTGGCCCGTTCTGTCTGGAATGAGGGAGTTTGGCCACATCTCCTGCAGCCTATCCAAGTGAGGGAATGAAGGGATCAGGGCCTCACCTGCTTCTGGAGACCGCCCACCCCTGCCCCTGCCAGCCAACTTCTGGCTGCCTCCCTGCTGATGTTTTACTGATGTGGCTAATAGTAGCATTCATGCATTCATTCATTCCTTTAGAGACAGTGTCTTGCTCTGTCACCCAGGCTGGAGTGCACTGGCATGATCATAGTTCACTGCAGCCTCCAACTCCTGGGCTCAAGCGATCCTCCCACCTCAGCCTCCTGAGTAGCTGGGACTATAGATGCACATCACCATGGCTGGCTAATTTTTAAATGTTTGTGGAGACGGGGTCTTGCTATATTGCCCAGGCTGGTCTCGAATTCCTGACCTCAAGCGATCCTCCCAAGCCTCGGCCTCCCAAAGTACTGGGATTACAGTTGCGAGCCAGTGCACCCAGCTGACAGGGGCCTTTTAAAACACGCAGTGAGTGGCCGGGCGCAGTGGCTCATGCCTGTAATCCCAGCACTTTGGAAGGCCAAGGCAGGCGGATCACAAGGTCAAGAGATCAAGACCATCCGGGACAAGGTGAAACCCCGTCTCTACTAAAAATACAAAAATTAGCTGGGCATGGTGGTGTGCACCTGTAGTCCCAGCTACTCGGGAGGCTGGGGCGAGAGAATCACTTGAATCTGGGAGGCAGGGGTTGCAGTGAGCCAAGATCACGCCACTGCACTCCAGCTTGGAGACAGAGCGAGATTCCGTCTCAAAAAAAAAAAAAAAAAAAAAAAAAAAAAAAAAAAGCAGTGAGTGATAGAAGTGTTTCGGGGCCACAGTTCATGGGGCTTTTCTTCCCAGAGGAAAATCAGGGGGAGGGTGAGTGCCCAGCTTTGTTCTGCTAACCAGCTGCAGCTTTTTCATCTGTTTCTCCTGGGTTTTCAATGGGTCTCTCCTGTTATTTACATTTCATTTCTCCTGTCCTTAGCAACTAGAAGCTGCCCTTTCAAGTTTTACTTAGAAAAAGGCCCTTAATTGGTTCTGCAATTGGAAGGGCGATCCTGAACAGGAGTTATTTTGCCTTAAGATAGAAAATAAGGTCGGGCGCGGTGGCTCATGCTTGTAATCCCAGCACTTGGGGAAGCCGAGGCGGGTGGATCACGAGGTCAGGAGATCGAGACCATCCTGGCTAACACGGTTAAACCCTGTCTCTACTAAAAAAAATAAAAATAAAAATACAAAAAATTAGCTGGGCATGGTGGCGGGCGCCTGTAGTCCCAGCTACTCGGGAGGCTGAGGCAGGAGAATGGTGTGAGCACAGGAGGTGGAGCTTGCAGTGAGCTGAGATCGCGCCACTGCACCCCAGCCTGGGCAACAGAGCGAGACTCCATCTCAAAAAACAAAAAAAAAAGATAGAAAATAAAATGTGCTTGTGTCACGGGCGACCAGGAGAATCCAATCAGACAGCGTGGGTGATGGTGTTTGGCAAATTCCAGGGTGATTATGGAGAGGCAGCGTTACCAAAGGGGACGGATAGGGCAGAAGAAATCACAAAGATCTGGGGGAAAGCCCCAGGAACCCAGGCTCCCCTCCAGGAGATCTCAGTCCTTGTAGACAAGAGTATACCTTCTGCTTGTCAGGTCTTGGTGCAAAATAATCACTGATTTTGGATCTCCCCAATTCTCATGGTCCCCAGCCCAACTTCCTTTCACCCCCACCAGCCTATCACCTCCCTAGCCATGGTGATATCCATCATAGTACTGAGATTAATCACTTCCACGTCTGTCTGCCTTTTTTTTTTTTTTTTGAGATGGAGTCTCACTGTCGCCCAGGCTGGAGTGCAGTGGTGCGATCTCGGCTCACTGCAACTTCTGTCTCCCATGTTCAAGCGATTCTCCTGCCTCAGCTCCCCGAGTAGCCGGGATTACAGGCGTGTGCCACCATGCCCCGCTAATTTTGTATTTTTAGTAGAGATGGGGTTTCGCCATGTTGGCCAGGCTGGTCTCCAACCCCTGACCTCAGGTGATCCACCCACCTCAGCCTCCCAAAGTGCTGGGATTACAAGTGTGAGCCACCGTGCCCGGCCCCATTTCTGTCTTTGCGAGCAAGAGACAAGGCTGCATCTCCTCCTCCAGGGCCGCCATGCCCAGCACAGGGCTTGGTACGAGGTCTGTAATCAGTGTGACCTTAATGAATGTGCTGTAGAATGATTCCCATTTCACAGACGGGAAAACCGAAGCTTAGTTGGGTTAAAGGAGTTAGCTGCCTGGGGTCTGCCGAGCCGGGGCTGAACTGCCTCTATGGGTTGGGGGCTTTCTGAAGGCAGGGGGGACTTGTAGCATACGCCCCATGACTCAGCATTTCCATTCTGAGACATCCACCCTTTACAGATATGTAACGGGAGACACAGACAAGAGGATCCGTGACAGCCTGTTCTCAGTAACAAAAACCTGGCCACAGCCCAGACGCCCATCAGCAGAAGAGGACATGAAGAATGGCAGAATATTACCCAGCAGGCAACACATGAACCATCCACAGTGTTAAGCAAAGAGATAAACAAGTGTCAGCAATGTCACAGCACTGTGGGTTGAAAAACAAGTCCCCAGACATTGTGTATGGCAGGGTAGACTTTTTACAGAGTTACAAGTACCTATGATTAAAAAAAAAAAACAAAAACACCTGGTCAGGCACAGTGGTTCATGCCTGTAATCCCATCACTTTGGGGAGGCCAAGGCAAGCAGATCACTTGAGGTCAGGAGTTCGAGCCCAGCCTGGCCAACATGGTGAAAACCCATCTCTACTAAAAATACAAAAATTAGCCTGGCATAGTGGCACATGCCTGTAATCCTAGCTACTTGGGGGGCTGAAGCACAAGAATCGCTTGAACCTGGGAGTTCGAGGCTGCAGTGAGCTAAGATCACGCCACTGCTCTCCGGACTAGCAAGACTCTGTCTCAAAAAAAAAAAAAAAGGCAATGCTTTGGAGTTGGCAGTCCGATCCTGTGGTCTTGGGCATATTTACACAGCTCCTGAGCCTGTTCCCCAAACTTCCAAGAGGGGTATCTACTGTCTGCCTTCAGGAACCAGGGTGAGGAATCAATGTCCCTTTGCAGATAAAAGCACCAGGTGACCAGCCTGGGCAACACAGTGAGATCCTGTCTCTACAAAAAATAATCTAAAAAAAAATATTAGCAGGGCCTGGTAACATGCACCTGTAGTCCCAGCTACTCAGGAGGCTGAGGAAGGAGGATTGCTCGAGCCCAGGAGGTCGAGGCTGCAGTGATGAGCTATGATTGCACCACTGCACTCCAACCTAGGTGACAGTGTAAGACCTTGTCTCAAAAATAAAAAATAAAATTAAAAAAGCACCAGGCGGCTGGGCGCGGTGGCTCATGCCTGTAATCCCAGCACTTTGGGAGGCCGAGGGGGGTGGTTCACCTGAGGTCAGGAGTTTGAGACCAACCTGGCCAACATGGTGAAACCCCGTCTCTACTAAAAACACACACAAAAAAATTAGCCGGGCGTGGTGGCAGGCACCTGTAATCCCAGCTACTCAGGAGGCTGAGGCGGAAGAATTGCTTGAACCTGGGAGGCGAAGGTTGCAGTGAGCCGAGATCGCGCCACTGCACTCCAGCCTGGGTGACAGAGTAAGATTCTGTCTCCAAAAAAAAAAAAAAAAAAAAAAAAAAAAAAGCACCAGGCATGCTGTGGTTGCTTTCATAAACAGCATCCATGCATCCATTTCTGGTTTTGGTTAATGGCACGACACTTCCCTGGTCTTTCCCTGACATAACCAGAAGCTCATTCAACCTTCTGTGTTCCTTACACCAGAGCTGAGAACGCACACCGAGACACACAACCTCTGACCTTTCCAAGCATGCAGACAGTTTTGTGTCAACATGCTGAAGACCACAATGGAAATATTTGACCCTAAAGCAACCTGCAGTCCTGCCCTGACACTATGAATTGGGACGCAACATTCTCTGGAGGCCTTGCTATTAAAGGACTTTGGGGACACGCTGGGGCATGGGCTGGAGTTGTTGTCCTGTCACATGGTAACTCTCGGAGTGGCCCTGGTTCCCGGTCACACTCATCTCCTGCGGCCACCACCACTCCAACCCTACCGTGTACTGCTGGCCTGTGGGGCTGGGTGTTCCTGGGGGCCCCTCGGCTGGCCCCATCCTTAGATGACCCCTGCCCAAACTCACCCTCAGCAAAGACATGCAGCTCAGAAATCCCCCTTTCCTGCCACCGGGGCCCATCTACCCATTGCTGGGTGAGCTTAACCCTCCCTCCCCCAGACCTCTTCCACCCCTGCCCCTCTGCCACGCTCAGCACCCCAACACACACCCCAGATTTCCTAAGACACAGACCAACTGGGGAGGGCACCCTCTCAGAAAGTCTCTGATCATTCGCCCATCTTTTTTTTTTGAGATAAGGTCTTGCTCTGTTGCCCAGGCTGGAGTGCAATGGTGCAATCATAGCTCACTGCAGCAGCCTCAGACTTCTGGGCTCAAGTGAGCCTCCCAACTCAGCTTCCCAAGTTGCTGCAACTACAGGTGCACACCACCATGCCTGGCTAATTTTTTTTTTTTTTTTCTGAGATGGAGTCTCGCTCTGTTGCCCAGGCTGGAGCGCAGTGGCGTGATCTCGGCTCACTGCAAGCTCTGCCTCCCAGGTTCATGCCATTCTCCTGCCTCAGCCTCCCAAGTAGCTGGGACTACAGGCGCCTGCCACCACACCTGGCTAAATTTTTTGTATTTTTAGTAGAGACAGGGTTTCACTGTGTTAGCCAGGATGGTCTCGATCTCCTGACCTCGTGACCCGCCCGCCACGGCCTCCCAAAGTGTTGGAATTACAAGTGTGAGCCACCGCACCCGGCCTTTTTTTTTTTTTTCATTTTTTTGTAAAGACAGGGTCTCACTATATTGCTCAGGCTGGTCTCGAACTCCTGGCCTCAAGACATCTTCCCGCCTCGGCCTCCCAAAGTCCTGGGGTTACGTGTGAGCCACTGTGTCAGCCACTGTGCCCGACCTGTCCACCCATCTGATCCCTTCTCTCTGGCCTCAGGAAAACAGCACCCTGGCAAACTCCTTCCCCCTTTCATGACTCTCCCAAGCACCTCCCTGAGCTGTCGGTTTCATACTTGGCTTCTTAGTCTTAGCAATAAATAGGATCAAGTTTCTTATGTCCTAAAAAAAAGAGTCTTCCTTCATCCCCATCTCCTCCTGAGGCCACCTCCTTACCCCGACCCCCTGCCATTGGGCCACCTCCTCAAGCCCTCCAGGGTATCCCGCTCCGTTCATCAGTGACCTCCCTGAGCCCAGCCCGATGACGTCTTCCCTCATGCCTCCCTGCCCTTGACCTGTTGCCTGGACCCACATGGCTGGCCAAGGCCTCCCTGGAATCTGCAATCTCCCGCACGGTCTCCTCTGACGTCTTGGACACTGACAGTCCTCTGCTTCCTGTGGTGGCTGCTCTTCTCCTCCCCAGCGTAGGCAGCTCTCAAGGGGTCCTCTCTCATCTCCTATTACACCCTGTCCCCAGATGCTCACTCCTGGGCTTCCAACCACCGTGGTCCAGGCTCTCCCTGCAGACTTGCACTTCTCTCCCTGCACCCTGGCTTCAACCACCTTGGTTGATTCTTTTTTTTTTTTTGGAGATGGAGTCTTGCTTTGTTGCCTAGGCTGGAGTGCAGCGACACAATCTCGGCTCACCGCAACCTCTGCCTACCAGGTTCAAGCAATTCTCCTGCCTCAGCCTCCCAAGTAGCTGGGATTACAGGCGCCTGCCACCACGCCCGGCTAATTTTCGTATTTTTTAGTAGAGATGGGGTTTCACTATGTTAACCAGGCTGGTCTCGAACTCCTGATCTCATGATCCACCCGCCTCGGCCCCCCAAAGTGCTGGGATTACAGGCATGAACCACCACACCCGGGCGGTTGATTCATTTGTCCCATCAACTCTCTGACATAGTTGTTGCTGCCCATTTGACAGATGAGGAAACTGAGGCTTAGAGAGGCTGAGCCACCACCCTATAGATGATCCAGGTCGCAGCTGGTCCCCTCGCCCTGCCAGAGTTGTTGACATGTGCCCTCACCCTGACGGGGTGAAAGAGAATTGCACACCAGTCGCTGACTCTCAAAATCCATTGTTCCCCCCACCACCCAACCCTGGCCTTGGCCTGGAGCCAAGCACCAGGGCAGAGCTGAGGCCCAGGGTGGCCCCTGATCTGGGCCGAGAAGCTGAGTAGCTGAGTCATCTCTGAGAAGAACATTCCCATCTTCAATCGCTGCGGCTGCCTGTTGTGGACGGCCCGGCTGACACGGGTAACTTGATCTGTTTACTCTGGGATTCCTAAGCCCACAGAGTGAGGCCCTCACACGGGGCCTCTCCCCGGGCATCCTGGGCGAGGAGCCCTGGCCCAGCCAGAGTCCCGTTCCAGCAACAGACCTGAAACCCCAAGGCAGAGGGGGAAGGAGGGTGCAGCAGGGGAGAGACACTTCCAGGTAAACTTGCCTGGCAAAACCTTTTCTGAGATGTCTGATTTATGAACCAGCTAAAGTAGCAGAGAGAAGAGAATTACAAGTGTTTTTTTTTTTTTTTTTAATCTGTGGCACAGTTTACCACCAGTTCACCAGCAAATAAGAAAGGGGGGTGCCAGGCACGGTGGCTCACACCTGCAATCCCAGCACTTTGGGAGGCAGAGGCGGGTGGATCACTTGAGACCAGGAGTTCGAGACCAGCCTGGGCAACATGGTGAAACCCTGTCTCTACTAAAAATACAAACATTAGCTGGGTGTGGTAGCAGGTGCCTGTAATCTCAGCTACTCCAGAGGCTGAAGCAGGAGAATCACTTGAACCCAGGAGGTGGATGTTGCAGTGAGCAGAGATCACACCACTGCACTCCAGCCTGGGTGACACAGTGAGACTCGCTCTCAAAAAAAAAAAAAAAAAAAAAAAGACAAAGGAGGACCTTCAGGGAACCACCCAGATGTAGAGGTGGGGCACGGAGAAGCCCAGAATCAAGTCTGGAAAGCTATTTTTGTTGCCTCCTCCAGTACTGGAATCCTGAACAGAGACTGGCCCAGCCTGCATTTGCATACACCTAGGGATGGGGAACTCACTTCTTTCTGGAGCAATTAATTCCATCCTGGGGGTAGATGACTTCTAGAAGCTCTATGTGCCTTCCTTTTTCTTTTTCTCTTTTTGAGATGGAGTCTTGCTCTGTTGCCAGGCTGGAGTGCAGTCACGCGATCTCTGCTCATGCAACATCCCCCTCCTGGGTTCACGCCATTCTCCTGCCTCAGCCTCCCGAGTAGCTGGGACTACAGGCGCGTGCCACCACACCCAGCTAATTTTTGTATTTTTTAGAAGAGATGGAGTTTCACCATGTTGGCCAGGATAGTCTTGATCTCTTGACCTCATGATCCACCTGCCTCGGCCTCCCAAAGTGCTGGGATTACAGGCCTGAGTCACCACACCTGGCCCTTTTCTGTTTTTTAAGAAACAGTGTCCCACTCTTTCCCCCAGGCTGGAGTGCAGTGGTGCGATCATAGCTCACTGCAGCCTTGCACTCCTGGGCTCAAGCAATCCTCCTGCCTCAGCCTCCCAAGTAGCTGGGACTACAAGCATGCACCACCATACCAGGCTGATTTAAAAAAATCTTGAGGCCGGGCACAGTGGCTCACGCCTGTAATCCCAGCACTTTGGGAGGCTGAGGTGGGCAGATCACGAGGTCAGGAGTTCGAGACTAGCCTGGCCAATGTGGTGAAACCCCGTCTCTACTAAAAATACAAAAAATAGCTGGGCATGGTGGCCTGCACCTGTAGTCCCAGCTACTCTGGAGGCTGAGGCAGAAGAATCGCTCGAACCCAGGAGGCAGAGGTTGCAGTGAGCCGAGATCATGCCACTGCACTCCAGCCTGGGTGACAGAGCAAGACTCCGTCTTAAAAAAAAAATCTTTTCGTGTAGAGACAGGGTCTCACGATGTTGCTCAGGCTGGTCTTGAATTCCTGGCCTCAAGCCATCCTCCCACCTTTGCCTCCCGAAGAGTTAGGATTACAGGATTGAGCCACCATACAGGGCCCTACAGTTCCTTGATTAGCATCTTAAGGGGAAAGACTTTTAGCATGGAATAGATCATCTTTAGACAAAAACCCAGGATCAGAGAAGGGATGGGATCTGCCAGAGGTCACACTTTGCACGAGACAGGACCAGAACTGGGAAGACCTTTCACCTCCAGCAGTGACCCATCCCCCTGAGCCCCACCCAGACTCTTCCTGGTGTCTACCTGCTGTGTGCCACTCGATTCACCATGCCCCCAGCCTGCCCTTCACCAAGCCCTCTTCGATTGACCCCTTGGGGACCTCAAATCCAGCCTTTTTCATCCCTGCTGTCATCTTCCAAGCCTCTTCCTGGGTCTCCTGAGACCCTGTCCATCCACGCTGCACAGTAGAGGCAAAGGCACTTCTCAAAGCACAAATGTGATGACCTCACTCCTTGGGTCAAGCACCTCCCATGGCTCCCACTGTCTCCACGATAATACCAAGGGCCCCAGGATGGCTTCCAGCTCCATGATTTGGGCTGTTTCTGTCCAGCCCCCATGTGACCACTGCTGGGCCCCTCCTCGTTCCTTAGTGTGCCATATCCTCCCCCGGGACCCTCATTCCACTCCCCAGCCTTCA
Organism: Homo sapiens; assembly: GCF_000001405.40. Taxonomy (NCBI): domain Eukaryota; kingdom Metazoa; phylum Chordata; class Mammalia; order Primates; family Hominidae; genus Homo; species Homo sapiens. The sequence goes on along the minus strand of NC_000007.14, from coordinate 74,991,721 downwards.
GGTCTTAGGGTTGACACCTTCACGAACCATGCTCCACTACGTCCCCTCCTCAACACGACCCACACCTCCCCTCCAACCGTCAGTGCCTACTTAGGGAGGTGTCTGGCCATTAGATCACTGCTGAAGTTTACCAACTCCACCCTGGCCTGGGCTGCTGAGTGGGCAGAGACCAAGGAGGCTTTGTCACTGCTACCCCAGCTCCCAGTTCTGGGCGAGCCTTGTAGTATTTGCTGATTGACTCTGCACCTGTCTTGGGTGCCAGGGGCTGCTCCTGGCCTGGGGTGGGGTGGGTAGGGGCACTGGGGGCTGGACAGGAGGGTGGTGTGCCAGGCAGACAGGGCATCCCCTGCTCACTATGGAACCTTGGCCCACTCCTTGTCCCGGCTTCAGTTTCTCCAGCTGTACAGTGAGATGACTAGCGTGGGCAATCCCTGCAGTCCCTCCAGGGATCACGGTCCCATGCTTCCCTCATATCCAGTTATGGAGAATGTGATAAAGGCCACTGCGTCTCCCACTACCAGGCAGGCAGGGCACCTTCATGGGCTGAGGACCTACAGATGCTCACACCTTCCAGCTCGCCCAACTATAGTGTGGCTCGTGGTTAGGTGCGAGGGCATTTTCTTTTTCTTTTCCTTTTTTTTTTTTTTCCAGACAGGGTCTTGCTCTGTCACCCAGGCTGGAGTGCAATGGCACCAATCACAGTTCACTGCAGCCTCTAACTCCTGGGCTTACGTGATCCTCCTGCCCGAGTAGCTGGGACTACAGGTGCATGCCGCCACACCCAACTAATTTCTTATTTTATTTATGCTGGGACTATAGGCGTGTGCCACCACACCCAACTAATTTCTTATTTTATTATTTATTTCTGAGACTGGGTCTCACTCTGTCACCCAGGCTGGAGTACAGTGGCACGATCTCAGCTCCCTGCAACCTCTGCCTCCCGCATTCAAGTGATTCTCCTGCCTCAGCCTCCCGAGTAGCTGGGATTACAAGCACCCACCACCACACCTGGCTAATTTTTGTACTTTCAGTAGAGATGGGATTTTGCCATGTTGGCCAGGCTGGTCTCAAACTCCTGACCTCAAGCGATCCACCCGCCTTGGCCTCCCAAAGTGCTAGGATTATGGGCGTGAGCCACCGCACCTAGCCTAATTTTTTATTTTTTTGTAGAGACCAGGGTCTCACTATGTTGCACAAGCTGGTCCTGAACTCCTGGCTCAAGAGATCTTCCTGCCTTGGTCTGCCAAATTTGCTGGGATTACAGGTATAAGCCACTGCACCTAGCCAAAACATGTTTTTTTGTTGTTGTTGTTGTTTTTTGTTTTTGTTTTTTTTTTTTGAGATAGAGTCTCGCCATCCAGGCTGGAGTGCAGTGGCGCAATCTCGGCTCACTGCAAGCTCCACCTCCCGGGTTCACTCCATTCTCCTGCCTCAGCCTCCCGAGTAGCTGGGACTACAGGCAACCACTACCATGCCCGGCTAATTTTTTGTATTTTTAGTAGAGACGGGGTTTCACTGTGTTAGCCAGGATGGTCTCCATCTCCTGACCTTGTGATCTGCCCGCCTCGGCCTCCCAAAGTGCTGGGATGACAGGAGTGAGCCACCGCACCCGGCACCAAAACATGTTTTTAATGAGATAAAATCTGAGCTTGGGTCATGGTTTCTTATAGATGTGTATTTTTTTTTAACCCCAAACTCAGCGTTTACAATTGCGGCATAACTTACTATAACAAAATGTACAGATTTTCAGGTGGGCAATTAGATGACTTTTGGCAAGTGTATATCCCCCATTTAACCAGCACCCTGATAAGTATACTGGACATTCCCATCATTGCAGAAAGTGTTCCGTGCTCCTTTCCCAACAACTGGAGGCAGCCACTGCTCTAGTCTCTAGTGCCGTGGATTCACTGTGTCTGTTTTGTGCTTCAAATCCATGGAAACACACACATTATGTCCTATTTTCTGCCTGGTTTATTTTGCTCAATAAATTATTTTTGAGATTAATCCAGGCTGGGTGCAGTGATTCATACCCATACCCAACATTCTGGGAGGCTGGGGTGGGAGGATCGCTTGAAGTCGGGAGTTCAAGACCAGCCTGGGCAACATAGTGAGATCCCATCTCTACAGAAAAAAAAAAAAAAAATAGGCGGACACAGTGGTTAGTCTCAGCTACTCAGGTGGCTGAGTTGGGAGGATTGCTCGAGCCTGGGTGGTAGAGGCTGTGGTGAGCTATGATTGCGCCACTGCACTCCAGCCTGGGTGACAGAGCGAGACTCCATCTCAAAAACAAAACAAAAATTACCCAGGCATGGTGGCATGCTCCTGTAGTCCCAGCTATTTGGGAGGCTGAGGCAGGAGGACTGCTTGAGCCCAGGAGGTCCAGGCTGCAGTGAGCTATAACTGCACTACTGCATTCCAGCCTGGGCAAAGCAAGATCCTGTCTCAAAAAAAAAAAAAAGGCCAGGCGTGGTGGCTCACGCCTGTAATCCCAGCACTTTCGGAGGCCGAGATGGGCGAATCACGAGGTCAGGAGATTGAGACCATCCTGGCTAACACGGTGAAACCCCGTAAAATTTTGTAAAAATACAAAAAAATTAGCCGGGCATGGTGGCGGGCGCCTGTAGTCCCAGCTACTCAGGAGGCTGAGGCAGGAGAATGGCATGAACCTGGGAGGCGGAGCTTGCAGTGAGCCGAGATGGCGCCACTGCACTCCAGCCTGGGTGACAGAGCAAGACTCCGTCTCAAAAAAAAAAAAAAGAAAAATTCCCTCCAGTGTTATGGCTGAATGCCCTAATATTCTACAGTAATAGAAACACAGAATATCTTCTGCATTTTGAAATGCAATGTGGAATGAAAAAAAAAAAAAGCATGCCTCAGAAGATCGCAGGCTGCCAGGTATCTTTTCCATACATATAAATGGGATGAAAGCCTTTGCAAAAATCAAGGGAAAGATAAATGTAGGCAGACAGCAGTTACCATCACTGTCATGGTCGCTGTGGGGGGCAGTGTTATTCAAATGATAAACAAACATAAAGTAAAAGCAGGATCAATAAGTACGTCACGAACCAAAAATTCTGAGTCATCAAATTCTGCATGCCTGAGGTCCACCAAAAAAAAGGAGCGTGGGCCGGGTGCGGTGGCTCACGCCTGTAATCCCAGTAGTCTGGGAGGCCGAAGTGGGCAGAACAAGAGGTCAGGAAATCAAGACCATCCTGGCTAACATGGTGAAACCCTGTCTCTACTAAAAACATAAAAAATTAGCTGGGCGCAGTGGCAGGCACCTGTAGTCCCAGCTACCCGGGAGGCTGAGGCAGGAGAATGGCGTGAACCCGGGAGGCGGAGCTTGCAGTGAGCCAAGATCGCGCCACTGCACTCCAGCCTGGGCGACAGAGTGAGACTCAGTCTCAAAATAAATAAATAAATAAATAAGTCGGGTGTGGTGGCGGGCACTTGTAATCTCAGCTACTTGGGAGGGTGAGGCAGGAGAATTGCTTGACCCGGGAGGCAGAGATTGCAGTGATCCGAGATGGCACCACTGAACTCCAGCCTGGGTGACAGAACCAGACTCCGTCTCAAAAAAGAAAAAAAAAAGGAGTGACCCGTGACCATCGGCCATCTCTGGACACAGATGAGCAATGAGCAGTGAAAGCCAGAGGCCAAGAGTGAGAACAGTTTAATATCAATTTTTGTAAAATATTATTAAAAAAAAAAAAAGGCCAGGCGCAGTGACTCACACCTATAATCCCAGCACTTTGGGAGGCCAAAGCGGGTGTATCACTTGAGGTCAAGAGATCAAGACCAGCCTAGCCAACATGGTGAAACCCTGTCTCTACTAAAAATACAAAAATTGGCCAGCTGTGTGGTGCGTGTCTATAATCCCAGCTACTCAGGAGGCTGAGGTGGGAAAATTGCCTGAACCTGGGAGGTGGAGGTTGCAGTGAGCCGATATCACGCCACTGCACTCCAGCCTAGGTGCTCTGTCTCGAAAAAAAATAATTAAATTAAAAGAAAAAAAGAAAACCAGACAGAACCTTCTCACTGCTCAGTCTCTGTCTTCCCTAGCCACTGTGAGAGGGGCCTGACTCCCCACGGGGGTGATGAACAAGCCCTCGGGAGACCAGAGGCATGGCCTTCCTGGATCACACAAATTGCCTGAATTGGTCTCCCTTGGGCCACCTGTCCCTGCCCTCTGCGGGAGAAAGGCCCAGACTGCAGGAGAATCTGCCCTCCCAACAGATGTGTGTGTTTGAGCGACTTAAGAACCTTCCTTCTTCTATGGGAGGATTTAGGGATCCTGGCATCTTTTTTTTTTTTTTTTCTTTTTGAGACAGAATCTCACTCTGTTGCCCAGGCTGGAGGCGTGATCTTGGCTCACTGCAACCTCCACTTCCCAGGTTGAAGCAATTCTCCTGCCTCAGCCTCCCGAGTAGCTGAGATTACAGGCTCCCGCCACCAGGCCCGGATAATTTTTGTATTTTTAGTAGAGATGGGGTTTCACCATGTTGGCCAGGCTGGTCTTGAACTCCTGACCTCAAGTGATCTGCCCACCTTGGCCTCCCGAAGTGCTGAGATTACAGGTGTGAGCCACTGCGCCCGGCCGGTGCTGGCTTTAGACAACAAACACTCCTTGGTAGCATAAACACAGGGGAAGATCCTAATGGTTGAATTTTTTTGTTGTTATTTAAAGTCAAGGTCTCGCTCTGTCGCCCACGGTGGAGTGCACTGCCAGCCTCAAACTCCTGGGCTCAAGAGATTCTCCCACCTTGCCCTCCAGAGTAGCTGGGACTACAGGCGTGTGCCACCACACCTGGCTAATTTTTAAAAATTTAAAAAATTTTATCAAGATGGGGGTCTTACTACATTGTTCAGGCTGGTTTCCAACTCCTGACCTCAAGTGATCCTCCCTCCTTGGCCTCCCAAAGTGCTGGGATGACAGGCGTGAGCCACTGCACCTGGCCAAACCATTTGTTTTTCATGGGATATTCCAGACATACGTGGTGTGCAGGGCAGGGCCTGCAGTATAGGTAGGAGCTGTGCTGTCTTAAAATCACCACCTTCTCCCAGACCCACATTTTCGGAAGGGGGCGTAAGGGGCAGGTGATCAGAAGCACCACAGGCAGTATCTGAGCTCAGTGCATGGCCCTTGGGGCTCTAGATATGGGAACCTTCTGCAACACTGAGACCTGCAGCCATGTTCTTTTTTTTTCTTTTCTTTTCTTTTTTTTTTTTTTTGAGACAGAGTCTCCCTCTGTTGCCCAGGCTGGAGTGCAGTGGCACGATCTTGGCTCACCATAACCTCCACCTCCCGGCTTCAAGTAATTCTCTGCCTCAGCCTCCCGAGTAGCTGGGATTACAGGCACCCGTCACCACACCTGGCTAATTCTTTTTTTGTATTTTTAGTAGAGACAGGGTTTCACCATCTTGGCCAGGCTGGTCTTGAACTCCTGACCTTGTGATCCACCCCCCACAGGCATGTTCTAAAGACAGTATCCAGCTGGGTGTGGCAGCTTACGCCTGTCATCCCAGCACTTTGGAAGGCCAAGGAGGGCTGATCACTTGAGGTCAGGAGTTCAAGACCAGCCTGGCCAACGTGGCGAAACCCCATCTCTACTAAAAATACAAAAAAATTAGCTGGGTTTGGTGGTGCGCGCCTGTAGTTGCAGCTACTTGGGAGGCTAAGGCAGGAGAATCGCTTGAACCGGGAAGGTGGAGGTTGCAGTGAGCCGAGATAATGCCACTGCCCTCCAGCCTGGGCAACAGAGTGAGACTCTGTCTCAAAAAAATCCAAATAAATAAAGGTGGAATCCGTGTCTCAGTGAGCATCTGCTGAAGGAGTAAATGGAAAGCTGAAATTGGCTAAAATGATTTAAGGAAAAAAGAGCTATCCAGGTATCCATCTGGAGCAACCACCTCTGGTAGATGCGGTGCTGGGCTTGGTCTGTCCGTGATGCCATCTAACCCTCAGGCCACCCTAAGGAAGGTTCTGCCATGCCCCTCTGCAGACGGGACACTGAGGCCTGGGGGGTAATGGAACATGCTCACTGTCACAGTTAGTGAGGGCAGAGCTGGGATGAGAGGATCAGGGCAGAACTGAGATCCCCTCACAATGATTCTTTTTTTTTTTTTTTTTTTTTTTGAGCCAGGCTGTTTCTCAATCTTTGGCCCCTAGGCTGGAGTGCATGATTACTGGCATGATTACTGCAGCCTCAACCTCCCAGGCTCAAGTGATCCTCCCACCTAAGCCTCCAGAATAGTTGGCACTACAGGCAGGAATCACCATGCCCAGCTACTTGTATATTTTTTTGTAGAGATGGGGGTCTCACTATGTTGCCCAGGCTGGTCTCGAGCTTCTAAGCCCAAGCAACTCCATCACTTCAGCCTCCCAAAATGCTGAGTGTGAGCCATTGTCCCCAACCCCCTGACAGTGACTCTTGAAAGGGGCTCAACTTTTACTTCTGTGGGAGCCCCGAGGACCAGAACCAGACCTGCCCTGAGAAGGGGCTAGACCTCCCATATTTCAGAGCCTCACTGGCCCACCCTGCATAGAGAGAGGAGTGGCACAGTCTAGAGTGGTTCTTTTTTATTGAGACAGGGTCTCACTCTGTCACCCAGGATGGAGTGCTGTGGCTCAATCTCAGCTCACTGCAATCTCCACCTCTTGGGTTCAAATGATTCTTATGTCTCAGCCTCCTGAGTAGCTGGGATTACAGGTGTGCACCATCACACCCAGCTAATTTTTGTATTTTTAGTAGAGATGGGGTTTCTACTAACCCCATTGGCCAGGCTGGTCTTGAACTCCTGACCTCAGGTGATCTGACTGCCTCGGCCTCCCAAAGGGCTGGGATTACAGGTGTGAGCCACTGTGCCCAAGTGGCTCTTAAATCAGACTTCTGAGTCCAAAGCTAGCTTCTTTGACTAAGTCATACAGATGGCTTTGGGCAGGTTCCTCACCCTCTGGGGCCTCGGTTTCCTTATCTGAGACATGGGGGAGGTCACATACCCACCTGAGTTGATAATGCATCCAAAGGGCATGGCGGTGGGCCTGGCCCATAGGAACCTGAGTCAAGGGGAGCCTCACTGTCATCTTCATCAACAGCAGTGAGAGGAGCAGGAAGGGAGGTGTTGGCTCCTGGGTCCCTGGGGCCCTTCCTCCAGGGACCCACCATCAGAGGGTGCCCTCCCAAAGGTGGGGAGATGGCAGCTGGCCTGTTGTTCTGTATCACCCAGCATTTCAACTCTCCCAGGCAACCATGGTTGGCAGGTCCCAATTTCTACTGAGAGCACCCCATGTAGGTCACATGGCGAGGGTCCCACACCCCAGCCTCACCACTTCCAACGAGCCAAACGCTTCCCATTTCCAGCCCGACGATGGTACTAACTTCCCTGCCCCTCCTTGGAGATCCCCAACCCCAAATAACCTCTCCTGATCTCCAGGGTCTCTTGGTGACAATACCTGCCTGCCTGCCTTAGCTAAGGGGGTCAGTTGCTTCTATCAGTCTCAATGCCCCAGAAACTGAGCGAAAACCCAAGTATTCATGGCCTACTGAACGCAAAGTCTGAGTCTGACCCTGGTATTCTATTCCTTGGTTTTTAGAATGCCCCCAGACAAAGATGAGGGCTGAAGGCTCAGAAAGGCCGGGTCAGGCCAGGTGAGGTGGCTCACGTCTGAAATCACAGCACTTTTGGAGGCCGAGGCAGGATCGTTTGAGGCCAGGAGTTTGAGGCCAGCCTGGGCAACAAAGTGAAACCCTGTCTCTACAAAATATTGTAAAAATTAGCCAGGTGTGGTGGCACACACCTGCGGCCCCAGCTATTCAGGAGGCTGAGGCGGGAGGAACCCTTGAGTCCAGGAGCTGCAGTGAGCTATGATTTTGCCACTGAACTCTGGCCTGGGTGACCGAGCGAGACCCTGTCTTCAAAAGAAAACAAGAAAGGTAGGGTGACCTGCCTGGGAATATGTGGTAGGAACAGCAGAGTGGAGAGAGAGCGCTTGATAAGGTGTCTTGTTGGGAGACATTCCCCACACCATGGTGCCATGGGAATCACATAAGCAGGTCAAGTGTGCCTCACTCAAGCACTCAAGAACCAAGCTTGCAGAGGGGGTCAGGGCAGGAGATGCACACGACTCACAGCCAACCCCACACTCTGGACCTGGGGCACCTGCTAAGCACTTTCTCTGTAAGATCTCACTTCAACCTCCCGTGAACAGCCCTATAACGTGGGTGCTATCACCTTCTTCATTCTTCTACAGAAACTGACAAACGCAGTTAAACCAGGCTAATTTGGACTGACGGGCTGGGTGGGGACGTCATCAGAGAGAAGCTGCAGGAGGGAAATTGTAGACTAGAACAAAGTCTGAAGAGGGTGGAGAAAAGCACAGATTAAAAAAAAAAGAAGAAGAAAGAAATGTGGCCGGGCATAGTGGCTCACGCCTGTAATCCCAGCACTTTGGGAGGCTGAGGCAGGTTGATCACCCAAGGTCAGGAGTTTGAGACCAGCCTGGCCAACATGGCGAAACCCTGTCTCTACTAAAAACGCCAAAATTAGCTGAGTGTGGTGGTGCACACCTGTAATCCCAGCTACTCGGGAGGCTGAGGCAGGAGAATCGCTCAAACCCAGGAGTCAAGAGTTTGCAGTGAGCTGAGATTGCGCCACTGCACTCCAGCCTGGGCGGCAGGGTGAGACTCTGTCCCCGCCACCAAAAAAAAAAAAAAAAAAAAATGCGTTTTACTGCCTGCAAGCTCGAGTTCTCCCTCCAGCACCCTACCCACCAGGGCTCCTCAGAGGCCTGGCTTGAGGAATGGATACGGTAGCCTTGTCATCTGCAGGTGACACCAGGCCTGCAGCTTGTTCTCTGAGGTGTCACCCCCTTATTCTTTTTTTTTTTGAGACAGAGTCTCACTCTGTTGCCCAGGCTGGAGTGCAGTGGTGTGATCTCTGCTCACTGCAACCTCCGCTTCCCGGGTTCAAGCAATTCTCCTGCCTCAGCCTCCCGAGTAGCTGGGACTACAGGCATGCACCACCACACCCGGCTAATTTTGTATTTTTAGTAGAGACAGGGTTTTACCATATTAGCCAGGCTGGTCTTGAACTCCTGACTTTGTGATCCGCCTGCCTCAGCCTCCCAAAGTGCTGGGATTACAGGCGTGAGCCACCACGCCCAGCCCATACACCCCCTCATTCTTGACTGTGCTGCTCTAGTGGACGAAACAGCCCCAAAGCATTGCTCAGTTGGGAGGGGGTGGAGGGAGTCCAGCCTGGGTGTGTGCAAAGGAGTCACCCAGGAAATTCACCGCGAGATCTGCCCTTACAGATGCACTCGCCTGGGGCCAAGCCCTGGGTGGCTGGGGCAGGTTACCCAGAGGCCCAGGGGCCAAATGCAGGAGCAAGTTCCCATCAGGAAAGGGGAAGAGTGAAGCAGAGATCCAGCTCCTGCATGCAGGGGAGTGGGCACGGGCAACCCCTTACCCCAGGGTCGTTCCCCAGCCTCACCTCTAAGGCAATGAAGGAGGGTAGAGTCTGAGGGCGCCCCTGACACCTCCACCTGTCCCCATCCCCTATCAGCGTTCCACATTCCAGTGCAGGCCCAAAATTCTAACCCCAAAGAAGAAGTGTGGTGGGGTACGCTTCTTCCCACTTTTTTTTTTTTTTCTTGAGACTGGGTCTCACTTTGTCAACCAGGCTAGAGTGCAATGGTGTGAGCATAGCTCACTGCAGCCTCCAACTCCTGGGCTCCAGTGATCCTCCTGTCTCAGCCTCCAGAGTAGCTGGGGCTACAGGTGTGCACTACCACGTCTGGCTAATTTTTAAAATTTCTTGTAGAGACGGGGTCTGGCTATGTTGCCCCAAATGGTCTTGAATTCCTGGCCTCAAGCGATCCTCTTGCCTCCACCTCCCAAAGTGCTGGGATTATAGGCGTGAGCCACCGCACCGGGCCTTGATTTCACATTTGAACTCTCCCACATTAAAAAAAAAAAATTATTAAAAAAAAAATAGGCCCGGCATGGTAGCTCATACTTGTAATCCCAGCACTTTAGGAGGCCAAGGTAGGAGAATTGTCTGAGCCCAGGAGTTCAAGACCAGCCTGGGGAACATGGTAAAACCCCAACAGGATGGATTTGATTCCTATACAAATTGAAGCTGCCCTGCCAAGGAGGGCCTGCCTGGAGGGGATGAGACCTTCGTCCTGAGGCCTCAGGGTCAGGGGATCAGGAGTCGGGGAGCTAGAATAGAAGCAGACAGCCTGGGCACGGTGGCTCACGCCTGTAATCCCAGCACTTTGGGAGGCCGAGGCGGGTGGATCACCTGAGGTTAGGAGTTCGAGACCAGCCTGGCCAACATGGTGAAACCCTGACTCTACTGAAAATATAAAAATTAGCCAGGCATGGTGGTGTACCCCTGTAGTCCCAGGGAGGACTGAGGCAGGAGAATCACTTGAACACGGGAGGCGGAGGTTGCAGTGAGCCAAGATTGCGCCATTGCACTCCAGCAGCCGGGATGACAGAGCAAGACTCTGTCTCAAAAAAAAAGAAAAAGAGGACAAGACATGGCGGTCAGCGTGCAGAGGAGGTGCGACTGGAGAAAGACTGGGGGTCACGTGGGCAGGACCTGGGTGGGCTGGGTGGGAAGGGGGCTGGATGTGGTGCTGTGCACCAGGGAGGGGACACAGAAGCAGGGGGCAGTCTGGGAGGAAGACTTGCAAGCACCATATGGGGACACAGTAGACACCCAGAGTGTCCAGGCACCCTGCAGGCAGAGCTGGTGTGCAGGGCAGAGAAGGGTGCCCAAGACATTGCTGGGAGCAGAGAAGTCACACCTTCCTCAAGGCCGGCTGGAGGACGCAACGGCTCTTTGTGTTCCAAGAAGCAGCTCTTACCAGGGGGCTGCCTGCCTGGCCCCCAGAGTTTCTCCAGTCTCCTTACTATAGACCCCTCCCCTCCTGCCAGCCTCCCGCATCCCCACAGCTCAGCCAATCTGAAACAAATAAACAGCTTCCCTTCCTCCAATAAAAACCAGCCATCCTGCAATTGTCAGATGTGCTCTTCCAGTGCTTCCAAAGCAGAACAGACCATCTGTGCCATGGGGACAGAGGCCACCACTGCCACCTCGCCGAGGCTTGCATCAAGTAGAGGGCACCTCAAAACATCCATTGAATTTCTGTGAATAATAGGTTCACTATGTAATCAACACCTCACTAAGTCCCTAACATAAAATTCCCCATTTAATTCTCACAACCACCCAAGATGTTGATAGTGTTATCTCCAGTTATTTTTTGGTAGAGATGGGGTCTCACTATGCTGTCCAGGCTGATCTCAAACTCCTGAGCTCAGGCAATCCTCCCGCTTCGACCTGCCAAAGTGATGGGATTACAAGTGTGAGCCACCATGCTTCACCTTATCCCTATTTTAAAGATGAAACCAGGCCACGGTGTGGTGGCTTACGCCTATAATTCTACCACGTTGGAAGGTCAAGGCAGGAGAATTGTCTGAGCTCAAGAGTTTGAGACTGGCCTGGGCAACATAGTAAGACCCTGTTGCTACTAAAAATCTTTTTTAAAAATTAGCTGGGCATGACGGTGCACACCTGTAGTCCCAGCTACTTGGAAGGCTGAGGCAGGAGGATTGCTTATGCCTGGAAGGTTGAGGCTGCAGTGAGCTATGCTCATGCCACTGCACTCTAGCATAGATAACAGAGCCAGACCCTCCTTGGAGGTTCTAAGTTGCCCAAGATCACATGGCTGGTGGGTTGTGGGAATTTGGATAAAAACACATTTTCCTGTTATGTGCATATCCTGAGAAATGACCCTTGGCATAAGCTTTTCCATCTTGGGTTAACAGTGGAAAGGAGTGGAGGGCATAGGCGGCGAGGAGTTCGGAGTGGGGGGGCCAAGGCTGACCCCCAAACTGCTGTTGTCCACTGTGTGACTTGGGGGCAGACAGCTCCTTCCTGTAGAGCTGCTATGAGGGTGAATGATGGGAACTCCCAGCGGAGGCCTCATGCATAGTGGGTGTTCAAGAAGGATCTGCCATGGCCGGGAGCAGCGGCTCACGCGTATGATCTCAGCCCTTTGGGAGGCCGAGGCAGGCGAATCACCTGAGGTCAGGAGTTTGAGACCAGCCTGGCCTACATGGTGAAACCCCATCTCTACTAAAAAATACAAAAATTAGCTGGGTGTGGTGGCACATGCCTGTAGTCCCAGCTACTCGGGAGGCTGAGGCAGGAGGATCACTTGAACCCAGGTGGCAGAGGCTGTACTGAGCCGAGATTGCACTGCACTCCAGCCTGGGCAATAGAGTAAGACTCCGTCTCAAAAAAAAAAAAAAAAAAAATATGGGAACATCAGACACTGGGGATTCCAATAGAGGGGAGGTTGGGAAGGGGAGGAAGGTTAAAAAAATTACTTATCGGGTACAATGTTCACTATTTGGGTAATGGGCGTACTAGAGGCCCAGTCCCTACCAGTATGCCATATATCCATGTAACAAACATCCACATGTACCTCTTGAATCTAAAATAAAATAAAATCTTAAACATTAATTTTTATTTTTATTTTTTTGAGACAAGGTCTGGCTCTACTGCCTGGCTGGAGTACGGTGGCACAATCTCGGCTCACTGCAGCCTCTACCTCCCGGGGTCAAGCGATCCTTCCACCTCAGCCTCCTGAGTAGCTAAGACCACAGGTGCACGCCACTATGCCCAGCTACATTTTGTATATTTTGTAGAGATGAGGTTTCACCATGTTGCCCAGGCTGGTCTCCGACTTGTGAGCTCAACCAATCTACTCACCTCAGCCTCCCAAAGTGCTGGGATTACAGGCATGAGCCACCACACCTGGCCTCAAATTTTATTAATTGTGGTAAAATACACACAACAAAACCTACCATCTTAACTATCTTTAAGTGTGCAATTCAATCGTGTTAAGCACATTTTCAATACGGACAGCAATTGCCACCATCCATCTCTAGAACTCTTCATCTTACCCAACAGGAACTCCATACCCACTAAACACCAACTCCCCAGCTCTTGGCAACCACCATTCTTTCTGTCTCTATGACTCCGGCTACACCAGGTATTTCATACAAGTGGGATCTCATGCAGTATTTGTTCTTTTGTGACTAGTTTATTTCACTCAGCATGATGTCTTCAAGGTTCATTCATGTTGTAGCATGTGTCAGAATTTCCTTCCTTTTCCCCCCTGAATAATATTCCTTTGTGTGAATACATCCCACTTTGTTGATCTGTTCATCCATCAGTAGACACCTGGGTCACTTCCATCTTTAGGCCTTAGTGAATAAGGTTGCTGTAAATGTGGGTGCATGGCCAGGCGCGGTGGCTCATGCCTGTTATCCCAGCACTCTGGGAGGCCGAGGCTGGTGGATCACTTGAGGTCAGGAGTTCAAGACCAGCCTGGGCAACATGATGAAACCCCGTCTCTACTAAAAATGCAAAAATTAGCCAGGCGTGGTGGCGTGCACATGTAATCCCAGCTACTCGGGAGGCTGAGGGACCAGAATTGCTTGAACCCAGGAGATGGAAGTTGCAATGAGCCAAGATCGCACCATTGCACTCCAGCCTGGGTGACAGCAAGACCCTGTCTCCAAAAAAAAAAAAAAAAAATTGGGGTGTGCAAGCAAAACCTCAGGTTTTTAAGCAGAGATCTAGCTCAGAGGTTGGAGTATGTTCAATGTGTTATGGTGAGGGCAAGCCTGAGAATATGGCACCTAGACACCAGTTTTCCATTTAGGCCAGGCGCTGTAGCTCACACCTGTAATCCCAGCACTTTGGAAGGCTGAGGCAGGAGGATTACTTGGGCCCGGGAGTTCGAGACCAGCCTGGGCAACATAGTGAGACCCCATCTCTACAAAAAAAACAAAAATTATCTGGGTGTAGTGGCGAGTGCTTGCAGTCCCAGCTACTCAGTGGGGCTGAGGCAGGGAGGATTGCTGGAGCCTGAGAAATCGAGGCTGGAGTGAGCTGAGATTGCATCACTGCACTCCAGCTTGGGTGACACAGTGAGATCCTGTCTCAAGAATTTTTTTCAGGCCAGGTGCGGTGGCTCATGCCTGTAATCCTAGCACTTCGGGAAGCTGAGGCGGGTAGATCACAAGGTCAGGAGATCGAGACCATCCTGGCTCACACAGTGAAACTCTGTCTCTACTAAAAATACAAAAAAATTAGCCAGGCGTGGTGGCAGGTGCCTGTAGTCCCAGCTACTCGGGAGGCTGAGGCAGGAGAATGGCGTGAACCCGGGAGGCAGAGTTTGCAGTGAGCCAAGATCTCACCACTCCACTCCAGCCTGGGTGACAGAGCCAGACTCCATCTCAAAAAAAAAATGCTTTTCAAAAAGTTTCAATTTAGCACCGTGGATGGCCCACAGGGACCTTGGACACCCAGAATCCCACTGGCCCAGAACGGATGCAACTGGGCTGGTTTTTCATACTGCAGATCTGTTATAAGAGAAAACCTTTCCAGCCGTGTGCAGGCTCAGAAGAGACCAATTAAACCTTTTACAAGGTGTTTTTTTTTTTTTTTTTTTTGAGATGGAGTTTCACTCTTGTCACCCAGGCTGGAGTGTAGTGGCACGATTTCGGCTCACTGCAACCTCTGCCTTCCAGGTTCAAGCGATTCTCCTGCCTCAGCCTCCCCAGTAGCTGGGATTACAGGCGCCCACCACCACATCAGCTAATTTTTGTATTTTTGGTAGAGTCAGGGCTTCACCTTGTTGGCCGGGCTGGTCTCGAACTACTGACCTCAGGCGATGTACCCGCTTGGCCCTCCCACAGGTGCTGGGATTACAGGCGTGAGCCACTGCGCCCAGCTACAACTGACTTTTTTGATCCCTGGGAGATGAGTCAACACCAAGGGACGACCAGTCCTAAGCCCTGGACATGGACCTGGGGGTGAGGACAGAAGGGGATCAGGACCAGCCCTCTCATCCTGCACACTGAGGCATGGGTGATCCCAGGAAGCCACTCACCAGGCACCAGGGTGGCTTCCTGGAGGAGAGGATGCTGAAGCCGACCTCAAGAAGTGTCTGTGTTAGGTTTAAGGACTCACAAGACTTCTCTGGCTGGACTAAAGGTAGGGTGATCACATGGTCAGGTTTGCCCTATTGTCTGCAGGTTGTTGTTGTTATTATTGTGATGATGGTGAGGAGGAGGAGGAGGAGGAGGAGGAGGAGGAGGAGGAGACAGGGTCTCATTATGTTGTCCAGGCTGGAGTACAGTGGTGCAATCTCGGCTGACTGCAACCTCTACCTCCTAGGCTCAAGCAATCCTCCCACCTCAGCCTCCTGAGTAGTTGGGATCACAGGCAGGCGCCATCATGCCTAGCTAATTTTTCTGTATTTTTTGCAGAGTCGGGGTCCCACCATGTTGCCTCCGCTGGTCTCCAATTCCTGAGCTCAAGCGATCAGCCTGAAGTGCTGGGATTACAGGCGTGCTGGGATTACAGGCGTGAGCCACTGTGCTTGGCCAATCTAGTAATTATTTAAAGTACTTCCTGCTATTCTAAAAAAAGTTTATTCCCATCTCAATGATAAATGGCAGGGTCATTTCATTCCTTATCTGTTGCTACATAACAAATTACCCCAGATCTTAGTGGCTTGAAACAACAACAAACTTTTATTATCTCTCACAGTTCCTATGGGTTAGGAATTTAGGTGTGGCTGAACTTGGCAGTTCAAGGCATTGGCTGGGGCTGCAATCCATTGGAAGGCTTGCCTGGGGCGGAAGGATCTGTTTTCAAAGCCCCGCTCTGCCGGTTGGGGGTGGGATGCCTCAGTTCCTCTCCATATGGGCCTCTCCATGGGGCTGCTTGGGTGTCTTCAGGCCTTGGGGGTTGGTTTCCTACAGAGCAAGGGATCTGGGAGAGAGGGAGCACCACGCAGAAGCCATCCTTTCGTGCCCTAGCCTCGGAAGTCTCATGGTATTGCTTTTACCATCTCCTAGTGACTTAGAAGAAAGTAGCCAAGACAGACATTTAAAGGAGAGGGGGGTGGAGGTATCCCAGCTTTTTTTTTTTTTTTTTTGACATGGAGTCTGGCTCTGTCGCCCAGGCTGGAATGCAGTGGCGCGATCTCGGCTTCACGCCATTCTCCTGCCTCAGCCTCCTGAGTAGCTGGGAATACAGGCGCCCGCCACCACGCCTGGCTAATTTTTCTATTTTTAGTAGAGACGGGGTTTCACCGTGTTAGCCAGGATGGTCTCGATCTCCTGACCTTGTGATCCGCCCGCCTCGGTCTCCCAAAGTGCTGGGATTACAGGCGTGAGCCACTGCGCCCAGCCAATCCTAGCTTTTAAAACCACCAGCAGCTGGGAGCAGTGGCTCATGCCTGTAATCCCAGCACTTTGGGAAACCAAGACGGGAGGATCACTTAAGGTCAGGAGTTTGAGACCGGCGTGGACAACAGAGTGAGACCCCCTCTGTACAAAAAATCTAAAAACTACCACAGTTGGCCAGGCGCAGTGCTCATGCCTGTAATCCCAGCACGTTGGGAGGCCAAGGCGGGCAGATCACTTGAGGTCAGGAGTTCAAGACCAGCCTGTCCAACCTGGGAAAACCCATCTAAATTAAAAATACAAAAAATTAGCTGAGCATGGTGGTGGTACTTGTAACCCCAGCTACTCAGGAGGCTGAGGCAGGAGCATCACTTCAACCCAGGAGGCAGAGGTTGCAGTGAGCCGAGATCGTGCCACTGCACTCCAGCCTGGGCAACAGAGTGTAACTCCATCTCCAAAAACAAAAGCAAAACAAAACAAAACAAAACTACCATGGTTACCTAAAATAGGGCATGTGTTGGGAAGGGAGTAGACAGAGCCAGAGTGGATAGACAGAAGACATCTGATCAAGAAAGATTCAGGCCGGGAGTGGTGGCTCACGCCTGTAATCCCAGCACTTTGGAAGGCCAAGGTGGGTGGATCACCTGAGGTCAGGAGTTCGAGACCACCCTGGCCAACAAGGCAAAACCCCGTCTCTATTAAAATACACAAAATTAGCCAGGCATGGTGGTGCACGCCTGTAATCCCAGCTACTCAGGAGGCTGAGGCACAAGAGTCACTTGAACCCAGGAAGCAGAGGTTGCAGTGAGCTGAGATCACGCCATTGCATTCCCGCTTGGGTGACAGAGTGAGACCCTGTCTCAAAAAACAAACAAAACCAACAAGGCAGAGATGTGGCCAGGGCTTCTGAAGGAATGCATGAAGTCCACCCAGCACCCACTCCAGTTGTGTCCCTCCATCCTCCCAGACTCCCCCCTGCCCCTGCACTCCCAGCCATGCCCCCTGTGTGGGCCTCTGGTCCTCTCACCCTCTACCTTTGCTGGAGAACATACAGGACTCACGTCTTTTCCTCCCACGGGACAGAAACTCCTTTCGCGCTTCCTATCAGGCCCTGCCTACAGCAGGTATACACTGCGGGGTTTCTCAGTGAACAGAGCATACCAATTTGCACCCGCCACAGGACAGTGGCTTGTTCCCTGCAGACAACTTACTCTTTCAGCCTCCAGGCGTTTGCTCCTCCAGCCCAGAGGGATGGGGCAGCAATGAGCATTTGAGCCGCCCTAGAAGCAGGAGGCAGGAGGCAGGAAGATATCTGGATAGTTCAGGAAAGAGATGAGGAAAAAGGAAAAAGGCATAGGAAAAAGATTTGGGAGCTAGGGTTGAGCCAGCCCCTTTCTCTGGGCAGCAGCAGACTATGGCTGTCCTGAGTGGGCACACGCAAGGCTCTGGGGCTCACCCCGTACCCTCTTCACCTATACCCCTCCCCTGATCCATCTGTAGCCACCCACTCCTGTTCCCTGCTTGCTCATCTTGCTTTAACCCCAGCACCTCCTGACATTTTCTCATGCCAGCCATCACCCCATTCTTGGCTCAGATGGTGCTGCCTCCTCTAGGAAGCCTTACTGGCTTGCAGCTCTGTGGTCCTAGAGCATTTTGGCTGCCCCTGCCAGAGGCCTGACACCTAAATGACAGGTGAGGTCCTTGGCTTAATTCTGCGAGAGCAGTGACAGCATCTCCACTTTCCAGAATCAGGATGCGATTATGTGTGTGTGTAGTCTTCTAAGCCTGGGCTTTTCTGGCTCTGCCCTCACAAACTGGTGCTGGCCAGTGGCCCCAGGGCCTTCCCAGTTAATGCTTAATGGCTGGGTACAGTGGCTCACACTTGTAATCCAGCACTTTTGGAGTTCCAGGTGTCTTTATTAAAAATACAAAAATTAGCCAGGCATGGTGGTAGAGACCTGTAATCCCAGCTACTTGGGAGACTAAAGCAGGAGAATCGCTTGAACCTGGGAGACAGAGGTTGCAGTGAGCTGAGATCATGCCACTGCACTCCAGCCGGGGCAACAGAGCAAGACTCTGTCTCAAAAAAAAAAAAAAAAAAAAAAAAAGCTTACTGGAGCTTCTAGTGGACCAGATACCCTTGAGAGTGCTTGACGTGGTTTATCTCATCAAGCCCTCACAACCACTTAGGTTACAGGCATGATCATCATCTCTGTTTTACAGGTAAGAAACATAGCACAGAGAGGTCAAGCAACTTGCCCAAGGTCACACAGCCAGGATGAGCAGTGCTGGGATTCCAGCCCAGGTGTCCCAGGGCTCTAACTCCCTTGGGCTAGCCTGTCTTTCCCTAAACTGCAATTAGACAGTGGCCTCAGCCCAATGTGTTGCGAGGAATGAGGGCTCTGCATGGACTTTTTGCAATTTTAAGCTTTTCTCTCATAAATACCTCGTAAGACGTTAGTGTTCACTGGCCGGGCATGGTGGCTCACGCCTCCCAGCACTTTGGGAGGCCCAGACGGGCAGATCACAAGGTCAGGAGTTCGAGACCAGCCTGACCAACATGGTGAAACCCCGTCTCTACTAAAAATACAAAAATTAGCTGGGTGTGGTGGCATGCGCCTGTAATCCCAGCTACTCGGAAGGCTGAGGCAGGAGAATTGCTTGAACCTGGGAGGCGAAGGTTGCAGTGAGCCGAGATTGCGCCATTGCACTCCAGGCTGGGCGACAGAGCAAGACTCTGTCTCAAAAACAAACAAACAAACAAAAAAAACAAAAGACTTTAGTGTTCACCATGGCTCGTTTGCAAGATTTCCTGCATGTAGGAACACGAATGACCCAGTGCAGGCCAAAACAAACCAGAGACCTGCATTCAGCAGATCCGGCCCAGGAAGGCAGCAGGAAGTTTCCATGGGCCCATGCTTACTGCATACTTGCCTGTGTAGTTTTTGCCAATCCAGTGGACTTTCTAGAATGGAATTTAAAGATAACAGCATTTCATGGGCAAAAAGGAGGGTGCTGCTTGGCTGAGCATGGTGGCTCACACCTGTAATCTCAGCACTTTGGGGAGGCCAAGGCAGGTGGAGCGTCTGAGGTCAGGAGTTCGAGACCAGCCTGGCCAACATGTTGAAACCCCATCTCTACTAAAAATACAAAAATTAGCCAGGCATGGTAGCTCACACCTGTAATCCTAGCACTTTGGGAGGCCGAGGTGAGAGGATTGCTTGAGGCCAGGAGTTCAAGACCAGTCTGGACAACACAGTGAGACCTTGTCTCTACTAAAAACAGAGTAAAATAAATTAACCAGGTGTGGTGCTGCATGCCTGGAGTCCCAGCTATTCGGGCGGCTGAGGCAGGAGGATACCTTGAGCCCAGGAATTTGAGGCTGCAGTGAGCTATGATGGTGCCACTGCACTCCAGCCTGGGCAACAGAGCTTGTCTCCAAAATAAATAAATAAAGAGATGTCTCCATACTAATATTAATAAAAAAACAGAGGGGACTCTGGGAGTAGGTTCAGGTTCCAGAGGGGTTGGGGTAAGCCAGGCAGATGGGGCACACCGGGATCCCACCTAGATCTGGGGTCACACAGCGGTCTGTGCACAGTAATCTCTCTGCCCCTCACACCTAAGTCAGCCTCCAGGCCTGTCCCAGGTAGGTCAGCTACGGGACTGAGTGCCTCAGTCCTACTGTGCACATGGCCATTGCCCACAGCTTCTGGGTCCCCCACCTCCCTGTGGCGGAGAGCATCCATCCGGATGGCAGGCCCCACCTTGAGTGGTGAATCCTGATTGGTCCATGATGGTCTCATTCCCTGTGCCTGTGATAGGCTGAGGCATGTTCATGTGACCCAGTTCTGACCAATGAGATGAGGAAGTCTGTGCTGGGATAGGGGTACCCCCAGAAAGGTTAGCTCCTTCCTTCATGGAGTTTCCTCCTGACTGCCCAGGATGCCCGGAGCCACCCCAGCCATCACAGTGGGGCTATGCTTCTGTGCCATGGGTAGCCAAGCATAAATTGATGACCTCATCAAGCCTTTAAGTTATCCAAGCCTGGGGCAGCCCAACCCATAAACTCTGATCACACAAAGTTCAAACTTCTTATTGGTTATGTCCTGGCTTTCTGTTGTTTGTAGCTCAAAGCATCCTTGCTGGCTGGGCGCAGTGGTTCACGCCTGTTATCTCAGCACTCTCGGAGGCCAAGGAGGGAGGATTACCTGAGGTCAGGAGTTCGAGACCAGCCTGAGTAACACGGCTAAACCCCGTCTCTACTAAAAATACAAAATTAGCCGGGCATGGTGGTGGGTGCCTGTAATCCTAGCTACTCCAGAGGCTGAGGCAGGAGAATTGCTTGAACCAGGGAGGCGGAGGTTGCAGTGAGCTGAGATTGCACCACTATACTCCAGCCTGGGCGACCAAGTGAGACTCCATCTCAAACAAACAAACAAAAACCACAAAGCATCCTTGTTGATAGCCCCTGGTTACATTTCTTCTTCTTTTTTTATTATTTTTCAGAGACAGGGTCTCTGTCGCTCAGGCTGGAGTGCAGTGGCGCCATCATAGCTCACTGCAGCCTCAAATTCCCGGGCTCAAGTGATCCTCCCACCCAAACCTCCTGAGACAGGTGTGCACCGCCATGCCTGGCTATTTTTTAAAAAGTTATTTTAAAAAATTTTTTTTTGTGGAGATGGGGTCTTGCTTTGTTGCCCAGGCTGGTCTCAACCTCCTAGCTTCAAGGGATCCTCCAACCTCAGCCTCCCAAAATGCTGGGATTATAGGCAGGAGCCACTGGGTCTGGCCTTATCGTTTTGAGTTAAGCCCGTCCTACCAGAAGAAGAGTGAGCCCAACGTGCCCTCAGGGAAGCTGAAATGGAATCTAGAAGGATGCACGGGGAAGAAAGGGGTAAGGCAAGAAGTAATACTCTGGGCAGAAAGAACAAAGGCCTGAAGGCTGGAGGCACGCTAGGGTGTGGCTGGAAGCTTCGAGGTGAGGCTGGAGAGACAAGGTGAGGTGGGCCACAGAGGGCCCTCAGCTAGGTCACAGAGCCTCAGGGTTACCACAGAGGACAAGGGAAGCTCATCGGACAGACCTACCCAGGGTCTTGCCTTCTGGCTTTATGCTGAGAATAAATAAGCACATTCCTCGCCTAGTCCAGCCACACCCAGATGCTCCTCCAAAGGTCCTGGGCAGAGGCCTGGTTCAGCAGACCCGGGACAGGGTCGCTGGGCTCTGCTTCTACCAGGTGTGATCCTGCCTTCTACAACGACATATCTTCCAGCCCCAGGGCACTCCTATGAGACTCTGGCAAATACTTGGGTTGAAATCTGGGTCACTCTGATGGTCAGAAATCCATCAAACAGACGTTTACTAAGTGCCTACAAAGCAGGGTGCTACACGCAGCGGAGACGGGACCTGGTTCAAATCCCAATTCTGTTTCTTTCCAGCTGTGCGACCTTGCCATTGTACTTCTCCAAAGCTAGTGTCTTCACCGCTCTGCAAAATATGGCAAAGTCAACGGTAGCTCTCATCACCACTGGTAGGTACTGTGGTGATGTGGTGGGAAGGGGTGGATCAAATCATGCACAAAAAACTTGAAGGTTGATAATCTAGGTAAGAGAAAAAGACAAGCCAATAACATGTTGTTATCGGCAAAAGTTGAGAAATACGCAAGGTGCCTGGAAGAAAGTATCTGAGATAGGCTCTAAGGCTCTAACGAAGTAGAATGTCTAAGCAGGTCGCGGTGGCTCTCGCCTGTAATCCCAGCATTTTGGGAGGCCGAGGTGGGTGGATCACTTGAGGTCAGGAGTTCGACACCAGCCTGGCAAACATGGCGAAACCCAGTCTTTACTAAACATACAAAAATTTACCGGGCGTGGTGGCGCACGCCTGTGATCCCAGCTTCTTGGGGTGGAGGTTGCAGGGAGCTGAGAACACACCACTGCACTCCAGCCTGGGTGACAGAGCAAGACTCCGTTTCAAAAAAAAAAGGAAGTAACCGTCTAGATGGGAGTGATAAGGACCAAGTATCCCTGGGA
Organism: Homo sapiens; assembly: GCF_000001405.40. Classification (NCBI taxonomy): domain Eukaryota; kingdom Metazoa; phylum Chordata; class Mammalia; order Primates; family Hominidae; genus Homo; species Homo sapiens. The sequence goes on along the minus strand of NC_000007.14, from coordinate 74,969,411 downwards.
GAAGAAAACAGCTCTGGTAGCAGATCACTCAAGCCCGGGAGGTGTAGGCTGCAGTGAGCCGTGATCACGCCACTGCACTCCGGCCTGGGTGACAGAAGAAGACCCTATCTCCAAAAAAAAAAAAAAAAAAGAAAAGGCCCACCAAAGCCAAATAGGCAGGAATACAGAAAGGCCAGCATTTCAGTTCTGTGCTCCTAAGCCTTTCAGAACACTGTGCTGTAGACAGAAGGGCTGGACATAACCATTCAATGGGGGCATCTCTTGCAACCTGCAATAGCAAAATCTCAGAGCTTGTGCCAGAAAGGTGCAGATTGGCACATTTAAATCCCGGATCTATCACTTCTTGCCTGACCTTGAGCAAGTCACTTAATCTTTGAACCCCAGCTTCCTGGTTTGCAAAGCAGGTTTAATACCTAATACACAGAACGTACCTGGGGGTCCTGGGGTCTAGATCCTCTCTTCCAACTAGTTAACTCCAAATGTGAGCCACTGGCTTTCCTACTTCAAAAGCCCTAAGGGCCAATGGCTCATGCCTGTAAGCTCATGCCTGTAACAGTTTAAATGTTATGTCCGCACGCACCTCTGACAGGCTGAGGTGGGAGGATCATGTGAGGCCAGGAGTTCAAGGCCAGCCCGGGCAACACAGTGAGACCCCCATCGCTACAAGAAATTTAAAAATTAGCTGAGTGTGGTGGTGCGCACCCGCAGTCCCAGGTGCTTGGGAGGCCGAGGTGAGAGGATTGCTTGAGCCTAGGAGTTCGAGGCTGCAGTGAGCTATGATGGTGCCACTGTACTTCAGCCTGGGCAACAGAGACCCCATCTCTTAAAAACAAACAAAAAAAAGCTCTAAGATCTAGTGCCACCTCCTACAGGTAGGCACCCGGCGTTCTAGGTACCCTGCTAGACCAGCCCTTCCCTGACTCCACCCTGCTGTAGAATGATGGCCTCTTTCTTTCTCTTCCACCAGGCTCTAGGGCTTGGCAGAGGAAGGGGCAAGGTATCTCTGCATCCCTTGGACCCAGCCACACCCCAACACAGAGTGAATGTTTCCTAATGCCATTCCCTTTCCACAACTCCACTCCACGAGAGAGAAGTGACTTAAGCCTGCTAAGGAGCGGAGGGAAAAGTTCAGGAAGGTTTCAGCGTGCTATCATTAGCGCTATCATTAGCTCTTGAGGACTGAATAGGAATTTACTAGGGGTGGGTGGGGGAGAATATTCCAGGCAAATGGAAGAGAGGTAGATACAAAGGCACAGAGGTATGTAGGGAACAATAAGGGAAATTGTGTATTTGCTGGGGGAGGGCTAAAGATGAGGATTCAAGGCCAGGAGCAGTAATCCCAGGACTTTGGGAGGTCGAGGTGGGAGGATTGCTTGAGCCCAGGAGTTGGAGGCTGTATTGATCTATGATGGCGCCACTGTACTCCAGCCTGTACGACAGAGCAAGACTCTGTCTCTAAAAGAGAAAAATAAAAAATAAAAAAAATAAAGATGAGGATTCAGGATCTAGATCCCAAAGGGCCTCGAATGCCATGTCAATGATTTGATGCTATAGAGTGACTGACAAAACTGTAAACGGGCCGGGCGCGGTGGCTCACGCCTGTAATCCCAGCACTTTGGGAGGTCGAGGCCAGTGGATCACCTGAGGTCGGGAGTTCAAGACCAGCCTGACCAACATGGAGAAGCCCCGTCTCCACACCAAATTAGCCAGGTGTGGTGGCGCATGCCTGTAATCCCAGCTACTCGGGAGGCTGAGGCAGGAGAATCACTTGAACCCAGGAGGTGGAGGCTGCAGTGAGCCGAGATGGCGCCATTGCACTCCAGCCCGGACAAGAGCAAAACTCAGTCTCAAAAAAAAAAAAAAAAAAAAAAAAAAGTAAACAGGTGGCACAGGGACCCTCAGGGCATGCTGTGCTAGTCTGGGCTAAACTTAGGTTTTGGAGAGGGAAGTGACAGAGCTATGGGTCACCACCTGGGGGCAGGGATTGCAGGAACAATCTAAGGGGTTCTACCTGGATGGCTGATTATTGAAAACAGTTTAAATGCTATGTCGGCAGGCTGCGACCCATTAACACTTGCTAAAAAGCCATTTCCCACAATCGTCCCACACCATCCACACAGCAGTTCTGTGTCCATGAGGGGGCCAAATAGTGCTATCTCTATTTTACAGACGGACGAAGTGTGAGCCAGAGGAGACAGACTTCGCCTCAGCCAGGCAGGCAGGGGGCTGTGGTCACACATGACCTGAAGCCATGATCTGGGCTCAGAGTGCATGGGGTGGCAGGTCCTCAGGCATTTGACAAATGTTCCGCACCTTCTGAGGCCGGACCATGGAAACACAGCGATGGCCTTTGGCCTCTGAGTCATCTTGAAACTGGACTAGTCAGCTGGGTCACCTGGGCCTGGGACAGGACAGGCTGCTTTCTGCAGGAGGGAGGAAGGGGGACCCACTGAGGGACAGGTCTTCTTGTGTTCCCAGAGGCCAGCAGGGGGGCTTGACCCCAGAGACACGCCTATCCATGAGTACCCAAAGGGGATCCTGAGTTGGGGGCTGGAAGAAGGCCAGTCTCTCCACCAAGGGAAAGGGGCTGAGGGACCCTGCCCTTTGCTGCCTTTCTAAGAAGCCCCCAAATGCCCCCGCTTCCAGCACCCAGGCCCTGTGCACAGCCGCAGCCTGAGTCATCATTCTCATTTGAATGGTGGCCGAGAAATCAGCCAGGGGGCTGCCCAGGGCTGAGGGCCAAGGCTAGGAAAAACAAGGCTGTTCTGTTACCTCCAAGCTTTGGAACGTCAAGCCCGGCTAGGGAGTGGGGGGCAGAGGGCAGGCAGAAGCAGGATCTGAAGGTGTCAACAGCCAGAGGGGGCTTTGTGTGAGGGGTGGGGGCGCGGTTCAGAATCCGAGCTGTTGGCTTTTGTTTTCAAATGACCTGTTTAATCATTACCCTTTGCAATCAACGGGGAGCACAGGCTCCGTGGCAGAGGCTTGGCGACTATTTCAAATCTCCATCCCCTACTGAGCAGCCGGAGAAGAAAGTAAACAAGATGCCACCGGCAGGTCTGGCTCCATCTCGCAAACAATAGCCGGACTGAGCACCCGGCTCAGACACACACATCAAAGTGAGATTTCCAAGCAAGAACTTTTCACAGGCAGATAACAGGCTGGAATTATTTCCCTGTGTCCCTAGAGCTCAGTGCCAAAGGGGGCAGCCTAAGGGGGCTGTCATTTTCACGCTAACCTTGACCCGAAAAGTATTCATTCATTTTGCAGTGAGGGAGAGCCACCACCGCCCCAAACCGCGAAAAACCAACCAGTAACAACTTTATCATTCCTTTTTAACAGTCACAATGGTGGGCAAATGAGACTTAAGTTACAGCAGCTAGCTGGCACTCACACTCCCCTCGGCTCAGGCTCCTTAAACAACAACAACAAAACCCTAATGCAAGCACCCACCGGGGCTCACAATGTCAAACCCTTACCTGGCATAGGGAAAATCCAAGTGAGAGAGAGAGAGAGAGAGAGAGAGAGAGAGTGTGTGTGTGTGTGTGTGTGTGTGTGTGTGTGATTCCCTCTTTTACCTTCCAAGGCCTTCAACTATTTTTCCCCCTGCAGCATCCAAGCCCAGCCTCAAGGCAGATGCATAAACATGCCTGCTCCTCCCCTTCTACGGTTGGGCAAAACACCCCCCCACCCCCTTTCCAGGACCCCAAGGAGAAAGAATCACGTCCTCTGCAGCCCCTCCCTGGCCCTCGCCCACCCCCCGTTTCCCCCCCGCAATTCCAGGCCGTCCGCAGCAAGCCTCGTAGGCACCTTGAGATAAACACCCACTAATGATTTTATGATTTTCTGCTCTGGGTAACCGCGCTCAGCGGAATCCCTCCCCCCGCCGTGGCGACGGGGCCGGCCCAACCGAGGGATGGGGGGATGGGGGCGTTTGTTTTTTCCACGGCCTCGTCCCCACACCTGTTTTTCATTCATTCATTCGTTCGTTCCTTCATCCATTCACGGATCCGTCACTGCAGCCGCCCCAGCCCCCCGGATTTCGGGGAGGGGGCTGCGATGGGGGAGGGGGTGGGAGATGGGGGGGACGACAGAGGTGGGGGGTGGCGCACCGGGGGGTGGAAGGTTGCGAGGGGTCCGGGAGCCAGGACCCTGCGGCTCCGGCTTTGTCAGACGCGAGCGAAGCGGCGGCGGGGGCGGGGCGGGGGCGCTCCCGGGGCCCGAAGTTGTTTTCCGAGGCGCGGCGGCGAGGACAGCGGCCCGGGGTGCGCCCCCTTTGTCTGTCCCCGGCCGGCGCCGCGTCCCCGCGCGCTTACCTGGTCTTGGAGGACAGGAAGGCAAGTTTGATCAGGCCGTAGGTGAACAGCGGGATACTCTCCTTGGCGACGCTGGCAACTTGCAGCCGGTGCTCCAGGATGTGGAGTTCCATCGTCCGCCCGCGCCCCGTCCGCGGCGGCTCATCCGCGGGGGGACGAGCCGCGGCCCCCGCCCCCTCCGCGCCCTGCCGGCACCGACAGCCGGCCCGGAGACCCGGGAGCTCGGCGCCGGGCGCGGGGGGCGGCGGCGGCCGGGCCGGGCCGGACAAAAGGGAGGAGGCCCGCCAAGTTGCAAGGGGGAGCCGCGGGGCGAGGGAGGCAGCGCCGGCGGAGCAGCAGCCGAGGGGCCGAGCGGCGGAGCAGCGGCGCGCGGCGCCCGGCGCGGGGAGCAGCTGGTGTTCGCTGTAACAAACAACTTGCCACTCAAACGCCGGTCCCCGCTGCGCATGCGCGGCCCGCGCGCGGCCTGCCGGGACTTGTAGTCCGCCTGGGGGGGGGCTCCCCCGGTGCTGTTGCTGCTGTTGCTGCCGCGGGGGCTGGGCGGCCGGAGCTACCGGCAGCCCGGTGCACGGGAAATGCAGGAGCGCGGGCACCCTCAGGACTAAGGGGAAGGCCGAGGGGAGGCACGGGGCGGGTGGAGCCAGCCTGAGCCTAGGCGCGCCCTCTGGCACCCAGTCAGGCTCGGTACTAGGTGCTTGGAGTGTAAAGCGAGCAAACCAGACGACTCCGGTGCTGGAGAAGGCCCGAGTCTGGGAGCGCCAAGATGTAGGGCAATCGGTCATGAGAGTGCAGAGAAGCCAAACCGAAAAGCTTGCTGGGGACCCGGAGGGAGGGGATTGACAGGTCAAAGGGGGTGACCCGGGGGAGGGGACACTCAGGCTGGGTTTTGAAGGATGAATGGGAGTTCGTAGCAAGAGAGTGAGGGCGCGCGGATGGAGGACAGAGGCCTTCCAGGCTGCAGGAACAGCGTGTCCTAGGGCACAGAAGCGTGAAAGCCCCCACGGTGCTGTGTTTGGCTTTGTTGCAGCGGAAAATGTGAGGGAGGAGAGAAAAGAGATAAGGCAGGCATAGTCACCAGGAGTCAGGTCGGGAGGGTCATGTGTGCAGAGCTAATGAGGTGGCCATTTATCCCACTGGAGAGGGGGTGATGGGGACTGCGAAGGGTGAATTCGGGGAAAATGTAAAGTGCGTCTGAGGCACTTCCAACCCCAGGGCCCACGCGCCGGGACCACAGAGGTTCCTCCTTCATGGCTGTCTGGTTTTGAAATGTTCTGGGTTAAAGTGATTGGTGCTTCCACCTTTGGCAGAGTAATCTGGGGACGCGATGGGTGAGATCTATCTGCCAGGGCAGGCTGAGAACTCTCTTTCAGGGGAAAATTGCAGTTGTGCTCCCTCACCTTCCCTCAGCCCTCCTCTGTTAGGTAGGAACATACTAGGTTTTGTCATTTCCACAAAAGGGTGAAAAGCCTGTAATCTGTGGTAGATAGATCTTAGAGCATGCATATCCCCCTCCCACTTTATTTTCTTTTACTCTTTTTCTTTTATTTATTTATTTTTTAGAGACAGGGTCTTGCTCTGTTGGCCAGGATGGAGTGCAGGGGCGCAATCATAGCTCACTACAGCCTCGAACTCCTGGGCTTAAAAGATCCTCCCACCCCAGCTTCCCCAGCAGTTGGGACTACAGTTATGCCTGGCTAATTTTTTTTTTTTTTTAACTTTCTTTTTTCCCCCCCGAGATGGAGTCTTGCTCTGTCGCCCAGGCTAGAGTGCCATGGCGCGATCTTGGCTTACTGCAACCTCCTCCCCCTTGGTTCAGCGATTCTCGTGCCTTGGCCTCCCAGCTAGCTGGGATTACAGGTGCTGGCCACCACGGCTGGCTAATATTTGTATTTTTCGCAATGTTGCCTAGGCTGGTCTTGAACTCCTGACCTCAGGTGATCCACCCACTTCGGCCTCCCAAACTGCTGGGATTACAGGCATAAGCCAATAAGCCACCATGCCTGGCCTTTTTTTTTTTTTTTTTTGAGTCGGAATCTTGCTCCATCACCCAGGCTGAAGTGCAGTGGCACGATCTCGGCTCACTGCAACCTCCCCCTCCGAGGTTCACGCCATTCTCCTGCCTCAGCCTCCCGAGTAGCTGGGACTACAGGTGCCCGCCACCACACCCGGCTAATTTTTTTGTATTTTTAATAGAGACAGGGTTTCACTGTGTTAGCCAGGATGGTCTCGATCTCCTGACCTCATGATCCGCCCGCCTCGGCCTCCCAAATTGCTGGGATTACAGGCGTGAGCCACCACACCCGGCCTTTTTTTTTACTTTTTGTAGAGAGGGGTGTCTCACTATGTTGTTCAGGCTAGTCTCGAACTCCCAGCCTCAAGTGATCCTCCAGCCTCAGCATTTTTTTTTTAAAGCTTATCTGTCTCTCCCCTACACAATCTCAACTCCACAAAGGCAGTGATTTTTGTCTGTTCTCCGCTGTGTTCCCATTGTCAGCAATAGTGACTGGCCTATGAGAGACACTCATTCAATATTTGTGGAATGCATCAATGCACCTATCTATGCCTTTAGAATCTAGAGATCCAGAAATCCCAAACAGAAATGCATTCAGGGGCCAGACAGATTACACAGATGTGTGAAGCAGTTGGCTATCAGATAGTTGGAAATGTGGCTGGGCGCGGTGACTCACGCCTGTAATCCCAGCACTTTGGGAGGCCAAGGAGGGTAGATCATTTGAGGTCAGGAGTTTGAGACCAGCCTGACAAACATGGTGAAACCTCGTCTCTACTAAAAACACAAAAAAATTAGCTGGGCATGGTGGTGCCTTCTCCTGAGGCAGGAGAATCGCTTGAACCCAGGAGGTGGAGGCTGCAGTAAGCTGAGATCGCGCCACTGCACTCCAGCCTGGGTGATAGAGTGAGCCTCCATCTCAAAAAAAAAAAAAAATGTTGGAAATGGTACAGGTGAAGGGAAGTCTGCCTGAAGGCATAAAATTCAGTTTCTTAAAAAAAAAAAAACAACTGGCAGGGTGCAGTGGCTCACAACTATAATCCCAGCATTTTGGGAAGCCAAAGCAGGCAGATCACAAGGACAGGAGTTCAAGACCAGCCTGGCCAGCATGGTGAAACCCCGTCTCCACTGAAAATACAAAAATTAGCCAGGCATGGTGGTGTGCATCTGTAATCCCAGCTACTTGGGAGGCTGAGGTAGGAGAATCACTTGAACCTGGGAGGCAGAGGTTGCAGTGAGCCAAGATTGCACTACTGCACTCCAGCCTGGGCGACAGAATGAGATTCTGCCTCAAAAAAAAAAAACACAAAAAACAAAACAACAACAATAAAAAAAAAAAAAGCAGGTGAAACAAAACAAGGCTAAAGGCAAGATTTGGCTAGTTTTCTGACTTCTGCTCTGGATGGCCTAAGGTAGCATTTTTCAATCTGCAGACTGTGTATGACCCATGTAGTGGATGGTGAAATCAATTTAGCAGGGCATGGCAATTATTTAAAAAAATAATTAAACAGGCTGGGTACAGTGGCTGATGCCTGTAATCTCAGCATTTTGGGAGGCCAAGGCAAGAGGATCTCTTGAGGCCGGGAGTTTGAGACCAGCCTGGGCAACATAGCAAGACTGCTCATCTCTACAAAAATAAAAATATAAGAAACTAGCTAGATGTGGTGGCGTGCACCTGTAGTCCTAGTTACTCAGGAGGCTGAGGTGGGAGGATCCCTTGGGCCCAGGAGTTCGGAGCTGCAGTGAACTATTATTGTTTTTTTTTTCTTTCTTTCTTTTCTTTTTTTTTTTTTTTGAGATGGAGTCTCACGCTGTTCCCCGGGCTGGAGTGCAGTGGCACAATCTCGGCTCACTGCAACCTCTGCCTCCCAGGTTCAAGCATTTCTCCTGCCTCAGCCTCCCAAGTAGGTGGGATTACAGGTGCCTGCCACCATGCCCAGCTAATTATTTTTATTTTTATTTTAGTAGAGACGGGGTTTCACTATGTTGGCCAGGCTGGTCTTGAACGCCTGACCTCTTGATCCACCTGCCTCGGCCTCCCAAAGTGCTGGGATTATAGGCGTGAACCACTGTGCCCGGCCGCTGTGAACTATTATTGTACCACTGGACTCTAGCCTGAGTAACAGAGTGACATCGTCTCTTCAACAAAATGGAAAAATTCCCGGCAAAAAAAAACACAAAAAAAATTTTAAATAGACTAGAAAATGACACAGTGTTGCATATAAAATGGGTAGGTTACTATCATCTTTTCTATACCCCAGGGCACTTTAATCTTGTCCATGTGTGTAAGGGGTGCGTGCCTGTGTGTGTCTGCCTATGTGCACTAGAACTTGATATAAAGGTATGTTTTACTGTGGGTCTTGGTAAAAAAAAAAAAATATATATATATATATATATATATATATATATTTTTTTTTTTTTTTTGAGACAGGGTCTTGCTCTGTCACCCAGGGTAGAGTGCAATGGCATGATCTCAGCTCACTGCAACTTCTGCCTCTTGGGTTTAAGCAATTCTCCTGCCTCAGCCTCTCGAGTAGCTGGGATTACAGGCGCGCGCCACCACCCACGGCTAATTTTTGTATTTTTTTGTTTGTTTTTGAGACAGAGTCTCACTCTGTAGCCAGACTGGAGTGCAGCATCATGATCTCAGCTCACTGCAACCTCCTCCTCCCAGGGTCAAGTGATTCTTCTGCCTCAGCCTCCCGAGGAGTTGGGACTAGAGGCATGTGCCACCATGCCAGCTGATTTTTGTATTTTTAGTAGAGGCAAGGTTTCACCATGTTGGCCAGGATGGTCTTGATCTCTTGACCTCGTGATCCACCCACCTTGGCCTCTCAAAGTGCTGGGATTACAGGTGTGAGCCACCACGCCCAGCCAATTTTTGTATTTTTAGTAGAGACGGGGTTTTACCATGTTGGCAAGGCTGGTCTCAAACTCCTGGCCTCAGGTGATCTGCCCGCCTCAGCCTCCCAAAATGCTGGGATTACAGGCGTGAGCCACTGTGCCTGGCCAAAACTGTTTAAAAGCATTGTGGGCTTTATATTTCATCAAGCCAGACTGCCATAAAGTTTGCAAATTTAGACCACCTTGTTTTTGACTTGCAGAATTGCTTTCGCTCAGTTGTATTTGGTGCTTAAGATTTCTGTGAAACTAACTTCCGAAATTCATGTTGGGGTGTTAAGGAAATTGACCTCTGAGTTGCCAAGTCCTGAGGATTCAGGCTGGAATTGGGGTGAAGCAAGTTGAGGCACTTTGGGCCCTGAATTTAAGGAGGTACTGGCTCCCAAGGTAACACAAGTGTTGGATGGGCACCGTCCTGGTAGAATTCCCTCCTCTTTGGGTTCCTTAGCACTGCCCTTTTCTGGTCTTTCACTGATTGACTCTAGGTCTGGCTATGTGATTTTCACGGCTTTGGCCAATGGGGTATTGGCAAATCTGCTCCCTAAGTCCTGTGCATTGGGACTTGCCCTCTCGGAAAGAATGCTGCCCTGAGACCATCACGCTGTAAAGAAGCTTGCAAGAAAGATCACATGAAGAGGTCCAGGTGTTCCAGCTGTGTCAGGCCTCTGCCAACAGCTAGCACCAACTACTAGAGCATGCTAAGATGTGAACGAGACCATCTTGGGCTTTGCATCTGACTGTCTAACTGAGTGCAGCCACACACATGAGCCCAGGTGAAACCAGAACTATCCAGCCAACCAATAGAAACACGATGAATAAAAAATAGCTGTTGGCTGGGCACAATGGCTCACGCCTGTAATCCCAGCACTTTGGGAGGCCAAGGCAGGTGAATCACAAGGTTAGGAGATTGAGACCATCCTGGCTAACATGGTGAAACCCCGTCTCTACTGAAAATACAAAAAATTAGCCGGGCATGGTGACGGGCACCTGTAGTCCCAGCTACTTGGGAGGCTGAGGCAGGAGAATGGCATGAACCCAGGAGGTGGAGCTTGCAGTGAGCTGAGATTGCGCCACTGCACTCCAGCCTGGGTGACAGAGCGAGACTCTGTCCCCCGCCCCCCCAAAAAAAATAGCTGTTGTCTGGGCACAGTGGCTCACACCTGTAATCCCAGCACTTTGGGAGGCCAAGGCGGGTGGAGCCCTTGAGGTCAGGACTTCAAGACCAGGCGGGGCAACATGGCAAAACCCTTTCTCTACAAAAAAATACAAAAATTACCTGGGCATGGTGACGCACGCCTGTAGTTCCAGCTACTTCGGAGGCTGACGTGGGAGGATCACTTGAGCCCAGGAGGTTGAGACTGCAGTGAGCCGTGTTTGCACCATTGCATTCCAGCCTGGGTGACAGAGTGAGAACCTGCCTCTGACAAAAAAAAAAAAAAAAGTTATTTTTCGTCATTAAGACTTGGAATGGTTTGTTGGGTAGCAATGGATATAGCTGACACATCCCCGCAGCCCTCACCTTCTCTCACTATGTGGGTGTACCCAGTCTCTGGCTTCTAATGTCAAGGGCCTCCAACTTGACACTTCCAGCTCAGAGTATGTTCTTAAGGCCCTCCCTCACTTATAGAACTTCCTAGTGGTTAGCTATGATGCATGGCAAACACATCTGGCAACAGTAACATCAGCATACCTTGAAAATGACCCCATGGTCTAAGAAGAGTATGTGTTGAAAGTTCTAAGCTAAGGAATCCAGGAGTGGCCAACCCGGAGATTCATTTCTTATCTATGAGGAACATCTGAACCCCTGGACCATCTAGGGGATGGTGGCCTTTGTTTGGGGTTAAATGAAGGTTGCCAGAGGGAGGGTGCTAGGGGGAGGGTGCTAAGTGGAAATGCTCTATAAACTGCATGCTTTTTTTTTTTTGTGAGATGGAGTCTTGCTCTGTCACCCAGGCTGGAGTGCAGTGGCGCCATCTCGGCTCACTGCAAGCTCCGCCTCCCAGGTTCATGCCATTCTCCTGCCTCAGCCTCCTGAGTAGCTGGGACTACAGGTGCCCGCCACCACGCCCAGCTAATTTTTTGTATTTTTAGTAGAGACGGGGTTTCACTGTGTTAGCCGGGATGATCTCGATCTCCTGACCTTGTGATCCACCCGCCTTGGCCTCCCAGAGTGCTGGGATTACAGGCATGAGCCACCGTGCTGGGCCCAACTGCATGCTTTTTATAAGCAGGTGTGGTTCTCCTGTTCCACCTGCCATGTCTGGACTACCCTGTAAGTCCCCTCAATAAACCCTATGTCTTGCTTGCTGGCCAGGCATGATGGCTCATGCCTGTAATCCCAGCACTTTGGGAGGCCAAGACAGGCAGATCACTTGAGGTCAGGAGTTTGAGACCAGCTAGGCCAACATGGTGAAAACCCCATCTCTACTAAAAATACAAAAAAAAAATTAGTTGGGTATGGTGGCATGCACCTGTAATCCCAGCTACTTGAGGGGCTGAGGCAGGAGAATCGCTTGAACCGGGGAAGCGGAGGTGGCAGTGAGCCAAGATCACGCCATTGCACTCCAGCCTGGGCAACTAGACTCTGTCTCAAAAAACAAACAAACAAACAAACAAAAAACAGGCCAGGTACGGTGGCTTATGCCTGTAATCCCAGCACTTCGGGAGGCTGAGGCAGGTGGATCGCCTGATGTCAGAAATTTGAGACCAGCCTGGTCCACGTGGTGAAACCCTGCCTCTACTAAAAATACAAAAGTTAGCAGGGCATGGTGGTGAGTGACTGTAATCTCAGCTACTCGGGAGGCTGAGGCAGGAGAATCGCTTGAACCTGGGAGGCGGAGGTTACAGTGAGCTGAGATTGCACCACTGACTCCAGCCTGGGCAATAGAGTGAGATTCCATCTCAAAAAAACAAAACAAACACAGTACAAACCAAAAAACAAAACCCAGCTGGGTGCACTGGCTCACGCCTGTCATCCCAGCATGTTGAGGGGCTTGAGTTGGGCAGATCACTTGAGGTCAAGAGTTCGAGACTAACCTGGTCAATATGGTGAGATCCTGTCTCTACTAAAATTACAAAAAAATTAGCTGGGAATGGTCGCATGTGCCTGTAATCCCAGCTACTAGGGAGGCTGAGGCAGGAGAATCACCTCAACCTGAGAGATGGCGGTTGCAGTGAGCCAAGATGGCGCCACTGCACTCCAGCCTGGGCGACAGAGTGAGTGAGACTATGTCTCAAAGAAAAAAAAAAAAAAAAAAAGAAAAATCTCCAAGTATGTTTGGAAGAGGTTGACCAACTGCCCTGATTTTCCTGGGACCAAGGAGAATTTCAAGATGTAAGACTTTCATTTTTGAAACCAGGACATTCTCCAGGAAGACAAATTGGTCACAGGACTTTGAAACAATTTACTTATGTAAATCTATGAACTCTAAATACAGATCGAGTATTGTGAATGAAAATTAAGCATCCAAACTGAGATGTGCTATCATGTGTAAAATGAACCCTGGATTGCAAAGATTATTATGAAAAAACTTCAAAGTATTTTATTAATAATTTAAAAATATTGATTATATGTTGAAACACTTTTTTTTTTTTTTTCTGAGATGGAGTCTCACTCTGTCACCCAGGCTGGAGTACAGTGGTGCAATCTTGGCTCACTGCCACCTCTGCCTCCTGTGTTCAAGTGATTCTCCTGCCTCAGCCTCCTGAGTAGCTGAGATTACAGGCATGCGCTACCACGCCCAGCTAATTTTTTTTTACAGCAGAGACAGGGTTTCACTGTGTTGGCCAGGCTAGTCTGGAACCCCTGACCTCAAGTGATCTGCCCGCCTCGGCCTCCAAAGTGCTGGGATTACAGGCGTGAGCCCCCGCACCAACTTTTTTTTTTTTTTTTTTTTGAGATGGAGTCTTGCTCCCTCGCCCAGGCTGGAGTGCAGCAGCACCATCTTGGCTCATTGCAACCTCTGCCTCCCGGGTTCAAGCGATTCTCCTGCCTCAGGCTCCTGAGTAGCTGGAGCTACAGGCGCGCGTCATCATGCCCAGCTAATTTTTGTATTTTTGGTAGAGACGGGGTTTCACCATGTTGACCAGGCTTGTCTCGAACTCCTGACCTCAGGTGATCTGCCTGCCTCAGCCTCACAAAGTGCTGGGATTACAGATGTGAACCACTGTGCCTGGTCAAAATGCTAATATTTTGGCAGCACTTTGGGAGGTCGAGGCAGGCGGATCACTTGAGTTCAGGAGTTTGAGACCAGCCTGGCCAACATGGTGAAACCAAACCCCATCTCCACTAAAAATACAAAAAAATTAACTTGGTGTTGTGGCGGGCGCCTATAATCCCAGCTACTCAGGAGGCTGAGCCAGGAGAATTGCTGAAACCTGGGAGGCAGAGGTTGCAGTGAGCCGAGATCATGCCACTGCACTCCAGCCTGGGCGACAGAGTGAGACTCTGTCTCAAAAAAAAAAAAAAAAAAAAAATAGCAGAGTGAAGTCAGCACCCAATTCAACATGGCAGGTTCTAGAGAGGTTCAAATCATGATGGGGCTGGGTGCGATGAGGGGAGGTCTCTTCTGTTACAGGCTACCGTTAGTCCACACTTGGTCTGACCTAGTGGCCTTCTGTGCATGGCGGCCGCCCGGCATAGATTTTGATGATTTCCCATGTCACAAGCTTTGTCTTCACAAGGTGAGCTTCTGCAGCCTCCCTGTGGCTAAGATGCAGGCACATCAGACCTGTGTATGGCTCAGGTTCAGAAGTGAGCACAAGGTTCATGGATGGGATTTCAGAGAAGGCAGCAGGGATTTGTCTGGTAACAATTACTGTATACTACATAGCTCACACTTAGTGGAGAAAAATGACAAAATAGCCCGGTGCAGTGGCTTATGCCTCTAAGCACGGTGGCTCATGCCTGTAATCCCAACAACTTGGGAGGCTGAGATGGGAGGATTGCTTGAGACCAGGAGTTTGAGACTAGCAAGATCCTGTCTTAAAACATTTTTTTAAAAAAATAGCTGGGGATGGTGGCGCACGTCTGTTGTCCCAACTACTTGGGAGGCCGAGGCAGGAGAATCACTGGAACTGAGGAGTTCAAGGCTGCAGTGAGCTGTGATTGCACCACTGCACTGTTGTCTGGGCAGCCAGGCAAGACCCTGTCAAAAAGAAAGAATGAAAGAAAAGAAAGACAAAAGAAAGAAAGGAAAGGCCAAAGAAAGAAAACAAAGACGAAAGAAAGAAAAGATGAAAGAGAGAGAGAAAGAGAAAGAAAGAAAGAAAGAAAGAAAAAGAGAAAGAAAGAAAGAAAGAAAGAAAGAAAGAGGAAAGAAAGAAAGAAAGAAGAAAGAAAAAGCAGGAAGGAAGGAAAATAGGACATGACATTATATTAACTCATTAATTCTTCTTTTTTTTTTTTTTTTGAGACGAAGCCTCACTCCATCACCCAGGCTGGAGTGCCGTAGCACAATCTCAGTCACTGCAACCTCTGCCTCAAGCAATTCTCATGCCTCAGCCTCCCGAGTAGCTGGGATTACAGGTGCACACCACAATGCCCAGTTAATTTTTTTTTTGTATTTTTAGTAGAGACGGGGTTTCACCATGTTGGCCAGGCTGGTCTGGAAGTCCTGATCTCAGGTGATCCTCCCGCCTCGGCCTCCCAAAGTGCTGGAGAATTCTTTTTTTTTTTGAGACAGGGTCTCACTCTTACCCAGGCTGGAGTGCAGTGGCGTCATCACGGTTCCCTGCAGCCTCAAGCGATCCTCCCACCTTAGCCTCACAAGTAGCTGGGTCTACAGGCACACACCACCACACCTGGCTAATATTTGTATTTTTTGGTAGAGATGGAGTTTCATCATGTTGCCCAGACTGGTCTCAAACTCCTGATCTCAAGTGATTCTCCCACGTCTGCCTCCCAAAGTGTTAGAATTACAGGTGTGGGCCACCGTGCCTGGCCTGAACTCACAAATTCTATAGGTTGCTAATTCAGACAGGGCCTGTGAGAACAGTTTGTCTTTGCTCTGTGGTATCTGGCCTTTACTTGGAAAGACCTGAATGCTGGCGGTGATTTGGATGCCTGGGGGCTGGGGTCGCCTGGAAGCTTCTTTACTCTGTGTCTGAAGCCTGGTTGACGGGTGCCTCTCTCCATGGGGCTAGGGCTTCTCACAGCTTGGCAGCTGGATTCCCAGAGAGGATATCGCAGGGAGAGTCTGGAGAGCAAATGTGCCAAGAAAGTCAGCTGGAAGCCACATGGCCTTTTATGACCTAACCTCAGAAATCAAGCTGGGTGCGGTGGCTGCTGGACGCGGTGGCTCAAGCCTGTAATCCCACCACTTTGAGAGGCTGAGGTGGGTGGATCATTTGAGACCAGGAGTTTGACACCAGCCTGGCCAACATGGTGAAACTCCGTCTCTACTAAAAATACAAAAATTAGCTGGGTGTGGTGGTGCGTGCCTATAATCCCAGCACTTTGCGAGGCTGAGGTGGGCAGATCACTTGAGGCCAGGAGTTTGACACCAGCCTGGTCAAGATGGTGAAACTCTGTCTCTACTGAAAATACAAAAATTAGCCAGGCGTGGTGGTGCATGTCTACAGTCTCAGCTACTCGGGAGCTGAAGCATGAGAATTGCTTGAACCCAGGAGGCAGAGGTTGCAGTGAGCCGAGGTTGCGCCCCTGCACTCCAGCCTGGGCAACGGAGCAAGACTCCATCTCAAAACAACACACAAAAAAAGAAATCATAGGGATGTCACCTGCATGGTATTCTCTGGGTTGAAACAGGTACAACCCCAGCTTGAGTTAGGGGAGGGGGCTGATATAGTCTGAATATTTGTCCCCTCTAAATCTCGTGTTGAAATGTGATCCCCAGTATTGGAGATGAGGCCAAGTGGGAGGTGTTTGGGTCATGGGGGCAGATGCCTCATGAATGGCTTGGTGCCCTCCCTGTGGTAATGAGTGAATTCTTGCTCTTTTCACTCATTCTTTCAAAGAGCTGGATCTTTGAAAGAACCTGGCATGTCTGTTGCTCACCACGTGATCTTGTCGGCCCCCCTTCATCTTCCACTATGATAGGAAGCTTCCTGCGGTCCTCACTAGCAGCAGATGCTGGCACCATGCTTCTTGTACAGCCTGCAGAACCACGAGCCTTTATAAATCACCCAGCCTCAGGTATTCCTTTATAGCAACAAAAACAGACTAAGACAGGGTCATAGACCCTGCTTCTTGATGGAGGAGGACAAAGTTACTTTGCAGAAGAGCATGTTGGATGAAGTTACTTTTGTAGCCATTTTGGGAAAATACAACTTGACATTTAGAAAGGTGAAGTCCTGGAGAAGGTGTGGCTGTGGAAGCTGCCACAGCTTCATTTTCTTCCTTCCTTCTTTCTTTCCTTCCTTCCTTCCTTCCTTCCTTCCTTCCTTCCTTCCTTCCTTCCTTCCTTCCTCCCTCCCTCCCTCTCTCCTTCCCTCCCTCCCTCTCTCTCTTTTTTTTTGAGACAGAGTCTTGCTCTGTTGCCCAGGCTGGAGTTCAGTGGTGTGATCTCAGCTCACTGCAATCTCCGCCTCCTAGATTCAAGTGATTTTCATGCCTTAGACTCCCAAGTAGCTGGGACTACAGGCGCCCCCCACCACACCCGGCTAATTTTTGTATAGCGGAGATGGGGGTTCACCATGTTGGCTAGGCTGGTCTCGAACTCCTGACCTTAAGTGATCCACCCACCTCAGCCTCCCAAAGTGCTGGGATTACAGGCATCAGCCACTGTGCCTGGCCCACAGCTTCATTTTCTTATCAGGACAGTTCTGCCCCATGGTGCTGGGTAAGGGTCCTATAACTTTAAGCCTAGACTTTATTTCTTCAGCTTTCCAAAAGATCCTGTTCTCTGTTCAATGTTTTAAAATTAAGCTTTTTGGCCGGGTACTATATAGCTCATGTCTAATCTCCGCACTTTGGGAGGCCAAGGTGGGAGGATCGCTCGAGGCCAGGAGTTTGAGACAAATTTGGCCAATACAGTGAAAGCCTGTCTCTATAAAATAAATAAATAAAATTAGGCTTGTTATCTTAAGATAATTGTAGATTCACTTGCAATTGTAAGACATTAATACCCAGAGAGCCCTCGTGCCCTTCATGCAATTTCCCCCAATGGTAACAGCTTGCAAAACTGTAGTACAATCTCACAACCAGGAAATTGCCTTTGATACCATCCACTGAACTTATCCAGGTTCTACCAGTTTTACATGTAATTGTGCGTGTGTGTTTAGTTCCATACAATTTACTCAGTACTCTAAAAATAGACTCTTCATCTTACAATGGTTTTAAATTTACAGAAAAATTGTTAAGACAGTAGGATTTGCATATATCCTGTACCATTTCCCCCTTTTATTAACATCTTGCACTGGTATAGTATATTTGTTACCGTTAATGAACTGAAATTAATACATTGTAATTAACTTAAGTCCATACTTTAGTTAGATCTCCTTAATTTTTACCAATTTCCTTTTTCTTTTCTTTTTTTTTTCTTTCTTTTTTTTTTTTTTTTTTGAGACGGAGTTTCACTCTTGTTGCCCAGGCTGGAGTGCAATGGCGCGATCTTGGCTCACCGCAACTTCCGTCTCCCGGGTTCAAGTGATTCTCCTGCCTCAGCCTCCCGAGCAGCTGGGATTACAGGCATGCGCCACCACCCTGGCCAATTTTGTATTTTTAGTAGAGACGGGGTTTTCTCCATGTTGGTCAGGCTGGTCTTGAACTCCCGACCTCAGGTGATCCACCCACCTCAGCCTCCCAAAGTGATGGGATTATAGGCGTGAGCCACCGCGCCTGGCCCAATTTCCTTTTTCTGTCCGAAGATCCCATCCGTGACACCATGTGACAGTTAGTAGTAATGTCTTCTTGGGCTCTTCTTGGCTGTGATAGTGTACAAAAAAAAATTAATTTTCTTTGAGACAGTCTCACTCTGTCACTCAGGCTGGAGAGTAGTGGTGTGATCATAGCTCACTGCAGCCTCAATCTCCTGGGCTCAAGTGATCCTCCCTCCTCAGCCTCCCATATTTTTAATACAGACAGGGTTTCACCATGTTGGCTAGGCTGGTCTTGAACTCCTGACCGCAGGTGATCTGACCTCAGGTGATCTGCCCGCCTCGGACTCCCAAAGTGCTGGGATTACTGATAGGAGCCATCACACTTGGCCAGTTTACTTGATGTTTTAAAAATAAATTCCTCTGCTATGTAAACTGACCAGAATGGATTCTGTTGATTGCAACTAAGACCCATAACTGATGCAGTTGGCATTCAAGCCTCACGCCGGCTAATTTTGTCTCTGTGTGTGTGTGTGTGTGTGTGTGTGTGTGTGTGGTAGAAATGGAGTCTTGCTATGTTGCCCAGGCTGGTCTCAAACTCCTGGCCTCAAGTGATCCTCCTGCCTTGGCTTCCCAAAGAGCTGGGATGACGGTTGTGAGCCACCACACCTGGTCAGTTTACTTGACATATTAAAAATAAATTTCTGGCCAGGTGAGGTGGCTCACACCTGTAATCCCAGCACTTTGGGAGGCCAAGGGGGGTGGATCACTTGAGGTCAGGAGTTCGAGACCAGCCTGGCCAATATGGTGAAACCCCATCTCTACTAAAAATACAAAAATTAGCTGGATATGGTGGCACATGCCTGTAATTTCAGCTACTCGGGAGGCTGAGGCGGGAGAATGGCTTGTACCCTGGAGGCAGAGGTTGCGGTGAGCCAAGATCGTGCCACTGCACTCCAGCCTGGGCGATAGAGCAAGAATTCGTCTCAATAAATAAATAAATTCATTCATTCATTTCTTTGCTATGTAGACTGACCAGAATGGATTCTGTTGCTTGCAGCTAAGACCCATAACTGATGTACTTGGCATTCAAGGCTCACTGTGGTGTGGTCTTTGCTTATATCTCTGGTCCCATCTGCCACCATTCCCAGCCTAGTACTTTACCCTCCAGTGAAAGATCTCTCTCCCTCTTCCATACTCTCTCATGGCCTCTGACCCTTGTACAGGCTGACAGATCCATATTTATTTCACCTCTGTCATCACCTCCTCCGGGAAGCTTTCTGTGATTTTTCCCAGCAGTGTGGGGTACCTGCCTCTCATCTGTATGTCCACAGTTCTTTGGGGCAGGGCCATATGCTCGTTAAGATCATGGTCTCTGGCCAGGTATGGTGGCTCATGCCTGTAATCTCAGCACTTTGGGAGGCCAAGCTGGCAGATCACTTTGAAGCCAGGAGTTCAAGACCAGACTGGCCAATATGGCAAAACCCCTCTACTAAAAATACAAAAATTAGCTGGGTGTGGTGGTGTATGCTTGTAATCCCAGCTACTTGGGAGGCTGAGGCAGGAAAATCACTTGATCACTTGAACCTAGGTGGCGGAGGTTGCAGTGAGTGGAGATTGTACCACTACACTACAGCCTGGGCGACAGAGACTGTCTCAAAAAAAAAAAAGGCCGGGCGCTGTAGCTCACGCCTGTAATCCCAGCACTTTGGGAGGCCTAGGCGAGCAGATCACAAGGTCAGGAGATCGAGACCATCCTGGCTAACACGGTGAAACCCCGTCTCTACTAAAAAATACAAAAAATTAGCTGGGCATGGTGGTGGGTGCCTGTAGTTCCAGCTACTCTGGAGGCTGAGGCAGGAGAATGGCGTGAACCCAGGAGATGGAGCTTGCAGTGAGCCGAGATCGCGCCACTGCACTCCAGCCTGGGCAACAGAGGGAGACTCCACCTCAAAAGAAAAAAAAAACCACAAAAAACAAACAAACAAACAAAAACAAAAAAAGGCCGGGGGGCGTGGTGGCTCATGCCTGTAATCTCAGCACTTTGGGAGGCTGAGGTGGACAGATCATGAGGTCAGGAGTTCGAGACCAGCCTGGCCAACATGGTGAAACCTTGTCTCTACTAAAAATACAAAAATTAGCCAGGTGTGGTGGCGGGCGCCTGTAATCCCAGCTACTTGGGAGGCTGAGGCAGGAGAATTGCTTGAACCTGGGAGGCGCAGGTTGCAGTGAGCTGAGATCGTCCCATTACACTCCAGCCTGGGTGACAAGAGCAAGACTCCATTTCAAAAAAAAAAAAAAAATCGTGGTCTCTGATGTCAGACATAGCTGAGTTCTGACACTGCCTTCTTCTAGCTGCGTGGTTTTAGGCATGTTGTTTATTTTTTATTTATATTTTTATCTTATTTTATGATTATTTTTATTATTATTTTTTGACAGAGTCTCGCTCTGTCACCCAGGCTGGAGTGCAGTGGCGTGATCTCAGCTCACTGCAACCTCTGCCTCCCAGGTTCAAGCAATTCTCCTGCCTCAGCCTCCTGAGTAGCTGGGACTACAGGCGCATGCCACCACACCCAGCTAATTTTTGTATTTATAGTAGAGACGGGGTTTCACCATGTTGGCCAGGCTGATCTTGAACTCCTGACCTCAAGTGATCTGCCTGCCTTGGCCTCCTAAAGTATTTTATTATTTATTTTTTTACAAAAGAGATGGAGGTTTTACTAAGTTGCCCAGGCTGGTCTTGAATTCCTGGACTCAAGCAATCCTCCCGCTTTGGCCTCCCAAAGTGCTGGGATTACGGTCATGGATGTGATTACCACCACACCCGGCCTGAACACACTGTTTAATCTCTGTGAATGCTCTTTTCCTCCTAGGTAAAATAGCATAATAAGAGTTCCTGACTCATAGGTTGCAACAAAAACTGAAGAAAATGCTAAAAAGCGCACAGCATGGCTGGGCGCAGTGGCTCACGCCTGTAATCTCAGCACTTTGGGAGGGTGAGGTGGGTGGATCACGAGGTCAAGAGATTGAGACCATCCTGGCCAACATGGTGAAACCCCGTCTCTACTAAAAATACAAAAATTAGCTGGGCGTGCTGGTGCGCGCCTGTAATCCCAGCTACTCGGGAGGCTGAGGCAGGAGAATCGCTTGAACCTGGGAGGCGGAGGTTGCAGTGAGCTGAGATTGCACCACTGCACTCCATCCAGCCTGGTGACTTGAGTGAGACTCTGTCTCAAAAAAAAAAAAAAAGCAAACAGCACACAAATTAGGCCCATGGTCAATGTTAGCTGTGGTCATTCCTATGGTCATGCCCAGAAGCCCTGACCTGTCATTCATCGCATGAAGTTGAAATGGTCCGATTCCATGGGGGCTGTCACTTCCCTTATACCAGTTGCTTAGCTCCAGGATGGCAGAGGCCACTCCTTTTTCATCTTTCTATTCTCAGAGTTGACCTAAAAATAGGTGTTTGTCAAGTGGCCTAAATGGATTACCCACCCCAGCTCCTGTAGTTCCTGCCACATGAGACACCATGAGAATCTTCTTTTCTAGCTCTGTGCCAGGAAAGCTTTTGCTGCCTCCGAAGACCTGGGAAGTTTTCTCCTTGGGGACAATTAGGCAACATGGCTCAAGGGCTGCTGCTGGTATCTGGAGTCTGTTAGCCTGGGTCCCTTCCCTTCCCCTTCCCTTCCCCTTCCCTTCCCCTTCCCTTCCCCTCCCCTTCCCCTCTCCTTCCCCTCCCCTTCCCCTCTCCTTCCCCTCCCCTTCTCCTCTCCTTCCCCTCCCCTTCTCCTCTCCTTCCCCTCCCCTTCTCCTCTCCTTCCCCTCCCCTTCTCCTCTCCTTCCCCTCCCCTTCCCCTCTCCTTCCCCTCCCCTTTCCCTCGCCCTCCACTCCCCCTTCCCCTCTCCCTCCCCTCCCCCTTCCCCTCCCCCTCCCTTTCCCTTCCCCTCTCCCTCCCCTCCCCTCCTCTTTCTTTCTTTCTTTCTCTTTTCTTTCTTTCTCTTTTCTTTCTTTCTTTCTTTCTTTCTTTCTTTCTTTCTTTCTTTCTTTCTTTCATCTCTTCTTTCTTTCTCTTTCTTTCTTTCTTTCTTTCTTTCATCTCTTCTTTCTTTCTCTTTCTTTCTCTCTCTCTTTCTTTCTTTCCTTTTTTTTTTGGAGTCTCACTCTGTTGCCCAGGCTGGAGTGCAGCAGCACGATCTCGGCTTACTGCAACCTCTGCCTTCCAGGTTCAAGCGATTCTCCTGCCTCAGCCTCCCAAGTAGCTTGGAGCTTGGACTACAGGCACCTGCCACCTCGCCCGGCTAATTTTTTGTATTTTTAGTAGAGACGGGGTTTCACCGTGTTAGCCAGGATGGTCTCAATCTCCTGACCTCGTGATCCACCCGCCTCGGCCTCCCAAAATGCTGGGATTACAGGCGTGAGACACCACACCCAGCTAATTTTTGTATTTTTAGTAGAGATGGAGTTTTACCGTGTTGGTCAGGCTGGTCTTGAACTCCTGACTTTAGATGATCCATCCACCTTGGCCTCCCAAAGTACTGGGATTACAGGCATGAGCCACTGCACCCAGTCTAACCTGGGTTTCAATCCCAGCTGTGTGGCTTGCATCCTGTGTGAACCTTGGTGGACTTATTTCCCTCTCTGTGCCTCATTTCCTTATCTGCTAGTTTGGCCTGACACACAGGACCGGCTACATAATTTGCAGGGCCCGTTCCAAAATGAAACTTGAGGGCTCTTGTTGAAAAATTATTAAGGATTTCAAAATGGCCACCGTACAGCATGAAACCGAGTGTGTAATTGCATGGCTCATGCCCCCTGAGACCGGCTCTGCTGACACTCACCCAGAGTGCATGCTGGTTTTTTCCTATCTTGCTCAGTGCTCTGTCCACAGTCCCTAGAACAGTAGGTACAGACTGAATACATGTTTATTGAATAGGCCGGGTGCAGTGGCTCATGCCTGTAATCCCAGCACTTTGGGAGGCTGAGACGGGTGAATCAGGTGAGGTCAGGAGTTCGAGACCAGCCTGGCCAACATGGCGAAACTCCGTCTCTACTAAAAATACAAAAAGTAGCTGGGTGTGGTGGCTCATGCCTGTAATCCCAGCTACTCAGGAGGCTGAGGCGGGAGAATTACTTGAACCTGGGAGGTGGAGGTTGCAGTCAGCAGACATCGAGGCACTGCACTCCAGCCTAGGTGACAGAGCAAGACTCCATCTAAAAAAAAAAAGTTTATTGAATAAACAAACAAACAAACAAATAAATAACTAAATGGAGGCTGGGAGAAGTGGCAGCTGGTGGGGTTGGGGATGGCACAGGGCTCTCATGTCTGCCAGTCTCCTCTCTGGGACTCAGTTTCTTCTTTCTCTCTTTCTTTTTTTTTTTTTTTTTTTTTTGAGATAGAGTCTCGCTGTTGTCCAGGCTGGAGTGCAATGGCGCAATCTTGGCCCATTGCAACCTCTGCCTCCCAGATTCAAGCGATTCTCCTGCCTCAGCCTCCCAAGTAGCTGGGATTACAGGTGCCAGCCACCATGCTCGGCTAATTTTTGTATTTTAAGTAGAGATGGGGTTTCACCATGTTGGCCAGTCTGGTTTCAAACTCCTGACCTCAGGTGATCTGCCCATCTCTGCCTCTCAAAGTGCTGGGATTACAGGTGTGAGCCACCACGCCCAGCTGGGACTCAGTTTCTTTATCTGTAAACTAGAAGGGGTGGCCTGTGATCTTGAATCTTCTTCTAGGTCTCTAGTTCCATGCCACCATCACTCAAAACAAATCTGAGCTCCCCTTTTGGGATTTGCCATCAGAGGTGGCAACACTTTCTTCTGACTTTTTGTTACCCGTGGCTTGGTTATAAAAAACAGACAAGGCCGGGTGTGGTGGCTCAAGCCTGTAATCCCAGCACTTTGGGAGGCCGAGGTGGGAGGATCACTTGAAACCAGTAGTTCAGGACCAGCCTGGGCAACAAAGCAAGACCCCATCTCTACAAAATGTAATAATAAAAAAAGAAATCAGCTGGTTGTGATGACAGGTGCCTCAACAACTCAAGAGGCTGAGGCAGGAGGATTGCTTAAGCATAGGAATTTGAGGTTGCAGCGAGCTATGCTCCTGCCACTGCACTGGAGCGTGAGTGAAACAGCCAGACTCTATCTCTAAAAGAAAATATTAAAATTTAAAAAAAATTAGTTGGGTGTGGCAGCACACACCTGCATCCCAGCTACTCAGGAGGCTAAGGCAGGAGGATCACTTGAGGCCAGGAATTGGAGGTTGCAGTGAGCTGTGATCACACCACTGCACTCCACCCTGGGTGACAGAATGAGACCCTATCTCTAAAAAAAAAAAAACAATACAACAAAAACAAACAGATGTCAAAGGAGGGGCTCAAACAAACAAATATAAATTAAAAACAGAAAGAAAGAAAGACATAGGCCAGGCACAGTGGCTCACTCCTGTAATCCTAGCACTTTGGGAGGCCAAGACAGGTGGATCACATGAGGTCAGGAGTTCAAGACCAGCCTGGTCAACATGGTAAAACCCCATCTCTACTAAAAATACAAAAATTAGCTGGGTGTGGTGGCGCATGCCTATAATCCCAGCTACTTGGGAGGCTGAGTCAGAATTGCTTGAACCCGGGAGGTGGAGGTTGAAGTGAGCCGAGATCACGCCATTGCATTCCAGCCTGGGCAACAAGAACAAAACTCTATCTCAAAAAAAAAAAAAAAAAAAAAAAAAAAAAGACCGGGTGCGGTGGTGGCTCATGCCTGTAATCTCAGCACTTTGGGAGGCCGAGGTGGGGGGATCACGAAGTCAGGAGATTGAGTCCATGCTTGCTAATTTGGTGAAAACCCGTCTCTACTAAAAATACAAAAAATTAGCCCGGCATGGTGGCAGGTGCCTGTAGTCCCAGCTACAAAAATTAGCCAAGCATGGCAATGCATGCCTGTAATCCTAGCTACTCGAGTGGTGGGGCACAAGAATCTCTTGAACCCAGGAAGCGGAGGTTGCAGTGAGTCAAGATTGCACCGCTGCACTCCAGTCTGGCCAACAGAGTGAGATTCTGTCTCAAAAAAAAAAAAAAAAAAAAAAGGAAAGAAAGAAAAGAGAATGCCTTTAGGAAAGGAAAGCCTCAGTGCTCTTCCTGGCACACAGTAGATGCTCAGGAAGTATCTGTTGAATGAATGAATGAATGAATGAATGAATGAATGCATGGACAAAGCAATTCTTTGGCAGTCTGGCTTAAGGGCAGGCTCCCTTTATGGCTTGTATTCTGTACTCTTTCCTGACTTATGAAGGAGGAAAAGAAGGAAACGGGTGTGTGTCCAGGGCTTCTCTGTGGTGCCCGTGGGTACATTGTTGCGTCTGATCCTCTGGAGAGGTAGGGATTCATGTGCCCTTTCTACAGATGGGGAGACTGAGGCTAGAGGAGGTTAGGAGGAAAGGTGCACGTGGACCCAGCTTTCCTTGGGTCTCCCCAGGGCTGCCCCAGGACTGAGCAGGCAGAGGTGGTAAAGGAACACCTATGAGTCAGATCAGTGAGGGAACACTAGGCACCATGGTGAGGATGACAGCTCCAGGCTGTCCATAGGAAAGGCTGCAGCAGGACAAGAGGCCACTCAGTCATTCCCTCCTATCTCTCTCTGCACCTGGGCTCACTTCCATCTGCCTCTTCTCCTCTCCTCCCCACTCCTCAGCTTGTGCCCTTTCAGCATTTTTTTTTTCTTTCTTTTTGGTCTTAATCCATGGCTGAGGACTTGCCTGTGCGGTTTCTGTTGCCCAGGCTGCAGTGCAGTGGCATGATCCTGGCTCCCTGCAACCTCCGCCTCCTGGGTTCAAGCAATTCTCCTGCCTCAGCCTCTCAACTAGCTGGAAATACAGGTGCATGCCACCAAGCCTGGGTAATTCTTGTATTTTTAGTAGAGACGGGGTTTCGCCATGTCAGCCAGGCTGGTCTTGAACTCCTGACCTCAAGTGAGCTGCCCGCCTCAGCCTCCCAAAATTCTGGGATTACAGGTATGAGCCATTATGCCTGTCCTGCCTGCACAGTTTCTTTCTTTCTTTCTTTCTTTCTTTCTTTTTTATTATACTTTAAGTTGTAGGGTACATGTGCACAATGTGAAGATTTGTTACATATGTATACATGTGCCATGCTGGTGTGCTACACCCATTAACTCATCATTTACATTAGGTATATCTCCTAATGCTATCCCTCCCCACTCCCTCCACCGCACAACAGGCCCTGGTGTGTGATGTTCCCCACCCTGTGTCCAAGTGTTTTCATCGTTCAATTCCCACCTATGAGTGAGAACATGCGGTGTTTGGTTTTCTGTCCTTGCGATAGTTTGCTCAGAATGATGGTTTCCAGCTTCATCCATGTCCCTACAAAGGACATGAACTCATCCTTTTTTATGGCTGCATAATCCATAAATGGATTTCTTAATCCAGTCTATTATTGATGGACATTTGGGTTGGTTCCAAGTCTTTGCTATTGTGAATAGTGCCGCAATAAACATACGTGCCTGCCTGCACAGTTTCTAAGAACCAAAAGGTTGACCTGGTGGAAGATAGAGGTTGCAGGCCCTCCACACCCCTGCTACTCATACCTCCATGCTTCAACTTTTCCATCTATAAATTGGGGTTGTTATAAGGATTCTGGGTGATGTGTGTTGGTTCTGAGTACAGTTCTGGCCAATGGGAAGTGCCCAACAGAGGAAAATTGTTGTTGTTATTATTTTGCCTGTTCCTAAGCCTAACCCAACAGAAGCTCTTTAATATTCTGGAAACTGGGATGGCACAGTGGCTCATACCTATAACCCCAGCATTTTGGGAGGCCAAGGTGGGAGGCTCACTTCAGCCCAGGAGTTTGAGACCAGCCTGGGCAACCTAGCAAGACCTTCTCCCTATGAAAAAATAAAAAAGTAGCCAGGCACAGTGGTGAGCACCTGTCATCCCCCAGTGGCTTGGGAGGCTGAAGTGGGAGGATCACCTGAGCCTGGAAGTTTGAGGCTGCTGTGAGCTATGATGGCACCACTGCACTCCAGCCTGGGTGACAGAGCAAGAAATTATTATTATTATTATTTTTAAGTGGCCAGGCATGGTGGCTCATGCTTGTAATCTCAGCACTTTGGAAGGCTGAGATGGGAGGATTGCTTGAGCCCAGCAGTTCAAGAACAGCCTGGGCAACATAGTGAGACCCCTTCTCTAAAAATAAAATTAAATGTTTAAAAATCTGGAAACTAATTCTGGAGAGGACTGGAGTCTGAGATTCTGAAGGTTTATTTTGGATACATTGTACCTCAATTTTATGATCACGAAAATGCAAGTCTCTGCATGTCTGACCCCCAGGAAGGTGTTGAGATGTTGGTCATTTGAGTCAGTGGACAGGAAAACCAGGGGTGAATCCTGTAGAATTTACACAGGGCCAAGTTTGGATGGTAAGCCCAGGGAGGGCAGGGCTGAGACGAAGCATGGCCTTCCCCAACATGATGTTCATTTAAGGTTTGTGGAGTGACTCACGATGCGTAGGTGGTGACTGACCACTGGTGAGTATACTGGAGCTAGAGAATGACCCCATGTCCTAAGCAGCCCCAAAATTTCTTGGCAGGTCACAGCAGAGGGAGCTGTGCCCAGGGAATCTTTTTGGACATTGCAAAGATGATTTTTCTCTCTTGGGAACGAGTCTGATCTCTTTAACTCCTTTGTGAAGATGCCAAAAACATCTGCAGTGGACACTGCTGGAATTGCTCATGAGATGTAAGCCACGTTTCAGAGAAAAGAGCAATCTATCAGAGGATATTCCTTCCAGCAACTGAGAACCTTTCAGAGCTTGATTGCTGTGAATGCTCCAGCCTTTCCAAAGTGTTTTACGCCACTCTCAAATGAGATAACGAAGCACTTTAATTTACTGTTCAACTCCCAAACAGAGTGAGTGGGTAAGGCGTCATCCGCACCCCAGGCCTAAGGAGATAGAAGGCTGGAACCAGGCTCAGGAGGCCACACTGAACCCAGCATGTTGTCAATGGTCCTCAGATCTATTTTTTTTTTTTTTTTTTTTTTTGAGACAGGGTCTTGCCCTGTTACCCAGGCTAGAGTGCAGTGGTGTGATCATAGTTCACTGCAGCCTCAAAATCCTAGATTCAAGGGATCCTGCTGCCTCAGCCTCCCGAGTAGCTGGGACTACAGGCACATACCACCATGCCTGGCTAGTTTTTTTCATTTTCTTTAGAGATGGAGTCTTGCTATGTTGCCCAGGCTAATCTTGAATTCCTGACCTTAAGCAATCCACCCACCCTGGCCTCTCAAAGTGCTGGGATTGCAGGTGTGAGCCACTGTGCCCAGCCTCTTCCTAGCTCTTGGGTCCCTCTTGCAAACTGACCCATGGGAACAACTTTGCTGGGCCTCTGAATTTGACTAAATGTCCTTAAATTCTGTGGACAGGATCAGAGTTTAGATTAAAGTGAGGACATCTCCTTCCCTTCCTTTTTTATCCTCCACTACAATCACAATCTCTGTCATTTTATGAGAGGGAAACTGAGGCTCAGAGGAGTTGAGTCACTCCCTTCGGAGTGCAGAGTTAGGTCACAAAAGACTAAAATTAGATCCAGGTCTGCCTGGCCTTCCACTACTCTAGAGGCTGCTCCAGAGGGGTTCCCTTTTGTCTCACGAAGGCCTGGAGCCACTTGGTCACCCTCTCTAGAACTTCCCTCCAAGAATATGAAAAGGCATTCTTCCTCATTCATGGCAGATGCAGATGAAAACACAAAGCGTAAGGCTAGGTGCGGTGGCTCATGACTGTAATCCCAGCACTTTGGGAGGCTGAGGTGGGGGGATCACTTGAGGTCAGGAGTTTGAGACCAGCCTGACCAACATGATGAAACCTCGTCTCTACTAAAAATACAAAAATTAGCCAGATGTGGTGGTGCACACCTGTAGTCCCAGCTACTGGGGAGGCTGAGGCAGGAGAATCACTTGAACCTGGGAGGTGGAGGTTGCAGTGAGCCGAGATCGCACCATTGCACTCCAGCCTGGGTGACAAGAGTGAGATTCTGTCTCAAAAAGGAAAAAGAAAAATAAAAAGAAAGCACAAAGTACAGCCCTACTGTGGCAGAGTGCAGAGGCACATGGTTCACACCACCTTCCATGAAGGGTTTGTGGCCCCTCTGTGAATGCTGTCCACAGGAACTGTCTCAACTACAGGGAACTCCTTCTCCCAATATCCCATGGCTGTGGAAGGGTGGAGGTCCAACCACCTTGGCCAAGCCTGGACAAGTGTGAATGGCTGTTTCAGCTCCTGTTCTCCTGGGCTCAGTGGAAGCTTACCTTCTCACCATTTCTCCATTGCTTGCTCCTGCTTCCTTCTGGCCTCTTGCTCTCAAGAACACCTTTTTTTTTTTTTTTTTTTTTTTAAAGAGACAGTGTCTCGCTCTGTCACCCAGGTTGGAGGTGCGGTGGTGCAATCATGGCTCACTGCAGCCTCTTAACTCCTGGGTTCAAGTGATCCTCCTGCCTCATCCTCCTGAGTAGCTAGGACTACAGGTATGCACCATCATGCCCAGCTTTTTTATTTTTTGTGGAGGTGGGGGTCTTGCTATGTTGCCCAGGCTGGTCTTGAATTCCAATTCCTGGGCTCAAGCAATCCTCAGCTTCCCAAAGTGCTGGGATTACAGCCATAAACCACTGTGCCTGGCCTTCAAGGGCACTGCTTAATAAATATCCTGCTTGCTCAATCCATCTCAGAGCGTTTCATGGGGAACGTCATCTGTGAGGTTGCACATACAACCTGTGCATATGTATCAAAACATCCCTAGGTACCCCATAAATATGTGCAATTCTTATTTGCAATTGAAACAAAACAGGCTGGGTGCAGTGGCTTATGCCTGTAATCCCAGCACTTTGGAAGGCTGAGGCAGGCAGATCACTTGAGGTCAGGAGTTTGAGACCAGACTGGCCAATGTAGTGAAACCTTGTTTCTACTAAAAATACAAAAATTATCCAGGTGTGGTGGCACATGCCTGTAATCCCAGCTACTCAGGAGGCTGAGGCAGAACTGCCTGAACTCAGGAGATGGAGGTTGCAATGAGCCAAGATTGTGCCACTGCATTCCACCCTGAGCAGCAGAGTGAGACTCCATCTCAAAAACTAAACTAAACTAACTAAATAAATAAAACAAACAAAATCTTGAAAAAATTAAAGAATTTTATCTATCTAAATTCCCCTTTCTTTCTCCCTAACACGAAAAGCTCTATCCTGTTAACCATGTTTTGAAACTCCATAAACCAACACATACATGGTTAGTTGATTTTTTTTTTTTTTTTTTTTTAATAATAGAGATAGGGTTTCAACATGTTGCCCAGGCTGGTCTTGAACTCTTGGGCTCAAGCGATCTGCCCACCTCAGGGTCAGCTGGTTTTTACAAAATGGCAAAGACAATCAAATGGATAAATGGTAGTCATGTCAACAAATGGTGTTGCAGCTGGGCATGGCTGCTCACGCCTGTAATCCCAACACTTTGGGAGGCTGAGGCAGGAGGATGGCTTGAGGCCAGGAGTTCATGACCAGCCTGGACAACATAGCAAGACCCTGTCACTAAAAAAAAAGAAGCAGCAGCTGTGTGTGGTGCTATGTGCCTGTAGTCCCAGCTACTTGGGAGCCTGAGGTGGGAGGATTGCTTGAGTTTGAGGCTGCAGTGACCTGTGATTGTACCACTGCACTCTATTCAGCCTGGTTGACGGAGGAAGACTCTGTCTCAACAACAAACAAACAAACAACAAATGATATTGGAATAACTAGTCGTGCATATGTTTTTTTTAAAAAAGAGAGAACCTTGACCACCTCTACCTTACAACTTAACAAAAGTTATTTCAAAATGGATCATAGACCTAAATCCAACCTCAAAATTAAAATACTTCCCGAAGGAAACATAGCAGAAAATCTTTGTGAGCTTAGATTAGGAAAAAAGTTTCTTAGATATAGCTTCTATATCCATGAAGCATAAATAAAAACATATGCTAAACTAGATTTCATAAAAATTAAAAACATCTGATTTTCAAAAGACACTCTTATGAAAATGGAAAAACAAACCACAAACCAGGAAAAAATGTTTGCAAGGCACATAAATGATAAAGGACTTTTATTGAGAATGTAAAGAATCCTCAAAAGTCAGTAGTAAGAAAATAACTAAATTTAAAATGGCCAAAAAGTCCAACACAGTGGCTTATGGCTGTAATCCCAGCACTTTGGGAGGCCAAAGCAGGAGGATCGCGTGAGTCCAGAAGTTCAAGACCAGCCCGGGCAACACAGTAAGACCTTGTCTCTACAAAATATATATAGCTGGGTATGGTGGTGTGTTCCTGTGGTCCCAGCTACTCAGGAGGCTGAAGTAGGAGGATCACTTGAGCCTGTGAGGTTGAGGCTGCAGCAAACTGTGATTGTGCCACTGCACTCTAGCCTCAGCAAAAAATAAATAAATAAAAATAATTTTAAATTAAAAAGAAGAAGAAAAAAATTTAAAGTGAACATACAGCTGGGCATGGTGGCCCACGCCTGTAATCCCAGCACTTTGGGTGGCTTAGGCAGGTGGATCACCTGAGGTCAGGAGTTTGAGACCAGCCTGGCCAACATGGTGAAACCCCATCTCTACTAAAAATACAAAAATTAGCCCGGCATGGTGGCTGGTGTCTGTAATCCCACCTACTTGGGAGGCTGAGGCAGAAGAATCACTTGAACCTGGGAGGCAGAAGCTATAGTGAGCTGAGAAGGTGCCACTGCACTCCAGCCTGGGCGACAGAGTGAGACTTGGTCTCAATAAATAAATAAATAAATAAATAAATAAATAAATAAATGTAACATACACTTACCACATGACCCAGCAATCCCATTTTTAGGTGTTTAACCAGGAGAAATGAAAATTTGTATTCAAACAAAAGTCGGTTCACAAATATTTATGGTCAGTTTATTTATAATTGCCCCAAAGTACAAACAAGTCAAATGCACTTCAACTACAGAATGGATAAATTGGTACATCCATACAGTAGACTACTATTCAGCAGTTAAAAAAAAAGCTGTTGAGATACTCAACAACATGAATGAATCTCAAAGGCATTATGCTAAGTGGAAGAAGACAGACTCAAAATGCCATGTGCTCCATGATTACAGGAGATGTGAGGTGGGGGTAAGACTTGACTACAATAGGGCAGTGTGCAATTTTGGGGAATGATGGAACCCTTTTATATCTTGATTGTGATGATGTCTACCTAAAGGTATGCATTCTGCCAGACTCACAAAACTGTACACAAAGACTAGTCAATTTCACTGTATGCAAATTGTAGCTCAATAAACCAGACTGGAAAAGTTGAACCATAAACATTGTATATAACTGGTATCATATTGTATGTATCCTTCTGCAACCTGCTTTTTTTGCTCACTACTAATGACTTTTGAGGTTTATCCAAGTTGATACTACGTAGACTATAATGATACATGTAGCTTTTCTTTATTTATTTTAACTGCTACAACATATTCCATTATACATTATACTTTGTTTATCCAGTCTCCTGTTGGTGAACGTTTACTTTGTTTCTGTTTTTTCTCTTGTTTTAAACAATGTTGCAATAAACATTCCTGTAAATGTATTCTATAGCACTAGTGCTGGAATCTCTCTGCAAGATATTTACGTAGAATAGTATGTGGAATGGTTGGGACAAGAGGGTGGTGAATATCTCTGTTTTGCTCTCCAAGGGCTTATACCAACTGACACTCTACCAGCATGTGTCAGAATCTCCTTTTTCTACACACCCATCAATAATTGGGATTATCAGACTTTAGCTTTTGCTTAGCTGATAAATGTAAAATGATATATTGTTGCTGCTTTATTTTTACAATTTCTCTGATTGTCATTGTGGTTGAACATCTATTCATGTTTGTGGGTCATTTGGGTTTTCCTTCTGTGAATTGCCTGTTCATATTCTTTGCCTGTTTTTTTTTTTTTAATTGTCTTCCCTTCCCTTCCCTTCCCCTTCCCCGTCCTCTCCCCCTTCCCCTCCCCTCCCTTCCCTTCTCTTCTCTTTTTTCTTTCTTCACAGATTGTTGCCCAGGCTGGTGAGCAGTGGCGTGATCTTGGCTCACTGCAACCTTGGCCTCCAAGGTTCAAGTGATTATCCTGCCTCAGCCTCCCAAGCAGCTGGGATTACAAGCGCACACCACCATGCCTGGCTAATTTTTTTTTTTTTTTTTATTTTTAGTAGAGGCAGGGTTTCACAATGTTGGTCAGGATAATCTCAAACTCCTGACCTCTGCTGATCTGCCCATATCGGCCTCCCAAAGTGCTGGGATTATAGGCATGAGCCACCGCACCTGGCCTAGTAACTTTTAAGATTTCCATCCTGAGGTTGGGCGCAGTAGCTCAGGCCTGTAGTCCCAGCACTCCGGGAGGCCGAGGCAGGCTGATCACTTCACTTTGGGAGTTTGAGACCAGCCTGACCAACATGGAGAAACCCTGTCTCTACTAAAAAAATACAAAAAAAAAAAAAAAAAAAAAAAAAAAGCCAGGCGTGGTGGTGCATGCCTGTAATCCCAACTACTCGGGAGGCTGAGGCAGGAGAACTACTTGAACCCGGGAGGTGGAGGTTGTAGTGAGCTGAGATGGCGCCATTGCACTCCAGCCTGGGCAACAAGAGTGAAACTCCATCTCCAAAAAAAAAAAAAAAAAAAAAACCAACAACAACAAAAAAGATTTCCATCCTGGGCAACATAGCAAGATCCCATCTCTAAAAAAATACAAATATTAGCTAGGCATGGTGGTGCCTGCTTGCAGGCTTGTAGTCCCAGTTACTTGGGAGTCTGAGGTGGGAGAATTGCTTGAGCCCAGGAGTTTGAGGCTACAGTGAGCTATGATTGCACCACTGCACTCCAGCCTGGGTGACAGAGTGAGACCCTATCTCAAAAAAAGAAAAAAAAAAGAAAAAAATTCCTCTTTATCCTTGATTTTAAGTGGTTTAATAATGATAGAACCCTATATAGACATATTAATTTATGCTGTTTGTTCTTGGAGTATGTTTTTGATTTGAGGACTTGTATGACTCTTTAGTTCTTTTTTCTTTCTTTTCCTTTTTTTTTTTTTTTTTTGAGATGGAGTCTTGCTCTGTCATCCAGTCTGGAGTGCAGTGGCACAATATTGGCTCACTGCAACCTCTGCCTCCCGGGTTCAAGTGATTCTCCTGCCTTAGCCTCCTGAGTAGGTGGGACTACAGGTGCACGCCACCACGCCAGGCTAATTTTTGTATTTTTAGTAGAGACGAGGTTTCACCATATTGGCCAGGCTGGTCTGGAACTCCTGACCTCAGTTGATCCACTTGCTTCAGCCTCCCAAAGTGCTGGGTTTATAGGCATGAGCCAAAACGCCCAGCCTAGTTTTTGAAAATTCTCATTGATTGTCCATCATATATTGCTTCTCTGTGATTTTCTGCTGTTTTTCTAAAACTTCCATTAGCCCTATGTTGCAGTCCCTCCATCTTTCTCCCATTTCTCATAATTGCTCTTTTGTGAATTTCATCTTTGGCTCCTAGTGCTCTTGTGTTGGTCTGGACCCTTCTAGTAACAGAACGGCCATATGAATGGAGGTCCATGCAGGGTTTCTCTCTCTCTCTTTTTAGAGACAAGGTCTTTTCTTTTTTTTCTTGCTTCATTGTCTATGCTGGAGTGCAGTGGTGCAATCTTGGCTCACTGCAACCTCTGCCTCCCAGGTTCAAGCAATTCTCCCGCCTCAGCCTCCCAAGTAGCTGGGATTACAGGTGCATGCCACCACACCCGGCTAATTTTTGTATTTTTAGTAAAGATGGAGTTTCACAATGTTGGCCAGGCTGGTCTCGAACTTCTGACCTCAGGTGATCTGTCTGCCTTAGCCTCCCAAAGTGCTGGGATTACAGGTGTGAGCCACTGCACCTGGCCTAGAGACAGGGTCTTGCTCTGTTGTCCAGGTTGGAGTGCAGTGGTGCAATCCTAGCTCACTGCAACCCCCAGCTCCTGACTTCAAGAGATCATTTCTCCTCAGTCTTCAGAGTAGCTGGGACCACAGGTGTGTGCTATCATGCCTGGCTAAGGTTTCTGTCAAAAGTGACATTGAGATCTGAAGGGTGGTGAAATGTCATTTAGGAACAGGGGAAGTTAGGGCTGGGGGAGTCCTCCAGGCAATAGAAACAGGATTTATGAAGATGAGATGGTGCCTGACACAAAGGGCTTGGATGGGTGCAGATTGGAAGCCACCAGAAGGCTCTAGCCCAAGAGAAGACTGGATACATTGGCAGATTCTTCTGGCTGCCTTGTGGAGTAGAGGACAGGAGAAGGTCAAGGGCAGGGGTGGGGAATCCAGCCTGGAAGTGACTGCAGCCTAGCTGAGAGAGCCGTGGTGGCCAGGACCAGTGAGGCAGCAGCGTGGATGGAGAGAGAGGAGGGATGCAGAGATGTTTAGGACATGAGCTGGCCGGTGATGGATAGCATGGGGTAGGCTGGTGGTGGTGAGGGGGTCCAGGGTCCAGCTGCCACTAGGAGGGTGGGTAGGTTTGGGGACAACCCCTTGTCTTTCTGATCCTTGTTCAGGTGAGATCCCCCTGCACAAATTTCACCTGCTTTTTTTTTTTTTCCTGAGCCATTTCAGACTGCCTCCTGGGGATGAGGTCTGCATGATTTTATTTATTTATTTATTTATTTATTTAGACAGAGTCTTGCTCTGTTACCCAGGCTGCAGTGCAGTGTTGTGATCTCGGCTCACTGCAACCTCCGCCTCCTGGGTTCAAGCGATCCTCCTGATTCAGCCTCCTGAGTAGCTGGGATTACAGGCATGCGCCACCACATCTGGTTAATTTTTGTATTTTTAGTAGAGACAGGGTTTCACCATGTTGGCCAGGCTGGTCTTGAACTCCTGGCCTCAAGTGATCCACCTGCCTTGGCCTCCTAAAGTGCTGGGATTATAGGCATGAGCCTCTGTCTACGGAATCTTGTAGCCTACAAAATCTTCTGGCCTCTGTCTGCAGAATCTTGTCTGTACCCCGTGCTAGCCTCTCCTCTGACCCACTGGGAGTGTTAAGTCCATTCTTCTGGACTTTTGCTCCAGCTGTGATGAACACTATGCTTCTACCTCAGTCCTGAGCCTGGACCCAGCTGTGCAAGCCTGGCCAGACCCCTCTCCCAGGGCTGAACACCAATTTCAAGTCTTCAGGTCCTACTGCAATCTAAACAGGCTATCCAGAAGAGAATCCTGCACCAGTCCAAGTGTGAGCAGGCCTGGAGACTCTGCTGCTGAACTGCACCCCCTGATGGCCAGCCTGGATGTCACTTCTATCCTGCTTGAGCCAGGCTCCCCGGATCCCTGGACCACCTCCACTCCAGACCAGACAATGGGGAAGCTGCTGGTCCCACACCATTTCTGAGTTTTCTCCTCTATCCTTCTGCTTAAAGTTCCCTCCAAGGACTTAAGTGCAAGTCATCCCAGAAACCCAGGTAGGGGAGTAGAGAGGCCAGATATGGACAGGAAGGCTGCCAAGAAAGGGGTGTTAGTCAGGCACAATGGCTCAGGTCTGTAAGCCCAGAACTTTGGGAGGCTGAGGCCGGAAGATTGCTTGAACCTAGGAGGACTGCTTGAGACCAGCCTGGGCAACACGGCGAAACCCTATCTCTACAAAAAACAAAAAAACAAAAAAAAACCCACAAAAATTAGCTGGACGTGGTGGTGTGCACCTGTAGTCCCAGCAGAGGGACTCTTGAGGCAGAGGTTGTAGTAAGCCCAGATCGCACCATTGCACTCCAGCCAGAGAGAGAGAGAGAGAGAGAGAGAGAGAGAGAGAGAGAGGAAATGGCCAGGCGCAGTGGCTCATGCCTGTAATCCCAGCACTTTGGGAAGCTGAGGTGGGCAGACCACTTGAGGTCAGGAGTTCAAAACCAGCCTGGCCAACATGGGGAAACTCCCTCTCTACTAAAAACATAAAATTAGCCAGGTGTGGTGGCACATGCCTGTAATCCCAGGAGGGTGAGGCAGGAGAATTGCTTGAATCTGGGAGGCGGAGGTTGCAGTGAGCTGAGATCGCACCACTGCACTCCAGCTTGGGTGACAAGAGCAAAACTCCATCTAAAAAAACACCAAAAGAATGAAAAAAGAAATGAGTGCTATCAAGGAAGTTACCAGTTACCAGTGTGGGCAATTGAGCTTAAACCTGGTGGGGACCTCTGGGAGGCAGTACAGAATGTGGAAACCCATGGTTGTCCCACCTGTGTGGGGTCATGTGGCTAAGCTGTTTACACACCCATTTTCATCAGTCACTGGCTAAGAGCAGCCCCTGGGGGAGGGGCCTTCATGCATTTGCTTCTGCTCTGCCCTGGCAGGCTCAGAGGCTCAGGCAAGAGCTACAGATGCTCATGACCGAATGTCTCACCTGGGCCCGGAATGGCAGCAGCAAGCACCCTCTCAGCCTAGCCCAGAAGCCAGAGTTCCTATTTCATCAGTTGCAAAGCAGAGACAATGCCATCTGCCCGATAGCAGAGCAAAAGGCAGGTGGGAGCAGGGTCCTCTGAGAGCTGGGGAGGGGCTGGAGTGGCCCTCAGTGCTGTGCACATGTGCCCTAGATACATGGGAATTGGACCTGGATCCCCCCTTCCCCCAAGCTCTGGCCACCGGCTCCTCCTGATGTGATGTTCTTGTTCTAAAAACAGATATGTCACACCTCAAGCAGATTTGCAGTCCCTTGACAGCAGCCTCATCTGGCACATAAAGGACCTCTGCCTCTCTGCATGGCTTCCCAGGGCCCCGGAGAACAGTGAGGCTGCCTTGGCCTCCACCTGCTGCTCCAGAGGGCAGCACAGCCCCGGACTCCATCTCCCCAGCCCCTGTGGGAAGGGGGACGTTCCTGGAGTGGGAGCCCATTTGGTCTTAGAGCTCTGCTAACAGACGGTTGGTACCTCCAAAGGCTGAACTGGGGAACCATTTTATTTTGCTGTCCAGCCTCTTTCTTTTTTTTTTCTTTTTCTTTTTTTTCAGATGGAGTCTCACTCTGTTGCCCGGGCTGGAGTGCAGTGGCGCTATCTCAGCTCACTGCAACCTGTGCCTCCCAGGTTCAAGCGATTCTCCTGCCTCAGCCTCCCGAGTAGCTGGGATTACAGGTGCCTGCCACCACCGCACCCAGCTAATTTTTGTATTTTTAGTAGAGACGGGGTTTCACCATATTAGCCAGGATGGTCTCAATCTCTTGACCTCGTGATCTGCCTGTCTTGGCCTCCCAAAGTGTTGAGGTTACAGGCATGAGCCACTGCACTGGGCTACCACCCAGCCACTTGGTTCCTCTGGGTGACAAGATTCAACATGTCCCTGAGGCTAGGGAATTTCTGTCCAGAGCAGGGTGGCCCCATCAGAGCCTCCTACTTCAGGAATCCTGAGGCCCATGGAGCCTGGATACCCTCTCTACTCTTCTCCCAGAAGGTATTTGCCCCAGGCACTTTGCAGACCAACCAGGAAGCATGGCAGAAGGCCAGGAATGGCTGGGGGCTGGTGGGAAGGATCAGGCCCGGCCCAGGCATTGCTGCTCTAGGGTCTCAAGGGTTCCCTGTCACTTTGGCCATTCTTCTGTTGCTAGTGTTCCTGGGCCCCTGGCAGCTGGGATCATTGAGGCCTCCCCACTGGGGGTGCTGGGGCCAGTCCTAGCCAGGGCAGAGAGTGGGTCAGCCGTCTCAGCTCCTTGAGTGGTTGGTGCTGGTACTGGTCTCATGGTTTTAGACCTGGCACCCAGTGGGTATGGGGAGCCCTGGGCACCTGTGGGCCTACTTATGGAAGTCATCCTCTTCCCTTATCAGGTACCGCCAACCCTGTGGTGCAGCTGCTGCCCCAGTTTCCCCTTGTGCTCCAGGTCCCCACTGTGGCAGTTGCTCTTCTCTGAGATCCAGCCAGTGTAGCTGAGTCCCTGGTGTCTTGCTAACTTCCTGCCAGCCCCTGAACCCAGAACTCTCTCTTTCCCTTGGCCACTGGCTAGGAGCCTCTACCACTGAAAAAACTCAGTTTCCTAGCCAGGTGCAGTGGCTCACGCCTGTAACCTCAGCACTTTGGGAGGCTGAGGCAGGAGGATCGCTTGAGAACAGGAGTTTGAGACCAGCCTGGGCAACATAGTGAGACTCCACCTCTAAAAAAAAAAAAAAAAAAAAGCCAGGCATGGTGGTGCATGCCTGTAGTCCCAGCTCCTTGGGGGGATTACTTGAGCCTGGGAGGTTGAGGCTGCAGTGAGCTATGAGGCTTGCCACTGTACTCCAGCCTGGGAGACAGAGTATGACCCTGTCTCAGTAACCAAAACCAAAACCAACCAACCAAACAAAAAAGGAAAAAACCCTCATTTTCCTTCTCTGTTAATATGGGTGATAATGCCCACCCTATAGAGTTGTTGGAAGGCATACTGATAGCATTTTTACACATTTGACACTCCCTGGTAGATAGCAGGTGCTCAGTAAAAAGTGACAATGGGCTGGACACCGTGACTCACGCCTGTAATCCCAGCACTTTGGGAGGCTGAGGCGGGTGGATCACCTGAGGTCAGGAGTTCGAGACCAGCCTGGCCAACATGGTGAAACCCCATCTCTACTAAAAATACAAAAATTAGCTGGGTGTGGTTGTGGGCACCTGTAGCTACACAGGAAGCTGAGGCAGGAGAACAACTTGAACCCAGGAGGTGGAGGTTGCAGTGGGCCACTGCACTCCAGCCTGGGCAACAACAGTGAAACTCTGTCTCAAAAAAAAGTGACAATGATCATTCCTGGTGTTAATAACAGACTTCCTTTTTTTTTTTTTTTTTTTTTTTTGAGACAGAATCTCCCTCTGTTGCCCAGGCTGGAGTGCAGAGACACGATCTTGGCTCACTGCAAGCTCCGCCTCCTGGGTTCACGCCATTCTCCTGCCTCAGCCTCCTGAATAGCTGGGACTACAGGTGCCTGCCACCACGTCCAGCTAATTTTTTGTATTTTTAGTAGAGACAGGGTTTCACCATGTTAGCCAGGATGGTCTCGATCTCCTGACCTTGTGATCTGCCCGCCTCGGCCTCCCAGAGTGCTGGGATTATAGGTGTGAACCACCGCACCCAGCCAATAACAGACTTATCTTTTTGCCTCTCACCTGACTCTGAGAGACTTTTGCTGCCATGATCTCTACATCTGAACTCCTCCCGAGAGCAGAGCTGCCCAGAAGGACCATCTGTGGTGATGGAAATGTTCTATGAATGCACCATCCAATATGCTGGCCACTTGAACACATGTGGTCCTGGCCCTTGTAGGCACTGGAATTGTGAGCAGCGTGACTGAGTATCTTAGTCTACTTGGGCTTCTGTTACAGAAAACCATAGGCTGGGTGGCTTAAACAACATACATTTCTCTCTCACAATTCCAAGATTGAGGAACCAGCAGATTGGTGTCTGGTGAGGGCCCACTTCCTGGTTTGTGGATGGCTGTCTTCTCCCTGTATCCTCACATGATGGGGAGTGATATAGTTTGGCTCTGTGTCCCCTGCTTAAATCTCATGCCGAGACCGGGCACAGTGGCTCACACCTGTAATCCCAGCACTTTGAGAGGCCAAGGCGGGCGGATCACCTGAGGCCAGGAGTTCGAGATTAGCCTGGACCACATGGTGAAACCCTGTCTCCACTAAAAATACAAAATTAGCTGGGTGTGGTGGTGGGCACCTGTAATCCCAGTTACTCGGGAGGCTGAAGCAGGAGAATCGTTTGAACCTGGGAGGCAGAAGTTGCAGTGAGCCCAGATGGCACCACTGCACTCCAGCCTGGGCGACAGAGTGAAACTGTGTCTCAAAAAAAAAAAAAAACAAAAAAAGAAAAAAAAAGAGGTTTCATGTCAAATTGTAATCCCCAGTGTTGGAGGTGGGGCCTGGTAGGAGGTGATTAAATCACGGGGCGGATTTCTCATGAATGGGCTGGCACCATCCCCTCCGTACTGTTTTCATGGTAGAAGGTTATCATGAGCTCTGCTTGTTTAAAAGTGAGTAGCACCTCCCCACCTCTCTCTCATCTTCTTGCTCTGACCATGTGAAATGTGCGTGCTTCCCCTTCACCTTCTGCCATGATTGTAAGTTTCCTAAGACCTCCCCAGAAGCTGAGCAGATGTCAGAATCATGCGTCCTGTACAGCCCATGGAATGTAAGCCAATTAAAACTCTTTTCTTGGCTGGGTGTGGTGGCTTGCACCTGTAATCCCAGCACTTTGGGAGGCCAAGGTGGGTGGATAACCTGAGGTCATGAGTTCGAGACCAGCCTGGGCAACATGGTGAAACCCCGTCTCTACTAAAAATACAAAAATTTGCTGGGCGTGGTGGCAGACGCCTGTAATCCAGCTACTCAGGAGGCTGAGGCAGGAGAATGGCTTGAACCCAGGAGATGGAGGTGGCAGTGAGCCAAGATCGTGCCATTGCACTCTTGCCTGGGTGATGACAGCGAAACTCCATCTCCAAAAACAAAACAAAACAAAACACCCCTCTTTTCTTTATAAATTACCCAGTCTCAGGTTTTTCTTTATAGCAGTGCCAGAATGGACCAAGACAGGGAGAGAGGAAGCAAGCTCTCTGATGACTCTTCTCAAAAGGCTGCTAATCCCATCAAGTGAATTCCACCCTTATAACCTCCTCTCAACGTGATCACCTCCCAAACTTCTCGCCTCCAAATACCAACACATTGGGAGTTAGGAGTTTGACATATGAATTTTGGAGAGTCCACAAACATTCTGCCTGTAACACTAGAAAAGAAATTTTGATTTCATTTTATCTATTTGTTTGAGACAGAGTCTTGCTCTGTTGCCCAGGCTGCAGTGCAGTGGCGTGATCTCGGCTCACTGCAACCTCCACCTCCCAGGTTCAAATGATTCTCCTGACTCAGCCTCCTGAATAGTTGGGACTATGGGCACCCACCACCATGCCTGGCTAATGTTTTTTGTATTTTTAGTAGAGACAAGGTTTCACCATGTTGGCCAGGCTGGTCTCGAACTCCTGACCTCAAGTGATCCTCCCACCTCGGCCTCCCAAAGTGCTGGGATTACAGGGTGAGCCAGCGAACTTGGCCTTCCTTTAATTTTAATCAATTTAAATGTAAAGAGCTGCATGTAGCTAGGAGCTACTGAATTGGACAGCACAGCCTTAAGGAGAGTGGAAATCAGCTGAATCCAGTTGAAACAGGAGTTAAACCAGTTGGAGCCAGCCAACATTGGATGACTTTGGCTGAAACCACCTGAAACTGGTTGAAAGGAGCCACAAACTGTTCACAACCAGCTGAAGCTGAATTAACCTGGCTGAAACTGGATGAAGTCATTTGAAACCAGCTGAAACTGGATCAAACCAGCTGGCAGTGGTTGAAACCAGATGAAATCATTTAAGTAGGGTTTGTCATATTATTTTGCTTCTTGATGAACTAGTCCTGGCTTTTTTTTTTTTTTTTTTTTTTTGACAGAGAGTCTTGCTGTGTCGCCCAGGCTGGAGTGCAGTGGTGGGATTTCAGCTCACTGCAACCTTCTCCTCCCGGGTTAAAGTGATCTTCCTGCCTCAGCCTCCTGAGCAGCTGGGATTACAGGAGTGCACCACCACTCCCGACTAATTTTTGTATTTTTAGTACAGACGGGGGTTTCACCATGCTGGCCAGGTTGGTCTCGAACTCCTGACCTCAGGTGATCCACCTGTCTTGGCCTCCCAAAGTGCTGGTATTACAGGCATGAGCCCTGGTGCCCAGCAGCATACACATTTAGTTTTATTCTAACAAGGTAGCTTGTACATTTTAAGATATAAAACTGAACATCTTTTTTCCTCTCTGGAGAAACATAAGGAAAACCAAGGAACTTTTTACAACAAACATTTTTAAACATTTACAAAAGTAGACAGAAGAGTACAGTGAACCCCCATGGACCCACTGCCCAGCTTAAATAGCAATCAGGATTTTGCCAATGTGCTCCAAACTGTCCTCCCCTTCCCCTCTTTTTCTTGGCTGGGATGTTTTAAAGCAAATCCTAGATATGTCATAAAAAGAAAATGTAAAAATAAAACAGAACAAAAATTACAATGCAGAATACCATTTCCAAATAAGATCTGGCCAGGCGTGGTGGCTCATGCCTGTAATCCCAGCACTTTGGGAGGCTAAGCAGGGGCAGATCACATGAGGTCAGGAGTTCAAGACCAGCCTGGCCAACATGGTGAAACCCTGTCTCTATTAAAAATACAAAAATTAGGCCGGGCGCAGTGGCTCACACCTGTAATCCCAGCACTTTGGGAGGCCGAGGTGGGTGGATCAAGAGGTCAGGAGATTGAGACCATCCTGGCTAACATGGTGAAACCCTGTCTCTACTAAAAATACAAAAAATTAGCTGGACGTGGTGGCGGGCACCTGTAGTCCCAGCTACTCAGGAGGCTGAGGCAGGAGAATGGCGTGAACCCAGGAGACGGAGCTTGCAGTAAGCCGAGATCGCACCACTGCACTCCCGCCTGGGCGACAGAGCAAGACTCCGTCTCAAAAAAAAAAAAAAAAAAAAAAAAAACCAGGCAAAACAATAGTATTCAAGAATACATATTTAGATGGGATAAATGATGAAATTATTTTATTTTATTATTTCTTTCTTGAAGACACCACTGCCACGCAGGCTGGAGTGCAGTGGTGTGATCATGGCTCACTGTAGCCTCCACCTTCCAGGCTCAAGTGCTCCTCCTGCCTCAGCCTCCCGAGTAGCTGGGACTATGGGGCACAGACCACCACACCCAGCTAATCTTTTTTATTGTTTGTGGACATGGGGTCTTGCCACGTTGCCCAGGCTAATAGATAGTGAATTTATTTTAAAGGAGCAAGAAAAAATGTCCATCAGCACATGAATGGATAAAGAAAATGTGATATATACATACAATGGAGTATTTAATTCAGCCTTAAAAATAAGGAGATCCTGTCATTTGCAACACCATGATTGAACTTGGGGATGTTATGCTAAGTGAAAGGCCAAGGTGGGCGGATTACATGAGGCCTGGAGTTCGAGACCAGCCTGGCCAACATGGTGAAACCCTGTCTCTACTAAAAATACAAAAATTAGCCAGTCGTGGTGGGGCACACCTATATTTCCAGCTACTTGGGAGGCTGAGGCAGG
This sequence comes from Homo sapiens, assembly GCF_000001405.40. Classification (NCBI taxonomy): domain Eukaryota; kingdom Metazoa; phylum Chordata; class Mammalia; order Primates; family Hominidae; genus Homo; species Homo sapiens. The sequence goes on along the minus strand of NC_000007.14, from coordinate 74,925,289 downwards.
AGAACTGCTTGAACCTGGGAGGTGGTGGTTGCAGTGAGCCGAGATTGTGCCACTGCACTCCAGCCTGGGAGATAGAGTGAGACTCTGTCTCATAAAAAAAAAAAGAGTCAAACTCACAGAAGCAGAGAATAGGCTGGTGGTTGCCAGGGGCTGGGAGGAGGGGAAATGGAGAATTGTTCTTCAATGGGTGCAAAGTTTCTGTTATATAAGGTGAATAAATTCTAGAGATCTGCTGTCAAAATAGTACCTATAATTCACAAGCCACCAAGCCAGACCAGGTCTCAGTCTGCAGTGAGCCTATGCCCCAGGGTTGTGCCTTTTACACATTTCTCTCAGTTCCATCCCCACTGCCCTTTAGGCTACATAGGAAGGCTGGGGGAGCTGGAATAGGTATTTCTCTTATCCAGTTGTGGAAGGAGGTGGGTGAGGTTGGATATTTTCTTTTCCGCAGGCCAATTAGGCTCTGGAAAAATAGTTTCAATAGAGGGCGGTCCTCACTAAGAAGAACAGAATGTTCTAGGCATTTAAAAAATATATTTTATTTATTTTATTATGTATTCATGTATTTGTGAGATGGAGTCTGGCTCTCTTGCCCAGGTTGGAGTGCAGTGGCAAGATCTCGGCTCACTGCAACCTCTGCTTCCTGGGCTCAAACCACCCTCCCACTTCAGCCTCCTGAGTAGCTGGGACTACAGGTGCCTGCCACCATGCCTGGCTAATTTTTGTATTTTTTGTAGAGATGAGGTTTCGCCATGTTGCCTAGGCTGGTCTCTAATGCCTGGGCTCAAGTGATCTTCCTGCCTTGGCCTCCCAAAGTGCTGGGATTACCGGCATACCCACCACACCTGGCCTCTGGGCAGATTTTTATGTTTTTATTTTAAATTTAATTTTAATTTTTACTTTTTGGTATCTAAAATACCAAAATACCAAAATACCACTCTGTCACCCAGTCTGGATTGCAGCGGCATGATCTTGGCTCACTGCAACCTCCACCTCTTGGGTTCAAGCAATTCTCCTGCCTCAGCCTCCCAAGTAGCTAGGACTACAGGTATGCACTGCTGTACCTGGATAATTTTTGTATTTTTAGGAGAGATGGAGTTTCACCATGTTGGCCAGGCTGGTCTCGAACTCTTGACCTCAAGTGATCTGCCTGCCTCAGTCTCCCAAAGTGCAGGGTTTACAGGTGTGAGCCACTGCGCCCAGCCTAGGATTTCTTTGTCTTCTTCCAGTAAGTGTTAGTTCAAGCTCTCCTCTCCCTACTATTGTTTCTTACTGAGTCCCTCAGCAATCCTCCAAAAACCATATTATAGATCTAAAATTGCTCTTCAATTCTGGAATTCAAAAAGGTCTGGAGGCTGGGCGAGGTGGCTCACTCTGGTAATCCCAGCAATTTGGGAGGTTGAGGCAGGAGGAGGGCTGGAAGTCAGGTGTTCAAGACCAGCCTGGGCAACATAGCAAGATCCTTGTCTCTATATCTCTACATCTCTACAAACAATGAAGAAATTAGCTGGGTGTGGTGGCATTCACATGTAGTTTCAGCTACTCAGGGGGCTGAGGCAGGAGGATTGTTTGAGCCCAGGAGTTCAAGGATGCAGTGAGCTATGATTGCACCACTGCACTCCAGCCTGGGTAACAGAGTGAGACTGTCTCTTAAAAAAAGAGGAGGCATGGGTGGACATGGTGCTCATGCCTGTAATCCCAGCACTTTGGGAGGCCGAGGTGGGCAGATCACTTGAGCTCAGGAGTTTGAGACCAGCCTGGCCAAGATGGTGAAACCTCGTCTCTACTAAAAATACAAAAATTAGAGGGAGGTGGTGGCGCAAGTCTGTAATCCCAGCTACTCGGGAGGCTGAGGCAGGAGAATCGCTTGAACCTGGGAGGCGGAGGTTGCAGTGAGCTGAGATTGTGCCACTGCAACACTCTGCACTCCAGCCTGGGTGGCAGAGTAAGACTCCATCACAAAAAAAAAAAAAAAAAAAAAAAAAAAAAAAAAAAAAAAGAAGAAGGGGATATTAAGATATTCAGATAGAGACACCAGGGGTGTGTGCACAGAGGAAAGACCATGTGAGAACCCAGCAAGAAGGCGGCCATCTGCAAGCCAAGGAGAGAGGCTTCAGGAGAAACCACCCCTGCCAACATCTTGATATTGGACTTCCAGCCTCCAGAGCTATGAGAAAATAAATTTCTATTGTTTAAGCCACCTGGTCTGTGGTATTTTGTTAGAGCAGCCTGAGCAAACTAATACAGCATCTCAAAGATGCCTCTAACCCAACTCCATTCCCACCCTAAGAAAGAAACTGTGGAGAACCTGCAAGTTCAAGGGTATAATTTTGAGGTCAATACAGTAAGTCTGTCCTTTTAAACAGACCAGACCCGTGAATGTAAATGCCAGCTCCCAGCCCCTCCCAGGAAGGCTGAGTCTCAGCCCCAAAGAAAAAGAGGAAAAGCCAAGGACACTCCCTGCCTCCCTCATCCCCTCCTTCCCCTCCATGGGGCTGGCTGAATGGGAATCTCATGAACTCCTCAGCCCTCGCAGGCTTCAGCCCCGTGGAACTCTCCTTTGTGGTCAGAGAGTTATAAATTTGCCTTGTCATGGCACAGCCAGCAGGCCTGCCCTGTCCTCCTTCTAATCAGGTCTGCAGACCCCAGAGCCTGCCACTCACCTGCTACTATCCTGGCAGCATGCAGCCACCTTCCCAACAGAGGCACCGATGATGAGCACACGGGTCAAAGACCTTGACCCTGCCATAGCTTTCTCCAGACCATGGCAGCGTGGAGGCTGCTCCAGTGTCTGGGCCCGAAAGCTGGGTTTCCCTATCGGCCCTTCTCCCAGCCTCTCTCATCATTAAAACAGCCATCCTTCATGGCATCCTGCATCCAGACTCGCCGTGCATTGATCAGCTCTATTAACCTACTTTTCATTCCAAAGCCACACAGCCATTCCTACCGTTTCTGTCCTGTGTAAATCCTCACTGAAAGCACACTGCACGCCCTTTGTCTTCCTGCTATTTTTTGTTTGTTTGGTTGGTTGGTTTTCTACTCTTTTTTCCTAACGGTTTTTCTCTCTCCAAGGCACATGATCCCACAACCCATGTGATTTAAAAATTCTCTCTGGGGCCGGACATGGTGGCTCACATCTGTAATCCTGGTACTTTGGGAGGGCGAGGCGGGTGGATTGCTTGAGATCAGGGGTTCAGACCAGCCTGGCCACATGGTGAAACCCCGTCTCTACAAAATACAAAAAGTAGCGGGGGGTGGTGGCGCAGGTCTGTAATCCCAGCTACTCAGGAGGCTGAGGCAGGAGAATCGCTTGAACCTGGGAGGTGGAGGGTGCAGTGAGCTGAGACTGTGCCACTGCAGTCCAGCCTGGGTGACAGAGCAAGACTCCATCTCAAAAAAAAAAATTATCTTTGGAAGAGTGAAATTCTGTCATTTGCAGGAACACGGGTGAGCTTGGAGACCATTATGTTAAGTGAAATAAGTCAGGCACAGCAAGACAAATGGGCTGGGTGTGGTGGCTCGTGCCTGTAATCCCAGTACTTTGTGGAGGTGGGGGGATTGCTTGAGCCCAGGAGTTCGACACCAGCTTTGGTAACAGAGAGAAACCCCATGCCTACACAAAATAAAAATAAGAAATTAGCTAGGCGTGATGGTGTGCCCCTACAGTCCTAGTTACCAGGAAGGCTGAGGCAGAAGGATTGCTTGAGCCCAGAAGGTTGAGGCTGCAGTGAGCTATGATTGCATCACTGCACTCCAACCTGGGTGACAGAATGAGACCCTGTCTCAATGAAAAAAAAAAAGAAGACAAATGCCGCATGATTGTGTTAACATGTGGTAGCTAAAAAAGTTAATCTCAGAATTAGAGAGGAGAGGCCAGGTACGGTGGCTCACGTGTGTAATCTCAGCACCTTGGGAGGCCAAGGCAGGCGGATCACCTGAGGTCAGGAGTTCTAGACCAGGCTGGCCAACAGGGTGAAACCCCGTCTCTACCAAGAATACAAAAATTAGCTGGGAGTGGAGGCACGTGCCTGTAATCTCATCTACTCGGGAGGCGGAGGCAGGAGAATAGCTTGAACCTGGGAGGCAGAGGTTGCAGTGAGCCGAGATTGCGCCACTGCACTCCAGCCTGGGCAATAGAGGGAGACTCTTTCTCAAAAACAAAACAAAACAATTTATTTTCTATATTCAAATAGGTAGAAGAGCAGATTTTGAATGTTCCCAACACAAAGAAATGATAACTGAGGAAATGAATCCGCTAATCACCCTGATGTGATCATTACACATTGCATACATATATTGAAATATCACCTGTATCCCGTAAATTATTACAATTATTATATAAACATACAATTATTATACATAAATTAAAAATAATAAAAGCAAGAAAGAGTTCTTTTTGGCATTTCAAACAGAATTCCCCCTCTTTTGCTCGTGAATTTGAGAGGCAGTGTTCGAATCACAGCTTGGTTAGCATGTGACCTCAAGGAATGTTTGTTATCTGGGGCTGCTCAAACAAACCATCCCACAACTTAGTAGCATTAAATGGATTGCCCCAAACTTAGCGCCTGTCGTGATTTCTTTGGACCAGCGATTCTGGAAGTAGCTGGCTGTGCAATTCTGGCTGGAGGCAGGTGGAGGGGTGGAGGGAGTAAGGAGGTGGGCGGGGGTGAGAATGGGGCAGTGAAGGATGGGGTAGTGGAAGGCTGGCTGGGGATGCGTCTTCATGTCGTCTCAGGGCACATCCTAGGGTTAGCTTGGGCTTCCTTGCAGCATGGTGGCCTCAGGGCAGTGAGTCCATTTACACAACAGCTCAGGGCCACCGCGTACATGTTTTAGACTGTAAATTGGAGGCTGAAAAACATCATAACATCACTTTTGCCCTACTCAATGACTATCCTGTTACTAAGGTTGGGCCAAAATTAAAGGGGGGGTCATAGGCCCCCACCTCTTTTTTTATTTTCAGACAGGGTCTCCCTCCGCTGCCCAGGCTGGAGTGCAGGGGCGCAATCATAGCTCACTGCAGCCTTGACCTCCCAGGATCAAGCAATCCTCCTGCTTCAGCCTCCCAAGTAGCTGGGACATGGGCATGCATCATCACAGCTGGCTAATTAAAAACATTTTTTTTTTGAGACGGAGTCTCGCTCTGTTGTCCAGGCTGGAGTGGAGTGGCGCGCTCTCGGCTCACTGCAACCTCTGCCTCCTGGGTTCAAGCAATTCTCCTGCCTCAGCCTCCTGAGTACCTGGGATTACAGGTGCCCAACACCACACCTGGCTAATTTTTTGTATTTTAGTAGAGACAGGATTTCACCATGTTGCCCAGGCTGGTCTCAAACTCCTCAGCTCAGGCAACCCGCCTGCCTTGGCCTCCCAAAGTGCTAGGATTACAGGCATGAGTGACCATGCCCAGCCTAAAAACTTTTTTTTAAGGGATGGGATCTTGCTAGGCTGCCCAGGCTGGTCTTGAAGTCCTGGCCTCAAGCAATCCTCCCACCTTGGCCTCCCAAAGTTCTAGGATTACAGGCGTGAGCCACCATGCCTGGCTGATCCTCACCTATTTTTTTGTTGTTGTTTGAGACAGGGTCTATCTCCATCTCCTCGGCTGGAGTGCAGTGGCTTGATCATGGCTCACTCCAGCCTCAACCTCCTGGGCTCAAGCAATGCTACCACTTCAGCCTCCCGAGTGGCTGCGACTACAGGTGTGCACCACCACACCCTGCTAATTTGTGTATTTTTTGTAGAGATGAGGTCTTGCTATGTTGCCCAGGCTAGTTTCAAACTCCTGGCCTCAGTCAATCCTCCCACCTTGGCCTCCCAAAGTGCTGGGATTATAGGTGTGAGCCACCACCTCTGGCCAGCTCCCACCTGTTGATCAAAGGAGCATCAAAGAATTTGCAGCCTCCAGAAGGAGGTCATTTCCTGCCTCTGAGTCTCAGTTTCCACATCTATGAAATAAAGTTAATGATCCTTCACTCCAGGGTTGTCGTGAAGGCTAAATTAAGTTGTATTTGGAAAAATATGTGGGGCACAGTAGGTGTGTTTCTCACACCCAGAGTCAGAGTGTTTAGCAGAGGGTTAGTAGTTGCCTCCAGGGCATGAAGGGCTCTTCCTGACCCTAAGTGTGAGGAACGCTTTGGGTTAAAAGATTGTACTTTTCTGCGTTCAGCTGAAAGGTGGAGGGCTCAGTGAGGTGGCTCACACCTGTAATTCCAATGCTTTGGGAGGCCAAGGTGGGAGGATCACTTGAGCCCAGCCAGGAGTTTGAGAGCAGCTTAAACAACACAGTAAGACCTTGTTTCTACACACACACACACACACACACACACACACACACACACACACACACACACACACACAATTAGCCAGGCGTGGTGGCATGCGCCTGTAGTTCCAGCTACTTGGGAGGCTGAGGTGGGTGGATTGCTTGAGGCAAGGAGTTTGAGACAAGCCTGGTCAACATAGTGACACCCCATCATCCCCCAAAATCATTTTTCTTTGTTTTAAGGCAGAGCCTCACTCTATTGCCCAGGCTGGAGTGCAGTGGTGTGATCTCACCTCCTTGCAACCTCTGCCTCCCGGGTTCAAGCGATTCTTGTGTCTCAGCCTCCTGAGTAGCTAGGATTACAGGTGTGCACCACCATGCCTGGCTAATTTTTGTATTTTTAGCGGAGATGGGGTTTTGCCGTGTTGGTCAGGCTGGTCTTCAACTCCTGGCCTCAAGTGATCCGTCTGCCTTGGCCTCCCAAAGTGCTGGGATTACAGGTGTGAGCCACTGTGCCCAGCCACAATAAATCATTTTTTAAAGGTTAAATTTAACCTCATTTAAGTAATACATATAAGTCTCATCGAATAATTGAAGCCAGTTTGTGAGGTAAAGTCTATTATTATGTGCATTTTAATTCTTAGCGTTTAACTAAAGCCTCATAAGTACAAATAAAAACAGGACTTGCTATAACAGGTTGCCACCTATTTTCTTTAAAGATGACGAGCAGCATCTTATTTGCGTTAACACAAGTCATCCACATAACAAATATAGATAAGAAAAGTGGCCAGGTGTGGTGGCTCACGCCTCTAATCCTAGTACTTTGGGAGGCCGAGGCAGACAGATCACTTGAGGTCAGGAGTTCGAGACCAGCCTGGGCAATACGGTGAAACCCCATCTCTATCAAAAATACAAATATTAGCCCGGCATGGTGGTGGGCGCCTGTAATCCCAGCTACTTGGGAGGCTGAGGCAGGAGAATTGCTTGAACCTGGAAGGCGAAGTTTGCAGTGAGCCAAGATCATGCCACTGCACTCCAGCCTGGGTGACAGAGCGAGACTCTGTCTCGAAAAAAGAAAAAAGAAAAGAAAAGAAAAGTAAGGCACTTAGAGGGTAAGTGGCTTCACTCGGTACTAAGTAGGGGAGTGTGGATTTGAGCCAAGCTGTGGGTTCAAACCACATCAACACCTGCTATGCCTGACTGCGTCTCCACGCTGCTGGGAAGGTTGACTGAATCTGCCACTACCTCCCTGGGGTGCATGTGCTTACCAAACCATTGCATTATGTAAAAGGCGGTACTGTAGGTTTTTAGTTTTTTAATTTTTATTTTTTTGAGATAGAGTCTCACTCTGTCACCCAGGCTGGAGTGTAGTGGCATGATCTTGGCTGACTGTAATCTCTGCCTTCCGGGTTCAAGCGATTCTCTTGCCTCAGCCTCCTGAGTAGCTGGGACTACAGGCCCACACCACCACGCCTGGCTAATTTTTGTATTTTTAGTAGAGACAGGGTTTCACCATGTTGGACATCATGGTCTCGGTCTCTTGGGCTCATTATCTGCCTGCCTCGGCCTCCCGAAGTGCTGGCATTACAGGTGTGAGCCACCGTGCCTGGCCTCTAGTGACCTCATTTTAACTTGATCACCTCTGTAAAGACTCTGGTTCCAATAAGGTCACCTCTAAGGTCTGGAGGGTCATGGCTTCAATACATGAATTAGGGGTGGGGGGCACACCATGCAGCCCATAATACTAGCGTATCTGGTTATGTTAAACTTGCTATAGCCACAGTCTCGCTGACTTGGATATGGTACCATGGGAAGGGCCCTTAAAGATCATCTTATCTGGTTGGGCTCAATGGCTCACGCGTGTAATTCCAGCACTTTGAGAGGCCAAGGCAAGAGGATCGCTTGTGACCAAGAGTTCAAGACCAGTCTGGGCAACAGAGCAAGATGCTATATCTACTACAGGCATGCACCTGTAGTCTCAGCTACTTGGGAGGCTGAGAGAAGAGGATTGCTTGAGCCCAGGAGGCAACAGAGAGCTGATTGTACCACTGCACCCCAGCCAAGGCAACAGAGACCTTGTCTCTAAAAAACAAAAACAGGCCGGGTGCAGTGTCTTATGCCTGTATTCCCAGCACTTTGAGAGGCAGAGGCGGGTGGATCATTTGAAGTCAGGTGTTCAAGACCAGCCCGGCAAACATGACGAAACCCTAAAATACAAAAATTAGCCGGGAGTGGTGGTGGGTGCCTGTAATCTCAGCTACTCGGGAGGCTGAGGCAGGAGAATCGCTTGAACCTGGGAGGCAGAGGTTGCAGTGAGCCGAGATGGAGCCACTGCACTGCAGCCTGGGTGACAAGAGCGAAACTCTGTCTCAAAATATTAGGAAAAAAAAAAGAGAGAGAGCCTCTTTTCCATCTCCCCGCCACAGAGTTGTCTTCAGTAATTTCATTCCCTTCTTTCCTGAGGATTCACTGGGTTTCTGGGTCCCAGAGGGGAAGTTCTCTTCAAGGTACAGAAACCACGACTCCGCAGAGAACCGCAGAGATGGCAGCATGACCAGACCACGGACAGGTGTGTAGAAGCTGCTGGGCTGAAACTTGGGCTGAACTTCCGCTGCAGGTTGACTTATTCCCATCAGCACCAAAGCCGCTGGAGGGGGTCATCCACTAGCAAATGAAGTGGGGGCACGGATTGGAGGCTGTTTCAGAAGGTCCCACTGAGCCACGGACTCAAGGCCTGGCCACAGCCCTCCCAAACGAGGCCCAGATCATATTTCACCACGCTCAGAAAACCTTGTCAGCTCATTTCAGTCCACAGTGACTTTGCTTTCTTTAGGATCTCTCTTGCACTGTCCAACTCAGAGAATTTCAAATCTGAATGGATTCCAATGATGGAGCTAAATCAGGCCTCACCTCAGTTTTTTAATTACAATCAATAGGGCTGGGTCCCAGCATCTGTGTCTTAATGTTCCTCCATGTGATCCTCATGCTGAAAGGCTGGTATTTGAAAATCCCTTTATTTGGGGAGTGAAGGGTTTTTTTAGAGACAGGTCTCACTCTGATGCCCAGCCTGGAATGCAGTGGTGGATCACAGCTCACTGCAGCCTCGAACTCCTGGCCGCAAGAAATCCTCCCACCTTAGCCAACCAAAGTGTTGGGATTGCAGGAGTGACCACTGTGTCCAGCCAGGAAAGCCCTTCTGTTTCACTTGAATGATATTTCTGCCGCAGACCTACAGCCATTGTTGTATTAAACGGCATCATTGCAGGAAAAGAAAAGGTGAGAGGTGACTGTTTTGCTTTTTTCTGAACATATCAGACCAAACCAGGGCTGTCTGGCACTTTTTTTTTTTTTTTTTTGAGTCGGAGTCTCACTCTGTCGCCCAGGCTGGAGTGTAGTGTCGTGATCTCGGCTCACTGGAACCTCCACCTTCCCGGTTCAAGTGATTCTCCTGCCTCAGCCCCACAAGTAGCTGGGATTACAGAAGTGCACTCCCACGCCCAGCTCATTGTTTCTGTATTTTTACAGAAAAACAGACAGGTTTCACCATGTTGGCCAGGCTGATCTCAACCTCCTCACCTCTGGTTATCTGTCGGCATCGGCTTCCAAAAGTGCTGGGATTACAAGTGTGAGCCACCGCACCTGGTTTGCCCATTTTCTGACAATGTATCAACATCATCTAAGATGGGCACTGCCTCAGTGTAGTGTGTCTAGACAAGGTGGCCGGAACAGAGAGGAATATGCATACCAGGCTTAAAGACGGGTTAAATCAGAGCTTTTCATTCCACAAAAGAGCAATTTTAATGAGGTCAGAACATGGATGTTCTAATAGTTGAAAGCCTGTTAACTAGGAGAGAGAGAGAGTAAAGTGATTTGTTGTAGGAGGACACACCCAGCTCTGACGGTTTAAAGCGTCATGAATGCAAATTTGAACTCCAGAAAAGCAGAGCTTCCTAACAATGGGACTTCCACAGCAATGGGATTTCCTTCCGCATTCAGTTTATGCCTTTCCCATGAGCGAGAGACTCCTAGGAGAGCCGCAGCCCGTTAGGAAGCCATGTGGGAACTCATCCACAGGTTCTTTTTGTTTTTTTTTTGTTTTTTTTTTTTGAGATGTAGTTTTGCTCTTGTTGCCCAGGCTGGAGTGCAATGGTGCGACCTTGGCTCACTGCAACCTCCGCCTCCCAAGTTTAAGCCATTCTGCTGTCCCCGCCTCCTGAGTGGCTGGGATTACAGGCACCCACCACCATGCCTGACTAATTTTTTGTATTTTTAGAAGAGATGGGGTTTCACCATGTTGGCCAGGCTGCTCTTAAACTCCTGACCTCAAGCGATCCACCTGCTATGGCCTCCCAAAGCGCTGGGATTACAGGCGTGAGCCACTGTGCCTGGCCAGAACCCACAGGTTCTTTGGATGGTCTCTGAATGTCATGAAACTCTTTTATATTTAATTAAAAAAATTTTTTTGACACAAGGTCTTGCTGTGTTGCCCAGACTGGAGTGCGGTGTCACGATCACAGCTCACTGCAGCCCCTAACTCCTAGGCTCAAGCAATCCTCCTGCCACCTCAGTCTCTCAAGTTGTTGGAACACAGGTGCCAGCCACGACACCTGGCTAATTTTGTTTTGTTTTGTTTTGTTTTGTTTTAGAGATGGGCTCTTGCTATGTTGCCTATACTGGTCTTGAACTGCTGGCCTCAGGCAGTCTTCCTCCCTTGGCCACCCAAAGAGATGGGATTACAAGCATGAGCCACTGTGCACAGCTGAGATTTTTCGACTTAGTCTTTTTGTACACCCAGTATCTTATAGAATATCCGTAATATAGATTCATAAATAAACCATTTCCTTCAATGGTATAAATAAATAAACCACTGCTATAAATGGTGGAATTTTCTGAGTTAAGAGCAATACATATGATACAAAACTTGATATATAGAGTTTCTTAGCCAAACTGGAGGGGCTGGCTTTAGGTGATCCGTGGACTCCCTGAAATTGGGGACACCATTGGAAATATGTGTGAACTCATGGGCAGTTTCCTATGATTTCCAGTCCTCAAAGTATCTCTTGGACTCAAAGATGCCTTAGGGCAGAGGACGCGTGTACCCCCAGTACAGAATCTCGGACAGTGAATGTCAGTAGACATTCGGCAGAAAACCTCTGCCAAATTGAGTGCTCTGATGTGACTTTTTCATCAAGTCAATGTTCCTGGGATCTCTTGTACATGATAATCTCACTCTTGTAAGGTTTCATCGTTTCTGCTTACCCTACTTTTCTTTCCCATCCTGATCCCTCTCCCACCAGACTGGACTCTGAAACGGGCATGTACAGAGAAGAGGAGACCCCAACACGCTTCAAGCTTTGAGTGGAGAGGACACAGCCTCTGCTGGGACAGGGAACAGAGGGATGCGGAGACCCTGAAGATGCTTTTGGACAGTGGTCTGAGGTTGGGACAGTGGCAGGAGATACCATTCACCCAGGATCTCCAGGACAAGAGATCAGCCTGGCAGTTACATGTGTTTTTTTTCAAACTGGTTGCCAGGTTGGCATGAGCGATGACATCAGAGATTCCGACCTTCCTGATTGGAGGGACCGGACTCTGTCGGCACCTGGGAGTTCAGTTGGACAACAGTAACTTCTCAGAGCTGTTCTCCACTCCTGACTTCTCCCAGCCTCGAGAATTGATAACACACTCTTCTGGATCCCAGCAGTGTCCAGAAGAAGACCAAGGACAGAACAGAGACTAGGTTTGGTGAGATGGGACAGATTTTGGGAAAGATCATGATGAGCCATCAACCGCAGCCCCAGGAAGAGCAGAGCCCCCAGCGGAGCACCTCAGGGTACCCCCTCCAGGAGGTGGTGGATGATGAAGTGTCGGGACCATCAGGTGAGGGGACTGGAGGAAGAAGAGGTGGCATAGGATTGACTAAGATGAAGGAAGGGGGCCAGGCGTGGTGGCTCACCCCTGTAACCCCAACACTTTGGGAGGCTGAGGCGGGCAGATCACCTGAGGTCAGGAGTTCAAGACCAGCCTGGCCAACATGGTGAAACCCCATCTCTACTAAAAGTACAAAAATTAGCCAGGCGGTAGTGGTGTGTGCCTATAATCCCAGCTACTTGGGAGGCTAAGACAGGAGAATCACTTGAGCCTGGGAGGAAGAGGTTGCAGTGAGCCGAGATCGTGCTACTGCACTCCAGTCTGGGTGACAGCGTGAGATGCTATCTCAAAAAAAAAAAAAAAAAAAAAAAAAAAAAAAAAAAAAAAAAGAAGAAAAAAAAGAAGGGTCAGAGGTCAGGAAGGAGAACCTGGGGAGGGTGTGTGGGAAGAATGGAGAAATTCAGGCTGGGTGCAGTGGCTCACACTTGTAATCCCAGCACTTTGGGAAGCCAAGGCAGGCGGATCACTTGAGGCCAGGAGTTTGAGACCAGCCTGGCCAACATGGTGAAACCCTGTCTCTATTAAAAGTACAAAATGGAGCTGGGCATTATGGCAGGCACCTGTAATCCCAGCTACCTGAGAGGCTGAGGCAGGAGAATAACTGGAATCCGGGAGATGCATGTTGCAGTGAGCTGAGATTGCACCACTACACTCCAGCCTGGGTGACAAAGCAAGATTCTGTCTCGAAACAAAAAAAAAAAAAAAGAGGGACTCAGAGAGCCAGGGACCAGGGAAGGATATGAGGCAGTGTTCTGAGGACAGAGAGAGGGAAGAATGGGGAGGGGAAGGAGTGGCACATGGGGTTGAGCAGAGGAGAAAGTCAGAAAGGTGGCTTGGAGAAGCCAGCAGTCTGCGAGGCTGGGGAGGATGGAGAGTGGTTTGGGGTTTGGGGTCGGGGTCTAACGTGATCAGTTGCAGAAGCATTACACGGTGGCCTGGTTTCTTTACTCAGCCCCTGGGGTAGATCCCAGCCCCCCACGTAGGTCCCTTGGCTGGAAAAGGAAGAGGGAATGTTTGGATGAATCTGATGATGAGCCAGAGAAGGAGCTCGCCCCTGAGCCTGAGGAGACCTGGGTGGCGGAGACGCTGTGTGGCCTCAAGATGAAGGCGAAGCGACGGCGAGTGTCGCTCGTGCTCCCTGAGTACTACGAGGCCTTCAACAGGCTGCTTGGTAGGAGGACACCCCAGAGAGCACCTCCAATCCTGTTCTTTCTAAAGAGGAAACTTCCAATAACCACACTTTTCCAATGGGAAAAATATGCCCCAGTGGGTGAGCTCTCCATGCGGGAGGACTCTGAAGTGATCACTCATGAGGGACACTTAAGGAGACAACAGAGGATTAGGTAGACTTGATAAAGGTCGGTGCTTGGGATAAGAAAGCTTGGTTTTGGGCCAGGCGCTGTGGCTCCCGCCTGAGATCCCAGCACGTTGGGAGGCTGAGGCAAGAGGATTGCTTGAACTCAGGACTTTGAGGCTGCAGTGAGCTATGACTGCACCACTGCACTCCAGCCTGGGTGACAGAGCAAAACTCTGCGTCAAAAGAAAAACCAAGGCTGGGCACAGTAGCTCATCCCTGTAGTTCCAGCTACTCGGGAGGCTGAGACAGGAGAACTGCTTAAACCCAGGAGGCAGAGGTTGCAGTGAGCCAAGATCAGGCCAATGCATTCCAGCCTGGCCCACAGAGCAAGACTCTGTCTCAAAATAAATTAATAAATAAATAAAAATAAAAATCAAATAAAGAAAAACAAAATCAAAAATCAAAAAAGTGGTTTCAGCTGTGCCCTCTGAAACTTAATGTTTCTTACTGACTTTTCTAAACCTAAGTGTCTCCATCCATAGTGAGGGATCCCAAGGCCATGGTCACACCCTGATGTGTGACTGTCTCATGAGGAAATGATGGGAATTCCTTTATGACTCTGCAGTGGTCCCTCCGTGTCTGCTGGAGGGGGTCCTGGCTGATTCCCAGCTCTACATCCTGTAGATTCTCACACCCAGGGCCTCCTTCGGCCTCTTCTCAGGGGAGTCTCAGAGCAGGAGCCTCTCTCCCTTGCCCAGTGAAAGTCATTCTCCCCTCTCCCATCCACCTCACCCGCAGCCACAATCCTGAGACTTTCCCCCGGGAGGCACACTTCTCCTCACTGCCCTGCTGCTCTCACGGAAACCCTGTCCTGCTTCTCACACTGACATCTGCTCTCTAATCACAGAGGATCCTGTCATTAAAAGACTCCTGGCCTGGGACAAAGATCTGAGGGTGTCGGACAAGGTAAGGTTGTTCTCTATGTAACTGTGTTCCTGTTCTAACGCACGGCCAGGGGGAGGGCGCAGCTTCCAAACCCACAGTTCTCCCTCCACCACCTCCCACCAGATGCTCCTACAGTTTTTTTTTGTTTTTGTTTTTGTTTTTGTTTTGTGAGACACAGTCTTGCTCTGTTGCCCAGGCTGAAGGGCAGTGTCTCGATCTTGACTCACTGCAGCTGATGCCTCCTGGGTTCAAGCGATTCTCCCACCTCAGCCTCCAAGCAGCTGGGATTACAAACATGAACCACCACGCCTGGCTAATTTTTGTGTTTTTAGTAGAGACGGGGTTTTGCCATGTTGGCCAGATTGGTCCCGAACACCTGACCTCAGGTGATCCACCCGCCTTGGCCTCCCAAAGTGCTGAGATTACAGACGTCAGCACTGTGTCTGACCAGCTCCCATGGTCTTGAGTCTTGGCACCCACACATTTTTTTTTCTGAGACAAGAGTCCAGCTCTGCTCCCCAGGATGGAGTACAGTGGCATGATCATAGCTCACTCTAATTCCTGGGCTCAAGCAATCCTCTTTCCTTAGCCTCCTGAGGAGCTGGGACTAGGCACATGCTACCATGCTCAACTAATTTTTGAAACCTTCGTAGAAACAGGGTCTCGCTGTGTTGCCCAGGTTGTTCTCCAACTGTTGGGCTCACATGATCCTCCTGTCTCCACCTCTCAAAAAGTACTGGGATCACAGGCTTGAGCTGCCACTCCCGGCTATTCTTTGTCTTTTTATGATTTGTCAGCATCTCCGTCAGGATTCTGCTGGTCTCTTGCAGAGTGAATGAGTGGCCCCTGCCTCCCCTATGAGTCCTTTGGGATCTGAGCCCTGGGCCACAGTCTGGCTGCAGCCCTGAAGCTCCTGGGCCCTCTACTCTCAGCTCCTTGGGACAGTTCTCTGCCTGGCACACAAAAGACCCTCCTGACACCAGCCGACCTAGACACACCCCCTCCAAAGATCCCATCGGAGCCCACCATCCTGGGAGCATCACCGAAAACCCTTCCTCCGGCTTCTCGGATTTGCATCCGACCTTCGAATACCCCTCCACCCCGCAATTTCCACATGAGCACAGTCACCCCAATGCTGAGGTCCCTTCTCTGATGGGCAGCCCCTCCCCAGACCCCCATTCCACTATCTCCACAATCTTCCTCTCCCAAGATGTGACCTCTCCCTCTCTGTGTTCCTTTCTCTCCATCAGTATCTCCTGGCTATGGTCATAGCGTATTTCAGCCGGGCCGGCCTCCCCTCCTGGCAATACCAACGCATTCATTTCTTCCTGGCTCTGTGAGTGGTTTGCTGCCTCCTATCCATCAATATCCAATGCCCTGGGACAGCGGGGGAAGTGGGATTCCAGCCTTTCATTTATTCTTTCACCTATTTGTCCTCTTTACTCTGTGTACAAAAAAGACAGGATTATAGTATCTTAGACTGTTATTTCTAAAAAGAAACTCAGGCTGTGCATGGTGGCTCAGGCCTGTAATCCCAGCACTTTGGGAGGCTGAGGCAAGCGGATCACCTGAGGTCAGGAGTTTGAGACCAGCCTGGCCAACATGGCAAAACCCCGTCTCTACTAAAAATAGAAAAATCAGTCGGGCATGTTGGTGTGCACCTGTAATCCAAGCTACTTGGGAGGCTGAGGCAAGAGAACCCCTTGAACCCAGGAGGTGGAGGTTGCAGTATGCTAAGGTTGAGCCACTGCACTCCAGCCTGGGCAACAGAGTGAGACTTTTTCTCAAAAAAAAAAAAAAAAAAGCCAAAAAAAAAAAAAAAAACCAGGCAAAAAAACCAAACTCCAATGCCAGTGTACAAATACAAGAGTAAAACAGGCCAGGTGCGGTGGCTCACGCCTGTAATCTCAACAGTTTGGGAGGCCGAGGTGGGCGGATCACAAGGTCAGGAGAGCAAGACCATCCTGGCTAACATGGTGAAACCCTGTCTCCACTTAAAAAAAAAAAAATACAAAAATTAGCCGGGTGTGGTGGCGGGCGCCTGTAGTCCCAGCTACTCTGAGGACTGAGGGAGGAGAATGGCGTGAACCTGGGAGGCGGAGCTTGCAGTGAGCCGAGATCGCACCACTGCACTCCAGCCTGGGCGACAGAATGAGACTCCGTCTCAAAAAAAAAAAAAAAAAAAAAAAAAAAAAAGAACAAAAAACAAAAGGAACCATGAACCGCTCCTAAGGGGAGAAGAAAAGGAGCGGAGGAGCGGACATGACACTTCCCCCAGCAAGCAGACGTTTCCGGTTCTTCTCTCTCTCTCCTTCCCACATCAACCGCAAAAGCCATCAGCCTCCTCCGGGTTCCCATGACAGAGGCCACAGTTCAGGTCCCCCTTGCATCACTCGAATCCACTGTCAAATGCTCCCTGCTGGGGTTTCCTGGAGTCTCTCCCCAAGCCAGGGGGCTTCCTAGTGCAGCCTGAACATCTTTCCAAAGCACGACAACCTCACTGCCCACCTGAACAACTTCCTTAGCTGATGTCTTTCTCTATCGAGGCCAGGGTCCACAGTGCCAATTCCACCCTCTCTACAATCTCTACAACCACACTGGCTCGCCATCTTGGTGTTTCCTGGCTTGGCTTCACTGCTCCTTCCAAATGCCCTCCACTTGACTTTGCATTTGTGTTTTCTGTCTGGGTGTCCCGCACACATGTGGTTCTGAAGGGAAGGACCCATTCCTTGAAGTCGGTTCACCCCACAGCCTCTGTGATGCCTTCCCTCATCTTCCAACTTCTGCATGCCCGTAGCTCTCCAGTTACATCCTATTATAACGTGACATTGGGATTAGGTCATCTCCCCTGATTACTCCCAGTCCCATTAGACTAGATGCCTGTAGAAGGCAGGGTCCTGGCAAAATATCAGTGTATTCAATTGCTTTTTTTTTTTTTGAGACAGACTTGCCCTGTCCCCTAAGCTGGAGTGCAGTGGTGAGATCATAGCTCACCGCAGCCTCCATATCCTGGGCTCAAGCGATCCTCCCACCTCAGCCTCTTGATTAGCTCCGACTACAGGGCTGTACCACCACACCTGGACAGTTATTTATTTATTTATTTATTTATTTATTTATTTATTTATCAAGACAAGAGTGTTGCTGTGTCTCTCAGGCTGGAATGGAGGGGCCCAATCTTGGCTCACTGCAACCTCCGCCTCCTGGGTTCACACAATTCTTATGCTTCAGCCTCTTGAGTAGCTAGGACTAATGGGTGTGCCACCGCACCAGGCTGATTTTTGTATTTTTAGTATAGATGGGGTTTCTCTGTGTTGACCAGGCTGGTCTCAAACTCCTGGTCTCAAGCAATCCACCTGCTTCAGCCTTCCAAAGCGCTGGGATTACAGGCATGAGCCACCGCGTCTGGTGTATTTTTTATATTTTTAATAGAGACGAGGGTCTTGCTATGTTGCCCAGGCCTGTCTCAAACTCCTGGCCTCAAGTGATCCTCCTGCTTCGGCCTCCCAGTGTGCTGGGATTCCAGGCATAAGCCACCACTCTTGGTCACCAGTTGGGTTTTTGTCTCCATCCTGAAGGAGTGGGAGACGCCCTTGATCAGGTCTCTGTCCAGCAGAGCCCTCCTGAGGAAGGCATGGCTCTCTGCAGGGTGGGTGCCAGTCCTGAGCTAGGGACGGTCCCTTACCTTCCTCTCTGAGAAGCTGACCTCAGCCGGAGGTCTCTCCTGGTGGTGCCCCTGAGCAGCAACCTGATTTCTGTCCTCAGCTATCTGGCCAATGACATGGAGGAGGACGATGAGGCCCCCAAACAAAACATCTTCTACTTCCTGTACGAGGAGACCCGCTCTCATATACCCTTGCTCCGTGAGCTTTGGTTCCAGTTATGCCGTTACATGAACCCGAGGGCCAGGAAGAACTGCTCTCAGATAGCCTTGTTCCGGAAGTATCGGTTCCACTTCTTTTGTTCCATGCGCTGCAGGGCTTGGGTTTCCCTGGAGGAGTTGGAAGAGGTGGGTGGGGCCTGGGGACGTGGAGGATGTGGGGAGGAATCGGGTGGGCTGGAGGCTGGACGAGGGGAGAGAGGGGTATCCTGGGGAGTCCCCGTCTTCTCAAAGCGCGTTTGTTTTTCCAGATCCAGGCTTATGACCCAGAGCACTGGGTGTGGGCGCGAGATCGCGCCCACCTTTCCTAGAGCTCCAGGGACCGTGGAGGCCTGAGGTCATCGGCCTGAGAGAAGGTACATCTGCATCCTCCGGGGTAAAGGCAGAATATTGGGGTCTATTTCGGAAATCCAAGGAACCCAATTGCTTGATCTGGCTTCAAGCCTGGGCAACGTGGCGAGATCCCCTCTCCACAAAAATACAAAAATTAGCCAGGCGATGTGGGAGGCATCTCTACTCCCAACTACTCAGGAGGCTGAGGCGGGAGGATCGCTGGAGCCTGGGAGGTCGGGGCTGCAGGGAGCCCTGATCCTGCCACTGCACTCCAGCCCAGGCGACAGAGTGAGACCCTGCCTCAAAAATAATCATAAATACTGAGTTCGGGGAGGTTCATTATGATTGATGCACTTGAGTTACCGATCTGGGTCGAGGGTTCAGTGAAGCTTTGGTTTACATCTTGTGCAGCTAACCATGTTGAGCACAGAGCATGAGACTTTGTCATGAGGAGGGAGGATTATGGATTAGGCTTCTGGACTCGTGGTTCGTGATGTTGTCACATTAGAAACAGATCTAGCACGGTTACAAGTTTAGATCTGAAGTGACACAAAAGGCCCCAGCTGTGATGAAGTCCAAAGCCACATTCTCTGAGGGTGCCCTACTCCCTGGGAAGACCCACCCAAAGTCCTTGCTATGAAGCAGATCACTGGGGCTGACCTTGGGTGTATTAAGTTTTGGAGTCAGGGTCACCAAAGTGTGAGTTTCACAGTTGAACACGATGGTTCAGAAGCAGGGTATAGAATGAAAGGCAGGAGATAAAATTGCACTTCTCAATTGCTCTGAACTCTAGCTAGACTTGACATGGGACGTGAATAACCTTCCTGTCTAGAGAGCTGCCTCCTTGAAGTGTGACATTGTCTCTCTCACTTCCAGAACACCGGACCCAGGGGAGATGTGGATTTTCAGCAGGAACTTTATTCCAATGCTAATGGCAGACATCAGGAAGGAGGAGAGGAACCATTTGTGCAGATCATCTAGAAGAACCTGGACCATTCTTGACAGAGCTGAATACAGTGATCACGTTGTCCTCCAAGGAGCAGGGGTGGGGTGGGGTACTTCTAGGAGTCCTTGGAGAAAAGTAAGAAACCAGGAGTGTTTCCAGTTCCACCCTTTCCTGCGGCACCACCTCCCTTTTTATATTGCTGAATGCCAACCTCCCTGGGGCGGAACCTGGAGGTCCTATTTCTTATGGACTTGGTTGCCACAGTCCAGGAGCATTTGAAGGCACAGTGCAGGGGCTCAGATTGGCACAGAATTCTTTGTGAAATATGAGTGCCACAGACTGTAACAGATAGCTTCATGCACACTATGCATTTTATTGGTTTGTTTGGAAAATGTTGGCCATTGAATTATTAATAGGTTTATTTCAAATAGTTTGGAAATTGTTGTACTTTTGAAAACATGCTGTTCCTGTAGAGTTTTTTGATGAGAGTTATAGTTGTTATATATACCTAAAGATAATTTTCTTTTCATTTTTAAGTGAGAATTCTTTTTATCCTAAATCTTTTATTATCTTTAAATTTTTTTCTGTATTATTATATGTGCTCCTGAAGCGAGCACTCTTTTTATCTATGATACTTCCATAATAATCTCTTCTATTTATAGCTATTGGTAGTTCCCCACCAGAAAAAAACATAATTCTGGTGATAGAAATTTTTATTTGCTGTTTAGGTTTGTGACTGAATTGTGAGAATTCAGTTGTGATTTTTAACATGTCTCAGATATATATACTAACACGTCTAATATATACTATCTATTTTATTGGTTTATTTTGAAAAACATGGGTATAGAATTATTTAAATATTATTTTATTTATTGAAATATTTATTAAATATGTTTATTTATTTAAATATTATTATTACTTTAAATATTATTTTAAATATTTTGGAAATACTGGTATTTTTGAATAGATGCTGTTTCTACAAAGCTGTGTGATGGGTGTTATAACTGTTGTATACACATACATATAATTTTGTTTTCCTTTTTAAGAGAGGATTCTTTTCATCCTAAATCTTTTACCTTTCAATCTTTGTATCTATTATTACACGTGCTGCTGAAGGGGAGCATGGTTTTTATCTATGATACTTAGTTAACATATATATTACATTTATAGCTATGTGGTAGTTCCCCTAAATTCTTGTAAAAATAAATTTTTATTTGATATTTAGTGTATGTTTGAAATGTGAGAATTCAGATGGAATTTTTTATCTTGTTTTGGCATGTTTGTATGTTACTTTAAAGAGGATGTGTGTTCTAAAGGAGGACATGAGCTGTGTGTTTTCAAGAGAACAGTGCAGTGCATCTCTTGGGGAAACATAATAAAGATGAACTTTTCTCACCTTCACAGTGAGTGTGATCATATTGTGGTCTGGATTGATTATTTGCTGTCAAGTGACATTTTTCCTTAATGGGGTTGTGCTTATTTGAACATATTTATTAGCTTTGGAAGATAATCCTGTGCTGTTTTTTATGTAGAAAAAAACATACGGCTGGGTGCAGTGCTCACACCTACAATCCCAGCAGTTTTGGAGGTCATGGCGGGAGGATCACTTGAAGCCTATTTTTAATTTTTATTTTTTAAAGAAAAACAACAGAAGAGAAGGCTGATCCCAAGCTACAGGGTTTTTTTGTTTGTTTGTTTGTTTTGGAGACAGTCTCGCTCTGTCTCCCAGGCTGGAGTGCAGTGGCACAACCTCGGCTCCCTGCAACTTTCACCTCCGCGTTCAAGCAAATTCTCCTGCCTCAGCCTCCCAAGTAGCTGGGACTACAGGCATCCGCCTGTACGTCTGACTAACTTTTGTAAAAATAGTAGAGACAAGGTTTCACCATGTTGGCCAGGCTGGTCTCAAACTCCTGACCTCAAGTGATCCACCCGCCTCAGTCTCCCAAAGTGCTGGGATTATAGGCATGAGCTACTGTGCCCAGACCCCAAGCTAGAGTTTTAAAGCAGGAAATGAGAGAAAGATATTGAGAGAGGAAAACCAGGTGGTAAGAAAACTCTAAAGGTGGCTGGGCGTGGTGGCTCACGCCTGTGATCCCAGCAGGAGTTCGAGACCAGGCAGGAGAATCACTAGCAGAGAATATGTCTCCCCAACCCCTCTCAAAAAAAAAAAAAAAAAAAAAAAGTCCAGGCGCGGTGGCTCAGGACTGTAATCCCAGCACTTTGGGAGGCTGAGGTGGGCGGATCATGAGGTCAGGAGATCAAGACCATCCTGGCTAATACGGTGAAACCCCATCTCTGCTAAAAATACAAAAAATTAGCTGGGCGCGGTGGCAGGCGCCTGTAGTCCCAGCTACTCCGGAGGCTGAGGCAGGAGAATGGTGTGAACCCAGGAGGCGGAGCCTGCAGTGAGCAGAGATCGCGCCACTGCACTCCAGCCTGGGTGAAAGCGCGAGACTCCATCACAAAAAAAAAAAAAAAAAAAGAAAGAAAAAAAGAAAGTTCCTGCAACAGTTCAAGCTGTGAAAGACAGGCACTCTGCCATGCAATTCTTTGTGATTTTTCTTTTTTATTTTTGGAGTCGGGGTCTTGTGCTGTCACCCAGACTGGGGTGCAGTGGTGCGGTCATAGCTCACTGTGGGCTCAGACTCAAGCTCAAGCAATCTTCTTATCTTGCCTTTCTAATTGCTGGGATTATAAGCATGAGCCACTGCACCTGGCCTGTGTGACGTAATTCTGATGTCAACTCCCTGATGTTACATCAAATGCCACAGGTTAAGGCCACCAGCCCCCGCTAGGCTGCCCTCGCTTCAGATGCAGCTGCAAGCTTGGGTGTCCACAGACCGCATGTACTTCTCACCAACTGGCTGCAAATTTGGAGGTTCCCACCACGTCCTCAGGTTTGATAATTCACCATAACAACCCACAGAACTCTGAAAAGCATGATACTTTCTCTTTCTTTATTTGAGACAGAGTCTTGCTCTGTCACCCAGGCTGGAGTGCAGTGGCCACCATGCTTGGCTAATTTTAGTATTTGTATTAGAGACAGGGTTTCGCCATGTGGGCCAGGCTGGTCTTGAACTCCTGACCTCAGGTGATCCACCCACCTTGGCCTCCCAAAGTGCTGGGATTACAGGCATAGCCACTGTGCCTGGCTGACTTCTAGAGTTTCAATAACAGAGATGTGGTTCAAGAAGAAAAGGGAGACATGTTTTGTAGACAGCAGGAGCTTCATGAAAAGAAGCCAATGAAGGGCAGGATGTGTAGCTGTCTACCTACAGGAAACCAGCCAGGAGCCTCCCCACAGGGACTTCAGCACAGATGGCCGGGAAAATCTGCATTCACCTGAGCTCTGGACCTAAGAGAGGACAAGGCCTTGACTGTTTCTACAGACTCACAAGATGCAATCTCTGCGGTCCATGCCCGTGGTGTGATCTGGGAAACAGGGGGCCTTCTAAATGCCAACAACAAGGAAATCAAATGTGCAACAGACAGAAATATCGGCATTGACACGGGCCATGGAGAGGCCTAAACAGATGACTGCAGTCCACTGCCAAGGTCATCAAAGGGGTGACTCTGAAATAAGAAATTTCAGACGCCACGGCCCAAATAGCTGCACGAGGTGGGGAAGTCCTCCACATGCCTCTGCTTCCTTCAGTACCTCTTCATGAAATAAGCCGAGGTACTTCCCTGGGGAATTTCCTTTCTCTTTCTTTCTTTCGAGACGGAGTCTTGCTCTGTCGCCCAGGCTAGAGTGCAGTGGCGCGATCTCGGCTCACTGCAACCTCTCCCTCCCGGGTTTTGGCAATTCTTCTGTCTCAGACTTCTGAGTAGCTGAGATTACAGGTGTGTGCCACCATGCCCAGCTAATATTTGTATTTTTACTCGAGACAGGGTTTCACCATCTAGGCCAGGCTGGTCTTGAACTCCTGACCTCATGATCCACCCATCTTGGCCTCCCAAAGTCCTGGGATTACAGGCACGAGCCACCACACCCAGACTTCTTGTTTTATTTTTTGAGATGAAGTTTCGCTCTTGTTGCCCAGGCTGGAGTGCAATGGCGAGATCTCAGCTCACTGCCACCTCCTCCTCCTCCCAGGTTCAAGTGATTATCCTGCCTCAGCCTCCCGAGTAGCTGGGATTACAGGCACCCAACACCAAACCCCGCTGACTTTTTGTATTTTTAGTAGAGATGGAATGTCACCATGTTGGCCAGGATGGTCTTGAACCCCTGACCTCTAATGATCTACCCGAATTGGTCTCCCAAAATGCTGGGATTACAGGCGTGAGCCACTGTGCCCAGCCCCTCCCATACCTCTTTTGGCCAAGGCAGTACAATTCAGAGAATCTTGCCAGGGAAGACTGGTAAATGGACATCAACATGATGCCTATGGCTCCTGGTGGATTTAGATACCTCCTGGTGCTTACTGATACCTTTACCAGTTACATGGGGGCTTTTCCATGCCAGACTGAAAATGCTGGAGATCACTGATCAACCTTCAACTATTTACTAGCAGAACACTGAGGGGACTCTGCAGTCACCAATATCTCCTATTGCACTTGGATAAACACCTCCCGGGAAATAGAGATGAATAGAAAGGAAATACTTAAACAAGCAGAATGGCTACATTCCTTCAACCAGAAGGGTCCATTAGTCTGTTTTCACACTGCTATAAAGAACTACTGGAAACTGGGGAATTTATGAAGAAAAGAGGTTTAATTGACTCACAGTTTTGCAGGCTGTACAGGAAGCATGGCTGGGGAGCCCTCAAGAAACTGACAATCACGGCAGAAGGCGAAGGGGAAGCAGGCACGTTTCTGGCCATGGTGGAGCAGGAGAGACAGAGAGAGTGAAGCAGGAGGTGCTGCATGCTTCTAAACAACCAGATCCCATGAGCGCTCACTCACTATCACGAGACCAGCAAGGGGGACGTCAGCCGCCATGAGCCAATCATCTCCCACCAGGTCCCTCCCTCAACACTGGGAATTGCAATTGGACATGAGATTTGGTTGGGGATACAGAGCTGAACCATATCAAGGGTAGTTCAACCACTGAGATTGATTGATTGACTGAGATGGGGTCCTGCTCTGTTACCTAGGCTGGAGTGCAGTGGCACAATCTCGGCTCACTGCAACCTCCGCCTCCCAGGTTCAAGCAATTCTCCTGCCTCAGCCTCCCTAGTAGCTGGGACTACAGCACACGCCACCACACCTGGCTAATTTTTGTATTTTCAGTAGAGACGGGGTTTCACCATGTTTGCCCGGCTGGTCTTGAACTCCTGACCTCGTGATCACCCTGCCTCGGCTCTTCTTTTGCTGGAATTACAGGCGTGAGCCACCGCACCCGGACAACCACTGAGATTTAGAAGGCAGTCGAGTCCACTATACCACACCTCACCTGGTTTCTTCCTCTGTTGGGGCCCCTCGTGGCCACTGTTCTGTTACTTTTTGGTCCTATTTATTTAAATGGATGGTGAGCTGTTTGTCCTCCAGGATCCAACACTTCCACCTTCAGCTTGTATTACAACAATACCAGCCTTTCAAGCTACTCCGGGTGACCCCAGAACTCATCTGAACTCAGAAGCCCAAGAGTTTCATTCCTCTCACTTTAGGGGACTAAGTGCCCCTGGTCAGCATGAAGTCGATACAGAAGCATGACCTCCATCCCTAATCCCTCAAGAATGAGGAGTGGAAGGTGTTGGCAGGAGGGTGGGACGCGGTTTGTAAATCTGTAACTGCATCAGACCAAATCTAGTTCAACTTTTTTTTTTTTTGATGGAGTTTCACTCTTGTCACCCAGGCTGGAGTGCAATGGCACGATCTCAGCTCACTGCAACCTCCACGTCCTAGGTTCAAGCATTCTGCTGCCTCAGCCTCTGGGGTAGCTGGGATTACAAGGGTGCGCCACCACGCCTGGCTAATATTTATATTTTTAGTAGAGACGGGGTTTCACCATTTTGGCCAGGCTGGTCTTGAACTCCTCGACCTCAGGTGATCCACCTGCCTTGGCCTCCCAAAGTGCTGGGATTACAGGCGTGAGTCACCGCACCCGAATCAGTTCAACTTTTATGTAATGAAGTTGTCAGTTGTTTTCCAATTGCCATCGACCTGCAGGTTGAAGGTCATGTACCCTGTGCATGCCCAGGTTAACCACGCGTGCCACCGTGGAGTGGAACCTAAGAGCTCAGCCTGAAGAGCTCGGACCGATTTAAGAACCAGACACCCCCAGGCAGGAGCCAGGATCCAATCAGATTGAGTTTTGGTGTCACCCCATGGCAGGATCCAGTCAGATCACACCTCCCAGCATTACTTTATTGCAAGATCCAATCAAATCACACCTCATTACCCTATGCTTATAAAACCTGACACAGCCCCCAGCTGTGTAAGGGAGATTTGAGTACTTCCTCCTGTGTTCTTGCTGGCTGACTTACAAAAAAGCTTTAAAAAAAAAAGCCAGGCGTGGTGGCTCACGCCTGTAATCCCAGCACTTTGGGAGGCTGAGGTGGGCAGATCACTTGAGGTCAGGGGTGCAAGACCAGCCTGGCCAACATGGTGAAACCCCATCTCTACTAAAAATACAAAAATTAGCTGGGTGTGGTGACACACACCTATAATCCCAGCTACTTGGGAGGCTGAGGTAGGAGAATCACTTGAACCCAGGAGGCGGAGGTTGCAGTGAGCCAAGATCACACCACTGCACTCCAGCCTGGGCGACAGAGTGAGAAGACTCCGTCTAAAAAAAAAAGTTAAAATTAGCACCAAACGCTTTACAAGTAAAAAAAGTTTTTAGCTGCATATGTTTAAGTAACTTTTTAGATTATAAGAAATACGCATGCAAAATGGAAAGGCAC
Organism: Homo sapiens; assembly: GCF_000001405.40. Classification (NCBI taxonomy): domain Eukaryota; kingdom Metazoa; phylum Chordata; class Mammalia; order Primates; family Hominidae; genus Homo; species Homo sapiens. The sequence goes on along the minus strand of NC_000007.14, from coordinate 74,898,853 downwards.
AAAGAAGAGAGCAAAAAGTGCATGAGATCTCACATCCAAGGATAACCGCTGAGAACATGGAAGTGCTGACTCTTCAGTCTTTATACTATACACATTTAGGCCTGTTTTGTTTTTATAAAACTGTAATCATATAATACAGACAGTTTTATAATCTGCTTTTTAAACACAACAATTATATAACATTTAGCTGTTTCATTTGCATTCAAATTCATAAGGGTTCCAGTAACTCATTTATCAGAAAACCAAGAGAAATATTCTCATAAAAATATAAGTACATAAGGTCAGGCATGGTGGCTCACGCCTGTAATCCCAGCACTTTGAGAGGCCGAGGTGGGCGGATCACCTGAGGGCAGGAATTCAAGACCAGCCTGGCCAGCCTGGACAACATGGTGGAACCCCGTCTCCACTGAAAATACAAAAATTAGCCGGGCGTGGTGGCGCGCGCCTGTAATGGTAGCTACTCAGAAGGCTGAAGCAGGAGAATCGCTTGAACTTGGCAGGTGGAGGTTGCAGTGAACTGAGATCGCGCCACTGCACTGCAGCCAGGGCGCCAAAGTGAGACTCCATCTCAAAAAAAGATAAAAATAAAAAATAAAAAAAATGTATATATATGTATATATATTTTTCCAGACAGGGTCTTACTCTGTCTCACAGTCTGAAGTGTAGTGACGCAATCATAGCTCACTGCAGTCTCAAGTTCCTGAGCTCAGGTGATCCTCCCACTTCAGCCTCCCAAGTAGCTGGAACTACAGGTGCATGCCACCATGCCCAGTCAATTTTTTTTTTTAATTTTTCATAGAGACAGAGTCTCACTATGTTTCCCAGTCCTAATAAACATTATGTGATAAAAAGAAAAAAGTAAATCATCCTGAAGTTAAGTCTTTAATGAGAAATGCAAATAAAGCATTTCTCAATAAATTATGGGAAGAGAATCAACTGAAGAATAAACATCTTTAGTAAATCTTTTGCTCATGTGCATTAACCAATACTCTTGAAAACCAGGATTAATTTACTGTACCTTCTTAATATTCCTTTGAAATTCCTTATGGCGCACAGGTAGCGTAGAAAATAACTGCTTCACGCTGACTGTGGTCCCTCTGGGGTGGGGGTAGGGGGTTTTCTGGATGATTTTCCCATCGTGATCAAACACCAGTCGAGTCCCAACCTTCGCCGATACGTGGCAGGTAGAAATGGTGACATCACTGTGAGAGAATACCAGGCATGGTGTGTTCAGTGAGAGATCCATGATGTTGGGCACTGACTACTCTTTTCTTCACTTGCTTTTCTCTCAAAATTTTCTTAAAAAGCTGATGATCCCTCTGAGATAACCGAGATCTAAACGGTTGAGGAGTCATCACAAAATCTAAGGTCTGGCATCTAAAAGACAGTGAGACAGAGAGCACTAAACATGCTTTGTTTTGATAAAAGCTTTGACTTCATTTTTCAGGTTGAATTGCAAAACCATAAATGATCTCAAGATTTATTGATTCTCAAATAGAGATTTGTTTTGTTATTACTCTTCAAACAAAATTTTTTAAAAGAATTTTTTTAAAGAATTTTTTAAAATTTTAAAAAATTTTTTTAAAGAATCCAAAAGATATTATAATTAAAATGTATATGTAGGGCAGGGTGCGGTGGCTCGTGCCTGTAATTCCAGCACTTTGGGAGGCCAAGGAGGGCAGATCACTTGAGGCCTGGAGTTCCAGACCAGCCTGGGCAACATGGCAAAACCCCATCTCTACTAAAAATACAAAAATTAGCCAGGAGTGGTGGTGCACGCTATAGTCCCAGCTCTTCAGGAGGCTGAGTCACGAAAGTCACTTGAACCTGGGAGGCAGAGACTGCAGTGAGCTGAGACTGTGCCACTGCACTCCAGCCTGGGTGACAGAGTGCGACTCTGTCTAAAAAAAAAAAAAAATATATATATATATATATATATATGTATATATATATGTGTGTGTGTGTGTGTGCATGTAATCATTTATAAAAATTTAGTATCTGTGCTATAATTAAATAGTGCTTTGGTGAAATGTTTCCCTAAAAATTGATAATGAAAACCAATGGTAACTATCATTTATTATCTATATGTTCTGTTCAAATTGAGAAGTTACTGTTTTAATAAGGGTAACCAATTTTTTAAACAATACTATTTGCTTCATTTCATTCATTTATTGCTCACATTTCAGAAGTACTAGGACTTAGATTGGCAGTGAGACAAAACAGAATTCAGAAGCTAGAAGCTGAGATATTGAGATAGAAAATTGTAAATAATAATGATTCCAATTAATTTTCAGAGAGGTTTTTCTAAGGGGTCAAGTGAATGGATAAAAATATTTTATCACCTCAGTGCACAAAGTGAGCTCAGAGCTTCCCCCCGAAAGCCAAAAGTTTCAACCCGAGTTAGGTCGGCAAACTCTTGAATCTTAGATGTGTGATGTTTCAGAGCTGAAAGAGACTGTAAAGTAAGGACTAAGACATCTCAAGTGCTATAACAACAAATATACATGATATCTAGTAACTGGCTTTAGAAAACTGTTTTTGTGTTTCCCAAGACAGTGTTACTCAAAATTCTAAGACATGTGGCCCAATTATTTTATAATAGGATTAGAAAGTTAACTTACTTAAGCCTTTAAAGTTTTCTTCTTCTACCCCACATCCATTGCCTGAAACTTCAATGAGATCCATTCCATAGTCCTTAAGCTTTAGATCTAGAAAGTTTAAAATATTTATATATTTATTAAAAATGGACCCACGCTATCAGTTTTTATATTGATATTATTTATAACGTGCAAATTTAAGTGTCGTAACTATACCTTTAGTTAAACATACTAGTGTCATTTTGTATATTTCATTTTTATAAAGTTCTTTCTGACCATTTACTAGCCCAGATTAAATAGTTTAGCATTTTCTTTCTTTCCTCTTTTTTTTTTTTTTTCCTTACACTAGTCAAGTGAAGCAGTTGGAGTGGAGAAGGAACAAAAAAATCTGTAACTGGTTGTGATCAATTAGTTGTAAAGACCGTTGCACTTTGACCAGCCTTTTCCTTTGAAAGAAATAATTTTAACATACCCAGTAAGGAGAACGGGGGCCGGGCACAGTGGTTCATGCCTGTAATCCCAGCACTTTGGGAGACCAAAGCGAGCGGATCACCTGAGGTCAGTAGTTCGAGACCAGCCTGACCAACGTAGAGAAACTCTATCTCTACTAAAAATACAAAATTAGCCAGGCGTGGTGGTGCATGCCTGTAATCCCAGCTACTTGTGAGGCTGAGGCAGGAGAATCGCTTGAACCTGGGAGGTGGAGGTTGCAGTGAGTTGAGATCGTGCCATTGCACCGCAGCCTCGGCAACAAGAGCAAAACTCTATCTCAAAAAAAAAAAAAAGAAAAAAAAACAGAACTGGTTCTGGAATCAGACTTCCTAGATTCTATTTTATTAGCTTTATAATCTCAAAAAAAGGAAATTTACTGTCCCTTAATTTCCTCAACTGTAAAATGGAGGTAATAAGTTCTATCTCATAAAGTTATTTGGCAGATTAATAATTTTTTTTTTAATTTTGTCATTTTCTTTTTTTTCTTTCCTTTTTTTTTTTTTTTTAATTTTTTGAGATGGACTTTTGCTCTTGTCACCCAGGCTGGAATGCAGTGGCACAATCGATCTTGGCTCACTGCAACCTCCACCTCCCAGGTTTAAGCAATTCTCCTCCCTCAGCCTTCTGAGGAGCTGAGATTACGGCCATGCACCATCACATCTGGCTAATTTTTGTATTTTTAGTAGAGACAGGGTTTTACCACGTTGGTTAGGCTGGTCTTGAACTCCGGACCTCAAAGCATCAGCCCCCCTCAGCCTCCCAAAGTGCTGGGATTACAGATGTGAGCCACTACTCCAGGATTTATTTTATTTTATTTTATTTTATTTTTTTGAGACAGAGTCTTGCTCTGTCCCCAGGCTGGCGTGCAGTGGCACAATCTCGGTTCACTGCAACCTCCACCTCCCAAATTTAAACAATTCTCATTCCTGAGCCTCCCCAGTAGCTGGGATTACAGGCTTCTGCCACCAGGTCTGGCTAATTTTTGTATTTTTAGTAGAGACAGAGTTTCACCATTTTGGACAGGCTGGTCTCGAATTCCTGACCTCAGGTATCCACCCGCCTTGGCCTCCCAAAGTGCTGGGATTACAGGCGTGAGCCACCACACCCGGCCTGCTTTATTTTTTAATAGAGACGAGGTCTCCCCATGTTGGCCAGGTTGGTCTTGAACTCTTGGCTTCAAGCAATCCCCCCACCTCAGCCTCTCAAAGGGCTAGGATTACAGGCGTCAGACACCACGCCCAGCTATTCTGCAAATTAAATGAGATATTTCTGTGCAATTCTTAGCATAACACCTGCCTGGCACACCATAAGAACACAAGAAAAGCTGTCGTTATTATTATTACTACCTAGCTAAGTACTAGGCACATAATAGGTGCTAACTTTAACTTAAAAATAATAGTTTATTACTACATCAACACTTGATAGTCTTATTTCAATAACAAATGTTTCTTGACTACAACAACATTCACTGATCATTTCTTGTGGCTTAAAACTCTCCCAAACTTACCAATATTAGTGGCACCAGCATCCAGACTGTTTTCTACTATCTTCTTCACCGCAGTGCTTAGACTCAGTACCACCTGCCCAGAGCAAATCTGATGGACTGACTTCCGATCAATAGGTTTGATGGCCTTAGCAGGTTCTGTACTAAAGAAATCAGTTACAAGAAACAAAGCAAGTATTCAGCTATATATTTTCATCCTGATTTTAACTGTGGGAAATGACTCAACACTGCAAATAGTTTATGGTTCTAATCTATTCATTTATTATATTAACAAATACATTTATTATATCCAGAAATGGAAACATTGTTTTACAATCCTTAAACAAGTACCCAAAATACTTCTGGATAGACACTTCAAATTCAACACATCCTTACTATCTAGTATCCACATGGAGAAAACATACATTGTATCTCTCAAATTACCAAAATCTTTGGCAATAATGGTGTCTTCTTTCTTGAAAACTGAAAGCATGGCCGGTGTGGTGGCTCATGCCTGTAATCCCAGCAATTTGGGACACAGAGGCAGGCGGATCACTTGAGATCAGGAGTTTGAGACCAGCCTGGCCAACGTCGTGAAACCCTGTCTCTACCAAAAATACAAAAAATTAGCCAGGCATGGTGGTGGGCGCCTGTAATCCCAGCTATTTGGGAGGCTGAGGCAGAAGAATCACTTAAACCTGGGAGGCGGAGGTTGCAGTGAGCTGAGATTGCAGCATTGCACGCTAGGCTGGGCAATGAGCAAAAAAAAAAGTAAAAGCAACATAATTTCCCACATAATTAGAAAAACCAACAGTATGCTGGGAAATACACAATGTTTAAGTCAAAATCATCTCAGAAATTGGATACCAGTTATATAACTATTCCTTATACACAGTTGCCTTTGATACCCTACTCCAAATTGAAGCTGCCAGCTGCTGTCTTAGCAAAGACCCTCAAAGTTCTTGCTGTACTTGTTTTAAGAGTTTTTTTTTTTTTGTTTTTGTTTTTTTGAGACGGATTCTTGCTCTGTCGCCCTGTCGCCCAGGCTGGAGTGCAGTGGCACGATCTTAGCTCACTGCAAGCTCTGCCTCCCGGGTTCACACCATTCTCCTGCCTCAGCCTCCTGAGTGGCTGGGACTACAGGCGCCCACCACCATGCCCAGCTAATTTTTTGTATTTTTTGTAGAGACAGGGTTTCACCGTTTTAGCCAGGATGGTCTCGATCTCCTGACTTCGTGATCCGCCCGCCTCAGCCTCCCAAAGTGCTGGGATTACAGGCGTGAGCCACCACGCCCAGCCCACTTTAAGAGTTTTATAACGGTTTCATTTCCCCTTATTCCCTGCTCCAACCCATCCTCCACTCTATCACCAGAGCTATTTTTGAAATCACGAATCTGGTCAAATAATTTTTCTGCTTGAAAAATTACTAGTGCCCCACTTCCTACTATATGAAACTTAAAATCTAGTCATCACTGGGCCCCAAACTACCTTCTTTTCAGAATCTCTCCGATCCTTTCCCTTCATCAAGTCCCCTACATTATTATTATTATTATTATTATTATTATTATTATTATTATTATTTGAGACAGAGTCTCACCCTGTCACCTGGGCTAGAGTGCAATGGCATGATCTCGGCTCACTGCAACCTCCACCTCCCAAGTTCAAGTGATTCTCCTGTCTCAGCCTCCCAAGTTGCTGGGATTATAGGCATCCACCATTACACTCAGCTAATTTTTGTGTTTTTAGTAGAGATGGGGTTTCACCATGTTGGCCAGGCTGGTTTCTAACTCCTGACCTCAGGTGATCTGCCCGCCTTGGCCTTCCAAAGCACTAGGATTACAGGTGTGAGCCACCGCAACTGGCCGTCCCCTATATTGCAGCACAGTGAACAACTGTTTCCTGAACATCACAAGCTCTCTTAGACACTACAGTGTATAAGCAGGTCTCTGTCTAAACTGCTCTCCTCTTGCCCCTCTGCCCAACCAATGTCTGCTCATCCAAAGAATGTATCCCGTGTGTTCATTAACTTAGCAAGTTCCCAGTAAACAGTTTAATTGATCACTCGTTAAGAGAAGGCGGGAAACCTCCATGAAAAGAGAAATCAGTGGGTATTTCCTACAGCATTTAACACATCGTAGGCCTTCAATAAACCCTTGTGAAATAAACAAACCTCTTTACTCTTCATTCTATGTTGCTAAGAATCTCACCTAAGTCTGTCTACCATGTGAAACTGCAGATGACCTCACAGAAAATGGAAAGAAGTATCTCTAAAAATAAGTTTATTTGGCAACACACTACAGGCTACAGGTTCACTTCTGATTTTTTTTCTTTTTTTTTTTGAGATGGAGTCTTGCTGTGTCACCCAGGCTAGACTGCAGTGGTGCAATCTCAGCTCACTGCAATCTCTGTCTCCTGGGTTCCAGCGATTCTCCTGCCTCAGCCTCCCAAGTAGCTAGGATTACAGGCGCCTGCCACCACGCCCAGCTAATTTTTGTATTTTTAGTAGAAATGGGATTTCACCATGTTGGCCAGGCTGGTCGTGAACTCCTGACCTCATGATCCACTTGCCTTGGCCTCCCAAAGTGATGGGATTATAGGTGTGAGCCACCGCACCTGGTCCACTTCAGATATTTAGATACAGACGGCAAATTTATTTAAATGTCTCAATACATTTAAATGTAGTTACCTAAATATATCTAATATATTTAAATGCAGAGAGCAAATTTGCGTTTACAAATCTGACATGGAATTCAACTGTGCTAGCCAAGATTCGGTGTAGCTTACCAGCCAGAAATCACATACCCTAACAGGTAAAAATGCATTGCATTTTTTAAAACTGAGCAGCTACGCAAATTAGGATATGTCTGGATGCTCTACTGTCCCCAAAATAACCTCAATTTTTTTTTAAAAGGCCAGGCACAGTGCATTACGCCTGTAATTCCAGCGCTTTGGGGGGCCAAGGCGGGCGGACTGCTTGAGCTCCGGAGTTCCAGACCAGCTTGGGCAACATAGCGAAATCCCCGTCTCTACAAAAAAATAAAATAAAAATTAAAAATAAAATAATATAAAAATAAAAATAAAAGGGGAGGGAGAACAGGTAGAAAGGAAATGCATTCAGTCTATGGGGATTTCACGTTCCGGCTTCAAGTCCACGGCCCTGTGATGGGATGTGGGCAGGGCCTGAGACAGGCCGAACCCAACTCTTCACAGGGCCGAATTCTTTGCCCGCAGCCCAGCACCCCGAAGGAGCTTGCCTCGGCTTCAAGGCGCACCTAATGGGCACCGGATCGCTGGGGCGCTGAGGATGCCGCTCCGGGGCCTCCACGAGGTGACCTCGCCACGCGCCTCGGCCATGTTCCCCCCATTTCCAGGGAGGTTGGAAGCCGTGGTTCTCAAAGAGGGCGCGCGAGAGGGGCGACCGCGAGCCCAGCTCACCTCCAGCTCTCAGCTCTCTCCAAGGATGCAACACCGGATCCGCCTCGGGGACTGGGAAAGTGCCCTCCACGGCTCCCACAGGCGCCCCGCCTCCTGGGCTCCCATTGGCTGCTTTCGACGTTGTGCTCCACCCTTTCCGGGCGGGGCGGAAAAAATACTTCCCGTCTCTCCTTTTCGCCTAGTGGCTCTGTCAAAGGTCGAGTCCGTGACGTCAAAGAGCCTGGACCAATCAGAGCACACCGGACTGCGTTTTTTTTTTCCGAACGCCCGCAGCAGGGTCAGAAGGGAGGTGGTCGCCCTCCGTCGTGGTCTGGCGTGTATTCCGAGCGTTGGTGTCTGGCGGTTTCCGAGCGTTGGTGTCTGGCGGTTTCTGACCGTTGGTGTCTGGCGGTTTCCGACCGTTGGTGTCTGGCACGCGCCACCCTCTCTTGCTTTGGTTGCGCCATGCCGATGTACCAGGTAAAGCCCTATCACGGGGTCTGCGCCCCTCTCCGTGTGGAGCCCACCTGCATGTACTGGCTCCCCAACATGCACGGCAGGAGCGGCGGCCCAGCACTTGGCACTGGCCACTTGCAGGTAGGAGCGCGGGGCCCCCCGCCCACTGCGCACGCGCGGCGGCCGGGTGCTGGCCCGGGTGCCCCTAGGCCGGATAGAGTGCGTCCCAACCGATTCGCGGCCCCACCCCGGCATCTGTGCCGGCCGGCCAGGGGCTCACCCAGATTTTTATGTTTTAAAAGATTTATTCAGGCCGGGCGCCGTGGCTCACGCCTGTAATCCCGGCACTTTGGGAGGCCGAGGCGGGCGGATCACCTGAGATCAGGAGTTCGAGACCAGTCTGGCCAACATGGTGAAACCCCGTGTCTACTAAAAATGCAAAAATTAGCCGGGCGTGTGTCGGGCGCCTGTAATCGCAGCTACTCGGGAGGCTGAGGCAGGAGAATGGTTTGAACCCTGGAGGCGGAGCTTGCAGTGAGCTGAGATCGAGCCATTGCACTCGAGCCTGGGCAGCAAGAGTGAAACTCCGTCTCAAAAAAAAAAATTATTATATACATATATATCTTTATATATATTAAATATACCTTTATTATGCGTATTATACATATTGTATATTATGTGTAATATATGACATAATATATTATAAAATATATTATATATTATATATATATATATTTTTTTTCCTGGTCGAGCGCGGTGGTTCACGCCTGGAATCTCAGCGCTTTGGGAGACCGAAGCGGGAGGATTGCTTGGGAGACCGAAGCGGGAGGATTGCTTGAGCCCGGAGAGTTTGAGACCACCCTGAGCAACATAGCAAGACCCTTGTCTCTATGTTTTTTTTTTTTTTTTGAGTTGGAGTCTTGCTCTGTCGCCCAGGCTGGAATGCAGTGGCCTGATCTCGGCTCACTGCAAGCTCCACCTCCCGGGTTCACGCCATTCTCCTGCCTCAGCCTCCCCAGTAGCTGGGACTACAGGCGCCCGCCACCACGCCTGGCTAACTTTATTTTGTATTTTTAGTAGAGACATGGTTTCACCGTGTTAGCCAGGATGGTCTCGATCTCTTGACCTCGTGATTCGCCTGCCTCGGCCTCCCAAATTGCTGGGATTACAGGCGTGAGCCACCACGCCCAGCTGCCTTGTCTCTATTTTTTAAATGTTTTAATTAAAATAAAAATCTATCCATATTTTTTTTTTTTTTTGCGTATGGCTGCTTAAACATTTTAGTTCAGAATTCTATCCTCTGAAAAGTGAATAGCACATAAATGCTCATTTTGAGGAATTACAAAGCGAACCCCAGGGTCACCACCTCCTAGGTTGACACACATTGTCACCGCTCCATTCTTTCCACTTAAACCTTCCCCACCAGCACCCCAGGGCCTGATTTTTGTGGTAATTATGTCATGCTTGTCTCTATTATTTTGTCAGCTAAGTATCCCTAAACAATATGGTCAGGTTTTTTGTTTGTTTGTTTTTTTTGTTTTTTTCAGACGGAGTTTCACTCTGTCACCCAGGCTGGAGTGCAGTGGCATGATCTCAGCTCACTGCCACCTTGGCCTCCTGGGTTCAAGCAATTCTCAGGCCTCAGCCTCATGAGTAGCTGAGATTACAGGCACTGTCCACTGCACCTGGCTAATTTTTGTATTTTTAGTAGAGACGGGGTTTTGCCATGTTGACCAGGCTGGTCTTGAACTCCTGACCTCAGGCGATCCGCCCGCCTTGAACTCCCAAAGTGCTGGATTACAGGTGTGAGCCACCGTGCCCGGCACCTAAACAACATAGTTTTGATATAGGTAAGCATACAGCATATATTTTGATGTATTTCAGGTAATTTAGTCTAAGAACAGGAAAGGACAGAAAATGAACACAATTTGTAGTTCTTTGTTCTTAACAAACTAAGAATACTTTGCTTAAATAAGTAGCAATGAGAATGTAACTCAGTAATTCATACAAATAGACAAGAAGACAAGAAAATGATTTGAGGACAGCTTCAATCGCGGTGTGAAGAAGAAAGCAGCAAAACGACCACTGAAAACAACGCCGGTGAGTCAGCCAGTTTTCTTTTGTTTTTGAATCTTGTGGGGGAATCAGCCCAGTTATTCGGGAGGCTGAGGCAGGAGAATGGCACGAACCCTGGGGGCAGAGCTGGCAGTGAGCCGAGATCACGCCACTGCACGCCAGCCTGGGCGACAGAGCGAGACTCCGTCTCAAAAAAAAGAGAAAACCTAAGAGGTTCAGGTGATATGGTTCAAAAAAGGACAAGATTTACAAAGTATTAAGGGACGGAAATAGGAAGAAGAGAAATTTCGAAGAGAAAAGAAAAGAAAAGGATGTTTGGTTATAGAGATACGGGAAGGAGACTCAAGGAATTTTTTTTTTAAAGGGAAAAAAGTTAATAAACTTCATAATATAAAAATCAATTATTTCAGGACTGAGTCTAACTCAGACTGCTGTGGAATTGGCAGCATAAGCCTACTTGTGTGATAATGATGAAACCAAGTGTTAATGTCACTGTTACCTTTTTTTCATATTTCTGATCTTTTTATGTGTATCAGGTGGCAAAATATCCAAAGAAAGGGTCCCAAGCGGTACATCGTCATAGCCGGAAACAGTCAGAGCCACCAGCCAATGATATTTTCAATGCTGCGAAAGCTGCCAAAAGTGACATGCAGGTAAAAGCAGTGTCTTACCTCTGTTGATACCATCTCACTTTTTGTAAGGTGGTAAGGACAAGTGTCTACAAACTTGATTTGATGTGAACATTTTAGTGAGTGTAACATATCAAGAAAGATAAGATTATGGGGTGAATCCTTGGAGTGATAGAAGGTAACCTTGAATAAGAGAGCATGTTCTTTTTTTTTTTTTTTTTTTTTTTTGAGACAGTTGCCCAGGCTGGAGTGCAGTGGCACAGTCTCAGCTCACTGCAGCCTCTGCCTCCTGGGTTCAAGCGATTCTCATGGTCTTGGGAGGCTGAGGCCTCCCAAGTAGCTGGGCTTACAGGCATGTGCCACCATGCCTAGCTAATTTTTGTATTTTTAGTAGAGATGGGGTTTCACCATGTCGGCCAGGCTGGTCTCCAACTCCTGACCTCAGGTGATCCGCCTGCCTCGGCCTCCCAAAGTGCTGGGATTACAGGTGTGAGCCACCGCACCCGGCTTCGAGAGAGCGTTTCTTTTCTTAAAGCGTGTTCTTTTCTTAAAGGTATCACAGGAGTGATTATGCCTTTATTGATTGATGGAGCAGATGAGGAGAGGCATTGCATGACATGGGAAGGAAGCTTAGATGTGGGTGGCACCTTGTTCACCCATGTTATTTTTTAGCTCCATCTTGACAATTATACTTAATTATTTTTTCCCTCTCTGTTTCTTTTTTTATAATTTTATTGAAGTTCTAATATCTGGAAGTGTACAAAGCGTATATGTAGTTTAAAAAATAAAAATGAGATATCACCCAGATCTCTAGCCCCAGCTCAAGAAATGAAACATTAATAGTGCTGTAGAGATCCTTTGTGTACCTTCTTTCTACCCTACCTCACAGTCCCCTTATTACCCATAGGTAAACACTAGGGTGAACTTTGCGTTAATCTTTCTCATCTTTCATTATAGTGTTACCACTATGAATGTGTTCTTTAATTATGTAAATGAATCCATTATTCAGGCTTCTGTGATTTAATTATTTCAGTTAAGATTGTTTGAGATTTATCCACATTAACATGTAGTTTTATAGTTTCTGGGAAAATATTTAAAATTTTCAAACATACAGAATTTTGCTAGTTATATTTTCGTTATTTGATTTCTAACTTTATTGTGTTGTAGTCAGGGAATGTGGTGTTTGAAATTTATGTAGGGGCTAGGCACAGTGGCTCACATCTGTGATCCCAGCACTTGGGGAGGCTGAGGCAGGCAGATCACTTGAGGCCAGGAGTTCGAGACCAGCCTGGCCAACATGGCGAAACCCCATCTCTACTAAAAATACAAAAATTAGCTGCATGTGGTGGCATTTGTCTGTAATCCCAGCCACTTGGGAGGCTGAGGCATGAGAATTGCTTGAACCCAGGAGGTGGAGGTTGCAGTGAGCTGAGATTGTGCCACGGCACTCCAGCCTGGGTGACAGAGTGATACTCTGTCTCAAAAAAAAAAAAAAAAAAAAAAAAGACATTTATGGAGACTTAGCCTTATGGCCTAGTATTGAGTTGGCACAATCGTTTTATCTTTTCTGTTTCTTTTTCCCCCTTTGCTTGCTTTCCTCTGGATTTCTTATCTTCTACAAGGACCTGAGCACATTTTAATTCCAGTTGTCTTTTCCACCTTACATGCAGTAGTACAGTGTGTTAGTTTTTTATTTGAAACGGAGTCTTGCTCTGTCACCAGGCTGGAGTGCAGTGACGCGATCTTGGCTCACTGCACCTCCGCCTCCCGGGTTCAGGCGATTCTCCTGCCTCAGCCTGCCAAGTAGCTGGGACTACAGGCACCCGCCACCATGCTTGGCTAATTTTTGGCCACCATGCCCAGCCTGAATGAACTTTCAAAATTGGTTTTTAAAAGAGGTATGGAGGCCGGGTGCAGTGGCTCACACCTGTAACTCCAGCACTTTGGGAGGCCAAGACGGGCAGATCACTTGAGGTCAGGAGTTCGAGACCAGCCTGGCCAACATGGTGAAACCCCATCTCTACTAAAAATACAAAAAGGTAGCTGGGCGTGGTGGTGCACCTGTAATCCCAGCTACTCAGGAGGCTGAGGCAGGAGAATCACTTGAACCCGAGAGGTAGAGGTTGCAGTGAGCTGAGATTGTGCCGCTGCACTCCAGCCTGGGCAACAGGTGGAGTGGAGAATTAGGCTGTACAAGGCTGGTGTTTAACTATTTTATGGTTTGGTAACAGAAAGAAAATATTTACTAACTGGGTATGGCACATTTTTGTAGTCCTAGCTACTTGAGAGGCCAAAGTGGGAAGATGACTTGAACCCAGGAGTTCAAGGCCAGCTTGGGCAACACAGCAAGAGACCCCATCCCTTAAAAAAAAGAGAAAAAATATTTACATGTATTTTACTATATATATAGTATTTACATCGGGAGGAAGAAATGAAAGGCATGGGGTACATGGCATTTCAAGAAAATAAATTCTTCCATGAGAGGGAGTTAACTGGTAGGATGGAAAGTGAGTTTGGAGAGAGGGTGGCTCTAAGAGTCGACTTATCTGTCTGTGTCTAGGGATGTCCTTCCTGAGATCCGTGCTATCTGCATTGAGGAAATTGGGTGTTGGATGCAAAGCTACAGCACGTCTTTCCTCACCGACAGCTATTTAAAATATATTGGTTGGACTCTGCATGATAAGGTGGGATTCGAGTCAGTTTCCCTTTCCGTTTCCTTCATCTTTTTCCTGTCCTAGGACACTTCACCTTTTCCTGGGCCTGCCACTGAGATATTTTACCTAGTGACCAATGATTAACCCATCAAGGCGCTGAACCTTGAAACTCCGCTAGCACTGGGGAGGGTAGGATAAGGTAGAGAGAGACATACCCAGGAGATGAAATGACTCAAAACATGAGGTACGGGGAGAGAGACTTTCCAATGGAAGAGAGTTATTGATGGATGGTAATGCAGGTGCTAAGGGGCAGCCAAAGGATCCTTCTCATCATGAGTACTGCTGTGATCCTTTTTTTTTTTTAAGTATGAAGACAGCTGTTCATTGTTTCTGACATCTCAGAGTCCTCAGTAGAGGGGACACCCAAGCTAGAATGAGGGATCGGAGAGGGGAGTCTGGACGCTCAGTAGGGGCGAGTAGAGTGTGGTTGGTCTTATTTCCATTCTCTTGGTTTTCCCTCCTCACCAGCACCGAGAAGTCCGCGTGAAGTGCGTGAAGGCTCTGAAAGGGCTGTACGGTAACCGGGACCTGACCGCACGCCTTCACTGGCCGCTTCAAGGTGAGACGGGTGGTGCTCCTTGGCTTGGCTCTTTGTCGTGGTTCCCGTTTCCCCACCTTGTATCTTTCTACCCTTCATGCTCTAAGATGTCTTGGCTATCCCAGCATCTGCCTCTACGTAGGCACTCTCTTTAGGAGGCTCTGATTCTAAGAGAACAGAATATTTGGAATGGGCGTAATGAGATATTGAGTGACTTTCTCCTTTCTGCAGGACTGGATGGTTTCCATGATCGTGGACAGAGAGTACAGTGTGGCAGTGGAGGCCGTCAGATTACTGATACTTATCCTTAAGTGAGTCCTGGGAAGAGGGGAGGCCAGTGTCTCAGACCTTTGCCCTTCCAGGGTCATCTCCCTCCACCTGTCACAGCTGACTCTTCCATCTGTGCAGGTTGACTGAGGTCATTCCTGAGTTGCAGTATGTTGAGAGGGTAATATTTCTGTCTTCTCTAACTCCCCATACTCCCTTGTCTTCCACTCTCCACTTAGGAGTTTTTTGTGAGTTATGTCCTTGTTGCTTTTGCCTCTTTTTCTTTCTAGCCTTGATTGTGCCAGAAGACAATGTCCCTATTCACACACTCTTTCTGCTTTTCTGTGGGCAGGAACATGGAAGGGGTGCTGATGGACGTGGACTGTGAGAGCGTCTACCCCATTGTGTAGGCCTCTAATTGAGGCCTGGCCTCTGCTGTGGGTGAATTTCTGTACTGGAAGTGAGTGGGGCTCCTTTTACGTTTCTTTAACACCACCCTCTCGGTTTCTCTCCCACATGTGCTGCTGCCCTACTTAAGGCCTCCCCATCTCCGTGGAAGTCTCTCTGCTGTCTCTTTTCCTCTCTCAGCTCCTTGGGGCTTTCCTTAGCTCTGCACCTCCTTTTCCTTTATCATCTCCTTGGGCCATCTCCTCCGTCTGTGGTCATGATTACACCTCCTTGTTTCCTCCTGTGCTGAGCCCTTTCCTTGTGTCCATTCCACCAGACTTTTCTACCCTGAGTGCGAGATAAGAACGATGGGTGGAAGAGAGCAACGCCAGAGCCCAGGCGCCCAGAGGACTTTCTTCCAGCTTCTGCTGTCCTTCTTTGTGGAGAGCAAGGTGACATACACAGAGAGAACTCTGGCTGTTGTGCATAGGACCTACAAGTGGGCTGGGGTTGGTGGCTCACGCCTGTAAGCCCAGCACTTTGGGAGGCTGAGGTGGGAGGATCCTTTGAGCCCAGGAGTTTGAGACCAGCTTGGGCAACATAGTGAGACCCTGTCTCTACCAAAAAAAAAAAAAAAAAAGACAAATGGAGAAGGATGGGGGTGTACACTGTAGGAAGGAGAGCGATATTTAATCAGTAACCACTTCCTAGGGTATTTTAACATGCCATCACTAAATCCCCATGCACCTCCTTCCCCAGCTCCACGACCACGCTGCTTACTTAGTAGACAACCTGTGGGACTGTGCAGGGACTCAGCTGAAGGACTGGGAGGGTCTGACAAGCCTGCTGCTGGAGAAGGACCAGAGCACGTGCCACATGGAGCCAGGGCCAGGGACCTTCCACCTCCTAGGGTGAAACCAGGAGAGATTGCTTGCTTCACTTGTACAAGGCAGGAACGGTGGCATGGGGTGGGGGAAACTTGGAGTTGGAAGGTGGCTAATCTTTGATTCTATGTTTTTGATCCTCCTGGCACTCCAGACCTGGGTGATGTGCAGGAGAGCACACTGATAGAAATCCTTGTGTCCAGTGCCCAGCAACTCCTGCCTCAGCCTCCCGAGCAGCTGGGACTACAGGTGCCCGCCACCACGCCCGGCTAACTTTTTTGTATTTTTAGTAGAGACGGGTTTTCACCGTGTTAGCCAGGATGGTCTTGATCTCTTGACCTTGTGATCCACCTGCCTCATCATCCCAAAGTGCTGGGATTACAGGCGTGAGCCACTGCGCCCAGCATGTTAGACAATTTTTAATTCATCCTCTCTGTGCTGTTGTTTTCTCAGCTGTGAAAGGAATATTCTGGTGGGGACAAGGTTACAGAGTTGCTGAGAGGGTCTCATGACATGAAGGTACTGGCCTTGGCACAGTGCCTGGGGGGGCGGGGACTCCGCACATGCCTGTGATGTCACAGTTACTGTCAGTTCACAGCGAACCTTCCCTCCTTTTCCTGTTGACTTTCCCACACTCCTGTAACCGTCCCTCCCTCCCTTCTTCCTCTCTCTCTCACTCACGCACACGCACACACACACACACACACTCCATTCACTGTCTCCATGACTCTGGAGTAAACTAACGTCTCGAGTTGCCATTGGAAGCCCCATTGTCCTCATTTTGTTTTGTTTTGTTTGTTTGAGACGGGGTCTCGCTCTGTCCCCCAGGCTGGAGTGCAGTGGTGCGATCTCAGCCCACTGCAGCCTCTGCCTCCTAGGTTCAAGCGATTCTCCTGCCTCACCCTCCTGAGAAGCTGTGATCATAGGTGCCCGCCACCACACCCGACTAATTTTTGTGTTTTTTAGTAGAGACAGGGTTTCACTATGTTGGCCAGGCTGGTCTCGAACTCCTGACCTCAGGTGATCCGCCCACCTTGGCCTCCCAAAGTGCTGGGATTACAGGAGTGAGCCACCACGCCCAGCCTCCGTTGTCCTCATTTAGACTTTCCTGGGTTATAGGCACTTTTGACTTCCTGGGGTCCTTCTTCAGTTAAAAAAAAAAATTAGAAAATTAGGCCGGGCGTGGTGGCATATGCCTGTAATCCCAGCACTTTATGAGGCCGAGGTGGGAGGATCACCTGAGGTCGGGAGTTCAAGACCAGCCTGACCAATGTGGAGAAACCCTGTCTCTACTAAAAATAGAAAATTATTTGGGTGTGGTGGTGCATGCCTGTAATCCCAGCTACTCAGGAGGCTGAGGCAGGAGAATCGCTTGAACCCGGGAGGTGGAGGTTGCGGTCAGCCGAGATCGTGCCACTGCACTCCAGCCTAGGCAACAAGAGTGAAACTCTGTCTTAAAAAAAAAAATTTAAAAATTATATTCGGGCCGGGCTTGGTGGCTCAATCCTATAATACCAGCACCTTAGGAGGCCAAGGCAGGAGGATCACTTGAGGCCAGGAGTTCAAGACCGGCCTGGGCAACATAATGAGAACCCATCTTTACCAAAAAAATAAAATTACATTAAAAATTAGCTGGGCACGGTGACGTCTGCCTGAGGTCACATTCAAGAAGCTGATGTGGGAGGATCGCTTGAGCCCAGGAATTGGAGGCTACAGTGAGCTAAGATCATACCACTGCACTTCAGCCTGGGCGTCAGAGTGAGACCCTGTTTCTAAAATAATAATAATTTTAAAAAATGATATTTATGGTTGCATTGGGAAAAGATCAATCTATTAATATATGTGAAGACATTTTTGGCCTAAAAGTTATATATATTTTTTCCTTCTGATTTTAAAAGAAATGAGGCCAGGCATGATAGCTCATACCTGTAATCCCAGCACTTTGGGAGGCCCAGGTTGGTGGATCACCTGAGGTCAGGAGTTCGAGACCAGCCTGGCCAACATGGTGAAACCCCGTCTCTACTAAAAATACAAAAATTACCCGGGCGTGGTGTCACACGCCTCTAATCCCAGCTACTCAGGAGACTAAGGCAGGAGAATCGCTTGAACCCAGGAAGCGAAGGTTGCAGTGAGACCAGATCGCATCATTGTACTCCAGCCTGGGCGACAAGAACAAAACTCTGTCTCCAAAACAATAACAACAGCAAAACAAATGAATAAAACTCATTATATTCATTTGCTTTTATTTATTTATATTTAACTTTATTATTATTATTATTATTTTGAGACAGAGTCTCATTCTATCACCCAGGCTGGAGTGCAATGAGGCGATCTCACCTCATGCAACCTCCATCTCCCGGGTTCAAGCGATTCTCCTGTCTCCTCCCAGGTAGCTGGGGTTACAGGTGTGCAGCACCACACCTGGCTAATTTTTTTATTTTTAGTGGAGATTGGGTTTCATCATGTTGGCCAGGCTGGTCTCGAAAGCCTGACCTCAAGTGATCCGCCCACCTTAGCCTCCCAAAGTGTGGGGAGCCACTGTCCCGGCATATTATTACTTTTAGAGACGAGGTCTTGCTTTGTTTTCCAGGCTGGAGTACAGTGGCTCAATCATAGCTCACTGCAGCCTCAAACTCCTGGCCTTAAGCAATCCTCCTACTTCAGCCTCCCAAAGTGCTGAGATTATAGGTGTGAGCCACTGCACCTGGCCTCTCTATTCTCTACTTCCTCTTTCTAGAATTTCTATTAGGCGGATGTTGAATCTCCTGAATTAATCTCTAATTTTCTTCCCTTCCCTTTCCCTTCTCCTTCCCTTCCCTTCCCCTTCTCTC
This sequence comes from Homo sapiens, assembly GCF_000001405.40. Classification (NCBI taxonomy): domain Eukaryota; kingdom Metazoa; phylum Chordata; class Mammalia; order Primates; family Hominidae; genus Homo; species Homo sapiens. Next base: position 74,880,085 of record NC_000007.14, on the reverse strand, counting down.
CCCTCCCCTCCCCTCCCTTCCCCTCCCCTCCCCTCCCTTCCCTTCCCTCCTTCCTTTCTCTCTCTCTTTCTCTCTTTCTTTCTTTTATAGTCTCATTCTGTCACCCAGGCTGGAGTGCAGTGGCAGTTCTCAGCTCACCGAAACCTCTGCCTCCCGGGCTCAAGCAATTCTCATGTCTCAGCCTCCCGAGTAGCTGGGATTACGGGTGCACACCACCACACCTGGCTGATTTATGTATTTTTTTCGTAGAGACAGGGTTTTGCCATGTTGGCCGGGCTGGTCTCGAACTCCTGACCTCGGGTGATCCACCCACCTCAGCCTCCCAAAGTGCTGGGATTACAGGTGTGAGCCACCGTGCCCGGCCTTGACTACCATATTTTAAATTTACTGGAGGACTTTTTTGTTCTCTTCTTTTTTCTTTTTTTAATAGCATCCCGCTCTTATTTCAGAATAAAAAAATTTTTAAGGTATGTTGAGTAAGAATCTATAGAGCAATGAAAATGCAAGAGCAATAGCTATGGGCACCAAATGGTCAATCTTCTTATCATAATGTTGAGTGGAAGAAGCCAGGTCCACCAGACACATGCTGCTCATTTATGCAAAGTTTGGACACAGGCAAAACAAAACTAGTTTGATCGTGATGGGAAACATTAGAGAAATGCAAAGACATGACCATCATAATTGTCAGGAGAAGGCATTGGTTAGGATTGGGAAGCGGCAAGCAGAAGCATTTAGGGATTGGCTGGCAATGTTTTACTTCTCAGCTGAGTGAGGGTTGCATCGGTGTTTATTTGATAACACGTTCTAGGGGCTGGGCAAGATGGCTCATGTTTGTAGTCTCAGTACTTTGGGAGGCCAAAGATGGGAGGATTGCTTGAGCCCGTGAGTTTGAGACCAGCGTGGGTGACATAGCGAGACCCTGTCTCTACAAAAAATTAAAAAAAAAAAAAAAAACCAGCTGCGTGTGGTGGCACAGCCTCAAACTCCTGGGCTCAAGCGATCCTCCCTTGGCCTTCCAGCCACTCAGGAGGCTGGGGTGGGAGGATCGCTTGAACCCAGGAGTTTGAGGCTGCAGTGAGCTATGAATGAGCCACTGCACTCCAGCCTGGGCAACAGGGCAAGACCCTGTCTCAAAAAAAAAAAAATTTAATTTGAACACTTCTGTTTTGTGCAGTTTTCTCTGTTATATTTTACTTTTTAAAAAGAAAAAGCAGCTGGGCGCGGTGGCTCACGCCTGTAATCCCAGCACTTTGGGAGGCCAAAGTGGGTAGATCACCTGATGTCAGGAGTTCGAGACCAGCCTGACCAACATGGAGAAACCTCGTCTCTACTAAAAACACAAAAAATTAGCCGGGCGTGGTGGCGCATGCCTGTAATCCCAGCTACTTGGGAGGCTGAGGCAGGAGAATCGCTTGAACCTAGGAGGCAGAGGTTGCAGTGAGCTGAGATCGCACCACTGCACCCCAGCCTGGGCAATAAGAGTGAAACTCCATCTCAAAAAAAAAAAAAAAAAGGTACATGAAACATATGAAGCAAAAAGTGAAAGTCCCCATTCTTTTCCTTTTTCCAGAGGTGATTTTTGTGGCCAATCTGGTTTCATTCCCTCCCAGACACTTTTCTAGGCATCTATGTGCCTCTATTCACATATAAACAAAATAGGAGTTTTCCTGTGCTTCCCTTAAATGGCATATGTATCTTTCACTCTTTTTTTTCACCTAGTGGATCTTTAATACCTTAAAAGCTCAACATGGGCTTGGTGCGGTGGCTCATACGTGTAATCCCAGGCCTTTGGGAGGCCAAGGTGGGAGGATCACTTGAGCTCAGGAGTTCCAGACCATTCCAAAGCAAAAACAAAAGGATTTTGAGATCAGTGTGGACAACTTAGCAAAACACCATCTCTAAAAAAAAAAAAAAAAAAAATTAGCCAAGCTTGGTGGTGTAAGCCTGTAGTCCCAGCTACTTGAGAGGCTGAGGTGGGAGGATTGTTTGAACCCAGGAGGTTGAGGCTACAGTGAGCTGTGATTGTGCCACTGCACTCCAGGTTGGGTAATGCAGCGAGACTGCGTCTCAAAAAATAAATAAAATAAAAAATAAATAAAAGCTCCACCTGTCTTCCTTTTAGATGTTGCATAGCATTTCACACAGTATTGATGTATTACAGCTCAACTAAATTAATCCCAGTATCTAGCACTTGGGGTGGTGGGAAGGATTAAGGGAGATAATATAAGCCAAGTGCCCAGAACAAGGGCTTGGCACACCAGGCTCGCCTTGAACAATTTGTTTTTTTGTTGTTTTGTGTGTGTGTGGTTTTTTTTTTTTGAGACAGCGTCTCATTGCATCACCGAGGTTGTAGTGCAGTGGTGCAATCGTAGCTCACTACTGTCTCAGACACCTGGGATCAAGCGATCCTCCCACCTCAGCCTCCGGAGTAGCTGGGACTACACATGCATCACCACACCCCACTAATTTTTAAATTTTTTGTAGAGACAGAGTCTCATTATGTTGCCTAGGCTGGTCTCAAACTCCTGGCCTCAATTAATCCTCCTCCCTTGGCCTCCCAAAGTGCTGGGATTACAGGGATGAGCCACTGTACCTGGCAGCCTTGAGCGATTTCTCACCTCCTCATTGGCCCAGTTTCCTTATCTGTAAATGAGAGTAGCTGTAAAATATGGTTAATGTGAGGACCAAACAGGTCAATTAGGGAAAAGCAGTGTCTCTGCCAGCACCTGACACTTCTTTTTTTTTTTTTTGTGAGACAGTCTCACTCTGCTGCCCAGGCTGGAGTGCAGTGGTGCAATCTTGGCTCACTGCAACCTCCACCTCCCAGGTTCAAGCAATTCCCCTGCCTCAGCCTTCTGATTAGCTGGGACTACAGGTGCCTGCTACCACGCCTGGCTAATTTTGGAATTTTTAGTAGAGATGTGGTTTCACCATCTTGGCCTGGCTGGTCTTGAACACCTGAACTCAGGTGATCTGCCCACCTCAGCCTCCCAAAGGGCTGGGATTACAGGTGTAATGGTTAAGGAGGCAAATCTTAAATAAAGGCCGGGCACAGTGGCTCACGCCTGTAATCCCAGCTACTCGGGAGGCTGAGGTAGGAGAATTGCTTGAACCCGGGATTGCAGTGAGCCAAGATCGCACCACTACACTTCAGCCTGGGTGACAGAATGAGACTCCGTCTTAAAAAAAAAAAAAAAAAATTTAAATAAAATGCATGCAATGTGGTCCAGGCGTGGTGGTGCATGCCTGTAACCCCAGCACTTTGGGAGATAGAGGCAGGTGGATCCCTTGAGCTTAGGAATTTGAGACTAGGCTGGGCAACATAGTGAGACCTCATCTCTAAAATTAAAAAAATAAAAGCCACCAGAAAAAAACCTAAAAACATGCCAAGTGACATCAGTCTTTGATGAAAATGGCAGCAGAAGAGTGATGCCATGGGTGGGGGTGGGAAATGCTATTTCAGCAGAGAGGGAGCTGTCACGGAAGACACCATGTGGCTGGGCACGGTGGCTCACACCTGTAATCCCAACACGTTGGGAGGCCAAGGTGGGCAGATCACTTGAGGTCAGGAGTTCAAGACCAGCCTGGCCAACATGGCAAAACCCCATCTCTACTAAAATCCAAAAATTAGTCGGGTATGGCAGTGCACGCCTGTAATCCCAGATACTCAGAAGGCTGAGGCAGGAGAATCATTTGAACCTGGGAAGTGGAGGTTGCAGTGAGCCAAGATCGTGTCACTGCACTCTAGCCTAGGTGATACAGCGAGACTCAGTCTCAAAAAATAAAGGAAGAAAAAGAAACCAGGTGACTGTTGTGCCCGTCTCTTGTCCCCGATCTTTCTCCCAATCCTGAGGTCCATCAGCTGGAAGGACATATCCATCCGGAGGCCTCCCCAAGTGTGGTGGGAGAAATCCATCCCCTCTCTGACACTCCCCCCGCCTTTCCCTCCCGACACCCAGTCCCCGGGAGATCAAAATTTAACCTGGTGTTATCTAGGCTGGAGCCTGAAGAGCCCGGTGGGAAGTGGAGGACGGAGAGGAGGGGCATGGACCCAGAAAGTAGCAGGAAGTCTTCAGAGACCCTTATTTTTAAATTATTTATTTTTGTTTGTTTTGTTTTTTTGTTTCCCTCTTGTTGCCCAGGCTGGAGTGCAGTGGTGTGATCTTGGCTCACTGCAACCTCTGCCTCCCAGGTTCAAGTGATTCTCCTGCCTCAGCCTCCTGAGTAGCTGGGATTACAGGCGCCCACCACCAAGTCTGGCTAATTTTTGTGTTTTTAGTAGAGATGGGGTTTCACCTTGTTGGCCAGGCTGGTCTCGAACTCCTTACCTCAGGTGATCCACCCACCTCGGCCTCCCAAAGTGCTAGGATTATAGGCTTGAGCCACCGCACCTGGCCCTTCAGAGACCTTTGGAGCCAGAGGTGACATATCGATCTACATTTAACCCTCTGGGAACCAAGGAATGAAGGATTAGAGGAAACGGGGCCAGAAGTGGAGAGAAGGGGAGTGTGCATCGAACAGACAGGGAGTGTATTAAATAAATGAATGAGTGAATGAATGATCCATCCATATGGACACTAGCCTGTCAGTAAAGAAGAGTCTAGGGTCAGGGAGAGCTCAGCCCTCCTCAGGCCGCCCCCATGATGACATAGCCTTGGGCTAGGGGAAATCTGAGGTCAGGCCAGCTGCCTGGCAGGAGTTGAGACCCCAGAAGGAAGGTGGAGGGCGGGAACATTCCCCAGCCCCAGGGTGGGATCTCAGCCCAAGGAGATGGGGTTCCCAGGGCAGGGTCTGCCTTGGGCAGGCAGATCGGTGCCAGGTGGGCCCTGGGTCGCCACTGGGGGCCAGCCCCAGCCCAGCGTCTGCCTCCCCCACTGCCCAGCCTCTGTTCATTCCCAGGTGGGACAGGGAGCCACAGCCCCCATCCCACCCCCTGCACAGAAGCCTTTTGACAGGCCGGCCGGCTGGCTGGGAGCACTGGCAGCCCCTCAGCCCCACGCCTCCTTCCCGCCCGGTCCCCATGCAGACCCCCCCACCTCTGGGCTCCCGGCAGGCCCGGGTGGGGAGCCACCGCCCGAGCACAATGTAGCTCCTTGTTCCCCGCCTCGGCCTCCTGGAATTGGCCCATTTCCTGCCTGGGCCGTGGGGCCTTTTCCAAGGTAAATAAACAAATACAGAGAAGTTGGGGCCTGGGGTGGAAAGGGGTACGCTGGGCTTTTCCTCCCTGCATCCCAACCCCATAGCAATAGCTGCTGTGTGACCACAGGGGCCGGGACACCAAGGCTGAGCTCCCACACCCTGGGCTTCATTGATCCCTGGGAGAAGAGAACGGGATCCACTGGAGGGTTTGTGCTGCTCTGCCTCAGGGGCTGTGGTTCCCCATCCAGGACGCCCAGGGGCCACCGATTCCTGCAGGAATTGCCTGAGTGCAGGGCTGGGACAGCCGCTGAGAGACGGAAAGGGCTCCAGGGTGGATGACAATTCCCTAGGCTCCCGTCCTGGCTGTGCCACCTTGGAGCACTATGACATCAGGAAGGAAATGAACCTCCAGCTGCAGAATGGCTCCAGAGGTGCTGCCTGCTTAGGGGGTGCATGGCCCTCGCCTCCAGTGTCATAAATGGGCCATTGCCTTCTCCCAGGTCGGTAGTGAGAGTGACAGCAGGTGCCTAGCAGGACCCCTGAGTTTGGGAGCCGGCCTGGCCAGGGCTTCTTCGGCTTCCCAGGGGCTGGGGAGAAGCCTCTCCCTGTGACTCAGGCTTGCTTGCTTGCTTTTTTTTTTTTTTTTTTTTTTTGAGACAGGGTCTCAGTCTGTCACCCAGGCTGGAGTGCAGTGGCATGACCCTGACTCACTGCAATCTCCACCTCCTGGATTCAAGCGATTCTTCTGCCTCAGCCTCCTGAGTAGCTGTGATTACAGGCATGTGCCACTATGCCCAGCTAATTTTTGAATTTTTAGTAGAGACAGGGTTTCACCATGTTGGCCAGGCTGGTCTCGAACTCCTGGCCTCAAGTGATCGGCCTGCCTCAGCTTCCCAAGGTATTGAGATTATAGGCATGAGCCACCGTGCCTGGCCAGGTTTCTTGTTTTTAAAAGGAGGAAAGAGCTGGGTGCAGAGGCTCATACCTGTAATCACAGCACTTTGTGAGGCTGAGGTGAAAGGATTTCCTGAGCCCAAGAGTTCAAGACCAGCCTGGGCAACATAGTGAGACCCTATCTCTATAAAACTAATAAAGACAAGATTAAGTTAAAGTAAGGAAAGAGAGCAAGATAAAGCCCCAGCTCCAGCTCCCTCCAGGGCTGAAGTTTCGGACTGACCTCTGCCCAGACCATTCCACCCTCCAAGCCCAGCCCTGCCTGCCCTGGGCTGCGAGTATGAGAGAGCTCAGGGCAGACAAAACGCCCCTCACACTTCTCCCTTTCTTTCTTCCACCTCCCTGTCCTCTATCCCGTAGAACAGTGGTCCCCATTTTTTTTTCTTTTTTTTTTCTTTTAGATGGAGTCGTGCTGTCTTGCCTAGGCTGGAGTGCAGTGGCGCAGTCTCAACTAACTGCAGCCTCTGCCTCTGAGGTTCAAGTGATTCTCCTGCCTCAGCCTCCTGAGTAGCTGGAATTACAGGCATGTGCCACCACGCCCAGCTAATTTTATTATTATTATTATTTTTTTTTTTTTTTATTTTGAGACAGAGTCTTGCTGTCTCCCAGGCTGGAGTGCAGTGGCGAGATCTCGGCTCACTGCAAGCTCCGCCTCCCAGGTTCACGCCATTCTCCTGCCTCAGCCTCCCGAGTAGCTGGGACTACAGGCACCCGCTGCCACGCCTGGCTAATTTTTTGTATTTTTAGTAGAGACAGGGCTTCACCGTGTTAGCCAGGATGGTCTCGATCTCCTGACCTCGTGATCCGCCTGCCTCGGCCTCCCAAAGTGCTGGGATTACAAGCGTGAGCCACCATGCCCGGCCAATTTTTGTATTTTTAGTAGAGACAGGGTTTTGCCATATTTGCCAGGCTAATCTTGAACTCCTGACCTCAAGTGATCTACCCACCTCAGCCTCCCAAAGTGCTGGGATTACAGGTGTGAGCCACTGTGCCCAGCACCCCCAACCTTTTTGACACCAGGGATCAGTTTCAAAAAAGACAATTTTTCAACGAATGGGGATGGGGTTGGGGGTAGGAGTTAGCCAGATGGTCTGGGGATGAAACTGTTCCATGTCAGATCATCAGGCATTAGATTCTCATTAGGAACATGCAACCTAGATCCCTCACGTGCGCAGTTCACAATAGAGTTCACGCTCCCGTGAGAATCTGATGCCACCGCTGATCTGACAAGAGACGGAGCTCCAGCGGTAATGCTCCCTCACCTGCCACTCACCTCCTGCTGCACAACCTGATTTGTAACAAGTCACGGACCAGCTGGGGACCATGGACCCCTGCCTTTGAGATTCCTCCACTCCACTGTGGGAAGGGGCACCTTCTGAACCAACGTTTTGCATGTGTCTTCATCCCCTGCTTGCACTCCAGATCTTTCCTTCCTTCACTTAATCACCTGTTAGCATTTACCAAGTGCTTGCTCTGTCCTGGACGTTATACAATGAGGTGGTCCTGGACCCTGGGGTCTTGCTGTGTGTGGGCGGGGGTGATTTCCCAGGGATGGCTCTCAAAACAGGGACGTGAAAATGCATTTGGAGAGATCTTCAAATTCCTTGAGGATTTGAAATTTTCATTTTTATTTCAACAATAACTTGTTCAGCCAGGCGCGGTGGCTCATGCCTGTAATCCCAGCACTTTGAGAGGCCGAGGCAGGTGGATCTCCTGAGGTCAGGAGTTCGAGACCAGCCTGGCTAACATGGTGAACCCCCCGCCAACCCCCCCACTGCCTACCCCGCTGCTCCTTTTTCTTTTCTTTCATGATATGTATATATATATGTGTATATATGTATATATATATAATATATATATATATATTTTTTTTTGATACAGAGTCTCGCTCTTTCGCCAGGCTGGAGTGCAGTGGCATAATCTCGGCTCACTGCAACATCTGCCTCCCAGGTTCAAGTGATTCTTCTGCCTCAGCCTCTGAGGTAGCTGGGATTACAGGTACCAGCCACCACGCCGCCCAGCTAATTTTTGTATTTTTAGTAGAGAGGGGGTTTGACCATGTTGGTCAGGCTGGTCTCCAATTCCTGACCTCAAGTGATCCACCCACCTCGGCCTCCAAAAGTGCTGGGGTTACAGGCATGAGCCACTGCGCCCAGCCTCCTTTCCTTTTTCTTTCCTCCCACTCTGTCATCTTTTATCAATGACAACTTTTAAAGATCCCATGACTGGTCACAGTGAGAACTCTCTTTTGCAGTCATCCTTTGCAATGATAATATATGCCTGTAAACTAAGGCTTTAATTTTTTTTTTTTTTTTTGAGATGAGGTCTCACTCTGTTGCCCAGTCTAGAGTGCAGCAGTTTAGTCATAGCTCACTGCAGCCCGAACTTCTGGGCTCAAGCGATCCTCCTTCCATGCCTGAGTAGCTGGGACTACAGGCATGTGCCATCATGCCTAGCTAGTTTATCGTTATTATTTTTTGTAGAGACAGGGTCTCACTATGTTGCCCAGGCTGGTCTCAGACTCTTGGCCTCAAGGGATTCTCCCTCGTCAGCCTCCCAAAGTGCTGGGATTACAAGCATGAGCCACCAAGCCAGGCCTATTTATGGTTTCTGATCATTTTTATTTCTTTAAAAGAAGTGTACAGGTGGGCACAGTGGCTCACTCCTGTAATCCCAGCACTTTGGGAGGCCAAGGCAGGTGGATCATTTGAGGTCAGGAGTTTGAGACCAGCCTGACCAACATGGTGAAACCCCATCTCTACTAAAAATACAAAAAGTTAGCCGAGCGTGGTGGTGGACGCCTGTAATCCCTCCTGCTACTCGGGAGGCTGAGGCAGGAGAACCACTTGAACCTGGGTGGCAGAGGTGGCAGTGAGATGAGATTGTGCCACTGCACTCAAGCCTGGGCGACAGAGCCAGGCTCTGTCTCAAAAAAAAAAAAAGAAAAAAAAGAAGTGTACACTACAGCAAAGCATGTCTGATGCCAGTGGGCTATGTTGGGGTGGGGGTAAGGGTGTCAATTTGACCTGGGGGTTCTGAAAGTCTCAGGAAAGGCAGATGGGGGAAGGCCCGAGGCATCCACAGCTTTGAGTGTCCTGGTGTCTAAGCAGGAGCCATGGAGAAGGTGGGAGGTGTGAGTTAGGATCAGCTGGAGGTCGGTGCTCTTTTGTCCAAGAGAATGAAGTTGTCTTCAGGTATGATTTGGTTTGGAAACAAGATAAAAGAGATTGGCCGGGCACGGTGGCTCAGGCCCATAATCTGAGTGCTTTGGGAGACCAAGGTGGGTGGATCACGAGGTCAAGAGATCAAGACCATTCTGGCCAACATGGTGAAACCCCGTCTCTACTAAAAGTACAAAAATTAGCTGAGCGTGGTGGCGCATGCCTTTAGTCCCAGCTACTTGGGAGGCTGAGGCAGGAGAATTGCTTGAACCCAGGAGGTGGAGGTTGCAGTGAGCCGAGATCGTGCCACTGTACTCCAGCCTGGCGACAGAGCAAGACTCTGTCTCAAAAAAAAAAAAAAAGAAAAAGGTGGCCAGGTGCAGTGGCTCACACCTGTAATCCCAGCACTTTGGGAGGCCGAGGCGGGCAGATCGCCAGAGGTTGGGAGTTCGCAACCAGCCTGACCAACATGGTGAAACCCTGTCTCTACTAAAAATACAAAATTAGTCAGGCATGGTGGCGCATACCTGTCATCCCAGCTACTTGGGAGGCTGAAGCAGGAGAATTGCTTGAACCCGGGAGGCAGAGGTTGCGGTGCCTGGAGATTGCGCCATTGCACTCCAGCCTGGGCAACAAAAGCGAAACTTAGTCTCCAAAAAAAAACCACCAAAAAACAAAAATTAGCTGGGCGTGGTGGTGCATGCCTGTAATCTCAGCTACTCAGGGAGGCTGAGGCAGGAGAATCACCTGAACCCGGGAGGTGGAGGTTGCAGTGAGCCGAGATCGTGCCACTGCGCTCCAGCCTGGGCGACAGAGCAAGACTCCATTTCAAAAACAAACAAACAAACAAACCAACAAACAAACCGAAATTTGTTTTCTGGCCTGGGTTCAAGTGACTCTCATGTCTCAGCCTCCCGAGTAGCTGGGACCACAGGCGTACGCCACCACGCCCAGCTAATTTTTGTATTTTTAGTAGAGACAGGGTTTCACGATGTTGGCCAGGTTGGTTTTGAACTCCTGACCTCCAGTGATCCACCCACCTCGGCCTCCCAAAGTGCTGGGATTACAGGCATAAGCCACCGCCCCCAGCCTGTGCAGGCCTGTTTTATGGAAGGTGACTGGGGAAAACCCACTAATAAAATGTGGTGACCACAAGACTGCTCATGGAAAGCCTCTTACTACAGGGAGTAAAATTCATGAAGGCACTGAAACCACCAGTCTGCCGGGCTATGAAATGTATTCTCTGCGGCGGACCCAGTCTTCCAGCACTTTGGAAGACAAAGGTGGGAGAATCACTTGAGAGTTCGAGACCAGCCTGGGCAAATAGTGGGACCCTTTCTCTACAAAAAAATTTAAAAATTAGCTCGGCGTGATGGTGTGCACCTGTGGTGCCAGCTACTTAGGAGACTGAGGCAGGTGGATGGCTTAAGCCCAGGAGTTCGAGGCTGCAGTGAGCCATGATTGCACCACTGCACTCCAGCCAGGACAGCAGAGTGAGACCCTGTCTCTGAAAAAAAAAAAATTAAATTAAATGTAAATATAAAAGTAAAAATAAATGTGTCTATGGACCCGCCTGGTAGTAAGTTCCCTGCCACCCAAGGACACATTTGGGATAGATAAACTTAGCCATTCACATCGGTCCCCTTACCCTGTCTCGACCCAGCCAGTATTCAATCAGAACACACACTGTTTGCCACATGGAATTGTAGATGCTAGTGCCACCTTCAAAGATGTAAAAGATTCAGAGGGGTGGTGATTCCTATCCAATGGGTAGCTCCCCATTGAGTTCACCTGTTTGGCTCCTAAAAAAACTGATGGATTGGCCAGGCATAGTGGCTCACACCTGTAATCCCAGCATTTTGGGAGGGCAAGGCAGGCACATCACGAGGTCAAGAGATGGAGACCATCCTGGCCAACATAGTAAAACCCCATTTCTACTGAAAATACAAAAATTAGCTGGGCGTGGTGGAACGCACTGTAGTCTCAGCTACTTGGGAGGCTGAGGCAGGAGAATAGCTTGAACCCGGGAGGCGGAGGTTGCAGTGAGCCGAGATCGCACCACTGCACTCCAGCCTGGCGACAGAGCGAGGCTCCGTCTCAAAAAATAAAAAAAGATGGACTGTGGTAGGGGACAGGGGACCACCATACATTTAGGCAAGTGCATGGTCCAACTCATAGCTGCTGTGTCAAGCGTGCCGTCTGTTTTTTTGTTCGTTTGTTTGTCTTTTGAGACAGAGTCTCACTCTATCACCCAGGCTTGAGTACGGTGGCATGATCTCGACTCACTGCAACCTCCGCCTCCTGGGTTCAAGCAATTCTCCTGCCTCAGCCTCCCAAGTAGTTGGGATTACAGGCGTGCACAACCACACCCCGTTAATTTTTTGTATTTTTAGTAGAGACGGAATTTCACCATGGTGGCCATGACTGGTCCCCAACTCCTGACCTCAGGTGATCTGCCCGCCTCCACCTCCCAAAGTGCTGAGATTACAGGCCTGAGCCACCGCGCCCAGCCATGGCATCTGTTTTACCAGAAGAGATCAACACACCCTCTGAAACATGATACAGGACACTGATCTGGTGAGTGGGTTCTTTTCAATCCCTAACAGAAAAGAGGACCAAAAACAGTTTGCCTCTGCGTGAAGGAAAGCATTACTCATGAACTCTCCCACTGTCTCACTCCCGACACCACCCACATTAAGTATCTGTTACAAGACCTTGTCTCCAGCCGGGCGCGGTGGCTCATGCCTGTAATCCCAGCACTTTGGAAGGCTGAGGTGGGCGGATCACGAGGTCAGAAGTTTGAGACCAGTCTGGCCAACATAGTGAAACCCTGTCTCTACTAGAAATACGCAAAAAATTAGCTGGGTGTGGTGGTGTGTGCCTGTAATCCCAGCTACTCAGGAGGCTGAGGCAGGAAAATCACGTGAAACCGGGAGGCGGAGGTTGCAGTGAGCCGAGATCGTGCCCCTGCACTCCAGCCTGGGCGACAGAACGAGACTCCATCTCAAAACAAAAAAACAAAAAAAACTTATCTCCGTTTCTATTCCTTTATTCCTTATCTCCGTCTTTATTCCCTTATTTTTTATTTTTTTGAGACGGAGTTTCACTTTTGTTGCCCAGGCTGGAGTACAGTGGCGTGACCTCAGCTCACTGCATCCTCCACCTCCTGGCTCAAGCGATTCTCCTGCCTCAGCCTCCTGAGTAGCTGGAATTACAGGCGCCCACCACCACGCCCGGCTAATTTTGTTTTGTATTTTTAGTAGAGACGGGGCTCCACCCTATTGGCCAGGCTGGTCTCGAACTCCTGAACTCAGGTGATCCACCCGCCTCGGCCTCCCAAAGTGCTGGGATTACAGGCATGAGCCACCGTGCCCGGCCTATTTATTCATTTATTTACTCATTTTTTAGAGACAGAATTTGGCTGCACTTGAGTTGATAAATCTGAGACATATATTGATAAAGGACAATTATGTAAATATTATAAATATAGTTAATATTAATAGTTAATATAGGGAATATTTATATATTTACGAAATGCATACACAGTTCAGCTGGGTGGAGTGGCTCATGCCTATAATCCCAGCACTTTGGGAGGCTAAGGCAGGAGGACTGCTTGAGCCCAGGAGTTCGAGACCAGCCTGGGCAACATAACAAGACCTTGTCTGTATACAAAATTTAAGAATTAGCCTGGCATGTTGGAGCCCACCTGTGGTCCCAGCTACTTGGGAGACTGAGGTGGGAGGATTCTTGAGCCTGGGAGGTCGAGGCTGTAGTGAGCTGCATTTGCACCACTGCACTCCGGCCTGGGTGACAGAACAAACCCTGTCTCAAAAAAAAAAAAAAAGAAAGAAAGAAAAGAAAAATTTTGAACTGACCTTTCATAAGCAGGACTGTCCTTTTATCTGAGTTTATGTCCTTTCTAGTTTTTTGGTTTTCAACATCTGATTTTTTTGTTTTTTCAAAGTCTGGCTTTTTCATCAAGGCTGGAGTGCAGTGGCACAGTCTCGGCTCACTACAACCTCTGCCTCCTGGGTTCTAAGTGATTCTCCTACCTCAGCCTCCCAAATAGCTAGGATTACAGGCACCCACCACAATGCCTGGCTAATTTTTGTATTTTTAGTAGAGACGGGGTTTCACTATATTGGCCCGGCTGGTCTCGAACTCCTGACCTCAGGTGATCCACCTCCTGACCTCAGGTGATCCACCTGCCTTGGCCTCTGTAAGTGCTGGAATTACAGGCGTGAGCCATCCCACCTGGCTCAACGTCTGGTCTTTTACAAACTCATAATGACAATAGGATAGTAGGTTTTAAAATTTTTTTTACTTGTCAATATTTTAATAACCCTATGTGAGTTTCTCAAATTTCTAAAACATTTTACTATTAGGGGATATCCAAAGGACACAAGCCTTGGTTTAGTATTTTGAAGACAAAAGGACAAACTGCAATGTGAATCGTAGCCACGGGGTGGCAATACTTACCCACCAATTCTGTCTCCTATGAAAGGCTAAAACATCCTAAACGTCTATTTGGCCAATAAAGAGCTGGATTTGTAGCCACAACTGGGCTTTTCTATTTTGCTATCAAAACTTGGTTGGTTTTGTAGACTGCTTCTGTGCTAGAAAATACTTACTTTTCTGGCTGGGCGTGGTGGCTCACGCCTGTAATCCCAGCACTTTGGGAGGTCGAGGCAGGTAGATCACCTGAGGTCAGGAGTTCAAGACAAGCCTGGCCAACACGGTGAAATGCTATCTCTACTAAAAATACAAAAAAAAATTAGCCGGTCGTGGTGGCAGGTGCCTTTAATCCTAGGTACACAGGAGGCTGAGGCATGAGAAATGCTTGAACCCAGGAGACAGAGGTTGCAGTGAGCCGAGATTGCGCCACTGCTCTCCAGCCTGGGCGACAGAGAGAGACTCTGGCTCAAAAACAAACAAACAAACAAACAAACATGAAAAAAACTTGGCTGGTTTTGTAGACTGGTTCTATGCTAGAAAATACTTACATTTCTGTCCAAATTTTTGCTTGGAAAAGATGGTACTACTGTCAAACTATCAGCTATCTCAGAGTATCCAAATGTCTGCTAACGTTAGCCAAGCTAATTTCTTTGCCACCTATGATGACATTTTCCTGTACACATTCTAATTATTTTGACGTTTGATGTAGCTGAAATTCTCTAGTCTGGGAAAGAGTGAACTTAACTAACCTTACATTTGTTTGTTTGTCTGTTTTTGAGACAGAGTCTCACTCTGTTGCCAGGCTGGAGTGCGGTGGCAGGATCTTGGCTTACTGCAACTTCCTCCTCCCGGATTCAAGCAATTCTCCTGCCTCAGCCTCCCAAGTAGCTAGGATTACAGTGACCTGCCACCACGACCGGCTAATTTTTGTATTTTTAGTAGAGTCGGGGGTTTCACCGTGTTGGCCAGGGTAGTCTTGAACTCTTGACCTCAAGTGATCTACCCGCCTTGGCCTCCCAAAGTGCTGGGATAACAGGCATGAGCCACGGTGCCCAGACTAAACTTACATGTTTTTATTTGTATTATTATTAACTTTAATTATACAATTAATGTATCATGCAGTTCCTTGTTAAAAAATAATAATAAATCGGCCGGGAGCAGTGGCTTATGTCTGTAATCCCAACACTCTGGGAGGCTGAGGCGGGCAGATCACCCTACATCAGGAGTTCGAGACCCGCCTGGCCAACATGGTGAAACCCAGTCTCTAATAAAAATACAATAATTAGCTGGGCGTGGCGGTGGGCGCCTATAATCTCAGCTACTTGGGAGGCTGAGGCAGGAGAGTCACTTGAACCTGGGAGGTGGAGGTTGCAGTGAGCCAAGATTGTGCCACTGCACTCCAGCCTGGGTGACAGAGCAAGACTCCGTCTCAAAAAATAATAATAATAAATTTAAAAATATTATATATGGGTATGGCTAAAGGCTCCTTTAACCACAGTCTCACATATACATCTTGCCATATAAAAAACATTATTTTGGCCAGGTGTCATGGCTCACATCTGTAATCCCAACACTTTGGGAGGTCAAGGCCGGAGGATTGCTTGAGGCCAGGAGTTTGAAACCAACCTGGGCAATAGTGAAACTCTGTCCCTAAAAAATTTTTTTAAAAATCAGCCGAGTGTGATGGTGTGTGCCAGTAGCTACTTGGGAAGCCCAGGCAGGAGGATTGCTTGAGCCTAGGAGTTCAAGACCAGCTTGGGCAACATAGCAAGACTCCCATCTCAAAAAATAAAGTAAAATAAATAAAAAATTTTAAAAAATAATAATAAATAAACATGTTAATATACATATTCTAAGAGATGACCAAAAAATAAAAATAATTTTTAAAATGTTAATAGATGTTTTCCATTTGTTTTTCATAAGTTGTGCTTCAATATTATGAGTGGGATTTGCTTTTACGTATCCCCCTGCTACACGACTTGGTTTTTTTTTTCCCAGACAAGGTCTCACTCTATCAACCAGGCTGGAGTACAGTGGTGCCATCGTAGCTCACTGCAGCCTCTGCAGATTCAATCTTGCCAGCTCTCGTGATACTCCTACCTCAGCCTCCCAAGTAGCTAGGACTACAGGCACACCTCACCACACCTGGACATTTCTAAAATTTTTTGCAGAGACGGGGGTCTCTCTATGTTGCTCAGGCTGGACTCCAGCTCCTGGGCTCAAGCAATCCTCCTGCCTCAGCTTCCCCAAGTGCTGGGATTATAGGCATAAGCCACTGTGCCCCGCCCACGTTTTTTAAATGTTTGCCAATCTGCTACTTGAAACATATCTCATTTTTTATTTACTTTATATTTCTGTAATCTCTGGAAGAGTTGAACATCTTACAGTTTCACGTCTCCTCTACTGAGAATTGCAAATCTACTCATATCCTTGGTGACGTTTCTATTGGGTTGTCTCTTTTTTTTTTTTTTTGAGACAGAGTCTCACTCTGTGGCCCAGCGCCCAGGCTGAAGTGCAGTGGTCCGATCTCGGCTCACCACAACCTCTGCCTGATGGGTTCAAGTGATTCTCATGTCCCAGTCTCCCAAGTACCTGAGACTGCAGGCGTGCACCACCATGCCTGGCTAATTTTAGTATTTTTAGCAGAGACGGGGTTTCACCATGTTGGCCAGGCTGGTCTCGAACTCCTGACCTCAGGTGATCCGCCCGTCTCAGCCTCCCAAAGTGCTGGGATTACAGGCGTGAGCCACCACCGCACCCATACTGGATTGTTTGTCTCTTATTACTTTGTAGGAGTACTTGATATATTTGCATAAAACCCTTCGTTACCTGTCTAAATATTTTCTCTTGTCTTTTTTTTTTTTTTTTTGAGACTGAGTTTTGCTCTTGTTGTCCAGGCTGGAGTGCAATGGCACGATCTTGGCCCACTGCAACCTCCACCTCCCAGATTGAAGCAATTCTCCTGCCTCAGCCTCCCGAGTAGCTGGGACCACAGGTATGCACCACCACGCCTAGCTAATTTTTTTTTTTTTTGTATTTTCAGTAGAGACGGGGTTTCTCCATGTTGAGGCTGGTCTTGAACTCCTGATCCCAGGTGATCCGCCCACCTTGACCTCCCAAAGTGCTGGGACCACAGGCATGAGCCACTGCACCTGGCCTCTTGTCTTTTTTCTTAATTTTTTTTTTTTTTTGAGATGGAGTCTCACTCTGTTGCCCGGACTAGAGTGCAGTGGCTCAACCTCGGCTCACTGCAACCTCCGCCTTCCAGGTTCAAGTGATTCTCCTGCTTCAGCCTTCCAAGTAGCTGGGTTCACAGGCGCCTGCCACCACACCTGGCTAATTTTTTTGGTATTTTTAGTAGAGATGGGGTTTCACCATGTTGGCCAGGCTGGTCTTGAACTCCTGACCTCAAGTGATCTGCCCACCTTGGCCTCCCAAAGTGCTGGGATTACAGATGTAAGCCACTACGCCCAGCCCCTTTTACTTAATTCATGGTGTCTCTTGTCATAGAAAATTTTATCTTGATGTAGTCAGCGTTATTAATCCTATTCATTAGCGTTTTGGTTTTCTGTATCATGTTAACGAAGAATGTCTATTACCCAAGGTATAAAGATAATTTTTGTATTTTTTGTAGAGACAGGGTTTTGTCATGTTGTTCAGTCTGGTCTCAAACTCCTGGGCTCAAGCAATCCTCCCATCTTGGCCACCCAAAGTGTACAGGCCTGAGCCACTGTGGCTGACCTACTTTCATTTTTTATATTCAGGGTTTCATTTGTTTGTTTATTTTGAGACAGAGTCTCGCTTTGTCACCCAGGCTAGAGCACAATGGCGCGATCTTGGCTCACTGCAACCTCCGACGCCTGGGTTCAAGTGATTCTCATGCCTTAGCCTCCCGAGTAGCTGGAACTACAGGCGCCCACCACCACACCCAGCTAATTTTTGTAGTTTTAGTAGAGAAGGGGTTTCACCATGTTGGCCAGGCTGGTCTCGAACTCCTGACCTTGTGATCTGCCCGCGTCGGCTTCCCAAAGTGCTGGGATTACAGGCGTGAGCCACTGCACCCGGCTATATTCAGGTTTAGAGTTGACTTTTATGAATGGCATGATGCCAGGCAGCATACTTATTAATATTTTTTCCAAAGGCATGTCTGATTGTCCAAAATAATTTATTGGCTAGTAAGGGCTTTATCTGAAGATTCAAGATGCCATTTATAACATATGGTTAATTTCCAAAAATACATAGGTCAATTTTATGGAAACTATTTATTTCTACTGCTTTATTCTTATATTAATGTGACGAGGTTTCAATGGCTGCAACTTTATAATATGTTCTGGTTTTTATTTAGTCAAATGTCTTCTTTGTTCTTGTCTATTCTTTTACAAAAATGCCTTTGCGATTCATAACATTTACTTTCATATAAATTTTAAAATCATCTTGACAAGCTACATTAAAAATCCCACTAGGATTTTGGTTGAAATTACATTAAATTCCCAGGCTCGTTGCGATAAATTAACTAGGAGATATCTCATTTTACAATCTTCAGTCTTCCTGTTCAGAAATGTGGTATCTACTGGCCCAGCGTGGTGGCTCTGCCTGTAATCCCAGCACTTTGGGAGGCCGAGGTGGGTGGACAACTTGAGATCAGGAGTTCGAGACCAGCCTGGCCAACATGGTGAAACCCTGTTTCTACTAAAAATACAAAAAAATTAGCCAGGCGTGGTGGGGCGCACCTGTAATCACAGCCACTCGGCAGGCTGAGGCAGGAGAATCACTTGAACCCGGAAGGAGGAGATTGCATGAGCCAAGATTGCACCACTGCACTACAGCCTGGGTGACAGAGAGAGACTCTGACTCAAAAAAAAAAAAAAAAAAAAAGAAAAGAAAAAAGAAACGTAACATGGTACTACTCATGTTACGATTGGCTTCAGTCATCTACTTCAGTGGATTCAACTCTCTGCTTGTAGATAAATTACTTCCATTTCCTGAGAACATAATCTGCCTATTTTTTAGGCCAGTGGTCTCCAAATTATTTTGATTACACATTCCTGGCCAGGCGTGGTGGCTCACACTTGTAATCCCAGCACTTTGGGAGGCCAAGGCAGGTGGATACCTTGAACCCTGGAGTTTGAGGCTAGCCTGGGCAGCATAGCAAAATCCTGTCTCTACAGAAAAATACAAAAATTAGCCTATAATCCCAGCTACTCGGAAGGCTGAGGTGGGAGGATCGCTTGAGCCCAGGATGTGGAGGTTGCAGTGAGCCAAGATTGTGCCACTGCACTCCAGCCTGAGCAACAGAATGAGACCCTGTCTCAAAAAAAAAAAAAAAAAAAAAAGGAGCTTAAATTGATTTTTTTTTTCTTGAGATGGCGTCTCACTCTGTCACCCAGGCTGGAGTGCAGTGGTGCGATCTCCGCTCACTGCCACCTCTGCCTCCTGGGTTCAAGCAATTCTCCTGCCTCAACCTCCCAAGTAGCTGGGATTACAGGCACCTGCCACCACACCCAGCTAATTTTTTGTATTTGTAGTGGAGACAGGGTTTCACTATGTTGGCCAGGCTGGTCTTGAACTCCTGACCTTGTGATCCGCCTACCTCAGCCTCCCAAAGTGTTAGGATTACAGGCGTGAACCACTGTGCCTGGCCAAATTGATTCTTATGAGTAAAATTTGTGAGCATGAAAAAATACATATAAATTATTTACATATACTATTATACTAATATATACTTTATAAAATATACAAAGGAATATTTTAAATAAGATAAAGATTAAATAAATGTTTTATTTTTTCTTTTAAAAGCATTTTTATTTTAAATGTTTATAGGAAACAACAGTTTTAAAGCAAATATTTTATTTTCATTTTTAATCCATTTGCTCTCATTAAGAACAGTAGCGGTGGCTGGGCATGGTGGCTAACGCCTGTAATCCCAGCACTTTGGAAGGCCAAGGCAGGTGGATCACCTGAGGTCAGGAGTTTGAGACCAGCCTGGCCAACATGGTGAAACCCTGTCTCTACTGAAAATATAGAACTATCTGAGTGTGGTGGCACATGCCTGTGGTCCCAGCTACTCAGGAGACTGAGACAGGAGAATGGCTTGAACCCAGGATGCAAAGGCTGCAGTGAGCCGAGTTCACGCCACTGCCCTCCAGCCTGAGCAGGACAGAGTGAGACTCCATCTCAGAAAAAAAGAAAAGAAAAGAAAACAATAGTTATAAAGCAAATATTTTCTTGTGGTTTTTAATCCATTTGCTCTCATTGAAAACAGTAGTGGTGGCCAGGTGCAGTGGCTCACACCTGTAATCTCAGCACTTTGGGAGGCTGAGGTGAGTGGATCTCTCGAGCCCAGGAGTTCGAGACCAGTTGGGGAAAAAAACCAAGCTAAAACTTTACTCCTAATAGAAACTCTGTATTCATTGAGCAACAATTCCCTTTCTCCTCTTCTACCCAGCTTTTGGTAACCTCTAATCTACTTTTTGTCTCTATGAATTTGCCTATTCTTTCATATAAGTAAAATAACACTTTTTTTCTTTTTTTTTTTAAGAGGCAGGGTCTTGCTCTGTTGCTCAGGCAGTACAGTGGCACGATCATAGCTCACTGCAGTCTCAAATTCCTGGTCTCAAGGGATCCTCCCACCTCAGCCTCTCAAGTAGCTAGGACTATAGGCACACACCACTACACCCAGTTAACTTTAAAACTAAATTTTTTTGACTGGGCACAGTGGCTCACATCTGTAATCCCAGCACTTTGGGAGGCCAAGGAGAGCAGATCACCTGAGGTCAGGAGTTTGAGACTAGCCTGGCTGACATGGTGAAACCCCACGTCTACTAAAAATACAAACAATTATCCAGGCATGGTGGCGGGTGCCTGTAATCCCAGCTACTCGGGAGGCTGAGGCAGGAGAATTGCTTGAACCTGGGAAGTGGAGGCCTCAGTGAGCTGAAATCATGTTATTGCACTCCAGCCTGGGTAATAAAAGCGAAACTCCATCTCAAAAATATAAATAAATAGGGGCCGGGCGCAGTGGCTCATGCCTGTAATCCCAGCACTTTGGGAGGCCAAGGCAGGCAGATCACAAGGTCAGGAGATCGAGACCACTCTGGCTAACACGGTGAAACCCCATCTCTACTAAAAATACAAAAAATTAGCCGGGCGTGGTGGTGGGCGCCTGTAGTCCCAACTACTCGGGAGGCTGAGGCAGGAGAATGGTGTGAACCCAGGAGGCAGAGCTTGCAGTGAGCTGAGATCGCGCCACTGCACTCTAGCCTGGGTGACAGAGTGAGATTCTGCCTCAAAAAAAAAAAAAAAAAGATAGCTAGATAGATAGATAGAGATATATATGTAAATAAATAAACAAATACATAAATTTTGAGGGGAGTAAAGATGTTATCTCGCTATGTTGCCCACACTGATCTCAAACTCCTGGCCTCAAGCAATCCTCCCATCTCAGCCTCCCAAAGCAACATTTGTCCTTTTGTGTCTGTATTATTTCATGTGGCATAATGCTGTCAAGGCCCTTTCATGTTGTAAGATGTAGCAGAACTTCATTCCTTTTTTTTTTTTTAATTTCAGCTCACTGCAACTTCTGCCTCCCGGTCTCCTGCCACCACTCCCGGCCATCCTCCCACCTCAGCCTCCTGAGTAGCTGGGACTACAGGCACGCACCCCCATGCTAGGCTAATTTTGTATTTTTAAATAGAAACAGGATTTTGCCATGTTGCCCAGGCTGGTCTCGAATTCCTGAGCTCAGGCGATTCACCTGCCTCAAACTCCTGGGCTCAAGTGGTCTGCTCACCTCAGCTTCCCAAAGTGTGGGGATTACAGGAGTGAACCACCATGCCTGGCCCTTTGCCTATTTTATTTTATTTTATTTGAGACGGAATCTCGCTCTGTCATCCAGGCTGGAATGCAGTGGTGCAATTTCAGCTCGCTGCAACTTCCAACTTCCGCCTCCTGGGTTCAAGCGATTCTCCAGCCTCAGCCTCCCGAGTAGCTGGGATTACAGATGTGAGCCACCACACCAGGCTAATTTTTGTATTTTTAGTAGAGACGGGGTTTCACCATGTTGGCCAGGCTGGCCTTGAATTCCTGACCTCAGGTGACCCTCCTGCCTTGTCCTCCCAAAGTGTTGGGATTACAGGCATGAGCCACCGTGCCCAGCCCCTTTTCCCATTTTAGAATTGGGTCTTGTGGGGTATTGTTGTTTCTGCTATTGTTGTTGAGTTATAGGAGTTCTTTATATATACTAGAT
Source organism: Homo sapiens (assembly GCF_000001405.40). Classification (NCBI taxonomy): domain Eukaryota; kingdom Metazoa; phylum Chordata; class Mammalia; order Primates; family Hominidae; genus Homo; species Homo sapiens. Next base: position 74,858,131 of record NC_000007.14, on the reverse strand, counting down.
ATTAATCCCTTATCAGATATATAATTGGCAGGTATTTTCTCACATCCTGTGGGACTCTGTTGATGGTGTCCTTTGATGCCTAAAAATTTTCCATTTTAATGAAGTTCAATATACCTATACCAAATCTAATGTCATAAAATTTTCTCCCATTTGCTTTTAAGAGTTTTATAGTCTGGGCACAGTGGCTCAAGCTTGTAATTCCAGCACTTTGGGAGGCCAAGGTGGGCAGATCACTTGAGCCCAGGAGTTCAAGACCAATGTGGGCAACATGGTGAGATGCCATCTCTACAAAAAACAAAAACAAAAGTTAGCTGGGCATGGTGGCACACATCTATAGTCTCAGCTACTCAGGAGGCTGAGGTGGAAGGATTACTTGAACCTGGGAAATTGAGGCTGCAGTGAGCCATGATGGTGCCACTGTATTCCAGCCTGGGTGACAGAACAATACTTTGTCTCAAAAAAAAAAAAAGAAAGAAAGAAAGAGGAAAAAAAGAATTTTGTAATTTTGGCTAATACATTTAGCTCTTTCATTCAGTTTGATTAATTTTTGTATATCATGCAAGGTAAGGTAAGGATGCCACTTCATTTTTTTGCATATGGCTATCCAGTTTTCCCAGCACCATTTATTGAAAAGACTGTCCTTTCCCTGTCGAATGGTCTTGGTACCCTTGTCAAAAATCATCTGACCATATGTGTGAGGGTTTATATCTGGGATTTCTATTCTATTCCATATGTCTGTCTTTATGCCAGTACCAAACTGTTTTGATTACAGTAACTTTGTAATAAGTTTTGAAATCAGGAACTGTGAATCATCCAATTTTGTTTTTCCTTTTAGAAATTATTTTGGCTATTCATCATCCCTTGAGATTCCATACACATTTTTTTATGAGACAGAGTCTCGCTCTTTCGCCCAGGCTGAAGTGCAGTGGCATGATCTTGGCTAACTGCAACCTCCGCCTTTTGGGTTCAAGCAATTCTTGTGCCTCAGCCTCCTGAGTAGCTGGGATTACAGGCAGCTGCCATGATGCCCGGCTAATTTTTGTTTTTGTGTTTTGTAGAGATGGGGGTCTCACCACATTGGCCAGTTTGGCCTCAAACTCCTGGCCTCAAGTGATCTGCCCAGCTTGGCCTCCCAAAAGTGCTGGGATTACAGGCGTGAACCACCGCGCCTGACCTGTAGAAAGGTTTTAAACTATAATTTCAATGTCTTTAATAGTTATAGGGCTATTCAAGTTATCCTTTTCTTCTTGAGTGAGCTTTGGTAATTGGTGTCTTTCAAGAAATATGTCCGTTTCATCTAAGTTGTTGAATTTAGTGCCATAATCTTGCTTATAGTTTTCCCTTATTATCCTTTTAATGTCTGTAAAATCTGTATTGATTTCATCTCTTTAATTCCTAATATTGTTAAGTTGTGTCTTCATTTTTTTTCTGTCCAGTCTAGCTAGAAGTTTGTCAATTTCATACACCATCCCACAAAAGCAGCTTTGGGCTCACTGATTTTCTCTATTGTTTTTCTGTTTTCTGTTTCATTGATTTCAGATTTTACCCTTATTAGTCCTTCTCCTCTCTTCTGCTTAATTTGTATTTAATTTTCTCTTAATTTTCTTGTTTCTTAAGTAGTTGAATTTATTAATTCAAGGCATTTTCTTTTTCCTAATATAGGTGTTCTGTGCGGCATCTCACCAATTCTGATGTGGGTGTGTGTTTTTATTTTCATTTAGTTCAAAAGACTAATATCCCTTTTCATTTCTCCTTTATTCCATAGCTTATTTAGAAGTGTGTTATTTGGTCTCCAAATATTTGGGGATTTGTCAAGCATCTTTCTGTTATTAATGTCTTTTCTTTTCTTCTTTTTTTTTTGAGACAGGGTCTCACTCTGTTCCCCAGGCTGGAGTACAGTGGCGTGATCTTGGCTCATTGCAACCTCCACCTCCTGGGTTTCAAAGCGATTCTCCCACCTCAGTCTCCCAAGTAGCTGGCACTATAGGCGCACGCCACCATGCCTGGTTTATTTTTTGTATTTTTAGTAGAGATGGGGTTTCACCATGTTGGCCAGGCTCGTCTCCAACTCCTGATCTCAAGTGATCTGCCTGCCTCGGCCCCCCAAGGTGCTGGGATTACAGGCGTGAGTCACTGCACCCGGCCTGGTTTATAGTTTTTATTTGTTCGGACGATTGTCTTTCCTCTCCTTTACAGATTTCAATTATTTGTATATTAGATTACTTGAAGTTGTCCCAAAGCTCATTAATGTTTCTTTTTCTAATTCTTTTTTCTCTGTGTGTTTTTCTCGTTGTGGTAGTTACTATTGCTGTGCCTTCAAATTCACTAACCTTTTCTTCTGCAATGTCTAATTTGTCATTAATCCCATCCAGTGTACTTTTTAGAAAAAAATCTCATTGTAGGCTGGGTGCAGTGGCTCACGCCTATTAATTCCAACACTTTGGGAGGCTGAGGTGGGAGGATCACTTGAGGTCAGGAGTTCGAAACCAGTCTAGCCAACATGGTGACATCCCATCTCTACTAAAAATACAAAAATTAGTTGGGCGTGGTGGTGTGACCTGTAATCCCAGCTACTTGGGAGGCTGAGGCAGGAGAATCACTTGAGCCTGGGAGACAGAGGATGCAGTGAGCCGAGACTGCATCACTGCACTCCACCCTGGGCAACAGAGCGAGACTCTGTTGCAAAAAAAAAACCTCATGTAGGTTTTATCTATAGAAGTTCAATTTGGAGGCCGGGCGCGGGTGGCTCACACCTGTAATCCCAATACTTTGGGAGGCCGAGGCAGGTGGATCATGAGGTCAGGAGATCGAGACCATCCTGGCTAACATGGTGAAACCCTGTCTCTACTAAAAAATACAAAAAAATTAACCGGGCATGGTGGCGGGCACCTGTAGTCCCAACTACTCGGGAGGCTGAGGCAGGAGAATGGCGTGAACCCAGGAGGCAGAGCTTGCAGTGAGCGGAGATCACGCCACTACACTCCAGCCTGGGTGACAGAGCGAGACTCCATCTCAAAAAAAAAAAAAAGAAGTTCAATTTGGGTCTTCTTAATATTTCCCACATCTCTAGTTAACGTCTGAGCATTTGAAATAGTTATAATAACTGTTTTAATGTCCTTTTCTGCTAATACTAATATCTGGGTGAGTTCTGGGTTGATTTACATTGTTTACTCTCCTCATTACCGGTCACATGTTCCTGTTTCTTTGTATGTCAGTAATCCTTGCTTGGACACCATACACTGTGAATTTTACCTTTCTTGAAGCTGGATATATTTGTATTACCAGAACTCTTCTTGAGCTGTGTTCTGGAATACAGTTAAGTTACTTGGAAACCACGCCGAGCACAGTGGCTCACGCCTGTAATCCCAGCACTTTGGGAGGCCAAGGCAGAAGGATCATTTGAGGTCAGGAGTTTGAGACCAGCCTGGCCAACATGGTGAAACCTCGTCTCTACTAAAAATACAAAAAAGTTAGCTGGCTTTGGGAGGCTAAGGCGGGCAGATCATGAGGTCAGGAGTTCGAGACCAGTCTGGCCAACATAGTGAAACCCCGTCTCTACTAAAAATACAAAAAATTAGCCGGGTGTGGTGGTGTGAGCCTGTAATCCCAGCTACTAGGGAGGCTGAGGCAGGAGAATCGCGTGAACCCAGGAGGCGGAGGTTGCAGTGAGCTGAGATTGAGCCACTGCACTCCAGCCCAGGCAACAGTGTAAGACTCTGTCTCCAAAAAAAAAATTAGCTGGGTATGGTGGTGCACACCTGTAATCCCAGCTACTAGGGAGGCTGAGGCAGGAGAATCATTTGAACCTGGGAAACAATGGTTGCAGTGAGCCGAGATTGTGCCACTGCACTCCAGCCCGGGAGACAGAGTGAGATTCCATCTCAAAAAAATAAAAAAAAAAAAAGCTACTTGGGAACCATTTGATGCATTCAAGTCTTGCTGTTATGCCCTGTTAGGTGGGTATTAGGCAGTGTGCAATCTAAGGCTAATTTTCCCCTCTAATGAGGCAAGACCTTGCTTAGTCCTCTACCCAATGACCTGTGAATTCTGAACAGGCATTGTTCTTGGCCCTGTCTGAGTGTCAAGCACTATTCCAATGCATTCAGATGGTTCTTTCCCTAGAAGCAAGTGATTATGTCACACGTGTATGCTGATGTACTCTGCTACATACTCCAGGGGTTCCTCTGCAGATCTCCGGGGTTCTCTCTCTGTGCAAAACTCTCTCTCTGGTACCCTTCCTTATAAGCTGCAGTTACCTTGTTCTTTCTGGACTTAGCTCTGTTACAACCAAGGAAGTCAGCTGGTCTCTTGTCTTAGTTCTCCTTCCCTGTGTGATGACCTGATAAACTCTCAAGTCTGTAAGCTAAGCAATTGCAGGGCTCACCTCACGTTTACCATCTCTCGAACACTATCTTTTGTCACCTGATGTCTAGTGTCTTGAAAAAAACATTGTTTCATGCATTTTTTTGTTTATTGTTGCAGCTGGGAGGGTATATCTGGTCTTTGTCACTTCGTCGTGGACAGAAGCGTAAATTAGGACCTTTACTCTGAAATGGACATTTTTGAGAAGAGTGAAATGAGTTACACTTTACAAGATTCTTTTTGTTGCTGTGTTAAGAATGGAAGAGGGTTAAGGGCAGAATTAGGGAGACAAATTAGGAGTCTACAGCAAGAGACAGTGTTGGCTTGGTAGTAGTGGGGGCCATTAGAAATTGGTAGAGGCCAGGCTCGGCTCGTGCCTGTATCCCAACAGTTTGGGAGGCTGAGGAAGGAGGCAGGAGGATCCCTTGAGAACAGCAATTTGAGACCAGCCTGGGCAACACAGGGAGACCTTGTCTCTACAAATAATTTTTTTTTTTTTTTTTTTTTGGAGAGAGTCTTGCTCTGTCGCGCAGGCTGGAGTACAGTGGTGCGATATCGGCTCACTGCAACCTCCGCCTCCTGGGTTCAAGCAATTCTCCTGCCTTAGCCTCCCAAGTACCTGGGAATACAGGCGCGTGCCACCACTAATTTCTTTTGTATTTTAGTAGAGACGGGGTTTCACCGTGTTGCCCAGGCTGGTCTCGAACTCCTTAGCTCAGGCAATCCGACCGCCTTGGCCTCCCAAAGTTCTAGGAATATAGGCGTGAGCCACCGCACCCAGCCTCTACAAATAATTTTTTTTTTTTTTTTTGAGATGGAGTCTCGCTCTATCGCCCAGGCTGGAGTGCAGTGGCGTGATCTCGGCTCACTGCAACCTTCGCCTCCCAGGTTCCAGAGATTCTCCTGTCTCAGGCTCCCAAGTAGCTGGGATTACAGGAGTCCGCCACCACGCCCAGCTAATTTTTGTATTTTTAGTAGAGATGGGGTTTCATCATGTTGGCCAAGCTGGTCTTGAACTCCTGACCTTGTGATCTGCCCACCTTGGCCTCTCAAAGTGCTGGGATTACAAGCGTGAGCCACTGCGCCTGGCCAAATAATTTTTAAAATTTGCCGGGTGAGGTGATGTGCGCCTGTGATCCCACCTACTCGGGAGGCTGACGTGGGAGGCTTGCTTGAGTGCAGGAGGTTGAGGCTGCAGTGAGCTATGACTGTACCACTGCACTCCAACCTGGGTGACAGAGCAAGTCCATCTCCCCTCAACACACATAGCAAAAAAAAAAAAAAAAAAAAAAAAAAAAAGAGAGAGAGAGTGAAAGTGGTAGAATCTGGGCAAAGTTAGAGCTGCCGGAGGAATCTGAAGGAATGGTGTGGAGCGTGGGAGGAATAAGATGCTTCCAAGGCTTCTGGCTTGAGTAAGTGGAGGAATGGAGTTTCATTCATTGAGCTGGAGAAGACTGCAGGAGAAGTGTGGGGAGCGTGAGACATGTTCTTCTTGGGATGCCTATTCATTCTCCAAGATAAAAATTTTTTTTCTTAAGTCGCTGTACAAGTGGAGATTTCAAAGCAGGCAGTTGGCTATATAGATGTGGAGTTTAGGGGAATGGTCTGGGCTGGAGATGAATATTTGGGAGTCATAACCATATGAAAATGTAACCTGGCCGGCCGCGGTGGCTCACACCTGTAATCCCAGCACTTTGGGAGGCCGAGGCGGGCGGATCACGAGGTCAGGAGATCGAGACCATCCTGGCCAACACGGTGAAACCCCATCTCTACTAAAAAAAAAAAACAAAAAATTAGCCAGGCATGGTGGCGGGCGCCTGTAGTCCCAGCTACTCCGGAGGCTGAGGCAGGAGAATCGCTTGAACCTGGGAGGCTGAGGTTGCAGTGAGCCAAGATCGCGCCATTGCACTCCAGCCTCGACAACAAGAGCCAAACTCCGTCTCAAAAAAAAAAAATTAAATAACAGCAAGCAACTGCATGCACGTCTGGGGGCGGTGTCCGGGGTGAGAAAGGCCCCGCCAGCAATCCATCCCACAATCAGCGATGGCTGAGGGGGTCTGGACCTCGCGGGACGGGGCTGCACGCCCCCAAGCAAATGCACAGCGCGGCTAAATTGGATTCGACAGCACCGGAAACGGCGACTCCCACTTGGGGCGCTGCGGACACACGAGTCGAGGCTGCCTTCCAGGAAGCAAACAAAAAAAGGGGGGAAAAGGGGGGGAAAGAAAGAAAGAGAAAAAGGAGGGCGAGTGGCGAGCAGGGGCTTCGGCCGCCACCCACACGCCCCGAAGCGTGCTCGTCCCCCGCGCGGGGCTCTCGGCCGCCGCCCTCGGCCATCGGCTGCTCCCCGGTGGCCCAGGCCTCGGACTCCGCGGCCGGCCCGGCGCGGCCCAGCGCCCTCAGGTGCGTACCCCGCCCCCGCCGCCGACGCCGCCATTAAGGGCGGGTTGCCTTTCGGAACGTCCTCCTCCTGAGGGCCTGGGGAAGGGAGGCCGCCCGGCCGCAGCGGGAGGTGGCCCCCCGGGACACCCCGGCGCCCCGAGGCGAGGCACCCCCGAACCCCGATCCCTGCTGGCAGGACCAGAGGTGTGAGGGTGGGGGCGGGGAAGCCTTGCCGCGGGGGCAATGGTCGTACGCACGGAGCGCACATCCCTCTCCTTCCTGATTGGCCGAGCGGGGATGTGCGTGATGCCACGCTCCGCCCGTCGTACGTGGGGCGCTCGCGCTGCGTGCAGACGCGCTTGATTGGTTAGATAAGGGGGCGGGGGCCGCCGCTGTTACCAGGCAACTGCGCCCCGGATCCGCCCCCTGACGTCACGCGTTGCCTAGAGGCCCAGGTTGTGGGTTTTGTCCGTGGGTATGGTCCTCGCGACGGCCTCCGGGGATCTGTTTGTTGGCGGAAAACCAATCCAGACTCCCAAGGAAAAAGGCCGAGGCCCGGGAATTTCCCGTTGCAATTCTGGTTTCGAGTTCTAGGGGGAAAAAGGCTCGCAAGGCTGTATTCTCCATCCCTCAAGCCCAAGCTTTCTTGTTTCTTAATAACAGCTTCGTTGAGATCCATTGTAAAATTCACGTTTTAAGAGTGAATAATTCAGTGCACAGAGCTGTGCAACCTTTGCCACTAATTGCAGAACGCTTTCAGCACCCGAGGAGAAGAAACTCCAACCCCATTAGGCCGTCATTCCCCGGTCCCCACCCCGTCCCTATCCCCAGCCCCTGGCAATCACTTTTGTCTCCGTGGATTTGCCTATTCTGGACATTTTGTGTGGATAGAATCATCCCAAGAAGTTTTTTGTGTGTCTGGCTTCTTTCCTTCTTTATGGCTGAATAAAAATCCATGATATGAATACACAGCATTTTGATTTTCCATCCATTGATGGCTATTTGGGTAATTTCCACCTTTTGGCTGTTATGAATAATACTGCTATGAACATTGGTGTACACGTTTTTGTGCGGACATTTGTTTTCAATTCTCATAGGTGTATACCAAGGACTGGAATTGATGGGCCAAGCTTTGTGTTTTAAGGAAAAAAAAATCATGTTTTAGTTTCGTGCTGGTAATTTGAAGTAAGCAGATGTCTAGATATAAGCTTGGAAACTGGCCAGTTGGAGATTGCTCACGGCTGCAATTGAAGACTCCAGCAGCCTCTTCTCCTCTTTGCTTCCATTTGGAGAGGAAGGCGTCATAGGCTGTGTGACTTCCGTGGACGCGGGGCTTGGCACCGGCTTGCAGTTGGGATCAATCTTCAGTGGCGGTTTGGAGTGGGTCACGGTTCTTCCTGCTTGCCTTCCAGTTTAGTCCCTGACGTCTGCTCCCCAGGGCCCTGGCTCTTCCCCCACGCCTTCAGCCTGCACAGTCCCTTCTCTCATTCTCAGGCTGCAGAACCTGGAAGTACAGTTGTCCCCCCTTACCCGCTGTTTCAGTTACCTGAGGTCAACCGTGGTCTGAAAATACTACATGGAAAATTCCGGAAATAAACAATTCGTAAGTTTTAAATTGCACGCTGTGATGAAATCTCGCGCTGTGCAGCCTGGGCAGTGAATCGTCCCCTTTGTTCAGCGTCCCCACGCTGTGGACGCTCCACACCCATAGTCACTTAGTAGCTGGCTCGGTTATCAGATCGACCGTCACAGTGTCCCAGTGTATGTGTTCAAGTCACCCTTATTTTCCGTCATAATGGCCCCAAAGCACAAGAGTAGTGATGCTGGGAATTTGGATAGGCCAAAGAGAAGCCGTAAAGTGCTTCCTCTAAGTGAAAAGGTGAAAGTTCTCGACTTAATCAGGAAAGACAAAAAATCCTATGCTGAGGTTGCTAAGATCTACGGGAAGAATGAATCTTCCATCCGTGAAATTGTGAAGAAGGAAAAAGAAATTCGTGCTAGTTTTGCTGTCTCACCTCCAACTGCTAAAGTGACGGCCACAGTGCGTGATAAGTGCTTAGTTAAGATGGAACAGGCACTGCATTTGTGGGTGGAAGAGATGAACAGAAAACGTGTTCCCATTGACAGCAACATGTTGCGCCAGAAAGCTTTGAGCCTATACCAAGACTTCTGCAAGGGATGCTCTGAAACTGACACCAAGCCATTTACTGCGAGTAAGGGATGGTTACACAGATTCAGGCATAGATTCTCACATCATTACAAGAAGAAGAAGAAGGGTAAGTACGTTACAACAAGTTATACTGAGAGAGAGAGAGATCACATTCACATAACATTACAGTACTTGATATTCTATTTTATTATTGTTGTTGTTAATTTCTTACTGTGCCTAATTTATAAATTAAAATTCATCGTAGGTATGTATGTACAGGTTGAACATCTCTAATCCAAAAATCCAAAATTTGAACCGTTCCAAAATCCAAAACTTATTGAATGCCGCTGACCTGATGCAAGTTGAAAATTCCATACCTGTCACCTTTGCCTTTATTTTTTTTTTAAGACAGTCTCGCCCTGTCGCCCAGGCTGGAGTGCAGTGTTGCGATCTCGGCTCACTGTAAGCTCCATCTCCCGGATTCAAGCCATGCTTCTGCCTCAGCCTGCAGAGTAGCTGGGATGACAGGCGTGTACCACCACGCCCGGCTAATTTTTACGTTTTTAGTAGAGACGGGGTTTCACCATGTTGGCCAGGCTGGTCTCGAAATCTTGACGTCAGTTGATTCACCCACCTCAGCCTCCCAAAGTGCTGTGATTACAGGCATGAGTCACCACGCCCGGCAGGCCTTCTTTGTTTTTCTCTTGAGACAGAGTCCTACCCAGGGCCTCGCCCTGTTGAAATGGTGGGATCACAGCTCACTGCAGCCTTGACCTCCTGGGCTCAAGCAATCCTCCCATCTCAGCCTCCTGAGTAGCTGGGACCACAGGCATACACCCCCACACCTGGCTAATTTTTAATTTTTTTGTAGAGGTGAAGTCCCATTATGTTGCCAGGCTGGTCCCACTATGTTGCCCGGACTGGCCAACATGGCGAAACCCTGTCTCTACTAAAAATACAAAAATTAGCCAGACATGGTAGTGCACACCTGTAACCCCCAGCTACTTGGGAGGCTGAGGCAGGAAAATCACTTGAACCTGGGAGGCGGAGGTTGCAGTGAGCCAAGATCGCGTCACTGCACTCCAGCCTGGGCGACAGAGCGAGACTCCATCTCAAAAAAGAAAAAGAACATAATAGATTTAGGGTTTGGCACTATCTGCAGTTCCAGGCATCCGCTGAGGGTCTTGGAATGAGTCTGCTGAAGATAAGGGGGAGAATCCTGGCCCTTCATTTCTCTTGTCCTCCCAGTGGATTCATCTGCGTTCCTACATGCCCTGAGGCCATTTCATGGGTGTCTGGCTCCTTTTACTGTATTGCTTGTGATTCCCCTCCACTCCTTGCCATCAGTATACGTTTTTTTTTGGGGGGAAGGATACAGAGTCTTGCTCTGTCACCTAGGCTGAAGTGCAGTGGCACAATCACGTCCTGCTGCAACCTCCGCCTCCTGAGTTCAAGAGATTCTCCTGCCTCAGCCTCCTGAGTAGTTGGGATTACAGGTGCGTGCCACCATGCCCAGCTAATTTTTTTTTTTTTTTTTGAGATGGAGTTTCGTTCTTGTTGCCCAGGCTGGAGTGCAATGGCATGATCTTGGCTCACTGCAACCTCCGCCTCCCGGGTTCAAGCAATTCTCCCCGCCTCAGCCTCCCGAGTAGCTGGGATTACAGGCACCCACCACCACGCCTGTCCTTTTTTTTTGGATTTTTAGTAGAGACAGGGTTTCACCATGTTGGCCAGGCTGATATGGAACTCCTGACCTCAGGTGATCCACCTGCCTCAGCCTCCCAGAGTGCTGGGATTACAGGTGTGAGCCACCTCGCCTGGCTACTAGTATACATTTTTACATTGCAGGTGCTCATTACATTTTTGTTGAATGGTGAAACATGTACTCTTGTGTTTGTACTTGTAGGCTGAGCTGTGAAGAAGGTAGAATTTATTAATTAAAACCAAGCCCTGCGGCTCAGTGTGGTGGCTCACGCCTATAATCCCAGCACTTTGGGAGGCTGAGGTGGGAGGATTGCTTGAGTCTAGGAGTTCAAGACTGGCCTGGGCAACATGGCAAAACTCTGTCTCTACAAAACAAACAAAAAACAACAACAAAAAATTAGCTGGGTACAGTGGTGTGCGCCTGTGCTCCCAGCTACTTGGGAGGCTAAGGTGGGAGGATCACTTAAGCTTGGGAGTCCCAGGCTGCAGGGAGCTATGATCATGCCACTACACTCCAGTCTGGGTGATAGAGCAAGACCCTATCTCAAAAGAAAAAAAGCAAAACAAAACAGAAAACAAGTCCCAGGTCTGGGCACAGTGTCTCATTCCTATAATTCCAGTATTTTGAGAGACTGAGGCAGGAGAATCGCTTGAGCCTAGGAGTTCAAGATCAGCCTGGGCAACATAGTGAAACTTTGTCTCTACAAAAAAAAAAAAAAAAAAAAAAAGTCAAAATTAGCCAGGCGCATGGTAAGCTGTGATGATACCACTGCACTTCAATCTGGAGGACAGAGCAGACTCTGTCTCAAAACCAAACCAAAACAAAAAAACTAAGCCCTTTAAAACCTGAAAAATTAATCTTTGGAAGGGAAAATCTAGAAACAGTTTTTAAAAATAAACCAGTCCTCTATTTCAAGATTTCAGAGTTTTCATAAAGGAAGTGGATGACATTCCAAATGATGAAAGGTTGTAAGGGATAGATACAGATTCTAGATCAGTGATGGGCAAACTTTGTTTGTAAGGATAGTAAATATTTTTGGCTTTGGGAACATGGGGTCTTTGTCACATGCATGCAAACCTTCCTTTGCAGGAAAGCAGCTGTAGACAAGATGTCAACAAGTGAATGTGACTGTGTTCTGACAAAGCTTAATTTACAAAACTAGGCTGCGGTCTGGATTTGACCTGTAGGCTGGAGATTGTTCTAGGTATTTGCTTTTCGTTAGTAAAATATTACACTAGAAGGACAGAAACGCCTCCAGCATTGCTGGGAAGACAAAATGAGATTTGGAAGTTTTTGGAGTTTACATCTACAGTTTTAAAAGAGCAAAAAGGGCCAGGCACGGTGGCTCATGCCTGTAATCCCAGCACTTTGGGAGGCTGAGCGGGGCGGATCACCTTAGGTCAGGAGTTCGAGACCAGCCTGGCCAACATGGTGAAACCCAGTCTCTACTAAAAATACAAAAATTAGCCAGATGTGGTGGCACGCACCTGTAATTTCAACTACTCGGGAGGCAGAGTTTGCAGTGAGCTGAGATTGCACCACTGCGCTCCAGCCTGAGCCACAGAGCAAGACTCCATCTCAAAATAAAAGAGTAAAAAGTTAAGTACTATGTAAAAATCTGTGATCTCAGTAAATGGTGCTGGCACTTCAGATGTGAGTAAAAAAAGGGTTAATAACTATATCGGCTTTGGGAGATTTTATTCTGTGGTACAAGTTCTTATGGTGAAGGATTTTTGAGCTTTATTAGAGTGCAGTGAAATTTTCTCAGGAAAATGTACTTGGGACAGGAAACACAGTGTTGGCTTATAGTCATGTTTCATTATTTTCAATTTTCTATTAATGCATGCTGTGTTCCAAATCATAAAATATAAAAGACAACATTCCTGCCTCCATTTGTTGTTATGTACAAAATGCAAAGAAAGCACAATAATTATGAGACACTCAGCCCAGCGCGGTGGCTCACACCTGTAATCCCAGCACTTTGGGAGGATGAGGCAGGCAGATCACTTAAGCCCAGGAGTTCGAGACCAGCCTGGGCAACATGGCGAAACCCCCTCTCTACAAAAAATACAAAAATTAGCTGAACATGGTGGCGCATGCCTGGTATTCCAGCTACTCAGGAGGCTGAGGTGGGAAGATCATCCGAGCCCAGGGAGGCAGAGGCTGCAGTGAGCTGTGATTGCACCACTGCATTCCAGCCTGGGTGACGGAGTGAGACCCTGCCTCAAAAAAATGATAATAATTATTATGAAACACTTGTTTTTTAAATGATTACTGGTAGCATAGTTGACGCCAACTGATAGTATCTTTTTTTGAATTCCACGTGGTATCATCCTGCCTATTATTTTATTCTTCGGTTTTTTCAATTTTTTTATTTCTATTTTTGTTTGTGTTTTTATTTTTATTTTCTTTTTTGTAAAAAAGCAGACTTTTGACATCAGAGCTTGTTTAGGGATTATTGTGGTATAATATTCTGGGGATGACAGAACTGTTTTATACCTTAATTTTACCTATGTAACTTTATATATGTCAGAATTCACAGGGGCCAGGCAGGTGACTGACACCTGTAATCCCAACACTTTGGGAGGCCAAGGTGGCAGATCACCTGAGGTCAGGAGTTTGAGACCAGCCTGGGCAACATGGTGAAACCTCCTATTAAAAAAAAAAAAATGCAGAAAATGAGCTGGGCATGATGGCACGTGCCTGTGGTCCCAGCTACTCAGGAGGCTGAGGCACGAGGATTGCTTGAGCCCGGGATGGGGAAGTTGCAGTGAGCTGAGAGTGCACCACTGCACTCCAGCCTGGGTGACAGAGTGAGACCTTGTCTCAAAAAAGAAAAAAAAAAAAATCGGCCAGGCACGGTGGCTAACGCCTGTGATCCCAGCACTTTGGGAGGCTGAGGCGGGTGGATCAGGAGGTCAAGAGATCGAGACCAGCCTGGCCAACATGGCAAAATCCCATCTCTACTAAAAATACAAAAATTAGTTGGGCGTGGTGGCGGGCGCCTGTAGTCCCAACTACTCAGGAGGCTGAGGCAGGATAGTCGCTTGACCAGGGAGGTGGAGATTGTAGTGAGCTGAGATCACGCCATTGCACTCCAGCCTGGGCAACAGAGCGAGACTCCGTCTCAAAATAAATAAATAAATAAATAAATAAATAAATAAATAAATAAAAAAAACATAATCCTCATCTAGTCTAGTTTACATCAGGTAAAAGAATTTTCGGCCAGGCGTGGTAGATCATGCCTGTAAACCCAGCACTTTGGGAGGCTGAGGCAGGTGGATCACCTGAGGTCAGGGGTTCAAGACCAGCCTGACCAATATGGGGAAACCTCGTCTCTACTAAAAGTACAAAAATTCGCTGGGCATGCCAGGAGTGGTGGCTCACGCCTGTAATCCCAGCACTTTGGGTGACCAAGGCGGGTGGATCACAAGGTCAGGATATTAAGACCATCCTGGCTAACACGGTGAAACCCTGTCTCTACTAAAAATACAAAGAATTAGCTGGGCATGGTGGCACGGGCCTGTAGTCCCAGCTACTCAGGAGGCTGAGGCAGCAGAATCGCTTGAACCCGGGAGGCAGAGGTTGCAGTGAGCCAAGATCAAGCCACTGCACTCCAGCCTGGGCAGCAAGAGCAAAACTCTGTCTCAAAAAAAAAAAAAGAAGAATTTTTATTTAAAACTTTTTTTTTTATTTCACAGGAAATGGATTGCATGATTGTTTTGACCATTTTTCTTCATGCTAAATAAAGTATGCAGACTTAAGCATTGAGTTAAGAGATCGGTGTTTTGATTGCCTTTTGGTCGGCGTCAGGGAGAGACCTCTCTGAGTTTGGAGGTTGTTTTAAGGACGTGGGGTGCCATGATTCTAGTAATTTTGTGTGTGCATTTCACACACAACAACCCATACATAAATATCTTATAATTCATCTTCCAGGCACTTGAGAATGAAGGGAGCATTGTTAATAATTTCACTGGCAGGGTGGGTGTGGACTAGGACTGTCCCACCTGGGACATGTGGGTCACCCATCTTATTTTCCCCTCATGGGGCCTTTCTTCTGTTTGCCTTTCTGCTCCTCCACTGCGGTTGCAGCCTCTGCCATTCCTTAAACCATCTGCACACCCACCAGCAGGCTCCCATGCTCTCTGTGTCCTTTCACGGAAAATAATATTTCCCTTGGAGGGTGTGTAGGTTTTAAATTGGGTGATCGTAAAAGCATCGGCGCATAGAGTGTAGTTCAGTACATGTTAATTTTCTTTTTTTCCATCCAACCTCTCTTTGATTTTATTTGATTTTTAAAAATCTCTTTAGCTGGGCGCGGTGGCTCACGCCTGTCACCCACCACTTTGGGAGGCCAAGGAGGCCAGATCACTTGAGGTCAGGAGTTTGAGACTGGCCTGGCCAACGTGATGAAACCCTGTGTCTACTAAAAATACAAAAATTAGCCAGGCATGTTGACCCAAGCCTGTAATCTCAGCTACTTGGGAGGCTGAGGCAGGAGAATTGCTTGAACCCGGGAGGCGGAGGTTGCAGTGAGCTGAGATCGTGCCACTGCATTCCAGCCTGGGCCACAGAGTGAGACTCCGTCTCAAAAACAAATAAATAAATATGATAAAAACTGTTTTATTGAGATACAATTCATATACTTATACAGTTCACCCATTTGAAGTGTACAGTTCAGGCTGTACACGGAGGCTCATGCCTGTAATCCCAACACTCTGGGAGGCTGAGGTGGAAGGATCGTTTGAGCCCAGGAGTTTGAGACCAGCGTGGGCAACATAGTGAGACCTCTTTACAAAAATAGAAAATTAGCTGAGTGTCGTGGCACATGCCTGTCATCTTAGCTACTCTGGAGGCTGAGGCAGGAGCATTGCTTGAGCCCAGGAGGTCAAGGCTACAGTGATTGCACCACTGTACTCCAACTATGATCATGGCACTGCACGTCAGCCTGGGTGACAGAATGAGACCCTGTCAGAAAAAATAAATAAAAATTTAAAAAATAGGGGTGGGCATAGTGCCTCACACCTATAATCCCAGCACTTTGGGAGGCCAAGGAGGGTGGATCACCTGAGGTCAGGAGTTCAAGACCAGCCTGGACAACATGGCAAAACCCCATCTCTACTACAAATACAAAAAATTAGCTGGGCATGGTGGTGCACGCCTGTAATCCTAGCTACTCAGGAGGCTGAGGCAGGAGAATCGCTTGAACCCAGAAGGCAGAGGTTGCAGTGAACTGTGATTGTGCCACTGCACTCCAGCCTGGGAGACAGAGCAAGACCCCATCTCAAAAAAAAAAAAAAAAGAAAATTAAAAAAAATAAAGTGTACTGTTCAGTGGTTTCTTGAAATAGATTCACAGAGTTGTACAACTATCATCACAGTCAATTTTTGTTTTGTTTTGTTTTTTTTGTGAGACGGAGTCTCACTCTGTTGCCCAGGCTGGAGTGCAGTGGTGGGATCTCGGCTCACTGCAACCTCCGCCTCCCGGGTTCAAGAGATTCTCCTGCCTCAGCCTCCCGAGTAGCTGGGACTACAGGCGTGCGCCACCATGCCCGGCTAATTTTTGTATTTTTAGTAGAGACAAAGTTTCACCAAGTTGGCCAGGATGGTCTCGATCTCTTGACCTCGTGATCCGTCCGCCTCGGCCTCCCAAAGTGCTGGGATTACAGGCGTGAGCCACTGTGCCCGGCCATCACAGTCAATTTTTGAACATTTTCATCACTCTGAAACCTTTTACCCTTTAGCTATCAACCTGAAATAACCACTAATCTATTTTCAGTTCCTATAGATTTCCCTATTCTAGAAATTTAATATGAATGGAATTACATAATATGTGACTCCTTTGGATTTTAAGTTGAGGGGATTCATAAAAGGTCAGAAGTGAAACATTCATAGGAAGTAGTTGATTGAGCCAGGTGTAGTGGCTTGCAGCTGTAATCCCAGTGTGGATGAGGGGGAAGGATGGCTTGAGTCCAGGAGTTGGAGGCTGCAGGGAGCCATGATCAAGCCACTGCACTCCAGCCTGGGTGACATTGTGAGACTCTGACTCTTAGAAATAAAAAAGCTGACCAGGCTCAGTGGCTCATGGCTGTAATCACAGGGCTTCGGGAGGCCAAGGCAGGTAGATCACTTGAGGTCGGGAGTTCGAGACCAGCCTGGCCAACATGATGAAACCCCATCTCTACTAAAAACACAAAAAATTAGCCGGCCATGGTGGGAGCTGCCTGTAATCCCAGCTACTTGGGAGGCTGAGGCAGAAGAACTGCTTGAACCCCAGAGGCAGGGATTGCAGTGAGCCAAGATCATGCCATTTCACTCCAGCCTGGGCAACAGAGTGAGACTCCATGTCAAAAAAAAAAACCAATACATATATATATATAAAATAAGGCTGGGCATGGTGGCTCACGCCTGTAGACCCAGCACTCTGGGAGGCTGAGGCGTGTGGATCAACTGAGGTTAGGAGTTCAAGACCGGCCTGGCCAACATGGTGAAACCCCGTCTCTACTGAAAAATAGAAAACTTAGCTGGGCCCGGTGGCGGGTGCCTACAATCCCGGCTACTCGGGAGGCTGAGGCAGGAGAATTGCTTGAACCTGGGAGGTAGAGGTTGCAGTGAGCCGAGATCGCACCACTGCACTCCAGCCTGGGTGACAGAGTAAGACCTTGTCTCAAAAAATACATATAAAAATAAATAAATAAGCAGTTGATTTAGTATCTTCTTCAATAGACAAGATGCCTGAGTACAGCCCGTGGCTCTCCTGGCATGTGGTCCCGTGGGGACCAGTGCATCAGGTGCTTCCTAAGCTGGCGTCACCTGCCTGGCCCGATGCCTCCTCTGGTGTTCATTGTTAATTAATGCCACCTCCTGATGGCAGTTTCTTTCTGGGAAGAGGAGAGAAGAGAGGGAGCCGTCCCCAAGTGAAGGGTGCAGGGAAGGCTCCATGAATAGTTTCAACTAAGGACTGTCCCAGGAAGGAACCTCGGGACAAGCAAAGAACAGTAAACTTCTGATGTGACCCGGATGCACCCATTTCCAGAGAGCAGGAAGCACAGAGAAGGCCCGTGGGTCGCCGTCCCCAGGGTGCCTTCCATCCTGCAAGGCTTGCTGCATGCCCTGAAAGTTATGATAAAGACATAGGACCGGCCGGGTGCGGTGGCTCACGCCTGTAATCCCAGCACTTTGGGAGGCCGAGGTGGGCAGATCACGAGGTCAGGAGATCGAGACCATCCTGGCTAACATGGTGAAACCCCGTCTCTACTAAAAATACAAAAAATTAGCTGGGCATGGTGGCACACGCGTATAGTCCCAGCTACTCGGGAGGCTGAGGCAGGAGAATGGCGTGAACCTGGGAGGCAGAGCTTGCAGTGCGCAGAGATCATGCCACTGGGTGCAGTGCGCAGAGATCATGCACTCCAGTCTGGGCGACAGAGTGAGACTCCGTCTCAAAAAAAAAAAAAAAAAAAAAAAGACATAGGACCTTCATCACCAGGGGTGCCCCTTGGGCTGTTGCTGTGGCATCTCCCTTTTTTTGTTTTTAGACGGAATCTTACTCTGTTGCCCCACCTGGAGGGCAGTGGCACAATCTTGGCTCACTGCAACCTCCGCCTTCTGGGTTCAAGCAATTCTCCTGCCTCAGCCTCCGGAGTAGCTGGGATTACAGGTGTCTGCCACCATGCCCAGCTAATTTTTAGTAGAGAAGGGGGGGGTCTCACCATGTTGGCCAGGCTGGTCTCGAACTCCTGACCTCAAGTGATCCGCTTGCCTCAGCCTCCAAAAGTGTTGGGATTATAGGCGTGAGCCACCACGCCGGCCCCATTTCTTAATACACATTGAGTGTGATGACATCATAGATCAATGGCAATTGCAGGTGTGAAGAAGTGGAAATAGCACTAGGCAAAAATTGTCCTGGTGTATGTTCTAGCTTTGCTTGGACAACTTGCTAAGTTGTAAAATGAGAATACTTCTACGCCCTTTTCTCTCCCGGGGATGCTAAAGACAAAATAAAGATTACGAATGGAAATTCTCTGAGCTTCCAAAAGAATCAGGATGGAGCATGATCTAAGGGAGTGTTCTGGTGAATGGGAACTTAACATGTCTTTGCCGTTACATATTCTTTGATGTGCATTTGCTTGGTGAGTGGAATCTAGAATGCTCAAGAAAAGACTTTCTAGGACCTACGCGTCTCATGGCTGGATGCCGCTTTTGCTACTCTTCATCTTAGCCAAAAAGCAGAGAGGCAATTGAGGCTGCTTTTTCTGACTCCAGCTCTGTTGCCAGAACAGAGTCTTTGCTATGAAAAACAATACCGGCTGGGCGCGGTGGCTCACACCTGTAATCCCAGCACTGGTGTGGGAGGCAGAAGCAGGAAGATCGCTTGAGCCCAGGAGTTGGAGACCAGTCTGGGCAACATAGTGAGACCCCGTCTCTACTAAAAATACAAAAATTAGCCGAGCATGGTGGCGCCTGCCTGTAATCCCAGCTACTTGGGAGGCTGAGGCAGGAGAATCGCTTGAACCCGGGAGGCAGAGGTTGCAGTGAGCAGAGATCACACCACTTCACTCCAGCCTGGGTGACAAGAGTGAAACTCAATAGAAAAATCTTCTGTCTTCCTTCCGCATGCACACTCATGTTGATCTGTGTATCTTTTGCTTACAAATAGAATTAAGCCAAATATTGGAGGGATATGATGGTAGCTGACAGGTACTTAATTTGCATGTTCCATTTCAAAAAGTTGTTTTTAAGATTTCAGAGAATTTTTTTCAAAGAAATTTCTTAAAGCTAACTTCATTTAGAGCTTGGCAAAATGTATCAGCCAGGCACAGTAGCTCATGCCTGTCATCCCGGCACTTAAGGAGGCCGACACAGGAGGATGGCTTAAGCCCAGGAATTTGAGATCAGCCTTGGCGATAGAGCAAGACCCCATCTTTACAAAAAAATGTTTAAAAATTAGCTGAGCCTGGTAATACATGCCTGCAGTCCCATATGCAAAACATAGCTGGGGCTACACGGGAGGGTGAGGCAGGAAGATCACTTGAGCCTGAGAGTTGGAGGATGCAGTGAGCCATGATTGTGCCACTGCACTCCAGACTGGGTGACAGAGTGAGATCCTGTCTCTAAAAACAAAACAAACAAAAAGCTAAAAAAAAAAAAAAAAATCTTGGCAAAATTTAGAGTGAGCTTTTAGGAGACAGAAGTCCGAAGGGAAGTGGGAAAGAAGGAATTTTCTCTTCCTATCTTTAGCACACAAACCCATTATACCCTTTCTATGTGTAAGTGAAATAGTGTGGTAGCTGTCACAACCATGCTGAAATCTGACTAAACATCATTGGATCAATAAGGTACAAATCCTCCTCTCCTCATCTGGGAAACAGCATGCTCCTCTCACATAATACCTGAGTTTGTTTTACGGGGAGGCCATGTGTAGGTTTAGTGGAAAATATATTCTATAAAGTTAGCATAAAAATAAATGTAAAAGGCTGGGTGCGGGCCGGGCGCGGTGGCTCACACCTGTAATCCCAGCACTTTGGGAGGCTGAGGTGGGCGGATCACGCGGTCAGGAGATCGAGACCATCCTGGCTAACATGGTGAAACCCCGTCTCTATTAAAAATACAAAAAATTAGCCAGGCGTGGTGGCAGGCGCCTGTAGTCCCAGCTACTCGGGAGGCTGAGGCAGGAGAATGGCGTGAACCTGGGAGGTGGAGCTTGCCGTGAGCGGAGATCGTGCCACTGCACTCCAGCCTGGGCGACAGAATGAGACTCTGTCTTAAAAAAAAAAAAGACTGGGTGCAGTGGCTCACGCCTGTAATCACAGCATTTTGGGAGGCCTAGGCAAGTGGATCACTTGAGGTCAGCAATTCGAGACTGGCCTGGTCCAACATGGTGAAACCCCATCTCTACTAAAAATACAAAAAGTAACCAGGCGTGGTGGTGGGAGCCTATAATCCCAGCTACTTGGGAGGCTGAGGCAGGAGAATCGCTTGAACCTGGGAGGCAGAGGTTGCAGTGAGCCAAGATCGCACCATTGCACTCCAGCCTGGGCGACAGAGCAAGACTCTGTTCCAGAAAAAAAGGCTGGGCATGGTGGCTCATGCCTATAATCCCAGCACTTTGGGAAGCCGAGGCAGGTGGATCACGTGAGACCAGGAGTTCAAGACCAGTATGGGCAACATGGCAAAACCCTGTTTCTACAAAATAAATAAATAAATAAATAAATCCAGGTTTGCTGGAGTGTGCTTGTAGTCCCAGCTGCTTCGGACCCTACAGTGAGTTGAGATTGCCCCACTGCACTCCAGCCTGAGTGACAGAGCAAGACCCTGTGTCTAAATAAATAAATAGTTTTTAAAAAAGAAAGTTGACTGGGCACGGTGGCTTACGCCTGTAATCCCAGCACTTTGGGAGGCCAAGGCGGACGGATCGCCTCAGGTCAGGAGTTCGAGACCAGCCTGGCCAACATGGCAAAACCTCATCTCCACTAAAAATACAAAAATTTGCTGGGTGTGGTGGCAGACACCTGTAATCCCAGCTACTCGGGAGACTGAGGCAGGAGAATCACTTGAACCCAGGAGGTGGTGGTTGCAGTGAGCTGAGATCGTGCCATTGCACCAGCCTGGGTAACAAGAGTGAAACTCAGTCTCAAAAAAAAAAGAAAGAAAGAAAGAGAGTTAGCAGGGTTGGGTGTGGTGGCTCACACCTATAATCCCAGCACTCTGGGAGGCCAAGGAAGGCAGATTGCTTGAGCTCAGGAGTTTGAGACCAGCCTAGGTAACATGGCAAAACCCCGTCTTTACAAAAAATACAAAAATCAGCCAGGCGTGATGGCGCTCACCTGTAGTCCCAGCTGCTGGGGAGGCTGAGATGGGAGGACTGATTGAATCCAGGGGGCAGAGGTTACAGTAAGCTGTGATTGCGCCACTGCACTCCAGCCTGGGTGACAGAGCAAGATCCTGTCTCAAAATAAAACAAAATAAAATAAAATAAGTTAGCATTACTATTCAGGAGCTCATGGGCAAGTCACTAAATGCCTTTAAATTTCAGTTTCTTCATCTCAAGAGGAAAGTTTGAACTAGATCTTTGGTGAGCACCCTCACATCTCTAAATGTGGGTTTCAGACTCTGAATTTTTGCCACTTTCTTATTGCTTCTCTTGCACAGGGATCATGGCCCAGGTAGCAGTGTCCACCCTGCCTGTTGAAGAAGAGTCCTCCTCAGAGACCAGGATGGTGGTGACATTCCTCGTGTCTGCCCTCGAATCCATGGTGAGACAGCCTGACACTTGTCTGACATTCCATAGATGGATCATTGTCGAAATGACAGAATCATGAAACACTTCAGTATCCCTTTTGTTTTTTTTCTTTTCTTTTTTTTAAGACAGAGTCTCACTCTGTCACCCAGGCTGGAGTGCAGTGGCACAATCTCAGCTCACGGCAACCTCTGCCTCCTGGGTTCAAGCAATTCTCCTGCGTTCAAGCAATTCTCCTGCCTCAGCCTCCTGGGTAGCTGGGATTATAGGCACCAGCCACCACATCCAGCTAATTTTTGTTTTTTTTTTTTGAGACAGAGTCTTGCTCTGCTGCCCAGGCTGGAGTGCAGTGGCATGATGTCGGCTCACTGCAACCTCCGCCTCCCGGGTTCAAGCAATTCTCCTGCCTCAGCCTCCCAAGTAGCTGGGATTACAGGCGCCGGCCACTACGCCCGGCTTATTTTTTGTATTTTTAATAGAGACGGGGTTTCACCACGTTGGCCAGGCTGGTCTCGAACTCCTTACTCTCAGGTGATCTGCCCACCTCGGCCTCCCAAAGTGGTGGGATTACAGGCGTGAGCCACCGTGTCTGGCTGCTTCAGTATCACTTTTGATGTTTGCCTGCTGCCTGACATCTATATAAGGGTATCCTTTATAGAGGGTAATGGGCTTGTCAGATTATTTATGTATTTGTATATTACATTATGGATGCAATTATATAAACTTAAGCTTCCCAGATCTGAAATGTAATGAATGGTAACCTTTGTTACCATGTTTGAGAATATTTTAAAAATCTAATTTCAAAAGTAAATAGGCCAGGTGCAGTGGCTCACGCCTGTAATCCCAGCACTTTGGGAGGCCAAGGTGTGTGGATGACTTGAGGTCAGGAGTTGGAGACCAGCCTGGCCAACATGGTGAAACCCCATTTCTACTAAAAATAGAAACATTAGCTGGACGTGGTGGCGGGCATCTGTATTCCCAGCTACTCAGGAGGCTGAGACACGAGAATCACTTGAACCCGGGAGGCGGAGGTTGTAGTGAGCTGAGATTGTGCCATTGCACTCCAGCCTGTGCAACAGAGCGAGACTCTGTCTCAAGAAAAAAAAAGTAAACAGCCTATTTATATATATCTATTTACATCCAAAAGATAAACTTTACCTGGTGGGTGAAAATTTGATGAGAAATTTACATAACTCCAAAGTACCTGATCAGAAGATATTTATTGATTAAAAATGGAAAATCAGTAACTTTACAGTGCAGAAACCTGACAGACACCACCTCATTCAAGTGATCAAAATTAGCATAGTCAGACTGTAATCCCAGCGGTTTGGGAGTCGAGGTGGGAGGATGGCTTGAGGCCAGGAGTTGGAGACCAGCCTGGGCAGCATAGTGAGACCTTGTCTCTACAAGACTATTTTTAAAAAATTAGCTGGAGGGGATGGTGCTATAGTTCCAGCTAGTTGGGGTGCTGAGATGGAAAGATTGCTTGAGCCCAGGAGTTCAAGTCTGCAGTAAGCTATCATGAGCTATCATGACACTGCACTCCAGCCTGCACAGCACAAGACCCTGACTCTTAAAAAAAAAAAAAAATAAGTTGGAATTAATTTTAGAAGAAAGCATTAGGGGTAGGCAGGGTGGCTCACGCCCGTAATCCCACCACTTCATGAGGCCAAGGCCAGAGGATCACTTGAGCTCAGGAGTTTTGAGACCAGCCTGGGTAACATAGCAAGACCTTCTGTCTACTAAAAACAATTTTTAGGCCGGGCGCGGTGGCTCACACCTGTAATCCCAGCACTTTGGGAGTTTGGGAGGCCGAGGCAGGCAGATCACAAGGTCAGGAGTTCGAGACCAGCCTGGCTAACATGGTGAAACCTCGTCTCTATTAAAGATACAAAAAATTAGCCAGGAGTGGTGACACATGCCTGTAATCCCAGCTACTTGGGAGGCTGAAGCAGGAGAATCGCTTGAACCTGGGAGGCAGAGGTTGCACTGAGTCGAGGTCACGCCATTGCACTCCAGCCTGGGCAACAGGGCAAGACTCCGTCTCAAAAAAAAAAAAAAAGGAAAAATAAAAAATTTTAAAAATTAGCCAGGCGTGGTGACACATGCCTATAGTCCCAGCTACTAGAGAAGCTGAGGCAAGAGGATTGCTCCAGCCTAGGAGATCAAGGCTGCAGTGAGCTAGGATTGCACCACTGTACTTCAGCCTGGGTAACAGAACAAGACCCTCTCTCAAATAATAATAATAATAAAGCATTAGGATCTGTTTGAAGAAAACTCGAAATATCTTCCCCAGGGACATTGTTTAAGAACTGATCACATTCCTTTCATTTGACAAATATCCATGAAGCACTTCCTAAGCCAAGGCCCTCTTCTAGGAACTGGAGTCACAAGACCTGAGAAGGTCCGCCTTACAGAGATCTTATATCCTACTCGGGAGATAAACAATAAACAAATTCGGCTGGGCATGGGGACTCAACGCCTGTAATCCCAGCACTTTGGGAGGCCGAGGAGGGTGGATCACCTGAGGTCAGGAGTTGAAACCAGCCTGGTCAACTTGGTGAAACCCCGTCTTTACTAAAAATACAAATATATTAGCTGGGTGTGGTGGCAGGCACCTTTAATCCCAGCTAACATGGGAGGCTGAGGCGGAGGTTGTAATGAGGCGAAATCGCACCACTGCCCTCCAGTCTGGGTGACAGAGCAAGACTCCATCTCAAAAAAAAAGGTATATATGAAGAGGTAACCAGAAAGTCTGCAGCCAAAAATGTAGGGAAAAGGCATATTGGAAGATCCATGTCAGGCAGTCAATAAAAATATGTTCTTTGGGTTTTATGATGTTTATGGTGTTTGCTTGATAAATTTCTTTTGATTTCCTTTCTCAGTGATTTTTCTCATTCTAAATAAATATTCCTGGCCGGGCGCAGTGGCTCACACCTGTAATCCCAGCACTTTGGGAGGCCAAGGTGGGCGGATCACAAGGTCAGGAGATCGAGACCATCCTGGCTAACACGGTGAAACCCCGTCTCTACTAAAAATACACACACACACACACACACACACACACACACACAAATTAGCCAGGCGTGGTTGCAGGCGCCTGTAGTCCCAGCTACTCAGGAGGCTGAGGCCGGAGAATGACATGAACCCGGGAGGCGGAGCTTGCAGTGAGCCGAGATTGCGCCACTGCACTCCAGCCTGGGTGACAGAGCGAGACTCCGTCTCAAAAATAAATAAATAAATAAATATTCCTTTTGCTACCTAATTTTGTATTCTTAAATCAGGCCTCCCAGGCCCCACAAACTTGGATCTGCCCTTGTAGATAATACATCGCTTTTTGTTTCTGTTTCAGTGTAAAGAACTGGCCAAGTCCAAGGCAGAAGTGGCCTGCATCGCAGTGTACGAAACAGACGTGTTTGTCGTCGGAACCGAGAGAGGATGCGCTTTTGTTAATGCCAGGACGGATTTTCAGAAAGATTTTGCAAAATACTGTAGGTGTTTTAATTTTATCCTTTGTATTCCCAATCTCAAAAGGATCGCAGGCAAGACTTCCACAGTATTTTCTTCTAAGCTATCATAAGCATTCTCCTAGAAACGATCCTAACACATCTTCTTGGATTCAGCTTACCAAATAAACACTGCTTAACACTGCAGAGTCCAAGACAAATGGTCATTTTATTTTATACTAGGTCCTCAGCGGTACTCTGGTTTATTAGAATAAATTTCAAGGACATAGAACAAATTATCTTTAATTCCTAAAATAAACACCATTTTACAAAATACTCTTTAGTCCTTTCCAAAGGAAGGGGGAAAAACTTTTTCAGAGCTTGTTGTGTATTACTGCCTATTAATAGCCATTATACAATTACTCCTTTTTTCTTTTTTTCTTTATTTTTTTGAGACAGAGTCTCACTGTGTCACCCAGGCTGGAGTGCAGTGGTGCGATCTTGGCTCACCGCAACCTCCGCCTCCCAGGTTTAAGCGATTCTCCTGCCTCAGCCTCCCGAGTAGCTGGGATTACAGGCACCTTCCACCATGCCCAGCTAATTTTTATATTTTTGGTAGAGAAAGGGTTTCACCCTGTTGGCCAGGCTGGTCTCAAACTCCTGACCACAAGTGATCTGCCCACCTCTGCCTCCCAAAGTACTGGAATTACAGGTGTGAGCCACTGCACCTGGCCGTTTTTTCCTTTTCTTAGTATGGCAATTTCAGAGCCTTCAATATGCCACGGTGTGCTGCAAGCATCCAGTGTGAGTGAGTATATGTGGCCATATGTCAAGGAACTACTCTACAGTGTTAAAAACTACACCTTCTGCCGGGCTCGGTGGCTCACTCCTGTAATCCCAAAATTTTGGGAGGCCAAGGCAGATGGATCACTTGAGCTCAGGAGTTTGAGGCCAAGCTGGGCAACATGGCAAGACTCCATCTCTACTAAAAAATACAAAAAAAAATTAGATGGGCGTGGTGGCACTCGCCTGTTGTCTTAGCTACTCAGGAGGCTCAGGTGAGAGGATCTCTTGAGCCCGGGAGGTCAAGGCTGCAGTGAGCCGTGATCACACCACTGCACTCCAGTCTGGACCATAGAGCGAGACCCGGTCTCAAGACAAAACAAAACCAGACAAAAAACTACACCTTTTATGGTGGTAATCTCTAACACTGTAGGTTATTTACCAAGTATTGATACAGCAATTTAATATTCCTTGTAACCATGAAAGGATAAAAATCAGAAAGGTTCGTCAGAGGGTATAAGGGTGTGTGTGTGTGTGTGTGTGTGTGTGTGTGTGTGTGTGTATGTACAGAGAGAGGGGTCTCTATGGATTGGCAGAGGGTATATAAAGTGTGTGTGTGTGTGTGTGTCTGTGTGTGTATAAGTAGATTAGATAGATAGGTAGATAGATAAATAAGAGAGAGGAATTATATACATATGTATATAGACAGATTAGATAAATGGATAGATGATAGATAAGAGAGAGGAATTATATATATATATGT
Source organism: Homo sapiens (assembly GCF_000001405.40). NCBI lineage: Eukaryota > Metazoa > Chordata > Mammalia > Primates > Hominidae > Homo > Homo sapiens. The sequence continues at coordinate 74,831,303 of NC_000007.14, read as the reverse complement.
ATGTAGATAGCTTAGATGGATGGATAGATAAGGGAGACAGGAATTATATATATATATGTATATAGATAGATTAGATGAATGGATAGAGAGAGAGAGAGAGAGATGAGAGAGGGGAGAATTGAGTGATAGATTGATTCAAATTTACTTCCGAGATCCCAAATTAAGGTCTCCACTATCAAAAAGACAGATTAAAAAATGAAGCCATCTTTAAATAATACAGTATGTAATTGATACACAAGAAGGGTATTCTCAATTCATTAATGTCAGATGCCAGTTGAATTTCTAATCACTGAAATTTACTTGTAGATTTTTTTAAGATTCATAGTTGCATGTTAATTTTGTTGTCGCAAATATTTTCTCTAGTATTCATCTTGTAATGAAACTGTTCTGAAATTGGTGTGATAATCTTTTTATATTTTCTTTTCTTTTAATAATGTCAACTTTTAGTTTAGATTCGGGGGGCACACGTGTAGATTTGTTACATGGGTATATCGTGTGATGCTGTGGTTTGGGGTACAGTAGTGAGCATAGTACCCCGTAGTTCATTTTGCAACCCTTGCCCCCACTTCCCTCTTTCCTCTAGGAGCCACCAGTGTCTATTGTTCCCATCCCCATCTTTATGTCCATGTGTACCCAAGGTTTGGCTCCCACTTACAAGTGAGAACATGTGGTATTTGGTTTTCTGTCCCTGCATTAATTTACATAGGATAATGGCCTCCAGCTGCCTCCACATTGCTGCAAAGGATATGATTTCTTTCTTTTTTATGGCCGCAGGTTTTTCGTTTTTGTTTTTGTTTTTTGAGACAGAGTTTTGCCCTTTCGGACAGGCTGGAGTGCAATGGCATGATCTTGGCTCACTGAAACCTCCACCTTCTGAGTTCAAGCCATTCTCCTGCCTCAGCCTTCCAAATAGCTGAGATTACAGGCATCTGCTACCACAGCCGGCTAATTTTTGTATTTTTTAGTAGAGACAGGGTTTCCCCATGCTGTCCAGCCTGGTCTTAGACTCCTGACCTCAGGTGATCCGCCTGCCTCTGGCTCCCAAAGTGCTGGGATTACAGGCGTGAGTCATCGTGCCCAGCTTTTTTTTTTTTTTTTTTTTTGAGACAGGGTTTTGCTATATTACCCAGTCTGGTCATAAATTCCTGGGCTCAAGTGATCCTCCTGTCTTGGCCTCCCAAGTAGCTGAGATCTGCACCTGGCATGCATGCTAAATATTTGGTCAAGGGTTTATTTCTGGACTCCCTACCCTATTCCGTAGATCTATTTGTCTTTATGCCAGTATCATGCTGTTTTGATTACTTTATAATATGTTTTGAAATCAGGAAGTATGAGACCTCCAAATTTGCTCTTCTTCAAGATTACTTCTGTTATTCAGAGTCCCTTGGTGTTCCATATGAATTTTTTTTTTTTTTTGAGACAGAATCTCGCTCTATCGCCCAGGCTGGAGTGCAGTGGAGAGATCTCGGCTGACCACAACCTCTGCCTCCTCGGTTCAAGCCATTCTCCTGCCTCAGCATCCCAAGTAGCTGGGATTACAGGCACATGCCACCATGCCCAGCTAATTTTTTTTTTTTTTTTTTGTATTTTGAGATAGGGTTTCACCATGTTGGCCAGGATGGTCTTGAATTCCTGACCTCGTGATCCACCCTCCTCAGCCTCCCAAAAGTGCTGGGATTACAGGGTGAGCCACCGCGCCCAGCCCCATGTGAATTTTAGAGTGGATTTCTTAATTTGTACGAGAAGTGCCCTTGAGATTTTGATGGGGATTGCAATAATTCTGTAGATGGCTTTTGGTAGTACAGATATCTTAGCAATATTAAGCCTGCCAATCCATGAGCATGAGATGTCTTTCCATTTGTTTGTGTCTTCTTTAATTTCTTTTCTTTCTTTTTTTTTTTTTTTTTGAGAGACAGAGTCTTGCTCTGTTGCCCAGGCTGGAGTGCAGTGGCTTGATCTCGGATCACTGCAACCTCTGCCTCCCAGGTTCAAGCGATTCTACTGCCTCAGCTTCCCAAGTAGCTGGGACTACAGGCATGCACCACCACACCCAGCTAATTTTTGTATTTTTAGTAGAGACAGGGCTTCGCCATGTTGCCCAGGCTGATCTTGAACACCTAACCTCAAGTGATCTGCCTGCCTTGGCCTCCCAAAGTGCTGGGATTATAGGATTATAGGCGTGAGCCACCACGCCCAGCCTGTCTTCTTTAATTTTTTTCAGCAGTGTTTTATTGTTTTAGTATACAGATTTTTCCCTTCCTTGATTAGGTCTATCCCTAAGGATTTTATTCTTTTTGATGCTATTGTAAATGGAATTGTTTTATTTCCTTTGCAGATTGTTCATTGTTACTGTATAGAAATGCAGTTGATTTGGTGTGTTGATGTAGTATCCTGCAACTTTGCTGAATATGTTGGAGTTCAAATAGATTTTTGTGTGGAATTTTTAGGATTTTCTACATACAAAATCATGTATCATCTATGAACAGAGATAATTTTACTTCTTTCTTTCAAATTTGGAGGCCTTTTTTTTTCTTACCTAGTTTAATTGCTCGGCTAGGACTTCCAAAACTGTGTTGAACAGAAGTGGGGAGAGAGGGCATCTTTGCCATTTCTTTTTTTTTTTTTTTCTTTGAGATGGAGTCTTGCTCTGTTGCCCAGGCTGGAGTGCACTGGCTTGATCTCTGCTCACTGCAACCTCCGGATCCCAGGTTCAAGTGATTCTCGTGCCTCAGCCTCCTGAGTAACTGGGATTACAGGTGCGTGCCACCACACCTGGCTAATTTTTGTATTTTTTTAGTAGAGGTGGGGTTTCACCACATTGGCCAGCATGGTCTCAAACTCCTGACCTCAAGTGATCTGCCTGCCTCCGCCTCCCAAAGTGCTGGGATTACAGGGGTGAGCCACCGCACCTGGCCCATCTTTGCTATTTCTGATCTTAGCTATCAGTCTTTCATTGTTGAGTGATATTAGCCATGGACTTTTTATAAATGGCCTTTATTACATTGGTCATTTCCTACCACTTCTAGTTGGTAGAGTGCTTTTATCATGAAAGGATGTTCAATCTTGTCAAATGCTTTTTCTGTGGCAATTGAGATGATCATGTGGCTTTTGTCCTTTATTCTGTCAATGTGGTATGTTACATTGATTGATTTAAATATGTTGAACCATCCTTGTATTTGAGGAATAAATTCCACTTGGGGCCAGGCACGCCTGTAATCCCAGCATTTTGGGAGGCCAAGGCGGGCAGATCACTTGAGGTTGGGAGTTCGAGACCAGCCTGGTCAACATGGGAAAACCCCGTCTCTACTAAAAATACAAAAATTTTAGTGGTGGCAGGAGCCTGTAATCCCAGCTACTCGGGAGGGAGAGGCAGGAGAATCGCTTGAACCCGGGAGGTGGAGGTTGCAGTGAGCCCAGATCGTGCCATTGCACTCCAGCCTGGGTGACAGAGCAAGACAAAAAAAAAAAAAAAAGGGAAAGGAAAAAGGAAGAAAGAAAATTGCAGAAGGAGGTTTCGCAGTGAATTTCAGTGGCACCATACCCACAGGCAGTTTCCTAGGGAGTTCCACCAGTTCCCCAGAGCATGGCTTCCCAGCAAATTCTCTTGGCATCACCCTCCAGGTAGCTTCCAGAGAGTTCCACTAGCACACTAGAGGCCATCTTCCTTATAACGCCCAGAAAGTGTTGCAGGCACCCACAGGGTAACTGTCTAGTGATTTCCACCAGCACCCCCAGAAAGCAGGCCCCTGCTTGCCAGCCACCACATGGACACCCCCACAGGCTTCCCCACTATCCAGTGGGCCGTGACCAAATCCTGTTTAATGAGGTCTGGATCTCGGCCCTGGGGAGCCACCCCATTCCTGGATTTGCTCCCTCCTGGGTCCCCTGCCTTAGCCCAGCAGTCACAGATGCTCTTGCAATTTGCTGCTTATGTTCTCTTTAGAGTCCTCAGTCCCTCTAGCAGCTAATCCCATGTTACCAGTTGACGACTCTTCTAGGAAACTTCACCTGTTGGTGTAAATTAGTACAAGCTCTATGGAAAACAGTATGGAGATTTCTCAAAGAACTAAACATAAACCCCCATTCAATCCAGCAAGCCCACTACTTGGCATCTACCCAAAGGAAAATAAATCATTCTATCAAAAAGACACCTGCCTTGAACGTTTATCACAGCACTATTCACAATAGCAAAGATGTGCAAATCAAGCTAAGCATCCATCACCAGATGACGGGACAAAGAAAATGTGGTACGTACACTATGGGATACTATTCAGCCATAAAAAAGAATGAAATGGCCGGGCATGGTAGTGCATGCCTATAATCCAAGCACTTTGGGAGGCCGAGGCGATGGATCACTTGAGATCAGTAGTTCTAGACCAGCCTGGCCAACATGGCGAAACCTCGTCTCTACTAAAATTATAAAAGTTAGCCGGGGGCGGTGGTGCATGCCTGTAATCCCAGCTACTCAGGTGGCTGAGGCACAAGAATTGCTTGAACCCGGGAGGCAGAGGTTGCAGTGAGCCGAGATCATGCCATTGCACTCCAGCTTAGGCAACAGAGTAAGACTCTCTCAAAAAAAAAAAAAAAAAAAAAAAAAAAAAAAAGAATGAAATGATGTCTTTTGCAGCAACATGGATGGGATTGGGGGCTATTGTCTTTATCATTTGACGTAAAAAGGCAAATGCGGCATGTCCTAACTTACAAGAGGGGCTAAATAATAGGTACACATGGACATAGAATGTGAGGCTAGGTGCAGTGGCTCACTCCTATAATCCCAGCACTTTGGAAGGCCGAGGTGGGCAGATCACTTGAGGCCAGGAGTTCGAGACCAGCCTGGCCAACATGGTGAAACCCTGTCTCTACTAAAAATACAAAAATGAGCCTGGTGTAGTGGCGGGTGCCTGTAATCCCAGTTACTAGGGAGGCTGAGGCACGAAAATCTCCTGAACCCAGGAGGCAGAGATTACTGTGAGCTGAGATTGCGCCACTGCACTCCAGCCTAGGCGACAGAGTGAGACTCTGTCTCAAAACAAACAAACAAAAACATGGTCATAGAGTGTGAAATAACAGACACTGGAGACTCAGGGGTGGGAGGCAGGAGGTGGGTAAGGGATGATAAATTACTTCATGGGTACAATGTACATTATTTGGGTGATGAGTACACTAAAACCCCAGACTTCACCAACAACACCGTATATCCATGCAAGAAAACTATACTTGGCGGGGTGTGGTGGCTCACGCCTGTAATCCCAGCACTTTGGGAGGCCGAGGCAGGCGGATCACGAGGTCAGGAGATCGAGACCATTCTGGCCATCTCTACTAAAAAATACAAAAAATTAGCCGGGCGTGGTGGCAGGCAGCTGTAGTCCCAGCTACTCAGGAGGCTGAGGCAGGAGAATGGCGTGAACCCGGGAGGCAGAACTTGCAGTGAGTGGAGAACATGCCACTGCACTCCAGCCTGGGTGACACAGCGAGACTCTGTCTCAAAAAAAAAAAAAAAAGAAGAAAGAAAGAAAACTATACTTGTGCCCCTTACATTGATACAAAAAAAAAAACAAAAACCTTTCTGTGTTCAAATTACTATGTGGTTTCTCTCTTCTGACTAGACTGATGAAAACAATCAGTTTTAAAACTTTTGGAGGAGCAATTGATTCTGGGGCTGGTCTTGAATGGGTTCAGGGGTATAGTCTTCCTATACAATTATTGCCACGTTTCAACTGTATAGCAAATCAAATTTCTGTTATAAAGATAATTTCTGGATGGGTGCAGTGCCTCACACCTGTAATCCCAACACTTTGGGAGGCTAAGATGGGAGGATCACTTGAGGCCAGGAGTTAGAGGCCAGCCTGGGCAACATAGTGAGATCCCATCTCTAAAAAAAATTTAAAAGTTAGCCAGGTGTGATGGGGCACTCCTGGAGGCTGAGGTGGGAGGACCGCTTAAGCCCAGAAATTTGAGGCTGCCGGGAACTTCGATCATCCCACTGCACTCCAGCCTGGGCAGCAGAGTGAAACCCTGTCTCTAAAAATAATAATTTCCTTAAACTACTACTATTTCTTTATATGTTGATTTTTTTATAGTTCATTAACCTGTTTATCATAAATACAATTTTTTCTTGTTTTTCTTTAAAAGATCTTGTTTTATATTTATTCACTTTTTTCCCCTTTTTTCTTTCAATACCAGAAACAAAGTACGGAAGTGTACAGCACAAATGCTTAGAAACTGACCTAATGCCAATCATCCATTTGCAGGCGTTGCAGAGGGACTGTGTGAGGTGAAACCTCCCTGCCCTGTGAACGGGATGCAGGTCCACTCAGGCGAAACGGAAATACTCAGGAAGGCAGTGGAGGACTATTTCTGCTTTTGTTATGGTAACGTTCACTTTAAGCATTAATTCTATTTTTTTTTTTTTGAGATGGAGTCTTGCTCTGCCACCCAGGCTGGAGTGCAGTGGTGCGATCTCGGCTCACTGCAACCTCCGCCTCCTGGGTTCAAGCGATTCTCCTGCCTTAGCCTCCCAAGTAGCTGGGATTACAGGCGCCCGCCACCACACCCAGCTAATTTTTGTATTTTTAGTAGAGATGGGGTTTCACCATGTTGGCCAGGCTGGTCTCAAACTCCTCACCTTGTGATCCGCCTGCCTTGGCCTCCCAAAATGCTGGGATTATAGGCGTGAACCACCGCGCCCAGCCAAGCATGAATTCTCTAAGTGGTTCACCCAGGAGTAGGACAGTGTCACAGACAGTCTTATTGCCATGACTACTTAGAATGTTTGAACATTTCAAAACCCATATGCTTATCAAGCGAGGAGCTAGTTCTTTTTTTTTTTTTTTTCTGAGAGGAGTCTTGCTCTGACACCCAGGCTGAAGTGCATTGGCACAATCTCAGCTCACTGTAAACTCTGCCTCCTGGGTTCAAGCGATTCTCCCACCCCAGCCTCCTAAGTAGCTGGGATTACAGGTGCCCACCACCTTGCCCAGCTAATTTTTGTATGTTTAGTAGAGATGGGGTTTTGCCATGTTGGCCAGGTTGGTCTCGAACTCCTGACCTCAGGTGATCCTCCTGCCTCGACCTCCCAAAATGCTGAGATTACAGGTGTGAGCCGCCGTGCCTGGCCACCAGTTCTTTTTTTTTTTTTGAGGCAGAGTCTCGCTCTGTTGCCCGGGCTGGAGTGCAGTGGCTCAATCTCGGCTCACTGCAAGCTCCGCCTCTCGGGTTCCTGCCATTTTCCTGCCTCAGTCTCCTGAGTAGCTGGGACTACAGGCACCCGCCACCGTGCCCGGCTAACTTTTTTTGTATTTTTTGGTAGAGACGGGGTTTCATTGTGTTAGCCAGAATGGTCTCGATCTCCTGACCTCGTGATCCGCCCACCTTGGCCTCCCAAAGTGCTGGGATTACAGGCGTGAGCCACCGCGCCCGGCCCACCAGTTCTTAATTACCAGATTAAGTGTTCTTATAGAAGATGATGTGGATCTTGGATCTTCTGCTCTGTGGAAACTTCTGTATTGATCACTCTTTCTTCCTTGATCCCATTTTAGAGAGCCCTGCATCAAGGCCAGTGTATTGCTAAAGACAGTCAATGTTGGCTCAGTCACCTCCCTCACCCCTCAGTTGTCACTCCACCTACCCATGTCTTTCCATAGGCATGAAGATGGGAATTAAAAAAAAAAATACGCTGGGCATGGTGGCTTGAGCCTGTAATCCCAGCTACTTGGGAGGCTAAGGTGGGAGGATCATTTGAGCCCAGGAGTTTGAGACCAGACTGAGCAACATAGTAAGACCCTGTCTCTACAAAATAAAATAAAAATAATTTTCAAAAATCCTTTGCAGTGTTTTAAAAAGCTAGATAACAGGCTGGGCACGGTGACTCACACCAGCTACTTGGGAGGCTGAGGTGGGTGGATCACCTGAGATCAAGAGTTCGAGACCAGCCTGGCCAACATAGTGAAACTCCGTCTCTACTAAAACTACAAAAATTAGTCGGGCATGGTGGCAGGCGGCTGTAATGCCAGCTACTCAGGAGGCAGAGGCAGGAGAATTGCTTGAACCCAGGAGGCAGAGGTTGCAGTGAGCCCAGTCGAGACCCTGTCTCTTAATTAAAAACAAAAACAAAAACAAAAAAAACTAGGCTGGGCTCAGTGGCTCGCCTGTTATCCTAGCACTTTGGCAGGCTAAGGTGGGTAGATCGCCTGAGCTCAGCCGTTCGAGACCAGTCTGGGAAACACGGTGAAACCTCATCTCTACTAAAATACAAAAGAAATTAGCTGGGCATGGTGGTGTGTGCCTGTAGTCCCAGCTACTCGGGAGGCTGAGGCAGGAGAATTGTTTGAACCCAGGAGGTGGAGGTTGCAGCGAGCCGAGATCTTGCCATTGCACTCCAGCCTGGGTGGCAGAGCGAGACTCTGTTTCTACAAAACAAAAAACAAAAAACAAACAAAAAAAAACTGGTAGAACGTTAGGTTCACACCATCCAAAGACGTTTGCGTCTTCTTGTAGGTAAAGCCTTAGGGACAACAGTGATGGTGCCTGTTCCCTATGAGAAGATGCTGCGAGACCAGTCGGCTGTGGTAGTGCAGGGGCTTCCGGAAGGCGTTGCCTTTCAACACCCTGAGAATTACGACCTTGCAACCCTGAAATGGATTTTGGAGAACAAAGCAGGGATTTCATTCATCATAAATAGGTGACACACTCTGCACCCCCGCCCCTTCAGTTCATTTAAAGATGAAACCAATAGCCTAATTTTAATTCACTCGTGCATCCCGCCTGCTGCGTTTCAGAGCTGACTGTTCAGATGTGTCATGCTTTTTTCATTGGTCCGTGCTGGGTAATGGTGTTGCTTTTCTTGCAGACCCTTCCTAGGACCAGAGAGTCAGCTGGGTAAGTGACAGCTTCTCAGGTTTGGTGGCTCTTCTGAGCTGCTGAACCACTTCTTCTTCATTAAAACTTGAATTGGGGGCCGGGCGTGATGGCTCACACCTGTAATCCCAGCACTTTGGGAGGCTGAGGCAGGTGGATCACAAAGGTCAGGAGATCGCGACCATCCTGGCTAACACGGTGAAGCCCAGTCTGTACTAAAAATACGAAAAAAAATTAGCCGGGCGTGGTGGCGGGCGCGTGTAGTCCCAGCTACTCGGGTGTCTGAGGCAGGAGAATGGCGTGAACCCGGGAGGTGGAGCTTGCAGTGAGCGGAGATCGCGCCACTGCACTCCAGCCTGGGCGACTGAGCAAGACTCCGTCTCAAAAAAAAAAAAACAAAACTTGAATTTGGGTGAGGGGAGGGAACTTAGAGGATGGGCCAATAGGTGCAGCAAGCCATTGTGGCACACATGTGCCTAGGAAACAAACCTGCACATTCTGCAGATGTATCCCCCCCTTTTTTTTTTTAGAAGAAATAAAGAATATTTTTTAAAAAAAGAAAAATACATTTGTAGCTATTAAAAAAAAAAAATTGGCCGGACGCAGTGGCTCACACCTGTAATCCCAGCACTTTGGGAGGCAGAGGTGGGCAGATCACTTGAGGTCAGGAGTTCGAGACCAGCCTAGTCAACATGGTGAAACCCCATCCCTACTAAAAATACCAAAGTTAGCCAGGCATGGTGGCGGGTGCGTGTAATCCCAGTTACTCAGGAGGCTGAGGCAGGAGAATCACTTGAACCCGAGATGTAGAATTTGCAGTGAGCCAAGATTGTGCCACCGCACTCCAGCCTGGGTGACAAAATGAGACTGTGCCTCAAAAATAAATAAATAAAGAAGAATAAAAGAAGATGTCTTGCTGAGACTGCCTAAGTGGAGTAAGGAGACGGCAGGGGTGGGGGGTGGCACAGTTCACAAGGCACCTGCTGGGTGTATGACATGCTTCAGTTCTTCTTAGCCGGGGACTAAACACAGTGGAAAGTCTGTTTCGGGAGGGATGGTGAGTTCCTGTCATCCTCTAACTCACATTAAAGGACAAATGAGAGGGGCAGGGTGGCAGGTGGCCATGGATTGTTGTCCCAACTGACTTGTATCATCATCATAGAAAAACAATAATACAGTGGTCCCCCCTTATCCTCGGGGAATATGCTCCAAGACCCCCAGTAGATGCCTGGACCCATGGGTAGTACAGAACCCTTCATATACTATGTTTTTCCCTAGCCATACCTACCTAAGAGAAAGTTTAATTTATAAATCAAGCACAGGCCAGGTGTGGTGGCTCACGCCTGTAATCCCAACACTTTGGGAGGCCGAGGCGGGTGGATCATCTGAGGTTAGGAGTTTGAGACCAGCCTGGCCAACATGGTGAAACCCTGTCTCTACTGAAAATACAAAAATTAGCCGGGCGTGGTGGTGCGTGCCTGTAGTCCCAGCTACTCGGGAGGCTGAGGCGGGAGAATTGCTTAAACCCGGGAGGCAGACGTTGCAGTGAGCCGAGATCGTGCCACTGCACTCCAGCCCAGGCAACAGAGCAAGATCCATCTCAGTAAATAAATCAATAAATCAAGCAAAGTAGGAGATTAACAGCAATAACTAAAGATAAAATAAAATGATTATAACAATATGCCTTCATTACTACTCTTGCACTTTGGGGCTATTATGAAGTCAAATAAAGGTGACTTGAGCACAAGCACCCTGGCCTTCCCAGGACTGTCAGTCTGATAACAGAGCCAGCTACTCAGTGACTAGTGGGAGAGTAGTGTAGACAGCGTGGATTGCAGGACAAAGGGATGAGTCACGTCCCAGGCGGGACGGCACGACACTTCATCACGCTGCTCAGAACAACGTGTGATTTCAAACTTCTGAATTATTTCTGGAATTTTCCGTTTACTCTTTGCAGACTTTGGTTGACCTTGGGGAGCAAACCGAGGACCGCGAAACCACAGATCAAGGGGGAGCTCGTGTCATAGCAGCTCTAACTTAGTGCTTACAACATGCAGGCACTGTTCTAGTCATTTTGCGTATATTCATGAATCCTCCCACAACCACCGTGTTCACGAGGAAGCGGAGGCAGAGGGAGGTTTAGTGAGTTGCTGGAGGCAGCCCAGCTGGTGAGCTGAGGCTCAGCCGCACGACCGTGCTCTGGCCCCAAAACACTCCTCGGTAACCCCCATCCTGCCCACACAAATGGCCCCGGAACACAGCGGCTGCTTTGAGTCAGTTTCTCTCTCGATGACTTTTCCACGTTGGCTTCGATCTGGGAGTTCCGTTTTCTGTGTATTTGCTGTCAATTTCTATGCCTTTGGATGTTAGTCATTTTCCGAGGTGCTAAAAGGGGCTGGTGTGTGTTTTTTCATTCCTCTACAGGTGGCCCTGGGATGGTAACAGATGCGGAGAGATCCATAGTATCACCAAGTGAAAGGTAAAAGATAAATCACAGCAACCAAAATCCACAACTATGCACAGCGTTCGTTTTTGGATGACAGAAAGGCCTCCTTACAGCATTTAAGTGGAGTGTAAAGGGTTAATGTGCTTCTTCCCTTCCTTATTTTCTATCCTATTCTTTGTCCAAAAGGACCTTTGGAATTAGAAGACTACTTTCGGTAGACACGTTTAATTTGGGAACAACTTATTAAGACATTAATGTTAAAATGGAGGCATTGTTGCATTTGATTGAGGGGAGGAGGGGGATTTGGTGCTGCGGAGATCCAGGGCATTTGAGCTCATCGTGTCCAGGCGGCTGTGCCTGGTCCTCACCCTGCCCATCTGACCAGGGTTCCCTTCTCCTTGCAGCTGCGGCCCCATCAATGTGAAAACTGAACCCATGGAAGATTCTGGTGGGTACCAAGATGCTTTTAGAATCAAGTATCGGCCAAGCGTGGTAGCTCACGCCTGTAATCCCAGCAATTTGGGAGGCCGAGGCAGGCGGATCACTTGAGGTCAGGAGTTCAAGACCAGCCTGGCCAACATGGTGAAACCCCGTCTCTCCTAAAAATACAAAAATTAGCCAGGCGTGGCTGTGCGTGCCTGTAATCCCAGCTACCAGGGAGGCTGAGGCAGGAGAATTGCTTGGACCTGGGAGGCTGAGGCTGCAGTGAGCTGAGATGGCGCCACTGCACTCCAGCCTGGGTGACAGAGCAAGACCCTGTCTCAAAAAAACAAACAAGGCTGCGCACGGTGGATCACGCTTGTAATCCCAGCACTTTGGGAGGCTGAGGCGGACAGATCGCCTGAGCTCAGGAGTTCAAGACCATCCTGGCCAACATAGTAAAACCCTGTCTCTACTAAAATACAAAAAATTAGCTGGGCATGTTCGTGTGCGCCTGTAGTCCCAGCTACTTGGGAGGCTGAGGCATGAGAATTGCTTGAGCCCGGGAGGTGGAGGTTGCAGTGAGCCAAGATCGCACCACTGCACTCCACCTTGGGCTACAGAGTGAGATTCTGTGTCAAAAAAAAACAAAAACAAAAACAAAAACAAAAAAACAAAAAAAAAGAACCAAGTATCTAGCAGGTTATCATTTGACACCTTTCTTTTGTTTTATCAAATAAATAAATAAATAAAGACCAGGGCGTGAATTAACCTCAGTGGAGCCTCATTTGCAGAACCATTATTTTACTCAAATATCTAGAAAACAAGCCTTGGCAGGGTGTGCGGGCTCACGACTGTAACTCCAACACCTTGGGAGGCCGAGGCAGGCAAATTGCTTGAACCCTGGAGTTCAAGACCAGCCTGGGCAACATGGCGAGACTTCATCTCTGCAAAACATATAAAAAATGGTGGTGCATGCCTGTGATCCTAGCTACTCAGGAGGCTGAGGTGGGAGGATCGCTTAAGCCCAGGAGGTTGAGGCTGCAGTGAGCTGTAATGGTACCACTGCACTCCGGCCTGGGTGACAGAGAGAGACGTTGTCTCAAAAAAAAAAAAAAAAAAAGAGAGAGAGAGAGGGAGCCTTCTAATTCAGTACATAATAGGGACTAAGATGTTATTAAATACACATACTTTTGGACAGAATATTATTTTATTTATAGTTGAATGAGAACCTGAATTTGAAATGAGTAAAACATTTTGAATATAAATTTGGAATTATTACTTGACTCACAAATAGAGCAGTGTTTTCATTTTTGGACATATACTACTGCTTTTTTGGACTTTTCTGTCATTTCTAAATGTTTTACAATATAGGTACATTACTATGACAGTGTATACTGGAAAAAAAATCCCTCTTCAATGGGGTTGACCCCATTCTTGCTTCTCCTCACTCCTCAATAAAAGAAAACCAGCATTAATTAGAGGAAAAATGTTAACAGGTTAAGATTAAAAAAAAAAAAGCTTAGGCCGGGTGTAGTGGCTCACACCTGTAATCCCAGCAATTTGGGAGGCCAAGGTGGGCGGATCACTTGAGGTCAGGAGTTTGAGACCAGCCTGGCCAACATGGTGAAACACTGTCTCTACTAAAAATACAAAAAATTAGTTGGGCATCATGGCAGGCGCCTGTAATCCCAGCTACTCAGGAGGCTGAGGCACAAGAATCGCTTGAACGCAGGAGGCAGAGGTTGCAGTGAGCCGAGATCACACCCCTGCATTCTAGCCTGGGTGACAGAGCAAGACTCTGTCTCAAAAAGAAACAACAACAACAAAAATAATTTAAAACCCAAATGTTCAATCAAGGGATGGGAAAATACTGAAAGCATTAAAAGTTGAAAGGTTCACGCCTGTAATCTCAGCACTTTGGGAGGCTGAAGCAGGAGGATCGCCTGAGTCCAGGAATTTGAGACCAGCCTGGGCAACAAAGCGAGACCCTGTCTCTACAAAAAATATTTATAAATAAAAAATTAGCCAGACATCGTAGCACGCACTTATAATCCCAGCTACTTGGGAGGCTGAGGTTGGAGGATCACTTGGGCCCAGGAGATAAAGGCTGGAGTGAGCCATGATTGCACCACTGCACTCCGGCCTGGGTGACAGAGCGAGACCCTGGCTTCAAAGAATAATAATCATAATCCAAAAGAAAAACAATATTCTGTGTTAAGAAACAAAGACCTGGCTGGGTCTAGTGGCTCACGCCTGTAATCCCAGCACTTTGGGAAGCGGAGGCAGGCAGATCACCTGAGGTCAGGAGTTTGAGACCAGTCTAGCCAACATGGTGAAACCCTGTCTTTACTAAAAATACAAAAATTAGGCGCCACCACGCACGCCTGTAATCCCAGCTACTTGGGAGGCTGAGACAGGAGAATCGCTTGAACCCAGGAGGCAGAGTTTGCTGTGAGCCGAGACTGCGCCATTGCACTCCAGCCTGGGTGAGAGTGAAACTCCGTCTCAGAAAAAAGGAAAGAAAGAAAGTTCTAGAGAAAAGAAAAATAGAGCCTTTAGCATGAGTAAAATGAAGGAAGGACAGCAGCGTCTCTAAGACAGTGAAGATGTGGTTTATGCTTCGCAGTTCCTGGGATTCCTTGGGAGGGTCCAGGGACACAGTGGATGGGTCTCCTTGGCCCGCCTCCTCCTTTGTCACACCCAAGGATCTTTTCGCCACAACTGTGGGTGCACATGTCCCCTTCCACTCCCATGCAAACAAGTGCTTAGCAGAAGCTCCAGCTTCAGATGAGAGTCTGAACAAAAAATGGTGCTTCTCCTGTGCAGTGTGGTTCTAGGTCAAACCAAGACAAGTTGAATGGAAAGAAACGGGCGCAGTATTTCAGCTCAGCACAATTCAGCTGTGAGCACAGGTCAGCTGTGGAATCTTGGTCTCGTTTCTGACGTGACAGGCCTCAAACTCTTGCCCACTCAATATTAGCCTTGGATGTTTTCAGAGCTCAGATATCTTCTGCCTGTGTCTTACCTGGTCACAGAGAATTAAAAGAATACCCCAAGCCACAGGCTCCACATACAAACTGGGAAGATGAGGCCAGGCACGGTGGCTCACGCCCATAATCCCAGCAATTTGGGAGGCCAAGGTGGGCGGATCACCTGAAGTCAGGAGTTCGAGACCAGCCTGGCCAACATGGTGAAACCCCATGTCTACTGAAAATACAAAAATGAGCTGGGCGTGGTGGTGCATGCCTGTAATCCCAGCTACTCAGGAGGCTGAGGCAGGACAGTTGCTTGAACCCAGGAGGTGGAGGTTGCAGTGAGCCAAGATGGCACCACTGCACTCCAGCCTGGGTGACAGAGCAAGACTGTCTCAAAAAGAAAAGAAAAAAAGAAAAAAGAAAGAACCTGGGAAGATGAAGGGGGTGAGAGTGAGAAGTGATCAGTGTCCCCAGGGGCCGAGTTTCCTTCCTCACTAGCTGTTGGGCTAGATCTGTGGTTC
This sequence comes from Homo sapiens, assembly GCF_000001405.40. Taxonomy (NCBI): domain Eukaryota; kingdom Metazoa; phylum Chordata; class Mammalia; order Primates; family Hominidae; genus Homo; species Homo sapiens. The sequence goes on along the minus strand of NC_000007.14, from coordinate 74,816,082 downwards.
TCACGTGCCTTTGTTGGAGATGTGGTTTCATTTGAACAAAAATATGCTTCCTTATTCACAAAACTTCCTACTGTAGACTTTATAAAGCGATATGGATTGCTACCAGCTGCCAGCAGGCTCCTGAGAGCTGGTCCTCAATTGGTCCTTATTTCTTGTGATATGTGTGTAGCATTTGCTACAAAAACAAACCATCTCCCTGGTTTTAATTTATTTTCTCTTTCTTTCTTTCTTTCTTTCTTTCTTTCTTTCTTTCTTTCTTTCTTTCTTTCTTTCTTTCTTTCTTTCCTTCTTTCTTTCTTTCCTTCTTTCTTTCTTTCTCTCCTTCCTTCCTTCCTTTCTTTCTTTCTTGTCTTGCCAGGCTGGAGTGCAGTGGCACGACCTCAGCTCACTGCAACCTCTGCCTCCCAGGTTCAAGTGATTCTCCTGTCTCAGCCTCCTGAGTAGCTGGAATCATAGGTGCACGCCGTCACACCTGGCTAATTTTTTTGTATTTTAGTAGAGACAGGGTTTCACCGTGTTGCCCAGGCTGGTCTCAAACTCCTGAACTCAGGTAATCCACCCTCCTCGGCCTCCCAAAGTGCTAGGATTACAGACATGAGCCACCGCACCAGGCCAATTTTTTTTTCTTTTCTTGAGACAGAGTCTCGCTGTCGCCCAGACTGGAGTACAGTGGTGTGATCTCAGCTCACTGCAACTTCCGCCCCCCCGGGTTCAAGCGATTCTCCTGCTTCAGCCTTCCGAGTAGCTGGGATTACAGGTGCCCACCACCACACCTGGCTGGTTTTTGTATTTTTAATAGAGACGGGTTTTCACCCTGTTGTTCAGGCTAGTCTCGAACTCCTGACCTTAAATGATCTGCCTACCTTAGCCTCCCAAAGTGCTGGGATTACAGGTCTGAGCCACTGTCCCCAGCTGAAAATCAGATTTTTAAATGTTTAGCTTCACTGTCCTTATACCAACAGAGCTGTTAAAGGTTTTCAGACGACCCCTCAGAACTTATAAATTATGTTAAACAATGAACCCCAAGCTATGCCACAGTTTTTTTGTTTTGCTATTACAAACATTCATGGTTAAATTACATGTACATTTTAGTATCAGTCATCTATTGCTGTATTTAAAAGTACCCCTGAAATGAGGCTGGGTGTGGTGGCTCACGCCTGCAATCCCAGCACTTTGGGAGGCCAAGGCAGGCGGATCACCTGAGGTCAGGAGTTGGAGACCAGCCTGGCCAACGTGGTGAAACCTTGTCTCCACTAAACATACAAAAATTAGCCAGGCGTAGTGGTGCGCATCTGTAGTCCCAGCTACTTGGGAGGCTGAGGCAGGAGAATCACTTGAACCTGGGAGGTGGAGGCTGCAGTGAGCCAAGATCATGCCATTGCACTCCAGCCTGGGCTGGAAAGAGAAGGGGAAGGGCTCCAATGGAATGGAATGGAATATTTAGTCTTTCCTACATTTCTGTGTGTTGGCTGGACTGGCTCAGCAAGGGCCGGATGGCTGTGTGTCTGAGGCCCCGGCTGGGACATCAGGGTCTCTCTCCTTGTGGCCTCATACCCTTTGGAGGCACCCTAGGCTGGCTCCCATGGTGATGAGGTTCTAGAAGCAGCAGGCACAGATGATCAAGCTCTTCTCAAGCCTCTCTTTGCATCCCATCGGCTGATGTCCCATTGACCAAAGCAAGTCACACAGCCAGGGCCAGATTTAAAGGGCAGAGAATGGCCTGGCGCCGTGGTTTACAGCTGTAATCCCAACATTTTGGGAGGCCAAGGCAGGCAAATTGCTTGAGTCCAGGAGTTCGAGACCAGCCTGAGTAACATGGTGAAACCTCATGTCTACAAAAAATACAAAAATTAGGCAGGCGTGGTGATGCATGCCTATAGTCAGCTACTCAGGAGGCTGAGACAGGAGGATCGCTTGAGCCCAGGAGACAGAGGTTGCAGTGAGCCATGATCATGCCACTGCACTCCACTGGGCAACAGAGCAAGACTCTGTCTCAAAAAATAATAACAAAATGGCAGAGAAACAGACTTTACTTCTAGAAAAGAAGCATGGGATAGTCACATTGCAAAGGGATGTACATCCTGGGATGGGAGAGGTCTTGAGCTAATTTTTGCAGCCAACCGCACCCTTCTCTGATAAAGGCATTAGGTTGTACTGATATAGCTTCTCCAGGTTTTGAAATCCATTCCATTATAGTGAGTAAGTTAAGATTATAAGTGCCTAGCCGGGCACGGTGGCTTATGCCTGTAATCCCAGCACTTTGAGAGACCAAGGTGGGTGGGTGGATCACCTGAGGTCAGGAGTTTGAGACCGGCCCGGCCTACATGGTGAAACCCCGTCTTTACTGAAAATACAAAAATTAGCCAGGCATGGTGGCGTGGGCCACTTGGGAGGCTGAGGCAGGAGGGTCACTTGAACCTGGGAGGTGGATGTTGCAGTGAGCCGAGATCATGCCACTGCACTCCAGCCTGGGCAACAGAGTGAGACTCTGTCTCAAAAAAAAAAAAATGGTTATATATGTCAGTTCAGGCTTCATGACAGAAGAATCTTCACAGCATTTCATGTAAATGCACGTGGATATTCAGCCACCCTGAAGGGGAAAATCTCCCAAAACTAGGACTAGAATCAGAACTAAGCTCTCCCGCCTTCACGATGCCTTCCTTCATCCTCCTCTCCTTCCTTTCTTTTTTTTTTTTTTTTTTTTTGAGATGGAGTCTCGCTTTATCAACCAGCTGGAGTGCAGTGGCTCGATCTCAGCTCACTGCAACCTCCACCTCCTGGGTTCAAGCAATTCTCCTGCCTCAGCCTCCCATGTGGCTGGCTACAGGCGTCCGCCACCACTCCCAGCTAATTTTTGTAGTTTTAGTAGAGACAGGGTTTCACCATGTTAGCCAGGTTGGTCTCAAACTCCTGACCTCAAGTGATCTGCCCGCCTCAGCCTCCCAAAGTACTGGTATTGGAGGCGTGAGTCACCGTGCCCGGTCCCCTCCTTCCTTCTTTCCTTTTCTATTGATTTTACAATTGATATTATTTTTATATAAACATACATAAATACACAAATGTATGTTTTCTATATGTATATTATTTTAATTTATAGTATTTCTATTTTTGTATCAAGAGGTCAAATTTGTTCATAGTGAGTGAGCTACAAGTTCTTTTGCTGATTGTAACATTGCTGTATTAATCAACTTATATTAGCTAGTCGTATTTCTTTGTTGGCAAACTTAACCTAACATACAATTTTATCATTTCCATTACATTCCAAGGCATTTCACTGAAAGCAGAAGCTGTCTCAGTCAAGAAAGAATCAGAAGATCCTAATTACTATCAATATAATATGCAAGGTAATACTGTTTGATAATAATTTTCTTCCCCAAAAGTTATTTGGGATGGAAGATTTTAATTACTACCTGTCTGAAAAACTGGCGAGCACCCATGTGTGTTTACCTAGGATCTAGCATGCTGCCATTTAGAGTAAATAATCCTACAGTTATAAAATAGATTCTATTTAGCCTAAATCCACGTACTCTTTTGTTTGTTTTTTTACAGAGATGAGGTCTCACCTTGTTGCCCAAGCTGTTCTCTAACTCCTGGGCTTAAGTAGTCCTCCAGCCTTGGCCTCCAGAAGTGCTGAGATTATAGGCGTGAGCCACCATGCCTGGGCTAAATCCACATACTCTTTTTTTTTTTTGAGACAGAATCTCACTCTGTTGCCCAAGCTGGAGTTCAGTGGCACTATTTCCACTTACTGCAAACTCTGCCTCCTGGGTTCAAATGATTCTTGTGCCTCAGCCTCCCAAGGAGCTGGGATTACAGGCGTGTGCCACCACGCCTGGCTAATTTTTTGTATTATTAGTAGAGACGGGGTTTCGCCATGTTGGCCAGGCTGGTCTCGAACTCCTGACCTCAGGTGATCCACTCACCTTGGCCTCCCAAAATGCTGGGATTACAGGCATGAGCCGCCACACCTGACCCATAAGGCTTTTAAAAAGAAGTCATAAATTGTCACGACTGTCATGATTTTGCACCACCTAATGAAGCAGTGCATCTTGGCAATAATTGTCAGTGGTCATTAAAACCATTTTATAAAAGTCTGATGGGGACTTTATCATGGGCAGACCTGACTGACAGTTCCTGAACTGACTGGTCACTGGTCTCCTGACGGTATCCAGTAGGAAGTACACCACACCACCTTTGTCAAGGATTCTTCCAAAAAAAAAAAAAAAATCAAACCTGGCCAGGTGTAGTGTCTCATACCTGTAATCCCAGCACTTTGGGAGGCCAAGGCAGGTGTATGACTTGAGCCCAGGAGTTCAAAACCAGCCTGGGCAACATGGTGAGACGCCGTCTCTACAAAAAATACAAAAAGTAGCCGGGCATGGTGGCACACACCTGTAGCCCCAGCTACTTGGGAGGCTGAGGTGGGAAGATCGCTTGAGTCTGGGAGGTCAAGGCTGCAGCGAGCTGTGATCACACCACTGCACTCCAGCCTGGGTGCTGGAGTGAGACTCTCTCTCAAAACAACAACAAAACAAAACAAAACAATCAGACCTAAGTCTGATCCAGCCTTTAGATCTAACCAGCAGTTTTTAGGAGATGCATGGAATACAGGCACATATGAAAACATCACCACAAGGATGTAGTCAATAAAATCCAGAATGTGAGAAACTCAGAGAAATTAATTGGTTTATGTTTTTTTTGTTTGTTTTTTTTTAGACAGAGTCTCGCTCTGTCGCCCAGGCTGGAATGCAGTGGCGTGATCATGGCTCACTGCAACCTTCACCTCCCAGGTTCAAGTGATTCTCCTGGCTCGGCCTCAAGAATAGCTGAGATTACAGGCGTGTGCCACCACACTCGGTTGATTTTTGTATTTTTTTGTAGAGAAGGGGTCTCACCATGTTGGCCAGGCTGGTCTCGAACTCCTGACCTCAGGTGATCTGCCCGCCTCCACCTCCCAGAGTGCTGAGATTACAGGCGTGAGCTACCGCGCGCAGCCAGTTTTATTTCAAGGGGTAGAAGTATTTCAGGTGTATTCCTGTGTGGGTATTGACTTGTTTGCATTGTATTCAGTGATTTCTTTTTACATTTTTGTATTTCTCCTTTGTTATATATTATTTATTTTTCTTTCAGGAAGCCACCCTTCTTCCACAAGCAATGAAGTAATAGAAATGGAATTACCAATGGAAGGTTAGAAAAATGCAGCATTTTTTCTCTCTCTTTTAAGAAAAGTTTATAGAAGTTTATAGTATTTTACAAAGAACATACTTTTTTTTTTCTTTTTTGAGACAGAGTCTCGCTCTGTCACCCAGGCTGGAGTGCAGTGGCGCAATCTCGGCTCACTACAACCTCTGCCTCCTGGGTTCAAGCGATTCATGTGCCTCAGCCTCCTGAGTAGCTGCGATTACAGGCGCGTACCACCACGCCCGGCTAATTTTTGTATTTTTAGTAGAGACGGGATTTCACCATGTTGTCCAGGCTGGTCTTGAACTCCTGACCTCAAGTGATCCGTCCACCTCTGCCTCCCATAGTGCTGGGATTACAGGCGTAAGCCACCATGCCCAGCTGAAAGTTTATAGTATTTTACAGAGAACATACTCTTTTATACATGTAAGTTGGAAAATAAGGAAGGTGACTTTCTGGCATGCCTGTCTTCTCAGAAAACTATGAATAGTTGAGCTCTTGCCCTAAGATATAACATGAAGGGCTCTATCACTTCTTGTGCTTCTGATCTGTGAGTGATTCTACTTAAAGCACCCGAATATGGAAGTTAACTTTGCAGTGGTGCTGTTTCTTGCTTTGTCTTTTGGATGGCATGACATAATTCTTTTGGACAGAGTCGAATAGTATTTTAGGAAATCCTTGCATTAGAAGTAAAATTTGATAATACTTCCCTCCATTCATATATAAATCTTGAGCATCATATGAATAAAGCCTAAATTCCTACGGTGGTTTGTGTATGTCCAAGATAAAATTAATAATTTTAAAAAAGGGCCAGGCATGGTGGCTTATGCCTGTAATCTCAGCACTTTGGGAGGCTGAGGTGGGCAGATCACCTGAGGTCAGGAGTTCAAGACCAGCCCGGCCAACATGGTGATACCCTGTCTCTACTAAAAATACAAAAATTAGCCAGGCGTGGTGGCAGGCACCTGTAATCCCAGCTACTCGGGAGGCTGAGGCACGAGGATTGCTTGAAACTAGGAGGCGGAGGCTGCAGTGAGCCGAAATCGCACCATTCCACTCCAGCCTGGGTGACAGAGTGAGACTGTCTCAATAATGATAATAATAATAATAATAATAATAAAGATTTCCTTTCCAAACCTAGAGGCGTGGGACATCTTTGCCATTTACAGGCAATGTGATCTTACTTTTAGTTGTATATATCTGCCTTAGAGAGATAGTGACACATGGACTACCAAAATGATTCTGTTTTTTTTTTTTTTTGAGACAGAATCTCACCCTGTCACCCAGGCTGGAGTGCAGTGTGTCGCGACCTTGGCTCACTGCAGCCTCCACCTCCCGGGCTGAAGCAATTCTCCCTCCTCAGCCTCCTGAGTAGCTGGGATTACAGGCGTGCGCCACCACGCCTGGATAATTTTTGTATTTTTAATAGAGTTGGGGTTTCACCATGTTGCCCAGGCTGGTCTTCAACTCCTGACCTCAAGTGATGCGCCCACCTCGGCCTCCCAAAAGTGCTGGGATTACAGGTGCGAGCCACCGTGCCCGGCCCAGTTACTGTTTATTATCCTATTATTATTGCTTATAAAATTAAAATTATGTTTATATTATTTATATATGAAATATATTTAAAATGCCAGGATAAGCTACTTTTTTGGTATAGGAGCATTAATGTGTTGGAATATGAGGAGAATACTTAATAATGAATGTCATTTTAGACATTTTTTTTTCAAGATTCCACTCCGCTGGTCCCTTCAGAAGAACCAAATGAGGACCCTGAAGCCGAGGTGAAAATCGAAGGTTAGTTGCCCAAAGCCCCATTGCCAAGTATGGTTTTCATTCTTTCTAACAGGATTAATTGCAGGGAGGATGGCAGAGCTCAGTGGCTCAAGCCTGTAATCCCAGCACCTTGGGAGGCCAAGGCAGGTGTATTGCTTGAGCCCAGGAGTTTGAGACCAGCCTGGGAAACATGGCGAAACCCTGTCTCTACTAAAAATACAAAATTAGCCAGGCGTGGTGGTGCATGTCTGTATTTCCAGCTACTTGGGAGGCTGAGACAGGAGGATCGCTTGAACCTGAGAGGCGGAGGTTGCAGTGAGCTGAGATCTCACCACTGTACTGCAGCCTGGGTGACAGAGCGAGATTCCATCTAAAAAAAAAAAAAAATTGTGGGGAAGAGATTGAAATCTCTAATGTAGTATAATGTATATATATAATAGAGCAGCCATTCCCATTAGGGCCCAATGCTTTGAGGTGTTGTAGACAACATAATTAGCTGTGCAAAAAAAAATTAGAAAGAAAAGAAAAATAATAACTAGGCATGATGGTGCATGCTTGTATTCCCAGCACTTTGTGAGGCCAAGGCAAGAAGATCATTTGAACCCTGGAGTTCTAGATCAGACTGGGCAACATAGTGAGACTATCTCTGCAAAAAGTAAACATTAAGAAAAAGTTAGGCAAGGCACAGTGGTTCACGCCTGTAATCCCAGCATTTTGGGAGGCTGAGGTGGGCAGATCACTTGATCCCAGGTGTTTGAGACCAAATTGGGCATAGTGAAACCCTGTCTCTACTAAAAATACAAAAAGTTAGCAGGGCATGGTGGCACACACCTGTAGTCCCAGCTATTCGGGAGACTGAGGTGGGCCAATCACCTGAGCCCAGGGAAGTCGAGGCTGCAGTGAGCCGTAATTGTGCCACAATACTCCAGCCTGGGTGATGGGAGTGAGATCCTGCCTCGAAACAAACTAACAAAAATATCAGCCATGCATGGTGGCATGCATCTGTAGTCTCAGCTACTTGGGAGGCTGAGGTGGGAGGATCGCTTGAGCCCAGGATTTTGAGGCTGCAGTGAGCTGTGATTATGCCCCTGCATTCCAGCATGGTCAACAGAGCAAGACTCCATCTCTAAAAATAAAAATTAAAAAAAAATTTTTTTTTAAGTCTTGCACGTTAGCACTGACCCACAACTGGGCCTCAACTGTGCTGTGTTCACGTGAGGAAAGAATGAAGGGTTGAGGGTACATGAGGGGGGAGAATGGAAAGAAAAGGACGATTCACTCAGACATAGCCCCTTTGCTACTGGAGTGGACAGATAAATATCAAAGGTAACTCCGCAGGCCTGCAGCCGGTGAACTCAGTTGAAGTGCAAGTATCTAAAGGAAGTGAAGTTGAAAGTGTGATTTAAGGCTGGCGTGGTGGGTGGCTCACACCTGTAATCCCAGCACTTTGGGAGACCCAGGTGGGTGAATCCCTTGAGGCCAGGAGTTCAAGACCAGCCTGGCCAACATGGCGAAACTCTGTCTCTACTAAAAATACAAAAATTAGAGCCGGGCGTGGTGGCTCACGCCTGTAATCCCAGCACTTTGGGAGGCCCAGGTAGGTGAATCACTTGAGGTCAGGAGTTCTCAACCAGCATGACCAACACGGTGAAACTCCGTCTCTACTAAAAAAAAAATACAATTATTAACTGGGCATGGTGGTGGGTGTCTGTAATCCCAGCTACTCAGGAGGCTGAGGCACGAGAATCACTTGAACCTGGGAGGCAAAGGTTGCAGTGAGCCGAGATCGCACCACTGCACTCCAGCCTGGGTGATAGACTCAGTCTCAAAAAAAAAAAAAAAAATTAGCCAAGCATGATGGTGCATGTCTGTGGTCCCAGCTACTCACAAGGCTGAGGTGGGAGGATCACTTGACCGTGGGAGGTCGAGGATGCAGTGAGCTAGGATCACACCACTGCACTCCAGCCTGAATGACAGAGTAAGAACCTGTCTCAAAAAAAAAAAAAAAAAGAAAAAAAAATTCAGTCTGGGCTTCTGATCAAAGCAGCACTTAGACATATTTAAAGGAGAATTGGTCTTATTCTTGGTAAATTCTAAACTTCAACTTCTGTTTTAAGGAAACACAAATTCATCCAGTGTTACAAATTCTGCAGCAGGTGTTGAAGATCTTAACATCGTTCAAGTGACTGTTCCAGGTATGGACTAATGTTACATTTTTCCTTTTGTCTTAATTATTTTTTGACATAGGCTGGTCTCTTGGACCTGTCATTTTTCACTTAGTTCACCCTGATAGCTAAGAAATGACATTTCGGGAATATAAAATATTCTGCAAGTTGCTACACAACGAGCATCTTGCTCACATCAGACATTATTAATCGGATATTTTGCTTCTCCTGGACAAGCCCGGGCATTACCTGGAAAATGCATCTCAGAGCAGGCAGCACGGAGCACCAGCTATGGTTGAATTGGAATTGGCCACAGAGGTGAAATGTTTTGTTGCTCATCATTAACAATCTTCTGGCCGGGCACGGTGGCTTACGCCTGTAATCCCAGCACTTTGGGAGGCTAAGACGGGCAGATCACGAGGTCAGGAGATCGAGACCATCCTGGATAACACGGTGAAACCCTGTCTCTACTAAAAATACAAAAAAATTAGCCGGGTGTGGTGGCGAGCACCTGTAGTCCCAGCTACTCGGGAGGCTGAGGCTGAAGAATGGCGTGAACCTGGGAGGTGGAGCTTGCAGTGAGCGGAGATCACACCACTGCACTCCAGCCTGGGTGACAGAGCGAGACTCTGTCTCAAAAAAATAAATAATAATAATAATAATAATCTTCTTTTCTGAATATGTGTATGTAAAATATATCTGGAAAGATACAAGAGAATCTAATTACATAGTTCCTCCAGGGAAGGAAACTGACCGCTGAGATAGGGATAGGAGAGAGACGTTTGAGATGTTTCTGTATATTACTCCTCTTGAATGTTGAGCCATGTGATTGCTTTAGTTATTCAAAAGTAAATAAAGTTTTAAAGTGTTGAAAAATATCTAAAAAATAAAAACAAAAAAAAAGGACCAGGCATGGTGGCATGTGCCTGTAATCTCAGCACTTTGGGAAGCTGAGGCAGGAGGATCACTTGAGCCCAGGAGTTTGAGACCAGCCTGCACAGCACAGTGAGACTCTGTCTCTAAAAAACAAAAAGAAAAGAAAAACAGACCGGGTGCGGTGGCTCACACCTGTAATCCCAGCACTTTGGGAGGCTGAGGCAGGTGGATCACCTGAGGTCAGGAGTTCGAGACCAGCCTGGCCAACATGGTGAAACCCCATCTTTACTAAAAATACAAAAATCAGCTGGTGTGGTGGTGGGTGCCTGTAATCCCAGCTACTTGGGAGGCTGAGGCAGGAGAATTGCTTGAACCCAGGAGGGGTGCAGTGAATTGCTTGAACCCAGGAGTTTGCAGTGAGCCAAGATTGTACCATTGTACTCCAGCCTGGGTGACAAGAGCAAAACTCAGCCTCAAAACAAAACAAAACAAAACAAACAAACAAAAAAAGAGAGGAAAAAAAGGAAAGAAAATAAAAATATACCTTACCTTCTAATCCTAGTACCTCTTATTCCTTTTACTTGTCATATTTCATTGGCTAAGATTTCTATTTTAAGGCCGAAAAGTGGTGGTGAAAGTAAACATCCTTGTCTTTTTTTTTTTTTTTTTTTTTTTGAGACGGAGTCTTGCTCTGTCACCCAGGCTGGAGTGCAGTGGCGCGATCTCGGCTCACTGCAAGCTCCGCCTCCTGGGTTCACGCCATTCTCCTGCCTCAGCCTCCCGAGTAGCTGGGACTACAGGCGCCTGCCACCATGCCCGGCTAAATTTTTGTATTTTTAGTAGAAACGGGGTTTCACCATGTTAGCCAGGATGGTCTCAATCTCCTGACCTCGTGATCCACCTGCCTCGGCCTCCCAAAGTGCTGGGATTACAGGCGTGAGCCACCGCGCCTGGCCCTAAACATCCTTGTCTTGTATGATATTGAAAATATTCCTTAAAAGTAGTATGTAGTATGTTTATATAGGGTTATAATTTGGAAAATTCTCTATTGTCTGTAATGGCTTCCATTTCCAAATTTCCAAGATGCTTAATTATTGCTAAAAGTAGACTGAATAACAATCCAGGTAAAGCACTTTCTCGGGTGCTAACAGGCATTTCTCCCAACAGCTTTCTTGGGAGAAAATACATTAATAACCTTGGTTTGTTTATTTGTTTAATTATTTTTAGATAATGAGAAGGAAAGATTATCAAGCATTGAAAAGATTAAACAGCTAAGAGAACAAGTTAATGACCTCTTTAGCCGAAAATTTGGTAAGTTTTTATATCTTTTTATATCCAGAATTCATATACCTAAAATACTTCTTTTTAAAAGAATACTTGGCCAGGTGCATTGGCTCATACCTGTAATCCTAGCACTTTAGGAGGCTAAGGCTAGAGAATCACTTGAGCCCAGGAGTTTGAGACCAGCCTGGGCAGCAAAGTGACACCCCAGGTCTACAAAAGGAAAAAAACAAAACTTTATCTTATAAGAATTTGATCTTGGCTGGGCGCAGTGGTTCACACTTTTAATCCCAGCACTTTGGGAGGCCAAGGTGTGTGGATCACTTGAGGCCAGGAGTTCAAGTCCAGCCTGGCCAACATGGCAAAATCCCATCTCTACTAAAAATACAAAAAAATTAGCCGGGTGTGGTGGCGCACACCTGTAATCCCAGCTACTCAGGAGGCTGAGGCACGAGAATCGGTTGTAACTGGGAGGCAGAGGTTGCAGTGAGCTTAGATCGCGCTATTGCACTCCAGCCTGGGCGACAGAGTGAGACCCTGTCTCAAAAAAAAAAAAAAAAAAAGAAATTGATCTTTTTGTGAAAGAGCTATGATAAAAATTAGTCAATATGTCTTTTTACAGAAGAGCTTTTGCATGGTATCATTGACTAATTACAATAATAATAATAATAGCTATCTTTGTTTTACTGAGTGCTTACCTTGTATATTATTTTTTGTGCTCAACATGTGTTTGATCATTTAATCCTCACATAAAACCTTTCAGGTAGGCGCCATGATAACCCTGTGTAATGGATGGAGGAACTGAGTTTGCCTACTACCCATGCTAATTCCAAACTTTTAAAATTATATTCACACATCATAGTAGCACTGGAAAATAAAATGACTGATCATAAGTATTGTCATTTGATGCTTCTAAATCCTGACATTAAAGAAAAATCCTGGTTTAGGAAACGTAAGGAACAAACTCAGCTAGTTTTATTTGTGTTGTTGTTTTTTTAATTTGTTGTTTTGTTTTGTGTTTTGTTTTGAGGCAGGGTCTCGCTCTGTCTCTCAGGCTGGAGTGCAGTGGGGCGATCTCGGCTCACTGCAACTTCTGCCTCCTGGGTCCCTCCCATGTGGCTGGGATTACAGGCATGCGCCACCACGCCCAGCTAATTTTTGTATTTTTAGTAGAGACAGGGTTTCACCATGTTAGCCAGGCTGGTCTCGAACTCCTGGCCTCAAGTGATTCACCCGCCTCAGTCTCCCAGAGGGCTGGGATTACAGGTGTGAGCCACCGTGCCCAGCCAAACTCAGCTGGTTTTATGCTGCTCATCCCGTCACAGGTGAAGCAATTGGCGTGGATTTCCCTGTGAAAGTTCCCTACAGGAAGATCACATTCAACCCTGGCTGTGTGGTGATTGATGGCATGCCCCCGGGGGTGGTATTCAAGGCCCCCGGCTATCTGGAAATCAGTTCCATGAGGAGGATCTTGGAGGCAGCTGAGTTTATCAAATTCACAGTCATCAGGTAAGTGAGTCAAGAGAAGGAATCTGGAGACTCTGACTTGCCCGAGGTGGGCATGTGGCTGCCCAGGAATGTCTGTCCCATGACTTGGGCTGGGGGTTTGTTCCCGCAGCTGACCGCTGGGCCATGCTGCCTCTCACACTGACTTCATCATCTTCTGCTTCCTTGAGATGTGTCCATGTCCCTGTTCCTCGGTGATCATGGGCAGCCCGTCCCAGTTTTAGCTCACACAGCACCTAGCGTAGAGTTGATACTCTGCAAAAATTTGTCCAATAAAACTAAGTGGGGCCAGGCACGGTGGCTCACGCCTGTAATCCCAGCACTTTGGGAGGCTGAGGCGGGCCAGATCGCCTGAGGTCAGGAGTATGAGGCAAGCCTGGCCAACATGGTGAAACCCCGTTGCTACTGAAAATACAAACATTAGTCGGGTGTGGTGGCGTGCGCCTCTAATACCAGCTACTCAGGAGGCTGAGGCGTGAGAATCACTTAACCTGGGAGGTGGAGGTTGCAGTGACCTGAGATGGCACCACTGCACTCCAGCCTGGGCAGCAGAATGAGCCTCCATCTCAAAACATAAATAAATAGGCCGGGCATGGTGGCTCAGGCCTGTAATCCCAGCATTTTAGGAGGCTGAGGCAGGTGGATCATTTGAGGTCAGGAGTTTGAGACCAGCCTGGCCAACATGGTGAAACTCCATCTCTACTAAAAATAAACATTAGCTGGGTGTAGTGGTACGTGCCTGTAATCCCAGCTACTCAGGAGAATCACTTGAACCTGGAATGTGGAGGTTGCAGTGAGCCCAGATGACACCACTGCACTCCAGCCTGGGTGATGGAGTGAGACTCCGTCTCAAAAAAAACAAAAACAAAAGGCTCAACGCAGTGGCTCATGCCTGTAATCCCAGCACTTTGGGAGGCCAAGGTAGGTAGATCTCCTGATGTCAGGAGTTCAAGAGTAGCCTGGCCAACATGGTGAAACTAAAAATACAAAAAATTAGCTGGGCGTGGTGGCGGGCACCTGTAATCCCAGCTACTCAGGCGGCTGAGGCAGGAGAATGGCTTGAACCCAGGAGGCGGAGGTTGCGCTAAGCCGAGATCGCGCCACTGCACTCCAGCCTGGGTGACGCGGCGAGACTCTTGTCTCAAAAAAAACAAAAACAAAACAAACAAATAAATAAATATTCTTCTGTAAAAAAATAAATAAGTAAAAATTAAAAAAAAATAAAACTAAGTGGGCAAAAGAGGAAATGTGAGCTTGTCACATTTATCAATGTGTCTTTCTCTTCAGGCCGCTTCCAGGGCTTGAGCTCAGTAATGGTGAGTATTCTACAGGTGAGAAGAACGTTCCGGCAATGTTGGGCCATGGGAAGTGTCTTGGTGGGCGCTCACCACGGGGTTTTTGCTTCCGTGAGCCTGGGACCCAAGTATGCAGCCTTCGATGCATGCTTTATTTTTCCTGCATGTGATAAAGTTAGATAACTCTGTTACTTGAGTTTGATTAACCAGTCTGAAGGAGAGTGATCTATATCACACCATGAGTGTGACGTGTGATGTGGCGCACTCTTTTTTTTTTTTTTGGAGACGGAGTCTCGCTCTGTCACCCAGGCTAGAGTGCAATGGCACAATCTCGGCTCACCACACAACCTCCGCCTCCCGGGTTCAAGTGATTCTCCTGCCTCAGCCTCCCGAGTAGCTGGGACTATAGGCGTGTGCCACCACGCCTGGCTAATTTTTGTATTTTTAGTAGAGATGGGGTTTTGCCATGTTGGCCAGGCTGGTCTTGAACTTCTGACCTCAAGGGATCTGCCCGCCTCCACCTTCCAAAGTGCTGGGATTACGGGCATGAGCCACCACGCATGGCTGATGTGGCACACTATTCAAGTGTGCTTTGTGGTGGGGGCTCCCCTGAGGCCACCCGCACAGCTGCACTCAGGATCACAGTACCGATCTCCTCTGTGTTAGTTGGTAAATAGTGCCTGCCTGGCCATGCAGTCCCACCCTAGTACCCTCCGACCGTGGCTTGACCTCCCTACAGTGCTGAAGCAAAAGGGGTTCCACCTGGCACAGCAGAGGCCCCTAGAACCCTTCCAGTGCTGAGACTAGCATCTGTTCTTTTTTTTTTCTTTTTTTTTTTTTTTGAGACAGAGTCTCGCTCTCTCACCCAGGCTGGAGTGCAGTGGCAAGATCTCGGCTCACTGCAACCTCCGCCTCCCGGGTTCAAGCGATTCTCTGCCTCAGCCTTCCGATTAGCTGGGATTACAGGTGCGTGCCGCCACATCCAGCTACTTTTTGTATTTTTTAGTAGAGACAGGGTTTAGCCATGTTGGCCAGGCTGGTCTCAAACTCGTGACCTCAAGTGATCCACCCGCCTTGGTCTCCCAAACTGCTGGGATTACAGATGTAAGCCACTGCACCTGGCTCAGCATCTGTTCTGATTGAGCAATGCCCAGGCACTCTGCTTCTGAAATATTCTCTTTTTTTTCCCCTTCAACTTTTATTTTAAGTTCCAGGGTCCATGTGCAGGATGTGCAGGTTTGTTACACAGGTAAACGTGTGCCATGGTGGTTTGCTGCACCTATCAACCCATCACCTAGGTATTAAGCCCAGCATGCATTAGCTATTCTTCCTGATGCTCTCCCTCCCCCCGCCCCCACCCTGTTAAATATTCTTAATGTCTTCCCCGGAGCCCTTGCAAGTGAGTCAGTATCCTGTCAAGTAGAATACGGAGAGGTGTTCTCACGAGCATGAGTCACCAGGGAACCTCCTAATGTAACATTTGAAAACCAAAGTAGGCTGGGCGCGGTGACTCACACCTGTAATCCCAGCACTTTGGGAGGCCGAGGCGCGCGGATCATGAGGTCAGGAGATGGAGACCCTTCTGTACAACGTGGTGAAACTCCGTCTCTACTAGAAATACAAAAATTAGTCGGGCATGGTGGCGCGTGCCTATAATCCCAGCTACTCGGGAGGCTGAGGCAGGAAAATCACTTGAACCAGGGAGTCGGGGGTTGCAGTGAGCCGAGATCGTGCCACTGCACTCCAGTTTGGTGACAGAGCAAGACTCTGTCTCAAAAAAAAAAAAAAAGAAAAGAAAAGAAAACCAAAGTATCCTATTAAAATGCTCCATTTTTATTCCCAAACGCATCTGATTGCTAAATGATTTTTTGATCTTTTATAATATCTTTATTTATTTATTGTATTATTATTGGGGTTTTTTAGAGACAAGGTCTCACTCTGTCACCCAGGCTGGAGTGCAGTGGCATGATCATAGCTCACTGCAGCCTGGAACTCCTGCCCTCAGGTGATTCTCCCACCTTCACCTCCCGAGTAACTGGGACAGCACTGCCATGCCCAGATAATTTTTTTTTTTTTTTTTTTTTGTAGAGACAGGGTCTCACTATGTTTCCCAGGCTGGCCTTGAGCTTCTGGCTTCAAGCGATCCTCCTGCCTCAGCCTCCCAAAGTGCTGGGATTATAGGCATGAGCCGCTGTACATGGCCTACATTTTCTTAAGGTGCACTTTTATGTGTGTGTACTCTGGAAATACCTTGATTACCTGCAGGGTGGCCAGGTTCTTTAAATCTAAAACACTAGCCCCTGTACACTCGAACACACTTATACGAATGAGTTTTGTGTGGTTCTGTGGCCGTCACCCTTGTCATTTGAGACTCACAGTAGGTAAAAATCATATGCCTTTCTGTGCTCATTCCCATCTCTGTTATTACAAAGTTTTCTTGGGAATCAAATGAGAAAATATATTAAAATGCTCACACCTATAATCCCAGGACTTTTGGAGGCCAAGGCAAGAGGATTGCTTGAGGCCAGGAGTTTGAGACCAGCCTGGGCAACATAGCAAGACCCCATCTCTACAAAAAATTTAAAAATTAGCTGGAAACAGTGGCTCACACCTGTAGCCCCAGCTACTTGGCAGGCTAAAGCAGGAGGATCACTTAAACTCAGGAGTTTGAGACAGCAGAGAACCATAATTGCAATACTACACTCCAGCCTGGGTGACAGAACAAGACCCTGTCTCTAAAAAGAAAATGCAAACATATTATCAAATAATTCCTGTTTAAACTGGACATAACAAGCACAGCTACATGCTGAACCTCATCAAAGGTGTCTTTTGTTTGGCTCATGTACTTTTGAAAATAAGGATGAGGCCTGGCACGGTGGCTCCTGTAATCCCAGCACTTTGGGAGGCCAAGGCGGGTGGATCGCTTGAGCCTGGGGTTTCAGACCAGCCTGGGCAACAAGGTAAGACTCCAGCTCTACAAAAAAAAAAAAAAAAGAAAAAGAAAAAAAGAAAAGAAAGAAAGAAAGAAAAGATAGCTCGGTGTGGTGCATGCCTGTAGTCCCAGCAACTGGGAGCTGAAGTGGGAGGATCACCTGAGCCCAGGGAGTTCCAGGCTGCAATGAGTCATTATCACCACAAACCAGGCACTCTTTCATAAAAGTCAATCTTCAGGTTTTCTTTAGAAAACCTGAAGATCTGGCTGGGTGCAGTGGCTCATGCTTGTAATCCCAGCACTTTGGGAGGCTGAGGTGGGCGGATCACCTGAGGTCAGGAGTTCGAGACCAGCCTGGACAACATGGTGAAATCTCATCTCTACTAAAAATACAAAAATTAGCTGGGCGTGGTGGCAGGCACCTGTCATAACAGCTACTCAGGAGGCTGAGGCAGAAGAATCGCTTGAACCCAGGAGGCAGAAGTTGCAGTGAGCCGAGATTGCGCCACTGCACTGCAGCCTGGGCGACAGAGCAAAACTCCGTCTCAACAACAACGACAACAAAAATTCAGTCTTCAGGTTTTCTTTAGAAAACTTGAAGATCTGGCCACAGCTGGCATCCTGGCAGCGGTTTGCTGGAGTTGAGGGTCAGCCGTCCCTCTGCAGGGTGGGTCACCCTCCTGTTAACCACGCCCTGCCCCGCCCCGCTTCCTCCCTCTCGTGCGTCATCAAGCATTTGCTGTTGTTTTCCTCATAGTAGTGATAAGAGAAAAGTGAAATATCTTTGTCTCCCTGTCTCTGTCAAAAGTGGGAAAACGCAAGATAGACCAGGAGGGCCGTGTGTTTCAAGAAAAGTGGGAGAGAGCGTATTTCTTCGTGGAAGTACAGAATATTCCAACATGTCTCATATGCAAACAAAGCATGTCTGTGTCCAAAGAATATAACCTAAGACGCCACTATCAAACCAATCACAGCAAGCATTATGACCAGTATATGGAAAGAATGCGTGACGAGAAGCTTCACGAGCTGAAAAAAGGGCTCAGGAAGTATCTCTTAGGCTCATCAGACACCGAGTGTCCCGAGCAAAAACAAGTGTTTGCAAACCCAAGTCCAACCCAGAAATCCCCCGTGCAGCCTGTAGAGGACCTAGCTGGGAACTTATGGGAGAAGTTACGTGAAAAAATCAGGTCTTTTGTGGCATATTCTATCGCAATCGATGAGATCACGGATATAAATAATACCACCCAGTTGGCCATATTCATCCGTGGTGTCGATGAGAATTTCGATGTGTCCGAAGAACTTCTGGACACGGTGCCCATGACGGGTACAAAATCTGGCAACGAGATCTTTTCGCGTGTTGAGAAAAGCCTGAAAAACTTCTGTATCGACTGGTCGAAATTAGTAAGCGTGGCCTCCACTGGCACCCCAGCGATGGTGGATGCCAATAACGGGCTTGTCACAAAACTGAAGTCCAGGGTGGCGACGTTCTGCAAGGGTGCGGAACTGAAGTCCATCTGTTGTATAATTCATCCGGAATCACTCTGTGCTCAGAAGTTGAAGATGGACCACGTCATGGACGTGGTAGTGAAGTCCGTGAACTGGATATGCTCCCGGGGACTGAACCACAGTGAGTTCACAACCTTGCTCTATGAGCTGGACAGCCAGTATGGTAGCCTCCTGTACTACACGGAGATTAAGTGGCTCAGTCGCGGGCTCGTGCTAAAGAGATTTTTCGAATCCTTGGAAGAAATCGACTCCTTCATGTCATCCAGAGGGAAACCCCTGCCTCAACTGAGCTCCATAGATTGGATCCGAGACCTGGCCTTCTTGGTTGACATGACGATGCATCTGAACGCTTTGAACATCTCTCTCCAAGGACACTCCCAAATCGTCACGCAGATGTATGACCTGATCCGGGCGTTCCTAGCAAAACTGTGCCTCTGGGAGACTCATTTGACGAGGAATAATCTGGCCCACTTTCCCACCCTGAAATTGGCTTCCAGAAATGAAAGCGATGGCCTGAACTACATTCCCAAAATCGCGGAACTCCAGACCGAATTCCAGAAAAGGCTGTCTGATTTCAAACTCTACGAAAGCGAACTGACTCTGTTCAGCTCCCCGTTCTCCACGAAGATCGACAGTGTGCACGAGGAGCTCCAGATGGAGGTTATCGACCTGCAATGCAACACGGTCCTGAAGACGAAATACGACAAGGTGGGAATACCAGAATTCTACAAGTACCTCTGGGGTAGCTACCCGAAATACAAGCACCATTGCGCAAAGATTCTTTCCATGTTCGGGAGCACCTACATCTGCGAACAGCTGTTCTCCATTATGAAACTGAGCAAAACAAAATACTGCTCCCAGTTAAAGGATTCCCAGTGGGATTCTGTACTCCACATCGCAACGTGATGGAGAGAAAACTCCTGGCAGGGCCCTATGGTGGGAAAGGCTGGAGTCTTCTAGTCCCAAGGGATTGGGAGATGACAAAATGAATTTTTTTTTCTTTTTTGAGATGGAGTCTTGCTCTGTCGCCCAGGTTGGAGTGCAGTGGCGTGATCTCGGCTTACTGCAACTTCCAGCTCCTGGGTTCGAACGATTCTCCTGCCTCAGCCTCCCGAGCAGCTGGGACTACAGGCGTGCGCCACCATGCCTGGCTAATTTTTGTATTAGTAGAGATGAGGTTTCACCATGTTGGCCAGGCTGGTCTCCAACTCCTGACCTCAGGTGATCCACCTGCCTCGACCTCACAAAGTGCTGGGATTACAGGCATGAACCACTGTGCCCAGCTGACAAAATGAGTTCTTAAACTTTTTTTTTTTTCAGTTTTTTTTCCACTTTGAATCAGAAATATAATCTGCAGTATCATACTTGTTTATATTACATTGTATGCCTCACTATTCATTAAAAATCAAGAAAGTTTTATTGTATTATTGGTAGTTGACTTTTCTTATGCCTGGCTTGTTTCATTCATTCACATTACCTGCCTGCCACCCTGATAGGCACTGTAGTTGGCATCTTGAAGTTTAAATCAATCAACAGAGAAATAGGGAGAGAGACGTGTATATTTGCTTTTTGGTTTTGGGGGTTCTTTTTTTGAGGCGGAGTCTCACTCTGTTACCCAGGCTGGAGTACAATGGGGCGATCTGGGCTCACTGCAGCCTCTGCCTCCGGGGTTCAAGTGATTCCCCTGCCTCAGCCTCCCGAGTAGCCGGGGTTACAGGTGCCCACCACCACGCCCGGCTCATTTTTGTATTTTTAGTAAAGATAGGGTTTCACCATGTTGGCCAGGCTGGTCACAAACTCCTGACCTCAAGTGATCTGCCGGCCTTGGCCTCCCAAAGTGCTGGAATTACAGGCGTGAGCCACTGCGCCCAGCCTGAGACATGTATATTTGTGGAGGAGTATATATGAACACACATTTATCCCCCGTTCCCGTCCGCGTGGTATCCCACATGGTCTAATACGTTTCCAAGTTTCAGGAGAAATAGTTGAAAACATACTGACATACAATAATCCTATGTTATCTGTCTCTGCCTTCACCTGGAACCAGAAAGGTCAGGTTTAAAATGGAAAAACCCAGAGCCAGAAAGGTCAGGTTTAAAATGGAAAACCCCAGAGCAAATAACGTAGACTTTGTCTATAAAAGTTAGACAAAGTAAGTTAAGGTTTAGAGGGGTTTTTTTGTTTGTTTTTTACTATGAATAGTTACCGAAAAGTTGTGGCCAAGCATGTGGCTCACACCTGTAATCCCAGCACTTTGGGAGGCCAAGGTGGGTGGATCACTTGAGGTCAGGAGTTCGAGACCAGCCTGGGTAACATGGTGAAACCCTGTCTCTACTAAAAACACAAAAATTTGCCGGGTATGGTGGCACGTGCCTGTAATCCCAGCTACTCAGGAGGCTGAGGCAGGAGAATCACTTGAACCCAGGAGACAGAGGTTGCAGTGAGCCGAGATTGTGCCATTGCACTCCAGCCTGGGCGACAGAGTGAGACTTTGTCTCAAAAAAAAAAAAAAAGAAAAGTTGCAAAAATAAAAATAGTATGGAAAATACTCACATGCCCTTTAGCCAGACTCTCAATTGTTAACATTTCACCCTTGTTTCATTATTGGATCACTTTGTCTCCCTACCCCCTTCCCTCCTTCTCCCTCTCACTCATATGTGTGTATGTGTATCTATAATCAGTACCTATGGTAAGTGTGTATAAGCAAATGTCTATGAGTATCCATGATATGTGTATAAATGGATGTTCATTTTTTTCCTGGACCGTTCAAGGGAAAGTTACGTATATCATTTACCCCTAAATACTTCAGTGAGTATTTTCAGAGAACAGGGATATTCTCTTACACAATAACGTTTCCTTTACCAACTTCAGTAAATTGAACGTTGTTGCAATTATTTTATCCAGTTTACTGTTCATACTCTAGTTTTCTCTGTTGACCCAATAATATCTTTCCCTTTTTTATTTTTGGAAACAAGGAAATCGGCTCGCTCTGTCACCCAGGCTGGAGTGCAGTGGTGCGACCTTGGCTTACTGCAACCTCTGCTTCCTGGGTTCAAGTGATCCTCCCACCTCAGCCTTCCAAGTAGCTGGGACTACAGGTGCATGCTACCATGCCCAGCTAATTTTTGTGGAGTTTTTTGTGGTTTTTTTTTTTTTTTTTTTTTTTTTTTTGTAGAGACAGGGTCTCCCTTTGTTGCCCAGGCTGGTCTCAAACTTCCAGGCTCAAGCGATCTACTCGCCTCAGCTTCCCAAAGTGATATCTTTCCCTTTATAGCATTTTTCTCCTGGCAGGTTGTCATTTGAAGGTGTGTGTGTGTGTGATCTCTATTAGTCACTGGAATTAGTGACACAAAATTGTGAATACTTTCCAGATTGGGGGAATTCACGCGACCAGCGTGGAGGAAGGCTGTGGATCTCCACCTAATGACCCACTCAGGAAGCAATGGAGAATAGGACTTTGATAAAAATGACAGGGGGTGCAGGAGAGAGAGAGCAACCCCCAGGCCAGGAGCCCAGTTGGAGCCCAGGTGCCTATCCTTAGACACAGGGAAATGACCCCACTCCAGGCAGTTCCTGTCGTTGACTTCAGGTACAGCTGGCTCTGGCAAGCTCAGCGCTCTTTTGGAGAAGGAATCCCAGATAGGCTGGTTTATAACGGGAGTTGGAGGGGAGTCCAGGTCTTGGTGGAAGTGAGCACTCGTTCACACCACATATCAGAGGTGTGGCCGAGCAGCAGGACCAGAGCAGCCCCCTTTCATAGACGGGAAGCTGAAGCTCAGAGTGGCTAAGTGGCTCGCTCCAGGTCACGCAGCCATTATAGGAGTTGTCAGGATTCAAACCAGGGTCCATGTGACTCCAAAGTCCATGTGCTTCACTTTTTGTTTTTGAGATGGAGTGTCGCTCTGTCGCCCAGGCTGGAGTGCAGTGGTGTGATCTTGGCCCAGTGCAACCTCCGCCTCTCGGGTTCTAGTGATTCTCGTGCCTCAGCCTCCCGAGTAGCTGGGACTACAGGCATGCGCCACCACAACCGAATAATTTTTGTATTTTTTAGTAGAGACGGGGTTTCACCATGTTGGCCAGGCTGATCTTGAACCCCTGACCTCAAGTGATCCACCCGCCTTGGCCTCCCAAAGTGCTGGGATCACAGGTGTGAGCCACGACACCTGGCCCATGTGCTTCATTCCTAAGCAGCCACTGTGCCTGACATGGAGACCCAGCAGGTATCTGTCATGCAGCCTCTGCCCTCATCATCTGTCATGTGTGTGGCTCCCTGGTGGTCCACCAATCAGATGATAGGGAGGGGACAGTAGGGCTCAGCCTAGGCTGCCTCCTGTTGGCCGGACCATTCATGAAGCTGTTCTGCTTTGAATCAATTCCCAAGGCCCCAGGAATGTGTGTTGGGACCAGGATGGCTTGAGATATGATGGCCACTGACATGCACTGTCACTCATAGGACTGAGTTGAGACTGTGGGAATGACTGAATGGCTGGGAAAGGTTTTTCGTTTGTTTTTTTGAGACGGAGTCTTGCTCGGTTGCCCAGGCTGGAGCGCAGTGGCACGATCTCAGCTCACTGTAACCTCTGCCTCCCGAGTTCAAGCAATTCTCCTACCTCAGCCTCCCGAGCAGCTGGGATTACAGGCGCCCCCCACCACACCCAGCTAATTTTTGTATTTTTAGTAGAGACGGGGTTTCACCATGTTGGCCAGGCTGATCTGGAACTCCTGACCTCAGGTGATCCACCCAACTCAGCCTCCCAAAGTGCTGGGATTACAGGCGTGAGCCACCAAGCCTGGCCAGGAGAGGTTTTTAGTAGGGCAATGGGGTGTCTGCAAACGAGAGCCCTTGAGAGTGGTGTGGTCCAGGGAGATGGGCAGGGGCCCAGCCTAGGAGTAGGGGCTAGATTTGGTGGGTCTTTGTCAATTTTCAGGGGCAGGGATTGCACTGCATCTATCCCAAGTCCCCGACTTCTCATCCCAGGATGGGCAGAGGAAAGAGCCAATCTCTCCTCCAACACAGGCCCTGGGACTAGGGGTCTGCAGAGGGCCCTGGAAGCCAGACCCCCTCACACTTGGCCTGGCACGTACCTGTGTGCCGTATTCCCTCCTCTGAGCCGCAGGCCTGAACCACAGATCCTGAGCTCTGCAGGGTCAGGATAAAGTACTGGATCTGGAAGGCCTTAGAATCAAAAAGAAAAGCCTGGGCCAGCCGCAGTGGCTCATGCCTGTAATCCCACCACTTTGGAAGGCCAAGGCAGGCGGATTACCTGAGGTCAGGAGTTCAAGACCAGCCTGGCCAACATGGTGAAACCTCATCTCTACTAAAAATACAAAAAATTAGCTGGGCAGGGTGGCGGGCACCTGTAATCCCAGCTACTCGGGAGGCTGAGGCAGGAGAATCACTTGAACCCGGGAGGCAGAGGTTGCAGTGAGCTGAGGTCGCTCCATTGTACTCCACCTGGGTGACAAGAGCGAAACTCCATCAAAAAAAAAAAAAAGAAGAAGAAAAGAAAAACCCGGTTCCACCTCCCAGCACTGTTGCTTTCTTGCATTATTTCATAAGCAAACCACTTAATTAATTTTATGAGCTTTGGTTTCCTCATCCATAAAACACCTACCAGACAGTGTTGGTCTCAGAACTGGAGATGATGGAATGAGCCCAGCACTATGACTGGCCTCAAGAAAATTGTTGGCTAAACAGAGGTGCAGCCCTTAGAGCAGGCAACTTCAGTTTTTTTCTCCCTTCCCTGTGGGCGTGGCTTCCCAATCACCCACCCACCGAGAGGCCTCCTCCCCAGCACGCTGCAAGGGCCACTTTAAGGGGATCAGAAATATACAAAAACCACGGGGAAACATTTGGTCAGGACCTCAGCTTGGAAAAAAATGAAACAATCATGAAAATAAGTATTTTCTCTTCTTTTTTATATGTATGTATTTTTTTATTTTTATTTATTTATTTATTTATTTTTGAGACAGAGTCATGCTCTGTCGCCCAGGCTGGAGTGTGGTGGCGTGATCTCGGCTCACTGTAACCTCTGCCTCCCGGGTTCAAGTGATTCTTCCGCCTCAGCCTCCTGAGTACCTGGGATTACAGACGTGTACCACCACACCCGGCTAATTTTGTTGTTGTTGTTGTATTTTTAGCAGAGACAAGCTTTCACCATGTTGGCCAAGCTGGTCTCGAACTCCTGGCCTCAAGTCATCCGCCTGCCTCGGCCTCCCAAAGTGCTGGGATTACAGGCGTGAAACATTGTGGCTGGCCTTAATTTGTTTTTTTTTTAGAGACAGGGTCTTGCTCTGTCACCCAGGCTGAAGTACAGTGGCACGATCACAGCTTACTGCAGCCTCAAACTCCTGGGCTCAAGCGATCCTCCCACCCAGCCTGGGACTACAGGTGCACACCACCACACCTGTCTAATTTTTAAAAATGTTTGTCTAGATGGGTCTCACCGTGTGGCCCAGGCTGGTCTTGAACTCCCTGCCCCAAGCAATCCTTCCACCTTGGCCTCCCAGAGCACTCGGATTAGAGGCGTGGTATTTTATACTGTATTTAATAAAAGGGTTATAACTGCAACTGAACAAGCAGAAGGGGTGAGGTTGGTGATTCAATTTCCCACAGCTTTGTATGATAGCCTTTGGTGCTGGGCTTTTCCAGCAAACCAGGTTCGGCAAAAATGCAGAACTAGTTTAGAGCTGCAGTGGTTTTCTTTTTTCTTCTTTTTTTTTTTTTGGAAGGAGTCTTGCACTGTCACCCAGGCTGGAGTGCAGTGGAACACTCTCGACTCACTGCAGCCTCTGACTCCTGGGTTCAAGCCATTCGCCTGCCTCAGCCTCCCAAGTAGCTGGGATTCTAGGCTTGTGCCACCACGCCTGGCTAATTTTTATATTTTCTGTAGAGATGGGGTTTCACCATGTTGGCCAGGCTGGTCTGGAACTCCTGACCTCAAGTGATTCACCCGCGTCAGCCTCCCAAAGTGCTGGGATTACAGGCCTAAGCCACTGTGCCCAGCCGTCCAGTGGTTTTCTGAAAGCTTCTGCCAGTCCTTCGATGGTCAGCCTATTCTCTTGACAACCATCTGCTCCCCTTACGATTTTCTCTGATATCTCCCCTTATGATTGTCTCTTATCTCTAAGGGACCCGCCTCCCCCGTCCTCACATAGCCACTTCCGCAAATGTGGGACAGCTCTCCCTGCCACTCGTGGCCTTCGTGACAAGTTACATCTTTTGCAAGACTGGCAGCTTCACTTTGCACCTTCGTGTCTGCATTTTGGGGAAAGACCTGCCCTCAAAGCAAAGGCTTTCAGGCTACAGGCTGGCTTCAATGCTAGGGTGAGCGGTGAATAGTGTGCATAGTGAATACTTGCTTTCTGGTACAACCTCATAACCGGGGCACGGTCTCAGTGAATAACAGAGGACACCCTGCACCTAAGTTACTTTTTTTTTTTTTTTTTTTTGAGCTAGAGTCTCGCTCTGTAGTCCAGGCTGGAGTGCAGTGGCGCCGTCTCGGCTCACTGCAACATCTGCCTCCCCGGTTCAAGCGATTCTCATGCCTCAGCCTCCCCAGTAGCTGGGATTGTGGATGCATGCCACCACGCCCAGCTAATTTTTATATTTTTGGTACAGATGGGGTTTCACCATGTTGTCCAGGCTGGAGTCCAGTGGCGCCGTCTCGGCTCACTGCAACATCTGCCTCCCCGGTTCAAGCGATTCTCATGCCTCAGCCTCCCCAGTAGCTGGGATTATGGATGCATGCCACCACGCCCAGCTAATTTTTATATTTTTGGTAGAGATGGGGTTTCACCATGTTGGCCAGGCTGGTCTCGAACTCCTGAGCTCAACGGATCCTCCCACCTCGGTCTCCCAAAGTGCTGGGTTACAGGCGTGAGCCACCGCGCCCGAACCTAAGTTATAATATATTTTTTATCCCAGCTATGAGGTCACTCCTACACCCTGGACGGCAGCCTGTCTCCTGTCATGAGACAGGGCTGCCCTGCTGCACTGTGTGCACCCATCTTCAGCACTCTTCCGCCAGAGTCCAAGCAGGTGGTTTCTGACCAAACGGTCAGCAGGAAACCGGGAGTTCCTCTTGAACTTGGCCTTGTGCAAACCTGTTCTTGGCCAAGACCAGGGCAACATGCAACCAGACCTCGGCTCTTGCAACTTCCCCCCAGCAGAACTCACAACCTCCTGTCCTCAACTTAGAAATAACCCTGGGGCGGAGCCCGGCCCTCCCTGCATTCCTGCAGAGCCTCGGTCCACTCCAAGCAACATTTATTGAGGGTGGCGGGAGCCGCGCTGGACAGGGGTCGGGGCTGCCCTCGGCGTCCAGACGCCAGGCTCTATAGAACACGTATATACAGGCACGGGGCGGCAAGGGCCGAGACGCTAGCTGGGGACTGCGCTCCAGCCTCAGACGGCAGACGCCAGCTTCCGCTTGGTGCTCTCGCTGCAGCGGTTCAGGATGAGGTCGGCGCTCGGCCGCGGGGGCACCGCCGGCTGCGGTTTAGAGCGCTGCGTCTGCCGCTCCTCCTCTGCGGGCAGAGAGCGGGGCCGAGTCAGACGCCCCGCCCCGCACACTGGCCCCGCCCACAGCGCTCTCTGGCCTCGCCCCGCCGCGGTCTCCAACTCCTGCTCCGCGCTCTGGCCTCGCCTCCCGCTTGTGCCTCTCCCTCTGACTCCGCCTCTTAGGGATCGCTCCGCCCCCTAGCGCTGGCTCCTCCTCTGACCCCGCCTCCAGTCCCCGCCTCTCCCTCTGATTCCGCCCTCTGGTCCCGCCCCGCTACTCTGGCCCTACCTCTGGCCCCGCCTCTCCCGCTGACTCCGCCTCTAGGGCTTGCCCTTCCTGCCCTCTCCCGCTGCACTCACCGAGCGGGCTCCCGGGGCTCTGCGGTCCCGGCCGCGCCTGGCGGCGTCGCTGCTGCAGAAAACGGACGCTGTTGCGGCGATAGGCGTCCTGGCTGAGGCGCTTCCGCGACCGCTGGTGGATGCTGTGCGCGTTGCGGATGGACGACCTGGCCCAGCGGGACGGGGCGTCGTCAAAGCCCGAGGGCGCCCCTGCCCCCAGGGACTCAGATGGGCACCCCTGGTCCGAGGAAGTGGGGGGCAGTAGGGGGCCGGTAGTCTGCACGACCCCGGCGGGACAAGAGGCGGCTGCCCCCGTCACGACAAGGACCCTTGCCCTGCAGCAGAGCCTGGGCGGTTTTCCACGCCCCTCACCAGCCTTCGGTCTGTCGTCCCCCTCTCCGGGGACCCCCCCTGGACTGCCCATCCCCAAAGCCCCCGGGCATCGCCGCTTTCCTTCCGCCCCCGTGCCAGCCCCACACCGCGGCCAGGCGCGTCCAGCCCCTTTCCCCCGTGAGGGTCCTGCCTCTCCTGCCAGGCTGAGAGCCCCCGCCCCGGCACTGCCAAGCTATGGCCTAGACAGAGCGAACCCGTGGTGCGCCCCGCTCGACCCCGCCCAGCCCCGGGGACCCCCGCTTACCTGCGGGGCGGCGCCCCCCGCTTGATCTGGCGTTGGGCCTGGGACACGTCTTGCCCTGACTTTTGCAGGTA
The DNA here is from genome assembly GCF_000001405.40 of Homo sapiens. NCBI lineage: Eukaryota > Metazoa > Chordata > Mammalia > Primates > Hominidae > Homo > Homo sapiens. The sequence continues at coordinate 74,788,017 of NC_000007.14, read as the reverse complement.
CATGGACGGGAAGTAGCCTGTGACGTCGTCTTTCCTGCAACAGAGGCAGCCCTTGAGGCTGGGGCAGTCACCTGGGGGCGCCCAGAGGAGAGGGTTTCAGGGCTCTCTCTGAACAATTGGGGTTAGCACAGGCTGAGAGGTTGCAAACAACCGGACACCTGCCTCTGTGGGCCTCAGTTTCCTGGTCTGTGCAACTGAGACCCTTCCAGCAATCCTTCCACAGTCTAGGCAGGGGTGGAGGTTAGCAGATCCAGGTCACCGCAGGGGACAGGTATTTGCTATAAGACATTGGCAAGAATGGGCAGGGCACGGTCGCTCACGCCTGTAATCCCAGTACTTTGAGGGATCTAGGTGGGAGGATCGCTTGAGGCCAGGAGTTGGAGATCAGCCTGGGTAACATAGCAAGACCCCTATCTCTACCTCCCGAAAAAAGTAAAGAAAAAAGAAGACATTGGCGGATTATATTTGCCAATTTTTCTTTTATGTTAACTGCCTTCTGTCTCCTACGAACCTTTGCCTACCTCCAAGCCACCAAATTCTATGCTTTCTTCCAAATGCTTTTCCCCCGCCCAACCCCAAGACAGAGTTTTGCTCTTGTTGCCTAGGCTGGAGTGCAATGGCATGATGTCGACTCATTGCAACCTCTGCTTCCCAAGTTCAAGCAATTCTCCTGTCTCAGCTTCCCAAGTAGCTGGGATTACAGGCATGCACCACCACACTTGGTTAATTTTGTATTTTTTTAGTAGAGACAGGATTTCACCATGTTGGTCATGGCTGGTCTCAAACTCCTGACATCAAGTGATCCACCTGCCTCAGCCTCCCAAAGTGCTGAGATTACAGGCGTGAGCTCCCTGTCCAGCCCCAAATGGTTTTTAGTTTCAGGTTTTACTCTGGGATAAACCTGTGATCCATCTGAAGTAAACATATGTGTACAGTGTGAGGAAGGGGTCTAGGTTTGTTTTTTGCTCTTTTTTTTTTTTTTCCAGTATGGAAATCCATCTGTTCCAGCACCATTTGTTGAAAAGACTTTCTTTCTATTCTCAATATTATATTTGGGAGTGAAAAAAAAAACAAAAGAAAACTTTGCATAATACAAGGTTCACATAAAACCCAATTCTTGGCTGGTGGGAGGATCACAAGAAGATTATCAGAGACACAGGATGGGGGTTAACAGAGTGTGTGTCTAAAAGGCTGAGAAATGCTGCCTCAAAGCCCTCTGGCCCCGGGCCCGGCTGCAGGTATGCATGTTGTGGTCCCAGCTTTAAGATAAGCTTGCGGCAGGGCGCCAGGCTGGCCCTGTGACCTAGGGCTCTGAAGACGCCAGCAAAGGCCCAGCATGGAGGCTCATTCCTGTAATCCCAGTGCTTTGGGAGGCCAAGGCAGGAGGAACTCTTGAGGCCAGGAGTTTAAGACTAGTCTTGGCACCATAGTGAGACCCCATCCCTACAAAAAAATTAAAAAACATTAGCCAGATGTGGTGGTGCTCACCTGTAGTCCCAGCTACGTGGGAGCCTGAGGTGGGAGGATCGCTTGAGTGAGCGATGATTGTGCTCCAGCTTGGGAGTCAGAGCAAGATCCTGTCTCAAAAAATGAAAAAATTCGTAAAAAATGAAGACACAGGAAAGGACCTGGGAGGCCCCATGGCTCCAGGGAAATGGCTCCACAAGCCGCTAGAATTCTGTGTTCCCCAGAACCAGAAAAAAGATAATTAGTATTTCTGCATTCATTTGGAGGATAAACAGATGGGAATTGCAATGGAAGCTTTTTTTTTTTTTTTTTTTTTGAGACAGGGTCTTGCTCCATCACCCAGGCTGGGGTGCAGTGGTGCAGTCATAGCTCACTGCAGCCTCCAACTCCTGGGGTCAAGTGATCCTTTCACCTCAGCCTCCTGAGTAGCTGGGGCTACAGGTGTGTGCTACCACATCCAGCTATTTTTTAATTTTTTTTGTAGAGACAGAGGTCTCCCTACATTGCCCAGGTTGGTCTTGAACTTGTAGCCTTGAGTGATCCTCCCACCTCAGCTTCCCAAAGTGTTGGGATTACAGGCATGAGACACTGCACCTGACTGCAAGAAAGCTTTAAAAGATAAAGGAATGATAAAAAGAAAGTAATCTTTTTTTTTTTTTTTTTTTTTGAGACGGAGTTTCGCTCTCGTTGCCCAGGCTGGAGTGCAATGGCGCGATCTTGGCTCACTGCAACCTCCGCCTCCCGGGTTGAAGTGATTCTCTTGTCTCAGACTCCCGAGTAGCTGGGATTACAGGCTCCCACCACCACACCCGGCTCATGTTTGTGTTTTTAGTAGAGATAGGGTTTTGCCATGTTGGCCAGGGTGGTCTCGAACTCCTGACCTCACATGATCGTCCTGTCCTGGGCTCCCAAAGTGCTGGGATTACAGGCCTGAGCCATTGCGCCTAGCTAGGAATGTAATTATTTATACAACAGTTCACCATGTTGCCAGAGAAGGAATAATAATAGATGGTTGGGAAGAGACCCTAAATCACAAAGGAGAAATGCACCCACTTGGACAAGGACATTGGATCCCCACAAGACAGGCAAGGGTGGGCTCATTCCTCCCTGCTACTGAGATGGAAACTAAGCCCAGAGAGGGGCAGTGGCTTACCCAGAGTCCCAGGGACAAGTCACCCCAGATCCCTAAACACCCCGTCCTGGCTGGGGCTGACTCAGATGGGTGCTCTGGATGGAGAGGGGCCCTCCTACCTGATGACCCACCAGCCGTCCAGGAGCTTGTGAATGACCTCAACAGCTTCACCCTCGAGCAGGGACACCTCGTCCCCCTCCACAGCAGTGTAGGCCTTGATGGCGACGTATGGCTCACCTGGTCCACGGCAGGGGCACAGAGCACAGTGTGAGGTCGGCCCAGCCTGGGGCTCGCCACCCATCCCATCTTCTCCTCTCTGCGCCTGGGCTTCCTCCAGGCACTCCAGACCCACCCAGGGCCCACAGTTCCCCCTCTTCTGGGTCTCCTCCCTCCACCCTCCTGCTCCATCCCAGATCCCTCGGCAAGCTCCTGCTGGCACCCACTCTGGGGGTACACTCTGGACTTCGGCCCTCTGCCCCCTACACCCAGGTGAGCTTGTCCACTCCCATTCATTGCCACCCACTCTGGGGACCAGAGATCCCATAACGATGAAGGTCTGTCCAGACACTTCACTATGACAAGAGATCAGCCATGAGTAGGTGGGTGGAGCATCCGTCTACCTGGCACTGGGAACTGCTCAGCTGCAGCTAACTGTCGGCCTGGGGGCTGCAGGCCTTCCCAGTGTTTAAACGATAGCCACAGGCTGGGCAAGGTGGTTCCCACCTGTAATCCTAGCACTTTGGGAGGCCAAGGCGGGCGGATCACCTGAGGTCAGGAGTTCGAGACCAGCCTGGCCAACATGGCGAAACCCCATCTCTACTAAAAATACAAAAAATTAGCCTGGCGTGGTGGTGCATGCCTGTAATCCCAGCTACTCAGGTGGCTGAGGCAGGAGAATTGCTTGAACCCAGGAGGCTAAGGTTGCAGTGAGCTGAGATTGCATTACTGCACTCCAGCCTGGGTGACAGAGCCAGACTTTGTCTCAAAAAAAAAAAAAAAAGCTGTAAATCCACATAAAAGGGTGAAATCACTCCATTTTAAAATGTGGGTAACCAGGCCAGGGACAGTGGCTCACATCTGTAATTCCAGCACTTTGGGAGGCCAAGGCAGGCAGATCACCTGAGGTCAGAAGTTCGAGACCAGTCTGGCCAACCTGGTGAAACCCCGTCTCAACTAAAAATACAAAAATTATCCAGGCATGGTGGTGCATGCTTGTAATCCCAGCTACTTGGGGAGGCTGAGGCTGGAGAATCACTTGATCCTGGGAGGCAGAGGTTGCAGTGAGCTGAGATAGCACCACCGCACTCCAGCCTTAGCAAGGGAGTGAGACTCTATCTCAAAAAAGTAAAATAAATAAATAAATAATAAAATAAAATGGTAACCAATTCTATTATAGTTTTTTTCAAGCTCAATGCAGGCCCCATCCAGCCCTGGCACTGCCAGTTTTCCCTTTCTGGTCAGTGATGATGCCCCCACTTCCAGGCAGCCCTCCTTCCTGAGCCTAAGGTCTGCTCATCCTTCAGCTTCCCACTGAACCTGGCCACATATCCACAGACACCACTGGCCTCCCACTCTCCCCAGTCGTCTGCTCCTCCTCCTGGTTCCCTGTCCAGACCAAGGGCATCACAACCTGCCAGGGCCCCCAAGCCAGAGTCGATGAGATCTTAGCCCTGACTTTTCTGCCAAGCCAGCAACCAGCCCAGACTCCAAAGCAGTCACTCAATATCCCTGAGCCCTGCCTGCCCCTTTCTCCCACACCCCTACAGCCTCGGAGGGCAGGGGGCACCTGCATAGTTGGGCTCAGGGTCTTCCGTCTCGTCAGGACTGTCCAGGGGCTCGAGGAAGGACGCTGGGATCCAGCCTCGCTTTGCTTTCATCTGACAGAACCACCAACCTGTGCCAGAGGTGCGGGAATGTGACTGAGGGGCAGGGCCCAGCGGCTCCCTGCAGCCATCAGGGATGGTGAGGACACAGGGACACAGACACACTGATGTCCAATGCTCAGATTTGGAAATGTCACCTTCACCACACTGGACAATGAGGTCACATGCATGCATGCACACATGCTCACAGAATCACAGCTCTGAGCCCACTTCATAATGAACAGACGGTCCCATACCCATCCAGACAGAACACGCAGACATGCCCCGCCCCGGCCTGCCATGCACAGATGCCCACAGCCACCACAGGGTGCACACTAAGACAGAAGGCGACCCACAGTGTGGGGAGGACATTTAGGGCCCCTAACAGAGCCGGAGTCCTCCCAGGGGCAAGGCTGCCTGAGCCTTGGCAGGGGGCTTGTGGCTGTGGGTTCCTGAGCACCAGGGGAAGGAGCCCCGTAAGGTGGGAGGTCTGACCGCTCTCGCTCTTCTCTACGACCTCCACCACGTCCCCCGTGGACAGAGCCATCTCGGAGCCCGAGGTCTTCTCGTAGTTGGCAATGGCGCGGTACGTCTGCAGGATGATGGGGCCGGTGATGTCTGGGGCAAGAGGGAGGGCAGGGTGAGTGGGCATTGCAGGGCCCATCTGGGCCTCCAGAACAGGCGCTGGCATCTTGAGTCTCTGCTGCCCTGCATTTCCTGGGCGCATAGCGTTCTCCAGGCTTCGGCCTCACACTTCAAACATGTCCTTGTTCTCATCTGATGAAGTTAGTGAGCCTTTCCCAACTTTATTTTCTTTTTTGGAGACAGAGTCTTGCTCTGTTGCCCAGGCTAGAGTACAGTGACGTGATCACAGCTCACTACAGCCCTGGACTCCTAGGCTCAAGCAATCTCCCTGCCTCAGCCTCCCGAATAGCTGGGACCATAGACGTATGCCACCACACCCGGCTAATTTTTTGTAAAGACAAGGTCTTGGGACAATGCCCAGGCTGGTCTCGAACTCCTGGGCTCAAAGGATTCTCCCACCTCAGCCTCTTAAAGTGTTGGGATTACAGGTGTGGAGCCACTGCACCTGGCCTTTTCCCAACTTTTTTTTTTTTTTTTTTGAGATGGAGTCTCGCTCTGTCACTGGAGTGCAGTGGTGCAATCTTGGCTCATTGCAACCTCCACCTCCCAGGTTCAAGTAATTCACCTGCCTCAGCCTCCCAAGTAGCTGGGACTACAAGCACCCGCCACCACACCTGGCTAATTTTTGTATTTTTAGTAGAGATGGAGTTTCACGATATTGGTCAGGCTGGTCTCGAACTCCTGACCTCAGGTGATTCAACCGCCTCGGCCTCCCAAAGTGCTGGGATTACAGGCATGAGCCACAGTGCCTGACCTTTTCCTAACTTTAAGGTGCACCCGAATACCTGGGATTTTGCTAAAATGCCTATCCTGTTCAGTAGGTCCACTGTGGGACCTGAGTGTGCATTTCTGACCAGCCCTTCATCCAACCGTGGAGGTGCTGATGCTGTTTAGTATTGGCTGACATCCGCCTTCTCAAAATTCATATGTTGAAGTCCTAACCACCCAGTACCTTACAGTGTGGGTGTATTAAGAGAAAGGTACTCTTAAGTACGTTTCAAGAGGTAATTAAATTAAAATGAGGTCAGTAGAGTGGGCCCTAACCCAACAGGCCTCGTGTCCTTATAAGAAGAAGAAAAAGCCGGGCACAGTGGCTCATGTCTATAATCTCAGCACTTTGGGAGGCTGAGGCAGGAGGGTTGCTTGAGGCCAAGAGCTTAAGACCAGCTTGGGCAATGTAGTGAGACCCCATCTCTACCAGAAAATTAAAAATTAGCTGGACATGGTGGCACACACCTGTAATCCCAGCTACTTGGGAGGCTGAGGTGGGAGGATCGCTTCAGCCCAGGAGGTCGAGGCTGTAGTGAGCTATGATCACACCACTTCACTCTAGCCTGGGCAACAGAGCGAGACCCTGTCACTGAAAACAACAAAAACAAAATAGTGGCTGGCACAGAGTAAGCACTCCATTAATGTTAGGTATTATTATTATTATTGTTATTAGCAGTGACTGTGCAATAAGTATTAGAAACTGCCACAGCCCTGCATCGCCTCTGAAGGCCACACTGCCCTCCAAAACCTGTTCATTCATTCAGCCGCAAACACTCCCCCGGCTGCCAGTAGCAAGGGTCTGCGCTGGTCTCTGCACTGCCACCTGCAAAGGGCTCCTTTCAGTCTCCAGGGACCTTCCAAAGACCCAATTCTTCTTTTTTTTTTTTTTTTTTTTTGAGATGGAGTCTGGCTCTGCTGCCCAGGCTGGAGTGCAGTGGCACGATCTCGGCTCACTGCAAACTCCGTCTTCCGGGTTCAAGCAATTCTCCTGCCTCAGCCTCCCAAGTGGCTGGGACTACAGGCACCTGTCACCACGCCTGGCTAATTTGGATTTTTAGTAGAGACAGGGTTTCTCCATGTTGGCCAGGCTGGTCTCAAACTCCTGACCTCAAGTGATCCACCTGCCTCGGCCTCCCAAACTGCTGGGATTACAGGCATGAGCAACCGCACCCGGCCCAAAGACCCAATTCTTCAGCAGGGTAGCTGTGAGCCCTCCCAGCCTGCTCCCAGCCCCTGCTCCATTCCCTGAACACTCTGGGTCTCCTCAGGGTGTCCCCCCCCGCCGGCTGCCCCCCGTCCTCTCACCTGTCGCGGTACTCTTGCCATCTTTGGGCATCAAGTATGTCTCTGGCTTTTTTGTCCTGAGGAGAGAACAGTCTGGGTGAGACCCTTGGCTTCCCATGGAGGAAGAAGAGGCACTGGGTAGACCTGCAGAAGAACTTCCCAAGAGAAGAGGGACCCGGGAAAGGGAAGGGGCACTGCGGAGAGAAGACAGCAACTGGACTGGCTGAGGAAGGGCTTCAGGAAGTGATGGGGGCGGGCGGATCTGCTCGGGCAGCCCAAGGGAGGGACATGAGGAGGACACTGCATAGCCTTCTGCAGACCCAAAGGATGCCCTAAGCCTGGAAAATGCTCTTGCGGGCTCCCAGGCCATCTTCTTTCTTCTTTTCTTTTTTTTTTCTTAGACAGAGTCTCGCTCTGTCACCCAGGCTGGAGTGCAGTGGCGCAGTCTCAGCTCACTGCAACCTCTGCCTCCCGGGTTCAAGCGATTCTCCTGCCTCGGCCTCCCAAGTAGCTGGGATTACAAGCGCACACCACCATGCCTGACTAAATTTTTATATTTTTGGTAGAGATGGGGTTTCACCATGTTGGCCAGGCTGGTCTCAAACTCCCAACCTCAGGTGATCTGCCCACCTCGACCTTCCAAAGTGCTGGGATTATACGTGTGAGCCACTGTGCCCGGCCTCTTCCTCCTTCTGGAGCCCTGAGAGAGCAGGCAATGAGGAGCGGACCCCACTGCAGAGTCCATCCTTCCCCCGCCTCCCGGGCTGATGATAACTGCCCTTCCTTGGGCCAGGGGACACCTTCAAGCGTCAATAAGTGCTGGCCGGAGCAATGCTGCTTGTCTCTGTCTTGGCAGCCTGGGTGCCTTGACAAGGGGTAACGTCCTGTCCTCATGCTCCCCACTTCGAGCTTCAGTGACCAGAGAGGAGTGGAGAAGGGGACTTCCCCAGCCTGCCTGGAGCTCCCTCAGCCTCTCAGGTGCCTTCCACACAGGGTCCTGGGTACAGGAGACCCCAGACATGCTCAGCACTTAGCAGAGGCATCAACCCCACATCCTTCTGGGGGGCTCCGCAAGACACCCAATGCTTCATCTGATCCTCACTGCCCATTATAGAAATGGAGAACCTGCATTCAGAGAGCAGTGGTGACTGGCTCCAGGTCCCATGGCCAGGTGGCCATAATGTCAGGATGAGGACCCAGGACTTTGAACCTCCAGCCCCGAGTGCTTCCCCCAGTGCCCTGAGGTGTGAAAGATTAAGGTGGAGGCTTGGCGGGGTCACAGGGGCCGGAGGTGGAATTTGCCTCCTCTTTCTGGCTGTGTGGCTCTGGGAAGGTGGCTTTCCCTCTCTGAGCCTTGGTTTCCTCATCTGCAAAACACAGAAAGTCCCACCCCTCCTTCCCTCTCCCACCTGGCAGGGTGAAAAGTTCACTCACTGGTTGTCCGTGGGGAGCTTGAGGTCATCAGGGCGCACCTTGAAGAAGTCGAGGAGGTGGGGACAGCGGGAGATCTTGGTGGGCAGGCTCATGAGCGTGCTGCAGTACTCGGTAAGTGTGCCCTGGCGGTTCTCGGCGGCCCGCTGCCCGTCAAACCACTTGGGAGCTGGCACCAGAGAACATGAGGTCAAGCCCGAGAGGGGCTGGGAGGGCAGGTGAGCCCCCGCCAATGACCCCCTGACAGGCGGCTCAGCCCCGTGCTCACCTGGGAGGTGGGGGATGATCCTGTTCTCTGGATTGATCGCCCCTGCCTCAATAGGGAACATTTCTTTTAAGGTTTTCTAAACATTAAAAAGACAAGAAGACGTGAAGGAATATTTGTAGTTTACAACACTTGGAAAAGCACGAGATTGGAAGTGACCTAAATACCTCTCAAAACCACCTAAAAGGCCGAGCATGGTGGCTCACGCCTGTAATCCCAGCACTTTGGGAGGCTGTCGTGGGTGGATCACTTGAGGTCAGGAGTTCAAGACCAGCCTGGCCAACGTGGTGAAACCCCGTCTCTACTAAAAATACAAAAATTAGCCGGGAGTGGTGGCACATGCCTGTAATCCCAGCTACTCAGGAGGCTGAGGTGGGAGAATCGCTTAAACCTGGGAGGCGGAGGTTACAGTGAGCCGAGATGGTGCCACTGCACTCCATCCTGGGTGACAGAGTGAGACACTACCTAAATATCTCGGGCCTAGAAATTTCGGTGGCAATCTGGATTCCTTGATTAGCAGAGGCACTGACCTCTCTCCCTCCCATGTGCAAGTCACCAGCAAATCCTTTTGCTTCCAATCCCCAAATCTCTTTGGGATCTGACTGCTTCCCACCAACCCCACCCTCCTGGCCCTAGCCACTACCAGGCCTGGATAACGAAAATGGCCTCCTTGTGTCCCCCGTCCACTCTTGTCTGTCCTCAATCCAGTCGCCAAAGGGATCCTCTTAAAACTCAGGTTGACCAGGTGCAGGGGCTCAAACCTGTAATCCTAGCAATTTGGGAGGCTGAGGCGGGAGGATCACTTGAGTCCAGGAGTTAGAGACCAGCCTGGGCAACATAGCGAAATCCCATCTCTACAAAAAACAAATCAGGAAAAGGAGCCAGGTGTGGTGGTGCACACCTGTGATCTCAACATGGGAGGCTGAGATGGGAGAATCGCTTCAGCCCTGGAGGTTGAGGCTGCAGTGAGCCGTGATTGCACCACTGCACCCCAGCCTGGGTGACAGAGCAAGACCCCATCTCAAAAGAAAAGCAAATATAAAAAAACTGATAACTCATTCTTAAAAAGGTACAAATGTAAAATTTAGGAAAATAACTAACATAGGGACGAGAACCACAAGGAGAATGTTCACCAGCAGGTGCATTTATTTGGGATCTAGAACTTGGCTTTGTTTTTCAAAAGCGACAAGAATGGTTCCATTCTAGGAAGGTTCTGGGAGATCCTGTCTGTTTTACTTTAAAATGAGAATCTGGTGTTTCTGTGTTTTATTGTTTTCAGTAAGACTACTTAAATGTTTCAGGGGGAAAAATGTTTTTTTCTTTTAATGCCCCCTTAGCTTTGGGAGGCCAAGGCAGGAGGATCACTTGAGGTCTGGAGTTCAAGACCAGCCTGGGCAACATAGTGAGATCCCCATCTTTATAAAAAATACAAAAATTAGCCACACATGGTGATGCGCACCTATAGTCCCAGCTACTCAGGAGGCTGAGGCAGGAGGATCGCTTGAGCCCCAGAGGTCGAGGCTGCAGTGAGCTATGATTGCGCCCCTGCACTGCAAACCTAAATACCTCTCAAAACCACCTAAAAGGCCGAGCGTGGGGGCTCATGCCTGTAATCAGAGAACATGAGGTGTTCAGAGTGGTGACAGAGCAAGACCCTGTCACAAAAATTTATATAAATAAATAAATCCCCTTTAACTGTGGTCTGGGAGGGGATTCTGGGTTCTGCAGTTTCCCCATCACCTGGGCTAAGGTCCTTCCCAAAGGGTGGAGCTGGAACGGTGGGTCCCTGTCCCTCCTCCATCCCCACACTCACATGGAACTCGTAGATCTCGGTGAAGCGCCGGTAGACCACCTTCTCCGACAGGTCCTGCCATTTCACCAGGAACATGTACACCTGGGGGAAAGCCAGAGTCGGGGGACCCCATTCAGCCTCCAAAGAGGCTTTGCTGTGTGCACCCAGGATCCCACTACCCACTGGAGGAAGCCCAGAGGATTGGGGTGAGGACCATCTTTGCGGTTGTCCTGGATTGCAGAAAGGGCACAAACGTGGACCCAAGTGCTGCCACGCCCCAGCCTTGAGACCCAGGGCAAGAGGGTCAGCTTCTCTCAAATGGACTCATCTGTAAATTGGAGATAAAAGTAGGACCTAGGCTGGGCACGGTGGCTCACACCTGGAATCCCAGCACTTTTTAGTACCGAGGTGGGAAGATCGCTTGAGTCCAAGAGTTTGAGACCAGCCTGGGCAACATAGCGAGACCCCCATATCTACTAAAAACACAAAAATTGTCCGGGTGTGGTGCCGCACACCTGTGGCCCCAGGTGAGGCAGGAGAATTGCTTGAGACTTGGAGGTCAAGGCTTTAGTGAGCTATGATTGCACCACTGCACTCCAGCTTGGGTGGGGAGGGGAGGGGAAGGGAGGGGACAGGAGGAGAGGGGAGGGGACGGGAGGGGCAGGAAGGCTGGGCATGTTGGCTCCCGTCTGTAATCCCAGCACTTTGGGAGGCCAAGGCAGGTGGATCACCTGAGGTCAGGCGTTCAAGACCAGCCTGACCAATATGGTGAAACCCTGTCTCTACTAAAAACACAAAAATTACCCGGTAGTGGTGATGGGCACCTGTGATCCCAGCTACTTGGGAGGCTGGGACAGGATAATTGCTTGAACCCGGGAGGCGGAGGCTGCAGTGAGCTGAGGTTGTGCCACTGCACTCCAGCCTGGGTGACAGAGCGAGACTCCCTCTCAAAAAAATTAAAAAGAAGACAGAATTGCATCTAAGATCCACTGCCCTGGATACACAAACTGAATCTAATGAAGATAAACCCAAACTAAGGGACATTCTACAAGGTAACTGGTCTGCTCTCTGCAAAACATCAAAGTTGCAAAAGACAAAGACTGATTAAGACCGATCCAGAATCCGCTGGCACGGTGGCTCACGCCTGTAATCCCAGCACTTTGGGAGGTCGAGGCGGGCAGATCACCTGACGTCAGGAGTTCGAGATCAGCCTGGCTAACATGGTGAAACCCTGTCTCTACTAAAAATACAAAAAGTAGCCGGGCATGGTGGCGCATGCCTGTAATCCCAGCTACTCGGGAGGCTGAGGCACGAGAATTGCTTGAACCTGGGAGGCGGAGGATGCAGTGAGTGGAGATTGTGCCATTGCACTCCAGCCTGGGTGACAGAGTAAGACTCCATCTCATAAAAAAAAAAAAAAGACTGATCCAGAATCAATATGGCAAAACCCTGTCTCTACCAAAAAATGCGAGCTGGGCATGGTGGCGCGCACCTGTATTCCCAGCTACTCAGGAGGCTGAGGCAGGAGAATCTCTTGAACCCAGGAGGCAGAGGTTGCAATGAGCCGAGATTGCACCACTGCACTCCAGTCTGGCGACAGAGTGAGATTCCGTGTCCAAAAAAAGAAAAAGAAAAAGAAAAAAGACTGATCCAGATTAAAGAAGGTTAAAGGCTATGACATTGATCCTTGACTGGATCCTAGACCTGAAAAAAGTTTTCACTGCAGAGGACAAGCAGGATAATCGGGGAAACCTCAGTAAAGTCTGTGGGTGGATAATGGTGTTTTGTCCATGTTAATTTCCTGATTTTGACACGTGTGTTGTGATTATGTAAGAGAATGCCTTGATTTTAAGAAATGCCCAACAACTAGTATTTAGAGGTAAAGAAACACGTCTTCAACTCACTCTCAAATAATTCAGAAAATATCCCCAGAAAGAGAGGTGTGGATGAAGGTGAGTGAAAGACTATTGGAGTGACTGGTACCGTTTTGACACCCAGTAGCCTTTCTGTAAATTTGAAATTTCAAAACTGAAAGTTACAAAGAAAAGGAGAAAAGTGACTAGGCACGGTAGCTCACGCTTGTAATCCTAGCACTGTGGGAGGCTGAGACCAGAGGGTTGCTTAAGCCGAGGAGTTCAAGATTAGCCTGGACAACATAGTGAAACCTCATCTCCACAAAAATTTTAAAAACTAGCCAGGCATGGTGGTGTGCGCCTGTAGCCCCAGCTACTCAAGGGGCTGAGGCAGGAGGATCACTTGGGCCTGGGAGGTCGAGGCTGCAGTGAACTATGATCGCACCACTGCACTCCAGACCTCATTTCAAAAAAACAGGCCAGGCACGGTGGCTCATGCCTGTAATCCCAGCACTTTGGGAGGCCCAGGTGGGTGGATCACTTGAGGTCAGGAGTTTGAGACCAGTCTGGCCAACATGGTGAAACCCTGTCTCTACTAAAAATACAAAAATTAGCCAGGCGTGGTGGTGGGCACCTGTAATCCCAACTACTCTGGAGGCTGAGGCAGGAGAACCAGTTGAACCTGGAAGGCGGAGGTTGCAGTGAGCTGAGATCGTGCCACTGCACTCTGGCCTGGGCAACAGATCAAGACTCTGTCTCAAAAAACAAAAAAATAACAAAAAAGAGAAAGGTCTTGGCACATAGGACTAAATGTTCCATACAAGCTTCAATTTCCTAAATGTAGTTCCTCCCTGGCCTTCCTATGGGATTAGGGGACCCAGTGGACTTGTGTGTCTGAGCAGGCATTTGTCCAGCCTCCTTGGGGACAGATGGGAGGACTCTATTGGCCCCTGTCATGGTGTCACCCTACTGGAGAGGATAAGACTCTAACTGACACTACAGGCAGCTGGGGAGAGAGAGAGCTTTAGTTTCCAGGCCTCCCTCTTGGGAGGGCCACTCTCTGATAGCTGGGCTAGTCAGGGAAGGCTTCCTGGAGGAGTGGGCCTCGGACCTGAGAGAGCGCTGGGCTGCCTGGCCATGGCAGGGGAGCAGAAAGAGGACTCCTGGCTAAGGCTGAGGGCCTGGCTGGGGACACAGGCGGGGACAGTAAAGGGCTGGGGCCCAGGGCGGGTCCAAGGGAACTGTCTTCCCAGGGATCAGAGGGGTAGATCCAGGCTCAAAGACCAGGGACCAGGTGCCCAAGACCCTGCCCCGTTAGTCCTCACTGGAGCTGGTTGGCCCTGGGACTGCAAGGGTGGCCGTGCTGTCCCTCCCGTATTCCCCCCACGGGATGCCCTCCACCAGCTACTCACATAGTGCTGGCTGGGTACGAAGCGCTTCTCAAAGCCCAGCAGGGCGATGTGACGGATGAAGGTGTCCCCCATGACTGGGTGGCCTCCAGTGCTCCCTGGCACTTCCAGGCTGCGCCTTAAATGCACTGGAAAGAGGAAGTCGCTTTTGTCGCGGTCGGGACAGGGGGCAGGGAGGGTACAGAAAGGGCTTTGCTTCTTCTTTCAGTTTCTGGGGACTCTTCAGGCTTGCAGGGTGTAAACATGGGCAGACTCATGTTCACACACACCTGCAGGGACAAGGAAAAGGGTTTACACTTGTCCTTCCCGTCGCCTGCACGGGCCCCACGGGTTTTGGGGGTGAATCAAGCTGCTCCTGCCTCAGGGCCTTTGCATTTGCTGCGTCCCCTTGACCATCTTTCCCCCCTTGACCATATTCCTGGTCTTGACCATGTTCCCCCCATTCACCATCTTCCCTCCATAACTCTCCTCCATTTCTCTGCTCAAATGTCACCTCTTCCGAGAAGCCTTCCTTGATAACTTCACATTGCATAGCAAACCTCATACCTTTCTCAGCCTCTTCCTGCCTCCTTTTTCTGCAGAGCACTTATCACTGATGCATCGCAAATTGCATTTAATTTTTCTTTATTATTATTGCTATTGTTATTTGAGACAGGGTCTTGCTTTGTTATCCAGGCTTAAGTGCAGTGGTGGGATCACAGTTCACTGCAGCCTCCAACTCCTGGGCTCCAGCGATCCTCCTGCCTCAGCCTCTGGAGTAGCTGGGACTACGGGTGTGTGCCACCATGCCCGGTTAAATTTTTTTTAATTTTTTTGTACAGACAGGGTCCTGCTATGTTGCCCAGGATGGTCTCAAACTACTGGCCTCTAGTGATCCTCCTGCCTCTGCCTCCCACTTTTTTTTTTTTGAGATGGAGTCTCGCTCTTGTTTCCCAGGCTGGAGTGCAATGGCGCGATCTCGGCTCACCGCAACCTCTGCCTCCTGGGTTCAAGCAATTCTCTTGCGTTAGTCTCCTGAGTAGCTGGGATTACAGGCATGTGCCACCACACCTGGTTAATTTTTTTTTTTTTTAATTAGAGACTGGGTTTCTCCATGTTGGCCAGGCTGGTCTTGAACTCCTGACCTCAGGTAATTCACTCGCCTCGGCCTCCCAAAGTGCTGGGATTCAGGCATGAGCCACCGTGCCTGGCCTGACTTAATTTTTTTAGTCTCCCCTTACCACAATGTGTGTCCCAGGAAAGCTAGGGCATGACCGGGTTATCAGGGGCTCTAGCCCCAGCCCCTCCATCTAGTGCCTGGCACACAGAGGCCATAAATATTTGGATCGTGACTGCAACATTCACTGAGTGAATGAATGAGTGAGTGAATGAATGAATGAGTCAATGAATGAGTGAATGAATGAATGAATGAGTGAATGAACGCGGGCATGGGAGTGTGCATGCAAGCGTTAGATGCTCATCCTTGGGTGTGTGTGGATGAGGGCCAGTGACAGCTGGGACGAAAATGGCACAGACTTTGAGTGAGACTTGAGTTCCAATCCTCAAGTAAGCAAATGGTTCATTGAATTGTTCCTTAGGGCTGACTCAGTTTTCTCCAGAGTGATATTAAGACTGTCAGCTTTGCCAGGAAGGGGATTTGGGACAAAGAGGTGAGGAGGGGGCAGCATGCCCAGGGACAGGCTGAGGCCTCTCTCTCCCACTCCCCCTAGAGCCTGGGAGGCCCAGAGCTTTTGGAGCTCATTCAAGGTCATGAGTTCATGAGTGGCGGGCCTCAGCCCCAGGCAGCCTGCTGCAGCCTGTGCCTCCCAGCAGGCCAGGGCTGCACCAACTCACCCTTGCCTGAGTCCAGGGTCAGCTCATGGTCCGGACCTGATCTCCTGGGGGTGAGGGTTGAGGTCTGGCAGATGAAAGCCAAGACATGCTGGGCGTTAATTTATTTGTTTGAAGCGAAGTTTCGCTCTTGTTGCCCAAGCTGGAGTGCAGTGGCACAATCTCGGCTCACTGCAACCTCTGCCTTCCAGGTTCAAGCGATTCTCCTGCCTCAGCTTCCCAAGTAGCTGGGATTACAGGTGTGCGCCACCACGCCTGGCTAATTTTGTATTTTTAGTAGAGAAGGGGTATCACCCTGTTGGCCAGGCTGGTCTTGAACTCCTGAGCTCAGGAGATCCACCCACCTCAGCCTCCCAAAGTGTTGGGATTACAGGCATGAGCCACTGTGCTTGGCCCTTTTTTTTTTTTTTTTTTTTTTAAAGACAGGGTCTCTATCTGTCACCCAGGCTGGAGTGCAGTTGCCTGGTCATAACTCACTGCAGCCTCCAACTCCTGGGCTCAAGCAGTCCTCCTGCCTTGGCCTCCCCAGTAGGTTGGGACTACAGGCACATGCCACCGCACCTGGCCTGTTCCTGCTTTTATTATCCAGTGCATTTATTATCCAAGAGGTGTAGGGTCCACTCCACCTGCTCTGAAAGATTTGCTTGGCAAGTGCTTCACTTCTTTTTTTCTTTTTTTTTTTTTTGAGACAGAGTCTCTTTCTGTCCCCCAGGCTGGTATGCAGTGGCATGATCTCGGCTCACTGCAACCTTCACCTTCCGGGTACAAGCAATTCTCCTGCCTCAGCCTCCCAAATAGCTGGGATTACAGGCGTGCACCACCATGTCCGGCTAATTTTTTGTATTTTTATAGTGATGGGGTTTCACCAAATTGCCCAGGCTGGTCTCGAACTCCTGACCTCAAGTGATCTGCCCGCCTCGACCTCCCAAAGCGCTGGGATTACAGGAGTGAGCCACTGCACCCGGCCTTCACTTCTCTATAGAGAAGAAAGCTCACATCACCCGCCGGCACCTGCTCCTTCTGGTCCTTACTGTCCCCCACCTCCACCCTGAGGTCCCCAGCCCTGGGTGTGAACGGCCTTGCCAGCCCTTCCTATGATGATTTCCATCTGTGTATCTTGGATCTTTCCATGAAGAGAGATAGGCATTTGCAACAGGATCTACTCAGCAATGACAAGGACCTGTCCCACAGGGCGACACAGTGGAATCTTCCAGATACATCACTGACGGAAGGAAGGCAGGCACAGAGCACATGTTCTGGAGGATGTCATTTATACGAGGCTTGAAAACTGCCCAAGCCAGGCTGTGGTGTTGGAAGCCAGGGTGACCTCTGGAATGATGGTGGGGACAGTGGTGACAGGAGAGAGCGGGAGGTGGTGGGCGATGTTTGCCTCCTCTCCAGATAGATGCTAGTTCCACAAGTGGGGCCAGGTGCGGTGGCTCATGCCTGTAATCTCAGTACTTTGGGAGGCCGAGGCAGGTGGATCACCTGAGGTCAGGGGTTCGAGACCAGCGTGGCCAACATGGTGAAACCCCGTCTCTACTAAAAATACAAAATTAGCCAGGCGTGGTGGCACATGCCTGTAATCCCAGCTACTCAGGAGGCTGAGGCAGGAGAATTCGCTTGCACCTGGGAGGCAGAAGTTGCGGCGAGCTGAGATTGCACCATTGCACTCCAGCCTGGGCAACAAGGACAAAACTCCATCTCAAAATAAAATAAAATAAAATAAAATAAAATAAAATAAATAAAATAATTAGCTGGGCATGGTGGCATGTGCCAGTAGTCCCAGCTACTTGGGAGGAGGCTGAGGCAGAAGGACTCCTTGAGCTCAGGAGTTCAAGGCTGCAGTCAGATAAGTTCAAGGTCATTGGTAGGGTGGTCCCGCAGCTCAGGCACTGGGCTCACCCGCTGAAAGTTGTGTGCTCTCCTGTAATTTTTCTATCAACACCCCTTCCCTGACACTCAATTTGTCTCTCATCTTCCCTGTCAAATGCCTCCTCGAAAGGCCCAGCACGGTAGCCAGGCATGGTGGCTCATAGCTCTAATCCCAGAACTTTGGGAGGCTACGGTGGGCGGATCACCTGAGGTCAGGAGTTCAAGACCAGCTGGCCCAACATGGTGAAACCCAGTCTCCACTAAAAATACAAAAATTAGCTGGGCATGGTGGCACACACCTGTAATCCCAGCTACTCCGGAGGGTAAGACAGGAGAATCACTTGAACCAGGGAGGTGGAGGTTGCAGTGAGCCGAGATCCTGCCACTGCACTCCAGCCTGGGAAGCAGAGTGAGATTCTGTCTCAGGAAAAAAAAAAAAAAAAGGCTCAGCACAGAGGCCAGACCTGCAGCGGTGCTCTCCTGGGCATGTCGAGGCAGGGCAGAGGAAGGTTCTAGTGGGGCTGGTTGTAAGCAGAGAATTTTGTGGGCTCTCGGCACTTCCTTCCCTTCCTCTAGCAGTCTTTCCACACTTGCGTAACTGCCTGGCCAAGGGTACTTGTCCTGTGGACACCCTGAGCCCCTGGCTGTGATCTTTCAACTCTCCTCCTGTGGCCTCCCAAGACCCTGTTATGTTCCCTCAAAGTGCTCTGCAGACAGGAGGTATCCAGCAAGTTTGTTGGATGAGCAGAGGCAGGAAGCGCTCCGAACTTGAGTTTGACCTTGTAATGACCTCTGTAAGCAGGCTTACAGCCTTTTTTCAGGATGACATAGGATTTTTTCCACTTTTTATTTATTATTATTATTATTATTATTTTTTTTTTGTAGAGACGGGGTCTCGAGATGCTGCTCGGCCTGGTCTCAAGCTCCAGTATCAAGTGGTCCTCCCACCTCAGCCTCCCAAAATGCTGGGATTACAGGCATAAGCCACTGTGTCTGGCCAGGATTTAATTTAATGCATGGATGAAACAAGGTACCAAATAATTTTTTTAATTAAAAAAAAAAAGATAGGTGCAGTGGCTCATGCCTGTAATTCCAGCACTTTGGGAGGCCAAGGTGGGTGGGTCATCTGAGGTCAGGAGTTCGGGACCAGCTTGGCCAACACGGTGAAACCGGGTCTCTACTAAAAATAAAAAAATTAGCCAGGCATGGCATTGCAAGCCTATAATCCCAGCTACTTGGGAGGCTGAGGCAGAAGAATCGCTTGAACCTGGGAGGCAGAGGTTGCAGTGAGCCGAGATCACACCACTGCACTCCAGGCTGGGTAACAGAGTAGACTTGGTTTCAAAAAATAAATAAATAAAATAAAATAAAATAAAGTTAAGGAAGGAAGTAATAAAGAGATAAGAGAGTTTTTTCAGGGGAAGGAAATAGAATTTCTAAAAATGTTTGTATTGTGAAATATGTAGAAAACCACATCTCTTACCTAATTATTATAAAGGAGACAGCTGGTGAACCATCACTGGGTGTTAGAACAATACCAGGGCCCCAAGAATTCCCCCACGTCCCGAGTGCTAATAGGAAGGGCCCCCTGCACCCCGCCGCCCTGCCCTACGTCAGGCACTATTCTAGGTGCTTTCTATTTATGACCGTATCTTCTCCTCACAAGGAGGCTGTCAGGGAGTGGGTACAATTTTCCCCACTTCACAGATGGGAAAACAGAGAGGAAAACAGATTGCCACAGCTGGTATATGCAGAACTGGGATTTGTTTTGTTTTTGTTTTGAGACAGAGTCTTGCTGTGTCACTCAGGCTGGAGTGCAGTGGCGCAATCCTGCCTCACTGTAACCTCCGCCTCCCTGGTTCAAGAAATTCTGTGCCAGCCTCCCGAGTAGCTGGGATTACAGGCTCGTGCCACCACGCCCGGCTAATTTTTGTATTTTTTGTAGAGATGGGGTTTCACCATGTTGCCCAGGCTGGTCTCGAACTCCTGACCTCAAGTGATCTGCCTGCCTCAGCCTCCCAAAGTGCTGGGATTACAGGCATGAGCCATCGCGCCAGGCTAGAACCGCGATTGAACTTGGGCAGTCTGGACCCAGGCCCATGATTTAACTGTTGTACTCTCATGCCTTGCCCTTGAACAATGTGAATGAATGAATGAATGAATGAGTGGGGGTAGGGGGCTCATGAGGAAGGCTCTCACCTCAAGCCAGGCTGGCAGGGAGTGGGGGCTTCCAGGTCTGAGCTGCCAGTCCTGGCCTTTTTCCAAATGTCACCGTCTCCGCCCTCAGGCCACTTGGCTTTCCCCAGATGGGCTGAGCTCGCTATTTCTTTAACCAGGAAATCCCCAAGGCCAGGCCAGTGGGTACCATATCAGGAGAAAGGCGACTTGGCGTCAGGGCATGGGACCCACGCAGTGCCCTCTGGGACATTTTATCAGGAGAGGGAATCTAGCAGTTCCCAGGACTGGAGCAAATCAGCCTTTGGGTGGGACAGTTCTTTCCCAGATCTAACCTAAGCCTCTCCTGCTGCCTCTTCTTGAGCGAGTGACAGCCAGGATCCATCCCCTTGGACAGCCCTGGGTGACCGTCTCCTGGGCCAGCCCACAGGACCAGCTCTCCCTCCTGCCTAGGGCAGCAGGATGGGCCCCAAGGTACCTATGACGCTGGCTCTGTGTGACCGACCCTGTATTGGCAGGCAGGTGTCAATAGGCAGAAACGCTGGCCACTCCAGCCTTGGCCAACATGGTGAACCCCATCTCTACAAAAAATACAAAAATTAGCTGGGCATGGTGGCAGGTGCTTGTAATCCCAGCTACTCAGGAGGCCGAGGCAGGAGACTCTCTTGAACCCGGGAGGCGGAGGTTGCAGTGACCCGAGATCGTGCCACTGCATTCCAGCCTGGGAGACAGAGTGAGTGAGACTCCATCTCAAAAAAAAAAAGCAAAGAAGAAAGTGGGCCACTTGCTGCCTCCCCAGAGACCCATCTTCCTTTATCAGCCAAATCACCTGCGCTGGGCTCTGCTTGGCAGGGGTGGACCCTGAGGCCTCGGCAGAGGGGAATCAGGGACCTGCCCTTGGGAGACTGTCCCAGGACACACCTGAACCACACCCCTGGGAATTCCCTTCTCCCCTAGACCTGATCTCCAGCCCTTGGCCTAGGGACACAAGAGAATGGGCTCCAGGCCCCAGGCATTCGACTTAGGGGAGTCAGACGGAGACCCAGGCCCCGTGGGGAGACGTGCAGGCTGACGGCTGAGCTGTGCACGTGGCTGAAGCTCCCTGAGCCTCTGTCTTTTCATCTGTGAAATGGCACTGACCACTGTACCTACTTCATGGGCTGCCGTGAGGATTAAATAGGGTCAAGTACTAGGGTGGCAAACGTTGGCCATCACCAGATGCAAACTGCGCAGGGGCTGCCTCCAAGGTGCGGGGCAGGGAAATTGCCAGGTAGGAGGCAGGGAGGCTTCTTGCTGTTTAAATTGAGCTTTGAATGAAGAAAATGTCACATGAAGGACAGCAGGCACCCCAAGTTGCTGGGACCACCGGCCCGGGGCTCTGACAGTGGAGCAGTCTCATGATGTCCCTTGGAGAGCTTGTCTGGGTGTGGTGCAGCTGTGTGGGTGGCCTGGAAGCCTTCCCTGACACGGCCAGGCTGACAGTAACCAAGCCCATGGACAGGCTGGGTCTGTCCCCACTGCACTGCACTGTGGCTTCTGGCCCAGCTCCAGGCACGACATGGGCCCTCATCAAATATGCACCACAGGAATGGGGACCTTCCAAGCCAGCCCCACCCCCGCGGGAGCCCCACTTCTGTGCTCAGGGGCCCAGTTGCCCTCTGCCACCCAGGAAGGCTATAAACTCCGCAGTGCACCACCACCCCCAGGGGCTTTGGTGAAATTTTTTTTTTTTTTTTTGAGGCAAAGTCTCACTCCGTTGCCCAGGCTGCAGTGCAATGGCGCAGTCTCGGCTCACTGCAACCTCCAACCTCCTGGGTTCAAGCAATTCTCCTGCCTCAGCCTCCTGAGTAGCTGGGATTACAGGTTTCCGCTACCACACCCGGCTAATTTTTGTATTTTTAGTACAGACAGGATTTCTCCATATTGGCCAGGCTGGTCTCGAACTCCTGACCTCAGGTGATCCGCCCGCCTCGGCCTCCCAAAGTGCTGGGATTATAGGCGTGAGCCACTGCACGTGGCCGATGGTGATTTCTGTACACTTGAAACAAATTTCAGTAATGAGGAAATCACATCCTAAGCACCAGCCAGTCACTGGGTCTGGAGTGGCCGTTTCCACATCTCCCCAGCTCCAAGCAGCACAGTGAAGTCAGTGGTGGTGCGGTCCCTCTGGGACTCACTGAGGGCCAGGCCCCTGCGCCACTTCCCAGGAGAGATCTGGGACAGTCGCTAAGTCACACAGGCCTGGAGTTGGGGGCGGCACACCTGCAGACAGGTGGGACCTGTAGACGTGGCTTTCTCGGTGAGGGGTTACCCAGGCGCAGAGGCACCGCAGAGCCCCATCATGCAGGAGGACAACCTTGTCACCTCCATGGGACTGAAGCTCATCTTCCGCGGGCCAGAAAAAGAAACTTGGGGCTGTGGTGTCAACACTTGCCACAGCTTCCTGAACATGCACCCCAGGTTCCCTGTTCCGGCCTTGTCTTTTTGGAGACCTGCAGTGACTGCTGTTTATCCAGGGGTTTCCCCTGAAGGGTGTGGGCACCATACAGGAGGGGACAGTTTTAGTGTCAATCGGGACAGGAGTTCAACAGGTCCTTTGGATGCAGCTAGAGCTAGACCTTCTCAGCCTGTGGCATTTGGGGCTCTGGGAGGTGTGCCCTCTGCTCTGTCGCTGGCCCTACCTGTGTCCACCAAATCGCCCTCACACCTCTGGAGGGGTCCTCCTGGGTGGGTCCTTACTGCTTTATGTAGCCTGAGGAACGAGCAACCTTGAGCCCCCGCAGGAAGCGGATGCCACAGCAAGCCCTGCTATTGCTTCTGGGGAGGAAGTCAGGCAGGAAACACCTTCCCCAGCTGGGCTTGCCTCACAAGAGATGTCAGAGCCAGCTTTCCCAACACTTCCTCAAAATTAAGGTGCGGTGCCAGGCGCAGTGGCTCACGCACGCCTGTAATCCCAGAACTCTGGGAGGCCAAGGCAGGCGGATCACTTGAGGTCAGGAGTTCGAGACCAACCTGGCCAACATGGGGAAACCCGTCTCTACTAAAAATACAAAAATTAGCTGGGTGTGGTGGTGGACACCTGTAATCCCAGCTACTCGGGAGGCTGAGGCAGGAGAATAGCTTGAACCTGGTAGGCAGAGGTTGCAGGGGACAGAGATTGCACCACTGCACTCCAGCCTGGGCCACAGAGCGAGACTCCATCTTGGAAAAAAAAAAAAAGAGTTAAGATGGGGTAGGGGTGCAGGGGGCAGGTAAGGAGGGACCTCGAGGCGGCTGGGGGGACAAAAGCATGGGCCTCAGTCTGGGCTTGGTTTTTAGCCCAGTTCCCAGGATGAGAAGGCCCCTCTGGTGCAGCCACACCAGGTCCACCTGCCCTTTGTCACCGATGGGCCACTAGGCCCCTAGGGACCTGTGATTTCTTTTTTTTGAGACGGAGTCTCGCTCTGTCACCCAGGCTAGAGTGCAGTGGTGCGATCTCGGCTCACTGCCAGCTTGGCCTCCCAGGTTCACGCCATTCTGCCTCAGCCTCCCGAGTAGCTGGGACTATAGGCGCCCAGCACCATGCCCGGCTAATTTTTTGTATTTTTAGTAGAGACGGGGTTTCACCGTGCTAGCCAGGATGGTCTCGATCTCCTGACCTCATGATCCGCCCGCCTCGGCCTCCCAAAGTGCTGGGATTACAGGCCTGAGTCACTGTTCCCAGCCAGGGACCTGTGATTTCTACAACTGGCTGAAAGCTGCATCCAGTCTGCCCTGTGAGCCAGGTGAGTGGGCAGCCGTGGGTGAAGTACAGAGAGCCAGAGCTCCCTTCCCACCGTGGATCCAGGCAGGATCTGAACTCCAGGCAGGGGAAGTGATGCTTTTGAGAGTAAAGAAAGGCCCCACAGCCCTGTTTGCGGTCATCCCCCTGGACTCGCAGGTCTAAGGACAGGGACAGCGGCCTCCAGGTCACCTCCATTCCTAAAATCCGTCCCCTTCCTCTTTCCCCATCATAGGGAAACTGAGGCACTTTGGGAGAACATCAGATCCTCAAAACACATCCAAGTCCAGAAACTGGGGCTTCCATTTAGGAAGATGAGCAGCGACCTTCCAGAAGATGGAAGTGGTTACTGGGCAGTGACTTTCCAAAAGATGCCCCTTTGGTGTGTAACAATTATCTGCCCCCGAATGGTCAAGCCCACCAGGTGCCTTGAATTTACTAAGACCAGCACTTAGAGTGTAATGTGGAAACTAGAAAGGCCTGGTCCCTCGATCTTCCTCTCTGGTGGAACTTTTGGTCTTTGGAGAAAAAACAAAAACAAAAACAAAAAAACAGAAATGGGAACCAGGAGGAGGCTCAGAAAAACCAAACTACAGCCAGGCACAGGGGCTCATGCCTGTTATCCCAGCACTTTGGGAGGCTGGGGCGGGCGGATTGCTTGAGGTCAGGAGTTCCAGACCAGCCTGACCAACATGGAGAAACCCCATCTCTACTAAAAATACAAAACTAGCCAGGTGTGGTGGCACATGCCTGTAATCCCAGCTACTCGGGAGGCTGAAGCAGGAGAATCGCTTGAACTGGGAGGTGGAGGTTGCGGTGAGCTGAGATCGTGCCATTGCACTCCAGCCTGGGCAACAAGAGCGAAACTCTGTCTCAAAAAATAAAAAGAGAGAGAGAGACCAACCTACTTCAAAATGGAACTGGCAGCTGGCTCTATATGAGTTTCAGGTCCTAGGGGACCACAGACCCAGGTCCAAGTTGCATCCTCAAGCTTCTGAATAAGACTGGGGCAACAACGTCCTCATCTATACAGTTCCAGAACAGTCTCCCAGACCTCACTTTACATGTCAGCTGACTTAAACCAATTAGAAGATTAAGGCATCATGTAATGTGCTAACTCTGATGTGCGCTGATGGCCTGGGAGGGACGGGGGTGGGGACAGGCAAAGGCGAAACCTTCTCACGAGCAGATGACAACTGCCAGCTCTAGCATTTGAGAGCGGATGCGTCCCTGGCCATTCCCGCAGGACCTCCCTCCAGGGACAAAGCTTTGGTTTCCTCCCCACTGAGGACCAGGGGCTTGGAATGGGAGTTGTCACTTGGCAATCAGCAGGCAGGGTTTAATTCATACAGTCCTGGGAGGGAGACATTTCCTTGCTTTTACTGTTTTTCTGATAAAAATGTCCCCTATATAATGGCTGTCCAGAAGTGGATTTGTTCTTAGTCACTCTACTGCCTTACCTGGGAAGTAATTATGTTTGTCCCTTGAATTATTATGAAATCAGGAGGCGGCCGGGTGTGGCGGCTCATGCCTGTAATCCCAACACTTTCGGAGGCCGAGGTGGGCAAATCACGAGGTCAGGAGATCGAGACCATCCAGGCTAACATGGTGAAACCCCATCTCTACTAAAAATACAAAAAATTAGCTGGGCGTGGTGGCAGGCGCCTGTAGTTCCAGATACTCTGGAGGCTGAGGCAGGAGAATCGTTTGAATCCAGAAGGCAGAGGTTGCAGTGAGCCGAGATCGCACCATTGCGCTCCAGCCTGGGCGACAGAGCCAGACTCCATCTCAAAAAAAAAAAAAAAAAAAAAAAAAATCAGGAGGTTTTTGTTTTTTTGAGACAGAGTTTCACTCTGTCACGCAGGCTGTAGTGCAGTGGTGTGATCTTGGCTCACTGCAGCCTCCGCCTCCCAGGTTCAAGCAATTCTCTCCTACCTCAGCCTCCCGAGTAGCTGGGATTACAGGTGTGCACTACCACAGTCGGCTAATTTTTGTATTTTCACTAGAGACGAGGTTTCACCATGTTGACCAGGCTGGTCTTGAGCTCCCGACCTCAAGTGATCTGCCCTCCTTGGCCTCCCAAAGTGCTGGAATTACAGGCGTGAGCCACCACGCCCGGCCAAGGAATCAGTTGTTTCAGAAACAAGAGCTTATTAGATACACTGAAGAGACCTACTTGAACTATATTTTGCTTTTTCAATCCAGAATACCGGGCTAACGAAGATTTTACTGGACAAGTTTAACTTCCCCTTCACCCTCTGAACAATCACACTATCTGCCTTTTAGAAATGCACTGCCTGAGGCTGGGTTTGGTGGCTCACACCTGTCATCCCAGCACTTTGGGAGGCCGAGGCAGGTGGATCACTTGAGGTTGGGAGTTCGAGACCAGCTTGGCCGACATGGGGAAACCCCGTCTCTACTAAAAATACAAAAATTAGCCGGGCGTGGTGGCAGGTGGCCATAATCACAGTTACTGGGGTGGCTGAGACAGGAGAATCTCGAACTCAGGAGGCGGAGGTTACAGTGAGCCAAGATTGCGCCACTGCACTCCAGCCTGGGCAACAGAGTGAGACTCCGTCTTCAAAAAAAAAAGAACAGAAATACACTGCCTGTTCATTAATTAATGCAGGCAGCTAAGGCCTCTTCTTTTTTCTTTTAAGAGACAGGGTCTCACTGTCACCCAGTCTGGAGTGCAGTGGTGTAATCACTGCAGTGGCTCAAGTGATCCTCCCACCTCAGCCTCCCTAGTAGCTGGGACTACAGTTGTACACCACAGCACCTGGCTTAAATCCTTTATGTGTGTGTGTGTGTGTGTGTGTGTGTGTGTGTGTGTGTAAAAATATGTGTATATACCTGAGGCCAGGATTTTGAGACCAGCCTGGCCAACATGCTGAAACCCCGTCTCTACTAAAAATACAAAAATTAGTCAGGTGTGTTGGTGGGTGCCTGCAATCCCAGCTACTCGGGAGGCTGAGGCAGGAGAATTGCCTGAACCTGTGAGGTGGAGGATGCAGTGAGCTGAGACTGCACCACTGTGCTCTAGCCTGGGCAACAGAGCAAGACTGTCTCAGGAAAAAAAAAAAAGAAAGGAAAAAATGTGTTATGTACACACAGAATTGTTGTAATGGATTGAATCATGAATATCCTTGGCAAGTCTGTGACCTCACAAATGAGTGTGAAACCAGTAACTGAACGGAGATTCATGGCAGAGCTGGGCTTTTGCCAACGGCAGCCTTGCCATGGCCCTGATTCTCCAGGATGGGTGCTGGGAGGTGTGGCTGAGGGTGGTGCGGCAGGACACATTTTAAGAACATGTTAAAAGAACTGTGAGATGCTATCAGAGAAGCAGTCTCCTCCCAGGTTAGCAGGCAGGTGAATCATGAGATCAGTTTCCCTTTCTGGCACACGCGGATAGGGCACGGCAGAGGCAGGGACCACGCTGAGAACAGAAGAGCCTCAGAGTCAGTGTGTGGGCTCAGGCAGGAGGGACTGCTGCATGAGCTCTCGATGGCAGGGGCTTTTGGCACCCAATGTCGTATGTGAGCGGCTCTCCATACACAGCTGGCATGGCCCAGATGGAAGGGTGGGGGCCCTGGCCCGCTCAGAGGAGATGGGCAGCAGCGGTCTGAGAAACACCGCAAGTGGCGCTGTCCCCGGGAGGCCCGGCGGGCTCTGCCCAGCGCCAGCCTCGGCCTTGGTCTGCGTCCCACCTACGCCGAGCCACCCCCAAGCTTCCCCAGACAGGACCATGAAAACAGCCGAGAGAGCAATGACTTAGTGTGTGAAAGGCATGGATGGATTTTATTGATTACCCTATATCTACAATTTGAGGTAAAATAGAAGCAACACATAAAAGGGCCTATTTCTGCTACCATGTCATATAATTCTCCATTGTGAATATTGTGATAAAGCTACTGAAAACTATGCCGTCACAGAGCCTAGCTTCTTGTAGAGCTGGTATTTTACAACTCGCATTGCTTGTGAAATCTCAACACATGTAAGACTCTCCTAGGAAGGCGCAGAACGTCAGAGGTTGCATCCTTAGCCCCCTGACCCCTCCTCACTCCCCGCGCTGGCACCTCAGGGTTACAAGAAGAACTAGGAAATAATGCCGGCCACGGCGACCCCTGGAGAGGGGGCCGGCTAGAACAGCGTTCCTAAGAATCCGCGCCACAGCAGGTCCCGCGATGTTGGGGCCTTAGTGTCATCGAGCTAGCCCCAATCCTCAACCCGATCTTCAACTTCTGGTACACCATGCATTTTATTTGGACGAAAAGTAAAAGTGGAAGAGGTTCTCTCTGTATTTCCTCTATAATTCACACGCTGAGATACTGACCTCTGACTGTTAGGTGATCCAGATGGTTTTGCTTTTAATTATGATAAAAAAACATAGGAACCATGAGAGATAGCTTAGGAAAAGGTTTAGTCAAATATACAGATAGGAACTGTTCACTCAGTCATTAAGGAGAGCCGTGAACAAAGGATCATTTAAATGATTTTTTTTTTTCAAATAGAAAAACTAAAGAACTGAACTATCACAGGAATTTTTCTTCACTGCAGAAGCTGAGATGTTCCAGTAGGAGAAGTAGGAGATATCTTCACTTGATTGGAAAATAAACACCGTAACTCAAGGCTCTGCTGAGTACATAAAAAATCTGGTGAGATTCATTCCTGTCATTTTCCCTGTCATTTCCCAGCATTGCTGTAAAATCCTGATAGTACATTCCCAAGTACACCAGCCATTCCAGACCCACAGTCACTCTGCTCTTTAATTCACAGAACTGCTGAAAAAGTAGACATTTCTATCTAAAAGTAGAAAAAAAGGTTTGTATAGAAGGTATTTCTGTTATACAAGTATATTACACAGCTTGGGGTAGTAACAGGTCCGAAAAGCTCTTCTCAACCACTGATACTTTAAGCTAAAATAGGAGAGAAAACAAACAAGCAAGCAAAGAGGTTAATCTAATTACAGGAATTTAACAGTCACGAATATCACAACTTAATTTGCAAATTCAGGTAACAATGACTTGGATTCAGAAGCACTCATAAAGCGGGATGAAACCTTAAGTCCATGAGCTGACAGGGTAAGGCAAATTCCAGTACAAGTCTCTGGATTAAAAAAAAAAATCCATTGTCAAAGTTTCCTGACTTCGGGTCTCAAGCTACTGCTCCTATTATAACTTGGCCAAATTTAAGAAATCTGGACTAACAGGATCAGACTTGTTAACTCTGCAAGATGAACAAAAGATCTGCAGCTCTGTGAGACTCTGCAAAATACTATTACTATGGAAAAAAAAAAGTCAGTCTAATGATTCTGACTCATAGTGAATTCCAATGAGGAGGACAACGTTGACTCTATTTAGAAACAGAACATTCTTTTTAAGGCAAAAGTGCTTTTACATCTTTGACTGAGAGACATATATTGATCCAAGGAGAATCTCCCTGTAGAATCTTCTAGCTTAAATATCCGGGAAGGCTCCCACCTGGCTCCCACATTCCCTGAAGGCAGGGCCACCATCTTATGTGAAAGTGGGGAGATCACATTAGCTACGCGTATGCAGGGGGTTCAGATGGACACCACACAGCATCCCTGACACAGAAGCTGATTTACCCTAGGAGGGAAGAGGTCTACCACGTGGGGTCTGGTTCTTGCTTGATCTGAGAGCTTCCATCAGTCTCTTTTATTTCTATCAACAGAAACAAAACGGTACCGATTAATTATTTTGCAGACCTGCTCAGTGATAAATCCATTCGTACCAAACTATTTACTAAGATATGGTTTAATAAGAAGGACAAGACACCAAACATCAAAAGAGCTTCAGAGAGACATCTCTTTAGCAATACATTCAAAATTTTGTTACTTATGTTTTCAAAGTAACATACATCTTCTGGCTTACATGCATTTAAAGGACACACGTTAGGTTATCTAGGTTATGTAGCAGAGTCATTCACGGAGAATTTACCAAGTCATCTGGGGGAAATGGAGCAAAAGCAGCTATGCGTCATCACTCAACAGCATAACCTGCAAATCCAATTCACCCAGAAGAAAGAGAGCAAAACCACCACCCAGTTCTAGTGAAATAGTTTAAATGCACAATCCTTTGTCCTGATAAAAAAGTCTTGGCTGGGCAAGGTGGCTCGCGCCTGTAATCCGAGCACTTTGGAGGCCAAGGCTGGCGGATCACTTGAGGTCAGAAGTCTGAGACTAGCCTGGCCAACATGGTGAAACCCCGTTTCTACTAAAAATACAAAAATTAGCCAAGCATGGTGGTGCAGGCCTGTAATCCCAGCTACTCGGGAGGCTGAGGCAGGAGAACTGCTTGAGCCCGGGAGGCGGAGGTTGCAGAGATCGCGCAACCTCACTCCACCCTGGGTGACAGAGCAAGTCTCTGTCTTTAAAAAAAAAAAAAAGAAGAAGAAGAAAGAAGAAGTCTTAAGGACTTGCAGGACCACCCCACCCTTTTACCTTCTGTGGCTGGAACTTCCAACTGGCTTGGTTCAGCTGATTCTAAAGAGAAACACAGAGACTGATTTCCACATTGTTCAACAGCTGCTTTATACTATGTAAAGAACCCAGGAGGAGGAAGAGGAGAAAAGCCCTCTAGACTCTGTACAAACACAGGTGCATGATGAAACAATGCTCACGGTCTTGAGATGGAGCACACGATTATCCAAGTGTACTTTCAAATTTCTGTTTTTCAAATGTGGTCCTAAGTTCACATATGCAACTGAAGTTTGAAAGAGCAGAGTCTTAACATAGCTCTACCATGAAAACAAGCTCCTTAGTTATGCTTTCTCCCTTATCCTTCTGTTTACTCCCTTTAATAAAAGCTTTTCATTACTTTTTTTGTTTTTCTTCGTATGTTTGTTTTTTTGAGACAGAATCTCCTTTCTGTTGCCCAGGCTGGAGTGCAGTGGCACGATCTTGGCTCACTGCGACCTCCGCCTCCCAGGCTCAAGCGGTTCTCCTGCCTCAGCCTCCTGAGTAGCCGGCACACGCCACCACGTCTGGCTAGTTTTTGTATTCTTAGTAGAGACGGGGTTGCACCATGTTGGCCAGGCTGGTCTCGAACTCCTGATCTCAAGTGATCTACCCTTCTCAGCCTTCCAAAGTGCTGGGATAACAGGCGTGAGCCACCGCGCCCAGTCTCATTACTTTCAATGACTCACACAGCACCAGGCCATTCCACTTGTTTTTTAAGGAATTTTTTAAGAGCACAATGTGTACATTTCTACTGAAGAACATTTTGCTCACTGACTTATGGCAGACATTAGAAATGGATGGCAGAGTCAGGTTAAAGTGACGGCCCTCTTGCTCTGCCATTTCATCCTACCCATTAATCCTGGGGTTCCTGATGTTAGGCCTGAGCTGGGATAGGGGGTGCAAATGGTCTGCAGCCCCCAGTTCTCAATCAGGACCCACAGCTTGAATTTATGTTTTGATCAGCTGTCAAACCCAGGAGTGAAAACCACAGAGAAGCATGTGTGTGCTGTGTAACTGAGTCCCCTCAGGGCAGGTGACTGAGAGCCAAAGCCACACGCAGGCACGCCATTGTGCCACTGTGCAGGCAGGAGTAGCTCCGGGCCCTCCCCTGCCTCGCTCACCTTGTATCACGGGGCCTTCTGACTCACTCTGATCAACCAGCTCTGAAAATGAAGCAGATTGGTTTAAATAATGTAAGGATGTGTTGTTCCCTTGGAAAAGCATTTTAACATACATTTGCTGTTTCCCTCAAGATGAGAAGGAAACAAACCTCAGAGTTCTGATATGTCCCTCAGAATCACTAATTCACAGTAATTACCATAAAACTCTATACCACACTACCGCACAAGAACAGGAACAAAAGAGAACATTTTATTTATTTATTTATTGGGACAGAGTTTTGCTCTTGTTGCCCAGGCTGGAGTGCAATGGCACGATCTCAGCTCACTGCAACCTCCACCTCTAGGATTCAAGCAACTCTCCTGCCTCAGCCTCCTGAGTAGCTGGGATTACAGGCACGTGCCACCACACCCAGCTGATTTTTGTATTTTTAGTAGAGACAGGCTTTCACCATGTTGGACGGGCTGGTCTCCAACTCCCAACCTCAACTGATCCGCCTGCCTCAGCCTCCCAAACTGCTGGGATTACAGGCGTGAGCCACCACGCCTGGCCTCACTTTTATACATTTTTAATAATAAAGTTAAGAAAACAAAACACACTCGCAAAATTAAGTTTGGCTCAAAATACTATTGAAAATGACATCAACGTTAAGGAATTGAAAGGACATTTGTTCACTCGCTCAGCAATATTTGAGAGCCCCATGTGTGCCAGGCACTGTGCTGAAATACTAACAGAAGCAGGCACATTGTGACTTACTTTGTAACGAAATCCAAGCACAGTAATTATAACAGTCATAAAAGCAGTAATAAATATAGATTGTATTCGCTGAGCACATACTGTAGGCTAAACACATACTAGAGGCTAGACACTGTTCTAGGTTAGGGGGATGCAAACTCTTTTCTTGCAGAGCCAATTAGTAAATATTTTAGGTTTTGCAGGCACACACTTGCTGCTGCCATCTCTCAGTTCTGCCATAAACAAATGGACACGATGGTGGTTTCAATAAAACTTTATGCATACACGTCGGCAGGAGCTTGCTGACACCTGTTCCAGATGCTTTCCATCTACTGGAACGACTCCCCCAAAATCGGTGCTATTATTACCATTTTATGATTAAGTGCATCGAGGATAGGAAGTTAAGAAGCTTGAATAATTTTACAACTAGGAAGTGCCTGGTGTTTTTACTGAGGGCTAAAACAAGTATTTGGCCTGGTTACTGACATAGGTGAAGTAACGTGATATACGTTAAGCATGTATACACACTCACACGCACACACGTCAGACCCCAGGAAAAAACAAAAACAAAACACTTCACAAAATACTCACGGTTATTAATCACAAGTCCTGGAAATGGTCTAAAGAGAGAAACAAATTGTAAAGTATAACAATTTATTTTCACTCTGTAAGAATTTACAGGTATAACTGTTTATTCAACTCATATCTAGCCCACGTCATTTACGTACTACAATGAGAAGTATTATCCGTGACCTTATAAGCTTATGGAAGAGATAGATACGTATCAATAATAAGAACACTGTTAGAAAGTGTTAAGCTACTAGTAAATGGAGGAAAAACAAAAAATAGAAACGCAGAGCAGGGAACAGAGTGATTCTAAGTTTAACATACGGAAGAACGGAAGGGGCTTTTTGCCTAACTCCTGGGAGTGATATGGAGAATGACGGTGGGTGAAGTGGAACCAAAATATGAGATTTTGAGGGAAAGAAGATTGGAAGAAGACGAGTGTATGAGAAGCCTCAAGAGGATTTATTATGAGATTTCTGAGTGCCAGTTCCAAGAGACCTGAACTAGAGACAGTGGCAATCTGATGATGAAATGATTGGGTAGGTTGAGTCGTAGCTGTTTCTGGGGGGCTGGAAGACAAAGGGGAAGATAACCTGGGGTTGGTGCTCAGGTGGGCATCTCTTACAGTGACAAGGACGTGGGAAGGAATGTGGCACTCACAATGGTGTCAGAGGTGAGTACAATCATCATGCCTGCTCTACGGGAAGGAGCTGACACTCTCAGTGGGAACAACGATCAATCTCATTTACAGACAAAGAACAGAGTGACCTGGCTAACAAATGGCTGATGCAAGGTTGAATCCGTCTGACCCGAAGCCTGTGACAAGGCGCCCTAAGACAGAGGTTGACAAAGTTCTTTTTTTCTTGTGATGGAGTCTCACTCTGTCGTCCAGGCTGGAGTGCAGTGGCATGATCTTGGCTCATTGCAACCTCCACCTCCTGGGTTCAAGCGACTATCCTGCCTCAGCCTCCCGAGTAGCTGGGATTACAGGCACCCGCCATCATGCCCAGCTAACTGTTTTATTTTTGTAGAGATGGGATTTCACCATGTTGGCCAGGCTGGTCTGGAACTCCTGACCTCAGGTGATCTGCCTGCCTTGGCCTCCCAAAATGCTGGGATTACAGGCGTTAGCCACTGTGCCTAGCTAAGGTTTTTCTACAAAGTGCTAGAGAGTAAATATTTTAGACTTTGGAGGCCATGCCTTCTCAGTCCCAGCTACTTACTCACTGTGACAGGAAAGCAGCCATGGATAATACGGGTGTAGCTGTGTTTCAGGAAGACTCTAAAAATAGGAGGCAGCCTGAATTTGGCAAACAGTCCTAGTTTGCCAACCCTTTGCCAAAGAATTAAAAGAGTCAGCTTAGTTCGTAGAAGCACATCTGACATTCTAATGATGACACAAGTTATTTTGATTTGTTGATTGCACAGCATAGGAAGCCGGATTCGATGACTACCTGTGGCTGCATTTTAGAAGAGTCAGCCTCATGAGCTCCAGATTCGCTCCTGTGACTAAGCAGGAAACTCTCACTTACCTAATGACCGTGAATTTGATAAACTCGGCAGAGTCTAAGATCCTTCTCATGGAGCTGATTTCCAGGTAGCTGGGGGCTTTGAAGGACACCCCCGGGGGCATGCCATCAACTACCACACAGCCAGGGTTAATTGTGATTTTCCTGTAGGGAACTTTCACAGGAAAACCCATACCAATAGCTTCACCTACAGGGACAGTGAGACAAACAGCACAACAGCACAGATTAACCCACCGCCTTAAACAGCCTGTCAAAAGCACAAGATCAACATTTATTTTAAAGACTGTCTCTGCTGTTAACTAAGGTCTTTGTACACTTCAAACAAATTTAAATATGAACCTTAAATTTTTTTTTTTTTTGAGACAGAGTCTTGCTCTGTCACCCAGGTTGGAGTGTGGTGGCTTGATCTCAGCTCACTGCAATCTCTGCCTCCCAGGTTCAAGCAATTCTCGTGCCACAGCCTCCTGAGTAGCTGGGATTACAGGTGTGCACCACCATACCCGGCTAATTTTTTGAATTTTTTAGTAGAGACAGGGTTTCACTATGTTGGCCAGGCTGGTCTCGAACTCCTGGCCTCAACTGATCCACCTGCCTCGGGCTCCCAAAGTGCTGGGATTACAAGTGTGAGCCACACTGCCAGATGGTGAACCTTAAATTCATTAACTTTCATACTGACAATCAATAGTGTAACACTAATGGTATCTTATTAAATAAATTTAGCACAAACAACTCACTTTTAAATTTTAACTCCTTTTATATAGGATTACAACCATCCAACCATCATCTGCTGAAAAGATCTTATTAAAACAAATCTCTTTGCTTATAGCAACTGTACTTTGCAAATGCAAAACTTACCAAATTTCCGACTAAAGAGGTCATTCACTTGTTCTCTTAGCTGTCTAGCTTTTTCAACTTTCGAGAGTCTTTCATTATCATCATCTGAAACAGTTCAGAGAAAACCCAAAACTTAAATACTGCTTTTTTTTTTTTTTATGGTAAAGAGATGGTATCTCACGATGTTGCCCAGACTGGCCTTGAACTCTTGGGCTCAAGCGATCCTCCTGCCTAAGCCTCCCAAGTAGCCGAGACTACAGGTACAAGCCGCTGCTCAATGATGCACTTTTAATCCCAATTTTTAGGAGCTCTGTGTAATGTTTTCAAGCATTTTCCATTTTTTAATGATTTAAGTATTTGAGCACTTTGAGCTAATTAAATTTGAAATTGTTTAAAATAATGCCTAACTAAAAATGCTACAAATTTATTCTTGTTATAAAGACCTTTACCTGCTGTTTTATATAGATTTTTTTTTTTTCCCAGATGGAGTATGGCTCTGTCACCAAGGCTGGAGTGCACTGGCCCCATCTCGGCTCACTGCGACCTCCACCTCCCGGGTTCAAGCACTTCTCCTGCCTCAGCCTCCCAAGTAGCTGGGATTACAGCCACACACAACCAGGCCTGGCTAATTTTTCTTGTATGTTTAGTAGAGTCAGGGTTTCACCACGTTGGCTAGGCTGGTTTTGAATTCCTGACCTCAAGCGATCCTCCTGCCTCAGCCTCCCAAAGTGCTGGGATTACAGGCGTGAGCCACCGTGCCCGGTCTCATATAGACTTTTTTTAAGGAACAGACTAGCCATTTGGGTGGTTAACAGGATTTAGCTCATGCCAAGTGCCAAAACTTGCCGTTGCTGTTTGGAGAGCAACTGTATTTGGAAGGCAACTGCTGTAGGAGTCTGGGAGGAGCACCAGGCAACGTGTAATGTATCCGAGTCCCCGGATGAGCTGAGCAAACCTCTCTAGTTGGGAAAGTCCAAGAGGCCCTGAAGAGACCCCCAAAAACTCTGATGGAAGCAGAGAACTCATACCTGGAATTGTCACCTGAATGATGTTAAGGTCTTCAACACCTGATGCAGTAGTATTAACATTGGGTGATGAATTTATTTTTCCTGAAAATATACATTTAAAATCAGAATTTGTAGAAAACACGGTCAACATCTCTAATAATCATGCTGTCTGAGACTGTTTTATCTCAGTCCTGTTCAAGGTTCTTTCTTTCCATGGTAGATCATTTCAAGAAGACATGATGCCCCCTGAAGGGCTGCCTTTCACTGTTTTTCTCTTCCTGGGGGTACTTAGGAGATCATCACACACTCACAGAGCCACCCAATTATTAAATAACTAAAAATTGTGAAATAGCCTGAACTACAACTTTGAATGGGTTTTCTTTTTTCTTTTTGAGATGAGTCTTGCTCTGTTGTCCAGGCTGGAGTGCAGTGGTGCGATCTCGGCTCACTGCAACTTCCGCCTCCCGGGTTCAAGTGATTCTGCTGTCTCAGCCTCCTGAGTAGCTGGGATTATAGGCGCCTGCCACCACGCCTGGCTAATTTTTTATATTTTTAGTAGAGACAGGGTTTTGCCGTGTTGGCCAGGCTGGTCTCAAACTCCTGACCTCAGGTGATCCACCCACCTCAGCCTCCCAAAGTGCTGGGATTACAGGCGTGAACCACCATGCCTGGCCTCAATGGCTATTCTTTAAACAATGTTTGTAAACCACAGCTGCACAATGCATGCCTAAGAGCGTGTGTTCTATAGCAATGAAAATACAGAAAATACACTCACTGGGAGGGCTCTTAGAGGAGGTGCTCTCCTTAATCGCCGTCTCAAACATTTCGGGCCTATAGACAAAAGAGAAAAAAAATGTGCTGATCAAACAGTAAAACTCTAACATTAAAATTTAAACAACTCAAAGATTTACAAACCAGTAACTCTGTAAAGTCTAAATTCAATTCTTAGTCATGAAGAACAGAAATCACATGCTTATCTAAAGAACCACAGCCAAAAAGACAAACCACAATTGTAAATTTAACATCCATTGCTGCCTCTCATTGGCTGCCCTTCCCCTACACTGGTTTTATTGGCATCTTCTTTCCAAGGTTAGAATGTATCCTGAAAAGAATCAGCGCCAGAATTGAGGATGCAAAGAGAAAACGCCCCACAAACGCAGCATGGAAACACAAGATGGGCTGTGAAAACAGGAGCACTTGAGGCTCTCACTCCGGAAGCAGAAGCAGAGGGCTTAGAGGCTGCCAAACCTCTGCAGACCTGGCCAAAAGCATAAAAGGTGGCCATTGGCCGGGCGCGGTGGCTCACGCCTGTAATCCCAGCACTTTGGGAGGCCGAGGCAGGCGGATCATGAGGTCAGGGGTTTGAGACTAGCCTGACCAACATGGTGAAACCCCTTCTCTACTAAAAATACAAAAATTAGCTGGGCATGGTGGCACATGCCTGTAATCCCAGCTACTTTGGAGGCTGAGGCAGGAGAATCGCTTGAACCCAGGAGGCGGAATTTGCAGTAAGCCGATATCACACACCACTGCACTCCAGTCTTGGGTACAGAGCGAGATTCTGTCTCACAAAAAAAAAAAAAAAAAAAAAAAAAAAAGTGGCCAGCTTTGCTTGAGAGCATCCCTGGGTGACTCAAAATTAAGCCTGACACCAAGCAAATGAAACCTAAAATTCATTTCAATTGATTTCAAATAATTCATGTGCATTAGCATGTACTATAAAATTCCAATTATTCTTATTTCTTTTTTTAATTTTTTTTGAGACAGAGTCTTACTCTGTCATCCAGGCTGGAGTGCAATGGCACGATCTCCTCCGCCTCCTGGGTTCAAGTGATTCTCCTGTCTCAGCCTCCCTGAGTAGCTGAGATTATAGGTGCCAGCTACCACCCCTGGCTATTTTTTTTTTTTTTTTTTGTATTTTAAGTAGAGATGGGGCTTCACCATGTTGGCCAGGCTGGTCTCGAACTCCTGACCTCAAGTGATCTGCCTGCCTTAGCCTCCCACAGTGCTGGGATTTATGGCCGCACCCGGCCCATTCCTATCTATTTCAATTATGTTAGCCTAATCCACAGATGTTCAAGCAAACAGGAGAAATTGAAAATATTCTATTAAGTTGGAGAAATAAAAGGACTTGAAAAACTAAACAGCTGCTCAGATTCCAGCAGCATCAAATAGTAACAACATAGCTGTGTAGATTTAGCAACCAAAAGTCGTTATCTCTCTAGTATGGTGGAGTCCTCCTTCCCTTCTACCAGCAGCATAAGGAAAATTTCTTCTTCTTTTTTTTTTTTTTTTTTGTTTTTGAGATGGAGTTTTGCTCTTGCTGCCCAGGCTGGAGTGCAGTGGCACGATCTTGGCTCATTGCAACCTCTGCCTGCTGGGTTCAAGTGATTCTCCTGCCTCAGTCTCCCAAGTAGCTGGGATTACAGGCACGTGCCACCACGCCCAGCTAATTTTTGTACTTTTAGTAGAGATGGGTTTCATCATGTTGGCCAGGTTGGTCTTGAACTTCTGACCTCAGGTAATCCACCTGCTTTGGCCTCCCAAAGTGCTGGGATTACAGGTGTGAGCCATCGCACCTGGCCAGAAGTTTTAAACATATACAAGAGTGCAGCTTAAAAAGCAGTTTTTCTGACTCCAGAGCTAATTCAGCCCTGCCACAAACACAAACCCACATACCCATCTCCCAGTGTCAAACACAATCAACTCATGCTAATCCCACTTCATCCAGTTTCCTTACTTTTTAATGATGAACTTAATTTTGGCTTTGTTTCTGAGTATCTTCTCCAGCCTCGGAATGCCAAAAGTCGATGGTCTTCGGAATGGCACACCCTCAGGTAAGCCTTCCACATAAAAGTCTTCCGGGAAAGACTCAAATAACGCGAACGGCACCTTCACAGCTTGTTTAAGGCCAAGAGCTTCCCCTGCAAAACAGCCGCGTACACGAAACAGAACATGGGCGAAATGACGCCATTCAATCCCGAAAAACCCACACGTTGCCAATGACAGGGATACTCCAACGCTCAGTATCCCACTCTGCTCCCTCCTACTCCCATGAAGGCACCCTGCGTGGCAGTAAGAAGGTTTCAAAATAGACTTACCACATTTCTCATTGAAGAGATTTTCAACTTTCTGTTTTAGGTCCGTGATTTTGGCATTCCAGGCCTCTGCATATAAAACATAAGAGAGTTAAATTGCAATACTTATCACAGTACTTATCAATACACATTCACAGGCAGGAGTGTTTCATCTTATTTGTGCATCTTATTTTTTTTTTGTTGAGACAGAGTTTCGCTCTTGTTACCCAGGCTGGAGGGCAATGGTGCGATCTCTGCTCACTGCAACCTCCACCTCCTGAGTTCAAGCAGTTCTCCTGCCTCAGCCTCCTGAGTAGCTGGGATTACAGGCATGCGCCACCATGCCTGGCTAATTTTGTATTTTTGGTAGACACGGGGTTTCTCCATGTTGGTCAGGCTGGTCTCGAACTCCCAACCTCAGGTGATCCGCCCACCTCGGCCTCCCAAAGTGTTGGGATTACAGGCGTGAGCCACTGCGCCTGGCCTTATTTGTGCATCTTTAAGAAGAAATAAAAAATGCATAATCTTTTACCATGATATGACTTGACAACTACTCCCATCCTGATACATAAGCAAACTGTTTTAGTACATTGCTTTTATGTTGACTACAAATAAGTGAACAAATGCTAAAATAAAGAAAAAACAAATGAAAACCCCCAAAATGCCCCCACAAATTATAGTCTCTACTACATGCGAGGTATGGTTCTAAGTACTTTAAATGACAGTATTTATAATCCTCACCATAACCTCATGAGAAAGAAAGTAATGTTATTACCATTTTGCACAAAGGGAAACTGAGGCAGGGTGTATTCGCCTGCCCAAGTGGCATCGGATTTGAACTCAGATCTGAACTCAGGCAGCCTGGCTCTACGGGCTATTCCTTTAACCTTTGATATATACTGACTCACCAATAGGAACAATTCACCTGGTAAAATGAAACATAATGAACGTATTCTATTTAAAACTATGAAAGAAAGAAAAATAAAACGCTTACTTACCAAAGGAAAACTCTCTCCCTCGTGGCTTGAAGGGAACGTTAGAACCGTTAGTCTGGGTCGGGGTTCGAACAGCTGAGGTTTGAGGATTGTTGTTATTAGGGCCTAAAAGACAGAAAAAATAATGATAATCAACACACATTTAATGACGTAAGTGTCTCTAGGTTACAATCTTCAAGTCCAGCCTGTGCCAGAAAACAAAGCTAGGTTCAAATTGAAATGGGTATTCTTGTCATTCCGGCGAGTTCCACAGAAACCATTTTTCTATTTCTACAGAAACCCATTTTTCTTCTCTTCTTCTTCTTCTTCTTTTTTTTTTTTTTTTTTGAGACAAAGTTTCGCTCTTGTTGCCCAGGCTGGAGTGCAATGGCGCAATCTCGGCTCACCACAACCTCTGCCTCCTGGTTTCAAGCGATTGTCTTGCCTCAGCCTCCTGAGTAGCTGGGATTACAGGCATGCGCCACCAGGCCCAGATAATTTTGTATTTTCAGTAGAGATGGGGTTTCTCCATGTTGGTCAGGCTGGTCTCGATCTCCCAACCTCAGGTGATCCGCCTGCCTCGGCCTCCCAAAGTGCTGGGATTACAGGCGTGAGCCTCCACGCCTGGCCCTAATTTTGTATTCTTAAAGCAGGCCTCCCAGGCCCCGTGAACTTGGCTCTGCCCTTTAGGAAAGGCTGGCATCTTGTATATAAGAGAGATCTTCCTCTGATCTCTTCCGGAAGGAGGAAAGTCAAGGGTTCAATATATTTTTAATTCTTGGCATTTTTGAACAGAAATAATTAATCAGGTGTAAGTTGTCCATGGATGCTTGTTGGCTATCTTATGAGAAAGCAGGCTCTCTGAAAGTGTGCCACATGACTAAATAGGGACTTCTGCGCCACTCAACACCAGTACGGCAAACTCTTATTTAAAAACTTGACACCTGGGATGTAGAGAATGATCCTAATGCAGTGATTTCCTTCTGCATTTATGAAGAGATGGAAGAAATATCCATACTTGACAGTTGGTTGGAGATTGTCTTTAGTATTGTATGCAGTATTTTAACACTGTGAGCCTGAAAAGACAAGAACCAGCTGGGCGTGGTGGCTCACTTGAGGTCAGGGGTTCGAGACCAGCCTGGCCAACGTGGTAAAACCCCGTCTCTACTAAAGATATAAAAATTAGCTGGAGTTGGTGGTGGACGCCTGTAATCCCAGCTACCTGGGAGGCTGAGGCAGGAGAATCACTTGAACCCGGGAGGCGGAGGCTGCAGTGAGCCGAGATTGTGCCACTGCACTCCACCCTGGGCAAGAGAGCCAGACTCTGTCTCAAAAAAGAAAAAGAAAATACTTTTATTCAAGGCACTGCTGTTTAAACCACCCTAAACTTTCTTTCCTTAAAACAATAGAAAAAAATGAAGAGGAAAAAAAAGATAAAACATTCCACATGACTCTGCACCCTTATTTGTTATGATAAAGGAAAAGCATTTTAGGACTTTTCTTGGGGGAAGTTTATGATGTGATCCATGTTATCTGTTTTCTATTAAGGATTTAAAAATTTTCAATTAGAAGCATTCAGAAATTTAGCTTTATCACAGGCAGCTGTTCACAGTTAAAAGCTAGTTTGGTTAACGTCATCTGTATAAACCTGTATAAACACATAGCTAGTGAACTGACATAATTAGTAAACTAGAGAATGAACAGAAACATACCGAGGACTGGCCCTTACCTTCCACGGTGACCTCAATTTCAGGAACCTTTGAATTACTCCCAGGACTTCGTGGTCTTTTGGGGGACTGCAAAGCTGTAAAATAAGCAGAGTTCCTTTTGTATATTGTAGGGAAAAAAAAATACAGAAGGAGATGCTTTATAAGAGCAGAGTATTAAAATTCATACAGTTTGGTTCTTTTCAAAGAAACCTGCAGAATTAAACTTGTAGTGTAATCCTCCACAGGGGCTCAACAAAGCTGTGAAAACATGAATGAACTGGGATTGCAAATGTGACATTTCCAATGAAATGTTTTGTTTTTTTAAAAAAAAAAAAGAAAAATAGTTCCATTAAATAAAATACCTTAGAAAGCAAAGTAAACAACTCCAAGCCCCACAGAGATATTGGCCGATTCCGTATGATTTAAGGAATGCGGATAAAGAGTGTCTTAATGCGCTCAAATAGGATACGGAGTACACGTCGTCTCTTACCTTTAGTGTTTATTTTACTAGCCATCCCAGGAGGCAAGTAGGAAATAACTAGTTCAGGTCTAGAAAGAAAACCAAGAAGTGTTACAGTAGCCAGCACAGTGGTGGCCTCACAGCTAGTAAAACGGTCGTGATGTGATCAGGGTTTTTTTTCTAAAGGCATTCACAGAATCATCCTGTAACACAATAATTCCTAGTGTTGTGGACAAAAGACCCTGACTTTTCCTTCCCATGACTGGTAAGCCATTTTATGAAGAGTAAATAAGTGACTATTTTCATTAAAAAAGAAAAAAAAAACACTAGTGTACTTTCTTTAGCCACTAAAATTCTGCAGAAATGTAGATAAGAAAATCAATCATTAGGCCGTGCACGGTGGCTCATGCCTGTAATCCCAGCATTCTGGGAGGCTGAGGCGGGTGGATCACCTGAGGTCAGGAATTCCAGACCAGCCTAGCCAACACGGTGAAGCTCCATCTATTCTAAAAATACAAAAATTAGCCAGGCGTGGCGGTGCAAGTCTGTAATCCCAGCTACTCGGGAGGCTGAGGCACGAGAATTGCTCGAACCCAGGAGGCGGAGGTTGCAGTGAGCTGAGATTGCGCCACCGCACTCAAGCCTGGGCGACAGAGCAAGAGTCCGTCTCAAAAAAAAGAAAGAAACTCAATCATCAATATTTAGTCGCTCTCAAGATTGACCAGGAATAACAGAGCAGATAAAAACCAGCAAATTAAACTTCCATTCAAGTACTCAGGCATACTGCGAGTCACCACGGGGCCTCACGGTGACTCCGCGGAGGCGATTGTCACTATTTTCCTTGCACGGATGAAGATGATTGAGTATGGGCAGGGGCAATGGACAGTACCCGGACTGCAGCTCACAGCCAGGCTTTGCCATCAAGGACTTACAGCCACGCCTGTCACCTCTAGCTTGAAAAACATCTTAACAGAAATGTCATTTTATTGTTTTGATTCCAGAAACGACTACAGTGGCAAAAAGAACTTACTTTTTAACAACGAACTTGATTTTATTACTCCCGCGGACGATCCTTTCAAGTCGTGGAATTCCAAACCAGGTAGGGCTTCGGAAGGGAATCCCCTCTGGCAAGCCTTCCACATACAAGAACTCCGGGTTTGATTCAAACACAGGATATGGTACTTTTACTGCCTCGGTGAGTCCAAGAGCTTGAGCTGAAAGTGCAAGAGAACGTTAAGTTGCGGAGGATAACATTTGACACAGACATTCTTTCTTTGTGTCTACATTCTCGAGTACAGTATGGACAAGCTCCCTACGGTCAAGCAATATCCACTTCATATTGAAGGCATTTTGCTTAGGATATGGGGCAAATCTGAAGAACGAGCCTAAAAAATAAGTGCTTTTAGGAGGAACATTTTAACACTTTCAATCAAAAGGAGAGTTATGTTATTAGTGAAAATGACCTCTATGCTCTGGGCAGAAATGACCGAAGGCCATTCCACACAGCAGTGGACCCTGCTGGCCTTTGTGTTATCATCAAGAAGCAGGGTGTCTGTTCACAAACAGGCGGTGTCTACGATACAGCTAAGCAGCACTCAGTTCGAGTGGTCAGAGGCAGGGTAGTCAGGACTCCTGATCTGAGACAGGAAATGTCAACCCCAGGTATTGAGATAATGGACAGAAGTGCCCCGGGAATTTTGCTAGCACTGCCCACTCCTTACTTCCTTCTCCATGACAGACACACCCAATCAACTGAAACACTCTTTCTTGCTGAGCCTCCTCAGAATCGTTCTCAAGACAGCACTCCAGGAAACCGCTGTCAACAAATCTAAGCTGAAACAAATGATGAAACCTATTTGCCACATG
This sequence comes from Homo sapiens, assembly GCF_000001405.40. Classification (NCBI taxonomy): domain Eukaryota; kingdom Metazoa; phylum Chordata; class Mammalia; order Primates; family Hominidae; genus Homo; species Homo sapiens. The sequence continues at coordinate 74,744,105 of NC_000007.14, read as the reverse complement.
GGTGTTAGCCAGACGAGAAGTACAAACAGTGGAACTGAAACTTATCCCAACACCTCCCTTCCTCTCCCATTCTGACACGTGAGAAAGTGGAATCCAAGAGAAATGAAGTCATCTGCTTGGTTTCAGTAGCAAGTGTAGTGGTAGAAAGAAACAGAAACCCAGTTTCTGGGACCTTCCTTCTTTAGGTCCTGAACTTTTTTTCCTTCTTTTTTTTTTTTTTTTGAGACAGAGTCTCACTCTGTCGCCCAGGCTGGAGTGCAGTGGTGCGATTTTGGCTCACTGCAAGCTCCGCCTCTGGGGTTCAAGCCATTCCCCTGCCTCAGCCTCCCGAGTAGCTGGGACTACAGGCGCCCGCCACCACGCCCGGCTAATTTTCCTGTATTTTTAGTAGAGACGGGGTTTCATCGTGTTCGCCAGGATGGTCTCGATCTCCTGACCTCCTGATCCGCCCGCCTTGGCCTCCCAAAGTGCTGCGATTACAGGCGTGAGCCACTGCACCCGGCTGGTCCCGAACTTCTATACTTCATTCAGACATGGCCCTTTGTTGATATGTTATTAAAGACATAAATACTGGCTTTTACTTACCAAATTTCAAATTAAAAATCTCTTCCACTTGCTTCCGTAGCTTGGTAATTCTGACATTCCAATCTTCTTTGACTGGAAAACAAAAAGAAACCCAATAACCATGTTATTTATCAGTGCTGTTGCAAATCAGAATGGATTTTGCTAGAAAGTACTCTTGTTTGCAGTGATTCTTTTTTGTTTGTTTTGTTTTATTTTTTTGAGACAGAGTCTTGCTCTGTCGCCCAGGCTGGAGCGCAGTGGCGCGATCTCGGCTCACTGCAAGCTTCGCCTCCCAGGTTCACGCCATTCTCCTGCCTCAGCCTCCTGAGTAGCTGGGACTACAGGCACCCGCCACCATGCCCAGCTAATTTCTTTTTGTATTTTTAGTAGAGATGGGGTTTCACGGTGTTAGCCAGGAAGGTCTTGATCTCCTGACCTCGTGATCTGCCCGCCTCGGCCTCCCAAAGTGCTGGGATTACAGGCGTGAGCCACCACGCCCGGCCTGCAGTGATTCTCTTAATTCAGTTTTGTTAAAAGCAAACATTTGGGGTCTTTTTTTTTAAATTAATTAATTTATTTATTTTTTATCATACTTTAAGTTCTAGGGTACATGTGCACAACGTGCAGGTTTGTTACATATGTATACATGTGCCATGTTGGTGTGAAAATTTGGGGTCTTAAGGAAAATAATAATTTCCAGTACTTGCCAAATATCAGAAAAACTGCAGAAAGACAGAATTAATTTATTTATTTAGAGAAAGAGTCTTGCTATGACGCCCAGGCTGGAGTGCAGTGGCGTGATCTCAGCTCACAGCAACCTCCGCCTCCTGGGTTCAAGCGATTCTCCTGCCTCAGCCTCCCGAGTAGCTGGGATTACAGGTAGCCGCCACCACGCCCGGCTAATTTTTATATTTTTAGTAGAGACAGGGTTTCACCATGTTGGCCAAGCTGGTCTTGAATGCCTGACCTCAAGTGATCTGCCCGCCTCGGCCTCCCAAAGTGTTGGGATTACAGGCGTGAGCCACCGTGCCCAGCCTAGAAAGACAGAATTTAAATTTAAGTTTACATTGTAAATAAAGTGAAATTTGTCCACATGAAAGAGTGCTCAAAATCAGTGCTTCTCACACATTCCTCCTTGGAGAAGTCCCTCAGGGAACTCGGTCAGAGCAGGGAGGCCAGCTGCATGAGGTTCAAGGGCTCCCACACCAGTTTCAACAAGAGGGACTTTGCTTTTATTTGCTTTCTCTACAGGCAATCCTCGTTTTATCTAACAGATGTGTGCCTAAAAATCTACATAAAGCAACACTTCACTAATCAAAGTGACTTTTCGCATCAGAAATCAATGATAAAGGGACGGAATTCATGTGGGGGGTTGGAGTGGACGCAGGCGTGAGTGGGTCCAGCAGATGGAAACACAGCTGCCAAGTCTGCCCTGTCCTTAGCTTCTGCAGGAGGTGTGGGGAACTCTGCCTTCTACAATGTGATGCTGCACAGAGAGCTGTCTGTCATCTTCGACCAATTCCATGGCATTCAGGACACTGTGATAGGGGAAGGAACGCACTTTCTCATCCCATGGGAAAAGAAACCAATTATTTTTGACTGCTGCTCTTGACCACATTATGCACCAATCATCACTGTGAGCAAAGATTGTCACCATCACACTGGGCGTCCTCTTCCCACCTTGTTGCTGGCCAGGTCCTTGCATCTTCCAATTACTGGAGAAGCCAATGAAGAATGTGCTGCCATCCATCACTGCGGAGCTCCTCAAGCTGGGGGCGGCTCAGGCTGACGCTGGAGAACTGATCACGCAGGGAGAGCTGGGCTCCAGACAGGTGAGCAATTAACTTCGGAGCAAGCAGCAACCTTTGGGCTCCTCCTGGATGCTGTGACCTTGGATCTGACCTTCGGGAAGGAATTTGCAGAAGCAGTGGAACCAAAGAGGTGGCTCAGCAGGAAGAAGAGAGGGCCAGATCTGTGGTGGCAAGGGCTGAGCAGCAGAAGACGGCGGCCATCATCTCTGCCGAGGGCGACTCCAAGGCCACGGAGTTCATCGCCAGCTCAGTGGCCACCGCAGGTGACGGCCTGATCAAGCCCACAAGCTGGAACCATGGAGGACACTGTACCGGCCCTCCAGCTCTCAGAACTCATCCACCTGCCCGTGGGGACATCTGTGCTCCTCCAGCTGCCCCAGCGCAGGCCGCCCTGCCCTGCACCTCCTCCAGCCAACTGGGCCACAGCACCAATGACTTTTACTACCGCCTTCCTTCTGTCCCCACTCCAGAAATCACTGTGCAATTTCACAAATGGCTTAAAGCAATGGACATAAAAGGAAAAATCACTTCAGAAAAAAAAGAAAGCAATGGTAAAAGACCTAGAGACGTTATTCAGCTTCACTCACAGTGACAGTGGGGTGTGTTTTCCTATCCCTAAGACAACCATTGCCTTTTAAGCATCAAAATTTAAAAAACAAACAAACAAACAAAAAAGCTATTATAAAGACATGTAGAATATCACTGATGTGGACAGAGTATTCAGGTGTGGACGAGGTGCGGATGAGGATGGAGGTCAACTTGGAGACAATGCAGGATGACTGAAGTGTTTCTGGATGAGCAAAGGAGGGAAAGAGAGAAAGAGGAAACGGGTCGGGGGGTGGAGGGTTCGCCTCGGTGTGGAGGTCATCTCTGATTGCTGACAAATGCAGTGGAAAATGTTGGAGAAGGTCTGACAATATCGCTAAAGGTTGGTGGTTTCAGAAAATCTTATAACATTTCCTTTACTTTAAAAGAAAACTTAGCATCTCAAGGGTTGAATGTGAGTTGTTTTTTCCCTGTGGATTTCAGAGTAGGCCATTCAGCCACAGAAAATAACTCTGGATGAACCACATTTGAATACTACCAATAAAGACCTCGGACTCTCCTCCTCTAAGGTCGAGCGCCTCTATTAACTGCTCAGCCTCCTCTTCTGCCCCACCCCCACCCCCTCCTCCCCCACCTTGCTCCTCCCATGCAGGACTTCACAGCCTCCTCACAGAGCCAGGTGCCACCTCCCACTCCATCACATGCCTGGCTCCGCTGCCTTCTCGCGTGTGACATCTCCCTTTCACCAAGCTGAGGACACTGTGCACCCGTGGTGTGTTTAAGCAGACAATTCTGATGGCCACAAAATTCTTTTCTCTTGTGGTCTGTGACTCGAGTTGTCCTGTCCAAAGACTAACGCATGTTCCACGGGCAGGCCAAGTAAGGTGTTGTTGGAATGAGGAACCACCAAGCACCTTTAATTCCTTCCAAGATCTTTTATGAATGGGACAAAGTCAAGTGCTGTTAGTGACGACAAGAGTGGAGATTCTCCTTCTGGTGAATCTGCTGCACTCTGGTGACGATGGCAGGTCCGGCACTGCTCCAGCACCCAATCCTTGCAGTGACTTCTATGGCACTTGCACATTCTTTTTACAATAGAGGCTTCGCATTCTCAGTTTTTGCAGTCACTCACTGTCACAACTGCCCCTAACAAAAGTGGTGACTGCATTCCTCACAACCTTGAATTTGAGCTTTGTCTTGAGAAATGAAGGTTTCTACAGGTTTCATCATGTTCAGACTAATCCAAACTGAAGATCTACCTCCAGGAAGATTTTTCTTTCTCCATTACTTCCCTGAGCAAAAAATGTGTCACTTCCAATCTTCAATTCTTCACCAGTACTTTGATTGCTTGACCAAATCAAAAGCATGCTGAGGTTAACCTATGAGTTAAGCATTGACTTTTATCTTCTCCACTACAGGACTCCTGGACCAAGATAATTTTGTTACCCTGCTACAGAATTTCTCAGCCACTTTCCATGCCATAATCCACACAAAATCTATTTGGCACACTGACTGACCTTCACTCATGTCCACAAGGTGCTGTGAGAGCTGAAGGAGAAGTATTTTAGGGCACACCCAGGAACCCAACTTGAAACATTTGTTCACCTTAGTAGTCGTGAGCATGATTAACTGCACCAATCTGTATACACCTAGTACACACACAAATTTCATACTTGATTCCTAACACTTATTTCTAACAACAGAAAACTTCACACTACAGGGTATGGGCATTTACACACTACAGGGTATGGGCATTTATTGGTTCTTGGCAACAGAAGTTCCTAAGGTGGCTGATGATCTACAGAGTGTGGTCACTTCCTCTGACATTACACAACGGCAAACAAAAAGAAAGAGGTCAGGTGCAGTGGCTCATGCCTATAATCCCAACACTTTGGGAGGCCAGGGCAGGTGGATCACCTGAGGTCAGGAGTTCAAGACCAGCCAGACTGACATGGTGAAACCCCATCTCTACTAAAAATACAAAAATTAGCCCAGGTGTGGTGGCGTGCAGCTGTAGTCCCATCTACTCGGGAGGCTGAGGCGGGAGAGCTGCTTGAACCCGGGAGGCGGAGGCCCCAGTGAGCCGAGATTGCACCACTGCACTCCAGCCTGGATGACAGAGTGAGGCTCCGTCTCAAAAAAAAAAAAAAAAAAAAAAAAGATAGGAAAGAAATAAAGGCACACTTAGAGCTCTAATAAAGAAAATAACATCATTCATTGAACAGAGACTTCTTAGATCTTCCCTATTAGGCTGTGATATTTGTGTGCAGGTCAGAGTTACAGTCTTTGCCATTTTAGGAACACGATACATATGAATAAACATTAAGGTCTAAATGCATATAGCAGGTACTATCCCCGAGCAGTTGAAATGTTTGAAATGTGGCTACTTGGAACTGAAATATGCTGTGAGTATGAAAGACGCGCCAACTGTCAAATAAAGAACATGGGATAAAGACCGTGAAATACTTCCCTGTGTATTTCTTTATAATGATTACAGGCTGAACTAGAACGTGGACGATTACACATGTGGCTTGCATTTGTGGGGCACACTGCCTTTCTCATGGATAGCAGTGGTCTACGGTCAAAGCTTGAGTTATCTGTGCACTGCAGGTGTTCACATTGATAAATCAAGGAGTGGCTGGATTGAGCTTCTGCAAATGATTTTTTGGGGAGGCAGGGGAAGGGGGACTTCCATAATTTTAAAAGATTAACTTTTAAAAGCTTACAAAGTATTGATCTGTGCTTTTTTTTTTTTTTTTTTCTGAGAGAGTCTTGCTCTGCTGCCCAGGCTGGAGTACAATGGCGTGATCTCGGCTCACTGCAAGCTCCGCCTCCTGGGTTCATGCCATTCTCCTGCCTCAGCCTCCCGAGTAGCTGGGACTACAGGTGCCCGCCACCAGGCCCGGCTAATTTTTTTGTATTTTAGTAGACATGGGGTTTCACCATGTTAGCCAGGATGGTCTTGATCTCCTGACCTTGTGATCTGCCCGCCTCAGCCTCCTAAAGTGCTGGGATTACAGGTGTGAGCCACCGAGCCTGGCTGATCTGTGTTTTTAAAAAAGGATTTCACAACTAGTTTACCTGGTGTATTCGTTCTTGGCTGAGTAACTTCAGTGGTACTGTGAGTCAGAAGTTCTGGTCTGTAGAAACAGAGTTGATATTAGTAATAAAGCATTTAGAAGCAACTCACAGGCCTTTCTCACACAGCTGTTCATTGCCAATTAGTTATAAATATGGTTCATCCTGCCTTCATTTTATAGTGAAAAAAAAATCATTTTGGTGACGAGTTTATTTTGAAAATGGCAATTTTCAGATATTCGGGTGAGACCTTCAAAATCATCCTATATTTAAGATAAACAGGCGAAAGTCACTTTTCCCCCAAACCAGCTCAATTCTGTTTCTGAATCTTACATGAACTGTCCCACAGCACAGCCAGAAGCAGCTCGCTGTAGCATCTTAAACGTTTCCTATCCCTTATAACTCAGTCCCAACAAACACACAGAGGCATGACCCCAATCAGTAAGGAAGGTTTACCCTTCCACATCCCGTCAATGAGTGGAGAGAGGCCTTCTGTTCCTAACCCCGCACCCAAACTAACCATTGTGTTATCCTTCAAAATCAAGCCAGAATTACCTTTCTAAAGGGCGGATCCACATTATTTTCAGAGGCATCTGCCTCGAGACCACTTCGTGACTGCCTCTGTGTTCGTAGGATCTCAGGCCTTCCTCCACTTGCCCACCCAAGTCGATCCATGCAACCCCACCACGCCCACGTGGCAGTCCTCACTCCACACACGGTGGGTGAGTTCTGTGGATACGCAGGCATATTTGCCACCTCCTCCCCCTACTCATATGATTTCCTTCACTTGAAACACCTTCCATCTCTTCTGGATGCACAAGTGACCGAGCTGGGTGTGCCATCCTTGCCTTCTCCCTTAAAAACGCTCAATAACACTTCATTGCATTTTTCTATTTTTTTTTTTTAATTATTTTGAGATGGAGTCTCGCTCTGTTGCCCAGGCTGGAGTGCAGTGGCACGATCTCGGCTCACTGCAACCTCCGCCTCTAGGGTTCAAGTGATTCTCCAACCTCAGCCTCCCGAGTAGCTGGGACTACAGGCTTGCACCACCGCTTCCAGCTAATTTTTGTATTTTTACTAGAGATGGGGCTTCATCATGTTGGCCAGGCTAGTCTTGAACTCCTGACCTCAAGTGATCCACCTGCCTTGGCCTCCCAAAGTGCTGCGATTACAGGCGTGAGCTGCCGCGCCCGGCCTTCAGTGCATTTTTCTTTGTATGAAGGCCCCAAGGACAGTGTTCTTGTTAGACCCAATTTTGCACATCTGATGCTTATACTAATATTTGTTCACTAAGTGAATCTAAATATTAATGCCTTCATTGTCAATAGAAATAAGTCATAAGGTAAACAAAAGGCCCTTCTTCATCAAATTAACCTCTTCTCAGGGAAGACACTGAAACTATTTCTACAGATTATCATCTTACCTTTTAATAACAAATTTAATTCGATTGCCCACTTGAATGATTTTTTCCAGCCTTGGGATTCCATACCATGAGGGACTTCGGAAAGGAATGTTTTCTGGCAGTCCTTCCACGTACAGATCATTCGGGTGTGCCTCAAATTTTTGGTACGGTACAGCCTTGGCTTCAGTGCTCCCCAAGGCTTCCGCTGGACAAAAATCAAAGCAATTCGGGAGACTACATTTGTATTGAAATCAGATTTTAGTACAATCCAAAGAAAGGCACAGGTCAATTTTGTTTTACTTGAAAAAAACTCTTTCTAGAAACATATTTATTAACTATTGAATAGACTTAATACAGCAAAGACAAGTAGAGATGACCGATCATCAACAGCCAGATTTGGGCAGATTTAAGTGTCCTGGTCCTAAGACAATCTTAATAGCTCTGAGATCTTTAAAAGATTAAAGTTTGTTTTTCAATATCCTTAGGAAGAAAAGAGAGAAAGAAAATCATCATGGACAATAGAGGACACAACCTAAATACTATCTGGAAGCAGCCTTTTGCTACTAACTGTTCAGGACCGTAATTACCCTCCTCCATCGGCTATGGCAAACTGGTAACACATTTCCGACTACACTTTCATCTGCGTGGCAACCAGATCAATGTTCTTTACCCCTTCAACCTCACGAGCATGCCATTTTAAAGGAAATAACTTTCCACAGATAATTCATAGAATGGGGGCCGGGCGCGGTGGCTCACGCCTATAATCCCAGCACTTTAGGAGGCTGAGGCGGGTGGATCACCTGAATTCAGGAGTTTGAGACCAGCCTGGCCAACATGGCGAAACCCCATCTCTACTAAAAATACAAAAGTTAGCCAGGCGTGGTGGCGGGCACCTGTAATCCCAGCTACTTGGGACGCTGAGGCAGGAGAATTGCTTGAACCCGGGAGGAGGAGGTTGCAGTGAGCTGAGATCGTACCACTGCACTCCAGCCTGGGCAACAGAGCAAGACTCCTTCTCAAGAAAAAAAAAAAAACCCAAAAAAAAAAAACAGGGAAAACTAAAGCTGAGTCCTATTCACTGTATTTACTTTCCTAAAATAAAACAACATTTAAAAAAATGTTACTCAGTAATACATTTTAGTTGAAGGGGTAATTAAAAAAAACAGACTTACCAAATTTTTTGCAGAAAAGCTGATCCACCATCTTTCTTAATTTAGTGATTCTGGCATACCATTCTTCCTTTACTGTCAAAATAACAGTAATACAAGTGTTCTCAATTTAATGGGTTTAATAACTTGATTATTAAACATTATTACTATAAAATAAGAGGTATAACTTTTCCTTTTCCTATGGCCAAAATTATTTCTAAGATTCGTGGCCAGGTGCAATGGCTCACACCTGTAATCCCAACACTTTGGGAAGCCGAGGCAGGCGGGTCACTTGAGGTCAGGAGTTTGAGACCAGCCTGGCCAACATGGTGAAACCCCATCTCTACTAAAAATACAAAAATTAGCCAGGCGTGATGGCGCACGCCTGTAGTCCCAGCTACTCATGAGGCTGAGGCAGGAGAATCGCTTGAACCCAGGAGGCAGCGGTTGCAGTGAGCTGAGATTGCGCCATTGCACTCCAGCCTGGGCAACAGAATGAGATTCCGTCTCAAAAAAAAAAAAAGACAATAATAAAATTATTCCTAAGATTCTAGAATGTATTTATTTCTAAAACAATGCTGACACTGTACAAAAAGAGGAAGAACGAAACATTCATTAGAGCTAGGAAAAAGCAAAACTCAGTGTATTCAGGAACAGCTAGCAGGTAACACTTGCTACAGGAAGATTAGGGCTATGATCTTGCTGCAGTCCTTCTATCTTAGTAAATATCAACAGGGTGATTCCATTCTGTTTTATCCTCACTCCACTCCACTCCAGAGCAAAAGCAAGCAAGAAAATCAATTATATTTCTATTTATTTTAAAACACATCTAACAGGCTGGGCGCGGTGGCTCATGCCTGTAATCCTAGCACTCTGGGAGGCCGAGGTGGGCAGATCACCTGAGGTCAGCAGTTTGAGATCAGCCTGGCCAACATAGTGAAACCCTGTCTCTACGAAAAATACAAAAATTAGCTGGGCATGGTGGCAGGCACCTGTAATCCCAGCTACAGGGAGGCTGAGGCAGGAGAACTGCTTGAACCCAGGAGGCGGGAGGTTGCAGTGAGCGGAGATCGCACCACTGCACTCCAGCCTGGGCAACAGAGCAAGATTCCCTCTCAAAAAACAAAACAAAACAAAACAAAATACATCTAACAATTAAGAGATGATATAAATGGCTCCATGCTCTAAAAGGAAACCTTCTTATGTCCTGCATATCATGGACATTCAATGAATGCTTGTTCCATTGACTCGTGTAGACTTCAATAATAAACTGTTCAATGCATTATGCCAGATAAATCTTGCATCAAAAGTAGAACAAATATTGTTCTTTTACTTCTGTCTACCCATAAATGCAATATTTATAAGTATTTACAATGGGTTAATAAAAAGAAGATGCGTTTATTCTTCTAGAAATTATTAGAATTTTGACAACATGAATTCTCCTGTAATGGCACATAATTAATAGTTAGAGACATATTATTTCATGTGGAAGGTAACATAAAGAAGAAATCAATGTTAAGCGTGAAATAATTATTGCACATAATCTTCTGATCTGCCTCGAGATTGAAGACCTACCTCCTGAAGCTGGCTTATCAAGCTGTAAATCTTCACGTGTTGAATTCAGAAGCTCATGTCTGAAAGGTGAGAATAAATACTCAATAATCACTAGGTAATATTCAGCAAACTAATAACGACTAGTACATATTTAACATTTAGTCAGTAAGGCTGGTTTTGAAAAGAAAAGATAATCTGGATGCTTGAGCACAACTAAATCTTTTTTTTTTTTTTCCTGAGACGGAGTTTTGCTCTTGTTCCCAGGCTGGAGTGCAATGGCGCAGTCTCGACTCACTGCAACCTCCACCTCCCGGGTTCAAGCAATCCTCCTGCCTCAGCCTCCCAAGTAGCTGGGATTCCAGGCGCCCACCACCACACCTGGTCAATTTTTGTATTTTTAGTAGAGACAGTGTTTCACCATTGTTGGCCTGGCTTGTCTCGAACTCCTGACCTCGGGTGATCCAGCCGCCTTGGCCTCCCAAAGTGCTGGGATTATAGGTGTGAGCCACTACACCCAGCCCACAACTAAATCTTAATTTGAGGTTTCTACAGAGTAAAAAGCAAACTAATAATTGCAAGTTGTCTCATAAGGTGCTTCATGGAGCATGTATCCTCACAAGTAAAGAGGTAACTTTGCAACCCACAGGTCTTTGAAGCATATTACAAAAATCTTAAATGGGATCCTTTAATGTCATATTGCATTCAAGACTATCTTCCTCTGCACATCTATAAAAACAATCATATATTCCCACGCATGCTTTAAAAATCTCAGGCCTATGAGGGCGAGGTTGGCAGATCATCTGAGGTCAGGAGTTCAAGACCAGCCTGGCCAACATGGTGAATCACCGTCTCTACTAAAAATACAAAAATTAGCCAGGCATGGTGGCGCACGCCTGTAATCTCAGCTACTCGGGAGTCTGAGGCATGAGAATCGCTTGAACCTGGAAGGCAGAGGTTGCAGTGAGCTGAGATTGCGACACTGCACTCAAGCCTGGGTTCCAGTGTGAGACTCCATCTCGAAAAAAAAAATATATATATATATCAGGCCTAAAAACAAGGCGTGGATTCTATGTTCTTTAGCAAAAGTAGCAGAAAATTGTGAAAGAAAATGTGAGTTGCATGCCAATCCAGTGCGGGCACTGTTCATGCTTCGAATGCCAACACTGCATGACTGATGCAATGCTGGACCCAGATAAATTAAAAAGTGCAAGATAAAAATACATAAAATAACTCAAACTTCATCACATAGAACCTAGTGGTGAATGAATATTGGTCAACAATAAAAAAGACGTATTACTCAGAAAAGAGACAAGAGTTCAACAGGAATCCAAGAGTCTTACTTCTTAATCACAAAACGAATCCTTTCCTTTGCAAGTAATATCCTCTCCAGGCGAGGAATTCCGTAAGTAGATGGCCTTCTAAAAGGAATTCCTTCAGGAAGTCCTTCTACATAAAGATCTTCAACATGAGACTGGAAAAGAGGGTACGGGATCGTCACCGGACCTTTGGCTTTTATGGCTTGAGCTATAAGGACAAAAAGAGAAAGAGATATCATTTAAACACAATTTGTAGAAAAGAATAATAAATCATTGAATCTGTAGTGCTCTTTAACTTTTTTTTTATTTTTTTGAGATGGAGTCTTGCTGTGTCTCCCAGGCTGCAGTGCAGTGGTGTGATCTCGGTTCACTGCAAGCTCTGCCTCCCGGGCTCACGCCATTCTCCTGCCTCAGCCTCCCGAGTAGCTGGGACTACAGGTGCCCGCCACCACGCCCAGCTAATTTTTTGTATTTTTAGTAGAGACGGGGGTTTCACTGTGTTATATATATATGTATATGTGTTTATGTATATATATATATATATGTATATGTGTATATGTATATATACATATATATGTATATGTGTGTATATATATACACACAGGAAGCATTTATTACATGTATGCCAGGTATTACGTGAAGCACTTTACTATCTTATCAATCTCCAGGATAGATCTTCAGTTCTCATGACCACAAAAGAGGATACTAAGACTCAGACAGGAGAAGAGACGTGGCAAGGCACTGTGTCCCCAGAGCCTATGATCTTACCACTAGGTTACAGTGCTTCCAGGTAGCACATGCTATGAAGTTTTTGCTTCATAATGAACCAATAGAAAACATGAGGCCGGGCGCAGCGGCTCACGCCTGTAATCCCAGCACTCTGGGAGGCCGAGGTGGGTGGATCACCTGAGGTTAGGAGTTCAAGACCAGCCTGGCCAACATGGTGAAACCTTGTCTCTACTAAAAATACAAAAATTAGCTGGGCATGGTGGCGGGCACCTGTAATCTTAACTACTCAGGAGGCTCAGACAGGAGAATTGCTTGAACCTGGGAGGCAGAGGTTACAGTGAGCCAAGATCGTGCCACTCCAGACTAGGCAACAAGAGCAAAACTCTATCTCAAAAAAAAAAAAAACAACAACAAAACAAAAAACAAAAAACCACGGGCAAAAAAGGTGTAAGCTATTAAAAACTGGGAGAAACACTAAGAGAACCTTAAGTAAACCACTAAAAATATGGAAAAGTTACTGAATTCATTAGCAAATTTACTCTAATTGTAGATTTTCATTGAGGGGTAGGTTATATTACTCATGATGAAGAAAAAATGCTCATTTTAAGTTTGTTAACACAAATACCATCAATATGGTTTATTGCATTTAAATTTTCACTTATAGCAATTCAGTTAAAACTGCATATCATACAATTTTACCGCTTGCTAGTTAATGGCAAAGTAAATAGTCATCCAAATAAAAATGATAACAGATGATAATAAATATGATAAAAATAAAATGATTTTTATTTTAAATCATTTTAAATATTTTATAAAAAATAAAAATGATAATAACAAATTGCGAATTTCTTTGATCATTATATAAAGGTGGCTATAGGACAGAATAGTAAAAGGACAAAGAAGGAATTGAAATCTAGCATCAACTCAGTTATACATCAAGATAAAAGCAGTGGCCGGGAAGGGTGGCTCACGCCTGTAATGCTAGCACTTTGGGAGGCCAAGGCGGGAGGATCACTTGAGGTCAGGAGTTTGAGACAAGCCTGGCCAACATGGTGAAACCCTGTCTCTACTAAAAATACAAAAATTAGCAGGGCATGGTGGCGGGCACCTGTAGTCCCAGCTGCTTGGGAGACTGAGCCAGGAGAATTGCTTGAACCCGGGAGGCGGAGGTTGCAATGAGCCGAGATTGTACTACTGCAATGCAGAGACTCCGTCTCAAAAAAAAAAAAAAAAAAAAAAAAAAAGATAAAAGTAGAGACAATAGGGGGATCTCAGCAAATACTGGATTTAACAAAGTAGATTAACAGAAACTGTCAGTTAAAAAAATAATTTTTAATGAAACCCCCAAGATCCAGAGCTTTGTAATAAATATGTAAATAAATTCCCAAATATCCATGCTGGAAGTTTAAAAGAAATGTTAGCTGATAACTACAGAAATACAACTTTTCCTTAGCTTTACTGTAATCTAGAAACAAAGACTGTTTCTAATATTTAGACAGACACTACTAAGGACCTTACAATGAGAGACGTGTAAGAAAGTGTGGCACGGTTCACTGGCAGCCCTGGGCTGGGCTTGTCCACATCACCCCCATGATGAACAGTAACGCCATTGTGTAAATGCTCATGAACAAAGTATTACAGGAATTTTCCTATTTAGACATACCATATTTCCTTTCAAACAATTCTTCAACTTGTTTACGTAGATCAGTGATGCGAGCATTCCATTTCTCTGAAAATTGAGCAAAAGTTAATTCTCATTAAGAAGTCCCTACCATCGGGGCAGCACTAGGGTCTTGGGATGACTGAACATACAATGACATATTTTCTACATTTTTACATCCCAACTGTCCATATCATTTTACTGCTTTCCAAGAACTTTCCCCTTTTTGGTGGTTCTTAGAATTAGTAGGTTGGTGCAAAAGTAACTGTGGCTTTTGCCATTACTTTTAATAGTCTCATGGGAGACTACACGAGAAGTTTTAACATTTAGCACCTCTTTTTAGCCTTTTAATTTCTGAAAAGCAGGAGGGCAGAAAAGATCAAGCAAATGAAACACGACAAAAGGGAGACCACGATAAAGGTCTCCAGGGGTCTTTTAGCAAACTTCCTAAAACATGTCTCAGTTGTGTGGAAATAAGACTTTACGGATATATAGTTGCAACTTAAAATGCTAAAGAACAGGCCAAGTGCAGTGGCTCATGCCTGTAATCCCAGCACTTTGGGAGGCTGAGGCATGCGGATCACCTGAGGTCAGGAGTTCGATTCCAGCCTGGCCAACATGGTGAAATCCCATCTCTACTAAAAATACAACAATTAGCTGGGCATGGTGGTGGGCGCCTGTAATCCCAGCTACTCAGGAGGCTGAGGCAGAAGAATCACTTGAACCCGGGAGGCGGAGGTTGCTGTGAGCTGAGATCGTGCCTCTGCACTCCAACCTGGGTGACAGAGCAAGACTCTGTCTCAAAAAAATAATAATAAAAATTAAAAATAAAGAACAAAAACATATTTAAAAAGTACAAAAATTCAATTCATATCCAATCATTGTGACTACGACACAGTAGAATATTAAAGTACTATTTTCAAGATGTATACAAGCTTAATATTCCATTTATTCAAAATATGAATCATCAACATAATTTGCCGCTAATATCTCATTCAGTCCCTTGCTAGGATACATCATCCATTGAGAGCTCACAGATTAGCAGCTGCAGTAACACAGAGCAAAAAAAAAAAAAAAGAAAACCAAGAGGTGAAATAGTTCTGAAATAAAGATTTTAAAGCTAAGAGAAATAACTAAATTACTAAGTCTTTAGCACTAATCTTGAGCTGACTAATTAACATCAGACAAGACAATGTCCTATGCTTTGGTAAATCCAAACTATGTTTAAACAATGTCTGTAATGTAATTTTCAAAATGCTCCTGGCTTTCCAAAGATGAGATTATGATGCAGTAATAGACGCTAAAGCATTTTCCCCCTGCAGAGCATGTTGCAACATTTATCAGTCACACTGAGAATCCAGAAGATGAAGGAAAAGGTCACGTCGTTCGCTGAGAACTTACCGAAGTTGAACTCCCTCACTTTCCGCTTCCCAGCATTGGCGGGTTCCGGGACTGGTGGCTGCGGTAGCTCATTGGCCTTTGGTCTCTTAGACGGTGGAGAATAATCATCATCTTGAAAAAGAAAATGGTCATTACTGGAAGAACCATCTTACAGTTACAGTCACCTCCTGGTCAATTCCCAACATTCAAAAGGTGAGCAGGGCTTTAAAGCTATTTTGAGTATCAATAGTTATTTCTGTATTGTGAGCTTTAGCAGGCTTTTTCCTTGTTACATTTGAAATTTTCTTTGTTTGGGATGTGTTCAAGTGAATACTGCTTTTTCCTCTGTCTTTCTTCATTATTTTTTAGTTTGCTTCATTTGAATTGTCATTATAAATTTCCCCTTCTCAAATAACTTTCAAATTGCCAAGAACTATATTGTTTTAAGACTTTCAAGAAAAAACTTTTAATAAAGACAGCCACCTAAAGTTATAAAAGGGGATAGAGTACAGCTTAGATGGAAAAGATATTTAAGCTTATACAAAATTTAAGCATGCATAAGCAAGGGAAATTGGGTAAATAGTTTTTTTTTGTTTTTGTTTTTGTTTTTGTTTTTGAGACAGAGAATTGTTCTGTTGCCCAGGCTGGAGTTCAGTGATGCAATCTTGGCTCACTGCAACCTCCACCTCCTGGGCTCAAGCGATTCTCATGCCTCAGCCTCCGAAGTAGCTGGGATTACAGGCACCCGCCACCGCGCCCGGCTAATTTTTGTATTTTTTTGATAGAGATGGGGTTTCGCCATGTTGGCCAGGCTGGTCTCAAACTCCTGGCCTCAAGTGATCCACCCACCTCGGCCACCCAGAGTGCTGGGATTACAGGTGTGAGCCACCGCGCCTGGCCTGTTCAAATACTTTTAACAAGTGCAAAATGTATGGGCTTAAAGAAATAGGGCTGCATTATGATGAAACAGATACTGTTGATTCAGTCAGCACAGAGGCTGTGTATAAAGGAGCAGTCAGCTATTCAAGCACAGCGCACAGCACACACGCTGTTGTGAGAGTTCCGTGCTCATTTCCTTGTGGATACACCAGGAACTCACTCTGCTGTGACCCTTCAGTACACCTCATGTTAGGATTAGAGACATCTGGGTCATATCAGCTGCCACTGTCATCTTCTAGTCCCTCAAAGTGTCAGGTAACATGCTATTAATATTGCTGCTCAAACATCATCTATAAAATACTGAAAACATCATTTTAAGAAATTCTTATTTAAAAACAAATGTGGTATGGTGAAGAAAATAATTATTGTGTTAAAGACAGTATCATAGAAAAAAGATCACTCAAGTACAAGACACTATCTTTTTAGATGGGTATAATTGTTATTCTTATTTTACAGCTAAAGAAACAGGCTCAGAGGATGTTATTTGATTGGACTATGTTGTATCTCTGGAGAGCACAGCTGAGATCAGACTGTGTGTGTGTAACTCCACTAGACTACGAGGGTGCTTCTCATAAAGGTAAGAAATGCAAATTTGGCCTAATATACGATGTTGCCCGGGGCAGCACTGGGTCACTTCTATAGACACTTCTGTGTTAATCAAGGGAAATCTTAAGGGAAGGTGAAAATGCTTCTAGAAGGCGACTGGACACCAGCACCCTTGCTTGCTGCCTTTGGGCTCTTCCTCTAAGGCCAACAGTGACCTGAAATTATTGACTGGCTGGCCGTGCTAATCAACTGGAGAAAATGGTTCCGAGGTCACCAACATCAGACAAATTCATTTTAGGACCTATGTATGTGCTTAGAAAGACAGAAGTGCTTTTGTAAAGGATACTATTTCAGAAAAACATAATCATAGTAACAACTAATGACGCTATAAAATGCTGATGTGTTGAATGCTACTTTAGAAAAACATGTTCAAATCTAGGAAAAAATTTGATAGAAAACTATCTATCTATCGGCAGGGTCTCATTCTTTCTATCTATCTATCTATCTATCTATCTATCTATCTATCTATCTATTGGCAGGGTCTCATTCTATCTATCTATCTATCTATCTATCTATCTATCTATCTATCTATCTATCTGTCGGGAGGGTCTCATTCTATCGCCCAGGCTGGAGGGCAGTGGCATGATTATAGCTCACTGCAACCTCGAGCTCCTGGCCTCAAATGATTCTCCTGCTTCAGCCTCCCAAATAGCTGGGACCAACACACCTGGCTATTTTTCTTTTAATTTTTTGTAGGGACAGGGTCTCATTATGTTGCCCAGGCTGGTCTGAAACTCCTGGCCTCAAGTGATCCTTCTGCCTCAGCCTCCCAAAGTGCGGAGATTATAGGCATGAGCCACGGGACCAGGACAGAAAACAATTTTAAAATGACAACCTCCCTGTGAAATAAAACTTGACTGGCACCTGGGTTTGTATGACTGTAAGGATTAAAAATGGTCAAGACACCCTATAAATAGATTAAGGTTCCAACCTAAGTAGAAACAATCTGGAAAACAGAAGTGTGTAAGTTTGGACCTCAATTCTGAAAATATACTTTTTAAAAAACCCGATTTTCCAACTCCCAAACAGATTTTAGAAACCTTAAGAGTATTTTTATGCTGGCTTCCAAAGGTTAAAACAAAATACACTCATTTCACCTATGAATACTGTCAAAGCATTATAAATGCTTAATATTACTATATATTTTTTTACAAACATTAAGCAGTAACTTCTAAAATAAAAGTATTTCCCCTATAGGTTAAGGTCTCCTAAGTATCCTTATAGATCATCATTTAAGCTGACTATTCATTGAGTGACATAAACTGAAAGCTGCTAGAGTAGAATGACATGAGAAAGGAAACACAGCTGTAGATGGAATGGAAGGGACACCTGTGGAGCTCCATCCCATGGATCTCAGTCCAAATCCAAACTTCACAGCTGAGGCCCAGGGGAAGGGAAGACAGGTTTTCCTTACTGAAAAGACTTCACTTTTTCAGTCACACAAACATTTTAGACCACAATAGATTTAATAGCATAAATATATTTTATGAAGGTAACCCAATCGATCATAAACCAAAAAAAAAAAAAGAAAGAGAAAAAGGCAAATCTACTAGAGTGCTTTTTTAATACAACAAAGACTGTAAAATATTGAAAATATCAGGGATATCACATTTTCCTCTTCACTGACAAATAATAAAGTTCAATCTGTTAAATGTGAACATATATAGAGATGAATGTAGTTACTTTATTTTTTAAGACAGGGTCTCCCTCCTTCACCCAGGCTGGAGCACCACTCACTGCAGCCTCGACTTCCCAGGCTCAGGTGATCCTCCCACCTCAGCCTCCCAAATAGCTGGGACTACAGGCCTGCACCACCACGCCCAGCTAATTTTTTTTTTTTTAACTTTTGTAGAGATAGGGGTCCCCCTATGTTGCCCAGGTTGGTCTTGAACTCCTGGCCTCAAGTGATCCTCCTGCCTTGGCCTCCTAAAGTGCTGGGATTATAGGTGTGAGCCACCGCACCCAGCTGGATGTAGTTATTGATAAAATATCACACCATATATTCTATTTTAAAAACCCTGTTTCATAAACTTATTAATTAATCTTTGGGTGTTTTAAGTCATATGGAACATGGCATTCAGGCATCAGAACAGCTATAAACTTCACCACATCCTCAATTTTTTCTGCAATTAACTCTTTGTTGCAATTAATTGGTTTTGAGAAAGTAAGAAAAAAAATGGGTTTCTCGACCTAAAATCCTTTCCACAAAGGATCAAAATTACTTTTTACTCTGAAGCATAAAACATCAACTAAAGCTCTAGGGCCTGCCCTCACATACTGGGCATTGCTCTTCCAATTATCTGCCGTTTCCAAAGTATAAACAACCATTTTTGTTTAACAAGACACACGTTTCAGCATGCTTCAAATTCAAGCCCAAACTCTGTTTCCATAATCAAAATGTAAAGCTTTTAAAATACATTTTAAGATATTTTATTTTATTTTTTGAGATGGAGTCTTGCTCTGTCACCCAGGCTGGGAGTGCAGTGGGCAGTGGCACGATCTTGGCTCACTGCAATCTCCACTTCCTGGGTTCAAGCAATTCTCCTGCCTCAGCCTCCAGAGTAGCTGGGATTACAGGCGCCCACCACCACGCCCAGCTAATTTTTATATTTTTAGTAGAGATGGAATTTCACCATGTTGGTCAGGCTGGTCTCAAACTCCTGACCTCAGGTGATCCACCCACCTCGGTCTTCCAAAGTGCTGGGATTACACCACCACACCTGGCCCATTTTAAGATATTTTAATATGCAAAAGGTGCTATTCATGAATTTACAATAGTTATGCTACCCACACTAACAAAAGCACTCCGCCAATACCTTCAAGTTGGCAACACCGTCCCTAACTCAAAATTTGTGTTTAGAAAACACCAACTTCCTTTTTGCAACATATTAACGAATACACCTAAAGATAATACAGGCTTCAGAGCTAAAGCTGTTTATCACTGCATTCTGGCCGGTGAATCAATAAATAGACTATGTTACAATATGTTCTGATACTCTTAGCTTCAACATAATCAGACTGGGAATGTGTTATCATACAATCTGACATCTATTCAAAGTTAAAAAAACAATCAACACCAGGTAATATATCTATTTCAAAACTGGAGCCATTAATTACCCTATACATTTCAAATAAATGGATTCATTCTTTCACCCATGGATACCACTTATAGCTCCTCTAAAACTCTTTACATAAACAATTGGGTATTTATTAAATGACTATTTGGCAGCAATAAAAAAAATTTAAAACAAAGTGTTCAAGTGCTAACCTAAGCAATTATGTCCATTTTAAAAGTGCTGCAGAGACATTTAAGAAAATACAAGAATTAAACAATAAACAGCAAAGCCTGGTGGCTTTGTCTTCAAAATCTCCCCAGAATCAACAACTTCTTATCTCCCCTGCCACCAACCTGCTCTAAAGCACTCTTCTCTGTGCCCTAGGTAGTTCCAAGAGGCTCCCAAGCTAGTTTTCTGTCAAAAAACTATTGACTGCTCTAGGTCTTCTCTTTTTTTTTTTTTCCCCCTTTTCTCAACATAGTCACCACGTTTCCTAGAAGTGAAGGACAAAAAGTGTCACTCTTATTTGCAAAACACTCCCGAGGATTTGCCACTGAATTATTCACTACTAAATTCTTAGCACCGTGGCCAGGCGCGGTGGTTCATGCCTGTAATCCTAGCACTTTGGGAGGCCGAGGCGGGTGGATCACCTGAGGTAAGGAGTTCAAGACCAGCCTGGCCAACATGGTGAAACCCCTGTCTGTACTAAAAGTAAAATATTGGCTGGACATGGTGGCGTGTGCCTGTAGTTCCAGCTACTCCAGAGGCTGAGGCAGGAGAATCACTTGAACCCAGGAGGCGGAGGCTGCGGAGAACCGAGATCAGGTCACTGTACTCCAGCCTGGGCAACAGAGCAAGACTCCGTCTTAAAAAAAAAAAAAAAAAAAAGAGGCCGGGAGCGGTGGCTTATGCCTGTAATCCCAGCTCTTTGGGAGGGTGAGGTGGGCGGATCACGAGGTCAGGAGTTCAAGATCACCCTGGCCAAAATGGTGAAACCCCGTCTCTACTAAAAATACAAAAAAAATTAGCCAGGCATGGTGGCGGGCGCCTATAATCCCAGCTACTCGGAGGAAGGCTGAGGCAGAGAACTGCTTAAACCTGGGAGGCAGGGGATGCAGTGAGCCGAGATTGCGCCACTGCACTCCAGCCTGGGCGACAGAGCGAAACTCCGTCTCAAAAAAAAAAAAAAAAAACTCTTAGCACCTGGTACATACAATGTGCTCAGTATTTGTGGAGGGATTAAATGAACATATGAATAGTTTAGTCCCTAATTATATGCTGCAGTCAAGTATCTGGCACTATCTTAAACATAAATTCCACAAGAAAGGGATGGTAGGTAGTCCAACTGCCCATCATAAACCCTACTAAAATACTGAAACTCTAAAAACGTATTATTCAAATCTTAGTACATAATTCCTCTGAGACTCCTTTTTTTACATATATAATTGTGTATTCATTAAGTGTCTGATTGGCAGCTATAAAAATAAAAAACACAGAAGTTTTCCAACGCTAACCTCCTCAATTACAGAGATCCTAAAAAACCTACAGTACCAGCTGCAGTAAGTGTGCCACGTGTGGTCATGTGAGTCAATTATATTTGAAATTATTTACATATACCTTTCAAAATATGAGAAATAAAAAAGCCAGAGTTTGACTTAGGAAGACGTAAAATTCATCACAAAATGAATTTACTTAAAATCAATTTAAGGGAAAAAAATCAGGTTAAGTAATGAACAGAGAGTTAGGCCACAGCAGAAGGAACACAGGTAACAGGTAAGTGACTCAGGTTTGGGAAGCTAGGCCCTAAGAGAGAACTGCGCAAGAAAGAAACCTCCTTTACACGGTTCTTAGCACTCCCATGACAGCTAGACCTGAAACAAGTCTGATAAGGTTTTCTCTGCACACATTAGAGATAACATACCTGACGGCAATTCACCTTAACCCAGAAATGTAGTCACGGTGTTTACGAAAACTGAGGCATGCGGTCCTATTAGTCCAAGGCCGATTTCCCAAACCTAAGTCACGTATGTTTTAAATGTTTACCACCGACTCCAAGTACAAATAAAACGCCACAAATGGAAGTGCACAGCTCAGAGCGCACCGGCAGTGGGTAAGTAATGACCCTGTATCCACAAACACGTCCGCGTCGGTGTCAAATTAGCCACTTCAGAACTCCACATAATTGCAAATGAAGATATCGAGGTGAAAACACTGTGAAAAATCGGACAGACTTATTTGATAACAAAGTTCTGTTTTTTTTTCTACCAATGATTTGGGAAATGTGAAAAGATATAAAAGGAGAAAATTAAGTCGTCTCCAAGCAAGCAGGAATATCTCAGTTTATTTTTGTCCGTCTTCCTACCAAGCATGAGTATTTTCCAAAACAAAACTAAGATTATCCTCTAGATGCACTTTTGCTTTTCAAGTTGCCTTGTTCTCAAGGCAGGATTTTTTTTTTTTCCACTGAACATTTTATATTAGAGATCTTTTTTCAGATTATTGGAAAACATTATCAGGATTTCAATGGCTATATATTTTTCTGTTATGAAGATATACCAAAATTTTATTTCCTAACTACGGGTATCTAAATAGCTCCTACCATTTGGAAGTAATCTTTCCAGAAAGAATATATGATACACATTATTAACCAGAGGTGTGCATGTAAGTTCTCACTTGACCTTCCTTGTTAATATTGAGACAGTTTTTTATCTTCTTAAAAAAATGAGGAATTTAATTGTTGATGTAATTTCTATATAATATACATATTTTTTATATATAATACATAAAATGTGTGTGTGTATATGCACATATGACATGGAAAATGCTACCTTTTAAAAGGATTACTTTACTCAGACCTGGTATTTCACTGGTCTTCTGAAAAGAAAGAGGTCTACTAGCAAAATTCTACTACTTAATCACAAATGTGAACATTAAATCAGGCTTATGGCACAATGTCTTAGTTTAAAAGAAATGAATGGCCAGGTGCGGTGGCTCATGCCTGTAATCCCAGCACTTTGGGAAGCCGAGGTGGGCAGATCACCTGAGGTCAGGAGTTCGAGACCAGCCTGACCAAGATGGAGAAACCCTGTCTCTATTAAAAATACAAAATTAGCCGAGCATGGCGGCGCATGCCTGTAATCCCAGCTACTCAGGAGGCTGAGGCAGGAGAATCGCTTGAACCTGCGAGGCGGAGGTTGCGGTGAGCCGAGATAGCGCCAATGCACTCCAGCCTAGGCAACAAGAGTGAAACTCCATCTCAAAAACAAATAAATAAATAAATAAACAAATAAATGAAAAGAAAAGAGATTTATTACTCCATCCAAAACAGTTAAAGTTCAAAAGGCTGACATAAGCTTCAGGTTCATGAGCCATTTATTTCTGGATTTTCGTAACCTTTCTTTAAAAGTCTTATACTATAAAAGCAAGTATTTACATTCTAAACCATTTTAATACAGCCTCTACAGGAGAATGGCGTGAACCAGGAAGGCAGAGCTTGCAGTGAGCCGAGATCGCACCACTGCACTCCAGCCTGGGCGACAGAGCCAGACTCTGTCTCAAAAAAAAAAAAAAAAAAATACAGCTTCTATCTGCTTTAAGATTTGACAAATCAAAATGGTTATTAGTCCTACCCTAAAAGCTTTATTTTTATAATTTTAATAACCTCCTATTAATATCTCCATAGAAAGGGCACAGCTGAGTAGTTGTAATATTTGTATGTTCTTAAGTTTTTTTCCTGTTAATGAGGTTTCTCACTAAAAACGAATTAAATTTCAACCATTTAATGCTGGACTGTAAACAATGCAAAATGTTTTAGATTAGAAAAATTATATTTATGAAAAAAGAAATCTGTATATTAAGTTAACACATGAAGTATGAAAAGATTTCTTGTATTAAGTGGAAGCTACTAATTGACTTATATTTTAGAAGCAATGAAGACAGACACGTTGAGTAGTTTGGAGTAGTCAAACACTAGAAATAACCAAGTGACATCAGTAGGTGACAGGTTATTAAGAGAGAAAGAGAGACAGACAGCAAACCAAGAAAGGTTACGCAGCAGCTAGAAAAAAAAACTAATAAAGTACCAAGATGTGCAGTTATGGGAGGGGGAGGCCTATGGAATATGTAATATTTTAAAATGTGCATTGTAATGTATGCTGAAAGCATCTGTGTATTTTCGCATCAAGATATGTACTGCAATTATTTCTCTAAGTAGACACAATAAGCTGGCATACATCCCTCAGTATTGGGACTTGGGAGCAGAGTGAGGGTGAAGAAAACTTTCCACTGTACAATTTACTGTACCATTTTCACATTTTACCACAAGAAAGAAGTACTTTCAGGGGAAGAAACTTACACAAGTATTGTGACACATTAATTTTAATTTTAATTTTTTTTTTGAGATGGAGTTTCACTCTGTCGCCCAGGCTGTAGTGCAATGGCGTGAACTCAGCACACTACAACCTCTGCCTCCAGGGTTCAAGCGATTCTCCTGCCTCAGCCTCCCAAGTGGCTGGGATTACAGGCATGCACCACCACACCCAGCTAGTTTTGTATTTTTAGTAGAGATGGGCGTTTCACCATGCTGGTCAGGCTGGTCTTGAGCTCCCGACCTCAGGTGATCTGCCTACCTTGGCCTCCCAAAGTGCTGGGATTACAGGTGTGAGCCACCGTGCCCAGCTGTGAGACATTAATTTAAAAGGAAAAACGCAATGCTCATTTAATAACTATTAATATGAAGTGATAGTTAATAATTCTATTAGCTGAATTTTCAAATAATTCAGGATAAACTGGCTCAGCTGAGTTCAAGCTTATCTTTGGAGAAAAAAACAGGTTTGAAGCAATCTTAGCTATAGAGAGTATTGTAGAATATATTTGTAGCTATTGCTTCAAAACAGTTTTGAAAGATAAATTGTATGTCAGCCTCTAAGTAGTATTTGCGGGTCGTTGAAGGGGGCAGGGACTTGCTTTAAAAATTACTCACTAAACTATCAACACTTTCTCCTCCACTTTACTTAATTAGAAATTAGGGATTCCAGCTCCAAATAAGTCTTCTTCTATCACAACCCAATAGATTATAGAATCTGTTTTTGTGTGTATCAAGTCTGGTCATAATTTTCTTTTTCTCTTTTCAACTCCCACTGATAGCAAGGATAGCTTGGGCCACCCGTGGGCCAATGCTAATTCTCACGGCCTCATTCTGTCATCTAAAACTCCCAAAGCACTGGGGAGTGGGCTGCTTTGGCCACACAGACACATGTATTCGTCCCACAAGTCTCCTTTAAAAATGAATGAAATGCATATTTAGCAATGTGAATGTGACAAGTATTTTTATGACCAGAAGTAAACTTTGGAATCAAGGCTTTTAGATAACTAACCTTCAATAGTCACCTCAACTTCAGGGTCCTCACTTGTTTCTGAAGGGACATGTTGAGTAGAATCTTGAAAAAAATAAAATTCTAAAATGACATTCATTATTAAGCATGTTTCCATATGTTCCAACATTTTACTGATTTGATACTCCAAAAGCAGCCTACTATAAAAATCCACTGGCATTTTCATTCATTTCATATTAATGAAATTAAAATTTGACCCTTGTCATTATAAATAGGGATAAAAGAAAACAAAAATTAGAAAAACTCTGGAAAAATTTAGATGATAACATGTTACCTGCAGAAATTGACTCAAAAAAATCCCATAGTCTTGGAGGAATGAGGATATGACAAAGTCACAATGAATTTCCTGCCACAGCTAGAAGATGCTCGGATAGAAACAAATGCTTTCTACTTTGGTTAGAATTTCTTCTCTCCTTTCAGAAATGTGAGGAGTGGTTTCTACTGTTCAATAAAACCACAACCCAGGCTTTACAATGGAGACTTTCCTATCAAGAGACTGAGTGTCACAAGTGCACACAAGACTATATCCTCTGGCTTTGTATGCAACATATTTCAAAAATTACAAAGTTCATTCATATTTGTTCCTACACAAGACAAATGTACATCAGAGTGTTAGTGCTAGAAGCTTATAGAGTATTTTCATTAGTTCTCTTTCATTGTGCAAAGGTTGAGAGATTAATTGATTTGCCAAAGATTATGTTTACTTGTTAGTAAAGGAATAAAGGCCAGAACCCAGATTCGATTCAACTTTGTTAACACTGGAATATGACAGTAAAAATGTCCTAAAAACGCAGTCTTCAAGGTGCAGTACCTGCCGGCGGGGCTGCAAGGCGGTGAGCCATCGGTACTGCCCAATGAGCCCTCGTACTGCACATGATCTATTACCTAGGTCTTGTTGTTCTAAATCCCGCCTATTCAAAGCTGAAAACTCTGTCACTCAGAAGATACCCACCTCCACACAGTAAAGCATACAACATTCACCCACACAATCTTCTATAAAAAGGGCTGACAGGGAAATGTAACCAACGGTTTACAATGAGCATATCAGTATTTTTGAGAGAAATGTATTCCAGGGAGAAACCCTAATTCTATAATTGAATTTGGAGAAACCAGCCTATACTGGGGAACTTTTAAGATTGCCTTTCCCTCAAAGAAGGTAAAAGATCAAACAAATGTTTTTTTTTAATTAAAATAAAAATGTAAATACAATGGAATATAAGCAGTTACACAACAGACTCCTCTTTTCATTCTAGAAAAATAAGGGATAACATGACCAATTTATGAGAGAAATAATTCTAAAACAAGATTCAGTTACCTTACCAGTCATTTTCCTTGGGAGAAATCTACAAAAATTTGTGTGGAACCGTTTAAACACCTTGGAAATAAGAAGCCACCCTACATGATAAGTTGAACTCAGGATTCTAAACAAAAAGAACTGTACCTCAGTCAGGCGTTCAATTCTAAAACCAAAGCTGTAGAGCTGGTAAACTGACAAAGTCATTTATGGAGTAGTTGTGAGTACAAAATAAAGGGAGAAACTCTCTCCTGTATAAATTTTATGTAGACTAAATTCCTACCCTACTAAGAGACTAGAAGTATTAAAAAATACATTTGAAAATAAAATATGAATGGAGCTAGTAATTTTAATTCTGAAACACTGAAGCTATTCTTCCTTAAAAGATATTTAATATGGCACAAGAAAACCAGGACAAAAAAAAAAGTAGCATTTTGCATCATGTAAGAGCTTTACTTACCACTTAGTTTCATTCCCATAGGCTTTATTAATCAGTATGGTCAAAGAAGTATATTACATCTTAGAATTTTTAAAAAAATAATAACCTGTTGGCTAGGAAGGCATACCAAGGGAATCACCTTTTATTTCCAAATAAGGTGTTTTAAGGATAATAGAATCTATAAAATAGAATAAACATACAACAAATAGTGGAAAATATGCAATCTCTTTTTCTCCTAACCTTCTGCTGGTACTTCCATTTCTGTGCCTTCATTGCCCTCTGAAGAATGGTGGCTTCCTAAAAAGAAAATAAACAACATATAATAAACCAATAAAAACTGACATTGAAAGATGAAAGAGAATCTAGGTAACAATGCAAACAATCTAAGACATAATAAACATATGCAAAATGATTGTCTAACTCTTTAGCAGTTAAGTCGAACAATGTTTTCTAATTCAGAAAAGAATACAACGCTTCTATTTGGAAGCTAAAAAAATTATTTGAAAACACAAATACAGAGTAGACCTAAGTAGGTTTGGGGATTTAATATTAGTTACTATAACTACATGATAAAATTACTAGATATTGGAATCTGAGGAAGCAGAATTATGCTTCAAGTACCATGCTCATCTGTCAAAGACACACATACACAAACAGATCAGAGTAAATGCTTGCTGTGATCAGACACTTAATTAACTCCCTATAAATAAGTTCAGGGTTTGCTGTGGAATGTTTCATGCTTTCCATTTTCACTATGGTGAAAGCCATGGAAACTCAATCCCCATAATTTCATCAAAGTTGTACTTAAAGGAAACTCGTAAGTTAAAATTTAAGATACTACCTTTAGTCTCAAAAGCATTTTAAGTCAGGTAATATAATCTGCCTGCTTCTAAAAACTGGAACATAAAGCAATGATCAGTTAGGCAGTCACAAGGTGAACAGGCTCATCCTACTAGAGCAGAAGTTTTACTCACAAAAAGGAAAGGAAGAATCTAAGACATCAGAGAGCCACTTAGGATTAAGAACGCAAGCTGCCCCCTAATTTGTATCCTCTGTCCTTAAAGATCTGAGCTACTAACATGGAAAAGATTGAAAAACACTGCCTTTAAGTACCAAAAAAAAACATATTACCTATTAGTAAGAATACATCGCTTGAGGGGAAAGGAAGCAGATGTTCATCTCTTTTGTCTTATCTATTGAGAACTAAATTCAGAAGCTATACTAAAAGTAAGATATGTTATAAATGTATTTTATCTTGATTTTTAAAAAGCAATGCTTACGGTCTGAAAAACTGTCATTTGGTAGCTAATATCCTTGAATTAAAAGTCCCATACTGAGGTCACATCTTTTTGGTTCTCAGTATCTAGCTTTAGCATGTCACAATTATCTGGGGATTCTTTTCCACTTACTTTATATTGTGAAAACTCACCTGAACTCAAACTCTAGGTAAATCTACAAACCTATACCTATGAGTCACTCTTTAATTCATTTTTAAAATATGCTTTCTCTACACACTTCCTTTCTCTTTTTTTAATCTTAATATTTGAATTTATGGAGCATTAAGTTATTTGACTGTAAAAGTCAAAGAAAAAAGAGATGTGAGGTCAAAGGAATGAGAGTGAAATGATGAGGCCAGTAGGTAAAAAGTAAAATTTCAGCAAAGAATAACAGTTAAGATGATTGTTCGTGTAAGCAATAATTCTGTATGTCTTTTAAAATCTGAAATAAACAATTACATTTACATTATATGCTAAGCCTAAAGAAAATACATCTTATGCACTCAAAGCCAGAATAGATAGAAGTAAATGCCATTACTAATAGCCTATGAGTATCAAGTTTGGGAACACTGTAAAAAATTGCCAAAAAGGCAATCAATTCGAAACTTACAGATTAACAAGTGCTATTTCAGAATTCTTCTAAATACTAAGTATCAACCTGACCTTATCAATATTTGCATCACTAACCAATAAAACAGTAACCTGGCTTCTGACTGTTCTGAGATAAGGTATAAATGTGTACTTTACCTTCAATAGGAAAGTGTGTCATGTACCCATTTCGAGATTCATTACTAGATTCACAAAAGGGAAAATTGATTTTTGAAAAATTGTTGCTTGTGAAGTTCATTTATATGTTAAAAAAAGGCCAATACATTTTTTTCCTTTTCCATTTAGAAAAGTAATACTGTACTTATAAATATTAAAACACAGTCTGTGCAATATAAGGAAACATTAAACACAAGCAGTATGTGGGAGAATGGAAGTGAAAAGATTATACCTTGCAAAGGCTTCGATAGGGGCTGTTTTTCATCAACATCATCAGTTTCAGAAGGGCCTGCTTTGGGATACAAAGATAATACTTCAAAAGTAATCCCCCCCAAAAAAAAATGTGGGGTGACTTTAGTCAACAAATTTGGGTGAGATACATGGAATGGCCTTTTTATAAATAAAAAGAAAAAAATTAAAAAAAAAAAAGACTGACAAGATGAGCAATGTCAATTTATGGTCTTGGTGAATGGAAAAATGTAATCAGGTGAATTCATATGTAAACAGTCAAAAGAAATTTTGAAGATGACTGGACATATGGATTGAATGGGAATGGTATGTCTAAAATGGAAGATGTGGGTTTTTTAAAACAGTACAATGTTCATAACAGTAAACTGTAACTTTTACTTCATACAGATTACAAATGCAGGTTTATCTCACAGGTTTATTTGTTTCTTCTTTGGCAAATATTTGCTTACTCTTTTGTCATACTGAAGAAAAATGCAGAACCAAATGTTATATACCTTCCTTAGAATCTCTAAAATAACGTAAACCATCTCCTTGAATCTCTACTGAAATAGAAATGTGACAAACTAACAGCTATTAATTCATTCTCCCTTTCTTCCAGCACAGCGGGCACTTTTTCTAATAAGGTTCTTTCCAAAACACAGAAAGTACTCTGAGTTAAATTCAACTTCACAAACTGCTATATTTTGACAACACATTTACATGTTATCATCAAACTTTTTAATGATTAAAATAATAATAGTTTTAAAATAGAAAACAAAACATTGTGTTTTCAATGGCTATTTAATATAAAACACATTTTGGCATTAATATGACCACAGTTCAGTTAACTATCTCTGAAGAGAATTGGGAAAACATCCGAAGTTGTTTGAAAGGCTTCATTCTCTAAAGCCTAAGAAATTTCACAAAGATGCACCACACTACACATTACAGGCAAAGGACACATCAGAGAAAAAAATCAATTGCATGAGAAATAAAGAAATAGTTTCTATTTGGAATCTCAAAGAAGAGCAAGTCTTGGAATGTAGACTCCTAAATTCAAATGCTAGATCCACTGCTTCCTAGTCTTCTGACTCTGAGTAAAATATACAGAGCTCAAGAAAAGGAAGATGTGCTATTTACAGGATTTAAAAATGCAACCTTAGTGAAGGCTACTAATTGACCTCTAAGTACTGCTTTAGTTGCTCTTCACAAGTTTAACTATGTGGCATTCTCAATATTCTGGTCTAAATATTTTTAATGAGGCCCTCATTAAGTCAATTACAAGCATGTTTCCTAGGATTCCCACTGTGTATGTTTTCTATTAATAATTTAATTTCAGTATGTTCAGAGAATTTATTAAGACTGTGAACAAGTATACAGTCAATTTTTATAAATGATTCATGCTTTGTAAATAAACTTATTTCTTGGGTACACAGTTTTCTATAGTTAGCTTACATATATTAACTGTAGTGAAAATATTCTATTTAGCATATAAATGTTAAAAGAGTATTCATCAGCTAGACGTATATCATTGGTTAAAATCTCCCACATGACTGTACATATCTATAGAGACTTATAATTTGTAAATAATTTTTACTTTTACTGTGAGGATACATAGTTAGGCACATACAAACTAATGGTTGTTATATCAACTTAGTGACCAATTCCTTTAAATACGACATAGTCTTATTCTATCCTGCTACTACTGTTTTTGGCTTCCAATATTGCTAAACTATATTTTTTTTAGTTGGTATTTACTCAAAATACCTTCACGTATCACTATACTTTCAAATTATTTTAATGTCCCATATTTGAATTTTATTCACCCTAAAAATGGTACTTGATTTTATTCACCCTAAAACATACTTAACCTCCACCTCTCAAATGCTTGAGGTGCCTACCACTCATTGAGAAAATCAACACATTCCCAACACTCACATTTGAATGTCACTATTTTACAGGAGCACTGAGGTGCACAGAGAAATATATCCAAGCCTATTTTGGAATACAAAAGTTTTAGAAGAAAACATCAATGTCTTTATGTAGAAGAACGAAAAAACGAACTGTATTATAATCACACAGTGTAACTACCATGATGACATGATTAAATCTACTTGTGACAAAACAGATAAATCCCAGCTGAGGCAGAGAATTGCTTGAACCCGGCAAGCGGAGGTTGCAATGAGCCGAGATCTCACCACTGCACTCCAGCTTGGGCGACAGAGCAAAAATCCATCCCCACCCCCACGCCAAAAAAAAAAAAAAAAAGATAAATCTTGAAAACTTAAATTGAGTGACAGACTATACTCAACAACACATACAGTGTACCACTGTGTAAGCTTCACTCAGGAAGTGGCATATATAAAACAATAAATATGACATGACACACACACACACACACACACACACACACACACACACACACACACACACTCCCGGGAGAATATTTACGTAGTAAAGCACATCACCATCAGGAAGGACAATTCTCAGTTTTCAAGATCATGGTTAACTTAAGAATAGAGAGAAAAGTGGGGATTTGGGGGAGCCCAAAGAAAGGCTTCAATGAAATAGTTACACGTTGTTTCTTGGAGGGAGGAGAGAAGAGACAAATACTATGGTTCACTAAACCTGGGCAGACTGATACTATGCTTTTAGGTTTTAAATATTTCATTTTAAAAAAGCGTGTTAGCCCCTGTAATCCCAGTACTTTGGGAGGCCAAGGCGGGTGGATCACCTGAGGTCAGGAGCTCGAGACCAGCCTGGCCAACATGGTGAAACCCTGTGTCTACTAAAAAACACAAAAATTAGCCAGGTGTGTTGGCACACACCTGCTATCCCAGCTATTCGGGAGGCTGAGGCAGAAGAATCACCTCAACCTGGGAGGTGGAGGTTGCAGTGAGCCAAGATCGCGCCACTGCACTCCAGCCTGGGCAACAGAGTGAGACTCTGTCTCAAAAAAAAAAAAAAAAAAGAGAGAAATGAAGGCCTATGTCCACACAAAAGCCTCTACACAATGTTCATAGTACCTCTATTTGTAATGGCCCCAAACTGGAAGAACCCAAATGGCTATCAACAGACAAAGAAATGAATAAATTTTGACTCAGGCATACAATAGAATACAAATCAACAATCAAATGGAATCTACTACTGATACGTGCAACGCTGTGGATGAATTTCAAAACAATCATTTGAAATGAAAGAAGCCACACTGCTCCCCGGCCCATGAAAATAGTCCACATTTTATTATTTCATTCATAAGACTTTATAGAAAATGCAAACTAACCTAAAACAGAAAACAGATCCGTGTTGCCTGAATACTGGGCAGGGCAATGAATAACAAGGGGACACAGGAAACTTTTGGGGTTATAGATATTTCATTATCTTGGATGCAATGAAGATGGTGTATTAGATATGTAGATGGCAAAGCTAACCAGATTTTTTACTTTAAGTGTTTAATATACTATAATTATGCAGTGAGAAAAAATTAAGCTGACATTATCTGCATTTGCCTAATAGGTTTGTTTTATTTTGCAACACTAGAACCTGGGATTGAATTCTAAATTGTGCCACAACTTTTGCTCATCCTTTTAAGAACACAAATGGCTATTTTACATATCCCCTCTGGATTGTCTGAGTTGATCTTTTAGCCCCATTTTTAAATGTTTTATCCCCGGGACTGAATTACAATATATATGTCAATCAAGAACTGATCAATAAAATATTATTTAAGAAATTAAAGCAATTGATGAGCAAATTTTAATTTTAACCACGAATAATTTTTAGAAAGAAAAATTGCATTAATTCAAATTACCTTGAATGTTATATTGATAATAATCAGGATCTTCTGATTCTTCCTTTACTGTCACAGCTGCCATTTCCAGGGAAATGCCTAGAAAAGCAAATGCAATGATATGATTGCATGTGAGAACTTTCAGCTAGATTGTGTAGGGAAATCCTCTCTGCCCTCCCTATAAATACAGCAATGCATATTTATTTTAAGTAAAGACTTTACGTCTTTGAAAAGACAAAAGTTTGCTAGGTAGCAGAAGGTAAAAAATCACTATAATCCCAGCCAATGCAAAGTTTTAACCATTTATTAATATTCTGCAATTATGTGCTGCTCTTTTCTCCAGCAAATTCTTATCTTTAGAATCAAAGAAAATTTTACCACACTCCCTTTTCACTTAATATTAAAAATACTTTTATAAACCATTGAAACACACTTATAAACATCAGTTTTAATAACTCAGTATTCCAAAGGAGAGATAGCATAATGGTCAAC
The DNA here is from genome assembly GCF_000001405.40 of Homo sapiens. NCBI lineage: Eukaryota > Metazoa > Chordata > Mammalia > Primates > Hominidae > Homo > Homo sapiens. The sequence continues at coordinate 74,710,638 of NC_000007.14, read as the reverse complement.
AATTTCAATAATGAGATACATTGGTTTTTTTCTGCCTAATACATCCCTTTTATTACAGGGATTTGTGTAAGGGTACAAAGCACACCTTTCTGCATAAAGCTTTGCCCACAATTAGGACAGATGATTTGAAGCAGACCTTTGTGGCCAGATACAAAAGAGTACATGTTGTGTAATTCCACTCATATGAAGGTCAAAATAGGCAAAAGCAATCGATGTTATTAAAAAGTTGACTTTGGGAAGGGCCAAAATTGTGCCACTGCACTCCAGCCTGGGTGACACGGCGAGACTCCCTCTCAAAAAAAAAGAAAAAGAAATGAACAATGCATGGGTGCACATACACATTTCAGACTGAGATATTCAACCACAGTCATACCAACCCTAACACAAACGAAATCGTGAGCTCTGACTTGGGCAACTTTGTAAAGAATATTTTCAACTCTAGAGAAAGAGCTCAAAGAGAGTTAAATTGATATACAAAGGGTATGCATCCCTGAAGCAACAAGCAAAAAAAGGAGTTACTCCATTGCCTTCAATCACCAAGGGGAAAGTGTTTTGCTGCTACACAGTGGTGGCAGAGAACACTGCATCTGAGACCTTTGCAACTCTCTGGGCTAACTTAGCACTTTCATGTCCATCAGTAAAAGTTAATAGAAAATTACAGCTAACAGCCAGGTGCGGTGGCTCGTGCCTGTAATCCCAGCACTTTGGGAGGTCCAGGCGGGCGAATCACCTGAGGTCAGGAGTTCGAGACCAGCCTGGCCAACATGGTGAAACCTCGTCTCTACTAAAAATACAAAAATTAGCCGGGAGTGGTGGCACGCACCTGTAGTCCCAGCTACCCGAGAGGCTGAGGCACAAAGATCACCTGAACCCAAGAGGTGGAGGTTGCAGTGAGCGGAGATGGTACCACTACACTCCAGCCTGGGCGACACAGCAAGACTCCGTCTCAAAAAAAAAAAATAAAGAAAGAAAGAAAATCACAGCATTACAGCTAACAAAAAAGGCAGATCCACTGGGGATTCAGACCCTTCAGGAATAAAAATTTGGGTCACTCCAATTGGCTAAAGAACCTTACACATACTGGCTGGGTGCAGAGGCTAATGCCTATAATCCCAGCACTTTGGGAGGCTGAGGCGGATGATTACCTGAGGTCAGGAGTTCAAGACCAGCCTGGTCAACATGGTTAAACCCCGTCTCTACTAAAATAAATAAATGAATAATACAAAAATTGGCTGGGTGGCACACGTCTGTAATCCCAGCTGCTCGGGAGGCTGAGGTGGGAGAATCGCTTGAATCTGAGACACGGAGGTTGTGGTGAGCCGAGATCGCACGACTGCACTCCAGTCTGGACGACAGAGTGAGACCTTGTCTCAAAAAATATAAATAAATAAAAATAAAAAGGTAAATCCAAAAAAAAGTCTGGTAAGCTGCAGAAACGTAGACTGTGGCGACTATGCCTATTGTCTTCCTTGTCTGTTACAAATGTGTTTGTGTGAAGATTATATGCTTGCATATACTAACTATTCTCTTCTGTGTGGTAGTATTTCACAATAGTTTGGCTGGAAGTTTCCTTTCCATTTGTCCATTAGACTAGAGATTACTCAAATAGGTTTGCACTGCATTTAAAGAGCAGGTAACATAGCTCGCGACTGGATTTTCAGTCAGTCTCCCAGCGATGGGTGTGACTGCTGGAACACTGTGTCCCCCCATTTTGAGGAGAGAGTAAAAATGGATTTCTTTGTAGGAAGTAAAGTTGCATCTCTTTAGATGGAACAGTTGTCTCGTTGTTGTACAGAAGGTCAAATGTGCAGGGAAGGGTGTGTATATATGCTGAGCAGCCAAAGAGAACAGCCTGGGCCACCCACAAAACTGATGTCTCTCAGTTGCAAACCCATCCTCTGGGTTTCTGCTGAAGTTTGAGCTCTGCATAGCAGCTGGCTCCATGTGAGTCTCTGCCACAAAGATACACTACAGAGAGAAAGGCTAGAGGAGGAGAAGAGATCTGGGCCTTCCTTTTGGCTTCTTGTCTGCATTCTCATCCCAAAAAGGTCACTCCTTGGTACCCTCGTTCAGCCTGGCCAAAGCAGGCCCTCCCATCACAACAGCTGTGCCCGGCTGGCAATGTCTCCAACACTACCAGAAGCAGCCTCACCATGCCCCTCAGCCACCAGCACCAGCCAAACACTACCCCACCTCAGAAGTCAGATGGAAAGCTGATGGGGTGGCAGCCACTGCCTAGAATTGTTCCTTAAAAAAAACCTTAGTATTCTCCTTAAGGTTACAAAGTTAACAATTTTATAACCAGTTAACAATCTGTTTTTGTTTGTTTTGTTTTGAGATGGAGTTTCACTCTTGTTGCCCAGGCTGGAGTGCAATGGCACGATCTTGACTCAATGTAACCTCTACCTCCTGAGTTCAAACGATTCTCCTCCCTCAGCCTCTTGAGTAGCTGGGATTACAGGCGCCCACCACCATGCCCTGCTAATTTTTTTTGTATTTTTAGTAGAGACTGGGTTTCACCATGTTGGCCAGGCCGGTCTCCAACTCCTGACCTCAGGTGATCCACTCGCCTCAGCCTCCCAAAGTGCTGGGATTACAGGTGTGAGCCACTGCACCCGGCCAACAATCTTTACATTAAATTTTCTCTGTTCCAATAACTGATATGGTTTCTGTCTCCTGGCTGCACCCTGGCTATAAATGTACATCTTATTTGCAGGATAAATTAAGAATACAAAGATGCAAAGTGTAAAAGAGAAAAAAAAAAACCTATAATGATGCTGATGTGTACATAAAGACAGTTGAAAGAATTCAATTAAACACATGGGGTTTCTGAATTCAGCATGTTTCTTTTTAGAAGCAAACTAAATATTCAGGAGATGAATATATGAATTAAGGGGAAACATTTGCAAAATGATGATTTTTTTTGGCACAATCTACTGAAAACCACACAAAAATTTGAGATTTCCTATGGAGTGAAAATAAAGAAAAAAGAAAAACCTTCTGTAAAACCAGCAAACAGTGTAAAAGACTCAAATACCTTTTCCAAAAAAGGATAATTCAACACTTTCTTGCAGCTCTCCCAAAATACACTTACATACATAAAAGCTCTCATTCACATGCACGCACACACACGTTAACGCGGCCCTACCCTCCTCCCCAACAACTCATTCGAGATGCCCTTAGATGGGGTGAAGCGGGGCAGGTGGCTGCCCAGGAAGCATGGCAGAATGAGAAGGCTGACAAAGGGCCGGGGAAGGGGCTGGGGAAGCTGCCGAGGGCCTGGTCAGACAGAGGGAGATGAGGGGGCAGGCAGGGCGGTGACAGCCCACTAAGGAGTGTCCCGTGTGAATAAGGGGCACAGGGCCGAGCAGCGGGAGGCTTGACAGTGGCACTAGGACACAGGATAACACTGGGAAATGATGAAATAAATACATATGCTGAGAACATCTGGGTGCCACGGTTCTAGGACAGAACAGAATTATAAACGGGGGCCGGGCACGGTGGCTTATGCCTGTAATCCTAGGACTTTGGAAGGCTGAGGCAGGAGGATCACTTGAGGTCAGGAGTTCAAGACCAGCCAGGCCAACCTGGCGAAACCCCGTCGCTACTAAAAATACAAAAATTAGTCGTGCGTGATGGCGTATGCCTGTAATCCCAGCTACTCGGGAGGCTGAGGTGGGAGAATCGCTTGAACCCAGAGGCAGAGGTTGCAGTGAGCCGAGGTCGTGCCACTGCACTTCAGTCTGGGTGACAAAGCAAGACTCCATCTCAAAAAATAAATAAATAAATAAGGAATTAAATAGCAATTTTATTTGAGAATTGAAAATGGTCTCCTTGGAGAGTGGAAAACAGGAGTGCAGAGAAGGAAGGTGGAGACGAAGGGGGCATTCTATTGATTTTTGTAAAAAGCACTATAGAACAGCTGACCTCTTACATTATATGTCTGTACAACGGGAAAAAAAAATACATTTTATCTACAAACATATGTAACTGGCAAAGAACTCTGCCTACCACTTACTGAGCAAATTACCTTTCTGGGTCTTAATGTGATAACATTAACAAATAGTGTCACAGTTGGAATACATTAGTAGTGACTGCCTCTTTCTTATCAAAACAAAACAATAATTGAGTCAAACTATAAACTTCTACACTAAGGAAAAGTCTTCCTTAATTTCACCATTGATTCTAAAAGTGCTAGTACATACCAGAATCTTCTGTGGGTTCAGTTTTCACTTTGATGGGGCCACAACTGCAAGGAGAAGAAAGCCCTGATCAAGCCACGTGCTGGTGACAGCCATTCCCACAGCATTCAAAGTCTCTGGGTCTCAAAGTGTTAAGATCCCTCCCTTGACCAAGGTGGGTGCAAACCTGACTCAGCTTAAAACTGACATATTTATTTATTGCATAAATAAGAGTTATTGGGCCGGGCACAGTGGCTCACGCCTGTAATCCCAACACATTGGGAGGCCGAGGCGGGCAGATCACGAGGTCAGGAGTTCAAGACCAGCCTGGCCAATATGGTGAAACCTCATCTCTACTAAAAATACAAAAATTAGCCAGGCGTGGTGGCGCTCACCTGAATCACTTGAATCCGGGAGGTGGAGGTTGCAGTGAGCTGAGATCATGCCACTGAACTCCAGCCTGAGCCACAGAGGGAGACTCTGTCTCCACAAAAAAAAAGAGTTATCAACTGAACTTAGTACTTCAATTTCTATCTATCTTTTGGGGAAAAAAGTACAATAAAATACTACAGAGTAGCATATTAAGACTTATCGGGCCAGGCGTGGTGGCTCATGCCTGTAATCCCAGTACTTTGGGAGGCCGAGGCAGGTGGATCACCCGAGGTCAGGAGTTCGAGACCAGCCTGGCCAACACGGTGAAACCCCGTCTCTACTAAAAATACAAAAAAATTAGCTGGGCATGGTGGCACATGCTTGTAGTCCCTGCTATTTGGGAGGCTGAGGCAGGAGAATCGCTTGAACCCAGCAGGGGGTCAGAGGTTGCAGTGAGCCGAGATCGCGCCACTTCACTCTAGCATGGGCAAAAAGAGCAAAACTCCATCTCAAAAATAAAAAAAAAAAAAAAGAGTTACCAACTGAACTTAGTACTTTAATTTCTATCTATCTTTTGGGGAAAACAGTATAATAAAATACTACAGAATAGCATATTAACTTCCAAATACCACTCTAAGGCCAATTCACAGTGTGACCAATGCCTCTGGCTTTTCCCAGGAACTCTACTATTCAGAAATACCAAGTCAAAGAGGGCATGTTCACAAGATCCCCAAATGATATCCTTGCCTATTAAACTTTAAGATGTGTGACATGAGGCCTTTTTAATATTCTGATATCTCAATTATCTAACAACTAAAACTTTTTGAGGTGTGGGAGTTAAACAGCAGTAATGAAATTAGGTTTTACCTTCCACCTGGAGATAGTATTGACCTGTCAGCATCTGTTACCATCACACGACCACCTACATACAAAAAAAAAAAATTGGAGTTAGTTTTTCAACATTTCAAATATAATATGTCTAAAGGCTTTAAATATAGAATTAGTGGGGTAGAACTAGGCTTTGCAGCTCTGGATCACACCAGAATAAACACTGCTTTTCATCCCTTCACCCAACCACAACCTCCTTGAATGAAAAAGCTCTTATTTTCATCAGTGAGAGAAATGCAGAAACATACCATTTGTCTAGTAAGATGGAATATGGAGAATATGACTCTGCTGACATATAAATGATGAAACAGATTTTTTTTTTTTTTTTTTTTTTTTTTTTTTAGAAACAGGGTTTTACTCTGTTGCCCAGGTTGGTGTGCAGTGGCATGATCATAGCTCACTGCAGCCTCCAACTCTCGAGGATCAAGCAATCCTCCTACCTCAGCCTCCTGAGTAGCTGGGACTACAGAAGCATGCATTACCACTCCCAGCTAATTGTTTTCTATTTTTTGTAGAAATTGGATCTTGCTATGTTGCCCAGGCTTATCTCGAACTCCTGGCCTCAAGGGAGACTCCCACTCTGGTCTCCCAAAATGCTGAGATTAGGCTGGGCGTGGAGGCTCACACCTGTAATCCCAGCACTTTGGGAGGCTGAGATGGGTAGATTGCTTGAGGTCAGGGGTTTGAGACCAGCCTGGCCAACATGGTGAACCCCCGTCTCTGCTAAAAAAATATAAAAATTAGCCAGGTGTGGTGGCGGGCGCCTGTAATCCCAGTTACTCAGAAGGCTGAGGCAGGAGATTTGCTTGAGCCTGGGAGGCAGATGTTGTAGTGAGCCAAGATCATGCCACTGCACTCCAGCCTGGGCGACAGAGCAAGACTCCATCTCAAAATAAATAAAAAAATAAATAAATAAATAAATAAATAAAAATAATAATTAAGTTTAAAAAAAACTTTTAAGTCTGAAATTTAACATAAACATGATAAATATTTCTCCATCTTAAAAGAGATTTACACAAAAATCCTACCACTAACATCATACTTCATGGTCAAAGACAGAATGCTTTCCTACTAATATCACAAGGTGATGTCTGCTATCACCAATGCTGTGTGACATTTATATTCTAGTCAGAGCAACAAGAAGAAGAAATAAGAGGCACTTAGATTGCAAAGAAAGGGGTAAATTGTCTTGATTCTCACACAACATGATCTCCTACATAGAAAGCCCAGAAATAAACAAAGAGTCAAAAGACTTTCAACAAAGATAACAAGGATATCTTGAGGGAAAGGACGGTCTTTTCTGCAAATTGTCCTGGAATCATTGGATATCCACGTGCAAAAAGATGAATTTATACCTTTACCTTGTATAATATACAAAAATGACCTCAAAATGAACCATAGATCTAAATGTGAGAGTTGAAGCTATAAGACTTGTGGAAGAAAACACAGAAGTCATATCTTCATGCCTTTGGGTTTACGCAATGGTTTCTTGAATATGAAGTCAAAAGCTTAAGTGAGGGCCAGGCGCAGTGGCTCACGCCTATAATCCCAGCACTCTGGGAGGCTGAGGCAGGTGGATCACCTGAGGTCTGGAGTTTGAGACCAGCCTGACCAATATGGTGAAACCCCGTATCCACTAAAAATACTAAAGTTATCCGGGCATGGTGGCGGGCACCTGTAGTCCCAGCTACTCGGGAGGCTGAGACAGGAGAATTGCTTGAACCCGGGAGGCAGAGGTTGCAGTGAGCTGAGATCATGCCACCGCACTCCAGCCTGGGTGACACAGCGAGACTCTGTCTCAAAAAAAAAAGCACAAGTTAACAAAAGAATAAACTTATTTTTATCAAAATTTAAAACGTTTGTGCCTCAAAGGATACTACCAAGTAAGGGAAGAAGACAAGTTATACAATAAGGATAATGTAGATTTATTAGAATTGGAGAAAATATTCCCAAATCCTGTACTCCAGCCTGGATAACAGAGTGACACCATTGCAAAAAGAAAAAAAAAATTTTTTTTTAACAAATCATCAATTAGAGACTTATATCAAGACTATATAAAAAACAAGACTCAATAATAAAAAGACAAACAAACCCAATTTTTAAATGGGAAAAGGACCTAAATAGATATTTCTCCAAAAAATATGTATGGATGACCAATAAGCACAATTGAAGATAACACAAGCCTGTAATCCCAGCACTTTGGGAGGCTGACACAGGCGGATCACTTGAGCTCAGGAGTTCCAGACCAGCCTGGCCAACACGGCAAGAGCTTGTCTCTACCAAAAAAAGGTTCAGAAATGAGCTGGGTATGGTGGCACACGCCTGTAGTCCTAGCTACTGAGAAGCTGAGGCAGCAGGATTGCTTGAGCCTGGGAGGTTGAGGCTGCACTAAGCTGAGATGGCGCCACTACACTCCAGCCTGGGCGACAGGGTGAGACCCTGTCTCAAAAAAAAAAAAAAGAAAGAAAGAAAGAAAAGTAAAAACACATCAACAATCACTAGAGAAATTTTTAAAAATCAAAAAAAATTAGATACCACTTCACATCTATTACAATGGCTAAAATCAAGAAGTAAGTTGGCAGCAATGTGGGGGTAACCCTCCTATCCTGCTGTGAGAATATAACATGGTATAGCCACCTTGGAAAACAGCTTGTCAGTTTCTTCAAAGTTCAGTGTAGCAGGGCGCGATGGCTCACGCCTGTAATCTCAGCACTTTGAGAGGCCTCCCTTGATCATGAGGTCAAGAGATTGAGACCATCCTGGCCAACATGGTGAAACCTCGTCTCTACTAAAAATACAAAAATTAGCCGGGTGTGGTGGCGCGTGCCTGTAATCCCAGCTACTCAGGAGGCTGAGGCAGGTGAATCTCTTGAATCCACGAGGCGGAGGTTGCAGTGAGCCAAGATCATGCCACTGCACTCCAACTTGGTGACAGAACGAGACTCCGTCTCAATTAAAAAAAAAAAAAAAGTTCAGTGTAAATTTACCCTATTCCTAGTAATTGCACTCCTACGTAAATATCCAAGAGATATCAAGGAATATGTCCAGACAAAACCTTGCTCAAGTATGTTCACTGTAACATTATTCCCAATACCCAAAGGTGGAAACAACCAAAATATCTATAAACTGATGACTGGATCAACAGACAGTATGTTCATGTCACAGAATAGTTAGTGCTCAGCAATAAAAAGAAGCTACGGCTACACCTACCAAGCTCGATGAGCCTCGAGTGAGTGATGCTCAGTGAAAAAAGCTCATTTCAATAGGATACATACTACATATTCCATTTCTACAACATTCATGAAATAACAGAGACAGGGACGATGAAAGCATCCCAAAATTAAGACTGTGATGATGGGTAAAAACCCCTTAAAAACATTTTAAGATTGTAAATCTACTATTAGTGAATTATATACTTAAGACAGGTGAATTTGGCTGGGCACAGTGGCTCACGCCTGTAATCCCAGCACTTTGGGAGGCCGGGGCGGGTGGATCATTTGAGGTCAGGAGTTCGAGATCATCCTAACATGGTGAAACCCCATCTCTACTAAAAATACAAAAAATTAGCCGGGCGTGGCAGCATGTGCCTGTAATCCCAGCTACTCGGGAGGCTGAGGCAGAATCACTTGAACCTGGGAAGCAGAGGCTGCAGTGAGCCAAGATCGCGCCACTGCACTCCAGCCTTGGCGACAGAGCAAGACTCCGTCTCAAAAAATAATAATAAAAAAAAAAGGCAGGTGAATTTTATGGTGTATCAATTATACCTCAATAAAGCTGCTAAAAAATTAATCTTTTCACCACAATGAGAATAAGACAAAGGTTAACAGAAAACACAATGTGTATGTTTATGTATATATAATTTTTTCCTTTCATAGTTACATGTTTAAAAGTATTCCAATGATACTGGTTATTTACTTCCGAAAGTCTCAAATAAACCTGGCTCTAAAGGGTATTACTCTTTATCCTGTTTTCCCTTCAAATGAAATGGCTAGACTTCCCTAAAGGAAGCTGAAATCCGCATCATTCTTCAAACGCCCTTCCTGGAAATGCTCTCTTCCTCATGAACTCTTTCCTGAACTATAAAGGAATCCAACCTCCAATAACATCCACAGCACTTTCTCAGAGCCATTCTTGCCGTAGGGATGCAATGTTCTTGCCATGTTCATTTTACAGAATTTTCTCTCTTCCGTGAGACTCACAGCTCTCAAAAGTGGTAATGCTGATACACAGCTGCGTATCCCCTCCCCACCCAATGCTGTGCCCAACAACGTCTTGCCGAGTCGATGACATTAGGTCAATTAAATCCTACTCATAATTCTGGTAAGTGAGGGCAGATGTATGATCTTCTATAGAAAACAAGCAGCGAAGCTGAAAACAAAAAAACAAGTCTCCACTTTTTTAGCTCAATGAACCTTTTGTGGATTATATAAACATCTAAACAGCCCATCCGAAAATGTCTGACATCATATTCTCAAAGACAATAAAACAGAAACCATTAAAGTGTATGAAAATCTAGCAAAACGGAGGCCAGCCAGCTATCAAGGAAGCAAAGCACTTACTTACCTACATGCTTCTTTGGCTCTAAAAAAGGTCTGCATTAAAACAAAACAAAACAAAACTTCGTATGAATACGCAAAATTATTGTAAAGCATACATTTAAATGACTTCTGTGTTAAATATGAATTTTAAAAATACATTAACGTAAGCTAAATATTCAAATTTATACGAATCAACTGTTGATGGGTACAAAGGGAGAAAGCACTTCACCTCTTAATGATGAATGAAATCCCTGCTTTGTTCTCCAAAATCCATTTCAGGGTTGCAAGATCATAGTTCTCGGGGTGTTTAAAGGCAACACCTTCCGGAAGCCCCTGCACTACCACAGCCGACTGGTCTCGCAGCATCTTCTCATATGGTACAGGTACCACTGTGGATTTGCCTAAAGCTTTCCCTGGGGCAGATGAAAAGCGGATGAACATCATTCAATGGTAAGATTACAAAATGAAATCATCGCTAGCTTATTGTGGCTTAATAAGGGCATCCATGATTTTTTATAATATATGATTTCAAAATTAATTAATACTACAGCATTCTATCTCCCCATGTCAGCAGAAGGTCTAAACCTGAAACTGATCCGAAGGGCCAAAATGAAAAGTAGATAAAATATTTTACTTTAAAAAACACATAGAGAGAGCAATGGTTGGTTTCTTGCACTATTGTCTTTCTTGAAGATGGTCCCATCCTGGCATATTCTCAGGTACAATTTGGCCTCAGAATACAGAAGCCCAGCACATCCAACTATTACCATAAAATACCAGGAATGTTTTGGCTAATATTCTCATTGAAAACTTATCAGGTAAATACAAACTTCCCATTTACAAATGAGTATATACTGTCAACCTATTGGGCAGCGAGCCTCACACATACTGAAAATCCCATTCCAGAGAATTGATTTTCACCTATGACCCTGCAGTAAAACCTCAATCTCCTCCTTTGACTGTTTTCTTGTAAGAGCTTTGTTTTATGATGTGACAAGAGTAAGAAAAGGTGGCTTTGCATGGAATTAGAGAGATGAGCATGCTTATTAGAAAGAAACAGCTAGGCCAGGCATGGTGGCTCACGCCTGTAATCCCAGCACTTTGGGAGGCCAAGGTGGGTGGATCACCTGAGATCAGGAGTTCGAGACCAGCCTGGCGAATGTGGTGAAACCCCATCTCTACTAAAATTTAACACAAAAATTAGCCGGGCATGGTGGCGGACACCTGTAATCCTAGTTACTCAGGGGGCTGAGGCAGGAGAATCACTTGAAACCGGGAGGCGGAGATTGCAGTGAGCTGAGATCGTGCCACTGCACTCCAGCCTGGGCGACAGAGCGAGACTCCATCTCAAAAAAAAAAAACAGAAAGAAAGAAACAGCTCTACTGGCCACACTTCCTCCTGGGTTCCTTCAAAATGGAAGTGGAAGAAAGTAAGGTTATTGCTAATCCATTCAGTCACTGAAAATGTGTGTTATATGATTTTCGAATCAATTACATAAGCTTCCCTTTAGAAAATTCAATTATATAATGTATCTTTTAGAAAAATTAAATCTATTGTTTTTACCATAGCAAAAGCAGAAATAGTCCTCAACTGTTTTTCTGAGTGTTTCAATTTCTACAGCATCTACACTCATCCGATTTGCCTGGGTTGTAGATTTCATTTTATGCATCTCTGCAGCTTTTTCTTCTTCTTCAACACCTGTAAAAAAAATAAAAAATAAAATAAAAAAATAATAATAAGGTCCATATCCATTACCTTAATATTTGGTTTTTAGTAAAAATCGTTTTCCTGTATCCTAACAGGGAAAACTACTTTTATCATGTATTCTAACAGGAAAAAACTATTTCTTAACCATTCTTTAACATTTATTAATCATTGTAACCAATGATTTGTTATTTTGTAACAAAATAGCAAGTCATTTGTGATTTGTTATAAAAGCAAAAAAGAGGACAAGCCCAAGGGCTCACGCCTGTAATTCCACCACCTTGTGAGGCTGAAGCAGGAGGATTGCTTGAGCCCAGGAGTTCAAGACCAGCTTTGGCAACATAACAAGGACACATCTCTGCAAAAAAATGAAAATAGCCAGGTATAGTGTTGTATGTCTGCAGTCCTAGCTGTCTGGGGGCTGAAGTGAGGGCTGCTTGAGTCTAGAAGTTTAAGGCTGCAGTGAGCTATGATGGGGCCGAGAACATACCACAGCACTCCAGCCTGGGTGATGGATAGAGACTGTGTCTCTTAAATTAAAAAAAAAAAAAAAAAAAAAAAAAAAGGCCAGGTGCGGTGGCTCACACCTGTAATCCCAGCACTTTGGGAGGCTGAGGCTGGCAGATGACAAGGTCAAGAGATTGAGAGCGTCCTGGTCAACATGATGAAACCACCGTCTCTACTAAAAATACAAAAATTAGGCCGGGCGCGGTGGCTCACGCCTGTAATCCCTGCACTTTGGGAGGCCGAGGCGGGTGGATCACGAGGTCAGGAGATCGAGACCATCCTGGCTAACACAGTGAAACTCCGTCTCTACTAAAAATACAAAAAATTCTCCGGGCGTGGTGGCGGGCGCCTGTGGTCCCAGCTACTCAGGAGGCTGGGGCAAGAGAATGGCGTGAGCCCGGGAGGTGGAGCTTGCAGCGAGCGGAAATTGCGCCACTGCACTCCAGCCTGGGCGACAGAGTGAGACTCCGTCTCAAACAAACAAACAAACAAACAAACAAAAAATACAAAAATTAGCTGGGCATGGTGGCACACACCTGTAGTCTCAGCTACTTGGGAGGCTGAGGCAGGAGAATTGCTTGAACCCGGGAGGTGGAGGGTGCAGTGAGCCAAGATTGCACCACTGCACTCCAGCCTGGCGACAGAGCAAGACTCCGTCTCAAAAAAATAAAAAATAAAAGGCAGGGAGATGGAGATTTAAAAGGGAACTTTTCAAATAAAAATCTAAAATACTTAGATGAATGAAAGTAATATGAAATGGTGACCATCTCTGAAATAAGTGTAGCTATAGCTAAAAATACTACATACCAGTACCCTTGTACTACTTTAAAAAAGAAAATTTGTATTGGTTACAAATTTAAATATGAGAAGATTATCGACACAAAAAAATTCTAGGCTTGCAAAGTCTAGCACGATAACAAATAGATACATGTGGCACTTGCAACTTGGCTGGTCCAAATTCAGATGTTTCATGAGTGTACAATACACACTGGATTTTGAAGACTTGGTACAAAAAAAGTATGACAAATATCCCATTAATAATTTTTTTTTTCTGGAGACGGAGTCTTGCTCTGTCACCAGGCTGGAGTGCAGTGGCACGATCGTGGCTCACTGCAATCTCCACCTCCCAGGTTCAAACGATTCTTCTGCCTCAGCCTCCCGAGTAGCTGGGATTACAGGTGCGCGCCACCACTCCCAGCTAATTTTTGTATTTTTAGTAGAGACAGGGTTTCACCATGTTGGCCACATGGTCTCGATCTCCTGACCTCGTGATCCGCCTGCCTCTGCCTCCCAAAGTGCTGGGATTACAGGCATGAGCCACCACACCCGGCCCATTAATAATTTTTAAATTGATTACATGTTGAAATATTTTAGATATAATAAGTTAAAGTATTACCAGTAAAATGAATTTCACTTGTTTTTCTTTATTTTTCTTTAATGTTCTAACTAGAAAGTTTTAAATTATGTGAGAGACTCACATGATACTTTTTTCTGCTGAACAACGCTTTTCTAAATCCCAGAAAAGCGCTCAGAATTCTCCTGAAGAATTTCTATGATTGCCTCATAAACCTATTGATTACCTTCCAGAAGACCATTATTGCTCCTTATCTGCAAAGTACTTTACACAAACAAGTAAGAGGTACTTGAGAATTAGGCCGGGTGCAGTGGCTCATGCCTGTAATCCCAGCACTTTGGGAGGCCAAGGAGGGCAGATCGCCTGAGGTCAGGAGTTTAAGATCAGTCTGGCCAACATGGTGAAACCCCACCTCTACTAAAAAATACAAAAAATTAGCCAGGCATGGTGGTGGGCGCCTGTAGTCCCAGCTACTTGGGAGGCGGAGGCAGAAGAATGGCGTGAACCCGGGAGGTGAAGCTTGCAGTGAGCTGAGATCGTGCCACTGCACTCTAGCCTGGGCGACAGAGCGAGACTCCGTCTCGAAAAAAAAAAAAAAAATTAGCCGAGTGTAGTGACACACGCCTGTAATCCCAGCTACTAGAAAGGCTGAGGCAGGAGACTTGCTTGAACCTGGGAGGCAGAAGTTGCAGTGAGCCAAGATCGCACCACTGCACTCCATGGGCGATAGTGAGACTCTGTCTCAAAAAAAAAGAGAAGAAGGAGAATTAGATACAGAAACCATTCTCCATGGATCAAATTATTAACAATGAGGCCAGTCACGGTGGCTCACGCCGGTAATCCTAGCACTTTGGGAGGCCAAGGTGGGTGGATCACTTGAGGTAAGGAGTTCGAGACCAGCCAGGCCAACAGGGCAAAACCCCATCTCTACTAAAAATACAAAAATTAGCCAGGTGTGCCTGTAATCCCAGCTACTCGGGAGGCTGAGACAGAAGAATCGCTTGAACCTGGGAGGCTGAGGTTGCAGTGAGCCAAGATCACGCCACTGCACTCCAGCCTGGGTGACAGGGCGAGACTCCTTAAAAAAAAAAAAAAAATTATTAGCAATAAAAACAAAGTATGAATACTGATGGACAGTGACTACAGCTTGCAGCTGAGGACAGCGCCCTTAATGCTTAGTTCTAACCAGTGGAGAACCACATAAGCCAGGCAGGACAGGGAAGGGGAGAATAAGTACAGCTGCAGGCGGGCTTATGGTATTGGTGGGGCAGACAGCAGCTGATACACACACAATCAAAACAGCATTATTAGTATAAAGAAACACAGAAACATAATCAATGCTTGAACATTTCTCAACATTATAATAATGTCAACATTTTAAAAATAAGTTACTAACATAAAGCTTAGAAGATTACAGCATGGGGGTAAGGGACAGGGGGAGGAATACAGTGGCAGGGGATAGTTTTTAAAACAAACTAAAAATACAATTGGGAATTAAAATTCGTGAATTAACAAAACTTTTTGTTCACTAATAAGTTGCTGAATGTATCACCAATTTAATCTAAACTGACATCAGAAGTTTAACTTTAGACCTTAGTGGCATACAAGCATCTGCAGGTTCATTTCCAAATCACCACAATAATACAAGTATAAAGTAAAGTCACACAGATGTTTTGGTTTCCCAATGCATATAAAAGTTACATTGACTCTTGCTTTCATGAAAGGTCTCTCTGTAGTGTGAGGCTATTTGGTAGCATTTCACCCACGGTAGAACTTGTTTCAAAATTGGAGTCAATCCTCCAAAACCCTGCCATTGCTTTATGAACTAAGTTTATGTCATACTCTAAATCCTTTGTTATCATTTCAACAGTGTTCATGGAGGTTGCAGTGAGCTGAGATCGCGCCATTGCACTCCAGCATGGGCAACAAGAGCAAAACTCTGTCTCAAAAAAAACTAAATAAAAAATAAAAATAAAATGGCAAGCATCTCCTTATACACCTCCATCAGGACTCTGTGAGTGACTGTGAGCAGTCATATTTTGAAAGCAATCTTTTTTTCTGAGCAGTAGGTCTCAAAAGTGGGCTTAAAATATTCGGTGAACAACACTATCAAGAGATGTGCTGTCATCCAGGCTTTATTGTTCTATCAATAGAGCACAGGCAGAGCAGATTTAGTGTAACTCTTCAGGACCCCAGGATTTTCAGAATGGTAAATGAACATGGCTTCAAAGTAACCAGCGGCGTTAACCCCTCACAAGGAATTCAGCTTGTCCTTTGAAGCTTTGAAGCCAGGAATGAACTTCTCTCTAGCTAGCAAAGTCCTAGAGAGTATCTTCCAATATAAGGCTGTTTTGTCTACGTTGAAAATCGGGTTTTGTGAGTGTAGCCATCTTCATGAATTACCTCAGCTAGATCTTCTAAAGAACTTGCTGCAGTTTCTACATCAAACACTTGCTGCTTTACCTTGCACTTTTATGTTATAGAGACTCTGTCTTTCCTTTTTTTTTCTTTTGAGACAGATCTCAAGAGTCCAGGCTGGAGTGCAATGGCGAGATCTCAGCTCACTGCAACCTCCGCCTCCTGGGCTCAAGCGATTCTCGTACCTCAGCCTCCAGAGCAGCTGGGACTACAGGTGCACGCCACCAGGCCTGGCTAATTTTTTGTATTTTAGAAGAGACGGGGTTTCACCAGGGTGCCTAGGGTGGTCTTGAACTCCTGAGCTCAGACGATCTGCCCACCTCAGCCTCCCAAAGTGCTGGGATTACAGGCGTGAGCCACCGCCCCCAGCTGACTGTGTCTTTCCTTAAACCTCATGAGCCAACCTCTGCTAGCTTCCAATTTTTCTTCTGCAGCTTCCTCACCCATCTCAGCCTTCACAGAATTGAAGAGAGTTAGGGCCTCACTCTGGATTACGCTGTGGCTTAAGGGAATGCTGTGGCTGGTTTGATCTTCTATCCACACCATTCAAACTTTCTTCCTATCAGCAATAAGCTGTTTTGCTTTATCATTTGCGTGTTCACTGGAGCAGCAGTTTTCATTTCCTTCGAGAACTTTTCCTACGCATTCTCCACCTGGCTACCTGTTCAGCCTAGCTTTCAGCCTACCTCAGCTGCTGACATGCCTTCCTCACTAAGCTTCATCATTTCTGCTTTTGATGTAAAGTGAGCAGCCTGCAAGTCTTCCTTTCACTTGAACACTCAGAGGCCACTATAGGTCTATTAATTGGCCTAATTTCCTTTTTTTTTCGTTGAGACGGAGTCTTGCTCTTTCGCCAGGCTGGAGTGCAGTGGTGCGATCTTGGCTCACTGCAACCTCCACCTCCCAGGTTCAAGTAATTCACCTGCCTCAGCCTCCCAAATAGCTGGGACTACAAGCACGCGCCACCACACCCAGCTAATTTTTTGTATTTTTAGTAGAGATGGTGTTTCACCATGTTGGCCAGGATGGTCTCGATCTCTTGACCTCGTGGTCCACACATCTCGGCCTCCCAAAGTGCTAGGATGACAGGCATGAGCCACCGTGCCTGGCCGGCCTAATTTCAATATTGTGTCTCAGGGACCAGGGAGGCCTGAGGAAAGGGAATGATGGGGGACCAGGCGATTGGTGAAGCAGTCAGAACACATATTTACCTATTAGGTTTGCCATATTATATGTGTGCGTTCGAGGACTCCCAGTACAATTACAATAGTAACATCAAAGATCACTGATCTCAATACCTTGAACCAAGGAGGCAGGGGATGCAGTGAGCCGAGATCGCACCACTGCACTCCAGCCAGGGTGACGGAGCAAACCTCCATCTCAAAAAAAAAAAAAAAAAAAAAAAAAAAATTCCACTACAGCGGATACAATAATCATGAAAAAGTCTCAAATAATGCTATGCCAAGAGTTACCAAAATGCAACACAGAGAACCAAGTAAGCACATGCTGCAGGAAAAATGGCACCAATAGACTTGACACAAGGTTGCCACAAATCTTCAATGTGTGAAAACTGCAGTGTCTGCAAGGCACAAAAAAAAAAAATGAGATATGCCCGGTCGGGCACAGTGGCTCATGCCTGTAATCCCAGCACTTTGGGAGGCCGAGGCGGGCAGATAACCTGAGGTCAGGAGTACGAGACCAGCCTGACCAACATGGAGAAACCCCATCTCTACTAAAAATACAAAACTAGCTGGGTGTGGTGGTGCATGCCTGTAATCCCAGCTACTCGGGAGGCTGAGGCAGGAGAATCACTTGAACCCAAGAGGCAGAGGTTGCGGTGAGCCGAGATCGCACCATTGCACTCTAGCCTGGGCAACAAGAGCAAAACTCCGTCTCAAAAAAACAAAAATGACAACAACAAAAAATGAGGTATGCCCATATATAATATGTGCCTATAGATACCCTAGCTTTTTTTGTTCCCTTTCCATGTTTTTAAGAAAATGCTGTATCAATCAGTTAACATAAAACCTACAGTGTTAGGTTAAACACAGATATGAAAATGGTCATACTGTGAAAGGCTGTGGGTATTAAAACCCTATAGTAAATTTCAACACTGTTCCAATGTCAAATAAGCTCACCACTGCTCTAAATGCAGATTACAAAACTCACTGAAGACTGTGATAAGGTGACTCGTATCTGTGAGGGAGTGGAGGAGAACTGTTTAATTTTGCAATATGCTTAAACAAACTTGCACAGTGAATCACTGGTTTTCAACACACCAACTTTTTATCTAGAAAAGAACTCCCGGCCGGATGTGGTGGCTCACGCCTGTAATCCCAGCACTTTGGGAGGCCGAGGTGGGCTCCTCGGGTCAGGAGCTCAAGACCAGCCTGGCCAACATGGAGAAACCCTGTCTGTACTAAAAATACAAAAAATTATCTAGGTATGGTGGTGTGCACCTGTAATCCCAGCTACTCCAGAGGCTGAGGTAGAAGAATTGCTTGAATACAGGAGGTGGAAGTTGCAGTGAGCGGAGATCGCGCCACTGCACTCCAGCCTGGTGACGGAGCGAGACCCCATCTCTTAAAAAAAAAAAAAAAGCCGAGAGTGGTGGCTCATGCCTGAAATCCTAGCACTTTGGGAGGCCAAGGCAAGCAGATCACCTGAGGTCAGGAGTTTGAGACCAACTTGGCCAACATGGCAAAACCCTGTCTTTACTAAAATTACAAAAATTAGCCAGGCATGGTGGTGGGCACCTGTAATCCCAGCTACTCGGGAGGATGAGGTAGAAGAATTGCTTGAACATGGGAGGTGGAGGTTGCAATGAGCCGAGATCGTGCCATTGCACTCCAGCCCAGGGGGCCAAGAGTGAAACTCTGTCTCAAAAAAAAAAAAGAAAAAGAAAATAACTCCTTATCTGAGTAAAAGTTTTAACCTATTCAAAATTTCTCTACCTTCATTACCTTCTCTCTAATGCATCTCATTAACCCAGAGTAAAGCCAAGCAAGGAACACCGTACAACAAACACTACCATTTTTCTTAACTCTTCAGTATCTATCCTGACATATTTCAGTGATTCCTTTTGAGCATTTTGAAATGTCTCCATAAACATTTCAGAAAATCTTTTTTAGTTTAAACCTCATTCTGTTTTAGAAGAAAATATAACTTGGCCAGGCGCAGTGGCCCACGCCTATAATCCCTCTGCACTTTGGGAGGCCAAGGTGGGCAGATCACCTGAGGTCGGGAGTTTGAGACCAGCCTGACCAACATGGAGAAACCCCGTCTCTACTAAAAATACAAAATTAGCCAGGCGTGCTGGCGCGTGCCTGTAATCCCAGCTACTTGGGAGGCTGAGGCAGGAGAATCACTTGAACTCACGCAGCGGGGGTTGTGGTGAGCCAAGAGTGTGCCACTGCACTCCAGCCTAGGCAACATGAGCAAAACTCCATCTCAAAAAAAAAAAAAAAGAAAGAAAGAAAGAAAGAAAATAATATAACTTGTCTTACCTACAAATATTTAGGCTTAAAATTAATGAAATGCAAAAGATAAAAATACAATGCTTACAATATTTTACAAAATCTTTTTGAAAATCCTTTCTGGTATTGACAAAAGCACGTCCTCTTTCAGTTCCGACGACAAACACGTCTGTTTCATACACTGCAATGCAGGCCACTTCGGCTTTGGACTTGGCCAGTTCTTTACACTACAATACAAACAGCAAACATCATGTTACAGGCGGACGTTTAAGAGCATCATTTCTGCTCGATGAATTAAAAAAACTAACAACATTTTTTAAAGGTACTTCTCTTTCAAGATAGTTTTTGGCCTGATTTTAAACAAAAGACAACACAGAATTTATAAGGAAAAAAAAAACACAATTCCCTTGTAATCTCTTATAGGTCAGATTCTCCAAGTAGTAGACTGAGAGTTTACACAGGCTTGCTGGGGGGCACTGTCAATTACAGCACTTGGGAGGCGGAAGGCAGGCAGGGCTGGACAGACGAAGCACTGAACACTGATGTAGCTGCACCCAGAGCTGGGAGCTGGCATGGCCCTCCCCTGGGAAAGGGTGGAATCTTGTACAAGGTGGCTCGAACAGCCATGGCACCTGGGGCAATTAGTGCCCTCAGTACAAAAGGAGGGTGGGGGTCTGAAACCCACACTACAGCATTCATTACATAATCCCCACCTCCAGAAGTATTCCCCTGTGTACACACAGCCAGAATCACTTTTAGGTGGGCAGAGTATTTACTGACTTTTACTAAGCATATTTCTACGAGATTAAATATTCTTTTAAAATGTTACAGAGTATATAGTATTCCATTTAATGAATATACCTTGAATGATTTACTGATAACATTATTTAAAAGGTTGGTGATTCCAATTTTCCCCCCTAAAAATAATACCACCATAACAACCTGGGAACAAAATATTTATGGGCATCTTTTTCTTTTTTTTTTTAAGACAGAGTTCCACTCTGTCGCCCAGGCTGGAGTGTGGTGGCGCGATCTCGGCTCACTGCAACCTCCACCTCACGGGTTCAAGCAATTCTCCTGTCTCAGCCTCCCGGGTTACTGGGACTACAGGCACACGCTGCCACGCTGGCTAATTTTTTTGTATTTTTAGTAGAGATAGGGTTTCACAATGTTGGCCAGGCTAGTCTTGAACTCCTGACCTCAGCCTATAATCCCAGCACTTTGGGAGGCCAAGGTGGGTGGATCACCTGAGGTCGGGAGTTCGAGACCCGCGTGACCAACATGGTGAAACCCTGTCTCTACTAAAAATACAAAAAATTACCCGAGCGTGGTGGCGCACACCTGCAATCCCAGCTACTCGGGAGTCTGAGGCATGAGAATCACTTGAACCCAGGGGGCAGAGGTTGCAGGGAGCCTATATCATGCC
The DNA here is from genome assembly GCF_000001405.40 of Homo sapiens. Classification (NCBI taxonomy): domain Eukaryota; kingdom Metazoa; phylum Chordata; class Mammalia; order Primates; family Hominidae; genus Homo; species Homo sapiens. Next base: position 74,689,773 of record NC_000007.14, on the reverse strand, counting down.
ATTGCACCCCAGCCTGGGCAACAAGAGCGAAACTCTGTCTCAAATAAATGAATGAATGAATGAATGACTGTGATGTGAAAGGCTTAAACCCATAACTATTCAAGAAGAAAAACTACTCATTGGTTGGGGCAGTGGTTCACACCTGTAATCCCAGCACTTTGGGCGGCTGAGGCAGGTGGATCAAGAGGTCAGGAGTTCGAGACCGGCCTGGCCAAGATGGTCAAACCCTGTCTTTACTAAAAATACAAAAAATTAGCCAGGTGTGGTGGCAGGCGCCTGTAATCCCAGCTACTCGGAAGGCTAAGGCAGGAGAATCGCTTGAACCCGGGAGGTAAAGGTTGCAGTGAGCCAAGATCTCGCCACTGCACTCTAGCCTGGGCAACAGAGCAAGACTCCGTCTCAAAAAAAAAAAAAAAAAAAAAAAAGTAAAGAAAAAGTACTCATTAAAACTAAAAACCATAAAATTCTATCTTCCACAAAAACAAATCAACCTTATCTACAGTGCAGGCCTACCCAACTATGGAATGATGGAACAGAAGGCCTCACCATGGACTCGAGAGCTGACATGAGGAATGTCACCACCATCCTGCTCTCCGAGGACTCCTCATCTTCAACGGGGAGGGTGGACATTGCAACTTGGGCCATGATCCCTGTGCAGGAGAAGTAAGAAGAAAGTGAGTGGTAGAAATCTGGTGTCCTGAACCCACAGCCAAAGCTGTGAGGGCCCCTCACCGGCTGCCTAATTTACAGTTTTCTTGCTCTAGAGACAAAATAAGGCTCAGAAACTAAGTATTTGACTTGCCCAAACCCTCATAAGATAAAGAATCTATCCCCTAATTTTCTATATATTGTTATTTCCAGAAAATTGGGTCAATATCACACCCCAAATAAATCCAGGTGGCACCCAGAATCAGTGAAATTTCTCCCAAGTAAGAACAAGACGAGGCAAGGCACTTTACAGCCCAGTGACGGGCAACCACAACTCAACACAGGACAGAGATGCTAAGCCCTCTTCTCCCCTGAACATCCTGACACACAAAAGAGTGGGTACAGTGGACTGAGGCTGAGTGGAGAGAAGTTTCTCTTCTTACTAAGAAAATAGATCACAGGCATCAAGTAACATGTAAGATTCTTTATAATACAGCATATTCTGGCCAGGCACGATGGCTCATGCCTATCATCCCAGCACTTTGGGAGGCTGAGGCAGGAGAATTGCTTGAACCCAGGAGGCGGAGGCTGCAGTGAGCGGAGATCGCAGCACTGCACTCCAGTCTGGGTGACAAGAGCAAAACTCCGTCTCAAAAAAACAAAACAAAATGGTTAGAAGTGTAAATTTTATGTTAAGTATATTTTACCAAAATAAAATGAAAACAACACACCATATAAAAACATACTGGCCAGGCGTGGTGGCTCATGTCTCTAATCCCAGCTCTTTGGGAGGCCGAGGCAGGTGGATCACCTGAGGTCGGGAGTTCGAGATTAGCCTGGCCAACATGGCAAAACTCTGCCTCTACTAAAAATACAAAAATGAGCCAGGCAGGGTGGTGGGCGCCTGTAATCCCGGCTACTCAAGAGTCTGAGACAGGGGAATCGCTTGAACCTGGGAGACGGAGGTTGCAGTGAGCCGAGATCACGCCACCTCACTGGAGCCTTGGTGACAGAGTGAGCCTGTCACACACACAAAAAAATTATGTATATTTTACCAAAATAAAACCAAAACAATACACCATATAAAGACATACTAAGATGGCAAAATCTAAAGCAAATTTCTAAAACTGAAACACTAAAAAGGTTTTCTGTAAATAGCATGCAAATTAGATGCCTATTAAAAATTGTCCCTTTTAATTTAGTTGAATTAATTCTACTTTTAGGGAGCTATTGAATAATTAAATAAACTTAATATGGAAAGATAACTGAAAAATTTAAAAATTAAACACTGGAAACAAGAATAGTAACTGTAAAAACAAATTAATTTACTGACAACACCCGAGTATTCCTTAACTAAAGCCCCAGGGTTCTGGAGAACGTGGACAAGCAGCTGAGGAGCTGTCAGCAGAAAACTGTTATGCCTAAAAATGTCAGTAAATCTTTTCCCTATTATTAAAGAGGATGCTCTATTTCCCTATTATTAAAGACTGTGATCTAGCTTTATCTGTTACCATGTGAATTAACTGCTAGCCCAGATTACCCATCAACAAGTAACGAAGCATACATACTTAGGAAGTTGCGCTTTATAATAAAAACCATAATCCACTGGGCGTGGTGGCTCACGCCTGTAATCCCAGCCCTTTGGAAGGCCGAGGCGGGTGGATCTCTTGAGGTCAGGAGTTCGAGATCAGCATGGCCAACATGGTGAAACCCTGTCTCTATTAAAAATTCCAAATAGCCGGGCATGGTGGCACGCACCTGTAATCCCAGCTACTTGGGAGGCTGAGGCAGGAGAATCGCTTGAGCCCAGGAGGCGGAGGTTGCAGTGAGCCAAGATTGCGCTGCTGCACTCCAGCCTGGGCGACAGAGTGAGACTCCGCCTCAAAAAAAATAAAATAAATAAATACAAACCATAATAAAAAATAATTGACACTTGGCTGGGCCCAGTGGCTCAAACCTGTAATCCCAGCACTTTGGGAGGCCGTGGCAGGTGACTCTCATGAGGCCAGGAGTTCGAGACCATCCTGGGCAATGTGGCGAAACACTGTCTCTACTAAAAATACAAAAATTAGCCAGGCATGGTGGTGTACCATCTGTAATTCCAGTCACTCAGGAGGCTGAGGCACGAGAATCAATTGAATCCAGTAGGTGGAGGTTGCAGTGAGCCAAAATCACGCCACAGCACTCCAACCCAAACAACAAAGCAAGACTCTATCTCAAAAAAAAAAAACAAAAACAAAACAAACAAAACACTTATCCCCATATATTTGAACAAACAGAAGCAAATCTGATTCCCAACACAAGGGTCCCTGACTAGAGACGGAAGTAAAGGCCGTATCAAGCAAGTGAATAGGTAAATTATAGAAATTATTTGGCCTAACAGCTTAGGTCCCATTCTTTTTCTCTTGGATAAAACTAAGTGAATTTGTCTGGTTTTCTTTCCCTCTCCCTCTCCCCCAAGTCTAAGTAAATTTCCATTAAAATGTGGCTTAGGCGAAATGGACAACAAAGGCATATATGTTTCTATAATTAGACATTCACTTAGCGTACACTTTCATTATTTCTGAAAATTCATAGTATTTCTTCATAATCTCACTTTTCCTTTAATTCCCCAGCGAAAGAAAACAGAGATGTGTTCTCATTTTACAAATGCAGTGATTTGTCAAGGTCATATTGCCACTATCACAGTCAGAACATGAAACTAGGGCAATTTTCTGCCTACTGCTGTTACCACTTTTTCTCATCTTTAATCGCCATAAATCTGCCATCAAGTCATCATGAGGCCGGAGAATAGGGTCTGGAGGCAGGGAACCTAAGGCCAATTCATGCTGACTTCCTAGAACTAAATCAAAAGGAAAACCCCAACTTTTCACACCTAAGTAACAAAAGGATGGGAGGCTACTCAGTTTGCAAACCACCACCCCCACTTTTTCTGTGTCCCAGATGGAAAATTCAAAGTATCTCTGATTGGTTGCTTTCTGCAACCAATCAGACGTTTGCACAGGAGTGTAACATTGTAACTTCACTTCAGCCTCTGATTGGTTGCTTCCTGCAACGAATCCCAGACTGACTGCGACCAAGTCTTTTTTCCTTTCCTTTTTCTTTAGTGCAGTGGCACGATCTCGGCTCACTGCAAGCTCCGCCTCCCGGGTTCACGCCATTCTCCCACCTCAGCCTCCAGAGTAGCTGGGACTACAGGCGCCCGCCACCACGCGCAGCTAATTTTTGTGTTTTTTAGTAGAGACGGGTTTTCACCATGTTAGCCAGGATGGTATCGATCTCCTGACCTCATGATCCGCCCGCCTCGGCCGGATTACCGGCGTGAGCCATCGCCCCCGGACTTTTTTTTTTCTTTTTTTAAGACGGAGTCTAGCTCTATCGCCGAGGCTGGAGTGCAGTGGCACGTTCTGGGTTCCCTGCAACCTCGGCCTTCCGGGTTCAAACGATTCTCCTGCTTCAGCCTCGCGAGTACCTGGGACTACAGGTGCCCGCCACCACGCCCAACTAATTTTTGTATTTTTAGTAGAGATGGAGTTTCGCCATGTTGGCCAGGCTGGTCTGGAACTTCTGACTTCAGGTTATCCACCTACCTTGGCCTCCCACCACGCCCGGCCTTTTGTTTTTGTTTTGAGACAGGGTCTTGCTTTGTTGCCCAGGCTGAAGTGCAATGGCGCTATCTCAGCTCACTGCAACCTCTGCCTCCCGGGTTCAAGCGATTCTCCTGCCTCAGCCTCCCGAGTAGCTGAGATTACAGGTAACTGCCACCACACCTGGCTAATTTTTTGTATTTTTAGTAGAGAGGGGGTTTCACCATATTGGTCAGGCTGGTCTGGAACTCGTGACCTCAAGTAATCCACCCATCTTGGCCTCCCAAAGTACTGGGATTACTGGAGCCCGGCAGGGCAAGTCGTCATTTGCATACAAGTGTAACTTTGTAACTTCACTTTAGTCTCTGATTGGTTGCTTTCCACAGATGCTTGCATAGGGTGTAACCTTTGTAACTTCAAGTCAGCCTCTAATTGGTTGCTTTTCACAACCAATCAGACTGCTTGCAGGCCACTACTGTATTTACAAAGGATGTACACCAGGTAACCAATGGGAAACCTCTAGAAAATTAAACCCCAGAAAGTTAAACCCCAGAAAGTAGTTAAACCCCAGAAAATTCTGTAAAGGGGCTCTTCAGCCCCCAGGCTCGGCCCGCCCCCTCTTTGTGGACTGTACCTTCCACTTTCAATAAATCTCGGCTTTTGGTGCTTCTTCCATTGGACACCCTCCACTGGTAACAATCACACTCAATGTGTGTAAGAAATGGGGGACAGACGCTACAGCAACAGCCCACGGGGCGCCCCTGGTGATGAAGGTCCTATGTCTTTATCAGAACTTTCAGGGCAGGCAGCGAGCCCTGCAGGATGGAAAGCACCCCAAGGGCGACCCACGGGCCTTCTCTGTGCTTCCTGCTCTCTGGAAATGGGTGCATCCGGGTCACACCGGAAGTTCGCTGTTCTTTGCCCATCCCAAGAGTTTCCTTCCTGGGACAGTCCTTAGTTGAAACTATTCGTGGAGGCTTCCCTGCACCCTTCACTTGGGGACGGCTCTCTTTTCTCCTCTTCCCAGAAAGAAACTGCCATCAGGAGGTGGCATTAATTAAACAATGAACACCAGAGGAGGCATCGGGCCAGGCAGGTGACGCCAGCTTAGGAAGCATCTGATGCACCGGTCCCCACAGGACCAAACGCCTAGAGAGCTGGTGTATGGGTTCAGCAGACAGCCATCTCGCTGCGTGCCCCTGGGGGCTGTACTCAGTTGCCTCGTCCATAAATGGAAATGCTCAATCCCTTTTATGAATACCCTCAACTTAAAATAAGAAGGGTTGGAAAAAGAAATGAACATTTATTGAATATATGTCATGCTTTATTGGCCATCTTGTATAATAAGCACAGCAACCCTGGGTGGGAGAGCAGGCAACATGGACTACACATGGACCCCAGGAAAAGCTCCTTGATGGAGGTGGTGCTCCAGAAGCCACCTGAGCCAGGCCCATGGAGTCTTTTCCTGGTTGACTTTACTTTCTGATGTCACCAGCAATGAACCACAAATCACAAGGATATGACCTCTCCTATCTGTCATGACACATCAAAACTCAGAGGTCTCCCAGTAAAAGAGGCCGTGGAAGAAAAAAAAAATTAAACCAGGTAAAATGAGGACATTTTGCTCTGTGCTCATAAGGAATGCAACTAGGTACGAGTTTTTAAGTTTTTTTTTTCTTTGGTGGGGGGAAGGAGTCTCGCTCTGTTGCCCCGGCTGGAGTGCAGTGGCACGATCCTGGCTCACTGAAATCTCCAGCTCCTGGGTGCGAGTAATTCTCCTGCCTCTGCCTCCCGAGTAGCTGGGATGACAGGCGCCCGCCACCACACCCGGGTAATTTTTGTATTTTTAGTAGAGATGGGGTTTCACCACATTGGGCAGGCTGGTCTTGAGCTCCTGACCTCAGGTGATCTGCCCGCTTCAGCCTCCCAAAGTGCTGAGATTACAGGCGTGAGCCACCGCACCCGGCCTAATTCTGTATTTTTAGATGCAACACTATTTTTGCTTAATTTAATTTTCCTTTAGATGTAACCACGTATTTATGACATAATTTGCTCATTCTTTTGTGTTCCTGCTGTCCTCTGGTGACAAACTGTTTTTGTTTGCTAAAAAATTTTTCTTGAAAGGTATTTTCGCTGGAATAGAAACCTAGGTTGACAATTATATTCTTTCAGCACACTAAGGTTATTTCATTATCTGTTGGTGTCATTATATTTTGGCTTCCACTGTCGCTATTGAGAAGTAATCTACGGTCTCTTTTTAGGTGATTCCCATTCCTACTCCTGCTGTTTTTAAGAGGTTTTCTTTGTCTAAGATGTTTTCTACAGTTTCACTGTGTATTCTAGGTGTAGATTTTATTTTTATTAAACATATGTCTGTCATTCATGGGCTTAACTATGAAATGGTATCCTTCGATGTGGAAAACTCTAAGCTATTGTCTCTTTAGATTCTGCCCCATTCTCTATCTCCTATCCTACTGGGACTCACATTAATGTATGTTAGTCATCACTTTATCCTTTTAGCTTCTTACCTTTTTTTACGTTTTCTTCTCCATACTAAACAATTATTTCTTCTGGCTTACCTTCCATTTCACTAACTCCTTCTTCATCTTTTTATTCTGTTGTTAAAACACCTATCCGGTTTTTAATTTTGTTTGTAATTTTCATTTCTATGATTTCTAGTTACTGCTAAGTCATATTTTATAGTTTCCTACTCTCTAAGGAATTTCAAGATTGTCATATTTCTTTGGTAATGGGGCAGTTATTTTATAGTCTCTGATAATTCCAAATCTCAAGTTTTTGCAGGACTATTTCTGTTGTTCCCAGTGGTTCTTACCCTTATGCATGGTTCTTATTCCCTTCTATGCCTAATTATCTTAGTGAGTTAGTTATTTTACGTGAAAAAATTACTTATAATCTTAAGCCTAGGGTGAAGGCAGCTTCCTCCAGGTGTCAAGAGACAACACCTGCCTAGAATCACTCTAATCCAAGTTCGAGACTTGGTTCCTTGGCCCACCCAGTAGAAGTTAACCCAGGCCACAAGTAAGGATGCAGACTATTCTGAGTCTCTCACCCCACAAAGCTTTTAAAACTCAAGGTCAAGTGGTGAAATGTTTGCCTTCAGGACAAGAGTAATTCTCACTTCTGTCAATTGAGTTCCCATAACCCAGCCCTTCAAATTTTCTCTACTTTTCAACTTTCTGGTGTTTTCACAAAAGTTTTGTTTTATAATTTTACAACAGTGTTGGTTGTTTTCAGTAAGAATAACTAACCTCACCAACTCTGGGAACCATACCTTCCATATCCTTTATTCTCAAGAACAATTTATGAATTAGCCAGAACTACTTTAGATTGCGAGGTTACCAATTCCCAATTCAAACAAGATCAAGTACAAAAGAGAACTTTTATTGCTTCATTTAATTAATTAAGTCTAAAGGTTATACTGGCTCCACATATAGCTAGATCCAAAACCACAAAATAAGTCATTAGAATTCTCTCAGCTTAAGCAGAAGGGTGTCCTCCCTAAGGCAGACCTGACAGCCACATGCACCTTCATGCGTACCACATTCCTGTCCTGTGATCCCAGAGGCAGAGAACTATCACATCCTCCCATTACTTTTTTTTTTTTTTTGAGACGGAGTCTCACTTATCGCCCAGGTTGGAGTGCAGTAACACAATCTCAACTCACTGCAACCTCCACCTCCTGGGTTCAAGTGATTCTCCTGCCTCAGCCTCCCGAGTAGCTGGGATTACAGGCGTGCACCACCACGTCTGACTAATTTTTGTATTTTTAGTAGAGACAGGATTTTGCCATGTTGGCCAGGCTGGTCTCGAACTTCTGATCTCAGTTGATCCGTCTGCTTTGGGCTCCCAAAATGCTAGGATTACAGGCGTAAGCCACTATGCCCAGCCTTCCCATTACATTTTGTGTAAAAGATCTGGGCATATGTGTCATGAGCCTACCCAAACCCAATTACTGTGGGCTGGTCAGAACAAGATGACACGGGATATACTGTGATTAAACAGACACACAAAAAATAACAGCTATGTGAGCCTGGTATGCCTTCTTTCCCATTTTTTTTTCTTTTTTTCTTTTTTTTTATTTTTGAGACAGAGTCTTGCTCTATCGCCCAGGCTAGAGTGCAATGGCACGATCTCGGCTCACTGCAACCTCTGCCTCCCAGGTTCAAGCAATTCTCCTGCCTCAGCCTCCCAAGTAGTTCGGATTACAGGTGCCTGCCACCAAACCCAGCTAATTTTTGTATTTTTTTTAGAGATGGGGTTTCGTCATGTTGGTCAGGCTGATCTTGAACTACTGACGTCAGGTGATCTGCCCGCCTTGGCCTCCCCAAGTGCTGGGATTACAGGCATAAGCCACTGCGCCCAGCCTCCCATTTTTTCAATCTCCTCAGTTCTTCTATTCTCAACGTTTTTTGACTTCACCTTTCGTTTCCCTGATTTGATTTTAATTCTCCTTCATGAGTTTCAAAGTTGAACTCAATTGGCCTGTTGCTATTTCATTGTTTATCTCCGATTCTGGTTGGCTACTGTATATGTGATGCCTTCTTTATCTCTGAAAACAAGACTCTAGCCATTGTTTGAAATCCTCGAGTTTCCTGTTGGAGATCCATTTCAGGTATTAGATTTATCCGTGTCCTTGCTGTTCTGATCCATTCTTCCTCAAAATAAGCCAATAACTAATTCCATAAAATTTTCTTTTTGTCTGTACTTCTGCTTTAATTATCTGATTCCTTGCTGTTAATACCAAACAGCACACAACAACATTTGGTTTTGGGTTTTATGAGACAAAGTCTCACTCTGTTGCCTGGACGAGTACAGTGGCACCATCACTGCTAACTGAAGCCTCCACCTCCTGTGTTCAAGCGATCTTCCCACCTCAGCATCCCTACTAGCTGGGACTACAGACTTGCAGCACCACGCCCGGCTAATTTTTTGTATTTTTAGTAGAGATCGGGTCTCACTATGTTGCGCAGGCTGGTCTCGAACTCCTGAGATCAAATGATCCTCCCGCCTCAGTCTACCAAAGTGCTAGGATTAAAAGCATAAGCCACTGCACCCAGACAAAAAAAAATATTTTATAGTGAGTGAAAGGAAGAACGCGCTTGAAGATTTTTACAAACCTTATCATTACCCTCATAAAAACTGAGGTTCTTAATATTTTTTATGATGCTGTTCTCTGAGATACTTCTGAACTTTCAATACATTTCTGCTTCAAAACAAGGTTCCAGTCAGACTGGCAAGTGGGCAGGTGCTAGAACACTCTTTTATTTAAATTACATTCATGCCCTATTTCTTTTTCATGTTATAATATATATACACAAATATATATAAATAAATATATAAAATTATATATATGTGTGTATATACATACATATATATATGTGTATATACATACATACATACATATATATATATATATATTTTTTTTTTTTTTTTTTTTTGAGATGGACTCTGGCTCTTGTCACCCAGGCTGGAGTACAATGGTGTGATCTCAGCTCATTGCAACCTCTGCCTCCCGGGTTCAAGCGATTCTCCTGCCTCAGACTCCTGAGTAGCTGGGATTACAGGTGTCCGCCACCACCCAGATAATTTTTCTATTTTTAGTAAAAATGGGGTTTCACCACGTTGGCCAGGCTGGTCTTGAACTCCTGACCTCAGGAAATCTGCCTGCCTCGGCCTCCGAAAGGGCTGGGATTACAGGCGAGAGCCACTGTGCACAGCCTAGAGTTAGTTCTTTAACAAGGGACTAGAATCCCTCTCTAAATTCCAAATTGCCTCTTTACAGCCAGGTGTGGTGGCTCACACCTGTAATCTCAGCATTTTGGGAGGCCAAGGTAGGAGGATCGCTTGAGGTCTAGAGTTCAAGACCAAACTGCCTTTTTAATGCATAATAACAATCAAAGAATGGCAGGTTTTAAAAACATAATCAACACAAGGTAAATAATTAGACAGTGATTGCAACTATAATACTACACAGTCTTTCAGCAGAGAATTAACTGCCACTCATCATAAACGAACTGACTGAAGCAAAGTATAATATCCTTTTCATTAGAAAGCAAAGATGATAGTGGACACTGAACTTTCTGTATCAGCATCAGTCACATTCTAAGAAAATAAGGCATTTGGTTAAAAAAAAAATAAATGGAAAATATGGCAGCGGCTCACGCCTGTAATCCCAGCATTTTGGGAGGTCAAGTCAGGTGGATCACTTGAGGTCAGGAATTCGAGACCAGCCTGGCCAACATGGTGAAACCCCATCTCTACTAAAAATACAAAAATAAGCTGGGTGTGGTGGGCGCCTGTAATCCCAGCTACTCAGGAGGCTGAGGCAGGAGAATCCCTTGAACCCGGGAGGCGGAGGTTGCAGTGATCCAAGTTCACGCCACTGCACTCCAGCCTGAGCAACAGAGTGAGACTCCATCTCAAAAAATTAAAAAATTTTTAAAAATATAGCTGGGCGCGGTGGCTCATGCCTGTAATCCCAGCATTTTGGGAGGCTGAGGTGGGCAAATCACAAGGTCAGGAGTTCGAGACCAGCCTGGCCAACATGCTAAAACCCCATCTCTATTAAAAATACAAAAATTAGCCAGGCATGGTGGCGCACACCTGGATTCCCAGCTACTCAGGAGGCTGACGCAGGAGAATTGCTTGAACCCGGGAGGCGGAGGTTGCAGTGAGCCGAGATCGCGCCACTGCACTCCAGCCTGGGTGACAGAGCGAGACTCTGTCTCAAAAAATATATATATATGAGTAGGTTACAGACCGATTATCTAGGTGAACACATTACTTATGTCACAAAACACTGCTTCCAGGTACTGTCAGGCAAACTATCTCCTTTAACAATGAAAGACAGCCCTGAATTTAGACAATAGTTTAAATTAGTAAAACCTTGACTCGCCACCTAAAAGACTGAAGACTCAGTCTCAACGAAGGTGAAATGGATTTAAACTGATGAGAAACACCAGGCCCATTATTTTATTTTCTTCTGCACAAATTTCTACAGGCTACTATTTTTACTTGTAATAAGCAATGAAGATCTACACTGCACCTTTACTTAAGGAAGGCGAGATAAACTCAAGACTGCAAAAATCAGTATCTTTCTTAACTCAATGTTTTGCATTCAGACAATAATCACTAAACCCCTAGATGCTTAGATGAATAAAAACTGAGAAAAACCTTCAAAATTAGCTAAAATAATTGCCACTAGGATATTGTCCCTGGAAGACAGTATTTAAGACAGGTAATGGTATTCAATTCTGTAATTATTCAACAGGCTTGAGTTAAAAAAAAAAAAAAAAAAAAGCCGGGCTCAGTAGCTCACACCTGTAATCCCAGCGCTCTGGGAGGCCGAGACAGGAGGATGGCTTGAGCCCAGGAGGTGAAGGCTGCAGTGAGCCATGATGGCACCACTGCACTCCAGCCTGGGTGACAGAGTAAGCCCGTGTCCATTAAAGAGAGAGAGAGAGAGACAGACAGAAATAATACTTTTACCAGAGAAATTTTCCGTCCAAACCTAAGTTTTTGTCCCCCTATTCCAAAAAATGGACTACAGCGGTGAGTCTGCAGTACTGGTGGATGCACTTCTGCCTTGGCCAGTATTTCAGGGAAGTTCTCTCTTTCTTGGTTTTCTGGTGTCTTCCAGCTTTCCAGCTGTCTTCATTCTTTGAGATCTAGTCTCCAGTTATCTTTTGTATAAGAGGAAAAACTGTAAAACCCAAATTTACTTTTTTTTTTTTTTTGAGACAGAATCTCACTCTGTCGCCCAGGCTGGAGTGCAGTGGCGTGATCTTGGCTCACTGCAACCTCCGCCTCCTGGGTTCAAGCAATTCTCCTGCCTCAGCCTCCCGAGTAGCTAGGATTACAGGTGTATGTCACCACGCCCGGCTAATTTTCTTTTTTTTAGTAGAGATGGGGTTTCAGCATGTTGGCCAGGCTGGTCTTGGAACTCCTGACCTCAGGTGATCTGCCCGCCTCAGCCTCCCAAAGTGCCACACCTGGCCAACCAATTCATTTTATTAACAGCCACTAAAGCCAAGTTTCAACAAAATTAAATGACTAATGGCATCATCATATTCTTGAATGTATACACTAACAGAAACATCCTCAGTCAGAAGAATAAAATGAATTCATGTATCGCTTAATGCCAAGGGAAAAATTAGTGACATCTCAAACTTTTACAAAGTAATTTCTTCAAAACAATGAGTGGTAAGAAAAAGTTAAAATTCATCAAGTAAAATGTTAGATATTTTGTCCTAAAATAGTGCTTAAAATAAATCCAAAAGATCTAATACTAGTAGTTCAATCAGCTGACTTTAGTCTAAACCAGGATTCAGCTGCATTAAAACTAGTTTAGATTATCATGTAATACTACATTTTGGCAATCTTTTAGGCCGCCTAAATCTTTTCATCTCTGAAACTGTTGGGGTTTTTTCGGTTTTTTGTTTTGTTTTTGTTTTGTTTTGGAGACAGAGTCTCACTCTGTCGCCCAGGCTGGAGTGCAGGGGCGTAATCTCGGCTCACTGCAACCTCCACCTCTTGGGTTCAAGCAATTCTCCTGGCTGGATCTCCGGAGTAGCTGGGATTACAGGCACCTGACACCACACCCAGCTAGCTTTTTTTGTATTTTTAGTAGAGACAGGGTTTCCCCATGTTGGCCAGGCTGGTCTTGAACTCCTGACCTCAAGTGATTTGCCCGCCTCAGCCTCCTAAAGTGCTGGGATTACAGGCATGAGCCATCATGCCCAGCCAAATTGTTGGTATTTAATATTTCCATGTTCTCCCTATAATTATTAAGTACTAAAAGCCAAAACTAAAATCTGTTTTTCAGAAGGAAATTTATTCATCCCTAAAATGTCAGTATACATTTAATATAATCAGTTCAGATTGTAAACACAGACTTTGTAAATATCTTAATGTTTTCTATTTAATTTTTTTTTCTAGACATGTGGTTCACACTAAATGTCTTAATTTTTTCAAGATACTACCATTTGTTTTAATTATGTCCACTGAGTAGCTTCTATAGAAAATGTGCTTTGCTAGGGTTTTGGTTTGTTTGTTTGTTTGTTTTTCAGATAAGGGTCTCACTATGTTGCCCAAGATGGCTGCAAACTCCTGGGCTCAAAGGATCCTCCTACCTCAGTCTCCCAATTAGCTGGGACTACAGGCATCTGCCACCACGTCTGGCTATAGGAGCTGTGTTTTTAATTTTTGTTTTAATGAGAACATGTTTAAGGTAGTTTGCTGACCCTATCAGTTTGTCTTTCGAATGACAGCAAAGAAATTAACTTCATATCTTGATAAGTTTATTATAAATGGTCGACATCTGCTTGACACAATTTACAAAATGGATCTTTTTATAACCTAAGAACAGCTGATAACTTAAAAGACAATGTAAATTGCCCAAGATCACAGAATTGCTAAGAATAGAATCCAGATCTATCCAACTGACTAGATGTCCTCAATTCCCCATTCTCTGTCTTTTTATTTGGTTTGTTTGTTTGTTTGTTTGTTTTAGATGGAGTCTTGCTCTGTCACCCAGGCTGCAGTGCAGTGGCATGATCTTGGCTCACTGCAACCTCTGCCTCCCGGGTTCAAGCGATTCTCCTGCCTCAGCCTCCTGCGTAGCTGGGACTATAGGCGCCCATCACCATGCCCAGCTAATTTTTGTATTTTTAGTAGAGACGGGGTTTTGCCATGTTTGCTAGGCTGGTCTCCAACTCCTGACCTCTAGTGATCTGCCCACCTCGGCCTCCCAAGTGCTGGGATTACAGGTGTGAGCCACTGCGCCCAGCCCCCCATTCTCTTTCAAACCACACTATACACTGTAAAATTTAATCCGATTTTAAATATTTTTCAAATTCCATTATCTACAAATTTAAACTTTAGAAAAACATTAAGTTTTCAAGGGCTTAGACAACAACTATAATGGTATTTAAGTCTATGAACTGACCTTCTGCCCCCCCCAAAAAAAACAGCCTCTCAAAGAAATAGGATTCCTCAATACTAAAAGGAGATATTTTCATTTTGCCAAAGTATTGTACCACAAAATACTAGTTCATAGCTACTTTTCTTCTTTTAAAAATATTCATTCTTTTAAAAAAAAGGAGAACATGGCACATCCCATCGTAACCAAGTCATCAAAGTTAACACTAGTCTCCAGACAGACAAACACCACGTCCCACCCAACAAAATGCAAGGAAAACATGGATATTCCTGCTCAAAATGCTTAACCTCAATATAAGCATGAGGAAGCACTGGACAAACCTGAGTTAAGAGACAGTCTATAAAAATGCCTCTAGTCTTCAAAAAGGTCAAGGGCATGAATGAAACTCAAAACACTGAAAAACTGTTCTAAAATAAAGTATATTAGGCCGGGATGGATGGCTCACACCTGTAATCCCAGCACTTTGGGAGGCCGAGGTGGGTGGATCACCTGAGGTCAGGAGTTCGACACCAGCCTGGCCAACATGGCAAAACCCCATCTCTACTAAAAATACAAAAATTGGCTGGGTGTGGTGGCAGGTGCCTGTAATCCCAGCTACTTGGGAGACTGAGGCAGGAGAATCGCTTGAACCAGGAGGAAGAAGTTGCAGTGAGCTGAGATGGTGCCACTGCACTCCAGCCTGGGTGAAAGAGTGAAACTCCGTCTCAAAAAAATATATATATATATTAGAGGGCTGGGCATAGTGGCTCATGCCCATCATCCCAGCACTTTGGGAGGCCGAGGTGGGCGGATCACCTGAGGTTGGGAGTTCAAGACCAGCCTGACCAACATGGAGAAACCCCGTCTCCACTAAAAAAAAAAAAAATGCAAAATTAGTTGAGCGTGGTGGCTCATGCCTGTAATCCCAGCTACCCGGGAGGCTGAGGCAGGAGAATTGCTTGAAACCGGGAGGCAGAGGTTACAGTGAGCTGAGATTGCACGACTGCACTCCAGTCTGAGCAACAAGAGTGAAACTCCATCTCAAAAAAGTATATTAGAGAGGCAAGGAAACTGGGTGGAAATGTGATCCTGGATTACAGTCTTGCAATAAAGGACATCCATCACCAAAACGATGGGCAGAACTTGAATGCAAGTCTCTACGTGAAAGATATGTGAGCAAGTTTTGTTTATTTGCTGTTCTTGCAACTATTTTCTAAGTTTAAAAGTGACTCAGACTGGGCGCCGTGGCTCACCTCTGAAATCCCAACACTTTGGGATGCTGACGTGGGAGGGCTGCTTAAGACCAAGAGTTCGACACCAGCTTGGCAATAGAGTGAGATCCCTTCTCTACCAAAAATTTAAAAAGTATCCAGGTGTGGTACACGCCTGTTGTCCCAGCTACTCAGGAGCCTGAGGCAAGAGGATCACTTGAGCCTAGGAGTTCGACGCTGCAGTGACCTATGACCACACCACTGCACTCCAGCTTGGGAGACAGAACAAGACCCTGTTAAAAAAAAAAAAAAAAAAAAGTCATAGATCACTAGCTGGTTTATATTAGTTGTACATTTTACCTGCTTTTTAAATTTTGTAGCTATTTTTCTTCTTTTAAAAATAGTTTTATGCCAGGCGCGGTGGCTCACGCTTGTAATCCCAGCACTTTGGGAGGCCGAGGTGGGCAGATCACGAGGTCAAGAGATCTAGACCATCCTGGCCAACTCGGTGAAACCCTGTCTCTACTAAAACTACAAAAATTAGCTGGGTGTGGTGGTGGGTGCCTGTAATCCCAGCTACTCGGGAGGCTGAGGCGGGAGAATCGCTTGAACCTGGGAGGTGGAGGTTGCAGTGAGCTGAGATCACACCACTGCACTTTAGATTGGCGACAGAGCAAGACTGGTCTCAAAAAAAAAAAAAAAAAAAAGAGGCCGGGCGTGGTGGCTCATCCCTGTAATCTCAACACTTTGGGAGGGCGAGGTGAGGCAATCACCTGAGGTCAGGAGTTCGAGACCAGCCTGACTAACAGAGAAACCTTGTCTCTACTAAAAATACAAAATTAGCCAGGCATGGCTGCGCATGCCTGTAATTCCAGCTACTCGGGAGGCTGAGACAGGAGAATTGCTTGAACCTGAGGGGCAGAGGTTGCAGTGAGCTGAGGTCAGATCACACCATTGCACTCTAGCCTGGGCAACAAGAGAGAAACTCCATCTCAGACAAAACAAAAACAAACAAACAAACAAATCCAAAAACCACATAGCAGTTAAGAGCAGGAGTTGTCTGGCTGCCTAGTTTTATATTAACACTGTCCCTTACTATATTTTTCAGATTAGTTAACCTCATTTTTCTCAACTTTAAAATGGGATCATAATAGTGCCTACCTCACATCTCAGGATTGCTATGAGGATTAAAGATGTTAATGCAGGTAGCACTTAAAACAGTAAACTCAGCTCGGGGCAGTGGCTCAGGCCTGTAATCCCAGCACTTTGGGAGGCCAAGGCGGGCAGATCATGAGGTCAGGAAATGGAGACCATCCTGGCTAACACGGTGATACCCCATCTTTACTAAAAATACAAAAAATTAGCCGGGCGTGGTGGCACGCGCCTGTAGTCCCAGCTACTAGGGAGGCTGAGGCAGGAGAATCGCTTGAACCCAGGAGGCAGAGGTTGCAGTGAGCCGAGATCGTGCCACTGCACTCCAGCCTGGGCAGCAGAATGAGACTCTGTCTCAAAAGAAAAAAAACAAAACAGTAAACTCATAAACTCTCAAAAAATGTCATTGTTGTCGATATTGTCTTCAGTATTCTAGTCCAATCTCCAGCTCTGACATATCCTCCAACAGAGAGCTTCCTGTTTACTGTACATAGTATCTTAGAAAAGATAAGTTCTCCAGAGACTACACTAGACCTGGAATAGGCAGGACTTCTGTATGCCTTGCTTATAATGAACAATACTTCAATTCTAAGAGTTTATCTCCATAGGCTTACTAGGTATTTTCCCAAGGAAAATAAATTAGGTCAGCAATTCACAGGCTCTGTGTTTTTTTTTGTTTGTTTGTTTGTTTTTCTTGAGACAGAGTCTCACTCTGTTGCCCAGGCCGGAGTACAGTGGCACGATCCTGGCTCACTGGAAACTCTGCTTTCCGGGTCCAAGTGATTCTGCTGCCTCAGCTCCCGAGTAGCTGGGATTACAGGGGTGCACCATCACTCCTGGCTAATTTTTGTAATTTTAGTAGAGACGGGGTTTCACCATGTTGCCCAGGCTGGTCTCAAACTCCTGAGCCCAGGCAATATCTGCACGCCTCAGCCTCCCGAAGTGCTGGGATTACTGGCGAGAGCCATCGTGCCCGGCCAGAGGTTCTGTTTTACAAATATTTAATAACAGGATATAAACTATCACGATTTATATTAATGTATATTAACATATACACTTCAGCAGATAAGAAATAGAGCCAAAGAACTCATTTTAGTTCATTTGACTTTAATTTTTAACTCATATATATATGAATATATATAACTCATACATATATATGAATGGCAAGTACTTCCAAATAAAATAAGAAATCCCTAGGCCAAATCTTTGATCAGGATTGATTTTTAAATCAAGGGTTTGAATTTTTTTTTTTGAGACAGGGTCTTGCTCTGTCACCCAGGCTGGAATGCAGTGGCAGGGACATGGCTCATTGTAGCCTCAACCTCCTGGGCTCAAGCAATCCTCCCACCTCATCCTTCTTAGTAGCTGAGACTACAGGAATGCACCACCACACCCGGCTAATTTTTTTGATTTTTTGGTAGAGACAGGGTCTCACTATGTTGCCCAGGCTGGTGTCAAACTCCCGTGCTCAAGCAGTCCTCCCACCGTGGCCTTTCAAAGTACTCAGATTACAGGCGTGAGACACCATGGCCAGCCGGCTGTGAAATTTTTCTAGGGGCGTATGCTGACATTTTAAGATACAAAATTGTTAATTTCTATCTGCTGAAATAAAGCTGGCACTTACATCAATAAATAACAAATATCCCTCAAGAAAAAATAAAATAAATTTGAAGGGTTAAGATTTGAAACGATTTACAACTGTGTTGTATTCGTACTTAAAGCTTTATAGTATGGTGACCCCATTAAAGAAAAAAAAAAAACAAGACACTTCAGACAGCTAATAGCTAAATTTAACTTTTTTAAAAAGCCAGGTGAAGGAAAGAATGACAAAATAATAAAGAAAAGATCTAGCCAGGTGCAGTGGCTCATGCCTATAATCCCAGCACTTTGGGAGGCCAGGGTGGGCAAATCACCTGAGGTCAGGAGTTCAAGACCAGCCTGGACATCATGGTGAAATTCTGTCTCTACCAAAAATACAAAAATTAGCCGGGTGTGGTGGTGCACGCCTGTAATCTCAGCTACTCGGGAGGCTGAGGCAAGAGAATCACTTGAACCTAGGAGGCTGAGGTTGCAGTGAGCTGAGATCACGCCACTGCACTCCACCCTGGGCAACAGAGTGAGACTCTGTCTCAAAAAAAAAAAAAAAAAAAAAAAAAGGATCTGCCCAATCAGTGGATCACAAGTTCAGCTCTGAGTTCTGAGTTTCACAGTAGCCAAAACAACATCCTTAAAAAACAAACAAGGAAAAATCTTACCAGCTATTCGGAAAGACCTATTTTCCTTGCACCACAGTTTAAGACACCATTTTTGCATATGTATTAATTATACTTTTAAATTGATAGTCCAGATTTTTAAACAGCAGCAGCTTACTCTGCCAATACACAAAGAATGTGTCCCTTTGACATGACTCCAAATTTAAAACTCAGTTGGATTTTGGAAAAACCATTTGGAAGAGAAAATGAAAATCAAGTAGCTATTATCTAAAGGTCCATCTTTACTTTGTTCTTGAGGTGTTTTTTTTTTTTGTTTTTTTTTTGTTTTTTTTTGAGAAAGAGTCTGACTCTGTCGTTCAGGCTAGAATGCAGTGGCGTAGTCTCAGCTCACTGCAACCTCCGTCTCCCAGGTTCAAGCAATTCTCCTGCCTCGAGTACCTGGGACTACAGGTAGATGCCACCACACCTGGCTAATTTTTTGTATTTTTAGTAGAGACGGGGTTTTACCATGTTGGCCAGGATGGTCTCAAACTCCTGACCTCAGATGATCCACCCACCTCGGCCTCCCAAAGTGCTGGGATTACAGGCGTGAGCCACCCACACCCGACAATCTTTACTTTTTTAAAAGCACTGTTCACAGAAGGCAGGCAACAGAGCAAAGCTATTAGGAAGGTGAGCTTTGCAATCAGGCAAAAGTTCTGAATTCAAGTCCTGTCTCAAATCTTACAGGTGACCCTGGGATTCTTTAATCCCAAATTTACTAGTCTGGAAAATGACAACAGTCTGCATACTTACCTTACAAAGTTGTTATCAGAATGCATGTCAATTCTTAATAAAGTGCATCACAAAAGCATTCAGTGAATGAGCAAGCATTTATAATTTAAACTTCACTAAAATAGTTATTTTAAAAATATATGTACATATATCTATTAATTTACATAAAAACTCACCAAATCCAAGCCTGGTAAATTGAAAATAGCTTATTTCCCAACAAACTGCATTAATTATCACGGCTAAATAAAATAACCTATTTTCTGAGAGAGCAGGAAAATTAATGAGACAAGTGTCAAAATAAATAACTGCTTTGAAATGAAGTATGTGTACCTTTTAAGGCATTTGTGCATGAACACCTGCTTATGTCAAATTTACTCCTCAAAGATCGTTTTAAAATTTAACTTTAAAAAGTCACCTTGGCCGGACACGGTGGCTCACACCTGTAATCCCCGCACTTTGGGAGGTCGAAGTGAGTGGATCACAAAGTCAGGAATTTGAGACCAGCCTGGCCAATATGGTGAAACCCCGTCTCTACTAATAATACAAAAATTGCTGGGCATGGTGGCGTGCACCTGTAGTCCCAGCTACTCAGGAAGCTGAGGCACGAGAAGAGCTTGAACAGGAGGCGGAGGTTTCAGTGAGCCGAGATCGTGCCACTGCACTCCAGCCTGGGCAACAGAGGGAGACACTGTCTCAAAAAAAAAAAAAGTCACCTTCCAGCTGGGAGCGATGGTTCACGCCTGTAATCCCAACAGTTTGGGAGGCCTAGGCGGGCGGATCACTTCAGGTCAGGAGTTTGAGACCAGCCTGGCCAACATGATGAAACCTCGTTCTCTACCAAAAAACACAAAGATTAGCCAGACATTGTGGTGCACGCCTGTAATCCCAGCTACTCAGGAGGCTGAGGCACCAGAATCGCTTGAACCCAGGAAGTGGAGGTTGTACTGAGCTGAGATTGTGCCATTGCACTCCAGCCTGGGAGACAGAGCGAGACTGTCTCAAAAAAAAAAAAAAAAAAAAAAAACTAAACTAGTCTGGATATACAAACTAAACTAAAAGATTCTTTATCCTGAAGCTCTCAACAATGTCATTTGCCCATGCCAGTATTTTCCAAGAAACATGCTGTGTTCTGAGGCCTCATAGGATGAGCCCATCAGTATGTTGAATAAATGAATAGTTACTGTTCCCGACATGATAAAAGATCCCTTCTTTTGGGCCGGGCGTGGTGGCTTACACCTGAATCCCAGCACTTTGGGAGACTGAGGTGGGAGGATCACTTGAGCCCAGGAGTTTGAGACCAGCCTGGGCAACACAGCGAGATCCTGTCTCTATAAAAATAAATTAATGTATTTTTAAAAATTTAAACGATCCCTTCTTAGCCAGGCACGGTGGCTCACATATGTAATTTCAGCACTCTGGGAGGCCAAGGCAGGTGGATCACGAGGTCAGGAGTTCAAGACCAGCCTGGCCAACATGGTGAAACCCCATCTTTTCTAAAAATACAAAAATTAGCCAGGCGTGGTGGCCGGCTCCTGTAATCCCAGCTACTCAGGTGGCTGAGGCAGGAGAATTGCTTGAACCCAGGAAGTGGAGGTTGCAGTGAGCCAAGATCATGCCACTGCACTCCAGCCTGGGTGACAGAGTGAGACTCCATCTCGATAAATAAATAAATAAATAAATAAATAAATATGATCTTTAAGGACTGTGTATGGAAATGAGATCAAAACACAAGCAGGAATTCTCAAAAGCATAGAACCTATACAATCAGAAAACTTCCTAGGCTCTGTCTGCTAAACAGGGTTCTATATAACCAGTTATATTATGGATCAAACTCTTCATCATGCTCCACTTCTCCAAGTACACCATAATATAATTATATATACTTCTTACATACACACACACACACACACACACACAATGGGCTTTGCCATGCTACAAAACAAAGACTCCAAAAACCACAAGAAGGATTAAATAAGAAGGAGATTCTAACACACAGATGAACTTGATAATATCCTACATTCCAGCCTGGGCAACAGAGCAAGACCCTGTCTCAAAAAAAAAAAAAAAAAAAAAAAGTTCTGCACCACTGAACTATACATACACTTAAAAATGGTTAAGACTGGGCGCGGTGGCTCACGCCTGTAATCCCAGCACTTTGGGAGGCCGAGGCAAGTGGATCATGAGGTCAGGAGACTGAGACCATCCTGGCTAACATGGTGAAACCCCATCTCTACTAAAAATACAAAAATTAGCTGGGCGTGGTGGTGCGCACCTGTAGTCCCAGCTACTTGAGAGGCTGAGGCAGAAGAATCACTTGAACCCGGGAGATGGAGGTTGCCATGAGCCGAGATCATGCCCCTGAACTCCAGCCTGACAACAAAGCAAGACTCTGTCTCAAAAAAAAAAAAAAAAGTTTCTTTTGGTAAAATCAGGCTGGGTGTGGTAGCTCATGTCTCTAATCCCAGCACTTTGGGAGGCAGATGCAGGCAGATTGTTTGAGCTCAGGAGTTGGAGACCAGCCTGGGCAACATAGTGAGACCCCCATCTCCACAAAAAATAAAAAAATCAAGCCAGACGTGGTGGCATGCACCTGTAGTCCCAGCTACTCGGGAGACTGAGGTGGGAGGATGTCTTGACCCTAGGACACGAAGGTTACAGTGAGCCAAAAGCATACCACTGCACTCCAGCCTGGGCAACAGAGTGACATCCCGTCCCTCCCCCCACAAAAAAAGGTTAAAATGGTAATTTTTGTGTTAAGTATATGTTACCACAATTTAACAACAACGACAACAACAAAAAACACTACAAGGAACCACTCCAAAGAAAGGCATTCACGGTGTAAATGGCAGACACAAATTTATTCTTCATAAAGGAACAAATTCATCTTACAGGATTTTCTTTTTTTTGAGATGGTGTCTTGCTCTGTCGCCTAGGCTGGAGAGCAGTGGCAAGATCTCGGTACACTGTAACCTCCACCTCCCGGGTTCAAGTGATTCTCATGCCTCAGCCACTCAAGCAGCTGGCATTACAGGCACCTGTCACCACTCCCAGCTAACTTCTGTATTTTCAGTAGAGATGTGTTTTTTTGTTTGTTTGTTTTCCTTGAGACATAGTCTTGTTCTATGGCCCAGGCTGGAGTGGAATGGCGTGATCTTGGCTCACTGCAACCTCCGCCTCCAGGGTTCAAGTGATTCTCCTGCCTCAGCCTCCCGAGTGTCTGGGATTACAGGTGCGCACCACCACGCCTAGCTAATTTGTTTTTGTTTTTTGAGACAGAGTGTCACACTGTCACCCAGGCTGGAGTGCAGTGGTGCGATCTCAGCTCACTGCAAGCTCCGCCTGCCGGTTTCACACCATTCTCCTGCCTCAGCCTCCTGAGTAGCTGGGACTACAGGCACCCGCCATCACGCCTGGCTAATTTTTTTTTTTTTTTTTTTGTATTTTTAGTAGAGACAGGGTTTCACCATGTTAGCCATGATGGTCTCGATCTCCTGACCTCGTGATCCACCCGCCTTGGACTCCCAAAGTGCTGGGATTACAGGTGTGAGCCACCGTGCCCGGCCAATTTTTTGTATTTTTAGTAGAGACGGGGTTTCACCATGTTGGCCAGGCTGGTCTCAAACTCCTGACCTCAAGTGAGTCATGGCCTCCCAAAGTGCTGGGAGTACAGGAGTGAGCCACCACACCCAGCCAAAAAAAATTTTTTTTAATGCTTACCGGGGGGGAAAACGAAGAAAGAAAACGAACAGGAGGAAGGAGTAACACTAATGAATCTTGCAGGGTCTATTTCTCTGCCCTTTCCTCATATGGACATAATACATGCCATCGTCCTCCTCTGTCAAATTATCTCACAGATGAGATCATGTAATTTAAGTGCATTAAAGTCTAATGCCAAAGCCAGTTACTAATTTTAGTTCACTTCCAATACCTTATTTATTTTCTTGAAACCAATTACGGTCTGAAAACTCAATCTAGATAAAATTCTACTCACGTCATGTATGTGTTATAGTCAACAGTAAGAGCTAAATTTCTAGATATAACAAATTAAAATGAACAACATATAAAGCATACATTCTCAGGTTTCATCAATCCAACTGTCAAGCTCTGGCCAGGCGCGGTGGATCACGTCTGTAATCCCAGCACTTTGGGAGGCTGAGATGGGCAGATCACCTGAGGTCAGGGGTTCCAGACCAGCCTGGCCAACATATAGTAAAACCCCTTCTCTACTAAAAAATACAAAAATTAGCTGGGCATGGTGGCGCACGCCTGTAGTCCCAGCTACTTGGGAAGCTAAGACAGGAGAATCACTTGAACCCGGGAGGCAGAGGTGAAGGTTGCAATGAGCTGGGATCCCGCCACTGCACTCCAGCCTGGGTGACAGAGGGAGACTCCATCTCAACAAAACAAAACATAAAAACAATGTAACAGTCACAGGGGAAAATCCCACAGAGGAATAAGTCCTTGCCCTTGCAATTCATATTCTCCAGAGTTCTTGGAGATTAACGTCATAGTCGATATTACTAGTAAAATTTTCGCTTCCTCAATTTCCCAAAAGTCTTTATAATAGTACTTTTATGACTAATATTTCTTGAGTGTCTACTACATGCCAGACAGCAACCTAAGCACTTAAACTCTATCCTTGCAACAGCTCTTAGAAGCGAAACATGTTCTATTATCAACTCCATTTTTAAAAATAGGGGCCAGGCGTGGTGGCTCAGGCCTGTAATCCCAGCCTTTGAGAGGCTGAGGTGGGCGGACCATCTGAGGTCAAGAGTTGGAGACCAGCCTGGCCAACATGGTGAAACCCTGTCTCTGCTAAAAATACAAAAATTAGCCAGGTGTGGTGGCGCATGCCTATAATTCCAGCTACTCGGGAGGCTGAGGCACAAGAATCACTCGAACCCGAGAGGCAGGGGTTGTAGTGAGCTGAGATCATGCCACTGCATTCCAGCCTGGGTAACAGAGCAAGACACTGTCTCAAAAAATAAAAATAAAAATAAAAAATAGGCCGGGCACTGTTGGCTCACACCTGTAATCCCAGCACTTTGGGAGGCCGAGGCGGGTGGATCACCTGAGGTCAGGAGTTCGAGACCAGCCTGACCAAAATGGAGAAACCCCGTCTCTACTAAAAATACAAAATTAGCCAGGCGTGGTGGTGGCACATACCTGTAATCCCAGCTACTCAGGAGGCTGAGGCAGGAAAATCGCTTGAACCCAGTAGGCGGAGATTGCGGTGAGCCAGGCGCGCCACTACACTCCAGCCTGGGCAACAAGAGCAAAACTCTGTCTCAAAAAAAAAAAACAAAAAATAGGGAAACATACAAAGATGAAGTGAAATGCCCAAGGTCGCACAGGCAGGAAACGGCAAGGGCCAGGACTGGAATCCAGGCAGTCAGACTTCAAACTTGTGTCGCTAGCCATAAGCTATAAACCCTCTCTCAATTTATAAATTTGTCTTCCCTCTCATGATATATTTTTTAAGTAACTAGTTCTTTAAAAATCCTACATAGAGTGTTGGCCAGGCGTGGTGGCTCATGCCTGTAATCCCAGCACTTTGGGAGGCTGAGGCAGGTGGATCATTTGAGGTCAGCAGTTTGAGACCAGCCTGGCCAACATGGTGAAACCTGTATCTACTAAAAATACAAAAATTAGCCGGGCATGGTGGCACACACCTGTAATCCCAGCTACTCAGGAGACTGAGGCAGGAGAATCGCTTGAACCTGGGAGGCGAGAGTTGCAGTGAGCCGAGATCGCGCCATTGCACTTTAGCCTGTGCGACAGAGGGAGACTCCTTCTCAAAAAAACAAAAACAGAAACAAGTTACAACCAAAGGAGAATGAGTCAATCCTCCAACAACTCTGACAGTTCCTGGCTATACTGAACTTTCTCTTACTTTCTCAGTAGGCCAAAGTGGTAAAAAGCAAATGAGTACTGCCAGAAACAGGCATGGAATACCAAAACAAGAATTTTACAGAGGAGAAAACAAACAGGAAGACAGCAGGGAGAGTTCCAGAACAAAAGGACAACAGTAAAGGACGACAGGGCAAGAATGGAGAATGAAGAATTATCAAGACAATACCTTCACCTCTTCCGATGACGTACCCACACAATTTTTACAGGATACACACATCCTTGGCTGGGTGCGGTGGCCCAGCACTTTCGGAGGCCAAGGCGGGCAGATCACCTGAGGTCAGGAGTTTGAGACCAACCTGGCCAACACGGTGAAACCCCGTCTCTACTAAAAATACAAAATTAGCCGGGCATGGTGGCGGGTGCCTATAGTCCCAGCTACTTAGGAGACTGAGGCAGGAGAATCGCTTGAACCCAGGAGGCGAAGGTTGCAGTGAGCCAAGATCACGCCACTGCACTCCAGCCTGGGTGACAAAAGCGAGACTCTGTCTCAAAAATAAATAATAATAAAATAAAATGCAATAAAAAAACACACATCTTCTAAGACACTAAGGCGTTTTGCTCCCCCAGGTAGGTAGCCCCAATACACTTTAGTTAACCGAGTATGAGTCTTCATAGAGCTATGCTGCCAGCTTAAGCCTACTGATTCCCAAGTATCTCAACTCTACAATTAGAATAAGCAACTGATTAGGTGTATTTTCTACTTTCTTTCAGTTATTAACAATGAATAACCTTCACTCAATAAACGAACCAGGCGCAGTGGCTCACGCCTGTAATCTCAGCACTTGGGGAGGCCGAGGTGGGTGGATCACTTGAGGTCAGGAGTTGGAGACCACCAGCCTGGCTAACATGGTGAAACCCCATCTCTATGAAAAATACAAAAAAATTAGCTGGGCATGGTGGCACATGCCTGTAATCCCAGCTACTCGTGAGGCTAAGGCACAAGAATCGCTTGAGCCCGGGAATCGGAGGTTGCAGAGAGCTGAGATGGCACCACTGCACTCCAGCCTGGGCCACAGAGCGAGACTCCATCTCAAAAAAATAAATAAATACTTTCCCTTAGACTGACATAAAAATGATTTGACATCCATCTATTTAAGCCAGTGGTAAAACAATTTCGTGTTAATTATACCACCCCAGTTATGAAGCATATTGCAAAAACTCATGTTTATATAAAACATTCATGTCATCAACAAAGAATGAAACAACAGTAGAAATGAATTAGGTGAAATGCAATGCAAATAGCTGGTAACCAGTAATAACAGAAAAGGTTAAGTGTTTAGTAATTGTTCAGTGTTCAGCTCCTTTAGATGATAACAACCTGTCCACCTATGGGTCATCGAAAATGCCAGAACATAGGACAGTGGCCATGGAAGTTGGGATCCCCTGAGGAGTGTGTACAACTCGCCTAAGGGTGTAGGTGGGGAAAGGAGGGGGGTCATCAACTGTAAACTAAAACCATTCCTCCCACCTATCTGCGGTTATTTTCCCCGGAAAGAAATCCATTATAATTTTAAAAACCTAAAAATCACAGGGCGCCTGTAAGCCCAACACTTTGGGAGGCCTAGGCGGGCAGATCACAAGGTCAGGAGTTGGAGACAAGCCTGGCCAGCATGATGAAACCCCGTGTCTACTAAAAATACAAAAAATTAGCCAGGCGTGGTGGTGCGTGCTTGTAATCCCAGCTACTCAGGAGGCTCAGTCAGGAGAATCACTTCAACCCAGGAGGCAGAGGTAGCAGTGAGCCGAGACCACGCACCTACACTCCCGCCTGGGCGATAGAGCAAGACTGTGTCTCAAAAAAAAAAAAAAAAAAAAAAAAAAAAAGGGTCCAGGTGCAGTGGCTCACGCCTGTAATCCCAGCACTTAAGGAGGCCAAGGCAGGCGGATCACCTGAGGTCAGGAGTTCGAGACCAGCCTGACCAACATGCAGAAACCCCGTCTCTACTAAAAATACAAAGTTAGCCAGGCATGGTGGCGCATGCCTATGATCCCAGCTACTCCGGAGGCTGAGGCAGGAGAATCACTTGACCCTGGGGGGGCGTAAGTTGCAGTGAGCTGATTGTGCCATTGCACTCCAGCCTGGGCGACAGAGTGAAACTCCATCAAAAAAAAAAAAAAAAAAAAAAAAAAAGAAAGAAAAAACCTAAAAATCTTTCTCAGCAAGAATTGCCCCCAACCCCGTCCCGCAAAAAGAACCCCCAAAGCCTACATTTTAATGTCAGTCTCTGTAGTCATATTTGAGTAAGCTGAATCGCTGGAGGGGCATGTGGCAGAGGAGACTCAGCACACAATGCTCCCCAACCCCCCTACCTCCAAGGGCCAAAACTACAAGCTGTGGTCCTATCACTCAAACCTTCTGTGTGGTGGTGTGGCAGACTTTGGGCATCTGAAGAGGATAATGTAACAAATGCCCGTGCTGCGACTAAATTAATAAATAAATCAGAGTGGGAAAAAAGCCAAACTTCCAAAGATTTCCCATTTTATTCCACACTTAAATCCATGGCCCCTTTTTAAACTGGAGACTTATGAAACTTTTAACTTTTCTAATCATGGCTAACAGGAATTCTCAACTCTCAGCCAGTTTTCTGAGCAATCTACCGTCAGTCGTCCGAATTATTTTTCATTCTTTAACATCTATTTTATTTTTATTTTTTTTGAGACACAGTCTCGCTCTGTCGCCCAGGCTGGAGTGCAGTGGTGAGATCTCATCTCACTGCAACCTCCACCTCCTGGGTTCAAGAGATCCCCCTGCCTCAGCCTCCCCAAGTAGCTGAAACTACGTACGCACGCCACCACACCCGGCTAATTTTTGTATTTTTAGTACAGACGGGGTTTCGCCATGTCGGCAGGCTGGTCTCCAACTCCTGACTTCAGGTGTTCCACCTCCCTCGGCCTCCCAAAGTGCTGGGATTACAGGTGTGAGCCACCGCACCCGGCCAAGATCTAATTTTAAAGTAAGAAAAAGCAAATATCTCCAATAAATTTCTCTCCCTTCATTTTGCACCATTGTGAATGGTTCTCAAAGGGCTGTCCGGGAAGCAGCCACCATCAACACCACCTGGGGAGCTAATCGAAATGCAAATTGTGGGGCAACTCCCCAGACCTGCAGAATCAGCCTGGGAGGTAGGGCCCAGCAAGCAGAGTCCGCACATGCCAGCTCTCCCGGGGACGCCCAGGCGCGGTGGTTTCACAACCTCGGCTTAGGGGTTGAGTCACACTGGCCAGGTTCATGTGCTAGGCAAGCAAGAGTACAGAACTCTCCAACTTCTCTAGACTTGTTCCGCTCTATAGAATAGAATTACAGACTTGTCACAAAGATTAAATAAGAAAAATACTGTACATCCAAAGCGCTCAAGAGCCATGGAGGGGGCACGGAAGACACTCAAATGTAAGCAGCATTGCTACCACCGGCAAGGCACGAGGACGATGCCAAACTGGAGGGGGAAGTGGAGGGAGAAAGACATAGGAGGAAAAGGCTTCTTGTCCCTGCCCCTACGAGCTCAACACCCAGTGACTAGGCCAGATGCAGAGGAAAGTAAAAGTGCCCTTAGCCGGGCGTGGTGGAGCGCTCCTGTAATCCCAGCTACTCAGGAGTCTGAAGCAGGAGAATCGCTTGAACCCGGGAGGCGGAGGTTGCAGTGAGCCGAGATCGCGCCACTGCACTCCAGCCTGGGCAACGAGAGCGAAACTCCGCTTCCGAAAAAAAAAAAAAAAGAAAAGAAAAGAAAAAGGAAAAGGAAAAAAAAGAGAGAAAATAAAGGTGCCCTGCGAGGAAGGGCACACAAGTTGATTGGGAGACTAAGAAGGAACAAACTCTGACTATGCAATATAAGAGAAGACCACAGGCCGGGAGCGGTGGCTCACGCCTGTAATCCCAGCACTTTCGGAGACCGAGGCAGGCGGATCACCTGAAGTCAGGAGTTCAAGACCAGCCTGACAAACATGGCGAAACACCGTCTCTATTAAAAATACAAATATTAGCGGGGCTTGGGGGCAGGCGCCTGTAATCCCAGCTACTCGGGGGAGACTGAGGCAGGAAAATCGCTTGAACCCGGGAGGTGGAGGTTGCAGTGAGCGAAGATCGCGCCACTGCACTCCAGCCTGGGGGGATAGAACGAAACCCTCTCAACAACAGCAGCAAAAAAAAAAAAAAAAGAGAAGACCTTAAGGAAGTGGCTGCATATGAGCAAGAAAGATTTCCATAGGCTGAAAAATGTCATTCCAGCCAAAAGACCAAGATCTCAAGGAGGAGGAGAAACGAAAGCCAAGGTAGCAGCCACAGAAAAATCCTGTAGCAGGAAATAAAATCGGTCATCCCACACCACAGGCCTCAGCCTGGGGAGAAGACCCCGCCTCCGCAGGGCACTCTACCTGCACGTTCTCATTTGCAAACTAACTTCCCCTTTTGTTCCCTGAAGGACTGGAGACTTCTCCTCTGCACTGTTGGCTGATCAAGCCATTGTCTGCGGCAAAGTTGAATTTAAAAGAGATGAGGCCCAGCGTGGTGGCTCAAGCCTGTACTCCCACCACTTTGGGAGGCCTAAACGGGAGGATCACCAGAGTCCAGGAGTTCCCGACCAGCCTAGGCAACACAAGAAGACCCCATCTCTAAAAAAAAATTTTAAATTAGCCAGGCGTGACCCAGGGCGGTGGCTCACGCCTGTAATCCCAGCACTTTGGTGGCAGGCCGAGGCGGGCCGATTGCTTTCAGCTTGATTCAAGAGTTGGAGACCAGCCTGGCCAACATGGTGAAACGCCATCTCTACTAAAAATACAAAAATTAGCCGGGCGTGGTGGGCACGCCTGTAATCCCAGCTACTCAGGAGGCTGAGGCAGGAGAACGGCTTGAACCCGGGAGGCAGAGGTTGCAGTGAGCCGAGATCACACCAGTGCACTTCAGCCTGGGCCACAGAGTGAGACTCCATCTCAAAAAAAAAAAAATTAGCAGGGCATGATGGCATGCGCCTGTAGTCCCAGCCACTGAGGAGGCTGAGGCAGGAGGATCGCTGGAGCCCAGGTGTTGGAGGCTGCAATGTGCTATGATTGTGCCACTCTGCGCTTCAGCCAGGGCAACACAGAGAGACCCTGTTTCTAAAAAAAAAAAAGAAAATTAAGCCGAAAGCGATGGCTCACACCTGTAATCCCAGCACTATGGGGGGCCAAGGTGGGAGGATCGCTTGAGCCTAGGAGTTCAAGACCAGCCTGGGCAACAAAGTGAGAACGCATCTCCACAAATAATTTTTTTTAAAAAAAGGAGGTCAGTAGTCAGCAAGAGCTGCGCATCGCCAAGAGTGGACACTACTCCAACAGCACCCCACCTGTGAACATCCCCAGCCGCAAATCAGCGCAAATCCATAACCTAGGGAGGACAAAATTCGCTACACGAAAAAGCAAAAGCTGGATTAAGAAAAAGTGGAGAAGTCGGGGAGCGGGAAGGAGACAGCTTTTTCCATTTCATTTTCCTTCTTCCTCTGCACTCCCGTCGTCTGGGTGCTGGCTGAACCCAGACGGCTTAATTTTCATGGCCTAAAGCTGAAGTTTTCCTTCCGGTCATTGTGTTTATTTCCCCCAAAGAACAGGCCCCGCGGGGCAGGCGCGCCGGGCCGGCCCGGGACAAAGCCCACTGCGGACTCCACCTGGGAGCGGGGCGGGGCGGGGGACAGCGCTCCCGCTCCCCCGCCCGCCGCAGTTACCAGGCAACGCGCGGCCCCGCCCCCGCGCCGGTTGGCCAATCCCGCGCGTCTGCTGCCCCGGCGCAGGAGCCCCAGATACACCAGGCGAGCGCGACCCCACGACGGCTCGGGCCTGGCACCGCGCGCGCCCCCGCACCGCCTAGCCGGCCAATCAGCGCGGCGGGGCATGCGCAGCCCGCAGGGCCGCTCGCTCGCTCGCGCGCGGGATCGCACGCGCGAGGCGCCCCCCCACCGCACGCCGGTCGGCGCGCGCGCCCCTCCCCCACGCGCACTGAGGCGCGCGCGTGCCACTGTCGTCCCCCGCGACCGCGTCCGTGCCGCCCCACCCCCATCGCCTCGTTTCGGCCACTGCCAAGGCCGGCGGGGCTCGAGACCCGGCGAGGCGGTGGGGGTGGGGGTAGGGGGAGGCGGCACGGGCGCCCCCCAAGGCCCCACACCGCGCGCGGCGGGCCGCGGCTCCCAGGCCCCTGTCCCTGCAGGCCCCGGCGGGGCAAAGTCTCTAATAAAGGCCCCCGCTCGCAATGGCCCCCGAGGCGGGGGCGGGGGGCGCGGGGATGAGGCGAGAGGGACTCACCCGAGTGCGGCCGCCTCCAGGCAGCTCCGGGGCCGGGGGTGCCGAGGGGAGGCGAGTGTGGGCCGCGCGCGGGCTGCGGCCGCCGCGGAGCAGCCTCGGCTGAGGGGAGCTGGCGAGCGGACGGGAGGCGAGAGGGGGCGAGGGGCCCGTGCGTGTCGGTCGCGCTCCTGTCACCGCCGCATGGCCGCCCCGCAGGCAGGGCCTCGCTCAGCGCCTTGATCCGATCACTGGGGGACAGAGGCAGAGGCCGGGGTGACCGCGGCAGGCGGGCGGCCGCGGCTGGAGAGCGCGTGCGGGGAAGCGGGGGGGCGACCGGTGGCCCCTTTTCTCTGCTCTCCCAGCTTCTCTCTCACCCTCCTCCTCCTCCTCCTTTTTTTTTTCTTTTTTTTCTTTTTTTTTTTTTTTTTTTTTTTTTTTGTTCCTCGAAGGCGCGTTGCGCCTGCGCATCCGCAGCGCCGCCCAGCGGGAGTTGTAGTTTCGGATGCGTTCCCCGTCAACGCGGCGGCGGCGGTCGTGGACTACAACTCCCAGGAAGCACCGCGCCGGCTAGCCCCGAACCCGAGGACGAGGCAAGCGCGGCGCCCGGCCCTCTCCAGCAAGGGCTGTCAATGGAGGCGAGGGTGGTGGGAGCGAGAACATGGCTGCACCTGGGGCCTGCGCGGCCGCCCGGGTGGGGGAGGGGAGCCGGGGTGCAGAAACGGAAATCTGGACGGGTGGTGGCTCCGGCGTCGTCCCCACCGAGCGCCAGCCGCCGTCCAAGTCCGCCACTTGCTCTTGCACCCCACATTCCTTGCAAATTGCGAGGCAGGGAAGCTGCAAAAGCCGGGGAGCCCCGGGCTGGGCCGTCGCCCTCCTTGCTCTGCAAAAGGGGAGTCCTTCCGCCTTGCACCACCCTCCAGGACACAAAGAACTCCTCTCTAGTGTTTTCCAAGCTGGCCTCCAAAGAGACCGTTGCCCCCAAGTTCGGACAGGCGAGAGGGGAGGAGACCTTGTGTTTTAATTCCTCCCCCAGACCCTCCGCCTCTATCTCTCCCTCAGGATTTGGAAGGAAACTTGCAAGGGAGTGGGAGCAGAAATCCTGACTCGTAGCTCCTGTTTTGTTCTGTCAACCGCGATGCGATTTAACTCAAACTCCTCCCCCTACCACTATTTTTTGCTTCTCAACTTGAATTAGCCGGTGGGTTTTGAAAATGGAGAGACATTACTGTTCACCTAAGTTAAACTCCAAAACTTTACAACCCCGAGGCCGACGATTTTTAGATGTTTATGTAAAGCACGAGATTGAGTGGTTTTTTGATTCCCGCCCGCCCCCCCACCCAGTACCACCCACTGGGGATTCGGGCCACGACGGCCATCCTCCCCCCACCCGCCGCTTCTCGGTAGGTGGCGACCACGACGCTTTTTCCAGCCTCCAAGCCTTTGTCGCTAGCGAGAAAACTTTCCGAGCAGCCAGTCTTTTGATGTGGGTTCCAAAAACCTTTCCTTTCAATCTGGGTTCTCCGATTGGCATTCCCCATCGTCTCTCTTGCACAGACCGCACCCAATAAAGCCTCCTCTAGAATTTTCATGTTGGATTTTTTTTGAAAAATACATGGAGAGCGTAAAGCTCACCGGAGAAGCAATCTGATTACAGAAGCCTGAATTTTTGCGATTTCCCGGACAATGTCTAGGATCCCTTCGGTCCTTGCCTAATAAGATTGTGACTCTCCTTTGTCGATTGTCTCGAAAGTCATTCATTAAGTTTGCACAAGAGCAACTTTCTTTTTGCACTTGTATTTCATTGACATTTAGTAATATTTAATTAAATTCTCTATTCCCAATACCACGTGCCACTGGCATATATTTAGGAACAAATTTAACTCTTGAGAAGCCTATAACTCACTCTAGTAAGAGCAGCCAGCCTACGAGATGCAGATTTCAGCTGCTGTGGACTTCAGTGAGTATCTTTTGTTGAGAGAGTGGTTTCTCCACCTGGAGGGGTCAGGGAAAGGATTTCCTGGGTATAGTGGAGTCGTGGAGTAGAATTTGGGGGGATGTTACAAAGTGAGTTAGCAAGGCAGAAGTTTATTTAGCCAAGATGACTCTTATCATCGTGAAAACGTTTGGAAGGTAGTTCCTTTCTTCTATGAATTTGTTTAGTGGTTCACAGTGGAATTTTTTTTTTGAGACCGAGCCTCGCTCCGTCACCCACGCTGGAGTGCAGTGGCGCGATCTCGGCTCACGGCAACGTCTACCTCCCGGGTTCAAGTGATTCTCCTGCCTCAGCTTCCTGAGTAGCTAGGATTATAGGCGTGCACTACCACGCCCAGCTAATTTTTGTATTTTTAGTAGAGACGGGTTTCTACTAAACATGTTGCCCAGACTGTTCTCGAACTCCTGACCTCAAGTGATCTGCCTTCCTCAGCCTCCCAAAGTGCTGAGATTACAGGCGTGAGCACCGCACCGGGCCCACAGTGGAATTTTGCTGCCTCTTCATAAACAACTCCAACTTCTTTGAGACTGAAGCAATTCCTAAAACGGTTAGGTCAACATGAGCTGGTTTTGAATTACCTCTAGTCAGAAAGCTGTCTCTGTTGAGGCAATGTGTATGCAGACAAAGCGTTTTTCTGAGCATTTTGCCATTAAGGTTTGTAACCCTCAAATTCATGTGTTACAGTCATAAAGATCTTGCGTGTTCTGTCTTCATTAAGGTCTGGCTCACTGCGGCTTGTTGGAACACTTGTCAACCAATTTCTCCTTCATCTTAGTGGCATAGATACTACATTAATTGTGGCCATTGTTATAAATCACTTTGGATACTATCTCTCTGCAAAGCTGGGGTTTTGTTTTACTTTTTTTTTTTCCTGTTTTTGAGACAGGGTCTTACTGTATCACCCAGGCTGCACTGCAGTGGTTCGATCACAGCTCACTGCAGCCTCCAACTCCAGATTCAAGCCATCCTCCCACCTTAGCCTCCCAAATGCCTGGGACAACATGTATGTGCCACCACACCCAGCTAATTTCGTTTTTTGTAGAGACGGGTCTCACTATGTTGCCCAGGCTGGTCTTGACTTCTTGGGCTCAAATAAGCCTCCTGCCGTGGCCTCCAAAGTGCTGCGATTACAGGCATGAGGCACTGCACTGGGCCCAGGTTTTTTTTCAAATGTAGGATCAGATTACTGTTTTGGGGATTGGGCAACAGAAGAAAAATAATAGTTGATTTGTGTCTAAAAATGATGTAGTAGGAAGTCCTCCTTTATTTTATTTATTGATTTTTTTGGGAGGGGACGGGGTCTTACTCCGGTGCCCAGGCTGGAGTGCATGGTGCGATCTTGGCTCACTGCAACCTCCAACTCCTGGGCTCAAGCGATTCTGCTGCCTCAGCCTCCCGAGTAGCTGGGATTACAGGTATGCACCACCATGCCCGGCTAATTTTTGGATTTTTAGTAGAGACAGGGTTTCACCATGTTGGTCTGTCTGGTCTCAAATTCCTGACCTCAAGTGATCTGCCTGCCTCAGCCCCCCAAGGTGCTGAGATTACAGGCGTAAACCACTGCACCCAGCCAGGAAATCCTCCTTTAAAGACTAGAATCGGGCTGGGCACAGTGGCTCATGCCTGTAATCCCAGCACTTTAGAAGGCCGAGGCAGGCAGATCACCTGAGGTTAGGAGTTCGAGACCAGCCTCAGCAACATGGAGAAACCACATCTCTTCTAAAAATATAAAATTAGCCGGGCGTGGTGGCGCATGCCTGTAATCCCAGCTACTCAGGAGGCTGAGGCAGGAGAATCGCTTGAACCTGGGAGGGAAAGGTTGTTGTGAGCCGAGATCATGCCATTGCACTCCAGCATGGACAACAAGAGCGAAACTCCGTCTCAAAAAAAAAAAAAAAAATACTAGAATCACAGGATGCATATACCAAGAGATGCAGACTGGATTGGGGCTTCAGCAAGAGCAGATTTGCGGCTCTCAGCTCATGGTCAGTCAGGACATAAGTACAGAGTCCAACAGCTGGCAGAACCATCCATGTTATTTCAATTATTTCCCCCTCTCTTTTTGTTAATGTTTAGCTTAGTCTTCAGATAAGCGTCCATATGATGTGACTTTTCCATTCTTCTGTTTGGTGGGAAACAAAGCCAGGTCAAATGGGCCTTGGCCAAGCTAGAGATGGATCTGGACCCCACGTGAGCACTTCCACCAACTCAGATGCATCTTCGCTTAGACTCTGGGCTTAGAGCTTCGTTGACTGCTTTGAAATAGCATGTGATTGGCGCGGTGGCTCATGCCTGTAATCCCAGCAGTTTGGGAGGCCGAAGTGGGAGGATCACGAGGTCAGGAGTTTGAGACCAGCCTGGCCAACATGGTGAAACCCCATCGATACTAAAAATACAAAAAAAATTAGCCGAGCATGGTGGCATGTGCCTGTAATCCCAGCTACTCGGGAGGCTGAGGCAGTAGAATCGCTTGAACCGGGGAGGCAGAGGTTGCAGTGAGCTGAGATCGCGCCATTGCACTCCAGTCTGGGCAAAAGAGCGAGACTCCGTCTCAAGATGGTGAAACCTGTCTCTACTAAAAATACAAAAAATTAGCCGGGCGTGGTGGCAGGCGCCTGTAATGCCAGCTACTCGGGAGGCTGAGGCAGAGAACTGCTTGAACCCGGGAGGCGGAGGTTGTAGTGAGCCGATATCGCGCCACTGCACTCCAACCTGGGAGACAGAGCGAGACTCCATCTCAAAACAAAAAAGAAAAGAAAAGAAAAAAGAAATAGCACGTGATCATGGGACCCTGCATAGGAACCCCTGAAAGCCCACGGTGACAGAACGGTGGTTATGCCACTTTGTTGAGATCTCTGTTGTTGGGATCATATGCTCTTTTTAAAGATGTTTTTTTGAATCCAAACTGAATACTCTTTTGGTGACTCTGTTATATCATTTTTTTTTTGGTAGAGATGGAGTCTTGCTATGTTGACCGGGCTGGTTCCAAACTCCTGGCTTCAAGCAATCCTCCTGCCTCAGCCTTCCAAAGTGCTATGATTACAGGCGAGAGCACCTGCACCCACCGTCTCTCATATATTATATTATATTTATTTATTATTATTATTATTATTTTTGATGGAGTCTCACTCTGTCACACAGGTTGGAGTGCAGTGGCACAAGCTCAGCTCACTGCAACCTCCACCTCCCAGGTTCAAGCGATTCTCCTGCCCCAGGCCCTTGAGTAGCCGGGATTATAGGTGCACACCACCACACCCGGCTAATTTTTGGATTTTTAGTAGAGACGAGGTTTCACCATGTTGGTCATGTTGGCCAGGCTGGTCTCAAACTCCTAAGCCCAGGTGATCCTTCCACCTCGGACTCCCAAAGTGCTGCCATTGCACTTTCAGCCACTGCGCCCAGACCAGATTGCCCAAAACCATAATTCTGGTGAAAGTTCAGATACTCTGTTTTTTTGTTTTCTGCTTTTTGTTTTGAGACAAGGTCTCTCACTCCAGTTGCCCAGGCTGGAGTGCAATGGCGCGATCTCGGCTCCTGCAACCTCCGCCTCCCGGGTTCAAGCAATTCTCCTGTCTCAGCCTCCTGAGTAGCTGGGATTACAGGTGCGTGCCACCAGGCCCAGCTAATTTTTGTATTTTTAGTAGAGACAGGGTTTCACTATGTTGGTCAGGCTGGTCTCGAACTCCTGACCTCATGATCCGCCCACCTCGGCCTCCCAAAGTGTTGGGATTACAGGCATGAGCCACCGTGCCCAGCCACTTTTTCTTTTGTTTGTTTTCTTTTAAGACAGAGTTTCACTCTGTATCCCATGCTGGAGAGCAGTGGCGTGATCTCGGCTCACTGCAACCTCCGTCTCCCATGTTCAAGCGATTCTCCTGCCTCAGCCTCCTGAGTAGCTAGGATTACAGGCGAGCACCACCACGCCCGGCTAATTTCTGTATTTTTGGTAGAGACGGGATTCTACCATGTTGGTCAGGCTGGTCTCAAACTCCTGACCTTGTAATCTGCCTGCCTCAGCCTCGCAAAGTGCTGGGATTACAGGCATGAGCCAACACATCCAACCACAATGATATTTTTTAATACTGATTATAAAACACTGTTTTTGAATGGTTTTTTGTTTGAATAATTTGAATATTTAGAATCCTGAATAAATGACGACCTTTTCCAGTATGTATGGTTCTTAGAATTCATCCAAAGGTGGGGAAAAAAGACTAAATCCAAGTTATAATTTATTCATAACAATTAATAATGTAGGTGTGATCTAAATAGACCTTCCAGCTCCAGCTCTGCCTTTTGTGTGAGCATCTGGCCGACACAGTAAAACGAATATTCATGTAGCACCAGTTGAAATAAACAGTTTTCTTTGTTGGGGTAGCAGGATTTAGATGAATTTTATCTGCTATTTAGGATTATGTTAACATTGTAGTTGTTTTTTGAAGTTTTAAAATTTAAGTTTTTAAATATAAAGCTCTAAATTTAAGTTGTTAAAAATAAAACCTCCATAGTATTTTCTCTGCCTCCTCCAGGGATTTGGGGAAATCAGATGATATGTAGATGAAAATACTTTATCAACTTGGGTACGTGTTATATAAATATTAGATGGTATTATTTAGCATTCAAAACTTTTTTTAATATGAAAAAAGTCCATGTTTCTTTTCTTTCTTTCTTTCTTTTTTTGAGACAGAGTTTCGCTCTTGTTGCCCAGGCTGGAGTGCAATGGCGTGATCTCAGCTCACCGCAACCTTTGCCTCCCGGGTTCAAGCGATTCTCCTGCCTCAGCGTACCAAGTAGCTGGGATTACAGGCATGCGCCACCATACCCGGCTAATTTTGTATTTTTAGTAGAGACGGGGTTTCTCCGTGTTGGTCAGGCTGATCTCGAGCTCCCAACCTCAGGTGATCCGCCTGCCTCAGTGGGAGAAGGATGAGGAGCAGAAAAAAAATAACTATTAGATAGGCTTAGTACCCAGGTGGCAAAATAATCTATACAACAAACGCTGGTGACACAAGTTTACCTATATAACAAACCTGCATATGTACCCATGAACCTAAAATAAAAGTTAAAAAAGAGAGAGAGAGAGAGAGCGAATACAGTAGTCCCCTCTTATCTGTGGGGGACACATTCCAAGATGGCTAGTGGATGCCTGAAACCTTGGATAATACCAAATCCAATTAGGCACAGGAAGAAATTAACAACAATGATAACAAAATAGAACAAGTATAGCAAGTACTAAGTTAGGCGAATGTGATCCATCTCTCTCTCTCTCTCCTCTTTCTCAAAATAACTTGTACTGTACTCACCCTTCTTCTTCTTGTAATGATGTGAGAATCTATGCCTGAATCTGTGTAACCATCCCTTACTCGCAGTAAATGGCTTGGTGTCAGTTTCAGAGCATCCCTTGCTGAAGTCTTGGTATAGGCTCAAGGCTTTCTGGCGCAACATGTTGCTGTCAATGGGGACACGTTTTCTGTTCATCTCTTCCACCCACAAATGCAGTGCCTGTTCCATCTTAACTAAGCACTTATCACGCACTGTGGCCGTCACTTTAGCAGTTGGAGGTGAGACAGCAAAACTAGCACGAATTTCTTTTTCCTTCTTCACAATTTCACGGATGGAAGATTCATTCTTCCCGTAGATCTTAGCAACCTCAGCATAGGATTTTTTGTCTTTCCTGATTAAGTCGAGAACTTTCACCTTTTCACTTAGAGGAAGCACTTTACGGCTTCTCTTTGGCCTATCCAAATTCCCAGCATCACTACTCTTGTGCTTTGGGGCCATTATGATGGAAAATAAGGGTGATTTGAACACAAACAATGCAATACTTGCAGACAGTTGATCTGATAACCCAGACGGCTCCCAAGTGACTAACGGGTGGGTGGCGTCTACCGTAGTTCCCCCTCTTATCTGCAGTTTCGCTTTCTGCAGTTTCAGTTACCCACGGTCAACCGCGGTCCAAAAATAGCTGAGTTCAGTACAAGAAGATATTTTTGAGAGAGAGGCAGAGACAGACCACAGTCACATAACTTTTATTACGGTATATTGTTATAGATGTTAGAACAATTCCATATATATATATATATATATATATATATATAAAATATAGACAACCTATAGCTTTGCAACATAGTCATAAAATCAAGAGAAGAAAAATCTAGGTTAAATGCTGACAACAAATACCTGCATCCTTCCTTTTCTCTTTTTGTTTCCACCGTGGACCTAACTACCAGTTTCTTGATTCTTTAGCATTTCATTTACCAAGCCTTTCCTCTTTTTCTGGTGAATCATAGCAACCTTTTTTAACCCCTTCAAGACCTGGTGTTTATTACACTTAAGGTAGATGACCCACTTGGGAAAGTTTTCATCAAATAATAAAGGGAATTTTTGAACAGTGGGTTGGAAGGAGGAGGAAAAGCCAATCAGAATGATGCTGTTCAAAAGTGAAATTAACCCACCATCTGGCCAGGCGCGGTGGTTCACACCTGTAATCCCAGCACTTTGGGAGGCCGAGGCGGATGGATCATCTGAGGTCAGGAGTTCAAGAGCAGCCTGGCCAACATGGTGAAACCCTGTCTTTACCAAAAATACAATAATTCGCCGGGCATGGTGGCAGGTGCCTGTAATCCCAGTTACTTGGGAGGCTGAGGCAGGAGAATTGCCTAAACCTGGGAGGTGGAGGTTGCAGTGAGCTGAGATCACGCCACTGCACTCCAGCCTGGGGGACAGAGTGAAACTCTGTATGAAAAAAAGAAAAAAGAAAAAGAAATTAACCCACTATCAAGTACTTTTCATTGTTTTCCCAGCAGTGAGAAAGTGTTAATTATCCATTCCCTTCCCGCTAAACCTAGAGAGGGGGCTGACCACACTCTGGCTTGTACCTGGGGCTGTAGGCTGACTTCATTCATACCAGCCTGCTGTGTTTTCCAATCCCAGATGAGCTCAGACTGACCCGGAGATAATGGAAGAAAGCGAGGGGCACCAATGAGTATCAAGAAAGAATCTGAACACCTACTATATTCTGGAAAGCCTGCAAGACCATCTGTGCTCTCCAGAAACATGTGATTATGGCTGACATGTATTGAGCAGTCCTTGGAGCCACACACCAGGCTCGACACTTAATAGATTATCTCATTGCTTGCTGCCTTTGTGGCAAGTGCTCCGAATGCCCCTCCACCCTCATGCTAAAGAGGCTCAGAAAGGCTCAGTACTCAGCCTGGGATACACAGATGGCACAACCAGATTTTGATCTAAACCTGCTCGGATCCAAAGCCCGAATTCTTAAATACTGTTGTCTATTCGCCAGCAATAACCATCTGATTCAAGCAGATATGACGAATGAATCAAATACAATATACACTCAGGTAAATGTGTCAAGATGGCACAAGAAAGCTAGACACAAAGCAGAAAATTTTTCATGGAGAAAGTAGCATTTGCAGCCAGGTGCGGTGGCTCACGCCTGTAATCCTAGCACTTTGGGAGGCCGAGACGGGCAGATCACAAGGTCAGCAGATGGAGACCATCCTGGCTAACACGGTGAAAACCCGTCTCTACTAAAAATACAAAAAAATTAGCCAGGCATGGTGGCAGGCACCTGTAGTCCCAGCTACTTGGGAGGCTGAGGCAGGAGAATGGCGTGTACCTAGGAGACGGAGCTTGTAGTGAGCCGAGATAGCACCACTGCACTCCAGCCTGGGCAACAGAGCAAGACTCTGTCTCAAAAAAAAGAAAGAAAAGAAAAAAGAAAGTAGCATTTGCAATGAAAAGTAAAGGATGGGTGGATTTTTTAATTAATTAATTATTTATTTATTTTGAGACGAAGTCTCACTCTGTCGCCCAAGCTGGAGTGCAGTTGCATGATCTCAGCTCATTGCAACATCCACCTCCCAGGATCAAGCAATTCTCCTGCCTCAACCCCCACCAAGTAGCGAGGACCACAAGTGTGCACCACCACACTGGGCTAATTTTTTTTTTAAAGACGGAGTCTCGCTCTTGTTGCCCAGGCTGGAGTGCAATGGCGCAATCTCGGCTCACCACAACCTCCACCTCTCGGAATCAAGTGATTCTCCTGCCTCAGCCTCCCAAGTAGCTGGGATTACAGGCATGCACCACCATGCCCGGCTAATGTTGTATTTTTATTACAGACAGGGCTTCTCCATGTTGATCAGGCTGGTCTCGAACTCCTGACCTCAGGTGATCCTCCCACCTCGGCCTCCCAAAGTGCTGGGATTACAGGCGTGAGCCACTGCACCCATCCTAGGATGAATGAATTTTTAAAAAACAAAGTAAGATAAATATGATTTTAATTTTTCTATTTGTTATTATTATTATTTTTTGAGACAGTGTCTGGCTCTGTTACCCAGGCTACAGTGCAGGGGTACAATCACTGCTCACTGTAGCCTCTATCTCTTGGTCCCAAGTGATC
Organism: Homo sapiens; assembly: GCF_000001405.40. NCBI lineage: Eukaryota > Metazoa > Chordata > Mammalia > Primates > Hominidae > Homo > Homo sapiens. The sequence continues at coordinate 74,647,677 of NC_000007.14, read as the reverse complement.
CTCCCACCTCAGCCTCCTAAGTAGCTGGGACTACAGGTGCACACCACCACGCCCAGCTAATTTTTGTATTTTTTTGTAGAGACAGGGTCTTGCCATGTTGCCCAGGCTGGTCTGGAACTCCTAGGCTCAAGTGATCTGCCCACCTCAGCCTCCCAAAGTGCTGGGATTATAGGGATGAGCCACCGTGCCTAGCTATGAATGTGATTTTTTTTTTTTTTTTAAGACAGAGTCTCACTCTGTCACCCAGGCTAGAGTGCAGAGGCGCGATCTCGGCCCACTGCAACCTCTGCCTCCCAGGTTCACGCCATTCTCCTGCCTCAGCCTCCCAAGTAGCTGGGACTACAGGCGCCCGCCACCACGCCCGGCTAATTTTTTTATATTTTTAGTGGAGACGGGGTTTCACCGTGTTAGCCAGGATGGTCTCGATCTCCTGACCTCGTGATCCGCCCGCCTGGGCCTCCCAAAGTGCTGGGATTACAGGCTTGAGCCACTGTGCCTGGACGATTTTTTTTTTTTTTTTTTTTTTTTTGAGATTGAGTTTTGCTGTTCTTGCCCAGGCTGGAATGCAATGACATGATCTCAGCTCACTGCAACCTCTGCTACCCGGGTTCAAACGATTCTCTTGCCTCAGCCTCCCGAGTTAGCTGGGATCACAGGCATGCACCACCTGGCTCGGCTAATTTTTTTATTTTTAGTAGAGACGGGGCTTCACCATGTTGGCCAGGCTGATATCGAACACCTGACCTCAGGTCATCTGCCCGCCTCAGCCTCCCAAAGTGTTGGGATTACAGGCGTGAGCCACCGCGCCGGGCCATGAATATGATTTTTAAAAGGGGGAGTGTACTCTCTTAGTCCTCTAGTACCTGTAATCAAAGACATCCTTTCAGGAAACAAACAAACAAAAACCTGTACTGGCACACACACATCCTTTTAATGTGTATAAAAATGAGATCATACTATGCATATTTTTCTAACCAGTCCCCTAATGATGAACATTTAAGTTGTTTCTTTTTTTTTTTTTTCTTTTTTTTTTTTTTTTTGAGACGGAGTTTCGCTCTGTCGCCCAGGCTGGAGTGCAGTGGCGCGATCTCGACTCACTGCAAGCTCCGCCTTCCGGGTTCACACCATTCTCCTGCCTTAGCCTCCCGTGTAGCTGGAACTACAGGAGCGCGCCACCACGCCCGGCTAATTTTTGTATTTTTAGTAGAGATGGGGTTTCACCGTGTTAGCCAGGATGGTCTCGATCTCCTGACCTCGTGATCCGCCCGTCTCGGCCTCCCAAAGTGCTGGGATTACAGGCGTGAGCCACCGCGCCCAGCCTAAGTTGTTTCTTATATTTTTGCAATGTTAATTGGCTTGGCATTCTCTTATATCTTTTTTTTTTTTTTTTAAGACGGAGTCTCACTGTGTCACCCAGTCTGGAGTGCAGTGGCACAATCTCAGCTCATGGCAACCTCTGCCTCCTGAGTTCAAGCAATTCTTGTGCCGTAGCCTCTTGAGTAGCTGAGATTACAGGCATCCGCCACCACACCCAGCTAATTTTTGTATTTTCGTAGAGATAGGGTTTTGCCATGTTGGCCAGGCTAGTCTCAAACTCCTGGGCTCAAGTGATCCTTCCACCTCAGCCTCCCAAAGTGCTGGGATTACAGGGGTGAGCCACGGCATCTGGCAATGAGTATATCTTTTTTTTTTTTTTTTTGAGAGGGAGTCTTGCTCTGTTGCACAGGCTCGAGTGCAGTGGCATGATCTCAGCTCACTGCAAGCTCCGCCTCCCAGGTTCACTCCATTCTCCTGCCTCAGCCTCCCGAGTAGCTGGGACTACAGGTGCCTGCCACCACGCCCAGCTAATTTTGTTTTTGTATTTTTAGTAGAGACGGGGTTTCACTGTGTTAGCCAGGCTGGTCTCAATCTCCTGACCTCGTGATCCGCCCGCCTCGGCCTCCCAAAGTGTGGGGATTACAGGCGTGAGCCACCGCACCCAGCCATCCATGAGTATATCTTTAAAGCAAATTCTTAGCATCAACATTATCAAAGGATCTGTGCACCTAAAATTTTGATACACATTGCCAATTTTCTTTCCAAAAAGATTGGACCACTGTACAATGAACAGGGTATGAAAATGTCCATATCGGCCCAGCGCGGTAGCTCACACCTGTAATCCCAGCACTTTGAGAGGCCGAGGCAGGCGGATCACGAGGTCAAGCGTTAGAGACCAGCCCGGCCAACATGATGAAACTTTGTCTCTACTAAAAATGCAAAAATCAGCCAGGTGTGTTGGTGGGTGCCTGTAATCCCAGCCACTCGGGAGGCTGAGGCAGAAGAATTGCTTGAACCCAGGAGGCAGAGTTTGCAGTGAGTCAATATCATGCTGTTGCACTCCAGCCTAGGTGACAGAGCAAGGCTCTGTCTTAAAAAAAAAAGAAAATAAAAGAGAATGTCCATATCCTCCATACCTTCCCATTTCTGGGGGAAAGTAGCATTTTATAGCAATTCTGACATGTACATTAATTGTGAGCAAAGTTGGGCATCTTTTTATATTTTTATTAACCATTTGCATTTCTGTTTCTGCGAACAATATTCATGATGTCTTTTGCATTTCACAATTTGGTCTTTTGCTTTTTTTGTTTGTTTGTTTTTTGAGACCGAGTTTTGCTCTGTCGCCCACATTGGAGTGCAATGGTGTGATCTCAGCTCACCACAACCTCTGCCTCCTGGGTTCAAGCAATTCTCCTGCCTCAGCCTCCCGAGTAGCTGGGATTACAGGCATGTGCCACCACGCCTGGCTGATTTTGTGTTTTTACTAGAGACTGGGTTTCTCCATGTTGGTCAGGCTGCTCTCGAATTCCCGACCTCAGGTGATCCACCCACCTCAGCCTCCCAAAGTGCTGGGATTACAGGCGTGAGCCACCGCGCCCAGTCCAGGTCTTTTGCTTTTTTCCCTTACTCTCTTGTATAAGCGCTTTATACATGAAAAAAGAAAGGCCCAATGCAGTGGTTCACACCTATAATCCCAGAACTTTGGGAGGCCGAGGTGGGTGGATCACCTGAGGTCAGGAGCTTGAGACCAGCCTGGTGAAACCCCATCTCTACTAAAAATAGGAATATTAGCTGGGTGTGATGGTGCATGCCTGTAATCCTAGCTACTTGGGAGGCTGAGGCAGGAGAATCGCTTGAGCCTGGGAGGCAGAGGCTGCAGTGAGCTGAGGTTGCACCACTGCACTCAGCCTGGGTGATAGAACAAGACCCTATCTTTAAAAAAGCCTTTTGTTTGTTATGTGTAGCTGTTTGTCTTTTGACTTTTTGTGGCTTTTTTTTTTTGAGACAGAGTCTCGTTCTGTTGTCCAGGCTAGAGTGCAGTGGCGTGATCTCAGCTCACTGTAAACTCTGCCTCTTGGGTTCAAGCAATTCTCCTGCCTCAGCCTCCCGAGTAGCTGGGATTACAGGCGCCTGCCACCACGCCCAGCTAATTTTGTATTTTTTTTTAGTAGAAACGGGGTTTCACCATGTTGGCCAGGTTGGTCTCGAACTCCTGACCTCAGGTGATCCTCCCACCTCCGCCTCCCAAAGTGCTGGGATTACAGGCATGAGCCACCGTGCCCGGCCTTTTTTTGTATCGTTATACTGAAGTTTCATTTTTACATAGTGAAACTTACCAATTTTTTTCTTTTTCTGTTTTTTGAGACAGAGTCTCACTCTGTTGCCCAGGCTGGAGTACAATTTTTTTTTTCTTAATGTCTTCGGTGTTAAAAATCAACAGTGAGAAATGCCCTCCCCACCCCAATAATTAGTGTCTCTCTCTCTCTCTCTCTCTCTCTCTCTCTCTCTCTCTCTCTTCCAACACCGAGATCTTTTTCTCTCTCCTGCGTCAGCCTGGCTGTCCAGGGCTATCCTTTTCACGGTGGCTTTAGGGCTGTCCCTCCTGGCCCCAAGCCCTTGCGCCTGCTGTGGCCTTTGGTGGCCTGTGGGCACCTTCCCCCGCCGCTGCCCTCCTCTGAATGGCCACCTCCCAGGGCTCCCTGGCAGCACAGACACTGGTCACTTCCCCTGCAGCCCCAGGCCCTCGGTTTCCAGGTGGCGGAAGTCCTCCTCCGCCCTGCACTCAGAGCCGTGCCCTTCCCCACTGGTTCTGAAATCCCACAAGTATGTGGGGCAAGGGAGTGTTCGGGAGGGTACCCCAGTATGAGGAGGTGGGGGACAGGACCGATGACATTGCTAAATCCTAATGCAATCCCTTCCCTGGGCAGCTGCCGCCCTATGGGGATTTCCATGCATGCAGTTGGCAGACGGAGAGAACGTAAACAGCTTAGAACGAAAGCTCTGTTAAGTCCAGCTGACAATTCTGTTTCCCCTTATAAACTGTGCATGGGGGAAAGGTGCTCTAGTTTTATAGTTCAGTCTGTAGGAGCTTGGTTAGCATGAGTTACCTCCGTAATCCCGATCTCAGTCGTGTTGAGCCAGCCAGCCTGCCTCCATGCGCAACCACAGGGCACTGGAGTAAACCGTGAAAAGGTTTCCCTTTAACTTAATCTCATTCTAACTAGTTGAAGAAAAAGTCTCAGTTTGGTGTGGATTTGTTTTCCTTTTTGCAAAATATACATGACATGAAATTTGCCATTTTAACCTTTTTTTTTTTTTTGAGACGGTGTCTCGCTCTGTCACCCACGCTGGAGTGCAATGGCGTGATCTCAGCTCACTGCAACCTCTGCCTCCAGGGTTTAAGCGATTCTCTTGCCTCAGCCTCCTGAGTAGCTGGGATTATAGGTGCAAGCCACCATGCCCAGCTAATTTTTGTATTTTTAGTAGCAATGGGATTTCACCATGTTGGCCAAGCTGGTCTCGAGCTCCTGACCTCATGATCCGCCCACCTCGGCCTCCCAAAGTGCTGGGATTACAGGCGTGAGTCACCGCGCCCGGTCCCTAATTCTTTTTTTTTTAATTAAAAAAATATTTTTCTAGCCTGGCCAACATAGTAAAACCCCGTCTCTACTAAAAATGCAGAAATTAGCCGGGCATGGTGGTGCACACCTGTAATACCAGCTATTTGAGAGGCTGAGACAGGAGAATCGCTTGAACCCGGAGGTGGAGGTTGCAGTGAGCCGAGATCACGCCACTGTACTCCAGAGTGAGACTCTGTCTCAAAAAAAAAAAAAAAATTGAGATGGGGTCTTACTATGTTGCCCAGACTGGTCTTGATATCCTGGCCTCAAGCAATCCTCCGACTTCAGCCTCCCAAAGTGCTGGGATTACAGGCGTGAGCCACCATGCCCAGCCTCACATGACATTTTTCTTTTTCTTTTTTCTTTTTTTTTTTTGAGACAAAGTCTCTCTCACTCTGTCACCCAGGCTGCAGTGCAGTGCCTCAACCTCCCAAGTAGCTGGGACTGTAGTCCCACCTACAGTCCCACCACGCCTGGCTAATTTTTGTATTTTTAGTAGAGACGGGATTTTACTATGTTGGCTAAGCTGGTCTCAAGCTCCTGACCTCAAGCAATCCTCCCACCTCGGCCTTTCAAAGTTCTGGGATTACAGGCGTGAGTCACTGTGCCCAGCCTCGCATGGTAATTTTATATTTAACTTTTTGAGGAACCATCAAAGTACCACAGTGGCTGCATGATTTTTCCACTCCCACCAGCAATGCGCTAGGGTTCCAGTGTCTCCACATCCTTGTCAATACTTATTTTCTGCTTTTGCTTTTTCCTGTCTGATTGCTATGGGTATGAAAGATATCTCACTGTAATTCTGATTTGCATTACCCTAATAACAGACGAAGTGGAGCATCTTTTGCTCATTGGTCATGTGTGTTTCTTGCCCATTTTGTGAAGGTTGCTTGTCTTTTTATTATTCAGTTATCATAGTTTGTTTGTTTTTTTGAGAGACAGGGTCTCACTCTCTCTCCCATGCTAGAGAGCACTGATGTGATCACAGCTCACTGTAGCCTTGCCCTGGGCTCAAGCACTCCTCCTGCCTCAGCCTCCCAAGTAGCTGAGATTATAGGTTGCCTGCCACAATGCCCAGCTAATTTTTGTATTTTTAACAGAGACGGGGTTTCACCATGTTGGCCAGGCTGGTCTCGAACTCCTGACCTCAGGGGATCCGCCTGCCTTGGCCTCCCAAAGTGCTGGGACTACAGGCATGAGCGGCCACACCTGGCTTGATAATAGATTTAATTCTTATAAAAACCTATATTGCCCGGCGCAGTGGCTCACGCCTGTAATCCCAGCACTTTGGGAGGCTGAGGTGGGCAGATCATGAGGTCAGGAGATCAAGACTATCCTGGCTAACACGGTGAAAACCTGTCTCTACTAAAAATACAAAAAATTAGCCGGGCGTGGTGGCAGGCACCTGTAGTCCCAGCTACTCAAGAGGCTGAGGCAGGATAATGGCGTGAACCCGGAAGGCGGAGCTTGCAGTCAGCCGAGATCGTGCCACTGCACTCCAGCCTAGGCGACAGAGGGAGACTCCGTCTCAAAAAAAAAAAACAAACAAACAAAAAACAAACAAACAAACAAAAAAACAACCTATATCATGTTACTGAGGTAAGGTAAGAGGACTGCCTAAGGTCAGGAGTTAGAGGCTGCAGTGAGCCATGATTGCACCAGTATACTCCAGCCTGGTGCTAGAAACCCTGTCTCAAAAGAAAAATAAAAAATCTACTTGTGCATAAAAAATTTAAAGAGAGGAAAAAAAGAAACTAAAGTAAACTGGCTGGGCGCAGTGGCTCATGCCTGTAATCCCAGCACTTTGGGAGGCCGAGGCGGGCAGATCACGAGGTCAAGAGATTGAGACCATCCTGGCCAACATGGTAAAACCCCGTCTCTATTAAAAATATAAAAATTAGCTTGGCGTGGTGGTGGGTGCCTGTAGTCCCAGCTACTCGGGAGGCTGAGGCAGGAGAATCACTTGAACCCGGGAGGCGGAGGTTGCAGTGAGCTGAGATCATGTCTTTGCACTGTAGCCTGGGCAACAGAGTGAGACGCTGTCTCAAAAATAAATAAATAAATAAATAGAAACTAAAGTAAACTAAAATAAAATAATAAAATATAGGCTAGGCGTGGTGGCTCATGCTGTAATCCCAGCACTTTGGGAGGCAGAGGTGGGAGGATGGCTGGAGCCCAGGAGTTTGAGACCAGCCTGGACAACATAGGGAGATCCTGTCTCCACACACACAAAAAGTGCAAAAAAATTAAAACAGGTGTACTTATTTCCAGATTGCATTGTTCTGGGCCCTACCATGAGGTAAAACATAAGGCACAATTTTATCTCTTCTACTAATGAATTGAAAAGTAGTAAACAAGCAACACTCCTCCCCAACTGAAAGCTTATACTTTGTTTCAAGCAAAGTGAAATGAGCTGTGAACCACCTCCTGACATACTGCAGACACAGGAAATTAAAGATTTTTAAAGAAACCTCACTAGGAAAGTTCATTCCCTGAAAATCAAGTTCTTTTTTTTTCTTTTCTTTTTTTTTGAGACAGAGTCTCACTCTGTCACCCAGGCTGGAGTACAGTGGTGAAATCTAGGCTCACTGCAGCCTCCAACTCCTGGGTTCAAGCAATTCTCGTGCCGCAGCCTCCTGAGTAGCTGGGATTACAGGCGTGCACCACCACGCCTGGCTAATTTTTGTATTTTTAGTAGAGACGGAGTTTCATCATGTTGGCCACGCTGGTCTTTTTTTTGAGATGGAGTCTCGCTCAGTCGCCCAGGGTGGAGTGCAATGGCGCGATCTCGGCTCACTGCAACCTCCGCCTCCTGGGTTCAAGCAATTATCCTGTCTCAGCCTCCTGAGTAGCTGGGACTACAGGCGCGTGCTACTACGCCGGGCTAATTTTTGTATCTTTAGTAGAGACAGGGTTTCACCGTGTTGGCCAGACTGGTCTCAAACTCCTGACCTCATGATCCGCCTGCCTCAGCCTCCCAATGTGCTGGGATTACTAGCGTGAGCCACCGTGCCCGGCCTGGCCATGCTAGTCTTAAACTTCTGGCCTCAAGTGATCCTCTTGCCTTGGCTTCCCAAAGGGATGGGAAAATCAAGTTTTGGCAAACAAAACGAACAAAACTTATTAGCAACAGATATCCGAATACATGAGAAATTTCAGCACTGTTCTAGGCACCAAGGAACCAGGAAAGCCATTACATTTAGAAGCTGACAGGGGGCCGGGTGCAGTGGCTCAATCCCAGCACTTTGGGAGGCCAAGGCGGGTGGATCACCTGAGGTCAGGAGTTTGAGACCAGCCTGGCCAACATGGTGAAACCCTTTCTCTACTGAAAATACAAAAATTAGCCGGGCGTGGTGGCGGATGTCTGTAATCCCAGCTACTTGGGAGGCTGAGGCAGGAGAATGGCTTGAACCTGGGAGACAGAGGTTGCAGTGAGCCAAGACCTCACCATTGCACTCCAACCTGGGCAATAAAAGTGAAACTCAGTTTCAAAAGAAAAAAAAAAGCAGCAGCAGCTGACAAGGAAACTTATGTTTGGTTCTTTACCCACATGTGTGGGGGTTAGGTACTCCAAATGCGAATTTAAGTGAAAATGCAGGCTTGGTATGGTGTGCCTGTAATACCAGCACTTTGGGAGGCCAAGGCAGGAGAATCGCTTGAGGCCCGGAGTTCAAGACCAGCCTGGGCAAGATAGTGAGACCCCTGACCTCTACAAAAAATTTTAAAAATTATCCAGGTGTCGTGGTGCACCCCTGTATTCCCACCTACTCAGAAGGTTGTGGTGGGAGGATCATCTGAGCCCAGGAGTTTGAGGCTGTGGTGAGCTATGATCACAGCACTGGAATCCAGCCTGGGTGACAGAGCGAGACCTTGTCTCAAAAAAAAAAAAAAAAGCAAGCGATGCCAACATAACCCTAGTTTTTTTGTTTTTTGTTTTTTTGTTTTGAGACGGAGTTTCGCTCTGTCGCCCCAGCTGCAGTGCAGTGGCATAATCTCGGCTTGCTGCAACCTCTGTCTCCCGGATTCAAGTGATTGTCCTGCCTCAGCCTCCTGAATAGCTGAGATTACAGGCACGTGCCACCATGCTAGGCTAATTTTTGTAGTTTTAGTAGAGACGAGGTTTCACCATGTTGGCCAGGATGATCTTGAACTCCTGGCCTCAGGTGATCTGCCCACCTCAGCCTCCCAAAGTGCTGGGATTACAGACATGAGCCACCGCGTCCGGCCCTCAACATAAGCCTAGTTAATAAAATCCACTAGATTTTGATAATAAAATACAAAAACAGGCCAGGTACAGTGGCTCACCCCTGTAATCCTGCCACTCTGGGAGGCCGAGGCAGGTGAATCACTTGATGTCTAGAATTCAAGACCAGTCTGGCCAGCATGGCGAAACCCCGTCTCTACTGAAAATACAAAAATTAGCCGGATGTCCCAGCTACTCGGGAGGTGGATGCACGAGAATCGCTTGAACCCAGGAGGCAGACGTTGCAGTGGGCTGAGATCACACCACTGCACTCCAGCCTGGGTGACAGAGACCCTGTCTCAAAAAAGAATAAAAAATAAAAGATAATAACATAATAAAATAAAATAGAGAGACACAGCTGTGACTATTAGCCCACCAAAAAAGTACAAATCCATTGGCCCAATGAATCTTAGATCCATAGCTGGCCATCTATGAGATACGCTAAGGTGTCCTAGATTAGGACCCTCCAGAGCGGACGTGGAATGGGACGGGATAGGCACCTGCCGCACATACTGCGTGATCACCCAGACAGCAGTGGAGAGGAAAGGCAGCTTGTATTCACTCATTCATTCATTCATTCATTCATGTTTCCATCCAAAAAGCCCACTGTTTGTGAGTCTTCCTCTTATATAAGCTCACTAAGGGCGGGGACCAAGCCTCATTCATTGGCCTGGGGCATGCCTAGTGTGGAGCAAGTATTTGGTGTTTGTTGACTGAATGACTGAAGGTGAAGGGGACTTGAGTTGCCCAGGCACAGTGGCTCACACTTGTAATCTCAGCCCTTTAGGAAGCCAAGGCAGGAGGATCACTCGAGGTCAGGAATTTGACACCAGCCCAGGCGACATAGGGAGACCCCATCTCTACAAAAAAGAAAAATTTGGCCGGGCGCGGTGGCTCACGCCTGTAATCTCAGCACTTTGGGAGGCCGAGGCGGGCGGATCACGAGGTCAGGAGATTGAGACCATCCCGGCTAAAAAACGGTGAAACCCCGTCTCTACTAAAAATACAAAAAATTAGCCAGGTGTAGTGGCGGGCGCCTGTAGTCCCAGCTACTTGGGAGGCTGAGGCAGGAGAATGGCGTGAACCCGGGAGGCGGAGCTTGCAGTGAGCCGAGATCCCGCCACTGCACTCCAGCCTGGGCGACAGAGCGAGACTCCGTCTCAAAAAAAAAAAGAAAAAGAAAAATTTTAAAAATTAGCTGGTCCCGGTAGCTCATGCCTGTAATCCCCACATTTTGGGAGGCTGAGGTGGGAGGACTGCTTGAGCCCAGGAGTTTGAGATCAGCCTGGGCCACATAGGGAGACCCTCTGTCTGCAAAAAATAAATTTTTAAGTTAGCTGGGTTTGGAGACACACACCCGTGGCCCCAGCTACTCAGGAGGCTGAAGTGAGAGGATTGCTTGAGTGCAGGAGCTCGAGGCTGCTGTGAGCTATGATCACACCATCACACTCCAGCCTGGGCAACAGGCTGTCTCTAAATAAATTCCGTCAATAAATAAATAAATAAATAAATAAATAAACAAAGCGTGTAAAGGGCTGACACCATTGCTTGACAAGGATGCAAGGAATGTTTTATTGCTGTGTTTTAGGGAATGTGTTAGGTGCTTTGGGGATGCAGAGATAAAAATGGTACCATCTGTGACCTCAAGAAGTTTACGGACTTGTGGGAGGACAGCGTTGTGAACAGGTTATAATACAATCTGACTATGGCATCTGTAATAAGAGCCCAGAGGCCGGGCATGGTGGCTCCTGCCTGGAATACCAGCACTTTGAGAAGCTGAAGTGGGCAGATCACCTAAGATCAGGAGTTTGAGACCAGCCTGGCCAACATGGTGAAACTACGTCTCTACTAAAAACACAAAAATTAGCTGGGCGTGGTAGTGGGCACCTGTAGTCTCAGCTACTTGGGAGGCTGAGACAGGAGAATCGCTTGAACCTGGGAGACAGAGGTTGCACTGAGCCGAGATCACGCCACTGCACTCCAGCCTCGGAGACAGAGTGAGACTCTGTCTCAAAAAAAAAAAGAAAAAGAAATAGTTTACAGACTTGTTGGGGGACAGAGTTGTAAACAGGTCATAATATAGTCTGACTAGGGCACCTGTCATAAGATCCCAAAGGCCGGGCATGGTGACTCATCGCTGTAATGCCAACACTTTGGGAGACCAAGGTAGGCGGATCCCTTGACGTCAGGAGTTTGAGACCAGCCTGGCCAACATGGTGAAACCCCGTCTCTACTAAAACTACAACAATTAGCCGGGTGTGTTGGCACATGCCTATAGTCCCAGCTACTCAGGAGGCTGAGGCAAGAGAATCACTTGAACCCGGGAGGCGGAGGTTGCAGTGAGCCGAGATTGTGCCACTGCACTCCAGCCTGGGCTACAGAGTGAGATTCTGTCTCAAAAAAAAAAGAGCCCAGAGGAGGTGGGGAGTGGGGGCATTTGAACAATGCATAGAACTTTCCTGGTGAAGAAGGTGGAGGGTAGGGGGTAAGGAGGCAAAGAGAAGGGCTTGTGCAGAGATCTACTGTGTCAAGGTGCACAGGGTGCAGAGGGAATGGCACACAGCCAGCGCTGGCCGGGGCGCAGGGGAAGATGCAGCTCTGTCTGAAGAGTCTGTGGTCTGATCACAATGGGCCCTCTGTGCCAGTTGACTGGTTTGTGCTGAACACGTTGGCCAAGATGCCTGTCATTCCAGCCTCCGCTTCCAGGCGAAATTACACCACCCACTCAGGGAAGCTGGACTAAGCTGCTGCTGCTTTTTTTTTTTTTTAACAACTTTATTCAAGTATTTTATTTACACAGAATAAAATGCATTCGTTTTTATGTGTTTACTTAAAGGAGCCTTAGCAAATATTTTCACTCACCCGTGTCACCCCCACCATAATCAAGATACAGGGCTGGGTGCGGTGGCTCATGCCTGTAATCCCAGCACTTTGGGAGGCCGAGGCAGGCAGATCATCTGAGGTCAGGAGTTTGAGCCCAGCCTGGCCAACATGGTGAAACCCTGTCTCTACTAAAAATACAAAAATTAGCCGGGCGTGCTGGCGCATGCCGTGCCTGAAATCCCAGCTACTCCGGAGGCTGAGGCAGGAGAATGGCTTGAACCCAGGAGGTGGAGGTCGCAGTAAGCCGAGATCACAACACTGCACTCCAGCCTGGGCGACAGAGCAAGACTCCGTCAAAAAAAAATATATGCAACACTTCCATTGCTCTAGAAAGTTTCCTGTGCCCCTCTTCATTAGTTAATTTTCTTCACCACCCACCACCCCAGGCCCTGGCAATCACTGACCTGCTTGCCTGCTTACTTTCTTCTTTTTTTTCTTTTTTAGACAGGGTATTGCTCTGCAGCCCAGGCTGGAGCGTAGTGGCAAGATGTCAGCTCACTGCAACCCTGACATCCCTAGCTCAAGTGATCCTCCCACCTCAGCCTACTGAGTAGCTGGGACTATTTTTTTTTTTTTTTTTGAGATGGAGTCTCACTCTGTTGCCCAGGCTGGAGTGCAGTGGCACGATCTCGGCTCACTGCAAGCTCCGCCTCCCAGGTTCATGCCATTCTCCTGCCTCAGCCTCCCGAGTAGCTGGGACTACAGGTGCCCATCACCACACCCGGCTAATTTTTTGTATTTTTAGTAGAGACGGGGTTTCACCATGTTAGCCAGGATGGTCTCGATCTCCTGACCTCATGATCTACCCGCCTCGGCCTCCCGAAGTGCTGGGATTACAGGTGTGAGCCACCGCGCCCAGCCAATTTTTTGTATTTGAGAGTCAGGAGTTCAAGACCAGCCTGGACAACATGGTGAAACCCTGTCTCTACTAAAGATATAAAAATTAGCCAGGAGGGCTGGGCATGGTAGCTCATGCCTGTAATCCCAGCACTTTGGGAGGCCGAGGCGGGTGGATCACCTGAGGTCAGGAGTTTGCGACCAGCCTGGCCAACATGGTGAAACCCCATCTCTACTAAAAATACAAAAATTAGCTGGGTGTGGTGGCGGGTGCCTGTAATCCCAGCTACTCGGGAGGCTAAGGCAGGAGAATCGCTTGATCCTGGGAGATGGAGGCTGCAGTGAGCTGAGATCGTGCCAGTGCACTCCAGCCTGGGTGACTCTGCCAAACACACTAAAATAAAATAAAAAATTTTAAAAATATAATAATACAACTTTTTATAGGCCGGGCGTGGTGGCTCACGTCTGTAATCCCAGCACTTTGGGAGGCCGAGGCGGGCAGATCATGAGGTCGGGAGATCGAGACCATCCTGGCTAACACGGTGAAACCCCGTCTCTACTAAAAAATATAAAAAAATTAGCCGGGCATGGTGGCGGGCACCTGTAGTCCCAGCTACTTGGGAGGCTGAGGCAGGAGAATGGCGTGAACCCGGGAGGCGGAGCTTGCAGTGAGCCGAGATCATGCCACTGCACTCCAGCCTGGGCGACAGAGAGAGACTCCTTCTCAAAAAAAAAAAAAAAGAGAAAATTAAATACAAATTAAGCAGGAGAGAGGAGAGGGACTAATACTGTATATAAAATAATCCAACTTTTTTTTTTTTAATTAAAAAAAGGACACTTAGTCCAATGGCCAGTACTGGTTCCCACTGTGGCCCTGATACCAGCAGGGCAACCAGCCACGCCTTCCAGCCCAGAGCAAAGTTTTCAGAAGATAAGAACTCTGTGGTTTTCAGCAAGGAGACAATAAGAAGTTGTTCCTAATTGGCTTCCTGTCGCAGTCCTCAGGGCACCTGCTGGTTCCAGCCTGGATCCAGCCTACCTTGACCTTTGCCAGTTGGCACCGATGTGCAGATAACCAGTGAAGCCCAGGAGCAAATCCTCAAATCCAGACCTGCAGAATGGGACGAGTCTTGTGTGAAATTCTCAGGCGAGAGCTCTGAGCCCCAAGGCCTCCTTCGCACACCCCGGCCCTGGGTCTGATCTGGTTTCACGACCTGTTTCAGCTCCATGCTGTGCCGTGAGAAACCTCTCTGCAGGTCCCTACTTGAACTTGAAAGACTTTGACCCTTCCCAGTGGCCACAAGCACATCTCACTCTGCTGTCCAGGCTGGAGTGCAGTGGCGTGATCTCGGTTCACTACAACCTCTGCCTCCCAGGTTCAAGCAATTCTCCTGCCTCGGCCTCCCAAGTAGTTGGGATTATAGGCACGTACCATCACGCCCAGCTAATTTTTTTGTATTTTTAGTTGAGATGGAGTTTCACCATGTTGGCCAGGCTGGTCTTGAACTCCTGACCTCAGGTGATCCACCCGCCTCGGCCTCCCAAAGTGTTGGGATTACAGGCGTGAGCCACCGCGCCCAGCCTAATTTTTGTATTTTTTAGTTGTATTTAAAAAAATTTTTTTTGAGGTGCAATCTCGTTCTGTTGCCCAGGCCAGACTCCAGTGGCACAATCTCAGCCCACTGCAACCTCTGCCTCCCAGGTTCAAGCGATTCTCCTGCCTCAGCCTCCTCAATAGCTGGGATTACAGGCACGCGCCACTATGCCTGCCTAATTTTTGTGTTTTTAATAGAGATGGTGTTTCACCATGTTGATCAGGCTAGTCTCAAACTCCTGCCCTCGTGATCTACCTGCCTAGGCCCCCCCAAAAGTGCTGGGATTACAGGCGTGAGCCACTGCGCCTGGCCCACAAGCATGTCTTTCTCTTCTGCTCATCCAGATGAAAAAAAACTGGAGCAGCCGTTTTGCAAAACAGGCCTTCAGTGGCCCTCACAGTTGGATTTTGTCCTGAGCTCAGTTCTATAGGAAGCGTGTGTGTATATGTGTGAATGTGTGTGTATATGTGTGAATGTGTGTATGCATGTGTGAATGTGTGTATGTATGAGTGTGTGTGTGTGTGTGTGTGTGTGGTTTACGTACTTATTGCTAAGCTTCGAATTTTCAGATTTCTGCTTTCTGGCTGTGAATTTGATGCAACACAATTATGGTTAAAAATATTTCCTGGCTGAGCACGATGGCTCATGCCTTTAATCCCAACCCTTTGGCAGGTCGAGGTGAGAGGATTGCTTGAGGCCAGGCATTTGAGACCAGTCTGGGCAACATAGTGAGACCCTCCATCTCTACACAAAATTTTAAAAAATTAGCTGGGGATGGTGGCATGTATCTGTAGTCCCAGCTACTCTGGAGCCTGAGGTGGGAGCATCGCTTGAGACCTGTAGACTGAGGCTGCTGTGAGCTGTGATTGCACCACTGCGCTCTAGCCTGGGCAACAGAATGAGACCCTCTCTCTCTCTCTCTCTCGACACACACAAAAAAGGCCAAATCCCAGCACTGTGGGAGGCCGAGGCAGGCGGATCATGAGGTCAGGAGATCAAGACCATCCTGGCTAACATGGTGAAACCCCATCTCTACTAAAAATACAAAAAAAGTAGCCGGGTGTGGTGGGGGGCGCCTATAGTCCCAGCTACTCTGGAGGCTGATGCAGGAGAATGGCGTGAACCTGGGAGGCAGAGCTTGCAGTGAGCCGAGATCGTGCCACTGCACTCCAGCCTGGGCACTGCACTCCAGCCTGGCCGACACAGTGAGACTCCATCTCAAAAAAAAAAAAATCATTTGCTTGCACAAAAAGACAAATACTGTGTGATTCCACTTATATAAGAAGTACCTAGAATAGTCACGTTCATAGAGACAGAAAGTCTCTGGTGGTTGCCAAGGGGTAACGGGAAGGAGGATGGGGAGTTGTTCAATGGGTATAGAGTTTCAGTTTTGCAAGACGAAATGAGTTCTGAGGGTCAGTTGCACAACAGTGTGAATGCACTTAAAGCTACTGAACTGTACACTTAGAAATGAGTAAGATGGGCCGAGTGTGGTGGCTCACGCCTGTAATCCCAGCACTTTGGGAGGCCGGGGCGGGTGGATCACGACGTCAGAAGATAACCATCCTGGCTAACACGGTAAAACCCCATCTCTGCTAAAAATACAAAAAATTAGCCAGGTGTGGTGGCATGCACCTGTAGTCCCAGTTACTCGGGAGGTTGAGGAAGGAGAATCGCTTGAACCTGGGAGGCAGAGATTGCAGTGAGCCGAGATTGTGCCACTGCACTCCAGCCTGGGTGACAGAGCAAGACTCCATCTCAAAAAAAAAGAAATGATTAAGATGATTAATTTTACATGTATTTTACTATAATAAAATTTTTTTTTAAATTGTATGGTGTACAAGAGCGTATGATTATTTTGCAGCTTTGTAAGACCTAATTAATAGTGGATAGTGGATGGCTTTTTTTTTAGAGTCTCGCTCTGTTGCCCAGGCTGGAGTGCAGTGGCACAATCTCGGCTCACTGCAACCTCCGTCTCCCAGGTTCAAGCGGTTCTCCTGCCTCAGCCTCCTCAATAGCTGGGATTACAGGCATGCGCCACCACGCCCAGCTAATTTTTATATTTTTAGTAGAGTCTCACTCTGTCGCCCAGGCTGGAGTGCAGTGGCACGATCTCGGCTCACTGCAACCTCCGCTGCCTGGGTTCAAGCAATTCTCCTGCCTCAGCCTCTCGAGTAGCTGGGATTTCACCATGTTGGCCAGGCTGGCCTGGAACTCCTGACCTCAAGTGATCTGCCTGCCTCAGATTCCCAAAGTGCTGGGATTACAAGAGTGAGCCACAGCACCTGGCCAATGGTGAATGGCTTTGTAAATAGGGATAGTGGTCAAACCCAAGGACTTTGCAGGCACAGAGTATGAATTATAAGTTAGGATGGTCATAGATGTGGTTATGATGATATAATAATGGTGCTACAGATACACAGTGTGGCCTTGGAACTAGTGGACGTGTGATCCCTAATAGGGAAATACCTGGCCCATAGCAGCCTGAGTTTTGCTACCAGTGACTTCCCCTTGGTTTCCAAGGCAGCACAACAGAGGGCTCCTGTTTTTGGGGTGAAGTTCAGTGTACGTTTACTTTATTTATTTATTTATTTTTTGAGACAGAGTCTCACTCTATTACCTAGGCAGGAGTGCAGTGGCTTGATCTCGACTCACTGCAACCTCTGCCTCTCAGACTCAAGCAAACCTCTCACCTTAGCCTCCCAAGCAGCTGGGACCACAGGCACGAGCCACTACACCTGGCTAATTTTTGAATTTCTTGTGAAGATAAGATTTTGCTATGTTGCCCAGGCTGCTCTCGAACTCCTGAGCTCAAGCGATCCTCCCTCCTTAGCCTCCCAAAGTGTTGGGATTACAGGCCACTGTGCCCGATCTACAGAATAGTTTGTTTTACATTTGAACTTAGCCAAAAGGCCGAGAAGTGATGAGAATAGTTTTTGTTTGTTTGTTTGTTTGTTTGTTTTTGAGACAGAGTCTCGCTCTGTCGCCCATACTGGAGTGTTGTGGCACGATCTCGGCTCACTGCAAGCTCCACCTCCTGGGTTCACGCCATTCTCCTGCCTCAGCCTCCTGAGTAGCTGGGACTACAGGCACCTGCCACCATGCCCGGCTAATTTTTTGTATTTTTTTTTTTAGAGAGACGGGGTTTCACTGTGTTAGCCAGGATGGTCTCGATCTCCTGACCTCTTGATCCGCCCACCTCAGCCTCCCAAAGTGCTGGGATTACAGGCGTGAGCCACTACATCCAGCGAGAATAGTTTTAATTTAAGGCTTATTTTGAAAAATTCTGAGTTCAGTTCAAATGTACACAGATATTTCGCAGAAAAAGGTAATGTTAGAGATGTTTTTGTTTGTTTGAGACAGGGTCTTGTTCTGTTGCTCAGGCTTCAGGGCAATGGTACAGTCACAGCTCACTGAAGCCTCGATTTCCTGGGCTCAAGTGATCCTCCCACCTTCGTGTCCTGACTAGCTACAAGTGCCTGCCTCCACACCTGGCTAATTTTTCGTATTTTTTGTAGAGTGGGTTTTTACCATGTTGTAATCCTGCTGGTCTCAAACGCTTGGCCTCAAGTAATCCACCCACCTTGGCCTCCCAAAGTGCTGGGATTACAGGCATGAGCCACTGCACCTGGTGTCCGGCCTAGAGAAAATTATTATTTACTCTTTTTTTTTTTTGGAGACAGAGTCTCGCTCTGTCGCCCAGGCTGGAGTGCAGTGGCACGATCTTGGCTCACTGCAACCTCCGCTGCCTGGGTTCAAGCGATTCTCCTGCCTCAGTCTCTCGAGTAGCTGGGATTACAGGCGCCCACTACCACATCCGACTAATTTTTGTGTTTTTAGTAGAAAGGGGGTTTTACTATGTTGACCAGGCTGGTCTCGAACTCCTGACCTTAAGTGATCTTAAGGCTCCTGACCTTAAGGCTGCCCTCAGCCTCCCAAAGTGTTGGGATTACAGGCATGAACCCACCACGCCTGGCTAGAGAAACTTATTCTTGATAATTCAGATGGCATGGAGAACATTTCTGGAACACTCACATTTGAAGATTCCTTATTAATGAATGCCTCTGACTTAAAACTAACCAAAAACCAGTAATATTTTCTTTTTTCTTTTTTTTTTTTTTTGAGACGGAGTCTCGCTCTGTCGCCCAGGCTGGAGTGAAGTGGCGTGATCTTGGCTCACTGCAAGCTCCGCCTCCCGGGTTCACACCATTCTCCTGCCTCAGCCTCCTGAGTAGCTGGGAGTACAGGCATGCACTACCACGCCCGCCTAATGTTGTATTTTAAGCAGAGACCGGATTGCTCCATGTTGGTCAGGCTGGTCTCGAACTCCTGACCTCAGGTGATCCACCCGCCTTGGCCTCCCAAAGTGCTGGGATTACAGGTGTGAGCCACCGTGCCCGGCCAAAAACAAGTAATATTTTCATTACAGAAGTTTAATAAGCTTAGTTGCAACCGATAAATTGCTTAATTAGTTAAAAAAAAAATCCCCCAAAACCCAAACCTCTGAATTTAAGCATCATTTTTGGGAAGAGACACGGAAGAGGAAAGGGAAAGGAGAAAGGTGCTGAAGTAATGTATTTGAGTAGTCATCTAATGCCTTTGGTTATGTGGACGTTTGTTTCAGGAGTGTCCCTCTAATTATATTAAATTAAAGATCTCGCAAATTATGGGTCACAGATAACCACTTTCAATGTTGAAAAACTCCATAACATTGCTAGTTAAAATGCTGCAATCATACCAGAATGAAAGTATGCCCATTTAACTCCATGAGGGCAGACAGTTTCATACCCCAGGGATCTGTGAGGTTGAATTTGAAGCAGCTGTTTAACAGATTCATTTCAGCAAAAGCTTTGGTTTCTTGGCTGGCAGTAGCCTTAGCAAGAAAACCACGTGACCTCCCAGGGTATGGCAGAGTCCTTTCAAGGACGTTCAGAGAGAGGGTTTATGAAGTGGTGGCTTCAAGCCCATGCCCCACCCCGGAGGGATTGTTGCAATGGCCCTGGGGTGGGGCGAAGGCTCCCCGGGGTCTGTGATCTGCAGCCAGGGATGAGAACCAGCCAATGAATTGATTGAGAAGAGGATGAGGACTTTGGTTTTTACCTCCTTTGTCTCTCTGGCATGGGAGACAGGCAAAAAGTAGGAGGAGAGAAAAGCTGGTGGGTAAAAATATTTGGGTGACTTGATAAATACCTGATCTAACTGCAGCCGACGTGTGCGGCACGGAAAATTTTTTCAAGTATTTTCATGGATATTTTTTCTCCTCTTTGCATTCCCAAATCCTCTAAGTAGGTATTGTTGTCATTATGTTTGTGCTTGAAAAAACCGGCTTAGAGAGATCAGGTGAGGAGCCCAGCTGGTAAGAGGCTGAGGCTGGACTCAGGCTGTCCTAATCCATCCACACTCCTTTGTTCTCAGCCTGAAAACAAGTCTCTTCTGTAAGGGCCCATCCATTCCACGTTTTGCTCTCTGCTGTAATTTACTTAGCTTGATTCTTTTCTTCTTATTATTATTACGGTGTAAATTGAGATCAGTGTAATCCCTGAGAAAATGGAAATTAACAGGGCAGCCAGCCTCAGAGTGGAAAGTAAAGGACAACGAACTCAATCGGTCTGAAGCATGAAACACTTCCATGTGCCACAATCACTTACCGCTTGCTTCATTTTGTTTGGCAGGACTAAAATTAAATACTGCTTTCCAGTAGCTGGAGTGGAAATTGAATTTTGCATCTTTCCTTAGACTGTTTGGAAATGGACTTGAAAGATAGAAGAACCTCAGTTGGCATTAATTGGTAGAAAATACTGTTAAGAAAAGAGTGACACTTAAAACGACTTTAAATATTTTTAAATTGTTCCGGCCGAGGTGGCTCATGCTTGTAATCCCAGCACTTTGGGAGGCCGAGGCAGGCGGATAACTTAAGGTCAGGAATTTGAGACCAGCCTGGGAAATACGGCGAAATCTCCCATCTCCACACACAAAAAATACAAAAATTAGCCAGTTATGGTGGTGTACAGCTGTAGTTCCAGCTACTTGGGAGGCTGAGTGGGGAGGATGGCGGAGCCCCAGAGGCGGAGGTTGCACTGAGTTGAGATTGACCCACTGCACTCCACCCTGGGTGACAGAGCAAGACTCTGTCTCAAAAACAAAAAAAAAAAAACAAAAAAAAAACAAAAAAAAAAACTGTCTAAAAAAACAAAATATATATATATGTATATATGTATTTTTGAGATGGAGTCTTGCTCTGTGGCCCAGGCTGGAGTGCAGTGGTGCAATCTCGGCCCACTGCAACTTCCTCCTCCCAGGTGCAGTGATTCTCCTGCCTCAGCCTCCTGAGTAGCTGGGATTACAGGAGTGTGCCACCACACCTGGCCAATTTTTGCATTTTTAGTAGAGACGGGGTTTCATCATGTTGGCCAGGCTGGTCTTGAACTCCTAACCTCAAGGGATTCACCCGCCTCGGCCTCCCAAAGTGCTGGGATTACAGGCATGAGCCATTATGCCTGGCCTTTATATATATATTTTAAATCATAGGTTTTATTTAAACAGACAAATCCAAGTGTATGAAAGAGACCTCTGTGGTGGAGAAAGAAAAAGAAAGCAAAGCAAAACAAAGCAAAGAAAAGAAAGAGAAAGAAAGAAGAAAGAAAAAGAAGGAAGGGAGGGAGGGAGGAAAGAAGAAAGGAAGGACGAAAGGAATGAAAGAAGGAAGGAAGGAAGAGAGGGAGGGAGAGAGGGAGTGGGTGGATCACCAGAGCTCAGGAGTTTGAGACCAATCCAGCCAACATAGTGAAACCCCGTCTCTACTAAAAATACAAAAAAAAATTAGCCGGGCGTAGTGGCACGCGCCTGTAGTCCCAGCTACTTGGGAGGCTGAGGCAGGAGAATGGTGTGAACCCGGGAGGCGGAGCTTGCAGTGAGCCGAGATCCCGCCACTGCACTCCAGCCTGGGCGACAGAGCGAGACTCCGTCTCAAAAAAAAAAAAAAAAAAAAAAAATACAAAAAGTAGCCGGTTGTGGTGGTGGGCACTTGTAATCCCAGCTACTTGGGAGGCTGAGGCAGGAGAATTGCTTGAACCCAGGAGGCAGAGGTTGCAGTGAGCTGAGATTGTGCTATTGCACTCCAGCCTGGGCAACAAGAGCGAGACTCTGTCTCAAAAAAAAAAAAGAAGAGAAAGGAGGAAGGAAGGAAGGAAGGAAAGGAGGGAGGGAGGGAGGGAAGGAGGGAAAAAAGAAAGGAAAGAAAGGAAATCTAATTGAGAGGCCAAACTGGGAGGATCTCTTGAGGCCAAGAGTTTGAGACCAGCCTGGGCAACAGAGCAAGACTCCATCTTTACAAAAAAATAAAAAGAAAATTAGCTGGACATGGTGGCTTGCATGTGTAATCCCAGCTACTTGGAGGACTGAGGCAGGAGGATTGCTGGAGCACAGGAGGTCAAGGTTGCAGTGAGCTATAATCACAGGACTGCACTCCAGCCTGGGTGACACAGCGAGACCTTGTCTCTAAAAAAAAAAAAAAAAAAAAAAAGAAAATATAAATTTCAAACAAGATCATTTTTCACAACTACTTGAAGAACTGCTGCCACCTCATGGAAAATTTTTATAAACTTCCAGTTTAGGCAAGAATCCACATTCGCTGTCTTCCAGAGTGTTCCTCTAGTCAACAACGTTGTGTAAAGTTCCCTTAGATCACCATTGTATAAAGTTCCCTTATTTCCCCTGGGAATCATTGGCCTGAAACTGCAGTTTTATCATCGTGGGTCAGTTTGAAAGTGGTTAGAATATTCTAACAATGTGCTTAGAAATAAAAAAAAAACTTTCTTTTTTTTTTTTTTAAATTGAGATGGAGTCTTGCTCTGTCACCCAGGCTGAAGTACCGTGGTGAGATCTCGGCTCATTGCAATCTCTGCCTCCTGGGTTCAACTGATTCTTGTGCCTCAGCCTCCCAAGTAGCTGGGATTACAGGTGTGCGCCACCATGCCCAGCTAATTTTTTTTTGGAGACAGAGTCTTGCTCTGTTGCCCAGTCTAGAGTGCAGTGGCATGATCTTGGCTCACTGCAAACCCTGTCTCCTGGGTTCAAGTGATTCTCTTGCCTCAGCTTCCTGAGTAGCTGGGATTACAGGCTCCTGCCACTGCGTGTGGCTAAGTTTTGTATTTTTAGTAAAGATGGAGTTTCACCATGTTGGCCAGGCTGGTCTTGAACTCCTGACCTCGTGATCCAGCCACCTCAGCCTCCCAAAGTGCTGGGATTACAGGCATGAGCCACTGCGCCTGGCATGCCTGGCTAATTTTTGTATTTTAAATAGAGACGGGGTTTCACCATGTTGGCCGGGCTGGTCTCGAACTCCTGACCTCAGATGATCCACCTGCCTCGGCTCCCAAAGTGCTGGGATTACAGGCATGAGCCACTGCACCCGGCCCAAGATTTCTTTTTATTTTATTTTTTAAGTATAGAGACCAGGGTCTCACTATGTTGCCTAGGCTGGTCTTGAACTCTTGGCCTCAAGTGATCTTCCCACTTGATTTTCCCACCACACTCAGCCTCTTTTTCTCTTTTTCTTTCAATTTAATTAATTTTTTTTTTGAGACAGGGTCTCACTCTGTTGCCCAGGCTGGAGTACAGTGGGGCCATCATAGTTTATTGCAGCCTCAATCTCCTGGGCTCAAGTGATCCTCCCACCTCAGCCTCCAGAGTAGCTGGGACTTCGGGCATGTGCCACTTCACCTGGATAATTTTTAAATTTTTTGTAGAGGCAAGGTCTCCCTATGTTGCCCAGGCTAATCTCGAATTCCTGGGCTCAAGCAATCCTCCTGCGTTGGTCGCCCAAAGTGCTGGGATTAATTAAAAAAAGAAATAGTATTTCTGTTGTAATTCAAATTAGCAAAGAGGAGCTAAGGATTATGAAAATTGTTCTTTACAGAACTTCATCTCTGTTATTTATTTTATTTTATTTTTTGAGACGGAGTCTCACTCTGTCTCCCAGGCTGGAGTGCGGTGGCGCGATTTCGGCTCACTGAAACCTCTGCCTCCTGGGTTCAAGCGATTCTCCTGCCTCAGCCTCCCGAGTAGCTGAGATTACAGGCACCCACCACCACACCCACCCAGCTAATTTTTTTTTTTTTTTTTTTTGGTATTTTTAGTAGAGATGGGGTTTCACCATGTTGGCCAGGCTGGTCTCAAACTCCTGACCTCTAGTGATCCGCCTGCCTCAGCCTCCCAAAGTGTTGGGATTACAGGCGTGAGCCACTACGCCTGGCTCATCTCTGTTATTTTAAGAACATTTCAGTAACAAACATACTGCCACATGCCAGACAGGATATTTCATGCCTGTGTTCTTTCACGCACACCTGAAAAAACCTTCCTACGGCTGAATTCCAGATAATTCTTGTTTCGTTTTTTTTATTTTTTTATTTTTTTGGAGACAGATAAAAATAGTCTCTCTGTCACCCAGGCTGGAGGACAGTGGCGCAATCTTGGCTTACTGCAACCTCCGCCTCCTGGGTTCAAGCAATTCTCCTGCCTCAGCCTCCCGAGTAGCTGGAACTACAGGCGCCCACCACCACGCCCAGCTCATTTTTGTGTTTTTAGTGGAGATGAGGTCTCGCCATATTGCGCGGGTTGGTTTCGAACTCCTGACCTCAGGTGATCCACCTGCCTTGGCCTCCCAAAGTACTGGGATTACAGGCGTGAACCACCGCGCCTGGTGGAGAATTCTTTTTCTCAAGGCTCAGCTAAGGATAGGCTCTTCCTTGAAAATGTCCTTCAACTCATCCTGGCAGGGTGGGCTGTGTTCTCCTCTTTGTTTCTGCAGGATTTAGTGCCTGCTGCTAGGGTCGTATTTATTATTACCGTATTTACTGATGTAGCACCGTATCAGTTTTTTGGTAATAATTGCGTGTGTGTGTTTTATTATTATTATTGTTATTTTGAGACAGAGTCTCACTCTGCCGCCCAGGCTGGAGCACAGTGGCACAACCTCAGTTCACTGCAACCTCTGCCTCACAGGTTCAAGTGATCCTCTGGCTTCAGCCTCCCGAGTAGCTGGGATTACAGGCATGCGCCACCATGCCTGGCCATCCTTTTTAAAGAAGTTTACTATTAGCCAGGCATGGTGGTGCGCGCCTAAAATCCCAGCTACCCAGGAGCCTGAAGCACGAGAATCGCTTGAACCAGGGAAGCCGACGTTGCAGTGAGCTGAGATTGTGCCACTGTGCTCTAGCCTGGGCAACAGAGTGAGACCTTGTCTGAACACACACAAAAAAGTAGTTTATTGTCTTGCAGGTCTGGAGGCCAGAGCCCAAAAGTGAACATGTCAGCAGGGTTGATTCCCTGTGCAGGCTGTGTTAAGTGGGTGATGATGACAAGGATGATGGTGAGAATCTGTCCCATGCCTCTGTCCTAGGGTCTGGTGGTTTCCTGGCAACCTTTGGCATTCGTCAGCTGGTAGATGCATTGCTCCAAACATGCGCCTTCACATGGTGTTCTTGCTGAGTCTCCCCACCTAGTCTTCCTTTTGCCTCTGTGTCCAAATTTTCTCCTGTTTTGCTTTCTTTCTGAGAGAGGATCTTGCTCTGTTGCCCAGGCTGGAGTGCAGTGGCGTGATCATAGCTCACTTCAGCCTCCAACTTGTGGGCTCAAGAGATCCTCCTGTCTCAGCCTCCTGAGTAGGTGGAAACACAGGGATGTGCCACTGCGGCTGGCTAATTAAAAAAAATTTTTTTTTTTTGTAGAGATGGAGTCTTGCTGTGTTGCCCAGGCTAGGCTTGAACTCCCGGCCTCAAGCAGCCCTCCTCCCTCAGCCTCCTAAAGTGCTGGGATCACAGGCATGAGCCACTGTGCCTAGCCTGTAGATGCCCTTTATCAGGTTGGAAAATGATAACTTACGCTTAATAGTAATTTTTCTCCTCTCCTCTCCTCTTCTCTCCTTCCCTCTCCTTTCCTCCCCTCTCCTCCCCTCCCCTCCGCCCCCACTTCTTTTTTCTTTTTTCTTTTTTTGAGACAAGGTCTTGCTCTGTCACCCAGGCTGGAGTGCAGTGGTGTGATCTTGGCTCACTGCAACCTCCACCTCCCAGGCTGAAGAGATTCTCTTGCCTTGGTCTCTGAATAGCTGGGACTAGAGGCACGTGCCACCACGCCCAGCTAATTTTTGTATTTCTTTTTTTTTTTTTTTAATTTTTGTATTTTTTGTAGAGATGGGGTTTCACCATGTTGCCCAGGCTGGTCTCGAAATTCCTGAACTTGGGTGATCCGCCCGCCTCGGCTTCCCAAAGTGCTGGGGTTACAAGTGTGAGCCAATATGCCTGGCCGATAATTTTCATATAAGGTCATTTGCACAGTGTTTGGCACAGAATAAGCCATGAGGAATATTCGTTGTCATCATCATCATTGTCATCAACATCCACTTAACCATCTTCTACTGTGGAACATTTAGATATTGCCTCTATTTGATTATTATAAATAGCCCAGTGATGAACATCTGTGCTGATCAATGTGTCCTTTTAAAACCAAACAGGGGCCGGGCACGGTGGCTCACACCTGTAATCCCAGCACTTTGGGAGGCCCAGGCAGGTGGATCACCTGAGGTCAGGAGTTCCAGACCAGGCTGGCCAACACGGCAAAACCCCATCTCTACTAAAAATACAAAAATTAGTCAGGCGTGATGGTGCATGCCTGTAATCCCAGCTACTCGGGAGGCTGAGGCAGGAGAATCACTTGAACGTGGGAGATGGAAGTTACAGTGAGCTGAAACTGCACCACTGTGCTCCAGCCTGGGCGACAGAGCGAGGCTCTATTTAAAAAAACAAAAAACGCTGGGTGCGGTGGCTCATGCCTGTAATCCCAACACTTTGGGAGGCCGAGGTGGGCGGATCACCTGAGGTCGAGAGTTCAAGAACAGCCTGACCAACATGGAGAAACCCCACCTCTACTAAAAATACAAAATTAGCTGGGCTTGGTGGCACATGCCTGTAATCCCAGCTAGTCAGGAGGCTGAGGCAGGAGAATCGCTTGAACCCGGGAGGCAGAGGTTGTGGTGAGCTGAGATTGCACCATTGCACACTCCAGCCTGGGCAACGAGAGCGAAACTTCGTCTCAAAAAAAAAAATTATGCTTTGAAAGACACCATCAAGAAAGTGAGAAGAAAATCTCAGAACAGGGAACCATTTTTACAAATCATATATCTGATCCAGGACTGTATCTAGATATGTAAAGAACTATAACTCAATAATAAAAAGACAAGGATTGCCGGGCGCAGTGGCTCTCGCCTACCATCCCAGCATTTTGGGAGGCTGAGGCGCGCAGATCACGAGGTCAGGAGTTTGAGACTAGCCTGACCAACATGGTGAAACCCCGTCTCTACTAAAAATACAAAAATTAGCCAGGCGCAGTGGCAGGAGCCTGTAATCCAGCTACTCGAGAGGGACAGGGAAGGATCCTAATGCTAAAAGAAAAAAAAAAAAAGAAAGAATGAGGGGACTGCATGGAGAGCTTTTTTTTTTTTTTTTTTTGAGACGGAGTCACGCTCTGTTGCCCAGGCTGGAATGCAGTGGCATAATCTCGGCTCACTGCAACCTCTGCCTCCCAGATTCAAATGATTCTTGTGCCTCAGCCTACCAAGTAGCTGGGACTACAGGCAGCTGTCACCATGCCTGGCTAATTTTTTTTTTTTTTGAGACTGAGTCTTGCTCTATTGCCCAGGCTATAGCACAGTAGTGTGACCTTGGCTCACTGTAACCTCCGCCTTCTGGGTTCAAGCAATTCTCATGCCTCAGCCTCCCGAGTAGCTGGGATTACAGGCGCCCTCCACCACGTCTGGCTAATTTTTGTATTTTTAGTAGAGATGGGGTTTCACCATGTTGGCCAGGCTAGTCTCGAACTCCTGACCTCAGGTGATCCGCTGGCCTTGGCCTGCCAAAGTGCTGGGATTACAGGCATGAGCCACTGCGCCCGGCCCATGCCTGGCTAATTTTTTTGGGGGGATGGAGTTTCTCTCTTATCGCCCAGGCTGGAGTGCAATGGCGCGATCTCGGCTCACTACAACCTCTGGCTCCCGGGTTCAAGCGACTCTCCAGCCTCAGCCTTCCAAGTAGCTGGGATTATAGGCGCCCACCATCACGCCTGGCCAATTTTTTTTTTTTTTTTTTTTTTCAGTAGAGACGAGGTTTTACCACGTCGACCAGGCTGGTCTCAAACTCCTGACTTCAGGTGATCTACCCACCTCGGCCTCCCAAAGTGCTGGATTACATGCATGACCCACCTCGCCCAGCTGCCTGGCTAATTTTTATATTTTTAGTAGAGACGGGGTTTGCCCATGTTGGCCAGGCTGGTCTCAAACTCCTGACCTCAGGTGATCCATCCGCCTCAACGACCCAAAGTGCTGGGATTATAGTCGTAAGCCACCGCGCCCAGCCTCCATGGAGAGCTTTTTTTTGTCGACGATGTTAGGGCCACTGCAGCCAGTATCACCTGTAGGCAGCCCCTGCAGATCCCTGAGTGGCTGCTGGCACAGGGGAGAGAACAGGTGCGGGGCTCAGCAGGGACTAACTCTCTGTCTAAAGGAGAAGGCAGAAATTCTGCCCCCTTGGATCTTGGAGATCTGTTTATGGGTCTGTATCTGCCTGCTAGCCAGCTGCTCGGGGGCCCAGGAGTCTCACTCCTCTCCCAGGGCCTGACCTTTGCAGACAGAGGGGGTGCTGGGAACTAGTGCGATGAATGACAGCACCCAGGACACCGGGGCCTGTGAATCTTCAGCGAGGAGGTGCCCTGGAGCTCAGGGAATCCCAACCACTGCCCGGGGATGACCTACAGGGAGGTGGGAAGTTGGTGGCTGAACCAGTATTAGCACCTAAGTGTCTCACACAGCCTGGCCCTCTCTCCTGGGGCATCTGTGTCTGGGCCTGCAGGAGGAAGCCCCTCAATTGCTCAGGCACACGGAGTGATTTCTTTCTTTAGGGGGCAATTTGTTCTTTTGTTCCCTCTCCTTCTCCCTCTCTTTCCTTTCTGAGAAATCTGATTAGAACTTTGAAAGCTGAGCCGTTTTAGGATCAGGTTGCCACATTTAGCAAATAAAAATAGGGGATGCTGTGTTGAATTTGAATTTCAGATAAACAACAAATAATTCTTGAGTGCAATCATGTTCCTTGCAATATATGGACATAACTTACACTAAAACAATTATTTGTTGTTCATCTGAAATTCACATTTGACTAGGCTTCTTGTATTTTATTTGGCAACCCTACTTTCGGAGCCACGATTCTGTTAACAATTGCTTTTTTTTTTTTTTTTTCAGAGCTGGAGTCTCACTCTGTCTCCCAGGCTGGAGTGCAGTGGCATGATCTTGGCTCACTGCTACCTCCGCCTCCCAGGTTCAAGTTATTCTCCCGCCTCAGCCTCCCAAGTAGTTGGGACCACAGGTGTGTGCCACCATGCCCAGCTAATTTTTGTATTTTGAGATGAAATTTCACCATGTTGGCATTTAATCAATTCTTTTTTTTTTTTTTTTTTTTTTTTTTTATGAGATGGAGTCTTGCCCTGTTGCCCAGGCTGGAGTGCAATGGCATGATCTCGGCTCACTGCAACCTCTGCCTCCTGGGTTCAAGCGATTCTCCTGCCTCAGCCTCCCGAGTAGCTGGGATTGCAGGCACCCACCACCAGGCCCAGCTAATTTTTGTATTTTTAGTAGAGACAAGGTTTCACCATGTTGGTCAGGCTGGTCTAGAACTCCTGACCTCGTGATCTGCCCGTCTCGGCCTCCCAAAGTGCCGGGATTACAGGCGTGAGCCACCGCACCCAGCGCGATTTTACCATGTTGGACAGGCTGGTCTCAAACTCCTGACCTCAAATGATCTGCCACCCACCTTAACCTCCCAAAGTGCTGGGATTACAGGTGTGAGCCACTGCGCCCGACCCGTGTTAGCAATTTCACTTGGTCCCTGTGCAGAAGCTGCAAAGAGAAGACTTTTACTGGGTCAGAAAGGAGGAGGGGGCACAGGAGTCAGTCCAGGTTTCAGGAATTTGGCCCCAAAAGGCAGGAGAACCTCTTGAGGACAGGAGTTTGAAACCAGCCTGGGAAGCATAGTGAGACCCCATTTCTACAAAAATAAAAATTAGCCGGGCATGGTAGCGTGTGCCTGTGGTCCCAGCTACTCAGGAGGCTGAGGCAGGAGAATCATGGATCACTTGAACCTGGGAGGTCGAGGCTGCAGTGAGCTGTGATTACGCCACTGCGCCTCCACCTGGGTGTTAGAGCAAGGCCCTGTCTCTAAAAACAGAAAAAAAAAAAAAAAAAAAAGCAGAGAGAGAAAAGAAAGAAACCCTTCTCTCTGCTGGCTCCCCCAGAACCTAGCTGGGTCCTGCAAAACTAACCCCACTGCCATTTCCCTCTGCCATCTCTCCTTTGAACAATCCCCACGGATCTCTGCTTGGTCCCAGCCTGTCTGAGTTTCCAAGAACAGAAGGAACGATGGCACCTGCTGCAAGATGTTGAGAGATAAATGAGGAAGCCGCTCAGACAGCCAGAAAGACAGGAAACCCTTGGCTGCCTCGAGAGAGGAAATAGGAGCAGGGAGGCAGGGGTGTGGGAGGGGGTTTGGGCCAGCAGCACTGTGATCCCCACCCCCGTCCCCACCACGTGGCTTCACAGGGCAGGCGCCATGAAGGCTCTGAGCAGCAAAGAGCTGCTGACCAAGAAGACATGGATCATGTGCAAGCATGGCCACATGGTTTTGTTTGTTACTGGGCACACGCCTGGCTCCTGTGTGCCCCAGCCCAGCTCAGCTGCATGTAAGATGGGATCCAGCCACCATCTCAGAGCCCCAGAGCAGGGCAGGTAACTGGGTCTGCTCATGAGAGCCAGGGCACACCTCTGGGGAGCCTGGGGCCAGCGCCACATGCCACAGCTGTCACTCTGCTCCTCTGCCAGGCTGCACTTGCCCCTCTGGGTCTCATGTCCCCAGGCAGGGCCCTGCCGGTCTCCTGGATGCCTGCTGCATTAGGCTAATGGAACTGGAGCCTGACCCTTTGCACCAAGGAATTTGGAGCAACTCTGAATCTGGTGGCCTGGGCTCAAACTGGAAAACTCCACCGAACCTTCCATGTCCTCAGTCTCCCTAGGCCTGCACCTACCACACTCTGCCACCACGCCCGGCTAATTTTGTATTTTTAGTAGAGACTGAGTTTCGCCGTTGGGAGGCTCAGGCAGGAGAATCGCTTGAACTTGGGAGGCAAAGGTTGCAGTGAGCGGAGATCACACCACTGCACTCCAGCCCGGGTGACAGAGCGAGATTCTACCTCAAAATAAATAATTAATTAATTAATTAAAAAATAGAAACCTCATAATCTCTCCATTGTCTCTAATCTTATCCCTTGATATTGACTATCAATGTTAATGGCAAGATATGTATCCTTCAGCATCTTTATGCTCATGTAAGTGATCACACATACACACGTAATTTTTCTACCTTTTCTCTTTATTTTTATGAAACAGAGTCTTGCTCTGTGGTTCAGGCTGGAGTACAGTGGCACGATCATAGCTCACAGCACCCTCTACCTGCTGTGCTCAAGTGATCCTCCAGCCTCAGCCTCCGGAGTAGCTGGGACCACAGGCATGCACCACCATGGCTGGCTAATTTTCTAGCTTAATGAAAATGGAGCATATGGTGATCAGTCAGGATTGCATTCAGCTCCTGCAAACCGTGGCTTAAATAAGAAATGAGTTTCACTTTTCTTGGGTGACAGCAGCTCAGGGTTAGATGGTGCAGTCTGCAGCAGCTGCTGAAACACACACTCTCTCTCCTTATGCGCCCTATTTCCAGAGTGTCACTTTGGTCCCCACGGTCATAGATGGCTTCTGCCTTCTAGGCGCTGAGTGCACGGTCGGGGCGAGAGAAGACAAAGGGAAAGAGACATGTATCAGCCAACTCTGATTCAAAGCACAATATGTGCTATGGGAAAACAACAGTTGGCCAGGCATGGTGGCTCACGCCTGTAATCCCAGTGCTTTGGGAGGCTAAGGCAGGAGGATCGCTTGAGGTCAGGAGTTCAAGGCTGCAGTGAGCTATGATCATGCCACCAAACTCCAGCTTGAGTGACAGAATGAGACCTTGTCTAAAAACAAACAAACCAAAAAACGCTCATTGATTTTTGCCTGATTAGAAGTGTAATATGTGCTAATTTTAGAAAAATGTAAAAAAAAAAAAAGGAAAAAGAAAAGTATACAAAGAGAAAAGCATGAGGAAAAAATAAAAACACTCATAATCCCACTACTGAAAGATAATTACTACTTATATTTCTACACTGCCTTCCACTCTTTCTTCTACACTTGCTTTTTTTTTGAGATGAAGTCTTGCTCTCTTGCCCAGGCTGGAGTACAATGGCTCAATCTCAGCTCACTGTAAACTCTACCTCCCAGGGTCAAGCAATTCTCATGCCTCAACCTCTCCATTAGCTGGGATTACAAGCATGTGCCACCAGGCCTGGCTAATTTTTGTATTTTTAAAAAAATTAATTATTTATTTTTTTGAGACAGAGTCTCAAATTTTTTCTTTTTCTTTTCTTTTTTTTTTTTTTTTAATAGAGACGGGTTTCGCCATGTTGGCCAGGCTGGTTTTGAACTTCTGACCTCAAGTGATCCACCTGCCTCAGCCTCCCAAAATGTTGGGATTATAGATGTAAACCACTGCGCCCGGCCCCAAACAGAAACTCTTTACCCATTAAACGCTAACTCTCCATATCCCCTTCTCCTGATCTCTAGTTGCCTTTATTCTATTTTCTGTCTGTGTGAATTTACCTTTTCTAGATATATCACATAAGTGGGATTATACAATTGTTCCTTTTTTTTTTTGAGACGGAGTTTTACTCTTGTCACCCAGGCTGGAGTGTAGTGGCTTGATCTTGGCTCACTGCAACCTCTGCCTCCCGGGTTCAAGTGATTTTCCTGTCTCACCTTCCCAAGTAGCTGGGATTACAGTTGCCTGCCACCATGCCCGGCTAATTTTTTTTTTTTTTTTTTTGTATTTTTAGTAGAGACGGTATTTCACTGTGTTGGCCAGGCTGGTCTCGAACTCCTGACCTCAGGTGATCCACCCGCCTCGGCTTCCCAAAGTGTTGGGATTACAGGCGTGAGCCACTGTGCCCGGCCATTGAATTGTTCTTGATGGCTTATTTCCCTTAGCAATGGGCTTATGGCCTCCTGGGAAGACAACATGGTCACTTTTACTTCCTGGCCCTGACAGCCAACCCAAGTATCTTAGTCCATATGGGTTGTTACAACAAAAATACCATACACTGGGGGGTGACTTATAAACAACAAGCGTTTTCTTCTTACAGTTCTTTTTTTTTTTTTTTGAGACAGAGTCTCGCCTTGTCGCCCAGGCTGGAGTTCAGTGGCTCAGTCTTGGCTCACTGCAATCTCTGCCTCCCAGGTGCAAGCGATTCTCCTGCCTCAGCCTCTCGAGTAGCTGGCACTACAGGTGTGTGCCACCACACCCAGCTAATTTTGTTGTATTTTAGTAGAGACAGGGTTTCACCCTGTTGGCCAGGCTGGTCTTGAACTCCTGACCTCAAGTGATCTGCCCGCCTTGGCCTCCCTAAGTGCTGGGATTACAGACGTGAGCCATTGCGCCTGGCAGGTTTCTGACAGTTCTGGAAGCTGGGAAGTCCAAGGTCAAAGTGCTGGCAGATTTGGTGTCTGGTAAGGGAACCGTTTCTCATAGATGGTCCCTTCTCACATGTCCTCATATGGTGGAATGGGCAAACAAGCTTAAACAGGTCCCTTTTATAAGGGCACTAATCCCATTCATGAAGGCTTCACCCTCATCACCTTATCTCCTCCCAAAGGCCCCACCAGTTTAAGAAAATTTTTATGTTAGAGATGGGGTCGGCCGGATGAGGTGGCTCATGCCTGTAATCCCAGCACTTTGGGAGGTTGAGGCAGGTGGATCATGAGGTCAGGAGTTTGAGACTAGCCTGGCCAACATGGTGAAACCCCGTCTCTACTAAAAACACAAAAATTAGCCAGGCGAGGTGGCAGGCACTTGTAATCCCAGCAACTTGAGAGGCTGAAGCAGGAGAATCGCTTGAACCCGGGAGGGGGAGGTTGCAGTGAGCCAAGATGGCACCACTGTCCTCTAGCCTGGGTGACAGAGCAAGACTCCATATCCAAAAATAAATAAATAAAATAAAATAAAATAAAAATACAAAAATTAGCCAGGCATGGTGGTGCATGCCTGTAGTTCCAGCTACTTGGGAGGCTGAGGCAGGAGAATTGCTTGAACCCAGGAGGCGGGTGCCAAGATCGCACCACTGCACTCCAGCCTGGGTGACAGAGTGAGACTCTGTTCTCAGCATGAAGCCTGAAGGCTATGAAGAAGAAAAGAGCATTCTGGGCCAGGGGTGGTGGCTCACACCTGGAATCCTAGCACTTTGGGAGGCCAAGGCAGGAGGATCCCTTGAGGCCAGGAGTTAGAGACCAGACTGGGGAACATAGTGAGACTCCTGTCTACAAAACATTAAAAAAAATTAGCTGTGGCCAGGCGTGGTGGCTCATGCCTGTAATTCCAGCACTTTGGGAAGCTGAGGCAGGCAGATCACTTGAGGTCAGGAGTTTGAGACCAGCCTGGCCAACATGGTGAAATCCTGTCTCTACTAAAAATGCAAGAATTAGGTGGGCCTGGTGATAGGTGTCTGTAATCCCAGCTACTTGGGAGGCTGAGGCAGGAGAATCGCTTGAACCTGGGAGGTGGAGGTCACAGTAAACCAAGATTATGCCACTGCACTCCAGCCTGGGTGACAGAGTGAGAGTGAGACTCTGTCTTAAAAAAAAAAAAAAAAAAAAAGGCTGGGTGCGGTGGCTCACGCCTGTAATCCCAGCACTTTGGGAGGCTGAGGCAGGAGGATCACCTGAGGTCAGGAGTTCAAGACCAGCCTGGCCAACATGGTGAAACCCCGTCTCTACTAAAAATGCAAAAATTAGCCAGGTGTGGTGGCGGGTGCCTGTAATCCCAGCTACTCAGGAGGCTGAGGCAGGAGAATCACTTGAACCTGGGAGGCGGAGGTTGCAGTGAACTGAGATCGTGCCATTGCACTCCAGCCTGGACAACAAGAGTGAAACTCCATTAAAAAAAAAAATCTGGGCACAGTGATGTGTGTCTGTAGTCCCAGCTACTTGGAAGGCTGAGGTGGGAGGATGGCTTGAGCCCAGGAGGTTGAGGCTGCAATGAGCTATGATGGCCCCACTGCACTCCAGTCTGGGCAACTGAGTGAGACCCTGTCACACACACACACAAAAAAAGGAAGAATAAAAAAAGAAAAGAAAAAAAGAAAAGAACATTCTTTTTGCTCGGGAGGTATTTAGACGGTATCATGAGCTTGTGTTTCAAGCTGTGTGTTCAATAAACCATTTCTGCAGGGACAATGACACATTGTGTGACATGCTCTGAGAGTGCCTGCTGGGCCTGGGCCGCTGGGGGAGGCTGCAAGGGACAGAAGACATTTCAGCTGGATCGTGGCCAGGCAAAGGAAAGGCAAGAACCAGCCAGGCAAAAGGCCTGGAGGTGTGAGAGGCTCTAGAATGATCTGAGACTGGTGAGTGGGGGAGGTGGCCTGGTTTGGCTGGAACCCAAGGCTCCCTGGGGGACAGGGAAGAAGTGAGCTATTGGGGCCAGGTCTCCGATGCCAGACTCACGCCTGTGGGTTTCCTCCTGGAGGCAGTGGAGGCTTGAATGGCTGTGCTTAAGCAGGAACGGGCAGGTCAGAGCTGGGGAGGAGAATGTCTTCTTACTGCTTCGTTTTATTTTTCAAGTGCCAACTTCTTAATATCTGTGAGTCAAGCACTGTGCTATTATTGGGATTGTGGCAACACCTCTAATTGACAGGTTTTTTTTTTTTTTTGGTATGTGTTTTTGAGACAAAGTCTTGCTCTGTCATCCAGACTGGAATGCAATGATGTGATCATGGCTTACTGCGGCCTCGACCTCCCAGGCTCAAGTGATCCTCCTGCTTCAGCCTCCCGAGTAGCTGGGATTACAGGCACACACCACCACGCCTGGCTCATTTATTTTTTGTAGAGATGGGATTTGGCTACATTGCCCAGACTGCTCTTGAACTGCTGGCCTCAAGGAATCCTCCTTCCCACCTTGGGCTCCTGAAGTGCTGAGATTACAAGTGGGAGCCACGGCACCCAGCCCTAATTAACGGTTCTTTTTTGCCAGGTGCAGTGGTTCCCGCCTGTAATCCCAACACTTTGAGAGGCTGAGGCAGGCAGATCACTTGAGGTCAGGAGTTCGAGACCAGCCTGGCTAACATGATTAAACGCTCTCTCTACTAAAAATAGAAAAATTAGCCAGGTGGGGTGGTGGGTGCCTGTAGTTTCAGCTACTCGGGAGGCTGAGACAGGAGAATCCCTTGAACCCAGGAGGCGGAGGTTGCAGTGAGTGGAGATTGCACTACTGCACTCCAGCCTAGGCAACAAGGCGAGACCTCTGTCTCAAAACAACAAACATATGAACAAACAAATCCCCACAAAAACAGTTTTGTTTTGTTTATTTATTTATTTATTTATTTTTATTTTATTTTATTTTTTTGAAATGGAGTCTTGCTCTGTCACCCAGGCTGGAGTGCAGTGGCGCGATCTCGGCTCGCTGCAAGCTCTGCCTCCTGGGTTCACGCCATTCTCCTGCCTCAGCCTCCCGAGTAGCTGGGACTACAGGTGCCCGCCACCACACCCAGCTTATTTTTTGTATTTTTAGTAGAGACGGGGGTTTCACCCTGTTAGCCAGGATGGTCTCGATCTCCTGACCTCGTGATCCACCCGCCTTGGTCTCCCGAAGTGCTGGGATTACAGGCGTGAGCCACCGCACCCGGCCTGTTTTGTTTTTTAAAAGCAGGCTGAGCACAGAGGTTCATGCCTGTAATCCCAGCATTTTGGGAGGCTGAGGCGAGAGGATCGCTTAAGTCAAGGAGTTTGAGACCAGCCTGCAACATAGTGAGACCCTGTCTCTACTAAAAAAAAAAAATTAAAAAGTGTGTGTGCCTG
This sequence comes from Homo sapiens, assembly GCF_000001405.40. NCBI lineage: Eukaryota > Metazoa > Chordata > Mammalia > Primates > Hominidae > Homo > Homo sapiens. The sequence goes on along the minus strand of NC_000007.14, from coordinate 74,611,155 downwards.
TGTGTATGTGTGTGTACACAATGTGTGTGTGTGAGTGTGTGTGCGTGTGCGCGTATTTCTCTGGTCTTTGCAGCTGAGATCTTTCCTGATGTCCCTTTCCTGTGCAGGGGAGGTCTGGTCTGAGCAAACCTGACTCGTCGGGACCCATTTCTGTTCTTCTTTTCTTCTTCTTTTTTTTTTTTTTTGAGACGGAATCTTGCTCTGTCGCCCAGGCTGGAGTGCAGTGGCACGATCTCAGCTCACTGCAAGCTCCGCCTCCCGGGTTCCCACCATTCTCCTGCCTCAGCCTCCCGAGTAGCTGGGACTACAGGCGCCTGCCACCACGCCCGGCTAATTTTTTGTATTTTTAGTAGAGACGGGGTTTCACCATGTTAGCCAGGATGGTCTCAATCTCCTGACCTCATGATCTGCCAGCCTTGGCCTCTCAAAGTGCTGGGATTACAGGCGTGAGCCACCGCGCCCGGCCCTCTGTTTTTCTTTTCAAATGTACCTCTGTTACTCTCTTTCAAACACATTAGGGAAACCGAAAGAGAAGCTCTGTCCAGCCCCAAGTTGCGGGGTTCGCCTGGGGCAGTGCTCAGCCGCCTGAGTCAGTCTGGCGGTCTCCTCTGAAGCCAAGCCTGGTGCTTCATCTTTTCTAGTTGTGTAACCCTGGACTCAGCCCTTCATCTTTCTGAACCTCAGATTCTTCATTTGTGAAATGAAGAAATAATATTTACTTTGCAGGGCTGTGAGGATTAACAGAGCACATAAAAGTTCTTGCGTAATGGGCCGGGCATGGTGGCTCATGCCTGTAATCCCAGCACTTTGGGAGGCTGAGGTGGGCGGATCCCTTGAGGTCAGGAGTTCAAGACCAGCCTGGCCAACATGGTGAAACACTGTCTCTACTAAAAATACAAAAATTAGCCGGGCGTGGTGGCGGGTGCCTGTAATCCCAGCTACTCGGGAGGCTGAGGCAGGAGAATCGCTTGAACCTGGGAGGTGGAGGTTGCAGTGAGCTGAGATTGTGCCACTGTACTCCAGCCTGGGTGATAGAGCAAGACACCGTCTCAAAAAATAAATAAATAAATAAATAAATAAATAAATAAATATAGGATTTCTATGGAGTTCCAATTTATGACCAGAAATAGAGAAAGCAAATTCTACTGATGGAGGCACAAGTCATAGTTCCCCTACAGATGGATTCTGGGGCTGAGGTTGGGGGAAGGAGGTTACTGGAATCACTGGAGCAGGAGGATTTAAAGAGTTAAGGCAGGCCGGGCGTGGTGGCTCTTGCCTGTAATCACAGCACTTTGGGAGGCTGAGGCAGGCAGATCACCTGAGGTCAGGAGTTCGAGACCAGCCTGACCAACATGGAGAAACCCCATCTCTACTAAAAAATACAAAATTAGCCGGGCGTGGTGGCACATACCTGTAATCCCAGCTACTCGGGAGGCTGAGGCGGGAGAATCACTTGAACCTGGGAGGTGGAGGTTGCTGTGAGCCAAGATTGCACCATTGCACTCCAGCCTGGGCAACAAGAGTGAAACTCCGTCTCAAAAAAAAAAAAAAAGAGTTAAGGCAGCTGGGTGCAGTGGCATGTGCCTGTAATTCTAGTGCTTTGGGAGGCTGTGGAAGGAGGATCACTTCAGTCTGGGAATTGGAGGCTGCAGTGAGCTAGGAGCGCGCCACTGCACTCCAGCTGGGTGACAGAGTGAGACCCTGTCTCAAAAAAAAAAAAAAAAAAAAAGATTTAAGGGCCCTCTTATTTTCCAGGAGACCGGTGTAGTTTATATTCTTTCACCAACTCGCTCACATTTAGTGAGTACCTTGTATGTCCTGGACGTAGGCGCTAGGATAGAACGGTGGATAAAATGGACACAGTCCTTGACATCATAAAGCATAAAGCAGGCAGAGAAGCAGAAAATAATGACAGAAAAAATAAGTTATTGTAGGCTGGGTGCAGTGGCTCACGCCTGTAATCCCAGCACTTTGGATGGCTGAGACGGGTGGATCACTTGAGGTCAGGAGTTCAAGACCAGCCTGGCCAACATGGTGAAACACTGTCTCTACTAAAAATACAAAAATTAGCCAGGCGTGGTGGCGCAAGCCTGTTATCCCAGCTGCTTAGGGGTCTGACGCAGGAGAATCACTTGACCCTGGGAGACGGAGGTTGCAGTGAGCCAAGATCCCGATACTGCACTCCAGCCTGGGTGACAGAATAGACTCCACCTCAAAAAAAAAAAAAAAAAAAAAAAAAAAAAGAACGAATGATACTTGATATTAATAAAATGATATTTATTTACTTGAGATAGGGTCTTGCTCTGTCGCCCAGGCTGGAGTACAGTGGCACAATTATAGCTCACTGCAGCCTTGAATCCCTGGGCTCAGGTGAGCCTCCCACCTTGGTCTCCTTAGTAGCTGGTACTACAGGTGCCCACCATCATGCCCAGCCATGAGTTTTAGGAAGATGATGAAATTTAAAAATTACAGGGCAGTGGCCAAGTGCAATGGCTCACACCTGTAATCCCAGCATTTTGTGAGTCCCAAGTGAGAGGATCCCTTGAGGCCAGGAGTTTAAGACCAGCCTGGGCAACATAGTGAACTTCTGTCTTTACAATAAGAAAAATTAGCTGGGCATGGTGGCATGTGCCTGAAGTCCCAGCCAGTTGGGAGGCGAGGCGGGGGGATCACTTGAGCCCAGGAGTTCCAGGCTTCAGTGAGCTATGATCGAGCCACTGCATTCCAGCCTGGGCCACACAAAGAGACCTTGTCTCTTTTTTTTTTTTTTTTGAGATGCAGTATTGCTCTCTCACCCAGGCTGGAGTGCAGTGGCACGATCTCAGCTCACTGCAAGCTCCGCCTCCTGGGTTCACACCATTCTCCTGCCTCAGCCTCCCGAGTAGCTGGGACTACAGGTGCCCGGCTAATTTTTTGTATGTTTTTTAGTAGAGACGGGGTTTTACCATGCTAGCCAGTATGGTCTTGATCTCCTGACCTTGTGATCCACCCACCTCGGCCTCCCAAGGTGCTGGGATTACAGGTGTGAGCCACCGCACCCGGCCTTTTTTTTTTTTTTGAGATGGAGTTTTGCTCTGTTGCCCAGGCTGGCGTGTGCAGCGGTGCGATCTCCACTCACTGCAACCTCCACCTTCTGGTTTCAAGCGATTCTCCTGCCTCAGCCTCCCGAGTAGCTGGGATTACAGGCATCCGTCACCACGCCCAGCTAATTTTTGTATTTTTTAGTAGAGACGGGGTTTCACTATGTTGGCCAGGCTGGTCTTGAACTCTTGACCTCGTGATCCGCCCGCCTCAGCCTCCCAAAGTGCTGGGATTACAGGTGTGAGCCATCTCGACCGGCCGAGACCCTGTCTTTTAGAAAAAAAAAAAGTAATAATTAATAATGAAGATAAATAACGCTTTGGTTCCTTAAAAAGAGGTACCTCGCAGGGCCGTTGGAAGCACCAGCCAGGAGAGCTCAGGACCAACCCTCCCCTGAGTGCACCAAGCCAGGCACCTGGGCGGTGCGGGAGGGTGGCCCGAGGGGAGCAGGTGCCCCGTCTCGTTTTGTGGCCCGTCCCTGCGCCAATTATTGCTTTATTACTGTTTTCAGTCAGATATAATTCCAGCATTTTCTATAATCTTGATCTTTTCATTGATACCAGATTTTTGTACAATGATTTGTATATAAAATGACTGTGTACCCACCAGAATACATTCCCCGGCAATTAGAACGTTTAAGATGCAGCTCCTAACCGTCCTTCATTTATTACTTTTGAAAGTGTTTTGTGATTTTTTTGGGGATGTGTTTACAAATCCAATAACAATTCTCATTTAGAGTTGCAAAACACGAAGCCATTTCGAACCGAGACAGATGGCAGCTAAATGAAGTTTAATTAAAGAATGAGTGCTTTGAATCAAATCACTTTTTAAAAAGTACAGTACACTGAGATTCTGGAGAGGTTGCATAAACAGCATCTGGGCGCTTCTGCGAGGAAAAGAGTCAGTAAGGCTTTCCCATCGGATAAGGGGCTGGGCGGGCGCAGGGTGGGCGAAGGGAAAAGCGGCCCTTTGCACAAGACCTCTGTCCTCTGCCTGGACACACCTCCCAAAGCCCAGGCCTCCAGGGACTGGGGGAAACTCACAGGAGGCAACCTCTTGCTTCAAACGCTTTGGCTTGGAGCAGGGGAAGGGGGTGGGAGAGGGGTCCCCACTTCTGCCCTTTCTTTAAGACATAGGGTCTCGCTGTGTTGCCCAGGCTGGAGTGCAGCGGCTCAATCCTCTGCTTTTAGGGAAGCGGGAGGATACGAGGGTTTGCTGCACCGACCCACTTAATTGCACGCCATCTGCACAGTGAGCCTGAAAGAGAACAGATTGGGAGCTTCGCGGGCCTTTGCGCGGATGAAGGAGGATCGGGTTCCCCGGCCCGCCCTACCCCCGGGCTCTGCGCCCTCTCCATGCACGGGATGGCAGTGCCCGCGGGCACAGTCTCAGCCCCGCCGCTCCCGGCCGGGGCAGGAGCCACTTCCGGCTCTGGCCGCGGATCTGAGCGGTGGAGCGGGGGCGGCGGGTCTAGACGACCGACAGGCGCCAGCGGGCGGTGGCGGGCGGGAGGGGGCGCCAGGTGGGCCGGGCCCGGGGGACGGAACGGTGGGACAGAAGGCTGGGGACCCGACCCCCTGCGAGGCGCCTGGAACGCCGCACCTAGATGCTTGCACTGGGTGCAAGGAAAGCAAAACAGATTTTAAATCCAGAGTCACAGGATCGGGGGTGGGGGATGGGTTACAGGACGTGAGGGTTGAAGGCAAGGTGGCAGCTGCAAGGACTCTTCAGATCATCTTGACTTCATAGGCAGTTTCTGCTTGGAGGTGGTGGCCAGTTGAGGAGGTCACTCCTGCCCCCATCCTGGAGTGGAAAAAGTGGGCCCGGCCCAGGGCAGGGGCTGAGGGTGGAGTGGAGGCGCCTGGTGGCACTGGGAGCCACTAGGAGGTGGGAGGGAGGAAGGTGAGGCTGGCAGCTGACTGGGTGGGGGGTTTGCACCAGCGGAGAGGGGGTGGCTGTGCCAGGCACGTGGTTTCTAGCGTCTTTCCAGGAGGAAGTGTGGTCTGGAAGGCTGGGATGGGGCCTTCCTCCCAGCTCTGGGCATGGATGGGACTGACCCTGAGGACTGGCAGAAGCCCTGGACTAAAGTTTTGACCATTTCCTCAGCTGATTCAGAACTCAGTCCCTCCAAGCCACAGGCCTCATTCTGGGCCCTGGGTGGACGGTTAGAGCCAGATCCTGGGACCACCCTGACCCCTGACTCTCCAGAACCCCTCGTCCACCCGACTGGCTGACCCTCTAGTTATTTTCTCCACCTGGCCCAAACCACTGCCATCTCTCTCTCTCTCTCTTTTTTTGAGACGGAGTCTCGCTCTGTTGCCCAGGCTGGAGTGCAGTGGTGCGATCTCAGCTCACTGCCAATCTCTGCCTCTTGGGTTCAAGAGATTCTTCTGCCTCAGCCTCCAGAGTAGTTGGGATTACAGGTGTCCACCACCATGCCCAGCTAATTTTTGTATTTTTAGTAGAGACAGGGTTTCACCATGTTGGCCAGGCTGGTCTCGAACTCCTGGCCTCAGGTGATCCACCCACCTCAGCCTCCCAAAGTGCTGGGATTACAGGCATGAGCCACTACGCCTGGCCTCTACTGCTATCTTCTGTTGGAGCCTCCCAGGTGGTCTTCTGATGTATTCCTCCCTTCCTTCTCCGACATCTCTCAGCGGGCAGGGGCACCCTTCCAAAATGCAGACCTAGGCCTGGCTCTCCCCCAGGTACTTCCTGCTGTGGGTCTCATTTGCCTTCTGGAAATTGCCTTGGCCCGGCTTATGAGGCCTTCCACGTGGGTCGGTGAGAAAAAGTACGCAGCTCTGTCCCAGAGTGCATGGCTGGGCAGGTGTAACCCAGGCTGGATGTCTGCCTCTGCCCACCACTTCAGCCCGGCACCATGTGTAGGAGACACCTGCTTAGCGTCCTCGGGAACCCTGACTAAGTCCACACCTGCCCTGACATGTCACCTCCAGCCACCCTGTGTCTGCTCTGGTGACACCTTCTTATTCCTGGAACGTACCCAGTCCCTGTCCAGCTCCGTTTTTGCCCACATCGCTCTCGTCTTAAACACCCACCTACCTCAGCCCTCCTCTCTTTGTCCCCCCAAAGCCTCACTTGCTCTTCAAGCCTCAGCTTCAAGGACTCTTCCTACTTTCTGCACTAGGTGAGGCCCCCCCGCTTTGTTTTTTCAGAGGCAGGGTCTTGCTCTGTTGCCCATGCTCAAGAGCAGTGGTGCAATCACGGCTCACTGCAGTGTCAAACTCTTGGTCTCAAACAATCCTCCTGCCTCAGCCTCCAGAGTAGCTGGGACCACGCACACACCACCATACCCAGCTAATTAACATTTTTTAGAGAAAGGGTTCCACTATGTTGTCTAGGCTGGTCTTGAACTCCTGGCCTCAAGCGATCCTCCCACCTTGGCCTCCCAAAGCACTGGGATTACAGGCCTGAGCCACCGCACCAGCCCTACTCTGTTTTGTACTCCCTGGCAGCTGCCTCCCCAATTAGGACACTCAGCTGCTTGGCCTCCCCAGCCAGAAGGGCAGGGCTCAGTAAATATGTGTCACCCAATAAGCAGGGACTGGGTGCCAGGCCTTGGACGCCTGCCACGCTCTTGTGACTTGTCTTTCTGCCTTCAGTCTTGTCCCTTCCTTCAACTTCCCACCTGCCCCTAAAGTGGTCTTTCTGAGACACAGCTGGGACCCCATCACTCTGCTTGTCAGGTATCCAGAGCTCTATCCAAAATCATCCCAGGCTGGGCATGGTGGCTCACGCCTCTAATCCCAGCACTCTGGGAGGCTGGGGCAGGAGGATGGCTTGAGCCCAGGAATTTGCAGCCAGCCTGGGCAACATAACCCAAGACCCCATCTCTACAAAAAAATCAAAAAATTAGCTGGGTGTGGTGGCTCACACCTGTAGTCCCAGCTACTCTGGAGGCTGAGGCAGGAGGATTACTTGAGCCCAGGAGTTTGAGGCTGCAGGAAGATATGATCGTGCCACTGCATTCCAGCCTGGGGACACAGAAAGAACTTGCCTCTGAAAAAAGAAAACTTGTCCTGCCCCCACCCCACCCCCCTTTTTTTTTGAGATGGAGTTTCATTCTTGTTGCCCAGGCTGGAGTGCAATGGTACAGTCTCGGCTCACTGCAACCTCTGCCTCCTGGGTCCAAGCAATTCTCCTGCCTCTGCCTTCCAAGTAGCTGGAATTACAGTTGCGCGCCACCACACCTGGCTAATTTTTTTGTATTTTTAGTAGAGATAGGGTTTCATCATGTTGGCTGGGCTGGTCTCGAACTCCTGACTTCAGGCGATCTGCACACCTTGGCCTCTCAATGTGCTGGGATTACAGGCGTGAGCCACCGCACCTGGTCTCCAAACCCCTTTTTGAAGAAGCCTCCCATCCAGCCACAGTGCTTCACTGGGATGGGCCCCTCCCTCTCTGACATTTACCATATTTAACACTTTTTTTTTTTTTTGAGACAGGGTCTTGCTTTGTCGCCCAGGCTGGAGTGCAGTGGTGTAATCATGACTCACTACAGCCTCAACCATCTTTACTCAAGCAATCCTCCTCCTGCCTCAGCCTCCTGAGTAGCTGGACTCCAGGTGTGTGCACCACCACGCCTGGCTAATTTTTGTGCTTTTGTTTTGTTTTTTTGAGACGGACTTTTGTTCTTCTTGCCCCAGCTGCAGTGCAATGGCGTGGTCTCAGCTCACTGCAACCTCTGCCTCCCAGGTTCAAGTGATTCTCCTACCTCAGCCTCCTGAGTAGCTGGGATTACAGGTTCCCGCCACCACACCTGGCTAATTTTTGCATTTTTAGTAGAGATGGGGTTTCACCATGTTGGCCAGGCTGGTCTCGAACTCCTGACCTCAGGTGATCCACCCGCCTCGGCCTCCCAAAGTGCTGGGATTACAGGCATGAGCCATCATGCCCGGCCTCATTTTTGCATTTTCGTACAGACGGGGTCTCCTTATGTTGCCCAGGCTAGTCTCAAACTCCTGACCTCAGGTGATTCACCCGCCTCAGCCTCCCAGAGTGCTGGGATTACAGGTGTAAGCCACATTTAACATTTTCTAGAGAAAGGGTTCTACTATGTTGCCTAGGCTCATCTCAAACTCCTGGTCTCAAGCAATCCTCCCACCTTGGCCTCCCAAAGCATCGGTATTACAGGCCAATGAGGTCGAACTCCTGACCTCAAGCAATCCACCCACCTCGACATCCCAAAGTGCTGGGATTCCAGGCATGAGCCACCACGCCCGGCCCCGTGGCACATTTTCCTTCCGTGGCTTTTCTTCTTGAGGTCACGTGCTCCCAGGAGCACAGAGAGCTCTGGGGTCTTCCTGGACACTACCTCTGCTGTGATGAAGAAGGAGGGCCTTGGCAGGCCACCTGAGCTGCGTTTCCTGACCCTGTCCCCAGTGACAGCTGCGGCCACGATCCAAAAGAGAACATGAAACAGTGACCGTAAAAGTAAAGGCAACACTCTTTTTTTTTTTTTTCTTTTTTTACTTATTTAAAAAGGCCTTGGTGGCAGGAATATAGTGTAAAAATCATTGGAAAAACTAAAAGGCATCGATACATATCCGAATATACATTTTGTACATAAATTACATTTCCTTTAGTCTTTCTGAGTGAGGTCCTGATTCAGTACTGAGGTCTAGTAATTAAGAGGTCCCGGGAGCTGCACGTTCAGGCCGGCATAGTCCACCATGTACATTGGCCATTGCTAGAGAGAGGGACAAAGGGACTGGATTAGGACTCCAGGTGATGCGGAACAAACCCAAAATGCTTAGTTCTGCTTTTGGAAGAGCTTTCTCAGAGGCTATTTATTTATATTTTTTATTTTTTTGAGATGGAGTTTCACTCTTCTGCCCAGGCTGGAGTGCAGTGATGCAATCTCGGCTCACTGCAACCTTGGCCCCGCGGGTTCAAGCGAGTCTCCTGCCTCAGCCTCCCGAGTAGCTGGGATTATAGGCGCCCGCCACCATGCCCGGCTAATTTTTCTATTTTTAGTAGAGACGGGGTTTTGCCATGTTGGCCAGGCTGGTCTTGAACTCCTGAGCCTCAAGTGATCCGCCTGCCTCGGCCTCCCAAAGTGCTAGGATTACAGGCGTGAGCCACCACACCCAGCCTATTTATTTATTTTTGAGATGGAGTCTCGTTCTCTTGCCCAGGCTGGAGTGCAATGGGACGATCTTGGCTCACTGCAGCCTCAATCCCCTTGGGCTCAAATGATCCTCCTGCCCCAGCCTCCCAAGTAGCTGCGACCACAGGCACGTGCCACCATGCCTGGCTAATTTTTTTTTCTGAGACAGTGTTTCACTCTTGTTGCCCAGGCTGCAGTGCAATGGCGCGACCTCGGCTCATTGCAACCTCTGCCTCCCAGGTTCAAGCGATTCTCCTATCTCAGCCTTCCAAGTAGCTGGGATTACAGGCATGAGCCACTATGCCCCACTTTGCCCGGCTAATTTTGTATTTTTAGTAGAGATGGGGTTTCCCCGTGTTGGTCAGCCTGGTCTCAAACTCCTGACCTCAGGTGATCCACCCGACTTGACCTGCCAAAGTGCTGGGATTACAGGCGTGAGCCACTGCACCCGCCAGCCATGTCTTTTCATGTCTCCAGCTCTGGTGCGGCTGAAGGGTGTGGGCAGGTGGACCTCAGCCGGCCCATCTGCCCAGCGAGGATGTGAATTCCTGCCTGAGTGCCTGTGAGTACCCCACGAGAAGGATGGGCTACCTCTTGGGTGAGACAGGTGGATGCATCTATAACCCCCGAGGCCGGAAGGTCCCCACTCAAAGCCCAGTGCCTCCCCGTCCCCTGGGCCCACATCCCAGAGTAGACGGCCCTGCCAGACAGAGGGGTGAGGGCCACAGAGATGAGTGCCGGAGTCCAAATCGGTGCAACTTTACCACGAGTGAGATCTGGTTGGCCGATGCCACTGAATCCGGGTTAGAGGACGAGGAAGAGGAAGACGAGGAGGAAGAGGAGACGGAATTTCCTTCCGAGACCCGCTTTCTCTTGCGCTTGGGAATGCTGCTGTCTTTGGCTGGAAGGAGGGGAAAAGGCTGTTGACACTGGAAGCTGAGGCTTTTCTGTCTCAGCCTCCTGAGCTCCCTGGAAAAGTGCTCTGTCTTAAGGTTTCGAGTCCCCCTTTCAGGATTTCAGGCTCCTGATCCCCTGGGGGTCAGGGCCCACCTGTCCAGAGCCCACATGTCCAGCCTCCTTCCCAAAGCAAGCCCGAGGGCCCACTCTCCCCGGCCTCCTGCTCTTGCTGGCCTGCCTGCCTTTGCTAACACCGTATCCTCATCCCCATGTGTCCCTCCTCCTCCCCAGCAAGCTCACCCCTTAGGCCCTAGGTCCTCTCTCTTTCTGGTTTTTTGAGATGGAGTCTCGCTCTGTCACCCAGCCTGGAGTCCAGTGGCGCGATCTTGGCTCACTGCAACCTTTGCCTTCTGGGTTCAAGCGATTCTAGTGCCTGAGCCTCCCAAGTAGCTGGGGTTATAGGTGTCTGCCACCACGTCCAGCTAATTTTTTTGTATTTTGAGTAGAGATGGGGTTTCACCGTGTTGGGCAGGCAGCTCTTGAACTCCTGACCTCAAGTGATCCATCCACCTCGGCCTCCCAAAGTGCTGGGATTATAGGCATGAGCCATCGAACCTGGCCTATATTGTTTTTTAGGGTCTCACTCTGTTGCCCAGGCTGGAGTGCCATGGTGCAATCGTAGCTCACTGCAGCTTCCAAGTCCTGGGCTCAAGCAATCCTCCCACCTCAGGTTCCCGAGTAGCTGGGACTATACGTGCGCGCCACCATGCCTGGCTAACTTTTTGTATTTCTGCATCATTATGTTGCCCAGGCTGGTCTCCAATTCCCAACCTCAAGCAATCCTCCTGCCTCAGCTTCCCTAAATGCTGAGATTACAGGCATGAGCCACCGTGCCTGGCTCATGGCAACAATATTAATCGCATTCTCAGTTTCTGAGTATTTTCTGGGTGCTGGGCACTGTGCTAAATGCTTTGCACATTGTCTGCTGGGATCCTCCCAGCAACCCTCCAAGATCCTATTCACATTTCACTCACGAGCACCCGAAGGGGCAGGGCTGTTAAAGGACTTTCTCCAAGGCCAAGTCTGCGTGGCTCCGGAGGCCACATTCTTTCCTGGGCTCTTTAAGGCTGTGAGGGGATGTGGGACCCCAGGAGAGGCTCTGGGAGTTCTGGGGAGGCTGGAACTGCAGGCTAGGTTGTCCAGGGAGGGTATAAAGAGGACCTGGGGCCAGGCGCAGTGGCTCACACTGGTAATCCCAGCACTTTGGGAGACCAAGGTGGGTGGATTGACTGAGGTCAGGAGTTCGAGACCAGCCTGGGCAACATGGTGAAGGTTGAAACCCTGTCTCTACCAAAATACAAAAAAATTGTATTGCTATGGTTATCACTAATGTATGGTGGTCCTGAGTGGAGAGTTCACAGGTCCAAGTAGACAGGCAGTGCCCCAGTGAAAGAAACTCTGGTTTAGAATCAGAAGTCCTAAGTTCAAATTTCACTGTGGCCACTTACTATTATCACTGTGTGAATCTGGGAAAACTGATGAACCTCTCTGAGTCAAATGGGGAAACCAGTGTGATGTGAGACTCAAAAAACACCGCATGCATAAAAGAACCCAGCACCTAGTTCAGCACGGAGGAGGGGTCAGCAGGTGTTCTGTGGTTGCTGGATTAACTTGAGGTGAAGATGTAAGACTTTGAGCAGCACGTCCTGATTGGATGGATTACTGCATGGAAACCTCGCCCAGCCCAATAAAGAAGGGCTTTTATTGTCTTTTTGAGACAAGGTCTCACTCTGTCACCCATGCTGGAGTGCAGTGGTGTGGTCTTGGCTCACTGCAACCTCCACCTCCCAAGCTCAAGTGATCCTCCTGCCTCAGCCTCCCTACAGGTGCACACCACCCTGCCTGGCTAATTTTTTGTAGAGACGGGGTCTCTGTATGTTGCCCAGTCTGGTCTTGAACTCTTGGGCTCAAAGAATTCTCCTGCTTCAGCCTCCCAAAGTGCTGGGATTACAGGCGTGAGCCACTGCACTCAGCCCACCGGAAGGGTCTTAATGACACAGAGTAAGGGCAGGCTGGGTCCATGGGGCAAATGTCTCTTCAACTGGTGGAGAAGTCAGAAACTGGGGGTCTGTGGTGAGGCATAGAGACCCTGCGAAAGAGAAGACCCTGGAGGCAGGAGGAGCCCAGGCTATGAGTCAGAGGGATTTTTGTGGGAGATTCCACATGAAAAAGAAGTCAGAGGCTGCCCCACCCTCTGTCTCAGACTGGTCCATGGGCTGTGGCCATCCTTGAATCACCATGAGAGATGGCCACATTGGAGGGAGTGGTGGATGTGGGTGACAGTATCCACCCTCTGGGCATCTGTCCCAAATCCTCCTGAGGCTTTCATGTGGCCTTCTGTGTCTCTGCCATGTTTTGTTTTGTTTTTTTTTGAGACAGAGCCTGGCTGTGTTCCCCAGGCTGAAGTACAGTAGTGTGATCTCAGCTCACTGCAACCGCCGCTTCCTGGGTTCAAGCAATTCTCCTGCCTCAGCCTCCTGAGCGGCTGGGATTACAGGCGCCCACCACCACCCCCGGCTAATTTTTTTTTTTTTGGATTTTAGTAGAGACAAGGTTTCACCATGTTGGCCAGGCTGGTCTTGAACTCCTGACCTCAGGTGATCCACCTGCCTCCCTGCCTCAGCCTCCCAAAGTGTTGGGATTACAGGCGTGAGCCACCGCGACTGGCCTCCTCTCTGCCTTTGACCTGAGAGTAAACCAAATCGCCTCCAGATCCGTGTGTTCAGTGCCAGACCTGACCCTTTTAACTGGCTCTTTTTTTTTTGGAAACAGGGTCTCACTCTGTCGCCCAGGCTGGAGCGCAGTGGCACAATCATAGCTCACTGCAGCCTCCACCTTCCGGCCTCAAGCACTCCTCCTGCCTCATCCTCTTGACTATCTGGGACAACAGGTACGCGCCACCACGCCTGGCTAATTTTTAATTTTTTTGCAGAGACGGAGGGAGGGTCTCACTTTATGGCCCAGGCTTGTGACTAGCTCTTGATGGAAGGAGGTGGCTTCTAGCTGGGCTGTGCCACCCCAGGCTGTGGAGTTCCAGGTGAACCTGGTCCTGACAGGAGTCAGGGCCTTGGGTCTCAGGTAAGGTTGTGGCGTGGACTTGCTGAATCCTATCACTGTCCCTGTTGAGCAGCCATACTGGGCCGTGTGGCCCACGGTGGTCTATGGTTCAGATGGGTGGTCCTGAGAGCAGGGTCTACACAGCATCTGACTCACTATGTGGCCTGGGCAAGTCCCTGGGCATCTCTGTGCCTCAGCTTCCCAGCTGTACAATGAGGTGGGGTAAGATTAGATCAGTATTTTTTCTTTCTTCTTCTTTTTTATTTCTTAGGAGACGGGGTCTCGGCCAGGCACAGTAGCTCACGCCTGTAATCCCAGCACTTTGGGATGCTGGGGTGGGAAGATCACTTGAGGTCAGGTGTTTGAGACCAGCCCGGCCAACATGGTGAAACCTCACTTCTACTAAAAATACAAAAAATTAGCTGGGTGTGGTGGTGCATGCCTGAAGTCCCAGCTACTCGGGAGGCTAAGGCATGAGAATTGCTTGAACTCAGGAGGCGGAGGTTGCAGTGAGCCAAGATCGCAAGATTGACTCCAGCCTGAGTGACAGAGTGAGACTCTGTCTTGAAAGAAAAAAAAAAAAAAAAAAGGCCGGTAGCAGTGGCTTACGCCTGTAATCCCAGCACTTTGGGGGGCCGAGGCAGGTAGATCATGAGGTCAGGAGTTCGAGACCAGCCTGGCCAATATGGAGAAACCCCGTCTCTACTAAAAATACAAAAAAATAGCTGGGCGTGGTGGCAGGCGCCTGTAATCCCAGCTACTTGGGAAACTGAGGCAGGAGAATCACTTGAACCCGGGAGTCGGAGGTTGCAGTGAGCCGAGATCACACCACTGCACTCCAGCCTGGGCGACAGAGTGAGACGCTGTCTCGGAAAAAAAAAAAAGAGATGGGGTCTCATTCTGTCATCCAGGCAGGATGGCATAATCATAGCTCACTGCAGCCTTAAACTCTTGGGCTCAAGTGATCCTCCAGCCTCAGCCTCCTGGGACTACAAGTGCCTACTACCATGCCTGGCTAATTTTTAGAAAAACCTTTTTGGTCCACAGCCATACCACCCTGAATGCACCCGATCTTGCCTGATCTCAGAACTGAAGCAGGGTCGGGCCTGGTTAGTACTTGGATGGGAGAAAAAACTTTTTGTAGAGACAAGATCTCACTACGTTGCCCAGGTTGGTTTCAAACTCCTGGACTCAAGCAGTCCTCCCACTTAGGCCTCCCAAATTGCTGGGATTAGAGGCGTGAGCCACCACACCTGGCCAATCAGTGTTTCTTTTTCTTTTTCTTTTCGAGACAGAGTCTTGCTCTGTCACCCAGCCTGGAGTGCAGTGGTGTGATCTCGACTCACTGCAACCTCTGCCTCCTGGACTAAAGTGATTCTTCCACCTCAGACTCCCAAGTAGCTGGGACTGCAGGCGTGCACCACCATGCCAGGCTAATTTTTTTTTTCTTTTTCTTTTTTTTTTTTTTTTTGAGACAGAGTCTTGCTCTGTTGCCCAGGCTGGAGTGCAGTGGCATAATCTTGGCTCACTGCAACCTCTGTCTCCTAGGTTCAAGCGATCCTCCTACCTCAGCCCCCAAGTAGCTGGGATTACAGGCACGTGCCACCATGCCTGGCTAATTTTTGTATTTTTAATAGAGACAGGGTTTAGCATGTTGACCAGGCTGGTCTCGAACTCTTGACCTCAGGTGATCCACCCACCTCAGCCTTCCAAAGTGCTGGGATTACACGCGTGAGCCACCGCGCCCGGCCCTGATTTTTCTATTTTCAGTTGAGATGGGGTTTCACCATGTTGGCCAGTCTGGACTTGAACTCCTGATCTCAAGTGATATGCCTGCCTCGGCCTCCCAAAGTGCTGGGATTACAGGTGTGAGCCTCTGCGCCTGGCCCAATCAGTGTTTCTTAATCAGGTGCACATCATAGTCACCCGGGAGTACTTTCTCCCAAGTCCCATCATACACCTTAATCAGAACCATCATGCCAGGCGGCCCCCAGGTGCCTAGTGAAAGGTTCTGTATACCCTGCAGATGCCAGCAGAACAGAGGGGGTCTGGCCAGTCTCGGGCAATGCCTGCCTGCCTCACCACTGTTGGTCACGTGCTACCCCTCTGCTACCCAGGAGGACTCCATGATCCTCCCTGAGGCCCAGCCTGCCTCTTGTCCTTCCAGCTGACCTCATACACTCACTGGTGCTATGGCAAGGCCTCCCCTCTGCAGGGCACCTGCAGGTTTCTGGAGGCCTCTTGGGGATACCTGGCTCTGTTCATGGAGACCTCAGGCTCCCTGGGGAGGCCCCAGCGTGGAGAGGGGCTATATTTTTCTCAAGGTGGTCAGCCATCTATTGCATGCCCACCTGGACCACATCTATTTCTGCCTTTAAAAAATTTTTTTATGAAATTTTTTTTTTTTAGAGACAGGGTCTCGCTCCGTTGCTCAGGCTGGAGTGCAGTGGTACAATCATAACTCATTGCAGCCTCCAACTCCTGGTGTCTCTGCTTTTTTCTTTCTTTCTTTTTTTCTTTTTTTCGAGATGGAGTCTTGCTCTGTCACCCAGGCTGGAGTGCAGGGGCGCGATCTCAGTTCACCGCAACCTCTGCCTCCCGGGTTCACGCAATTCTCCTGCCTCAGTCCCCTGAGTAGCTGGGATTACAGGTGCCCACGACCACGCCCAGCTAATTGTTGCATTTTTAGTAGAGACGGGGTTTCACCATGTTGCTCAGGCTGGTCTTGAACTCCTGACCTCAAGTGATCTGCCTGCCTCGGCCTCCCAAAGTGCTGGGATTACAGGCATGAGCCACTGCGCCCGGGTCTACCTTTTTTCAAATGGAACAGTCTCTAGTCCCCACGGAGCAGAAGGGTGGCTTCTTCACCTCTGACTCACCTGGCACCTTGGCATCATTGCAGATTTCTGCAAAGGGTCTGAAAAAGAAAGAAATGAGGTGGCAGTTAGAAAATGAGGTTTTCCCCTCCTTTATTTTTTTGAGATGGAGTCTCACTCGGTTGCCCAGGCTGAAGTGCAGTGGCGCAATTTCAGCTCACTGCAGCCTCCACCTCCTGGGTTCACGCCATTCTCCTGTCTCAGCCTCCCGAGTAGCTGGGACTACAGGCGCCCGCCACCATGCCCGGCTAAGTTTTATATTTTTAGTAGAGACGGGGTTTCACCATGTTGGCCAGGTTGGTCTTGAACTCCTGACCTCAGGTGATCTGCCTGCCTCCACCTCCCAAAGTGCTGGGATACAGGCATGAGCCATCGCGCCCGGAGAATCCAGGTGTCTGGCTGTTTTCCCCTCCTTCTCACCTGCTCCCTGAGATATGCTGCTGCTGCTGCTGGGGGAGCCTGGTAAGACCCAAATAAAAATGGGGGGCACAACGTCCCAACAGAGCATCCCCCATATAGGCCCTGGATGATGGGCCTGTGCTGGCAAATCTTTCCTCTGGGTCTGCTGTCCTCATCTATAAAGCGAGGATGTTGTCTGACCAAGTGATCAGAAATGTGTGCCCAGATTTATGCAAGTGGATATTCATCACAGCATTATTATCAATTATTATTTTTGAGACAGAGTCTCACTCTTTTGCCCAGGCTGGAGTTCGGTGGTGCCATCCTAGCTCACTGCAGCCTCGAACTCCTGGGCTCAATCGATCCTCCTGCCTCAGCCTTCCCAGTAGCTGGGAAGGCAGGTGCACACCACCATGCCCGGCTAATTTTTATTTTTATTAATTAATTTTTTTTTTTTGAGACGGAGTCTTGCTCTGTTGTCCAGGCTGGTGTGCTGTGGCATGGTCTCAGCTCACTGCAACCTCCACCTCCTGGGTTCAAGCGATTGTCCTGCCTCAGGCTCTCGAGTAGCTGGGATTACAGGCGTGTACCACCATGCCCGGCTAATTTTTTGTATTTTTAGTAGAGATGGGATTTCACTATGTTGGCCAGGCTGGTCTCGAACTCCTGACCTCGTGAACTGCCCGCCTTGGCCTCCCAAAGTGCTGGGATTACAAGCGCGAGCCACCACGCCCAGCCTATTTTTATTTTTTGAGACAGAATCTTACTCTGTCGCCCAGGCTGGAGTGCAGTGGTGCAATCTTGGCTCACTGCAACCTCTGCCTTCTGGGTTCAAGCAATTCTCCTGTCTTAGCCTCCTGAGTAGCTGGGACTACAGGCACATGCCACCACACTTAGCTAATTTTTTTTTTTTTTTTTTTTTTGAGATGGAGTCTCGCTCTGTCATCCAGGCTGGAGTGCAGTGACACTATCTTGGCTCACTGCAAGCTCCGCCTCCCAGGTTCATGCCATTCTCCTGCCTCAGCCTCTCGAGTAGCTGGAACAACAGGTGCCCTGCGCCACGCCCGGCTAGTTTTTTGTATTTTTAGTGGAGACGGGGTTTCACCATGTTAGCCAGGATGGTTGTGATCTCCTGACCTTGTGATCTGCCAGCCTCGGCCTCCCAAAGTGCTGGGATTACAGGCGTGAGCCACTGTGCCTGGCCCAATTTTTGTATCTTTTTTTTTTTTTTTTTTTTTTTTTAGTAGAGATGAGGTTTCACCATATTGGTCAGGCTGGTCTCGAACTCCTGACCTCAGGTGATTCACCCACCTCGGCCTCCCAAAGTGCTGGGATTACAGGCGTGAGCCACCACGCCTGGCCGTTTTCCTGCATTTTCTAGTTGTTACTTCAGGGGGTGAACTGTCTGTGGGAGAAAGGAAACCTCCACTTTTTGATTTTGAACAATTTGTTTTTTTTTGACACACGCAAATATTATCGTAATTTTAAAAAAACATGTAGGCCAGGCACAGTGGCTCATGTTTGTAATCCCAGTACTTTGGGAGGCCAAGGTGGGCGGATCACTTAAGGTCAGGAGTTCCAGACCAGCCTGGCCAACATGGTGAAAACCTGTCTCTACAAAAATACAAAAATTAGCCAGGTGTGGTGGCGGGCACCTGTGATCCCAGCTATTTGGGAGGCTGAGGCACAAGAATTGCTTGAATCCAAGAGGCAGAGGTTACAGTGAGCCAAGATGACGGCACTGCACTCCAGCCAGGGCGACAGAGCAAGACCTCATCTCAAAAAAACGAAGAAACAAAACACATAATATAACATTGAAGGCGGGCCGGGTACGGTGGCTCAAGCTTGTAATCCCAGCACTTTAGGAGGCTGAGGTGGGCAGATCACCTGAGGTCGGGAGTTCGAGACCAGCCTGACCAACGTGGAGAAACCCTGTCTCTATTAAAAATACAAAATTAGCTGGGGTGGTGGCACATGCCTGTAATCCCAGCTACTCGGGAGGGTGAGGCAGGAGAATTGCTTGAATCTGGGAGGTGGAGGTTGCAGTGAGCTGAGATCGTGCCATTGCACTCTAGCCTGAGTAACAAGAGCAAAACTCCATCTTAAAAAAAAAAAAGAAAGAAAGAAATACACCACAGGCCAGGTGTGGTGGCTGACCCCCATAATCCCAGCACTTTGAAAGGCCGACATGGGAGGATGGCTTGAGCCCAGGAGTTCGAGACTAGCCTGTGCAATACAAAAAAAAAGGGGGGGCTGGGTGTGGTGACTCATGCCTGTAATCCCAGCACTTTGGGAGGCTGAGGTAGGTGGATCACCTGAGGTCAGGAGTTTGAGACCAGCCTGACCAATATGGTGAAACCCCATCTCTACTAAAAATACAAAAAAAAAATTAGCCAGGTGTGGTAGCGTGTGCCTGTAGTGCCAGCTACTTGAGAGACTGAGACAGGAGAATTGCTTGAACCTGGGCGGTGGAGGTTGCAGTGAGCTGAGATCACACCACTGCATTCCAGCCTGTGTGACAGAACGAGAGTCCATCTCAAAAAGAAAGTAATAATATATTAATAAAATAATAATTTAAAAATATAAAGAAATGCATCACAGTGTTGACTTTCAGTAGGAGAGTTACAGCTATCTTCTTTTCTTCTATCTTTTTGTATTTTCCAGGTTGCTGTGTGTATTATTCTGAAAATAATCAAATAATCTATTGTATTAAAAAAAAAAAACTGGGCCACCCAGGTTTGGGTGTGGTGGCTCACACCTGTAACCTCAGCACTTTGGGAGGCCGAGGTGGGAGGATCACTTGAGCTTAGGAGTTCAAGACCAGCCTGGGCAATACAGTGAGACCCTGTTGAGGCTGCACTGGGCCATGATCATACCTCTGTACTCCTGCCTGGGCAACAGAGTGAGACCCTGTCTCAAAACAAAAACCAAAACCCAAAAGATTGTAAGGATATACGGTATAATAGTAATAATGCAGGCTGGGTGCAGTGGCTCACGCCTGTAATCCCAGCACTTTGGGAGGCTGAGGCGGGCAGATCACTTCAGGTCAGGAGTTCGAGACCAGCCTGGCCAACATGGTGAAACTCCATCTCTACCAAAAAAATACAAAAATTAGCCGGTGTGATGGTGCACACCTGTAATCCCAGCTACTTGGGAGGCTGAGGCACGAGAATCGGTTGAACTCAGGAGGTGAAGCGTGCAGTGAGCTGAGATCGTGCCACTGCACTCCAGACTGGGTGACAGAGCAAGACTCTGTCTCAAAAAAAAAAAAAAAAAAAAAAGAGAATCACTGAGACTATGGAATTATAATTATTCTAAAATATATAATAAATATTCATATTTAAATAAACATATTTATATTTAAATGTTAAAAATCAGAATTGTATAGTCAGAAAAAGTCAAATTTAATTAAAACATGTTTTGTTTTTTCCCCAGAGAACAAATGTAATATCTAAAAAATAATCTTTAAAAATAAGTAAATGTCCATGACTGTTGAAGTTGTATGTTTCAGGAGAAAGAGGCAGGAACTATTACAGTACACCTGGGTCTGGATCCCAGCTGACCCACCGTGACCTTGACTTTCACCCTCCCCATGGCCTCGCCCTCTCTGTTCCCCGTTCCAGAGGCCGGGCACTCACTGGAGCTGGTTAATGATGACCATGCGGACATGCTCTCGGGCCTTCAGGATCTTCTCCAGCCGGTGGATGTCGTACGTGTTGGGGTTCCGGAAGGGGATGTCATCAGGCAGACCCGTGACCTCCACGGCGTCTGGGCTGTCCCGGATTAGTTTATAAGGGACCAGCACCGGCCGGTTCAGGCCCAGGGCCTCACCTAGAGGGCACAGGAAGTCACAGTGAGGAAAGATGTCTCCTGTCAATGGCAAAGCCCTCTAGGGAAAGGGCTGGAGTCTGGGCTGCCCTAGCCCAGCAGCCATCACACCCAGAGAGTTTAAAAATCAAGACCCTGGTGGGGCGCAGTGGCTCACGCCTGTAATCCCAGCACTTTGGGAGGCTGAGGCAGGAGGATCACGAGGTCAGGAGATCGAGACCATCGTGGCTAACTCGGTAAAACCTCGTCTCTACTAAAAAAATACAAAAAAATTAGCCGGGCGTGGTGGCGGGCACCTGTAGTCCCAGCTACTCGTGAGGCTGAGGCAGGAGAATGACGTGAACCCAGGAGGTGGAGCTTGCAGTGAGTGGAGATCCCGCCACTGCACTCCAGCCTGGGCGACAGAGTGAGACTCTGTCTCCAAAAAAAAAAAAATCAAGACCTACAGGCTGGGCATGGTGGCTCACACCTGTAATCCTGGCACTTTGGGAGGCCAAGGCAGGAGGATCGCTTGAACCCAGAAGATCAAGACCAGTCTGGGCAACATAGTGAAACCTTGTCTCTACTAAAAATAGAAAAATTAGCCGGGAGTGTTGGCGCATGCTTGTAGTCCCAGCTACTTGGGAGGCTGAGGCAGGAGGATCACCTAAGCCCAGGAGGTGAAGGCTGCAGTGAGCGGAGATACGCCACTGTACTCCAGCTTGGGCAACAGAGTGAGACCCTGTTTAAAAAAAAAAAATCAACATACACAAAACGTGGGTCATGGGCAGAGCAGCCATGTCACCAGGGAGCAGGCAGCCAGCTGGGGGCTCCTGAAAGCCAGGCTGGCTGCAGAGGGAGGCCCCCCACCACCCCCGGGAGGAGGGCTTGGTGTGCTGACCCTGACCACAGGCACTGACCGTATTTCTCGTTGAAGAGTTCCTTCACCTGCTCCCGCAGGATCACCTTCTCCCCGAGTCTGTTGGCGTCATCTTCATCTACAAGAGGAAGACAAGGGGGCATGAGAGTTGGCACCAGCTTAGCCACTGGACCTGCTGCTTCTCCCACCAGGCGTCCCTGATCTGCCAAAACATTACATTCTCTGCAGGGCCGACCCACTCCTATATAGCTGTTTTTTTTTTTTTCCTTTTGAGACAGAGTCTCGCTCTGTTGCCCAGGCTGGAGTGCAGTGGCGTGATCTCAGCTCACTGCAACCTCTGCCTTCTGGGTTCAAGCGAATTCTCCTGCCTCACCATCCCAAGTAGCTGGGATCACAGGCACGTGCCACCATGCCCAGCTAATTTTTGTATTTTTAGTAGAGATGGGGTTTCACCATGTTGCCCAGGCTGGTCTCAAACTCCTGGCTCAGGTGATCCACCCGCCTCAGCCTCCCAAAGTGCTGGGATTACAGGTGTGAGCCACTGTGCCTGGCTGCAGCTGGTTTCTAGCATCAGTTATTGGTCTGTCCCTCCATCCATTTTTCTTTTTTTGAGACACGGTCTTGCTCTGTCACCCAGGCTGGAAGGCAGCAGTGGATCATAGATAGCTCACGGCAGCCTCCAACTCCCAGGCTCAAGTGATCCTCCCACCTCAGCCTCCTGAGTAGCTGGGAATAAAGATGTGTGCCACCATGCCTAATTTTTTAAAGTTTTTGTACAGATGGAGTCTCGCTATGTTTCCCAGGCTGAAGTGATCCTCTTGCTGGCCTCAAGTGATCCTCTTGCTTTGCCCTCCCAAAGTTCAGGAATTACAGATGTGAGCCACGGTGGCCAGCCCATCCCACATTTTTTTATCAGTGTCCCCAGCACAGGCCCTGTGTTGGGCACAAAACAACCTAAAGAGAAGAGGCAGGGCTGCTTCCCTGAGGGGCTCCCAGCCAGAGGGGGTGTCATCTGGTCACTAAAGTACAACAGGACACACTTAGGAGACAAGGGGCATGAATGAGGGTGCCCACCCTCTGTGGGCAAGTCTGGGGAGACCTCCCCCAAGAGAGAAGGATGCTTGAATGGGCTCTCAAGGCCTGACATGGTGGCTCATGCCTATAATCCCAGCACTTTGGGAGGCAGAGGCAGGCAGATTACTTGAGGCCAGGAGTTCGAGACCATTCTGGCCAACATGGTGAAACCCCGTCTGTACTAAAAATACAAAAAGATTAGCTGGGCATGTGGCGGGCACCTGTAGTCCCAGCTACTCAGGAGGGTGAGGTAGGAGAATCACTTGAGCCTGGAAGGTGGAGGTTGCAGTGAGCAGAGATCACGTCACTGCAGTCCAGCCCGGGAGACAGAGACCTGTCTCAAACAAAAATGAAAACAAACAAACAAACAAAAAATGGGCTCCAAAAAGGCAGGTAGGAGTTTGTGAAGGACGGAGTGGCAGTGGGAAGCCACCAGGACAGAAGGACCAGCCATGCATAGGCACTCAAGCGTGAAAGATCTTGTGTTGGCTGGGTGCGGTGGCTCACGCCTGTAACCCCAGCACTGAGGGAGGCTGAGATTGGCAGATCACCAGAGGTCAGGAGTTTGAGACCACCCTGGCCAACATAGCGAAACCCCGTCTCTACTAAAAATACAAAAATTAGCCGAGTGTGGTGGCGGGCACCTGTAATCCCAACTACTCAAGAGATTGAGACAGGAGAACTGCTTGAACCCAGGAGGCGGAGGTTGCAGTGAGCTGAGATCGCGCCACTGCACTCCAGCCTGGGCAACAAGAGCGAAACTCCGTCTCAAAAAAAAAAAAAAAAAAGAAAAGAAAAGAAAAAAAGAAAAAGATCCCATGTCCTGGAAGTGGCTGAACTTTGGGGTGGTACAGGGGAGATGACTGATGGGCCTAGTGGGGTCCATGCACAGGGGCCGGTGTCACTGTGCTGGGCTGTTGGAAATCCCCTGACCGCTCGCTGACCAAGGTCTGTGAATGGGAAACAGACCGTGTCTGGGAGTGTGGGGGCCGTGCATTCTCCCTGCTCACTGCCCAGGTAACCGTCACGGCCTATCTGCTGCTTGAGCCCTGGTGTGCTCTGCTCTCCCCTCCCTGTAGCCTAGAGGAGCTGCTGGAGTCAGTTAGCCCTGGAGATGGGGCCTGAGCTGGGCTGTAAGGCTGAGTGGGGGTTGGGCTGGAGATGGGGTCTGGGGCAGAGCTCTGCAGCAGCCTGTGGGCTTGTGCCAGGGTTGAGGACGGGGCTGGGATTGCAGGAAGGGTGGTTTGCATGTCCAACAGGAAATCTCCTCTCTGAGAAGCGTGGGGTCACATGGGCTGGGCCTCTTGGGGCAGGCGGGTTCGGTAAGGGTGAGATGTTGTGGGGTGGAGCTAGACGCAGGCAGGGAGCCAGGGCCGGATGATTCAGGGCAGAGCAGACTGATGGGTCTTTGGAGCAAAATGACTCCTGTTTTTTTTTCTTTTTGTTTTTCCAAGACAGAGTCTCACTCTGTTGCCCAGGCTGGAGTGCAGTGGCACGGTCTCGGTTCGCTGCAACCTCTGCCTCCCAGGTTCAAGCCATTCTCCTGCGTCAGCCTCCTGAGAGCTGGGACTACAGGCGCCTGCCACAACGTCCGGTTAATTTTTGTATATTTAGTAGAGATGGGGTTTTGCCATATTGGCCAGGGTGGTCTCAAACTCCTGAGCTCAGGTGATCTGCCTGCCTCGGTCTCCCAAAGTGCTGGGATTACAGGCGTGAGCCACTGTGCCCAGCCTGACTCCTGTTTTTTGAGACAGGGTCTCACCCTGTTTCCCAGGTTGGAGTACAGTGGTGCCATCATAGCTCACTGCAGCCTTGAACTCTTTGGCTCAAGCAATCCTCCCCACTCAGCCTCTCAAGTAGCTGGGGCTCCAGGCATGAATCACCATGCCAGACTAAGTTTTTTTAAAATTTTTTGTAGAGAGAGTCTCTCTCTGTTGCACAGGCTGTTCTCGAACTCCTAAGCTCAAGCGATCCTCCTGTCCGCAGCCTCCGAAAGTGCTGGGATTACAGTTGTGAGCCACTGTGTCTGGCTCTTTTAATCTTGAAAACTCTGGGAAGAGCTCACTTCTGTTTAGGAGGCTGCCTTGGGAACTGCATCTCCTGGCGTGGTGCTCTGTGCTGCTTAGAGTCTGCTGACCCCGTCTGGGTGGCTTGGCCTCCCGTGCGCAAGCTGCCAGAATGGAGGCCCTGTTCCCCATGTGGGGGTTGCCCCAAAGAGCAGGGAGCTTCCCACAGGACAGAGGCTGGGCACCTGCTTGGCCTGGTTCCTCCTTTTCCCAGGGCTCCAACACCCACCACCTCAGGTCCTCCCAAACCCTGCAGGTCCCTGGCCTGGTCCGTCCACACCCACACTCAGCAATCTCTGCACATCTCTGAGTTGCTGATCTGTCTTCAGGCACGGCCCGCCAGCCCCCCTGCGTGCCCAGAGACACTGCAAACATCAGCCATTCCAGACAACGTCCTCCTCCCGTGTCCCTATCTCGTGGAGTAATGCCTCTAATTCAGCCACACAAAGACCCCACGCTCCACATCCCCTAGAACCCTCGTCTTCTCCTGTGACCCAACACGGGCCTTCCTTTCAGGACTAGGATGTGGGAAGAATCAAGGCCACCCTTGTCCAAATCCATGCAGACAACAGTGATGGAGTCCTGGGCCCAAGGACCAGCTCCTAGAGCCTGCAGGGAAGCAACAGCACATTCCATCTGTCCCCATGCCACTGAGGAATCTTTGGTGGCAGGATTCTCAGCAGGCATGGCCATGCATGCACAGAACAGAGAAAGGATGGCCTGGATCACACACATCACTGTGTGCAGATGCTTTCCTAGACACTGCAGCCAAAGACACAGAGGCTCAGAGAGGTAAAGAAACTTGCCCAAGGTCACACAGCCTCTAAGCACCAGGAGTACTCTGTGTCAACCCCAAAGCCCTGGTCTTTCCACTCTACCATGAGCCCTGGGTTTCCTGAGGTCTCAGATTCCTCTACAGTTTCTTTCTTTTTCTTTTTTTTTTTGGAAGAGTCTTGCTCTGTCACCCAGGCTGGACTGGAGTGCAGTGGTGCGATCTTGGCTCACTGCAACCTCTGCCTGCTGGGTTCAAGTGATTCTCCTGCCTCAGCCTCTCGAGTATCTGGGATTACAGGCACCCACCATCACACCTGGCTGATTTTTGTATTTTTAGTAGAGATGGGGTTTCACCATGTTACTCAGGCTGGTCTCCAACTCCTGGCCTCAGGTGATTCGCCCACCTCGGCCTCCCAAAGTGCTGGGATTACAGACGTGAACCACCATGCCCAGGCTCCCCTACAGTAGCTGTAGAAAGAAGGCTTAATCTTTAAGATAGTTTCCTCTAATCTGTTGCTCTCAGCCCACAATGCCACACCTCTGTCTTCTCCTGTGTCGGGACAGAGCGAGACTCAAAGTCAGAGCTCTACGAAACCTGCAGGACAGAAAGAAGCTTAGCAGGCCTCTCAAAGACGAGGCCCAGACCGGGCACGGTGACTCACGCCTATAATCCCAGCACTCTCAGAGGCCGAGGCAGGTGGATCACTTGAGGTCAGGAGTTCCAGACCAGCCTGGCCAACATGGTGAAACCCCGTCTCTACTAAAAATACAAAAAATTAGCTGGGCGTGGTGGTGCATGCCTGTAATCCCAGTTACTCAGGAGGCTGAAGCAGGAGAATCCCTTGAACTGGGAGGTGGAGGTTGCAGTGAGCTGAGATTGCGCCACTGCACTCCAGCCTAGGCGACAGAGCAAGACTCCGTCTCAAAAAAAAAAAAAAAAAAAACACCAAACAGGCTGGGCGCGGTGGCTCACATCTGTAATCCCAGCACTTTGGGAGGCCGAGGTGGGTGGATCACCTGAGCTCAGAAGTTCGAGACCAGCCTGTCCAACGTGGTGAAACCCCGTCTCAACTAAAAGTACAAAATTTAGCCAGGCGTGGTGGCAGGTGCCTGTAATCCCAGCTACTCCGGGGGCGGAGGCAGGAGAATCGCTTAAACCTGGGAGGCGGAGGTTACAGAGAGCCAAGATCGCGCCATCGTACTCCAGCCTGGGGGACAAGAGCGAGACTTCATCTCAAAACAACAACAACACACAAAAAACCCAAACAAACAAAAAACATGGGACCCCAAACTTACTATGCCAAAGGGAAATGTTAAGCTTGGGAACTGAGTCACGCAATAGCCTTTTGTTCCTAAACAGATGGCTGCAAGATAGAAGGCCACCTAGCTCCCCTGGTGGCCTCCCTCACCCTGGCCATGTAAATTCACAGCTTATCTTCACAGGCAGGGGACAAAGATAAGAATAGAAATCATTGCTCTGTCTACCCAAGACAAATGCCTATATGACTTCCTCTACTCTATTTACTTTATCTTATGTAAAAGGCAGATTTACTGAGCACAGGATAAATACATCATTAACTATTCCTCTTCCCCCTTTATTTTTTTATTTTTCGAGACAGAGTCTCCCTGTTTTCCAGGCTGGAGTGCAGTGGCATGATTTTGGCTCACTGCAACCTCCGCCTACCGGGTTCGAGTGATTCTCGTGCCTCAGCCTCCAGAGTAGCTGGGATTACAGGTACCCGCCACCACACCTGGCTAATTTTTTGTATTTTTAGTAGAGATGGGGTTTTGTTATGCTGCCCAGGCCAGTCTCGAACTCCTGACCTCAGGTGATCCACCTGGCTTGGCCTCCCAAAGTGCTGTGAGCCACCGTACCCAGGCCCTCTTTCCCCTTTAAATACCAAAGTCCTCAAAACTCTGGAAAAAAGCACAGGCCACAGACCCTATTGCAGCTTGAGTCTCTTTTTCCTGGCTGTGTCCTCCCCCATGGCAAAATAAATCTTTAAATTGATTGAGACCTGTTTCAGGCACTTTTGGTTTACATGGCCCACGGGGGTCTATAGCAGGGATCCTGACCCAGCTGGGAGTCAGGGAGGACTTCCCAGAGGAGGTGACCA
This sequence comes from Homo sapiens, assembly GCF_000001405.40. NCBI lineage: Eukaryota > Metazoa > Chordata > Mammalia > Primates > Hominidae > Homo > Homo sapiens. Next base: position 74,583,937 of record NC_000007.14, on the reverse strand, counting down.
CCACACGGGGCCCAAAGCTCCAAGGATGTGGGCTCATCTGCACGCTGGGGCTCATCACACGGACCTCCAAGGCAGTTGTGAGCGGTGAGTAAGACACAAGGAAACTTGTAGTATCCTGTGATTTCAGGTGCTCAACATGCTTTAGCCAATCAGGAAACTTCCCCTCTTCCTTCCAAGTCTTGCCTGGTCTGGGAAGAAGTGCAACCCTAAACCAGGCTGCAGCTAACCAGGAGTGACACTACGGGGCAGTCGATAGGATACTATGGCAATTCTATATGGGGCACAGGTCCCAGGCGGTGGACCAGAAGTGGTGGGAGTGTGCATGTCAGGAAAGTGGGGCCGGGCTGGCTGAGGGGGCTGGCAGTTTGGGGAGGCGTCCTGACCACCTCTGGAGTGTGGGAGGGGTGGAGTGGGGCTAAATGCCTTTGTCAATAACACCAAGAACTGGCCGGATGTAGTGGCTCACGCCTGTAATCCCAGCAATTTGGGAGACTGAGGCCACGAGTTTGCAACCAGCCTGGGCAACATGGCAAGACCCTGTCTCCACAAAAAAAAAAAAAAAAAAAGAAAAAAAAAGAAAAATTAGCTGGGCATGGTGGTGTGTGCCTGTAATCCCAGATACTTGGGAGGCTGAGGTGGGAGGATTGCTTGAGCCTGGAAGGTCAATGTTGCAGTAAGCCATGATTGCCCCACTGCACTCCAGCCTGGGTGACTGAGCTAGATCCTGTTTCAAACAAACAACCAAACAAAAATTAAAAAATAAAAAACAAGCTTGGCACATACTACGTGCAGACACTGTGCAAGGCCCACAATATACCTTGTCTGTGGGATTCTCTAGCTCAGTCAACATCAAGCTCAGGAAGAACACTGATTTTTCTCTGTAGCTGTTCTTGCATTTTCCTACCTCTTTCTTTTTATTTAATTTAGAGTAAAGAGAATTACGTGGTTTTTTTTTTTTGGTAGAGACAGGGTCTTGCTGTCATTCAGGCTGGAGTGCAGTAGCTGGGACTACAGGTGTGGGCTACCACACCCAGCTAATTTTTCCATCTTTTGTAGAGATGGGATCTTGCTATGTTGCCCAGGCTACATTTTTTTAAATCGTGAGTTTTTGAAGGAAATGGAGTAGGGGAGGCTCTGGTGGGAGCTGGATTGGACAAGCCCCTGCTTGAATGCCTGCATACAGTGGGGAAAAGGGGGATCCCCAGGGCCAGGTATGGGGAAAGTCCCTGGCTCATCAGACTGGAAGGCAATCTTGATTCTAATCCCTAATGCTGTGTGGTGTATGGAAAGTCACTCAACCTCTCTGAGCCTGTTTCCACATTCCTCAACTGGGACTCTGGGCCTGCTGGATCTAATCTCACATATCAAAAAGCACTACAGGCTGGGCACAGTGGCTCATGCCTGTCATCCCAGCACTTTGGAAGGCTGAAGTGGGAGGATTGCTTGAGGCCAGGAGTTCAAGACCAGTCTGGGCAACAGAGGGAAACCCTGTTTCTACCAAAAAAAAAGAAAAAATGCTGGGCATGGTGGTGCACACCTGTAGTCCCATCCCAGATCTTCTGGGAACTGTGAGTGCACCAGAGGCAGCTCCTTGGGCACATAAGTGACTCACTGTCTGGGAGGGAACCTGAACCACAGGTGAAGACCAACTCCCCTGTCCCCTGCCGTGTCTGGGGACCTGACACTGGGTTTGTGTCTGTGCTCTAGCCGTGCCCTGCAGGGGAAAGGGCAACGTCTCGATCTGAACAGATATTCCTGTTGGGCTCTGAGGTGTGCAGGCTGGCACCAGTCTTGCCCGACAGGAATCGTGGCCCCCGCTGCAACCGAGACAGCTCGCCCACGCACCCTGGTTAGCCCTGAGGGAGAATGCTAAGATCCTTGCTAACCCAGATGGCCCAGCCAAGCTTTATTTATTTATTTATTTTTTTGAGTTGAGATGGTCTGGCTCTGTTGCCCAGGCTGGAGCGCAGTGGAGCAATCTCAGCTCACTGTAACCTCCGCCTCCTGAGCTGAAGCCATCCTCCATCCTCAGCCTCCTGAGTAGCTGGTGCTACAGGTGTGTGCCACTATGTCTGTCTAATTTTTGTGTTATTTGTAGAGACAAGGTCTCACTATGTTGCCCAGGCTGGTCTTCAACTCCTAAGCTCAAGCAATCCACCCACCTTGGCCTTCCAAAGTGCTGAGATACAGGCGTGAGCCATCGTGCCCAGACCAGCTGAGCATCTCGGAGAGCTGCAGGTGGGGTCATGAGTCCTCTTTCCCAACAGAGCCAGGCTCCTGCCACCACCACCAGGTCGCCACCAGGGAGTTCCCCAAGGACTGCTGTGGGCAGTGGTGGCCTCGGCCTCAGGTGGGGCAGGGCAGCTCCAGCATGCCCGGTCACCTTTGAGTCTAATCTGCTCACGGGAAAAACACGGATCAGAGAATCGCCTCAGAGAGCTGCTGAGGACACTGCAGGGGCAGGAGCAATACCGGGCCCTTCAAGGCCAGGGTCACAAGCCCAGTGGTCTACCCAAGACTGATTGCCTGGGTTCAAATCCCAGCTCTGCAATCAGCTCGCGACCCTGGGCAAGTCCCTGAACCACTCGATGTCCTCATCTGTAAAGCAGCAATGGGCCGGGCATGCGGTGGCTCATGCCTTTCATCCCAACACTTTGAGAGGCCAATGTGGGTGGATCAGCTGAGGTCAGGAGTTCAAGACCAGCCTGGCCAACATGGTGAAACCTCATCTCTACTACTAATAAAAAAAAATTAGCCGGGCATAGTGGCGGGTGCCTGTAATCCCAGCTACTTGGGAGGCTGAGGCAGGAGAATCACTTGAACCCGGGAGGCGGAGGTTGCAGTGAGCCGAGATGGCGCCACTGCACTCCAGCCTGGGCAACAAGAGCAAAACTCCGTCTCCCCCCAACCCCCCCCAGAAAAGGGGGTTTAGTTTACCGTCCGGAACACCAAGTCAGCAAACCTATTCTCGGGAGGACCTGCCTGAGCTCCCCTGAACCCAGGCTGGCTGTAAAGACACCCACAGTTGCAAACATTTCAGAGTGTTCTCTGTTTGGAAATGTCATAGTTAGGACTCAGTGTGTGTAGGGTTTCACCTTCATGTTTCTGCCCCCAGTGCTGTGCAGAAAGTCCTGCTGAAAGAACCCATCCCCGCAGCAGCGACCTCCTGCCCACTGCCCCTGGACAGTGACACCTTTGGTGGACAGGCCTTCCCTTGACATTTTTCCTGCCCCCCTCCTGCTCATTCTGTTCTTCGGTCTCCTCTCTCTCTTTAACGCTGGCTGGGCAACTCTCATCTTATCTTTACCAGTCTGCTGTCTGTTAGCCCAAGGAGTAACTGAAATTTGCCAAGGGGGAAAAAAAAAAGACAACCAAGCTCACTGAATCACAGCCATGCTATGTACACAATTTTAAACCAACTGGCTCGGGTGGTGCCTGGGCTGGCTCCACGGCTCTCTCTCGGGGCAAAGTGCAAGAGCCCTGGCCAGCCCTGACTCTCCCCGCCTAGTTAGAGGACTTCAGCTCAGACTGACGACCTCACGTTGGTAATTACGACCATTCACAGCAGGGAGACGCAGCCAGCGAAGGGCAAGGGCGGTTTAGAGGGGAGAGACTGCGATCTGTAGCAGAAGCGTGGGATAATGGTCCTTCTCTCCCCTCCTGAACCACTTCACAGAGCCCCAACTCCCTGCCAGGCCCGGGCAGAGTTCACGGCTGCAGCGATTGCACCACTGCATTCCAGCCTGGGTGACAGAGTGAGACCCGGTCTCGAAAAAATAAAAAAGCTACATTCAGGTTCAGCTTTTAACCCCTTGTAGGGCCTGCGCACAGGTTTAGCAGGAATTCCATCAGCTCCATTTCATGGATGAGATAACTGAGGCCTGGAGAGAGGAGGGCCAAGCTGCAGCGGGGCAGAGACCTGTGGACCTGTGCCCAGGCCAGTGCTCATGAGCCTGTGGTTCTTCTGCCATCCCAGACCTGCACCTGGACACTGCGTGCAGGAGGGACCCTTAAGGCTTGACCCATTTTGATCCCCCTTTTCCCCACTGTATGCAGGCATTCAAGCAGGGGCTTGTCCAATCCATCCCCTACCACAGCCTGCCCTATCCAATTTCCTTCAAAAACTCATGATTTAAAAAAAAATGTAGCCTGGGCAACATAGCAAGATCCCATCTCTATAAAAATGGAAAAATTAGCTGGGCATGGTGGCCCACACCTGTAGTCCCAGCTACTGGACTCTAGCCGGAATGACAGCAAGACACTGTCTCTACCAAAAACCCATTTTACAAAGGGAACTGTAGTTTTTTTTTTTTTTTTCTTAAGATGGAGTCTTGCTCTGTCGCTCAGGGTGGAGTGCGGTGGCGTGATCTGGGCTCACTGCAACCTCCGCCTCCCAGGTTCCAGCAATTCTCCTGCCTTAGCCTCCTAAGTAGCTGAGACTACCGGCACGAGCCACCACGCTTGGCTAATTTTTGTATTTTTAGTAGAGACGGGGTTTCATCATGTTGGTCAGGCTGGTCTTGAACTCCTGACCTCAGGTGATCCGCCTGCCTCGGTCTCCCAAAGTGCTGGGATTACGGGCATGAGCCACTGCGCCTGGCCTTCTTCCTCTTCCTTTTCAAAAAAAATTTTTTTTTAGAGATGTAGTCTCATTTTGTCACCCATGCAGTAGTGCGATCCTAGCTCACTGCAGCCTTGACCTCATCCTCCTGCCGCAGTCTCCTGAGTACATGGGCCTACAGGTGCATACCACCACGTCTGGCTAATTTTAACATTTTTGTAGAGACAGGATCTTGCTATGTTGCCCAGGTTGATCTCAAACTCCTGGCTTCAAGCAATTCTTCCGCCTCAGCCTCCCAAAGTGTTGGGATTACAGGGGCGAGTCACCAGGCTGGGCCTTAAACTTTTTAACGGATCTATGCTTCTCCTCCTCTGCTTTTTTTTTTTTTTTGAGACAGGATCTCGCTCTGTTGCCCAGGCTGGAGTGCAGTGGCATGATCTCAGCTCACTGCAACCTCTGCCTCCTGGGCTGAAGCGATCCTCCCGCCTCAGCCTCTTGAATAGCAAGCATGCCACCATGCCTGGCTAATTTTTTTGTATTTTTAGTAGAGATGGGGTCTTGCCATGTTGCCCAGGCTGGTCTCAAACTCCTGAGCTCAAGGGATCCTCCCGTCGTGGCCTGCCACAGTGCTGGGTTTACAGACATGAGCCATCGTGCCCGGCTATAAGTGTTAATTGCATTCTTAGTAACAGCAAAACAATGGAAGCAGCCCAATCCCCAAGGAGGGGAGAGAGAGGAATTGCATCATGGTAAAATTCCACTCAATGGAAGATTATAGAGCCATGAGAACTAAGAAGCTACAGCTACACACTTCAGCATTATGTCAACCAAAGCTAAGTGGAAAACAGCAAGTCCCAGACTCTATTCAATAACACGCCTTTGTCATAAAAGTAAAATTATAGGCTGGGCGCGGTGGCTCATGCCTGTAATCCCAGCATTTTGGGAGGCTGAGGCGGGTGGATCGTGAGGTCAGGAGATGGAGACCATCCTGGCTAACACAGTGAAACCCCGTCTCTACAAAAAATTAGCTGGGCGTGGTGGCGGGCACCTATAGTCCCAGCTACTCGGAAGGCTGAGTGAGGCAGGAGAATCACTTGAACCTGGGAGGTGGAGGTTGCAGTGAGCCAAGATCACACTACTTCACTCCAGCCTGGGCGACAGTGCGAGACTCCGTCTCAAAAAAAAGAAAGTAAAATTATAAGCAAAATGAAATAATTTTTGTTTAGGCAAACATTACATGCAATAAAATAATTTTTAAAAAATTAACCCGTGAGCCTGGCGTGGTGGCTCACACCTATAATCTCAGCACTTTGGGAGGCCGAGACAGGAGGATCACTTGAGGGCAGGAGTTGGAGACCAGCCTTGGGTAACATAGAGAGACTCTGTCTACAAAAAATTTAAAAGTAGCTGGTACAGTGGCACCCAGCTATAGTCCCAGCTACTTGGGAGGCTGATGCGGGAGGATTGTTTGAGCCCAGGAGTTGGAGGTTACAGTGAGCTATGTGATAGTGTCACTGCACTCCAGCCTATCTCTACAAAAGTAAAAAATAAAATATGAGCTGGGCATGGTAGCACGTGTGCTTGTAGTCCTAGCCACTCGAGGGGCTGAGGTGGTAAGGATGGTTTGAGCCTAGAAGGTCCAGGCTGCAGTAAGCTATGACTGTGCCACTGCACTCCTGCCTGGGCAAGAGGGAGACTGTCTTTAAAAAAAAAAAAAATTAAAAAAGAAATCAACCAGTGAAAAATGATTATATCATGGAGGAGAACAGGCATAGAAGACAGTTTTGGAAATTTGAATAAAGACCATGTATTAGATGACAGGGAATTATTAAGTTGTATAAGTACGATGATGCTATTGTGAGTATGTAAGATAACAGTGTTTTCTTAGGAGATGTGCATTGAAACATTTAGGCACGAAGAGTCAAGATGTTTGCACCTTACTTCAAATAGAGAAAAAGAAAGAGAAATTATGTGTGTGCGCGTGTGTGTGAGAGAGAAAGCAGGGAAAATTGGCAATATGCTAAGAATTACTGAACCCAGCTGGGCGCGGTGGCTCACGCCTGTAATCCCACCACTTTGGGAGGCTGAGGCGGGTGGATCGCTTGAGGCCAGGAGTTCAAGACTAGTCTGGCCAACATGGCGAAATCCCGTCTCTACTAAAAATACAAAAAATTAGCTGGGATAGGTGGTGCACGCTTGTAGTCACAGCTACTCAGGAGGCTGAGGCAGGAGAATTGCTTGAACTCAGGAGGCAGAGCTTGCAGTGAGCCGAGATTGCGCCACTGCACTCCAGCCTGGGCGACAGAGCAAGACTCCATCTCAAAACAAACAAACAAATAAAAAAAATGCCCAACCCATCACGGGCACTTGGTAACTCAGAGAATCTGAGCTCTTCTGTGCCAGGCACTGCTCTTTGATCTTTGCATGGATTCATTCATTTAATCCTTAAAACAGGGGGCCGTGCTCAGTGGCTCACACCTGTAATCCCAGCACTTTGGAAGGCCAAAGTGGGCAGATCACTTGAGGTCAGGAGTTTGAGACCAGCCTGGGCAACATGGTGAAACCCTGTCTCTACTACAAATACAAAAATTAGCCGGGCATGTTGGCATATGCCTGTAATCCCAGCTACTCAGGAAGCTGAGGCAGGAGAATTGCTTGAACCTGGAAGGCGGAGGTTGCAGTGAGCTGAGATCGCGCCACTGCACTCCAGCCTGAAGACTCTGTCTCAAAAAAAAAAAAAAAAAAAAAAAAAAAAAAAAGACAAGGAAATAGATTTTCCCCTAGAGCCTCCAGAAGGATCAGCCCTGCTGACATCTTTTTTTTTTTTTTTTCTTGTAGCCCAGGCTGGAGTGCAATGGCACGATCTCAGCTCACTGCAAACTCCGCCTCCTGGGTTCAAGGGATTCTCTTGCCTCAGCCTCCCGAGTAGCTGGGATTACAAGTGCGCACCACCACACCTGGCTAATTTTTGTATTTTTAGTAGAGATGGGGTTTTACCACGTTGGCCAGGCTGGTCTCGAACTCCTGATCTCAAGTGATTCGCCCGCCTCAGCCTCCCGAAGTGCTAGGATTACAGTCGTGAGCCACTGCACCTGGCCCCTGACACCTTGACATTAGCCTTGGAAGACTCATTTCAGACTTCTGATCTCCAAAACTGTAAGGCAATAAATTTGTGTTGTTTGAAGCCACTACGTTTAGGTAATTTATTTATTTTTTTGAGACAGGGTCTCACTCTGTTTCCCACGCTGGAGTTCAGTGGCACAATCGTGGCTCACTGCAGCCTGACCTCCTGAGCTCAAGTCATCCTCCCACCTCAGCCTCCCTAGTAGCTGGGACCACAGGTGTGCACTACGTGCAGCTATTTTTTTTTTTTTAGAGATGGGGTCTTGCTATGTTGCCCAGGCTTGTCTCGAACTCCTGGGCTCAAGTGACCCTTCTGTCTCAGCCTTCCAGAGTGCTGGCGTGAGCCACTGGACCCGGCCTGTTTTAAGGCTTGAAATACCAGTTATAAATTCATGATTCCCCAAATCATATCTCAAGCCTGGACTGCTCCCCTGAGCCCCAACTTGCTTCCAACTTCGACTGGATGAGACCCCAGATTGAACACGCCTGATCCGCCACCTCCTGCCCCACCAGCTTCTCCTGCATCTTCCCTGTCTCCACCCACAGCACCTCCGTCCTTCCCCAAGTTCAGCCTGAACCTCTGAAGTCAAAGTCAGCTCCTCATTTTCTCACAGCTTATATCAGCACATTCTGTTGGCTTCAGCCAACTCACCTAAGAGTGGGTGACTCACCACCCCACTGCCGCCACAGGCGTCGCCTGGATTATTACAACCTCCTTATGTCTCTCCACCCTTGTCTGTCCTCAAGCCAGCAACCAGAGGGATTCTGTTAAAACAAGCTGGATCCTGTTACCCTCTGCTCAGAACTGCACCGACTCTAAGCTCACTCTGAGCAAAAGTCAAAATCCTTATCTGGCCATGTACCATCTTCCCTGTCCATCTCCATCTCATCTCTCACTTCCCCTGACCTTCCTCTGATACCTTGGCAGGTGACCTCAGGGGCTTTGCAGCTGCTGTTCTCTCTGCCTGCAATGCTGTTCCCTGCTGCCCCTTCAGGCCTTTAAAACTAAGGCCTCCTTCTGGTCATCACCTAAATAATGTTGCAATCTCCTAAAAATAAATACAATTGCTCCCATGGTTTACGCTTTGCAGATTTTCTGTTTATCCCCCCGCCCCACCATGTAGGCTCCGTGAGGCTGGGTTTTTTTTGTTTTTTTGTATTTTGAGACGGAGTTTCGCTCTTGTTGCCCAAGCTGGAGCGCAATGGCGCAATCTCGGCTCACTGCAACTTCCACCTCCCGGGTTCAAGCGATTCTCCTGCCTCAGCCTCCCAAGTAGCTGGGATTATAGGTGTGTGTCATGATGCTGGGCTAATTTTTTGTATTTTTAGTAGAAACGGAGTTTCACCATGTTAGCCAGGCTGGTCTCAAACTCCTGACCTTAGGTGATCCGCCCACCTCAGCCTCCCGAAGTGCTGGGATTACAGACGTGAACCACTGCACTCAGCCGGGTTTTTTTTTTTTTTTAATCAGTGTTGATTAAAAGTCCAGCATAGGCCGGGCACGGTGGCTCACATCTGTAATCCCAGTACTTTGGAAGTTAGAGGTGTGTGGATTACTTGAGCCCAGGAGTTCCAGACCAGCCTGGGAAACATGGCAAAACCCCGTCTCTACAAAAAAATACAAAAATTAGCCTGGCACGGTGGTGCACGCCTCCAGTCCCAGCTACTTGGGAGGCTGAGGCAGGAGGATCACTTGAGCTTAGGGAGGTCGAGGATGCAGTGAGCCGTGATCGTGCTACTGCACTCCAGCCTGAGTGACAGAGAGAGACCCTGCCTTAAAAAAAAAAAAAAAAAAAAATTCCAGTATCTAGGCCCGGTGTAGTGGCTCACGCCTGTAATCCCAGCACTTTGGGAAACCAAGGCGGTGAGATCCCTTGAAGCCAGGAGTTCTAGACCAGCCTGGGCAATGAAGCAAGATGCTGTCCTACAAAAATATTAAATAAGAATAATGAGGCCGGGCTCAGTGGCTCACACCAGTAATCCCGGCACTTTGGGAGGTCGAGGCAGGTGGATCACCTGAGGTCAGGAGTTCGAGACCAGCCTGGCCAACATGGTGAAATCCAGTCTCTACTAAAAATACAAAAAAAAAAAAAAAAAAAAAAATTAGCTTGGTGTGGTGGTGCATGCCTGTAATCCCAGATGCTCAGGAGGCTAAGGCAGGAGAATTGCTTGAACCCGGGAGGCGGAGGTTGCAGTGAGCTGAGATTGCACTGCTGCACTCCAGCCTGGGCAATAAGAGCGCAACTCTGTCTCAAAGACAAAACAAAACAGAAACAAACAAAAAGAATAATGAAATAATAATAAAAGACCAGTATCTGGCACAGTGCTGGCCCCAGTGAGACACCTGGGCCTGTGCACAAATGAGTGACTGCACCTGCGCCCCCAAGGCCTCTGTTGGGGCCACACGAAGTCTGCTGTGGGTGGTGCTGAGCCCTCTCCATGACACGAAGGTTCTTAGAGGGCTAGGCCTGCATGGCCCCCAACCTCCACCTCCCTCCTCTTTTGTCCCCACACCCCTCCCCACAAGGCTGGAAGGATCGGGTACACCCAGTAAACCACATGTGCTGAGCCATGGTTACCACCCTGCCCCTGCTCTACTTCTATGGCTCAGACACACGCATCAGCTTCTGTTCTGCACAAGGTGCCTGGCGACCCCTCGGTGCTGATCTCATTCCAGCCCAAATAAAGGTGCTGGTTGCTCTTGTCAGCTTGGGTGGTCTTCGCTGGGGAAAGGGTTTCTGGGAGGCTTTCTGGGATGTTGCAAAAGACTCTAAAGGCGCCCCCAACCCTGCTCCCTTTCGGGTCCGGAAAGCCCCTGTCTATTTTAAATTTTAATCGTTTTTTTTTTTTTTGAGAGAAGGTCTTGCTCTGTTGCCCAGGCTGGTGGGCAGTGGCACGATCACGGCTCACCACAGCCTCAACCTCCTGGGCTCAAGTGAGCCTCTTGCCTTAACCTCCTGAGTAGCTGGGACTACAGGCATGTGCCCTCATGCCTGGCTCATTTTTTGTCAAGATGGGATTTTGCCATGTTGCCCAGGCTGGTCTCGAACTCCAGGATTGCTCAAGCAATCCGCCTGCCTCAACTTCCCACAGTGCTGGGATGACAAGTGTAAGCAACCGCACCCAGCCTGGAAGCCCATCTAATAAAGGCTAAAAACCTTGGAGTTCCCTTCCCCGACGTGTGGAAGGTTGGGGGGCAGAATGGTGTTGCAATGACCCCAGCTAAGTCCCCACCAGCCAGAAAAGGGCAGGGTCTCCCCAACATGCCATCATTTCATGGCCCACTCTGCCACTTCAGAAGAAAGGAGGCGTCGGGCCAACTCTGGGCCCGGCAGTAGGGCGTCTCGTCTGCCCACAAAGGCCTCCAAGCCCCGCCCCGCAGATGCCAGCTCTCCCTGGGAAGGCAGAAGGGAGATCATTACTGAACCCTAATTAACAAAGACAAGCAGAGATAATTCAGTGGAGAAACATGTGGCTGGCGCTGGAATTGTGATATCTTTAGAAACTTGAGAAAGGGTGGCTTTATTTTGAGCTTTCAAGAGCTCAAGACAGAGTTGGAAGGGTAGAGAGGGGGTGGGGAAGGCTGAGAGAGGGAGGCAGGGGCCAGAGGGTGTGTGCCTGTGTGTGATTGGCGACAAGGAAATGACTCTCAAGTCTTGGGCAGCAGAAGGGAGGATCATGGAGGATGTCCTTGTTCTGTATCACGTCAAAGAAATGGAGACCCAAAGACAGTTAACTCATCCAAGATCAAAGACAGTAAGTTAACTTATCTAAAATCAGAGACAAGCAAGTTAACTTATCCAAGATCAGAGATAGTAAGTTGACTTATCTAGATCAGAGATGGTAAGTTAACTTATCCAAGATCACAGGTAGCAAGTTAACTTATCCAAGATCAGAGATAGCAAGTTAACTTATCCAAGATCAGAGATAGTAGGTTAACTTATCCAAGATCACACAGCTCAGAAGTGATGGTACTTCTTCCTGAGAAGGCAAAAAGGGACCTGTTCCTGTGCCTGCCGCTCTTCAGTCCCTCCCCATGTCCACCCCAGTACCCTCTGCAGAGGTCAGTCCTACACTAGCATCCAGGCCTGGCTCAGGTCATCCTCTCCAGGAAGCCCATCCCACCATAGCACCCACTGGGTGACAGGAGACCCCACAGAAGAGAGAGGCTTAGCAGGAGATCAAAGAGGACAATGACAAGTGGTGCTACTGTATTTGAGGCTTCTGGCTTTTCTCCACTTGTACCCCCTGAAAAGGGATCACAGCCCTGTGCCTGGCAGGCATTTCACCCACAGCTGAGCTTCTCAAAATGGGCCTCAAACAATTCTGGTGGGGGTGAGAGGTGAGTGTAAGTGGAATGATCTTCCTCGGTGGCATGTAATTTTTTTTTTTTGAGACAAGGTCTCACTCTGTTGCCCAGGCTGGAGTACAATGACAAAATCATAGCCCACTACAGCCTCCAACTCCCAGGGTCAAGGGATCCTCCCACCTCAGCCTCCTGAGTAGCTGGGACTATAGGCACACGCCACCATGCCTGGCTAATTTTTTATTTTTTGTCGAGACAGGATCTCTTTATGTTTCCCAGGCTGGTTTCGAACTCCTGGATGCAAGTGACCCTCCTGCCTTGGCCTCCCAAAGTGCTGGGATTACAGGCGTGAGCCACTGTGCCCAGCTAGCAGCATGTAATTTGACATAGTTCCTTAAACTGAGATGAAAGTGGAACGTTTACAGAGGAGACGATGTGGGGATGTCCTAGATAAAACTGGAGCCCACCAAGAGCTTGGCCCCGACCAGTGGGGCTGTACGGGTTCCTCCGCTATGGGGACGTCAGCAGAAGAGCTTACCAGGGCCAGGCCTGAAGGGCCCTGTCCATGCTGCAAAGCCAGGCCTCCCAGGCTGTCCCCGCTCCATCCTGGCCAGTCTCTCTGCCTCACCACCTCCCACTCATGACAGCCCATCCCTCCTTCTCACCTGGTCATGCACTCCAGGGTGGCCCCAGGGGAGGCAGACGTGGCGTGGGCAATTCTTCTCATTTTACAAGTAGGGAAACTGAGGCCCAGGTAGGCAAGCCTGACTTGCTGGAGTCACACAGGAAGTTGGCAGCTCTGCCACATCCCTGGGGTCTGGAGCCCCTGCTCTGGGGAAGGAGAGGTGGGGCGCTGCCTTCCCACAGTCCCCTCAAGCTGGCAGGGACTGCTGTACCCCCAGGGTGAGAGGAGAACTAAAAGGAGCGGAAGCTGGCCTGGGTCCGGGGAGAGCCCTCGTGTTTGCCCAAAAGGGAACTGGAGAAGGGTGGCTGGGCCCATACGCAGGGAGGAGCTGTGGGGAGCTGGTGGCGGGGCAGCAAAGAGAAGTGGATTTGGTGGGTAGAGGGGCCCCTCCTTGGTTTTAGTCCTCCCCACAGCCCCTCCAAAACCGGCAGGGCTCTCTTGTCCCTTTCTCCTCTCCTGCAGCAAGCCCTATAGGAAGCGGCCTCTCTAGTGAGTGGCAGCTCAACCTCTGCTTAAATGCCTCCAGTGACGGGGAGTTCACTACCTTCCAAAGCTTTTAAAAAACGTTAACCACTGCTATTCAAGAACAATTCTAGAATTTTTTTTTGAAAGACAAGGTCTCATTCTGTCTCGCAGGCTAGAGTGCAGTGGTGTGATCACAGCTTACTGCAGCTTTGACTTCCTGGGCTCAAGCGATCCTCCCTCCTCAGCCTCCCGAGTACCTGAGACTACAGATGTGTGCCACAACACTGGCTCAATGTTTTCATTTTTTGTAGAGACAGGGTCTCACTATGTTGCCCAGGCTGGTCTCCTGGCTTCAAGCAATCCTCCTGCCTTGGCCTCCCGAAGTGCTGGGATTACAGGCAATGAGCCACTGTGTCTGGCTTTTTTTTTTTTTTTGAGACAGAGTCTTGCTCTGTCACCCAGGCTGGAGTGCAGTGGTGTGATCTCAGCTCATTGCAACCTCTGCGTCTCAGGTTCAAGCGATTCTCCTGCCTCAAGCTCCCGAGTAGCTGGGATTACAGGCGTCCGCCACCATGCCTGGCTAATTTTTGTATTTTTTGGTGGAGACAGGGTCTCACCATGTTGGCCAGGCTGGTTTCGAACTCCCGACCTCAGGTGATCTACCCGCCTCAGCCTCCCAAAGTCCTGGGATTACAGGCTGAGCCACCGCGCCCGGCCCTGCTGTTGCTTCTGAGGTTTGAAAACCGCTGCCTCAATGCTCCTGACTCAGCTCTTCTTACCCAAAGGTTCCCCCACCTCGTCTACTCTGTTCCTGCACAGTCGCCCTTTCCTCCGATGCCCCGGGCAGGTCTCTCTCTGCCAGCTCCACGCTTCTGAGAGGCCCCCAGCCTGCCTGCCACCCTGCCTGCACTAAATACCACTCAGGTTTCACTATGGGCCCCTGGATGTGTCTCACAAGCCCACAGACCCAGCCTTAGAGACGAGCACCACCATCACCCTTCCGGAACCTTCCGCCCTCTTCACACCCTGCTGCTGCCTCTAGATCCTAACCCCATCCATCGTGGGGCCCAGCTGCCCACTGCCTGGGTTCAGACCTTCTCAACACTCCCTGGCTTCTCTGCCCTAGTTTTGCCTTCTCTAATCCACCCTTGGTGGGTGGAAATATGGTTACCATGGTAACCTGAAGACAGCGCAAATCTGATCGTATCATTACAATGACTGGAAAAACCGCCAGTGCCACAAAATAAAGCTCAAGTTACTAGCTTTGCAGGCTAGGCCCTTTACCATTCCGGCAGCATTTTTGGGGGCTATTCTCCATCCCCCCCTCACTGCACAACCCCACCTGGCCACCCCAGGCTCAGGCCGCAGAACAGCATAGACCAGGGAGTGGCTTTGGCCTCATGCTAACTACCTGATTTTTGTCTGTTTCAGGCTGTTTGCTCAGTTACAAAATGGGAAGGAAGGACAACAGCACCCACCTCACAGGCTAAGCGTCTAAGAGGCTGTGTGTGAAAAGCCCACAGCACAGGGTCTGGCACGCGTGGACGTGCGGGATGGGAGGAGGGGATTTCCCAGCTCCTAATCTCTGCAGGGACTGGCCCCTGGCCTAGGGAACACCAGCTCCTCAGGGAGGGGGAGCTTTCCCTGACCCCCCGATGTGTGGCAGGCAGAGGAGAGTGAGCTACTTCTGGGAGGGGAGTTGGGGGAAAGGGCAAGTTAGTCTTTACTGAGGGTGGCAGTGAGCTGGCATTTTGGTCTCACCTCGGCTGCAGAAACCCACCCTGCTCCCGTCTTATTTCCTGGGGATTTCAGCTGTGTGCAGGCACAGATGCGTCATCCAAGTGCCCCACACGTACCTTGACCTCTTCTCCTCCCTCTGGCCAGTCCTGAACCTCTTGGTGATCCATGGCGGCACCTCTGTGTCCCACATCCTTCTCTGGCCATCTCCTTCCCTCCTTCCAGCCCTCCCTCTAGAAACCTGACCCCAACTGTCCTTCATCCCCATGGGGACATTTAGTCCACTGACTCATCACCCTCCCCTGTCCCTCCCTGAGAGAAGGAGCAGGCAGAGAGGAGCTTGCATGAGCATTCAGCAACCCTCTTCCACCCATCCTGTTTCTTTCTTTTTCTTCTTCTTCTTCTTCTTTTTTGAGACAGAGTCTCGCTCTGTCGCACAGGCTGGAGTGCAGTGGCACAATCTCGGCTCACTGCAAGTTCCGCCTCCCGGGTTCACGCCATTCTCCTGACTCAGCCTCCCAAGTAGCTGGGACTACAGGTGCCCGCCATCACGCCCAGCTAATTTTTTGTATTTTTAGTAGAGACGGGGTTTCACTGTGTTAGCCAGGATGGTCTTGATCTCCTGACCTTGTGATCTGCCCGCCTGGGCCTCCCAAAGTGCTGGGATTATAGGCGTGAGCCACCACGCCCGGCCCTTTCTCCTTCTTTTTTTTTTTTTTTTTTAAATAGAGATGCAGTCTTGTTATGTGGCTGGTCTCAAACTCCTGGGCTCAAGTGATCCTACTGCCTCGGCCTCCCAAAGTGCTGGATTACAGGCGTGAGCCACCACACCCAGCTCCGTTCCCTTTCTAAGCAGGGTGCTCCTTTTCTTGCCATTCCCCCCATCCTCCTTCCTCTCCCACAGCTCACTTCCCTCTCTACTGAATCTGCTGAAGATCATGCAGCTGCTGTTCCTACCTCTAAAACCCTCTCTTGGCTGGGTGTGGTGGGTCATATATGTAATCCCAGCACTTTGGGAGGCTGAGGCAGGTGGATCATTTGAGGTCAGGAGTTTGACACCGGCTTGGCCAACATGGTGAAACCCCATCTCTACTAAAAAATACAAAAAATAGTCGGGCGCGATAGCACGCGCCTGTAATCCCAGCTACTCGGGAGGCTGAGGCAGGAGAATCACTTGAACCCGGGAGGCGGGGGTTGCAGTGAGCCGAGATCACGCCACTGCACTCCAGCCTGGGCAATAGAGCGAGACTCTGTCCCCTCCCTCCACCAAAAAAAAGAAAGCCCTCTCTGCAGCCATTCCACTCTCAACTCTTGTTCATTCTCTCCTGCCCTCTAAAAGGTGATCCTTTTAGACCTGACCCCCCCGATGTGTGGCAGGCAGAGGAGAGCAAGCTACTTCTGGGAGGGGAGTTGGGGGAAAGGGCAAGTTAGTCTTTACTGAGGGTGGCAGTGAGCTGGCACTTTGGTGCTTGGTCCTTGGCAGATTCAATCACTTGCCTTTCTCATTGTCTCTTGAGCCCACTATTCCACTCTGGTCCCCACCACTTCCCCCAAAATTGCTCTGAACCATCCCACTGCAACCTGTTGCTTAGCACCTCCGTCTACTCTCAGGCATTAGGACTGACCTCCCAGCAGAGGCTGGTGCAACCAATCACCCCCTTCAGTAAGTTTCTCCCTGGGCTTCACCTGCGGACTTTCCACCTCTCTCTCCTTTTTTTTTTCTTTTTTATTTTTGAGACAGGGTCTCGCTGTGTCGCCGGGTTGGAGTGCTGTGGTGCAATCTCAGTTCACTGCAACCTCTGCCTCCCGGGTTCAAGCGATTCTCCTGCCTCAGGCTCCCAAGTAGCTGGGATTACAGGCATGCGCCACCATGCCCAGCGAATTTTTGTATTTTTAGTAGAGACGGGGTTTCACCATGCTGGCCAGGATGGTCTTGATCTCCTGACCTTGTGATCCGCCTGCCTCAGCCTCCCAAAGTGCTAGGATTACAGGCGTGAGCCACTGCGCCTGGCCCTCCATACATTTTTGTTGTACAAATAAATGAACTCAAAGGATTAACTACAAGCCTAAAGGTTTACACAGGCAGGACCAGTGTAATAGCTGCTGGTAGCCAGGAGGGGACAGCAAAGAGCCACCCTGTGTGGATGAGACCAGAGGGGTGGTGGGAAAGAGGGCGTGGCTGCAACCCACTTCAGGGACACACAACAAGCCCTAGGCTAGTGGTAGAGCCTGCCCTGGGTTCCGAAGTATAATAAAATGGTAAAGACTTAGGTTCAAATCTCTACCACACTACTGTGTGACCTTGAGAAAGCTGCTTAATCTCTCTGAGCCTCAGTCCCCTCCAATAAGGCCAGCTACTTGGGGAGATGACGTGGTAACGTGAGTGGGCTTTGTAACCGGCAAATCGTAAGTATGACGTGGTCAGGCATGGTGGCTCACACCTGTAATCCCAGCAGTTTGGGAAGCCGAGGCGGGTGGATCGCCTGAGGTCAGGAGTTCGAGACCAGCCTGGCCAACATGGCAAAACCCCGTCTCTACTAAAATAGGAAAATTAGCCTGGCATGGTGGCGGGCACCTGTAATCCCAGCTACTTGGGAGGCTGAGGCAGGAAAATTGCTTGAACTCGGGAGGCGGAGGTTACGGTGAGTTGAGATCACACGACTGCAGTCCAGCCTGGGGGACAGAGCGAGACTCCGTCTCAAAAAAAAGTGTGACGTGAGTGTTAGGTGTCTGTGGTGTGAGGGGCTGCTCAAATGTCCATAACTGGGGGACAGGGTAGTTACATAACCATGATACAGCCTGAAGAGGGAACAGAGCTTTTTAAAGACATGGGAACATGTTTATGTTTTAAGGTTAAATGTGTAAATTTATAGAAAGAAGAACAGTGAGATGTAAAATTAATAAGCTTGGGGGGAAATCTGGAAGAAATGTATCATCATAAAAATGAACAGCCATCTGGGTTGTTAGATTTCTGTATTTTCCAAATTTCTACCATGGGCATATATTTGCATTTCTCTTTAGGGTGTGTGTGTGTGTGTGTGTGTGTGTGTGTGTTTGTGTGTCTTTTAGAGAGAGGGTCTTACTCTGTCACTCAGGTTGAAGTGAGGTGATGTGAGCTTTGTGATCATAGCTCGCTGCAGCCTCAAACTCCTGGGCTCAAGTGACCCTCCTGCCTCAGCCTCCTGGGTAGCTAGGACTACAGGCAAGCGCCACCACCCACCACCATGCCCAGCTAATTAAAAAAAATTTTTTTTGTAGAGATGGGTTCTCACTATGCTGCCCAGGCTGATCTCCAACTCCTGGCTTCAAGCAATCCTCCTGCACTGGCCTCCCAAAGCGCTGGGATTATAGGCATGAGCCACCATGCCCGACCCCCTTTAGGTTTTTATGACCTACTAGAATGTTCTTCGGATGGAATATTACAGCAGCTACCTGGGTAGAGGGTTTCTCCCGCCTTAGTCACCACCGCTTCTTCCCAGCATATCCTGAACAGCCCCCGTTAGCTGTCCTGGGTTTTCTTTTTTCTTTCTTTTTTTGTGACCGGGTTGTGCTCTGTTGCCCAAGCTGGAGTGCAATGGCGCGATCTTGGCTCACTGCAACCTCTGCCTCCCAGGTTCAAGTGATTCTCCTGCCTTAGCCTCCTAAGTAGCTGGGATTACAGGAGTGCACCACCATGCCTGGCTAATTTTTGTATTTTTAGTAGAGTTGGGGTTTCACCATGTTGCCCAGGCTGGTCTCGAACTCCTGACTTTACGTGATCCACCCACCTTGGCCTCCCAAAGTGCTGGGATTACAGGCATGAGCCACCGCGCCTGGCAGTCTCCCTAATTTAATTCAGTGCCGCTGCAGGCAGGTGGGTGTGGCCTGGTTGGGCAGTATAGAGCTACCAGCTACCAATGGCGTTCAGCCCCCAGGGTCGAGCGTGGGTTGTCTCAGCCCCTTGCGGGCAGGGCTGGAGTTCCTTCTGGTATGAGTTGGGGGACCCAGTCCCCCCCATCCCTCTGCAACCCGAGGCCCCCCACCAGGTCCCCTCCAGTTCAGTCTGGTGCTTTCTAGTACCCCTGGCCCCCAGAAACCCCTGGCCCACAGCTCCCTTGACCTGAGGCCTGAAATTCACCCACTGCCCTCTGAGGCTTGGTCCAAGTCCAAGTATGCCTTCCTCTCAAGCTAGACGCCTGCCCGCCACTCAGCATGTCAGAGCAGGCAGGGCCTCTAGATTTTAGTGGGGAAACTGAGGCACTGAAGGCAAACGTGATGTCCTCAGCTGGGAAAATATTAAAGACATTCTGGGCTTATCTCTCTCTCTCTCTCTTTTTTAGAGACAAGACCTCGCTCTGTCACACACACTGGAATTATGGCTCCCTGCAGCCTCCAACTCCTAGGCTCGAGGGATCCTCCCGCCTCAGCCTCCCGAGTAGCTGGGAATACAGTCGTTCGTCCCCACCATGTCTGGCTAATTTAAAAAAATGTCTTTGCAGGATGGGATCTTGCTATGTTACCCAGGCTGGTCTCAAACTCCTGGGCTCAAGTGATTTTCCCATCTTGGCCTCCCAAAATGCTGGGATTATAGGTATAAGCCACCACGTCTGGCCTGAGTCATCTCTTTTGACCCAGAACAAAACCAGTCCAGGAGTGGCTGTACTCTCACCCTACACTGGGGAGGCTCACAGCTCTAGGGTGCAGTGGGGCTCTTGCAATTTAATGACTGATTCATCTTCAAAAAAGCACAATCTCAGCCAGGTGCGGTGGCTCACGCCTGTAATCCCAACACTCTGGGAGGCTGAGGCGGGCTGATCACCTGAGGTCAGAAGTTTGAGATCAGCCTGGCCAACATGGTGAAACCCCGTCTCTACTCAAAATACAAAAATTAGCCGAGTGTCATGGTGCACACCTGTAATTCCAGCTACTCAGGAGGCTGAGGCAGGCGAATCGCTTGAACTCGGGAGGTGGAGGTTGCAGTGAGCCAAGATTGTGCCATTGCACTCCAGCCTGGGCAACAAGAAGAGAAACTCCATCTTAAAACAAAAAAACAAAACAAAACAAAAACAAAAAAGCACAATCTCTTTCAGAATTTTTACCTTCTCGGGGTGGTTCTGTTAGGAAAGGCTTCCATGGGAACCTTCAATAAGTGACCTAAAAAAATCTCAGAGCCATTCTTTTTATTTTTATTTTTTCCAGATGGCGTCATGCTCTGTCACCCAGGCTGGAGTGCAGTTGCACAATCTCAGCTCACTGCAACCTCCACCTCCTGGGCTCAAGCCATCCTCCTGCTTCGGCCTCCTGAGTAGCTGAGACTACAGGTGCGTGCCACCGTGCCTGGCTAATTTTTAATTTTTTTGTAGAGACGGGGTCTTGTTATGTTGCCCAGGCTGGCCTCAAACTCTTGGCCTCAAGTGATCCTCCTACCTTGGCCTCCCAAAGTGCTAGGATTACAGGGGTGAACCACTGTTCCTGGTTTAGAGCCATTCTTTTTTTTTTTTTCTGAGACGGAGTTTCACTCTTGTTGCCCAGGCTGGAGTGCAATGGTGTGATCTTGGCTGACTGCAACCTCCGCCTTCAAGTTTCAAGCGATTCTCCTGCCTCAGCCTCCCGAGTAGCTGGGATTAGAGGCACCCGCCACCATGCCCAGCTAATTTTTTATTTTTAGTAGAGACGGGGTTTCACCATGTTGGCCAGGCTGGTCTCGAACTCCTGACCTCGTGATCTGCCTACTTCGGCCTCCCAAAGTGCTGGAATTACAGGCGTGAGCCACAGCACCAGGCCCTAGAGCCATTCTTAACAGGGTTTGTCCCCCTGGAAAGTTCCCGAAGCCTCACCCTCCTGGGAATTCCCTGCTGGGTGCCACAGTCATCTCTTCACCACTCGGTTTCCACTCTCCCATCTTTGCACCGAGATCCCACCGTTAGGCCTTTTTCAAGCACGGACCTTCTCATGCTCAGTCTCTCTGCGGTGTGGAAGTGTCTACTGAGTGGGCCTCACAGAAGGTTCCAGGCCCTAGTGCAAGCTCAAGGGAAATGATGATCCAAAATGGACTCAGATAAAGTTTCTGCCACTCTGCATTGGGGGCTTTTGGTAGGAGTCCAGTTCAATTTTAGAAAAATAAAAATACATGTCTCGCACTTCTGAGTTTGCAGACTAAGGTCCATTCTGTATTTGCAAACGAGGACAAAAAGAAAGGCGGCTGAATGCGGTGGCTCACGCCTGTAATCCCAGCACTTTGGGAGGTCAAGATGGGCGGATCACTTGAGGCTGGCCAGGAGTTCGAGACCAGCCTGGTCAACCAGCCTGGACTTTCATTGTGTTAGGGTGCCTACAAATACAAAAATTTAGCTGGATGCTGTGGCACACGCCTATAATCTCAGCTACTCAGGAGGCTGAGGCAGGAGAATCATTTGAACCTGGGAGGCGGAGGTTACAGTGAACCAGGATCACACCATTGCACTCTAGCCTGGGCAACAAGAGCTAAATTCCATCTCAAAAAAAAAAAAAAAAAAAAAAAAAAAAAGAGGGCAATTGGCGGAAAATAGTCCTCCCAGCTAACCTAGCACTGCCCATCTTTTCCCATATTCAGATCACATGGTGAGGCAGGTGTGCTTGTCCATCTTGGCGGTAAGGAAGTGAAGGCTCAGATTCCCATGGCTAGTCAGGCGGGTACAGGGACTTGAATGAGGCGGCACTTTCCCATGGCCCACATGCTGCCTAAGACCCTGAAGGCTGACTCCTGGGCACTGTCCCCAGCCACCCGCCTCTCTGCAACTATCTGCCACCCCT
Organism: Homo sapiens; assembly: GCF_000001405.40. Lineage (NCBI taxonomy): Eukaryota > Metazoa > Chordata > Mammalia > Primates > Hominidae > Homo > Homo sapiens. The sequence continues at coordinate 74,562,289 of NC_000007.14, read as the reverse complement.
CCACCTGCCCTGGGACACCTGCCTCCAGATGAAGGGGTCTGCTATTTCCCCTGCCTCCCCCAGCAGACCCCAGCTTCCACTCCGATTCACCCTGGAACTGCCGGTGCTGGCCCAGGCCAGGCTTCGGGAACCGTGTGAGGGAGAGTTTGAGAAAAGCCCATTCTGGTGCAGAAGTAGCACTCAGTGACCTCTGGTGAACCCTCAGAGACTCCCAGGAGCCTGGACGTGTTCCCAGCCCAGCATGACTAGTGGCATGAGTAAGTGTGGATACCTGGTGGATACCTGGCTTGGGTGCCAACGCCTGGAAAGGGGCTGGCAGGTCCATCCCTGAGGGCTGAGGCCACGACCACCTGCTAGCCCTGGGACACAGAGTATTAACACATCACTCACACCGAGCCTCAGTCTCCCCCTCTGTAAGGTGGGCTCTAGCGTCAACCTCCTAGCTATGAAGACTAAATGAGATGCCTCCTCTGTCTGCACTCTGCTGTAACCCTAGTTCCTCTAGAATACCACCTTGTCCCAGCAGGACCTCCCAAAATATGTGTGAAAGGCACCCGCATAAAGCACCAGTGCAGGGCCAGAAACCCAGTGACCTCTCAGCCGGGTGTCCACTGGAGCCACACTCACTGCACTGTGCTGCTGCAGCTTCCACTCTCTCCACCTTTCCAACATCATCTGACCACTCTGCCCCTCCGAGAGCTCCGGAAACACACTTCTGGCATCCAGTGACCCCCCAACCCCTGCCGTTCACCCCGCCAAACCCACCCTCCTCTCTGCCTCTCAAAGTCCCATCTTCCCCTGAGGCCCAAGCAGGGCCATCCTTACTCCAGGAAACCCTCTCCAACTACCCCTCACCCTCCTGATCCCCCTTCTGGGGGTTCCCGTGGCCTGTCAGCAGCCGCCACATCACTGTACCCTAAGTTCTTTTTTTTTTTTTTTTTTTGAGACAATCTAGTCCCGTCGCCCAAGGTGGAGTGCAGTCGCGCGATCTCGGCTCACTGCAACCTCTGCCTCCCGGGTTCAAGTGATTCTCCTGCCTCAGCCTCCCAAGTAGCTGGGATTACAGGTGTGCGCCACCACACCTGGCTAATTTTGGGATTTTAAATAGACATGGGGTTTCACCATGTTGGTCAGGCTGATCTCGAACTCCTGACCTCAAGTGATCCTCCTGCCTTGGCTTCCCAAAGTGCTGGGATTACAGGTGTGAGCCACCGTGCCTGGCCCGCCCTGGAGGCTCTGGCCAGCCCTTAGTGCTTGCCAAGTGGCATGTCGCCCCGCAGGGACAGCCCCTGCAAATCTGGGTTTGGGATCACCCTGCAGGGACAGCCCCTGCAAATCTGGGTTTGGGAGGCCAGGACACAGTCCATGGTGGAGACAGAAGTGGATGGGTGCCTTAAAAAGGGTCAGGAGGTCGGGTGTGGTGGCTCATGCCTGTAATCCCAGCACTTTGGGAGGCTGAGGCAGGAGGATCACTTGAGGCCAGGAGTTTGAGACCAGCCTAGCCAATATGGTGAAACCCAGCTCTACTAAAAACACAAAAATTAGCCGGGCATGGTGGTGCCCACCTATAATCCCAGCTACTTGGTAGGCTGAGGCAGAATAGCTTGAACCTGGGAGGTGGAGTTTGCAGTGAGCAGAGATAGTGCCATTGCATTCCAGCCTGGGCAACAAAGTGAGACTTGGTCTGTCTCTGTCTCTCTCTCTCTCTATATAATATTTTTTATTATATATATAATATTTTTAATTATATATAATATTTTAATTATATAAATATTTTTAATTATATATAATATTTTTATTATATATATTTTTTATTATGTATATATTTTATTATATATATAAAATATTTTTTTAAAAAGGGTCAGGAGAGGCACTGCACTGTTTAAGGCAGGGTAGGCGCCACCCACATCTTACCAACATGCTTGTGGTCCCCATGCAGACACCCCTCCTTCTGCGGTTAGGAACCCACTCACCTCCAACCTCGCCTATTCACTGAGGTCAACCAGAGCCCCTTTATCAGGAGGAGCAGGTGCACTGACTCGGCCTGGCCCCTCCCTCCTGAACCCAGACTGGGTAAAACTTAGAAGTCACTGACGCCACCACCCCTTTCTCTGTCCCAGGATCTGGGGCCACATTCAAGCTTAGTCTTCCTCCATCTACCTGGGGCAGGAGCCCAGGTAAGGTGGCTAAACAGAAGGGCAGAGGCCTAGGCCGGGCGCAGTGGCTCACGCCTGTAATCCCAACGCTTTGGGAGGCCGAGGTGGGTGGATCACTTGAGGTCAGGAGTTTGAGACCAGCCCTGGCCAACATGGTGAAACCCCGTCTCTACCAAAAATACAAAAAATAGCCAGGTATGGTGACAATTGCCTGTAATCCCAGCTACTCAGGAGTCTGAGGCAGGAGAATTGCTTGAATCCAGGAGGTGGAGGTTGCAGTGAACCGAGATGAAGCCACTGCACTCCAGCCTGGGTGACAGAGAAGGACTCTGCCTCAGAAAAAAAAAAAAGAAAGGCAGGGGCCTGGCTTCTGTTCCCAGACCCCAGAACCTGTGCCCCACAGCAGGCTTAGCTCCAGTCCCCAGCACCACGATCGGGCCCTATTCCCAGTGCCCCCTCCACAGCCAGTGCCTCTTACCAGGCTTTGGGATGAGTCCTTGGAAAGGCCTAGAAGAGAAACAGAGGCAGGGGTGTCATGGGGAGGGCCTGGGGGATGAGGAAGACACCCCTGGGATTCAGTGGCCTCGGTCTCCCCTGGGAGCACCCCAGACCTACAGCAGCAGAATCTGCATTTTAACAAGCTGCCCTGGGGCTCTGTGTGTGCGGGACACTGAGACAATGTGGCAGGGTGCTGGCATTGGCAGTGTCACTCTGCAGGACGCAGACCTGGGCCTTGTGCAGGCTTTGCCCTGGCTGGCCCCGGGACCTTGGGCAAATCCCTCTGATGGGGGCTGAATACCTTTCCCGGGGGCTGGGGGTGCAGTGAGCGGGTGTTGCTGAACAGGTTGAAGATGCCCTCAAAGGCTGCCCTTGCCATGGGGGGGTGACCAGTCCCACTTCTGAAGGGCTCCCTTCACTTGGGCTGGCCTGCAGTCCCTCTCCAACCACCCCCAGGACCCAGGATGGTGCCAGGAGAGCCACCTTGTCCAGGGGGGAGGGCAGGACCTAGGGAAAGGCTAAGGATTCGCAGGTGCAAGCTCCCATCTGAGCTAGTCCTGCCTCTTCACCCTCACCCTTCCCACTGAGTACCTGGTGACTGTGAACTTGATCTTGTCAGCCACAGCAAGAATCCTCTCCAGGTTCTGGGAGCCGAAGGTACAGGGCTTTCGGAACGGGATTCCTGGGGGCAGCCCCTCGATGATCACGGAGCCGGGGTTACTCTTGATCCGCTTGTAGGGGACCTGGACCGGGTACTTGATGCCCAAGGCTTCCCCTGTGGGCGAGAGGCAGGGTCCTGCCCGTCAGGAGTGAGAGGCAGCGTGGGGTGTGTGTACATGGGATTGCGGGGATGTGATGGAAAGACATGCGTGCAGGAGAGTGAATGGTACGAGAAAGCTCTTATGTAGTGTAGCACTGTGGAAAGGTATAGGCATTACAATCTGAGCTGTTTGATCAGAACATAAAAAAAAGGCCAGCATGGTGGCTTATGCCCGTAATCCCAGCATTTTGGGGAACCAAGGCAGGAGGATCTCTTAAGTCTAAGAGTTCGAGATCAGCCTGGGCAACACAGCAAGACCCTGTCTTTACTAAAAATTTCTAAAAACTAGTTGGGCATGGTAGTGCCCAGTGGGGTGTAGTTCCAGCCACTTGGGAGGCTGAGGCAGGAGGATTGCTTGAGCCCAGGAGTTTGAGGCTGTAGTGAACCATGATCACGCCACTGTACTCCAGCATGGGTGACAGAGTGAGACCCTGTCTCAAAAAAAAAAAAAAAAAAAAAAAAAAAAAAGAAACGAAAGAAAAAGCCACACCAATATGCTCCCATGTCATATGCTCCATTTTTTTTTTTTTTTTTTTGAGACGGAGTTTCGCTTTTGTTGCCTAGGCTGGAATGCAATGGCGCGATCTCAGCTCACTGCAACCTCCCCCTCGCAGGCTCAAGCGATTCTCCTGCTTCAGCTTCCTGAGTAGCTGGGACCACAGGTGTGCACCACTGCACCTGGCTAATTTCTTTTTTGTGTTTTTGGTAGAGATGGGGTTTTGCCATGTTGCCCAGGCTGGCCTCGAACTCCTGAGCTCAAGTGATCCACCTGCCTCAGCCTCCAAAAGTGCTGGGATTACAGGCAGGAGCCACTGTGCCGGGCCCTTGTCTATTAAATTCTGTGTGTAGTTCTTGAAAGTGTATCTCACCTCATTGGTCTGCAAGGCTCATGAGTACAGGGACTGTGTCTGTTTTATTCACAGCAATATCCCCAGTGCCTGAGACAGTGCCTGGCACGTAGTATATGCTCAAGAAATACATGTAAAGGGGTGAATTGTTTCCCCAGAAATGCCCTCGGCTGGAACTGGGAAGCCTCCCACTTCTCTGTGCACAGCAGCTGCGTGTCCCTCCCCGGGGGTTCTGCACTGCTTACCGTATTTCTTATTGAAAAGGTCCTGGACCTGCTCCCTTAGTGTGTTGGCGATGTCGATCCGTGAGAGCCTCGCGTCATAATTTTCTGCAAAGCGCAAAACGATTATGGGTTTGGGCTGTTGAGTGAAAAAGCACTTGGTGACTTTTAAGGAAGATGATTTTCTAATTATGGGGAACTCCTTCTCCGGCAATTAAAGGATCTTTGGAGTGGGCCCCTCAGGTCCTTCAGCACCGACATGTTGATGGAGATGTCTTTTTTTCAGAAGGACATGCACTGTTGCCACAACAGTGATGAGTTGGAAATTAAGTTAATTGATGACATTTGAAAACCACCAAACCAATAAATAAGCCCCGGAGGGGAGGGACACCATAGAGTACGGAGTCCTGTGCCCTGGGCTGGCAGGCAGGGGGCGGGGGCTTCATGAAGTCACTAGGGGGCTGGAGACAAGCGAGGGAATGGAAGCCCAGCTGATCTAGCAGATGGAGGAGGATGGGCAGTCCCCACAGACACAGGGGATGGGCCTGGCGGCTCCCAATGGAACCTCCACCTCCCAGGCTCAGGCGATTCTCCTGCTTCAGCCTTCTGAGTAGCTGGGACCACAGGCGTGCACCACCGCACCTGGCTAATTTCTTTTTTGTGTTTTTGGTAGAGATGGGGTTTCGCCATGTTGCCCAGGCTGGCCTCGAACCCCCAAGCTCAAGTGATCTGCCTGCCTCAGCCTCCAAAAGTGCTGGGATTACAGGCATGAGCCACCAAGACACCCTCACCCAGAAAGTGTTCATTAAAAACGCCCAAGTGTGACCGGGCGCGGCGGCTCATGCCTGTAACCCCAGCATTTTGGGAAGCTGAGGCAGGAGGATCACCTGAGGGCAGGAGTTGGAAACCAGCCTGGCCAATGTGGTGAAACCCTATCTCTACTAAAAATACAAAAATTAGCCAGGCATGGTGGTGCGTACCTGTAATCCCAGCTACTTGGGAGGCTGAGGCAAGAGAACCCCTTGAACCTGGGAGGTGGAGGTTGTAGTGAGCCAAGATCGCACCACTGCACTCCAGCCTGGGTGACAGAGCAAGACTCTGTCTCAAAAAAAAAAAAAAAAAAAAAGCTGGGTGCAGTGGTTCATGCCTGTAATCCCAACACTTTGGGAGGCTGAGGTGGGCAGATCATCTGAGGTCAGGAGCTCGAGACCAGCCTGTCCAACATGGTGAAACCCCGTCTCTACTAAAAAATACAAAAATTAGCCGGGTGTGGTGGCACGTGCCTATAATCCCAGCTACTTGGGAGCCTGAGGCAGGAGAATTGCTTGAACCCGGGAAGCGGAGGTTGCAGTGGGCTGAGATCACGCCATTGCACTCCAGCCTGGGCAACAAGAGTAAAACTCCATCCAAACAAACAAACAAAGACAAGTGCCAGCATGTGCTGGAGGGATCCCAGACCACCATCTCTCTCTCTCTCTCTCTTTCTTTTTTTTTTGAGACAGGGTCTTGCTCTGTCACCCAGGCTGGAGTGCAGTGGCATGATCTCGGCTCACTGCAATCTCCGCCTCCCAGGTTCAAGCGATTCTCCCGCCTTAGCCTCCCTAGTAGCTGGGATCACAGGTGCACGCCACCTCGCCCAACTAATTCTTGTATTTTTTTGGTAGACACGGGGTTTCACCATGTTGGCCAGGCTGGTCTTGAACTCCTGGCCTCAAGTGATCCACCTGCCTCGGCCGCCCAAAGTGCTGGGATTACAGGCGTGAGCCACTGCACTCGGCCTCTGATTTCTTTTCTTAAAAATAGACATAGAGACGGGTTCTATGTTGTCCAGGCTTGTCTCGAGCTCCCAGCCTCAAGCGATCCTCCCACCTTGACCTTCCCAAGTGCTGAGATTACAGGCGTGAGGTGCCGCGTCTGGCTCCTATTCTGATTTCAAAGCACTAAGACCACAGCTGATTGCTGAAAAAGGAGTGGGCGTGTCAGCTACCTCTGGGGGGTGGGGCAGGGAGGGGGCAGGCAGGCTCCTGGGCTCCCCCGACCGTCCACCTGTAGGCACCCCCTCTCCCCTGGAGTCTCTAACACAGAGCTGGCAGGGTACAGCCGGGCCTGGGCTGCCAACCTGGCTTGCCTGGTCCCTTAGGCCCTGAAGTTGGGGGCCAGCTCCTCCCCACTTCCAGCCTGGCCCTCCAAACCCAAACCAGGTCAATGTCCTGGTGCTGGGACAACAGACCTCCCCGTGAGCTCAACCTTACCTTGAAAGCCCTGTCTCTTCAGGCTCTCGTCCACCAGAGGGTCCCCGGAATCCCTCTCTGGGGGCAGGGCAGGGGGAGAGAAGCCAAGTGAGGAGGCAGTTCCTGGGACCCAAGATGGCATCGTTAGGGGAAACCCAATGTGGGGGTGTGGGGAGAATGCCAGGGCCAGGATGGGAGCAGGACAGAGGCAGCAGGAGGAGGGGCTGGTGGCAGAGGCCTGGGGCCCTCCCTTGCCCGCCCACACCATGGCTCCCGACCCCGCGCTGGGTACCTTGACTATCCATGATGGGCTCTTTGACTCCCTCAGTGAGCAGCTCGGGCCTGGAAAACACAAGCGAGGCTATCACAGAGGTCCCTCCAAGCATCTCTGGGACTGCTCAGCCCTCCTCTCTGGGCCTCAGTCTACACAGCCCTGCAATGGACCCTTCTGGCTATGCATAGTTCAGGCCTGGAGTCCCTGCCGCCCCACATGTGGAATCTGGGGGGCTGCGCTGGGCTTGAAGGATCCAGCTGGGAGTGAGACCCCCCCCAGTCCTGAACAGGTCCATCTGATATCTCACTCCTGCTCCAGGGACATTGCACGATTGTCACTGCCTGGGATTGGAGCAGGTGGCCTCAGGTGGCCTCCCGTGGAGCTGGTTTAAAGTGTAGAAACAAGGTCAGGTGCAGTAGCTCACGCCTGTAATCCCAGCATTTTGGGAGGCCGAGGAGGGCAGATCACTTGAGGTCAGGAGTCTGAGACCAGCCTGGCCAACATGGTGAAACCCGTCTCTACTAAAAATACAAAAATTAGCCAGGTGTGGTGGCAGGTGCCTATAATCCCAGCTACTTGGGAGGCTGAGGGAGGGGAATGGCTTGAACCCAGGAGGCAGAGGTTGCAGTGAACTGAGATAGCACCACTGCACTCCAGCCTGGGTGACAGAGTAAGACTCCGTCTCAAAATGAAAGAAAAGAGTAGAAACAGTCGGGGCCCACTACGAAGCAAGAACTCCAAGCTTCTGGAAAGGTCTGAGATCTACGGCTCACGTCTGAGAGCTGCTGTGTTACTGCAGTCGGAAGCACCAGTGACCAAGCCCAGCTCTGTATTATGCTAATGTCTTTAGCTCCACAGACTCCAGAAAGCCCTGTCCAGACATGAGTCAACCTTCTTTGTCATACAGCACTGCTTCTGAAGGCCCCATCTTCAGCACAACTTGTCCTGTTAGAGCAAGCCTGTTGTGGGGCTGGGGTTTGTGGTGGGTAGAGGACACTGGGAAAATCATGCTGGCCAGAAGGGGGCTGTCGGGGGATGGCAGGGTAGGCCATGGAGCAGAGAGGTAATGAGCTCTCTGGAGAGGTAATGGGCCTGGAGAGGTAATGAGCTCTCTGTCACAGGGGTAATCAAGCAGCAACTCCGAGGAGTCTCTGCCTGGGAGTGAGCCCAAAGGCCAAACTCTCAGGGAGGGCACCCCTGGGGTCCCCAGTAGATGAGGATTTGGTGCCCGCTCTGGCGGTGGGCATCTCTTAGGCTTCTGTACAGTGCCAGGCACAGAGCTGGGGTCACGGGGCCAGGGCTGGGAGGGGAAGCATAGCCCTGCCTTGAACCACAGTCTCAGGAGCTAGAAAAGGCTTCGGACTGCATTTAGGCCCCTCCTCTTTATGGGAGAACTCAGGTTCTGAAAGGGGAAGTGACTTCCCAGCAGTAAACTTAGAGAGGCAGAAGCTGGGCAGAGCCCCTGAGTCCCAGGCCAGAGTAGCGACAGTGCTTCCCCTTAAATAGCACAGCCGGCTGCCAAGGCCACAGGGAGTAACAGGAGGAGCTGGCCTCAAACCCACCAGACGGCCTCTCCCGTCGGCCACTGCACTGACCTGTCTCCCTTTCCAAATGACAGGTGGAGAAAGCCATCGTGACTTTAAAAAGTGCTCAAGGCTGGGCATGGTGGCTCAACCTGTAATCCCAGCACTTTGGGAGGCTGAGGCAGGGGCATCGCTTTGAGCCCAGGAGTTGGAGACCAGCTTGGGCAACATAGCGAGACCCCTTCTCTACAAAAAATGTAAAAATTAGCCAGGTGTGGTGGCGTGCCCCTGCAGTCCCAGCTACTCAGGAGGCTGAAGCAGGATTGCTTGAGCCCAGGAGTTTAAGGCTGCAGTGAGTTATGATTGTGCCACTACACTCCAGCCTGGGCTAAAGAAAGACTTGTCTCTTAAAACAAATGCTCATGGCCAGGCATGGTGGCTCACGCCTGTAATCCCAGTTACTCGGGAGGCTGAGGCAGGAGAATCGTTTAAACCTGGAAGGTGGAGGCTACAGTGAGCCGAGACAGCACCACTGTACTCCAGCCTGGAGTGAGACTCTGTCTCAAAAAAAACCCACAAAAGGCCAGGCATGGTGGCTCACGCCTCTAATCCCAGCACTTTGGGAGGTCAAGGTGGATGGATCACTTAAGGTTAGGAGTTCGAGACCAGCCTGACCAACATGGTGAAACACCGTCTCTACTAAAAATACAAAATTTAGCCAGGTGTAGTGACATGCGCCTGTTATCCCAGCTACTCAGGAGGCTGAGGCCGGGGAATCGCTGGAACCCGGGAGGCGGAGGTTGCAGTAAGCTGAGATGGTGCCACTGCACTCCAGCCTGGGCAATAGAGTGAGTGAGACTCTGTCTCAAAAAATAGAAAACAAACAAACAACAACAAAAAAACCAACCCACAAAAAACAAAAAACCAATGCTCATGAGCACAAGGTGTCTCTGCACAAAGCCATAAAAAATGTCATTCATGAGGACTTGCTGTTGAATTGGCACCTGACCTCAAGCTGCCCGGGTGCCCCTAGTTTATGGTTTGAGGGAATAGGCATAGAAAGCAAAAACAAAAATAAAAACAAACCAGAATGAGACACTGTCTCTTAAGACTTTTTAAAAAATAAAATAAAATTCAAACTCTTTAAGCTGGCCCAAAATCCATGTGATCTGGCTCCTGCTACCTTTTTATTTATTTATTTTGAGAGAGAGTTTTGCTCTTGTCGCCCAGGCTGGAGTGCAGGGGCGCGATCTCAGCTCACTGCAACCTCTGTCTCCTGGGTTTAAGCAATTCTCCTGCCTCAGTCTCCTGAGTAGCTGGAATTACAGGACCCCCTCACCATGCCTGGCTAATTTTTGAATTTTTAGAAATGGGGTGTCACCATGTTGGGCAGGCTGGTCTCGAACTTCTGACCTCAGGTGATACACCCTCCTCAACCCCCACAAAGTGCTGGGATTACAGGCGTGAGCCACCTCTCCTGGCCTATTTTTCTTTTTTATAGAGATAGGGTCTCACCATGTTGCCTAGGCTGGTCACAAACTCCTGAGCTCAAGCAATCCTCCTGCCTCAGCCTCCCAAAATGCTAGGATTACAGGCGTGGGCCACACGCCTGGTCCCCTGCTACCTCTTGGGCCTCAACCTCACCATCCTTCCCTCACTCACCCTGTACCAGCTGCAAGGGCACCTTGCAAGCTTTCAAACACCCAAGCACGTTGTTGCCTCAGGGACTTTGCATGACTTTTTCTCTGTCCCAACAGTCTTTATTTTTATTTATTTATTTTTTGAGACAGAGTCTCCCTCTGTCACCCAGGCTGAAGTGCAATGGCACAATCTCGGCTCACTGCAACCTCCACCTCCCAGGTTCAAGTGATTCTCCTGCCTCAGCCTCCCGAGTAGCTGGGATTACAGGCACACGCCACCACACCCGGCTAATTTTTGCATTTTTAGTAGAGACGGGGTTTCACTATGTTGGTCAGGCTGGTCTCGAACTCTTGACCTCGTGATCTGCCTGCCTCAGCCTCCCAAAGTGCTGGGATTACAGGTGTGAGCCACCACGCCTGGCCTGCTCCCACACTCTTTATGCACCTGGCTGGCCCTCTCCCTTCATTGGGTCACCGCTTCAATGTCACCTTCTTATCCAGGTTCCTCCTGTCCCTCTCTCCCCCTCACTCTGCATTATATCCTGTCACAGCAGTTATCTCTACCTGACATGACATTTTGATTTTGTCTGGGTGACATCGGCAACTCCAGGGCAGGACTTGGTGGCATTTACTGCTGGGCTGCAAGCCCGGGACCTGGCAGGCATCCAGGATGGTTTTTTAGTTTGTTTGTCTCTTTGTGTTTTATTTATTTATAAACCCTATATTTATTTATTTTGAGAAGGAGTCTCGCTCTGTCGCCCAGGCTGGAGTGCAGTGATGTGATCTCAGCTCACTGCAACCTCCACCTCCCAGGTTCAAGTGATTCTTGAGCCTCAGCCACCCGAGGAGCTCGGACTACAGGTGTGCACCACCACGCCCAGCTAATTTGTGGTACTTTTAGTAGAGATGGTGTTTCACCATGTTGGCCAGGCTGATTTCAAACTCTGGAACTCAAGTGATCCATCTGCCTTGGCCTCTCAAAGTGCTGGGATTACAGATGTGAGCCACCATGCCCCGGCCTCTCTTTGTATTTTTAAAGGGACGAGGTCTTGCTCTGTCACCCAGACTGGAGTGCAGTAATGCCATCATAGCTCACTGCAGCCTGGACCCTCTGTGCTTAAGCTATTCTTCCGCCTTCCGCCTCAGCCTCCCAAGTATCTGGGACTACAGACACACACCACTGCACCTGGCTAATTTTTTAATTTTAAAAATAAAATAGAGATGGGGTTGCTATGTTGACCAGACTGGTCTCGAACTCCTGGCCTCAAGCGACCCTCCTGTTTTGTCCTCTCAAAGTGCTGGGATTACAGGTGTGAGAATTTTTAAAATTTTTTGTAGAGATGGGGTCTTGATACATTGCCCAGGCTGCTCTCAAATTCCTGGGCTCAAGCGATCCTCCTATCTGGGCCTCCCAAGGTGTTGGGATTACAGGCGTGAGCCATCACGCCTGGACGGAATGTATTTTTAAAAAAATTAAAAAAAAAAAATTTTCGAGACAGGGTCTTACTCTGTCACCCAGGCTAGAGTGCAGTGGTGCAATCAGGGCTCACTGCAGCCTCGACCTCCTGGCTCAAGCGATCCTCCCACCTCAGCCTCCCAAGTAGCTGGGACTACAGGTGCACACCACCAAGCCTGGCTAATTTTTTTTTTTCCCTAGAGATGGGGTTTCACACATTGCTCAGGCTGAGAATTTGTTGAAAGAAGCCCTCCTTCAACCAGTACAGTACTATACATGTATATAGTAGAGCCAATTACTGTACTATAATTACACATATTCTCTTGTGAATCTTTATTTCCCTGTTTTCACACATCTGATGGGCTATATGTCTATCATGAGTTTATCCTTAAACCACCTGAAATGTGATCTTCCCTTTTTATTTTTTTGAGACAAGAGTGTTACTGTCCCCCAGGCTGAAATGCAGGAGTGCGATCTCGGCTCACTGCAACCTCTGCCTCTCGGGTTCAAGTGATTCTCCTCTTTGCCTCTTGAGTAGCTGGGATTACAGGTGCATGCCACCATGCCTGGCTAATTTTTTTTTTTGAGATGGAGTTTTGCTCTTGTTGCCCAGGCTGGAGTGCAACGGCGTGATCTCGGCTCACTGCAACTTCTGCCTCCTGGGTTCAAGCCAATTCTCCTGCCTCAGCCTCCAGAGTAGCTGGGATTACAGGCACCTGCTACCACGCCCGGCTAATTTTGTATTTTTTAGTAGAGATGGGGTTTCTCCATAGTGGTCAGACTGGTCTCAAACTCCCAACCTCAGGTGATCTGCCTAACTCGGCCTTTCAAAGTGCTGGGATTACAGGCGTGAGCCACCGCACCCGGCCTTAATTTTTGTATTTTCAGTAGTCCTGATCTCAAGTGATCTGCCCACCTCAGCCTCCCAAAGTGCTGGGATTACAGGCATGAGCCACCATGCCTGGCTCAATCTTCCTTTTAATATGCCCAGACACACCGGGCATGTGGCTGCATTCATCCTGGCCTGCTGAAGCCTTTGCTTCTACTGCACGAATCATGACTCTTGCTCTCCAGCCCTGTTGCATAGCTTTTTGCTATCTGCTCTTTGTGTGTCATGGAGCAGCAGCCTCCCTCCTGGCACAGAGCAGGCCCTGCAGTAGAGCTCCCTGTCCCAGCGGATCTCCTCGCCACTGTATGAAAAATGACGCTGTGAGTCTCCCAGTTTGAGAACTATCTATTCTCCTGGAGGAACAAACCCTTAAGAGTCTCTTCTTTCTTGCCACTTTCAACCAAACCAAGCCTATTTTTTTTTTTTTTTTTGAGACAGAGTCTTGCTCTGTTGCCCAGGCTGGAGTGTCGTGGTACGATCTCAGCTCAGTGCAACCTCCGCCTCCCGGGTTCAAGTGATTCTTGTGCCTCAGTCTCCTGATGACAGGGAGATTACAGCTGGGATTACAGGTGTGAGCCACCACACCTGGCTAATCTGTGTATTTTTAGTAGAGATGGGATCTCACCATGTTGGCCAGGCTGGTCTCGAACTCCTGACCTCAAGTGATCTGCCTACCTTGGCCTCCCAAATGCCAGCTGGGATTACAGGCATGAGCCGTCATGCCCAGCTGTAAACCAAGCCTAAATATGTGCTATTACAGTAACACAGAAGTAACAAACACAAAATGGAAATATGATCCTCCCATTCCCTGGTTTTTTTTGTTTTTGAGGAAGAGTCTTGCTCTGTTACCCAGGCTGGAGTGCAGTGGTGCAATCATAGCTCACTGGAGCCTCCAAACCCCTCCTGGGCTTAAGTGATCCTCCCACCTCAGCCTCCTGAGTAGCTGAGATTACAGGTGTGCACCATCATGCCCAGCTAATTTAAAATTTTTTTGTAGAGATGGGGTCTTGTTATGTTGCCCATGCTAGTCTTGAACTCCTGGCCTCAAGTGATCCTTCTGCTTCAGCCTCCTGAGTAGCTGAGACTACAGGCATGTGCTGCCACACCAGAGTTTAAAAAAAAAAATTATAGTGACACAGTCTTGCCATGTTGCCCAGGCTGGTCTTGAACTCTTGGGCTCAAGCAATCCTCCCACCTCAGCTTCCCAAAGTGCTGGGATTATAGGCATGAGCCACTGTTCCTGAAATCCCCCAACCACATTTTTACTCAATAACTGCCACCACCTTCTCCAAAGGGACTTTTTTTTTTTTTTGAGACGAAGTCTCGCTCTGTTGCCCAGACTGGAGTGCAGTGGCACAATCTCCGCTCACTGCAAGCTCCACCTCCCAGGTTCATGCCATTCTCCTGCCTCAGCCTCCTGAGTAGCTGGAACTACAGGCACCCACCACCATGCCTGACTAATTTTCTGTATTTTTTTTTTAGTAGAGACGGGGTTTCACCGTGTTAGCCAGGATGGTCTCGATCTCCTGACCTCGTGATCCACCCGCCTCAGCCTCCCAAAGTGCTGGGATTACAGGCGTGAGCCACCGCGCCCGGGCCCAAAGGGACTTTTTATCCCAGCTGGGCACACAGGGTATGTCCATGGGTGCTGTCCCGGGCCCTCATTGGCAAAAACACAACACGCTCAAGGAAACAGAAACAGCCTGTAGAAGCCACTGCTGGTCCTTCCCATTCTGGGACGACAGGGCATTGCTCCCAGCCCCCGGCCCAGGACACCAACACGCCAGCCTGGAGAACCCGTGAGCTGATGGGACGTTCCCATTCTGCATCTGGGGAAACTGAACACTGCTCTCCTGAGACTGCGAGAGGGGTCAGTTCGGTGGCTTTGGGTCTGGCAGGCCTGGGGAGCCTCATGTCTGCCAACTGCAGCCAAACCCCATCTAACACCTTGCTGTCAAAAAAAAAAAAAAAAAAAAAAGAGAGAGAGAAAAGAAAGGCCTGGTGCCGTGGCTCACACCTGTAATCCCAGCACTTTGGGAGGCTGAGGTGGCCGGATCACTTGAGGTTGGTAGTTCAAGACCAGCCTGGCCAACATGGTGAAACCCTGTCTCCACTAAAAATACAAAAATTAGCCGGGCGTGGTGGCGCGCACCTGTAGTCTCAGCTACTCAAGGGGCTGAGGCAGGAGACTCGCTTGAAGCCAGAGCGGAGGTTGCAGTGAGCCAAGTTCGTATCACTGTACTCCAGCCTGGGAGACAGTGAGACTCTGTCTCAAAAAAAAAAAAAAAAAAAAAGGCTGGGCATGGTGGCACACACCTCACACCTGTGGTCCCAGCTATTCAGGTGGCTGAGGCACAAGAATTGCTTGATGGCAATTTGGTGCTGCTCCTGCCCCTTGGTGCTGAGCAGGGCCGGTGCTGTCTCCCATGGACCTGGTTGGGCCTTACCTCTTGATGACAAACTGGATGCTGTTGCTGGCCTCCAGAATCTTCCGGAGCTTGGCGATCCCGAAGCAGTTGGGCCTGCGGAGGGAGATGCCTTCAGGCAGTCCCACCACAAACAGCTCCTCCGGGTGCATCAGAAACTTGGAGTACGGCACCTTGACGGGCTCCGAGATGCCAATGGCCTTGGCTGCAGAGACATGGCTGCTGTAGGGCCACCCGGTGCCACAGGGCCAGGAGCCTCAACCCCTGTGTCCCGTGCCTGTGTCGGGGGGCAAAGCTGCCAGAGCCCTTTTGAGGGCCTGCCAGCTTTCCTGGGATGTGGAAAGAGTGGCCCCCCAGCCTGCAGGAAAGGAACCTGGAGTTCAGAGGGGACGTGACTTGTCTGAGGTCACAGAGCCACTGAACAGCAGAGCCAGGGGATAGGAACTCAACCCAGGGTTACCCCAAGGCCCACGCTGGGTCCATGCCCTCATGCCCAGGCAGTACAGAAGCCACCACTAATGGCTGCTGAGATTCGGCATTGCTTCCCCGAGTCCACTGGGCCTCGCCCTTCCAGTAAGGCCCCCCGAGTGTCCCTCCTGCCACCATAAGCAACCCCACACGCTGCTGTGGCACAACACCACGCCTTGGAACGAACCCGATCTCTGCCACTGAGTGGTGTGGGGCCTTGGACGAGTCACACCCCTTTACCAGGCCTCAGTTCTCCTCATCTGTAAAGTGGGTCTTAGGACACGGGGATTTTGTGAGATGGGATACAAGAACACAGGGGGCCGGGTGCAGTGGCTCAAGCCTATAATCCCTGCACTTTGGGAGGCCAAGGTGGGTAGATCGCTTAAGGTCAGGAGTTCAAGACCAGCCTGGCCAACATGGTGAAGCCCTGTCTCTATTAAAACTACAAAAATTAGCCGGGTATGGTGGCAGGTGCCTGTAATCCCAGCTACTCGGGAGGGTGAGGCAGGAGAATTTCTTGAACCCAGGAAGCGCAGGTTGCAGTGAGCTGATATTGCGCCACCACACCCCAGCCTGGGCAACAGAGTGAGACTCCGCCTCAAAAAAAAAAAAAAAAAAAAAGAAAAACATGGGGAATCACCTAGCCTCATGCCCGGCACACCACTGAGGTTATCTTATCTTATTCTTATTATGAGTCTTCTTGAGGACCCTGGATGAGGGTGAGGGCGGAGGGATGAGGGTGAGGGCGGAGGGCTGAGGGCTGGCGACATTACAGGGGAGGGAGTGGCCTCTCCAACCTGCGACTGAGGCAGAGTGTGAGTGAGTGAGCCAGGGAGCCTGAGTGACAGCCTCTCTAGTGTCCCCATCCTCATGATGGGTCCCAGCTCCTCCCTTCCCTCTCTCCCTTGTCCCTGCCCAGAGAACAGCTGGGATGGGAACAGGCAAGGGGATGCGACCAAAGCCCTTCTGCAAACAGGGCGGCTGGAGGGGGGCCGGGATGCCCCCAGACCCTGTCCCACTTCTTGCTCACCGTATCGTGTGTTGAAGAGCAGCTCCACCTGCTTCCGCAGGGGCCGGATCACGTCACCGTGGCTGTCTGGAAGGCAAAAGGCAGTCTGTTGAGGCTGGTTGGTGGCAGCTTCTCGGCTGATGTTCCTGCTCTGCTGGTACCAACATTGGCCCTGTGGTGGGATCTTGGAATGGGGGAAGGCTGGGGCTGGGGCGGTGGGTAACTTATTTCCTCAGAAATGGCACACGCAGACAGGTCCACAATTCCTGGGCTCACATTCTTGTTTGCGAAATCAAATCTAGGGCACCGCCAGCCTGAATGAAGATTTGGAAGGTTCTGTGGACTAGGAGTGACCATGGGTCTTTCTAGGTATGTGACTGAGTGTAGCATGTGATAGAACTAGTGGGTACCCACTAAGCCTGCAAATTGAGCAGGCTGCCACCAGGTGGCAGCGGAACTGTGTTAAGACTTCATGGTTCCTCCTGCCAGGCTGGGTTTGGGGAAGTGACAATTCTCTCCTCTGACACTCACTCATTCCATTCCAGGATACTACAGAGATGAAACAGACCCACCCTCACCCTGGCCTCCCTCTCTCTCTGTCCTACTTCCATTCTCAGCAGGGAGGGAATTCTCACGTTCCTGAGAATGGGCGTGTCTGCTGGACACAAAGCAAATTTTGTGCTTTCAGGCCTCTAATCTACTTGCTCAGATAGAGGAGGCTCAGTTCCCAGTCTTAAAACCTTTGCGCAAAGCAGCAGGGTGTGTAATAAAAACAAAGGCTTGCAATTTTCCTTAGCAGTGGGAACTGCTCTCACCTTTGACCAGGAACTTCCTGGTTCTAGAAGACAAATCCTTAAATCTCCTCCCATATCAGGCAGCCCACAGGATTCCCACCCCCACACCAGGGTGCTGGAGAGAGATGAGGTGGAGAGAACGAAGAGACCCAGAGGCCAAGGGGAGGTGGGCGGCAGGGGAAGAGAGATGGGGTGGGGGTGGGTGTAAAATGTCAGGGGTAGACAGGGCCTCACCCTCCACGGGCCTCTCCTCGGGCCGCGCGTCCTCACTCAGACCTTTGTCTAAAAGAGAACAGAGGATGCCGGGAAGCCACATTCATCATCTCCTAAGCCATGCACTGCCGACGTCAGGCCAGATAGCTGGGGAATGGCAGGCCAGGGGGCCCCAACTCTGAAGCATGGCACCCACTCCAATGGGATCAGGGACCCCGATTCCATACAGGTGCCTACCCTGGCCTTCACACGAAAGCAGGCTGAGATCATTTTGCATGCACCTCCCAAGCTAGTCTGTTCTAGACACTGAGGACACGTGGGAACAAGACAAAGTCCTCGGCTGGGCACGGTGGCTCACACCTGTAATCCCAGCACTTTGGGAGGCTGAGATGGGTGGATTACTTGAGGCCAGGAGTTTGAGACCAGCTTGGCCAACATGGGGAAATGCTGTCTCTACTAAAAATACAAAAATTGGCTGGGCATGGTGGCGCATGCCTGTAATCCCAGCTACTCGGGAGGCTGAGGCAGGAGAATCGCCTGAACCTAGGAGGCGGAGGTTGCAGCGAGGTCATGCTATTGCACTCCAGCCTGGGCAACAGAGTGAGACTCCGTCTCAAAAACAAACAAACAAACAAACAAAAAAACTTCCAGGTGAGAATACAAGGGACAATTTGTTTAAAATAGTCATCACATGAATTAGCACATAGATAAAAACATACAAAAGGAAGATGCTAGGAATACTAGTGGTTGCCTGAGGAGGATGTGACTGGAGCTTTTTCCTGGGTCTTGCTCTGTTGCCCAGGATGGAGTGCAGTGGAGCAATCACAGCTCACTACAGCCTCAACCTCTTGGGCTCAAGCTATCCTCCCTCCTTGGCCACCTGAATAGCTGGGACTACAGGTAGGTACCACCACATCCAGCTAATTGTTTTTTTTTTTTTTTTTTTTTTTTGTAGAGATGGGGTCTTGCTATGCTCCCCAGGCTGGTTGTAAACTCCTGGGATCAAACGATCCACCCGCCTCAGTCTCCTCAATAGCTGGAACTAGAGGCATGTACCACCACGGCTGGCTACTTTTTAAAATTTTTTGTAGAGACAGGGTTTCGCCATGTTGTCCAAGCTGGTCTCGAACTCCTGGGCTCAAGCGATCCTCCCACCTTGGCCTCCCAAAGTGCTAGGATTACAGACATGAGCCACTGCACCTGCTCAATGTATTACACAGTTCTGTATCATTTAACTGTTTCATATCAAATATGTGTAAACAGAAAAAGCACACAAATGCAAAATCCTCTAATCCATGGTGGTCCTGGACATCTCAGAATTTTCTTTTTTTGTTGTTGTTTTGTGCTTTTTGAGACAGAGTCTCGCTCTGTCACCCAGGCTGGAGTGCAGTGGTGCAGTCTCAGCTCACTGCAACCTCCACCTCCTGGGTTCAAGCGATTCTCCTGCCTCAGCCTCCTGAGTAGCTGGGATTACAGATGTGACTACCATCAGAATTTTCTTTTTCTTTTTTTTTCTTTTTCTAGACAGAGTTTCGCTCTTGTCACCCAGGCTGAAGTGCAATGGTGCGATCTTGGCTCACTGCAACCTCTGCCTCCTGGGTTCAAGTGATTCTCCTGCTTCAGCCTCCCAAATAGCTGGGATAACAGGTGCGCACCACCATGCCCAGCTAATTTTGTATTTTTAGTGGAGACGGAGTTTCGCCATGTTGGGCAGGCTGGTCTCGAACTCCTGATCTCAGGTGATCCCGCCTCGGCCTCCCAAAGTGCTGGGATTATAAGTGTGAGCCACCACACCCAGCCAGAATTTTCTTAATTCATCAGGTTTGACTGGGGTGCCTGGGAAGGAACCCTGCATGGGAAACATGTTTTCCAGCCCAAGGCTGTGTGACCTTGGGGAGGTGGATGAGCCTTGCTGAGCCTGTGTTCTGCTCTGTGAAACAAACAGCAATGATGCTGTGCTCATCCAAGGCCCCCAACCCCTGCAGTGCCACCCAGCCTCTGGCTGTGAGTGCTGCATGGAGGCTTCTATGGTGTTTTCTAAGGCCACTGCAAACCCAGCTGGGCACCGTGCCAATTCCTTAGGCGCCACGCCATGCTGTCATCTCAGCCTGAGCTTGGCGTCAACCAAACTCTCTGGATAGCTACGCCACAGACTGCTGTCAAGTCTGGTCATGCCCAGTTTGTGCTGGACAAATCATATTTTTTTCTTCATTACCAAAGTATTAGAAGTGCATCATAACTGATTTAGAAAATAAAAAACGCAAATCATTTTGCCTAACACTGCTACTGTTTTGCTCTACCCTTGTTTGTCCCCAGTGATTACGTTTGCAACACAGTTGTAAGCAAAGCACAATCAATTTTTCCTCTTTTGCTTAGTGTTACATCCTAAGCATCCTGCCTTGTTGCCTATTTTTGTTTGCTTGTTTTTGAGATAGAATTTCACTCTGTTGCCCAGGCTGGAGTGCAGTGGCGTGATCTCGGCTGCAAACTCCGCCTCCCAAGGTTCAAGCGGTTTTCCTGCCTCAGTGTCCCAAGTAGCTGGGACTGCAGGTGCCTGCCACCATGCCCAGCTAATTTTTTTTTGGTCTTTTTAGCAGAGATGGGGTTTCACTAGGTTGGCCAGGCTGATCTTGAACTCCTGGCCTCAGGTGATCTGCCTGCCTCGGCCTCCCAAAGTGCTAGGATTACGCAATTCTTCATGCCCAGCCTATTTTTGTTTTTTTTTTTTGAGATGGTGTCTTGCTGTGGCACCCAGACTGGAGTGCAGTGGCACCATCATAGCCCACTGCAGGCTCCAACTCCTGGGCTCAAAGGATCCTCCTGCCTCAGCCTCCTGAGTAGATGGGACTACACATAGGTCCTACCGTTCCTGTCTAATTTTTATCTATCTATCTATCTATCTATCTATCTATTTAGTTATTTTGAGGCAGAGCTTCGCTCTGTTGTCCAGGCTGGAGTGCAATGGCAAAATCTTGGCTCACTGCAACCTCTGCCTCCTGGGTTCAAGTGATTCTCCTGCTTCAGCCTCCTGAGTAGCTGGGACTACAGGCATGCGCCACCATGCCCAGCTAATTTTTGTATTTTTAGTAGAGAAGGGGGTTTCATCATGCTGGCCAGGCTGGTTTTGAACTCTGACCTCAAGTGATCTGCCCGCCTCAGCCTCCCAAAATGGTGAATTACAGTTGTAAGCCAATGCACCTGACCTATTTATTTATTTTAAGATAGGGTCTTACTCAGTGGCACCATCACGGCTCACCACAGCCTCAACCTCCTGGGCTCAATCAATCCTCCTACCTCAGCCTCCCAAGTAGCTGGAACTACAGGCACGCACCACCACACCCAACTAATTTCTGTATTTTTTGTAGAGATAGGGTTTCACCATGTTGCCCAGGCTGGTCTCAAGCTCCTGGGCTGAGGCAATCCTCCTGCCTTGGCCTCCCAAAGTGTTGAGATTATAGCTGTGAGACACTGTGTCAGTCAATTAAAAAAAAATCTTTTAGAGATGGAGTCTTGCTATGTTGCCCAGGCTGGTCTCGAACTCCTGGCCTCAAGCAGTACCCTCGCCTTGGCCTCCCAAAGTGCTGGAATTACAGGCGTGAGCCACCTCACCCTGCCTATTTTACTTATTTGCTTACTGTTTATCTCTCCGCACGAGGATGTGTACCCCAGCAGGTGGGGACACCTGTTTGGTCCACTGCTTTTTCCCCAGCCCCTTACGCAGGACCTAGTACATAGCAGGTGCTCAATAAATATTTGTTGAGGCAAGGTGTGGTGGCTCACGCCTGTAATCCCAGCACTTTGGGAGGCTGAGGCAGGAGGATCATTTGAGGTCAGGAGTTCGAGACCTGCCTGACCATCATGGTGAAACCCCGTCTCTACTAAAAATACAAAAAAATTAACCAGGCGTGGTGGCGGGCGCCTGTAATCCCAGCTACTCAGGAGAACTGCTTGAAGCCGGGAGGTGGAGGTTGCAGTGAGCTGAGATCGCGCCACTGCACTCCAGTCTGGGTGACAGAGTGAGGCTCCATCTCAAAAAATTTAAGAGATGGGTCTCTCTATGTTGCCCAGGCTGATCTTGAACTCCCAGCCTCAAGTAATCCCCTCACCTTGGGTTCCCAAAGTGCTGGGATTACAGGCACGAGCCACCTTACCCTGCCTATTTTACTTATTTGCGTACTATCCATCTATCTCTTCACATGAGGATGTGCACCCCAGGAGGTGGGGACTTCTGCTTGGTTCACTGCTTTGTCTCCAGCCCCTTACACAGGACCTGGTACACAACAGATGCTCAATAAATAGTTGTTGGATAAATGGACAAATTAATTCCAACAGGTGGCTCCTGGGAAGGACGCTGGGCCTTGTTATAAATGGAGCCTATGGCCAGGCACGGTGGCTCACGCCTGTAATCCCAGCACTTTGGGAGGCTGAGGCAGGTGGATCACCTGAGGTCGGGAGTTCAAGACCAGCCTGACCAACATAGCGAAAGCCCGCCTCTACTAAAAATACAAAATTAGCTAGGCATGGTGGCACATGCCTGTAATTCCAGCTACTCAGGAGGCTGAGGCAGGAGAATCACTTGAACCTGGGAGGCAGAGGTTGCGGTGAGCCGAGATCGTGCCACTGCACTCCAGCCTGGGCAACAAGAGTGAAACTCCGTCTCTAAATAAATAAATAGAGCCTACTTGAGGTTTCCAAAAGGAACCCAGCCTTGGATTAGGGTCAGGCATATATTGGGTTTCCTCTACTACAGACGGCTGACACCAAGAAACACCTGGGGACGGCCTGGCCCACCCCTTTCCCTTTGCTCCCTGGAGAGCTGAGTCCCAAGCACCACCAGCCCAGGTCCATTTCTTACCTGTCAGCATCTCCATCCCATAACCAGAATCCTCCGATGGCAGGTGCCCAGGCATCGAGTCTGTCATTTCCTCAGAGGTTGGCGAGGGGTCTGAAGACAAAACTCCGAATGACACGGGTATCTTCTGCCTGTCATACTCCTGTCACAGTCCCTCAGGGCCCACCCAGCCCAGTCTCCCCACAGACAAGGGTCCTTTTCTTTCTGTCTCTTTTTTTTTTTTGGTTTGAGATGGAGTCTCACTCTGTCGTCCAGGCAGGAGTGCAGTGGCGCCATCTTGGCTCACTGTAACCT
The DNA here is from genome assembly GCF_000001405.40 of Homo sapiens. Taxonomy (NCBI): domain Eukaryota; kingdom Metazoa; phylum Chordata; class Mammalia; order Primates; family Hominidae; genus Homo; species Homo sapiens. Next base: position 74,539,677 of record NC_000007.14, on the reverse strand, counting down.
CCGCCTCCCGGGTTCAAGCGATTCTCCTGCCTCAGCCTCCTGAGTAGCTGGGACTACAGGCGTGAGCCACCATGCCTGGCTTATTTTTGTATTTTTAGTAGAGATGGGGTTTCACTATGTTGGCCAGGCTGGTCTCTAACTCCTGACCTCAGGTGATGTGCCCGCCTCGGCCTCCCAAAGTGCTGGGATTATAGGCGTGAGCCACTGCGCCCAGTCATTTCTTTTTTTTTGAGATAGGGTCTCGCTCTGTTGCCCAGGCTGGAGTGCAGTGGTGGGATGACTGCTCACTGCAGCCTCCAACTCTTGGGCTCAAGTGATCCTCCTGCCCTAGCCTCCTGAGAAGCTACACCGACAGGCACACACCACCACATCTGGCTAATGTTTTGTATTTTTTGTGGAGATGTGGGTGTTGCTATGCTGCCCAGGCTGGTCTTGAACTCCTGGCCTCAAGCCATCCTCCCGTGTCAGCCACCCAAAATGCCAGGATTACAAGCATGAGCCACTGTGCCCAGCACCCTCTTGGCTTCTAACAGTCACCCCGTACTGAGGCTCCAGCGCCCAAATCTATCCTCTCCTCTGAAGATGTGGAAAATGAGGCTTGGCAGGGGGTAGGGTCAAACTCAGAGCCTCTCACACCCATGGCTTTTTCTTCTGTCCAGCCTCACAAATCCCAGGGAAGCCAAGCCAGGGAGGTGAAGTTTTGAGGGGACCTTCTGGAAGGTCAGAGCTGAGAACACTGATTCACAACGCAGGGGACAGATGTGGCCAGAAAAAGCATTCACAGTACCCCGATGGCTCTCAGAATCCACAGAGAGAAACAGCGGCCTGGAGGCCACTTCTTCACCAGGGCAGACCCTCAGGAGGCTAACGGTCCGGCCCTGATTTCTGCAGGGGGTGGTCAGATGCCCGTCCCTTACCTGGGACGGTGACCTGAATGATGTCCAGATCCTCTGGCTCAATTTTGATCGGCCTCAGCCCGCCCAGCTCCCCGGAGGTTCCTGCAAGGAGGAAAGGAAGAATCCTGTCAAGTCTGGCATGATCCCGACTGGGCAGAGTGACTCTTTCCAGAACATTCTGGTGTCTGTAACTTGTTAGTGAGGCCCTACCTAGGACAAGTCATGTCAGCCCCCTGGCTCCGCCCAAACTGGAATTGGAGGTCAGGGGAGCCCTCAGGCCAGGCTTAGGGGCTCCGATTTACAGACCCGGTGACTGAGGCCCCCCAGAGGGGAGGCTGCTGGTCCAAGAACCTGCAGCCTGGGTCTGGGCATCGACAGGAGGCAGTGGTGATGCCAGCACCCAGCTCTCCATGTCCCTGACCCCAGTAAGCTCCCAGCATGCCTTGCACCTCAGCTCTGCGAGGCCTAGTGGAGGCAGGTGGGCAGAGGAGGCTCGTTAGCACTCCAGGCTCATGGGCTGAGTTGAGCTCCTCCCCAAGGCTGCCGGGTAGGGCTGGTGGTTGCCCTCCCGGCCCACCACACACACAGCGGGCCCTGTTCCTTCTCACCTGGCCCACAGTCTTCAGACATGCTGCCCTTGTCTGACCTGTGAAGGGAAGCAGGAAATGACACCTGTCAGCCAAGTCCAGGGCCACCCTGCCCCAGCCTTGCCCCTCCAGGCAGTCAGGGCCCACCGCGGGCGCCACTGCAGAAGGCATCCCTGTCCCCATCGGCCCCTGGCCCTCCAGGATGGTGCTCCCCACCTCCACCAGGAAGACAGATTCCCCGTGTCTTGTCTCCAGGGACCACAATCTCCAGGGGTGGCCGAGCCAGGCACCTGCTCACTCTCCTGGGGTGAACCATCTGGGGATCCCCCTTCTTCACCATCTGGGAGCTCTGGGGATCCTAGGCTTGGCACACTGGGGGTTTGATCACTGCTTGTGGGGGACTGAGACCTGCAGGGCCTGGAAAGGGTTAAAAATCTGGGGAAGGGGCTGGGGAATGAAGGTGGCAGGAACCCTGGGACAGATGATTTGGTTAATTCCCTCCCTCCCAGGGAACTGCAGGGAGAGGCCTGATATGATGTGGGGATTCTGGGATAAACGGCCCACCCCTGCCCCTAAGAGGTCAGAATGTGCTTGGGGGGTGTTGGTGGATGGTAGCCAAGCTGAGTGCTGGGGGCAGGGTCTGGTGGGCACTCAGGACAGGCATCAGACCTGGTGTTGGTATGTATGTATGCATGTAGGTAGGTGTGTATGCATGTAGTAGGTATGTATGCATGTAGTAGGTATGTATACATGCATCCATGTTTTTTTTGTTTTTTTTTTTTGAGACGGAGTCTTGTTCTGTTGCCCAGGCTGGAGTGCAGTGGCACAATCTTGGCTCACTGCAACCTCCGCTTCCAGGGTTCAAGCGATTCTCCTGCCTCAACCTCCCGAGTGGCTGGGACTACAGGCATGCGCCGCTGCGCCTGGCTAATTTTTTTTGTATTTTTAGTAGAGACGGGGTTTTGCCATGTTGGCCAGGTTGGTTTCGAACTCCTGACCTCAGGTGATCTGCCTGGCTCAGCCTCGCAAAGTGCTGGGATTACAGGCGTGAGCCATCATGCCCAGCTGCATGTTTGTATTTTTGAAACAAGGTCTTTACTCTGTTGCCCAGGCTGGAGTGCAGTGGTGCGATCATAGCTCACTGCAGCCTTTACCTCCCAGGCTCAAGCAATCCTCCCATCTCAGCCTCCCAAGTAGCTGGGACCACAGGTACCAGCCACCACGCCCAGCTAACTTTTTATTTTTTGTAGAGACAAGGGTCTCACTATGTTGCCCAAGCTGGTCTCAAACTCCTGGGATCAAGAGATCCACCCACCTCAGCCTCCCAAAGCGCTGGGATTACAGGAGTGAGCCACCAAGTCCGGCCTGGTGTGGGCATGTATTTATTTTGAGATAGAGTCTTGCTCTGTCACCCAGACTGGAGTACAGTAGTGCAATCTCAGCTCACTGCAACCTCTCCCTCCCAGGTTCAAGCCATTCTCTTGCCTCAGCCTCCCGAGTAGCTGGGATTACACATGCGCACCACCACACCCGGCTAATTTTGTTTTTAGTAGAGATGGGAGTTTCACCATGTTGCCCAGGCTGGTCTCGAACTCCTGACCTCAAGAGATCCGCCCGCCTCGGCCTCCCAAAGTGCTGGGATTACAGGTGTGAGCCACCGCACCTGGCCTAGTGTGGGCATTTAGAGGCTTCTGAGAGAGGTGACATCTGGCTAGATGTTGGGGGCGGGAGAGTTCTCTATGTGAGAGTTCTCTAGGCAGAGGGAAGTAGGTGGAGTCTGTTTTCCCTTGCCCTCCCTTTGCACCTTCGAGGGGTGGTGGTGTGGTGGGAGCCGCCCTGGGTACCCCCTTGCAGGTAACACTGCCTCAGCCCAGAGCAGGGCTGGCCGCGGGCCTCCGGGGCCAGGGGCGGGGCCTCACCGAGCATTCCCAGCAAGGTCAAGGACGGTGGCCCTAGAGACCTCTGCAGAGGTGTCCTCTGGCGGGCTGGCTGGCTCCAGCTTCGTGGTGTCTTTGGTAAACTTGTTCCCTGTGGGGAGAGTCAGGGAGGTCAGGGTGAAGGCCCTCTGGCCTCCTCTTGCTGCAGAGCCCCTGGGTAAAGGTCTGTGTGTGAAGCTGGGGGAATCCCGGGGATAGGGCCTGGCCTCTGCCTGTCCTTGTGGGCGCCACGTCCAGCCAACAGCCAGGAACGGGTCCTGGGGAGAGACTCTGACGCCAGAAGGAGGAACAGCAGCCCTAGTGCCAGAGGTGGCCAGAGATTTGGGAGAGCAAGGGGCAGGAGGAATGGGAGGCAGCAACCAGAGATGGTTCTCCTGCCCTCCAACACACTATGGGGGCTGAGCCCTCAGAAAAGGGCCGGGGCTTCCCCATGGCTGCATCACAAGACCAGGCTCTCATGTCATCGTGCCAGGAGCCCAGAGGAAGGCGCCCTTATCCTCATCTCACAGACGTGGACACTGAAGCCCACAAGACCTTGCCCAAAGTCACACAGCTGGTGGGAGGCGGGACCGGAACTGGGGTGCCAGGATCACCCCAAGAACCGTGATGCTTTTGCTACCCCGGGAAGAGCCCGCATCTTCCTCCTGGGACAGGTGTGCTGGCCCACGGGCCACTGCATGGGCTCTGGAGTCACACTGCTGGGCATGCAGCAGGGACCCGTGCTCACCAGCTGGGCTTCCGTTCCTCTGTCTGCACGTGAGAGTAGTGGAGTGGAGCCACCTTCATAGGATTGTTGGAATCAGATTAAAATAAAATATGCTGGCAGCTTCAAAGAGAGCCTGGCACAGGCTCAGGTTCACCAACCTGGCACCGGTTAGCGTCCAGCTTTAGTACTCTCTGTCCAGGGCATTTGAAGCTGGGAGGGGTTGTCCTGACAGTCTGTCAGCACCTAGAAGCCTGGGACCCATTTCTGTCCCAGGACACAGAAACCACAGCCCAGCCTCCCTCCCTGCCTGAGGGGAGGCGCTCAGGAGGACCAAGTCCAGGGTGGTGGCAGCTCGGGTTCTGTTGGGGAACCAATCCGGAAACTTCAGAATGGACTAGATGGTCCCCACATACCTGTGAAAATTCGCTCATCAAACATCCTGGGGAGAGAAGAGAGACAGGCATGAGAACAGTGCAGGCTGGAGGACTCTCCCAGGGCTCGGGGAGATGCCTCCAGTCCCCTTTGGTGATGGTCACTGAGTGACACATGCACAGCTACAGACCTGGGCATCCGGCAGACATGCAGGCAGGAGAGGGCATGTCTGGAACCTCAGAACATCCCAAACCGTTTATTTTTATTTTTATTTTTGGAGACAGAGTCTCACTTTGTCGCCCAGGCTGGAGTGCAGTGGTGCGATCTTGGCTCACGGCAACCTCCGCCTCCAGGGTTCAAGCGATTCTTCTGCCTCAGCCTCCTGAGTAGCTGGGACTACAGACGTGCACCACCATGCCCTGCTAATTGTTGTACTTTAATCTAATTAATTAATTAACTTTTTTTTTGAGATGGAGTCTTGCTCTGTCGCCCAGGCTGGAGTGCAGTGGCGCGATCTCAGCAGGGGAGTGGGGTCTCTCAGCGTGAAAACAGGAGTCATTGTCAGCCTCGCTCCCCCAGCTCTGCCTCCCATGACTGGCGTTTTTGGTTCTATTCTAATTTCCTGCTGGGTTCCCCATGAACCTCCGCCTCCCGGGTTCAAGGGATTCTCCTCCCTCAGCCTCCTGAGTAGCTGGGATTACAGGCGTGTGCAACCACACCCAGCTAATTTCTGTATTTTTAGTAGAGATGGGGTTTCACCATGTTGGCCAGGCTGGTCTCGAACTCCTGACTTGAGGTGATCCACCTGCCTCAGCCTCCCAAAGTGCTGGGATTACAGGCGTGACCCACGGCACCCAGCCTATCCCAAACCATTTTTGCACAGTTAGGGAAAGCATGGGCCAACCCCTGGGGCGGTCTTGGAGGGTCTAATCTGCTCACAACTCCCTGGGGGCCTCTTCTGGCCCCAGGTGAGTGACTCAAGCCCATTTCCCACCAGCACCTACTCTGAATGACTTATTCGTTTATCCTGAGGGCTTTTGCCCAACTTCTCCTGCATCTTACTCAGTGACAGGCACAGGACGGCACAGAGCAGAGCTGCCAACCGATCGTGGCAGCACAAGGTGAACCGTGGGATCCTTTTTTTTTTTTTTGAGTTGGGGTCTTGCTCTATCACCCAGGCTGGAGTGCAGTGGTGCAATCATAGCTCACTGCAGACTTGAACTCCTGGGTTCAAGCGATCCTCCTACCTCAACCTCCCAAGTAGCTGGGACTATAGGCATGCGCCACCAATGCCAGCTAAGTTTTAAATTTTTTTGTAGAGACAGGGTCTTACTGTGTTGTCCACATTGAACTCCTGACCTCAAGTGATCCTCCTGCCTCAGCCTCCCAGAGCGCTGGGATTACAGACAAGAGCCACTGTGCCTGGCCTTGTGGGACCCTTCACAGGTGTCTTAGAAATCAAGGGGGCCCAAGCAGTGAGCGGCCAGCCCTTCCCTTAGGGAGGGAAGCAGGAGAGACTTTGCAGGAGAGAGAGCAGTGAGCTAGGTGAGGTGACTGGAGGCTGGAGGTGGAGGTGCACGGCCTTCAGTGCTGTCCTCAGGCACCTGGCCTCTACCCTGTGGGCAACAGGTGCCCCAATGGTCATGACAAGGTCAGATTATCAGAGAATGTATTGGAGGAGGGGAGGCTGGGCACCCAGGGGCCCATTTAGGGACCCAAGTCATCCAGGTAAGATGCATGGAACCAGCCGGGCGTGGTGGCTCAAGCCTATAATCCCAGTACTTTGGGAAGCCCAGGCAGGTGGATCACCTGAGGTCAGGAGTTTGAGACCAGCCTGGCCAACATGGTGAAACCCCGTCTCTACTAAAAATACAAAAACTAGCCAGGTGTGGTGGTGCATGCCTGTAATCCCAGCTACTTGGGAGGCGGAGGCAGGAGAATTGCTTGAACCTGAGAGGCGGAGGTTTCAGTGAGCCGACATAGCACCACTGCACTCCAGCCTGGGCAATAGAGTGAGACTCCATCTGAAAAAAAAAAAAAAAAAAATGATGCATGGAACCTCTAGCCAGGAAAATGAGGATGAAATAAAGGTCTGAGAGTCTGAGAGGGCGGGGCTGGGCTCACACACTCTCCTGCCTCCAGGACTGGAGTTCTGGCATTCTTTCCCTTCTAACCTCAGCCCCACCAGGGTGGTGCCTGGTGGTGGGTCAGGGGCCCTCAGGCAGCTGATTATGGAGGTACAGCTTCCCTGCCATGGAGTGGCTGGACCACGGACAGAGCCTTGGGCTCTAGGGGGAATGTAGGAGGAAAGAAGGGATGTCCCAGCCTGCATACCTGACAATGTCCAAGGGAGGACCCAGCAGGAAATTAAAACAGAGGCAAAAACACCAGTCCTGGGAGGCAGAGCCGGGGGTGCAAGGCTGACGGTGACTTCTGTTTTCACGCTGGAGGCCCCACTCCCCTGCCACTCCTGAAGGCCCCCACACATCTGGATCCACAGGCCCAGAGGCAGCCTCAGGGAATAATTTTGGGGGAAAACTGGCTTCCTTTCTGAGGCCTGCTTCCTCAGCCCCACCCAGTGATGGAGACACAGTCAGCATTGGTTGTCGTTTTATTATTGTTTTCAGAGATAGGGTCTGGCTCTGTCGCCCAGGCTGGAGTGCAGTGGCGTGATCATAGCTCACTGCAGCCTCCAATTCCTGGGCTCAAGTGATCCTCCTCCGTCAGCCTCCTCAGTAGCTAGGACTACAGGTGCATACCACCAGGCCTGGCTATTTATTTTATTTTTTGTAGAAATAGGGTCTCACTATATTGCCCAGGTTGGTCTCAAACTCCTGGCCTCAAGTGATCCTCCTGTCTCAGCCTTTCCAAGTGCTAGGATTACAAGTGTAAGCCACTGTGCCCAGCCTGCAGTTTTATTATTTACAGTTTTATTTATTTATCAGGGAGAACAGGGTCGGGGAGATGTGGGTTCGAGACAGCATCAGGGACTTACACCATTCCCTGGGGGGGCATTGGGGGTGGAGGCAGATGTCAGGGAGCGGTCAGATGCCCTCACGGGCTGCCCGGACTGGAAGGCCCACATGATAGGCACTGACCAAGGGGTCGCTGGCCAGCCTCTAAGCACAGTTCTGAGTTCTAGAAATCTTCTCCAGATACTTTCTCCTCCTAAGTTCTGGCTTAGCTAGAACCAATATATCTGCCCCTGAGGTGTGAACCCACAGCCCTGGGGGATTCTATTGTATCCCAGTAGGAATACAGACATGAGAAGTAGGAGGCCAGAACTTGGCATGAGTTGGGGTTGGGGCAGAGGTGGGGGGCAGAGAGCTGTACCACCAATAACAAGACCCTCAGGCCTTGTAGAAAGCACTTCTGACTCCCAGATGGTGCATACCCTGCAGATACCTGGGCCAGGGCAGAGACTCTACCTCCTGGCTCCCCCCACTTTTTTTTTTTCTTTTTGGAGATGGGGTCTTGCTACGTTGGCCAGGCTGGTCTTGAACTCCTAGGCTCAAGTGATCCGCCTACCTTGGCCTCCTAAAGTGCTGGGATTACAGGCCGTAAGCCACTGTGCTCAGCCCCTGGCTCCTTTTTAAGCCCTCCTCTCCTGACTCACTTTTGCCAGCATGATCTCAGATGGTTAAATGATGAGGCTGGGGTGTGTAATAGAAAAAAGTGTACTTGGAGGCTCTGAAGCTGTAGCCACTGTTCTAAGCATTTCATCCACATCTGGTAATTTACTCTCCGATCAACACTATGAGGCATGGACAATTATCAGGCCTGGTTATTCTATGTTTAATTTATTTATTTAGAGATGGATTCTCGCTGTCACCCAGGCTGGAGTGCAGTTGTGCCATCTTGGCTCACTGCAATCTCTGTCGCCCGAATTCAAGCCATTCTCATGCCTCAGCCTCCCGAGTAGCTGGGACTACAGGCGTGCGCCACCACACCTGGCTAATTTTTGTATGTTTAGTAGAGACGGAGTTTCACCATGTTGGCCGGGCTGGTCTCAAACTCTTGACCTCAGGTGATCCACTCATCCTGGCCTCCCAAAGTGCTGGGATTACAGGCGTAATCCAGGCCACCATGCCTGGCCTATTTTTTATTTTTTGAGATGGGGTGTCACTCTGTCACCCAGGCTGGAGTGCAGTGGCACGATCATAGCTCACTGCAGTCTCGAACTCCTGTGGTCAAGTGATCCTCCCATCTCAGCCTCCAAGTAGCTGGGACTACAGGTACCTGCCACCATGCCTGGCTAACTTTTTAAATATTTTGCAGAGATGGGGTCTCGCCATGTTGCCTGGGCTGGTATCAGGCCTGGTTTATGTAAATGAGGCACAGAGTGGTTAAGTAACTTGCCCAAGGACGCCCAGGTCGGAAATGTCTTCAGGTGCACCGATGCACTTAATGATGTTTTAATTCACAAGGGAAATAAGGACAATGAAAAAACACCTCATGCTTATTAAACATCTGCTACATGTCAGGTGTGTTTCATCCACTTTTTCATTTTATGTTAGGAAAACTTGGGTCGGGGGGGCCATCATTGTCCCTTCCCCCCACCCCTGCCGCCTTTTTTTTTTTTTTTTTTTTTTTAAGAAACAGGGCCTTGCTCTGACACTCAGGCTATGCAGGCCTGGGCAATATAGCAAGATCCCATCTCTATTCAAAAAAAAAAAAAAAAAAAAATTACAAAGTGCCTGATTAGGCCAGACACCGTGCCTGCATTTTCCATTCAATCCTCAAAAGGCCCAGAAGGAATAGGCCACACAGCTACACAAGGAGCTATAACAGAATTCTCTCTCAGACTCGTCTTATTCTCTGTGTTAAGTTAGAGAACCCATTCATTCTGCCCCTGCCCCATCATTGCCTCCCCAGGCCCCTGCTTAGCCCACATGCCCCAAAACCCGGAGCCCAAGCCAAGCCCGGAGCAGAAGGCCAGACCCCTACGCCCACCCGCACCTCTCTTTTTTGAGACAGAGTCTCACTTTGTCACCCAGGCTGGAGTGCAGTGGCATGATCTTGGCTCATTGCAACCTCTGCCTCCCGGGTTCAAGAGATTCTCCTGCCTCAGCGTCCCAAGTAGCTGGGATTACAGGCACCCACCACCACACCTGGCTAATTTTTGTATTGTTAATAGAGACGGGGTTTTGCCATGTTGACCAGGCTGGTCTCGAACTCCTGGCCTCAAGCGATCTGCCTGCCTTGGCCTCCCAAAGTGCTGGGATTACAGGCATGAGCCACTGCGCCCAGCCCCACCCGCACCTCTTAATGATGAAGTGGATACTATGGCGCTCCTCCAGGATCCGCTTCAGCTTGGGGACTCCATAAGTGCAGGGGCGCTTGAAGGGGATCTTGTCCGGGATGCCCACGATCTCCACAGCCTCCGGGTCACAGGCAATCTTCCGGTAGGGCACGGGGACCATGTGGTCCAGGCCCAGGGCTTCCGCTGGAAAGACAACCAAACAGCAAGGCTGAGTGTTAGACAGGCTGCTGGACACACAGGACCCGGGAGCTGCGGTCCCCATCACCTCCCACCGTCCCCACTCCACTCTGGCCATGTAGCGGCCAGAGGGATCCTGCAGAAATGTCAAAATCATATCACTTTTCTGTTAGGAAATTGGCTGGGCTGGGTGCGGTGACTCATGCCTGTAATTCCAGCACTCCGGGAGGCTGAGGTGGACAGATGGCTTGAGCCCAGGAGTTCAAGACCAGCCTGGACAACACAGCAAGACCCCATCTCTGCAGAAAGTAAAATACAAAAAGCTAGGTGTGGTGGTGCACGCCTGTGGTCCCAGCTACTCGGGAGGCTGAGGTGGGAGAATCACTTGAGCCTAGGAGTTCGAAGCTGCAGTGAGCCAAGATCATGCCACTGCACTCCAGCCTGGGCAACAGAGTGAGACCCTGTCTCAAAAAATAAAAATAAAAAATGTCCAGTGGCTCCCATCTCATTTGGTGACAGCCAAAGTCCTACGTATGTGACTTCATCACCTCTGGCCTCATCTGCCCCCTTCATGCCTCTGTGTGCTCCCCCTACCCCTGCCGCCCCCTTGGTGCTTCCCCTACAGGCCAGGAGCATACACTCGGTTCAATGCCTTTGTACCTGCTCTTCTGTCTGCTCAGATCCCTTTCTCCTAGAAATCCATAAACATCCATCCATCAGTCCGTCTATCCATCCATCCATCCATCCGTCTATCCATCCATCCATCCATCCATCCATCCATCCATCCATCCATCCACCCATCCACCCGGTTGTCCGTCCATCCATCCATCCATCCATCCATCCATCCATCCATCCATCCATCCATCCATCTGCCCATTCATCCATCCATCCTTTCATCCATCCATCCATCCATCCATCCATCCATCCATCCATCCACCCACCCACCCACCCGGCTGTATATCCATCTGCCCATCCATCCATTCATCCATCCATCCATCCATCCATCCATCCATCCATCCATCCATCCATCCACCCATCTTTCCTTCCCTCCCTCCCTCCCTCCCTCCTTTCAGGTGTTTGCTCAAATAGCACTTTGGCAGCCTAACACAGCCTCCTCCATCCCTCATTCCCTCCCCTGCTGTGTCTGTCATCCACTGGTCATCACCTGACACTACATCCACACTCATCTCTATGTGTACTGTCTAGAAAGGAAGCTGCATAAGAACAGGGGTTTTGGCCAGGTGCAGTGGCTCATGCCTGTCATCCCAGCACTTTGGAAGGCTACAGTTGTTGGGAAATGCTTGAGCCCAGGAGTTCAAGACCAGCCTGGGCAACACAGTAAGAAGCCATCTCTATAAAAATACAAAAAATTAGCCGGGCTTGGGCCTGTAGTCCCAGCTACTTGGCAGGCTGATGCTGGAGGATCGCTTGAGTCCAGGAGTTCGAAGATGCAGTGAGCTGTGATTGCACCACTACACTCCAGCCTGGGTGACAGAGCGAGACTGTCTGAAAAAGAGTAGGGGTTTTGTTTTCTGCCTTGCCACTGCGACCTCAATGGGGCTGGGCACACACTAAGTGCTTTCTGCATAGTGAATATACAAATGGCTAAAGGAAGTGCCCAAGCTTGAGATTAGCTCCTGGCAGGCGAGTAGTTGCACAGGTGAGCACAGGTGTGTGCCTTCTTCCAGGGAGGAGCTTGGCACGCCCTTCATTCACCAGCGCCATAAACAAAACACACCCCAGAAGCTGACGGCTCTGCCAACAGCCAAGCAGACAGAATCCAGGCTCATGCCCAGGCTACTTGCTCTGTTTTCCCAGACTTGTGCCATTTCAGTCATTCACTTCGACCCCAGCTACACGTTTTCATTAATTCATTCATCAAATACTTTTTTTTTTTCCCTGATGGAGTCTTGCTCTGTTGCCCAGGCTGGAGTGCAGCGGCACAATCTTGGCTCACTGCAAACTCCCTGACTGGGTTCAAGCAATTCTCCTGCCTCAGCCTCCCGAGTAGCTGGGATTACAGGCGTGTGCCACCACGCCCAGCTAATTTTTGTATTTTTAGTAGAGTCAGGGTTTCACCATGTTGGCCAGGCTGGTTTTGAACTCCTGACCTCAGGTGATCCGCCTGCCTTGGCCTCCCAAAGTGCTGGGATTAAAGGAGTGAACCACAGTCCCCGGCCCCACACCAAATACTTTTTAAGCACCTACTATGTTCCTAATACAAGCTGGTACTTTCTTTCTTTCTTTTTCAGAGACAGGGTCTTGCTAACAGCCCAGGCTGAAGTGCAGTGGCATAATCATTGCTCACTGCAGCCTCGACTTCTGGCTAAAGTCATCCTCCTACCTCAGCCTTTTGAGTAGCTAGGACTACAGGCATGTGTTACCATGCCCAGCTATTTACTTTTTTATTTTTTGAAGAGACGGGGTCTTGCTATGTTGCCCAGACTGATCTTGAACTCCTGGGCTCAAGTGATCCTCTTGCCTCAGCTTCCCAAAGTGCTAAGATTACAGGCATGAGCCACCGCTCCTGGCCTTAAGCAAGTACTTTCATGGGTCACCCTTCCCCTGACCTGAGTATCCACTTCACTCTTGCCTCCCCGTATGACCATGGACGGGGCCTCGATACACTGTCCTCCCTCCAGGCTCCCATATCTCCTGGCTGTTCCTCAGGCCCCTCCCTGTCCTAGCCCTGCTTCTCTGGCCACACTATGCTTTGTCTGTGTTCCTGTAAGTGCCAGCCCAGAGCTGGACCTCCCTCCAGCCCTGCTTGGGCCCTCCCTTGGGTGCCTCTGACACTGTTTTCCTGTTGATGCAGCGGCCCAGGTCTGCGTTGGCGGCTTTGGCATCCAGATCCCACTGAGATGTCACACTTAGCTCGTTGTCAAATGAAACCTTCGAAATCTCAACAGCTGGCAAAGCATCTCTCCCCACTTCCCCCCCACCTCCCACATCAGCAGCCACCCCCAGCCCCAGCCCTTGAGCAATTGGTCCTTTGAGTGCCTGTGAATTTGTCTCCGTCTGGTTCATCTGGTTTATTGGGGCTTGTCTTTTCAGCACTGGGGAGATTCAGTGGACAGAGGGCCAACCCCCGAACCCTGCTGTTGCCCCTTGGGAAGGGGCTGCCTTCATGCAGTGCCACCATGCACCCTCCTCGGCCCCTCACCTGGTCCCAGCATCATCCCAGAGGACATGTCCTCGAGACTTCCTGAAGCCTAATGTTTCCCCCAATTCTAATTTTTCTGTTTCTTCCTCCTTTGTACCACCCACACTGTCACTGGCCCAATTCACCCAGATTTGGTGGCTGGTAGAGCTGGGAGCAGGGTTTGCTCACCCACGACCAGTGGAATGCCTTGGGCTGCCAGACCCCGTCCCCACCACCCGTGGGGTCCCCAGTACTGGGCAGCTGCCTTCTCCCCCACGCAGCTCCCCAGAGGGAGCTCCGGCTTTATGGGGAACAAGATCTTGACCACTCCACACCCAACACTCTTTGGATGTGACTCAGGAACTGACATTTGGAAAAGGCTTGGCATTTTGGAAAGTCCAGAGCGTGGGACAGGCCAGAACACTGGCCTGGGCAGAACCCTCCCAAGGCAGGCAGAGCCGGCTCCTCCCTGGTTCCCCTCCCCCAACCTCCGCCTGGCTCACACCTGCCTGGGGCGGGGAGAGACTCAGGGGCAGGTGCAGACAGCCCTTTGCAGCTCTGAGGAGTGAGGAGGCGTGGCTGGGCCAGGGTGGCCACATCAAAGGTAGCTGGCTATCCCAGGCTCCTCACTAAGGCCTCCAGAGTCTTGTTCAGCCCCATGTCAATGTGGAAGGTCCAGCCCACACGCAGAGGCTGCCCCAGACGTGGTCACAAGACACCTCGTCCATGAAGCCACCCCTGACTTCCCAGCCTATTGAGACTGTTTCTTCCTTGGAATTATCCTCCCTTCTTTTTTTTTTCTTTTTAAATTCTTTCCTTAATGATTTTCTTTTCTTTTTTTGAGAGAAAGTCTCACTCTGTCACCCAGGCTGGAGTGCAGTGGCGTGATCTCGGCCCACTGCAACCTCTGCCTCCCGGGTTCAAGTGATTCTTCTGCCTCAGCCTCCCAAAGTAGCTAAGATTACAGGTGCATGCCACCATGCCACGCCCAGTTAATTTTTGTATTTTTGTAGAGACGGGGTTTCACCATGTTGGCCAGGCTGGTCTCGAACTCTCGAGCTCAAGTGATTCACCTGCCTCGGCCTCCCAAAGTGCTGGGATGACAGGCATGAGCCACAGCGCCTACCACTTGTGTTTTCTTTCCAGAGTGCGGTGGGCTGACATCTGCTATGAGCCTGACTCTGTCCTGGGTGCTAGGGACAAAGAGAGGGGTTGGGTGCAGTCCTGGCCCTCAGGGAGACAGCGGCAGGCAGGGGGCGTCAAGTTCCCAATGTGTCACAGAGAGGGAACCATCAGGGTACCCAGGCCTACCTGGCCCAGGCTGGGGACCCAAAGGCTTCCTAGAGGAGGTGACTCCCAAGACGAGTCTCAAAGAACAATTAGGAATTTGTCCCTAAAATGTGAAAAGACTGTGCCAGACAGAGGGCACAGCACAGGTAAAGCTGGGAGGTGGGAAATGGTGTGTTACTGTGGGGGACTTGCACATGAGGCCAACAGAGATTTTTCTGGGCCTTATGGATAGTTCCCCTGATGGGCAATCTGTTTTGTTTGTTTTTTTGTAGAGATAGGGTCTCGCTCTGTCACCCAGGCTGGAGTGCAGGGGTACAATCGTAGCTCACTGTAGCCTCAACCTTCTGGACTCAAGCAATCCTCCCACCTCAGCCTGCAAGTAGCTAAGACCACAGGTGTGTGGTTAATTTTTTAATTTTTAATTTGTATTTATTTATATTTTTTGAGACAGAGTCTCACTGTGTCACCAGGCTGAAGTGCAATGCCACGATCTCGACTCACTGCAACCTGCACCTCCTAGGTTCCAGTGATTCTGGTGCCTCAGGATCTGAGTAACTGGGATTACAGGCGTGTATTACCACACCCAGTTAATTTTTGTATTTTTAGTAGAGACAGGGTTCTGGCATGTTGGCCAGGCTGGCCTTGAACTCCTGACCTCAGGTGATCCGCCTGCCTCTGCCTCCCAAAGTGCTGGGATTACAGGCATGAGCCACTGCACCCAGCCTAGTTAAAAAATTTGTTTTTGTAGAGATGGGAGGTCTCACTGTGTTGGTCAGGCTGGTCTTGAACTCCCGGCCTCAGGTGATCCTCCCACCGTGGCCTCCCAAAGTGCTGGGATGACAGGCATGAGCCACTGCGCCCGGCCCCCAGATGGGTAATCTCTGCCCCCAACCTGTCCCGCTCCCCGCCACTGAGCCCAGGTCTGGGGCTTTGCCATCAGTTCCGCCCCCTGAAGAATCTGGAAGGGAAATATTGACACAACCACCCCCTACCCAGACAGGAGGAGCCCGCGACGGATGACATTAGCGGTGCCGGCGCGCGGGAGCCAGCATATGGCTCCCGCTGCCGTGTTGGGGAACACGAGTGATTGCCACGTAATGAGATGCTCAACACGGCTGCTGGGGCCACACGGCGGGCCGCGCCGCCCACTCACCATATCTGCTGTTAAACAGGATCTGCACACACTCCCGGAGCGTGTTGATGTCCTCGGTTTCCTTTATGAAGGCGTCCCACTTCTCTATCAAAACACAGGAGGCACAAGTGAGCAGGGCCCCACGGGACGGTCACACGCCCTCCACCGGCCATGACCACCGGGCTTTCACCCCCAGAGCCCCCGAGGCCGGCCCCAGCCCCCAGTCCTTCCACCCTCTCCCACCTCGGACCATACACGAATTCAGGGTGCTCTGATGGTCCCCCGTCTGCCCGTTCCTGCCCTAACATTTGTCTCTGGCCTCTCCCACGGGTGTGGTGTCAGAACAGGCTCAGCCTGTCCATCCCGAGCCCATCCTGCCCCAGACATACAGGAGGCTGGAAGAGCAGTCCCTTCAGCAGAAAAAGAGGTCGAGTCTTATGTTTTTTTTTTTCCTTTAGATGGTGACTCACTCTGTCACCCAGGCTGGAGTGCAGTGGCGTGGTCTCAGCTCACTGCAACCTCTGCCTCCCAGGTTCAAGCGATTCTCCTGCCTCAGCCTCCCAAGTAGCTGGGATTACAGGGCACCTGCCACCACACCTGGCTTATTTTTGTATTTTTAGTAGAGATGGGGTTTCACCATGTTGGCCAGGCTGGTGTCGAACTCCTGACCTCAGGTGATCCACCCGCCTTGGCCTCCCAAAGTGCTGGGATTACAGGTGTGAGCCACCAAGTCCGGCCTGAGGTCGAGTATTTTATTTTTTAATTTAAATTTTTTTAAAAAAATAGAGACAGGGTCTCACTCTGTTGCCCAGGCTGGACTGCAGTGGTGCAATCATAGCTCACTGTAGCCTTGAACTCCTGGGCTCACGTGATCCCTCTGCCTCGGCCCCCCAGGCAGCTGGGATGACAGGTATGAGCCAACACTCCTGGCTGTGTTTTTTCCTTTTTTCTTTTTTACAGACAGGGTCTCACTCTGTTGCCCAGGCTGGAGTGCTGTGGTGTGATCATAGCTCACAGCAGCCTCCAACTCTTGGACTCAAACGATCCTCCCATTTCAGCCTCCTGAGTGGCTGCGACTACAGGTGCCTACCACCATGTCTGGCTAAGGGCTGAGTCTTGATCTTGAGAATCTAACCCTTGTACCTCCTACATCTGAGGTCTCACTCAGCACTGGCCTTGTTGGCTTCCCCCAAACTCTCAGCTCTGCTGGTCTCTCTCTCAAAACCTCTGTCTTGATTGAATAATAACAAGTGATCATTGGTTCATTTATAATCAGTAAAAGTAACAACTTTAACTTGTTAAGTGCTTATCTGTGCTAAGTACTTTATATATATAATAATATCCTATTTAATTCCTTATGACAAGTTTTAAACAGAGATATTAGTCCCATTTTGCAGATAGGAAAACTGAGGCTCAAAGAAACTGAGTATCTTGCTTGTGATAACCCAGTGAGATTCTATCCCAGCTTGTGTCCCTGGCCCATGGGCCTGTCATGATACTGTTCCATCTGGACATTCACATCTCCTCCCTGCCAGGGCTGGACCTTGTTTGGGGCAGTGACAGGTTGGGTTGTTGTTGGGGGGGAGGGTCCTCCATTCTGATCCCAGGGGACTGGGTTTTCTTTCTTTCTTAAAATTTTGTAGAGATGGGGTCTCACTAAGTTGCCCAGGCTGGTCTAGAACTTCTGGCCTCAAGCCATCCTCCCACCTTAGCCTCCCAAAGCACTGGGATTACAGGTGTGAGTCACCGCACCTGGCCTAGGACTGGGTTTTCTTACAGAACCTTTTCCTGGAGGTGAGGCTGAGGCCCTCAAAGCAAAACTGCTGGCAAGTCCTACTGCATTCCTTCTTGGTATAACTGAATCCCAAACTTTCCTACACTCAGGCCTTCTGTGTGATACTTTAAAAATCTGTCCACTTTTTTTTTTTTTTAAATATATCACTGCCTTTAAAAGGTGGAGTTTAATTCCTCTCCCACAGAGGGAAGGCTGGATCATGTTTCTGGCTTCTAACAGATAGAATATGACAGCAATTTCTAAGGATGGGTCATAAAAGCCACGTGGCTTCCTCGTTCCTCTCTTTTGGATCAATAACTCTGGAGGAAACCAGTGGCCATGTTGTGAGGATGCTCAAGCAGCCCCGTCAAGGCTAGCCCACATGGTGGGGGACTGAGGCCTCCTACGAACAGCCGTGTGAATGAGCTCAGAAGCGTCTCCTCCCGCCCCAGTTGAGCTCTTGGATGACAGCAGCCCCAGCCAACATTTTGACTGCATCCTCATGAAAGACCCTGACCGAGCACTGCCCAACTCGGCCAGTCCCGAATTCCCAACCCCCAGAAACTGTGAGGTAATAAACACTTGATGTTTTAAGCTCCATTTTGGGGTTATTTATTTTATTTTTTGTTACAACTTTTTTTAGAGATAGGGTCTAACTGTTGCCCGGGCTGGAGTGCAGTGGTGCGATCACAGCTCACTGCAGCCTCCAACTCCTGGGCTCAAGTGATCCTCCCACCACAGTCTCCCAAGTAGCTGGGACTACGGGTAGGCACCACCACATCCACTAATTTTTCTTATTTTTTGTAGAGACAGCATTTCGCTACATTGCCCAGGCTGGTCTCAAACTCCTGGTTTCAAGCAACCCTCCTGCCTCAGCCTCCCAAAGTGCTGGGATTACAGGCATGAGACACCATGCCTAGTTTGGGGTAGTTTATCACACAGCAATAGATAACTATTACACCCCAGTTTACTTGCAGCCCCTTGAGCAGAGCTGTTCCTCCTTTCTTTCACAAAGACCCAGGAGATACACTTCCATTTCAATAAGCACCACCTCCAACCTCAGATTCCCACTCAGGCCGGGGTGCTTCGTGGGCGCTGTCCTACCTGACTTGTCATGGACGATGGAGAAGAGAATGCGCTTGGAGGCATGGACGTTCTGGATGAGAGGCCCACCAGGCCCAGTGGGCTTCTGTCCTGGACAAGGGAGAGAAGGAAGAAGGTTCCAGGTGGGACCCAAGAGGGTTCCCCAGATCTGGCCCCAGTGCACAGGCCCTGGCTCTGGGGTAACAGCCTCATCTGCCAGGGACATCCAATAACTGATTCCTGTGATCACAAACTCAAGGCAAGGCCCCTGACCAGAGGTCTAAGACATTCTGCACCAGAATCTGCTAGCCGAAAGCCAGGTTAACAAGAAAGGGATGTCGGAGGTTACCTTTTCCAGGTAAGAACACTTGTTTTACATGTATAAGTTCGAAGCCCTGGTCAGCCCACATATTTGGGCTTTTTTCCCCCTTATAATAATAATAATAATAATAATAATAATAATAATAATAATAATAGTATATATAACTTACAAGCACCTACTACAGGCCAAGCATTAGACCCAAACGCTTTTTTTTTTTTTTTTTTTTTGGTAGAGATAGGATCTTGCTATGTTACCCAGGCTGGTCTCGAACTCCTGGGCTCAAGCAATCCTTCCACCTCAGCCTCCCAAAGAGCTGGAATTACAGGTATGCCTGGCAAGACCCAGCGCTTTAATTCAGCAACTCTCAAACTTGAGCACATTGGAACCACTTGGCAGAGTTATCCAAAAAGACTACCGGGTCCCATCCCCAAAGCTTCAGATTCAGCAAGACTGCAGTGGTGCCTGAGAATATGCATTTCTAACCCTCTCTCAGGAGATGCTACTGCCACCGATCTGTCATTTAATCATGATAACACTTCTGGGAAGCAGGTACCACTAGCATCCCCATTTTATAGAGGAAGAAACTGAGGCTCAGAGAGTAGAGATTTGCCCCAGGATGCCTAGCCACTAAGTAGAGGAGCCAGGATATGAATCCAGGTGCTCCTCACCTGCAGTTGTTCCTTTTGTCCTGTTCACCCCAGGACCTACTTCCAGGACCTACTTCCCCCAGTGCCCTTAATCAGGCTGGGTATGCAGTGGGTGCTCATTCAGTTGGAATGGGTCCTCATGGAATGCATGAGGATGACTAGTATGCTTACTTCCTTTATAGCACGTGATGTGGATCTCCCACCTTTGACACCTGAAATATCGCTGGTGCTTTTTTTTTTTTTTTTTTTTTTTTTTTTTTGAGACAGAGCTGTGCTGTCACCCAGGCTGGAGTGCAGAGGTGTGCAATCATAGCTCAATGCAGCCTCAAACTCCTGGGCTCAGGTGATCCTCCTGCCTCAGCCTCCCGAGTAGCTGGGACCCAGGGAGTCCTCGCAGGCGTCCTCTTAGTCCAAGGCCAAGGACATCATTCACAGATGGCTGAGCAGAGACCCAAGGTCCAAGGGGGTCTCAGCCAGGACACCATCTGTCCAGTCCCACTCCCATGCCCAGACATGGCTCCTTCCAACCTAAGAGGGCCCAGGCATCCTGACCTGCCCTGGGAGGCTGTCCCCTGCATGAGTGACCTCTGTCCCACCCCCTAGACTTGGAGATCCCAGCAGCAATGTTACCACAACAGTCGGAGAAGTCTTGGGCACCGGTGGCCTTGGGCTCTGGCATGGGCCGACTCAGGCCCAGGTCGCTGGGGGCAAGGGGGCAGGAAGGTGCTTCCTGCTTGAGCTCTCGGATGGCGTGGTTGGGGAGCGCCGTGCTGTACAGGAAGCTGGCCATGGAGGAGGAGGTGGCGGTTGGGGGCAGGTCCTGGGGTGGCACCTTGGGGGCCTGGCCATGCAGGCCACAGTCCCGTGACCCCTTGGGAATCAGGGAGACACCGTTCAGCTCCACCAGGGCCTTCGAGTCCCGCCCGCCATCCTCAAGTGGCCTGAGTAAAGGAGAGGACACATGGACAGCTTTGTACATCTGTTTCACACATTGCAGCTCTTCCCCCGAAAACCCCGCATCCCTGCCCTCTGCAGAACATAACAGCCCCATGAGGAGGGCAGGACAGGAGCTGCTCTTCCACTTCACAAGTGGGGATGCAGGCTCGGAGGTGGGAATGGTGTGCCCAGGGCCACAGAGCTAGGCCACCGGAGGACCTGGGCCCTGCCCCTCTGCTCCAATCCACTGTTCAGATCCCGCCAGGTGCGGTTGATTGCCTCCTGTCTCCTGCTGCACCCCTCCCCTTCCTGCCTCTGCATTGCCTGGGGCACTTAGCAGAGATGGGTTCAACCTTAAGCCCTCAGGCTGCCTTCTTGGCTCTCCTGACAACTGGTACTGCCTCAGACCAGCCTCAACAACCTAATCTCCCCTGGATCCCTAATTAACCCCAGATTTACAACCTGAGCAAGCACAGGACATGGTTCTCCCGTTTCTGACACCTAAAATGCCATATTTTTTTTTTAAGAGATGGGGTCTTGCTCTGTTGCCCATGCTGGAGTGCAGTGACGCAATCACAGCTCACTGCATCCTCAAACTCCTGGGCTCAAGCAAGCCTCCTGCCTCAGCCTCCTGAACAGCTGAGATGACAGGTGTGCACCACCACACCTGGGTAATTTTTTTTATTTTTATTTTTTGGCAGAGACAGGGTCTTGGTATGTTGCCCAGGCTGGTCTTGAACTCCTGGCCTCAAGTGATCCTCCCACCTCAGCCTCCCAAAGTGCTGAGATTACAGGCATGAGCTACTGTACCCGACCACTTTGGTGCTATTTTGTCCCAAGTCATGTCTCTTCAAGTCTCTCTGCAATGCAACTTCCCTGGGAAGACTTCAAGGCTTAATGACCTGGCTCAGATCCTGTTCTATGACTTCGCTTTCACTTCACCTCCACCATCAGACTGGGAGCTTTCACCACCAGGGTCCCCCACGGGCATCTCAAGTCCCTTCCCCTCTGGCTAAGTGGCCTCCAGCCCCCGGCCCTGACCCGGCCCTGGCCCAGCCCCAGCCCAGCCCCGGGCCGGCTACCTCACTCACCTCTTGAGCTTGAAGCGGATGCGGTGGCTGTGTTCCAGGATGGCCATGAGGGCCTTGGGGTCATACTCGGCTGGCCTTCGGAAGGCCAGGCCTTCGGGCAGCCCCTGCACGGCCAGCAGCCCTGGCTCCCTGAGCAGCCTCTCATAGGGCAGTGGCACCACACTGGCCCTTCCCAGGGCCTCGCCTGTAGGGGAGAGTCCAGGAGAGGGGCCTGGTATGAGAGGGCAGCCAGGCTGGGGTCGGGGCTGCTGTGCCCCAGAGTGGGGGCAGTGCTGAGTGGCTCCCCTTGGTGCGGGGTTCCCATGGACCCCTCATAACTGCAGACTTTGTGCAGAATAACCGCCTGCAGGCTGGGGGTGGGTGGTGTGGACAAGGCCCAATTGTCTGCATCTGGGGGGCTGGGGCTCCCCCACCAAGCAGGTTCCCTGCTGCCCTCCCCGACCAAGCCCCTCTCCACTCTGGGCACCTGGCTGGAGGGGAAATCGGGGACTCAAGGGCCCAGAGGACAGAGCAGAGGCAGACAATCCGGTAGGAGAAAAGAGGGCAGAAGAGACGGAGAAGTGGGGACTTGCATGAGCCAGGCTGCAAGGAAAAAGCTATAAGGGCTGGGCGTGGTGGCTCACGCCTGTCATCCCAGCATTTTGGGAGGCTGAGGAGGGAGGATCACTTGAGGCCAGGAGTTCGAGACCAGCCTGGCCAACATGATGAAACCCCGTCTCTACTAAAAATACAAAAATTAGCTGGGTGTGGTGGTGCATGCCTGTAATCCCAGCTACTTGGGAGGCTGAGGCAGGAGAATCGCTTGAACCCGGGAGGTGGGTTGCAGTGAGCCGCTGCACTCCAGCCTGGGTAACAGAACGAGAATCCATCTCAAAAAAAAAAAAAAAAAAAAAAAGGTGTAGGGAGGAAGGGAGAGAGACCGAGAGGGGGGAGAGAAAGTAAGAAGAAGAGGAAGTGGAGAGGGAGCAAAAATAGGGGATTGAGAAAAAGATGGGAGAGGCTGGGCGTGGTGGCTCACGCCTGTAATCCCAGCACTTTGGGATTACCGAGGCAGGTGGATCACTTGAGGTCAGGAGTTTGAGACCAGCCTGGCCAACATGGTGAAACCCCGTCTCTACTAAAAATATAAAAATTATCCAGGTGTGGTGGCAGGTGCCTGTAATCCCAGCTACTCAGGAGGCTGAGGCAGGAGAATTGCTTGAACCCAGGAGGGGGAGGTTGTAATGAGCCGAGATCATGCCATTGCACTCCAGCCTGGGCAACAGAGTGAAACTTCATCTCAAAACAACAACAACAACAACAACAACAACAACAACAACAAAGACAGGAGAGAGGAGAAAGAGACAGACTGAGAAGACGCAGGAACAAAGATGGGGGCTCGGGGGCACAGAGGAGGGGAGGCAGGCTGGGGACTGAGGACTGGGCACTGGGATATCTGTTGTCACCTCCATGCTACAGCCCCCACCCTGAGCCAGAAAGAGGCCCATCCTCTCATAGCCTCCTTGAATTCTGCCCAAAGTGGACAAGGGGGGCCAGGGCAAGGCGGGCAGGGGCGCGGGGCCCTGCAGCTGGCAAAAGTGTCGACAGAGGCACAGCCAACCATGCGTGGCAAGTCCCCCATCCCAGGGTGGCCAGTGTGACCACCCAGGGCCTCTGGGTACCCCTCCTTCTGACATAAGAACAGCAGAAGTTTCCTCACAGACCTTTGCTCCATAAAACCAAAGGCTACAGTAGGAGAAGGGATAAAGCCAAATCAGAAATGAATGAGGTGGGACCCTGAGCACCAAAGGGACCTGCCCGATGTTTCCCAGGGCGTGTGAAGACCACCACTGGGGCCCTGAGGCCCTCTGCAACCTGACGCTTCCCAAGGGAGGCCAGGTCTCCTCTTCCTGCAGGAAAGACATGGCTGAGCAATCAGCCTTCACTTAGTCATTCAACAAACATTCTCCAAGCACCTGCTGTTGCTGGGCTCTGAACTGTAGGCTGGAGACAGCTAGAAAGGGCAGACACAGCCCCTGACTCTGGAGAGCTCTTGGGCTGGAGAGGGGACAGGGCACTGTGGGTGCCAAGAGAGGGGCCTAAACCCACTGTGAGGGGGCTTCCAGGAGCAGAGCCTCAGTGCCACGCAGGTGTCTGCCAGACACAGGAGGGGAAAGGCAGTCTCAAAAGATGTAACAGCGCGAAGTCCAGGGCATGTGAAATGCACCAGCGAGTGCTGGAGAACTGGAAGTGGTTCTGTAGAGAGGTCAGTAGGGCCCTGTCACCTAGTGGGAGAAGAAGGTGTGGAGGGGATGAGGATGGGTGTGTGGGCCCCTGTGCCATGCTCAGGGTGATGGGGAGCCCCCGAAGGCTGTGGAGAGAAGAGCTTCATTAATGATCAGACTTGTGCTTTGAGAAGATACCCTTGGTTGCAGGGCAGGTGTAGAGAGCTGGTCTGGAAGCAGGGAGACCGTGGCAAGCCTGGGGCTATTTCTAGGCGAGAGGTGGCAGTGACTTGAGCCAGGGCAGGGACAGTAGGGGTGGAGGTTTGGAAAACGGCTGGAGCAGAACTTCTGTGTCTGGGAATGCAGAGATGAGGAAGGGCTGGGGTAGCCAGTAGCCCCATGCCTTGGGGTCCGGCTTTGCCCAGGGCCCATAGTGGGACAGGAGGGGGCCCCCTCTGCTGGGTGGGGACCGAGGCTCCCACCCTCCCTGGGGCCCCCAAATGGAATGAGGAAGGATCTTACTATAAAGAACATCAAACACCTCCTCTACCATCTTCCGCAGAAGGTACACATCTGAGCCATGTTCCAGGGAGGACCGAGGGAGGCTACGGCCTCCACCCTCGCCCCGCTGCACCTTCTTGGGGTGCTCTGCCTCCGGATCCTTCCACGGGGGCCCTCCTGTGGGACACAGAGCACGCGAGGCCACAGTGAGCACCCGTCTCACCACCCGGCCTTCGAGCTGGGATGTCGCTGCCCTGTGCTGAGCTGCGGAGACTGGCACACAATGTGATACACAAGTGAATGAATGAATGAAGAATTAATGAGTGAGCAAGCCCTATTCCAACCACCCCACTGAGGGCCAGGGCTGGTCATCTCAGAGTTCCCAGGGCTGGGCCTCACCTCTGGTCACCTCTAATTTGCTGTGTGACCTTGGGTTAGTCCCTTCTCTCTCTGAGCCTCAGTCTGTGAATGTTCACGGGAGGCCAGCTATTCCAGCTCAGAACTGAGGTTCGATGAATGTTCCATCTGTGTCTTTCTATTTTTTTTTTTTTTTTTTTTTTTGAGACAGAGTCTCGCTCTGTTGCCCAGGCTGGAGTGCAGTGGCACAAGCTTGGCTCACTACAACCTCCACCTCCAGGGTTCAAGTGATTCTCCTGCCTCAGCCTCCCGAGTAGCTGGGATTATAGGCGCCTGCCACCTTACCCAGCTAATTTTTGTATTTTTAGTAGAGATGGGGTCTCACCATGTTGGCCAGGCTGGTCTCGAACTCCTGACCAAAGTGCTGGGATTACAGGTGTGAGCTACCATGCCCGGCCCCATCCATGCCTTTCTGTGCTCTGACACGAACACTGTCTTGACCAATCTATGCCACCGTTTTCTGCTCTGCCGGAGGGAGAGAAAACCCTCCGGCAGAGGGTTGGGAGGCACCCCCCAACCCCTGCTCCAAGGAGGCCGTGGGTTGCAAACAGCAGGTTCATGCCAGGCTGGGCCAGGGTGGGGACCGGAGAGTGTTGGTGGATCCTTGGGGAATGTTCTAGAAGCTGCATTGGAAAGGAGATGAGAGGAGGGGCCTGCGGCCCCCTCCCAGCTTGGAGCCTATTCTCCTCTGGGATCTGCGGAGCTTGAAATAAACCAGCCGAGTTCCTGGTGCTATAAATAGCGGCTCTGCGTGGCTCTAGAAGGCAGGTGCACCGCCTCAGGCTCTGGGCGGCTGGGGTGCCACACGACCTGCTGCTGTCCATTCTACCCGGCCCAGTCCCCCATCCTGGCCCTGGAGAAGGTCTAGGCTCTGAGGGCTGAGGGGGGTGGGGGGCTGGCTGGGGATGCGGCTGCACCCCAGTAATGCTAGGCCCAGCGCTGGGGGATGCCCTTCCCTGAAACAGCTGATCTTAGGGGTGTGAGGTGAATACTAATAATAGTAACAACAGCTGGTGTCTATTGAGTGTGAACCAAGTGCCAGACACTGCCCTAAGTGCTTGCAAGGTACCAATTCGTTTAACCCTCAGACCCACCCGTCCTCCCCTTTCACAGATGAGTGGGTTGAGGCACAGCAGTTGTGGACCCAGGCGGCCCGTTCTCTTAACCTCATGCTATACCATGGTTCTTTTGAGATGGGGACTCACTGTCACCCAGGCTGGAGTGCAGGGGTGCCATCGTAGCTCACTGTAGTCTTGAACTCCCAGGCTCAAGTGATCCTCCTGCCTCAGCCTCTCAAGCAGCTGGGACTACAGGTGTACACCATCAAGCCTGGTTAATTTTTAAATTTTTTGTAGAGACAGAGGCCTTGCTATGTTGCCCAGCCTGGTCTCCAACTCCTGGGCTCAAGTGATCCTCCCATTTCAGCCTCCCGAAGTGCTAGGACTACAGACATGAGCCACTGCACCTGGCCTAAGATGTTAACCCTGACTATAGCCATGACAGTGCCTGCCCCCTCAGGTTGATGTCAGGGTAGGTGAGTTAGCATCAGAAAAGATGCTATGTACAGCAGGCATTCAATAAATCTTATTGGAACATGGCCAGGCATGGCGGCTCACATCTGTAATCCCAGCACTTTGGGAGGCTGAGGTGGGCGGGTCACCTGAGGTCAGGAGTTCGAGACCAGCCTGGCCAACAAGGTGAAACCCCGTCTCTACTAAAAATACAAAATTAGTTGGGCGTGGTGGTAGGTGCCTGTAATCCCAGCTGCTCGGGAAGCTGAGGCAGGAGAATCACTTGAACCTGGGAGGCAGAGGTTGCAGTGAGCCAAAATTGTGCCACTGCACTCCAGCCTGGGTGACAGGGCAAGACTCTGTCTCATTTAAAGAAAAAAAAAATTGTGTTGGCATAAGTGCATTTGGTCCTTGTGTTCAGGAATACATAGTTAAGAGGAAGAACTGAGCAGCAGCCTTGGCCTTGGTGTCCCCATCTGGAAAAGGCAGATGGAAGTGGCTGGCTCTGGCCTACCCTGGGGTTCACCCAGCCAGTCTCTATCAACTCAGGGGCTGCCTCAATAACACCACATCGGGAATCTCAGACAACCTAGCTTGTTAGGTTCACTCCCCACACACCGCCACCCTGGCTAGACAGGGTTGGGGACCCAGAGATGGGCTAGAGCGCCTGCCCTCGGGAAATGGCGGGCCCGGCCCTCCGGAGCCCTGGGGTACTCACGGCAGAACCTGAGGAAGTCTGACTGTAGCTCCTTCCGGGCATTCAGGAACATTCTCCCCTTCTCTGTGCCCACCACAAAGGCGCTCTCATCGTGCACGGCGACACAGGCCACCTCGGCGTTCAGTTTGGACAGCGCTGAGCACTGTGGGAAGGGCAGGCTGTGTGAGCGGAAGGGCTCCCCATACTCCGAACACCTCTAGTATCCACTTCGGGGGTGGGATGTGAGCTCCCAGCTGCCTGAGACCCCAGCAGCAGCTCCAGGGACAGACGGCCCCTCTACTGTTCTTGGTCTCAGATTCTGTAGTGGGACTGAATGAAATGGCCCTGCAGGCATTGGCGATGGGGGGTGGAGGAGGACAAGTGTCCTCTGCTCCTCCCTCCAAGGTCCTCCTCCTTGGGGTAGGCCCCCCTTAGCCCCAGCCCCAGGGACAATGCCGTGCTGGGTTTTCTTGGCCCCTCTCAAGTCCTGGATGAGGAGGAGGTGGGAAGAACTGCAGGACAGGCGGGGACTGGACAGACTGGGGCTGCAATCCCACCTCGGCCACTTCTGCTGTGGGACTTGAGCAAGTCACGTCCCTCCTCTGGGCTCCAGTTTCCACATCTGTTTTGTTTTGTTTTTTGAGACACAGTCTCACTCTGTCGCCCAGGCTGGAGTGCAGTGGCACAATCTTGGTTCACTGCAACCTCTGCCTCCCAGGTTCAAGCGATTCTCCTGCCTCAGCCTCCCGAGTAGCTGGGACTACAGGCGCCCGCCACCACGCCTTGCTAATTTTTGTATTATAAGTAGAGATGGGGTTTCACCATGTTGGCCAGGCTGGTCTCAAACTCCTGACCTCAGGTGATCTGCCCGTCTCAGCCTCCCAAAGTGCTGGGATTACAGGCGTGAGCCACTCTGCGTGGCCAGTTTCCACGTCTATAGAATTGGGGACAAGCAGCCCAGTTCCACAGTGCCACTGGGCTTGGGTATGGGGATTCAATGGTTGGAGGAAAAAGATCTCTAAACTGGGACACCCTATATGGGTATACAGGCAGCTGGCTATCCTCATGGCCCCAGAGTCGAGGTCTGCAGCCCCATAGCCCAGAGGCCTTAATGTAGGGGGTCCCTACAACCAAGACCACCAGCATCTCAGGTCTCTGACCTACCCCACCAGGAAAACCCTGACTGTGAAGCCTGTGGCAGGCAGTTGTGTCTAATAAATGCTGGTTTTCATCTGAGTCAGGTAGTGCTGGCAGCTATAAAGTCTGGCTTCCAAACGCAGTTCTGTGCTGCGTGGCCTGGGACAGGTAACCTCTCTGGGCCATAATCTTGCCTATTGTGCCAGCCCCAGCCTGGAGTCGCTCTGGTTAGGAAGGTGCACGCGGCGTGGGGCCAGGAAGCCTGTCCTCCAGGGTCCCTACTGGAAAATTAAAACACAGGGCATTCATTTTCTTCTAAGATGAAAACAAAAGCTTGCTGTTCCCTTTCTGCGCGGGAACACTGTAGACTATTAACAAAAAATAAAACAAATAAATCCAGCTGTTTCTCATCCATCACAGCTGAAAGAGCTGCTTCATCCCACAGTCACCGCTCAGCTGAAGACGCCGAGACCATGGCAGAAAACTCACCCACCTAAAGGCACCCAGAGCTGGTGGGGAAGAGGATGAGATTGGGGGCGGGTGACGAAGGCACATCCCTTCAGCCCACCCTCCCTACAGGTCACCAAAAGACCCTAGCATTTGGAGGAGGCTGGACTTAAGTTACTGCTAAGCAAATATCATTGTCACCCATAGGGTCCCTCAGGAAACCCTTAAAAGGCCCAGGGACGGGGGAGCCTGTCTTGTTCGCACTGCTAGGATAACTATAGGGTCATGTGCTCCTCCAAGGAGGCTCTGAAACACTCACTAGACCACTGCTGCCAAGTAGAACTTTTTTTTTTTTTTTTTGAGACAAAGTCTTGCTCTGTCACCTAGGCTGGAGTGCAGTGGCACGACCTCGGCTCACTGTAACCTCTGCCTCCCAGGCTCAGGCGATTCTCCTGCCTCGGCCTCCCGAATAGCTAGGACCACAGGCATGCATCACCATGCCTGGCTAATTTTTGTATTTTCAGTAGAGATGGAGTTTCACCATGTTGGCCAGGCTGGTCTCAAACTCCTGGCCTCAAGTGATCTGCCCCACTCAGCCTCTCAGGGTGCTGGGATTATATGCGTGAGCCATTGCGCCTGGCCAACCCAGTGTAACTTTCTATGACTATGAAAACATTCTACCTCTGCACTGTCCAATCCATAGACACCAGCCACTTCTGACTACTGAGCACGTAAAATGAGGCTGGTGCAACTGAACAACTGAGTTGTTTATTTCGTTTTAACGAATTCGAATTTAAATGAATCAGGGGCAGTGGCTCACACCTGTAATCCCAGCACTTTGGGAGGCTGAGGCAGGTGGATCACCTGAGGTCAGGAGTTTGAGACCAGCCTGGCCAACATGGTGAAACCCCGTCTCTACTAAAAATACAAAAAAATTAGCCAGGTGTGGTGGCGCACACCTGTAATCCCAGCTACTCCAGAGGCTGAGGCAGGAGAATCACTTGAGCCCAGGAGGCGGAGGTTGCAGTGAGCCAAGATCGCGCCATTGCACTCCAGCCTGGGTGACAGAGCAAAACCCTATCTCCAAAAAAAAAAAAAAAAATTGCAAATAGCCACATGTCACTAGTGGCCATGGCATCGCCCATCACTGCCCACATCAGCCACACCTCCATCAATGCCAAGCTCACAGTACTTTGGGACACAGGGCTGAGCTCCTGGGGCCCCCTCCTCATGAAAGTCACTCTGCATAGGGGAGGGGTCATCATGGAGAGAGTGTGGCACCCAGCCCCTTTTCCAGGGGTGTCTCCCACCGCTGCCCCAAACACCACTTAAGCAGCCCTTGAGCCACCTACAGCAGGAACAGCTTGAAGGAGGTCCTTTATTTTTCGGGGAGACTTTGTACCCAGAAGTTCGCTCTAAAAACTGGTCTTGCTGGGCCAGGCGCAGTGGCTCACGCCTGTAATCCCAGCACTTTGAGAGGCTGAGGTGGGCGGATCACGAGGTCAAGAGATTGTGACCATCCTGGCCAACATGGTGAAACCCGGTCTCTACTAAAAGTACAAAAATTATCTGGCCACGTGTGGTGGTGGGGGCCTGTAGTCCCAGCTACTGGGGAGGCTGAGGCAGGAGAATTGCTTGAACCTGGGAGGCGGAGGTTGCAGTGAGTCGAGATCACACCACTGCACTCCAGCCTGGCGACAGAGCGAAACTCCGTCTCAAAAACAAAACAAAACAAAACAAAACAAAACTGGTCATGCTGTGTGACTTTGGGCAAGGTACTACCCTCTCTGTGCTTCATCATCCTAAAATGCAGGAGCGCAGCTAACTGATGTTAGACAGATTTTTAATTTTATTTTTATTTAAAAAAATTTTTTTAATTGAGAGAGTCTCCTCTGTTGCCCAGGCTGAAGTGCAGTGGCACGATCTCGGTTCGCTGCAACCTCTGCCTCCCAGGTTCAAGCAATTCTCCTGCCTCATCCTCCTGAGTAGGCAGGATTACAGGAATGTGCCACCATGCCAGTCTAATTTTTTTATTTTTATTTATTTTTTTTTGAGACGGAGTCCCCCTCTGTTGCCCAGGCGGGAGTGCAGTGGTGCTATCTCTTCTCACTGCAACCTCCACTTCCAGGGTTCAAGTGATTCTCCTGCCTCAGCCTCCCGAGTAGCTGGGATTACAGGCATGTGCCACCAGGCCCAGCTAATTTTTATATTTTTACTAGAGATGGGATTTTGCCATGTTGGCCAGGCTGGTCTCGAACTCCTGACCCCAAATGATCCACCCGCCTCGGCCCCTAAAAGTGCTGGGATTACTTGCGTGAGCCACCGTGCTGGGCCAGATTTTTTTTTTTAACACTTCCATCACAGAACTTCCCCCCAGGAAAAGGCTAGAGGAAAATGGTATTATGATGTCCTCATTTGGGATAAATTGTTATAGGTCTAGGTATGTAGGCAATAGCGCCAGGGGAGTGATGTATTATACAAAGCTCGGTTTCTCTCTTCCTGCCCGAGATGCAGTTAGAACTCTTGCTTTAACGTTGGGGATTACATCTTTCTAGTGAATGGCTCCCCACACATTATCCCCCAGGTCACCTGCTAGGAGATAGGCATGTGGTTCATCCCAGGGACAAAGTGGGAATGGCAAGAGGGGTGAAGGGACAAGGGGACGAGGGCGGAGAGCCAGTGTTTATTCCAGGGCTAGATTTTTTTTTTTTTTTTTTTAAGACGGAGTCTTGCCCTGTCACCCAGGCTGGAGTACAATGGCACGACCTCGGCTCACTGCAACCTCCACCTCCCAGGTTCAAGCAATTCTCCTGCCTCAGCCTCCCAAGTAGCTGGGATTACAGGCGCATGCCACCACGCCCAGCTAATTTTTTGTATCTTTAGTAGAGATGGGGTTTCACCATGTTGGCCAGGCTAGTCTCGAACCACTGACCTAGTGATCCACCGACCCCGGCCTCCCAAAGTGCTAGGATTACAGGCATGAGCCACTGTGCCCGGCCCCAGGGCTAGATTTTTATGTACTGGATCTCGCTGAAGTCTCACATCTCACACCCTTGATGCAGGCATCGTGGCCCTAGCTGCAGTCAGATAAACTGAGGTTCAGGTCAGTGAAAGCTCCTTCGAGTAGCTGAGGTAGGACTTGAGCTACAAGGCAGGTGGGGACGCTCACCCTGTCCCCTCCTCTTGGGTGGGTGGGGACACTCACCATGGAGTCTAAGGCAGACACGAGGCTGGTGATGATCTCGTCTTTGCGGGTGAACGCGGAGTTCCAGCGGTCGGGTCCGCAGCCGTTGGTGGGGACGTCACAGCGCTTACCCAGCAAGGCCATGGTCGCCTGTGGGGAGGGAGGAGGCAGTGGTGGTGGGCACAAGGCAGGGGGCTTGTCTCATATGGTGGCTGCCCACCCCAATCCACCTGACCCCCGGACTCCCAAGACCGCCTCTGTATCCAGGGCTGACCTTCCCTGGGCCCAAGGGCTTTATGTGTGATGGGATTAGAGCCTGCACAGGCCTGGGCACAGGTGGCAGGATAACTCACACCTTGTGGCACACCCTCCTAAGTCTGCACACCCAAGCTGAGCCCAGCACCAGGACCAGTCTGTTGGACAGGCCCCAACTGCCACCTCTCCCGGCGTGTGCAATTCTGGCCACAGCCCTCCCTCGCTCACACACCCTCCATGGCTCCCTACTGCCCATATTAGCTCTCAACTCCTCAGCCTGGTATTCTAGTTACCTGGTCTCCTGTCCCTCACTCCAGTTCCCCCTCACACTCCATGCTCCAGGCCCTCTAAGCTGTGCCACTCCCAGATGTACCGATGTTCATGCTTCCCTAGTCTGTGCAGGTTCAGTTCCCGCTGCCTGAAGCACCCTTCCTGGTCCTGCCATCATCTGCTGGTTGTCCTTGAAGCTTTTTTAAATTTTAAATTTAATTTTATTTCGAGACAGAGTCTCACTCTGTTGCCCAGGCTATAGTGCAGTGGTGCAATCTTGGCTCACTGCAACCTCCCCTTCCTGGGTTCGAGTGATTCTCCTGCCTCAGCCTCCCGGGTAGCTGGGATTACAGGTGCCACCACACGTCTGGCTAATTTTTGTATTTTTAGTAGAGATGGGGTTTCACCATGTTGGCCAGGCTGGTCTTGAACTCCTGGCCTCAGGTGATCTGCCCACCTCAGCCTCCCAAAGTGTTGGAAATACAGGCATAAGCCACTCACCCAGCCTCATCGAAGCTTTTAATTGTCCAACCTGCTTGCCCACCTCCTGTACCCCCAACCTGAAGCCCAGCTGGGTCAGGAGCCGGTGATGTCCTCCCCTCCCTTCCGCATGCCTCTGAGCTCTGCCGTCACATTTCTGCATCAAGCCACATGCTCCCGAGGCCAATGCCACCCCCGCCGAGGCCTTCCAGCCTCAGTTTCCCTCCTAGCCAGGAGACTTGGCATCAGGGGTATGGAAAGATACAGCAGGGCCGAGGCTGCTTTGTCTCAGGTCAGGGGCTCCCCAGGGCAGGACTGTGTCCTGTTGCAATGGGGTTCCTGGGGGACAGAGCTGCATCCTCCCCCTCAAGTCCAGGGCCCCCAGTTGTGGGTCCCCATGGCATGGCACAGGCTTCCTGGGTATGACAGTGTCCAGCTGGGCACCCATGAGATGCAAAGATCAGCCTCCTTTGGCTCCTGGTTCTACCCTGCCCCTCTCCTTCTTGACCCAGGGGGCACCCACAGGCTGCCCCAGTGCCAGGGCCTGCCCTCAAGGCAGCTGTCCCTGCACCAATCCAAGCAAAGAAGGCAGAGACTAGAGGCAGGGGCCTCTCGGTTCCCCTCTATGGGCTCAGTCCCGGTGCTCTCTGTGTGGCCCCTGCTGGGTGTTGATGGCAGAGAGCAGGGCTGCAGTTCCCAAGGGAGCCTGAAAACCTACCCTCTGTCTCCTACCTGCAGACAGGGAGTTTCTGCACCCAATGGGGTAGGGAAGGCCCAGGCAGGAGGACCATGGGGCTGGCACCACAAAGGGCACCAGGCCTGGGGTGTCTTCTGCCGCCATGGGTGCCCCTGCCATCTGTAAGCTCTTTGAGGGCAGAAACCAGGTCTGCCTGCCACTGTTGCACCCCAGGATCCCGACCAGTGCCCAGTGTGCATAAGGCCCAAGGCGTGTGGTCCCAGCCACAGACAGGCCTTCCAGCAGGTCATGATATATGATCATTGGCCAATGACACAGAACAGGAGATGTGACAGTGCATCACACTTCACAAGGCCAGAGGTGTCCAACCACAGGGACAGAAACATCCCGAGAAATGAGAGATGCATCAGAGCTCGGCTCTGGCCTCAGTTCTGGCTCTCCTCTGCTTTTTGGCTGTGGATAAATATTGATTTAAACAACTGGCCGGTGGGCGTTTGGCCAAAATGTATGTTGAGTTTGCTGCTAAATGTTTATAAAAGACATTTCTTCTTCTGGGTTGCAATTTTATAGAAGTTTGAAATCTGCTGTATTAAGGGATGCGGAGGGGATGACAGGCCATGGATGGGACACAGGCCTTGGATGACACCCGCTGATGAACCACGAGGTGGCCAGTGGCCACGGCTGGGGATGTTCCGTGGCAGGAAGCCCGCTTGAGGGTCTTGCATGCGACCAGACTTCATAAAAGATCCAGCTGAGAGGTCTGCCTGCCTGGGGGCTGGAAGGTGTCCCCCTCCCCCAAGCCATCCCCTGCAAGCCCGTCCCTTGAACCATTCCCAGAAAGGCCTTAGGGCTGCCAGCCTCCCAGCTGCTGAGGCCCAAATCGAATCAGGGCAAAGCAGGAGGCACCAGACAGCCATCTAGCCCTGGCCCCCCGGCTGCCCCAGACAGCGGCCGGCTCCTTCCGGTAAAGGCTCTAATCCGTTTAGGAAGGAACCAGGGACTCCAGGAGGGAGGGACACAGAGAGGGAAGAGGGGCTGGGCTGTGGGCCATCCCCAGCTCCTTGTCTCGGTCATCCGGGCTTGTAGGACCCCCTGTCCCGAGCCACAGCCCAGGTGGGTGCACTTGGGGAGCATGGAGAGAGACAGCCACTCCCTGCAAAGGGCCTCAGATGGAGGGAGAGGCAGGTTCCACGTGCCTGGAGCAAGAATGCAGCAGGAGAAGCGGGGGAAGATGAGACCCAGGCCCACGTCTGCTAGGAGCACCTCGGGTGAGTCCTGAAAGCCCGAGATTTTTCATTTGTAAAGTGGGAATGGTTCTAAACAGAAAATGAAGGCAGAGGCCGGGTGCGGTGGTTCATGCTTATAGTCCCAGCACTTTGGGAGGCCGAGGCGGGAGGACTGCTTGAGACAAGGAGCTCGAGGCTGTAGTGAGCTATGATGGCAACACTGCACTCCAGCCTGGGTGACACAGCAAGACCCTGTCTTTTAAATAAAAAATAAAAATTCTGATAGCAGGGCCAGGCGCAGTGGCTCATGTCTGTAATCCCAGCGCTTTGAGAGGGTGAAGCAGGCAGATCACTTGAGGTCAGGAGTTTGAGACCGGCCTGGACAACATGGTGAAACCCCGTCTCTACTAAAAATACAAAAATTAGCCTGGCGTGGTGGCGGGCGCCTGTAATCCCAGCTACTTGGGAGTCTGAGGCAGGAGAATCGCTGGAACCCCGGCGGTGGAGGTTGCAGTGAGCCGAGATGGCGCCACTGCATTCCAGCCTGGGCAACAGAGCAACACTCCATTAAAAAAAAAAAAAAAAAAAAAAGTAAAAATTCTGATGGCAGCATTGGCCCGCATGAGCTACTATCCTTCTTCCAGCATCACTCTATCTTAGAGACAAGAAAGGCACTAGCTCCAGGCCTCAGCCAGTGCACAGCGGGGAAGAAGGCTGTCTGTCTCCAGCCTTGCTGGTGTCCTTGCTGTCACCATGCGGTAGGAAGACCACGCTTCTCACATTCACAGGGATGCAGGGAACAGACCAGCTGCTCACACGCAGAGCTGACACACAGCCAACTGGGCCCAACTCGACATTCCTGGGTTTACACAGAAAGTTCCGTCTCCTGGGAAACCCCTCAGTCCTAGGCCACCTAGGATGGTTGGTCACACTGCAACGCAGGGAGCAATGGGAACAGGAGCCCAGACGCCTCTCTCAGCAGCCCAAAACGCAGACACTCGCAAGGAAGAGAAATATCCCAAATGTCCATCCTTTGGGTTCAAAAGTCAACTTCCCTTAATAAGGTGAGAGACGCATCTGTTCAGAGCAGCAGTATTCACAATAGCAAAGACATGGAATCAACCCATGTGTCCATCAGCGGTAGAATGGATAAAGAAAATGTGGTACATGCACACCATGGAATATTATGCAGCCATAAAAAAGAACAAAATCATGTCCTTTGCGGCAACATGGAAGTAGCTGGACATCATTATCCTACGCAAATTAACATAGAAACAGAAAACCAAATATCAAATGTTCTCACTTATAAGGGGAGCTAAACGTTGGGTACTCACAGACATAAAGATGGGAATGACAGACGCTGAGGCCTCCAAAAGCAGGGAGAGAGGGGAAAAGGAGGGGCTGAAAAACGACTTATTGGGTGCTATGCTCACTGCCTGGGTGACGAGATCACTTGTATCCCAAATCTCAGCATCGTACAATATACCTTTGTAACAAACCTGCACATGTACCCTGAGAATCTAAAATAAAAGTTAAAATTATTATTATTTTTGAGACAGTCTCACTGTCCCCCAGATTGGAGTACAGTGGTGTGATCTCGGCTCACTGCGGCCTCCGCCTCCCATGTCCAAGTGATTCTCCTGCCTCAGCCTCCCCCGTAGCTGGGATTACAGGTGCCCACCACCACGCCTGGCTAATGTTTGTATTTTTAGTAGAGACGGGGTTTCCCCATGTTGGCCAGACTGGTCTCGAACTCCTGACCTCAAGTGATCTGCCCACCTTGGCCTCCCAAAGTGCTGGGATTACAGCCCGGCCTAAAAGCTGAAATATTAAAGTAATAATAATAATGAGAAAGACATGAAGCCCCCAAAAGGCAGAGCTGGGATGGGTGGAGGGAAGTCCACTGGGAAGATCCCAGGTTACAGTCCGAGAATAGTAGAAGAGCGACTGTCACATCTGTCCCATCACCCAGCTCCCGATTTTGCTCCGCCCACCTGTGAAGCAAGGACGGCTGGTAGCTCAGCTGCTGCCAACACCTGCTGTTCAGTGCCCGGGCTCCTGTGCCCTACCTCATCAGAGGTGACCGCTCCCTGGGCAGCGGGGCCCTGGACACTGTATTTTTTTTTTTTTGAGATGGAGTCTCACTCTATTGCCCAGACTGGAGTGCAGTGGCATGATTTCAGTTCATTGCAACCTCCACCTCCCAGGTTCAAGTGATTCTCCTGACTTAGCCTCCCAAGTAGCTGCGATTACAAGCGTGCACCACCACACCCGGCTAATTTTTGTATTATTAGTAGAGACAGGGTTTCACCATGTTGGTCAGGCTGGTCTCGAACGCCTGACCTCAGGTGATCCGCCCGCCTCGGCCTCCCAGACTGCTGGGATTACAGGCGTGAGCCACCGCGCCCAGCCCTGGACACTGTATTTTTAAGTTCACAGGGGACTCTTACACCCAGCCAGGTGCAGGGCCTGGGTCATCTTCTAGGGATGTTCCCTATTCCAGACTCCAAGAAGCTCAGCTTCCCTGCCTGCCTGCCACCTGCCCCGTCTTGCCAGGGACTCCTTGCCCAGACAGCAGCAGATTTGCCGGCCGCCAAGAGCTGGAGGCCTGCCCGGACCCTGAGCCAAAAATTAGCCAAGCACTCGTGGCCACGTCTGAATCAGTGCTGCCCTGACTCAAGGCAGGGCTGCCTCCAGGCTGGGGGACCCCCATAGAAGTCCGGCCCAGAGCGCCCACTTTCTAGCCAGCCCTGGGGCCAGGGTGACAGTGAACTAACAGAAATCCAGCTGTGATTTCCAATCCCAAACACCCTGCACCTGGCGCTCAGGGCCAGTTAGGAGGCTAGCAGAGAGTGAGCTAACAGGTGCGAGCCTATTCTGCAGCCCAAAGCCTGGATGTCTGGAAACAGGTGTTACAGGTTGTTCCCACTAGCTGGTTCTGACCGATTTACCCCAGTGAAGTGCAGCCTAGTGGGAGGTGGGAAAAGGGCATGTAGACAGAAGAACAAGGCTAAGACAAAGCTCCTGGCTCGGCCCATTTAAATAAACTCCCCTTTCTGGCCGGGCATGGTGGCTCACGCCTATAATTCCAGCACTCTGGGAGGCCAAGGTGGGAGGATGGCTTGAGGCCAGAAGTTCAAGACCAGCCTGGGAAACATGGCAAAATCCTGTCTCTACAAAAAATACAGAAATTAGCCGGGTGTATGCCTGTGGCGCCAGCTACTTGGGAGGCTGAGACGGGAGGATCACTTGAGCCAGGAGTTTGAGGCTGTAGTGAGCTATGATTGTGCCACTGTACTGCAGCCTGGGAGACAGAGCAAGACCCTGTCTCAAAACAACAACAAAGGCCAGGCGCGGTAGCTCACACCTGTAATCCCAGCATTTTGGGAGGCTAAGGTGGGTGGATCACTTGAGGTCAAGAGTTCAAGACCAGCTTGGCCAATATGGTGAAACCCCACCTCTACTAAAAATTTAAAAATTAGCCAGGCACTGTGGTAGGTGCCTGTAGTCCCAGCTACTCAGGTGGCTGAGACAGGAGAATCGCTCGAACCCAGGAGGTCGAGGTTGCAGTGAGCAGAGATCACGCCACTGCACTCCAGTGTGGGTGACAGAGTGAGACTCCTTTTCGAAAAAAGAAAAAACCAAAACAAACAAACAAACAAACTCCCCTCCCCCATCCACCACCTTAGATGCCCTTCACAGAGGGGACAGCCAAAGAGGACTGGAGCCAAAAAAGTAAGTGCCAAGGTGGCATGGAACTTGGAATCTGGCCCAGGGGCTCGGCCATGACGACTCTCGCTGGCATGGGCTCAGTAGAGCTCAAGGACCGCCCCCTCCGGAGGGAAGAGACGGAAGGAGTCACAGGGCTGTTTCCCAAATGCCGGGACCAGTTTAATTCTCACAAGCTCTCATTTTACAGAGGAGGAATTCCCACCTGAAGACCCCACCACAAGGATGTCGCAAAGCTGAAACCTGAGCTCGGGTCATACCAACTAAATCCGGGTTCCCATCACCCCACAACGCAGCCTTCAAGCCCCTTCCCCCGTGGAATGATGACACAGCGGTGGGCTCGGCTCTGCACTGCCCAACCCTGCCCGGCAGTGAACAGGCGAGACCACCCAGCTGGGACCCAGGGAAGAGGCAAAGAGGAGACCCCTCAGCAGGGTCCGTTTCTCCTGCCTGGGCTTGTCCTGCACCCAGGACCAATGTGGCCCTACAGGACAGCTAGAACCCTCCCCTCCTCTTCTCCCCAAGTGTCCCCAGAGCTTCAGAAAAGTGTGTGCTTAAAGGACGATTCAATGAAATAATTTTCTAAAAAGAGAATAAATACATACATACATAAAGAAGCAGGAGTGTACCAGCCTGGGCAACATAGCAAGACCCCACCTCTACAAAAATAAAAAAAATTAGCCAGGTGTGGTGGTCCACACCTGTGGTCCCAGCTACTCAGGAGGCTGAGGCAGGAGGATCACTTGAGCCCAGGAGTTCGAGGCTACAGAGAACTGTGATCATGCCGTTGCACTCCAGCCTGGGCGACAGAGCAAGACCCTGCCTCCAAAAATAAAAAATTTAAAAAAGGAAGCATCAATGTGTGTCTGTGTGTCAGAGCATGCAAATGCGACGGGTGTGCGTGTATGAGACAGAAAAGACCACACACGTGATGCAAAGAATGAGGACAGTAAAGAAAGGGACACACACACACACACATACACGAACAACCTCAGCCAGGGTGACACTGAGAGGCCTGGCCCGCTGGCTGGGGAGGGTCACTTGTCTGCACTGGCTTGGGGTTGAACCAAAAAAACAAATGTCACAGCTCTCCAACTGGCACACCCATCACCCCACCAAATTTTTTTTCTTTTTTTTTTTTTTTAACAAAACAGATAGGGTCTCACTATGTTTCCCAGGCTGGTCTCAAACTCCCGAGCCCAAGCGATCCACCCACCTTGGCCTCCCTCCCAAAGTGCTAGGATTACAGGCGAGAGCCA
Source organism: Homo sapiens (assembly GCF_000001405.40). NCBI lineage: Eukaryota > Metazoa > Chordata > Mammalia > Primates > Hominidae > Homo > Homo sapiens. The sequence continues at coordinate 74,500,308 of NC_000007.14, read as the reverse complement.
CCACGTTAGGCCTACCAAATTTTCAGAAAAGCACCATGAGGTGGTTCTTCTAATCCATGTTACATCTGGGGAGGCTAAGGCTCGGGAGGGGAAGCGTGCTGCTCAAGGTCATTTGTGGCAGCGGTTCAAGGTCATTTGTGACACTTGATGGGTCGCCTGTGAGCCAGCTCAGCCCAAGCCCAAGCCCTTACACCATGCACCAGCATGTCCAGGCCTCTCAACGGCAGGGGCACACATGGGGGCTCCCTCATCTGGGGATCTCTCAGGCTTTTTTCACTCTCCACAAGTGGCAGGTTCATTCACTCATTCCTCTGTGTGTGCATTCATTCACTAATTCCTTGATGTGTACATTCATTCCTTTGTGTGTATTCATTCACTCATTCCTGTGTGTGTGCATTCATTGACTAATTCCTTGGTGTGTACATTCACTCATTCATTCCTTTGTGTGCATTCATTCATTCACTAATTACTTGGTGTGCACATTCATTCTTTCTTTCGTGTGCATTCATTCACTCACTCATTCCTTGGTGTGAACACTCATTCATTCCTTGGTGTATGCATTCATTCATCCCTTGGTGTGTGCATTAATTCCTTTGTGTGTATGCATTCATTCATGTGTGCATTCATTCATTCATTTCTTGGTGTGTGCATTCATTCATTCCTTGGTGTGTGCATGCATTCCTTTGTGTACATTCATTAATTCCTTTGTGTGCATTCATTTATTCTTTAGTGTGTGCATTCATTCATCCATTCCTTGGTGTGTGCATTCATTCCTTTGTGTATATGCATTCATTCATTCCTTGATGTATGCATTCATTCATTGCTCCCTTCCTTCCTTCCTTCTTTCCTTCCTTCCTTCTCTCTCTCCCTCCCCCACTCCCTTCTCTTCCTTCCTTCCTTCCTTCCCTTCCTCCCTTCCTTGCACACTTTTGAACCCTCAGGGTGATACTCATTCCCTGTGCTTATTGGCTCCCGCCTAGGTCATACTGGGTAAGAACAGTGAGGACACCTCCGCCGGGCCATTGGCTGGGACCTAGTCCAAGGCAGTGAGCTGTAAGTGGGGAGGGGCCACCCTGCAAGAGCTCAGCAGGAGCTGGAGACCTGGTAGGTCGTGGCAAGGCTGGGAGTGGGAGGAACACAGCCTGGGTGCCTTCCGTGGCCTCCCCTCACCACCCCTACTCATTCACTCAACACCTACCAAGAGGCTGCTCTGTGCCAGGCTCCGCCTGCCCTCCTCCAGCTCACAGGGCCAGTGTGTCCAGAGAGAATTACAGGACCAGGCTGGGTGCGATGGCTCATGCCTGTAATCCCAGCACTTTGGGAGGCAGAGGTGGGAGGATCACTTGAGGTCAGGAGTTTGAGACCAGCCTGGCCAACATGGTGAAACCCCATCTCTACTAAAAATACAAAAAATTAGCTGGGGGTGGTGGTACACGCCTATAGTCCCAGCTACTAGGGAGGCCGAGGCAGGAGAATTGCTAGAACCTGGGAGTTGGAGGTTGCAGTGAGCTGAGATCTTGCCACTGCACTCCAGCCTGGGTGAAAGAGTGAGAGTCCATCTTATTTAAAAAAAAAAAAAAGAACTACAGGACCACGAAAGAAGGACAAGCAGAGAAGCTCGCGCAGGCACAGAGCTTGACAATGGGGAAAGGGGTTACCTATGTTTTATTTAAATGTTTTATTTACTTAGTTTTGGGGGAGGAGGGGCCTGACAAATAAGGCTTCCCTGAGTTGATGACTGTTGAGGTGGGTTTTCAAGAGTGAATAGGAGTTCTCTGGGTACAGGAGTGGAAGGATAATACCCTGTTGTTTCCACAGAGAGAAGCAAGGGAAGAAGCTTGGTTTAGAGATATACAACCTTTGCTCTATGAGTAAAGAGAAGTTTTGGACAGAATCAATGGAATAAAAAGGCAAACCACAGAATGGGTGAAAATATTTGTAAATAGTATATCGGTAAGGGATTAATATCCAGGATATGCAGACACCTCCTAAAACTCAACAACTAAGACTGGATGCAGTGGTTCATGCCTGTAATCCCAGCACTTTGGGAGGCCAAGGTGAGAGGATAACTTGAGGCCAGGAGCTCGAGACCAGCCTGGGCAACAGAGCGAGACATCATCTCCATTAATAATAATAATCCAATTAAAAAATAGGCAAATGACTTGAGTAAACCTTTCCCCTAAGAAGATATACAAATGGCCATAAAACAGATGAAAAGATGTCCAACATCACTAAAGATTAGCAAAATGCAAATCTAAACTCCACCTCACACCCACCAGGATACCTACTATAAAAAACACAAGAAAGCGGGGCGCGGTGGCTCATGCCTGTAATCCCAGCACTTTGGGAGGCCAAGGCAGGCGGATCATCTAAGGTCAGGAGTTCGAGACCAGCCTGACCAACATGGTGAAACCCATCTCCACTAAAATTACAAAAATTAGCCGGGCATGGTGGCACATGCCTGTAATCCCAGCTACTTGGGAGGCTGAGGCAGGAGAATTGCTTGAACCCAGGAGGCGGAGGTTGCAGTGAGCTGACATCATGCCATTGCACTCCAGGCGGGGCAACAAGAGTGAAACTCTGTCTAAAACAAAAACAAACAAAACAAACAAAACCACACACAGGAAAAAAACAAGAGCTGGTGAGAACGTGGGGAAATTGGAACCCTGTGTGCTGCTGGTAGGGATGCAAAATGGTACAGGCACTGTGGAAAACAGCATGGCGGTTCCTCAAAAAATTAAAAATAGGACTACCAGCCAGGTCCAGTAGCTCAGGCCTGTAATCCCAGCACTTTGGGAGGCTGAGGCAGGAGGATTGCTTGAGCTCAGGAGTTTGAGACCAGCCTGGCAAGATTCCATCTCTACAGAAAATACAAAAATTAGCTGGGTGTGGTGGTGCACACCTGTAGTCCCAGCTACTTGGGAAGCTGAGGCGGGAGGATGGCTTGAGCCTGCGGAGGTTGGGGCTGCAGTGAGGTGTGACTGTGCAACTGCACTCCACGTTTCCGCTCTTGCAAATAATGCTGCTATTAACATGAGTATGCAAATCACTTGGTAAACCTGTTTTCAATGATTTGGGGTATATACCCAGAGGTGGAACTGTTGAATTGTATAGTAGTTCTGTTTTTATATTTTATTTTATTTTATTTAGAAAGAGTCTCACTCTGTTGCCCAGGCTGGATTGCAGTGGTGTGATCATAGCTCACTGCAGCCTCAAATTCCTGGGTTCAAGCCATCTTCCCACCTCAGCCTTCCAAGCAGCTGGGACTACAGGTGTGCACCGCCATGCCTGGCTAATTTTAAATTTTTTTGTAGAGATGGGGTCTTGCTATGTTGCCCAGGCTGGCCTTGAACACCTGGCCTCAAACAATCCTCCCACCTCAGCCTCCCAACCTGCTGGGATTATAGGCATAAGCCACCATGCCTGGCCTTAATAGAATTTTTCAAAATGGGGGGAGGGGGGAAGAGAGGAAGTGTTTGGTTGTTCTCATTGTCCACTGTCGAGTGTCGTTCCTAAGACTAGAGAGGACACTCAGTGACCTTTGCTGGAATGGAGTGGAGAGAGGGAGGGGGCACCTAACAAGCACATCTCTGCCCCAGAGGTAAGTGTGAGCACTAGCAAGTCAACACACACATGCATGCACACTCACACACACACCCACACGCACACATACATGCACACCCACACGCACACCCACATACATGCACACCCACACCCACCCACACACATGCACACCCACACATGTACACCCCCCAAACGCACACACCCACACATACATGCACACCCACACACGCACACCCACATGAACACACACACACACACATACGTGCACACCCACATGAACACACATGCACACCCACACTCAAATGCATACACACATGCACACACATTGACACCCACATGCACACACACCCACATATATCACACACATATATGCACACACACATGCACCCACACACACATGCACATACATGCACACCCCCATGCACACCCCCACCCCCACACACATGCACACCCACATACACACGCATACCCACTCACATGCATACACACATATGCAGACACCCACACACGCATGCACACCCACATGCAGACACCCCATACACATACGCACGCATAGCCACTCACATGCATACACACATACACGTACTTGTGCACACAATGCACTCACATATGCATGCACACTCACACATGCATACACACATATGCACACACATGCATGCAAACTCACATGCATGTCCACACATACAGACACATGTGTGCACACATGCACACTCACTCACACACACGCTAGTCCAAGTCCTCCTGGGGCCAGTCCCAGCACAGTCTGAATGCAGTGAAAACCTTCACAGAGAAGGTGGCTGGCCCCAGCCACAGTCGTGCTGGGACACAGAGACGCGCAGGGCATGACCTCACCCTCCAAAGGCTCACTGTCCCATCAGGAGTCACATCACAGATCAAGCTGAACCTGTCTTCCCTCCAGAGCCCCACACTCCAGTCTGCAGGCCCCTGGGTGGGCCTTGCACTCTCGCTCAGGCCTTTGCACCTGCTGTGCCCTTTTTAAGAAATGCCCTTCCCCGCTGCTGGCTCCCTCTTAGCTCTTGTGGGCTCGTCAACACCTCCTGTTGTGCCCCTCGGTTGGGCTCCCTCAGCCCCTCCTTCCCTCCTCCTCCAGGATGTGGAGGTGTCAGAGCCCCCATGCACTGGCTCCTGGAGAACAGGGCTGATTGCTTTCATCTGTGTGTGCCCGGGCCTGCTACACATAACAAGGCCTGGAAAGGCCTCCGAAGAGAGGGGCCGTTGATGCAAGTTTGGAAGAATCATGAGCCATGAAGAAGGTGAATGGTGAGGGATGGGGCAGTCCAGACAGAGGGGACAGCTCAGGCAAAGGCACTAAGGCACAAGGGAGCCCGATGGGGTGTGACGTCCGTGGTGGGGCTGGCAGGAGTGGAGCAGAACGCCGAAGTGCTCTTGGCACAGACTGCAGTCAGATTCTGGGGCTGTCCAGCGGGAAATGCTCTGAGACTGTCCTAGCCTCAGCCCAGAGCCTGGGCCTGGGCTCTGGAGGGCCCTGTCCCGCCCTTCCCAAAGGGGACACGCCCACCTGGAGCCTGCACCCACTCTCCCACCCCAGACACCTGGGTACTCAGACCCCTGGAATCCAGCTGGCAGATAAACCCCCATTCTGGGGCCCCAGGGCCCTCTTCTCTGGTCCATCCTCCTGCAATGGTTTTAAATCTGACAATACATTCTTAGGCCAGGTGTGGTGGCTCATGCCTGTAATCCAGCACTTTGAGAGGCTGAGGCAGAAGGATTGCTTGAGGCCAGGAGTTCAAGACCAGACTGGGTAACATAGTGAGACCCCCCATCTCTACAAAAAAAATTTAAAATTAGCTAGGCATGGTAGTGCATACCTGTAGTCCCAGCTACTGGGGAGGCTGAGGCAAGAGGACCACTTGAGCCCAGGAAGTGGAGGCTACAGTGAACTGTGATCACACCACTGCTCTCCAGCCTGAGTGACAGAGTGAGAACCCTGTCTCTAAAAAATAAATAAATAAGTTTTTTGGTTTTTTGTTTTTTTTAAATAGAAATGGGAGTTTCCCTATATTGCCCAGGCTGGTCTCGAACTCCTGGGCTCAAAGGATCTTCCCACCTCGGCCTCCCAAAGTGAAAAAAATAAATAAATAAGTTCTTAATACTTCTCCCAACAAGTGGTGTCATCTAATTCTCTCCTCTTGAATGTGATTTGAATAAAGACCCACTTTGAACCAACAGAATGTGTGGGCAGCGCCAACACGTGACCTCTGCAGCCAGGTCCCCAAAGGCGCTAGACTTCCCCCAGCCACTCACTCACTCTCAGACCCTTGCCCTGGACTCTGAGCTGACACGTGGGAAGCCCGACTATCCTGAGGCCACCGTGCTGGAGGGGCCGGGGGGCAGCAGAGAAGCCCAAGGGGCCCCAGCTGTTCCTCGGCTCAGGCCCCGGGCCAGCAAGTGAAACATCTTCAAAATGACCTCAAGCCCTGCTAACTTTTTATTTAGAAACGGGATCTTGCTCTGTTGCCCAGGCTGGAGTGCCGTGGTGCGATCGTAGCTCACTGCAGCCTCCAACTCCCACCGGCAACCTTTTGACTGCAATTGTAGGAGAGATTGAGTAAGACCCATCTGGCTGAGCTCAGACAACTCTCACAATGTGAAGAGTAAAAGAAGAAATGACTGTTGTTTGACACTGCTAATGTTGGGCTATTGGTTTATGCAGTCCAAGATAAATAACGGATACACCCTGAGGGCACACCAGGCTGACGCTGCTGTACCCCCCAAGAGGGGGCAGCTGTTTGGGAGAGTGGACACGGCTTGAGTTCAGGAGTTCAAGACCAGCCTGGGTAATATGGCAAGACCCCATCTCAACAAAAAATAAAAAAATCAGCTGGGTGTGGTGGTGCATGCCTGTAGTCCCAGCTGCTTGGGAGGCTGAGATGGGAGGATCCCCTGAGCCCAGGAGGTCAAGGCTGCAGTGAGCCAAGATCACACCACTGCACTCCAGCCTAGATATATGGCTTAGGGAGTCCACATAAATGAGAATAAGGTCCCCTCAGAGGGGACAGAGCCGAGGTGGGTCAGCTGGGATCTTCCATTTGTCTCCTTTACCTGGCCGGCATCTATCACAGGAGAACCTGTCTACTAGAATGGCTGCTGGAGTTTGCCCTTAGAGACCCGAGATAGGCTCAAAAAAATGACCTCCAAAAGACAGCCATGTCCTAATCCCCAGAGCCTGTGTTACCTTATATGGCAAAATCACTTTGCAGATGTGATTAAGGATCTTGAGGTAGGGGATTATTCTGGCTTAGCCGGGTAGGCTCTAAATGCCATCACATGCATCCTTATAAGAAGAGGTCATGGCCGGGCGCGGTAGCTCATACCTGTAAGCCCAGCACTTTGGGGGCCAAGGCAGGAGGATTGCTTGAGCCCAGGAGTTTGAGACCAGCCTGGGAAACATAGTGAGACCCCATCTCTACAAAAAATAAAAAAAAATTAGCTGGGTGTGGTGGAGCATGCCTATAGTCCCAGTTACTCGGGAGGCTGAGATGGGAGGATCCCCTGAGCCCAGGAGGTCAAGGATGCTGTGAGCTGAGATCACGTCACTGCCCTCCAGCCTGAGCAAGACAGTGAGACCCCTATCTCAAAAAAAAAAAAAAAAGAAGAAGAAGAAGAGGTCATGCCAGGCACAGTGGCTCATTCCTGTAATCTCAGTGCTTTGGGAGGCCAAGGCAGCAGGATCACTTCAAGTCAGGAGGACCACTTGAGGCTAAGAGTTTGAGACTAGCCTGAGCAACACAGCAAGACCCCAGCTCTACAAACATTTTTTAAAAATAGGGTAGAGGAAGACTGGACATCCATATAGAAGAGAAGTCCAAGTGAAGACGAAGTAGAGAGAGATTGGAAGATGCTGGCCTTGAAGACTGGAGTGATGCGGCCACAAGCCCAGGAGTGCTGGCAGCCCCCAGGAGCTAGAAGAGGCCAGGAACAGATTCCCCCCGAGAGCCTCTGGAGGGAGCATGGCACTGTCGGCACCTTGATTTTGGCCCAGTGGTAATGATTTTGGACCTTTGGCCTCCAGAACTGTGAGAATAGAAATTTCTCTTGTTCTCATAAAAACATGGGCAAAGGACATGAACAGACACTTTTCAAAAGGAGATGTACATGCAGCCAACAATCTTATGAAAAAAGACTCAATCAACATCATTGATCATGAGTGAAATGCAAATCACAACCACAATGAGATATCATCTCACACCAGTCAGAATGGCTATTATTAAAGTCAAAAAATGACAGATGCTGGGCCAGGCGTGGTGGCTCACACCAGTAATCCCAGCACTTTTGGAGGCCAAGGTGGGCAGATCATGAGGTCAGGAGATCAAGACCATCCTGGCTAACATGGTGAAACTCAGTTTCCACTAAAAATACAAAAAATTAGCCAGGCGTGGTGGCAGGCACCTGTAGTCCCAGCTACTCGGGAGGCTGAGGGAGGAGAATGGCGTGAACCCGGGAGGCAGAGCTTGCGGTGAGCCGAGATCACGCCACTGAACTCCAGCCTGGGCGACAGAGTGAGACTCTGTCTCAAAAAAAAAAAAAAAAAATTAGCCGGGAATGGTAGTGTGTGCCTGTAATCCCAGCTACTCGGGAGGCTGAGGCAGGAGAATTGCTTGAACCCAGGAAGTAGAGGTTGCAGTGAGCTGAGATTGCACCACTGCATTCCAGTCTGGACAACAGAGTAAGACTCCGTCTCAAAACAAAAACAAAAACAAAAACAAACGAACAAGAAAATAACAGATGTTGGTGAGGTTGTGGAGAAAAAGGAACACTTATACACTGTTGTAAATTAGTTCAGCCATTGTGGAAGACAGTGTGGTGATTCCTCAAAAACCTAAAGACAGAAATACCATTGGACCCGGCAATCCCTTACTGGGTATATACCCAAAGGAATAGAAATCATTCTACAATAAAGACACATGCACACGTATGTTTACTGCAGCACTATTCACAACAGCAAAAACATGGAATCAACCTAAATGCCCATCAATGATAGACTGGGTAAAGAAAATGTGGTAGGTATACACCATGGAATACTATGCAGCCACAAAAAAGAACAAGATCATGTTCTTTGCAGGGACATGGATGGAGCTGGAGGCCATTATCCTTAGCAAACTAACACAAGAACAGAAAACCAAATACTGCATGTTCTCACTTATAAGTGGGAGCTGAACAATGAGAACACATGGACACAGAGAGGGGGGCAACACACACTGGGGCCTTTCAGAAGGTGGAGGGTGGGAGGAGGGAGAAGATCATAAGAAATAACTATTGGGTACTGGGCTTAATACCTGGGTGAAAAAAGAATCTGTACAACAAACCCCCATGACACAAGTTTACCTATGTCACAAACCTGCACACTTGTACCCAAGAACCTCAAAGTAAAAAAAAAAAAAAAAAAAAAAAGAATTTTTTTTTCTCCCTCACTCTGTCACCCAGGCTGGAGTGCAGCAGTGGGATCTCAGCTCACTGCAACCTCCACCTCCAGGGTTCAGGCGATTCTCGTGCCTCAGCCTCCTGAGTAGCTGGGATTACAGGTGCCTGCCACCACGCCCATCTAATTTTTGTATTTTTAGTAGAGATGGGGTTTCACCATGTTGGCCAGAATGGTCTTGAACTCCTGACCTCATGATCTGCCCACTTTAGCCTTCCAAAGTGCTGGGATTACAGGCATGAGCCACCGCACTCGGCCTGAAATTTCTGTTGCTTTAAGGCACGAAGTCTGTGTGGCCCGTGTTACAGCAGCTTCAGGAAATTAACACTGGCTCCTTCACTGGCTGTACCCCACCTCACAAAGACAGTCCACATCCTCAGCCCCTTGGACACTCAGTCCTCAGCTCAGACCTCTGCAAAGCTCAGGCCTGGGTTTGCTGGAGAGCTCTCCAATCTCTTCCCCCTTGGAAGCGCCACTAGAAAGAGCCGGATTTTTCTGGACACCAGAGAAGCGTCTCTGTGATTCAAGTCTCACTGCCCTATGGACCAGCTGGGGCGTTGGAGCTGATGGAGAAAAAAAAAAATACACCCAACCACGTAAAAGGCAAAGGCAGGCACACACCCCACCCAAACACGGCCCCCGCACCATCCGCTGCCATATGCTTGTTTCTTGAAAAAGAAGCTTGAGAGAACAAACAAAAAAGAAATTTCTCCCCTTCTGGAAGGCGGGCGGGGGGGGGGGTATCCTTTCTCCCCAGCAGCCTCAGCCTCCCTCTGAATACTCCCTCTCTAGTCCCAGAGGCTCCCCAGTGGGGGTAGAGTGGCCTGGGGGTCCTGGATTCCTGCCCTCCCCCACCACCACTGTCACTGTAGCCGGGAAGAACACTGCCAGTCACAGCCCTGGCCTTCCATTCGTATCTGCTCAGGCCAGGCTCTGGGCTGGGCAGCGGGAGGGGGTCTTACACCCAGCCGCAGTGCAGTAGAAGGCAGTCTGGGGTCATGGTTAAGACACCTGGGGTCTCACTGGGCGCAGTGGCTCACGCCTGTAATCCCAGTGCTTTGGGAGGCTAAGGCAGGAGGATCAAGCCCAGGAGTTCAAGATCAGCCTGGGCAGCACAGTGAGACCCCATCTCTACAAAAAAACAAAAAAGTTAGCCAGGTGTGGTGGTGCGTGCCTGTTGTCCCAGCTACTCGGGGTGCTGAGGCAGGAGGATAGCTTGACACGGGAGGTCAAGGCTGCAATGAGCTATGACTGCAGCACTGCAGTCCAACCCAGGGGACAGAGCTAGACTCTGTCACACACACACACAAAAAAAATCTGAGTTCCAGTCCTGGATCTGACCCCAAAAGCTGTCCTCCAAGTCCTCTGCCCCACTCCCTGCTAACAGAATCCCCCCGTTGTGTCCTGGTATCTAAAGATGGGACAAACTTTGCTGGGTTGTCCCAACAACCAGTGCTTGGGGCAGCTGGGCCCTCCCAGTCCCTGGGAGGAACTTTGGTGATTCTCCAAGGCTCAGAGCAAGGCACTCCTTTTCCCCTAGCTGGGACAGGTGTAAGGAGAGGCCAGAACCCAATTCTGGCCACTGAGACATGAGGGACTTCTAGGAGAGCTGTCCTTGCCCTTAGAAAGGAACTGAAACCAGGCCAGGAGTGGTGGCTCACACCTGTCATCTCAGCACTTTGGGAGGCCAAGGTGGGCAGATCACCTGAGGTCAGGAGTTTGAGACCAGGCTGGCCAACATGGCGAAACCCCGTCTCTACTAAAAATACAAAAATTAGCCAGGTGTGGTGGTACATGCCTGTAATCCCAGCTACTTGGGAGGCTGAGGCAGGAGAATCGCTTGAACCCAGGAGGCGGAGGTTGCAGTGAGCTGAGATCACACCATTGCACTCCAGCCTGGGCAACAGAGCAAGACTCCGTCTCAAATAAAAAAAGGGACTGAAACCAGGGATGTCCTCCTTCTCCTGCATGTGACACCCCCGACCATGACAGCCAACTAGAGACATGAAAAGAATCAGCCCGGGAGGTGAGGGTATCTGAGGATGGCAGGGTGAACTCGTGGAAGAACTTGGTCCTGTATGACCCCAGATCTGCCATCTCTAAGCTTTGGGTGAAACAGTAAAAGTCTTTTTTTTTCTTTTTGAGATGGAGTCTTACCCTGTTGCCCAGGCTGGAGTGCAGTGGCACGATCTTGGCTCACTGCAACTTCTGCCTCCTGGGTTCAAATGATTCTCCTGCCTCAGCCTCCTGAGTAGCTGGGATTACAGGAACCCACCACCACACCCGGCTAATTTTTGTATTTTTAGTAGAGACGGGGTTTTGTTATGTTGGCCAGGCTGGTCTTGAACTCCTGACCTCAGGTGATCCGCCACCTTGGCCTCCCAAAGTGCTGGGATTACAGGAATGAACCACCGCGCCCAGGCAAAAGTCCATATTTCTTAAGGCACTCTTAGTAGAGGTTTCTTTTCTTCTTTCCTTTTTTACCCCCCCAGGACTAGAGTTTCTTTTCTTCTCTCTCTCTCTCTTTTTTTCTTCTGTCACCCAGGCTGGAGTGCAGTGATGCAATCATAGCTAACTACAGCCTCGATCTTGATCTCTCCTAGACTCAAGCAATCCTCCAGCCTCAGCCTCCCAAGTAGCTGGGACTACGGGCGCCTGCCACCACACCTGGCTCACTTAAAAAATCTTGTTAGAGACAGGGTCTCACTATGTTGCCCAGGCTGGTTCTGAACTCCTGGTCTCAAGCAATCCTCCTGCCTTGGCCTCCCAAAGTGATGGGATTACAGGCGTGAGCCACCGTGCCCAGCCAGAGGTTTCTTTCATTTGCAGCTAAAAACATCCTACTTAAGTCAGTCTTTACCAGTTGTAAAGTCACCCATTTGTTTTTGACTACAGGTCTATTTTACAATTTCCTTTCCAACTGCAGCTGAAGAGCCTACATCCGATTTTGATACCCAGAGCAAGATTTGAAGATTCTGAGTGTGCTACAATTCTTTATTTTGACACAGGGTCTCACTCTGTCTCTAGGCTGGAGTGAAGTGGGTGTGATCATAGCTCACTGCAGCCTCCAACTCCTGGGCTCAAGCGATCCTCCCGCCTCAGCCTCCTGAGTAGCTGGGACCACAGCGTGTGTCGCCACACCCAGCTAAGTTTTTATTTTTACTTTTTAGAGATAGGGTCTCACTGTGTTGCCCAGGCTGATCTTGAACTCCTGGCCTCAAGTGATCTTCTCACCTTGGGCTCCCAAAGTGCTAGATTATGAGTGTGAGCCACTGCACCCGGCTAACTTTATTTTTTATGCTGAGGGCTCCATCTCTAGTCCCACCACCCTCTTACCATGATGTTTGAGGAGGCACAATATTCTGAAAAAAATGGAAGTGATGGAAACAAAATGGAAAATTTGAAAAGATTAAAATATAAGTAATTCTTTTAAAAATGTCCTCTATATTTCTGAAGCATCTTTGTTAGTTTAAAATATAAAAATGCATTATGTATAAGTTGTTTTGTTCAACATTGCCACAGATTTGCTGTATCAAATTCAAAACTACAGTTTATTCAGAAGCCACCAATTTTAGATTTAATCACATTTTAAATGTTTAACATCTTTGTTACCAATGGAATTACAGTGTTTTGGGCTTTAAATAAGCTAGGCTTTCTTGTATATTTTTAAAAATTGTTTAAGTAATGTGGATAATTTATCTTTCTCTGGCTTTAAAAAAAATTTCCTAGAGATTGCAAAAACAGTCTACGGCCCCACCACCCTGAAAGAGCCTGATCTCATCTGATCTCAGAAGCTAAGCAGAGTCGGGTCTGGTTAGTTCTTAGATAGGAGACTGCAAAAAACAGGTGTTACACTTTGGGTGACTTAGTATTTCTTACGATATCAAGTAGAACTGGAAAGCTTTCATATTCAGAAAGGGAATAGAGACAAAGAGAGAAGTTACCCTGGCCAGGTGCAGTGGCTCACGCCTGTAATCCCAGCACTTTGGGAGGCCGAGGCGGTCGATAACCTGAGGTCCGGAGTTCAAGACCAGCCTGGCCAACATGGCGAAACCTCATCTCTATTAAAATACAAAAATTAGCCCTGCATGGTGTTGGGTGCCTGTAATTCTAGCTACTTGGGAGGCTGAGGCAGGGAGAATCATGTGAACCTGGGAGGCGGAGGTTGCAGTGAGCCAAGATCGCGCCACTGCACTCCCACCTGGGTGACAGAGACTCCATCTCAAAAGGAAAAAAGAAAAGAAAAGTTATCTTGTAATTCTCTCATCTACATCACTGAGTCCAACTTTTGGGAACTTTTGTCTAATGCGTCTCATTTCTTTGTTTTTAGAGACAGGGTCTTGCTATGTTGTCCAGGCTGGTTTCAAACTCCTGGGCTCAAGGGATCTTCCCCACGCCACCCTCAGTGTCCTGAGTAGCTGGGATTACAGGAGCACACAACCACGCTTGGCTATTTTTTTTCATTTTTTTTTTTTGTAGAGACATGGTCTTGCTATGTTGCTCAGGCTGGTCCTGAACTCCTAGGCTCAAGCAATCCTCCTGCCTCAGCTTCCTGAGTAGCTGGGACTATAGGCATGAGCCACCATGCCCAGCTGAACGTGCTGGGATTGTGAGGCAGACAGATGCTGTGTGGCTGGTACCTCAATCCCCATATAACCAACTTCTCCCTTGCTCTCCTCTTCTGTAGGGGCCACAACACAAAATCCTCCCATTCCTATACTCTCTTGCAGCCAGAGATGACCACAAGACACAGTCTAACCAGTGAGGCATTCCCAAACAAAAGAGCAGAGTTTCCCTGGAAGCAGGCAATGGGGGGCTCAATCCCTTACTCCCTATGCCCTGCCTGGTGGCTGACATCCACTTTAGGCCAGGATGACCAAAGCCCTCAGCCAGAGGAGAGAGAGAGAGATGGCGCAGGCCCCTCAGATGTGCCTGAGCAGCTGCCTGCGGCTGGACCACCCACCCATGCCTCCTGTTACACGAGACACCCCTCTCTCCTAAGCCTCTGTTTCTCAGGTTGCTTGCAACAAACACATTCCTAACAGAAATAGACTCCACGGCGGTGTGGGCGGATCACTTGAGGTCAAGAGTTCGAGACCAGCCTGGCCAACATGGTGAAACCACATCTCTACTAAAAATACAAAAATTAGCTGGGCGTGGTGTTGGGCACCTATAATCCCAGCTACTCAGGAGGCTGAGGCAGGAGAACTGCTTGAACCTGGGAGGCGGAGGTTGCAGTGAGCCAAGATCATGCCACCGTACTCCAGCCTGGGTGACAGGGCAAGACTCCATCTCAAAAAAAAAAAGAAACAGATTCCATGGGAGGCATTTTCTTTTCTTTCTTCTTCTTTTTTTTTAAAGACAGGGTCTCACTCTGTCACCGAGGCTGGAGTGCAGAGGCACGATCATAGCTCACTGCAGCCCCACCTTCCTGGACTCAAGCAATTCTCCTGCCTCAGGCTCACGAGTACCTGGGACTACATGATTGCGCCACCATACCCGGCTAATTTTTTAAAAAATTTTTAGTAGAGACAGAGTCTTGCTATGTTGCCCAGGCTGGTCTCAAACTCCTGCCCTCAAGTGATCCACCTGCCTCGGCCTCTCAAAGTGCCGGGATTATAGGTGTGAGCCACTGCTCCCAGCTGCATCTATTTTTTTTTTTTCTTTGAGATGGAGTCTTGCTCTTTTACCCAGGCCAGACTGCAGTGGCACTATCTCGGCTCACTGCAAGCTCCGCCTCCTGGGTTCACACCATTCTCCTGCCTCAGCCTCCCGAGTAGCTGGGACTACAGGCGTCCGCCACCACGCCCAGCTAATTTTTTGTGTTTTTAGTAGAGACGGGGTTTCACCGTGTTAGCCAGGATGGTCTCGATCTCCTGACCTCGTGATCCGCCCGCCTCGGCCTCTCAAAGTGCTGGGATTACAGGCGTGAGCCACCGCACCCAGCCAGCTGCATCTATTTTTAAAGGCCTCAGTCTCCAAGACTCGTCTGATGAATTCCACTGTCCATCAATCCTGGCCATTGAGGAAAGTGTGTCCAAACATCCATTCCAGGTTTCTCCTGCAGCAGCCCCACTGCTGCCTCCCCTGGGGCATCTGTAGCTAGAGGATGCCTTGATGCACATCCCTCTGGCATGATCCCACTCACAAGCCTCTTTCCTGCACCCTAAGCCACCCAGCTCCGGGCCCTTGGTCAGAGGTGTCGGGAGGTGGCATGTCTCCCACCCACGCATCTGAGGCCAGAAGAAGTCTCAGTGGGATTCTGGAAGGAAGGACTCAAGCATTGGATAAGGGGTTGAAAGAGGCGATTTCTCAGATCCACTCCAGATTTGAGATCCCTCATTACAGCAATGTTGTTAATAAAACAGTAATAGTCTCAAAGACACATCTGTACAGCCATGTTCATAGGATCAGTATTCACAATAGCCAAAAGGCAGAAACCGTCCCAGCGTCCGATGATGAATGGATAAAAAACCACAGTCTATCCATACAATGGAATATTACTGAGCCTTAAAAAGGAAAGACAGGCTGGGTGCAGTGGCTCATGACTGTAATCCTAACATTTGGGAGGCTGAGGCGGGTGGATCACCTGACGTCAGGAGTTTGAGACCAGCCTGGCCAACATGGTGAAATCTCGTCTCTACTAAAAATACAAAAATTAGCTGGCTGTGGTGGCAGGTGCCTGTAATCACAGCTACTCGGGAGGCTGAGGCAGGAGAATTGCTTGAACCCGGAGGGTGGAGGTTGCAGTAAGCCAAGATCGCACCACTTCGCTCCAGCCTGGGTGGGTGAAAGAGTGAGACTCCAATTCAAAAAAAAAAAAAAAAAAAGAAGGATGGCCGGGTGTGGTGGCTCATGCCTGTAATCTCAGTACTTTGGGAGGCTGAGACAGGAGGATCACTTGAGCCTGGGAGGTAGAGGTTGCAGTGAGCTGAGGTCACACTACTGCACTCCAGCCTGGGTGACAGAGTGAGACCCTGTCTCAATTTAAAAATAAAAAAAGACCATCATGTTAGGCCCGGTGATGCATATACCATCTCTCCAAATCCTTGACTCCATGGCTTTGGTTCCTGAAGACCCAAGTCCAGGTTCATTGCCATTACGCTGACAGAGAATTTAGGGACACAGGCTTTCAGCCAACACAAGGGAACATTCCTAATGGGAAGAACTGTCCCAGAATGGAAGAACAAGCTGCTGTGTGGGCACTGAGTCTCCATCTCTGGGGGCTGCTCAGTGGAAGCTGCCCACTTATCAAGGCCTCTCAGAGGGTCTTTGCACCTGGGAGACTCTGGCTGTATCTACACGGCTCCTTCCTTCCACCAAGAAATCTGGCCTGGAGGTAATTCAGGCAGAGCAGAAGTGAGACACTGCATTTTTGCTCCACTTAGAAATGAGCCAAGTTGGTAAATAAGATTTTTTTTTTTTTAAAGAGACAGAGTCTTGCTCTGCCACCTAGGCTGGAATGCAATGGCGTGATTATGGCTCACTGCACCCTCAAACTCCTGGACTCAAGCCATCTGCCGGCCTCAGCCTCCCGAGTAGCTCCCTGCTAATTTTTTTAAAAATGTTTTGTAAAGATGGAGTCTCGCTCTGTCACCCAGGCTGGAATGCAGTGGCACGATCATGGCTCACTGCAGCCTCAAATTCCTGGACTCCAGCCATCCGCCTGCCTCAGCCTCCCAAGTAGCTGGGGTTACAGGTGCATGCTGCCATGCCTGATTTTTAAAAATTTTTTTTGTAGAGACAGTCTTGTTCTGCCACCCAGCCTGGAGTGCAGTGCTGCAATCATAGCTCATTGCAGCCTCAAATTCCTGGGCTCAAGCGATTCTTTCCCTCAGCCTCGCAAGTAGCTGGAACTGCAGACACATGCCACCATGCCCAGCTAATTAAAAAAAAAATTTTTTTTTTTTTAGAGATGGGGCCTTGCTATGTTGCCCAGGCTGGGCTCAAATTCTTGGGCTCAAGCAATCCTGCCTCAGTCTCCCAAAGTGCTGGGATTACAGGAATGAGCCACTGTGACCGGCCTAAATAAGATCTTAAGAGCAAACTTCAAACACTTTGGAAAACAACCTCTTAGCACTGAGAAGTATATGCTTAGCATCACAGCACTGAGCTAGATGGGCCCCTCATCTAACCACCTGCATGTCCATCTAGGGAAACCACGGCCCAGAGGCGTCAGACTGAACCCCAGATCTCTGCACACCCAACCCAGGCTCACAACATAATACAACTTGCTCTCCTGTGGGCTTAACAGCTACGCTGATTGCAAATTCTTTCCTATTCACCACAAAACATCCTTTAGGGAAATAAACTTTATTTCTTTGACGATGGGCAGTAATTCAGAGGTATCCGAATTTCAGCGCAAGACCTGATCTGTTTCCACGGTACATGTGTTTCCACTGACTCCTCCTGGGTGCCCCGTCTATTGGAAAAGGCATCAGACGTATGAGCAAACCACAAAGACACGCAACACCACGGTGGAATCTCGCAAGGATGATGAAAGAATCTGAGGTCACATGGTAGAATTCCATTTATGTAAGGTTCAAAAGGAGGCCACATTCTGAAGCCAGGAGATGGAACGGCGGTTATCGTGGTGGGTCAGGGAGAGTGGTAGTAACTGGAAGGGGGTGAGAGGGGCTTGTCAATGCTGTTTCTTGATCTGGGTGCTGGTTACCTGGGTAGTTTAGTGTGTGAACAGTTATCAAGGTGTTTCTCTTACAACAAATAACTTTGTTCTCAATGAAAAGTGTGCATAAGGCCAGAAACAGTGGCTCGCACCCGTAATCCCAGCACTTTGGGAGGCTGAGGCAGGAGGACCACTTGAGCCCAGAAATTTGAGACCAGCCTGGACAACACAGAGAGACCCTGACTCTACAAAAAATTTAAAATTTAGCCATGTGTGGTGGCACATGCCTGTCGTCCCAGCTACTCGGGAGGCTAAGGCAGGAGGATCACTTGATCCCATGAGGTTGAGGCTGCAGTGAGCCGAGATTGCATCACTGCACTCCAGCCTGGGATACAGAAGGAGGCCCGTCTCAAAAAAAAAAAAAAAAAAAAAAAGTTTTAGGAGACATCAGGTATTGGGACACCCAGTCAGATGACAGAAAAAAACAAACAAACAAACAGCAAAACTGTCCCTTTTTAATCCTGCCCTGCAACTACAGATGGTACAGTTCCGCCTAGAGGCAGGGCTCCACCTCCAGCCTCCTCTGGCCCCCTCACCCCATGCTGTCACTAGGGCAGGGGCTGCAAGAGCCAGCTGGGAATGTCACTGGAGACAAAACCCCACACCTGTGGTCGAGCTCTTCCCAGCCTAGCAGCCATGAGTTTCACACTAAATCCTGGCCCACCCCACAGAAGGGCCCTGGGTGCACACAGTCCTCCCAGCCAAGCGATTTGGTGACGCTGTGACGTGTTTCAGGAAGTTCAATTTTAACTCTGTTCCCACCCTTCGCTCCAGGACTTATAATTCTATAAATTAATCCTGAGTTAATTATCCCAAATGCAAAGATTTACATGCAAAGATGTTTCCCCAAAGCTTTCACTTGGTACATCCACAGATACACACACCCACATATAAACAAGGAGTAGGTGCAGGCAACCTGATGCCCAGCAGAGGCTGATTCCAACACTGGACAGGATGACCTCAGGGGCATACACAGTGCAGCCCGGGATGCAAACTCCAGACCGTGCATCTCAGGGTGGGATCCATGCCTGACTTTGCTTCCCTCTACTTTTCTGTATTTTCTAAGTCACCTAAGGTAAGTATTACTTTTACAATTTGGAAAGAAACAACAGAAACCTCATCCTTTAAAAACAAAAGCAGGCTGGGCGTGGTGGCTCACTCCTGTAATCCCAACACTCTGGGAGCCAGAGAAGCAGGAGGATTGCCTGAGGCCAAGAGTTTGAGACCAGCCTGGGCAACATCGCAAGACCCCATCTCTAACAAAAAATTTAAAATATGAGCCGGGCGTGGTGGCACGCGCCTGTCGTCACAGCTACTCAGAAAGCTGAGGTGGGAGGATGGCTTGAGCCCAGGAGTTCAAGAATGCATCGAACTGGGATTGCGCCACTGCACTCCAGCCTGGGCGATAGAGCAAGACCTCATTTCTAAAAAAATTTTCCTTTTAAATAAAAAATAGAGCAAAACAAAAAGCAAAACCAACCATCCAACACAGCTGCTCCACCCCATGACAGGAAAGTTGGCCCCAGGCGGGGGCAAAGGGGCAGTCCAGGAAGTACAGGGATTCATGCTGCCTTCCAAGGGGAAGTGAGGGAGCCGCCTGCCTCTTCCCTGGAGGGGCTGGGGGAAGCCGATCTGAGGCCTGGCCATGCGAAGCCCCATCTGCCCTTCATCTAGGCTTCTGGAAGGTAGGGCGTCCTTCCTCCACGTGGAGGACGGGATTTAGGAAAAGGGGCTGTCTCCTCTCAGCTCGGGCTGTGCATCAGGTACTAGGAGCACTCAAAGAGAGCCCCCAAACTCAGGTTTCTCCATTTCTCTCCCGTCCCCCGGGGCGGGCACGGAGGGACTCCGCCGCCGCCGGCAGTATGCGGGGTCCAGGCCGCCCCATGCCTGCTCTACCAGGAGGGGAGGCCAGGATCCGCCGGGCAGACGGCTCCGCGGTTCAGGTTTCCACCCTTGTTATTTAAAGCCTGAGCCTGGCTCCTGGCAGGCGGGCAGGGGCGGCCGCCTGCCTGCGTGACCAGGATGAGAAATCGCAGTCCTGACGCGGGCCTGCGTGCCTATGGCAACTGGCGTTGTGGCCTTGGAGACTAATCTCCGGGCTGTCAGCCGGCGGGGACTCTCCAGCAGGGCCACGGCTCCCTGCAAAGGCCCTTGGCTGGGGGATCGGACAAGGCTCTCTTCCAGTGGAGGAGGGGGCGCTTGCCCCTGCACTGGGGCCCCTGGCCAGGCTCACAGATCCACATGTTCCCACGGCCACAGCCTCCGTCACACACACACGTGGGGACAATCACAGGGGTGGGGACACAGCCACCAGCTCACAGGCACCAATACTCTCTCACACTGTGTCCCACACCGCACAGGGCCCAACAGCAGGTGCTCCTGCCCTTGAAGGATTCCCAGGCTGGCAGGGAAAATGACCAAAAAAATAGACTACTGGGAAAAAAAAAAAAGATTAAAACACAGTGCAAGGATTTGAGCTGAGTGATGGTTACATGAGTATACAAGTCGGGGGAAAATTCATCACACGGGATGCTTAAGATTTATGTACTTGGGCTGGGTGCGATGGCTCACGACTGTAATCCCAGCACTTAGGGAGGCCGAGGCGGGCAGATCACTTGAGGTCAGGAGTTTGAGACCAGCCTGGCCAACATGGCAAAACCCCGTCTCTACTAAAAATACAAAAATTAGCTGGGCATGGTGGACGCGCCTATAAGCCACTCAGGAGGCTGAGACAGGAGAATTGTTTGAACCCAGGATGGGGACGTTGCAATGAGCCAAGACCACGCCACTCCAGCCTAGATGACAGAGCAGGACTCTGTCTCCAAAAAAAAAAAAAAAAAAAAAAGATTCATGTACTCATGTACTTTACTGGAAGTAAATTATGCTTCAGTGAAAGATAAAAATAAGTGGCATGGAAGAAGCCCAGGACGGCGGGTGAGGCAGTCAGGGTGGGGCTTCCTGGAGGAGGTGACACCTGAGCTGCCGGGACCCTCCCAGGGGAGTTGGCGTTTGCAGGTGAGGAGGGGAGACAGGCACTGTGCCCAGGCCCTGCTCTTCTACAAGGGAGGCGCCTTCCCTGCCCCACCGCAGCACCCACCTCCCCTAGAAATAAATGCTGAATAAATAAAGACCTGTTTGAAGGAGTGCCAAATTACTGGCTGCCCAGGAAACCCAACCGCCAGCCTGGGCCGCCCACGTGTCCTGGTCGGGCCTGAGCGGGGCCAGAGGCTGTGGGAGTGGGTGGGTGGGTGGGGAACAAATCCAGCTCTGCATGGCTGGAGTGTGCAGGGCAGGGCAGGAAGTGGTGGGCAGAGACCAGCGTGGCCATTGGGGTGAGGCCAAGGATCTCGGAAGGTCAGCCTCGCTGCAGGGTGTGGGGCAGGGGTGAGACGTGGGCAGTGAGGGGGATCCCAGGAAGCTACGGCGGAGGAACTGTCGGGTCATGCTTGGAGTTGGGGAGCCAGGAGTTGCCAAGTCTCTGCGACAGCCCAGGCCAGAGACAGCCAGGCATGAAGCAGACAGCAGCAGGGGATGGAGGACGGGGCAGAGCTTTGGGACCAGGAGCTGGCGACGGGGGGTCCCAAGGGAGGCACCTGGAATGACCACCAGGTTTCTGATCCCAGGAGTTTGAGACCAGCCTGGGCAACATAGTGAGACCCCATCTCTATAATTTTTTTTTTTTTAATTAGCCTAGTGTGATAGCATGTGCCTGTAGTCCCAGCTACTCCAGAGGCTGGGGTGGGAGGGTTGCTTGGGCCCAGGAGGCAGAGGTTGCAGTGAGCCATGATCACGCTACTGCACTCCAGCCTGGACAATACAGCAAGACCCTATCTCAAAAAAAAAGGTGGGGCTGGTGGCTCATGCCTATAATCCCAGCACTTTGGGAGGCTGAGGTGGGTGGTTCAGTTGAGGCCAGGAGTTTGAGACCAGCCTGGCCAACATGGTGAAACCCCATCTCTACTAAAAGCATAAAAATTAGTTGGGCGTGGTGGCATGTGCCTGTAATCCCAGCTACTCAGGAGGATGAGGTGGGAGGATCGCTTGAGCCCAAGAGTTCTAGGCTACAGTGAGCTATGATCGCACCACTGCACTCCAGCCTGGGTGACAGAGCAAGACCCTGTCTCTAAACACACACACACACACACAATGCTCAAACTTTCCTCTCCCCACTGAGCAAAAGGGTGATGGTAATTCTACTGCTCTCAGCTCTGTGAGAGCCCCACGTGAGAATGTGTGAACAGGGCCTGGCGCTGGGCCTGGGGACACCAAGTGCCCGCTCACTTAACAGCAGTGATGACGGGGACGATTGCTCAAGCTGACATCACCCGCCGAGCTGCTGTCCACCCCTGACATCAGGTCCCGTGTTGCTCACAGTATATCTCTGTCCCTCCACGCAAGGGGCGGTTGGGGAGTGCTGGGTGGGAAATGCAGGCTTGGCACCCAGCTAGGGGTCAGGGAACCCGGGCATTTGGTGCCCCCAGTTCTGGCTGAGCCCCGGAGGCTTATCTGAGCTCATGTGCATGGTGCAGAAGTATTTATTTGTTCTCAGGCAGGCATCTGAAAAGCGTGGGGGCTGGGTGTCAGGAGACAGTGGGAGGAAACCAGCTCTGGGGCGGTGCCAACCCCTGGGGCCAGGCAGTGCAGGGGGGCCCTGGGATCCTGTCTCCCAAGAACCCTTCGCTTGCCAGACATAAACATGCCTTCTCAGAACAACACGGATGAGGAACATCAGGCCTTTTCTTGTCGGGAAAAGGCTGGACGGAAAAAAGCCCATTACTCGTGGGTGATCTAATCCTGGGGCGCTGGCTCACGGGGCCCCCAGCCCTGCCCGCCTGAGCCGGCTCACTCCCCGACCTCTACCCACCCATGCCCCTGCAACCACTGAGCCAACGGGTGAGGACAGGTGTCCCAGGGCAGGCTATGCCCTGCAGTGGGCTGGGGAACAGCCCACCTGCTATGTAAAACCTCAGCACTAGCACTGCCCCTCCCTGGGCCTCAGTTTCTCCATCTGTCAATGGAGAACCTGGGCTAGAAGTTGTCTGAGGGCCTTGCCATCCTTGGCCCCAGATGGAAGGATCCCCATGCCCCCTCCCTCCCCTGGCATCTGGCCTCCCCACCTGCCCTGACCTACTCCAAAGCATTCATTATAGTCACCCCATTCCAGTCACCCAGCCCTGCCCTGCCCCGTCCCACCCCAAATGCCCTCTGGCCCTCCCCGCACCTCTTTTTTTTTTGGACACAAAAAAAAAACTGTCGCCCAGGCTGGAGTGCACTGGTGCGATCTTAGCTCACTGCAACCTCTGTCTCTCAGGTTCAAGTGATTCTCCTGACTCAGCCTCTTGAGTAGCGGGGATTACAGGTGCGCACTGGCATGTGTGGCTAATTTTTGTATTTTTAGTAGAGATGGGGTTTCACCATGTTGGCCAGGCTGGTCTCAAACTCCTGGCCTCAAGTGATCCTCCCTCCTCAGCCTCCCAAAGTGCTGGGATTACAGGCGCGATCCACCACGCCCAGCCCCGTTCTTGCTTTAAACACTTGGATGCCCCATCTTCCAGAGCCCTTTCATCTTCTAGTCCCCATTCCAGAGGCTTCCCTATTTCCAGTCTTGGGCCTACCCACATCCTCAGCCCTTGTTCCCGTCTTTTAGATGCTGTGGGACGCTGACTAAGTGCTCATTTTCACCACACCTGTTAGGACCCAGTCCCTGAACGGGGGTGAATCAGGCCCACTCCTTGCCCTGGAGCTCCTGGGTGAGGAAAGAGAAGCTAAAGTTTATAAACGGTGACCAAAGATCATCAGCTCCTCATGTGGGGAGTGACCAGGCGTGGGCACATCCAGGATGGATGGCTGGCATCGGCCCAGGAGCACTGGCCCCAAAGGCTGGGTGGCTGTTCAGTGGGGAAGACTGGGGCCAAGGTCAGCTTGGGCAAAGGCTAGAGGCAGGAGAGTACGGTGGGGAACCGATGAAATCTGGGAGGTTCAGAGGCAGGCGGATCACTTAAGGTCAGGAGTTTGAGATCAGCCTGGCCAACACAGTGAAACCCCATCTCTACTAAAAATAAAAAAATTAGCCGAGCCTGGTGGCGTGCACCTGTATCCCAGCTACTTGGGAGGCTGAGGCAGGAGAATCGCTTGAACCCGGGAGGCAGAGGTTGCAGTGAGCCGAGATCGCACCGCTGCACTCCAGCCTGGGCGACAGAGTGAGACTCCGTCTCAAAAGAAAAAAAAAAAGGAGGTTCAGAAGGCTTCCAAGCGGGCGTGGAAGAGGCAGACATCCACCAGGAACTTGGGCTTGCCAGGCCAGGCTGGGCTGAGCCATGATTTAGTAATAAAAATAACAACTAGCTGCCATCAGCCCCTTCTCTGGGGCTTGGGCGGGACCCACCAGGCACCACCAGCCCACACCTACGCCATCCCATTTTACAGACAGGAGTCCAGAGCATCGGGATTAGTTGACTTGTAAGTGTCCACACCATCCAACTGCAAAATAGCCACACCCCCATCCCTCACCACCACCAGGCATTGGAGAAGAGGCTGTTTTGTACAGGTGTCTATCCGTTATCGGGTACCTGGACCACACCTGCCACCTCCACGCACACAGACATCTTGGCAGATGCTCATCAGTGGGTGCCGCCAGCCCATTCATTCATTCCACAAACACCAAAGCACCCACTGCAGGCCCAATGTGTACTCCAGATCAGGAATGTCACCAGACAGGCAGGATCAGGCCGCAGAGTCCAGGAAGTCCCCCGTCACCCCGGCGGGTGACTACGCATCAGACGGGTGGCTCACGTTAATGGCCTGGTCCCTGAGGAATGGCACCCCTTGTTTTGTAGCTGGGTGTGCGCATGCACACACATCCGGCCCTTTCTCTGAACACCTGCATTACTTCCACTTCTGCCCTCACCTGTCAGAAAAGCCTGGCCACCTGCATCCAACCTGGGCTTGCCCGAGCCTTGGCCAGGTGGTGCAATTTCATGAAGCGGCCCCTCCCCTTCCAAAACCCAGGGACAGAGCAACTTGGAGGAGTCCAGCCCGGGCCACACCCTCCCCTCCCTAGGGTACAGCAACAGATGGCAGGGCAGCCCCTCACCAAAACCCTGTAGTCTCAGGAACGTACATGAGGCCAGGCCCCAGGAGGTCTGGGTCTAGTGGAGGCTCAGCCTCGAGTGGCTGTGTGATGCTGGAGAACTTCCTTCCCCTCTCTGGGCCCCAGTACCCTCCAATGAAGACATATTAACACCCTGTCCCTTCCTCACAAAGTAGAGGTGGGAGGTGAGAGTCAGGCCCAATGGACAAGGGTTGAGTATCATTTTTCTTTTCTTTCTTTCTTTTTTTAAGAGACAGGGTCTCTTGCTCTGTCACCCAGCCTATGATCGCAATGGCGTGATCATAGCTCACTGCAGCCTCCAACTCCTGGGTTCAAGTGATCCTTCTGCCTCAGACTCCCAAGTAGCTGGGACTTAAGGTGTGTGCCATCGTGTCCAGCTACTTATTTTATTTTTTGTAGAGATGGAGTCTTGCTATGTTGCCCTGGCTGGTCTCAAACTCTTAGCCTCAAGTGATCGTCCCAAATCCTTCCTGAGTATCTGGGACTACAGGCACACACCACCATACCTGGCTAATTTTATTTTATTTTATTTTTTTTGTAGAGATGGAGTTTTGCTATGTTGCCAAGGCTGGTCTCAAACTCCTGGACTCAAGCAGTCTTCCCGCCTCAACCTCCCAAAGTGTTGGGATTACAGGCCCGAGCCACTGCTCCCAGCCAGATCCCTTTCCCTCAAAACCCCACCTGGGCCTCAGGGCTAGCTGGGCCTGGGATGACATTTCTGAGAAATCACAGTTGCGTTGCAGCCATCAGTGGCAGGAGCTGTGCTGCTGATGGGCATCTCGCAACCCACCTCAGCAACACTACAAACACAACAGTACTCTCCCCATTTTACAGATGAGGATGTAGAGGCTCAGAAAGGCTGAGCAACTCGCCCAAGGTCACACAGCACAAAGAGTCAGGGGCCAGCTTCAAAGTGAAGTCTGCTGGGATCTGGAGTAAACATGGCCCTGCACCCCTACAATGTCCCCTGCACAGCCCCCCAGGCATGGCTCACTGTCAACCACAATCCAGTCCCACTGTCCAGATGAGTGATTCACACACAAATATTTGCACCAAGATGGGAGTGGCTCTCCCATAGGCTCATTATTTATTCCAAACACATCTTTTCTGCCTGCCCTGCTAGAGGCAGAGGGGTTTCCCCACCAGGGGGGCTACAGTGAGACCTGAGGTGGGCTTCCTGCAGGCATTGTGAGTCCTGAAAACCAGAGGGGACCCCATAGGTAAGAAAATATCGTTTTCTTTTGAGACAGAGTCTCACTTCATTGCCCAGGCTGGAGTGCAGTGGCACGACCTCGGCTCAGTGGTTGAACTCACCTCCCGGGTTCAAGCAATTCTCCTGCCTCAGCCTCCCAAATAGATAGGATTACAGGTGCCCATCAGCATGCCCAGTTAATTTTTTTGTTTGTTTTTTTTTTTTGTATTTTTAGTAGAGATGGGGTTTCGCCACGTTGGCCAGCCTGGTCTCGAACTCCTGACCTCAGGTGATCCACCCGCCTCGGCCTCCCAAAGTGCTGGGATTACAGGTGTGAGCCACTGCGCCCAGCCTTAATTTTTGTATTTTTAGTACAGACGGGGTTTCATCAAGTTGGTCAGGCTGGTCTCGAACTCCTGACCTCAGGTGATCCGCCCAGCTCGGCGTGAGCCACTGCACCCAGCTGAAGATATCGTTTTCTGAGCCAAAAATAGGGCAGTGGGCAAGTGTCCTGTGCTACCAAGGTTGCGGGCTGTCCAGGATGGTGGGTGGGTTATGGACAGTTCCTGGAAGTGGGCAGGCTCACCACCCAGACCCCAGACTCCAGGAGGTTCAGTCTGCCTCCCCTCATCTGCAGGAGTGGGCACTAAACCAAGAAAATGGGAGCAATGAATCACGGGGTTCACAGCCAATAAGAATCCCCAAAGCCGTGCGCAGTGGCTCATGCCTGTAATCCCAACATTTTGGGAGGCCAAAGTGAGAGGATTACTTGAAGCCAAGAGTTTGAGGCTGCAGTGAGCTATGACTGTTCCACTGTACTCCAGCTTGGGCGACAGAGGAAGACCCTCTCTCAAAAAAAAAAAAAAGCCCTGAGCTGCCACCATGCAACCTCCACGCCCAACCTCACAGAAGTTTCCAGAGCTCTTGGCAGCCCCAGGCTGGTGGACACAGCAATACCAGAATAAACCAGGGGGCGGGACTACGTCCCTGAGACTGGGTTCCTCCCTTGGGAAGGGACACCGGCCAAGATCTCTCCCCTGCCCCCACCAGGTTCTCCTGGGGTCCTTCCCTTAGGAAGCTCTTCTGGTTGTCATCCCAACCAGGCTGACCCCAATTCTGCATTTGCTGGGATCTACCTGAACACATCATGAGGCTTGGGGGTTACTCCAGGTGATGTCAGGAGCTCCAAAGAGCAGAAACCAGTGCTCTGTTCTCCTGTCTGTCCCTGGGGGGCCATCAACCATTCTCACAGCTCCCCATAATCAACCACTTGCCAGCCTTCACCGCACTCTCTCCTCTCCTCCGCTGCGGTGTTGCAGATGCTCTGACCACTCTCCCTTCCCTACCCAACTCTGCCCTGTCCAGGGTACGCTGCAGCAAAGCCTCCCACCAGCTGTGGGGCCAGCTTGGGCCTGTCCAGCCTCCCGAACCAGGAGCAGGAGACAAGGGAGGCTCCAGAGGCATCTGCAGGAGGGCAAGGAGGCCCAGACCAAGAGTCATGGATGTGGATTGATTGATTGATTATTTATTTATTTATTTACTGAGGCAGAGTTTCGCTCTTGTTGCCCAGGCTGGAGGGCAGTGGTGCGATCTCGGCTCACTGCAATCTCCGCCTCCCGGGTTGAAGCAGTTCTCATGTCTCAGCCTCACAAGTAGCTGGGATTACAGGCACCCCCCGCCATGCCTGGCTAAATTTTTTTTTGTATTTTTAATAGAGATGGGGTTTCACCACGTTGCCCAGGCTGCTCTCGAACTCCCGACCTCAAGTGATCCTCCTGCCTCGGCCTCCCAAAGTGCTGGGATTACAGGCGTGAGCCACTGTGCCCGGCCAGATGTGGTTTTAGATCTTGATCCTCGTAACTCTAGAACCTTAGTCAAGTGTCTTCCCAGCCCTGGGCCTCAGTTTCCCCATCTGAAAAAGAGAAGAGGCCAGTATATTCTGAGGTTCCCTCCAGTTCTAACATTCTATGGCTCCCTCCATCCAAGAAGCTCGGGAAACCCCAAGAGGGGTTAGGATGTCCAAGGAAGGGAAAGAGGGGGGCCCCACTGCAGCACCTGGCCCCGGCCCTATGCACAACTCAGGTTGGCCAACTTGACAGACCAAAACTCACCATTGGTAGAAGGGATGGTGGCACCAACTAGAACAAATGAGATGGTGAACTCCAAGTGGAGTTACTCTGGAAAGGCCAGTTCCAGGCCAGGCCCCTTTTTACCTGGAGTGTAATATACATGCAATAAAATTCATTCTTTCTGACATACAGTTCTATGAGTGTTCTGTTTTGTTTGTTTGTTTGTTTGTTGTTGAGACAGAGTCTCATTCTGTCGCCTAGGCTGGAGAGCAGTGGCGCCATCTCGGCTCACTGCAGACTCCGCCTCCCGGATTCAAGCAATTCTCCTGCCTCAGCCTCCTGAGCAGCTGGGATTACAGGCACCCACCACCATGCCTGGCTAATTTTTGTAATTTTAGTAGAGACAGAGTTTCACCACATTGGCCAGGATGGTCTCAATCTCCTGACCTCATGATCTGCCCGCCTTGGCCTCCCAAAGTGTTGGGATTACAGACGTCAGCCACCGCACCCGGCCGTTTTTTTTGTTTTTTTTTTTGTTTTTTTTTTTTTTTTTAAATATTTCAAAAAGATAGAGACAGGGGTCTTGCTATGTTACCCAGTAAACATAGTTTGGTCTCAAACTTCTGGGCTCAAACCACCCTCCCACCTCAGCCTCCTGAGTAGCTGGGAATACAAGTGCAAGCCACAGTGCCTGGCTAATTTTTAAATCTTTTTGTAGAGATGGGGTCTCGCTCTGTCACCCAGGCTAGAGTGCAGTGGCACAATTATAGCTCACCGCAGGCTTGAACTCCCAGCCTCAAGCAATTCTCCCGGCTCAGCCTCTTGAGTAGCTGGAACTACAGCTGTGTGCCACCACACCCGGCTAATTTTTTTGGCTGTCTAAGCTGGTCTCAGATTCCTGACCTCAAGCGATCCTCCTGCCTCAGTCTTCCAAAGTGCTGGGATTACAGGCATGAGCCTCTGGCCATATTTCTATGAGTTTTCACAAATGCAAACAGTCAGGTGACTGCCACCGTAATCAAAACGCATTTCAGTTCCATCTCCCCAAAAACTCTCCCACTCCCAGGCAAACCCTGTCCCTAATCCTGCATTTTCCAGAACATCATATGACTAGAACCAGAGGCCGGGCACGGTGGCTCACGCCTGTAATCCCAGCACTTTGGGAGGCTGAGGCGGGCAGATCACCTGAGGTCAGGAGTTTAAGACCAGCCTGGCCAGCATGGCGAAATCCCATCTCTACTAAAAATACAAAAAAAATTAACCAGGTGTGGTGGCACGCCTGTTGTCCCAGCTACTTGGGAGGCTGAAGCAGGAGAATTGCTTGAACCAGGGAGGCGGAGGTTGCAGTGAGCCGAGATCACGCCATTGCACTCCAGCCTGGGCAAGAGAGCAAGGCTCCGTCTCGAAAAAAAAAACCCCACATATGAACAGAACTAGGTTGGAAGCGGCCTTTCCAGTCTGCTTCCTTCCCTTAGCACAATGCTCGTGAGGTTTCCCCGTGGTGGTGTGGTATCCATCATTCATCCTTTTTCACTGCTAACTAATATTCCACAGTATGGATGTTCCAGTTTGTTTATTCACTGGGCAGTCTGACATCTGAATTGTTTCCAGTTTGGGGCAATTATGAATAAAGCCACTATACATATTCCTCTTTAGGTTTTTATGTGAATTTGAGCTTTCATTTCTCATAGGTAAATACCTAGTCATATGGTAGGTGAAGGCTGAATGTTATAAATAAGCTATCAAAAACCCAGAGAGACAACCATTAGCAATTACCAGGGGCTGGAGTGGGGGGTGCTGGGGAATGGAGAGACTGCTAATGAGGTAACAGGCTTCTTTTCAGAGTGACGAAAATGAACGGACTTAGATGGTGGCGATGGTCACACAACTTCATGATGATACTAAAAATATTGCATAGCGTATTTTAAAATGGTGAATTTGGCCGTGTGTGGTGGCTTATGCTTATCTATCTCAGCACTTTGAGAGGCTGAAGTGGGTGGATTGTTTGAGTCCAGGGGTTCAAGACCAGCCTGGGCAACACAGCTACAAGAGATACAAAAATTAGCCAGGCATGGTGGCATACACCTGTAGTCCCAGCTACTCGGGAGGCTGAGGCAGGAGAATAGCTGGAGCCTGGGAAATGGAGGTTGCAGTGAGCCAAGACTGCACCGCTGCACTCCAGCCTGGCCAACAGAGCCTGGCCAACCCTATCTCTAAAAACACTAAATAAATAAAATGGTGAATTTTATGGTATAATGATATCATAATAAAGAATATGATAATTTTTATCTTTTTTGGTAGAGACAGGGCCTTGCTAATACATATGCCGTCTCTACCAAAAAAATATTTAAAAATTAGTCAGGGGTGGTGGCTTGGTGCCTGCAGTCCCAGCTACTTGGGAGGCTGAGGCAGGAGGATCCCTTGAACCCAGGAGTTTGAGGCTGCAGTGAGCCATGATCCCACCAAAGCACTCCAGCCTGGGTGACAGAGCAAGACCCTGTCTCAAAATAAAATAAAATAATAAAAAGTAGAAACACCCCATATGTCCATAACTGATGAACAGATAAATATGATCTATCCATTAAATGGAATATTATTTGGCCATAAAAAGAAAGGCACATTGACTCACGCTACAATGTGGATGAACCTTGAACACATTATACTCACTGAGAAAAGGCCAGACTCGAAAGACCACATATTACATGATTCCATCTACAAGAAACGCCCAGAATAGGCAAATCTACAGAGATGGAAAGTAAATTAGTGGTTGCCAGGGGATGGGGGAGGAGGGAATGAGGGCTGACTGCTTAATGGGGGGAGATTCTTAGGATGATAAAAATGCTCTGAAATTAGACAGTGATGAATACTGCACAACTCTGTGAATATATTTTAAAAAAAACACTGAATTATACACTTTAAAGGAATAGTTTTAAAATAAACTTACAAAAAAAAAGAAAATCCAACATGGTAGAGAAGAACAGAATCAAGTCTCTGGAGACATCACTGAACCCTGAAAAGCATCACCACGCTCCTACCCCAGCCTCCAAATACCTACTCACAGGTACCCATCCCAGCCTCCAAATACCTACTCATAAGTACCCATCCTATCCTCCAAATACCTTCCATATTTTTTTTTTTTTTGAGATGGAGTCTCGCTCTGTCGTCCAGGCTGGAGTGCAGTGGCTCGATCTCGGTTCACTGCAAGCTCCACCTCCCGGGTTCACGTCATTCTCCTGCCTCAGCCTCCCGAGTAGCTGGGACTACAGGCGCCCACCATCACGCCCGGCTAATTTTTTTGTATTTTTAGTAGAGACGGGGTTTCACCATGTTAGCCAGGATGGTCTCGCTCTCCTGACCTCATGATCTGCCTGCCTTGGCCTCCCAAAGTGCTGGGATTACAGGCGTGAGCCACCGCGCCCGGCCCTTCCATATTTTCTTATGAGGAATAAATAAACTCCTTTTTGTTTAACTGTCAGGTTTAATATCTAAAGTCTGCCAGGCTACACACACACACACACACACACACACACACACACACACACACACACAGTTTTTTTTTTTTTTGGAGATGGAGTCTCGCTGCTCTGTCGCCAGGCTGGAGTGCAGTAGCACAGTCTTGGCTCACTGCAACCTCTGCCTCCGAGGTTCAAGTGATTCTCCTGTCTCAGCCTCCCAAGTAGCTGGGATTACAGGCACGTGCCACCACGCCCGGCTAATTTTTTGTATTTTTAGTAGAGATGGGGTTTCACCATGTTGGCCAGGCTGGTCTTGAACTCCTGACCTTGTGATCTGCGCGTCTCAGCCTCCCAAAGTGCTGGGATTACAGGAGTGAGCCACTGCGGCCTGGCTGGGTTTTTTTTTTTTTTTTAAATTATTTTTATGTTTTGTAGAGAACAGGGTCTCACTACGTTGCCCAGGCCGGTCTCAAACTCCTAAGCTCAAGCAATCTGCCCATCTCGGCCTTCCGAAGTGCTAAAATTACATGCCTGAGCTGCTGCACCTGACCTGGCTTAATATTTAGATATTTGCTATATTTACAGTTGGGTGTTTAATTACCTGTAGCCAAATGCAGCCCTAAATGACAGGGGACAGTCCCCTCTTTACCACTAACCAGGACTCGGGGAGCTGTGTACACTGGGGAGTAAAGCTCCAGGCTAGTAGTCAGGATTCAGCAGAACGTCAAGTAATCAGGCCTCGTCACCGCCGGTGGCCTCAGGAATGTCACATACATGTGCATATACACACCCATGCATGCACACAAGCATGTGTGTCTAAATAGCCCAGAGGCGGATCACCTGAGGACAGGAGTTCAAGACCAGTCTGGTCCAACATGGTGAAACCCCGTCTCTACTAAAAATACAAAAATTAGCCGGGAGCAGTGGCGGGCGCCTGTAATCCCAGCTACTCAGGAGACTGAGGCAGGAGAATCGCTTGAAACCAGGAGTCAGAGGTTGCAGTGAGTCGAGATCAAACCACTGCACTCCAGCCTGGGTGACAGAGCGAGATTCTGACTCAAAAAATAAAAATAAAAAATTAAATACAAAATAAAATACAAAAATTAGCTAGGTGTGGTAGTGCATGCCTGTAATCCCAGCTACTCGGGAAGCTGAGGCAGGCAAATCGCTTGAACCTGGGAGGTGGAGGTTGCAGTGAGCCAAGATCACGCCACTGCACTCCAGCCTGGGCGACAGAGCAAGACTCTATCTCAACAACAAAACAAAATAAATAAATAAATAAATAGCCCAGAGGATTAACTGTTCTGGCACTCCACACTTGTGCTGTCTGCACACATCAGCTGCCTTTCCTGGAGGGAAACGCTCCAAATTGGGCTGTACTCGGCTCAGAGAGACAAGCTGCCCCCACTGCCATCGCCACTGCCCTCCAGATGCCTCTGAACGCCACAGCCAGGCCGGCAGAAGCAGCTCCTGGGATGGGTAGAGGAGCGCCAACGAGAGCTGGGATTGAAGGATGGAGAGGGGCCGGGCATGGGGGCTCACCCCTGTAATCCCAGCATTTTGGGAGGCTGAGGCGGGTGGATCACTTGAGGTCAGGAGTTTGAGACCAGCCTGGCCAACATGATGAAACCCCATCTCTACTAAAAATACAAAAACTAGCCGGGTGTGTTGGCAGGTGCATGTGGTCCCAGCTACTGGGGAGGGCTAAGGCAGAATTGCTTTAACCCATGAGGCGGAGGTTGCAGTGAGCCGAGATCATGCCACTGCACTCCAGCCTGGGCAATGGAGCGAGACCCTGTCTCCAAAAAAAAAAAAAAAGAAAGAAAAAGGGTGGAGGAGGCCCCCACCCTTCATGGGCCCCCACCCCGAGCTTGCTTCTAATTCACTTGACAAGGTTGCACAGGATGCCCACTCCGCAACAGGCAGGGTGCTAAGGTCAGGGATGCGGAGGACAACATGATGATGGGGCCGTGACCCACTGGAAGTCACACTCTGTCTGTGAAGGTGACAGACAAGCACGAGGGCAATTATAGTCTTGTTTGTGATGCGGGCTGTGGCTGGGGACACAGACAAGAGGCACCTAACGTGACCTGGAGAGGGAGATGAGGTCAGGGAAGCTTTGCAGAGAGGAGTGACAACCCAGCTGAGACCTGCAACGAGAAATCAGCCCAGGGACACAGCCGGGGAGCATTACGCACGCTCTAGGGGAGAGGCAGCAGCGTTCCAGGAAGCGAGACGGAGCACAGTACGTTTTAGAAACGATGAGGCTCATCGTGGCTGGCACAGAGAGACACAGGCAGGGCCTGGCCATGCCTAGTCTGTAGCTTTTCCAGGAGCCACGGGAACCCCTGAGCTGCCTGGGAGTGAGGCCATCAGATACAGATCTTTACCTGGAGCCAATGCAGCAGCCCCACCGTCACGTCCTGTCTCTGGCCCTACGCTTCTGTCCAAATCACCGTCCTCCAGGGCCATGCAGAAAGCCACTTCTGCAGGCTGCCATCAAACACACCTGGGAGTGGCATTGTCTCCCGTCCCCTAAGCAGCCACAGGTAGCCCCCGCCCCAGAACAGGGCCTGGCCTCTAACAAGCGGGATGGCTGACTGTGACCTTGAGGGGCTAAGGGGTCGGCAGGCCAAGGGGACCAACCAGTTCTACCTTTGAGGTTTTCCCAGTTTGCAGAAGCAGAAACCGAGGCATGCTGTCCGGGTGCAGTGGCTCATGCCTATAATCCCAACACATTGGGAGGCCAAGGCGGGTGGATCACTTGAGGCCAGGAGTTCAAGACCAGCCTGGGCAACATGGTGAAACCCTGTCTCTACTAAAAATACAAAAAATTAGCCAGGCATGGTGGCGGGCGCCCGTGATCCCAGCTACTCGGGAGGCTGAGGCAGGAGACTCACTTGAACCCAGGAGGTAGAGGTTGCAGTGAGCCGAGATCCTGCCACTGCACTCCAGCCTGGGCAACAGAGGAAGACTCTGTCTCAAAAAAAATAAATAAATTGAGGCATGCCACACCCCACACCCCACACCCCACGGACAGAGGGGGTGTGTCCCAGACAGGCAGAAAATAAGAACAGATCTTGGAATGATGGGGTCCAAGGTTCACTGTCTGGGGGAGTGGGGCTCCCACAGGGCCAGCTTCTGGGGTCATCACGTGACAAGCTGACAAAGTGTTCTTCACTGAGATGGCAGCTAGCTCCCCGCAACTGAATACACTGATTTTCCCAAGAACCTGGCAATACTATATAAGAAAACTATCCTTGTTTTTTCAGATGAGGCTCAGAGAGGTACAGTCACTTGCCTGTGGTCACACAGCAGCTCAGCAGTCAGGCTGGGATTTGAACCTAGGTGTGTCTGGCTTCAAAGACCCTGATGGTTCCACTGCACCCTGCTGTGAAGTGAGGGAGCCCTGGCCTCTGACCCAGGGCCACCAAGAGCATCTCTCCTTTGGATATGCTGAGAAGAGAATATCTCAGGGAGCTGGTGGCCCGGGGCAGGTGGGGAGGTGGACCAGGATCAAAGAGGGAGGATGTGGTTTGCCCACCTGCCCAGAGGGCTGCACCCACAGCTGGCAGCCAGGGTGTGCCCTGGGAGCAGAGGTAACCACCTCCTTCCCCAAAGCCCTGCCTCTCCCCACCTGGCCTCACTGCAAGAAGCGGCCATGCCTGAAAAACCAGCTCCTGGATAAACATGAGAGAAACATCAGACTGAGAGAGTCACAAGACCCCTTGGAGCTGCCAGGACCACCCTGGAGCCAGGTGGGTGGGCGGTGGGTCTTGTCTGCTGCAAGGAGCCACCCAGGAGCACCCAAGGGCCTTCCTTCCTGCACAGGGCTAACCTCTTTCCAGGCTACCCACCGAGTGCTGGCCCCAGGGTCCAGCCTTTGAGGACTTTGGGGAACCCGGTAGGGGTGGGAGGCAAGGGTGGGGTACAGGGGAAAGGTACTTGGGGCAACCTTCATTAGAGAGGGGCCACAACGATTTCACAAATAACAAATTAAATAACAAAGTAAAAACCAGCTGGGCGCGGTGGCTTGTGCTCATGTCTGTAATCCCAGCACTTTGGGAGGCTGAGGCAGGTGGATCACTCGAGGTCAGGGGTTCGAGACCAGCCTGGCCAACATGGCGAAACCCCGTCTCTACTAAAAACACAAAAATTAGCCGGGTGTGGTGGCAGGTGCCTGTAATCCCAGCTATTTGGGAGGCTGAGGCGGGAGAAGTGCCTGAACCCAGGAGGAGGGGGGCTGCCATGAGCCGTGATCACACCACTACACTCCAGCCTGGGTGACAGAAGGAGACTCTGTTTCAAAAACAAACAAATAACAACAACAAAAACAACAAAGTAAAAACCCCCCAAATCTCTCAAGACACCCACGCAAGACATGTGATCACCCAGGAAGCTCCATCTCCTTAGGAAGCCGAGAGCCCTGGGAAACTCATGGATTTGCCAATGGGAAACTGACAAACTCTTGCTGGGCTCCCCTGCTTCATTCATGCCCACCTGGCAAACCTGTGGAGGTACTTGCTGTGGTTCCATTTTCTAGAGGGTCAAACTGAGGCTCAGCCTCAGGCAAGTGACAGGCTGGAGTCCGTAAACCACCATAATCTAGGCTCTAGCCACAAAAACATTCACCAGAATAGCCACTGTTCACACAGGGCTGACCTCAGGCAGCAGTGGATTCCAAACATTTAGCAACCAGAACTGTATTTAGAGCTCTAACAGGTAACTCTGGTAAAAGTGGTCCTAGGGCAGGGCGCGGTGGCTCACACCTGTAATTCCAGCACTCTGGGAGGCCAAGATGGGTGGATCATTTGAGGTCAGGAGTTCGAAACCAGCCTGGACAACATGGTGAAACTCCGCCTCTACTAAAAATACAAAAATTAGTCGGGTGTGGTGGCACGCACCTGTGATCCCAGCTACTCGAGAAGCTGAGGCAGGAGAATCAACTGAACCCGGGAGGCGGAGGTTGTAGTGAGCCGTGATCACGCCACTGCACTCCAGCCTGGGCGACAGAGTGAGACTCTGTCTCAAAAAAAAAAAAACAAAAAACAACAGTGGTCCTACTCTGGCCCAAAGGGGCACAGGAGGCTTGAGCCTCACATGTCCCCACCACCCGCTCCTTGGTGGCCCCTGGGGCCCTCCAGGGCTCTGTGGTAATCCACACACTCACATTACCCTCAGCTGAGTCTCACAGCCCTGCAAACCTAGTGTTCTGTTCTCCCACTTAAAGATGAACAGGCAGGACGCAGTGGCTCACCCCTCTAATCCCAGCACTTGGGAAGCTGAGGTTGTGGGATCACTTGAACACAGGAGTTCAAGACCAGCCTGGGCGACATGGCGAGACCCCCATCTCTACAAAATAAAAAAATTAGCTGGGTGTAGTGGCAAGTGCCTCCAAGCCCAGCTACTTAGGAGGCTGAAGTGGGAGAATCACTTGAGCCTAGGAGTTCAAGACTGCAGCAAGCTATGATTGCACCACTGCACTCCAGCCTGGGTGACAGAACGAGACCCTGTCTCAAAATAATAATAAGAACAGATGAACAAACCAAAGCCCAGAGATGTGACATCACTCGGCCAGCCCTGTTCCGTTTGATCCTAACTCCTGCTCCTGCCTGCAACAGTGGCTTCACCACCTTCCTTCCCTACCCTCAGAAGTCCTGCTCTTATTTCAGGCAAACATGAAACTTCTACCCCAAGCAAAACAGCTGCAGGAGTGAAGACCAGAGACGCACCACCAGGAACCCCAGACTCCCACAGGGTGGGGATACATAAGATGATGGGCAAGACACCCCAGGGCACAGACAGCTCCCCTCCCTGGCACCGCCCTCAACCTCCAGCTGTCCTGGCCCCATAGCCTCAATTACTCCAGAGCCCACCTGGATGGCGGCGGGAGGATCGCATGGGGCCAGAGGCCCGGAGGGCAGCGGCAGGCAGGTGTAATTTCATCGCGGGGCTCACAGTATGAGTCACCAGAAACAGAAGATGAAATTCCAGCTCTGAGGGCGGAGATGAGCAGCTCCCCCGGCTTGGGGTCAGCTCTTGATGTGGGGGGTGGGTAGTGATGGGGTGCAGGCCACAGGCCCCCCGCCAGCCAGATGGTGCCTTTGTGAAAATGAGAAAGAGGAACCACCTTCTTCTGGGGGGTCCCGAGCTGATGCAGGGCCGGCCAAGCCGGTTTGCTAGATTTCCCTAGAGAGGAGAGTGGCTAGAGGTATGTGGCATATCCACACCATGGAACACTACTCAGGGACCAGAAGGGACCAGCTACCCGTGTACCCAGCAATGCCGTAAATGCATTATGCTGTGTGAAGCCAGATTCAGAGGCTGTGGACTGTAGGATTCCATTTATGTGACATTGTACAAATGGAAAACCATATACAGAAGACAGATCAGTGGTTGCTGGGGTCAGGACAAGAGACAAGGATGAACAAACGGGCTTCAAAAACTTTTAGGGGTTACAGGATTGTTCTAACTCCTGGGGTCAAGCAATCCTCCTGCCTTAGCCTCCCAAGTAGCTGGGGCTACAGGCACACATCACCACACCCGGCTAATTTTTTTTTTAAGAGACGGGGTCTTGCTATGTTGCCCAGGCTGGTCTCAAATTCTTGGCCTCAAGTGATCCTCCCGCCGCAGCCTCCTGAGTAGCTGGGGCTACAGGCATGAGCCACCTCGCCTGGCTAATTTTTGTACTTCTTGTAGAGATGGAGGTTTCACTATGTTGTCTAGGCTAGTCTCAAACTCCTGGCCTCAAGCCATCCTCCCGCCTCAGCCTCCCAAAGCGCTGTTCTATGTCTTGACGGGGGTTGGACGACATAAGGGTGTGAGCCAGGCAAGTTCCTGGTATAGCATAGCCTTCACTCCTCAACGATATTTTTAATAAAATATAAAGTGGGGCCGGACACAGTGGCTCACGCCTGTAATCCCAGCACTCCGGGAAGTCAAGGTGGACAGATCACTTGAGATCAGGAGTTCAAAACCAGCCTGGCTAAGATGGCAAAACCCCATCTCTACTAAAAATACAAAAATTGGCTGGGCGAGGTGGCATGCACCCATAATCCCAGCTACTCAGGAGGCTGAGGCAAGAGAATTGCTTGAACCCGGGAGGCAGAGGTTGCAGCGAGCCGAGATCGCGCCACTGCACTCCAGCCTGGGTGACAGAGTGAGACTCCATCTTAAATAAATAAATAAAATAAAATATAAAGTGGGCCCTTCTCATGTGCCAGCCGGGGGCTGGGGACCAGGACCTAATGAGACTCCCTCAGGCCTGACGCCTCTGCAAGGTCCTCACTGGCTGGCGTAACAACAGATGGATAGACGAAAAGATACGGACTTGCTTTGATGGTGGTTCTGCCAGTAGCCAGAAAATGCACCTTGAGACCCTGCTAGACCCCAGCCAGCAAAGAGGCCTACCCTCGGCCAACCATCTAAGACACAAACAGCCTGGAGGGTCTCCCCTCTGTCACAGGGAACAGGAGGGGAAAGGGCTAAGCTGCCCCCTGCTTACCTACCCTCCCCAACCATGCAGCCTCTTCTGCATCCTCAAGTGCCCAGGACCGCAAGCCCTCAAGCCAGGCCCTCCCACCCTGTCTCCACCACAGACCTGCCCCCGGGGGTCCCACACACCCATGCTGTGGCATCCCCACGGGGTCACACCAAGTCCCTTGGACTACAGCACCACACTGGGACCCAGGCAGGTTGGGGAGAGCCATCTCCCTTTTACATCCAAGAAAACTGCCCAGGCGGGCGGAAGGTGGACGTGGACCCCATGACCCCGGCCCCTTACTTTCCCCCCATTTCCCCCACTCCAGAGGCTGCAGCTCAGGTGCTGGGAACCTGCCTCAGGTGGCAGCATGGCAAAGGTGCAGGAATTCCCAGCAGCCTCCGTGCTGTGGGGTCAGCCCCTCAAGTCCACAACCGCCCCCGTGGCGGGGTCTCCCAGCTTTGAAAGGTAGCCATTGCAGACACTTTCCCAGCACTCAGGCCTTGCCAATCCTACATGAAAATCTTACTTGGTGTATAATAGGGTGTTTCCAGCAATTTCCCACCCCCTCCTCCCAGCATCTCTAAATATACGGACCACATTGGCCAGAAATCCCTGAAGACAAGGACTTCCCAAACTGGGGATCCCTGGGCACCCCTCAGGCCACCTAGACTACACCCTCCATGCCACCCAGGCCAGTAGGAGATCTAGACCCTCGAGCCACAGGCTGGAGGAGGCCCGACCAAGGACATTAGAAGGATACTGCCTGTAATCCCAGCACTTTGGGAAGCTGAGGTGGGAGGATCGCTTGAGGCCAGGAGCTTGAGACCAGCCTGGGCAACATCGCAAGACCCCATCTCTAAAAAAAAAAAATTTTTTTTTAATTAGCTAGGTGCAGAGGCTGAGGTGGGAGGATCACATTGAGCCCAGGAGTTGGAGGTTGCAGTGAGGTAGGATCACGCCACTGCACTCCAGCCTGGGAAACAGAGTGAGACACTGTCTCAAAAAATAGAATAAAATAAAAATGAAAAAGGACCCTGCTGGCTGGGTACAGTGGCTCACTTCTGTAATTCCAGCACTTTGAGATCACTTGAACTCAGGAACTGGGCAACATGGCGAAACCCCATCTCCACCAAAAATACAAAAAATTAGCCGGGCACGGTGGCGTGTGCCTGTGGTCCCACCTACTTGGGAGACTGAGCCAGAAGGATCGCTTGAGCCGGGGAGGGAGAAGCTGCAGTGAGCCGAGATTGTGCCACTGCACTCCAGCCTGGGTGACAGAGTGAGACCTCATTTCAATACAAATTAAAAAAAAAAAAGCCAAGATTCAGTGAATCAGCTCCACTCGATTCAAACTCGCTCCAGATCATCCCCGGGGCCTCCACTGAGCCCTGATCCCAACTCCAGGGTCAGCCACACACACCTCTGGCCCCTCCCCAAACCCCATCCATCTCACCGCCCCAGAGGCAGCAGTTGTAGGGTTGGCAGATAAAATGCAAGACCTCCAGTTCAGTCTGAACTACAGATCAACAACAGGTAACTTTTAGCTAGAAGTTCATCCCAAATATTGCATTAGTCCTTGCTTGTCTGAAATCCAATTTTAGCTGGGCATCCTTATTTTTATTTGCTAAATCTGGCAACCTGAAGCAGGTGGTCCTGAAAGAGGGTGACAGGTGGGCACACAAATAGCTCTGGGTCAGCCAGGCCCCAGCTCAGGGGCGAGAGAGTTCTGTTCACCGCCTGAGACACTCCCTAAGACCGTGTAAGATAAAGTACATCCTCACCCATTTCACCTATCTTATTCAGGACACCTATCTTATCTTTTTTTTTTTGAGACAGAGTTTCACTCTTGTCGCCCAGGCTGGAGTGCAATGGTACGATCTCAGCTCACGGCAACCTTCACCTCTTAGGTTCAAGCAATTCTCTTGCCTCAGCCTCCCGAGCAGTTGGGATTACAGGCGCCCGCCACTACGCCTGGCTAATTTTTGTATTTTTAGTAGAGATGGGGTTTCACCGTGTTGGCCAGGCTAGTCAAACTCCTGACCTCAGGTGATCCGCCCGCCTCGGTCTCCCGAAGTGCAAAGTGCTGGGGATTACAGGCATGAGCCACCGCACCCGGCCCTAACTTATCTTAAATGGGCAAATTTCCAGGGCATGAACCCAGGTTCCTACAGACCTGGCCCCTTTCTGCACGACCCTCCATACTCATGAAGCCACAAACCTAGGTGCAGATTGGCCCAGAGAGAAGGGAATGGGACCGAGAATGGATCAGTTCCACAGGACGAGTGGAGAGAGAGCTACCAAAATAGGGTGGGTGAAGAAGTGATGATGAGGCCGGGCCTGGGGGCTCACACCTGTAATCCCAGCACTTTGGGAGGCCAAGGAGGGCCAATCACTTGAGGTCAGGGGTTCATTCAAGACCAGCCTGGCGAACATGGTGAAACCCCGTCTCTACTAAAAATACAAAAATTAGCCAGGTGTGGTGGTGTACATCTGTAATCCCAGCTACTCGGGAGGCTGAGGCACGAGAATCACTTGAACCCGGGAGGTGGAAGTTGCAGTGAGTTGGGATCGTGCCACTGCACTCCAGCGTGGGCAACAAAGCAAGACTCCATCTCAAAAAAAAAAAAAAGAAAGGGGGGTGATGGACCAGGGGGCTTTCCTGAAAAGCTTTCTGCCTCCAAAACCCACATTACCACACCCCCTACAGGCCAAAGCCCCTCTGCCACACCTGGAGATACCTGACTGAGAACTTCCAAAGTAGGCCAAGAAAGTGACAGGGTCCTGCCTCCCTTCCGGAGTATGGAGCCTGGGTAGAAAGCACATGTTTCTATGAGATGGGGCTGAGGGGATTCCGAGAGGCCAGGCCCCTCCTGCCGTATCTGGAGCCCCCAACATCTACACCTTGGAGACTGTTACCCCCTCACCAGCAATCATCTGTCACAACACACTGTCTTCTGGCCAGGTTCACGCATCTCCTTCTCCCCCAGAAACCATCCTTCCCACCACTCCACCTCTGCTATGAATTCCTTCAGGAAATTCCCTTCCAGTCACACTAAGGGTCCCTGTCCTAGCGGCCCCATATTATCCCGGAAGCCCCCCAATCAAAACTGAACTCAGGACCGGGCGCAGTGTCTCATGCCTGCAATCCCAGCACTTTGGGAGGCAGAGGCGGGCAGATCACTTGAGGTCAGGAGTTCTAGACCAGACTGGCCAACATGATGAAACCCCATCTCTACTAAAAATACAAAAATTAGCCGGGCGTGGTAGAGCATGCCTGTAATCCCGGCTACTTGAGGCAGGAGAATCGCTTGAACCCAGGAGGCAGAGGTTGCAGTGAGCCGAGATGGCGCCACTG
This sequence comes from Homo sapiens, assembly GCF_000001405.40. Classification (NCBI taxonomy): domain Eukaryota; kingdom Metazoa; phylum Chordata; class Mammalia; order Primates; family Hominidae; genus Homo; species Homo sapiens. The sequence goes on along the minus strand of NC_000007.14, from coordinate 74,457,932 downwards.
CATGCCAGCCTGGGCGACAAAGTGAGACTCCCTCTCAAAAAAAAAAAAAAAAAAACAAAAACGTAACTCAGCATGGATTCCAAGCCCTGGGTCCTGCTCTGCTCCTCTGTTTATAAATTGGCCCTGCAGGTCTTCTTCCATGGGTGTCCCCTGAAGCCTCTGCAGGCCCCATGGAGCTGGGCATACACCCCTGGCTTGTCCCAAAGAACCTGGCTGTGACCCTGGCTGCCACGCATCTGAGAGAGAGATACTTACAAACGGCGAGAGTCAGAGAACTGAGAGATACAGAGAGGATGACATTGGGGAGCAAAGCCCCCAGGGTTAAGGTTGGGAGAAGACACAGGCTGGGGTAGTGGGGAGAGAGGGGGCCCCAGGAAGTTCAGGGAGAGACCCTGGGACTCCTACCAGGGTGGGGAACTTGCCCCAGAGATGAGCATTTAAGAAAAATAGGAGAGAGTCTGCTTAGCCATTTAGGTCAAGGCTCAAGAGCAGGATTTCATTCATTCATTCATTCAAACATGTAGCCATTTAACAAGTATTTGAGGAGCAAGCCTCCATCCCTTCCTGTCCCTAGTGCAATTGGGGAGAGAGATGTAAACATCTGAGTAAGATCAATGTTGGGACAAAGGAAGGAAAGGATGTTGGCTAGGCGCGGTGGTTCACTCCTGTCATCCCAGCACTTTGAGAGGCCAAGGTGGGAGGACTCCTCATGCCCAGGAGTTCGAAACCAGCCTGGGCAACATAGCAAGACCCCATCTCTACAAACAATAAAAAATTAACCAGGTGTAGTGGCCCTTGTCTGCGGTCCCAGCTACTTGTGAGGCTGGGGTGGGAGGGTGGCTTGAGTCCAGGAGTTCGAGGCTGCAGTGAGCTGTGATCACACTACTGCACCCCAGCCTGGGCACAGAGCAAGACTGTCTCAAAAAAAGAAAAAAAGAAAAAAAAGAGAGGACATCATGGGGATATAAAGGTGGAACCATGGCCAGCCCTGAGGACGAGGAAGTCTTCAGCCCAAAGATACCACAGCCAAGCCAAGTCCTGAAGGAGAGGAAAAGAGGCAAATTCTATAATCCTGACCCCCTACCCTAGCCAGGCAGGGCTAATAAAGGAAGCCCCCCAGCCTCCTCAGGGGAAAGGCCAAGAAGAACCTTCGAGAGAAGAGGAACTGTGTGTGCAGAGGCCAGGGGTAGGAGGAAGCCAGGCCATTCAGGAAAACGGCAAGACTACAGAATTTTTTCTTTTTTTTTTTTTAGATGGAGTCTTGCTCTGTTGCCCAGGCTGGAGTACAGTGGTGCGGTCTTGGCTCACTGCAACCTCCACCTCCCGGGTTCAAGCGATTCTCCTGCCTCAGCCTCCCGAGCAGCTGGGATTACAGATGCCTGCCACCACGCCTGGCTAATTTTTTGTATTTTTAGTAGAGATGGGGTTTCACCATGTTGGCCAGGCTGGTCTTGAACTCCTGACCTCGTGATCCACCCACCTCGGCCTCCCAAAGTGCTGGGATTACAGGCGTGAGCCACTGCGCCCGGCCAGACTACAGGATTTATGAGTCGGCTGAGGAAGCAGTGAGTGGTCAGAGACTAGACCCTGAATGAGAATCATCTGGGAGCTGCAGTCTATGGTTCCAAGGTCATGCTTAGGACGTGAATGTCCCAAGCCATCACCCACCATCCACAAGACCCCAGGTCCAACAACCAAGCTGTCACCAAACCGTGGATGGCCTGGCCTCTGGAGTCAAGCAGGCTGCAAAAACAGCTACCTCCAAGACCCTAGATTACAGCTGCCACTCAGACTATTGCCAAACACCAAGTGCTGACGACTACCACCTCATCAGAAGGCTAGCCGGGCTCCTGGGAGGCTGCCTTCAATGAACAGATAAAAATTATTTGTGATTAGCATACTGCAAATAAATGACCCTTCTCCCAACATCGAGAGAACAGTCCTTTTAAGTAGGTTTAGCGTGCCCCCTACAAAGCTGTCTTCAAGACCCAGTTTTACAACCATCGGCCTTAAGTTCTCGAACATTTTAAGAGTGCAGGCTCTGAGTGGCTGCGGAGTTTCAACCCTTCCTTCCTAGTTTCCTCTGTGGGGTCCTGTGGGACCCTCTGAGTTAGAACTGCCAATTTCTAGGTCACCCTCAGAACAGGCTGTGGAAGAACGAGGTGTGGACTTGAGCCTCCCACACCCCAGAGGCAGGATGGGGGTTCCGATACCCTGTCACCTTGGGGCCAAGCCTGTCCCTTGGTCCGCAGATGCCTGCTCAGAAGAGGTCAGAGTCTATCTCACACCCTCCTGGGCCCCAAATAGGGCGGTTCATGACGGCCACCTAACTACCTTATACCTAGCCCCTCCCTGCCAGCAGCCACCAGCCTCCAGCCACCTCCTCCTGCTTAGAATAAATAATCGATGCTGGTGCCCTTCCCCTCTGGAATGACACTGCTGAAATAAATGAGCTGCTTGGGGCACCTTCCAAGTCCCAAGGCCCCGGGCCAGTGCCAAGGAGTCAACAGTCCTGGCCACGGGGCAGCCAGACACACAGAGGCCGACCATGGCAGCGGCGCGCCAGGGTGGCTTCTAGACACCCCTCTCCTCTTCTAAGAGAAACCCCAGCAAATGCCCACTTCTCCAAAAACTGCGGGGGCCTGCCCTCCACTCCCACCCGCCAGGCCCAGGGCCATCCCGGGGTACCCCTTGGCACATTCTCCATCCAAGAGTCAGTGCTCCCCTCACAGGCCCTGCAGCGAGACCCCTATGTCCCAGCACCCTCGCTTCAGCTGGGATGGGGACACAGGAGACTCCCACCGCAGGACCTTGGTCCTGGGAGGTAGGGTCACTAGGCCAGACGCCAGAGCTCCAGCCCCCTCCAGCACTGCCAGGAGGGTGGAACGAACTCTCAGCGGCACAGCGGCCCCCTTCCCTGGGCCCACGCCAGGCGAGGCAGGGTCTCACTCCCTGGCTGCTGGCCAGGGGTGAGGAGCCCAGGAGAGGTGTCAAGCCCATCATGCCCAGGGTACTTAGGATGGGGCGGGTGGGTGTTCAGCACCCTGTGGCCCCTCCTCTGTCCTCTCCACCCATCTGCAGGAACTCAGAGACCACCCACAGACCGAGTATCCCCAACTTACTCCTCTGAACCCTTTGTGGTCCCCCCACTGCCACCTTCTGAGTCCCCTCCACCCGGGATTCAGCGGCCACCACCACACAGGCCAGCCCCCTCCCCGGGGCCGGGGCGGGGGGTCCACTACAGGAACCACCCTGCTGGGGCAATCCTGGCTGGACTGGACTCCGCCTGGGAGTTGGGGGCGCGGGCCAGGGGCTGGCCCAGACCGGGAGAAGGTGGAGGGGGGAAAGGCGGGGACCGCGGCCTTCCCAGCCCCCTCTGCTCCCACCCCGGCGCCCGCCACCGCGGGCAGCGCGACTGACCTCATTCGCCAACTGCAGCAGCCTGCGGGCGCCGGCCCGGGACGCCCCCCACCTCCAGAAGAGCCGGTGGCAAGGAGGGAGGGGGTGACAGCTCCCAGCTCCCGGCCCCTCCCGGGCAGGTGGGGGGCGGCCGTCCCTCCCCTCCCCCCGGGCCCGAATTATAATCCCAGTCACGTGCCTCCCCGGGCACCCAAAAGCCGGCCCCAGCTCCTGTAACACCTTGAGAGGGGGAGGGGCGGGGACCCCCCCCCCCGGAGGCGGAGGGGATCGGGGGCGGGGGTGGGGGAGAAGGGGAGAAGGGCCTCGGTGCCCGCCCCCCGCAAAAGTTTCTCCTACCTTGGAGGATCCCCAAGCGCTCCTGCCAGCGGCGCCCCGGCCCCGGCCCGCGGCCAGGACTCAGCCTCCTGCCGCTGCCTCCTTAATTAATCCGGGAGAATGGGGGAAGGAGAGGCAGAGGGAGGCGAGGACGGCGGCGCGGCGAGGGCGGGGAGGGAGGCGCGGGGAGGGGGCGCGGGGGGGGAATCGGCCGGCCGGGGGGCTGGCGCTCGGCGGCCCCCACCCCCGGCGCGGGCTGCGGCGGAGGGCGGGGCGGCGCGGGGAGAGGAGCGGAGAGCGGGAGCGCGGGGAGGCTCTTTGTTCTGTAATCCCAGTAAGATTGCCAGCCATTCGCCCCGGCCCTAATCCCAGCCCCGCGCAACACCACCCTCCATTGGCTGCCATTTACATACGGGATTAGCCCGCCCCGCGCCCCGCGCCCCTGCGCACCCCCCTTGCTACCCAGCGCCCCTGCGTCCCGGGGACCTGGGCACCGCGGTGGGGAGAGCGCGCCGCACCCCTCGGCCCCGGACCTGCGGGGAGGGGCGGTGGCGCCCTCGGTTCTCCCCCACCAGCGCCGGATTAGAAAAGCCTGGGCGCGCCCCCGTCTACCCCCACCGCTCCCCACCACCACTGGGAGAGCAGCCGGGCGCAGGGGGCTGAAGTTGGAGGGTCAAGGTCACCCAGCTGGAACGCGCGGAGGCCCTGAGTGTCCCGGCTGGTCACTCCCGCCTGGCCCGGGTTCTAGTCCTAAGGCTTGGGCCAGGTACCTCTTACTCTTACAGCCTTTGTCCCCCTCCCACCCCTGAGATGTGCAGGAAGGCAGTGACAGGCCGAAAGTCGCAGCAGAGCCAACTGGACTCTTGGTCCCATCTTGTCTGATGGGACCTCCCTCTGATAGGCTTTTACCCCTGTCCCCCCAACCAGCCCCCCCGCCCCCCGCCCGCCCCGCTCCCACCAACCACACACACACCACAGCAGCGCTCCTACTGAATCAGTGCGCACGCCTCCCATCCGGCCCCAAAGCCATAAATCCTAATTCAGCACAAGGAACACAGTCCTTCCCCCACGTGGTGCCCTGATCCCTGAACTAGACCTTGGCTAGACTGGGCATGGCAGGGAGGGAGGGACTCACCCCAGGCAGGCCCCAACCCCAGGGAGCTTCTGGCTTAGAAGGACAGCCAAACATAGATCGAGAATCTCCCAGGTCCTGGCAAAACCCACAAGGTCTCCCCACAGCCTCCTGGCCAAACTGCCTTTGCAAAGATTAGGACAGTGACAGAAGTTTAGCGTGGCTGACTCCATCTTGCTTCCAGCCTCACGCGCTGGCTGTCTTCACTCATTCCGGGGCATAGGCCAAGCTAACCGGGGGAGGAATTTAGTTTATAGTTCAACTTTGAAACAAGGATGATAATAGTTACTCCTTAAACCTAACCTGCTTTTTATACAAGAGACCAAAACCACCTTTGTAAAACTAACGAAAGGCCGTGAGATTAGGATTATGGGAGGGGCCTGGACGCTGCTAAAACCTACGCATCGTTTTTATAATCTGACTGCTCAGGAGTCATGTGGCGAGAGATCACAAGATTTGTGAGTTCCCCACTTCCTCCTATAGATAGCATCTCTATTGTGGAAACTGAGATTGGTCTTTGGAGATGTTTTTCAGACTTTCGCATTCGGGCAACCGACTGACTCACCTGGACCTGTGTGACTCATGACTCAGCCCATCCTGTGGCCCCCACTCAGAGACCGACTCAGTGCATAAGGACCGTTTGCCACACCCCTGTGATTTCATCTCCAACCAATCAGCAGTACCCATTCCCTGGGCCCTTGCCCACCAAATTATCCATAAAAACCCTAGCCTCTGAGTTCTTGGGGAGATTTATTTGAGTAATAACTCCAGTCCTACTGCTTGGCTAGCTCTGCATTAATAAGACGCTTTTGGCTGGGCTCAGTGGCTCATGCCTGTAATCCCAGCACTTTGGGAGGCGAAGGTGGGTGGATTGCTTGAGGTCAGGAGTTCAAGACCAGCATGGCCAACACAGCGAAACCTGGTCACTAAAAATACAAAAATTAGCCGGGTGTGGTGGTGCATGCCTGTAATCCCAGCTACTCAGAAGGCTGACGCATGAGAATCACTGGAACCCAGGAGGTGGAGGCTGCAGTGAGCCAAGATTCAGCCACTGCACTCCAGCCTGGGTGACAGAGTGAGACTGTGTTTCAAAAATTAGGCCAGGCACGGTGGCTCATGCCTGTAATCCTAACACTTTGGGAGGCCGAGGCAGGTGGATCACTTGAGGTCAGGCATTCAAGATCAGCCTGGCCAACATGGTGAAACCCTGTCTCTACTAAAAACACAAAAATTAGCCGGGCGTGGTGGCAGGCACCTGTGATCCCAGCTGCTTAGGAGGCTGAGGCATAAGAATCGCTTGAACCTGGGAGGCGGAGGTTGCAGTGAGCCAAGATCGCACCACTGCACTCCAGCCTGGGCGACAGAGTAAGACTGTCTAAAAAATTTTAAAAATTAAGAAACATAAAACTATTTCTCGCTGTAATACCATGGTCTCAGTGAATTCTTCCTGTGCAGCGGCAGGAACACCCGTCAGACAATTACACTGGGGTCTCTTCTGGACACACACCAGGAACTTGGTGAGGGTTAACTTTGGCTGACCAGGTCTCCTATAGGAAACCCACAAACCCATCAGACTGAGAGCTCCTCCCAGGCAGGCCACATCTGCAGTGCCCAGCACAAGGCAGGGCGCAGAGGGGCCCTCATGCCCACAGAGGATGTTGGGCCATGTCAGGGTTGGGAATGAAGTCACCAATGCTCCCTCCATCCTTCACCACCCTCCTGTTGTAAGGAGGTCTGGGACATCTCAAGGCACCCTCCTGTGTGGCCCTCTGAGACCCAGGTCGTCTCCCACCCTGCCTCTTTCTCTTTTTCTTTTCTTTTTTTTTTTTTGAGACGGAGCCTTGCCCTGTCACCCAAGCTGGAGTGCAATGGCATGATCTCGGCTCACTGCAACCTCCGCCTCCCAGTTTCAAGCGATTCTCCTGCCTCAGCCTGCCGAGTAGCTGGGATCACAGGCACGCGCCACCACGCTGGGCTAATTTATTTTTTAATCTTTAGTATAGACAGGGTTTCACCATGTTGGCCAGGCTGGTCTCAAACTCCTGACCTCGTGATCCGCCCGCCTCGGCCTCCCAAAGTGCTGGGATTACAGGTGTGAGCCACCGCACCTGGCCCCTGCCTCTTTGTCTAATCACCTGCATGACCTTGAGCAAGTCAGTTTTCCTCTGTGAGTCTCCACTTCCCTCCTCCTGCAGCTTCTCATTGGACCACAGTGTGGCCCCCATGGTAGATAACACTGGTGATTGGCCCCTGCTTGTCAAGCATCTCCTAGGTGCTGGGTTGGTTGCATTTAAGTTCTCTAAGCCTTGCGCTAAGCCTGCCAGGTGGGTACTATTGGCCTCATGTTACAGTGGGGTAAAGTCACGTACTTAAAGACATGCAGCCCTGGCCGGGCGCAGTGGCTCATGCCTGTAATCCCAGCACTTTGGGAGGCCGAGGTGGGTGGATCACCTGAGGTCAGGAGTTCGAGACCAGCCTGGCCAACATGGCAAAACCCCGTCTCTACTAAAAATACAAAAAAATTAGCTGGGTGTGGTGGTGCACACCTGTAGTCCCAGCTACTTAGGAGGCTGAGGCAGGAGGATTGCTTGAGCCCAGGAGTTGGAGGCTGCAATGAACTATGATTGTGCCACTGCACTCCAGTCTGGGTGACAGAGTGAGACTCTGTCTCCCCACCCCATCAAAAAAAAAAAACAAAACAAAAAAACAAAAACATGTGGCCCTGTGAGTGGAGCTGCTGGGTCTGGGCGAAAGGATAGAGCTGCCGCGCACTGACTCGTGGTACCCCCATGATGTCTGCACCGGCCCGTGCAGTGTCAGGGCTAGGGCATGCCCTCCGTGGGCCCAGTTGGTTTGAAGGCCGAATGTTTCCCTGACCCCAAGTCCTACACCCCAGGGCTTGGAGGAACTGAGGCTTGGTAGGGAAGCATCAGTGTATGCTCAATACTGCCCTCTGCAGGTAGAATCTGGAACAGGGGTGATTCAAGGGGCGTGCTCCCTGCAGCCTCTGGGAGACCTCTCTGCTCCCTGAGAGCCAAACAGCCAGCATGACCCCAGCCTCACCCAGGCAGAGAGCAGGTGGCAGTGTGGTACAACACTGGCACGTCCAGCCCCCGCTCGGCCACATCTGGGAATGACATCTGGCTCCACATGTGCCGTGCATCCTAGGCCAAGTCAACCAGCCTCTCTGGGCTTCAGCTTCCTCATCTGTAAAATGCAGCTAAGATAGAACTGGCTTCGTAAGATCGCTGTGAGGGTCAAATGACACACAATGCAGGAAAAATGTCTTGAGTGGTGTCTGGTGCATAGTAAGCGATCAAGGATAGTTCTTGATTGTTTTATTGGTTGGTTTCATCTAGTAACTAAGTCCAATTCAGAGTTTTAGCTTGAATTGCTCTTCCTAAGGACAAGGTCAAGATCACTCACGTTGTTGTCAAGTTCAGTTCCTTCTCCTGAGAAGGACAACAACGGCTCCCTTCACTGAGAGAGGAGTTTAGTGGAAAAATGTTCTGTTACTGTAACCCACTGTAGCAAACACTGCCGGGCACAGTGGCTTAAGCACTTTAGGAGGCTGAGGCAGGAGGATCGCTTGAGCCCAGGAGTTTGAGACCAGCTTAGGCAACATAGTGACACTCTGTCTCTAAGAAAGAGAGAGAAAGAGAGAGAGAGAAAAAAAAGAGGGAGGGAGAAAGAAAAAGAGAGGAAGGGAAGGAGGAAGGAAGGAAGGAAAGAGAGAAAAAGAAAGAAGGAAGGAAGAAAGAAAGAGAGGAGGAAGGAAGGAAGGAAAGAAAGAAAGAAGAGGGAGGGGAGGGAGGGGTCAGGAGGGGAGGTAAGGGAAAGAGAAGTGAAGAGACGAGAAGAGAAAAGAGAAGAGAAGAGATGAGAGGGGAAGAAAAGAGAGGTGAGATTCTGGCCAGACGCAGTGGCTCATACCTGCAATCCCAGCACTGTAGGAGGCCGAGACAGGAGGATCATTTGAGCACAGGAGTTTGAAAACAGCCTAGGCAACATAGTGAAAACTTGTCAAAAAAAGAAATGAAGGAAGGGAGGGAGGGAGGGAGGGAGGGAGGGAGGGAGGGGAGACAGAAAAGAAGGAAAGAAATAGAGGAAAGGAAAGGTAAGGTAAGGTGGTTTTGGACTGGCTCTCACCTGTAATCCCAACACTTTAGGAGGCCAAGGCAGAAGAATCACTTAACATCAGGCCTGGGCAACATAGCGAGTCCTCATCTCTACAAAAAATTTTAAAATTAGCCAGGTGTAGTACTGCGTGCCTGTAGTCTCAGCTATTTAGGAGGCTGAAGTGACAGGATGGCTTGAGCTTGGGTAAGTCAAGGCTGCAGTGACAGTGAGCTGTGATTGCACCACTGTGCTCCAGCCTGGGTGACAGAGCAAGACTCTGTCTCAAAAAAAAAAAAAAAAAAAAAAAAGAAATTCTTGCCAGTGGCTTGTCCCCATCCATAGAAGTTTTTCCTTTTGTCAAGCCCCCTGACCGCAAAGAACCCCACATCGCCAGACTCTAATCACCTCTGCCCCTCACAGGCCCCAGCTCTTCTCCTGTGGGCTCTGGCCAGGTTCCCCCTACTAGGCAGATATGGAAACTGAGGCCCCTCTCACGCCTTCCTCTCCGCTGCCTCGCAGTCACAGAACTGAGGCCTGGTAAAGCTTTTGCCATCCACACTCTTGTTCACTGAACCTTACTGAGGACCCTCTGGCCGGTGGGCGGGACTATCCCATTTCACAGATGGGAATGCAGGATGCAGGTCATTTGCAGAAGTGAGTGTGTACCTGGGCATCCTAAGGAACTCCTAAGGCACAAGCTGGCCACTTCCTCCTGGCCCGGTGCAGAACTGGCCACCAGAAAGCAATGCCCATATGAACCTAGCCTTCAGCTCCCCTGGCATTCGGGCTCACGGCTGGATCCCTGACCTCCTATAAGCGTCACTTTATTTCCCCCCAATCCTGGACCACTTCTCCCCTCCTCTCACTTGGTTCCTTGAAGGAAACATGCCAAGGGGACCTGGGAGCAGGTAGAGGGACCACCCCGTCATCTCCAACAAGATAACCGTTCTCTGCACCTGGGGGCAACGTCAGAGGAAACCTGGGTTTTGCTGCCCCAGATGTGATCACAGAGGACCAAAGGTGAGGATGGTGAACCCAGTGCCCTCCGGGGGGGCAAACTGCAGGACCGCAAAAGCAGGCCAAACCCACAGCAGCCCAGGAGTGTGTGGAGGCAGCGTGTGGCCCTCAAGGCTCCTGGCCGGACACCTGCCATTCCTTTTTCCTGTCTCCCTGGCTTTCCCTGTCTTTTCAGGATGACAAGTTTATCTGATACATTGCTATTTATTCTTTTTTTTTTTTTTTTTTTTTGAAACGGAGTCTTGCTCTGTCTCTCAGGCTGGAGTGCAGTGGCGCGATCTCAGCACTGCAAGCTCCACCTCCCGGGTTCACGCCATTCTCCTGCCTCAGCCTCTCCGAGTAGCTGGGACTACAGGCGCCCGCCATCACGCCCAGCTGATTTTCTGTATTTTTAGTAGAGACGGGGTTTCACAGTGGTCTCGATCTCCTGACCTTGTGATCCACCCGCCTCGGCCTCCCAAAGTGCTGGGATTACAAGGCTGAGCCACCGCGCCCGGTTGCTATTTATTCTTTAAAAATAAGACTTGAGGCTGGGAGTGGTGGCTCGTGCTTGTAAGCTTAGCACTTTGGGAGGCCGAGATGAGAGGATCACTTGAAGCCAGGAATTCACGACCAACCTGGGCAGCATAGTGAGACCCCCATCTCTAAAAAATAAATAAATAAATAAATAAATTCACTAGGCATAGTGGCGTATGCCTGTAGTCCCAGCTACTCGAGAGGCTGAGGCAGGAGGATTGCTTGAGCCCAGGATTTGAGGCTGCAGTGAGCTGGGATCACACCACTGCACTCTAGTCTGGGCAACAGAGTAAGACCCTACCTCAAAAAGAAAGGAAAAGACAACAAAAGAAAAGAAAATGCTAAAGTAGCAACTGACAATTATTCAATGCTGACTCTAATTTATTGCTGCTAAAAACTTTACATGAGGCCGGGTGTCGTGGCTCATGCCTATAATCCCAGCACTTTGGGAGGCCGAGGCTGGCAGATTGCAAGACAGAGTTTCACTCTGTCACCCAGGCTGGAGTGCTGTGGCGCCATCTCGGCTCACTGCAACCTCCACCTCCCAGGTTCATGTGATTCTCCTGCTTCAGCCTCCCAAGTAGCTGGAACTACAGGCATACACCACCACGCCTGGCTAATTTTTGTTATTTTAGCAGAGATGGGGTTTCGCCATGTTGGCCAGGCTGGTCTCGAACTCCTGACCTCAAGTGATCCTCCTGCTGGGATTACAGGTGTGAGCCACCATGCCCAGCCCCAAAATGTTTTAAAAAAGAAAAAATTAGCTGGTCATGATGACACATACCTGTAGTCCCAGCCACTTGGAAGGCTGAGGTGGGAGGATTGCTTGAGCCCAGAGGTTCCAGGCTGCAGTGTGCTACCACTGCACTCCAGCCTAAGCAACAAAGCAAAACCTTGTCTCAATAAAATAATACATAAAATAAAATAGAAAATAAAATAAAACACAGTCCCCAGATTTTTCCAATGCACATTAAAGTTTGGGGTACGTGGACCTCCATGTTCTTGGAGGGCCATTTAAACACTGACGTTTGTGCAGCACCAGCCCACAGCCATGTCTACTGGGGACACGTCCCCTGAGCCATCAAGCTCCCAGCACCAGCTCCTTCGTCACCGGCTGCCCAGGCCCAGACCAGCAGCCAGGCCTGGCATCTGACTGGGCCACGCTGGCCCTGAGACATGATTCCACCAAAGCACCCTCTCTGTGCTGGGCATCACGTAGACCCAGTCCCTGCCCCTGGGAGCTCTGGATCAGCAGGTGGGGTGCGTGCAGTGCTGAAGGGGTTCTGGGCACGGGGGCCAGAGAGGGCACCCTATTCAGCTTGGGGAGGGAGTGGGGGATGCCGAGGCCACGTCCCTCCAGCCCTATGGGAATAAAGAACCAACTCAATATGCTGCCCTCCCCTCCACACCAGAGACCCACTGGGCCAGGAGTTGCAGCACGTACTAGAATATTTCTTTTTTTTTTTTTTTGAGACAGGGTTTCACTCTGTTGCCCAGGCTGGAGGGCAGTGGCACGATCTCAGCTCGCTGCAACCTCTGCCTCCCTGGTTCAAGCGATTCTCCTGCCTCAGCCTCCGGAGTAGCTGGGGATTACAGGTGCCTGCCACCATGCCTGGCTAATTTTTGTATTTTTAGTAGAGACAGGGTTTCACCATGTTGGCCAGGCTGGTCTCAAACTTCTGACCTCAAGTGATCCTCCTGCCTCAGTCTCGCAAAAGTGCTGAGATTACAGATGTGAGCCACTGCACCCGGCCTTCTAGAATATTTATTTCCGAGGGCCAGGCATGGTGGCTTATGCCTGTGATCCCAGAACTTTGGATCCAAACCTTTGCTTTCTATTAGTGAATGAGAGTGGCCTTTGCACGATGTTTTTGCCTTCACTCTGCCTCTACCCAGGTCCTCCTCGGCCTTCCTGACCGCCTCCCCAGGCCGCCCCACCAAGCCTTAGCTCCTCTACTGCTCAGGCCGGAATGCAGTGGCAGGATCATGGCTCACTGCAGCCTTGACCTCCTGGGGTCAAGCGATCCTACTGCCTCAGCCTCTCTAATAGCTGGGACTACAAGTACACACCACCACATCCAGCTAATTATTTTATTTTCTGTAAAGATGGGGCCTCACCATGTTGCACAGGCTGGTCTCAAACTCCTGGCCTCAAGCGATCCTCCTGCCTTGGCCTCCCAAAGTGCTGGGATTACAGGTGTGAGCCACCGCGCCCAACCCCAGTGAAAGTTTTATGTTGCTTGAGTGCCTATTTGATCCCTGTCTGACTCACCTGTTAAACTCTAAGCTCCATGTGGGGGCGGATTTGAGGAGTCTGTGAGCACCTTGGCGTCCCCCGTGCCCGGCACCAACTATGGTAAACTCTGCAAACGTTTGCTGCGTGAACAAATGCATGAATGAATGACTGAAAACGGTCTTCATCAGTCTGCTGTCGGGTGACTCGTTGGTCTGTTTTTCTCTGTTTCTCTCCACCTGTTTGTTGCTGTCTTTTATGTAGTCCTCTCATGATGTAAGATGTAGCAGGGTGGCCGGGTACAGTGGCTCATGCCTCCAATCCCAGCACTTTGGGAGGCCGAGGCAGGAGGATCACTTGAGCCCAGGAGTTTGAGACCAGCCTGGGCAACATGGTGAAACCCCATCTCTACTAAAAATACAAGAATTAGCTGGGCATGGTGGTACGTACTTGTAATCTCAGCTACTTGGGGGGCTGAGGGAGGATGGCTTGAGCCTGGGAGGTGGAGGCTGCAGTGAGCAAAGATCACAACATGGCACTCCAGCCTGGACAATAAATCCGGACCTTGTCTCCAAAGAAAAACAATTTAAAAAGATGTAGGGGATATAGAGGGGCTTCTGTTTCCAGTCCCTTGTTTCTGCCTTGGCCTCTGATCCTTCCTGTGCAGCCCTCTTGCTTCCAATCTCTCTGCCTTTGTCTGTCTGTCTACATCAGCTCTCTGTCATTCCCTGACCTCCATCTCTGACCCTGTATCTCTCCCAGCTACCTCAGATCTGTTGTCTCTCTCTGTCTCTGGTCTGTGTCTCTCCTGGGGTATCTCTGAGCTTGTCTCTCCATTTCGGTTAGTTCTGCCGTCTCTGTCTCTCTGTCTCTGGGGGTCTCCATATTCCCTGCTTTCTATCTGCCCCCATCCCGCGTCTGTGGCTCCGTCGCCTCTGCCTCTCGGCATCCCTGCGCCCGGTACCACTGCCTCATTCTTCTCCGATTCTCCTCCGCTGCAATCTTTAAAGAACAGAGAGAGGCATGTAATTGAGCTGGGGCCGTCTCCATGGTTGCAGCTGTGGAGTAACTGAAAGATCAATTTGGAACGACCGTCTCCGCAATAATTGCACCTTAATAGTTTGTGTGAGGCATAGCGGGGCTCCGTGAGAGGTGGTCAGGACAGCCCCGGGACCCTGGCAGGAAAAGGCCCACCTGGAGTCATGGTCAGTATCCCTGGGCCGGACCTCAGGAGGGAATACTTGGCCAGAAGCAGGAGGGGCCAGGAGGGGCTGAGTGGGAAGGGAGGCCAGTCTCACTCCCACACCCTCCCAGAGGTGTCTCCGCCGCCTGCTCCTACCCGCTGCGGCTTGATCCTGTTTATAATTTATGCTTATGATCAGGATTATCAGCAATAATGATAACATGATTATAATTGCCAAGCTGCCTGGCTCAATTGCAGCGCTGTTGGTAAATATTGTGATAGGAAGTAGCGTGAGGTCACTGCCTCTCAGAGCTTGAAGGAGGGGGTGGAGACAGGGGTGCCGTGTGCCTGGGGTCCTGTGGCCCTGTGGCTCCTCCGCTGCTCCCAGCCTGACTCTCCACCCTGCTCCAAAGGATTCTTTCTTTCTTTCTTTCTTTCTTTCTTTTTTGTCTGGGCGCGGTGGCTCATGCCTGTAATCCCAGCACTTTGGAAGCCCGAGGCAGGCAGATCACCTGAGGTCAGGAGTTCAAGACCATCCTGGCTAACATGGTGAACCCCCATCTCTACTAAAAATACAAAAATTAGGCCAGGCGCAGTGGCTCACGCCTGTAATCCCAGCACTTTGGGAGGCCGAGGTGGGTGGATCACAAGGTCAGGAGATCGAGACCATCCTGGCTAACACAGTGAAACCCCATCTCTACTAAAAATACAAAAATTAGCCGGGCGTGGTGGCAGTCGCCTGTAGCCCCAGCTACTCAGGAGGCTGAGGCAGAAGAATGGCAAGAACCCGGGAGGCGGAGCTTGCAGTGAGCCCAGATCGCGCCACTGCACTCCAGCCTGGGTGACAGAGTGAGACTCCGTCTTAAAAAAAAAAAAAATACAAAAATTAGCCAGGCACGGTGGCACATGCCTATAGTCTCAGCTACTGGGGAAGCTGAGGCAGAAGAATCACTTTAACCCGGGAAGTGGAGATTGCAGTGAGCCCAGATAGCGCCACTGCACTCCAGCCTGGGCGACAGCGTGAGACTATCTCAAAAAAAATAAATAAATAAAATAAAGTAATTTAAAAAAGAAATTTTTTTATTTTTTTTATTTTTTTTTAGAGATGAGGTCTTGCTTTATTGCCCAGGCTGGTCTCAAACTCTTGGGCTCAAGCAATCCTCGCAATCACAGCTCACAGCAGCCTCAACCTTCCAGGCTAAAGCCATCCTCCCACCCCAGTCCCCTGAGCAGCTGAGACCACATGCATGCCATCACGCCCAGCTAATTTTTGTATTTTTTGTAGTGATGGGGTCTCGCTATGTTGCCCAAGTTGGTCTTGACCTCCTGGCCTCAAGCAATCCTCCTGCCTTGGCCTCCCAAAGTGCTGGGATTACAGGCGTGAGCCACAGTGCCCAGCCAGCCCAGGCTGGTCTTGACCTCCTAGACTCAAGTGATCCTCCCTCCTTGGCCTCCCAAAGTCCTGGGATTGCAGGCATGAGCCAACCGTGCTTGGCCAGACACCCTTGTTTTTTTTTTTTGTTTGTTTTTTTTTTTTTTTTTTTTTTTGAGACAGAGTCTCACTCTGTTGCCCAGGCTGGAGTGCAGTGGCACGATCTCGACTCTCTGCAACCTTTGCCTCCTGGGTTCAAGCGATTCTCCTGCCTCAGCCTCCAGAGTAGCTGGGACTACAGGCACACACCACCATGCCCTGCTAATTTTTGTATTTTTAGTAAAGACAGGGTTTCACCATATTGGCCAGGCTGGTCTCCAACTCCTGACCTCAAATGATCCACCCGCCTCGACCTCCCAAAGTGCTGGGATTACAGGCATGAGCCACTGCACCTGGCTACTCCCCTGTTTTATAGCTGGGGACACTGAGTCTTAGAGAGACTCGCCGAGACTCACAGAGCAGCAAGTGGTGGGGCAGGAATCTGTCCAGGGCCCGTCTGTGGCAACTTCCCAGCCTTCCTGGGACAGGATGGAGCCCGACGGGGCCCCCAGTCCCTGACATGCTGCATTATTCATAAACCCGACATTCCCCCAGGGGTAAACATTCAGAAGGAGCGTTTCAAATCCACTTTCCTGCTCTGAAAATAAATAAATGAGCAGAGAATGCAGGCTCACATGGAGGCGGTGGGGCCATGACTTCTCAGAGCCCCGGGAAAGCTCGCAGATGACCTGTTTCTGATCCCTCAGCTGAGGCCCCCAGCCCAGGGACAGCCTACCCCCTACCCTCCCAGGTGACCCTGGCCCTGAGGACTTAGCCCAACCTGGGGATCCTCCAGGAACTAGGAAGCTGGTCAGGACTACAGGGACCACCTCAGCTCCTCGCAGGGGTGGACAGACACTTAAGTGGTGTTTGTGTGGCTTAAAATGTTTTTTAGAGACAGAATCTCACTCCGTCACCCCAGCTGAAATGCAGTGGCGAAATCATAGATCACTGCAGCCTCAAACTCCTGGGCTCAAGTGATCTTCCCGCCTCAGCCTCCTGAGTAGCTTGTACTACAGGCATGCATCCCCACGCCTGGCTAATTTACAAATTTTTTTAGGGACAGGGTCTGGCTATGTTGCCCAGGCTGGTCTTGAAGTCCTGGCCTCAAGTGATCCTCTTGTCTCAGCCTCCCAAAGTGTTGAGATTACAGGCATGAGCCACTGCTTCCAATCCAAAAAATAAAATTTTTTGAGATAGGGTCTCAATTCGGGTACCTAGTGGAGTGTAGTGGTGCGATCACAGCTCACTGCAGCCTCAAACTCTCAGGCTTAAGCCATCCTCCCACCCCAATCTCCTGAGCAGCCAGGACCATATGCACACCACCATGACCAGCTTTTTGTATTTTTTGCAGAGATGGGGGTCTCACCATGTTGCCCAGGCTGGTCTTGAACTCCTGGCCTCAAGCAATCCTCCTGCCTTGGCCTCCCAAAATGCTGGGATTGCGGGCATAAGCCACCATGCCTGGTCAAAACAAAATTTTTTTTAAAGAGGCACAAGGCTCCCGTCTCTATGATCTGGAAGTTGTCCCCATAGCCCCGCTGTCCCTGAGCTGCCTGCCTCTCTCCACCAGCCCCTTGAGAGGTGCATGTGACAGAGAAGGCCTCTGCAGTGACATAACTAGAGTGTAGAAGGGGACTCCTGAGAAAAGGAAAAAGGAAAGTTTTGGGGGAGGGACCTTGGGAATGCCCAGGCAGTCATGGGACCAGAGGGTGCATCAAAGATGAAAGTGTTAATTTAGGCCAAGCGCGGTGGCTCATGCCTGTAATCCCAGCACTTTGGGAGGCCAAGGTGGGCAGATCACCTGAGGTCAGGAGCACGACCTGGCCCCTGCCCCAGACCCCTGTATCTTAAGTGGCCCAGGGGGAAAGCATTCCAGGAACCTGAGAGGACAGACATAGCGGATGTCTAGATCTCAGCCTGGGGACCTGCTGAGCCAGGGCTTAGGGGTTAGGCAGACTGTGCTCCAGGGTCAAACTGGAAGCTCAAGTGCAGATACACTCAGCTCACCAAGTCTCAGTGGAGTGGACCTGCCCCCACTGGTCAGCTCATCAGGCTTAGCACCCCACTACAGTATCTGCCTAGAGCAGGGCCTCTTTTCTCTCCTTCCTTCCTTCCTTCTTTCTTTCTTTCTCTTTCTTTCTTTCTTCTTTCTTCTTTCTTTCTTTCTTTTTCTTTCCTTCCTTCCTTCCTTCCTTTCTTTCTTTCCTTTCTTTTCTCTCTTTCTGTCTCTCTCTCTCTTTCTCTCTTTCTCTCTTTCTTTCCAGATGGGGTCTCGCTCTTTTGCCAGGCTGAATTGCAATGGCACAATCTCGGCTCACTGCAATCTCCGCCTCCCAGGTTTAAGCAATTCTCCTGCCTCAGCCTCCCAAGTAGCTGGGGCTATAGGTGCACGCCACCACACCCAGCTAATTTTTTGGAATTTTTAGTAAAAACGAGGTTTCACCATGTTGGCTAGGATGGTCTTGAACTCCTGACCTTGTGATCTGCCCGCCACAGCCTTCCAAAGTTCTGGGATTATAGGCATGAGCCACTGGGCCCAGCCGAGCAGGGCCACTTTCTAATTTGTTCAGAAGCTTGCCCTGGATCTCCAGTCCCCTGACTGCTGGGACCTCCTTAGAAGTGCTCCACAATTCTTTTGGACCTCTGGGTCTCCTGCTCAAGCTCCCTGAAAGCAACATTCAGCTCTGAGAAACAGTCTGTCTAGGTTTTCTCCATCTGAAGCCCTGTGGGACCTGGCGGTTCCTGTCACCTCTGATGACTGAAATTATCTCTCTCCAACTTCTCATACCGTTCCAGCTGGGTGCCCCCATGAGGGCAGAGCTCTGGTCTGTCTTGTTCTCTGATCTATGTCTCGCTTCTAAAACACTGCCTGAAGAAGCTCAATAGATTTTTCAATAGATTTTGAGACAGCTTTGCTCTGTTGCCCTGGGTGGAGGGCAGTGGCATAATCTCGGCTCACTGCAACCTCTGCCTCCTGGGTTCAAGCGATTCTCCTGCCTCAGCCTCCCAAGTAGCTGGGATTACAGGCGTGCACTACCAAGCTTGGCTAATTTTTGTATTTTTAGTAGAGACGGAGTTTCGCCATGTTGGCCAGGCTGGTCTCGAACTCCCGAACTCAAGAAATCCACCTGCCTCGGCCTCCCAGAGTGCTGGGATTACAAGCGTGAGCCACCACACCCAGCCAAGTTCAATAGATTTTTTTTTTTTTGAGACAGAGTTTTTGCCCAGGCTGGAGTGCAATGGCGTGATCTCAGCTCACTGCAACCTCTGCCTCCCGGGTTCAAGCAATTCTCCTGCCTCAGCCTCCCAAGTAGCTGGGATTACAGGCATGCGTCACCACACCCAGCTAATTTTGTATTTTTAGTAGAAACAGGGTTTCTCCATGTTGGTCAGGCTGGTCTCGAACTCCTGACCTCAGGTGATCTGCCTGCCTCGGCCTCCCAAAGTGCTGGAATTACAGGCGTGAGCCACCATGCCCGGCTCAATAGATTTTTATTGGTTAAATGAGGGGTGGTGTGTGGGCCTATCTACGGCCTTGCTATGATGTGAATGATGGTATCCCCTCCAGAATTCATGTTGAACATCTCCATTGTAGTGGTATTAGGAGGTGGGGCCTTTTGGGGTAAGTGATTGAGAGCTTTATCCTTGTGAACTCATGAGGGCTCTACCCTTGTGAATGAATTAGTGCCTTACAAAGGGGCTGGAAAGAACTAGTGTAGGCCCTTTATTGCCCGTCCAGCTCTTCTGCTATGTGAGGACATGGTGTTCAAGGCACCATCTTAGAAGAAAAGACTGGGGCCCTCCCCAGACACTAAACCTGCTGGTGCCTTAATCTTTGCATTCCCAGCTTGCAGACTATTAGAAATAAATTTCTATTATTTATATAGATTATCCAGTCTCAGGTATTTTATTATAGCAGCACAAACAGAGTGAGACAGGAATTGGTACCAGGAGTCGGGTGTTTGTATAACCAAAAACTAAAAATGTGAAAGCAGCTTTGAAACTGACTAATAGGTAGAGGCTGGTCTGTAAAGGGCTATTCTGGTGAAGGCTCAGAAGAAAAGGAAAGCTGCAGGGACAGCCTTAATGTTTTTAGAGATTACGTATGTGGTCATAATCAGAAGGTGGTAAAAATGTGGATGGTAAAGGCAATTCTGATGAGGTCTTAAACAGAAATGAGAAATATTTTATTGGAAACCAGAGAAAAGGTCATCCTTGTTACAAAATGGCAAAGAACTTAGCTGAATTTTGTTCATGTCCTACTACTTTGTGGAAAGTAGAATTTAAGAGTGATGAACTAATATATTTGTTGGAGGAAATCTCTGAGCAAAGTGTTCAGGGTGCTACATGGTTGCTCTTAACTGCTGATAGTAAAATGCAACAAGAGAGGGATTAACTAAAGACAGAATTTATAATAAAAAGGGAGGCAGAATAAAGATTTGAAAAATTCTCAGACTGGCCAGGTTGTAAAAGTGTGTTTAAGACAAAATACCCGGTGGCTCACGCCTGTAATCTCAGCACTTTGGGAGGCTGAGGCGGATGGATCATGAGGTCAGGAGTTTGAGACCAGCCTGACCAACATAGTGAAACCCCGTCTCTACCAAAAATAGAAAAATTAGCCAGGTGTGATGGTGTGCGCCTCTAATCCCAGCTACTCAGGAGGCCGAGGCAGGAGAAACGCTTGAACCCGGGAGGCAGAGGTTGCAGTGAGCTGAGATCACGCCATCACACTCCAGCCTGGATGACAGAGTGAGACTCCATCTCAAAAAAAAAAAAAAAAAAAAAAAAAAAAAAGGGAGAGAGAGAAAAAATACCAAGGGTAATAAGAAGATTAATAAGAGGCCGAGCACGGTGGCTCACACCTGTAATCCCAGCACTTTGGGAGGCCAAGGCAGGTGGATCACTTGAGCCCAGGAGTTTGAGACCAGCCTGGGCAACATGGCAAAACTCTGTCTCCACTAAAAATACAAAAATTAGCAGGGTGTGGTGGCTCATGCCTGTAATCCCAGCTACTCAGGAGGCTGAGGCACAAGAATTGCTTCAGCCTGGGAGGTGGAGGTTGCAGTGAGCCAAGATTGCACCACTACACTCCAGCCTAGGCAACAGAGTGAGACTCTGTCTCAAAAAAAAAAAAAATTATCCAGGTGTGGTGGCACACGCCTATAGTGCCACCTGCTCTGGAGGCTGAGCTGGGAGGATTGCTTGAGCCCAGGATTTCAAGACCAGCTTGGGCAACATGGTGTGACTTCACCTCTACCAAAAAAAAAAAATTTAGTTGGGCATGGTGGCATGTTCTTGTGGTCTCAGCCACTCGAGGCCAGGGGATTACTTAAGCCCAGGAGGCTGAGTCTGCAGTGAGCTATGCTAGCACCACTGCAATCCAGCCTGGGCGACAGAGCAGGAAAATTTAATGTTGTTTGCCCTGTTGGGTTTGGGACTTACTTAGGATCTATTATCCTTTCCTTCTTTCCTTATTCTATTTTTTTTTTCAATCCTTTCCTTCTTTCCTACTTCCCCCTTTCGGAATGGAAACATCTGTCCTGTACCTGGCCCACTGTTGTCTTTTGGAAGCACTTTACTTGTTTGATTTCATAGACTCAGCAGGAGGCATATTGATGCCTCAGGATGAAACACACCCTAGAGTCTTACCCATATCTGAGGTAGATAATATTTAGATGAGACTTTGGACTTGGACTTTAAAGTTGATGCTAGAATCAGTTAAGGCTTTTCAGGGCTACTGGGATAAAATGAGTAGTATGTTTGTTTGTTTGTTTTGTTTTGTTTTGAGACAAGGTCTTACTCTGTTGCCCAGGTTAAAGTGCAGTGGCGCAATTGTGGCTCACTGCAGCCTCGACTTCCTGGGCTTAGGTGATCCTCCCACCTTGGCCTCCCAAAGTGCTGGGATTACAGACGTGAGCCATTGTGCCTGGCTGGAATGAATGTATGTCATATGTGAACGTGAAAAGGACATGAGTTTTGGGGGCCCAGGAGCAGAATGCTATGATTTCAATGATGATGTCTCTTCCAAAATTCATGTTGAGACTTACTCATTGTGGTGGTGGTATTGAGAGGTGGGGTCTTTTTGGGAAGTAATTAGGTCATGAGAGCATGAGCCTACAGATTGGTGCCTTATAAAAGGGCTGGAGGGAACTAGCTTAGGACCCTTTGCCTTTCCACCTTCTGCCATGTGTGAGCAGAGTTCATCCCCCACGCAGGATGCAGCCAAAAGGTGCCATCTTGGAAGCAGAGACTAGGGCCCTCCCCAGGCAGTGAACCTGCTGGCTACTTGATCTTGGACTTCCCAGCCTCTAGAACCATGAGAAAATAAATTTCTGTTCTTTATAAATTCCCCAGTTTCAGGTATTTTGTCTTTTAAAATATTTTTTTATTTTGTGTTTTTATTTTTATGGGTTTTTTTTAATATAATTCTTTTTTTTTTTTTTGAGATGGGTGTCTCACTCTGTCACCCAGGCTGGTGTGCAGTGGCATGATCTCAGCTCACTGCAACCTCCCACTCCCGGGTTCAAGGGATCCTCCCACCTCAGCCTCCCAAGTAGCTGGGACTACAGGCATGCACCACCATGCCGGGATAATTTTTATATTTTGGTGGAGACAGGTTTCACCATGTTGCCCAGGCTGGTCTCAAACTCCCGGGTCCAAGGGATCTGCCATCTTGGCCTCCCAAAGTGCTGAGATTACAGGTGTGAGCCACTGTGCCCAGCCTCAGGTATTTTGTCACAGCAGCACAAACAGCCTGAACTCAGAGCGCTAGAGAGGCATGATCTTCCACGGGTCACTGGGGGCTGGTCCTGGAGATGCTGTTGGGCAGATATACATGTCAGCACCAGCCAGCACTCAGAGAACCCTGAGGGTCTTAGACAGTGGCCACCTCGGTAGGTGTCCTCCCTGCCTTCTTGTCTGCCCGGCAATGCTCTGTTCGCCTCTGCGGGCTCACCTCCCAGGTTACTGCCTCCAGGAAGGAGCCCCTGATCTCAGGCTGGTCAGGTGCCTGTCTGGGCCTCCCAAGCCCACAGTGCTTTGAAACCATCTGCCTTCCCACTGGACCATGAGGTTCTCCAGCAGGGGCCCTGTCTGAGGGCTCTCTGAGTCCCTGCACCCAGCATACGACCTGACCCAGAGTCTGAGGCTGCCAGGGCTTTGCTGGAACAAGTGGCTAAAGGCAGGAGCTGTGAGAGGCGGGTGAAGGGGCTGGGGGCTCAGGAGGGACACCAGGGCAGGGCTCTGACTCAGCTCCTGCTGTCTACTTGGGAGAAACAACCCAGAAGGCCCAGAGAGAGGTTGCTGTCCAGGAGCTGTCTCCACTGCCGGCTGGCTCAGCTTCCTCCCCGGAATAACTTAGTAAGAGTCAGTGTTCTCCCCGTCTCTAGTTAAACATTAAAAATTAGGCCACGTGCAGTGGCTCACACCTGTAATCCTAGCACTTTGGGAGGCCGAGGTAGGGGGATCACCTGAGGTCAGGAGTTCGAGACCAGCCTGGGCAACATGGTGAAACCCCATCTCTACTAAAAATCCAAAAATTAGCTGGGTGTGGTGGTGGGCACTTATAATTCCAGCCACTCGGGAGGCTGAGGCAGGAGAATTGCTTGAACCCGGGAGGCGGAGGTTGCGGTGAGCCAAGATTGAGTCACAGCACTCCCGCCTGGGTGACAAGCGTAAGACTCCGTCTCAAAACAAAAACAACAACAAAAAATTAGGCCCAACCCCTGGGAATACTTACCAGCCCCACTCACCTTCCTGGGCTGGCCTCTTGGAAGCCCCGGGGTTCTACAGGCTCAGGTTCCCAGCTGCCCTGGCCCTCACATGCTTGGTGTTACCCGGCTGGGCTCCCTAACTGGGCCACCACTGGGAAAGGTGCTGGGTTAGATGGAGTCACCCCTGTGTGTGACCCATTTCTGTGGACCCCACCTGCCCTGTGTACATCTGCATATATGATGCAGTCACAGCATTTTCTGCCTATCACCTTCTCTGCCCAAACCTCAGTTTCTTTATTCATTTGTTTATTTAGAGATAGGGTCTTACTCTGTTACCCAGGCTGGAGTAAAGTGGCTCGATCACAGCTTGCTGTAGCCTCCACCTCTTAGGCTCAAATGATCCTCCCACCTCAGCCTCCTGAGTGGCTGGGACTACAAGCATGTGCCCAGCCAATTTTATTTATTTATTTTTTGTAGAGATGGAGAGTCACTGGGTTGCCCAGGCTGGTCTCGAAATTCTGGGCTCAAGCGATCCTCTCGCAATGGCCTCCCAAAGTGCTGGGATTACAGACGTGAGCCCCGCACCCGGTCCTCAAACTTTCGTTTCCTATACTCAGGATGGGGATGGTTGTGCCATCTGGGGAGCGTCAGGTGGGCCAGCCACAAGGCCAGGAGAATGAGATTCCTCTGTAAAGAGGACAGAGCCCTTCCTCCTCAGCCAGCCTCAGCTCTGCCGCTCACACGTCTGGGCTCCCTGCTGCCCGGGATCCCAGCCTGCCGGAAATGTAGCAGAAAATTTGCCACCTCTTTACTACGAGCCCCAGGACAGGGTAGGTCTGGGGGCAGGAGGCCCCTCTTTATTCTAGTTTGCCAAGAACTGAATAAAGAAGAAAAAGAAAACCACCCGGCCGGGCGTGGTGGCTCATGCCTATTGTCCCAGCACTTTGGGAGGCCGAGGCAGAGGTCGAGTCGTGTGGATCACTTGAGGTCAGGAGTTTGAGACCAGCCTGGCCAACATGGCGAAACCCCATCTCTACTAAAAATACAAAAATTAGCGGCTGGGCATGGTGGCTCATGCCTGTAATCCCAGCACTTTGGGAGGCCGAGGTGGGTGGATCACAAGGTCAGGAGATCGAGACCATCCCAACTAACATGGTGAAACCCCGTCTCTACTAAAAATACAAAAAAATTAGCTGGGCGGGGTGGCAGGCGCCTGTAGTCCCAGCTACTTGAGAGGCTGAAGCAGGAGAATGGCTTGAACCTGGGAGGCAGAGCTTGCAGTGAGCCGAGATCGCGCCACTGTACCAGCCTGGGCAACAGAGCAAGACTCCGTCTCCAAAAAAAAAAAAAAAAAGAAAATTAGCCAGGCATGATGGCAGGTGCCCTGTAATCCCATCTACTCAGGAGGCTGAGGCAGGAGAAGCGCTTGAACCCGGGAGGCAGAGGTTGCAGTGAGCCGAGATTGTGCCATTGCACTCCAGCCTGGGTGACAGAGCAAGACTCTGTCTCAAAAAACAAAACAAAACAAAAACAAAAACAACAAGAAGAAAAAGAAAACCACTGAAGACATGCTTCTCTTTCCCTACCCCGAATGGTGCAGCTCCAGGGCCAGGGTTGGCTACATCACTGCAAGAGGAAAGTGTGGGGCACATTGTTCAAAAAGCAGGAAAAATGTGTCCTCGAAGGTGCTAAAATACAAAACTTCTTCCTTTCATCCTTGGGCTGACTCTCTCTTGACATCATGATTTTGAAAAAAATTGCTATTTGCCATTTAATGTCGTTCTTAATACAGAAACATTAAAATGCTAAATGATTAGTCTTTTACTATTTCATTCTTTACCATTTATCTTTATATCGTTCAATGCTGGCTTTAAATGTAGCTATAAGAGCATTTTACTCGTGAGCAGAATCGCCGAATCTACACAATTCATATTGTGCCTCATGTGCAAATAATGTGTTTCTTTCTTTTTTTTTTTTTTGGAGACAGAGTCTGGCTCTGTCACACAGGCTCCCTCTGCCTCCCAGGTTCAAGTGATTCTCCTGCCTCGGCCTCCTGAGTAGCTGGGACTACAAGCGTGTGCCTCCATGCCCAGCTAATTTTTGTATTTTTAGTAGAGACGGGGTTTCACCATGTTGGCCAGTCTGGTCTTGAACTCCTGACCTCAGGTGATCCACCTGCCTCAGCCTCCCAAAGGGCTGGGATTATAGGCTTGAGCCACCGTGCCCTGCTCAGTTTTATTTTTATTTTTTTAGAGACGGAGTCTCACTTTGTCGCCCAGGCTGGAGTGCAGTGGCATACTCTCAGCTCACTGTAACCTCTGCCTCCCAGGTTCAAGCAATTTTCGTGCCTCAGCCTCCCGAGTAGCTGGGATTACAGGTGTGCGCCACTACGCATGACTAATTTTTTTGTATGTTTAGTAGAGATGGGGGTTTCACATGGTGGCCAGGCTGGTCTCAAACTCCTGACCTCAGGTGATCCATCTGCCTCAGCCTCCCAAAGTGCTTGGATTACAGGCATGAGACACTGCGCCCGGCCAAGTTCTGGTTTGAATAGAAACTTAGGGCCTTCAGGCCAATCACAGTGGCTCATGCCTGTAATCCCAGCACTTTGAGAGGCTGAGGTGGGAGGGTCGCTTCAGGCCAGGAGTTTGAGACCAGCCTTGGCACCATAGAGAGACCCCATCTGTACAAAATATACAAAAAATTAGCTGAGTGTGGTGGCATGTGCCTGTAGAACCAGCTGCTCAGGAGGCTGAGATTCGAGGATCACTTGAGCCCAGGAGTTCAAGTCTGCAGTGAGCCATGATCGCGCCACTGCTCTCCAGCCTAGGTGACAGAGCAAGACCGTATCTCAATAATAATAATAATAAATAAATAAATAAAAATTAAAAGTAAGGTCTTCAAGGCTGTCAATGGCCTCTTTTTTTTTTCAGTTTGTTTTTTTGAGACAGAGTCTCACCCTGTAGTGCAGTGGCACGATCTCAGCTTACTGCAACCTCCACCTCCTGGATTCAAGCAATTCTTGTGCCTCAGGCTCCCAAGTAGCTGGGATTATAGGTGCGCACCACCACCCCTGGCTAATTTTTGTATTTTTAGTAGAGAAGGGGTTTCGTCATGTTGGCCAGGCTGGTTTTGAACTCCTGACCTCAAGTGATCCCCCACCTTGGCCTCCCAAGGTGCTGGCATTACAGGCATGGATGGCCTCTTGATAGAACGTGTTTACTTAATACCTGTTTTGAGTCACAGGCCCAAGCTTCTGCATTAGGAGCCTGTTTGCTGTCCCTCTCCTCTTCCTGCCTGGAAATCAAGCGGCTGCCCCACTCCTGCTACTTATAAGCTGTGCCACCTCGGGTGGCCACCTCCCCTCTCAGAGCCTCAGTTCCCCGGAGTGATAGCAGTGGTTGCTGAGGGCTGCCTGACCCCCTTGTGAGCTTGCCGTCTGTCAGGCCACAGAAGCAGAGTCCTCTCCCCTCCGCCACTTTGCCACACTTGGGGACGTTTAGGGAACTATGGGTGCTCAGGGTCCTGTAGGTGGCACTGGCCCTGGCCCTGGGGCAGCCCGGCCCCCTTTCTGGGGTGGGGTGATGGCTTGAATCCCAAAGTGTATTTTTTTTTCCTACCCAGCTGGAGTTTCCGCTGACACAGCCGTGTTTTCAGCGCTGGCATTGTGCTTGTATTTAGGTCAGGCCTATTTTAATGCCGCTGGGGACTTGTGCCGGGCTGAGACCGCCTTCCAGGGTTGACACAGAGGAGTGCTGGGCTGCTGAGGGTTTGGAGAGGATGGATGGATGAAGGGAGGAGGGAGGCAGGTGAGGAGGGAGACAGGAAGTGGCAGGTGGCCTTGACCCCCAAATCCTGGCCTATCTGGGGCCCCTACACCCTCTCCCTTTCTATTTTCTTTCTTTTTTTTTTTTTGAGACAGAATCTCAGTCTGTCACCCAGGCTGGAGCGCAGTGGCGCAATCTCGGCTCACTGCAACCTCCTCCTCCCGGGTCCACACGATTCTCCTGCTTCAGCCTCCCGAGTAGCTGGGATTACAAGCGCCCACCACTATGCCTGGCTAATTTTTTTTTTTTTTTTGTATTTTTAGTAGAGATGAGGTTTTACCACATCAGCCAGGCTGGTCTCAAACTCCTGACCTCAGGTGATTCACCCGCCTCGGCTTCCCAAAGTGCTGGGATTTCAGGCGTGGGCCATCACACCCGGCCACACCCCTCCCTTTCTGGCAAGGATCCCCACCCCAACATATACACACTTAGTCTGGTGGGAGGAGAGTCCTACACTGGGCCTCAGGGGACATGGTCGACATTCCTCCAATGTGTGATTTTGCAAGTGATGCTCTCTCCTGCCTCGGTTTCCCCATTTGTCCAAGGAAGGGTTGCTTTGATGACGCAGCCCAGCTCCTCTGGGACTTTGAGAGCACAGGCTGCCAGGCATGGTGGCTCACACCTGTAATCCCAGCACTTTGGGAGGCTTCTGAAGCGGGAGGACTGCTTGAGGCCAGGAGTTTGAGACCACCCTGCACCACATAGCGAGACCCCATCTCTACTAAGAAATTAGCTGGGCATGGCCGGGCATAGTGGCTCATGCCTGTAATCCCAGCAATTTGGGAGGCCAAGGTGGGCAGATCACCTGAGGTAAGGAGTTCGAGACCAGCCTGCTCAATATGGCATCACCCTGTCTCCACTAAAAATACAAAAAATTAGCAGGGCATGGTGGTGGGTGCCTGTAATCCCAGCTACTCGGAAGGCTGAGGCAGGAGAATCACTTGAACCCAGGAGGTGGAGGTTGCAGTGAGCCAAGATCGTACCAGTGCACTCCAGCCTGGGCAACAAGAGTGAAATTCCATCTCAAAAAAAAAAAATTAGCCAGGCGTGATGGCATGTCGTTGTAGTCCCAGCTACTCGGGAGGTGGAGGCAGGAGAATCGCTTGAGCCCAGGAGTTCGAGGCTGTAGTGAGCTGTGATTGTGCCACTGCACTCCAGCCTGGGTGACAGAGCAAGATCCTGTCCTAAAAAATAAATAAATAAATATAACAAAAATAAAAAGAGCCCAGGCTGGTATCCCAGCACTGCCCCTTGCCAGCTGTGTGACCCCATCAAATTACAAAACCTCTCTGTACCCTAATGCCCTTAGCTGCAAAATGGGGATAAAAATAGAATCCATTTCACAAGGCTTTCGGGAGTGAGATGACATCAGGCATGTAGCAATGGTATGTGGCCCCCTGCTTGGAACTCGGGAAGTGCTGGTTGAGAAGCATTTAGTGGCATCGGTGTTATTTTCATCACAATTCGTCCTCCCCAAGGTGCCCCGCGCCTGCCCAGCCCGTGCTCAGCCCAGGGCCCAGAGCCGAGGAGCCCGGGTGCTCATTGATATTCTGGCCACCAGCATCCTTACCGGGCCTGAGTAAACCTAACCCGCGTCTATCGCCAGATCTGGTAATTAATACCCTTGACGGTTTTTATTGGAATGAAGCAGGATCTGTGCATGACTTGGTTTTTAATTAATAACCAGCCTCCCTCCACACGTCCCTCCCGTCCCCCAAGTGCCCTTGAGGACAGGATGAGGTGTGGGCAGGGGCGGGGGGGCAAGTCACCAGGGCCTGGTTCAGTTGTCTCTGAAGGGGAGGTGCAGGGCAGGGCACAGGGAGGCAGCCCTGGGGTCATTTGCCATCAGATGCCCCAGACATTGGGCAGGATGGAGGAGCTGGTTCTCAGCTGGGCTAGGTCCAGTGATGTTCTGAACACAGCTTCTGACCTCAGGGAACACGTAGTCTAAGACATCCAAACCCACAGACACCTAAATCCCAAGAGCATGTGCTACAGGAGAAGCCTCTGGAAGGTGCTGGAGAAACAGCAAACCCAGGGCAGGCGCAGTGGCTCACATCTGTAATCCCCACATCTTGGGAGGCCGAGGTGGGTGAATCACTTGAGGTCGGGTGTTCGACACCAGCTTGGCCAACATGGTGAAAACCTGTTTCTACTAAAAATACAAAATATATATGTATATAAAATAAAAAATAATTAGCTGGGCATGGTGGTGCATGCCTGTGATCCCAGCTACTCGGCAGGCTGAGGCAGGAGAGTCACTTGAACCCGGGAGGCAGAAGTTGCAGTGAGCCGAGATAGCGCCACTGCACTCTAGCCTGGGTGACAGAGTGAGACTCTGTCTCAAAATAAATAAATAAATAAATATATATATATATATATATATATATATATATATATATAAATTAGCCAGGTATGGTGGTGCATGCCTGTAATTCCAGCCACTTGGGAGGCTGAGGCAGGAGAATTGCTTGAACCCGGGAGGTGGAGGTTGCAGTGAGCCAAGACTGCACCA
Organism: Homo sapiens; assembly: GCF_000001405.40. Classification (NCBI taxonomy): domain Eukaryota; kingdom Metazoa; phylum Chordata; class Mammalia; order Primates; family Hominidae; genus Homo; species Homo sapiens. The sequence goes on along the minus strand of NC_000007.14, from coordinate 74,428,469 downwards.
CTGCACTCCAGACTGGGTGACAGAGCGAGACTCCATCTAAAAAACAACAGAAAAAAAAAAAAAAAACCAAAGCCAGGCAACCAGCTTGGCCTGGAGACATCAGAAAGTGCCTTTGAGCCGGGGCTTGAAAGATGATGTCGCTGTTCTGGTGACAAAGAGGAGCTGATGTTCTAGGCGGCAGGAATGGCCTGTGCTAAGGCTCAGAGTCAGGGTGAGGCTGGGGGATCCGAAGGGAGGTGCTGGCAGATGGAGCTCCTGGTAACAGTGAGATGTGGTAGGAGATGAGACTAAGAGACCCAGCAGGACAGGCCTTAAGTGCAGGACTAAGAGGCCTGGCTTTATCCTGAGGGCAATGGGGAGCCTTAGCAGGTTATATACAGAGTATTGACATGGTCATATCTGATTAAAAAAATGTTTTAAATATTTTTATATGAGACAGGGCCTTGTTCTGTCACCCGGGCTGGATGCAGTGGTGTGATCTCAGCTCATTGAAGCCTCCACCTCCTAGGCTCAAGTGATCCTCTGGCCTCAGACTCCCGAGTAGCTGAGAATACACATACTTACTACCACACCCGGCTAATTGTTGTATTTTATTTTGTAGAGACCGGGGGTCTCTGTTGCCCAGGCTGGTCTTGAATTCCTGGGCTCAAGTGATCCTCCCGAAGTGCTGGGATTACAGGTGTCAGCTACCAATCTGATTGTTAGATTTGTTGCTTGGGTGTCCACAATGTGAAAGGGCCGTACCGCAGGAACTAGAGCGGGCAGGAGTGCAGTGGGGGTCACAGACTGTTAGAGCCAGGGTCCATGCTCAGGCTGCAAGGCCTGATGACCCTTCAGGGGCCCAGGAGCCTGGACCTCATAGGACAAAGGGCCTGGCATCCTCTCTCCAATCCCAAACTTAACTCCTTCCTCTAGACATTTTTTTTTTTGAGACAGAGTCTCGCTCTGTTGCCCAGGCTGGAGTACAGTGGCACAATCTCAGCTCACCGCAACCTCTGCCTCCCGGATTCAAGTGATTCTCCCGCCTCAGCCTCCTGAGTAGCCTCCTGAATAGCTGGGATTACAGGCACGCACCACCACGCCCAGCTAATTTTTAGGAGGGACAGGGTTTTGCCCAGGCTGGTCTCGAACTCCCAGGTTCAAGCGATCCACCCACCTCTGTCTCCCAAAGTGCTGCGATTACAGGCGTGAGCCACCGCGCCCAGCCCCTCTTGCTATTTTTAACGTAGCCACCTTGTTGAGGTCCAAATGAGCATTTCCAATCCAGGCTCCTTTGCATAATTTCCCTCAATTAACATTTCTGAGGTGCCAAAGAAGACAGCAACCCCCACCTCCCCAGGTTGGGACCCCCCCACCTCCCCGCCACCAACCCTGGGAGAAACCCAGCTTCTCAGGAGAAGGGCACACTCCCTTCGTTCCGGAGGCTCAGTCGCAGGCACAGCTTGTGGAGCCTGATTGAGCCCAGGAAAATTGCTTGAACCCGGGAGGTGGAGGGTGCAGTGAGCTGAGATCTCGCCACTGCACTCCCACCTGGGCAAAAGAGCAAGACTCTGTCTCAAAAAAGAAAAAAAAAAACAAAAACAGCAAAGCCAGAAGCAACCAGCTTGGCCTGGAGGCACCAGAAAGGGCCTTTGAGCCAGGGCTTGAAAGATGATGTAAAGCCAGGCGCGGTGGCTCACGCCTGTAATCCCAGCACTTTGGGAGACTGAGGTGGGTGGATCACGAGGTCAGGAGTTCGAGACCAGCCTGGCCAATATGGCGAAACCCCATCTCTACTATAAATACAAAAAAAATTAGCCAGGCGTGGTGGTGCGTGCCTGTAGTCCCAGCTACTCAGGAGGCTGAGGCAGGAGAATTGCTTGAACCTGGGAGGCAGAGGTTGCAGTGAGCCTAGATTGCGCCACTGTACTCTAGCCGGGGCAACAGAGTGAGACACTGTCTCAAAAAAAAAAAAAAGAAAGTTGATGTAGCTGTCCCGGTGACCTTTGCCTCTCTGGGCCTCCGTTTCCCTATCAGTGAATTAAGGGGGCTGGGTGGTGTGATCACTACAGAGCTTTGCTCACTTCTGGCTCAGAAACCACACATGATCTCCTTAGCCCCACAACAAATGTGTAAGGGTAAAGTGCATGATGAGCACATTTAACAGATGAGGACATGGAGACTCAGAGAAGGGGAGACATTTGCCCAAGGCCATTCAGGGCTTCAGTGCTGGAATTAGACCTGGTCCCTGTATCTCACACAGCAGGATCATGTAGGCTTTACGAGCTCCTGGAGTATTTGGGGAAAGCAGATCCTCACGGGAGTACAAGAAGAGGAAAAGTGGGGCAAGCCAGGGCCATGGTCCCTGAGGGCTGGGGCCACCAGGAAACATTTCCATTCTGTTCTCCAGATGTCAGCCTCAACCTGCCTCCTCCAGGAAGTCATCCTAGATTTCTTGCTTCTCTGAGCTACTTCCTCCCTTCCTGTCTCCATTGACCACATGACTTGAGCCTCTCAGATGGTTCCCTTCTCCTAGGAAGCTCCCATCTCCCTCCCTGGACTGTGGCTTCATCAAGAGTTAGTATGGAGGCTGGGCGCAGTGGCTCACGCCTGTAATCCCAGCACTTTGGGAAGCCAAGGTGGGAGGATTGCTTGAGCCCAGGAGTTCCAGACCAGCCTGGGCAACATAGCGAGACCCTCATCTCAATTAAAAGAAAAAAAAAAAAAGAAGTTGCCGGGCACGGCAGCTCACTCCTGTAATCCCAGCACTTTGGGAGGCCGAGGCGGGTAGATCGCTTGAGGTCAGGAGTTCGCGACCAGCCTGGCCAACATGGTGAAACCCCGTCTCTACAAAAAAAATCAGCTGGGCATGGTGATGCATGCCTGTAATCTCAGCTACTCGGGAGGCTGAGGCACAAGAATTGCTTGAACTTGAGAGGTGGAGTTTGCAGTGAGCTGAGATCGAGCCACTGCACTCCAGCCTGGGTGACAAAGTGAGACTCCGTTTCAAGAAAAAAAACAAAAAAGAGTTAGGATGGACTTCCTTCCTTCCTTCCTTCCTTCCTTTCCTCCCTTCCTTCCTTCTTCCTCCCTCCCTCCTTCCCTCTTTCCCTCCCTCCCTCTTTTTTTTCTTCTCTCTCTCTCTTTTTCTTGACAAAGTCTTGCTCTGTCACCCAGGCTGTAGTGCAGTGGTGCAATCTCAGCTCACTGCAGCCTCGACCTCCTAGGTTCAAGTGATCCTCCCACCTCGGCCTCCCAAGTAGCTGGGACTAGTGGTGGACATCACCATGCACACCTAATTTTTTATTTTTTGTAGATACGGGTCTCACTATGTTGCCCAGGCTGGTCTCAAACTCCAGGCCTCAAGTGATCCTCTCACTTTGGCCTCCCAAAGTGCTTGGATGACAGGTTTAAGCCATTGCACCCAGCCATGTCCCTTTCTTTCTCAGCCCCTGTGCCTCCTAGTCCCATATGTGGCCTGGCACAGAGCTGGGCAAACAGGACTGGCTGTCCCTGAATACCTGCATTTCCTTTTTTAAAAAAATTATTATTATCATTATTATTATTTAGATACAGGGTCTTGCTATGTTGCCCAGGCTGGTGTCAAACTCCTGAACTCAAGCGATCCTCCCATCTCAGCCTCCCAAAGTGCTGGGATTACAGATTATAGGGGGACCTTAATAACTCCACATGTGCTGGACACAGGCATGATGCCTGGCCAGTGGGCGCTGACACAGGTCACCTTTCCTCAGCAGGGCTGGGCACTCCCAGAGGGCAGGGACTGTGTTGTCTTCCCTATGTGACCCACGACTCCTTCCCCGGGAGTTCCCTGTGTGGGGCTGAAGTGACTGTTGGTGCTCCATAAGGCACCTGGGGATCTGAAGTCACTTTGCTTCTGAGGTCCATGTCTCCGCTAGCATCACATAGAGCACCTGCTTCGGGCAGGGCACAGTGGCAGACCCTGGGCACAGAGGAAACAGATCTGTTCTCTCGGAGGGAGTCTGGCTGAATGCCGGGGGAACCTCAACCACTGGGGGGTGGAGTTGCCAACCAAACACATCCCAGCTACAAGCCTGAGGCATCCCGTCCCCAGCCTCATGGAGGATTCCCAGCCAGACCCATCCCCAGCTGCCCCCAAAGTTCACCTGCTCATAAACGCACTCTTTATGATTGTTTGTTTTTGTTTTTTTTGAGACAGAGTCTCACTCTGTCGGCCAGGCTGGAGTGCAGTGGCACAGTCTAGGCTCACTGCAACCTCCGTCTCCCTGGTTCAAGTAATTCTCCTGCCTCAGCCTCCTGAGTAGCTGGGATTACAGGCACCCACCACCATGCCCAGCTAATTTTTGTATTTTCAGTAGAGATGGGATTTCACCATGTTAGCCAGGCTGGTCTCAAACTCCTGACCTCAGGTGATCCAACTGCCTCGGCCCTCCCAAAGTGCTGGGATTACAGGCACGAGCCACCATGCCCAGCCCATAAACCCCACTCTTTATTTTTATTTATTATTATTATTATTATTTTTGAGATGGAGTCTTGCTCTGTCGCCCAGGCTTGGCACGATCTCGGCTCACAGCAGCCTCTGCCTCCCGGGTTCAAGCGATTCTCCTGCCTCAGCCTCCCAAGTAGCTGGGATTACAGGCATGCACCATTAGGCCCGGCTAATTTTTTGTATTTGTAGTAGAGATGGGGTTTCACCATGTTGACCAGGCTGGTCTCAAATTCCTGACCTCAGACGATCTGCCCACATTGGCCTCCCAATGTACTGGGATTACAGGCATGAGCCACTGTGCCCAGCCTTTATTTTTTTTTAATTTTTATTTATTACTATTACTATTTTTTGAGACAGGGTCTCACTCTGCCACCCGGGCTGGAGTGCAGTGGCGTGATCACAGCTCACTGTAGCCTCAACCTCCCAGGCTGAGGCGATCCTCCTGTCTCAGCCTCCTGAGTGGCTGGGACCACAGGTGTGAGCCACCACACCCAGGTAATTTTTAAAATTTTTAATAGAGATGGGTTCTCACTGTGTTGCCCAGGCTGGTCTTGAACTCCTGAGCTCAAACGAATTCTCCCGCCTCGGCCTCCCAAAGTGCAGGGATTACAGGTGTGAGCCACCGTGCTTGGTCATAAATGCCCCCTTTAGTGGCTTCTTCCCCATCCCACTCCTCACAGGTGTCCTGGGATCACCTCCCAAACCACGGCACCCAAATTCTCTGGCTCTGCTTTTGGGGAATCCAAACCAAGATGGCAGAATTTCCTATTTCTCTGAGAACAGCAAACTTGAACGGGGTTTTGGAGAGGTGGATTCGTCACAGTTTGCCACGGAATGTCACACTTCTCCTTGAATAGGGAGCCGAGTGGCTGCTCTGAGCCACTCAACACACTGCCCAGTCCTTCTCTCCCTTTACCTCTGCCCTTTCTTCTCCAAAGCCCTCCCTCAGCCAGCTGCAGTGGCTCATGCCTCTAATCCCAGCTACTCGGGAGGCTGAGGTGGGAAGATTGCCTGGGGCCAGGCATTTGAGACCAGCCTGGACAACAGAACAAGACCCCATATCTACAGGAAGTTAAAAAATTATAAGGCCGGGCGTGGTGGCTCACACCTGTAATGCCAGCACTTTGGGAGGCTGAGGTGGGTGGATCACGAGGTCAAGAGATCAAGACCGTCCTAGCCAACATGGTGAAACCCTGTCTCTACTAAAAATGTGAAAATTAGATGGGCGTGGTGGCGTGCACCTGTAGTCCCAGCTACTCGGGAGGCTGAGGCAGAAGAGTCGCTTGAACCTGAGAGTCGGAGGTCGCAGTGAGCCAAGACTGCGCCACTGCACTCCAGCCTGACAACAGAGCCCACCTTGGCCTGTTATACATATAACTTTTTTTTTCATAGAGACCAGGGTCTTGCTATGTCTCCCAGGCTGGCTTTGAACTCCTGGGCTCAAACAATCCTCCCACCTCAGCCTCCCAAAACACTGGGATTACAGGCATGAGCCACAGCACCTGGCCAAAAAATTTAAAAATTAGCTGTGTGTGGTGGTGTGTGCTTGTAGTCCCAGCTACTCAAGAGGCTGAGGCAGGAGGATCGCTTAAGCCCGGGAGGTCGAGGCTGCAGAGTGATGATTACACCACAGTACTCAAGCCTGGCGACAGAGTGAGAGCCTGTCTCTAAAAAAAAACAAAAACAACAACAACAACACACAAACAGGGGTGGCCACATAGAGTTTTGTGAGGATTGAATGAATGCCTGGAAGATTAAAAAGTAATCACTGAGAAAAAAAAGGACTTTCAGGCTCAGGATATGAAAGAGCCAGGCCAAGCATGGTGGCTCACGGCTGTAATCCCAGCACTTTGGGAGGCCAAGGAGGGCGGATCACTTGAGGTCAGGAGTTGGAGCCCAGCCTGGCCAACATGGTGAAACCCCACCTCTACTAACAATACAAAAATCAGCTGGGCGTGGTGGCGCATGCCTGTATTCTCAGCTATGTGGGAGGCTGAGGCAGGAGAATTGCTTGAACCCAGGAGGCAGAGGTTGCAGTGAGCCAAGATCACTCCACTGCACTCCAGCATGGGCGATGGAGTGAGACTGTGTCTCAAAAAAAAAAAAAAAAAAAAAGCCAGCAAAGATTTAAAATCAAGAGTTTTCTTTATAATCATGAAAAATAGTTCAGATAAAAGAAATTAAAAGACTAGCAGCACCAATAAGATGAATACCTTATAAATGAGAGGGCTAATGTGTATTACAAAGTTAAAATCAGCAAATACAAAATTAAAATGAAAAGCTATGAAGTTGGTCTTAAAAGTTACTCTCCACAAGAGATAAAAGTTAAGAGGTTTAAAATAATGATAAAGTGACAAAATAAATGTGATTTAAGAAGATAGATGATCAATGCCTCAGGTCTGGGATTAAAAGATTAAAAATACAAACATTAAAGACGTAAGTCTGAGAAGATGGAGATGACCACCCAGGAGACAGAGAGACGGTGCAGAGAAGGGGACCGCAGATGAAGAACTGGCATTAGGGAGAAAGAATATCTTGTTTCTTTTCTTTTCTTCTTTTTTCTTTAAGAAGATACTGGGGGTCAGGCAGGGCGTGATGGCTCGTGCCTGTAATCCCAGCACTTTGGGAGGCCGAGACAGGGGGATCACGAGGTCAAGGGATTGAGACCATCTTGGCCAACATGGTGAAACCCTGTCTCTACTAAAAATACAAAAAAATTAGCTGGGTGTGGTGGCGCACACCTGTAGTCCCAGCTACTCAGGAGGCTGAGGCAGGAGAATCAGTTGATCTCAGGAGGCAGAGGTTGCAGTGAGCCGAGGGCCAAGGTCACGCCACTGCACTCCAGCCTGGCGACAGAGCAAGACTCTGTCCAAAAAATCCCCAAAAAGATACAGTGTCTCACTATGTTGCCCAGACTGATCTCCAGCTCCTGGGCTCAAGTGAGCCTCCTGCTTCAGCCTCCCAGAGTGCTAGGATTACAGGCATGAGCCACCGCACCTGGCCCATATTTATTTTCTGAACAAGAGATAAACTTTCAAGTAAAGAGGACTGAAATAAAAGAAAGAAAGAAGGAAGGAAAGAAAGAACAAACGAAAGAAAGAAAGAAAGAAAGAAAGAAAGAAAGAAAGAAAGAAAGAAAGAAAGAAAAACAGCTTTATTTATTTATTTATTATTTATTTATTTGAGACAGGGTCTCGCTCTGTCATCCAGGCTGGAGGGCAGTGGCATGATCATGGCTCACTGCAGCCTCGGCCTCCTGGACTCAGGTGATCCTCCCACGTCAGCCTCCCCAGTAGCTGGGATTACAGACATGTGCCGCCATGCCTGGGGTTTCACCATGTTGCCCAGGCTGGTCTCGAACTCCTAAGCTCAAGCAATCCTCCCGCCTCGACCTCCCAAAGTGCCAGATTACAGGTGTGAGCCACCATGTCCAGTACAGAAAAGTTGTTTTAAAGAAAACAATTCTGGGTGGATCACCTGAGGTTAGGAGTTGAGACCAGCCTAACCAACATGGTGAAACCCTGACTCTACTAAAAATACAAAATTAGCTGGGCGTGGTGGCGCATGCCTGTAATCCCAGCTACTTGGGAGGCTGAGGCAGGAGAATCGCTTGAACACGGGAAGCAGAGGTTGCAGTGAACAGAGATTGCGCCACTGCACTCCAGCTTGGGTGACAGAGCGGGACTCCACTTCAAAATAAAGAAGGAAAAAGAAAGAAAGAAAAAGAGATAAAGGAAGGGAGGAAAGAGAAAGAAAGAAAGAGAGAGAAAGAGAGAAAGAAAGAGAAAGAAGAAAGAGAAAGAAAGAAGGAAGGAAAGAAAAAGAAAGAAAAAAGAAAGAAAGAAAGGAAAGAAAGAAAAAGAAAGAAAGAAGGAAAGAAAGAAAGTGGGTGGGCAGAAAGGAAGGAGGCAGGGAGGGAGGAGGGAAGGAAGAAGAGAAGGAGGGAGGGAGGGAAGGAGGGAGGGAGGGAAGGAGGGAGGGAGGGAAGGAAGGAAGGAAATCAATTAATTAATAGAGTTACTAAAAAATATTGAATAAATAAATGAAGAAAACTATAGCCAAAAGCTTGAACATTTCGGATCAAGATGGTCAAATAAACTCAAATTACAAAAAAAAAAAAAAAAAAACAAAAATGAGGACAATTAGATGACTTGGAAAGGGTACAGAAAGAGGACAGTTTGTCAGGATGCGGGGGCAACCTGGCAGTGTCTGGAGCTCTGGGAGAGCAGTTGAGGTGGAGTGCAAGATTGAAGATGGAAGTTTGTGCAGTGGTGGAATTGATCAATCCGTCTGACAGCCACTCGTGGGCACCTGTGTGCCACGCCCTGGGCTGAGAGTCAGAGATGTGGGGGTGGCAGTGGTGGCTCATGCCTGTAATCCCAGCAATCTAGGAGGCTGAGACAGGCCAATCGTTTGAGCCCAAGAGTTCGAGACCAGCCTGGGCAACATGGCAAAACCCCATCTCTCTAAAAATACAAACAATTAGCTGGGCATGGTGGTGCACACCTGTAGTCCCAGCTACTTGGAAGGCTGAGGCAGGAGGACGGCTTGAGCCCAGAGATGAAGGCTGCAGTGAGCTGATTGCACCACTGCACTCCAGCCTGGGCAACAGAGTGAGACTCTGTCACACACACACAAGGAAAAAAACACACAAAAATTTCAGTTAGGAGGACTAAGTTCAAGAGATCCAAGTACAACATGGTGGCTATCCTTGATAACAATGTGTTCTAAACTTGCAAAGTACCAAGACAGTGGATTTTAAGCGTTCTCAGCACACTCCCCACAAAAAGACAAATGAGGTAATGCATATGCTAATTAGCTTGATGTAGCTGGTCCACACTTTATACATATTTCAAAACATCATATTGCACACCATAAATAGATACAATTTTTGTCAATTTAAAAAAAGAGGTTAGAGATATGTTGCGGTGCACACAGAGCACTCCCCTCTAGGGAGAGAGGTGTGAATCAAGTCCCCGATGGGCGCGTCTCTGCAGGCCGTGAAGAAAAAGTGTGTGTGTGTGCATGTGTGTATGTGTGCACAAGTGTGGATGTATATGCATGTATATGCGTGTGTGTATGTGTATGTGTATGTATATTGTTTGTGTGTATATATGTGCATGTTTGTGTATGTGAGTATACATCTCTTTGTGTGTAACGTGTGTATGTGCGTGTGTACCTGTGTACATGTGTATATGTGTACATGTATGTGTGTCTGTGTGTATGTGTATTTGTCCGTGTGTACATGTGTCTGTAGTGTTTGTGTGTCTGTGTATGTACGTGTTTGTGTATGTGTATGAGTTTTTGTGTATGTGTACGTATTTGTGTGTGTCTGTGTACGTGTCTATAGTGTTTGTGTATGTATGTGTTTGTGTATGTATATGTGTATGCATGTGTGTACGTGTGTACATGTATGTGTGTACGTGTGTGCATGTTTATATGTGTCTCTGTGTGCGTGTATATATATATGATGTGTACATGTATGTGTGTCTCTGTGTATGTGTGTATGTATCTGTGTGTGTGTGCCCATGCATGTGTGTGGGTCACTTGGAAAGGCCTGGGGGTGTGGGGTTGGAGGCAGGATCTGAGGCCTGAGCTGGGGGTGGGGGACAGGGCCCAGAGTGTGATGAATATGATGGACCCCAGGCTGCGGACCCGGTGCGGGGCTGTGAAGGTGCTCCTGGTGAACTCCAGGCTTGGGGCTGCTGGGAAACCGAGGCACAGCTGTGCGTGGGGCCAGCTGGAAATTGTGGCAGCGGGAGAGGGTGGCTGGGAGGGGGTCTAGACGGGGCTGGAGCCACCCTGGAGGCAGCAAGTCCTTCCCTTTGCTGGTAGCTCCAGAGAAAGGGCCCACAGCCTTACCCAAGGTTCCAGAGAAGCTTCTAGAAGTGAGCATCCTGGTTATTCGTCCTATACCATGTTCCTTCTGAATTTACACTGGACCCCAACTTCAGTCTCAAAACACTTCCCAGCCTCTCTTGGGGAGTGGGAGCGGGACCAGGGTGACTGCCCAGCTGAGGTTGGCAAGGGGGACGTGATGGGAGGGTTCAGGACTGAGAAAGTAGGCCAGGGTCAGCTCTGTGGAGGGAGCCCAGCCTGCGGGGAGGGGAGGCAGTGCTGTGCGGGAGGAGGGAGGCCAGGACAGTCCTGGCCCGGCACGGTCCCAGAGAGGGAATGAATGTCCACGCCCTGGCCGGCCTCTCTCCCAGGGATGGAAGTGTGGACACACACGGATACTCACAGAGAGGCCTGAACCAAGTCTGGGAGGCAACAGGGACAGGGAGCTCTGGGACTAGGAGCCGGGACACCTGGGTCCCCGTTGTTGCTCCCACGTGCAAAGCTGGCCTGTGTCTCCAGCCTTGCAGCCCTAAAGCCCAGTCTGGACAGAGGGTGGAATGGACAAGCCGCAGTGAGAGGGCCGAGGGTGACACCTGCTGGTAAATGGGAGGCATCACAGGCAAGACTTGGCTGGTGGGTCTCTTGCCGCCCAGGGGTGCGTGGTGTCACCCACCCTCCAGCCTCCCCTCCTGTTCTTCACCCCAGGACCCCACAAAAGGAGAAGGCAAATGTTTCCCGATCAGACCTGGAGGGTTTGATCAATGTCTCCCTCTCAGGCAGAGCAAAGAGAAGTGGGGCAAGAGAAGTCCCAGTTTATTTTTTTGAGACGGGGTCTTGCTCTGTCATCCAGGCTGGAGTGCAGCGGGGCTCACTGCAACCTCCGCCTCCTGGGCTCAAGCCATTCTCCTGCCTCAGCCAACCAAGTAGCTGGGATTACAGGCGCCTGCCGCCACGCCCGGCTAATTTTTGTATTTTTAGTAGAGATGGGTTTTCACCCTGTTAGCCAGGCTGGTCTAGAACTCCTGACCTCAAATGATCTGCCTGCCTTGGCCTCCCAAAGTGCTGGAATTACAGGCATGAGCCACTGTGCCTGGCTAATTTTTGTATGTTTAGTAGAGACAGGGTTTCACCATGTTGGCCAGGCTGGTCTCAAATTCCTGACCTCAGGTGATCTGCCCTCCTCGGCCTCCCAAAGTGCTGGGATTACAGGCGTGAGCCACCGCGCCTGGCCTAGAAGTCCCGGTTTCTGAGCTTCCCTCAACATGAGACAGACACTGTGTTGGAGGGGGAGGGTTGCAGCAGTGGTTGTCGCCATAACCCCATGCCATGGAGATGCCTTCCAAAGGCCAGTACTGTGAACCTTGGGGCGGAAGGGTCATGAGGACACCCCGCCCCCTGCTTCAGACCACACTGGTTCAATCCCCACCCCCAAAACACTGATGCTCCAAGCTTTATTTAATTTTCCCAAAGCTGGACCCAGGGCCACATCCCAGGAGTGACCCAGAGAAGGATGTCCCCCCAACCCCTACCCAAACCATGATTCCCAAGATGTTCAGCTGTGACCCCTGCCTGGGGCTTATGTTACCACTTTATAGATGAGAAAACTGAAGCTGGGGAGGGAAGGGCTCTGCCCAGGGCCACAGGCTGGTTACTGCCCAAGTCAGAGTTGGAACTTGGGTCTCAGCTGCTGCAAGGTGCTGCCTTTTTTTTTTTTTTTTTTCTGAGACAGGGTCTTGCTCTGTTGCCCAGGCTGGAGTGCAGTGGCACAATCATAGCTCACTGCAACCTCGACCTCCCAGGCTCAAGCAATCCTTCTGCCTCAGCCTCCTGAATAGCTGGGACTACAGAGTGTGCCACTGTGCTTGGCCAGTTAAAAAAAAATATATATATATAGGCTGGGCGCGGTGGCTCATGCCTGTAATCCTTGCACTTTGGGAGGCAGAGGCAGGTGGATCACCTGAGGTCAGGAGTTCGAGACCAGCCTGGCCAACATGATGAAACCCCCCCTCTACTAAAAATACGAAAAAATTAGTTGGGCGTGGTGGTGGGCGCCTGTAATCCCAGCTACTCAGGAGGCTGAGGCAGGAGAATCGCTTGAACCCGGGAGGCGGAGGTTACAGTGAGCCAAGAACGCACCACTGCACTGCAGCCTGGGCAACAAAATATATATCTATATAAAATATTTAAAAATATATAAATATATATAATATTTTAAAAATATATATATTTAAAAATATATAAATATATATATATTTTTGGTAGAGATGGGACTCTCACTATATTGTCCAGGATTGTCTCAAACTCCTGGCCTCAAGCGATCCTCCCATCTCTGCCTTCCAAAGTGCTGGGATTACAGGTGTGAGCCACCACACCTGGCTGAAGCTGCCTCTTGATCACAAATCTACAGTCCTGTGAGTTATAAGGTGGTACTAGGCAATTCACCTACATCAGAATTTATAAAAGGAGGCCCCAGCTGTTGGTGATGAGAAAAAATGAGCGAGGAGAATTGCTTTAGGGCACTGTCTTAACCTCACACTATTGAGGCTCTAGGTGGGATAATTCTTTGTTCCGGGGCTCTGTCCTATGCATCGTAGGGTATTTAGCAGCATTCCTGGCCTCTGTTCCCTACATGCCGGTAGCATGCCCCCGTTGTGACCACCAATAACGTCTCTAGACATTGCTAAATGTCCCCGAGGGGGCAAGTATCCCCGGTTGAGAACTACAGGTTTGGACAGAGCTGTGTGGCGAATCCCACCTTCCAGGCGAGGGTGGGGTTGCCATCCCCCAGCTGAAGCCTCATAGGCGGGGTGGGCCTCCTTGGAGAGCTTGTTATCCCTCCCTGGCAGTGGATGGGTGCCTAAGATTTTAGGTCCTGAATTGAGGCTATGTTTGCGATTCTTTTTTTTTTTTTTTGGAAACAGGGTCTTGCTCTGTTGCCCAGGCTGGAGTGCAATGGCATGGTTATAACTCACTGCAACCTTGAACTCCTGGGCTCAAGTGATCCTCCTGCCTCAGCCTCCCTAGTAGCTGGGACCACAGGCATGTAGCACCATGCCCAGCTTTTTTTTTTTTTTAGATTTTGGGGTCTGGCTATGCTGCCCAGGCTGGTCTTGAACTCCTGACCTCAAGCGATCCTTCCACCTCTGCCTCCCAAAGTGCTGGGATTATAGGCATGAGCCACCGCATCCAGCCTCGCCCACTTTTTGAGAGCATGATGAAGTGGAAGGGCCTGTCCAAGTTTTTCTCCAGTAACGGGCAGGTCAACCCCTACTTGGAGAGGTTTAAGGACAAATTGGGAGAGAAAAATAAAGTTGCTGTTAAGACTATGCCCTGTGAATCCTGCTTGGATCTTTGCCTTTGGCATTCTGCCAATTATATTTTATATAATGTGCGTAGATGTGTATTTCCTTTTATTTTTATTTATTTATTTATTTTTGAGATGGAGTCTGTCTCTGTCACCCAGGCTGGAGTGCAGTGGCACAGTCTCAGCTCACTGCAACTTCCACCTCCTGGGTTCAAGCGATTCTCCTGCTTCAGCCTCCCAAGTAGCTGGGAGTATAGGTGGTGCCACCACATTGGCTAATTTTTGTATTTTTAGTAGAGACGGGGTTTCACCGTGTTGGCCAGGCTGGTCTCGAACTCTGGACCTCAGGTGATCCGCCTGCCTCAGCCTCCCAAAGTGCTGGGATTACAGGCGTGAGCCACTGTACCTGGCCTGGATTTCTTTTTATTTATAATATTTGGAGTTCTTTTTTTTTTTTTTTTTTGAGCTGGAGTCTCACTTTGTCACCCATGCTGGAGTGCAATGGTGCGATCTCAGCTCACTACAACCTCTGCCTCCTGGGTTCAAGAGATTCTCCTGCCTCAGCCTCCCGAGTTGCTGGCATTACAGGTTCCCACCACCAAGTCTGGCTAATTTTTGTATTTTTAGTAGAGACAGGTTTTCACCATGTTGGCCAGGCTGGTCTTGAACTCCTTACCTCAAACGATCTGCCTGACTCGGCCTCCCAAAGTGCTGGGATTACAGGCGTGAGCCACCGCGCCTGGCCTGGATTTCTTTGTACTTTGCATTCACATCTTTCATCAATTCTGGAAGTTTCTCAGCTGTTTCCTCTTTAAATAATGCTTTTCTTCAATTCTATTTTCTTTGCCACCCGATTAGACCTATGTTAGGCTTTTTATTTTATTTATTTATTTTTTTGAGATGGAGTCTCACTCTGTCGCCCAGGCTGGAGTGCAGTGGCATGATCTCGGCTCACTGCAAGCTCTGCCTCCTGGGTTCACACCATTCTCCTGCCTCAGCCTCCTGAGTAGCTGGGACTATAGGCGCGCACCACCACGCCTGGCTAATTTTTTGTATTTTTTAGTAGAGACAGGGTTTCACCATGTTAGCCAGGATGGTCTCGATCTCCTGACCTCATGATCCACCTGCCTCGGCCTCCCAAAGTGCTGGGATTCCAGGCGTGAGCCACCGCGCCCGGCCAAGACTTTTTATTTTCTTTGTGTGTTATTTATTCAACAAATTATTTGTTGAGCATGAATCCAGGCACAAGTCTAGGCATTTGGAATATGTAAGCTCGCCGTGTGGTTTACATTCTAGATTCTTTTATTTTTAATGTTTTTATTTAGAGACAAGGCTTCACTCTGTTGCCCAGGCTGCAGTGAGTTGACATGATTATAGCTCACTGCAGCCTCCAATTCCTGGGCTTAAGCGATCCTCCAACCTCAGCTTCCAGAGTAGCTGGGACTATAGGCATGTGCCACCATGCCTGGCTAATTAAAAAACAAACAAACAAACAAACAAACAAACAAAAAACCACATTTGTTTATAGAGATGGGATCTTGCTATGTTGCCCAGGCTGGTCTATAACTCCTGTGCTCAAGTGATCCTCCCATCTCAGCTTCCCAAAGTGCTGGGATTACAAGTGTGAGCCACTGGGCCCAGCCATCATGCTACTTTTTTTGCATAGCTCACACTAAATAAAGATCATCACCATATCCAGGTTTCTTCTATCCATAATGCTTACAATTTTCAAATGTCTGAGATGTCATGTCTTCTAGATTTTCCTGGAAGAATATTTTCTTTTTCAAAAAAAGGTCTTGTTCTGTCACCAAGGCTGGAGTGCAGTGACACGATCATAACTCACTGCAGCCTCCAATTCCTGGGCTCAAGTGATCCTCCTGCCTCAGCCTCGCTAGTAGCAGGGACTACAAGTGCACACCACCATCCCCAGCTAATTGTTTTATTTTTTTGTAGAGATGGGGTCTCACCATGTTGCACAGGCTGGTCTCAAACTCCTGGACTCAAGTGATCCTCCCACCTTGTCCTCTCAAAGCACTGAGATTACAGGCATGAGTCACTGCACCCACCCCTGGGAGAATATTTCCTAAGAGTGTGCTCTATCTGGGTATTTTTCACTGTGGAACCTCAAGCAGGGTCTGGGGTCTGGGCTGTCTTGTAATTTTCTTTTTCTTTCTTTCTTTTTTTTTTTTTTTGGAGACACAGTCTCACCCGGTCACCCAGGCTGGAGTGCAGTGGCGAGAACTCAGCTCATTGAAACCTCACCTCCCGAGTTCAAGTAATTCTTTTGCCTCAGCCTCCAGAGCTCCAGAGTAGCTGGGACTACAGATGTGCACCATCACCCCCAGATAATTTTTGTATTTTTAGTAGAGACAGGGTTTCGCCATATTGGCCAGGCTGGTCTCGAACTCCTGACCTCAAGTGATCCACCTGCCTTGGCCTCCCAAAGTGCTGGGTTTACAGGCATGAGCCTCCCCGCCCGGATAGTCTTGTCATTTTCTTCAGCCTCAGATGTCAGAATCTTAGTGGAGGCGAGGGATAATAGCAGATAAGAGCACTCTCCAACCTTCACTCATCCCTTTACTAACGCCTTACAGCACAGTGGAACTGCTGGTGAGAAAACAGGAACAGATTGGAGCCCCAATCCAGGCTGATCTTGCTGAACCACAGACCCAGCCAGCTGTTGCTGGCCCCCTAGATCCACATTCAATCCCCTACTGTTTTTTTTTAAAAACAGTTTCACTTTTTTTTTTTTTTTTTTTTTTGTATTTGAGACAGAGTCTCACTCTGTCACCCAGGCTGAAGTGCAGTGGCACAACCTTGGCTCAATGCAACCTCCGCCCCCCCCCGGGTTCAAGCGATTCTCGTGCCTCAGCCTCCTGAGTAGGTGGGATTACAGGTACCCGCCACCATGCCCAGCTAATTTTTTTTTTTTTTTTGTATTTTTAGTAGAGACGGGGTTTTGCCATGTTGGCCAGGGTGGTATTGAACTCCTGGCCTCAAGTGATCCACCTGCCTCAGCCTCCCAAAATGCTGCGATTACAGGCGTGAGCTGCTCCCAGCCCCCGTACAACTTTTAAATCAAGTGACATCAAACAGATTCATTCACCCTCTGCCCACACCCTGCAGTCTAGTGCAGTTGCTCAAACAGTTCTTGGTAGGTTTTTCCTACTTTATTCTGTTAACATGATAAATTGCACTGATTGAGTTTTTTCCCTGAAATTATTTGAACCATTAAAAATATTCATTTATTACTGTTCCAAATTGTATTCCTAATACACTTTGGTGTTATTGTTATTTTTATTTATTATTATTATTATTATTATTATTATTTTGAGATGAAGTCTCGCTCTTGTCCCCCAGGCTGGAGTGCAATGGCACGATCTCAGCTCACTGCAACCTCCGCCTCCCAGGTTCAAGCAATTCTCCTGCCTCAGCCTCCCAAGTAGCTGGGATTACAGGTGCCTGTCACCACGCCCAGCTAATTTTTGTATTTTTAGTAGAGATGGGGTTTCACCATGTTGGCCAGGCTGGTCTCAAACTCCTGATCTCAGGTGATCTGCCCGCCTTGGCCTCCCAAAGTGCTGGGATTACAGGTGTGAGCCACCATGCCCGGCCTTTGATGTTATTATTAACAAATAATAATTTTTCATACTGGTATACATGTGAAACCATGGCAACTATCATAATGTAATTTTTTTTTTTTGAGACAGGGTCTCACTCTGTTGCCCAGGCCGGAGTGCAGTGATGAAATCATGGCTCACTGCAGCCTTTAACTCCTGGGCTCAAGCTATCCTCTCATTTTGGCCTCCCAAAGTGCTGGGATTACAGATGTGTGCCACCATACCCGGCTAGATTTTCCTTTCCTCCTTCCATCCCTCTCTCCCTCCCTCTCTCCTTCCTTTCCTCCCTCCCTCATTTTCCTTTTCTCTCTCTTTCTCTCCTTCTCTCCTTCTCTCCTTCTCTCTTTCTTTCTTTTAGACAAGGTCTCACTCTGTTGCCCAGGCTGGAGTGCAGTGGTATGATCACAGCTCACTGCAGCCTCAATCTCCCACACTCAGGTGATCCTCCCATCTCAGCCTCCAAGGTAGCTGGGCATACACCACAGGCATGCACCACCACACCTGGCTCATTGTTTCCCCCCATGGAGTCTTGCTCTGTCACCCAGGCTTGAGTGCAGTGGTGTGATCTCAGCTCACTGCAACCTCTGCCTCCTGGGTTCAAGTGACTGTCGTGCCTCAGCCTCCCAAGTAGCTGGGATTACAGGCACCCGCCTCCATGCCCTGCTAATTTTTAAAAATATTTTTATAGAGAGACAAGATTTCACCATGTTGCCCAGGCTGGTCTCAAACCCCTAAGCTCAAGTGATCTGCCTGCCTCGCCCTCCCAAAGTGCTGGGATTATAGGCTTGAGCCATGGCGACTGATCCGGCTAATTTTTAATATTTTGTAGAGATGAGGTCTCACTGTGTTGCCCAGACTGATCATGAACTGCTGGGTTCAAGCAATCCTCCCCCACCTCAGCATCCCAAAGTGCTGTCATTACAGGCATGAGCCACCATGTCCAGCCTTTTCTTCTTTTTTTAAGTTTCCTTGTTAGTAGACAAGGATAGCTTTCTTTTTCTTTTTCTTTTTTTTGAGACAGTCTCATTCTGTCACCAGGCTGGAGTGCAGTGGTGCGATCTTGGCTCACTGCAACCTCGGCCTCCCGGGTTTGAGCCATTCTCCTGCCTCAGCCTCCCTAGTAGCTGGGACTACAGGCGCCTGCCACCACGCCCAGCTAATTTTTGTACTTTTAGTAGAGACGGGGTTTCACTGTGTTGGCCAGGATAGTCTCGATCTCTTGACCTTGTGATCCGCCCGCCTCGGCCTCCCAAAGTGCTGGGATTACAGGCAGGAGCCACAGCGCCCAGCTTCTTTTTCAGAAAGTATCTTAGTGAGGTGAAGGGCACATAACGTTAATTTAATCACTGCATAGAGGCCCTAGTACATTTACAATGTCATACAGCTACCACCTCTACCATTTCCTTCCTTTTTGTTGTTTTTTACTGTTTCTTGGTCAGGTGAATTCCAAAAC
The DNA here is from genome assembly GCF_000001405.40 of Homo sapiens. Taxonomy (NCBI): domain Eukaryota; kingdom Metazoa; phylum Chordata; class Mammalia; order Primates; family Hominidae; genus Homo; species Homo sapiens. The sequence continues at coordinate 74,409,786 of NC_000007.14, read as the reverse complement.
ATTTCCATCACGCAGTTCCTCACCATTTTTTCCTTAGCCCTTGGCCTCTGGCAATCGGCAATCTGCCTGTTCTCCATGGATTCGTCTTTGTGGATATTTCACGTAAGTGCAATCATATAGTACGTGACTGTGTCTCCCTGTTTTCACTTAACAGGATGCTTTGGAGGTATATCCATGTTGTAGCAAATATCAGTGTTTCATTCTTTTTTTTTTGGTGGGGGGGCAGACAGAATCTTGCTCTGTCGCCAGGCTGGAGTACAGTGGTGCAATCTCGGCTCACTGCAACTTCTGCCTCCTAGGTTCAAGTGATTCCACTGCCTCAGCCTCCCAAGTAGCTGGGACTACAGGCGTGCGCCACCACGCGTGGCTAATTTTTTGTATTTTAGTAAAGATGAGTTTTCACCATGTTGGCCAGGATGGTCTCGATCTTATGACCTTGTGATCTGCCTGTCTTGGCCTCCCAAAGTGCTGGTGGCTTGAGCCACTGCGCCCGGCCCATTCTATTTTTTTTTTTTTTTTTGAGACGGAGTCTCGCTCTGTTGCCCAGGCTGGAGTGCAGTGGCGTGATCTTGGCTCCCTGTCACCTCTGCCTCCCGGGTTCAAGCCATTCTCCTGCCTCAGCTCCCTGAACAGCTGGGATTACAGACCCACACCACCAACCCAGCTAATTGTTTTGTACTTTTAGTAGAGATGGGGTTTCACCATGTTGGCCAGGCTGGTCTCGAACTCCTGACCTCAAGTGATTTGCCTGCCTCAGCCTCCCAAAGTGCTGGGATTACAGGTGTGAACCACCACGCCTGGCCGTTTCATTCCTTTTTATGGCCAAATAATGTTCCATTATATGGATAGACCACATGTGGTTTATCCATTTGTCTGTTGATTGGACCTTTATTTCCACTTTTTGGCTATTACAAATAATGCTGCTATGAACATGTGTGTACACAATTTTCTGTGGAAATGCTTTAATTTATCTTGAGTATATAGTTAGGAGTAAAACTTCTGGGTCATATGGTAATTCTGTGTTTAACATTTTGGGGCTGGGCATGGTGACTCATGCCTGTAATCCCAGCCCTTTGGGAAGGGTGAGGCGGGAGGATTGCTTGAGCCCAGGAATTTACAACCAGCCTGAGCAACAAACATAGTGAGACCCCTGTCTCTAAAAAAAAAAAAAAAAAAAAAAAAAAAAGTAAACAAACATACTTTGAGGAACTGGTGCAGTGGCTCACGCCTGTAATCCCAGCACTTTGGGAGGCCAAGGTGGGTGGATCACTTGAGGTCAGGAGTTCAAGACCAGCCTGGCCAACAGGGCGAAACCCTGTCTCTACTAAAAATACAAAAATTAACTGGGTGTGGTGGCACACACATGTAATCCCAACTACTTGGGAGGCTGAGACAGGAGAATCACTTGAACCTGGGAGGCAGAGGTTGCGGTGAGCCAAGATCGTGCCACTGGACTCCAGCCTGGGCGACAGAGTGAGACTCCGTCTTAAAAAACAAAACAAAACAAAACATATTTTGAAGAACTGCCGAACTTTTCTGAAGCAGCTGCCCCATTTTACATTCCCACCAGCAATATATGAGAGTTTAAATTTCTCTACATCCTTGTCAACACTTGCTACTATCTTTTAAAAAGTTTTAGGCATCCTAGTGGGTATGAAGTGGTATCTCTTTGTGGTTGTGATTTGCATTTCCCTAATGACTCATGTTGTTGAGCATCTTTTCATGTGTTATTGATCATTTGTACATCTTCTTTGGAGCAAGATGTATTCAGATCCTTTACCCATTTTGATTTTTTTATTTTTAGAGTTGGAGTCTCACTCTGTGGTCCAGGCTGGAGTGCAGTGGTGTGATCATGGCTCACTGCAGCCTCAAACTCCTGGGCTCAAGCGATCCTCCTGCCTCAGCTTCCCAAGTAATTGGAACTACAGGTGCATACCACCAAACCCAGGTAATTGTTTATTTATTTTTATTTTTTATATATTTTTTGAGATGTAGTCTTGCTCCGTTGCCTAGGCTGGAATGCAGTGGCGCGATCCTGGCTCACTGCAACCTCAGTCTCCCAGGTTCAAGCGATTCTCCTGCTTCAGTCTCCCAAGTAGCTGGGATTACAGGCGCACGCTACCACGCCTGGCTAATTTTTGTATTTTTAGTAGAGACAGGGGTTTCACCATGTGGACCAGGCTGGTCTCAAAGTCCTGACCTCAGGTGATCTACCAGCCTCGGCCTTCCAAAGTGCTGGGATTACAGGCATGAGCTACCATGCCCGGCTTTTTTTTTTTTTTTTTAAAGAGACAACGTTCTTGGTATGCTACCTAGGCTGGTCTTGAACTCCTGGGCTCAAGTGATCCTCCCGCCTCGGCCTCCCAAAGTGCTGGGATTATAAGCATGAGCCACCTGGCCCAATGTTCGTTTTCTAGTTTGGGTCATTGTACTGCAGTTATGTGCGATGTTAATGTCAGGGGGAGCTGGGAAAGAATGTATGGGAATGCCACTATTTTTTGCAATTATTCTGTAAGTCTAAAATGATCTCAAAATCAAAGAGTTAAAAAAGAGTTGGGCAGGCGCAATGGCTCATGCCTGTAATCCTAACACTTTGGGAGGCTGAGGTGAGAGGGTTGTTGGAGCCCAGGAGTTGGAGGCTGCAGTGAGCTATGATGGAGACTTTGCCTTCCAGCCTTGGTGACAGAGCAAGGCCCTATGTCTAAAAAAAAACAAAAACAAAACAACAACAACAAAAATGGCAGGTGCAGTGGCTCATGCCTATAACATCAGCACTTTGGGAGGCCGAGGCGGGCGTATCACTTGAGGTCCAGAGTTTGAGACCAGCCTGGCCAACATAGTGAAACCCGGTCTCTACTAAAGATACAAAAATTAGCTGGGTGTGGTGGCATGTGCCTGTAGTCCCAGCTACTCAGGAGGCTGAGGCACAAGAACTTGGGAGGTGGAAGTTGAATTGAGCTGAGAACGCGCCACTGCACTCCAGCCTGGGCAACAGAGTGAAACCCTTGTCTCTACAAAATAATAATAATAATAATAATAATTTTAAAGAACACATTTTGAGGAACTGATGTGGTGGCTGACTCCTGTAATCCCAGCACTTTGGGAGGCCGAGGTAGGCAGATCATTTGAGGTCAGTAGTTCAACACCAGCCTGGCCAACATGGTGAAACCCCATCTCTACTAAAAATACAAAAATTAGCCAGGTGTGGTGGCACGCACCTGTAGTCCCAGCTACTTGGGAGGCTGAGGCACGAGAATTGATTGAACCTGAAAGGCGGAGGTTGAAGTGAGCAGAGATCGTGACACTGCACTCCAGCCTGGGTGACAGAGTGAAACTCCATCTTGGGGAGAAAAAAAAAATTCTCATTCTCTCTTCCAGGGGGGCAACCTCCACTTGAAAGCCTATTTGACCACAAAGTTTGCAACACGTCGTGCTGTTGATCTGATCTCCGGAAAGCCTGCTGCGGGAACCGGAATTTGCCCACTGAAGCTGGAAACCGCCTCGGACTCATCACACGTGTGTGAGCGGATCCGTTACCGTTTCCATTGACTTTTTTTGCAGGTCTACTTATCCCTCCAGCAGGTTCAAATGTGAACCCAGGACCAGCCCTCTCTGGCAGCCTTTCTGGGTCTGTCCTCTGCCTGTCCTTGCTAAGGTGCCTCTCCTGGGACAAGGACAGCCCCAGATGTCTTCAGCTCCAGCCCCTCTGAGGCCGTGCCTACCTGGGAAGGAATGAGCTGGCAGAGGGCAGGATCGGGGGCCATCTCCTGGCACCAGGGTGCCCAAGAATTGGGAGAGATCGAGAAGCCCGGGGTCCCCACGGAGAGGAGGAGACAAGCCAACTGCCGGGGTCCTGGACCTGTCACAAGCTTTATTGTCCCGAGCACAGACTCGCCACACTTCAACAATTCCACTGTGGGGAGGGGAGGGGTGAATGAAGGACCTGGGGAGGGGACATGGCTGAGCCACACCCGGGCGGCCACACGGGGCGGGCTGAGAGGCCCACGGAGGCAGAAGCTCCCAAGGAAACCGCTTCTTGGACACCCGTCACCAGGAGCCCACCTCCGGGGGCTCAGCTCCTCCCGGCACCCTGCTAGATGGACCTCTGGCTGTTAGTAGACTAATCGGTGCCCCTACCGATGGGGCAGAGCTGCCTGATTTTGCTAGAAAGAGCTGTATTTGACCCTGGGTTAGGCCACTAAAGCATCGCTTCTAGACGGCTGTTAATAGAACTGCATGCGAGAGCTACCGAAAGCCAACAGGGACTGGGAGGGGGGCCGGGGGGACTGACTGTGACTCCCCGATGGGCTGCATTTGGGCAGGAACGTGAGCGCCACCTACCTGTACCAGGTGGCACTCATGAGGGCGATCTGGGCCGTTCCTATGAATTGCACACGTGTCCTGTGCGTTACGGGAAAGCCGGGATGGGGCATCGGGCTTCTCCCTCTGGTCCACTGATGGGGGAGGCCTCACAGGAAAACACTCCCTGAGCTGCCGGAGGGTGGGGCAGGGACCCCTGTGCTGATGCCGGGGTGCAAAGCTGTAAGCAACCTGTTGGTCCCCCAGCGGCGAGGTGGAGGCTGCAGGGCCAAGGCTGGCTTTTTCCACCACGCACAGGCCTGGGATAACTTAGCAGGCTTGAGGGGAAGATGGCAGGGCGAGGGGTTGGGGGAGCGCAGTTAGATTTCTCTTACCCCCAGCCCCCGTTAGGAGATGGGGCTGGAGACGCTCTGTGCAGGTGCCTGGCAAGACCAGGAAGGGATGCTCCATGTGGCAAACACACCCCTGAATGCCTGGCTGCGTGTACTTGGGTGTGTATACGCACCTCTAGGCTGTAGGAACGTTTGCAGTATCTGTAGGCACGGTCCTGCCAGGCCTGGGTCTCAGTCCCAGAAACCAAGTATGTGTCTCTGTGTGGCCTGAGCGTGGTTCACAGCAAACGCCGCCACCCACACGGTCATGCGTGCACACGTGGTCCCTCTGTGTGTGTGTGAACGTGGTGTGTACATAAGGACCCACTTAGCTGCATCTCCAGGTGGATGCAGATATTTTGGAACATCTGGTCAACCCCAGGGGAAACCGTATTACTGACCTTTGTCAAACCTGCCTAGAGCCTCCACTCTGAGCTGCCTCTGCCCTGGGCTCCGAGCCAGGGTTTGCCCAAGGTCACGGTGGGAGGTGAGGAGAGGGGTTTCCAAACCTTCATAATACTGTGTCTTTGGCCTTGGTGACATCTTCGGCCAGCAGCTTAGAGGTGTGTGTGTGTTGGTGTTGGTGGGCAGCGGGAGAAGGATCCCGTTCCCCTGCCCTCCGCCCCCGCCAACACCTTGAACCTGGGGGCCTCGCTGGGCAGGCAGGCTGGCTGAGGGGAGCTTGTACTACTGTTTGAAGAAGGTTCAGAAGGTGGGGACAAGAAGCCCTGGCGACTGCCTTGGCCTGGAAGTGGCTTCGGAAAAGGGGCCCCCACTTGGCTCTTAAAGACTGGATGCTCCCCCTTGGTGTCTGCATGGATAAACTTACCCCCTCCCCAGCCCCCGCCGGCCCCTCTGGGGAGACCCGAGGGAGAATGGGCGGAAAAAGAGGACAGGGCCGCTAAGATGGTCCTCAGGGCAGCTCCTTCTGGACAGAGGGGCCTGGCCGGATCCCCTCTGCCTCCACTGACAAACTCCAGAAGCTGCCGGGTGTCCAGGCTGAAGGTCCCCGGGTCAGGCCGGGGCTGTACCGTTCACACTCTCTGTAGAAGGCTGGGCTTGAGGAAGCGTCCTGGTCTGGCGAGGGATCGGGGTGGGGGATTGTCCGCGGCGGTGAGTACGTTATTGTTACAAACACTGTTTTGTCTCCAAAGTGACAGTCCCGGCTCCTGCCTGGAGGAGGTACTGCCGGGCAGCCGCGTGGGGCTCTGGTGTGGACTGGGCTGCTCCACAGTATCCCCTCAGGATCAGTGCTTGTCCTAGAGAGAGTAAAGGGCATCATCAGCAAGGGTCTCAGAGAGCCTGGAGGGCCAGGCGGCCAGAGGGGAGTCAGGGAGGAAAGGAGTTGGGGCCGGGTGGGGGAGGAGCATAGAGCGAACTGCATGTGCCAAGGCCCTGAGGCAGGAAGTGTCTCCCTGCTGTGTGTTTGTGGCTGTGTGAGACAGCAGGTGGGGTGGGAGGTGCTGATGGGAAGCGGAGCCGAGGGGAAGAAGCAGGTTTTTTGTTTGTTTGTGTGTTTGTTTGTTTTAAGACGGAGTCTTGCTCTGTCGCCAGGCTGGAGTGCAGTGGTCTGATCTCAGCTCACTGCAACCTTCGACTCCCTGGTTCAAGCGATTCTCCTGCTTCAGCCTCCTGAGTAGCTGGGATAACAGGCATGCGCCACCATGCCCAGCTAATTTTTGTATTTTTAGTAGAGATGGGGTTTCACCATGTTGACCAGGATGGTCTTGATCTCCTGACCTCATGATCCACCCACCTCGGCCTCCCAAAGTTCTGGGATTACAGGCATGAGCCACTGCGCCCAGCCAGAAGCAGGTTTTACAAAGAGCCCTCAGTGCCTGTACGGGGCTGGATCTCTCTCTCTTTTTTTTTTTTTTTTTTGAGACAGTCTCACTGTTGCTCAGGCTAGAGTGCAGTGGCACGATCTTGGCTCACTGCAACCTCTGCCTCCCGGGTTCAAGCGATTCTCCTGCCTCAGCCTCCCGAGTAGCTGGGACTACAGGCATGTGCCACCACACCCAGATGATTTTTTTTTTTTTGTATTTTTAGTAGAGATGGGGTTTCGCTATGTTGGCCAGGCTGGTCTCAAACTCCTGACCTCAAGTGATCCACCTGCCTTGGCCTCCTAAAGTGCTGGGATTATAGGTGTGAGCCACTGCACCTGGACAGTTTTCACATCTGTGAACTGGGATGACCCCATGTGTCTCGCAGGGTGGCCAGGAGAACAAGGCCAGGAGGACAAAATCACACTAACTCCTCTGAGGCTGGCTCTGCCCACATAACCCTGCCTGTGTCTGGAGCTTGGCAGATTCTGTGGCTGTGCTGCTCCTGTTTCTAGCGAGCATCTGTGCTCCAGGGATTCTGCAGTCAGAACTAGGTTCTCTCTCTTTCTGTGTTCTTCTTAGAGACAGGGTCTCACTTTATCACCAAGGCTGGAGTGCAGTGGCGCAATCCTAGCTCACTGCAGCCTCAAACTCCTGGGCTTGAGTGATCCTCTTGCCTTAGCCTCCTGAGTAGCTGAGGCTACAGGCATGCGCCACCACACCTAGCTAATTTTTAAAATTTTTATTACTATTTTTTGAGACAGTTTTGTGCTTGTTGCCCAGGCTGGAGTGCAATGGTGCGATCTCGGCTCACTGCAACCTCCACCTGCCAGGTTCAAGCGATTCTCCTGCCTCAGCTTCCCGTGTAGCTGGGATTACAGGTGTGCGCCACCCTACCCAGCTAATTTTGTATTTTTTTTTTTTTTTGGTTTTTTTTTTTTTTGAGATGGAGTCTCGCTCTGTCGCCCAGGCTGGAGTCCAGTGGCGCGATCTCGGCTCATTGCAAGCTCCGCCTTCCGGGTTCATGCCATTATCCTGCCTCAGCCTCCAGAGTAGCTGGAACTACAGGTGCCCGCCACCACGCCCAGCTAATTTTTTTTTGTATTTTTAGTAGAGATGGGGTTTCACCGTGGTAGCCAGGATGGTCTTGATCTCCTGACCTTGTGATCCGCCCGCCAGATGGAGTTTCACCATATTGGCCAGGCTGGTCTCAAATTCCTGACCTCAAGTGACCCACCGGCCTCGGCCTCCCAAAGTGTTGGGATTACAGACATGAGCCACTGTGCCCAGCCTTTTTAAAATTTTTTTTTTTTAATAGAGAGAGGGTCTCGCTATATTGTCCACCCTACCCGGCTAATTTTGTATTTTCAGTAGAGACGGAGTTTTACCATATTGGCCAGGCTGGTCTCAAACTCCTGGGCTCAAATGATCCTCCTGCCTTGGCCTCCCAAAGTGCTGGGGTTACAGGCGTGGGCCACTGCGCCCAACCTATAACTTTTTTAAGAAGGGAAGAAAACACAAATCAAAAAGAGCAGGGTGAATCTGGAATCAAGTTTGCCTGCAACAGCACCCTCCCTGAGGGACCCTACTGTAAAGCTTCTTGCAGAATGCATCTTTGTGTGTATTCTTAGTGACGTTTCAAGGATTTTCTCCAGAGAGGTCTGCCTGCACGGGAGGGACCTGGGAGGCCCGAGGCGCCCCTCACCTCTTGTTTCTGAGCTTTGTCCTGCTGGTGGATGCCGTTTGCAGAACCGGAATTGCCGATGGTCTGGAAGAGTTAGGGGAGACACTGAGCCAGGTGCACCAGGCAGCAGTTCCCGATTTTCCCACTAGATGGCGAGGTCTTCCCATGGGACCGTCTCAGGCTCCAAATTCCAACCCCTTCAGCCTGGGGCTCCCAGCACCCCCAAAGACCAAGCCTCTAGGGGTAAGGCTGCATCTTCCTTCTTAGTCTAAGCTCCTCAGGGCAAAGCCATGTGCCCCTTGAACTGGGGGTTCCAGAGGGCAGGGCTCCCTCCCCTTTCAGCTGGGTTCCCAGGACAGAGCTGCCTCCCGCTTTAGATCAGGGTTCCTGGGCCAGGGCTGCCTCCCATTTCTGATGGAGGTTCCTGGGACAGCGCCACCTCCCCCTTCAGACCAGGGTTCCCGGGACAGAGCTGCCTCCCCCTTCAGACCAGGGTTCCGGGACAGAGCTGCCTCCCTCTTCAGATCAAGGTTCCCGGGACAGAGATGCCTTCCCTTTCAGACTAGGGTTCCCAGGACAGAGCTGCCTCTCCCTTCAGATCAAGGTTCCTAGGACAGAAATGCCTCCCCCTTCAGACTAGGGTTCCCGGGACAGAGCTACCTCCCCCTTCAGACCGGGGGCTTCTGGGACAGAGCTGCCTCCCCCTTCACATCAGGGTTCCTGGGACAGAGCTGCCTCCCCCTTCAGACCAGGGGTTCCCGGGACAGAGCTACCTCCCCATTCAGACCCGGGTTCCTGAGACAGGGCTGCCTCCCCCTTCAGACTGGGGTTCCCAGGACAGAGCTGCCTCCTTCTTCAAACCAGGGTTTCTGGGACAGGGCTACCTCCCCCTTCAGACCAGGTTCCTGGGACGAGCTCCCTACCTCCTCAGACTGGGGTTTTAAAGACAAGGCTGCCTCCCGCATCAGACGGGGGCTCCGAGGACACTGCCCCGTGGCTTGCCTCCTGGTGGGCCCTGTCAGCCGCGGCTCACCTGGGCCTTGTCAGGGCAGCTCCTCATGGCCTCCATCAGCTTCTCCACCTGCTGAGCCTGGTCCAGCGCATCCCGCAGGGCGTCCTCCGTGCTCATCAGCTGGTGCTGCAGCCGCAGAAGCTCGGGCGCCGAGGACCGGTCGATGAGGGAGTAGCGCCTCTGATCCGACAGGGATTTCTCTTTGTCCTGGAAGTGGCAGGAGAGTGGAAGAGTACATGAGTGTGCGTGTGTGTGTTGGTGGGCGTCTCAACTCTAGGCAGGAAAGTCTTCCAGCCTCACTTTGTCTCTGGGTTCCAAGCCTGGGCATCACCCAGAGGTCCCTCAGGCCTCTGTGAGGTGCTCCATGGTCTCCAAGTGGGGAACCCAGGACCCCATCCCTCTTGACTTTTTTTTTTTTTTTTTTTTTGAGACAGAGTCTCGCTCTATCACCTAGGCTGGAGTGCAGTGGCGCGATCTTGGGTCTCTGCAAGCTCCGCCTCCCGGGTTCATGCCATTCTCCTGCCTCAGCCTCCTGAGTAGCTGGGAGGGGCCCACCACCACGCCCCGCTAATTTTTTCCTATTTTTAGTAGAGACGTGGTTTCACCGTGTTAGCCAGGATGGTCTCAATCTCCTGACCTCGTGATCCACCCGCCTCGGCTTCCCAAAGTGCTGGGATTACAGGCATGAGCCACTGCGCCCAGCCTTGCCTTTAAAAATAATTAAAAAAAGAGACAGAGACCGAGCCTGGTGGCTCACGCCTGTAATCCCAGCACTTTGGGAGGCCGAGGCAGGCAGATCACCTGAGGTCAGGAGTTCGAGACCAGCCTGGTCAACATGGTAAAACCCCATTTCTACTAAAAGTACAAAAATTAGCAGGGTGTGGTGGCTCACATCTGTAGTCCCAGCTACTCTGGAGGCCTAGGCAGGAGAATCGCTTGAACCCGGGAGGTGGAGGTTGCAGTGAGCCAAGATCATGCCACTGCACTCCAGCCTGGGCGACAGAGTGAGACTTGGTCCCCACCCCCCCCCCCCCAAAAAAAGACTGAGTCTCACTCTATTGTGCAGGCTGGAGTGCAGTGGTGCAATCACAGCTCATTACAGCCTCCAATTCCTGGGCTCAAGTGATCCTCCCACCTCAGCCTCCCGAGTAGCTGATACTGCAGGGCATGCAACCACACTTGGCTAATTTTTAACTTTTTTTGTAGAGATGCGGTCTTGTTATGAGGTCCAGGCTGGTCTCGAACTCCTGACCTCAAGCCATCCTCCCAACTTGGCCTCCCAAAGCAGTGGGATTATAGGCATGAGCCACCGCACCCAGCACCCTTCTTCTTACACTGCCCCCACCCAACTGTCTTATGAGGTTCCTCCTCTCCATAGTCACCCCCACCATGGCACCCAGAGCTGTACCTGCCCCAAGGCCCGCCAGCCTCCTCGCTCCTGCACAAACTCCATCCTTCAGCACTGCCCAGTCCTGCCTGCTCTGACCCTCCAAACCACCTCCCAACAGAACCTCCATCCTGAAATCAAGAGGCTTCTACCCACACACCAAGGCTTCCCAAGTTCTCCCGTGGACACAGTGCAGGGAGATGATGAGACAAGAGGCTACCCTGGGGCAGAGGCCGCCACTTCCCAAGTAAACTTGACCAATCTGTGCCCCATGGGCACCAGTCTGAGCTCAGCACTGCGCACTCCTACAAGGCTCTAGGGAAGCCCCTGGGGGTATTCAAGACTCCCCAGTCCGTGCCAACCCCAGGGGCTTATCTTCTGTTGAGCCACAGGGACCACAGAGGGTGCAGCCACCAACCCCTGCTAGCCAGATAGGCCAGGACTTGAAGGCCGGCAGGACTCAGTGACCCCCACAGCCACAGTCTGGGTGTGTGGCCAGAGTGATGCTCTTTATCCCGGAACCCTGAGGGCCAAGGGCCTACTCCCGGATATAGGGGGTCGGTGGCGCTGAGGCCCTCCCTCCAGCCTGTGAACCACCCCCTTGCCCAGGGCTGGGCCCTGCTCTCCTTCCATCACCTCTACAGTGGCTGAGCCCAATGTCTGGGCAGGAGGGTGGTGGGGGGCTTCAGGACAGCTTTCCCAGGCAAGGGCCTGTCCTCCTGGACCCCACGCCCTCCATATCGTGACGTTCACCAGGCTCAGGCTTGTCCTGAGTGCTCATCACAGGAGGATGGGATGGGGATGGGGTGGTTTCTTTATTCTTTTTTTTTTGAGACAAAGTCTCACTCTGTCGCCCAGGCTGCAGTGCAGTGGCGCAATCTCAGCTCACTCCAACCTCCGCCTCCTGGGTTCAAGTGATTCTCCTGCCTCAACCTCCCAAGTAGCTGGGATTACAGGCACACTCCACCATGCCCGGCTAATTTTTGTATTTTTAGCAGAGATGGGGTTTCGCCATGTTGGCCAGGCTGGTCTCGTACTCTTGACCTCAAGTGATCCGCCTGCCTCAGCCTCCCAAAGTGCTGGGATTACAGGTGTGAGCCATTGCGCCTGGCCAAGGGATGGGGATGGTCCTGTGCTATGCTACCAGCATCACCTGCCTACCCCAACCCGTCTCTGCAGACTCAGTGAAGTCAGGTTCCTATTCATAATAGAAAAGAAATCTCGACCGGGCGCAGTGGCTGACACCTGTAATCCCACCACTTTGGGAGGCCGAGGCAGGAGGATCACAAGGTCAGGAGTTCGAGACCATCCTGCCTAACACGGTGAAACCCTGTCTCTACTAAAAATACAAAAAAATTAGCCAGGCGTGGTGGCGGGTGCCTGTAGTCCCAGCTACTTGGGAGGCTGAGGCAGGAGAATGGTGTGAACCAGGGAGGCAGAGCTTACAGTGAGCTGAGATCGCGCCACTGCACTCCAGCCTGGGCAACAGAGCGAGACTCTGTCTCAAAAAAAAAAAAAAAAAACAAAAAAAACTCAGCCACCCAGAATCCCAGGCTTGCTGTAGACTTTCAAGTTCTTGTCTCCTTCCTGAGACTGATGTGTGAAGCCCCACTGCAGGACCCTGAGCAAGGAACTGGCTTGTGGTTGATTACTCCTCTGAACAGGGAGCTCTTTACCTGTATTGGCTCATCCTGCCTCTGGACAGGTCAGATAGGAAGTTTTCCTTTGCACCGTATCACACAGACTGCCACATAGGCAGCCATGATGTCTGCAAAAGCGGCTAGCCAGGGTCCCTCCACCTGCCTGTGGTCCTAGAAGATTTCAAATCCTCACCATGACTCAGCTGTCCCTGGGGTCATTCCAGGAGGTCTCCAGTCTCCATGGCCTGACAGCAAGGCTAGCCCAGCCCCACCCGGACTAGTGCCCCTGCCCCTAGGCCACCCCTACCCCACATACCAGCCCGGTCAGCTTTTCACGCAGGCCCCGGATGTCATCCTTGAGTTTCTGCTCCTTGATCCGCCACTCAGCCTTGTGTACCTCACGGCTCAGGTCCCTCTCCGGCCCTGGGGAGTGACGATTGGCCTCCAGCAGCAACACCCGCAGTTCGTTCAGGCTCCTGGGGGTGAGGCGGGCACAGAACCACTGCACTCAGCCCTGGCTCCTCCAGCTCCCACACTCTAGCAATTTGCCAAGTGTCCAGGGGCTGACCAACTGGTGGGGGACATGGGCTACTAGATGGCATCTGTGCCACGAGGGGCCACAGTAGACACAATTCAACCAAAGCCCAAGAGGGGCCAGGATTTGGGGCTGGGATGGTCCTGAGGACTTGACCTTTCCTAGAGTACTTTTTAAAGTTGTTGTGGGGGGAGTGCAGAGCACAGTGGCTCACGCCTGTAATCCCAGCACTTCAGAAGGCCGAGGTGGGCGGATCATTTGAGGTCAGGAGTTTGAGACCAGCCTGGCCAACATGGTGAAACCCCATCTCTACTAAAAATACAAAAATTAGCCAGTCGTGGTGGTAAGTGCCTGTAATCCCAGGTACTCGGGCAGCTGAGGCAGGAGAATCACTTGGACCTGGAAGGTGGAGGTTGCAGTGAGCCAAGATCGTGCCATTGCACTCCAGCCTGGGCAACAGAGCAAGGCTGTCTCAAAGAAAATAATAATAAATAAAATTTTTAAAGAAAAGACAATATATTTGTTTAATTAAAACACACACACACACACACACATAACCCCAAAACATTTACCCAAGAAATCTCATGAGGCAAGACATTTTATCTATTTTTAAAAAATAGAGACAGGGTCTTGCTATGTCGCCCAGGGTCATCTTGAACTCCTGGCCTCAAGTGATCCTCCCGCCTTGGCTTCCCAAAACGCTGGGATTACAAGTTTGAGCCACCACCCCTGGCCAGCAAGACATTTTAAATACCTGATGTCAAATGGGTTTTATCTCCCATGTCACCTCTTAATCAACTGACAGGATCTACCTGGAGTACTATGATGATAATGGTTCTGAGGCCACATTTGGGGTCTGCAGGAAACAGTGCAGTGATCGATTGGTAATGCCTGCCATGGGCATAGGCAGGAGCACATGCACCCCTATGCCCTAGCGTTTTCCCTTGCCTGCAACTACTACAGAGGGGAAAACTCCCTTACTAGGTGGCCACGGGTAGAGAACAGTGGAAATCTGCTGGCACAGCTCCCTTCCCTTTCCTCCTCCTTTCTGCTATGATGTATGATGTGATGGCTGGACTTTCAGCAGCCACCTTGCAATCATGAGGCGGGGAGCACTGCAAAGGTGTTGGCACTGAGATCTTAAGCTCCTGAACCAACTGCCAGTCACAGCTACCTCCAGATTTCTTGTTATGTAAGAAAAGGAAATCTCTGCTACTTTAATCTGCTGTTTGATGGATGTGACATCACTGTCACCAAAGCATTCCTAGCTGATCTCCCACCTCCATCCTAAGCACTGCAGGAGTGTGGAGGAGCCCACGGTGGCCTGTATCAATCAAGAAAGGCTTCAAGGAAGAGGTGACAATGTGCTAAGCCCTGAAGAATGAACTGGACTTAGCAAACTGGCCAAAAAGAAGGTATCTCTGGCCAGGCATGGTGGCTTATGCCTGTAATCCCAGCACTTTGGGAGGCTGAGGAGGACAGATCACCTGAGGTCAGGAGTTTGAGACCAGCCTGGCCAACATAGCAAAACCCTATCTCTACTCAAAATACAAAAATTAGCTGGGTGTGGTAGCACATGCCTGTAATCCCAGCACTTTGGGAGGCCAAGGCGGGCAGATTACTTGAGGTCATGAGTCAAGACCAGCCTGTCAACATGGTGAAACCCCATCTCTACTAAAAATACAAAATTAGCTGGGCGTGGTAGTGCATGCCTGTAATCCCAGCTACTTGAGAGGCTGGGGCAGGAGAATTGCTTGAACCCAGGAGGCAGAGGTTGCGGTGAGCCAAGATTGCGCCACTGCACTCCAGCCTGGGTCACAGAGCAAAACTCCGTCTCAGAAAAAAAAAAAAGAAGAAGAAAAAGAAGGTATCCTAGAAGGGAGGAATCTCATAACTGATGAGAACTGAAGGATGGAAGGAGGCTGTTGACAGCTGTTGACAGCAGGGAGACGGGGATGAGGCCAGGCTCTGGGAAAGAGGAAATGTGGCTTCAGATGACAGGGAAAATTCAGAGACAATGGATAAAGACCCAAAACTCCAGAAAGTTCTATCGAGACTCAGCAGAGGGGCATCCTGTGGCTGAGACAGGGCAGAAAGCTTCCTCGGAGAAGGTGAGACCAGGCAGGGCACCAAGAATAACTTTTCCACTTAGGATGGGAGACAGGGGAGGGAGGGCAGCCCTGGAACCCTGGCCAGGGGCCTGGCTGGTTTGTTCCTACTGGAAAAGGCACAGGCTGCATCTGCAGAGGGCAGTGTTGTTCTGGAAAATTCCTAGATTGCCTCATCGCATCTGTTTCCCTCCTGGGCAGGGCTACAGTTTCTAGAAAGGTGTTAGATTTGTAGCAAATGTAGCTAGAGCAACTCCTAATCTGTATAGAAGGAAAGGAGATGGCATTTCTTCTTTTACAAAAGGATGTCTGTGCTTCAAAGAGATTCCTTTAACTCGGGTTGAAATGCAAATGCTGGGCCCGGGGCGGTGGCCCACGCCTGTGCTCCCAGCACTTTGGGAGGCCGAGGCAGGTGGATCACCTGAGGTCGGGAGTTTGAGACCAGCCTGACCAACATGGAGAAACCCTATCTATACTAAAAATACAAAATTAGCCCGGCATGGTGGCGCATGCCTGTAATCCCAGCTACTTGGGAAGCTGGGGCAGGAGAATTGCTTGAACCCAGGAGGCAGAGGTTGCGGTGAGCAGAGATTGTGCCACTGCACTCCAGCCTGGGCAACAAGAGCAAAACTCCATCTCAAAAAAAAAAAAAAAAAAAAAATAAGAAGAAAAAGAAGGTATCCCAGAAGGGAGGAATCTCATAACTGATGAGAGCTGAAGGATGGAAGGAGGCTGTTGACAGCTGTTGACAGCAGGGAGACGGGGATGAGGCCCTCTGGGAAAGAGGAAATGTGGCTTCAGATGACAGGGAAAATTCAGAGACAATGGATAAAGACCCAAAACTCCAGGAAGTTCTATCGAGACTCAGCGGAGGGGCATCCTGCGGCTGAGATAGGGCGGAAAGCTTCCTCGGAGAAAGTGAGACCAGGCAGGGCACCAATAATAACTTTTCCACTTAGGATGGGAGACAGGGGAGGGAGGGCAGCCCTGGAACCCTGGCCAGGGTCCTGGCTGGTTTGTTCCTACTGGAAAAACACAGGCTGCATCTGCAGAGGGCAGTGTTGTTCTGGAAAATTCCTAGATTGCCTCATCGCATCTGTTTCCTTCCTGGGCAGGGCTACAGTTTCTAGAAAGGTGTTAGATTTGTAGCAAATGTAGCTAGAGCAACTCTTAATCTGTATAGAAGGAAAGGAGGTAGCATTTCTTCTTTTACAAAAGGATGTCTGTGCTTCAAAGAGATTCCTTTAACTTGGGTTGAAATGCAAATGCTGGGCCCGGCAGAGTGGCTCACACCTGTATTCCCAGCACTTTGGGAGGCTGAGGCGGGTGGATCACCTGAGGTCGGGAGTTCGAGACCAGCATGACCAACATGGAGAAACCCCATCTCTACTAAAAATACAAAATTAGCCGGGCATGGTGGCACATGCCTGTAATCCCAGCTACTCATAAGGCTGAGGCAGGAGAATCACTTGAACCTAGGAGGTGGAGGTTGCAGTGAGCAGAGATTGTGCCACTGCACTCCAGCCTGGACAACAAGAGCAAAACTCCATCTCAAAAAAAAAAAGAAATGCAAATGCTGGGCCCAGTGCGGTGGCTCATGCCTGTACTCCCAGCACTTTGGGAGGCAGAGGCAGGCAGATCACTTGAGGTTAGGAGTTGGAGACCAGCCTGGCCAACACAGTGAAACCCTGTCCCTACTAAAAATTAGCTGGGCATGGTGATGGGCGCCTGTAATCCCAGCTACTCGGGAGGCTGAGGCAGGAGAATCGCTTGAACCCAGAAGGTGGAGGTTGCAGTGACCTGAGATCGCGCCACTGTACTGCAGCCTGGGCAACAGAGTAAGACTCCGTCTCAAAAAAAAAAAAAAAAAAAGCAAATGCTTACAGGGGCTGGGGAATTGGGAGTAAGAAAAATAATGAAGGGAAAGTGGGGCCTCCCCAGGAGACTCAGGGGGCCCACGCCCATCAGAAGGGGGCAGGGGCTCCCCAGCTATGATGGGGTGATCGCCATGCTGGAAGTCTGTCCTGTGTTGTTAGGTCTTGCCATTTGTTATTTTTTAAAATTGTGTTTATTACTATTATTATTTTTGAGACAGAGTTTCACTCTTGTTGCCCAGGCTGGAGTGCAATGGCACGATCTTGGCTCACTGCAACCTCCACCTCCTAGTTCAAGTGATTCTCCTGCCTGAAGTAGCTGGGATTACAGGCGTGCTTCACCATACCTGGATAATTTTTGTATTTTTAGTAGATATGGGGTTTCATCATCTTGGCCAGGCTGGTCTCGAACTCCTGACCTCAGGTGATCTACCTGCCTCGGCCTCCCAAAGTGCTGGGATTACAGGCGTGAGCAGCCACCACACTCAGCCTTTTACTTATTGTTTTTTGAGACAGGGTCTTGCTCTGTCGCCCAGGCTGTGGTATGATCATGGCTTACTGAGTCTCCACTTCCTGGGCCCAAGTAATCCTACTACCGCAGCCTCCTGAGTAGCTGGGACCCACAGGCGTGTGCTCCACGCCCAGCTATTTTCTTTTCTTTCCTTTTCTTTTTTTTTTTTTTGAGATGGAGTCTCACTCTGTCGCCCAGGCTGGAGTGCAGCGGCGTGATCTTGGCTCACTCCAAGCTCCGCCTCCTAGGTTCACGCCATTCTCCTGCCTCAGCCTCCCCAGTAGCTGGGACTACAGGTGCCCACCACCAAGCCTGGCTAATTTTTTGTATTTTTAGTAGAGACAGGGTTTCATCGTGTTAGGCAGGATGGTCTCGATCTCCTGACCTCGTGATCTGCCTGCCTCGGCCTCCCAAAGTGCTGGGATTACAGGCGTGAGCCACTGCGCCCAGCCACGCCCAGCTATTTTTCTATTTTTTTGTAGAGATGGGGTCTTGCTGTGTTGCCCAGGCTGGTCTTGAACTCCTGAGCTCAAGTGATCCTCCAGTCTCCGCCTCCCAAAGTGCTGGGATTTCAGGTGTGAGCCACCATGCCATGCCAGATCTTCCCATTTTTTAAGGGAATGTGGAGAAATCTGGCTTTTCTGTAACATTTGATTTTTATTTTCTTTAATTAATTAACCTTTTTTTTTCTTCTTCTTCTTTGAGACAGAGTCTCACTCTATTGCCCAGGCTGGAGTGCAGTGGCACAATCTCGACTCACTGCAACCTCTGCCTCCCGGGTTCAAGTGACTCTCCTGCCTCAGCCTCCTGAGTAGCTGGGACTACAGGTGTGTGCCACCATGCCTGGCTAATTTTTGTATTTTTAGTAGAGACGGGGTTTCGCCATGTTGACCAGGCTGGTCTCAAGCTCCTGAGCTCAAGTGATCTGCCTGCCTTGGCCTCCCAGAGTGCTGGTATTACAGGGGTGAAGCACTGCGCCTGGCCCCATCTTCTGATTTTTAATTGTTAGTCTAATTTCTTAAAGGCTCAGAGGGACCACACAAACCATGTCTATCGACTGAATCTAGCTCATTGGATGCTAAAGTGTGTTCTGAGGAAATCCCAGTGGGTCCCTTAAAACCTTTTCAAGGGATCTATGGCTCAAAACTATTTTTGTAATAATAACAAAACTATTTTCATTACTTCTCTTCAGAATACAATAGGTTTTTTCTGGGGCTAGTAGAAATACTAACCATGATTTGAAAAGGACATTCAAATACTCCTTTGTTTTCTAACTACATATCTATGTAAGATCAGATTTTTAGAACATAGTTCAACCAAAAGAGCAAATTGCAAAGATGGAACATGGAAAAAGATGCCAGAATCTAGTTTCTCCTATTAAGCCCCAATATTCAAGGATTTTGCAAAAATTTGAAATAATGCCACTCTTCCCAGTAAATATTTTTTGTTTTGGAAAATAGTTACTTTTTTTTTTGATGGAGTTTCGCTCTTGTTGCCCAGGCTGGTGTGTAGTGGCGCAATCTCGGCTCACTGCAACCTCCGCCTTCCGGGTTCAAGAGATTCTCCTGCCTCAGCCTCCCGAGTAGCTGGGATTACAGGTGCCTGCCAACACGCCTGGCTAATGTTTTGTATTTTTAGTAGAGACAGGGTTTCGCCATGTTGGACAGGCTGGTCTTGAACTCACGACCTCAGGTGATCTGCCCACCTCGACCTCCCAAAGTGCTGGGATTACAGGCAGAAGCCACCCCGCCCAGTCCCCCACCCACCCCCCCCACCCCGCCAGAAAATAGTTACTTTTTATCAAAAGCATGCTACTTATGTTACATGCAATTGGCTTATTAATTTTATTTTTTGAGACAGGGTCTTACTGCCACCGCCCAGGCTGCAGTGCAGTAGCAAGACCTTGGCTCACTGCAGCCTCGACTTGCCACCTAAGGTGATCCTCCCACCTCAGCCTCCTGAGTAGCTGGGATTACAGATGTATGCTACTATGCCCAGCTAAATTTTGTGTTTTTGGTAGAGAGGGGTTTTGCCATGTTGCCCAGGCTGGTCTCAAAGTCCTTGGCTCAAGTGATCCTCCTGCCTCAGCCTTCTAAAGTGCTGGGATTACAAGTGTGAGCCACCACGCCTGGCCTGGCTTCTTATTTTAAGATGGATTCGTATCTTACACTTTTTCAGTCTTAATTCTAATATGGTAAATATAGAATAAACAAACAAAAGCTCTTTGGGGATCCTCAATAATTTTTAGGAGTTTAAAGGGGTCCCTGAGACCAAACATTTTGGGGAGGCATTAATCCTTTCTTTCTTTCTTTCTTTCTTTCTTTCTTTCTTTCTTTCTTTCTTTCTTTCTTTCTTTCTTCTTTCTTTCTTTTTCTTTCTTTCTTTCTCTCTCTCTCTCTTTTCTTTCTTTCTTTCTTTCTTTTTTTTTTTTAAAGAGACAGGGTTTTGCTCTATTGCCCCGGCTGGAGTGCAGTGGTATGCCATAGCTGACTGCAGCCTCGAACTCCTGGGCTCAAGAGATCATCCTGCCTCAGCCTCCCAAGTAGCTAGGACTACTGGTGCATACCACCAGGCTTGGCTAATTAAAAGAAAAAAAAAAAACTTTATTATTATTATTTTTTTGAGATGGAGTCTTGCTCTGGTCACCCAGGTTGGAGTGCAGTGGCATGATCTCAGCTCACTGCAGCCTCCTCCTCTCGGGTTCAAGGAATTCTCATGCCCCAGCCTCCTGAGTAGCTGGGACTACAGGCACACACCACTACACCCAGCTAATTTCTGTATTTTTAGTAGAAACAGGGTTTCACCATTTTGGCCAGGATAGTCTTGAACCCCTGACCTCAGGTGATCCGGCTGCCTCGGCCTCCCAAGGTGCTGGGATTACAGGTGTGAGCCACTGCACCCAGCCTAATTTTTTTTTTTTTTTTTTTTTTTTTAGAGATAGGGGTCTCACTATGTTGCCCAGGCTGGTCTTGAACTCCTGGGCTCAATCCTCCTGCCTCAGCCTCCCAAAGTGCTGGGATTACAGGCATGAGCCACTGTGCCTGGCCCTACTCTTTTCTATAAGCTCTGCTTGGAAAACAGTGTAGAGGCTTTGGAGACTTTATCGGAGCTTAGAGGAGAGCAGGGTGATCGCTCGAGATCGGCCACCTGGCCCACCAGCTCTATCCCCCTCTCTGCCCCAAGATAACATGAGCTAATGTCAAGAAGAGGAGCAAGGGCCAGGGCCACAGGGAGGACCCAGCCGGCCCCACGGCCGCCTCACCGCTCCTTCCGCAGCAGCTCCTGGCTGATGAGGACTAGCTGGCCCGAGGCGTCATGGGTCTTCCGGGACACGGTCTCCAGCTCTGCCTCCAGGCGCCGCTTCTCCTTCAGGAGGGCGTCCACCTTCTTCTCGCCTGACTTACACTTGCTCTCCAGCGCTGGGGTCAGCCGGCAGGGAAGGGAGGAAGAGGATTGGGAACACGTGAGCTTCTGTCCCACCCAAGGGCAAAGACCTGGGCAGGGCGCTGATTCTCCCAGGGGATGAAGGTGACATACCCCACTGCATAGTTTTGACGGTTTTTTTAGAGATTGGGTCTGGCTCTGTCACCCAGACTGGAGTACAGTGGCACAATTATAGCTCATTGCAGCCTCCAACTCCTGAGCTCAAGCAATCCTCCTGCCTCAGCCTCCTGAGTAGCTGGGACTACAGGAGTGCACCATCATACCTGGCGGTTTTTTTTTTTTGGAGACAAAGTCTCACTCTGTCACCCAGGCTAGAGTGCAGTGGTACGATCTTGGCTCACTACAACCTCCGCTTCCTGGGTTCAAGCAATTCTTCTGCCTCAACCTCCCAAGTAGCTGGGACTACAGGCATGTGCCACCACACCTGGCTAATTTCTGTATATTTAGTAGAGATGGGGTTCACCATGTTGGCCAGACTGATCTCGAACTCCTGACCTCAAACAATCCACCCAACTTGGCTTCAAAAGTGCTGGGATACAGATGTGAGCCGCGGTGCCCGGCCAAATTTTTTTTTTTTTTTGAGACGGAGTCTTGCTATTGTCGGCCCAGGAGTGCAATGGCATGTTCTCAGCTCACTGCAACCTCCGCCTCCCAGGTTGCAGCAATTCTCCTGCCTCAACCTCCCAAGTAGCTGAGATTACAGGTGCCCACCACCATGCCTGGCTAATTGTTTTTGTGTGTGTGTGTGTGATAGAGTCTCACTCCGCTGCCAGGCTGGAGTGCCATGGCACAATCTCGACTTATTGCAACCTCTACCTCCCGGGTTCAAGTGACTCTCCTGCCTCAACCTCCTGAGTAGCTGGGACTACAGGTGCACGCTACCACGCTCAGCTAATTTTTTTGTATTTTTAGTAGAGACGGGATTTCATCATGTTGGCCAGGCTGGTCTGAAACTCCTGACCTCAGGTGATCTACCCGCTTCGGCCTCCCAAACTGCTGGGATTACAGGCATGAGCCACCATGCCCAGCCCCGGCCAAATTTTTGTATGTTTCATAGAAATGAGGCCTCACAATGTTTCATAGGCTGGTCTCGAACCCCTGGCCTCAAGCAAACCTCCCTCCTCGGCCTCCCAAAGTGCTGAGATTATAGGCATGAGCATCGCTCACGGCCTCCACTGCATAATTTTAAAAGCACCATTGGTCTCAGTTGTCCCTACAAGCCAGGTGGCAAGGGGCCTGAGAGAACAGGTACAATAAACAGATCAATCCTCGCCAAGCACAGCAGCTGCTTGGGCTCCTGGTGTGGGGAGCGATATCACACGTGTGTTTACACTGTCGCCTGGATTAGGAAAAGCTTCACCTTCACCTTGGCCTTGGAGGAGTCTGAGGTCCACTGACCTTTTTTGGGGCCAATTCTGCCTTGTACTGGGGGATGGACAGAAGACAGGTTGGCAACCATTTCCGAGGAGGGGGGCTGTCTCATGCCCACCACCACTGGTGTTCTGGTGAACAAGAAGCAGGGCCAGGGGCCGGGCGTGGTGGCTCACACCTGTAATCACAGCACTTTGGGAGGCCAAGGCAGGTGGATCACCTGAGCTCAGGAGTTGGAGACCAGCCTGGCCAACATGGCGAAACCCCATCTCTACTAAAAAAATACAAAAATTAGCCGGGTGTGGTGGTGTGCGCCTGTAATCCCAGCTACTCAGGAAGCTGAGGCAGGAGAATCGCTTGAACCCGGGAAGTGGAGGTTTCAGTGAGCTGAGATTGCACCACTGCACTCCAGCCTAGGTGACAGAGTGCAACCCTGTCTCAAAAACAAAAGCAAAAAGAGAGAGAGAGAGAGAAACCAGAAAGTCTTCAGGACCAGAAAGAGGGAACCTGGGATAGAATGGATAGAATTTCAGGACACAGAGAACACAGAGCTGGCTCTGGGGACAGAAGCTGGCGGGGAGGCATTATAGGATGGACCACATGTGGGCCACTCACTGCTCCCCAGGTACATGTCTGTCTGGTGCAGGTGACCTGGCCCTGGCCCTTTTTTTTTTTTTTTTTTTTGAGATGGAGTCTCGCTCTGTCACCCAGGCTGGAGTGCAGTGGCGCCATCTCGGCTCACTGGCAGCTCTGCCTTCCAGGTTCAAGCGATTCTCCTGCCTCAGCCTCCCGAGTAGCTGGGATTACAGGTGCATGCCACCATGCCCGGCTAATTTTTGTATTTTTAGTAGAGACGAGGTTTCACCATGTTGGCCAGGCTGGTCTCGAACTCCTGACCTCAGGTGATCCGCCTGCCTCGGACTCCCAAAGTGCTGGGATTACAGGCGCGAGCCACCGCGACCAGCCAGCCCTTTTCTTCTCAAAGCAGAGTCGGGGAGGGGACCCTAAGCCAGGCCCTGACCCACTCCATGCTTAATTGGCAGCTGAATGGCACGGCCCCAGTGAAAGCCCCCCGCATCTGCCCTGCGGGAGGGAGACTTACCACTTACTTGGGCCCTGAGCATCTCGGTCTGGGAGGTCAAGGCTGTCACCTCTTTGTCCCTCTTGTTCAGCTTGTCCTGCAGGCCTAGGGGAGAGAGGAGAGACGAGAAGCATCAATGCTCCTGGACCAAAGCAGCAGTGGGTAGGGCCATGGCCCTCCCACAGGAGCTCTGTGACGGGGTCACACTTGGCCTCCAGGGTCCAAGTTCTTCCTCACTCCAGCCGTCTCGCTGGGTAACCCCTCCTGAAGAAGAGGACCTGACACTGGCCGGGCGTGGTGGCTCATGCCTGTAATCCCAGCACTTTGGGAGGCCGAGGCCGGCGGATCACCTGAGGTCAGGGGGTTCAAGACAAACATGGTGAAACCGAGTCTCTACTAAAAATACAAAAATTAGCTGGGCATAGTGGCAGGTGCCTGTAATCCCAGCTACTCGGGAGGCTGAGGCAGGAGAATCGTTTGAACCCGGGAGGCAGAGGCAGCAGTAAGCCAAGATAGCGCCATTGCACTCCAGCCTGGGCGACACAGCGAGACTCGGTCTCAAAAAGAAAAAAAAAAAAAAAAGAGGCTGGGCGAGGTGGCTCATGCCTATAATCCCAGCATTTTGGGAGGCCAAGGCAGGTGGATCACCTGAGGTCGGGAGTTCGAGACCAGCCTGACCAACATGGAGAAACCCCATCTCTACTAAAAATACAAAATTAGCTGGGCGTGGTGGTGCATGCCTGTAATTCCAGCTACTTGGGAGGTTGAGGCAGGAGAATCGCTTGAACTTGGGAGGCAGAGGTTGCGGTGAGCAGAGATCGCACCATCGCACTCCAGCCTGGGCAACAAGAGCGAAACTCTGTCTCAAAAAAAAAAAAAAAAAAAAAAGAAGACCCGACACTATGTGGTCTTAGGTAACCTGTCACAGCCTTAGTCCCCTCAAGTGAAAAACAGGGAGAACAATAACAGTGCTAACAGTGCTAACAGTGCCTAGGTCACCGGTCTTGTGTATTCAAGCCTGGGTGCTCCTCACAGCCATAAAGGACAGAATGGATGCCAAGTACCCAGAAACATCTCCACCTTCTGCAAGTTAATTTATAAAGGGAATGTAATACCACTAAAAATACCAACACGATTTTAACCTTTTTTTTTTTTTTTTTTGAGACAGGTTATCATTGTGTTGCTCAGGCTGGAGTGGAGTGTGCAATCATAGCTCACTGCAGCCTCGACCCCCTGGGTTCAAGTCATCCTCCTTCCTCAGCCTCCCGAGTAGCTGAGACCACAGGCATGTGCCACCACATCTGGCTAATTTTTTATTTTTTATATTTTTGGAGACAGAGTCTCGCTCTGTCACCCAGGCTGGAGTGCAGTGGCGCCATCTCAGCTCACTGCAACCTCCACCTCCCAGGTTCAAGAAATTCTCTTGCCTCAGCCTCCTGAGTAGCTGCGATTACAGGCATGCATCACCACACCCGGCTAACTTTTTTTTTTTTTTTTTTTTTTGTATTTTTAATAGAGACAGGGTTTCACCATGTCCGCCAGGCTGGACATGAACTTTTGACCTCAAGTGATCCACCCACCTCGGCCTCCCAAAGTGTTGGGATTATAGGCATGAGCCACCGCGCCTAGCCTAATTGTTTATTTTTTGAAGAGACAAGGTCTCACTATGTTTCCCAGGCTGGTGTTGAACTCCTAGGCTCAAGTGATCCTCCTGCCTCAGCCTCTTAAAGTCCTGGGATTACAGTGTGAGCCACTGCGCCCAGCCTGATTTAAAATTTTGGTGGAACTAGATGTGCCGATTCTAAGTCACTTATAAAAATGAGCAAGAATACCCAAGAGTTTGGCAGTTCCTCAAAAATTTAAACAGAATTACCATATGAGGCCAGGCGCGGTGGCTCACGCCTGTTATCCCAGCACTTCAGGAGGCCGAGGCAGGTGCATCGATTGAGGCCAGGAGTTCAAGACCAGTCTGGCCAACATTGCGAAACCCTGTCTCTACTAAAAATACAAAAATTAGCCAGGCGTGATGGCGCACACCTTTAATCCCAACTACTCAGGAGACTGAGGCAGGAGAATCGCTTGAACCTGGGAGGCGGAGGTTGCAGTGAGCCAAGATTGCACCACTGCACTCCAGCCTGGGTGACAGAGTGAGACTCCATCTCAAAAAAAAAAAAAAAAAAAAAATCATATGACCTAGCATTCTACTCTTCTAGGTATATACCCCAAAGCACTGAAAACAGGTACTTAACAAGTACATGCATATCTATGTTCTTAGCAGCATCATTCACAATAGCCAAAAGGTAGAAACAACCCAAATGCCCATCAGCTGAGGAATGGATCAACAAAATGCGGTATGTCCATACAATGGAATATCATTTGGCCACAAAAAAGAATGAGGTTCTTTTTTGTTTTGTTTTGTTGTCGTTGTTGTTGTTTGAGATGGAGTCTCACTCTGTCACCCAGGCAGGAGTGCAGTGGCGCGATCTTGGCTCACTGCAACCTCTGCCTCCCAGGTTCAAGTGATTCTCTCTGCCTCATCTTCCTGCGTAGCTGGGATTCCAGGCGCACACCACCACGCCCAGCTAATTTTTGTATTTTTAGTAGAGACTGGGTTTCACCATTTTGACCAGGCTGGTCTCGAACTCCTGACATGAAATGTTCCAAATAGATAAATCCACAGAGATAGAAAGTAAATTAGTGGTTGTGATGGGCTGGGGGGAGAGGAGGATGGAGAAGCACTGCTAGTGGGTATGGGTTCTCCTTTTGGGATGATGAGAATGTTTGTTTTCTCTTTATTTCTTTTTCTTTTCTTTTGTAGAGATGGGTTTTCGCCATGTTGTCCAGGCTGGTCTTGAACTCCTGACTTCAAGCAATTCTCCTGCCCGGGCCTCCCAAAGTGCTGGAATTACAGGTGTAAGCCACCAAATCCAGCCCATGAGAATGTTTTGGAAACCAGATAGAAGTGCTGGGTGTACTACATTGTTGACTGCGCTAAATGCCATTGAAGTGTTTGCTTTAAAATGGCTGATTGTATGTTATGTTAATTTTTTTCATTTGTTAATTTTATAACAAACCTGCACATGTCTATTTTATGTTAATTTCAGCTTAGTTTTTAAACAATAGCCAAGAGAATTTTGATAAAGCAGAGAAGAACAAGCCATGCCAGAAATTACAACATAGACAAAGCTTGACTAATTAAAACATTATAGAATTGGCACATGAAGAGAATAACAAGTCATTGGAATAGAACAAAAGTCCAGAAATAGAGTCAATTACATAAGTGAATTTAAGGACAATAAGGTTAGTAATTCCAATCAATGAGGGTTGGGGGGAGAAAATGACCATTTTCAAAAATAGTGTTGGGATAAGTGGGTATTCCTTTGGGAAAAAATAAAAATGGATCCTTATCTCACACTTATATAAGGATGAATTCTAGATGGATCAGAGATTTCAGCATAGAAAATAGGACAGAAAAGTACCAGAAGAAACCACTGGATACATTTTTTAAACTAAAAAAGAATTGATTTTTTTTTTTTTTTTTTTTTGGTGACAGGGTCTCACTCTATTGCTCAGGCTGGAGTGCAGTGGCATGATCGTAGCTCACTGCAGCCTCCACTTCCTGGGCTCAAGAGATCCTCCCGCCTCACCTTCCCAAGTATCTGGGACTATAGCTGCATGCCACCATACCTGGCTAATTTTTGGAGGGGGGTATTTTTTGTAGAGACAGGGTCTCACTATGTTGCCCAGGCTGGTCTTGAACTCCTGGGCTCAAGCAATACTCCTAACTCAGCCTCCCAAAGTGCTGGGATTACAAGTGTGAGCCACCATACCTGGCCTGATTTTTTAAATATCTGCATGGCCAACACCACCATAAGAAAAAAGTAAAAAGGCAAATGACAAAGTGGGGAAAATGTCTGCAATGTCATACATAAAGAGCTTCTAAAAATCAGCAAAAAGATCAATAACCCAATCAGAAAAAAATGGTCAAAAGACACAAATAGAAATGCAAATAGAAGCCGGGCATGGTGGCTCATGCCTGTAATCCCAGCACTTTGGGAGACCAAGGCGGGAGGATCATGAGGTCAGGAGTTTGAGACCAGCCTGGCCAACATAGTGAAACTCCATCTCTACTAAAAAAAAAAAAAAAAAAAAAATTAGCAGGGCATGGTGGCATGCACGTGTAGTCCCAGCTACTCAGGAGGCTGAGGCAGGAGAATTGCTTGAACCTGGGAGGTGGAGGTTGTGGTGAGCTGAGATCGTGCCACTGCACTCCAGCCTGGGCAACAGAGTGAGACTCTGTCTTAAAAAAAAAAAAAAAAAAGACCAGCCCCAACATGGAGAAACCCCGTCTCTACTAAAAAAAAAAATACAAAAATTAGCCAGGCGTGGTGGTGCATGCCTGTAATCCCAGCTACTCAGGAGGCTGAGGCAGGAGAATTGCTTGAACCTGGGAGGCGGAGGTTGCAGTGAACTGAGATCGCATCATTGCACTCCAGCCTGGGCAACAAGGGTGAAACTCCGTCTCAAAAAAAAAATGCAAATAGAAATACCTCTTAACTTCATCCACATAAGAGAAAGGTGAGTTGAAGTTACACCTTTTACCTTTCAGATTGGCAAAGATCACAAAGTCTGATCAAACGTTTTGTTGATGGGAGTTTGAGGGGAAACAGGTTTTCAACCACAGCTGGTGGGAATTAAAATTGGTTGAGCCCAATGGAAGTCAAGGTAATTTTCTACAGTGGTGTTTGTAATTGACCAAGACTGGAAACAGTCTACCATCTTTGTAACTGACCAAGACTGGAAACAATCTGTGATTGTTATCGGAAACCAGCTAAATACACAATGGTACCTCCACACAATGGAATATTCTGTACCCTGTAAAAGAATGTACTACTGATAAGGAACCCTCTCCAAGATACATTGTTAAATGGAATAAATGAAGGAGCTGAAAGAATGGAAGATATGGTACCATTTGTGTCACTTGCTTGCTCGTACCTGCACAAAATATTTCTGGAAAGGGGATATAAAGAAGCTAACACTGCGCCTTCAGGGAGGGAAGAATAGAGAACAGTGAAGAGTTAGTTTGCCATATGCCCTTTGAACCATTTGAAGTTTAGACCTGTTTTTAAAGTTTAAACCAGCTAGGCACGGTGGCTCATGCCTGTAATCCCAACACTTCGGGAGGCCAAGGCGGGCGGATCACGCAGTCAGGAGATCGAGACCACCCTGGTCAACATGGTGAAACCCCGTCTCTACTAAAAATACAAAAATTAGCTGGGCATGGTGGTGCATGCCTGTAATCCCAGCTACTCGGGAGGCTGAGGCAGGAGAATCGCTTGAACCAGGGAGTTGGAGGTTGCAGTGAGCTGAGATCACACCACTGTACTCCAGCCTGGCGACAGAGCGAAACTCCGTCTAAAATAAATAAATAAATAAAAGTAAAGTATAAACTAAATAAATAAATAAAAATAAAATATAAACCAAACAAATAATAAGGTTTGATATTCCATTAAGTTTACTATTCCGTTAAATCTGTTTCAAAAGAAAAAGAAAAAAAAGACAGCAACTTGGAAGGCTGGTGCAATGCCTATCCCTCCGTAAACTGGCCTCCTCCCTTGCAGGAGTACATAGCTCACAGCACACAGGAGGTGACTCTTACCAAATGGCAGATGATGCAAACCAAAATGTGACCCAGCAGGAAGGCAGAGCCAGCCAGCCTCTTCCCAGAGCCCAGAGTCCCGCCCGGCCTGGTGGCCACTCACCCTCCACAGTTTCCTTCGTCCTGATCGTCTCCTCTGAAATGTCATTCGACTCAATCATCTGCAAAAAGAGCCCCTGTAAGGGGGATGCTCACCTCTGCCCCTTGGCCCCAGCCCCAGCCAGCCCAGCAAGCACACCTGCAGTTTGCACACCCTACTCCTACAAAGGGGGACCTCAGTGACGGACTCAGGGACTTGCTGCGGTGGCAGGGAGTGCAGACGTCCTCAGTCGGACCTCCCTGACAACAGAGGACCCCCATTCTGCACCCAGCTCTGCTGAAGGCCGCCTGTGCAGCTTATACATGAATACCTCCTACCCTTCCTTTGTTGAAAATGTTTATTATATTAAACAGATGGCTCCTTCCCTGCAATGCCTACAGAAATTTGTCCTGGGAATTTGTTTCTCTGTCTCCCAGAGACAAGACTTCTGGCCTCAGTTTCCCATCCATCAAACAAATATTGGCTGCTTTGGGTTAGTGTGTGCACAGCGTGCTTGGGGCCACCTCCTGGAGGGACTTCATTAAATGCTAGCTTCTTTCTCTCCAACATTTCTTTTTAATAATAAACCCAGAGGCCAAAGAAGAAAAGACCTATTAAAAAAAAAAATCAGCCTGGCACACATCACTATGACAAAAGTCAAAACACAACCAATAGGCTCCCTGCCACTCTTGGCAGGAGTTTCCAGTCTCCTGCCCAGGCTGGCTGTCCTCCGAGCCAGCCAGAGTCTGGCACTGCAGATCAGGGAAGCACAGAGCTGAGTAGGCAGTCACCTCTATCATCCTGCCCCTCATACTTCTGTTCATACATCCCAAGTCCCATTTGAGTCTCAATTAGTTGTAATGAACTAAGCCCCTTGGATCATAATTTATATACGATGCAGTAATGAGGCTCACACTAAATTTTTCTTTTTCTTTTTTTTTGAGAAGGAGTCTCGCCCTGATATCCAGGCTAGAGTGCAATGGCTCAATCTCAGCTCACTGCAACCTCCACCTCCCGGGTTCAAGCGATTCTCCTGCCTCGGCCTCCCGAGCGAGTAGCTGGGATTACAGGTGCCCACCACCACGCCCAGCTAATTTTGGGGTTTTTTTATTATTATTTTTTGAGATGGAGTCTCACTCCGTCGCCCAGGCTGGAGTGCAGTGGCGTGATCTCGGCTCACTGCAACCTCTGCCTCCAGGACTCTGAAGCGATTCTCCTGCCTCAGCCTCCCGAGTAGCTGGGACTACAGGCGCCCGCCACCATGCCCGGCTAATTTTTTGTATTTTTAGTAGAGACGGGTTTTCACCATGTTGGCCAGGCTGGTCTCAAACTCCTGACCTCAGGTGATCCACCTGCCTTGGCATCCCAAAGTGCTGGGATTACAGGTGTGAGCCACAGCACCTGGCCACTAAAATAATTTTTAAAATTCCCATATTTACTACCTGAGACCAAAAGTCCAGTTGTGCTTAGGCCTAAACCTCTGAACATGGGGACATATGCGTTTAGACTAAGCCCCAGTGTATACAGAAAATCAAGAGATGGGCTTTTTTTTTTTTTTCCAGACGGAGTCTCCCTCTGTTGCCCAGGCCGGAGTGCAGTGGCACGATCTTGGCTCACTGCAACCTCCACGTCCCGGGTTCAAGTAATCCTTGTGCCTCAGCCTCCTGAGTAGCTGGGATTACAGGTGTGAGCCACCGCGCCCGGCCAGGAGATGGGCTTTCTGGGGCCACTACTACTTCTTGGTCCAAGGGCACCTGTGAATGAGGGGCAGGGACTGGGGGAGGCATCCTCAGGCCTCTGTCCCCCATGCTCTGTGGAACCACAGCAACCTCAAACCTCCCCGCTCAGGGAATTCAGTTCCTGAGTTGCAGGCTGTTTCTGCCTGCCCTGAACAGCTAATCAGGCCATGTGCACGTAAGCTAATTTGGGTTTCTTCCTTTTCTTTCAGCCCAGGATCCTGGAAGAGCACTTGCTAAAAAACAAAATCCCTTCCTGGGAGAAGGGGCAGGAAGGCCATTACAAGGGACCTCAAGGCATGATGCAAAAAGATTTCCTTTTAGACAAAAAAAGCCCCCTGGATTCATTAGTCCTGAGAACTTACTGCCCACATGCTAAATTCTCGGGTTTTTTTGGTTTGTGTATTTTCTTGAGTCACAGCCTCACACTGTCACTCAGGCTGGAGTGCAGTGGTGCAATCATAGCTCACTGCAGCCTCAAACACCTGGGCTCAAGTGATCCTCTTGCCTCAGCCTCCAGCGTAGCTGGGGACTACAGGTACACTACCACTGTACTCGGCTAATTTTTTATTTTTGTAGAGATGGGGTCTAACTATGTTGTCCAGGCTGGTCTCAAACTCCTGGCCTGAAGCAATCCTCCTGCCTCAGCCTCTCGAAATGCTGGAATTATAGGTGTGAGCCACCACACCCACCCCTAAATTCTGGTTTGAATATACATGAGGGTGGTCAGGTGCAGTACCTACTCCCTGTAATCCCAGCACTTTGGGAGGCAAAGGCGGGCAGACAGCTTGAGCCCAGGAGTTTGAGACCAGCCTGGGCAACATGAGGAAACCCCATCTCTACAAAAACTATAAAAATTAGCCAGGTGTGGTGGGGCACACCTGTGGTCCTGGCGACTTGGAAGGCTGAAGTGGGAGGCTCGCTCAAGCCTGGGAGGTTGAGACTGTAGTGAGCCATGATCATGCCACTGCACTCCAGCCTGGGAGACAGAACAAGACCCTGTCTCAAAAACAAAACCAAAAAAAAGGCCAGGGATGGTGCCTCACGCCTGTAATCCCAGCACTTTGGGAGGCCGAGGCGGGCAGATCACCTGAAGTCAGGAGTTTGAGACCAGCCTGGACTACCTGGCGAAACCCCACCTCTACTAAAAATATAAGAATTAGCTGGGCGTGGTGGTGCATGCCTGTAATTGCAGCTACTTGGGAGGCTGATACAGGAGAATTGCTTGAACCTGGGAGGCGGAGGTTGCAGTGAGCCGAGATCCCACCACTGCACTCCAGCCTGGGCAACAAGAGCAAAACTCCATCTCAAAAAAAAAAAAAATGTATGTGGGGGAACTGGAAACTCAAGAATCTCTGAGTACAATTTGTATACAGGCAAGAGTCCGTTGCTAGCCATCCCTCCTATGAATTAATTCCTGTTGTCTTGGGCACTCTCTGTCAGCCCCACAGGGAATGGGGTTGAACATCTCTGCCACTGAGAGGCTGTGGACCTGGGAAAGTCTTGGTTTGCTCACCTGTGAAATGGAGCCAGTATCAATCTAAGGATGTTAAGGTGAAATGGAGTCACATAGGGCCTGGCATAAGA
This sequence comes from Homo sapiens, assembly GCF_000001405.40. Taxonomy (NCBI): domain Eukaryota; kingdom Metazoa; phylum Chordata; class Mammalia; order Primates; family Hominidae; genus Homo; species Homo sapiens. The sequence goes on along the minus strand of NC_000007.14, from coordinate 74,377,564 downwards.
CGTGGTACCCAGAGCCACTCAAAAGGCCCTTCCTGGCCCTGGTGGAGTGGGCACAGCCCACCTGGGTGTTGACCTCCTCAGAGGGGCTGGGAGGATGGGTTCAGCTGAAGGAAGAAGGGGTAGATGCTTAAGGAATTTCTAGATTTGGAGCAAAATTGACATTGGTGACAGCGACCTCTTTAGGGCCACCCCCTCTAGCCTTCCAGACCCCACTCCGGGAACTCCCACATTCTGGGGAAGTACTCGTTGGCACCGTTGCTAAAGTCTCATTAGGACTGGCAGAAAGGGGGCTGCCGCTGATTCCCCAGGTGAGCTTCTAAGTTGGAGATGGGTGCCCCCAGGGGGATAGGCAGAGCTTGCCTTCAGGTCTGTGCCAGCCCCAGGGCACAGGGTCTGAGGTCCCGGGTCCTAGGAGCCCTGCACCCTAAGACATGTATGGGTAAATCAAAGCCCGTCCTCTGCACGGAGGTCCCATCTCTCCAGGTCTGCTCTGTGCGGGGGGATGCAGCCAGGTCAGCTCAGACCAGCTTCGGTTCTCCCTGGTCACCAGGGCGCACTGCCCCTCTAACAGAGGGCCAAGGAGCTCCTCCTCCTCTAAGCCAGGTGACCCCTTCCTTGACTGCCCCAGGCATGCTCTCGGGGACAAGGGAAATGCTTCCTGGGCTGCAGAACAGAGGTCAGCAAAAGGCCAAGCCCTCCCCAGCCCGACCCTCCCGCCCCAGCAGGAGGGGCAGGCGCCTACGTGGGTGTGCTGGGAGGAGCACAGGGCCTCGACCGCCTGGAGTCTGTTCTCAGCCACCAGGAGCTTCTCCCGCAAACTCTCGACCTCCTGTTTGCCCTGGGCTTCTGCCCGCTGCAGCCGCTCGTAGTCCAACATCTTCTTCTCGGCCAGCGAGATCTGCTCCTTGAGGAACTCGATAGCCTGCGCCTGGCCCCGGTACTCCACGTCCAGTTTTTCCAGCTCGTGCACACGCAGCTCGGCATCCCGGCGCTGGTCCTGGGCCTCCTGCAGCTCCAGCCGGTGCTGGCTGGCTTGCACCTCCAGCTGGGCCCGCCAGTGCCGCTGCAGCCCAGCCAGCTCCTCCTGGGCCTCCTGCAGCTTCTCTCGCAGGGCCTCCTTCTCCTTCACGTGCATGGCGGTCTCCAGGTCATGCTTGGCCTGCAAGTTACCCAGCTCCAGCTGGTGCTCCATCTTGATGCCCTCCATCACTGCCTTCAGCTCGCCGATCTCCTTCTGCTGGGCGCCTGGGCCCGAGTTCAGGGTGGCTTTGAGGTCCTCCAGGGACTTCTGGTGGTCCGAGGCCAGCGAGTCCAGCTTGGATTTCCAGTTGTCCATTAGCCCCATGTTCTCGCTGGTGGCCTGCTGAACCTTGTCCTTCAGGCCCGCCACCTCCTGTGCGTACTTCTCGTTGGCCGCGCGGAGCTTGTCCACCTCCGCCTGGTAGGCCTTCAGGGCCTTCTCGTATTTATCCCGCAGCACCCCACTCTCCCTCTGGTGTTCCTTGCTGGCCGAGAGCAGCCGCTCCCGTAGCCGCAGGATCTCGGCGGCGTCTGGGTGGTCCGGAGGTGGGGGACCCGAGTGCAACAGGCACTGCTGGAGCTCCTCGATTTCACCTCGGCGCAGGGTGAGCTCCTCCTCCAGCTGCAGCACGCGCGACTTCTCGGCCACTGTGGTCAGCTGTGGGGAGAGAGGGAGACAGGGATCAGCGGGCTGGCTGGCTGGCTGGAAGGTAAGGAGGGCACAATGGTGGGGGCCGGGTAGGGGGCGTCCATTCGAGGGCACCAGCCCCAGCAGGTGGAGGTCATGGGAAGGGAAAGGCGCTCACTCCCTCCTGAGTGCTGGCTGGATGTAGAGGCCTGGCCCATCACAGTATCCAGAAAGACTTCCCTGGCTGTACCCCAAAGATTCAGAGCCAACTGTCGCCACTCCTCTACCTAGGTGGCTTGGACAAATTGGTGGTTAAAAGAAACCACCTATTTGAGGTTACAGCTTTTTTTTTTTTTTTTTTTTTTTTTTTGAGTCTCGCTCTGTCACGCAGGCTGGAATGCAGTGGCGTGATCTCACCTCACTGCAACCTCTACTTCCCAGGTTCAAGCGATTCTCCTGCCTCAGCCTCCCGAGTAGCTGGGACTACAGGCATGCACCACCATGCGCCTGGGGAATTTTTGTGTTTTTTTAGTAAAGATGGGGTGTCACTCTTTTGCCTAGGCTGGTCTCGAACTCCTAGCCTCAAGTGATCCACCCGCCCTGGCGTCCCAAAGTGTTGGGATTATAGGCATGAGCCACCGCCCAGCATTTTTTTTTTTTTTAAAAGAGACGGGGGTCTAGCTATGTTGCCCAGGCTGGAGTGCAGCCGTGCAATAATAGCTCACTGTACCCTCAAATTCCTGGGCTCAAGCAATCTTCCTGCCTCAGCCTCAAAAGCAGCTGGGACTCTATGGGCATGAGCCACCATGCCCAACTGAGTTAAAGTTCTTTGTATTTTTATTAAGAAATTTTTTTTTTGTTAACATTCTTTTTAAAGAACAGAGGCCACAGTGAATTTTGCATTATCCTGCCTTAGGAAGGATATCCAGCCCAAGGGGCTGGCTGGAGGCAGTGGCCAAGAAGGGTCCAGTTTAATGCTTAAAGCAGAAGAGGGTGCTCCCAGACCCATCTTTCAACAAAAAACTCTTAGAGGCTCCATTCTCCAAAAAACCACCTTGATCACGTTGATGGTCATAGATATGAAAATGATATATTTTCAAGCTTTAAATCTATTACAAGCTTTAAACATTTTGTTTCTGAAGGTATCCTTTAGTTCAATAAACTTATTGTTTTGTTTTTTGGTTTTTGTTTTTTTCGAGATGGAGTCTCACTCTCTTGCCCAGGCTGGAGTGTAGTGGCACCATCTCGGCTCACTGCAACCTCCACCTCCCCGGTTCAAATGATTCTCCTGTCTCAGCCTCCCAAGTAGCTGGGACTACAGGCGTGCACCACCCCGCTCAGTTAATTTTTGTATTTTTAATAGAGACAGGGTTTCACCATGTTGGCCAGTCTGGTCTTGAACTCCTGACCTCAGATGACCTCAGATGATTCACCAACCTTGGCCTCCCAAAGTGCTGGGATTACAGGTGTGAGCCACCACACCCAGCCCTGTTTTTGTGTTTTCATCAGGTTGAACCCTAGATCAAGATGCATTTGGAGGGCTCCGGCCGGTCCGCCGTGACTGGGTCAGTTTGTGCGTTCAGTCTTCATGCACATGAGTGTGTACCGTACAAGCACATGGTCACTGAGCAATGGCCAGTGTGTGCAAATGGACCCTGTGTGTCTCTGGACACCTGCACACATGCACACAGCCACTTGTGCACGGAGACCAACATGCAGAAACTGACCACTGCTCCTTCTACATCTACATACTGTTTATGGGGTGCTTTTCCAGTCATCACTTGCTGCCTGTTTTTGCTTGCTCTCAGAGGGACTGCTGGGGGGCCGGCTGGCTGTTCGCATGTGAGTGCCTGCACAGAGTGCTGGGTCCCAGGCGTGCATGGTAAGCCTGGAGGGGACTGTGGGGCCTGGAGCAGGGACTCAGAACCATGCCCTAGGAGTCTGGAAGCCTCACCCACAAGCAGAGCTGTTCCATGGCTCCAGGACCCATTATAACACCATTCCCTGGGGACACCTCCACTCCCTCAAAAGCCCCACCCCTTCCTCAGCCCCAGGTCCTTCAGCCCAGCCCCCTCCTGCACCCATGTTTCAGGCTCTCTGGGCCAGAGAAACCGGGAAGAGATCTGCAGTTCCTGACCTCCTTCCTCTCCCCAGCCTCCTCAGCTGGGGAGACAGGAGACATGGATCAGTGGTTTCTAGGTCTGCCTACATAGAGACAGGACATTCCCAGGAACTCCAACACTTTGTCATGGCAATGCATCGGGGAGACTGGGGGGTCTCACAGGACGTTCTCAGCTGCTGGGGCAATAAGCTGGGGAGCCAAGTCCCAAAAAACAAAGACCACCCCCACCCCCAACTCCACCCCAATAAGCAACACTGAGCCAGGGAACATAAGCACATTTCTTTTTGTTTTGTTTTTGAGGCGGAGTCTCACTCTGTCACCCAGGCTGGAGTGCAGTGGCACGATCTCAGCTCACTGCAACCTCCACCTCCCAGGTTCAAGCGATTCTCCTGCCTCAGCCTCCCAAGTAGCTGGGATCACAGGCATGAGCCACCACGCCCAGCTAATTTTTATATTTTTAGTAGAGATGGGGTTTCACCATGTTGGCCAGGCTGGTCTCGAACTCCTGACCTCAGGCGATCCACCCTCCTTAGCCTCCCAAAGTGCTGGGATTACAGGCGTGAGCCACCGCACCCGGCCACATAAGCACATTTCTAAATCTTGACTTCCCTCCTCCAAGGGGATGCAAAAATAAAAAATAAAAATAAAAAAGATGATAGCAGCTAAAGAAAGAGAGTCAATAATGAAACAGAGAAGCCAGAGGGGGCATCAAAGGGCAAGGTGGCTGGCGGGCCAGGCGGGTGCGGTGGCGCGGTTACCCTGTTGTCCGCTAATTCTCGGAGCAGCCGCTCGGCCTGCGCCTTCTCCAGTAGCAGGCTCTGTTCCAGCTCCCCAATGCGCGCGTGCTCCAGCTGCGTCTGGGTCTGGTCCACCCAGGGTGGACACGGTGGGGGGGTGGGGGCGGGGACGCAGGGAGGGGGGCACAGGGAAGAAGAAGCCGGAGAGAGAGAGAAAGAGAGAGAGAGAGAGAGGAGGCGTCATCTTCCGTGAACAAGGCGAGGAGAGTAGATTCATGAGCCAGAATTGCTCAGCGAAAGAGAGGAAGTCTGGGGAGGCGAGGGGTGTGGGGCCTCATGCCCACCCCTTGCTGTGTCCCGGCTGGGTCAGTGTAGGGCGGTGGGGGGTGGGGGCCTGCAAGCCATCCTCCCTCGCTGGCCCCTGCTTGGGGTAGCAATGGGCACCTCGCTTTTCTGTCCCCCCCAACCCCCAACCAGCAGCCCTTGACCTTGAAGGTCCTCATCAAGGATCTGCTCCTGGGGAGGGGCCCATCCTGTTCCCGTTCCCCTGCAGGCTGTCACTGGTTGTAGGCAAAGCATCCTCCACACAGGAGACCCACAGGATGAGGAATAAATAAAGGACCCCGGGATTCCCGCTCGACTCCCCCCCCCCCCCAAGGCCTGTGCTAAAAGTGCAAGAACCCATAACACGCAAGATGTTTCCAAAATATACCCGACCCCTCACGATCCTCTTGGCCCCAGCCTCCTTGGTGGAGGCCGGGCTGTGCCTCCCACTCCCGGGCCCCATTGCTGCCCACCCCACCGGACCCCACAGAGGACGCCTGGTCTCCACAAATCACAAGGGCACTTTTGTCCCAGCTCGACAATATCTGCTTCATCTGCTGACAAAGGCCAGCATTCTCAGGGTGTCAAGACTGGCTTTTGCATTTCACAGAACAGATCTTGGAAGGGAAGCTGGGAGGGTGAGGACATTGGGAGCAGTTTGGAGACCCAAGTTCATCTTAGGGAGAAGCCAGAGGGTCCTCTTTATACTCCAGGAGAGAAGGGGTTAAAGCAGCTGCAGGGCAGTTCTGAAGGGGCGGGGCTTAGCAAAACAGCCTCTAGGTGTGAAACCTGTAATAAAACCCCGGAAGCTTGTCTATTGGTGAAGGTGTAAACGGACATCACCTGATTAGAAATACTCCTGCAATTCATTAAGAGACATTGAGATGATTATGTCCTTTGGCCTATTTTATTTCTTGAATTTTCCTTAAGGAACAACAAAAAAAGTTCTCTCTCTCCCCTCCTCTCTCCTTCTCCTCCCTCTCCCTCTTTGTCCTTCCCTTTCTCTCTCCCCTCTCCTTCCCACTTTCTCTCTCTTCTTTCTCCCCCCCGTCTCTCTCCCTCCTTTCTTTTTCCCTCTCTCCCTCCCTCTCTCTCTCCATTCCCCTCCCTGTTTCCCTCCCTCCCTCCTTCTCTCCTTCTCTTTTCCCCTCTCTCCCTTCCTGTCTCCCCTCTTTGTGTCCCTCCCTCTCTCTTTCTCTCCTCTCCCTCCCTCCCCCGCCTCCCTCCTGGCAGTGTGTTCCAGTGCCAACAAGAAGTCAGCATGTCTCTTCCAGAAAATCACAAGCTCCATCCCAGCCACCCCTATCCCCGTCGGTGGGCACAACAGCCCTGTCTGGAACCCTCATAGATGGTGCATGATCCTACACACTGAACTGGTAGCCCGCACAGGCAAGAAAAAGCCTCCAGCTTCGCAATTTCAAGGGCAACTTCATTCGGTCCCACTCCAAAGGACTCCTCCCCTCAACCTTTTTTTTTTTTTTTTTTTTTTTGAGGCATAGTTTCCCTCTTTCACCCAGGCTGGAGCGCAGTGGCGCGATCTCGGCTCACTGCAACCTCCACCTCCCAGGTTCAAGCAATTCTCCAGCCTCAGCCTCCCGAGTAACTGGGATTACAGGTGCCTACCATCATGCCCAGCTAACTTTTGTATTTTTGAGTAGAGACGGGGTTTCACCATGTTTGCTGGTCTTGAACCTCTGACCTCAGGTGATCTGCCCACCTCAGCCTCCCAAAGTGCTGGGATTACATGTGTGAGCCACCACGCCTGGCCCCTCAACGGGTTTATATTCTGGGGGGTGGGGAGGCAGATGCAAACCATAAAAGAATAGTGAAGATCATTCCAGACTGTGATTTGCACTATGAACAGAGCACTGGGGAGAGAGTAACTGGAATGAACGTGAAATAGAGGAAACATGTAATTTACAGTGAGTTCTGAAGGATAAGAAGGACTCCTTGTACAAGGCAGGCACAAGAGGAAGAGGCGCAAGTGTTTCAGGCCGGGGAACTAGCGTGTACAAAAGCTCAGAGGCAGGACACAGCTTGTGGTGTTCCAGAAAGAGAAAAGCCTGGTGTATGATAACTTAGGGGCAGGGGTGTGAGACAGGGCTGGGACAAGGCAGGGGGGTGGTGGTGGGGGGGAGGGTTGGGCCCTGGGGGTCTTCTCTGGCCCACTCTACAGAGCCTAGATGATATCTAGTGTCTCAGTGCTAGATGTGTGAGCAGGAAAGGGGCAGGATCTGATTTACATTTTTATTTTTAAATTAGTTTTTTTTTTTTTTTTGAGACGGAGTCTCGCTCTGTTGCCCAGGCTGGAGTGCAGTGGCGCGATCTTGGCTCACTGCAACCTCTGCTTCCTTGGTTCACACCATTCTCCTGCCTCAGCCTCCCGAGTAGCTGGGACTGCAGGCGCCCGCCACCACGCCCGGCTAATTTTTTGTATTTTTAGTAGAGACAGGGTTTCACCATGGTAGCCAGGATGGTTTCGATCCCCTGACCTCGTGATCCGCCCACCTCGGCCTCCCAAAGTGCTGGGATTACAGGCATGAGCCACCGTGCCTGGATTTTTTTTTTTTTTTTTTTTGAGGCAGAGTCTCGCTCTGTTACTCAGGCTGGAGTGCAGTGGAGGGAGCCTGGCTCAGCAACCTCTGCCTCCTGGGTTCAAGCGATTCTCCTGCCTCAGCCTTCCGAGTAGCTGGAATTACAGGCAAGCACCACTATGCCCAGCTAATTTTTGTATTTTTAGTAGAGATGGGGTTTCGCCATGTTAGCCAGGCTGGTTTGGAGCTCCTGACCTCGTGATCCGCCCACCTTGGCCTCCCAAAGTGCTGGGATTACAGGCATGAGCCACCGTGCCTGGATTTTTTTTTTTTTTTTTTTTTTTTGAGGCAGAGTCTCGCTCTGTTACTCAGGCTGGAGTGCAGTGGAGGGAGCCTGGCTCAGCAACCTCTGCCTCCTGGGTTCAAGCGATTCTCCTGCCTCAGCCTTCCGAGTAGCTGGAATTACAGGCAAGCACCACTATGCCCAGCTAATTTTTGTATTTTTAGTAGAGATGGGGTTTCACCATGTTAGCCAGGCTGGTTTGGAGCTCCTGACCTCGAATGATCCGCTGGCCTTGGCTTCCCAAAGTGCTGGGATTACAGGTGTGAGCCACCGCACCCAGCCATATTTTAAAAATTTTTATTTATTTATTTTTAGAGATGGGGTCTTGCTCTGTCACCCAGGCTGGAGTGCAGTGGCGCCATCATAGCTCACTGTAGCCTCAACCTCCTGGACTCAAAGGATCCTCCTGCCTCAGCCCCCCAAGTAGCTGGGACTACAGGCGTGCTACCATGCCTGGTGGATTTTTTATTTTATTTATTTTGTTTCTTTGTTTCTACTTTATTTTTGAGACAGAGTCTCACTCTGTTGCCCAGGCTGGAGTGCAGTGGTGTGATCTTGTTTCACTGCAACCTCCGCCTCCCTGGCTCAAGCGCTTCTCCTGCCTCAGCCTCCTGAGTAGCTGGGATTACTGGTGCCCACCACCATGCCCAGCTAATTTTTGTATTTTTAGTAGAGACAGGGTTTCACCATGTTGGCCAGGCTGGTCTGAATCTCCTGACCTCAAGTGATCCACCTGCCTTGGCCTCCCAAAGTGCTGGGATTATAGGCGTGAGCCACCACATCCAGCCAGAATACTTTAATTTTTGTAGAGATGGGGTCTCACTATGCTGCCCAGACTGGTCTCTAACTCCTGGCCTCAAGTGACCACCCTCCCACCTCTCCCTCCCAAGTATTGGGATTGCAGGTGTGAGCCACTGCACCCGGCCTGATTTACATTTTAAAAATATTTGGCCATATGACGTCTGGGATGTGGGAGGGGGCCCTGGGTCAGGGCATGGCTGAAATAAGACTGGCGGTGAGTTGATGACTGTTGAAGCTGAGTGATGGGTAAATGAAAGTTCATTATACTGTCTTCTCTATTTTTGTATAGGCTTAAAAATTTCCAACATTAAAAATGAAAACGATATTTTTAAAAAAGACTAGATTCAGTGTGGAGAATGGACTTTGGAGGAACAGAAGACGAAGGAGAGGGCTATCCATGGCATGGTGCTAGGGCCTGGTCCAGGGAAGCAGCTGTGCGGATGTGCATGATTTTGGAGGTAAGGTCAAAAGGACTTTTTTTGTTTTTTATTTTTTATTTATTTTATTTATTTTTATTTATTTATTTATTTATTTATTTTGAGATGGAGTCTCGCACTGTCGCCTAGGCTGGAGTGCAATGACGCGATCTCGGCTCACTGCAACCTCCGCCTCCCAGGTTCAAGCGATTCTCCTACCTCAGCCTCCTGTATAGCTGGGATTACAGGCGCCCACCACCAGGCCCGGCTAAGTTTTTGTATTTTTACTAGAGACGGGGTTTCACTATGTTGGTCAGGCTGGTCTCAAAGTCCTGACCTCATGATCCGCCCACCTCGGCCTCCCAAAGTGCTGGGATTACAGGCGTGAGCCACCGCGCCCGGCCTTTATTTTTTATTTTTTGAGACAAGGTCTTGCTCTTGCTTTGTTGCCCAGGCTGGAGTACAGTGGTGTGATCACAGCTCACTGCAGCCTCAACTGCCCGGACTCAAGCGATCCTCCCACCTCAACCTCCCGCGTAGCTGGGACCATAGGCATGCATTACCATACCTGGATAATTTTTCCATTTTGGGTAGAGACAAGGTCTCCCTATGTTGCCCAAGCTGGTCTCGAACTTCTGGGCTTAATCAATCCTCCCGCCTTGGCTTCCCAAAGTGCTTGGATTACAAGCATGTGCCACCATGCCCGCATTTTTAAAAAATATTTTTGTAGAAACACGGTCTTGCTATGTTGCCCAGGCTGGTCTCAAACTCCTGGGCTCAAGCAACCTTCCTGTCTCAGGCTCCCAAAGCACTGGGATTACAGGTGTGAGCCACCATGCCCAGCCAACTGTGTGGATTTGGGGGCCAATATCTGAGATGGGAACCGTAAGGGGGGTGGTGTTAGGGGAGGCCTGGATAGATGTGGTTAGGACATGTTCAATTTGGGCTGTGGTCCTGGGTTGAATAGTGACTTCTTAAATTTCATGCCCACTCAGAACCTCAGAATGTGACCTTAGCCAGGCATGGTGGCTCCCACCTATAATCCCAGAACTTTGAGAGGCTAGGGTGGGAGGATCGCTTGAGCTCAGAAGTTTGAGACCAGCCTGGGCAATATAGTGAGAACCCATCTGTATAAAAATTAAACAAAATAGGCCAGGCATGGTGGCTCACGCCTGTTATCCCAGCAGTCTGGGAGTCTGAGGCGGGCGAATCATGAGGTCAGGAGATTGAGACCATCCTGGCTAACACGGTGAAACCTCGTCTCTACTAAAAATACAAAAAATTAGCCGGGCATGGTGGTGGATGCCTGTAGTCCCAGCAACTTGGGAGGCTGAGGCAGGAGAATGGCATGAACCCGGGAAGGGGAGCTTGCAGTGAGCAGAGATTGCGCCACTGCACTCCAGCCTGGGTGACAGAGCGAGACTCCATCTCAAAAAAAAAAAAATTTTTTTTAAACAAAATAAAGAACAAATGTGACCTTCTTTGGAATAGGGTCTTGCACATGTAGTTAGTTAAAATGAGGTCATACTGGATTAGGACTGGATTAGAGTGGGCCCTAAATCCAGTGACTGCTGTCTTCATAAGATGTTCAAGTAAAGTGCCACACAGGCAAGGCAGCAAAGTGACAGGAGGCAGGGACTGGCCTGATGCAGTTATACAGGCCAAGGAGCATCAGGGGCTGCCGGCAATCCTCCTGGAAGCTAGATTGGAATAGATTCTCCAACACCTTGATTTCAGGCCTTTTTTTTTTTTTTTTTTTTTTTTGAGAAGGAGTCTCACTCTGCTGCCCAGGCTGAAGCGCAGTGGCGCAATCGCGGCTCACTGTAACTGCCGCCTCCCAATTTCAAGTGATTCTCCTGCCTCAGCCTCCGGAGTAGCTGGGATTAGAGGCGCCCGTCACCATGCCCAGCTAATTTTGTATTTTCAGTAGAGACGGTGTTTCACCACGTTGGCCAGGCTGGTCTCAAACTCCTGACCTCAAGTGATCCGCCGCTTTGGCCTCCCAAAGTGTTGGGATTACAGGCGTGAGCCACCACGCCCAGCCTTTATTTTAGACTTCTGGCTTCCAGAACTGCGAAAGCATATGTTTGTGCTGTTTTAAGCCACACATTTGTGGCTGTGCATTATTGCAGCCCCAGGAAATTGATACAGGTGCTTGCTTCTTCCTCAATTGGGTGGAGATGTCAAATGGGCATGGTACAGGGAGCTTGGGGAAGACTGTGGATCTTACAGGGGCTCATTCCAGGGCATGGAGGCCACAGACTGGAAGCTCTCAGGGTGAGTGTGGACAAGGGGTGAACGGACCTGGGACTGAGCCCTTGGATGGGACAATGTTCAGAGATTAGGAAGGAGGAGACGCCAGCAGAGGAGGCTGGGGAGTTGGAATGGGGGCATCTCATTGTGTAGTTGGGGCAGTGTGGACAGGAGGGAAGACCATGAGCCTGATAACCTTCTGGGGGTTTTGCAATAAAGACAGGCAGAGAGGTGGGGTGATAAAGCGGAGGGGGCCAGGAGGTCAAGGAGGGGCTCTGGCTTTTATTTCTGACTTTTAAGATGGGTGGGGGCCAGATGTGATGGCTCATGCATGTAATCCCAGCCCTTTGGGAGGCTGAGGCAGGATTGCTTGAACCTAGGAGTTTGAGACCCACTTGGGCAACATAGCGAGACCCTGCCTGGGCAACATAGTGAGACCCAGCCTCTACAAAAAAAAATACAAAAATTAGCTGGGTGTGGTGGCACACGCCTGTAGTCCTAGCTACTTGGGAGGCTGAGGCAAAGCATCACTTGAGCCCAGGAAGTGGAGGCTTCAGTGAGCCCAGATGGTGCCACTGTACTCCAGCCTGGGCAACAGAGTGAGATCCTGTCTCCAAAAAAGAAAAAAAAGGGTGGGGATGAGGGGATGAGTGGGACTTTGGTCATTTTGCCTTCTGGTTGCCATGAATATGATCACAATTCAGTTTGCTACAATAAAACGTTGCATGGGGAATTCTGCAGCCCTTTGGACTGACTTAGCTGTCACTGTCTGTCCCGCCCCCTGCCTCTCCCAGCCAGGGCCGGCTGGATCCGGGGTGGACCCCTATCCAGAGCCAGCCAGCCCATTGGCTATCCCTGGGACCAATCAGAGCCTCTCTCAATGACAGCTGGTAGGTAGTGGGCGGGGCTGGGAGAAGAGCAGAGCCGAGAAACACAGTGGGAAACAGACAGGAGGAGCCTGACCTCAGACACAGATCGGAAGGAGACCCTGAGTAAGGGGCACATGGATGGGCTTAGCTCCCGATGCTGTTTCTGGCTCCAGTCCCCTGAAATGCCTGCCCTTGGAGGCTGTGACCTTTCCTACAGCCCTTCAGTAAGCCCCCATGGTGACTGCAGCTGGCACAGGGGGGTCTCTGTTCCTGGCAAATACAGGTGCTTTTCCCAGAAGTCCATCCAACCCCTGCAGGAGAGCAACTGCCAATGGAAAAGTCAGCCAGGAGCAACCACATGGCCTGCCCCTTGGCCAAGAGGGAAACTTAATTAGAACATGCTGAGCTGGGCTGAGGCTCTGACGCTGGGTTGTGCCCCAACATCCATTCTTTTTTTTGAGACAGTCACACACACACACACACACACACACACACACACACACACACACACACACACACACACAACAAAAAACAGGCGCAATCATAGCTCACTGCAGCCTCCATCTCCCAGATTCAAGCGATCCTCTAGCCTCAGCCTCCCTGAGTAGCTGGGACCACAGGTGCACATGACCATGCTTGGCTAACTTTTTAAATTTTTTGTAGAGATGGGATCTTGCTACGTTGCCCAGGCTGGTCTTGAACTTCTGGGCTCAAGTGATCCTCTGCCTTGGCTTCCTGAAGTGCTGGGATTATAGGTGTGAGCCACCATACCCAGCTCCCTTGGTCTCTGAGCCTCAGTTTTCCTACCTATAAATTCTGTGACTCAGCAAGCTACTTTCAGCCAAAATTTTACCTGGAATCCAAGATGAACGAAGGGGCACCTTTAGGGCTATTGCCTAAGAAGAAGGGACAGGGGACCTCAGCCACTCTATCCTGGGGCCCAGCCCCCCATCTGCCCTGCCCTGGGTTCGTCCTGCCCACCCCATCCAGCTGCTGACACGGGGAGCACAGCTTCCCTGGGGGGCTCCTGGGGCTGAGCCACTAACACCTCAGACATCAGACCTTTGATCCTTCCCCATTTTCCCCCCCAGCCCCTTCCCCGGGGGGGCCTAGAGGTGCTGCTGGACCTCACAACCATCTGCCCTAGCAAGGGCCAGGCACCGGTGCTAAGTGTGCCCAGGGAAGGGGCCTCTGACTGTTACCTCCAGGTCTCCCTTGGTGATGGACTCCTCCTCCACGCGGAACTGCAGATCCTCCACCTTCCTGCAGGGGAGGGAAAGAGGTGGCTGACCTGGCTTTGCCCAGAGCAACGGGATTCACCGAATGAGCAACAGCAGAGAGAGGCAAGGCCATGAGAATGGCCCAGAATCCAGAGGCGAGGCCATCAAAATGTCCCACAGTCCTGGAAAGCTCTAGACCTCCCAACCTGCTGACCTGCACTCTAGGAAGAACCACCAATAACTCCAGAATGGCAGTGTTTAAGGCAACACCCTTCCTCCCCAGGGTGGTGGGAAATAAAATAAAGGGCAGGGTGGCCCGGGGATGTGAGTGACAACACTGTTTTCTTTCCTTCTTTCTTTCCTTCCTTCCTTCCTTCCTCCCTCCCTTTTTTTTTTTTTTTTGAGACAGAGTCTCGCTCTGTTGCCCAGGCTGGAGTGCATTGGTGTGATCTCGGCTCACTGAGGCCTCTGCCTCCACGGTTCAAGCAATTCTCCTGCCTCAGCTTCCTGAGTAGCTGGGATTACAGGCATACATCACTGGGCATGCAACCTCAATAAAAAATTTTTGTAGTTTTAGTAGAGACAGGGTTTTAACATGTTGGCCAGGCTGGTCTCGAACTCCTGGCCTCAAGTGATCTGCCCACCTCAGCCTCCCAAAGTGCTGGGATTACAGGCGTGAGCCTCCGCGCCCAGCTGACAACACTGTTTTCATCACTGCGGGGAACAGACACTACCACAAGGAACAACCTGTGGGGAGGAAGGAAAGGAGAGAAGGAAAGTGGGCTTCCTTTGCTGTTGATCTTGTTCTCATCACAGGCCTCAAAACTGGGGGTCAGAGACCCAATCCCCACTCCCAGGGCTGCCCCTGGATGTGGAATGCCCAGGCATCAGGGCTACCCTCAGGGAGACACACTCTGTCACACACCTGTCAAGACAGCGCAGGGGAGAGACACAGGCCCACCCCACCTTACAGCCACACATAGGAACTCAAGGCTGGGCCAGTTGCAGTGGCTCACGCCCGTAATCCCAACACTTTGGGAGGCCAAGGTGGGCGGATCACCTGAGGTCGGGAGTTTGAGACCAGCCTGACCAACATGGAGAAACTGTCTCTACTAAAAATACAAAATTAGCGGGGCGTGGTGGCGCATCCCTGTAATCTCAGCTACTCAGGAGGCTGAGGCAGGAGAATGGCTTGAACCCAAAAGGCAGAGGTTGCGGTGAGCTGAGATCGTGCCATTGCACTCCAGCCTGGGCAACAAGAGCGAAACTCCATCTTGGGGGAAAAAAAAAAAAGCTCAAAGCTGCTCTTCCTAGGGCCTCCTAACAGCTCTCGGCATAGCAATGAGGAATGAGGCCCAGAGAGGGCAGGCGACCTGCCGAAGGCCACACAGCAAGCACAGGACAATGCAGAGACTTGCACCCAGGCCCCTTCTGAACAAAACTCCATGATGCCTTGTGTTTGTGGCTGAGCACAGTGGCTCCTGCCTATAATCCCAGCACTTTGGGAGGCCGAGGCGGGTGGATCACTTGAGTCCAGGAGTTCAAGACCAACCTGGCCAACATGGTGTAACCCTGTCTCTACTAAAAATATAAAAATTAGCCAGGCATGGTGATGCGCACCTGTAGTCCCAGCTACTTGGGAGGCTGAGGCAGGAGAATTGCTTGAACCTGGAGGTGGAGGTTGCAGTGAGCCGAGATCACACCACTGTACTCCAGCCTGGGTGACAGAGCGAGACTCTGTCTAAAGAAACAAAAAAAAAAAAAAAAAAGAAAAGAAAAAGAAAAAAAGATCTGTGTTTGTTGGCGTCAGGCACATCGCCATGGGAACCAGATGTGTAGGCCACTATGGCTGTCTCAGGCAAATATAAATACACCCTCATCTCCCTGAATCCGACAGTAACAACAGCTTATGGAGCGCAGGTGCCAGCTGAAAGCCCACAGAACAGACCCAAGTGGGGGTGTTGGGGATGGGGGCTGGCTGCTGCCTGGGGACAGGGGAGGGAGATGTAGGTATCTGGGCATCATCTAGGAGGTAGAGAGGATCCCAGGCCAAGGCAAACCTCTGTCCACTGTCAGCTTTGTGTCCTACAAGGAGGTGACCCAGGACCAAGTCGGCCAGAGTCCCCACCGCCTGGTGTCTTTGGTTGGAGGGCTGCAGGGGAGATGGGTCCCACTTGTGACTTTTTTTTTTTTTTTTTGAGGCGGAGCCTCGCTCTGTTACCCAGCTGTACTGTAGTGGTGTGATCTCGGTTCACTGCAACCTCCACCTCCTGGGTTCAAGCGATTCTCCTGCCTCAGCCTCCCGAGTAGCTGGGATTACAGGCACCTGCCACCATGCCCAGCTAATTTTTGTATTTTTAGTAGAGACAGGGTTTCACCACGTTGGCCAGGCTGGTCTCAAACTCCTGACCTCAGGTGATCCGCCTGCCTCGGCCTCCCAAAGTGCTGAGATTACAGGCATGAACCACTGCATCTGGCCTTGAAAGCGATGACACCAGCGAAGCACACAGCACAGGGCTGACACCTGGACACAGGGCATTTCAGGAGTCCCTTGGCTGCTGTTTCTCTTAACTTCAGTTTCCTGATGTGTAAAATGAGAATGGATACAAAAAATTAGCTGGGCATGATGGCGTGTGCCTGTAGTCCCAGTTACCTGGAAGGCTGAGGTGGGAGGATCGCATGAGCCCAGAAGGTTGAGGCTGCAGTGAGCCATGGCCAAACCACTGCACTCCAGCCTGGGTGACACAGTGAGACCCTGTCTCAAAAAAGAAAAATAAAGGAGGCTGGGCGCGGTGGCTCACGCCTGTAATCCCAGCACTTTGGGAGGCTGAGGCAGGTGGATCACCTGAGATCAGGAGTTTGAGATCAGCCTGGCCAACATGGTAAAACCCCATCTCTACTAAAAATACAAAAATTAGCAGGGCTTGGTGGCCATGCCTGTAATCCCAGCTACTCGGGAGGCTGAGGGAGGAGAATTGCTTGAACCTGGGAGGTGGAGATTGCAGTGAGCCGAGATCGCACCATTGTACTCCAGCCTGGGCAACAAGAGCAAGACTCTGAAAAAAAGAAAGAAAAAGGGAGGGAGGGAGGGAAGGAAGGAAGGAAGGAAGGAAGGAAGGAAAGAAGGGAGGGAGGGAGGGAGGGAAGAAGGAAGGAAGGAATGAATGGAGGGAGGGAGGGAGGGAAAAAAGGGGAAATGGATTCCCAGGACAGGAGCTGTGAGCTCCACTCACAGGTCTCAGTCCAGGGTTGGGGAGGGGCGCACTGTGAGTGTGAACTGGCTCATGGTGGAGGGGTGGGGCATTCAGCCTTCTTCCTGGTGCACGGCTCCCCAGGGACACCTGGTGTGATAACCAGCCTCCCTTCCACCACCCCCAGCCTATTCCTCTTCTCAATATTCTGCTGGAGAGTGCAGGAACAGTGAACTCTATGCAATGAACAAATGCGGTGTTCCAAGGCCAGGCACAACGGTTCATGCCTGCACTTTGGGAGGCCGAGGCGGGTGAATAGCCTGAGGTCAGGAGTTCGAGACTAGCCTGGCCAATGTGCCAAAACCCCATCTCTACAAAAAATACAAAAATTAACCAGGCGTGGTGGGGGACGCCTGTGGTCCCAGCTACCCAGGAGCCTGAGGTGGGAGGAGCACTTGAACCCTGGAGGTCAAGGCTGCAGTGAGCTGTGATTGTGGCTCTGTACTCCAGCCTGGGTGACAGAGTGAGACCCTGTTTCAAAAAAATTTTTAAAAATGTGGTGTCCCTCTGTGCCCGGCACCGTGCTGGGTGCTTTACTCCAGTTATATGAAGAGTTCTCCCAACTGCCTGCAGAAGACAGGACCAACACCTCACTTTACAGATAGGAAGACTGAGGCCCAAGAGTTAATGTCACCAGTCCAGGGTGACACAGCCAGAGGCAGTGACAGGGGCAGGACTGGAACCTGGGTCCGCTATTCCCAAGCCTGCCCTCTTCCTCATCCTCCTTAAGGGGACTCAGGGCCAGGGCGAGGGTGGGCCAGCACGTACCTCCTCTCCTCCTCCAGCTGGTTGGACAGGTCCACCTTCTCTTTCCGCACGCTCTCCACGAGCAGCCGGGCTCGCTGCAGCTTCTCCTCGGCTTCTGCAACATACTGGGCCCCCAAGGAAGGCCAGGACAGGGTCAGCATGCTCCGGGGTATGGGGTCCAGGTTGGTGGTGTGGTGGGAGACAGGCAAGGAGCAGGGCCTGGAACCCCAGTCACCCCAACTTCCCTGCTGGCACCTGCCGGGCATGCACAGTGGGCCTAGGTGTGAAGGAGGGGACCCAGTAGGAACAAGAGAGGCAGAGGCAGGACCCTTAGGCCCACCTGCCCTCAGTACCTGCCTCCCGCCTCAACCCACAAGAGCCTAAGACCTGTTATCTTGCAAACCTGCTGTCTTGTCTGTGCTCCATCAAAGCACAGCCATGAACTTGGCCTATTGATCCTGGCATCCAAGGAGGGGCAAGCCAGACCCCAGATGGGGACAGAGGCCCAGAAGGGAACTCTCCCACGGGAGACAAACATCAGAGAAAAAACCAGACACGAGATAGCAGCAGCCCCAAGGCTTGGGGCAAGGAGTCACTTTCCTGAAATTCAACCCTAGAATCTGCTCAAAAAAATAATCTGAAATGGGCCGGGTGCAGTGGCTCCTGCCTGTAATCTCAGCACTTTGGGAGGCCAAGGCGGGCGGATCACAAGGTCAGGAGATTGAGACCATCCTGGCTAACATGGTGAAACCCCATCTCTACTAAAAATACAAAAAACATTAGCTGGGCGTGGTGGTGGGCTCCTGTAGTCCCAGCTACTTGGGAGGCTGAGGCAGGAGAATGGCGTGAACCTGGGGGGCGGAGCTTGCAGTGAGCCAAGATCACACTACTGCACTCCAGCCTGGGCGACAGAGCGAGACTCTGCCTCAAAAAAGAAAAAAAAAAAAAAGAAACCTGAAATGTAGACAGTCATACATTAAAAAAAAAAAAAAAAAGTTTACTGCAGTGATATGTAGAAAGAGTGAAAAATTGGCCGGGCACGGTGGCTCACACATGTAATCCCAGTACACTGGGAGGCCGAGGCGGGCTGATCACTTGAGGCCAGGAGTTCAAGACCAGCCTGTCCAACATGGTGAAACCCCTTCTCTACTAAAAATACAAAAATTAGATTAGCTGGGCGTGGTGGCACACACCTGTAGTCCCAGCTACTAAGGACGCTGAGGCAGGAGAATTGCTTGAATCCAGAGGCAGAGGGTGCAGTGAGCCAAGATCGTGTTACTGCACTCCAGCCTGGGTGACAGAGCGAGACTCTGTCTCAAAAAAAGTGAAAAATGGGAAATAATCTAAACAACAGGGGACTAGTCACGTCAGATGTCAGTAAGGACAAAGCCTGTGATAGACAGCAATGCAGACATCAAGATGGGGAAGAGGTGGGGCACGATGGCTTATGCCTATAATCGCGGTGCTTTGAGAGACCAAGGTGGGAGGGTCACTTGAGGCCAGGAGTTTCAGACCAGCCTGGGCAACATAGCAAGACTCCGTCTCCACAAAAAAATACAAAATTTAGCTGGATGTGGTAGCGTGCACCTATAGTCCCAGCCACTCAGGAGGCTGAGGTGGGAGGATCACTTGAACCCAGGAGTGGAGCTATGATGGCGTCACTGCACTCCAACCTGGGCAACAAAGCAAGGCCCTATCTCTAAAAGAAAAAAATAAAATAAAAAAAAAAAAGAATGATGAGGAATTTGCCAGGACCTAGAAAATGCTTGCAGTATAATAAGTAGCCGGGGAAGAAAAGCAGATTAGGCCAAGTGCAGTGGCTCACACCTGTAATCCTAGCACTTTGGAAGGCCAAGGATTGCCTGAGGCCAGGAGTTCGAGACCAGGCTGACCAACACAGCATGACCCCATCCCTATATTAAAAATATTTTAAAAAAATAAAAAAGCAGGGCTGGGCATGGTGGCTCACACCTGTAATCCCAGCACTTTGGGAGGCCAAGGCAGGCAGATCACTTGAGGTCAGGAATTCCAGGCCAGCCTGACCAACAGGGTGAAACCCCATCTCTACTTAAAATACAAAAATTAGCCTGGTTTGGTAGCAGGTGCTGTAATCCCAACTACTTGAGAGGCTGAGGCAGGAGAATCGCTTGAACCTGGGAGGTGGAGGTTGCAGTGAGCTGAGATTGCACCACTGCCCTCCAGCCTGGGGAACAGAGTGAGACTCTGTCTCATAAAAAAAAAAAAAAAACCCTTGCAGTGGCTCACACCTGTAATCCCAGCACTTTGGGAGGCCAAGGCGGGTGGATCACGAGGTCAGGAGTTCGAGACCAGCCTGACCAACATGGTGAAACCCCGTCTCTACTAAAAGTACAAAAATTAGCTGGGCATGGTGGCACATGCCTGTAATCCCAGTTACTCAAGAGGCTGAGGCAGGAGAATCGCTTGAACCGAGGAGGTGGAGGTTGCAGTGAGCCGAGATTGCACCACTACACCCCAGCCTGGGTGACAGAATGAGATTCCGTCAAAAAAAAAAAAAGAAAGAAAGAAAAATAATAAATAAATAAATAATTAAAAAGCAGGATATACAAGCTTGTAACCAGATTCTGAAAGTAGGTGTATGTATCCTTATACATAGGCAGAAAAGACTGGAAGGAAATTCACCAGGTCACTGAGGCTTATCTCTGGAAAGCGGGGGACAGGTACTGCTTGTGTTATCTTCATATTTCTCTGCACCCACCCCCTCCAGGGTCTCCGCTCTGAGTGGGTGAGACTCTATGAGGCTGGCTGGAGAAGCTCTGCCCCCAGCCCCACCTGCCACTCACCTGCTCATGCTGTGCCTTGAGCAGGGCAATCTCCTTCTCCACCTCGCAGATGTGGCTTGTGGCCTTGGCCACCTCAGCCCGTTCCAGGTCTCGTTCAGCCAGCAGCTGCTCAATGTGCTGCTGCTTCTCCTTCAGTGCCTCCTGCAAGGCCGTGGTGCCCGAGATCTTGCGGGCGTAGCGTGAAGAGGTCTCCGTGAGCTGCAGGAAGGTGTGGATGCAGGCGGGTCTCAGGGATCTGAAGCACTGCAGGGCAGACTGGCTCTGTCCAGCCTAATCTACAGCAACATAGCAGGTGGGAGCCCAAGTGCCTTGACTCCCAGGGTCCTGCTCTTCCCCTGCCAGTACTCTGACATCCTGGCCCCTGCTGACTCACCCAGCGGGGAATCTTGATGTTTGAGATTCAGGAAACTCCCCATCTCAGGAGAGTCAGCTCCTGATAGCCAGAGCCTCTGACTCCCTCACTTTGGCCACTTTTTCCTGGGAAAGGAGGAACCTCCAATCCTAGATTGGGTTTGGACAGAATGCCCTCTGCCCATAGCCACCAAGCAGCCTCCTCTTTTCCCTTCATCCAGGGTTTGATGCCAACCTTTCTGAACTCCCTGCCCTGCATCTGTATAACCCTCCTTAACTTCCAGAGAAAGGCTTAGGGTTCCAATAAATCAGTTATATAAAAACAGCAATAAAGGTAAATGGCTCAATTTTCCCTATTAAAAGATATGCACTTTCTTCTTTGTTCAAAAATCCCAAACTGGAACTAGAGTAAGTCAGGGGCAGACCAGAACACCTGGATCTCTTACATCCTCACCCCTCCCAAACGCACACCAGAGAATCCCCTTCTGCAGCCCCACCCTCACCAGGCCACTGCGGCTGGGCCGACCCCCCACGGAGGAGGCCACAGAGCTGACGGAGCTGATGGAGGAACTGCTGGGACTGTGGGTCAGTGCTGACACACCCATGGCCATACGCTTGGTCTTCTTGGCCTTGGCTGGGCTGGTAGATGGGAAGCCGATACGGATCACTTTGTGGATGGGCGCGAAGAGACCAAACTTGGGTGGGCACTGGAAGTACCTGTGGAAGCAGGAGAGACCCAAGCTGCTGTCACGGCCCCAAAGCCTGGAGAGCCTCCCCTGCCTCCTCTGCCTCTTCAGAGCCTGGCAGAAAGAGAGAAAGACACCTCCTTGGGGCCCATGTGGAAAGACACTCCAAGGTGGAAATCTTCCAGGTGGAGAGATAGGACTCTCAAAAAAAGGATATAGGTGAGTAGGGTCTGAGAGTCTCTGCAGCTGTGAACAGCCAATGAGAATACTCTTGGAAGTAGGAAATAATTACTGGGACCCACTTTGTGCCAGTCTCTTTAAATGAATGCTCATTTCCATCCCCCAAAGTTATCTACATTCACAAATGAGAAAATTTAGGCTCAGAGAGGTTAAATAACTTGCCCACAGTCACACAGCTGGTTACGCAGCAAAGCTGAGACTGGTCCTCCAGTGTGCTGGGCTCCAACACCCGCTAAGCTTGGCTCCCACAGACTGTTCAGAGACCCCAGCCACAGCTGCAGCCCCACTTTCAGGCTACCCTCAGACCATCCCCAGAATGAAGGATTCCCATCAGCTCTCTGCCCACAGAATCCCTGCATAGAGAAGCAAAAGCTTGAAAGAGAAACCTTGGGGTGGGATGGGGACTGCTGTCCAACCCACCCCTGAATTCTGAAAGCAAAAGTGAGTCAAAAGAAACATTCATCTTGCAAACAGGAAGGCAAAGCATTGTTATGGAAACCCTGGATTCTCGTCTTCTGTCAAGACCTCTCTGGTCACGGATTCCACACTGGACCACGAGAACTGGGCCCATCCAGTTTTTTTCTTTCTTTCGAGACAGGGTCTGGCTCTGTTACCCAGGCTGGAGTGCAGCGGTGCGATCATAGCTCACTGCAGCCTCAACCTCCTGGGCTCATGCAATCCTCCCACCTCAGCCTCCCAGGTAGCTGAAACCACAGGTGTGTGCTACTACGCCCAGCTAATTTTTGTATCTTTTGTAGAGATGAGGTTTTGCTATATTGTCCAGACTAGTCTTTAACTGCTGGCTTCAAGTGATCCTCCAGCCTCAGCCTCCCAAAGTGCTGGGATTACAAACATGAGTCACCATGCCTGGCCCCCATCCAGCTTCTGATTCACTTGAAACCGCTGCCCCATTCTGCCTTTTCCCACCTCCAGGTCTTTGTTCATACTGTGCTCTCAGCCCCTGCCTAGCACAGCCTCTCTCAAGCCTCTTCCAAAAGGAAACCCTACCTTCTTTCGAGGCCTGGTCCAAGCCTAGCTCTTCCCCTGTGCCATGGTGACCACTCCTGCTCAAAGCAGTCACAGCCTCGTCTCAACCACAGACTCCAGTACAGGGACTGCACAGGGACTCAGGTGGCCTCACCTTAGTCCACATCCGTGACAGACATGGTCCACTTACCACATCACTCCCCCACCTACCATAAGCCCAGACACAGCCTTAGACCCTCCTAACCCAGCAACGCCAGCAGTCAATTCCTTTTCATCAGAGATGCTGTGAGACCTGGAACCCATCTGTGAGGCCTGCCTCTGGCCATATAGCGCTGGGCATTGTCTGATTATTTCATGTGTCATTCAGGGGACCCCAATGCCAGATGACAGGGACTGCTGCCTCACCTTTTATTTATTTATTTATTTATTTTTTATTATTTTTTTTGAGACAGTCTTGCTCTATTGCCCAGGCTGGAATGCAATGGCGTGATCTCAGCTCACTGCAACCTTCGCCTCCCGGGTTCCAGCAATTCTCATGTCTCAGCCTCCCAAGTAGCTGGGACTACAGGTGCATGCCACCATGCCTGGCTAATTTTTTTGAGACAGAGTCTCACTCTGTCACCCAGGCTGGAGTGCAGTGGTGCGATCTTGGCTCACTGCAACCGACGCCTCCCCAGTTCAAGTGATTCTCGTGCCTCAGCTACCTAAGTAGCTGGGATTACAGGCGTGTGTCACCATGCCCAGTTAATTTTTTGTATTTTTAGTAGAGACGGGGTTTCACCATGTTGGCCAGGCTGGTCTCGAACACCTGATCTCAAGTGATCCACCTGCCTCAGCCTCCCAAAAGGCTGGGATTACAGGCATGAGCCACTGCACGCAGCCTCCCTCTCCTTTTTGAGGGCTCCCACCCCACTTAGACATGAGTGACACAAAGAAGAGAACACGGGGACAGATTCTCTTGGCGCTTGCCTGTGACTGTGCGACCTTGAACAATGACCTCCTGGCCTCCATACTCTCATCTGTAAAATGGGATGATAATCCCACTACCCAGCTTAGTGGGCTGTTGGGAAGGAGGGAATGGGAAAGGACTTATGGTGTCTGACACTACATGCTGGACACTCGCTTCCTCCAATGTCCCATCTCCATCCCCTGCGCCCACCCTGGGGAGAGGAGCCCCCTCCCATACTCCCCAGAAGAAGCCCACCATACCTGGTGCCCGCCACCGCCCCATCATTCTTCCCAAGGGGCTCGTCCAGCTCCACGCCACACCACTCGCCCTTGGCAAAGTCTGTCTCCCCCACGTACCGCACCACGCCAGTCTTCGTCCCGCCAACCTGTCGGCACACAGGGAGACTCAGGTCTAGAGGATGCAGTGGCACAGGCAGAGATGGCAGGGGCACCCAGCCCAGGCTTATCCCATCCATCCCTTCCAGCATGCAGAGGACACGGGAGCCAGGAGTGGGGAGGGAGAGACACCTAAGGATGATTGAGATGGAGACAGGTTAACCAGTGCCTCCCAGGGCTGACACAGGCAAGGGCACAGGCTTTGAAGACAGACACACAGACCTGCATTCAAACTCTGTCACTTAGAAGCTGTGTGTGCCTAGGCAAGTTATCTAACCTCTCTGAGCCTCAGCATCTTCATCTGTAAAAGGGTTTTCGGGGCTGGGCATGGTGGCTCATGCCTGTAATCCCAGCACTTTGGGAGGCCAAGGTGGGCAGATCACCTGAGGTCAGGAGTTCAAGACCAGCCTGCCCAACATGGTGAAACTCCGTCTCTACTATAAATACAAAAATTAGCCGGGCCTGGTGGTGGGCACCTATAATCCCAGTTACTCGGGAGGCTGAGGCAGAAGAATGGCATGAACCCAGGAGGTGGAGCTTGCAGTGAGCCGAGATTGCGCCAGTGCACTCCAGCCTGGGCAACAGGGCGAGACTCTGAGTCAAAAAAAAAAAAAAAGGGTTTTCGTGAGAATTAAGTACTGTATATACGGTGTCTAGTATATACTAGAGCTTCAATAAATGGTAACCCTAAAAGCAGTTTTTCTTTTTCTTTTTTTTTTGAGATAGGGTCCTGCTCTGTTGCCTAGGCTGGAGTGCAATGGTATAATCATAGCTCACTGTAGCCTCAAACTCTTGGGCTTAAGCAATCCTCCCACCTCAGCCTCCTGAGTAGCTGGGACTATAGGTGTGTGCCACCATACCCAGCTAAGTTTTTAAAAAATTTTTTGTAGACACAGGATCTTGCTATGTTGCCCAGGCTGGTCTCAAATTCCTGGTCTCAAGCAATCCTCCTGCCTCAGCCTCCTGAGTAGATGGGGCAATAGGTATGTGCCACCACACCCAGCTAAGTTTTTAAAAATTTTTTGTAGACACAGGGTCTTGATATGTTGCCTGAGCTGGTCTGGAACTCCGGGCTTCAAGCAATCCTCCTGTCTCAGCCTCCCAAAGGGCTGGGATTTATAGGTGTGAATCACCACACCTGGTCCATATCTAAAAATTTTTTTTTTTTTTTGAGACAGTGTTGATTCTCCTACCTCAGCCTCCTGAGTAGCTGGGACTACAGGTGCGCGCCACCACGCCCAGCTAATTTTTGTATTCCATATCTAAATTTTGATCTGACTCCAGGATTGCAGTACTATGACTAAGTAGATAGTACTCATAGATGAGGATGATGTATTGTAGTTACTTTTCCTTTCCAGAAATTTTTTTTTCCTATAAATAACTATCTTTGATGATTGTCTGCCTAGTGTTTTTTTTGTTTTTGTTTTTGTTTTAAGACAGAGTCTCACTCTGTCGCCCAGGCTGGAGTGCAGTGGCACGACCTCAGCTCACTGCAACCTCCACCTCCCGAGTTCAAGTGATTCTCCTGCCTCAGCCTCCTGATTAGCTGAGACTACAGGCATGCACCACCATGCCCGGCTAATTTTTTTGTATTTTTAGTAAAGATGGGGTTTCACCATGTTGGCCAGGCTGGTCTCGAACTCCTGACCTCAAGTGATTCACCTGCCTTGGCCTCCCAAAGTGCTGGGATACAGGTGTGAGCCACTGCACCTGGCCTGTCTGCCTAGTTTTAATAGTCTCAATACTAATTCAACCCCAACTCTTTCAATAGTCTAAATCTCCTGCCAAGATGCTCAGAGGCATTGGGAATTTTATCAAGTTCTTTCTGAAGATGTCTCTCCCGGGACCCACTCCCAGCTGGGCTGGCTGCTGGCCTCTCTGGAGTGCGGCCATTGGCCTGGAGTCTCCTGTCAACCATTTCACCTCTGTCCTGGGCTTGCTCCTGTTTTCTGGATCCCCTGACTCTTCTTTCTTGGTTTACTACTTATTTTAGGTTATGTTATTGTATTTTATTTTATTTTATTTATTTATTTTGAGACGGAGTCTCACTCTGTCGCCCAGGCTGGAGTGCAATGACGCGATCTCCGCTCACTGAAACCTCCGCCTCCCAGGTTCAAGCGGTTCTCCAGCATCAGCCTCCGGAGTAGCTGGGATTATAGGCGTTTGTCACCATGCCCGGCTAATTTTTGTATTTTTAGTAGAGACGGGGTTTCGCCATGTTGGCCAGGCTGGTCTCGCACTTCTGACCTCAGGTGATCTGCCCTCCTTAGCCTCCCAAAGTGATGGGATTACAGGTGTGAGCCACCACGTCTGGCTGGTTTACTACTTATTTTAGTAGAGCACATCTTCCCACAGCTTTCTAAGAAAAGATGCACGAGGAGGTAAATTTTCGAGCTTTCTATATCTGAAAATGTTTTATTCTTTTTTTTTTTTTTTTTTTTTTGACACTGGAATGCAGTGGCGTGATCTCGGCTCACCACAACCTTGGCCTCCTGGACAAGCGATCCTCCCACTTCAGCCTCCCAAGTAGCTGGGACTACAGGCACAGGGCACCACGCCTGGCTATTTTTTGTAGAGATGGGGTTTCGTCACATTGCCCAGGCTGGTCTCAAACTTCCGGGCTCAAGCAATCCATTTGCCTCAGCCTCCCAAAGTGCTTGCCTCAGATTATAGGCGTGAGCCACCGTGCCTGGCCAAAATATTTTATTCTCTTTCTTTCTCTCTCTCTCTCTCTCTTTCTTTCTCTCTCTCTTTCTTCCCTTCCTTCCCTTCCCTTCCTTCTTTTTCTTTCTTTCTTTCTTTCTCTTTCTTTCTTCTCTTCCTTCCCTTCCTTCCCTTCTCTTCCCTTTCCTTCCTTCTTTCTTTCTCTCCTTCTTCTCTTCCTTCCCTTCCTTCCTTTCCTTCCCTTCCTTCCTTTCTTTCCCTTCCTTCCTTTCCTTCCCTTCCTTCCCTTCCCTTTCCTTCCTTTCTTCCTTCCTTCTTTCTCTCTCTCTCTTTCTTTCTTTCAACAGGCTCTCACTTTGTCACCCATACTGGAGTGCAGTGGTGCGATCATGGCTCACTGCAGCCTGAACTCCTGAGTTCAAGTGATCCTCCTGCCTTGGCCTCCCAAGTAGCTGAGATTACAGAACACACCACGATACCTAGCTAATTTTTGAACATTTTCTAGTAGAGATGAGAGCTCACTATGTTGCCCAGCCTGGTCTTGAACCCTTGGCCTCAAACAATCTTCCTTCCTCAGCCTCCCAGAGTGCTGGAATTACAGGCGTGAGCCACTGTGCCTGGCTCACTCTTTTTTTTAATGGAGGTAAAAATTCACATAATGTAAAATTTACCATTTTAACCATTTTAAAACATATAGGGCCCAAAGATGGTGGCTCATGCCTGTAATCCTAGTGTTTTGGGAAGCTGAGGCAGGAGGATCACTTGAGGCCAGGACTTTGAGACCAGCCTGAGCAATATAGTGAGACCCTCATCTCTATAAAAAATAAAATACAACAATAAAAAATAAACATACAGGCCAGGAACAGTGGCTCAAACCTGTAATCCCAGCACTTTGGGAGGCCAAGGTGGGTGGATCAGCTGAGCTCAGAAGTTTGAGACCAGCCTGGGCAACATGGTGAAACCCCATCTCTACTAAAAATATAAAAATTAGCTGGGCGTGGTGGTGGGCGCCTATAATCCCAGCTACTCAGGAGGCTGAGATGAGAATCGCTTGAACCCAGGAGGCGGAGGTTGCAGTGAGCTGAGATTGCGCCACTGCACTCTAGCCTGGGTGACAGAGTGAGACTCCATTTCAAAAAATAATAACCATCATCCCAAAGAGAAGCCCCATACCCAGGAGAAATCACTGCCTGTTCCATCTTCCTGACAGCCCCTGACAACCCTTAGTCTATTTCTATCCTATCGCTACAGATTTGTCTCTTCTGGACACTTCATAGAAATGGAATCACACGGCTGGGTGCAGTGGCTCATGCCTGTAATCACAGCACTTTGGGAGGCCGACGCAGGTGGATCACTTGAGGTCAGGAGCTAAAGACCAGCCTGGCCAACATGGTGCAACCCTATTTTTACTAAAAATACGAAAAATTAGCGGGGCGTGGTGGTGCACGCCTGTAATGCCAGGTACTCCGGAGGCTAAGACAGGAGAACCTGTGAGGCAGAGGTTGCAGTGAGCCGAGATTGTGCCATTGCACTCCAGCCTGGGTGACAAGAGTGAGACTTTATCTCAAAAGGAAATGGAATCACACAATATGTGGCCATTTGTGTCTGGCTTCTTTCACTTAGCATCATGTTTTCAAGGTCCAATCATATTGCAGCAGGTATCACTACCCCACTGATTTTTAATTTTTATTTACATATATATATATATATATATATATATATATATATATATATACACACACACACACACATACATACTTTTTTTTTTTTTTTTTTGAGACAGAGTCTCGCTTTGTTGCCAGGCTGGAGTGCAGTGGCACGATCTCAGCTGACCGCAACCTCTGCCTCCTGGGTTCAAGTGATTCTCCTGCCTCAGCCTCCCTAGTAGCTGGGATTACAGGCACGTGCCACCACGCCCAGCTAATTTTTGTATTTTTAGTAGAGACGGGGTTTTTCCATGTTGGCCAAGATGGTCTCGGTCTCTTGACCTTGTGATCTGCCCGCCTTGGCCTCCCAAAGTGCTGGGATTACAGGCGTAAGCTACCATGCCCGACCAGTACTTCATTCGTTTTGTGGCCAAATAGTATCCCATGGCATGGGCAGAATGCATTGTGCTTGTCCATTTATCTGTTGATGGACAATTGGGTTGCTTCCACTTTTTGGCTATTATGAATAATGTTGCTATGAATATTCTTGTACAAGATTTTTTTAAATTTTTTCTTGTATAGGCGAGGTTTCACCATGTTGCCCAGGCTGGTCTCAAACTCCTGAGCTTAAGTGATCTGCCCGCCTTGGCCTCCCAAAGTACTGGGATTACAGGCATGAGCCATCACGCCTGACCTACTTGTACAAGTTTTTGTGTGAACATCTGTTTTGAATTCTCTTGCTACCCTCATTCTTTTTTTTTTTTTTTTTTGAGACAGAGTCTCGCTCTGTTGCCCAGGCTGGAGTGCAGTGGTGCAATCTCGGCTCACTGCAACCTCCGCCTCCTGGGTTCATGCCATTCTCCTGCCTCAGCCTCCCAAGTAGCTGGGACTACAGGCGCCCGCCACCATGCCTGGCTAATTTTTTTGTATTTTTAGTAGAGACGGGGTTTCACCGTGTTAGCCAGGATGGTCTCGATCTCCTGACCTTGTGATTCACCTGCCTCGGCCTCCCAAAGTGCTGGGATTACAGGCGTGAGCCACCGCACCCGGCCCTCTCATTCTTTTTTTAAGAGACAGGGTCTCAGTATGTTGCCCAGGCTGATCCCAAATTCCTAGGCTCAAGGGATCCTCCCATCTCAGCCTCCCAACGCACTGGGGTTACAGGTATGAGCCACGTCACCCAGCCACAATGAGGTGCTTTGATGTGAGCCTTTTTCCATCCACTGTCCTGGGCTCCTAGGGGCCCTTTCAATCAAGAAACACCCTTATCAATCTGGGGAATTTTCTTGAATTAATTATTTGATTTTCTCCCCTCCTTTTTCTCCATTCCTCTTTTCTGTAAATAGGTTCTCTAATGTTCTTCTCTTTTGGCTCCTGTTTTTGTTTTTTTTTGAAATGGAGTCACTCTGTTCCCCAGGCTGGAGTGCAGTGGCATGATCTCGGCTCACTGTAACCTCTGCCTCCCAATTCTACGGCCTCATTCTCCCGAGTAGCTGAGACTACAGGCACCTGCCACCACGCCCAGCTAGTTTTTGTATTTTTAGTAGAGATGGGGTTTCACCATGTTGGCCAGGCTGGTCTGGAACTCCTGACCTCAAGTGATCCGCCCGTCTTGGCCTCCCAAAGTGCTGGGATTACAGGTGTGAGCCCCCGCCCCTGGGCTGTTTCCTTTCTGTTCTAGTTCCTGAAATATTTTCTTATCTTTATCTTCTAACACTTCTGTGCAGTTTCTTATTTCTGTGATATTTTTCATTTCCCAGAGCTGAATATTTATACAACATGAATATTCATGCTCATGAATATTCATAGTCACATATTCAGTGGCGTTTTTGTTCATATTTAATGCCTGTATCACCTTCTCTTATTTCTCAGAGGACCAGCTGTTTTCTCCAGAGAAGTTTCCTGTAATCTCCATTGTAGAGGGAGTAGGCGTGGCCGCCAGGGCTCAGGGAGCCGCGTGGGGGTAAGGGGGACTTAGAGTACAGCGCGTTTGGCCGGACGCGGTGGCTCACGCCTGTAATCCCAGCACTTTGGGAGGCCGAGGCGGGCAGATCACGAGGTCAGGAGATCGAGACCAGCCTGGCCAACACAGTGAAACCCCATCTCTACTAAAAATACAAAAAATTAGCCAGGCGTGGTGGCGGGCACCTGTAGTCCCAGCTACCCGGGAGGCTGAGGCAGGAGAATGGCGTGAACCCGGGAGGCGGAGCTTGCAGTGAGCTGAGGTCGCACCACTGCACTCCAGCCTAGGCGACAGAGTGAGACTCCATCTTAAAAAGAAAAAGAATACACATGTTCACTTCATCTACCTTTTTCAGTCCCTCCTGCCTGGGACCCCTCTATCCAATAATTCTCTGTCATCCTCTCAGGAGACCAAGTGTCCATACCAGACATCAGCTAGAGGAACAGTCACCAGGCAAGGGGAACAGTCACCAGGCAACGAGTAGTCATCAGGCAAGGCAGGAACGGGGACGGGGCAAGGGATCTAAGGTGTTTTTCTTTTTGTTTTGTTTTGTTTTTAGAGGTAGGGTCTCCCTCTGTCACCCAGGCTGGAGTGCAGTGGTGCATTCATGGCTCACTGTAGCCTCGAACTTCTGGGCTCAAACAGTCCTCCCTCCTCAGCCTCCTGAGTAGTTGGGACTGGAGGCATGCGACACCACACTTGAATAATTTTATTTTTTATTTTTTTGTAGAGACAGGGTCTCACTCTGTTGCCCAGGCTGGTCTGGAACTGCTGGGCTCAAGCAATCCTCCCACCTCAGCTTCCCAAAGTGCTTGGATTACAAGTGTGAGCCACTGTGCATGGCCAGTGTTTTGTTTTTTTTTTTTTTTTTTTTTTTTGAGAATCTTACTCTGTCTCCCAGGCTGGAGTGCAGCAGCGTGATCTCAGCTCACTGCAACCTCTGCCTCCCAGGTTCAAGTGACTGTCCTGACTCAGCCACCTGAGGAGCTTGGATTACAGGCGTGCGCCACCACACCCAGCTAACTTTTGTATTTTTAGTAGAGACGGGGTTTTGTCATGTTGGCCAGGCTGGTCTTGAACTCCTGGCCTCAAGTGATTCACCCACCTTGGCCTCTCAAAATGCCAGGATTATAGGCGTGAGCCACTGTGCCCAGATGCAAAGACTTTTAAACCAATTCTGTTCCTGGCCCCAGTGGCAGCCTCATTTCTAGAGGCCAACATGCGGCCAGTTACTGAACATCTAGGGTTTCCGGATGGACACTGATTGCTTCTCCTCTTCCCCTACCACTAGCTCTTTTAAAAAAATTTATCTTCATAGCTGCATGTGGTGGCTCACACCTGTAATCCCAACACTTTGGGAGACTGAGAAAGGAGAATTGCTTGAGCCCAGGAGTTCAAGACCAGCCTGGGCAACATAGCAAGACCCCTCTCTACAAAAAAAAATTAAGAAATTAGCTGGGTGTGGTGGCACACACCTGTAGTCCCAACTACTCAGGAGGATGAGTTGGGAGGATCGCTTGAACCCAGGAGTTTGAGGGTGCAGTGAGCTAGGATCATGCCACTGCACTCCAGCCTGGACAACACAGCAAGAAGCCATCTCAAAAAAAGAAAAAACCCAAACATCTCTTCAGTGTTGTTCTAGTGCAAATTCAGGAGAGATTGAAAATAAATGTGTATGTTTATTTACCATGTTTATCTGAACCTAAATATTTCTTTCTTCCTCTTTCTCTCTCTCTCTCTTGCTTTCTTGAGACAGAGTCTCATTCTTGTTGCCCAGGCTGGAGTGCAATGGCAGGATCTCAACTCATTGCAACCTCCGCCTCCCGGGTTCAAGCGATTCTCCTGCCTCAGCCTCCTGAGTAGCTGGAATTATAGGCACCTGCCACCATGCCCGGCTAATTTTTGTACCTTTAGCAGAGACGGGGTTTCCCCATGTTTCCCCATGTTGGCCAGGTTGGTCTCGAACTCCTGACCTCAGGTGATCCACCCACCCTCAGCCTCCCAAAATGCTGGGATTACAGGCATGAGCCACCATGCCTGGCCTATGACTTTCTAAAATGTTAATTTCATTTTACTTCTGGACTCACTGTAATACCAGCACTTCAAGAGGCTGAGGTGGGTGGATCACTTGAGGCCAGGAGTTCAAGACCATCCTGGCAACATGGAGAAACCCTGTCTCACTAAAAAATACAAAAATTAGCCAGGTGGGTGGCGCATGCCTGTAATCCTAGCTACTTGGAAGGCTGAGGCACGAGAATCGCTTGAACCTGGGAGGTAGAGTTTTCAGTTAGTCGAGATCGCGCCACTATACTCCACTCTGGGCGACAGAGCAAGACTCTGTCTAAAAAAAAATTAAAGAAATAAAATGTTAATTTCTCTTGACACCCCAAGTATGCCTCATTGTGCCTAAGTAAATCCAGCTCCCCAATTAAAACTAGCTCCTGTCCCACCATCTCCTAGGGCCAACTACATGTGCCTGGCACATGAAAGACAAGAATTCCAAATCTGACATTTCCATGAGGCGGGTACTGTTACCACATTCATGGAAGAAGAGACTGAAGTTCAGAGTAGCCAGGGAGTGAAAGAGACAGGTGGACCTCTTCTTACTACACTCTGTGGCCTTCTCAATCCCAGCTGGGCTTGATTCCAGACCAGATCCCACCCTCCTCTGTCTCCTCCTTGGGTAGGGCCCTGGTGTCTCTGCCATGGAGGCCCGTCTGTGAGACTGGGTTGTTCTCTCTGGTCTCTGGCCTTCAGGTGGGACTGCTTTCTCAGCCCCTCCTCTCTGGCACCAGGTCTCTGCCACTCTGTCTACACAATCAGTCTTGGATCCTGCTGCTCTGTAATTCCAACCTCGAATGTCCTTTCTCTTCCCTAGCCTAAATCCTCGATTAGGCTGGGCTCAGTGGCTCATGCCTGTAATCCCAGCACTTTGGGAGGCTGATGCAGGAGGATCGCTTGAGGCCAGGAATTTGAGGCCAGCCTGAGGAATGTAGCGAGACCCCCATCTCTGCAAAAAAAATAAATAAATAATAAAAATTAAAAAAATTAGGCAGGCATGGTGGTGCACATCTGTAGTCCCAGATTCTCGAGAAGTTGAGGCAGGAGGATCGCTTGAGCCTAAGAGTTTGAGGCTGCAGTGAGCTATGACTACACCACCGCACTCCATCCTGAGTGACAGAGCAAGACCTTGTCTCAAAAAAAACCATGCTAGGCACAGTGCCCAGTGTGAGGTATGCCCTCCCAGAAAGCAGTGTTTCAACCATAGGATGCAATCTACTTAAAGATTGAGAAGCTAAGGTCAAGATAGCCCAGCCCCCTTGCTGCTGCCAACCCTGCAGACAGGCCAGGGCTTAGCAGACACTTCTAGGGCAGTGGCAGTGCCCACCTCATGCCCTTCTCTTGCACACCACACCCAGAGATGGTCAGAAGCATCTACTCCCTGCAGGGAGAGCAGGTGCAGAGGGAATGCCAGGCGGGATCAAACTAGGGTTAAACCTACTGCTCCCCAATCCAGGGAGCAATCTGGGCTGGTCAGTAACCCCCAGAGCCTCCACTTCCCACCCCAACAGGGTCACAGGCCCATGCCCAGGGCACTCCCACGACATTAGTCAGACTGTGCACAGCCATAGCTCCTTGCAGACTATGACTCATCCTCACATCCACCAGTTCTCTCTCTCTCTCTTTTTTTTTTAAGACAGCGTCTCACTCTGTCACCCTGGCTGGAGTGCGGTGGTCCCATCGTGGCTCACTGCAGCCTTGACCCCCTGAGCTCAAGTGATCCTCCCACCTCAGTCTCCCCAGTAGCTGGGAGCATAGGCATGCACCGCCATGCCCGGCTATTTTTTTTTTTTTTTTGTATTTTTAGTAGAGACGGGGTCTTGCTATGTTGCCCAGGCTGGTTTCCAAATCCTGACCTTGAGTGATCCGCCTGCCTTGGCCTCCCAAAGTGCTGAGATTACAGGCACGAGCCACCGTGCCCGGCTGCCATCAGCTCTCTTAATGCTCTCCATAAAAGCATAAAGCAAAACAAGAGTGCTGGGCCATGGCCATTTTGCTGAACAGACACATGGAGAATGAATGAATGAATGAATGAATGAATGAAGATGAGGCTCTGTAAGTGACTTGCCCAATATCACAGACCTGGGCCTGATTTCCCTGCTGTACCCACCCCCAGTAGGTGCCCACAGACCCCGGAGATCCTGAAGGACAGGTCAGGGAGACTAAGCTGTTTGCCCAGGTCCTGTTGGATGGGGTTGGCTTTCCTGGGAGCCACAGGAGGAAGAGCAGAGTGACGGTCCCAAAACAAGTTCCTTGGACAGGATGGTGC
This sequence comes from Homo sapiens, assembly GCF_000001405.40. NCBI lineage: Eukaryota > Metazoa > Chordata > Mammalia > Primates > Hominidae > Homo > Homo sapiens. The sequence continues at coordinate 74,343,266 of NC_000007.14, read as the reverse complement.
AGGGGTCCAGGAGTCCAGCCTCCTTCCTGGGCCCTGCCGTTCCTGCTCCACTCTGGGTTTTTTTCTTGTTTTTTTTTTTGAGACGGAGTCTTGCTCTGTTGCCCAGGCTGGAGTGGAGCCGCACCATCTCAGCTCACTGCAACCTCCGCCTCCTGAGTTCAAGCAATTCTCCTGCCTCAACCTCCTGAGTAGCTGGGATTACAGGCGCCCGTCACCATTTTTTTTTTTTTTTGAGACAGAGTCTGGCTGTGTCATCCAGGCTGGAGTGCAGTGGCACCATCTTGGCTCACTGCAAGCTCCGCCTCCCAGGTTCACGCCATTCTCCTGCCTCAGCCTCCCGAGTAGCTGGGACTACAGGCTCCCGCCACTGCACCCGGCTAATTTTTTGTATTTTTAGTAGAGACGGGGTTTCACCATGGTCTCGATCTCCTGACGTCGTGATCCGCCTGCCTCAGCCTCTCAAAGTGCCGGGATTATAGGCGTGAGCCACCGCGCCCGGCCACCATGTATTTTTCAGTAGAGGTGAGGTTTCACCATGTTGCCCAGGCTGGTCTTGAACTCCTGACCTCAAGTGATCCGCCTACCTCGGCCTCCCAAAATGCTGGGATTACAGGTGTGAGCCACCGCACACGGCCCCTGCTCCACTCTTGCCTCCTCCGATCCCATCCCCACCAAGCAGCAGGTGTGATGTCCTTAACCCATGAACCTGTCACACAGCTGCAGCTTCCATGGCTACCTCAGCTCTTAGAGCAAAGCCCTGGCTCCATCCCAGGTCCCTGGCCCTGTGGGGTCACCCAGGTCAGCCTCTGGGATGTGATCTTTCCCTGGCTTCCCCCACTGCCCACTCAGCCTCCCTGCTCTTTTCAGTTTCTTTTTTTTTGTTTTTTTTTTGAGACAGAGTCTCGCTCTGCCACCCAGGCTGGAGTGCAATGGCGTGATCTCGGCTCTCTGCAATCTCCGCCTCCCAGGTTCAAGCGATTCTCCTGCCTCAACCTCCCGAGTAGCTCGGACTACAGGCACGTGCCACCACATCCGGCTAATTTTTGTATTTTTAGTAGAGACAGGGTTTCAACATATTGGTGAGGCTGGTCTCGAACTCCTGACCTCAGGTGATCCACCTGCCTCAGCCTCCCAAAGTGCTGGGATTACAGGTGTGAACCACCATGCCAGGCCTCTTCTCACAGTTTCTCTAGTCTCTCAGGCCATGGGTCTCTGCCTGGCACGATGCTCTGGCCCCACATCACTAGGCCAATGCCAGGCCATTCCCTAAGTTCTGCCCTCGGGGGAACCATTCCTCGGGGCAGCCTCCCCACCAGGCCAGGCTCTGAGAGCACCACAGCACACTTGGCAGACTCTGTAGGGAGACACTGATGTCTGCGATCACTGGCCTCGTGGTCTCTCTCCTGTAAGCTGGAGATGGCTGGAGGGCAGGGACTACATCTGGCCACGCTCACCACCAGGTCACCCAGGGGAAGTTCTGTCCAGAGGAACCAGGCTAGCAAAGGCGTGGTGCCAGGTATGGTGGCATGGGCCTGTAGTCCCAGCTTCTTGGGAGGCTGAGGCAGGAGGATTGCTTGAGTCCAAGTTTGAGGCTGCAGTGAGCTATGACTGCACCACTGCACTTCATCCTGGGCAACAGAACAAGACCCTGTTTCAAAAAAAAAAAAAAGAAAAGAAAAGCAGAGCCCTCACCATGGCCAGGGCAGGGCAGACAGGAAATACAACTCAGTGAACAGTGGGCAGGCACTTGTCACATGTCACTTCAGACAAGTTATTAAACTTTCCTGAGGCTGGGCACGGTGGCTCACGTCTGTAATCCCACCACTTTGGGAGGCCGAGGTGGGTAGGTCAAGAGATCAAGACCATCCTGGCCAACATGGTGAAACCCTATCTCTACTAAAAATACAAAAAATTAGCAGGGCGTGATGGTGCGTGCCTGTAGCCCCAGCTACTCGGGAGGCTGAGGCAGGAGGATTGCTTGAACCTGGGAGGTGGAGGTTGCAGTGAGCCGAGAACGCACCACTGCGCTCCAGCCTGGCAACAGAGTGAGACTAGAAAAACAAAACAAAACAAAAAACAAACAAACAAAAACTTCCCTGAGCCTCAGTTTCCCCATCCATAAAGTGAGGATGATAAAACCACATCGCAGCATCACAGCACAGGCTTGAAGATTCAACGGGGCCATGGGTGTAAACATTACCTCTCGCTCCCCTACCCACAACCCCAAAGGCTCCTCCCAGAAACCTCCAGGAGAAACCTTTGCCAGGTTCTCAGAGCAGGAAGGGAGGATCCCAGGCAGCAATATGCTTTGGGGATCCCTGCTCTGGGTCCCCAGACCCCCTGCCCTTCTCCACTCGGCTTTGGAGCTCCAAGCCTGTGCTCCCCACCTCGGGTTGGAATGACCAACCACCTTCCCCCAGGAAGCCTTGCAGACAGGACACAGGGACCCCTGCCCCACCGACAGCTCCTCACACCCCAGGCCCAGAAGTCCATGTCAGGGCCTTCCCTGTACCCTATGAGTCTCTTCCCAACACTGTGGTCCCAGGTGCAGGGTTAGCCCAAGGCCACCACAGCCTGGCTGGACAGCAAGACACAGCCCTGTCCCATCCACCTGACTACCACCAACCCAGGTCACTGCTGTATTCAGACTCTAGAAGACTTGGGGGTCACTGTCCCCTTTCCAACCTGGCCCCAACAGCTGGGACTAGTGGAGAAGAGGGGCCCCTGGCAGGAAGCTGTCAGCTCCAGTGACCCAATTCTCTCAACTTCAATAACACTGATCACTCGAGTTGTAGCTGATAAGGTGTCTGCACCTCCTGGCCCTGGGCAAGGGGTTATAACCATTACCACTGTTATTATTATTGCTTTTTTGAGACAGAGTCTCACTCTGTCACCCAGGCTGGAGTGCAGTGGCATGATCTCGGCTCACTGAAACCTCTGCCTCCTGGGTTCAAGTGATTCTCCTGCCTCAGCTTCCCAAGTAGCTGGGATTATAGGCACACGCCATCACAGCCAGCTAATTTTTGTATTTTTGGTAGAGATGGTGTTTCGCCATGTTGGCAAGGCTGGTCTCAAACTCCTGACCTCAGATGATTTGCCCGACTTGGCCTCCCAAAGTGCTGGGATTACAGGTGTGAGCCACCGTGCTTGGCCTTATTATTATTATTATTATTGAAACAGGGTCTGGCTCTGTCACCCAAGCTGGAGTGCAGTGGCACTATCTTGGCTCACTGCAACCTCTGCCTCCCAGGATCAAGCCATCCTCCCACCACAGCCTCCTGAGTAGCTGGGAGTACAGGGTCATGCCACCATGCCTGGCTAATTTTGTTTGTATTTTTTTTTGTAGAGATGGGGTCTCACTATGTTGCCCAGGCTGGTCTTGAACTCCTGGGCTCAAGTGATCCTCCCATCTCAGCCTCCCAAAGTGCTGAGATTACAAGCACGAACCACTGTGCCTGGCCAGGACCAGGGGTCTTGAGAACTCCAGTTCCCAGCCTTTTCCAGTACATGCCTGGCACATGCATGTGGATGAGCTGGATCAATAGATAATATCAATAATAGCCAAAATGTATGGGTACTTAGTATTAGGCACTGTCTAAATGAGTGATACGTTTTAATGCATCTCCAACTATGACTGAAGTACGATTAAAATTCCCATTTTGGTAGGGCGCTGGGGCTCACACCTGTAATCCAAGCACTTTGGGAGGCCAAGGCGGGTGGATCACCTGAGGTCGGGAGTTCAAGACCAGTCTGGTCAACATGGTGAAACCCCGTCTCTACTGAAAATACAAAAATTAGCCGGGCGTGGTGGCACATGCCTGTAATCCCAGCTACTAGGGAGGGTGAGACAGGAGAATTGCTTGAACCTGGGAGGTGGAGGTTACAGTGAGCTGAAATCACGCCACTGCACTCCAGCCTGGACGACAAGAACAAAACTCCATCTCAAAAATAAATAAATAAATAAATAAGTAAAATAAGTAAATAAATAAATATCCCATTTTACCGATAGAAAGAGCGAGGCCCAGAAAGTTTAGGACACTTGCCCAAGGTCACACAGCAACAGTCTCCAGAGCCCACATTACCTGTCTCTCTTGTCACTCTGTATGGTCCTGATAAGGAATGGGTGTCCCAGGCTGGACCCTGTCCGAGCCCCCTTCGAGTCCCCACCCTGCCCAGCCCAGGGGGGTCCAGCTTCGCCAAGTGGGGCGGAGCAGGGGAGGGAAGGGAAGCTGGGCCCAGAGCCCAGTACTGCCCGCACTCACCAGCACGCGGTCCCCCAGGCGCAGGTCCTTTTCGCCCCGCTTCACAGAGCCGCTGTCTGAGAGGTTGGATCCCGACTCGTTGCCAGTCTTCACGGAGCTGTTGAGGACGCTCTCCCGCAGGGGGATGACGCGGCTGGTCAGCGGGGGCGTGGCCGTGCCCGAATGCAATGACAGGTTCTGGGCAGTCAGCGACTCCACGGAGTGGGCATCACTCCCCGAGCCCTCGGCCGTGGGCTGCCGGGTCAGCTTGGAGGGCCGCGTGAAGATACCCTGGAGGGCCGGGCACTCGAAGTAGCGCACGCCGCCCACCGCGCCATCATTCTTGCCCACCGGGTCGTCCAGCACCACGCCAGCCCACTGGCCCGGTGCGAACTGCGTCTCTCCCAGATACTGCACCACGCCTGGCTTCACGCCGTTCACCCACACCCGCTCGCCCACCACAAAGTCCCCCAGGAAGTCATCCCCCACTTCCGCCGCCTTGGGGCCCGGCTTCTCGGGGGCAGCAGCTGCGGCCGGGGAGGAGGAGGGTCCAGATGACTGTTTGTGCAGTGGGGAGCCTGCAGAGAAGGAGAGGGAAAGGGAAAGAGGTGGCTGTTAGGGCTGGCCCCTGGGTGGCCCCAGGAGCACAGAGTCTAGGGTTGGGAGGTGGCTGATTTGTATTTTTGGGTAGAGATGGGGTTTCACCATCTCGGCCAGGCTGGTCTCGAACTCCTGACCTCAAGAAATCCGCCCGCCTTGGCTTCCCAAATTGCTGGGATTACAGGCGTGAGGCACCACACCCAACCCCTGTTTATTTACTTTTTGAGACAGGGTCTTGCTCTGTCACCCAGACTAGAGTGCATTGGCGATATGGTGGCTCACTGCAGTCTTGACTTCCTGGGCTCCAGCAATCCTCTACCTCAGCCTCCCGAGTAGCTGAAACCACAGACACCTGCCACTACACTGGGCTAATTTTTGTATTTTTTTGTAGAGACATGGTCTTGCCATGGAAACCGAGGCAGGAATGGTTGGCTGTGTGGTCTTGGGCAGGTCCTCCTCAGGTCTCCCCCTACTCTTCCAGCCCTCCAGAGCGTCCCCAGGAAAGTACGCCCTCAGAAGCAATGTTTCCAGGCCGGGCACGGTGGCTCATGCCTGTAATCCCAGCACTTTGGGAGGCCGAGGCAGGCGGATCACCTAAGATCAGGAGTTCAAGACCAGCCTGACCAATATGGTGAAACCCCATCTCTACTAAAAATAAAATAATTAGCCAGGTGTGGTGGCAGGTGCCTGTAATCCCAGCTAGTGAGGAGGCTAAGGTGGGAGGATCACTTGAACTCGAGAGGTGGAGATTGCAGTGAGTTGAAATCACATCACTGCACTCCAGCCTAGGGGAAAGAGAAAGACTTCATTTTTAAAAAGACAAAAAAAAAAAGAAGCAATGGCTTTCCACTTCTCAAGGAAACTGTAAGTCCTGGGCCAGGGAGGAACCCGTTCTCAAGGATTACAAGCCACCCCCCCACCAGGTGGGCTCAGGCCCTCAGCTGTTGACCCGAGACCCCCTGTGGCCCCTATGTGGGACCTAGGTGTTGTGCAAGTGGTCTCCGAGACCCCCATCCTCGCCCTCAGACGGTTACAGGGCCCACAAAAGGCTACCAGCCTATTTCCTAATAGAGGGACACAGCCACAGACTTCTTGCATAAAGATGTCCCCTTCTGTCTCTCTTGGGACAGGAAAGAAAACCCTCCTAACTCTCTCCTGGGCCTCCCCCTTTCTCCCCTCCCCAAGCTGCAGCCCAGCCTAAGGCCTCAGGGTCCACAGACCCCGGAAAGTGGAAGGGTGGCTAGGTTTGGTGGCTCATGCCTATAATCCCAGCACTTTGGGAGGCTGAGGTGGGCGGATCACCTGAAGTCAGGAGTTCAAGACCAGCCTGGCCCACATGGTGAAACCCCGTCTCTACTAAAAATACAAAAAAATTAGCCGGATGTGGTAGTGGGTGCCTGTAATCCCAGCTACCCAGGAGGCTGAGACAGGAGAATTGCTTGAACCCAGGAGGCAGAGGTTACAGTGAGCCGAGACAGCACCACTGCACTCCAGCCTGGGTGACAGAGTGAGACTCTGTCTCAAAAAAAAAAAAACAAAACAAAAAAAAACAAAAAAAAAAAAAACAAAAAAAACAAACAACCATAGTAATCACAGGCTTGCATGAGACTCTGTGCTAAGAGCTTAACATACGATAGCTCATCTGATCCCCAATTGCCCCCATTTCACAGATGAGAAAACTGAGGCTCAGAGATATCAGGTGCTTCACCTGAGCTCCCAGACAATAGGCAGCAGGACTGATTTGGTTTGGCTGTGTCCCCACCCAAATCTCATCTTGAATTGTAGCTCCCATAATTTCCACGTTTTGGGAGGTACCCAGTGGGAGCTTAATGAATCACAGGGGTGGTTTCCCCCATACTGTTGTGGTGGTAGTGAATAAGTCTCACGAGATCTGAAGATTTTATAAGAGGTTTCCCCTTCTGCTTGGCTCTCATTCTCTCTTGTCTGCCGCCATGTAAGACGTGCCTTTTGCCTTCTACCATGATTGTGAGGCCTCCCCAGCCACATGGAACTGTGAGTCCATTAAACTTCTTTTCCTTTATAAATTACCCAGTCTCATGCTGAGCATGGTGGCTCACGCCTATAATCCCAGCACTTTGCGGGGCCAAGGTGGGCGGATCACTTGAGGTCAGGAGTTCGAGACCAGCCTGGCCAACATGGGGAAACCCCATCTCTACTGAAAATACAAAAATTAGCCAGGCGTGGTGGCATATGCCTGTAGTCCCAGCTACTTGGGAGGCTGAGGCAGGAGAATTGCTTGAACCCAGGAGGCGGAGGTTGCAGTGAGCCAAGATGGCACCATTGCACTCCAGCCTAGGTGACAGAGCAAGACTCTATCTGAAAGAAAAGAAAAGAATAGAAAAGAAAAAAGAGAAAAGAAGAGAGGCCAGGCGCAGTGGCTTACGCCTGTAATCCCAGCACTTTGGGAGGCCGAGGCGGGCGGATCACGAGGTCAGGAGATTGAGACCAACCTGGCTAACATGGTGAAACCCTGTCTCTACTAAAAATATAAAAAATTAGTCAGGCGTGGTGGTGGGCGCCTGTAGTCGCAGCTACTCAGGAGGCTGAGGCAGGAGAATGGCATGAACCCGGAAGTCGGAGGTTGCAGTGAGCCGAGATCGCGTCACTGCACTCTAGCCTGGGCGACAGAGTGAGACTCCATCAAAAAAAAAAAGAAAAGAAAGAAAGAAAAGAAAGAAAGGAAGGAAGGAAGAAAAAAAGAAAGAAAAAAAGAGAAAGGAAGGAAGCAAGGAAGGAAGGAAGGAAGGAAGGAAGGAAGGAAAATAAGCCAGGCACAGTGGCTCACACCTGTAATCCCAGCACTTTGGGAAGTTGAGGCAAGTGGATCACTTGAGCCCAGGAGTTCAAGAACAGCCTGCACAACATAGCAAGACCCCCATCTCTTATAAATAAATAAATAAATGAATAAATAAGCCAGGTGCAGTTATGCAGCCTGTAATCCCAGCTACTCGGGAAGCTGAAACAGGAGGATGACTTGAGCCCAGGAGGTCAAGACCAGTGTGGGCAACATAGCAAGACCCTGTCTCTACAAAAAATAAATATAACAAAATAAAATAATTAAGATAGCAGCTGCATTTATGAAGTGCCAACTGCATGCTCCTCAATGGACAGGGCACTTTTTTTTTTTTTTTTTTGAGATGGAGTCTCGCTCTGTTACCCAGGCTGGAGTACACTTGTGCAATCTCGGCTCACTCCAACCTCCACCTCCTGAGTTCAAGTGATTCTCCTGCCTCAGCCTCCCGAGTAGCTGGGATTACAGGCATGCACCACCACGCTGGGCTATTCATTATAAGAATACATCATATTTTTACCTTGCAGATTTGGAAACAGAGGGTAAGGTCACTCAGGCCGAGTAGGACACCCAGCTAGTCTGGCTTCAGAACCCTCCCTCTTTTGTTTTTTTGAGACAGAGTCTCACTCTGTTGCCCAGGCTGGAGTCCCCAGGCTGGAGTGCAATGGTGCAATCTCTGCTCACTGCAATCTTCGCCTCCCAGGTTTAAGCAATTCTCATGCCTCGGCCTCCAGTGTAGCCAGGATTATAGGTGCGTGCCAGCACACCAGGCTATTTTTTTTTTTTTTTTGTATTTTATTAGAGACGGGGTTTTGCCATGTGGTAAGGCTGGTCTCAAACTTCTGGCCTCAAGTGACCCTCCTGCCTTGGCCTCCCAAAGTGCTGGGATTATAGGTGCAAGCTACCACGCCCAGCCAGAACCCTCCCTCTTGACCACACGCACAGTGGGTGCCTGGCAGGTGCCAGCTCCTACCCCATATCCATTTCTAGGGCACTTTCCTATGCAGAGAGAGCTCTGTGACCTCTGCTAACTGAACAGAACCACTGTAGCCCAGCTAAGGTCTGTTTCTACCTGCCCTCTGTGCTTAGAGCCCAGAGAAGGGTCCCCAGGTCGAAGGTGACCCAGCATGGCTATTCTTGGTGAGAAGCTGCCTGCTCAGCTGTCCTTGTCCCCAGCTGTCCGGGCCCAGGCGGACCCTCAGGTAATCTCTCCCCGACTCCCTCCCCTCCCAGGGGTCACAGGCCCAGGGACCAGTTGTTTCAACAGCTGCAAAAATCCAAGCCACGAGCCCATGGCAACTGCACGTGATACTTCGCTTCATTCTTCCTCTGAGTAGTGGGACTCTCGGCTGCCCCCGCATCACAGGGACAAAACGCTCATCAAATTCCATGCACGCTGAGACATTTTCAGCTTCCTGCAGTTGAGAAACCATGGGAAATTCCCTATCCCTCCAGGGAGTCATCAGTGACATACTGGCTTGGCCAGGGCGAGCCAAGTCTGGCCTTCCCAGATGTGTGCCTCAGTTTCTCCATGACATAACAAAGGACTAGGTCAGAAATAGCTAAGGTCCTTTCCAGCGCTGACATTCTCCATGTCCTACGTCTCCTCCCAGGGGAGCCAATGTATATACGATGGAGTTTTTGAAACCTGGTTAACAGGAGCTTCCTCGGTCCATATCCTCGCAGGCCAAAGGCAAGCTGTTTGGGAGCTCCCTGTGGGCACAGCCTGGGCCTCACTGCCCTCTGAGTTCCCCAGCAAACCCCCGCGAAGGCAAAGAGCCACTAGTGACTTCCAGCTGGGCCCAGCAACACAGACTTAAACCTCACATGAGGCTGGGCACCATGGCTCATGCCTGTAATCCCAGCACTTTGGGAGGCTGAGACAGGAGGATTGCTTGAGGCCAGGAGTTTGAGACCAGCCTGGGTAACACAGTGAGACCCTGTCTCTACAAAAAAATACAAAAATTAGCCAGCCATGGTGGCTCGCTCCTGTAGTCCCAGCTACTCGGGAGGCTGAGGCAGGAGGATTGCTTGAGCCCAGGGAGTGGAGGCTGCAGTGAGCCATGATCTCATCACTGCACTCCAGCCTGGGCGACAGAGCGAGACCTCATCTCCAAAAGAATTAAAATAGGCTGGGCAAGGTGGCTCATGCCTGTAATCCCAGCACTTTGGGAGGCCGAGGTGGGTGGATCACCTGAGGTCAGGAGTTTGAGACCAGCCTGGCCAACATGGTGAAACCCCATCTCTACTAAAAATACCATAATTAGCTGGGCGTGGTGGCAGGTGCCTGTGATCCAAGCTACTTGGGAGGCTGAGGCAGGAGAATCGCTTAAGCCCAGGAGACGGAGGTTTCAGTGAGCTGAAATCGCATCACTGCATTCCAGCCTGGGCGACAGAGCAAGACTCTGTCTCAAAAAAAAATTAAAATAAACCTCCTACATGCAGTTGATTTATTCCCCAGACAGTGATTCCCACCCAGACAAGAGCCACAAAGGAATTTACTGCAAGTTTCAAGTTCAAAGCATGACAAGGGCCTAAGGACACGGTGCAGGGTGGCTGCAGCTGGTGGCGTGGTCCTGCAGCCGGTGGGGATAAAAAGGGCGCCCAGATGACGCATTCTCCCCTCCGCCTGCGAGGACGCGGGTCCTGCCCTGCCTGTGGAGGTGGGGACTGGCTTTTCCTGCTCAATCTCATCAGGAGGGACCCCAATTCCTGAGGACCTACTAGGTGCCAGACTCTGTGTCAGACACTGGACAAGAGGCATGGCCAAACGGGGCCCGGCAAGGGGGTGGAGTGGGGATGCCAGCAACTACAATTCAGCTTGCCACGCCATGTGCGTAACTGAGGAAGGAACCCAAAATGTGGTACCCGGGGGAGCGGGAGGGAGGGCTCCACCTCGAATGATGTGGGTGTGGGTATTTCCCACGACCTCTTGCCCCAGGAAAGTTACAGAGCTGGCTCCCTCACCTCCTCAGAGAAGCCTTTCCTGACTGCTTTATCTAAAACTCATCACCCTGGTTGGGCATGGTGGTTTGTGCCTGTAATCCCAGCTCTTTGGGAGGCCAGGGCAGGAGGATCACTTGAGGTCAGGAGTTGAAGACCAGCCTGGACAACATAGCAAGACCCCATCTCTAAAAAAAAAAAAAAAAAAAAGAGAATTCTAGGCTGCAGTGAGGCATGATCCCACCACTGCAATCCAGCCTGGGCAATAGGGAGACACTGCCTCTGAGAAAAAAATTACACGGGGCACAGTGGCTCATGCCTGGAATCCCAGCACTTTGGGAGGCTGAGGTGAGCAGATCACCTGATGTCAGGAGTTCAAGAACAGCCTGGTCAACATGGTGAAACCTCGTCTCTACTAAAAATACAAAAATTGGCCTGGCATGGTGGCGGGCACCTGTAATCCCAGCTACTCGAGAGGCTGAGGCAGGAGAATCACTTGAACCTGGGGGGCGGAGGTTGCAGTGAGCCGAGATCGCATCACTTCACTCCAGCCTGGGCAAAAGAGCAAAACTCCATCTCCAAAAAACAAAAAACCCCAACAACAACAAACCTTCTTCTCTGATCAGTAGCAGGGGACCCCGATCTACATGGTGCCCCCCACCCACCACAATAATCTACCAACTGCTACAGCTTTAGCTACTGCCTACATGTGACCACATTTTTTTCTTTAAGACACAAATACACTCTCCTTGTAAATGATTCAAATGACACAGGAAGATGTAGAATGAAACTGATCCCGGCTGGGCGTGGTGGATCACACCTGTAATCCCAGCACTTTGAGACTGAGGCGGGTGGATTACCTGAGTTCAGGAGTTCAAGACCAGTCTGGCCAACATGGTGAAACCCCGTCTCTACTTAAAAAACACAAAATTAGCTGGGTGTGGTGGCAGGCATCTAAAGTCCCAGCTACTCAGGAGGCTGAGGCAGGAGAATCACTTGGACCCAGGAGGCAGAGGCTGCAGTGAGCCGAGATCACGCCACTGCACTCACTCCAGTCTGGGCGAGACAGAGTGAGACTCTGTCTCAAAAAAAAAAAAAAAAAAAAAAAGAAAGAAAGAAAGAAAAAGAAAACGAAAAGAAAAGAAAGAAAGAAACAAATTGATCCCCTCTTGCTCACCTCAGTCAGGATCAAGACCTGCCTCCTCCAGGACCTTACACCCAACATCCTGAACCCACATGACCTCCTTCCTCAGCTCTTGCCAAAGCTCCTCCACCATCCTCCATATCTCAGGAGGCCCTGCAACCACCCATGCACTCAGGTTGCAAATCGCCATTGCTCTACTGGCTCATCCTTCCCCCAGTCTAGCAATTCCACGGAAGAAATCACTCCTAATTCATTTATGCCTCCTTCTCAGGGCTCAGAGGCTCACCTGAATTTTTTTTTTTTTTTTTTTTTTTTTTTTTTGAGATGGAGTCTCACTCTGTCGCTCAGGCTGGAGTGCAGTGGCATGATCTCGGCTCACTGCAACCTCTACCTCCTGGGTTCAAGTGATTCTCCTGCCTCAGCCTCCCGAGTAGCTGGGATTACAGGCGTGTACCACCATGCTTGGCTAATTTTTTGTATTTTTGGTAGAGACGGGGTTTTGCCATTTTGGCCAGGCTCATCTCGAATTCCTGACCTCAGGTGATCCACCCACCTCAGCCTCCCAAAGTGCTAGGATTACAGGTGTGAGCCATAGTGCCCAGCCAGAAATCTTAATATGTTTTAAAAGAAAAAATAAAATAAGGAATGCACTCTTTAGTCTATTTCCCAAGGAAATAATTTAGAAAAGGAAAAACTGACTCACTATTTTGACCTTCACAAAAATAAAAAACTGAATCTAAGAGCCTCCAAACCAAGGAGCAGTTACATAAATTATGGTCACATTATTCAGATTATTAAGCAACCTTTAAAACATTATTTGTCCAGGTTATGTAGGACAGTGTTTATGATGTGATTCTTGGTGACACAGCAGAGTTCAGGAGCATCCCGACATCCAGCACAGGGCATGGTGGCCTGGGGGTAGGGGAAGAGGAATAGGGAACAACAAAAAATGAATCAATTAAGAAACACCGGCTGGGTGTGGTGGCTCACACCTGTAATCCCAGCACTTTGGGAGACCAAGGCAGGCGGATCACCTGAGGTCAGAAGCTCGAGACCAGCCTGGCCAACATGGCGAAACCCCATCTCTACTAAAAATACAAAAATTAGCAAGGCATGGTGGCGCATACCTGTAATCCCAGCTACTCGGAAGGCTGAGGAAGGAGAATCGCTTGAACTTAGGAGGTGGAGATTGCAGTGAGCCGAGATTGCGCCACTGCACTTCAGCCTGGGTGACGGGAGCGAGACTCCATCTCAAAAAAGAAAGAAAAAAAAAAAAAAGAAAAGAAACACCAAGAGGAAGCTAGGCACAGTGGCTCAAGCCTGTAGTCCCAGCTACTGAGGAGGCTGAGGCAGGAGGATCGCTTGAGGCCAGGAGTTCAAGATCAGCCTGGGCAACATAGAGAGATCTCATCTCTACAAAAAAGTAAAAATAATAGAAAATAAAAAATAGCCGGATGCAGTGGCTCACATCTGTAATTGCAGCACTTTGGGAGGCCAAGGCAGGCGGATGGCTTGAGGCCAGGAGTTCGAGACCAGCCTGACCAACATGGCGAAACCCCGTCTCTACTAAAACTACAAAAATTAGTCAGTGTGGTGGCGCGCGCTTGTAATCCCAGCTACTCGGGAGGCTGAGGCAGGAGAATTGCTTGAACCCAGGAGGCAGAGGTTGCAGTGAGCTGAGATCGTGCCATTGCACTCCAGCCTGGGCCACAGAGCAAGACTCTGTCTCAAATAATAAATAAATAAATAAATAGATAAATAAAATAACCAAGAGGGACCTTGCAGGGACCCACAATGTTGACATGTGATGAAGTGAATGTGTGATGAACTCAGCCCTCTGCCCCAGTGGTTTGGGGGCAGATAAAAAAGTGTCCTCTGCTAGGATCTGGTTCCTTCTTAAATGTTCCACAGAACATAGCTCCACAGGCTGTTCCTAGGTATTATGAAAACAAACAAACAAACAAACAAACAAACAATTTAACCTCCAAGTTCAAAGAAGCTTGAGAAACAGCAACTTCAACAAAGTGAAGGGTACTTGTCTGCAGGACTTTTCAGAGCCTTTGATGTACCAATGAGCACGGTGACCACAAAGGAGGGGCTATAAATAAGGCGACCACATGATTTAACATTCAAACCCGGGTGCTTCTGGGAATGAGAGGTGCTCTTAATATAGCATCATGCTGGCCGGGTGTGGTGGCTCATGTCTGTTATCCCAGCACTCTGGGAGGCCGAGGCGGGAGGATCACTTGAGCTCAGGAGGCAACATAGCGAGACTTTGTCTCTATAAAATAATAGAAAAATGGCCGGGTGCGGTGGCTCACGCCTGTAATCCCAGCACTTTGGAAGGCCGAGGAGGGCGGATCACGAGGTCAGGAGATCGAGACAATCCTGGCTAACACAGTGAAACCTCGTCTCTACTAAAAAAAAAAAAAAAAAAAACCAAAAAAAAAAATTAGCCAGGCATGATGGCGGGTGCCTAACGGTTACTTGGGAGGCTGAGGCAGGAGAATGGCCTGAACCCGGGAGGCGGAGCTTGCAGTGAGCTGAGATCGCACCACTGCACTCCAGCCTGGGCGACAGAATGAGACTCTGTCTCAAAAATATATATATATATAAATAATAATACAAAAATTAGCAGGGCATGGTGGTGCGCACCAGCTACTTGGGAGGCTGAGAGAGGAGTTGGAGGCTGCAGTGAGCCATGATCGCACCACTGCAGTCCAGCCTGGGTGACAGAGTGAGACCCTCTCAAAAGAAATAAAAGAAAAGAAAAAAAGGCATTTTACCAATACCACAGGCATCAAGCAGGCTGTTTCAGGCAAAGCTCCATCCTTCTGCCTTGAGTACAGCACTTTACCCTTAGGATCACCTAAGGAAGTCCTCATGCCCGTCCATAGCAACTCCACATCCCCTCATCTGCAGCCATCTCAAGGGGCCCACTGTGTCTCTCTCCCTCCCAACCCCATGGGGCTCTGTTCCCCCTTGGTTTGCACAACCTGACTCCCAGGCTAACTGGGGTGCATGTCTGCACACCCCCAGAACATGAGCCCCAGGAGGTGGACTCACACCAACTCCCCTCTCATCCCCTGGACCCCCTGGGCTGAAATGCAGACGGGCCACACACCTGACTCCCGCTTCCTGGTGGCCCCAAAGGAACATGCATCAGTGCCCCAAAAATCTCAAATGGCTTTCTCTCCTGAGCCTCCTTTTCTCTCCCGAAGGTGCTCAAAGGCAGAGGTTACGAAGGAAGGAATGGGGTCTCCACAGCATTCCTTGAAGAGGCCACTTTCCCTCCGGCAGTCCCCGCATTGGGTCCACCCCAACCTGTTTCCACCCCTCAGTCCATGCCTGCTCCAGGGAGGACCGAGTCTACATCCCCCAGCCCACCCCGACCAGGGAGGGGTCCGTCTGAAACTCACCTCTCTCCTGTGGTCACCCCAGGCCCAGCCTCTGCAGCATCCAGCCCTAAAGAAGGGTTCCTCCCTCCAGCAGCCCACACCGTCCTGAATCCCAGGCTCTGCTGGGCATTCTTCCTGAACCAAATGGAACTCCAAACCCCACTTCTGTGCCCCCTCCTCCCAAACCAGGAGAACAGAGTCTCTGCTCAGCAGAGGCGGCCGGGGAACCCAGGGCAAGAGCGGCCCGGATGGCTTACCCTGGAAAGAACAGAGCCAGCTCCCCATGGAGAAGCCCGTGGCCAGGCCACCAGGCAGGCAGACAGGTGCTGGCAGCCGGACCCCCGCCCCGTCAGATCGATCCTGGACCACGTCAGGGACATTAGGAGGCAGCCCTGCCCCCACCCCCACCAGCCACAGAAGAGCGGGCTTGGCTTCCCCGTCCTGATGCCATTAAAAAGTTTAGGATGTGGTCAGTGGAGAGCCGAGAAGTTGCCCTTGAAGGGACGAATTTGCCCAACATCTCAGACAAGTCACTTAAAATGGGGACAATCCTACCTGCTCTCCTGGGGCTGGGAAGGCTCCTAGAAATGTATGGAAAGGAAAGAGAAAGGCACCATCCTCTGTGGGGGTGGGGGCCCCACCTCGGGCACTTCAGGTTGGTGCCAAGGTCTGGAACACTCACGGGGTACAGGGACATTGAGCTCAGTGAACTAGAACCACAATGCTGACCGAGTGAAGTGGCTCACGCCTGTAATCCCAGCAGTTTGGGAGGCCGAGGCAGGTGGATCACTTGAGATCAGGAGTTCGAGACCAGCCTGGCCAAGATGGTGAAACCCCAACTCTACTAAAAATACAAAAATTAGCTGAGTGTGGTGGCACATGCCTGTAATCCCAGCTACTTGGGAGGCTGAGGCAGAAGAATTGCTTGAACTTGGGAGGTGGAGGTTGCGGTGAGCCAAGATTGCACCACTGCACTCCAGCCTGAGCAACAGAGCGAGACTCTCTCTCAAAAAACAAAACAAACTTTGAAGAACTGCCAAACTTTCCTGAAGCAGCTGTACCATTTTACATTCCCACCAGCAATATATGAGAGTTTCTTGAACCCGGGAGGTGGAGGTTGCAGTGAGCTGAGATCGTGCCGCTGCACTCCAGCCTGGGTGTCAGAGTGAGACTCCATCTCAAAAACAAAAACAGGCCAGGCACGGTGACCCAGGCCTGTAATCCTAGCACTTTGGGAGGCCGAGGCAGGCGGATCACGAGGTCAGGAGTTCAAGACCAGCCTGGCCAATATGGTGAAACCCCGTCTGTACTCAAAAATACAAAAATTAGCCAGGCGTGGTGGCACATGCCTGTAATCCCAGCTACTTGGGAGGCTGAGGCAGGAGAATCGCTGGAACCCAGGAGGTGGAGGTTGCAGTGAGTCGAGATTGCGCCACTGTACTCCAGCCGGGGTGAAAGAGAGAGATTCCGTCTCAAAAAAAAAAAAAAAATGCTCTGGGCCCAGCCCTGTGTGTGTACTAGAGAGCAGCTGAGGATAGCATATAGGAGGTGGGCCTTGCCTCACATAGCCCAACTCCCCGTCTAAGGGTGGGTAACACTCCCACACATACTTGTCCTCAATCTCCTGGATCCCCAGCATGAGGCAAGGCCACAGGAATGTTAGGGGACAGTTGTGACCAACCTAATGGGAACAGGTATGTCCTCCTCCCATCCACCTGTCTGGGGCATGAGCCAAATGTGTGGGGCTGATACTGGACTTGGTCCCCCAGGCACCCCACCCCTGGGGAGGCAGCAGGCGCTCAGTCTGGCATGAGTCTCAGCTCTGGCCCTGTAACCCTGGGCAACGCAGCTGAGACTCCAAGCCTCGGTGGTCTCATCTTTATTTTTATGAGACAGAGTCTTCCTTTGTTGCCCAGGCTGGAGTGCAATGGTGTAAACTTGGCTCACTACAACCTCTGCCTTCCAGGTTCAAGCCATTCTCCTGCCTCAGCCTCCTGAGTAGCTGGGATTACAGGCATGTGCCGTCGCGCCCGGCTAATTTTTGTTATTTTTAGTAGAGACGAGGTTTCACCATGTTGGCCAGGCTGGTCTCGAACTCCTGACCTCAAGTGATCTGCCCTCCTCGGCCTCCCAAAGAGCTGGGATTACAGGCATGAGCCACCATACCCAGCCAATGGTCTCATCTTTAAAATGAAAACAATGGCACATGGTTGGCCCCTGTGCTCATCAGTCCCATCAGTCCTCACCCAGGATCCAGGTCACTGCAGCCCAGCCCCCCAACTTTTTTTTGTTGTTTTGAGATGGAGTCTCGTTCTGTTGCCCAGGCTGAAGTGCAATGGCGTGATCTAAGCTCACTGCAACCTCAACCTCCCGGGTTCAAGCGATTCTCCTGCCTCAGCCTCCCAAGTACCTGGGATTACAGATGTGTGCCACCACGCCCAGCTAATTTTTGTATTTTTAGTAGAGACGAGGATTCACCATGTTGGCCAGGCTGGTCTCAAACTCCTGACTTCAAGTGATCCACCTGCGTCGGCCTCTCAAAGTGCTGGGATTACAGGCGTGAGCCACCATGCCAGGCCCTCAGGGCCTTTGCAGCCTCTGTTCCCTCTGCCTGGATGTTTTTCCCTGAACGGCAGCTGGGGCGACTCCTGCTCATCACTTGAATCCTTGCTCCAATGTCACCACTGGAGCCAGGCCGTCCCTGACCACCCTGTCTGCACCAGCCTCCAGGTGTGCTCGGTCACACCCGGCCAGGCTGTCCCTCGCCACGCTGCTCCACCCAGGACTTTGCCCCCAGGTGGATCCCAAACCGCCCTCCTGCCCACCTGCTCTGACCACCTCTCCCTTGTAGCCCTGCACCACCTCCTAGCGTGAGAGACCCTCTCAAAGGTCCCCCTCAAATGCTGCTCCCTGTGTGGCACAGCTCTGAGGATACAGGCCCTCCCCTCTCCACTGGGTGGGCAGCAAGGGCACCAGTCCAGGCCCTGTCCCTTGGCCAGATCCTCTGCCGGAGGCTGAGCTCATGTTTTGGGAGGCAGCCACAACCCCGTTCCCAGAGCAGACTCCAGCGTGCTCCCCTCCCCACAAACCACTGCCAGGCCCCGGCCTCTGCCACACACATCTCGAGCTGCCCACTGCCCAGGGTCCCAGCCTCTGATGGATGTGGCCGCCTCCAGCCCCTCGGAGAACAGATGGACAGTTGCATGGGTGGGTGAGGGAGCCCGAAGGGCCAACAGGACTGGGGGGACCGTCCTTCCCTGGCTCTTCCACCTGTCACTCTTCCCAGAGGCTTTTTTTTTTTTTTTTTTTTCTCAAGATCTTGGAACAGGAACAAAAGCAGCAGAATTCTCCCTTTCTCTCTCCTGGAGTTTGGCTGTCTCAGCCAACTCGGTTTTGCTCCAGGCTGGCCACCTCCTTCCCCAGCCTGGGAGTCTAGTTCTGCCCTGCAAAGGCAGCAGCCGGGGTGCAGTGAAGGGAGAGGACACCACCAAGCCCAGCCACAGCCTCTGCTGCCACCATCTCCAAGGTCAGGCACAAGGTGTGGCTCCCCTGTCAATTGGGGATTCTCGGAGGGACACTTTCTCTCTCTGGGACAGCTTTGAGGGTGGAGGCCCAAGGCAGTCCGACCACCCAGTCCTTGTCCCCATCCCCAGACCACCGGGCAATGTGACTAGGAAGCAGGTGGCACGCCACACACCACACTACAGTCCGTTCCCTCCAGGGAACCATTCAGATGACAGCAGGTGATATCACAGTAGCACAGGGAGGTGCTTCCCATAGGATGCAATAAGATGAGAAAAAGTAGAATGCACAATCTAGCTGTTTAAAACAACTTGTGGCCAGGAACGGGGGCTCACACCTGGAATCCCGGCACTTTGGGAGGCCGAGGCGGGAGGATCACCTGAGGTCAGGAGTTTGAGACCAGCCTGACCAACATGGCGAAACTCTGTCTCTACTAAAAATACAAAATTAGCCGGGCATGGTGACGGCCACCTGTAATCCCAGCTACTTGGGAGGCTGAGGCAGAAGAATCGCTTGAACCCAGGGGGCAGAAGTTGCAGAGATCGTGCCACTGCACTCCAGCCTGGGCGAAAGAGCGAGATTCCATCTCAAAAAATAAAAATAAATAATAAATAAAACCACAACTTGTGTAATAGGAAAAAAGACTGGAAGGAAATACAGTCATGCATCACTTAACGACGGGGATACCATCTGAGAAATGCATCATTAGGCGATTTTGTTGTCCTGTGAACATCACAGAGTGTACTTACACAAACCTATATGGTCTAGTCCACTGCTCCTAGGCTACAAACCTATTTAGCATGTTACAGTACTCAATGCTGAAGGCAACTGTAACACGAGGGGAAGTGTTTGTACATCTGAACATAAGACATCTAGGCCAGGGCCAGGCGCACTGGCTCATGCCTGTGATCCCAGCACTTTGGGAGGCCGAGGCAGGCAGATTACCTGAGTCAGGAGTTGGAGACCAGCCTGGCCAACATGGTGAAACCCCATCTCTACTAAAAATACAAAATTAGCCAGGTATGGTGATGGGTGCCTGTAATCCCAGCTACTCAGGAGGCTGAGGCAGGAGAATTGCTTGAACCCAGGAGGTGGAGGTTGCAGTGAGCCAAGATCATGCCACTGCACTACAGCCTGGGCGATGGAGTAAAACTCTATCTCAAAAAAGAAAAAAAAAAAGAAAAGAAAAGGAAAAAAAAAGATATCTAGGCCAGCCATGGTGGCTCACGCCCTTTGGTAGGCTGAGGTGGGAGGATCGCTTGAGCCCAAGAGTTCATGACCAATGAGGACAACAAATGCAAGACTCCGTTTCTACAAAAAATTTACAAGTTAGCCAGGCATGGTGGCACCTGCCTATGGTCCCAGCTACTTAGGAGGCCAAGGCAAGAGGATCGCATGAGCCCAGGAGGTCGAGGCTGCAGTGAGCTATGATTACGCCACTGCACTCCAGCCTGGGCAACAGAACGAGACCCTATCTCAAATAAATAAATAAATAAATAAATAAATAAATAAATAAATAAATAAAACATAGCTAAACATAGAAAAGGTACAGTAAAAATAAGTTTTAAAAGATAAACGGGCCAGGCGCGGTGGCTCATACCTGTAATCCCAGCGCTTTGGAAGGCCGAAGCAGGTGGATCACAAGGTCAGAAGATCAAGACCAGCCTGGCCAACATGGTGAAACCCCATCTCTATTAAAAATACAAAAATCAGCTGGGCATGGTGGTGTGTGCCTGTAATCCCAGCTACTTGGGAGGCTGAAGCAGGAGAATCGCCTGAACCAGGGAGTCGAAGGTTGCAGTGAGCCAAGATCGCGCCACTGCACTTGAGCCTGGTGACAGAGCGAGACTCCATCTCAAAAAAACAAACAACAACAGCAAAAAACAAAGATAAACAATGGGACAGGTGTAGTGGCTCACGCCTGTAATTCCAGAATTTTGGGAGGTCAAGGTGTGAGGATGGATTGCTTGAGGCCAGGAGGTGCATCCTGGTCAATATAATGAGATCCTGTCTCCTGTCTGTTTGTTTTTTGAGACGGAGTCTCACTCTGTTGCCCAGGCTGGAGTGCAGTGGTGTGGTCTCGGCTCACTGAAACCTCTGCCTCTTGGGTAGCTGGGATTACAGGCATCCACCACCATGCCAGGCTAATTTTTTTGTATTTTTAGTAGAGATGGGGTTTCGCCATGTTGCCCAGGCTGGTCTCGAACTCCTGACCTCAGGTGATCTGCCTGCCTTGGCCTCCCAAAGGGCTGGGATTACAGGCATGAGCACCTGGCCAAGATCCTGTCTCTTAAAAAAAAAAGATTAAAAAATGGAGGCCGGTCACAGTGGCTCACGCCTGTACTCCCAGCACTTTAGCAGGTCGAGGCCAGTGGATCACTTGAGGTCAGGAGTTCGAGACCAGCCTGGCCAACATGGTGAAACGCCGTCTCTCCAAAAAATACAAAAATTGGCCGGTGTTGTTGCACATGCCTGTAGTCCCAGCTACTCAGGAGGCTGAGGCAGAAGAATCGCTTGAACCCAGGAGGCAGAGGTTGCAATCAGCTGAGATCGTGAGATCGTGCCACTACACTCCAGCCTGGTCGACAGAGCAAGACTCTGTCTCAAAAAAAAAAAAAAAGGAAAAATAAAATAAAATAATAAAAATAAAAAAGAAAAGAAAATAGGGTACACCTGTCTGGGGCACTTAACACGAATGGAGTTTGCACGTCTGGAAGCGGCTCTGGGTGAGTGAGTGAGTGAATGTGAAGGTCTAGGACATGACTGATGACTGTACACTACTGCAGACTTTATAAACACTGCACGCTTATTTTTTATTAAAAAATAAAAATAAAATAAAGGCCAGGCGCGGTGGCTCACACCTATAATCCCAGCACTTTGGGGGGCCAAGGCGGGGGGATCACAAGGCCAGGAGTTCAAGACCAGCCTGGCCAAGATGATGAAACCCTGTCTCTACTAAAAATACAAAAAATTAGCCTGGCGTGGTGGCGGGCGCCTGTAATCCCAGCTACTTGGGAGGCTGAGACAGAGAATCACTTGAACCCGGGAGGTGGAGGTTGCAGTGAGCCGAGATCGCACCACTGCACTCCAGCCTGGGTGACAGAGCGAGACTGTATCTCAAAAAAAATAATAATAATAATAAATAAAATAAAGTAATTGCGCTGCAACATGACAATGGCTAAAACTCAGGAACTGCCAATGTCGGCAATAGGAAATGCTCAGCTCTGTTAGAATCCTGTGGGACCACGATAAACATGGTCCATCCTTCACGGAATCCTGGTTAGGCTGTGCAGTGATGAGGTTAAGTGGTAAGGGGGAAGGGAGAAGGTTAAAGGATAATGGACGTTTTTTTCTTTTATCACTTTCAAATTTTCCTGTAATGAGATGATGGATGGGTGAAAGGGAAAGAAATTAATCTTTAATGAGTTTTCTACCTGCAGGCACTCCATGTTCATTAACTCGCTTGATCCCATTAGGGAGATGCTATTATCCCATTTGTGGCTCAGAGAGGTTAGGTCACTCTCCCAGGGTCACACAGCAGGAGCAGGGCTAGGAGGGGCATGAGAGCTGGATCACAGCCAGAATTTGGGCCTCTCTAGATCGGGGAGGAACAAAGGGGAAAGTACCCAGAAGGTTCAATAAGACTCTCTCGCTGCACGCCATGCCCCAGCCCCAGGGTTGGGCTGGGCGGGTGCCCTTCTCTAGCCATTAGGTTACACAGCCTCACTCCTCACTGGACCAAGCTCAGCCCACTGGGTGCCTTGACTCACGACCTTCCCCCACTGTCTGCAGATCCTTCCTCCTCCTCCTCTTCTCATTTTCAAACTCCACCCACTGCCCTGCCCCCATTATCAAGGCTGAGCTCATTCACGCTTCTTCCAGGAAGTCTTCCCTGATTGCCCACGCATGGTAATGAGCCCTTCCCTCCCCCGGATAACCACAGCCTCCTCACTGGTATCCCCACCTGGCTCTTAACCCTACAATCCGTTCTCTGCACAGTGGCCCAAGGGATGTGAACAAGGTCCCATCACTCTTCCATTGGTATCCTCCAGCCGCTCCCACCATCCTTTTTTTGTTTTGTTTTTGAGTCAGGGTCTCGCTGGGTCACCCAGGTTGGAGTGCAGTGGTGTGATCAAAACTCACCGCAGCCTCGACCTCCTGGGCTCAAGCGGATCTCCTACTTCAGGCTGCCAAGTAACTGGAACCACAGGTATACACCACCGTGCCTAATTTTTTTTTTAAGTAGAGATGAGAGGTCTTGCTGTGTTGCTCAGGCTGGACTCAAACTCTACTGCTCAAGCGATCCTCCTGCCTCAGCCTCCCAAAGTGCTGGGATTACAGGCTTGAGTCACTGTGCCCGGCCCCCACTGCTCTTTTTCCTTTTTCTTTCTTTTTTTTTTTTTTTTTTTTTGAGATGGAATCTCACTCTATTGCCCAGGCTGGAGTGCAGTGGCGCAATCTCAGTTCACTGCAAACTCCGCCTCCCGGGTTCAAGCAATTCTCCTGCCTCAGCCTCTCGAGTAGCTGGGATTACAGCTAATTTTTGTATTTTTAGTAGAGACAGGGTTTCATCATGTTGGCCAGGCTGGTCTCCTAACCTCAAGTGATCCTCCCGCCTCAGCCTCCCAAAGAGCTGGGATTACAAACTTGAGTCACTGTGCCCAGCCCCCACCACTCTTAAAACAAACCCAAACCCTGTGTCCTTCAGATCTGTCCTGGCTGCCCTCCCTAACCTCTTTTCACACTCCTCTCCATCCAGACTTTTCTTCTTTCTCTCTCTCTTTTTTTTTTAGGGTCTCACTCTGTCACTCAGGCTGGAGTGCAGCGGTGTGATCATGGCTCACTGCAGCCTCCAACCCCTGGGCTCAAGCAATCCTCCTGCCTCACCCTCCTGAGTACTTGGGACTACAGGCACACACTACCATGCCTGGCTAATTAAAAAAATTTTTTTTGTAGAGCTGGGGTCTCACTATGTTCCCCAGGCTGGTCTGGAACTCCTAGGCTCAAGTGATCCTCTGGCCTCAGCCTCCCAAAGTGCTGGATTACAGGCGTGAGCCACCATGCTGGCTTCTCTTTCTTTCTTTATTTTATTTTATTTTTTGACAGAGTCTTGTTCTGTTGCCCAGGCTGGAGTACAGTGGCATGAGCTCGGCTCACTGTAGCCTCCGCCTCCTAAGTCCAACCGATTCTCATGCCTCGGCCTCCCATGTAGCTAGGATTACAGGTGCCACCACATCCCGCTAATTTTTGTATTTTTAGTAGAGACGGGGTTTCACCATGTTGGCCAGGCTGGTCTCGAACTCCTGACCTAGGTGATCCTCCAGTGTTGGCCTCCCATAGTGCTGGGATTACAGGCATGAGCCACCGTCCCCGGCCTTTTTCTTTCTTAACAAATCAAATTCATTCCAGCCTCAGGGCCTTTGCATCACCCATTCCCTCCACGTGGAACACCTCTTCCCCACCCCACCTCATCCCCCGAATTTTCTCTTGTCTGGCTTCTCACTGCTGGAGAGGATTTGCCACCCTAGAGCAGAGCCTGGGCCTTCACAAGGCTGCACTGGGCAGGCCTTTCCCATGGGCTTCTGCCGACGGGCCTCACCCTGCAGCTTCCTCGCCCTTTCACGCTGCCCATTTGGCTCTGCCAGGGACCCTGTCCTGCCAACTGCCCATGATTTTGGCTCAAACTTTCCTTGACCCCCTTCCCCAGGACCCAGGTTGTCCAGTCTGGCCCCAGCTGTGTTTGTCTCTCCAAACTTTGTACCAATCAGATAAGATGGGCAGTGACCTATCCTGCTGGCTGGAGTATCATCAAAGCCAGGCTTTGTGCACAAAGATGTTCATCACAGCATCATTTATCAAAGTGATAAGTAACAAACGATCGTCATTTTTTTTTTAAATGGAGTTTCACTCTTGTAGCCCAGGCTGGAGTGCAGTGGTGTGATCTCGGCTCACTGCAACCTCCTCCTCTTGAGTTCAAACGATTTTCCTGCCTTAGCCTCCCAAGTAGCTGGGACTATAGGCGCCCGCCACCATGCCCGACTAATTTTTGTATTTTTAGCAGAGACAGGGTTTTCCCATGTTGCCCAGGCTGGTCTTGAACTCCTGACCTCAAGTGATCCTTCCACCTCGGCCTCCCAAAGTGCTGAGATTACAGGCATGAGCCTCCATGCCCAGCTCAATTACAGTTTTTTAAACTGCAGAGAATAGGTAAGAAATTGCTGCTAGTTCCTTCCATCATACTCATCTTGGTTTAAACCCTCCCGTAGCTCTCATTATTAGGATGAAAATGAAACTCCCCGCACACCTCCAAGTCACCCAGGTCCACCTGCATTGCAGCAGACTGCCCCAGCCACCCCCACGCTCTCTCCCTCTTCTGTACGCATGACGCTCCTTTCTGCCTCTGAGCATTTGCATGTGCTGTTCCCTCTACTTGGAATACTCTTCCCTCTTTTTTTTTTTATTTTTGAGACAGAGTCTCACTCTGTTGCCCAGGCGATTCTCCTCTCTCAGCCTCTCGAGTAGCTGGGATTACAGGCACCTGCCACCACGCCTGGCTAATTTTTGTATTTTTAGTAGAGATGGGGTTTCACCAAGTTGGCCAGGCTGGTTTCGGTCTCGAACTCTTGACCTCCAGTGATCCAGCCGCCTCAGCCTCCCAAAGTGCTGGGATTACAGGCGTGAGCCACCGTACCTGAACCTTTTCCTCTTCAGCTAGTGAATCACCTATTCACCCTCCAGACCTCAGCGCCCATGTCCCCTCCCTGGGGAAACCTCTGCCAACCTCCCAGTGTTGATCAGGCCCCATTACAGGAGCTCATGACACTCAGCGTCCCCCATCAGATTGGTCACAGAGTGGCCTGTGCTCCTGGGGCTCTTCCAGAAGAACACTCATCCCATGTAGCCAGTCCCCTCACCCCCCATCCTTGGTGTGCCACGTACCTTCCTTGGAGCTAGCGGCCACCGCCGCCGAGGATGAAGCTGACCCAGTAGATGTCCGGCCCATGGGGCTGGAGTGCTTCCCCCCACGGCCGGGGGGCTTCAGGCCGCTGGGCTTCTGCATGGCGGTGCCACTGGGCAGGTGGACAAGGGTGAGTGCTGGTCACGTCCTCTCTGCCATCTTCACTCACCTGCGGGCAGAGACAGGAGAGATCACATCATCACTTCCCAATGGCCCCCAGACCCTCAAGGGCCATCAAGCAACACACATCCCTCCTGAGGTGGGCTGGACGAGGCAACACCCGATTTAACCTATCAGCTCACTGCTCCCGTTGCCGCACAGGCCAGATTCCCGCTCTCAGACTCACCATCCCAGCACGCACCCCCTCTACTGCATGGGCAGGACAAACACACAGAGAGGCTATTGCCTTACCCTCTTATATCCTGGTGTGCAGTTACCTGCCTCAACTCCACACCAGGCCGTCATCTAGCCATGACCTCTGCCTGCCTTCCCACCATTAAAGCTTTGTGTCTTTATTTATTTGGTTGCAGAAATTTATTACAATTGAAAGATGTTTCATCTTCTATCCCAAGAGCATCCATCAAACTGTTTGCAACAAAGACCACTTTTAGACTGGGTACAGTGGCCTGTCATCCCAGCACTCTGGGAGGCTGAGGCTGGTGGATCGCTTGAGCCCAGGAGTTTGAGGCTGCAGTGAGCTCCAGGGCACTCCAGCCTGGGTGACAGAGTAAAACCTTTTCAAAGCGTGAGCTGCATGCTGACTATGGTCATTAAAAGCCCTAAAAGGGGCCAGGTGCAGTGGCTGATGCCTGTAATCCCAGCACTTTGGGAGGCTGAGGCGAGTGGATCACTTGAGGTCAGGAGTTCAAGACCAGGCTGGCCAACATGGTGAAACCCTGTGTCTACTAAAAATACAAAAATTAGCCAGGCTTAGTAGCACATGCCTGTAGTCCCAGCTACTCGGGAGGTTGAGGCACAAGAATCACTTGAACCCAGGAGGCGGTGGTTGCAGTAAGCCGAGGTCACGCTGCTGCACTCCAGCCTGGACAACAGAGTGAGACTCTTGTCTCAAAAGAAAAAAAAAAAAAGCCCTAAAAGGGCTGGGGGCAGTGGCTCACACCTGTAATCCTAACACTTTGGGAGGCCAAGGTGGGAGGATTGCTTGAGGCCAGGAGTTCAAAACCAGCCTTGGTAGCGTAGCAAGACTTTGTCGCTACAGAAAATAAAAAATAAAAAATTAGCCAGGCGTGGTGGCGCATGCCTGTAGTCCCAGCTACTTGTGGGGCAAAGGTGGGAGGATTTTTTGAGCCTGAGAGGCCAAGGCTGCAGTGAGCTATGACGGCACCACTGCACTCCAGCCTGGGTGACAGAGCAAGACTCTGTCTCAAAACAAAAACAAAAACAAAAACAAAAAAATGCAGTCGTAAAATAGAACAAGATGATGTCCTTTGCAGGGACATGGATGGAGTTGGAAGCCATTATCCTCAGCAAACTAACACAGGAAAAGAAAACCAAACACCACATGTTCTCACTTGTAAGTCGGAGCTGGACAATGAGAACACATGGACACAGGGAGGGGAACAACACAATGGGGCCTGTTGTGGGGGCGGGGGGAGGGAGAGCATCAGGAAAAATAGCTGATGCATGCTGGGCTTAATACCTAGGTGATGGGTTGATAGGTGCAGCAAACCACCATGGCACACGTTTACCTATGTAACAAACCTGCACATCCTGCACATGTATCCCAGAATTTAAAATTTAAAAAAAAAAAAAAAAGGGCTGGGAGAGGTGGCTCACGCCTGTAATCCCAACACCTTGAGAGGCTGAGGTGGGCGGATCACCTGAGGTCAGGAGTTTGAGACCAGCCTGGCCAACGTGGCGGAAACCCCAACTCTGCTAAAAATACAAAAATTAGCTGGGCATGTTGGCGGGCACCTGTAATCCCAGCTACTCAGGAGGCTGAGGCAGGAGAATCACTTGAACCCAGGAGGAGGAGGCTGCAGTGAGCCGAGATCGCACCACTGCACTCCAGCCTGGGCAACAGAGTGAGGCTCCATCTCAAAAAAAAAGAAAAAAGAAAGAAAAGAAAAAAAGAAAAAACAAGGGCCAGGTGTGGTAGCTCATGTCTGTAATCCCAGCACTTTGGGGGGCCAAGGCAGGAGGATCACTTGAGCCCAGGAACTCAAGACCCACCTGGGCAACATAGTGAGACCCTGTTCTCTACAAATAATAAAAACAAAATATTTTTAAAAGGGCTAAAAGCAAAGATTACATATTAATCATGGCAAAAAAAAAAAGTGTGTGATGCTTGCTAGTACAGTAACCTCAGAATCAAAAGCTTTGTGTCTTTATTATTTTTTTAAATGTATTTTTGTGACGGACTCTCGCTCTCTCGCCCAGGCTAGAGCGCAGTGACAGCATCTCGGCTCACTGCAACCTCCACCTCCCAGGTTCAAGCCATTCTCCTGCCTCAGCCTCCCAAGTAGCTGGGATTACAGGCACCCGTCACCACGCCCGGCTAATTTTTGTATTTTTAGTAGAGACAGGGTTTTGCCATGTTGGCCAGACTGCTCTCAAACTCCTGACCTCAAGTGATCCTCCCGCCTCGCCTCCCAAAGTGCTGGGATTACAGGCGTGAGCCACCACGCCCGGCCAGCTTTGTGTCCTTATGATGAAGCACAGAAGAGCTTATAGGAGCACCAGCGCTTTACAAAAGGGACTCTGGAGAGGAGCAAAGCCTCCAGGCATGATGCTATCTGTTTAGGGGGTCAGGGGGCAGCAAGATGGGACTGGCTGCAGGGGGCCGGAGGGGTGGACAAGCCCCCCACCCCCAGGCCTCTTCCCCACTATCCTATACTCACAAACTTTCCTGCACCCAATGTTTCCAGAAGGCTCACCATGAGCCAGGCCCCATCTCTGCCCCAGAGCTGCAGGCAGGACTCGGCCTCTGCCCTGGGGAGCACCGTCCAATGGGGAGAGAAAATTCAGAGCACCATAGTCGGATGGAGGATTCCAGGCAAAAGCATCCTCATGTCTGGACCTCGGAAACACAGGAAATCTCTGATACAGGAGATGCCCTTGTCTGTCCAGCCATATCTGTGGTCACAGATTTTGAAGAAACCTTTTCTTCACTCATTTTGTTATTATTATTATTTTTAGAGACAGGGTTTTACTCTGTTGCCCAAGCTGGAGTGCAGTGTCATGATCTCAGCTCACTGCAACCTCTGCCTCCTGGGTTCAAGTGATTCTCTTGCCTCAGTCCCCTGAGTAGCTGGGACTACAGATATCTGCCACCATGCCTGGCTAATTTTTGTATTTTTTGTAGATGTGGGGTTTCACTATGTTGGCCAGGCTGGTCTTGAACGCCTGACCTTAAGTGATCCTCCCACCTCTGCCTCCCACAATGCAGGGATTACAGGCATGAGCCACCGCACCCGGTCCCTTTTCCCCAATTTTTTTTTTTTTTTTTGAGACAGAGTCACTTTGACACCCAGGCTGGAGTGCAGTGGCACGATCTTGGATCACTGCAACCTCCATCTCCTGGTTTCAAGCAATTCTTCTGCCTCAGCCTCTGAGTAAGTCAGACTACAGGCGCCCGCCACCAGGCCCGGCTAATTTTTGTATTTTAGTAGAGAGGGGGTTTCTGCCATCTTGGCCAGCCTGGTCTCAAACTGCTGACCTCAGGCAATTCTACCGCCTCGGCTTCCCAAAGTGCTGGGATTACAGGCATGAGCCACTGCTCCCAGCCTACATTTTCCCCATCCTTGGTTCATATGACTTATGTGGGTTGACCCGATTCCCACTCCTAGAGGGGATGCATAATGCAGGCCTGGCCATCAGAGAAGATCAGGTGAGGCGTCTCAGGGCCTAGGCTGTGGCTGAAACCTTTAGGAAGAATTCTCCCTGCTCTGGGGCTGCCTGGGTGTAGGATGGAAGCCAGAAGCTGCAGGGGCCATCCTGGTTACCGCATGGGAGAGCCTGCCAGGGAACGGTGCCAACACAGAGACAGCACAGCTGAGTCCCGAGGAGGGCCTAGATCCAGCTGAGCCTGAAGCTGGCCACTTGGGCTCTTCATTTTTTTTTTTTTTTGAGATGGAGTCTCACTCTGTCGCCCAGGCTGGAGTGCAGTGGCGCAATCTCGGCTCACTGCAAGCTCTGCCTTCCGGGTTCATGCCATTCTCCTGCCTCAGCCTCCCGAGTAACTGGGATTACAGGCACCTGCCACCATACCTGGCTAATTTTTTATATTTTTTAGTAGAGACGGGGTTTCACCATGTTAGCCAGGATGGTCTCGATCTCCTGACCTCATGATCTGCCCCCCTCGGCCTCCCAAAGTGCTGGAATTACAGGCGTGAGCCACTCCAGCTGGAGGCTGGAGTGCAGTGGTACAATTTCAGCTCACTGCAGCCTCAACCTCCCAGGCTCCCGAGTAGCTGGGACCACAGGTGCATGCCACCACCACCATCCCCTGCCCCGGCTAAGTTTACAAGTTTTTTGTAGAGACAGGGTCTCACTATGTTGCCCAGGCTGGTCCCAAACTCCTGGGGTAAAGCAATCCTCCCACCTCAGCCTCCCAAAGTGCTGGGATTACAGGTGTGTGCCACTGTACCTGGCCTTTTTTTTTTTCCTAAACCTATTTGAGGGACAATGTCATTTGCATTTCCAAAAAAATTCTGATGAATACAGATGCCAACCCACAATGCTCGCGTCAGGAATGTGCGTGAGGGCATCCGATGAGTCAGCAATGCTACTACCTGTCCTGGCACATCCGAGTGAAGGATCACTTCCTCCCTCAGACTGGCAGTTTTAAGAGCAGAGGAAAACAAGCTGCCCCCAGGCACACAGCAGTGGAGCCGACATGCCGGGGTGCGCCCACGAGAGCACTGGGCATGCCTGCCAGCCCTGGCCCTCAGGGCTGCTAAATCCAACATTCCAACGCCCCTGGTGCCCCGGGAATTCTGGGGGCCGGGAGTCAATCATGCTGGGGTACAAGGCTGCTCCCTTCGTCCTCAGAACCTGGCCCTCCTGGTGGCTTGTTCAATGAGGGAGCCGGACTGTGAGCTTTGGGCACAGCTCTCCGAGAGCTTGGTTAGGCTGGGTCAGCATTTCCAATGCCAGCAAAGGTGAGTGGGGATGGTCTCTGGTGACAGTAAATATCCCACCTTGTGGGTGACCAAATGAGCCTCCTGCTCCCGTGGCTCAGCTGGGGGACCCTCTCACCTAGGAATTCCAGATGCAGAGAAGGGAGAGCATTGCTGAGACTCAAGTGAGGTGCAAGGAACTCCCTCCGCCTCCTGACCCCCGCCCCCCCACCAGGGCCTCTTCTCTGCCCAAAATCCCTCCCACAGAGAAAACAGTTATAAATCGTATCTAATAACAAACTTTCATTATTTTATTTATTTATTTATTTGGAGACGGAGTCTTGCTCTGTCACCCAGGTGGTGCAATCTCAGCTCACTGCAATCTCCGCCTCCCAGGTTCAAGTGATTCTCCTGTTTCAGCCTCCCAAGTAGCTGGGACTACAGGCGTCCCATTGCCACCACATTGGCTAATTTTTGTATTTTTAGTAGAGATGGTGTTTCACCATGTTGGCCAGGCTGGTCTTGAACTCTTGACCTCAAATGATCCACCTGCCTCAGCCTCCCAAAGTGCTGAGATTACAGGTGTAAGCCATCATGCCTGGCCCGACTTGCATTCTTTTCTTTTTCTTTCTTTCTTTTTTTTTTTTTTTATTCTTGAGATGTGGTCTTGCTCTATCGCCCAGGCTGGAGTGCAGTGACACGATCATAGCTCACTGCAGCCTCCAACTCCTGGGCTCAAGCAATCCTCCCGTCTCAGCCTCCTGGATAGCTAGGACTACAGGTGCACCCTACCATGCCTGGCTAATTGTTTTTTATTTTTTGTAGAGACTGGGTCTAGCTACATTGCCCAGGCTGGTCTCAAACTCCTGGGCTCAAGCAATCCTCCTGCCTCTGCCTCTGGAAGTGCTGGGGTTACAGGTGTGAGCCACCACGCCCAGCCAGGGCTGGTATTCAGGAAACATAATGAACTCTGCAACTTGCTAAGAAGACAACAACCCAATTAAAAATGGGTGAAAGGTTTGAATATACATTTCACCGAAGAAGATATACAAACAGCCCATAAGCACATGAAAAGATGACTAACATCATTACTCATCCAGGCAATACAGATCAAAACAAGAGATACCACTTCCCATCAAGGGAAATGGCTAAAAATTTGAAAAGCTGACAATACCAAGTGCTGATGAGGATGCAGAACAACTGAAATGCTCGTAGTGTTGGTGGAAATAAAAAATGGTACAATCACTTCGGAAAACAGTTGGGCAGTTTCTTAAAAAGTTAAAAATAGTGGCCGAGTGCAGTGGCTCATGCCTGTAATCCCGGCACTTTGGGAGGCTGACGCGGGCAGATCACGAGTTCAGGAAATCGAGACCATTCTGGCTAACACAGTGAAACCCCATCTCTACTAAAAATACAAAAAATTAGCCGAGCGTGGTGGCAGACACCTGTAGTCCCAGCTACTCGGGAGGCTGAGGCAGGAGAATGGCGTGAACCCAGGGGGCAGAGCTTGCAATGAGCTGAGATCGCACCACTGCACTCCAGCCTGGGCAACAGAGCAAGACTCCGTCTCAAAAAAAAAAAAAAGTTAAAAATAGGAGCTCGAGGCAGGCAGATAGCTTGAGCCCAGGAGTTGGAGACCAGCCTGGGCAACATGGCGAAACCCCATCTCTACCAAAAATCCAAAAACAATTAGCAGGGCATGGTGGCGTGTGCCTGTGGTCCCAACTACCTGGAAGGCTGAGGCACAAGAATCGCTTGAACCCAGGAGGCAGAGGTTGCAGTGAGCCAAGATTGTGCCACTGCACTCTAGCCTGGATGACAAAGTGAGACCTTGTCTCAAAAAAAAAAAAAGAAAGTTAAAAATACACCTCCCATATAACCCAACCACCCAAGAGAAGCAAAAATATGTGTCCATAGAAAGTTTTATAAACAAGTGTTCATACCAGCTTTACTCATAACAGCCCAAAAGTAAAATCTCCATCAACCAGTGCCTGTACAAACAAAAGTAGGGCAGCTGTTTTTCATTTTAATTTTATTTTTATTTTTGAGACAGGGTCTCACTCTGTCACCCAGGCTGAGTGTAGTGGTGCAATCATGGTTCACTGCAGCCTGGAAGTTCCTGGGCTCAAGTGATCCTCCCACCTCAGCTTCCTGGGTAGCTGGGACCAAAGGCGAGTGCTACCATGCCCAGCTAACTTTTTATTTTTTGCAGCTGGAGTCTCACTATGTTGCCAAAGCTAGTCTCGAACTCCTGGACTGAAAGGATCCTCCTGCCTCAGCCTACCAAAGTGCTGAGATTACAGGATTGAGCCGCCATGACCAGTCTTCATTTTTATTTTAGAACAGAGACAGGTCTCTGTCACCCAGGCTGGAGTGTGGTGGCATGATCATGGCTCACTGCAGCCTCGACCTCCTGGGCTCAAAGAATCCTCCCACCTCAGCCTCCCCAGTAGGGGACTACAGGCATGCGCCATCACGCCTGGCTGAACTTTTTTTTTTTTTTTTTTTTTTTTTTTTTTTTTTTTTTTTTTGTAGAGACAGGGTCTTGCCATATTGCCCAAGCTGGTCTTGAACTCCTGGACTCAAGCAATTCCCCCCACCTCAGCCTCCCAAAGTGCTGGGATTAAAGGTATGAGCCACCATGCCTGGCCCAAAGTGGTATATTTATATAATAGAATACTTCTTAGCAATAAAGAACTACTGATATGTGCAACATAGATGAATGCTTTTTTTTTTTTTTTGAGATGGAGTCTCGCTCTGTCACCCAGGTTCAAGCGATTCTCCCGGGTTCAAGCGATTCTCCTGTCTCCACCTCCCAAGTAGCTGGAACTACAGGTGTGTGCCACCACGCCCGGCTAATTTTTGTATTTTTAGTAGAGACAGGGTTTCACTATGTTGACCAGGCTGGTTTCGAACTCCTGACCTCAGGTGATCCACCCGCCTCAGCCTCCCAAAGTGCTGGGATTACAGGCGTGTGCCACCACGCCCGGCCGGATGAATGTTTAAAACATTTTGCTAAGTAGAAGAAACTAGACACGAAGGACTCCATATTGTATGAATCCGTTCATATGAAATTTCAAAACCGTATACACAGAATGCAGATTAGTGGTTGCCTGGGCCTGGAAACACAGATTGGCTGCAAATGGGCACAGAGAACTTTCTGGGTAGTAGAAATGTCCTAAAACTGGGGTGTGGTGATAGTTGCACAACTCTATGTTTATACTAGAAGTCATCAAACCATACAATTAATTTTTAGTAGAGACGGGGTTTCATCATGTTGGCTAGGTTGGTCTCAAACTCCTGACCTCAGGTGACCCACCTGCATTGGCCTCCCCAAGTGCTGGGATTACAGGTGTGAGCCACTATGCTGGGCCCAAACCATACACTTAAGATGGGAGAGGCCGGGCATAGTGGCTTATACCTGTAATCCCAGCACTTTGGGAGGCCGAGGTGGGTGAATTGCTGGAGCTCAGGAGTTTGAGACCAGCCTGGGCAACATGGCGAAAATCTATCTCTACAAAATAATACAAAATGTAGCCAGGTGTGGTGGTGCATGCCTGTAGTCCGAGCTACTGGGGAGGCTAAGGTGAGAGGATTGCTTCAGCCCAGGAGGTTGAGGCTGCAGTGAGCTGTGATCACACTACCACACTCCAGCCTGGGTGACAGAGTGAGACCCTGTCTCTAAAAAAGTTAAAAAAATTTTTTAAAAAGGGCCGGGCATGGTGGCTCACGCCTGTAATCTCAGCACTTTGAATACACATTTCACCAAAGAAGATATATAAACAGCCCATAAGCACATGAAAAGACGGCCGAGGCAGGCAGATCACTGAAGGTCAGGAGTTTGAGACCAGCCCGGCCAACGTGGTGAAACCCTGTCTCTACTAAAAATACAAAAATTAGCTGGGCGTGGTGGCACACACCTGTAGTTCCAGCTACTTGGGAGGTGGAGGCAGGAGAATCGCTTGAACCCGGAAGGCGGAGGTTGCAGTGAGCTGACATCGCACCACCATGCTCCAGCCTGGGCAACAAAGCGAGACTCCATCTCAAAATAAATAAATATAAATAAATAAACAAACTAGATTATGAATGAATGAATGAATGATACTTACCCAAGAGGTGAGAAGTCCAGGACACCATTCTCACCTCCTTAGGACATAGCACTCAGGTCTGAGTGGCTTGTGGTGATCAGCCCAGCTGGTCAGACACCACAGGTCATCACACAGCCGGTCTGGCCTCCCAACCAGCCAGCATCCCCTCTGAGGCAGAGATCAGGCGTGAGAACCCTGTCCCTGGCACTGGAGGCTCCTGCAGATGACCCTGCAGTCCTTACCACCCGCCTGACACTGTCCCACCTCCCAGAGGCCACCTGTGTCTTTTCTCCCACCTGCTTCACTTCTCCTATTTGCATTACCTACTGACACCTAGCCTGATGCCACCTCCTCCAGGAAGTCTCTCAGGACCTTCGGCCCACAGAGACCTCAGGATCACATGTGGAGCCAAGGAGGAGAGAGTATGCTGTTCTTGTCTGTCTTCGTCATGCCACCTGGGAGCTTACAGGCAACTTCAGGCAGGGCCATAGTCTCTCCTCTCTGGGAACCCAGCCTGAGCCATGGTGCCTGGCACAGAGCCATGATCTGGAATTCCCACGACAACACACCTACAGCCGCCCAGAGGACACAAATCCCCAGAAACACTACTCCCAGGGAACGCTCCCAAAATTAACCTCCAGCCCTCCTGAACCACCCCCCAGCAGCCTCCAGTATGAAGAACCTACTGTTGCCGGGCACGGTGGCTCATGCCTGTAATCCCAGAACTTTGGGAGGCTGAGGCGGGCAGATCACAAGGTCAGGAGTTTGAGACCAGCCTGGCCAACAGAGTGAAACCCTGTCTCTACTAAAAATACAAAAAAATTAGCCAGGCATGGTGGTGGGCACCTGTAGTCCCAGCTACTAGGGAGGCTGAGGCAGGAGAATCACTTGAACCCAGGAGGCGGAGGTTGTGGTGAGCCGAGATGGTGCCATTGCACTCCAGCCTGGGCGACAGATCGACACTCAAACAAAACAAAACCAAAAACAAAAAAACGAACCTACTGTCTACCAGGCATTGCACGAATGTGGCCTCATGTCCTCCCCAGCCCCTGCACAAGGCAGAGGTCCTCTGACAGGTGGAGCTTCCCGAGTGCAGAGAAGTTCGGGGACTCAAAGTCACACACTGCTAAGTGGCTGTCCTGGAATCAGACCCGGGTCTGGCCCTTCCCTACCTCCCATCCTGCCGAGCCCAGCCCTGGAATAACATTTGTGAGCCCCCTGGCCTCTGGGGACAGCGTCCGCCTGCCACGGCTCACAAAGGAAACCAAAGAGCTGGCAGGAGAGGAGAACCAAGGCGGCATTCAGTCAGGCCCGGCCACCCTTGCTGTGGGAGGGGGAGAAGGGTGCAGAGGGGGAGCAGCCCCCCTGTCCCCGAGGAGCACCCGGAAGGGGAGAGGGGAGAATAGTGAACAGGAAGAAGGGGGAGGCCACCTGCCCTCGTGTGACTCAGCTGTGCTGGTGGGACAGAGGAAGAGAGAGGGATTCTTGGAAAACGCTGGGACTTGATGATAAATTGGCCTCTGGCCACACTGTGGCCGACGTGGGAGGCGGGGAAGCCTGGGGCAGTCCCAGCTCCAAACCCCAGACTTTCTCCGAGTGGCTGTGAGCCCTTGGCCCAGAGAGAGCCTCAGTTTCATTACCTGTAAAATGGGGTACAAGTGTCACCACCTCCTGGGAGTGAGGCAGAGAAGACACCCCAGGAGTATGCCCGGCTGCTCGGGAAGGGGACTGTCACTACTCTCTGGAGGCCCTGGTGCACAGGACGGACAGGCGAGGGCGGGGTGGCATTCAGACCAACAGTCCCCCTTTTGTGCCACCCTCCGATGCCGTTTCCCAGAGACAAGCCCCGGCTGCATTTCACGCCTTCCATTTCAGCTGCCCGGGGGTGGCGGGCTGCAGCCTCGGAACTCTGCCAATCAGGGCCCCGGCGGAGGGGGACGGGTGCCAAATAGAGCAGTGGAAAGCCCATCTTGGTTTGGCGGGCCAGCCTCATCCTGGGGCGAGGGAGGCAGGAGCCAGGAAGCGGGCACGCCTGCAGAGACCCCGGACGTGGCTCTCTCCCGGAGGGGCAGGTGCTTGGCAGGGACACTGCTGCTGGCTGGGGTGGGTCACATCCAGCCTTCACCAGAGCCCACTCTCTCCAGGGCCCTCGGGGGTCCCAGCAGCTGGGGTGCTCATGCCCACACTTCCTGAGGTGTAACCCGCAGTCCCCACAATCAGGCCCCAGAGGTAGGCTCAGCACAGCCCCTGCCCACATGCCACAAGCCCTAGGGCACCAGGCACAACAGCACCTCTCGGAGGAGCAAGGGACCCGTAACCGGGAGCCTGGGCAGGCAGCACCTGCGGGGCAGAGGGTCTGGGATCCCGCAAAGGAAACTGACCACACTCTGCCAGGTCCACCCAACACCCAAGGATCTGGTGGGGCTGGAAGGCAGCAGGGGATCTAGAGAGTATGAGAGACAGGCAGGGTCTCCTGGACGTGCCCCAGCAATCAGGCTGAGGGGATGAGGGGCCACAGAGAGACTCCAAGCCAGGGGTCCCCCACAATCAGACAAGCACACCAGCAAGACCGCTCTGGGAGCTGAGGATGATGGTGAACTGGCAGCAGGGGCGGTGGGGGGGGGTTGGGGTGCAGGGAGAGAAGCCAGCTGGGGGCTGCTGAGATGGAAGCAGATCCCTAAAATGTGACCGGGTGCGGTGACTCATGTCTGTAATCCCAGCACTTTGGGAGGCCAAGACAGGAGGATCACCTGAGGTCAGGAGTTCAAGACCAGCCTGGGCAACATGGCGAAACCCCATCTCTACTAAAAATAGAAAAATTAGCTGGGCGTGGTGGCGCATGCCTGTAATCCCAGCCACTTGGGAGACTGAGGCAGGAGAATCACTTGAACCCAGGAGGCAGAGATTGCAGTGAGCTGAGATGGTGCCATTGCACTCCAGCCTGGGCGACAAAGTGAGACTCCGTCTCAAAAACAAACAAACAACAAACAAAATGAGGCCTGATCTGGGACAGAGAGGGGACACTGGGAGGGAGGTGGGGGGAGGTAGGGGCTGCAGCAGAGAACTCAAAGCAACCACAGGGCACAAACCTGAGGGCAACCCAACGACAGGTGGGCAGGAATGGGACCAGCCTTTGCGGGGGAGGCCAGGCTGCACAACCCACCAGCTGAGAGACAGAGAGCTGCTGTGCCTCCCCAGGAACAGGAAAATGCAAACCCAGGGTGCCCCATCCAATGGGCAAGTCAAAAGGCCTGGCAATGCCAAGTATTGGAGAGGGGGCAGAGCAGTGGGTGGGTGGGCACGGATGGCACAGTGCCTGGGCTGGACAGGGAACGTAAGTGTACAGTGGAGGGATGGATGGTCCCCTAGAGGGTCCTCCCTGGCAATTGGCCTGCCTGCCCTGGAGCCACCCACAGGATGAACTCCATTGTAAGAGCAGGGAGGGGTGGTTTGGTGGTGGGAGGGGACTGGGGTGGGGTAACTGGGGACTTTATTTATTTATTTATTTATTCATTCATTCATTTATTTATTTTTGGAGACAGGGTCTCCCTCTGTTGCCCAGGCAAGAGTGTAGTGATGCAATCATAGCTCACTGTAGCCTTGAACTCCTGGGCTCAAGTGATCCTCCTTCCTTAGCCTCCCGAGTAGTTGGGACCACAGGTGTATGCCACCATATCCGGCTAATTTATGTAAAGAGAGGATCTCACTATGTTGCCCAGGCTGGTCTTGAACTCCTGGCTTCAAGTGATTCTCTTGGCTCAGCCTCCCAGAGTGCTGGGATTACAGGCATCAGCCACCATGCCCAGCCTTTGTTATATTTCTAAGGTTTGTTTCCTAGCCCTATGGGGTGCACATGGGTGTTCAATGTATCCTGTCTACTCCTTTGAATATCTAACAGATTTCTTAAACTTTTTTTTTTTTTTGTCAGAGTCTCCCTCTGTCGCCCAGGTTTTTTTGTCAGAGTCTCCCTCTGTCACCCAGGTTGGAGTGCAATGGCGTGATCTCGGCTCACTGCAACCTCCACCTCCCGGGTTCAAACCATTCTCCGGCCTCAGCCTCCCGAGTAGCTGGGATTACAGGCATCTGCCATCATGCCCAGCTAATTTTTGTATTTTTGTAGAGATGAGGTTTCACTATGTTGGCCAGGCTGGTCTTGAACTCCTGACCTCAGGTGATCCACCTGCCTTGGCCTCCCAAAGTGCTGGGATTACAGGCATGAGCCACCATGCCCGGCTTCTTAATCATTTTTTTAAAAGAAAAATAAAGATAGGCTAGGTACGGTGGCTCACGCCTGCAATCCTAGCACTCTGGGATGCCAAGGCAAGATCATTTGAGGCCAGGAGTTCGAGACCAGCCTGGACAACACAGTGAGACCTCACCTCCTATTAAAAAAAAAAAATTAGCCAGGCATGGTGACACACACCTGTAGTCCCAGCTACTTAGGAGGCTAAGGTGGGAGGATTGCTTGAGTCCAGAAGTTTGAGGCTGCAGTGAGCTGTGATCTGTGATCCTGCCACTGAACCCCATCCTGGGCCACAGAGCAAGACTCTATTTTTTTTTTTTTTTTTGAGACCGAGTCTCACTCTGTCACCCATTCTGGAGTGCAGTGGCACGATCTCAGCTCACTGCAACCTCCGCCTGCTGAGTTCAAGCGATTCTTGTGCCTCAGCTTCCCAAGTAGCTGAGCCCACAGGAGTGCACCACCACAACTGGCTAATTTTTGTATTTTTAGTAGAGACGGGGTTTCACCATGTTGGCCAGGCTGGTCTCGAACTCCTGACCTCAGGTGATCCGCCTGCCTTCACCTCCCAAAGTGGTGGAATTACAGGCGTGAGCCACCACGCCTGACCTAAGACCCTATTTCTAAAAAAAAAAAAAAAAAAAATAAGAGACACAAGGGGAGGGAGAAGGAAACATTATCTC
Organism: Homo sapiens; assembly: GCF_000001405.40. Lineage (NCBI taxonomy): Eukaryota > Metazoa > Chordata > Mammalia > Primates > Hominidae > Homo > Homo sapiens. The sequence goes on along the minus strand of NC_000007.14, from coordinate 74,303,556 downwards.
CACTGCACAGCCACCAAGAGGCAAGCCCCCAACAGAGAGGACCCCAAAATGCTCACTGCCAGGCCAGGCTTTCTGAGCCAATGGTGAGCCCTTCTCTGAGCATGAAGGGGGCTCCCCAAGCCCTACCCAGCACCCCAATGCCCACACATGCACTAGAATGCCAGTCCCACCCCAATCCTGCACCATGCAGAATCCAGCAGGGGGTCTTGGGTGTAACACCACTCCAGGCTGGCACCTCACCTGCTCCACGGACCCCACTGCCCATCCATCCCACACAGCTTTGTTTGCATTTGCCCAAGGCTCAGGGAATCTGAGAAGGTTGACTTAGGTCACCCAGTGGTGAAGCTAGAGTCTCCACATCCTCCCTGACCAGGGCAAGAAGAGGGCAGGGCTGGACGGCCCCTTCCCTGTGAGTCTTGCCGGCTCTGAGGCGGAACCTGAAGCTCTGAGCCTTATACCCACTATCCCTCAGGCCTGGGAGAGCTGATGGGAGGGTGCCCGGCTGTCTGTACTGCTGTCTCCACCCATACTTGGTCAGTCTTCTCTGCCAGGCCTGCGGGGAGCTGCAGCCCCAGCTGTGCAGGCAACACACACAGCTGCTGGCCAGCAGTAGAGGTACGAGGGAGCCCCAGGAAGAATGGGGTGGGGATAAATCCCGAGCTGCCCTGAGAGCACCCATTGGCCTGGCGGCCATCCAGATAGTGGGGACAGCTGACAGCCAGCGTGGGGATAGGGCCTTGCCCCAGCATCACAGCAGATCCAGGGCTGGAACCCAGGCTCCACAAGCCCACGTGGCTTCAAACAGGAGGGAGGGAGATGAAACTGGCAAGACCACAGTGGATAGTGTGGACCAGGTTTACACAGTGCAGGGCTCTGGGCTCCTGGGCTGAGCAGGGCAGGACAGACCCAGGCCAAGTGCCCCAGTCAAACCCCAACTTCTCTGGCACCTGCAGCTGGGAGACAAGCAAGGGTTGAGTCTAGAAGCCTGGGTTCCGGTCCCACATGCTACCTTTCTCACTATGTCCGAGCTCAGGGCTGTGGTTCCTCAGTTTTAGAGGAGGCATCTTCTGGCCAGGCCTGGTGGGAGGCTGAGGTGTGTGGAACACCTGTGGTCAGGAGTTCGAGACCAGCCTGGCCAACATGGTGAAACCCCATCTCTACTAAAATACAAAAATTAATTGGGCGTGGTGGTGTGCGCCTGTAATCCCTGCTACTTGGGAGGCTGAGGCAGGAGAATCGCTTGAACCAGGGAGGCGGAGGTTGCAGTGAGCTGATATCGCGCCATTGCACTCCAGCCTGGGTGACAGAGTAAGACTCTATTTCAAAAAAATTTTTAAAATAAAAAAAATAAAAAATAAAGGAGGCATCTTCCTTGCCCTGCCAACAGCCTGAGGGACCACAGGGCCCTGGGAACGCCCAGCCTGTCTGTCTCGCGGGAGCTAGACACACACACAGAGTTGGCATGCTCAGAACCACCAGCCACAAAAAAAGGTCCAACGCTGAAAATAACCCACACATCCATTACCATTAGAATGAGTCAATAAGGCCAGGCATGGTGGCTCGTGCCTGTAATCCCAGCACTTTGGGAGGTCAAGGCGGGTGGATCACTTGAGGCCAGCAGTTCGAGACCAGCCTGGCCAACATGGTGTAACCCCATCTCTACTAAAAATACAAAAATTAGCCTGGTGTGGTGGAGGGCACCTGTAATCCTAGCTACTTGGGAGGCTGAGGCAGGAGGATCACTTGAGCCCAGGAGATAGAGGCTGCAGTGAGCCGAGATCACGCCAGCGCACTCCAGTCTTAGCAACAGAGCAAGACTCTGTCTCAAAAAAACAAAAAAAACAAAACAAACAAACAAAAAACAATGCCAGGCGCAGTGGCTCACGCCTGTAATCCCAACACTTTGGGAGGTGGAGGTGGGCGGATCACCTGAGGTCAGGAGTTTGAGACCAGCCTGGCCAACATGGTGAAACCCCGTCTCTACCAAAAATACAAAAAAAAAAAAAATTAGCCGGGCATTGTGGCGGGTGCCTGTAATCCCAGCTACTCGGGAGGCTGAGGCAGGAGAATCACTTGAACCCTGGAGGTGGAGGTTGCAGTGAGCCGAGATCACGCTATTGCACTGCAGCCTGGCAACAAGAGCGAGACTCCGTCTCAATAATAATAACAATAATAATAATAAGTAAATAAGTTGTGGTTTGTTCACACAATAGAATAACATACAGCAATGAGAATGAATGAATGCCAACTGCATGCAATGATGTGTAAGGACCTTGCAATTACAATCTCAAGTGAAAGAAGTCGGACATAAAAAGAGTGCACACAAAAGAAGACATACAAGCGGCCAAGAACCATATAAAAAATGCCCAGCATCACAGATCATCAGAACATGCAAATTAAAATCACAATGAGATACCATCTTAAGCCAGTAAGACTGGCTATTATTCAAAAGCCTGAAAACAATGCATGTTGGAGAGGATGTGGAGGAAAGGGAACGCGTATACACTGTTGGTAAGAATGTAAATTAGTACAACCTTTATGAGAAATGGTGCAGAGATTTCTCAAAGAACTGAACATAGAATGGCCCTTCCATCCAGCAATCCTACTAATTGCCATCTACCCAAAGGAAAATGATTCATTCTATCCAAAGGATACCAGCACTGGTATGTTGATCACAGCACAATTCACAAGAGCAAAGATATGGAATCAACATATGTGTCCGTCAAGGGAGGACTGGATAAAGAAAATGCGGTATATGTCTACCACGGAATGCCACTCAGCCATCAAAAAGAATGAAATCAGGCCGGGCACGGTGGCTCACGCCTGTAATCCCAGCACTTTGGGAGGCCGAGGCGGGTGGATCATGAGGTCAGGAGATCAAGACCAGCCTGGCTAACACGGTGAAAACCCGTCTCTACTAAAAATATAAAAAAATTAGCCGGGCGTGGTGGCGGGCGCCGGTAGTCCCAGCTACTTGGGAGGCTGAGGCAGGAGAATGGCGTGAACCTGGGAGGCGGAGTTTGCAATGAGCCGAGATGGCACCACTGCACTCCAGCCTGGGCGACAGAGCGAGACTCCGTCTCAAAAAAAAAAAAAAAAGAATGAAATCATGTCTTTTTCAGCAACATGGATGGGAGCCATTATCCCTAGAAAACAACTCGGAAAATCAAATACCACATGATTGCACTTCTAAGTGGGAGCTAAACAGTGGGTATACATGAAAATACAGAGGGGAATAATAGACGCTGGAGACTACAAAAGGTGGGAAGAGGCTGGGTGTGGGGGCTCATGCCTGTAATCCCAGCACTTTGGGAGGCCAAGGCGGGTGAATCATTTGAGGTCAGGAGTTCGAGACCAGCCTGGCCAAACTGGCAAAATCCCATCTCTACTAAAAATACAAAAATTAGCCAGGTGTGGTGGTGCATACCTGAATTCCCAGCTACCAGGGAGGCTGAGGCAGGAGGATCGCTTGAACCCAGGAGGCGGAGGTTGCAGTGAGCTGAGATCGTGCCACTGCACTCCAACCTGGGCAACAAGAGCAAAATTCCGTCCAAAAAAAAAGCTGGGTGGAGTGGCTCATGCCTGCAATCCCAGCACTTTGGGAGGCCAAGGCAGGTGGATCACCTGAGATCAGGAGTTCGAGACCAGCCTAACCAACATGGAGAAACCCTGTCTCTACTAAAAATACAAAATTAGCCGGGCATGGGGGCACATGCCTGTAATCTAGCTACTTGGGAGGCTGAGGCAGGAGAATCGCTTGAACCCGGAAGGTGGAGGATGCGGTGAGCCGAGATCACACCATTGCACTCCAGCCTAGGCAACAAGAGCGAAACTCCGTCTCAAAAAAAAAAAGAAGAAGAAGAAGGGCCTCGAGTCAGCACCCCAGGGTGCTCTCACTCCCACACCTTCTCCTGCAGGCAAGGGCTGGGGAAGAGGCTGAGCCCACTGAGGTTCAGGCCTGGTCCCTGAGTGGCATAAGCGGCCCCAGCCAGAGGCGACAGGGTGCAAACCAGGGTCCACTCCAGGGTGTGGTGGCTTGGAGAAAAGATGAACCCAGCAGGCCATGAGCACCTGCTATGCCCCTGAGGGGCAGCCCAGCACACTACTATGGGTGGGGAGAGTGGAGGAGGAACAGAACTTGGTGGCCCAGGGATTAGGACAGTCACTAATAAGCCTTCAAGGCAGGGCCTTTATTTATTTATTTATTTATTTATTTATTTATTTATTTATTTTAGACAGGGTCTTGCTGTGTTGCCCAGGCTAGAATGCAGTGGCACAATCACAGCTCACTGCAGCCTCAAACTCCTGGGGTCAAGCAATCCTCCCACCTCAGCCTCCTGAGTAGCTGGGATTATAGACACTGTACCTGGCTAATTTTTGTATTTTTTATAGAGACAGGGTTTTGCCAAGGTGCCCAGGCTGGTCTCCAACTCCTGGGCTCAAGTGATCATCCTGCCTTAGCCTCCCAAAGTGCTGGGATTACAGGTGTGAGCCACCATACCTGGCCTCAACATCAGTGTTTTTTCTTTTGTTGCTTCCAGAAAGGGAACTGCATGTTAGTCATCAAATTCTGGCTGAAAGCCACAGACACCCACCCACATTCATATCCACTAGGTCACACGTCCAGGCTTTTGCACGTGCCATGCCGGGTTCCTAGAATGCCCTTCCTCTCACTGGGCGCAACTTTTTTACTTAAACGTTTTTTAAAAATAGAAACAGACTGGGCACAGTGGCTCACATCTGTAATCCCAGCACTTTGGGAGGCCGAGGCTGGCGGTGACAATCACCTGAGGTCAGGAGTTTGAGACCAGCCTGGCCAACATGGTGAAATCCCATTTCTACTAAAAGTACAAAAAATTAGCTGGGTGTGGTGGCACGTGCCTGTAGTCCCAGCTACTTGGGAGGCTGAGGCAGGAGAATCGCCTGAACCCAGGAGGCGGAGGCCGCAGTGAGCCGAGATCACGCCACGCCACTGCACTCCAACCTGGACAGCAGAGTGAAACTCTGTCTCAATAAAATAAAATAAAATAAAATAAATAAAAATAGAGACAGGGGCCAGGTGTGGTGGCTCATGCCTGTAATCCCAGCACTTGCAGAGGCCGAGCTGGGTGGATCAGCTGAGATCAGGAGTTCAAGACCAGCCTGACCAACACTGCAAAACCCTGTCTCTACTAAAAATACAAAAAAAAAAAAAAAAAAACCAATTAGCAGGGTGTGGTGGTAGGCACCTGTAATCCCAGCTACTGGAGAGGCTGAGGCATGAGAATTGCTTGAACCCAGAAGGTGGAGATCACAGTGAGCTTAGATCACGCTACTGCACTCCAGCCTGGGCAACAGAGTGAAACTGTGTCTCAAAAAAAAGTAAATAAATAAAAGAAGAGACAGGATCTCACTATGTTGCCCAGGTTGGTCTCGAACTCCTAGGCTCAAGTGATCCTCCTGCCTCGGCCTCCCAAAGCGCTGAGATTGCAAGCGTGGGCACTGCACCGGACCGTGGGTGCAGCTTTAGGAGGGCAAGATCTTTGCATATCTTGTTCATTGCTGGGTTCTCGGTACCTAGGACAGCACCCAGACCATAGAGGAGCTCAAAAATACATGTTTAGTGAATATATGAATGCATTAAAGTGCCCTCCTCTGGATCGCTTGAGCCCTGGAGGTGGAGGTTGCAGTGATCCAAGATGGCACGACTGCACTCCAGCCTGGGTGACAGAACGAGACTCCATCTCAAAAAAAAAAGAAAAAAATGCCCTCCTCCGCTACTCTCGTCCTCCTCCCATCGAGTTGGATTCTTACAGTGCCTTGTTCACACCCCATAGCCACATTCACCCAGCCTGCTTGGAGCTATCTCTGGGAAGGACAGAGAGAAGCAGATCAACATTCCAACTGACAGGTCGTGCTGGAAAGGCTGGTCCCCTAAGCACGCAAGGCATGGAGTGTTCCCAGGGGTAGGTCCCACAAACAAAGGAACAGGCAGTGAGCCCCCCATCACTGGAGGGGTTCAAGTAGACAGAGGCTGAGGCTTCCTCTCAAAGGGGGGGCCCTGCTTTTGTTTTCTTATTCGGTTTTTTGGGTTTTTTTTTGAGACAGGATCTTGCTCTGTCCCCCAGGCTGGAGGGTGGTAGCACAATCATGGCTCACTGCAACCTCAACTTCCCAGGCTCAAGCAATCCTCCTGCCTCAGCTCCTCCCACCCCAGTGGCACTACAGGCAGGCGCCACCAAGCCCAGTTATTTCTTTCTTATTTTTTGTAGACATGGGCCCTTGCTAGGTTGCCCAGGCTGGTCTCAAGCTCCTGAGCTCAAGCAATCCTCCTGCCTTGGCCTCCCAAAGTGCTAGGATTACAGGTGTGAGCCACCACACCCAGCTGGTCCCTGCTCTTGTTGGGACAGCTGCCCTTAGAGGCTCTCTTGAGCTTACACCAGGATTCCGCAGCTGTACAGATGCATCTCTTCCCCTGCACCCCAGGCCCAAGCTGACTGAGGACACAGACTCCAAGGAGAAAGCAGCAAGCCAGGAGCCCAGATACCTGTGTCAGAAAGGCGACCCACTGCTGATCAGCAAGTAACTGGGGACGATGGTGTCTGCAAGGGAACAAATGCTGGTCTTAGGGACTATATTAGTCTGCTATGGCTGTCATTACAAAGGACCACAGACTAGGTGGCTTAAACAACAGAGATGTAGCGTTCACAGCTATGGAGGCTGGAAGTCCAAGGCCAAGGTATCAGCAGGGTTGGTTTCTTTTTCTTTTCTCTTTTTTTTTTTTTTTTTGAGACAAAATCTTACTCTGTCACCCAGGCTGGAGTGCAGTGACGCGATCTCAGCTTACTGCAACCTCTGCCTCCCGGGTTCAAGCAATTCTCCTGCCTCAGCCTCCCGAGTAGCTGGGACTATAGGTGCACACCACCACACCCGGCTAATTTTTTATCTTTTTAGTAGAAACAGGGTTTCACCACATTGGCCAGACTGGTCTTGAACTCCTGACCTCATGATCTGCCTGCCTCAGCCTCCCAAAGTGCTGGGATTACAGGCGTGAGCCACCGTGCTCGGCCCTCTTAGTGTCGCTCTGTTGCTCAGGCTGGAGTGTGGTGTGGCAATCCCAGCTCACTGCAGCCTCTGCCTCCCAGGTTCAAGTGATTCTCCTGCCTCAGCCTCCCGAGTAGCTGGGATTACAGGTGCATGCCACTACATCTGGCTAATTTTTGTATTTTTAGTAAAGACAAGAGTTTCACCATGTTGGCCAGGCTGGTCTTGAACTCCTTATCTCAGGTGATCTGCCTGCCTCAGCCTCCCAAAGTGTTGGGATTACAGACGTGAGGCTTGAGCCACCGTGCTGGGCACAGCAGGGTTGTTTTTTTCGGAGGCCTCTCTCCTTGGCGTGTAGATGGCTGTCTTCTCCCTGGTTCCTCCTGTGGTCTTCCCTCTGAACATGCCTGTGTCCAAATGTCCTTTTCTTACAAGGACAATGGTCATATTGGATGAGGACACCAGTCATATTAGATGAGGGCCCAAATGACCTCATTTGAACTTGATTATCTCTATAAAAACGCTTTTTTTTTTTTTTTTTTTTGGAGACAGGGTTTCACTCTGTCATCCAGGCTGGAGTGCAGTGGCACGATCATAGCTCATTGCAGACTCAAACTCCTGGGTTCAAGAGATCCTCCTGCCTCAGCATCCAGAGTAGCTGGGACCACACCCAGCTAATTTTTTAATTTTCTGTAGAGATGAAGTCTGGCTCTGTTGCCCACGCTGCTCTCAAACTCCTAGGCTCAAGTGATTCTCCCTCCTTGCCCTCCCAAAGTGCTGGGATTACAGGCGTGAGCCCTGATGCCTGGCCTAATTTTCTCATTTACTTTTAATCTGGTTATACTGCGTTTATCTTTGTAAATCACCTCAAGTCCTTTCTGGAATCAGATGAAGAACACACAAGCCCCTTTCAGATGTCTTCCCTCTCCTCTGTGGCCCCTGGCTCCAAAGAAGCTGAACATGAGCAAAGTAAAGAAACAAATGAATGGATTTGTGCAGGGAACAGCCTACATTACAAAAGGGAACAGGCTAGCGAAGTAGAAAGGTACGAGGTGGCAAAAAACCCAGACATCCAACGTTACTTCTCCCCGCCGCCAGTATAACTCCCCCAACTTCACACTCAATGTGGGAGAATGGTGAGTTTTTCACTGAGCCCCTAGACAGACACTCTACTCCCTGCTGCCCCAGCTTCTCAACTTTTCTCCCTTTGCCCCCATCATGAATGCCCTCCTTAACTGCCTCAAGCCCACCTATGCTTCAAAACTCAGCCCCAGCTGGGTGCAGTGGCTCACACCTATAATCCTAGCACTTTGGGAGGCCAAGGTGGGAGGATCGCTTGATCTCAGGGGTTTGAGACCACCCTGGGCAACACGGTGAAACCCTGTCTACAAAAAAATATAAAAATTAGCTGGGCATGGTGACATGCACTTGTAATCACAGCTAATAGAGGCTAACTAAGGTGGGATGATGGCTTGAGCCTGGGAGGTCAAAGCTGCAGTGAGCCGAGATCACGCCACTGCACTCCAGCCTGGGTGACAGAGCCAGGCCCTGTCTCAAAACAAAACAAAACAAAACCTAGCCCCAGTTCTATTCCTCCAGGAAGCCCTTCAGACTACCCCACCCACCACACCAGAGCCCAGCCTCCCTGCATAACCTTCAGATCAATATGCAGCCGTTGCCCAGCCAACAGCTCCACTAGGCATCAAAGTGTCTGGCCTTGAAATGTTTCTGGAAAGGGCTGATATTGTTTACATTGTCAGGAAGCAGGGCGGATGTCTTCCCAATTTAGTAAAAGCTTGTGGAAGCTCAATGCTGCACATTGTGAGGTGGGCAGGGGCTGGAGCACCCCCAAAAGGAGCTAGGGCAGCATCAGCCAGGTTTAGCTACAGGCAAGGGCAGACCAGCTTGAGACCTCAGGGTGACGGGGGTGACGCTGAAAAACCAGGCGCTCCTCCTGGTGAGCCGGAAATTCCGCCCTCTCATCCCAAGGGACCAAAAAGGCAAAGGAGGGAAATGAATCGGGAGCGGGTGTCGCTCAGGGCTCAGGCTAGAGTGGAAGGTATGATCCCAGCCATGGAGCAAGAAACGCTCCATCAAGACAGAAGCCGTTAAGTAGAGAAGGTCCTAAATTCAGGCCTCGTTAATAAAAACCATCTGGCCTGTTCTGCCTTCTATTCAGAAGGGAAACGTTTCATTAACATTTTGAAGCATTTCCTCTGCAAACATGAGTTTTGTATTACTGGTTCTGTTGTGACGGCCCTAGCCTTGCAGCCCAGTGAGAAGAGCCAGGATAGGAGGCTCTGGCTGGGCGCAGTGGCTCACGCCTGTAATACTAGGTCTTGAACTCCTTATCTTTTGGGAGGCCAAGGCGGGCAGATCACTTGAGGTCAGGAGTTCGAAACCAGCCTGGCCAACATGGTGAAACCCCATCTCTACTAAAACTACAAAAATTAGCCAGGCGTGGTGGCGCGTGCCTGTAATCCCAGCTACTCAGGAGGCTGAGGCAGGAGAATCACTTGAACCCGGGAGGCAGAGGTTGTGGTGAGCTGAGATCATGCCACTGCACTCCAGCCTGGGCAACAAGAGCGAAACTCCATCTCAAAAAAAAAAACAAAAAAAAAGCCCGAGTCCCACGCTGCCGGTTGGACCCAAATCTCCAGGTCCTGAAAGGAGAGAGCCTCCTCCTGTCCCGGGGCAGGGCTGGGGGAAGCCAGTGGCAGGCAGCCCTGGCCATCCCACCTGTCCTCTCCTCCCCACACTGGCCTGATCAGTGCACTCTGGTTTCTTTCAACAAATCATGCTGCAAGTCCCACATCCTGTGGCACAATGGCTAATTGACCACGGGTCTGCCTCCCCCATCAGCTCATGAACTCCCTGAATGCCCAGATTTGCTGGTCCTCACCTAACACACAACCTTCATCATCAATGCAGCCAACCAATTATCCCAACTGTGCCAGCCCCAGAGACCACGTGACCTGCCCCCCCACTAGCCGAGCAGAGGCGGGTGGGCTTCCTCATCCAGGCTGGACCAATCAGTGTCTCTCTGCACCCCAAGATGAAGGAGACCCCCACTGGGAGGTCCCGTGGACTCAGGCTACAGCCCCATTCAACACAGCCACACTCACAACCCAAGGAGACGGAGCCTGTAGGGGAAAGGAGAAGGAGACGGGACAGATGCGCTGAGAGAGGCCGAAAAAATGAAACCGCAGTCCACAGAGAGGAAAGCCAGAGGAGGAGCTGCCTGCCAGCTTCCGGGGTCCCGGGGGGCCAGGTCGCCTCCAATTGTTTGCTGCACAAGTTCTCTGTTCTCCACTCTTAAGTCCCTTTTCACTTAACCTAATTGAAGCAGGTTCCTGTTCCTTGCAACAAAATAATCCCAAAGGTATGGGATCGGAGGGCACCCCCACACCACCCTCAAAGCCAGCCCTGCTCCTCAAACCATGCCCACTCCTCACAGTTTATTAAAGGGGCCACGTCAGCCTTAGGTGAGGCAAGCCTGGGTGTGCCCAGCCTGGGAGCATGGGGAGAGCTGCAGTGGAAAGATACAGCCAACTGGGGGCGGACCCTAAAAGCTAGATAGCGTGTTTGGACTTTGCACCTGAGCAAAAGGGATAGGTGTCTGAGAAGGCAGAATCATAATTGTTCAGGGACATGAACCCGAAGAGGGTGGGTAGAATGGTGTGGCCGAAGGAAGCATGCCTCCCAGGCATACAGTAGGTGCTTAGCAAATCCATCAAGGGCAGACACAGCCACCTCTTTGTGCCAGGATATTCTTATCTGTAAAATGTAGGCAACCTTATTAAAATATCCACAAATGAAGGAATGAATTTAAAGAGCTCAGAACCAGGCCAGGCGTGGTGGCTCACGCCTGTAATCCCAGCAATTTGGGAGGTCAAGGTGGGCGGATCACTTGAGGTCAGGAGTTTGAGACCAGCTTGATCAACATGGTGAAACCCTGCCTCTACTAAAACTACAAAAAATTAGCCAGTCTTGGTGGCATGGGCCTGTAGTCCCAGCTATTCGAGAAGCTGAGGCAGGAGAATCACTTGAATCTGGGAGGTGGAGGTTGCAGTGAGCCGAGGTGGCACCACTGCACTCCAGCCTGGGCGACAGAGCAAGATGCTGTCTCAAAAAAGCTCAGAACAATTCTCCACAAAGTAAGCACTTAATATATACTTTTTTTTTCAACCTGCACAAAAGCTGAAGTTCTCACAAGAACCAATGAGCAGGGAATCTGAGGGTCACAAATGCAGCTTCCCTCCCCTGTGTATGGAAGTGGAGGTAGAGCAGGTGGTGTCAAGAGGGCAGAACTGGCTGGGTGCAGTGGCTCACGCCTGTAATACCAGCACTTTGGGAGCCTGAGGCAGGTGGATCACCTGAGGTCAGGAGTTCAAAACCAGCCTGGCCAACATGGTGAAACCCCGTCTCTACTAAAAATACTAAAATTAGCCGGACATGGTGGCACATGCCTGTAATCCCAACTACTTGGGAGGCTGAGGCAGAATTGCTTGAACCCAGGAGGCAGAGGTTACAGTGAGCCAAGATCGCGCCATTGCACTCAAGTCTGGGCAACAAGAGTGAAACTCCATTTCAAAAAAAAAAAAAAAAAAGAGGGCAGGATCAACTGTCAGGGTGGCAGGGCCAGGAGGGGAGGCCAAGAGGGAACTGGGGGACCACACGTGGGCAGGCCTGCCAGGTGGGGAGCAGGGACAACTGGGGCTGTGGGGAGATGGCCTTTCTATCACCAAGGGAGGCAGGACCAGGGAGGAGGCTGCAGTGAGGCAGAGAACAGCAGGTGCCGGGTCAGGGCTAACCAGCAAGGGTGCTGAAGAAGGACAAACAGCCTGGAAGGGGCACGAGCCTCCTCTCCCTGAAACGTGTGTGAGTGGGGCCAGGAAGCCACTCTGTACGGCAGCAACAACACTTATAGGACATCTACTCTGTCACAGGGCACACAGTTCTCCTAACAACCCTAAAAGCCAGATACCATAAGGATCCCAATTTTACAGATGAGGATGTCGAGGCAGAGAGAGATGCAATGTGCAAGGTCACATAGCTAGGGAGTGGCAGAGCTGGGATTTGAACCCGGGCTGTTAAGCTCCAGCATCTGAACTCTTCACCGCCAAGGTAGACAGCAGATGCCGGAAAGCGATTACTGCTCCTTGGAGTAAATTCCCCCTGCTGGGACTTTGGGCTCTGAGTGCAGAATTCCAGGCACCACCTTCCCAGCCTGCACGGTGCTGAGGGCTGGAGTTTGCAGGTGCACACAGGTGTGTGTGGAGGAGGCTCCTCCCAGGCGCCTCCACCTGCCTCTTCTGCCTTTGGAGCCCCTCTCCATCTCCACCGCCTCCACCTGTCCTGAAGCCAGAATCCCATCATTCCCCCGCAAGGCACTGCAGACAAGAATGCATCCTGTGCTCAACGCAGGTCTAAGTTCCTTAAATCCTAAGCTGTTTCTCTAACCCAATAGCCTCCTTTTCTGACTCCAAGCCCTTATTCACGCTATTTCTCCTGCACGAAACCCCCTTCAGGCAACCTGGCAGCAAACTTCTGCAAGATGCTCTATGAAGCTTCCTGGTCTGCCCCATCCTCCAGGGGACCCCCTCTATGCCCCCAGCTTCCCCACTAATGCACTCATCAACCCCCGGGGCTGCACTTTTTGGGGACACCGAGGCTGCTGTCCTGTGGACCAGCCAGCCCCTAGAAGTGCCAGGCCAGGTAACAGCAGCTGAATGAAGGGCTTATTGTTTACATTTACAACCGAAAGGGAAGAGGCTTCTGAAGCACACACGTGGTGCTCCCCGCACCCTCCTCCTCCTCTGCCCACAGCCCTAGGCCACCCCACCCACCTCCCTCAGGCATCGCGCAAGAGTGACGGCAGACCCCCTCATCCCAGACCCCCACTTCTCACCCAGAAGTGAGAGGAGGGGTCTCAGACGTTGGGGGACACACTGCTGGGTGGGTGATTTCCCCCCAAGGTGCTCCCTCTGCCCGTCCTTCCCAGGGTGGGGCTGGGGCCTGCGTGGCAGTGCCCAGTGGGCACCCGCTCGGCCCAAGCTCTGCCTGAAAGGTCCAAACGGGCGGGCCCTGAAGGTTCAGCCAAGCATCCTCCGCGGCCGCCGCCCCTCCCCGGGAGGAGGGCAGAAAATCTGCTGCCTCACCAGCCACCAGCGCCAGCTTGGGGGGACACCCCCTGAGAGAAGCCGCCCGCCTCAATCTCCTCCTACCCCACCTCAGCCAAGCACTTCAACCAAGTTTTGCAAAGGCCATCGGCCAGGCGACCCCAGAGGGTGTAGCAGGGAGGAGAGGGGGGCAGTCCCTGTTCTCCCAGACCCCAGGTTTGGAGATGGGGGCTGCATGGCCGCGCCCACCAGGCTGTGCTCCCCAGGCTCTGTGAGCCCAGAGAGCCCTGCGGCGCGTCCAGCCGTCTTGCTCTGCCCTTGGAAGGGGGTACGGGCGACCCTCCAACAGAAGGGCCAAACCCCCGTCCGAGGGTAGGGACCCCGATGAGGCTGGTGATGCCTTCAACAGGGGGACCCGCAGCCCGGGAATAGCCCCCAACCCTGGCACCCCAAGCAGTGCCCCCTCCTCTCCTACAAGCAACGGGGAAGTTGGGGCACACCCCAGCCAGCTCCCGCCCACGCCCACCGGCCGGCCTCGAACCCTCCCGCCCCCGCCCACGCCCCGACAATGCCTCCGGGCCCGCAGCCCCGCTTTCGGCCAGGCCGCCGCCCCCCGCATCTCTCCGTCCTTTGTTGCCCGCGCGACCCCCTCCCTCGGCCCCTCCAGCAGCCCCTACCTTCGTCCTTCCAGCATCAGGCTAAGCGGCGGGAGGCCCGGAGAGCCCCGGCCTCCTCCTCTCGGGCCCGGGCGCGCTGGGGGGCGAGGATGCTGCGGCCCCTCCCTGCGCGGCGCTGCCCACCGGCTGCACCCCCTCCTGGCGCCGGGGATCCCCGCGATAGGTGCTCAGGGCCCGGGCCTCGCGCCACGTCTCTGGGAAGGCGGGAGGCGCGCACCGAGGCCGCCCAGCAGCCGCCTGCGCGCCCCGCGGCCGAGCCGAGCTGAGCGCCCGCGGAGCCAGCGGAGCCAGCGGAGCCAGCGGCCCGGCTCCGGGAGGGAACAAAAGGGGCCGGCGCAGGGGCGGGCGCGGGAGGGCGGGGCCTGGGGCGGGCGGGAGGGGGGGGCGGGTCAGGCGCGCGTGGGCGGCCTCGCGGTTTTCAGGCCTCAGTGCCTCGCGGAAAGCAGGCGGGCGGGCGGAAAACGCGGAGCAACCTCTTCCCCCTCTCCCCGCTCCATCTCCTTCCCTTCCCAGGCCGCAGCTGTCCTTTGTGGGGCGTCCAGGGTTCGCCCACATCCACCTCCGCGCTGGGCACCTGGTGGTGCTTACATCGCGTTTGGTGAAACGCATCCTCCAGCCATGCTATGCTTGCAAAGATGTCTCTGGTCATTGGGAAGGACGGCAGCTTGGGAAGGTGAGATGCTGTTGGCGCTGGACAGAAAGGATGAGGAGGGGGACAGTGCAGCTGGGGCGAAAACTTCAGGTCTGTGTTGGGGCCAGCGTGGGTGGGGAACTGTGGCACAGGGTCTCATGGTTATCAAGGATCTCATAGCCTGGGCAGTGTCTCACGCCTGTAATCCCAGCACTTCAGGAAGCCAAGGCGTGCAGATCGCCTGAGGCCAAGAGTCCGAGAACAACCTGGGCAACGTAACCTTCGTCTCTACAAAAAATACAAAAATTAGCTGGGCGCGCGCCTGCGGTCCCAGCTACTGGGGAGGCTGGGGTGGGAGGATCGCTGGAGCCCAGGAGGTCGAGGCTGCAGTGAGTCATGATCAAGCCACGGCCCTTCAGCCTGGGTGACAGAGCGAGACTCCGTCCCAAAAGAAAAAAAAAAAAGGATCTCATGGTGATCAGCTTCCAAGATACAAATGAACCCTCCCCAGGACAGGATGCATGTACTGCTATTTCAGAGGAGTTGAGGCAGCTGCCAGGTCCCCTCCTGCGTGGAGAGGCAGATGCCAAGTGACAGCTCAGGAACTAAACAGTGACCAAGCCCCAGCCCCTGTCCATGCCCAGGCTGCGGTTGGCTTCTGTGGCTTGGTTTCCCTCTGTCCCCCCTTGATAAGCTCGCCTGGATGCCTTTGACCTAGCTGGCCGTTCTACCAGTCCTGCCCTGCCCCCTTTCTCTGTTTGACAAATCATATTCCCCCTTCAAAGCACAGCTTAAATGTCCCTGCTTTTCCCTTGAGTGCAGGAATGTGGGTGTTGGGGGAGGTTGTGGTCTGTATGGTGAGACCACTGTTCTGCGGGAGAGAAGTGCCACATACGATCTTGTTCCTATCCCCTAAGGGACCCAGTGCAATGCTTGGCAGAGGGTAGACATCCAGTAATATTTGTTGAATGAATGAATGAACTTACTAAGTTAACATTACCACCCCTCAACTGTCTTGGTATCCATAATCTTTGAGAAGTGAGTGAACCTTTTTTTAGAGAAGGGGTCTCACTCTGTCACCCAGGCTGGAGTGCAGTGGTGTGATTACAGCTCACTGCAGCCTCAAACTCCCAGGCTCAAATGATCCTCCTGCCTCAGCCTCCAGAGTAGCTGGGACTACGGGCATGCACCATGCCCGGCTAATTTTTTGTGTTTTTTATAGAGATGGGGTCTCATTATGTTGGGGTCCAGGCTGGTCTTAAACTCTTGGCTTCAGATGATCTTCCCACCTCAGCCTCCCAAAGTGCTGGGATTACAGCTGTGAGCCACCGTGCCTGGCCTAAACATTTTGACCTCAGTTTCCCCATCTGTAAATTGGGGAGAGTGTTTCAATTCAGTTCAGCGAACATGCAATGCTGTAATGATGGAGGCTGGGCATGGGGTCAGCCCTGAGGGGGTGCCCAGTTGGTGTGGAGAGCCAGACTTGGAGACTAATAAGGGAGGAGGTTCAGAGTGAACTCCAGAAAGACTGGGCTTCTGTAGGAGGTGTGAACCCATAGGGAGGGAGGGGACTCAGGGTGGAGAGGGCAGTGTTCAGGAAACAGGGAGCTAATTGTTCCTTGTGGCTGGGATGCATAACCTGTATATCAACAGTTATAAACCAGCCAGGCACAGTGGCTCACACCTGTAATCCCAGCACTTTAGGAGGTGGTGGCGGGCAGATAACCTGAGGTCAGGAGTGCGAGACCAGCCTGGCCAACGTGATGAAACCCCATCTCTACAGAAGATGCAAAAAATAGCTGGGTGTGGTGGTACATGCCTGTAATCCCAGCTACTCGGGAGGGTGAAGCTTGAGAATGGCTTGAACCCAGAAGGCGAAGGTTGCAGTGAGTGGAGATCATACCACTACACTCCAGCCTGGGCAACAGAAGGGATGGGATGGGATGGGACGGGACGGGACGGGATGGGGCAGGGATTTGCCAAGGTGACATGGGTCTTGCTGGGATGTACCTGAGCTCACCAGCCCCTGCCCAGCAGATCTAGCCTCCCACATGTGCCTCAGGAGGTAGGCAGGGGCCCCCAACCTTCACAGGTACTGCCTCCCTCACTGATGGCCCCCAGTATTATTCAGAGCAACAGCCTGCGGTCAACAGACCTTACCTGGCCGCTGGTGAGTGGAGCTTCAAAGAGCAAGTCACCTGAGAGGGACACCTTTTGTTCTTGCTCCAGATGAGAGAAGACAGGCTTCTGTCTTGTTACAGTTTGCATTTGGGGGGCCGGGCACAGTGGCTCACACCTGTAATCCCAGCACTTTGGGAGGCCAAGGCGGGCGGATCACAAGGTCAGGAGTTCGAGACCAGCCTGGCCAACATGGTGAAACTCCGTCTCTACTTAAAATACAAAAAATTAGCCGGGCATGGTGGCACACACCTGTAATCCCAACTACTTGGGAGGCTGAGGCAGGAGAATCACTTGAACCCGGGAGGCGGAGGTTGCAGTGAGCTGAGATCGCACCATTGCACTCCAGCCTGGGCAACAAGAGCAAGACTTTGTCTCAAAAAAAAAAAAAAAAAAAAGTTTGCGTTCGAGTTTTTCTGCTTCTTTCAGTAGATGAACCTGATGCTGTCTGATGTGAGGGTTGGGGTCCTGGCCTTGGCCCCTGCCCTGGCATCAGGCCTCCGTGATGGGTGGGGAGGCAGGCGGGGGGATCTGGAGGGGGTGTTCTCCCAGCCGACCTCTCACCCAGGCCTTTTGTCTCCACTGAAACTGCTGATTTGGTCATTTTCTTGCTGACGCCGGCTGTGACCAGCAGCCTCACGGGAGGATTTTTCATGGGAAGAGAGAGTTGGGAATAATTTTCGAGCCAGAGCTGAATTCTCTGAGGCCTGCAATGGGCCAGCCACGGGAGAGGCCTGGGCTGCTTTGCAGGTGGCGATCTCTCTGGTATACTATTTATTTATTTATTTATTTGTTTATTTATTATTTTACTTTTTCAGGGGTAGAGACAGAGGCTTTCTATGTTGCCCAGGCTGGTCTCGAAATCCTGGCCTCAAGTGATCCTCCCACCTCGGCCTCCCAAAGCGCTGGGATTACAGGCTCTGGGCACCACGCCTGGCCTATTTTTATTTTTTTATTTTTCATTTTAGAATCCATAGGACAGCTACAGGATGGGATATGTTTGCAGTGTCTGAACTGCTGTTTACAAGGCATTTGTTATAATGTGGGGAAACAGTTACGTATTTACACCCACCAGGAAAATACACTTCATGAAACTGCGGATATGGAGCCAAGCTTAGTGCCTCATGCCTGTCATCCCAGCGAGTGGGGAGACTGAGGTGGGAGGATCACTTGAGCCCACGAGTTGGAGGCTATAGTGAGTTATGATCATACCATTGCACTCCAGCCTGGGCAACAGAGCAAGATCCCATTTTATTTTATTTTATTTTTAAAATTGTGGGCCAGTTGTGGTGGCTCATGCCTGTAATCCCAGCACTTTGGGAGGCCAAGGCAGGAGGATTGCCTGAGCCCCAGAGTTGGAGACCAGCCTGGGCAACATGATGAAACCCTGTCTCTACTAAAAACACAAAAAGCTAGCCAGGCATGGTGGCACATGCCCGTAATCCCAGCTACTCAGGAGGCTGATGCAGGAGAATCGCTTGAACCCGGGAGGCGGAGGTTGTAGTGAGCCAAGATCGTACCACTACAGTCCAGCCTCGGTGAAAAAGTGAGACCTTGTCTCAAAAAAACTGGTAACTGTGGTGGGCTTTGGGTGGGGGGAATCCGTGGGACTTTTTTCTTCCCTTTTCTGAATTTTTCTGCAACAGGCATGTGCTGCTTTGGGGACTAATAAAAGAAACTTAAACCCAAACCGCTTCTGCTGAAATGATTGGATGTTGCTGTGACCTTTCTGCCTAGCAGAGCAGAGGCTGCACAGGGTGGCAGGTGGCACAGGCTGGGAATTGCATCACCACGGAGATACCAGCTAAGGCTATCACGCCGGTGGCCACACCCTTACTTTCAACTGCATGGACTTTGCCTTTATCCAGTTCTCCCCACCTTGGGGTATATCGGTCTTGGAGGAAGCTCCGGTACTTCCCTCTGGCTTGGTACAGTGCTAGTGGAAACAGCCCAGTGGTAAAGGAAGGCCATAGTAGCTCTCTGCTGCCAGGTGATAGGGGGACTTCCCCTCGTTGGGGGTTTCCAAGATGCATGGGGGCTTTTTCTATGCAGCCTCCCCGGATTTCCCAAGGGAAGATAACAAGGCCTCCCCTGCTGTGTGAAGGAAAGCTGACATGGCTGAGGATTGTTACGAGAGAAGCTTAAGCTTAAAACTGCATGAGGCCGGGTGTTGTGGCTCACGCCTGTAATCACAGCACTTTGGGAGGTGGAGGCTGGCAGATCACCTGAGGTTGGGAGTTCGAGACCAGACTGACCAACATGGAGAAACCCCTTCTCTACTAAAAATACAAACTTAGCCGGGTGTGGTGGCTCATGCCTGTAATCCCAGGTAATTGGGAGGCTGAGGCAGGAGAACCGCTTGAACCCAGGAGGCGGAGGTTGCAGTGAGCCGAGATCACACCATTGCACTCCAGCCTGGGCAACAAGAGAGAAACTCTGTCTCAAAACAAAAACAAAAACAAAAAAACTTCGCATGGATTGTGTTGATAAATGAAGACCACCCCAAAGAGAACAAGCAAAGCCTGCTTATTCAGACCTTGTTATTGCAAGAGAAGTGGGCCAGCAAAGGCCAGCAAAAATTTTAAAAAGCTTTATTTATGTTTTGATATAGGGTCTTGCTATGTTGCCCAGGCTGGTCTTGAACTCCTGGGCTAAAGCAATCCTCCATGCCTCAGCCTCCCAAGTAGCTGGGATTACAGGCACGCACCACCGCTCCTCACTTAGGGAAAACACTCCCAACTTCCTCCTGCTGGGGGAAGTCTCTAAAGGTGCTGGCTAAGGGCCCCTCTGCAGTCTGTCAGTTTCCAGCCTCAAGACCGTCCTCCACAGCTGCTATTACTCACTTAGCCCCGCAGTCCCTGAGTCCTATGGTTGCACATCTGTGCGTTATGTCACCCGGCCCAAGGCAGTGACACGCACTGAAGCTTGTTTATTCCGAGTTTCCAGGAGCCATCTGCCCGGGGACACTGCCCTGGACCAGGCTGGGCTCTTTCTCCCCTGATTCCTGCAGGGCTGCTCCCAGGACTCCTCTGCAAAACCACACTTTCTCTCTCAGGCCAGGTCTAAGGGGGCATCTCTTCTGGGTTCTTTTGCATCCTTCTGATACTTTTTTTTTTTTTTTTTTGAGATGGAGTCTCGCTGTCACCCAGGCTGGAGTGCAGTGGCACAATCTTGGCTTGCTGCAACTTTCGCCTCCTGGGTTCAAGCAATTCTCCTGCCTCAGCCTCCTGAGTAGCTGGGATTACAGGCACCTGCCACCACGCCTGGCTAATTTTTGTGTTTTTGGTAGAGACGAGATTTCGCCATGTTGGCCAAGCTGATCTTGAACTCCCTACCTCAGGTGATCCACCCGCCTTGACCTCCCAAAGTGCTGGGATTACGGGTGTGAGCCATTACACCTGGCCTGGGCCACAAACATTTAATTCTTTAAGTGTGGGGCTTAAGGGCAGCTTTCCGGAGGAGGTGACAGCCTAGGTGTGTCTTGAAGGATGGATGTGGCAGGCGGAGGCTGACGGTGGGAAGAACCTTGAAGAGCTCAAGTGGCCAGGGAATGGGGACCAAGATGAGGGCAGAGGAGTGGCAGGACTCAGTCAGGGAGGGCCTTGTATGGCAGGGCTGTAAAACTGGGCTTTTTCCTAAGGGCAATGGGGAGCCCTGGAGGGTTCTAGGCAGTGGAGAGACGAATTTTAGACCTGAAGCCTGGTTCCCTAGGCCATACGGGGACTGCATGGTGACAGATGGGAGGAGATGGTCTGGACCTTAGGTGTGAGCTGAGAAAAAGCAAGTCATTGAGAACGGGATCCCCACACTCTGGGTTTCCATCTCCTCCCAGCAACAGGAGGGACCCTAGCCCCGACGCCTCTGATGTCGGGACGAGGGTTTTGCTGCCTGCACTTGAGGTGCAAGGCGGACCTCAGCTGTCTGCCTCCGAAAGCTCCCAGTGTCCTGGCAGGGGGTAATTAGCCAAGCTTCACAGGGCCAGGGACAAGGGCATGCTTGTTTGTCCAAGCCTGCTGTCCCACTGTGAAAATCGACATTCTTTTGTGTCCCTAAAGGAATGTTAAGCCGGGTGAGTGGCTCCCACCTATAATCCCAGCACTTTGGGAGGCCGAGGTGGGCAGATCACCTGAGGTCAGGAGTTTGAGACCAGCCTGGCCAACATGGCAAAACCCCATCTTTACTAAAAATGCAAAAATTACCCAGGTGTGGTGGCGGGCACCTGTAGTCCCAGCTGCTAGGGAGGCTAAGGCAGGAGAATGGCATGAACCCGGGAGGCAGAGCTTGCAGTGAGCCGAGATCGTGCCACTGCACTTCAGCCTGGGAGACAGAGCGAGACTCCGCCTCAAAAAATAAAAATAAAAAATAAAATTAAAAAGTACCTGGGTGTGGTGGTGGGTGCCTGTAATCCCAGCTACTCAGGAGGCTGAGGCAAGAGAATTGCTTGAACCCGGGCGGCGGAGGCTGCAGTGAACCAAGATTACACCATTGCACTCCAGCCTGGGCAATAAGAGCAAAACTCCAGCTCAAAAAAAAAAAAAAAAAAAAGAAGGGGGACACCTGTCAGGTAGTGCAGGGCAGAGGGACTGTTTCTGTACAAAGCATTTCACACTTGCCTTTTCATGTTGATTGGGCAAGAAGAAGAAGACGCCACAATCTTAGTCCAGAGCGATCAGCTCTGATAAAAGATTTAGCAAGGGCCAGGCGCAATGGTGCACACCTGTAATCCCAGCACTTTGGGAGGCTGAGGCAGGAGGACCGCTTGAGCCCGGGAGTTCAAGATCAGCCTGGGCGACATAGCAAGACCCCATGTCTACCAAAAAATAAGAAAATTAGGCCGGGCGCGGTGGCTCACGCCTGTAATCCCAGCACTTTGGGAGGCCGAGGCGGGCGGATCACGAGGTCAGGAGATCGAGACCATCCCGGCTAAAACGGTGAAACCCCGTCTCTACTAAAAATACAAAAAAATTAGCCGGGCGTAGTGGCGGGCGCCTGTGGTCCCAGCTACTTGGGAGGCTGAGGCAGGAGAATGGCATGAACCCGGGAGGCGGAGCTTGCAGTGAGCCGAGATCCCACCACTGCACTCCAGCCTGGGCGACAGAGCGAGACTCCGTCTCAAAAAAAAAAAAAAAAAAAAAAAATAAGAAAATTAGCCGGGTGTGATGGTGTCCACCTGCAGTCCCAGCTACTCAGGAGACTGAGACAGGAGGATTGCTTGAGCCAGGAGGTTGAGGCTGCAGTAAGCCATGATTGTGCCATTGTACTTCAGCCTGGGTGACAGAGCAAGACCTCATCTCAAAAATAATAATAATAATAATAAGATTTAGCAAGGAAGAGAGGAGGAAATGGCCAAAATGAAGTTTTTGTGTCTTTGGCAGGAGGATGTCCGTGAATGTCATCAGTGAGCCGGCGCCTGTCCCCCTCTACCCTGGAGCTGAAGGCAGCTTCTACACAAACCCTCCTGGGGCCTGCTCCGTGACTCAGTTTCCCTGTCATGTGCTGCTGCTGCTTTTTTTTCTCTTTCATTAGGGCTTCCCCTCCACCCTCCCTGCAGGGTCACTGGGCTGGTGCCCTGGGCAGGGAGGAACACCAGCATGTGGCCTCAGACCTCAGAGTCCTTTCTGCTCGCTCATTGACCTGTTTGCAACTCTGGACTCACAGCCGACGTTGCAAACTGAGGTTCCTGGAGTAATTCTAACCCTTTGGGAATCGCCCCACCCCCAGACTGTGAGCACACCAAGGGCATGATCCATCTGTCCAGGCCACCCTTGTGTGCCACTGGATGCATGAAGGAATGTTGACATCAGCCTAAGGTCCTGCGTCAGCTCCCAGTAGCCTGATGTCAGGACCTCAAATGCAGGCTGAGAAGAGAACATAGGAGATGGGCCTTTTATAAGGCCAACCAGAAGGTCAGAAGACTTGGGCTCCAGCCGGATGCGGCGACTCACACCTGTAATCCCAGTACTTTGGGAGGTCGAGGTGAGAGGATCACTCGAGGCCTGGAGTTTGAGACCAGCCTAGGCAACACAGTGAGACCCCATCTCTAAAAAAATTAAAAAATTAGCTGAGTGTGATGGTGCATGCCTGCAGTACCCGCTATTCAGGAGGGTGAGGTGGGAGGATTGCTTGAGCCCAGGAGGTCAAGGCTGCAATGAGCTATGATCACACTCCAGACTGGGCAACAGAGAGAGACCTTGTCTCAGAAAAAAAAAAAAAAAAGAGAGAGAGAGAGGAGGAGGAGGCTGGGTGCAGTGGCTCACACCTGTAATCTAAACACTTTGTTTGTTTGTTTGTTTGAGAGGGAGTCTCACTCTGTCGCCCAGGCTGGAGTTCAGTGGCGCGATCTCAGCTCACTGCAACCTCTGCCTCCCAGGTCAAGCGATTCTCCTGCCTCAGCCTCCCGAGTAGCTGGGATTATGGGCACATGCCACCACGCCCAGCTAATTTTTGTATTTGCAGTAGAGACAGGGTTTCACCATGTTGGCCAGCATGGTCTTAAACTGCTGACCTCAGGTGATCTGCCCACCTTGGCCTCCCAAAGTGCTGAGATTACAGGCGTGAGCTACTGCACCTGGCTTTGTAATCCCAACACTTTGAGAGGCCAAGGTGGGAGCACTGCTTGAGGCCAGGAGCTTGAAACCAGCCTGGGCAACATAATGAGACCCCGTTTCTACAAAAATAAACAAATTAGCCGGGCATGGTAGTGCATGCTTGTAGTCCCAGCCACTCAGCAGGCTGAGGCTGGAGGATTGGTTGAGCCCAGGAGTTCAAGGCTGCAGTGAACCATGATTGGGTCACTGCAACAGAGGGAGACCCAGAAAGAAAGAAAGAAAGAGAGAAAGAGAGAAAGGGGGGGGGAGGGGGAGGGGAGAGGAGGGGAGGGGAGGAAACACCAGGAATTTGCATGCACAGAGGAAGGCAATATGAGGACAGAGCAAGAAGGCAGCTGCCTGCAAGCCAAGGAGAGAGGCCTCAGGAGCAACCAACCTCACCAACACCTTGACCTTAGACTTCCAGCCTCCAGAACTGTGAGAAAATAACTTTGTGTTGTTTGAGCCACTCAGCCTGTGGTATTTTACTATGGCAGCTCAAGCTGACTCATGCACCAGGAATTTCCACGGGACTGTGTCACACTTGCAAACGTCATCTGTGACTATCCGGGTGGGAGGACAGCAGATCTGGGGACTGGGCTCTGCAGCCTTCCCAAATGCAGCTTCCTGTGATTCCATTCTTCCACTTTGGCAGTCGAATGAGTCAGTGGAAGATTTGCAAACACGGAGCTAAAGGAAGATCTGGAAAGGAGGAGATGCACCGGGGAGTGTGAAGGGCATTTGGAGCCCAAGCCCGTCCTTTCCCAGGCCCCTGGAGCCCACCCAGCTAACCACAAGCACCACTGAAATCCACCAGAGCAATAGGAAAATTAGCTGGGTGCAGTGGCTCATGCTGTAAAACCCAGCTACCTGGGACGCTGAGGCACGAGAATCACTTGAACCCAGAAGGTGGAGGTTGCAGTGAGTGGAGATCACACCACTGCACTCCAGCCTAGGCAACAGAGTAAGACCCTGTCTAAAAAAAAAAAAAAAAAAAAATGGGCGCGGTGGCTCAAGCCTGTAATCCCAGCACTTTGGGAGGCCAAGGGGGGTGGATCACCTGAGGTCAGGAGTTCAAGACCAGCCTGGCCAACACGGTGAAACCCCGTCTCTACTAAAAATACAAAAATTAGCTGGGCGTGGTGGCAGGCACCTGTAATCCCAGCTACTCCCGGAGGCTGAGGCAGGAGACTTGCTTGAACATGGGAGGTGGAGGTTGCAGTAAGCCGAGATTGCACCATTGCACTCCAGCCTGGGGTATAAGAGTGACACTTCGTCTCAAAAAAAAAGAAAGAAAGAAAAGAAATCAACCAGGGTCCCAGGGTGAAAATGAATTCAGCCAAACAAAATTCTTTTATTTCTTTTTTTTGTTAGAGATGAGGGTCTTGCTTTGTTGCCCAGGCTGGAGTGCAGTGGTACGATCATAGCTCACTGCAGCCTGGAACTTCTGGGCTCAAGTGATCCTCCCACCTCAGCCTCCCAGATAAGCGGGAGGGACTACAGGCAAGGACCACCATGCCTGGCTAATTTTTTAAATTTTTCTGTAGAGACGAAGTCTTGCTATGTTGCCCAGGCTGATCTTGAACTCCTGAGCTCAAATGATGCTCCCACGTCAGTCTCCCAAAGCGTTGAAATTACAGGCATGAGCCACTGCACCCCGCCAGATGTTTTGTTGTTGTTGTTGTTTTGTTTTGTTTTGTTTGAGATGGAGTTTTGCTCTTGTCGCCCAGGCTGGAGTGCAATGGTGCAATCTCAGCTCACGGCAATCTCTGCCTCCCGGGGATTCTCCTGCCTCAGCCTTCTGAGTAGTTGGAATTACAGGTATGTGCCACCAGGCTCGGCTAATTTTCTGTATTTTTAGTAGAGACGGGGTTTCACCATGCTGGTCAGGCTGGTCTCGATCACCTCAGGTGATCCACCCACCTTGGCCTCCCAAAGTGCTGGGATTACAGGCATGAGCCACCGTGCCTGGCCTCGCCAGATGTTTACTTCTTTTCAGTGGCTTGGTTTGGGCTACAGTTTTTTGTTTTTTTTTTTTAAGATAGAGTCTCACTCTGTTGCCCAAGCTGGAGTGCAGAGACATGATCTTGGCTCATTGCAACCTCTGCCTCCTGGGTTCAAGCGACTCTCTTGCCTCAGCCTCCCGAGTAGCTGGGATTGCAGGTGCTCACCACCACGCCTGGCTATTTTTTTTTTTTTTTGTATTTGTAGTAGAGACAGGGTTTCACTATGTTGGCCAGGCTGATCTCGAACTCCTGACCTCAGGTGATCTGCCCGCCTCAGCTACAGTCTTAAGCGAGGAGCTGGGTCATTCTGCTATGGGGCAAAGTGGGGTGCAATATCTTCCTTTGTGACTCAGTTTCCGATATGTTAAGTCTATACACCCGTACATTTATTGAATGTAGATTCTCATTTGAATTCCTCTGGGGACAGTCCTTGAGTGAAAACACAAACCCATTCACTCTGGGAATTCCTGCTCCCTGAGCACAGGTGCAGGCTGCAAAGACACAGTCACCTGTGAAACATGCGGATGCCCCCAGGCCTGGGGTCAGAGGCCCTGGAGGAAGTCAGGGGGGCTGCCACAAATCAAGCAGTTTTTCCTTGCCAAAGGACCCCCAACAGCCCAGCCTGGCCAACATGGCATAGCCCCATCTCTACCAAAAATACAAAAATTAGCCAGGCATGTTGGCGCACATCTGTAATCCCACCTACTTGGGAGGGTGAGGCAGGAGAATGGCTTTGAGGTTTGGAGGTGGAGGCTGCAGCAAGCCAAGATCGTGCCACTGCACTCCAGCCTTGGTGACAGGGGGTCTGTCTTAAAAAAAGAAAAAAGGCTGGGCGCGGTGGCTCACGCCTGTAATCCCAGCACTTTGGGAGGCCGACGTGGGCGGATCATGAGGTCAAGAGATGGAGACCATCCTGGCTAACACGGTGACACCCTGTCTCTCCTAAAAATACAAAAAAAATTAGCCGGGTGTGGTGGTGGGCACCTGTAGTCCCAGCTACTCAGGAGGCTGAGGCAGGAGAATCGCTTGAACCCAGGAGGCGGAGGTTGCAGTGAGCCGAGATCGCGCCACTGCACTCCAGCCTAGGCGACAGAGCAAGACTGTCTCACAAAAAAAAAAAAAAAAGAAAAAAAAGGATGCCCAACAGTATCTAGCACAGCAACTCCTCTACTGCATCAAGGGTGCCCGCTTGCCCACACTCAGCTGCAAGCTGCTGTCTCTCCAAGTTTCTTGTCGGCCTGAGGCCTAGAGAAGAAAGCCGGTGTGTCATGAGTCCCCTCTCACCACTGACATTCCTGACAACTCCCCATCAGGAAGGAAGCACTGGGGCTGGAGACCGATGGTCCCTCTGGTCCCTTTGCCCTGGGTTTGGGATTCGCACCCAGGAGACCCATGGAATCACTGAGACCCCAGTCACAGCAGGGGCTCCAGGTGGGTGAAGGGGGCGGTGGGGTCTCTAAACCAGGGTACGGATGGGTTGAGGGGTTTCTTGTTCAGGGTGAGGGCAGGGTGGAGGTCTCTAAGTCAGGGTGGGGTGGGGTGGGGTGTAGTCCTGGTCTCTGTCCCCCACTCCTTTGGGTGACTTTTATACAGGTTTCTTCCCCCAGCGTGCTGGTCCTAGGTTTGGAAGATGAGGTGGGGGAGGTGCACGTGTATGGTAAATTGCTTTTGGTTTTGATTACAAAATAACGTACATATGAAGTGGCTCTCCAATGTATAGGCATGACTTCAGGATAAGAAAATAAACACCTATGTGAAGGACGCCTGGCTCAAGAAATAGAACTTTCCAGGTATCTTGGAATCCCCTAGTTTCCCCTCTCCATTCCCTCCCCTCCCTAAACATACCTGCTTAGCTGAATTTTGGTTTTCTTCCCTTTTCTTTTCTTTCTTTTTTATTTTATTTTTATTTATTTATTTATTTTGAGTCAGAGTCTTGCTCTGTCGCCCAGGCTGGAATACAGTGGCACGATCTCGGCTCACTGCAATCTCCGTCTCCCGGGTTCAAGCAATTCTCCTGCCCCAGCCTCCCGAGTAGCTGGGACTACAGGCATGTGCCACCACGCCCAGCTAATTTTTGTATTTTTAGTAGAGATGGGGTTTCACCATGTTGGCCAGGCTGGTCTCGAACTCCTGGCCTCAAGCAGCTCTCCTGCGTCAGCCTCACAAATAGCTGGGACTAGAGGCATGAGCTACCACACCCAGCTGCTGCTTTTTTTTTTTCCTGATAAAATTAAGTTTGTTCACTTTACAAAGTGAGCTTCACTTTGCAAAGTGATCCTTCACTTTGCAAAGTAATTTCAGAAGAGTGGTAAATAAGCTGTAGTTATGAATTTAAAATACAGATTTATTTTTAATCCAAGTTTTCAGGGAAAGTAACTTAGAGTGAGACATGCTTGCTTTAAATAACAAATCTATAAATGACACAAATCAGTATGTTAGGATGCTAGAGGACCCTGGAACATTTCAATTCAATTTCTTCATTTTAGGAAATAGGGAACTGAAGGTTATCTCTGGCAATCTGGAGAGGCCAGGAACCCACCGCAGGCCCCCTGGAGATGGAGAGGGAAACAGGCGGGTAAAGAAAGCCCCTCTACTTAGATGGGCTTCTTGGACCTGAACAGCTGCATGTCTGGATGTGGTGGGCTGTGAAATGATCCCTGCCTTGCTGGGTGGTGGGGGTGGAGGTGGCAGCCAGCTCAGCTTGGGACTTGTCTCCAAGGACCAGCTGTGCCCCTGGGTCCTGGCCTCCTGCACCTTTGGGTCCCACCAGTGAGCCTGGCTCTGCAGGTCACCTGCGCTCGGCGTGCCCTTGGCCCTGGTCTCCCACCCTGCATGTGCCCTGCTGGCAGCCACCCACAGTGTCCCCTGCAGGCAGGTGCGTGTCCCTGCAAGCACAACCCAAGCTTTTCTTCCAAAGTCATATTCCAGCCTTCTTAAAATGTGGGTTAGGGCCAGGCACCGTGGCTCACGCCTGTAATCCCAGCACTTTGGGAGGCCAAGGCGGGTGGACCACAAGGTCAGGAAATCGAGACCATCCTGGCCAACATGGTGAAACCCCGTCTCTACTAAAACACACACACAAAAAATTAGCTGGGCATGGTGGTGTGTGCCTGTAGTCCCAGCTACTAGGGAGGCTGAGGCAGGGGAATCGCTTGACCCTGGGAGGCTGAGGTTGCAGTGAGCCGAGATCGCGTCACTGCACTCCAGCCTCGGCGACAGAGCAAGACTGCGTCTCAAAAAAAAAAAAAAAAAAGTGGAATTGGGGTCGGGCGCCGTGGCTCATGCCTGTAATCCCAGCACTTTGGGAGGCCAAGGGGGCAGATCACTTGAGGTCAGGAGTTTGAGACCACCCTGGGCAACATGGTGAAACCCTGTCTACTAAAAATACAAAAATAAGCCGGGCATGGTGGCACACACTGTAGTCCCAGCT
Source organism: Homo sapiens (assembly GCF_000001405.40). NCBI lineage: Eukaryota > Metazoa > Chordata > Mammalia > Primates > Hominidae > Homo > Homo sapiens. Next base: position 74,274,902 of record NC_000007.14, on the reverse strand, counting down.
ACTCAGGAGGCTGAGGCAGAAGAATCGCTTGGACCTGGGAGGCAGAGGTTGCAGTGAGCCGAGATGGTGCCACTGCACTTACTCTGGGCAACAGAGCGAGATTCTGTCTAAAAAAAAAAAAAAAATCCTGTTTCCCCAGGAAACCCCTCTTCCATGGCTGCAACTGGTTCTCCGGAATACTCCTTCCTTCTCCTACCCACAGTCCAACCAGGCTGAGGCCACAGATACTTGGAACTCCTCATCCCTGTCCTTACTTTTTTTGCCTCAAGTAAGAAATCAGATGACACATCAGACCCAGGTCCCGGGGAACTCCCTGGGAAATCAGACACTGGCAGCCCAAGGGTGTTTTTTTTTGTTTTGTTTTGTTTTGAGACGGAGTCTCGCTCTGTCGCCCAGGCTGGAGTGCAGTGGTGCCATCTCAGCTCACTGCAACCTCTGCCTTCTGGGTTCAAGCGATTCTCCTGCCTCAGCCTCCTGATGCACGCCACCATGCCTGGCTAATTTTTTGTATTTTTAATAGAGACGGGTTTCACCGTGTTAGCCAGGATGGTCTCCATCTCCTGACCTTGTGATCCGCCCACCTCGGCCTCTCAAAGTGCTGGGATTACAGGTGTGAGCCACTGTGCCCAGCCCCAAGGGTGTTTTTTTAAAGACAGAGGATATGGGATGGGGTGGTGCAGCTTTGCTCAGAATCCTCATCCTCAAGGTCAAAAAAATAAGAAAAAAAATTGAGTTAAGTCCAGGCGTGGTGGCTCATGCCTATAATCCCAACACTTTGGGAGGCCGAGGCGGGTGGATCACTTGAGGTCAGCAGTTCGAGACCAGCCTGGCCATCATGGTGAAACCTCGTCTCTACTAAAAATATAAAAATTAGCCAGGTGTGGTGGCGTGTGCCTGTAGTCCCAGCTACTCGAGAGACTGAGGCAGGAGAATTGCATGAACCCAGGAGGCAGAAGTTGCAGTGAGCCGAGATCATGCCACTGCACTCCAGTCTGAGTGACAGAGTGAGACTCCATCTTAAAAAAAAAAAAAAAAAAAAATTTTGAGCAAAATCCAACCCCACTGGAAATCAGAAAAAGGAAGAAAAAAAAAAGATTATGGGAAAAAAATATAGAATCTTGGTCCTATGTCCAGGCATGGTGGCTCCTGCCTATCCCAGTGCTTTGGGAGGCCAAGGCTGGAGCATCGCTTGAAGCCAGGATTTTGAGACCAGCCTGGGCAACCTAGCAAGACCCCCATCTCTACAGAAAAACCTTTTTTTTTTTTAGATGAAATTTTGCTCTTGTTGCCCAGGCTGGAGTGCAATAGCACGATCTCGGCTCACTGCAACCTCTGCCTCCCGGATTCAAGCGATTCTCCTGCCTCAGCCTCCCGAGTACCTGGGATTACAGGCACCCACCACCACGTCCAACTAATTTTGTATTTTTGGTAGAGGTGAAGTTTCACCATGTTGGCCAGGCTGGTCTCAAATTCCCGACCTCAGGTGATCCACCTGCCTCGGCCTCCCAAAATGGTGGGATTACAGGTGTGACCACCTCGCCTGACCGAGGTCTCTCTCTCTTTTTTTTTTTTTTTTTTTTGAGACGGAGTCTCGCTCTATTGCCCAGGCTGGGCTGGAGTGCAGTGGCACTGTCTCACCTCTCTGAAAACTCCGCCTCCCGGGTTCACGCCATTCTCCTGCCTCAGCCTCCCGAGTAGCTGGGACTACAGTCGCCCGCCATGATGCCCGGCTAATTTTTTGTATTTTTAGTAGAGATGGGGTTTCACCGTGTTAGCCAGGATGGTCTCAATCTCCTGACTTCATGATCTGCCTGCCTCGGCCTCCCAAAGTGCTGGGATTACAGGCGTGAGCCACCACCCCCAGCCAGTCTCCTTTTTTTATAGGGCTCCTCTCACAGTGCCTGGCTCACTGGAAGTTTACAGTAGAGTACAGGGATTGTCACTCACACAGAGCGAGGATTGCCAGGGATTTGTTTGTACCAGAGGCTGGAGTAGAGTTTAGGAAACCACAGGGCATTCCTAGTGTCTAACCAGCCAGGGCCAGGCAGGCTTTCCATCCTTCCTTTGGTGCAAACGCCCTCGCAGTTGACTCATTCCCCAACCCTGAGGTCTGCGGCCCCCATCCCCCAGCCACACCACTTCCCCATTAGCATGGTGGCCCCTCTGGTCTCTGCCGTTCTAGCTTCCTGTCCATGCCTCCTGGTTCAGCCCAGATGTGGCCGTGGCCCATCCTCCACTCCCCTGGGAGGACAGATCTGGCTCAGGGCTGTCTGCAGTCTTGAATCCCTCTCCTCTCTCCTCTGAAGCCAGGGTAAAGCACACACCACACAGCCTGGCCCACAGCAGGACTGATTCTAGTACATTCCCAGATGGTCTATGTCAGCTGGGAATGCTTGACTTCCTGTTTTGTTTTCCGTCAGCAATCCTAAACCAGAACTTTCTTTCCCATAAGAATGATTTCTTCAGGTTGCTGACACGGTGACACCACTTTGAAAAGGAGGGAAGTTTGGAGCACTTTTTGTTTAGATCAGAATTTAAAATGATGCCAGGCAGGGTGGCTCACGCCTGTAATCCCAGGATTTAGGGAGGCCAAGACGGGTGGATCATTTGAGGTCAGGAGTTCGAGACGAGCCTGGCCAACATAGTGAAACCCCATCTCTACCGAAAATACAAAAATCAGCCGGATTTCGTGGTGGGCACCTGTAGTCCCAGCTACTCGGGAGGCTGAGGCAGGAGGATTACTTGAACCCGGGAGGCAGAGGTTGCAGTGAGCCGAGATCACACCACTGCACTCCAGCCTGGGTGACACAGTAAGACTCCCTCCCAATTTAGAAAAATAATTAAAATGAAAGCCTGTCCAGGAAGCAGTGGAGGTTAGAAGTCCTGGTCTGGCGGTTCAGATCCCTCCTGAGGCACTTCCTGGTTTGAGGCAAATCTCTTCCGGCTTCACTCCACTTTTCTCATCTATAAAAATAGGACTAAGTCAGGTGCAGCGGTGCGAGCCTCTAGTCCCAGCTACTGAGGAGGCTGAGGTGAGAGGATGGCTTGAGTCCAGGAGTTCAAGGCTGCAGTGAGCTGTGATCGTGCTACTGCAGTCCAGCCAGGGCAACAGAATGAGACTCTGTCTCTAAAATAAATAAATAGGCTGAGTGCAGTGGCTCATGCCTATAATCCCAGCACTTTGGGAGGCCAAGGCAGGAGGATCACGTAAGCCCAGAAGTTCGGGACCAGCCTGTGCAACATAGTGGCATTACAGGCATAAGCCACCATGCCCAGCCAATTTTTTAAAATATAGAAATTCACACCCACAGGCCAGGCGGCTCATGCCTGTCATCCCAGTACTTAGGGGGGCCAAGGCGGATGGATCTCTTGAGGTCAGGAGTTCGAGACCAGTCTGGCCAACATGGTGAAACCCCGTCTCTACTAAAAATACAAAAATTAGCCGTGTGGTGTTGCCCACCTGTAATCTCAGCTACTCAGGAGGCTGAGGCAGGAGAATTGCTTGAATTTGGGAGGCAGAGGTTGCAGTGAGCCGAGATTGCACCACTGCACTGCAGTCTGGGTGAAAAAGCGAGGCTCCATCTCAAATAAATAAATAAATAAATGAAATACTAAAATGAGGACATTGGACAAGGTTATCTCTAAACAGCACACTCTGGCTTAACTTTGACATTTCAGGATAAGTGAGTTTCTCAGGAAACAGACCTATAAATAAAGCTCAGTAGTTTCCTTTCAGGACCCCCAGATAGCAGTGTAGAAAATGCACTCCATCTTAACACAAAAAATAAAAAGTCAAAAAATTAGCCAGGCGTGGTGGTGCGTGCATGTAGTCCTAGATATTTGAGAGGCTGAGGTGGGAGGAGGGAGGATCTTTTGAGCCCAGGAGTTGGAGTCTCCAGTGAGCTAAGATCGCAACACTGCACTCCAGCCCGAGTGACAAAGGGAGACCCTGTCTCAAAAAAAAACAAAAAAAAAGGGCGGGGCGGGGTGGCGGCGGGCATGGTGGCTTGCCCCTATAATCCCAGCACTTTGGGAGGCCGAGGCGGGCGGATCATCTGAGGTCAGAAGTTCAAGACCAAGCTGGCCAACATGGTGAAACCCTGTCTCTACTAAAAATATTTTAAAATTTAGCTGGGTGTGGTGGTGAGCACCAGTAATCCCAGCTACTCCGGAGGCTGAGGCAGGAGAATCACCTGAACCCGGGAGAAGGAGGTTGCAGTGAACTGAGACCGCGCCATTGCACTCCAGCCTGGGCAACAGGAACGAAACTCCATCAAAAAAATAAAAGAGGGCCGGGCGTGGTGGCTCATGCCTGTAATCCCAGGACTTTGGGAGGCCGAGGCAGGCGGATCACAAGGTCAGGAGATCGAGACCATCCTGGCTAACACGATGAAACCCCGTCTCTACTAAAAATACAAAAAAAATCAGCCGGGGGTGGTGGCGGGCACCTGTAGTCCCAGCTACCCAGGAGGCTGAGGCAGGAGAATGGCGTGAACCCGGGAGGGAGAGGAGAGGAGGGGAGAGGAAGGAGGGGAGAGGAGGGAGGGGAGGGAGGGGAGGGTAAAGGAGGGAGGGAGGGGAGGGGAGGGGAGGGAGGGGAGGGGAGGGGAGGGAGAGGAGGGGAGGGAGAGGAGGGGAGGGAGAGGAGGGGAGGGGAGGGGAGAGGAGAGGAGAGGAGAAGGGAAAAGCAAAGTCTCCCTCCCAAATCACCTTGACCTGCCAATTAAAATTTCCTCCAAATACCACGCGGGAGGCGACAGCAACCGAAACATTAAACTGCCTCTGGTTCCACCAGCTGTCGGGGGTTTCTTTCCTTCTTGGCTCGGCCTAGAAACTCATATTTTATTCATGAAATTGAGGCCCTGGGAGGCCTGGGCATAAACAGGATGTAAATATTTGCGGGTGGTGGCGGGGGAAAGGTGGTATTTGGGCAGGGGCGGGCTAAAGTCGAGACACCCAGGACTATGATTACCTGGGGACCCGCCCACCTCCGTGCCTGTTATAGGCTGGGGTTGGGGCATAGACAGGCTGTGCCGCTGATGGGCGATGAGTCCGGGACTCCGGTGCCCTTGAAGTGAGTCAGGGGATATTGATTGCTTAACCTTCCCGGTGCATTCCATTTTCCCAATCATTGAGGTCCCTTATTTTTTTTTATTTTTTATTTTTTTAAGACAGAGTCTCACTCTGTCGCCCAGGCTGAAGTGCAGTGGCTCGATCTCGGCTCACTGCAACCTCTGCCTCCGGGGTTCAAGTGATTCTCCTGCCTCAGTCTCCGGAGTAGCTGGAACTACAGGCGCCCACCAGCACACCTGGCCGGCCGACTTGCCTGCTCGCCTGCCTTCCTTCCTTCCTTCCTTTCTTTCTTTTTCTTCCTTCCTTCCTTTCTTTTATTATTTTTATTTATTTATTTTTTTTGAGACAGGGTTTCGCTCTGTCAACCAGGCTGGAGTCCAGTGGCGTGATCTCGGCTCACTGCAACCTCCGCCTCCTGCGTTTAGGTGATTCTCCTGCCTGAGCCTCCCAAGTAGCTGGGATTACAGGCGCCCGCCACCATGCCCAGCTAATTTTTGTATTTTTAGTAGAGACGAGGTTTCCGCATGTTGGTCAGGCTGGTCTCAAACTCCTGGCCTCAGGTGATCCACCCGCCTCAGCCTCTCAAAGTGCAGGGATTACAGGTGTGAGCCACCGCGCCCAGCCTTGTTTCTTGATGCCACCGCGCCCAGCCTTGTTTCTTGATGGTATCTCGTCCCACCCTCTCACCCCACAGCCTGCGCAGTGCATCCCTGAACCTAGGATAGTCCCTGGAGTATAAATTGTTGTCTTGGTTGGAATCTCAAAGATTCAGAATTTTCCTTTTTTTTTTTTTGAACCGCTTGAACCTTGGAGGGGGAGGTTCAAGCGTTTCTCCTGCCTCAGCCTTCTAAGTAGCTGGGATTACAGGCACCCGCGACCATGCCCAGCTAATTTTTGTGTTTTTAGTGAGAGACGGGGTTTTCACCATGTTGGTCAGGCTGGTCTTGAACTCCTGTCCTTGTGATCCACCCACCTTGGCCTCCCAAAGTGCTGGGATTACAGGCATGAGCCACCGTGCCTGGCCTTTTTTTGTTTTGTTTTGTTTTGATTTTGAGAAGGGCCGTGCTGGATCACCCAGGCTGGAGTGCGGTGGTGCTATCAGAGCTCATTGCAACCTCGAACTCCTGGGCTCAAGCAATACCCCCCACCCCCTATCTCAGCCTCCCAAGTAGCTGGGACTGTGGGTGTATGCTGCCCAGCCTGGTTTAGGATTTTCAGAATGACACCCAGCATCCAACAGCCTCAGGTACGAGGAAAACATTTCTACCTGTGAGATACGACCTTCTTGGAATAGACACTCTCAGGGCTTCCCGAAGAATGTGGTGAGCGTGTCTGCACAGAAGCAGGCGTGCTAAAAACAGAGCATGGTTTAAAATGCCCACGGCACCTTCTACAGGTAATGAAACCCACACTTGGAGATTTCTGGGGTTAGGAACATAAAATACACCTCCCAAATTGGAGCACCAGCTGGCCAGATTAGACCGAGGTGCACCGCTGTATTTCCAGTGGATATGGTGTTGGAATGGTGGATACAACCTTGTTTTGAGAATAATGAGATTGCTGTTGAAAAGGAATGTCAAGCTACTTAGGTGAGGTGTCATCTTTTCTTATACGCAGTTAATCACTCCCTAACTGATCCTGCGTGGACATGTAGATGTTTGTTTTTTTTTCAGTATAGAACTTCTTAGCTTAAAGTGGGCTCGCTGTCAAAATATCTCATGTCACAGATAACCCATCAGGAAGAAGAAGAAAAAAACCCCGACCTGCTAAACAGCCTAAAAAGGGCATGCTGGGGCACTCAGGTTTCTGGTAGGAAAGTCCTCAATCCCCACTCACAGCCCGCTGACCCTGCATTTTTTTTTTTTTTTTTTTTTTAAAGATATGCTCTCATTCTGTTGCCCAGGCTCTGGAATGTAGTGGTGCAATTATGGCTTACTGCAGCCTTGACCTCCTGGGGTCAAGCAATCCTCCCACTTCAGCCTCCCAAGTCGCTGGGACCACAGGCACATGCTACCATGCTCAGCTAATTTTTGTTGTTGTTGTTAGAGATGGGGTCTTGTCATGTTGCCCAGGCTGGTCTTGAACTCCTGGGCTCCAACAATCCTCCTGCCTCAGCCTCCCAGGTAGCTGGGACTACAGGCACACACCACCACACCTAATTTTTTTTGTTTTAATACAGAGTCTCACTCTGTCACCAGACTAGAGCGCAGTGACATGATCTTGGCTCACTGCAACCTCTGCCTCCCAGGTTCAAGCAATTCTCGTGCCTCAGCCTGGCTAATTTTTGTATTTTAGTAGAAACGGGGTTTCGCCATGTTGGCCAGGCTGGTCTCAAACTCCTGACCTCAAGTGATCTGCCCACCTCAGCCTCCCAAAGTGCTGGGATTACGGGCATGAGCCACCACACCTGGCCTAATAATTTTTTTAAATTATTTTTTATAGAGACAGAGCCTTGCTATGTTGCCCAGGCTACTCTGGAACTCCTGGGCTCAAGTGGTCTTCCCACCTCAGCCTCCCAAAGAAACATTAAAAAAAAAAAAAAAAAAAACAGCCGGGCGTGGTGGTTCACCCCTGTAATCCCAGCACTTTAGGACGCCTAGGCAGGCAGATCACGCGGTCAGGAGTTCAAGACTAGCCTGGCCAACATGGTGAAACCCTGTCTCTACTAAAAATACAAAAAATTACCCCGGCCTGGTGGTGGTGTGCGCCTGTAATCCCAGCTACTCGGGAGGCTGAGGCAGGAGAATCGCTTGAACCCAGGAGGCGGAGGTTGCAGTGAGCCAAGATCGCACGCACCACTGCACTCCAGCCTGGGCAACAGAGCGAGACTCTGTCTTGAGGGAAACACACACACACACACACACACACAGACACACACACAGGATTCTATCAGGAGTCTATGCTGCTTTTTCTGGACTGTATTTTTTTAGGGGTCACAGAGACCTCTTTCCCTGTCAGTACAGGCAGACAGCCTTCATTTTTCAGTGACTGTATAGTATGAATGTACCATAATTTACCTATGCATTCTGACACTGATGGGCATTTATCTCATTTCCTTCCCCTCTTCCCCCATTCTAAGCTGCTGCAATGAACATCCTAGTACATATATATCTTTGTGCACATGTGTAAGCATTTATGTAAGACAAGTTTCTAAAAGCGGGCTTCTGGGTCAAAGAGTGTATACTTCTAAAGCATTGCTAGAAACTGACAAATTTAATGTACGATTTGTAGAGAAAAGAAAAATGGGCAGACAAGTCACAGAAGAGGAACTACAAAAGGTCGACACACATAGTAAAATGCTCTACAAGACAATGAAAATTGAAACAGGCTGGGCACGGTGGCTCACGCCTATAATCCAAGCACTTTGGGAGGCCGAGGCATGCGGATTGCTTGAGTCCAGGAGTTCAAGACCAGCCTGGGCAACATAGCAAGACCCTATCTCTACAAAAAATACAGGCATGGTGATGTGTGCCTGTGGACCTGGCTACTGGGGAGGCTGAGATGGGAGGATCCCCTGAGCCCAGGAGGTTGATGCTGAATTGAGCTGTGATTGCACCACTGCACTCCAGCAGGTGACAGAGTGAGACCCTGTCTCCAAAAAAAGCAAATTGAAATAGCACTCATATATATACACATGTAATATCTATTGCATGTAATACATTTATATATATACATGTAATATCTATTGCATGTAATATATTTATATGTATACATGTAATATGTATTACTGTGATATATTTACATGTATATATTTGCACAGGAGATTAGTAAACCAAAAAAAATGCATTCTTGGCTCTCATCCACCATTGGTGGAGGGATAAATGGGATAAAATGAACTGAGCTTGGTGCTCTCTAGTCCCCCACCCCTCATCAGATTTAGAAGGGGCCACAGGTGACCGGGCATGGTGGTTCATGCCTATAATCCCAGCACTGTGGGAGGCCAAGGCAGGCGGATCACTTGAGGTCAGGAGTTCGAGACCAGCCTGGCCAACATGGTGAAACCCCATTTCTACTAAAAATACAAAAATTAGGTGGTGTGCGGTGGCTCACGCCTGTAATCCCAGCACTTTGGGAGGCCGAGGCGGACAGATCACGAGGTCAGGAGATCGAGACCATCCTGGCCAACATGGGGAAACCCCGTCTCTACTAAAAGTACAAAAATTAGCTGGGCGTGGTGCCACGTGCCTGTAATCCCTACTCGGGAGGCTGAGGCAGGAGAATCACTTGAACCAGGGAGTCAAAGGTTGCAGTGAGCCGAGATCGCGCCATTGCACTCTAGCCTGGCGACAGAGCAAGACTCCGTCTCAAAAAAAAAAAAAAAATTAGCTGGGCATGGTGGCAGGCGCCTGTAATCCCAGCTACTCAGGAGGCTGTGGCAGGAAAATCGCTTGAACCCGGGAGGCAGTGGTTTCAGTGAGCCGATATTGGACCACTGCACCCCAGGCTGGGTAAGAGAGCGAGACTCTGTCTCAAAAAAAAAAAAAAAAAAAAGTGGTTGCAGGAAGGTCAGGGCTGATGTGCTCACTGAGGACAGGAAGGAGGGAATGCTTAGATGAGTAAACAGACTAAAATTAGAAGTAAAGAATCCAAACAGCCTATGACCTAGGCCGTATAGTGTGGGGGGAGCAGCCTGTCTCCCATCCATCGTCTCTGGGGTCAGCCCACATCATGATGCATAAACATTTGACCTCTATACCATCAGGAAAAGTCCTGTACCCTTTTCGTTTTCAAAGAAGGCAAGAGACCAGGCCAGTGGCTCACGCCTGTAATTCCAACACTTTGGGAGGCCAAAGCAGGAGGATCGCTTGAACCCAGGAGTTTGAGATCAGCCTGGGCAATATAGGGAGACCTTATTGCTACAAAAAAAAAAAAAAAAAATAGCTGGGCGTGGTGGCGTGTGCCTGTAGTCCCAGGTATTAGGGAGTCTGAGGTGGGAGGATCTGCATGAGCCCAGGAAGTCGAGGCTGCAGTGAGCCGTGATTGCACCACTGCACTCCGGCTTGGGCAACAGAACTAGACCCTGTCTCCAAAAAAAGATGGCAAGGAAGTGCGTAAAGCAATTTTCAAAGTTTCCAAATTGTTAAAGTTGAACAAAATAGTTAACATGAAAAACTTTGCATACAGTGGGCGCTTAACCGGAACATGTATTTATGTAGAGTAGTTTCTGGGAGAGTTTTTAAAGTACTACTCTTTAGGATTTGCTTAAAACGTAGGACAGGAGCTTTTGAAATCATGAGCCTTATCCACTTTAAAACACCACCTTGTGAGAAAGATGTCTTTTAAAAGGTGTATCTTGGCTGGGTGCAATGTCTCATGCCTGTAATCCCAGCACTTTGGGAGGCTGAGGTGGGTAGATCACTTGAGGTCAGGAGTTCGAGACCAGCCTGGCCAACATGGTGAAACCTCGTCTCTACTAAAAATACAAAAATTAGCTGGGCATGGTGGCGGGTGCCTATAATCCCAGCTACTTGGGAGGCTGAGGCAGGAGGATCACATGAACCTGGGAGGCGGAGGTTGCAGCAAGCTGAGATGGCGCCACTGCACTTCAGCCTGGATGACAGAGCAAGACTCTGTCTCAATAAATAAATAAAATAAAATAAAATAAAATAAAATAAAATAAAATAAAATAAATTTAAAAATATATAAAAGATGCATCTTAAAAGTCCTGGGTAGACATCTTCTCCTGCCCCTAAAAATGGAGCTGTCCAGGGTGATAAGGGGTTGTGAGGGGTGTAAAAATGTAAAAGACATGTCCTCTTTGGACACGTTTGCTCAGGGACACCAGATTTGAACGTGAGCTTGCTTCCTTTGAAGGCCCAGCTCAAAGGTCATACCTCGGGGTGCCCGGGCCCTGCAGACACGGTGACTTTTCCCTCCCAGTGCCCTCTAGCTCCTACCCAGCAGAGGGGCGTGGACACCCGTGTGCCTGCCAGGACGCTCAGACCGGGCACTTTTCGTCTAACTCATTTTTGCATCTCCCACTATGGTGAACCCAGAACTGTCCTCCCGTGGGCCAGTCCTTTGCAGATTGGCTGTGTCTGAGTCCCATCCCAGCTCTATAGCCAGGGCTGTCCTTGTCAAATTGCTGCCTTCTCTTGGATGCTTGCGGAGAGAGCCTGATCAGAGGTCACCCTGTGACCTAGTTAAGTGTAGCACGGGAGAAAGCCTGTACACACTCAGCAACACGCACCAGATGCAGAGAGAGATTCAGGCAGAGATGGAGACAGGCATGGAGGGAGGATCTTTCGGGTGGTGGACGTGCCTTCTTTGCGGATACAGTGGCCTTAACCCCAGCCCACCAAGGCGCCCAGGAAGCTCTTGGCGAGGCCAAGATGACTTCAGAGAGGTGGACGGGAGAGTGGCTGGTTGGACATAGTGAGGAGCACGGGCTCTGGGTTAGACCATCCAGGATCTGCTTCCTACCCACCAAGTCACTCTGGGTACCACGTGCCTCAATTTCCACACCTGTAATGGAATAATAACAACCTCCAGTGGGGATTGCAAGGAGTCAATGTCAACCCCTTCTACCCAGGACAAGTGATAGTCACTAAGCCTCAGCGGGGCCTGAAGACTGTCACCAGCTGCAGACTCATTAAGGGGACACCAGGGACAGCTGGCAGAGAGGCAGCTGCCCGACGTGGGGAGCCGGGAGGCGGAGATCCAGGCTGACTCAGTGCAGCACTGGCCACCCGGCCTTACAGCATTTCCGTAGTTAGCTCTCAGTTTTCTCATTGGTAATAACAGTATTGGAGTATTTGAATAGCCTTTGAACAGAATTACCTCCTGTGTGCGGCTGGCAGGGGTGTGCCCTACGACAACCCTTCGGAATACAATGTGGCAACTCCCCCAGGAATGTGGGGTTTCTGGTGTGCTCTAGGATGACTTCTGTGCACTGAAAACTTTATTCAAAAAATGACTTAAGGGCCGGGTGCCGTGGCTGACGCCTGTAATCCCGGCACTTTGGGAGGCCAAGGCGGACGGATCACCTGAGGTCAGGAGTTCAAGAGCAGCGTGACTAACATGGTGAAACCCCATCTCTACTAAAAACACAAAATTAGCCAGGTGTGTTGGCGCATGCCTGTAATCCTAGTTACTTGGGAGGCTGAGGCAGGAGAATCACTTGAACCTGGGGAGGCAGAGGTTGCAGTGAGCCAAGAGCACGCCACTGCACTCCAGCCTGGGCAACAAGAGCGAGACTTCGTCTCAAAAAAAAATTACTTAAGTTTTTGTTTAACTCATGAAAGTTACAAATTTAAAAAACATTTGCCAGGCGCAGTGGCTCATGCCTGTAATCCCAGCACTTTGGGAGGCCGAGGCGGGCGGATCACAAGGTCAGGAGTTCAAGACCAGTCTGGCCAATATGGTGAAACCCCATCTCTACTAAAAATACAAAAATTAGCCCGGTGTGGTGGTGGGCACCTGTAGTCCCAGCTACTCAGGAGGCTGACGCAGGAGAATCCCTTGAACCCAGGAGGCAGAGTTGCAGTGAGCCGAGATCGCACCACTGCACTCCAGCTTGGGTGACAGAGCGAGACTCCGTCTCAAAAAAACAAAACAAAACCTTTTTGGGTACAATATAATTAAGTTCTTTTTTTTTTTTTTTTTTTTTAGAGACAGGGTCTTCTTGCTCTTTCTCTAGGCTGGAGTGCAGTGGTGCGATCATAGCTCACAGATGCCTCTAACTCCTGGACTCAAGTGATCCTCTCACCTCAGCCTCCCCGAGAAGACATACATCACCACACCCAGATAATTAAAAAAAATTTTTTTTGTAGACGTGGGATCTCACTTCATTGCCCAGGCTGGTCTCAAAACTCCTAGTGATTAAGTTCTTTTAAACATTTTCAACTACTTTTACAAATTAAATATATTTGATTGATTTCCTTTTCGAGTATCTTGGTTATCTGACAAATCTTCCAAGTACTCAAATGTATCTTTTTTTTTTTTTTTTGAGATAGAGTTTCACTTTGTCGCCTAGGCTGGAGTGCAGTGGCGCAATCCTGGCTCACTGCAACCTCTGCATCCAGGTTCAAACGATTCTCCTGCCTCAGCCTCCTGAGTAGCTGGGACTACAGGTGTGCGCCACCACACCTGGCTAATATTTTTATATTTTTATTAGAGATGGGGTTTCGCCCTGTTGGCCAGGCTAGTCTCGAACTCTGACCTCAAGTGATCCGCCCACCTCAGCCTCCCAAAGTGCTGGGATTACAGGCGTGAACTACTGCACCCAGTTCAAATATATCTAATAAATCTAATAAACTAAGCTTGTAGTATTTTATTTTTTATTTTTGAGACAGGGTCTTGCTCTGTTGCCTGGGCTGGAGTGCAGTGGTGCAATCACTGTTGACTGTAGCCTTGACCTCCTGGGCTCAATTAGTCCTCCCATCTCAGCTTCCCAAGCAGCTAGGACTATAGGCACACGCCACTACACCTGGCTAAAAAACTTATAATATGTTGAACCTCAAGTTATCTTAAATATCCTAATAATATTTATACAGCTAGTGAGATTTCAATCTAAAATCACAAGTTTAACTTAATTGATTCAACTTTACATTTTAAATTAGAATCATAAATTTCCCGTTGGACACTAATATGAGAAGTTGTCATAAGGATTTCAAATCCGTAATATATCAAATCTATAAAGATTATGTATGAATGCTACATAAAAAGACTAATATAAAATTTTAATTTATCTCATCACGTCTGTATTTCTGAAACCCCCTAGGATCATTCATTCATTCAACAATTTTTTAAATTTAATTAATTAATTTATTTATTTGAGACGGAGTCTCACTCTGTCACCAGGCTGGATGCAATGGCACAATCTTGGCTTACTGCAACCTCCACCTCCCAGGTTCAAGCGATTCTCCTGCCTCAGCCTCCCGAGTAGCTGGGACTACAGGCACATGCCACCACACCCAGGTGATTTTTTGCATTTTAAGTAGAGACGGGGTTTCACCATGTTGGCCAGGATGGTCTCCATCTCTTGACCTCATGATCCACCTGCCTTGGCCTCTCAAAGTGCTGGGATTACAGGCATGAGCCACCGAGTCCGGCCTGAATTGTTCTATAATTTAATAATTAAATCCAAAAATTAGCTGAGCATGGTGGTGGGCACCTGTAATCCCAGCTGCTCAGGAGGCCAAGGCAGGAGAATTGTTTGAACCTCGGAGGCGGAGGTTGCAGTGAGTTGAGATCGCACCACGGCACTCCAGCCTGGGTGATAGAGCAAGACTCCGTCTCAGAAAATAAAAAACAAAAGCCAGGCGCCGTGGCTCACGCCTGTAATCCCAGCACTTTGGGAGGCTGAGACGGGCGGATCATGAGGTCAGGAGATCGAGACCATCCTGGCTAACATGGTGAAACCCTGTCTCTACTAAAAATACAAAAAAATTAGCTGGGCGTACTGGCGGGCGCCTGTAGTCCCAGCTACTCGGGAGGCTGAGGCAGGAGAATGGCATGAACCCGGGAGGCAGAGCTTGCAGTGAGCCGAGATAGCACCACTGCACTCCAGCCTGGGCAACAGAGCGAGCCTCCGTCTCAAAATAAATAAATAAATAAATAAAAAATAAAAAGAATTAGAGATTAAAAGATCAGAAAGCAAAGCCCAATACTTCCACACATATTTCTTCCACACCCCGCCTTTGGCAACCAGAATGATCTAAAACCCAAACTGCATCATGTCACTTTGCCCCACCTCCTCCAGCGCTTCTCACCACTCCTAATTAGCCTTCACCCTGCACGATCTGGCCCCTGCAGGCTCCATCTCTCTCCCACCCCCACTCCCACCCGTCCCAGGCTGATCATCTCTCTCCCGCCCCCACTCCCACCCCTCCGAGGCTGATCAGACCACCGTGTGCCCCAGCTCTGCTGTCACTCATCCCTTCGTGCCTTCAGGAAATGTGGGGCCTCTCTCTGGGCCACTACAGGCAATGAGGATACAATGGGAACAGGACAGAGAAAGTTCCTTTTCTCAAAGAATTTTCATTTTAGTGGGGAAACAAACAGTAAACAAGGCAACAAATCCAGCTAAATATAGATTGTGGGTAAGAAAAATAATAAACAAACAGGGGCTGGGCTCAGTGGCTCACACCTGTAATCCCAGCACTTTGGGAGGCTGAGGCAGGAGGATCGCTGGAGCCCAGGAGTTGAAGACCAGCTTGGGCAACAAGGTGAGACCACGTCTCTACAAAAAATTAACAGATTGGCCAGGCATGGTGGCATGTGCCTATGGTCCCAGCTACTCAGGAGGCTGAGGTGGGAGGATCACTTGAGCCCAGGAGGTCAAGGCTGCAGTGAGCTATGATCACGCCACTGCACTCCAGCCTGGGCAATACAAAAAGACCAACTCAAAAAAAAAAAAAAAAAAGAGAGAGAGAGAGAGAAAGAAAGAAATAAACATGGTGTTAGTGTAGGGAGCAATGGGAGGCAGAACAGGATATTAGGTGGTCCTTCCAGGCAAAGCCAATAGGCGTTCAAATCTCAGATTGGGGGTTCACATCTCTGGCCAAATGCCCCTTCCCATCAAAGCCCTTCCTGACCTCCCAAGTGAGGTGTTAGCC
Organism: Homo sapiens; assembly: GCF_000001405.40. Lineage (NCBI taxonomy): Eukaryota > Metazoa > Chordata > Mammalia > Primates > Hominidae > Homo > Homo sapiens. The sequence goes on along the minus strand of NC_000007.14, from coordinate 74,259,270 downwards.
TATTGCTGATATCCTAACAACCCACCAATCCCTTTTCTGACACTGATCATAATTTTTTTTTATTTATTTTATTTTATTTGTGAGACGGAGTTTTGTTCTCGTCGCCCAGGCTGGAGTGCAGTGGCACAATCTCAGCTCACTGCAACCTCTGCCTCCCGGGTTCAAACAATTCTCCTGCCTCAGCCTCCCAAGTAGCTGGGATTACAGGTATGCGCCACCACGCCCTGCTAATTTGGTGTTTGCAATAGAGATGGGGTTTCTCCATGTTGGTTGGGCTGGTCTCGAACTCCCGACCTCAGGTGATCTGGCCGCCTCAGCCTCCCAAAGTGCTGAGATTACAGGCGTGAGCCACTGCACCCGACCCATAATTACATTGAAATAAACATAACATTGGCCGCTTGCTGTCAGTTTCCCTCCCTACAATGGAAGCTCCTGTGCCCCTCCCAGCCGCTCTAGGCACTCAGTCAATATTTGTTAAAGGCAGAAAACGTGCTGCTTACATGATTTCCAACCAGCTTCTGAATTCCATAAATCTAATCAGAGCAATACCCGGGGACAAATTTTACCCAGATGAGACACCCTTATACTGTAGATATATCTAGGAAATGTTTTTTCTGTACACACTGTGCCTCTCAATATTGAAAATGCTACAAAGTGCTCGCTTCGGCAGTGCACAGACTAAAACTGGAACGACACAGAGAAGATGAGCAGGGCACCTAATTTTAAAAATGCTAACGAAAATGTTAGAAAAACCATAAATGGGGCTGGGCGCAGTGGCTCACGCCTGTAATCCCAGCACTTTGGGAGGCCGAGGCGGGTGGATCACAAGGTCAGGAGATCGAGACCATCCTGTCTAACATGGTGAAACCCCATCTCTACTAAAAATACAAAAAAAAAAAAAAAAAAAAATTAGCCAGTCGTGGTGGCAGGCGCCTGTAGTCCCAACTACTCGGAAGGCTGAGGCATGAGAATGGCATGAACCCGGGAGGTGGAGCTTGCAGTGAGCCGAGATCGCACCACTGCACTCCACGCTGGGTGACAGAGCAAGACTCCGTCTCAAAAAAAAGAAAAAAGAAAAACTATAAATGGGATGGAAGACCGCAGTGCCTGAAACACTTATTTAAATGATAGCATCACCATTTAAAAACAAAAATTAGTCAGGTGCGATGGCTCCCACCTGTAATCCCAGCACTATGGGAGGCAGAGGTAGGTGGATCACTTGAGCCCAGGAGTTCGAGACCAGCCTGGCCAACATGGTGAAACCCTGTCTCTACTAAAAATACAAAAATTAGCCGGGCATGGTGGCATGCACCTGTAATCCCAGCTACTCTGGAGGCTGAGACAGGAAAATCTATTCAACCTAGGAGGCAGAAGTTGCAGTGAGCCGATATCATGCCACTGTGCTCCAGCCTGGGTGACGGAGTGAGACCCCATCTCAAAAAATAAATAAAGGCTGGGCATGGTGGCTCACGCCTGTAATCCCAGCACTTTGGGAGGCTGAGGTGGGCGGATCACCTGAGGTCGGGAGTTTGAGACCAGCCTGACCAACATGGTGAAACACCGTCTCTACTAAAAATACAAAATTAGCTGGGTGTGGTGGCACATGCCTGTAATCCCAGCTACATGGGAGGATGAGCCAGAAGAATTGCTTGAGCCCGGGATGCGGAAGTTGCAGTGAGCCGAGATCATGCCATTGTACTCCAGCCTGGGTAACAAGATCGAAACTCCATCTCAAAATAAAAAAAAAATAAAAACAAAAACAAAAAATAGCTTAAAATCACAAAGAAATCCACTTGAAAACAAATAATAAATTTTCTTTTTTTTTTTTTGAGATGGAGTTTCGCTCTTGTTGCCCAGCTAATTTTTGTATTTTTACTACAGATGGGGTTTCACCATGCTGGCCAGGCTGGTCTTGAACTCCTGACCTCGTGATCGGCCCTCCTCGGCCTCCCACAGTGCTGGGATTACAGGCGTGAGCCACCGACCTGGCCTAAATTTTCTTTTTTTTATAGAGATAGGAGTCTTGCTACATTGCCCAGGTTGGGCTCAAACGCCTGGTCTCAAGCGATCCTCCCGCCTGGGCCTCCCAAAGTGCTGAGATTACTGGCATGAGCCACCAGGCCCAGACTAAGATAATGAACTTTTAAAATTCAATGTAAACAAGGCAAACAGCATCAAGTGTGCATGACATTCTGGGCCAATGGAGGCTGGAGTGGGCAGAGAGAAAACCAGGCTATCCTGTAGTCCTGATCTTGGCACGCCAGCAGATTTTCAGCCTTACATCCTGCAACATAACTCAGGAAGTAAGCTAACGGTGAAAGTCAAGGTGTCATTCAAACTAAGATGTGTTGCCTGACTTCTCTGACAATTTGATTGGAAGCCTCTGGATTTGGGGAAAGAGGATTTTGGTTTCAATTTTATTTCCTTTCTACATGCTTCCTCTTGGTGTATAACTGCCTTGCCCTCTTGTGATGACAGTCTGGGAGCTTAGCCTCAGTGTGTATTTAATTTCCTGAGATTTGAAGGATTTGCTGGGAGGAATTCTCCGTGGCTACTCTATGCCCTTTCACAAGAGCCTGTGGTTTCCCCAGCACTCCCTGGTTCCCCAACATTGCTGTTTTTCAGTCCCAGGGGAGCGGCTGGAGTTTTTAAGTTCTGAGCTCTGTTTGGGCCCAAGTCCAATAGGTCACAAAAGGCTCAGTCTAAAAAAAAGAAATGTCCTGACAGTGCAGCTTTGCCCTAAGAGTCACCTCCATCTCTGGTTCTCCTGGCATTCCATCAGTTAGAGGAGAGCCCTAGCAGCGCCAAAAGGCCTCCTGTAGAGTGGGGGTTTTTGGAGAATTATGAAAGGAACCGTGTTCTGTACTTATTAAAAATTAGTTTCTAAACTGTGTTATGTGATGGGAGGGATGTGTGTCATAGTGATTACAAGGAAAACATGAAGATTACAAAGGAACAATCCTATGGAAAAACCGCGGAGACATTTCAAGAAAAGTGTATATTTCAAGAGGAGTGTGTATTTTCTCCTCCGGAAAAATAAAAGACCTGTGAATAATGATTGAAAAAACAGACAAGACCGCTCCATCAGTTTAAAGGGGGAATAGGGGAGAGATGGCCAATTCAAACATTTTTTCCAAATTACATGGAAAGAAAAACACTGTGTTAAGTTGTGAATCTGTATACGTTAATACTATCGTTAAAACCAACTGCTTGGCCAGACGCGGTGGCTCACACCTGTAATCCCAGCACTTTGGGAGGCTGAGGCAAGCGGATCACTTGAAGTCAGGAGTTTGAGACCAGCCTGGTCAACGTGGCGAAACCCCATCTCTACTGAAAATACAAGTATTAGCCAGGTGTGGTGGCACACGCTTGTAGTCCCAGCTACTCGGGAGGTTGAGGCAGGAGAATCACTTGAACCTGGGAGCCTGACATTGCAGTGAGCTGAGATCACACCACTGTACTCCAGTCTGGGTGACAGAGTGAGACTCCATCTCAAAAACAAAAAACAAGAAACAAAACAAAGAATGGTCAAAGCACTTGTGAATCTGAAGTACCTACTTTCTTTTCTTCTTATTTTTTTAGAAACAGGATTTCACTCTGTCCCCCGGGGCTGGAGTACATTGACTTGATCATGGTTCACTGTGGCTTCAACCTCATGGGCTCAACCGATTCTCCTGCCTCAGCCTCCCGAGTAACTGGGACTACTGTCGCGTACCACCACAACTGGATAATTTAAAAAATTTTTTTTGTAGAGATGGGGTCTCACCATGTTGCCCAGGCTGGTCTCAAACTCCTCGGCTTGAGGGATCCTCCCACCTTAGCCTCCCAAAGTTCTGGGATCATCATTATTGAATATTATGACAATTTGGGCTATGGGAGGAAAGATTGGGTAGAAAAACAGCCCATAAGAATGCTCAAAACCCTTGCAAGGTTGAAGTATTTACTTTTTCTTTTTTGAGACAGGGTCTTGCTGCAGACCAGGTTGGAGTGCAGTGGTGTGATCAGAGATCACTGCAGCCTGCACCTCCTGGGCTCAAGCACTCCTCCGCCTCAGCTTCCTGAGTAGCTGGAACTGCAGGTGCGCGCCACCACGCCCGGCTACTTTTTTAATTTTTATTTTTGTAGAGACGGGGATCTCACTTTGTTGCCCAGGCTGGTCTCGAACTCCTGGGCTTAATCGCTCTTCCGGTCTCTGTCCCCCAAAGTGCTGGGATTAGAGGGGTGAGCCACCGCACCGGCCTTGAGTCCCTATTTTCCTGGAATGAACATTGCATTTCATCTGACAAAAGGACGGTTTCAGTTTCCTCCTCTGCAAAATGGGGTGGGGGTGGAATTCCCATCTTGCAGCCGAGAATTCCCTGATAATAAACGTCGAGTACCGAGCGCGGTTGAGGCGCAGGAGCCTACCCAACGGGAGCAGCTCACTAGGACATTCAGAGCAATCTGGAAAAGTGGGCACGGGCAGCCCCAGACGTCATCCCCGGACCCCGCTGCCCAGCAGCGCCCGGACGCCAGCGTTGTCCGTGTCCCAACACCGAAGCCCGCGTTTGGCCGCAACCCCTCCAGGCCCTGCTCCTCCCACGCCGCCGCGGAGCGGATCTTCCACAGAAACCACACACAAACGTCCGTTCCGAGAGCGACCTGCTTTCTCGGAAGGCGTCGCGGCCACAGCTCGCCTTCCTGTCGCTCCCAGGCCGGGCGCCAGGTCTCCCATAGCAACCGCGGCCTCCAGCGATGGCCGCCAGGGCACCACCGGAACCCTCTTCGCAGGCACAGAGAGGCGCGGGTACGTAACTTCCGCTCGCGCCCGGCGGAAGCCAGGGGGCGGGGCTTGCGTGGCGGCGTCAAGGGGCGGTGCCTCGGGTGGCGGGAAGAGGAGGCGCGAGAATGGAGGTGGAGGCCGTCTGTGGTGGCGCGGGCGAGGTGGAGGCCCAGGACTCTGACCCTGCCCCTGCCTTCAGCAAGGCCCCCGGCAGCGCCGGCCACTACGAACTGCCGTGGTGAGGTCCCAGGCCGTAAAGAATGGGCGCGTTTGGACGTGAGGGTGGGCGAGTGGCGGGCCGTGCTCCGGAGAAACTCGGGGGTCAGGGGCTCGTTTTGGGGAATCCCGAGGGAGGAGGAGGCCCCGGGTGGCATCGAGATGATTTCAAGAAGGCGACGGACATGGATCGAGAGTGGCCGGTCTAAACTCTGCGAGCGGAGTCTCGCTCACTACAATGCTTATGACAATTAGGGCTACCCCGGGTGGCCACCTACTCTGACCTAGTTGGTTTTTTCAAAAGTTTTTGTGTATAGTAGTGTATGACCTAGTGTTTTCAAAAACTTCAATCTTTTAAAAAAAATATCGATTACATGTTGAAAATAATATTTTGACTGTTAGGTTCAATAACATTTACATTTGAAATTTTTTTAAAAAAATCAAGACGGGGGTTTTGCTGTGTTGCCCAGGCTGATGTCCAGCTCCTTGGCTCAAGTGATCCCCCTGCCTCAGCCTCCTAAGTAGATGGGACTACAGGCACGCACCACCATGCCCAGTTAATTTTTTTTTTTTAGATGGAGTCACACTTTGTCACACAGGCTGGAGTGCAGTGGTGTGATTTCTGCTCACTACAACCTGCATCTCCCTGGTTCAATCAATTCTGCCTCAGCCTTCCTAGTAGCTGGGATTACAGGCATGTACCATCACACCCTGCTAATTTTGTGTTTTTAGTAGAGGCTGGGTTTCACCATGTTGGCCAGGCTGGTCTCGAAGTCCTGATCTCAAGTGATCCGTCCGCCTCGCCTTCCCAAAGTGCTGGGATTACAGGCATGAGCCACTGTACCCAGCCTAGGCCTACGGTGTCTAGCCAGCTATGCTGTGTATTTGGCACACGTCTGCAGAAACTGGCAGGTAATCCTTGCCTGGCATGGTGGCTCACGCCAGTAATCCCAGCACTTTGGGAGGCTGAGGTGGGCAGATCACCTGAGGTTGGTAGTGACCCAAGATCGCACCATTGCACTCCAGCCTGGGCAACAAGAGCAAAACTCTGTCTCCAAAAAAAAAAAAAAGAAAAGAAACTGGCAGGTAAGGGATGAGAAAGGAGCTTGGTTGCACCCATGTTGTCACACCAAATGATGTCAGTGCTGTATGTGCTGGGCCTCTTGTGACGGGCGGACAGGGTTGCAGCACAGTGTCACATTGCTCCAGATGACCTGTGCTGGCCGTGCTCCAGCAGCAACAGGTGTTTCTCTGCTGTGGCAGGTTTGAAGCCTATGCTGTACAATTCTCATGCCTTTAACTTTTCAAATGGCACTTGGGCATCTTATTACATTTTATTTATTTATTATTTATTTTTGAAACAGAGTCTCACTCTGTAGCCCGGGCTGGAGTATAGTGGCATGCATGATCTCAGCTCACTGCAACTTCTGCCTCCCAGGTTCGAGCTACTGTGCCTTAGCCTCCCAAGTAGCTGGGATTACAGACGCACACCACCACATCCAGCTAATTTTTGTATTTTAAGTAGAGATGAGGTTTCACCATGTTGGCCAGACTGGGCTCAAACTCCTGACCTCAATTGATCCACCCGCCTCAGCCTCACAAAGTGCTAGGATTACAGGTGTGAGCCACTGCGCCTGGCTGTCATCTTATTACATTTAAAACTTGCAACCATTTGGCATAGTTGTACTGAATGTATGTAATTTTTTAACAAAGCTCTCAGGATAACCCTTAGGTGCTTTTTGTGGGGTAGTGTGAAGATAACCATGTCAGCATTTTTATGCATTTTCTTAACAGGGTTGAAAAATATAGGCCAGTAAAGCTGAATGAAATTGTCGGGAATGAAGACACCGTGAGCAGGCTAGAGGTGAGTGGCTTTTTTTTTTTTTGAGACAGAGTCTCGCTCTGTCGCCCAGGCTGGAGTGCAGTGGTGCGATCTCCGCTCACTGCAAGCTCCGCCTCCCGGGTTCATGCCATTCTCCTGCCTCAGCCTCCCCAGTAGCTGGGACTACAGGTGCCCACCACCACACCCAGCTAATTTTTTGTATTTTTAGTAGAGACGGGGTTTCACCGTGTTAGCCAGGATGGTCTCAATCTCCTGACCTCATGATCCTCCCGCCTCGGCCTCCCAAAGTGCTGGGATTACAGGCGTGAGCCACCACACCTGGCCTTTTTTTTTTTTTTTTTTTTTTTTTTTGAGATGGAGCCTCCCTCTGTCGCCCAGGCTGGAGCGCATTGGCGTAATCTGGCCTCTCTGCAAGCTCTGCCTGCTGGGTTCACGCCATTCTCCTGCCTCAGCCTCCGGAGTAACTGGGACTACAGGCGCCCGCCACCATGCCTGGCTAATTTTTTTTGTATTTTTAGTAGAGATGGGGTTTCACCGTGTTAGCCAGGATGGTCTCGATCTCCTGACCTCGTGATCTGCCCACCTCGGCCTCCCAAAGTGCTGGGATTACAGGCGTGAACCACCGCGCCCGGCCTTTTTTTTTTTTTTTTTTGAGATGGAGTCTCGCTCTGTCGCCCAGGCTGGAGTGCAGTGGCGCCATCTCAGCTCACTGCAAGCTCCGCCTCCTGGGTTTAAGCAATTCTTCTGCCTCAGCCTCCCCAGTAGCTGGGACTACAGGCACACGCCACCACGCCTGGCTAATTTTTTTATTTTTAGTAGAGATGGGGTTTCACCGTGTTGGCCAGGCTGGTCTTGAACTCCTGACCTCGTGATCCGCCTGCCTCGGCCTCCCAAAGTGCTGGGATTACAGGCGTGAGCCACCACGAGCGGCCTTGAGTAGGTTTTTAAAAGATGACCTAAGGCTGGGCACAGTGGCTTACACCTGTAATCCCAGCACCTTGGGAGGCTAAGGCGGGCAGATTACTTGAGGCCAGGTGTTTGAGATCAGCCTGGGCAATGTGGTGAAACCAGTCTCTACGAAAAAATTTAAGAATGAGCTGGGTGTGGTGGCACATGCCTGTAGAGTCTGAGGTTCAAACTGGGCATGGTGACAAGTGCCTGTAATCCCAGCTACTCGAGGCCAAGGCAGGAGGATCCCTTGAGCCCAGGAGTTTGACGCTGCAGTGAGCTATGATCACGCCACTGCACTCTAGCCTAGGTGACAGAGTGGACACCCTTACTTTGAGAAACAAAAAGAGTTTGGGCTTCATAGTGAGGGCAGGGAGGAGTCAAGGATTTCAGTTAGGGAAAAATGTTTTAATAGGGCCGGGTGTGGTGGCTCACACCTGTAATCCCAGCACTTTGGGAGGCCAAGGCGAGTGGATCACCTAAGGTCAGGAGTTCACGACCAGCCTGGCCAACATGGCAAAACCCCGTCTCTACTAAAAATAAAAATTAGGCAGGCATGGTGGTGGGCGTCTGTAATCCCAGCTACTCAGGAGGCTGAGGCAGGAGAATCGCTTGAACCCGGGAGGCGGAGGTTGCAGTGAGCCGAGATTGTGCCATTGTACTCCAGCCTGGGCAACAAGAGCAAAGCTCCATCTCAAAAAAAAAAATGTTTTAATAGGTGTGTACTTTAGGAAAGTGGTCGTGGTTACAGGATGGGAAATGGATTTGAATGGGAGCATGGAGACCACTTAATGGCCCATTGATAGCAATCAGACGAGATAATGGGCTTAAGAAAGTGGTAGCCGGGATGGAGAGAAGGGATGGAGAGAAGTAAAGGACGCTGGAGACGAAGGAGGAGGATGGTGAAGCCCTGGTTATTGAAGTACTCAGGGTGAGGATGAGGCCAAACCAAGATGATGGCAACCTCAACTTCATGGCATAGACAGTCCATGGTGGGAAACATGGGTGGGGCCTCAGGTTTGTACAGGAGAATGAAGTGTTCAGTTTTGAAGATGCCGAGGTGAGTACCTGTAGTCCCAGCTACTCGGGAGGCCAAAGCAGGAGGATCACTTGAGCCTGGGAATTGGAGGCTGCGGTGAGCCTTGATCACACCACTGCACTCCAGCCTGGGTGACAGCCAGAGTGCATCTCTAAAAGAATAAAAAGAACTTGAGGTGAGAGTTCCATGGGGCATCCAGTCCATGTGGATAAATTTGTAGCCACGTTTACTACACAGGCTGTGTAGCTGGGGAGATTCAGCTCCTAAAGCTTACAAATTAACCAGGTTTTGTGTTTTTTTTTTTTTGTTTTTGAGACAGGGTCCCACTCTTTCCCAGGCTGGAGTGCAGTGGTGCAGTCACAGCTCACTGCGGCCTCCACTTCTCAGGCTCAACCGATCCTCCCATTTTAGCCTCCCGAGTAGCTGGGAGTACAGGAGCACACCACCACACCTGGCTAATTTTGTTTATTTTTTGAGGAGACAGAGTCTCACTGTGTTGCCCAGGCTGGCCTCAGGCCTCAAGTGATTGTCCTGCCTTGGCCTCCCAAACTGCTAGGATTACAGGCCTGAGCCATTGTGCTCAGCCGAGTTTTAACCTGCTTGTTTGTTCTTTTTTCTATCTTTTTTATGTAGTCATCCAGAAGCAAGTTTTAACCGGTTTTAATGATCATTTTCGCCGTAGGTCTTTGCAAGGGAAGGAAATGTGCCCAACATCATCATTGCGGTGAGTACCCAGCCCTGGGCCTGTTGAGTGTCTCCATGTCTCATCCCACTGTCCGCTGAACTGCTTTCTTGTGCACAGCGCTGCCTCCCTGGAGAGCCCCTTCCCATTCCCCCGGCAAAGGGAAGTGTTTCACTCTAGTTGGGAGGCCTGGGGTTGGTTGCTGTATTTTTTTTTATTTATTTATTTATTTTTTTTTCTGAAACGGAGTCTCACTCTGTCACCCAGGCTAGAGTGCAGTGGTGCAATCTCTGCTCACCGCAACCTCTCCCTCCCAGGTTCAAGCGATTCTTGTACCTCAGCCTCCCGACTAGCTGGGATTACAGGTGCCTGCCATCACGCCCAGCTAAGTTTTGTATTTTTAGTAGAGACGGGGTTTCGCCATGTTGGCCAGTCTGGTCTTGAACTCCTGACCTCAGGTGATCTGCCCGCCTTGGCCTCCCAAAGTGCTGGGATTATAGGTGTGAGCCACTGTCTCCGGCCAGCTGTATTGATCTGTGTGTGCTGTGGGTGGAATGCAGGGGTCAGAGGTGACGGAGATGCAAACAGCAGTGAACATAACTCAAGAGCTACCTGAGGTCCTTCTGGTGGTTTGAAGTCTTTACTGGAGATCTCATTCCCAGGGCCCTCCAGGAACCGGCAAGACCACAAGCATTCTGTGCTTGGCCCGGGCCCTGCTGGGCCCAGCACTCAAAGATGCCATGTTGGAACTCAATGCTTCAAATGACAGGTAGGTCTTAGAGTCAGACCTGTAGGGGGGCGGGTGCTCTGCATTGAGAATTGTTACAGAAACAACCTTTCTCAGCATTGGGTTGTATGCGAAGCCTTGCCAGCTATGTGATTTCCTCCACCCCTTCCCAGTGAAAGAGCGTTGCTCACTTGTCAACTTGCCGGTTTATTTTTTTTGTTTTCATGGAAATTTTCAAAAACTGTTCTTCTCAGCCAGGCATGGTGGCTCACACCTGTAATTCCAGCACTTTGGGAGGCCGAGGCAGGTAGATCACCTGAGGTCAGGAATTCGAGACCATCCTAGCCAACATGGTGAAACCCCGTCTCCACTAAAAATACAAAACTTAGCTGGGCGTGGTGCTGGGTGCCTGTAATCCCAGCTACTCAGGAGGTTGAGGCAGGAGGATTGCTTGAACCCAGGAGAAGGAGGTTACAGTGAGCTGAGATCGCACCGTTGAGCACTCCAGCCTGGGTGACGAGCAAAACTCCATCTCCAAAAAAAAAAAACCAACTAGTTTTTCTCTTTTTTCAAGTTTAAAAATTTTTGTAGAGATGGGATCTCACTATGTTGCCCAGGCTGATCTCAAACCCTTAGCCTCAAGCAATCCTCCTGCCTTGGCCTGCTAAGTTGCTAGGACTATAGACACATGCCACCATGCCAGCTTTTTCTTGTGGAGACGGGATCTCACTATGTTGCCCAGTCTGGTCTCGAACTCCGGGACTCAAGCGATCCTCCTTGCATCAGCCTCCCAAAGTGCTTGGATTACAGACGTGAGCCACTACACTGGGATGTTCAACCAGTAAATATAATGCAAAATTCCAAAATGTGAAAAAAAAACCCAGATCTGAAATATTTCTGGTCCCAAGCATTAGGGATAAGGGATACTCAGCCTGTATATTTAAAGTGTATGGAAGGCCGGCCAGGCATGGTGGTTCATGCCTATAATCCCAGCACTTTGGGAGGCTGAGGCAGGTGGATCGCTTGAGTCCAGGAGTTTGAGACCAGCCTAGGTGACATAATGAAACCCCATCTCTGTATAAAAGTAAAAATAAAGTGTTCTGGAGGATGTGTATAAGTTAATATGCAAATACTATACCATTTCATATAAGGGACTTGAGCAAAAGTGAATTTTGGTGTCTGAGGAAGGGCCTAGCACCAGTCCCCAGGAACACCAAGGGACAGCTGCATATTGTTCACTCCTTGATTCTTCAGTTAGGGAAAATGTCTGGAGGATATTGGCATCTGAAGATTCATAGTCTGAGATTTTGCTTATTGATCAATTTCACCATCAGTAGCATTTAGAATGTTGCTATTGGTGTCTCTGCAGTTCTGTACTGTTCTGTTCTGTTCTTTTCTTTCTTTCTTTTTTTTTGAGACAGAGTCTTGCTCTGTCACCCAGGCTGGAGTGCAGTGGCACGATCTCGACTCACCATAACCTCTGCCTTCTGGGTTCAAGCGATTCTCGTGCCTCAGCCTCCCAAGTAGCCGGGACTACAGGCGTGCGCGGGCACGCCCAGGTAATTTTTGTATTTTTAGTAAAGATGGATTTTCGCCGTGTTGGCCAGGTTGATCTTAAACTGGCCTGGAGTGGTCCGCCCACCTTGGCCTCCTAAAGTGTTGGGATTACAGGTGTGAGCCACCATGCTTGGCCTACATTGCAGTTATTTTCTGATTCACCTAATAATTAGGAAGAGTCCTCCTCTCAATTTTTTTCTCTTTCCTGTTGTGGGTAGAGAATGAAAAATTTTGAATTCTTGGCTGTGGTTAGTGAAAGCTTACAAGATAACAAAGGTGGTATATCTGCACTTCTATTACATCTTTTGAAAGATAATATGGTATCTCAAGCAATGCAGTTAAAAAACTGAAGGATGAGGCTTTTTTTTTTTTTTGAGACGAATTATCGCCAGGCTGGGGTGCAGTGGCGTGATCCCGGCTCACTGAACCTGGGAGGCAGAGCTTGCAGTGAGCCAAGAGGGCCACTGCACTCCAGCCTGGATGACACAGCGAGACCCTGTCTGAAGAAAAAAAAAAAAAAAGTGTATATTTTCTTTGTTCTTTGAAAGACCTCCAAGAAAGAACAAATGCCATAAAATCTCAATCCTTATAAATAGTTACAATTGCCCCCCAAAAAAACTCAAAAATGGAAATTGGGCCTCACAGTCCCTGATATACCGATTGTTTAAAAGTCCTTGTGAAGGCAACTGAATTGGTCTCAGAAGGTGCCAGTAAAAACCTGTCATTCTTTCAGGGGCATTGACGTTGTGAGGAATAAAATTAAAATGTTTGCTCAACAAAAAGTCACTCTTCCCAAAGGCCGACATAAGATCATCATTCTGGATGAAGCAGACAGGTAGAGTGCTTTGCCAAATGTATTTTGACCTTGATCTCTAAATCTCTTTTTCGGTTTTATTCAATCAGGATAAAAAGCACTTTTATGGTAGATTTGCTTATCATATCTTCCACAAGCAATTTAATAGGGGCCTGCACCTTAAATCTTATCTTTATTAAGTAACTTACAAACATTTGTCTAAGATAGTCATTCATTTAATGTGCTGGTTTCAGCATCTCTTACGTTAATAATTTAAATGAGGGTTTTTGTTTTTTTTTTTTTTTGAGATGGAGTTTCTCTCTGTCACTCAGGCTGGAGTATAGTGGTGTGATCTCTGCTCACTGCAACCTCCGCCTCCCGGGTTCAGGCGGTTCCCTGGCCTCAGCCTCCCAAGTATCTGGGACTACAGGCATCTGCCGCCACACCCGGCTAATTTTTGTATTTGTATTTGTATTTGTATTTGTATTTATTTATTTATTTTTTTTTTGAGACAGAGTCTCGCTCTGTCTCCCAGGCTGGAGTGCAGTGGTGCGATTTCAGCTCACTGCAACCTCCGCCTCCTGGGTTCACGTGATTCTCCTGCCTCAGCCTCCCGAGTAGCTGAGACTACAGGCATGCACCACCACGCCCAGCTGATTTTTTGTATTTTTAGTAGAGAAGGGGTTTCACCATGTTAGCCAGGGTGGTCTCAATCTCCTGACCTCGTGATCCGCCCGCCTCAGCCTCCCAAAGTGCTGGGATTACAGGCATGAGCCACCGAGCCTGGCCTAATTTTTGTATTTTTAGTAGAGATGGGGTTTCGCCATGTTGGCCAGGCTGGTCTCGAACTCCTGACTTCAGGTGATCTACCCGCCTCGGCCTCCCAAAATGCTGGGATTATAGGTGTGAGCCACTGTGCCTGGCCTGTAAATTTTTTTATTGTGGTTAAATGGACATAATTAACCATAAATTTTTTTTTTTTTTTTTTTGTGAGACGGAGTCTTGCTCTGTCGCCCAGGCTGGAGTGCAGTGGCGCAATCTTGGCTCACTGCAAGCTCCACCTTCTGGGTTCACGCCATTCTTCTGCCTCAGCCTCTCGAGTAGCTGGGACTACAGGCGCCCTCCACCACGCCCAGCTAATTTTTTTGTATTTTTAGTAGAGACGGGGTTTCACTGTGTTAGCCAGGATGGTCTTGATCTCCTGGCCTCATGATCCGCCCGCCTCGGCCTCCCAAAGTGCTGGGATTATAGGTGTGAGCCACTGCGCCCGGCCCAAAATTTACCATTTTAACTATTTTGAAGTATACAGTTCAGTGGCATTTAGTACATTTGCAATGTTGTGCAACCATCACAACACTTCGGTTGGTATAAATGAAGAATCTGAGTCCAGGCTCGGTGGCTCATGCCTGTAATCCCAGCACTTTGGGAGGCCGAGGCAGGCGGATCACCTGAGGTCGGGAGATGGAGACCAACATGGAGAAACTTCGTCTCTACTAAAAATACAAAATTAGCCAGGTGTGGTGGCACATACCTGTAATCCCAGCTACTTGGGAGGCTGAGGCAGGAGAATTGCTTGAACCCCGGAGGCGAAGGTTGTGGTGAGCTGAGATCATGCCATTTGCACTGCAACCTGGGCAACAAGAGCGAAACTCCATCTCAAAAAAAAAAAAAAAATTGAAATGACATTAAGAAAAGAATATAGAACCCTAACCCTATAACGTTGTTTTTTGTTGTAGTTTTTGAGACAGGGTCTCACTATATCACTCAGACTAGAGTCCAATGGCACAGTCATAGCTCACTGCAACCTTGAACTCCTCGGCTGTAATGATCCTCCACCTCAGCCTCCCAAGTAGCGGAGACTACAGGCTTGTGCAACTGCAACCAGCTATTTTTTTTTTCACAGGGGCAGGATCTCACTATGTTACCCAGGCTGGTCTCAAACTCCTGGCCTCAAGTGATCTGTCTGCCTCGGCCTCCCAAAGTGCTAGGATTGCAGGCATGAGGTGCTGTGCCTGGCGAAATAAATTTTTTTTAGGGCCAGGTGCGGTGGCTCACACCTGTAATCCCAGCACTTTGGGAGGCCGAGGCGGGCAGATTGCTTGAGGTCAGGAGTTCGAAACCAGCCTGGCCAACGTGGAAACCCCGTCTCTACTAAAAGTATAAAAATTAGCCGGACATGGTGGCGCCCAGGCTGGAATGCAATGGTGCTTGTAATCCCAGGTACTAAGGAGTCCAAGGCAGGAGAATCGCTTGTACCCGGGAGACAGAGGTTGCAGTGAACTGAGATGGTGCCAGTGCACACCAGCCTGGGCAACAGAGCAAGACTCTGTTTCAAAAAAAAAATTTTTTTTTTTTAATGTGGCAGTAATTCATGTTCTTTGAAGAAAATTTAGAATATATTAATAGTTTGCTGCCTTTTTATTTATTTATTTTTTTGAGGTGGAGCCTCACTCTGTTGCCCAGGCTGGAGTGCAGTGGCATGATCTTGGCTCACTGCAACCTCTGCCTCCTGGATTCAAGTGATTCTCCTGCCTCAGCCTCACGAGTAGCTGGGACTACAGACGTGCGCCACCACGCCCAGACAATTTTTTTTTTTTTTTTTTTTTTGTATTTTTAGTAGAGTTGACGTTTTGCTGTGTTGGCCAGGCTGGTCTTGAACTCCTGACCTCAAGAGAGCCACCTGCCTCGGCCTCCCAATGTGCTGGGATTACAGGCATGAGCCACTATGCCTGGCCATTAATAACTTGCTTTTTTTCTTCTCTTTTTATATACTATCAATGTTTACACAGTTGAGATCATAATATATATAATTTTTGTATCCTGGTTTTTCCTTTTAATGTTGTAGGCATTGCTCTACATTATGATAATCTGGTAAACAGGCTTTTTTGTATTTTTTAAAATTTTTTGTAGAAATAGAGGTCTTACTTTGTTGCCCAGGCTGGTCTCGAACTCCTGGTCTCAAGCGGTCCTCCCGCATCAGCCTTTTGAGATGGGAGGATTGCTTGAGCCCAGGAGTTCGAGGCTGCAGTGAGCTATGATTCCACCATTGCACTGCAGCCTGGGTGACAGCAAGAACCTGTCTCTTTAAGAAAAAAAAAAGAATAAAAAAGGAAGAAAGAAAAGTTGGCAGCTGGTGTCATGATTGTTCTCCTGAATTTGTGTCATGAAGGACTGGAGAGAACCAATTCCCACAAGTGTGATGGCAGCCCTTGTAGATCGTGGTTTTCGTGAGTTTCACTTGAGGGTTGTTCTGATGCTGTAGGTACTAAATGCTGTTTGCACAGTCTTTGAGAGAGCGGCCTGCAGGTGTTAGCATTAGAGGGATGGCCTGCGTACTTCCAATGAGACCCTCATTTAGGACATTGGATGTGTCTTATGTCCTGGGTTTTTGTATAGGGAACGATTTGTGTCACATGGTCTCTGGGTCCCACTTGCAAACTTGTGTTTTTCTTCTCAGCATGACCGACGGAGCCCAGCAAGCCTTGAGGAGAACCATGGAAATCTACTCTAAAACCACTCGCTTCGCCCTTGCTTGTAATGCTTCGGATAAGATCATCGGTGAGTGGGAGCTTTCGGTGGCTGGGGGCCACGTGGTGCTCAACTGGGCTTTTTTCTTTTTTATAGATGTGGTCTCCCTCTTCGCTCAGGCTGGAGTGCAGTGGTGCCATCACAGCTCACTGCAGCCTCAAACTCCTGTGCTCAAGTGGTCTTCCTGCCTCAGCCTCCCAGTAGCTGAGACTACAGGCCTGTGCCACCACACCTGGATTTTTTTTTTTTTTTTGAGACAAAGTCTCACTCTGTCGCCTAGGCTGGAGTGCAATGGCACGATCTCAGATCACTGCAACCTCCACCTCCAAGGTTCAAGCAATTCTTGTGCTTCAGCCTCCTGCGTAGCTGGGATTACAGGCTCGCACAACCACACCCAGCTAATTTTTTTTTTTTTTTTTTTTTTTTAAGAGATGGGGTTTCACCATGTTGGCCAGGCTGGTCTCAAACGTCTGACCTCGTGATCGCCTGCCTCGGCCTCCCAAAGTGCTGGAATTACAGATGTGAGCCACTGCACCTGGCCTCGCCTTGGCTCTTTAGCGCTGGAAGAGTAGGGATTTTTTTATTGTGTAGCATGGGCCAAGCACTATATAATCAAGTTTTTAAATTTATATTTTTTTAATTGACAAGGAGAAATTGTATATATTATGCACATGTTTCCCATTGTAATCAACTTTTAAATTTAATCTTACATAATCCTATGAGGAGGTATTATTCGCTTCAGTTTAGAGATGAGAAAACTGGAGCTTATCCTGATGTTTAGGATCTAAGGAAAAAAGAGAAAGAAAACGAGCTTGGAGAGGTTGAGTAGTTTCCCCAAAGTCAGAGCAAGTGCAAGAGCAGCTGGGATTGGAGCCCCAGTTCTATCACCCTCTTGCACTCTTGGAGGCACAAGGATGTTGTTGATGTCCCCTGCACGGTGTCACGATCACAGTCGCTCTCCAGATACCTTCTTGTGCTATTCATGTGCTCTGAGTACTTGGTATAGGCAGTATCTGTACATTGGAATTTGTTGCCTCCGGGAAGCTCCTCTCTCAAATCCTGCAGTCCGTCTTTTCTCTAACCTTACTGTTTGCCCTTCCACCTCCCTCCCTGCAGCCTGTCTGCTTCTGCATGGGTTTGTCCCGCCCCAGGTCCCAAGAGTGCTCTAGTCTGTCAACTTCCTGCTGGTTTCACATCCTTCTCTTTCTTTTTTTTGTAGAGAGAGTCTCGCTCTGTCGCCCAGGCTGGAGTGCAGTGTTGCGATTTCAGCTCACTGCTATCTCCGCTGCCTGGATTCAAGTGATTTTCCTACCTCAGCCTCCTCAGTAGCTGGGATTACAGGCATGTGCCACCATGCCAGGCTAATTTTTGTATTTTTCTTAGAGACGAGGTTTCACCATGTTGCCCAGGCTGGTCTAGAACGCCTGGCCTCAAGTGGTCTGCCCACCTCGGCCTCGCAAAGTGCTGGGATTATAGGCGTGAGCCACCACGGCTGGCCCATCCTTCTCTTTCTGACACAGGCTGCCTGCACAGCCCAGCTGTCCTCTTTCCTCATTTTTCATTGCTCTCTCAGCCGCTTTCTTTGCCTCACTTCTGCCCTGCTGAACCCCAACCATATGAGCTCATCCATCTGACAACCCCCTTGCCACCCAGGCCGCTGTTGCCGACGAGCGCATTACCAAATATGGCACCCACAAAGTCATGGCTACCAGCCCTGGTGGGGCTCTCAGCAGTGTCAAGAATCCTTTGCATTCTTTTCCCTTCCCAAAATCGCACTGATTTGTGCATTGATTCATTAACCCATTCACCGAACGCTTAACTCTGGTTCTTAGTAGCCGCCAGGCACCATGCTAGTGGAGAGCTCGTGGAGTTTAATGAGAAGTATTCTCCACTTTGCAGATGCCAGCAATGAAATGGAGAAAAATGCATTCCTAGGTCTTGATTTGGCAGGGCACAGTGGCTCATGCCTGTAATCCCAGCACTTTGGGAGGCCGAGGCAGGTGGATCCCCTAAGGTCTGGAGTTCGAGACCAACCTGGCCAACATGGTGAAACCCCATTTCTACTAAAAATACAAAAATTAGCCGGGTGTGATAGCGTGCGCCTGTAATCCCAGCTACTCAGGAGGCTGAGACAGGAGAATCACTTGAACCTGGGAGGTGGAGGTTGCAGTGAGCCTAGATCACACCACTGCACTCCAGCCTGGGCAACAGAGAGACTTGGTCTCAGTAAAAAAAAGAAAGAAAGAAACTGGCCAGGCATGGTGGCTCACACCTGTAATCCCTGCACTTTGGGAGGCTGAGGCAGGAAGACTACTTGAGGCCAGGAGTTCGAGAGCAGCCTGGGCAACAGCAAAACCCTGTCTATGAAAAAAAAAGAAAGAAACTGGGTTGGCCCATTCAGATTGAATTGTCATGTGCCCAGAAGGGCCAACATCCAGCACACACCAATTCCAGAGTCCACCTGGGCCAGGGCTGACTCATCTAACAGCTTGTGGCAGGCACATGGATGTGTTTCTACTGGAGGATCATTTCCCCGTCTGGAAGCCGTGGCTAGCCAAGGCCATGTGGGCAGTGCCAACTGAGGCCTCTGTCATTGCTTATTGGTTGACACCTTGACATATCACCCTGTGTTTACCAAGTCTCTCTCTCTCTCTTTTTTTTTTTTTTTTTTTTGGAGACACAGCCTCGCTCTGTTGTCCAGGCTGGAGTGCAGTAGTGTGATCTTGGCTCACTTCAGCCTCCAACTCTCGTGCTCAAGCGAGTCTCTTGCCTTAGCCTCCTGAGTAGCTAGGATTACAGACGTGCGACACCACACCCAGCTAATTTTTGTATTTTTAGTAGAGATGGGGTTTCACCATGTTGTCCAGGCTGGTCTCAAACTCCTGTCCTCAAGTGATCCTCCCGCCTCAGCCTCCCAAAGTGCTGGGATTCAGGCGTGAGCCCTCGTGTCCGGCCTACCAAGTCTCTATTGAGTGCCTGGGGCTGTGTGGATTGTGCAGCTGCAGCCTTATGACCAAAGAGCTAGCAGGATGATGCCGGCCTCTGCAGGGAAGCCTCACTACTGTCCCGTCTCTGTTCAGAGCCCATTCAGTCCCGCTGTGCAGTCCTCCGGTACACAAAGCTGACCGACGCCCAGATCCTCACCAGGCTGATGAATGTTATCGAGAAGGAGAGGGTACCCTACACTGATGACGGCCTAGAAGCCATCATCTTCACGGCCCAGGGAGACATGAGGCAGGTATGTGGGCTGCTACCATTCAGGCGTGGGCATCCTGTGCCTGCCATGCCCCTTCCATGGGGAAGGGGAGGGAAGTGACAGCTGCACAAGGTACAACAAGAGAAAGAGACAGAGACCTGGCACCCTCCTGGGACAGTGGGCTGTCTAGCTCGGACTCCAAGAAGAGAGGCAGGGAAGGGCAGAGCTTTAAAAGTCACCCCGGAGGCTGAGGCAGGAGGATCACCTGAGGTCAGGAGTTCAAGACCAGCCTGGCCAACATGGTGAAATCCCATCTCTACTAAAAAAAATTAAAAAATTAGCCAGGCATGGCCAGGCACAGTGGCTCACGCCTATAATCCCAACACTTTGGAAGGCCAAGGCGGGTGGATCACGAGGTCAGGAGTTCATGACCAGCCTGGTTAACATGGTGAAACCTCATCTCTACTAAAAATACAAAAAATTAGCCAGGCGTGGTGGTGGGCGCCTGTAGTCTCAGCTACTCGTGAGGCTGAGGCAAGAGAATGGCATTAACCTGGGAGGCGGACCTTGCAGTGAGCTGAGATAGCACCACTGCACTCCAGCCTGGGCGACAGAGCGAGACTCTGTCTCAAAAAAAAAAGCTGGGCATGGTGGTGGGTGCCTGTAATCCCAGCTACTCAGGAGGCCGAGGCAGAAGAATCGCTTGAACCTGGGATACGGAGATTGCAGTGACTCGAGATTGTGCCACTACACTCCATGCTGGGTGACAGAGTGAGACTCTGTCTCAAAAAAAAAAAAAAAAAAAAAAAGTCACCCTTGGCCCGGTGCGGTGGCTCATGCCTGTAATCCCAGCACTTGGGAGGCGGAGGTGGGAGAATCGCTTAAGCCCAGGAGTTCGAGACCAGCCTGGGCAACATAGCGAGACTCCTGTCTCTACTCAAAAAGAAATAAATATAAAAATCATCCTTGACATGTGTTTGCTCCTGAACAGGCGCTGAACAACCTGCAGTCCACCTTCTCAGGATTTGGCTTCATTAACAGTGAGAACGTGTTCAAGGTACAAGCGCTAGTGTGGGTGGTACTGTCAGCAGAAGCCGTGCTTCCCTGTGGGGGCCAGTGGGGCTGAAGGGCTGGGCTGGCAGTGGGGACGGACATCTAGCTGCTCTTGTGGGTGCCAGGGAGCCCACCCTGCTCCCGTCTGTCCTCTCCCTATTGCTGCTTTGCTGCACAAGCTGGAGAGTTTCGGGGGACCTGGAACGTCACTTGTGTGTGGTAGGTGAGGGAGGACCACGGATGCATCAGACCCAGGGTCGAGCAATTTCTGACGTGTCTTATTTGATCCCAGCGACTTCCCTGCACAGAGGTTCTCACCATCACATTGTGGGTGATGACGTGGGCCCAGGGGATCCCCTGGCCCCTAAAGGGCAGGCAGGAGCACTGTGCTGTTCCCCAGTAGCCTTCAGACCCCACACCCTGGGTTTTTTCTGCAATGCTGTGCCCTGCTCCCCACTTCTGCCCCTGGAGGGTGGGTAGTAACCCTCAAAGCCAGGCTGAGGAAAAGGTTTCTCACTTACTCTCCCATGTCAGCAAAACATTTTTCTCTTGGGAATTCTTTTGAAAACTGCTTCCGCATCCTGATAACTCCGCGTCTAAATGCCATTTGAGAGATTCACTTCCCCCTTATTTGGGGGAAGAAACTGGGAAGGGCTGTCCAAGCTTTCAGCCTATAGCTGTTTCTTACCAGGTTTGTGGACAACAGACAAGCGATTTTTGAAGCATCTGGGTAGATCTGGGCAGTGAATGCATTTTCGAGGCCACTTAGGAAGGGGAGGCCCGCTCAGAAACAGGGGTGATGGTTCGGGCCCTGTTTTGTCTTGGAGGGTCACTGAGGGCTCAGGAAACCATGGCTTCCACCGGGAAAAGGCAAGGGCAGGTGTGGGTGACCTCTGGAGCCATCAGGAGGCTTTCATTGGGAAGATGTAGGGGTCGACATTGTACCAGAGGCAGAGCCTCATGCCACTGCGGAGAATGCTGCAGGGAGGACGGAGTCCCCAGCACCATGCACCTGCCTGCTGGAGTAGCCTGACCCCTTGTTTAGGGTGTCAGGCTGAGGCTGGGGGACCTTTTGTAGGGAAGGCCAGTTCCTACTCCGGGGTGGAGGTGGGAATTGGCCCAAAAGACCTCCCAGTTCTAAAGTGAATTCCAAGTGGTTCTGGGCAACTGACCCCCCAAGTGATCTAAGACAGATGACTTGTGACTTTAAAGCTGTCCCCAAGTGAGCATCCTTCACAGGCCCTTGGTTGCTCTCTTGTTCATCTGTCTTATGTTTGGGAAATTTATCTTCCTGGTGCCGGAAGCACTTCTCTTTGATGGTGAGAGGAGCATTCCCCAAACTCATCCTGGTTGCTGGAGAATTTGATGAAAACAACAGGTTGAGAAGTTTTACCCATAGATTGCCTGGAAGTCGGTCTGTTGGGGCCTCCCCGCTCACATTGTCCCTTCTAGCCCCTGACCGCCTTTCCTTTCCCTTTGGCCAGGTCTGTGACGAGCCCCACCCACTGCTGGTAAAGGAGATGATCCAGCACTGTGTGAATGCCAACATTGACGAAGCCTACAAGGTTGGCCTCCTTCCCCCCGTCCTGGCAGAGGAACCGCTCACTTCTTGGGCAGAGGAGAGCGGGAGCCCTTCTGGTACCAGGGACATTATACACATCACTCCATTCATTCTTGAAATCTTACTTGGGAGACTGAGGCAGGAGGATTTGTTGAGCCTTGGAGGTCAAGGCTGCAGTGAGCTGTGATTGCGCCACTGTACCCCAGCCTGGGTGATGGTGAGACCCTGTCTCAGGAAAAAAAAAAAATTATTAATATCATGCTATGTGTTAATCTGTCTAGGAACTGGAAAAAAAAAATTATGCTAGGAGTTGGGTGCACTTTACTGATGAGAAAACTGATTCAGAGGCTGAATTCCTTGTCCTAAATCACTGTGTTTGTTTATTTATTTATTTATTTATTTATGTAGAAACAGGGTCTTACTCTGTTGCCCAGGCCGGAATGCACTGGCGCGGTCACAGCTCACTGTAGCCTCTACCTCTCAGGCTCAGGCGATCCTCCCACCTCAGCCTCCCAAGTAGCTGGGACTACAGGCACATGTCACTATGCCCAGCCCTAAGTCATGGTTTAAAAGCAGTAGAACTAGAATTCAAAATGGTGTTTTTCTCCTGTAATTATATCCTCTGCAGGAGAAATTTGTCAGCCAAAGTCAGGAGGAAAGACCAGCCTAGCTCCTTCTCCAGGGAAGCCATCTTCTCTCCAGTTAAGGGGAAGTGTCCCCATCCATTCTCATAGGCACAGGCATTCTGGGATCCAGCAGCCCCCAGCTAGCCAGGAGAGGAGGGAGCAGGAAGATTCTAGCCTCACAATGGGACTGAGTGCTGTGAGCAGATTCCAGCAGATGTGGCTGGGGTTCAGGCGACCTCAAGCCACATGGGTGTGGTGTGGTTGGTGTGGTTCAAGGTCATTGATCCAGTCATGGTTTCCCTCTGCCTACCCCCTAACAAACTAGGTTGGAAGTTGACTGGGTTTAGGGCATAGTTCCACCCAATGTGAAACCGGAGTGCAAGGCGGGGAGACTGAGCAGAGACCCAGGCCCAGGGTCCCTGAGTAGACCTGAAGAAAGCCTTCAGATTTGTGGGCACAGAGCTTCTCTGCCTCCTGAATTCACCCCAAGATGCCAAAACAAAGGCAAAAAGGCCTGCCTCCAGACGCTGCAGCCTGGGTGGGGCAGGGTGGGTGGGAAGCAGGAGGCTGGGATTACCCAGTCAGGGTGTGCTCCAGGCTCGTCCTGCAGAGGTTGCATTGGGACTGCAGCTGGATGAAGCTAGCAGATGAATGGTCTGCTTTTTCCACTTTGCTATACCTAGTCATCAGATTAATAAAGCATTTTAAGAGCTCCGGATCAAGAGATTACATGGGTGTGGTAGTAGACCATTTTGCAACACAGCTTAACACATTTGCGATAGGCTGGGCTCAGTGGCTCATGCCTGTAATCCCAGCACTTTTGGAGGTCGAGGCAGGAGGATTGCTTGAGGCCGGGAACTTGGGACCAGCCTGGGCAATATAGCAAGACTCTTATCTTTATATTACTGAAAAAAAAATATTTAAGCAAAACAACAATACATTTGCAATGTTATCTCTCTATCTGCCATGAAAATCAGTTAAGGTACCCCCATGTGACCTGAAGGGTGGGCCCCACCAGCTGTGGTGAGTCTCAAAATCACATGTCTTCTTACAGTTTAAAGTGGTAAGCAGCCTTTTCTGTCTCCTTTGTCTAGATTCTTGCTCACTTGTGGCATCTGGGCTACTCACCAGAAGATATCATTGGCAACATCTTTCGAGTGTGTAAAACTTTCCAAATGGCAGAATACCTGAAACTGGAGTTTATCAAGGTCGGTGAGAATGTAGAAATGCCTCTGTCCTCAAGAATGTGGCCCATAGTGGCCGGGTGCTGTGGGCCACACCTGTAATCCCAGCACTTTGGGAGGCCGAGGTGGGCAGATCACCTGAGGTCAGGAGTTCGAGACCAGCCTGGCCAACGTAGTGAAAGCCTCTGTCTACTAAAAATACAAAAATTAGCTGGGCATGGCTGGGCGTGGTGGCTCATGCCTGTAATCCCAGCACTTTGGGAGGCCGAGGTGGGCGGATCACCTGAGGTCAGGAGTTTGAGACCAGCCTGGCCAACATGGCAAAGCCCCATCTCTACTAAAAATACAAAACTTAGCTGGGTGTGGTGGCAAGCGCCTATAATCCCAGCTACTTGGGAGGCTGAGGGAGGAGGATCGCTTGAACCTGGGAGGTGGAGGTTGCAGTGAGCCAAGATCGCACCACTGCACTCCAGCCTGGGCAGCAGAGCGAGACTGTCTCAAAACAAAAAAAAAAGACTGTGGGCCCTGGCTTCGCTTTCTCTGCTCACAGGCCTGGCATCTAGAAGGTGCTCAGTGTTTCCCAACTGCAGTGGGAGGGAGGCTGTGTCTTAGTTCCTTTGAGTTACTATAAAGGAATACCAGAGACTGGGTAATGTAGAAAGAAAAGAGGTTGATTTGGCTCACAGTTCTGCAGGCTGTACATGTAGCATGATGCCAGCATCTGCTTCTAGGGAGGGGTTCAGGCTGCTTCTGCTCATGTTGGAAGGGGAAGTGGGAGCCTGTGCATGCAGAGACCACCTGTTGAGAACGGAGGGAGGTGCCAGGCTCATTTGAACAGCCAGCTCTCCAGGGACCTAATTGATCCAGAACTCACTCACTACCTTGGGGTGGGCACCAAGCCATTCACGTGGGATCTTCCTCATGACCCAAACATCCCCACATTGGGGACCAAATTCCAAATGAGATTGGAAGGGGACAGACGTCCAAACTAGATCAACGTGGCTGATTGTCCTGAGGACCAAGTTTGTTTCACACAGTTCTGATTTTCTTCATTCAAGGCTCTCTTGTGTATTGACTGATTGATTGATTTTTCAAGGTTAGATTAATTGAGGTTTAATTTACATAGAGTAAAATTCAGCCTGTTAGGTACAGGACAAACGCACTCAGTCATGCAAACACTATCACCATCAGGATGCAGAATCTGTCATCCCAGAACAACTCATGTGTCCCTTTGAAGCCAGCCCCCTCCCCGACTACCACTTGGAAACTACCGATGTAGTTTCTGTTTCATGGGATACAGTTTTCCAGAATATCATATAAATGGGATCATGTAGAACTTAGCCTTGTGAGTTTGGCTTCTTTCTTTCACTGTAGCAGAAATGCCTTTCAGATGTGTCCACGCTGGTACTTCTATCCATGAGTCAGTCCGTGTTATCACTGAGAAGTAATCCATCCTGTGCGTGTACCACAGTTTGCTTATCTGTCCATCAGCTGGAGGACATTTGGGTTTACAGATTGTGGTGACTGTGAATAAAGCCAGTGTAAACATTTGCATATATGGATTAGTGTGAATGCAAATGTTAAGTTTTTCTTTTTCCCAAGTAAGTTCCCAGGGGTGAAATTGCCTGGGAAAATGATAAGTGTATGTTTTACTCGATAAGGAACTGCCAAACGGTTTTCCGAAGTGGCTGCAGCACGTGCATTCCCACCAGCATTCCGGAGGATCCTCAACCTAGCCACCACATGGAGTGCTCAGTTTGGTTTTTAAGCCATTCTAATAGGTGTGTAATGACCGGATGCAGTGGCTTACACCTGTAATCCCAGCTACTCGGGCGGCTGAGGGAGGAGGATCGCTTGAACCCAGGAGGTGGAGGTTGCAGTGAGCTGAGATCACACCCCTGCACTACAGCTTGGGCGACAAGAGTGAGACTCCATCTTAAAAAAAAAAAAAAAAAAAAAACCAATAACAACAACAACAAAATAACCTAATAGGCATGTGATGAGATCTCATTGTGCCTTTAATTTGCATTTCCCTAATTACTATGCTGAACATTTAATCATGTGCTCGTTTGCCATCCAGAATCTTCTTTGATGAAACATCTGTTCATATATACCCATTTTTTAAAATTTTTACATTTTTTATTTTAATTGTACTGTATTTTTTGTTTAGAGATCATGTTAAGACCGGCCAATTTTTATATTTTTGGTGGAGACGGGGTGTCCCCGTGTTGCCAAGGCTGGTCTTGAACTCCCGGGCTCAAGTGATCCTCCCGCCTCGGCCTCCCAAAGTGCTAGAATTACAGGTGTGAGCCACTGCGCCTGGCCTACCTTTTTTATGTTTTTGAGAGACAGGGTCTTGCTCTGTCACCCAGGCTGGAGTGCAGTGGTGCGATCATAGTTCACTGCAGCCTCAACCTTCCATGCTCAAGCAATCCTCCCACCTCAGGCTCCCGAGTAGCTGGGACTGCAGGCATGTGCCACTACACTTGGGTCATTTTTATTTTCTTTTTTTCGTAGAGTTTGGGTGTTGCTATGTTGCCCAGGCCCAACTCTGGGCAAGTGATCCTCCTGCCTCAGCCTCCCAGAATGCTGGGATTACAGGTGTGAGCTACTGCTCCAGGTCTAAATCTACCCATTTTTTAATTGGGTTGTTTGATTTTTATTACTGAATTTATTTACTTATTTATTTTTGAGATGGAGTCTTGCTCTGTTGCCCAGGCTGGAGTGCAGTGGCACTATCTCAGCTCACTGCAACCTTCGCCTCCCAGGTTTAAGTGATTCTCCTGCCTCAGCCTCCCGAGTAGCTGGGATTACAGGCGTGCGCCACCATACCTGGCTAATTTTTGTATTTTTAGTAGAGATGGGGTTTTACCATGTTGGTCAGGCTGATCTCGAACTCCTGGGCTCGTGATCCACCTGCCTTGACCTCCCAAAGTACTGGGATTACAGGCATGAGCCACCACGCCTGGACTTTATTACTGAATTTTTGAGAATTCTTTATACAGTCTGGATGCAAGTTCTTTATCAGATATATAAATATTTTCCTCTAGCCTGGCTTTCCGTGCCACCACCCCGCCCCCCCTCGCCCCACCCATTTTCTTAACAGTTTCTTTGAAAGAACTATCAGCATCCTTTTAAGAAATAAATAGAACTTTAGGTAAACATAATCCATTGCATCTTAGCATTCATTTTCCGGCTGGGGTTGGAATTCCTCATGCTGATTTTGAAAAAACCATTAGTTCAGTTTGTTTCTGTTTTTATTTTTATTTTTTTCAGTTCAGATTTTAAAAAAGAACTCCCCCACTTATTAACCAGATTTGAATTTGGTTTGTTTTTCAGGAAATTGGATACACTCACATGAAAATAGCGGAAGGAGTGAACTCTCTTTTGCAGATGGCAGGCCTCCTGGCAAGGCTGTGTCAGAAGACAATGGCCCCGGTGGCCAGTTAGAGCAGAGACTTCACTGACTGACTTACAGGTGCCCTATTCTGAGGTACAGGAGCCGCGGCTTTCTGATGGGGGAAAATGCCGCCTTAGGCTGGAGCCAACATGACTGTCCTTTAAACTCCAGTGGCTGGCCAGGCACGGTAGCTCACGCCTGTAATCCCAACACTTTGGGAGGCCGAGGCAGGTGGATCACCTGAGGTCAGAAGTTCAAGACCAGCCTGGCCAACATGGGGAAACCCTGTCTTTACTAAAAATATAAAAATTAGCTGGGTGTGGTGGCGGGCACCTGTAATCCCAGCTACTCGGGAGGCTGTGGCAGGAGAATCGCTTGAACCCAGGAGGTGGAGGTTGCAGTGAGCCAAGATCACACCATTGCACTCCAGCCTGGGCGACAGAGTCTCCATCTGGGGAAAAAAATTAAATAAATAAACTCCCGTGACTTGCATGTTTGCTTCTGGGACGTCTGTGCCCCGCAAGTGTTTGAGTTTGGCCTCCACCCCATTGATGCGGTGACGGGGCGGAAAGGCGCAGAGAAGCTGAGGGCGGTCTCTGATCTGTGTGTGGGTTGACATTTTAGCTAATAAAGCCTTGCAGTGTTTGTTGGCAATAAGGTGACCATGTGAAGCCTCGAGAAAAACCAGCTTCCTGTCTCTACGGGCCTTGGCAGCCTACAAGTAGAAAAGGCGATTAGATAGTAGACCCACAAGCTCATCTCGGTTCTTCTAGAAGCCTGAAGGCGCCACTTCCCCAGGGCGAGGGCAGGGTTTGCTGTCTTTCCTATTTAGACTGATTTCTC
Organism: Homo sapiens; assembly: GCF_000001405.40. Taxonomy (NCBI): domain Eukaryota; kingdom Metazoa; phylum Chordata; class Mammalia; order Primates; family Hominidae; genus Homo; species Homo sapiens. Next base: position 74,231,312 of record NC_000007.14, on the reverse strand, counting down.
AGAATGGCCAGGTGGCGAGCCTTTCAGAGAGGGCGGCAGAGTGGAGAGATGCAGCCCAGCCCTCAGGAAAACACCGTGATGCTCTTCCTGTGTTCTAGACCATACTCTTTGCGCTTGCTTTAGAATTCCCCAAAGAATTTCGTACTAATTTGTAGAATTGCCTTTTTTTTTTTTTTGGTAAGATACTATTTTTTTCCCTTTTTGTTTTGTTTTGATTTTTGAGATTGGGTCTCACTCTGTCGCCCAGGCTAGAGTGTAGTGGGCCAATCTTGGCTCACTGCAGCCTCAACCTCTTGGGCTCAAGTGATCCTCCTACCTCAGCCTCCTGAGTAGCTGGGACTACAGGCATGTACCACGATACCCAGCTAATTATTAAATTTTTTGTAGAAATGAGGTCTCACTATATTGCTGGGACTGGTCTCGAACTCCTGGCCTCAAGTGATCCTCCCACCTCAGCCTCCTAAGTGCTGGCATTACAGGTGTGAGCCACCATGCCTGGCCCATTTGGGCACGGTGGCTAAAATACGAAATACTAAAATACGAAATTAGCTGGGCATGGTGGCGCACGCCTGTAATCCCAGCTACTCAGGAGGCTGAGGCAGGAGAATTGCTTGAACCCAGGAGGTGGAGATTGTAGTGAGGCAAGATGGTGCCATTGCACTCCAGCCTGGGCGACAGAGCGAGACTCTTACAAAAAAAGGAAGAGAAACTTGTCCCTGAGGTTGTACAGTCAGGACTTCAGGATGTGAAGTAACAGGTGGGCGGCAGTTGGGTTCTAGATGTTTCTTCTGATTTCCTAACTTGTCGCATTAATTTCTTCTCATGGGAAGAGTCCCTGGGCCATCCCAGAAAGACGGCTGGACTTGGGAACTAAGATCCCATCCGCAGCCCTGATGCTCTCAGGGTCCCTTTTTATTAAACAAGAGCTGTGGCCGCCATTCCCTTAAGGCTTTTTGTGTTTGGTTATGTTTTTTGAGACAAGGTCTCCCTCTTTCGTCCAGGCTGGAGTGCAGTGGTGCGATCTCGGCTCACTGCAAGCTCCGCCTCCCGGGTTCACGCCATTCTCCTGCCTCAGCCTCCCAAGTAGCTGGGACTACAGGTGCCCGCCACCATGCCCGGCTAATTTTTTTGTATTTTTATTAGAGACGGGTTTCACTGTGTTAGTCAGGATGGTCTCGATCTCCTGACCTCGTGATCCACCCACCTCAGCCTCCCAAAGTGCTGGGATTACAGGCGTGAGCCACTGTGCCTGGCCGTGTTTTGTTATGTTTTTTGAGACAAGGTCTCCCTCTTGCCCAGGCTGGAGTGCAGTGATGCAATCATAGTTCACTGCAACCTTCTGGGTTCAAGTGATTTTCCTGCCTCAGCCTCCCAAGTAGTTGAGACTACAGGCATGCACCACCAGGCCCGGCTAATTTTTATATTTTTATAAAAGGTTTTTTACCTGAAGCAGGAGAAAGGAGACACAGGATAATCACTGCTTTTCAACTAAAATGGTTTTATTGAGATGTTTTGGTTGGAGGAGATACTTTTTCTGGCAACATTTCTGACTCAAGGTCCCTCTGGGCCCCAGCTCTTCCCATGAGACAGTCACAACACTGTTTAATCAGCTCTGCAGAGGCCAGCCCTGGAGCAGAGGAGGATTCAGGGCCATGGAGGGGACCTACTCTGCCCTGTTCTGGTCACTACTTCTCTAGACTCTCATGCACTATTGTCTGTAGCAAGTGACATTTCCACTGGAAGCACATAAAGATGGCGACAGCCTCATTTCTTCCTGAGTGAACTGAAGCCCAAAGAAAGGGGAGGTCCCACCAAAGGGGAAGAGAGCCAGGGCCCCACCCAACAAGGATGCTGAAATAAACTACATGTAATGCTTTCTAGGAGACAACACAGAAATCTCTACTCTGAAATCCAGAATGTTAAATATGGCTCCCCCTCTATAAGTTAACTGTACAAGCTTATCAATCATTTAAAACCCCAGCAACCAACAATAGCAATTAGGAATCCAAATTCATAGCACAAAAGAACACAGATACCAGTGTTGGACAGTGGTTTTGTTATGGGGACTGGGTGACAGCTTATCCTAAATCCTGCGCATCCGTCCATACCAGGAGCCGGGTTACCCTTGGTACCAGGTGCCTGCCCCACAAAGCCTGGGTCGGGAGAGGGCTTGGTGACGGGCCTGCAGCTCCCGTGAGTAACTGTCTTTTCCCAGGCTGTGCACGCATGGCCAGGTGGTCCTCAGGGTGGCTGGTTCTCCTTCCAGGAGCAACCATGGCAGGGGCTTAAAAGTTGAGTAGCTCTGGGAAATGGTCCTTGGAAGGCAGCGATGGGTCCATGAGCACAGTGGTCCCTCTTTGCCTTGGCTCCTTAAATGAAGAGGAAAGTTTGTAGAAGGAGGTTTGCCTTGATCAGTATTTTGTTCCTGAGAACCATAACCACTGGTTTGGGGACACCATTGAGCCTGCCTCCTGGCTGAGAACAGAAGCCGCACATCAATAACTGGGTTTCTTTTTTTTTTTTTGAGATGGAGTCTCACTCTGTCACCCAGGCTGGAGTGCGGTGGCGCGATCTCGGCTCACTGCAAGCTCCGCCTCTCAGGTTCACGCCATTCTCCTGCCTCAGCCTCCCAAGTAGCTGGGACTACGCCACCACGCCCAGCTAATTTTTTTTTTTTTTTTTTGTATTTTTAGTAGAGACAGGGTTTCACCATGTTAGCCAGGATGGTCTCGATCTCCTGACCTCGTGATCCGCCCACCTCGGCTTCCCAAAGTGCTGGGATTACAGGCGTGAGCCACCACGCCTGGCCCATTTTGTTTGTTTGTTTTTGTGTTTTTGAGACAGAGTCTTGCTCTGTCTCCCAGGCTGGAGTGCAGTGGCGTGATCTCGGCTCACTGCAAGCTCTGCCTCCCGGGTTCACGCCATTCTCTTGCCTCAGCCTCCCAAGTAGCTGGGACTACAGGCGCCTGCCACCATGCCCGGCTAATTTTTTGTATTTTTAGTAGAGACGGGGTTTCACTGTGTTAGCCAGGATGGTCTCGATCTCCTGACCTTGTGATCCGCCCGCCTCAGCCTCCCAAAGTGCTGGGATTACAGGCGTGAGCCACCGCGCCTGGCTTTTTTTTTTTTTTTTTTTTTTTTTTTTTTAAGACGTAGTTGCCCAGGCTGGAGTGCAATGGTGCGATCTTAGCTCACTGCAACCTCCTCCTTCCAGGTTCAAGTGATTCTCGTGCCTCAGCCTCCCGAGTAGCTGGGATTACAGGCACACGCCACCACACCTGGCTAATTTTTGTATTTTTAGTAGAGATGGGGTTTCCCCATGTTGCCCAGGATGGTCTCGAACTCCTGACCTCAGGTGATCAGCCTGCCTCAGCCTCCCAAAGTGCTGGGATTACAGGCGTGAGCCACTGCGCCTGGCCTCTTCTTTTTGTTTTTGTTTTGAGACAGCGTCTTGCTCTGTGGCCCAGGCTGGAGTGCAGTGGTGCAATCACAGCTCACACAGCAGCTCAACCTCCTAGACTCAAGCTATCCTCCCGCCTCAACCTCCGAGTAGCTGGGACTACACGTATGCGCCACTACACCTGGCAAATTTTTGTATATTATGTAGAGACAGCGTTTCACCATGTTGCCTACCCCTGTCTCCACTGCTGCCACCCCTTGCCCAGATGGCACCAGTGCCTGGGTCCTTCCTGGGCTTCCTGTACCCACTCTCCCAGTACCCATTTGTCTGCCCAACAGCCAGAAAAATTGAATTAGAAACATCCAGCCAGTCTTTGTACAAAACCTTCCCATTAGCCAGGCATGGTAGCTCATGCCTGTAATCCCAGCACTTGGGGAGGCTGAGGTGGGCCGATCACTTTAGGTCAGGAGTTTGAGACCAGCCTGGCCAACATGGTGAAACCCCATCTCTACTAAAAATACAAAAATTAGCCAGGTGTTGTGGCGTGTGCCTGTAATCCCAGCTACTCGGGAGGCTGAGGCAAGAGAAACCTGAACCCAGGAGGCAGAGGTTGCAGTGAGCCGAGATCACGCCACTGCACTCCAGCCTGGGTGACAGAGCGAGACTCCCTCTCAAAAAACAAAATAAAATAAAATAAATACAAATTGGCCGGGTGTGGTGGCAGACACCTGTAATCGCAGCTACTCGGGAGGCTGAGGCAGGAGCATCGCTTGAACCCAGGAGGCGGAGTTTGCAGTGAGCCAAGATTGCACCATTGCACTTCAGCCTGGGCGACAGGAACGAAAAAAAAAAAAAAAGAAAAAACAACCTTTCTATCTCCCTCCCTCCCTCCCATCTCATGCAGTAAAACCCCAAGTGCTGGCCCTGCCTGGTCAGCCTCCCCACCAACGGCCTCGACCTCCACTAGTTTCCCCTCACCTGCTCCTCCCTGGCCCCTGGCTTTGCTCAGACCTGTGGGGCTCACTCCACCCTGGGGCCTCTGTTGTCCCCTCTGCCTGGATGTCCTTCCCCCAGATGGGGTGAGGAAGGGAGCTCTGAAAGGCTTCCCTAGCCGCCTTCCTTAAATTGCAACACTGCGTCTTGCCCACAACCCCACACTACTTCCTGCCCCGCTTCCCTGTTTTGTTTCTCTCTGCCAGACTTACCACCAGTGAACATGCCATGTCTTCTTATCTGTTTTCTTGTTGTTGTTGTTGTTTTGACAGGGTCTCACTCTGTCATCCTGGCTGTACAGTGGTACAATCATAGCTCACTGTAGCCTTGAACTCCTGGGCTCAAGCGATCCTCCTGCCTCAGCCTCCCAAGTAGCTGGGACTACAGGTACACACCACTATGCCCAGCTAATTTTTAAATTTTTTTTTTGAGATGGGGTCTTGCTCTGTTGCCCAGGCTTGAGTGCAGTGGCACGACCACAGCTCACTGCAGCAACCATGGCTCATTGCAACCTTGACCTCCCAGGCTCAAGTGATCTTCCCACCTCAGCCTCCCAAGTCAGTGGGACTCTAGGGCATCCACCACCATGCCTGGCTAATTTTAAATGTTTTTATAGAGGCTGGACATGGTGGCGTGTGCCTGTAATCCCAGCTACTTGGAAGGCTGAGGCACGAGAATCGCTTGAACCCAGGAGGTGGAGGTTGCAGTGAGCCGAGATGGCGCCACTGCACTCCAGCCTGAGTGACAGTGATACTCTGTCTCAAAAAAAAAAAAAAAAAGTTTTTGTAGAGAGAGAGGTCTTGCTATGTTGCCCAGGCTGGCCTCAAACTCAGAGGCTCAAAGGATCCTCCCGCCTCAGCCTCCCGAAGTGCTGGGATTTATAGGCATGACCGCTGTGTCCAGCCCTATCTGTTTTCTCTCTCCTACCAGAATGCAAGTTCTAAGGGGTCAGGGGTTTGCTGTTCTTTATGTTGGTGTTCCCAGCACCTAGAGCAGGACTTGCCCGTAGCAGGGGCCCAGTGGATACTGGTTGAATGAATGACGTGGGGCTCTGCACATTTGGCTCAAACTCCTGCACCTGCCTCTGGGGCTGACTCTTGACCACCCAGGTTCACTGTGGTTTCCACCCTCCAGCCTGCTCGCTGAGATGACGGCCTGGGTCTCCCAGATGGGGACTTTGGGCAGCCTTCAAGGCCCTCTGGGGGTCCATCGTGCTTCCCAAGCAGTAGACCCAGCCTAGGCTTTGATGTCTGATGTCTGACCACTGGGGATTCCATCTCCTCCTCCCCTTACTTCAAGATGTGGCCTTGGGCAGGTGGCTTAACTGCTCTGTGGCTTTGGGTGCTAAGAGATGGTGCACGTGTGAGCGCTTAGCGCCGCACCATCTCACTGGCCTGCGGTGGCTCCTCAGCGCGTCTCAGCCACTGTTACATTTCCCAACGTCCCTGCCTCCTGTCTGTTTCCAGCATTGACCGAGTGCCTGCTGGGCTGAGGCTTTGTGTGCAATGTCTGTTTTTTTATTTATTTATTGAGACGGAGTCTCGCTCTGTCACCCAGGGTTGAGTGCATGTGATCTTAACTCACCGCAACCTCCGCCTTCAGGGTTCAAATGATTCTCCTGCCTCAGCCTCCCAACTAACTGGGACTACAGGCACCCACCACCATGCCTGGCTAATTTTTTGTGTTTTTAGTAGAGATGAAGTTTCACCATGTTGGCCAGGCTGGTCTCGAACTCGTGACCTCAGGTGATCTGCCTGCCTCGGCCTCCCAAAGTGCCGGGATTACAGGCGTGAGCCACCGTGCCCGGCCGTGTGTGCGATGTCTTCTCTGAGAGGTGGGCACCAAGTGAGGAACTAAGTTCTGGGAGGTTGTCACTTGGTCCAAGGTCGCAGCCAGGAGGATGCAGTGGAGTTGGGAGACCCACCCGGTGCCCACTTCTTTGCCCCTGAAGTCACCAGAATTCCCTGCCTGACGCCCCTGGCCAGAACAGAGGAACAGAGTCGCCAAGCTGCCCTCTTGGAGCACCCATGGGTGCACCCTGTAGCCCCCACCATGGCCCCTCCACCCACACTCTCGGCTGTTCCCTTGGATTGGGGGTCCTGCAGCTTGGCAAGACCTCCAATCCTTGGCCCACGGCAGCTGGAGAGCAGGGGCTGTACCTTTCTTCTTGGTCTGCCCTAGGCTTCTGTGGCTGCCACCTCCCCATTCACGTAATCCGGTTCCCCGTCCTCCTCGTCTGGGCTTCCCACCGGGCCAGGGGATGCTTCTCTCTGGAGTTGCCCTGTGGACCAGCGGGCAGACAGGTCATCGAGTGGTTCACATGGAGACACCCATGACTGCTCCCCCAGACTCAGACCCCCAGACTCCACAAAACAGCCCGCGGGAAATGCCACGCCCGACAGGTCCTGGCGGTGTGTGTCTGTCCTGTCTCTGGGATTTGCCGGAGATCGTCCTGCTGTGAGAGCAGGTGAATGCGTTACTCCATGCATGCAGCTGGATGGGGCGGCCTGCCCGGGAGGACCTGACCCCACCCTGGAGGCTGGGCGGCTGCCAAGGGCCGTCCTGTGTGGTTCAAGGTCTCTGCAGCTGCTCCTGCACCCAGGCATCACTGCGGGGTTAGCTGGACTGGCTGGAGGGAAGCCCACTTTCAGCCTGCCCTTCCAGGCCAGTCCCTCAAGCCTGCCCTAAGTGGACCACCCTGCCTCTTCTCCCGGCCACCTACCCATGACCTTCCTGGACTCGCGCCACTGATGGATGGATGCTGAGTTCTGATAATCCTCAGATTCCTCATCTTCTTCCGGGGAGGCAGAGGGACAGAGACCAGAAGTGGGGCCAGTCTTCAGGGCCAGTGACAGGCTGAGGTCCCCTCTGCAGAGGCCACCTATGCCCTCCTGCTGGGCACCTGCAGAGAGGGAGAATAGGCCCCCCTTGGCTCAGTCCCACAGAGGCACCAGGAGCCAATAGAGCTGCCTCCGAGGATAGTAGGGGCAAGGCTCTACCGAAAGGTACCTGGGGATCCGAGAGCCTTCAGGCTTCAAAGTGGGGGCGGCCTTTGAGCAGTGGGGAGTGCAGGGGCACCTGGCCAAGGAGGCCTGCTGCTCCCAGCCCCAGCCTGCCTCTGGCTGGGCAGCCTCACCTGTCTCTGTGGTTTTCTGCTTGCAAATGAGCACATTCTCGTAGGAATTGGCATCATCATCTGCAGGAGAGAGAGGAGTGGGCACGGGGGTGTGGGCAGACCCTGCAAAGCCTGGCTCATCCTCCCGCTCTGTCCTGCCTTCCCTTTGCAGGGGACCTCTTCCGCCAAGCCCTAGCCCTCTGGGTCCCCCGGGACCTCAAGCCTTCTTCTGGATGAGCTTCCTAATGGGTGCTGGCCTGGTGCCCCTGCATGCTCTTCCCTGAGCCCTGAGCTCCTCTGTCTTCTTTGTTTCTTGTTGAGACGGTCTTGCTCTGTCACCCAGGCTGGAGAGCACTGGCAAAGTCAGCTCACTGTAGCCTCCAACTCCCGGCTCAAACGATCTTCCTACCCCGCAGCCTCCTGAGTAGCTGGAACTACAGGCATGCACCACCACGCCCAGCTAACTTTTAAAATTGTTTGTAGAGAGGATCTCGCTGTGTTGCCCAGGCTGGTCTTGAACCCCTAAGCTTAGGCAATCTTCCCAAAATGTTGGGATTACAGGCGTGAGTCACTGTGTCCAGCCTCTGTCTTCTGAGATCCCCTCCATATGCACTCTGGAGGGGGTACTCTGCGGGGGCTGCAATTCAGGCCCATGCCGGGTGGCTGGAGAGAGGGAGGGAGGCAGGGGCAGCCTCAGGGGTTCATCTCTATAATCAGGAGCTCTCCCTAGAGCCACTGCCGGGAAGGGGCTGGACTCTTCCAGATAGGGCAGGGCAGGCTGAGGATGCTTTGCTCGGGGACCCAGGCTGAGTATGGCACCTCAGCGCCTGGCACCCCATCTTGGCCTTGTAATGGGGAAGCTGGGCTCTGACTGATGCCCCACCCAAAATCCATCAGTGATGTTGGGGGTCCTAAGAAATGAGCACTGCCAGCCTGGCGGGGTGGCTCATGCCTGTAATCCCAGCACTTTGGGAGGCCAAGGCGGGCGGATCACCTGAGGTCAGGAGTTCAAGACCAGCCTGGCCAATATGGTGAAACCCTGTCTCTACTAAAAATACAAAAAATTAGCCAGGCGTGGTGGCAGGCGCCTGTAATCTCAGCTACTCGGGAGGCTGAGGCAGGAAAATCGCTTGAACCCGGGAGGCGGAGGTTGCAGTGAACCAAGATCGTGACATTGTACTCAACCTGGGTGACAGAGCAAGGCTGTGTCTCAAAAAAAAAATGGAGGTGGCAGTGGTGGGGGGCAGAAGAGGACCCCCCAACACCATGGTCCTACCCAGTATGGTCCAGGCAGGAGCCAGGTCATGGAGCTGGATTCAAACCGCAGGCCCATGCACCTCTCAGCAGGCACTGCCCACCCTGAGTCCTCAGTTGCCCTTTTTTGGGGGGATTTTTTTTTTTTTTGAGATGGAGTCTCACTCTGTTGCCCAGGCTGGAGTGCAATGGTGCGATCTTGGCTCACTGCAGCCTCCGCCTCCCGGGTTCAAGCAATTCTCCTGTCTCAGCCTCCCAAGTAGCTGGGATTACAGGCATGTGCCACCATGCCTGGCTAATTTTTTTTTTTTTTTTTTTTTGTATTTTTGTAGAGATGGGGTTTCACCATGTTGGCCACACTGGTCTTGAACTCCTGACCTCAGGTGATCCACCCACCTTAGCCTCCCAAAGTGCTGGGATTACAGGGGTGAGCCACCACACCCGGCCTCTCAGTTGCCCTTCCTATAAAGCAAAGGCATTCAGCGACCAGGTTTCTGGTGGCCTCAGAGCCTGCAGGGATCACCATCCCAGGTACCTTCTGGGGTCAGGAGAAGATGCTCAGTCCTCGTTGACAAGGACCTGGCCTCCCCCCACCTCCCCAAGCCAGCCCTCTAGTTCCCTGCCCTGTGGCCCACTCCTCTCTCCCACGCCCTGTGCCCACAGCTCTCCCACGCTGACCCGCCCGCCCCCTATCCCTTCTTGGCCCCCGCCTGCAGCACCAGCCTCCTTCTGTCCACCCAACCGGCTCTGCCGATTTACCCGAACCCAGGCCCAGCCTCCTCTCCTGCCTGGAGGTATGGCTTCTGCCCTGAGCTCCCACACCACTTCCTCCACCTCCGGCTTTGTCCTTCGCCTCACCTTCTGGGGGCTTCGAGAACCGCCCCCAGTTGTAATACTCCATGGCAATGGGGTCTCTGGCCAAGAAAACATATACAACACAGGTTTCAGGGCAGGCTGGAGATCGGGTTGGGGGCTCCATAAGGGGGCGGTGAGGCCAGGGCTGCTCCCACCATTGCTCCTCTTGGGGGCCATGGGGGTCTGCCAGGATCTCCTCTCTGATTCCCCCACCCCCACTTCCTGGGACCCCTGAGCCACCAGGGGCTGGAGCCACTTTTTTTTTTTTTTTTTTTTTTTTTTTTTGAGACAGAGTCTCTGTCACCCAGGCTGGAGTACAGTGGCATGATCTCGGCTCACTGCAACCTCAGCCTCCCAGGTTCAAGCGATTCTCCTGCATCAGCCTCCCGAGTAGCTGGGATTACAGGCACGCACCACCATGCCTGGCTAATTTTTTATTTTTAGTAGAGATGAGGTTTCACCATGTTGGCGAGGCTGGTCTTGAACTCCTGGCCTCAGGTGATCTGCCTGCCTTGGCCTCCCAAAGTCCTGGGATTACAGGCATGAGCCACCGCACCTGGTGAGCCACCTTGCTATGTGACCTTAGGCCATTCCCCATCGTTTGCCCATCTGTGAGATGATGCAACACCCCCGAGGGATTCTGGGTGTCCTGTAGCTTGTCTTTGACTGGGTGATGCTGAATGAGTCTCTATCCCCCGCCCCTGACACTCTGTGTCCCAGAGCAGGGCAAAGTCCAGTCCCCCAAACCCAGGGTTACCTAAGAGACAACAGTGTCGCCCAATGCCTGCCTGCCAGGAGAAGGAGGGGAACCTGGATGCCTCGTTCTAGTGCAAGAGGTGGTTCCTGGACCAGGAAGCCCAGGGCTGTGGCAGGCAGGTGGGGCAGGGGGAGAGGTGGGGCAGGGGGAGAGGTGGGGCAGGGGGAGAGGCGAGGCAGGGGGGACAGGATCAAGGTCACTCACATGTAGGCTTCCTCCGACCCGTGTCTGCTTCCTGCGGGAGGAGGCGAGAATTGGGCCTGAGCCCCTGGGTGTGGCCCCCACCATGGCCTCCCCCTTTCTCCAGGAGCCTACCTACCTTTGCTGAAGTTCTGGTACCTGGAAGATGCTGGATCTGGAAGAAAGACCCAGCTAATTGCTTTCTCCCCTGGCCCCTGCTTTGCACCCAGCTCGGGTGCTGCAGCCCAAGGCAGGGCCAGCTATTTCCCGTGTCTGAGCCTTTGCAGTGCTCCCTGTCCCCTCAGTGGGGCATGTGCGAGTGTGCACCCTCCCCCTGCCAGGCCGATTCCAGGAGCCTGCCCTGCCCCAGCCTGTGTGTCTCTCCTGGGGAGGCCTCGCCTGGCCCCGCAGCCCCCACTGCACGACGCCTGTCCCATGGGGTTTTCGCCTGTCTTAGTCCCAGCTTGGCTAGGCCTGTCCCTGTCCCTGCCCTGTGCCACTCACCCTCCAGGCTGGGGTAGAATTGCAACAGCTTGTCCTTCCTGCAGGGAGGGGGAAGGAGGGAGTTAAAGGAGGGGCTGTAGGGGAGAGGCCCCCCAGGACACATCCCCCCATACCCCTTGTGGGGCCTTCATAGCTGAGCCCTGGAGCTCTGGGACTCGGGGAGGGAGGGAGGTCTTGACCTGGGCTCACCAGGTGAGGACCTCCAGGACTTTCATTCTTGTCACTTCCTGGGGGACTGTGACCTACCTTGTGGGTGCCATGTCCGCCAGGGGTCCTGGCCATGCCTGCCCGACCACTACAAAGGGCAAGAAGTGGGGTGTTGGCTGGGCCCCCAGCTAGCCCAGCCCCCTCACCCCATCATCCCCCCACATCAGGCCTGGCCACGGTCTCAGGTCAATGGGGACCGAGATAACTTGATAGGGACACCCCCAACCCAGAGCCCAACCCGGGGACACTTGGAGACTCACAGGAGTAGGTCCGGGACCCCGTAAAGCTCTGTTGGTCCTCACGCCTGGAAATGCATGGGCTGTGCTGAGCCTGGGCCTGGACTCCCACAGCCCAAGAACACAGGGACAGGAGGGAGGGACAGGCAGGGATGAGGAGGGAAAGCAGAGGGACGGACTGGGGCGACAGTGGGGAGGAACTGCTGCCCTTTCAGGCCTCATTCTCACGGCTCCCCATGCTATCCCCATTCTCTGGCCCCTCCGTGCACTGGGTGCCCAACCCTCACACAGGGCCCTGGGCTGGAGCCCGGCTCTCAGCCAGACCCATCCCTGACATGGCCTCAACAGGGCCACATCCTGCCGGTGGGTCCCAGGCCCCTGGAGACGGGTCAGGAGGGGTCTGTGGACAGGGCTGTGGAGGTAGCCCTGAGATTCTGGGGCATGAGGGTGAATGAAGGCAGGTGCTCAGGGACCCAGCAATGACTTGGGGTAAATTATTTCAGCCAGGAGTGACGATGAGGCTGCCTCCCACCTGCTGGTCCCAGGGAGCGTTTGCAATTCCTTAAAAAAGCACACACTCACCCCGTCTCTACTAAAAATACAAAAAATTAGCCGGGCGCGGTGGCGGGCGCCTGTAGTCCCAGCTACTCGGGAGGCTGAGGCAGGAGAATGGCGTGAACCCGGGAAGCGGAGCTTGCAGTGAGCCGAGATTGCACCACTGCAGTCCGCAGTCTGGCCTGGGCGACAGAGCGAGACTCCGTCTCAAAAAAAAAAAAAAAAAAAAAAAAAAAAAAAAAAAAAAGCACACACTCTAGACCCGGCATGGTGGCTCACACCTGTAATCCCAGGGCTTTGGGAGGCCAAGGCAGGCGAATCACCTGAGGTTGGGAGTTCAAGACCAGCCTGACCAACATGGAGAAAACCCCGTCTCTACTAAAAATACAAAAATTAGCTGGGCATGGTGGCGCATGCCTGTAATCCCAGCTACTCGGGAGGCTGAGACAGGAGAATCGCTTGAAGCCAGGAGGCAGAGGTTGCAGTGAGCCAAGATCATTCTACTGCACTCCAGCCTGAACAAAAGTAAATGTGGCTCCATCTCTAAATAAATAAAGAAATAAATAATAGACTATTCCTAGCCTTCCTTGCACCAAAGTGTGGCCATGGATTAAGCTCTGGTCTATGAGATTCAAGCCAAGGTTGTTGATATTTCCAATAAATCTTTTTAAACGGGGGCACTGGCAACTGGGAGACACCCTTTGTATCCTTGTTCATTCTTTCTTCCTGCTGCTGGGAATGCAGAGATGAGGGCCGGCACCCCAGCTGCCATCTTGGACCATGAGGTGCTCTTGAAAATGGAAGCTGCCATTACAGATAATGGAGTGGATTAGCTCATTATTAAAGCAGGTTTGGGGGCTCCTCCTCTGAACCAGAATGGGTACCTGGCCCAGCCTTCCAAGCTCCTTGAAGACTGGGGCTCAGGGTGACCTGATTTAGGAGAGATACCCTAAATCCACAGGAGAGAGTCAGTCAGACGTGGCTTCCTGGGAGAAGCAACAGAGGAACGGAGCCTGTGCTCACAGCAGTCGCTTCATGCAGGCTGGTGGGACTGAGCCCAACCGAGGTGACAGATGGAGAGGCAGGCACAGGCATTCCAGGGAGAAGACCAAACAGCTCCCCTCCACCTCCCACATGGGGACGCTGAGTCTGGCCCTGACCATCTATGGCTCTAAGATCAATCAGGGGGCTGGGGGTGGGCAGGGCCTGAGGGGAGAGGGGAAGTGTCCGAGGAGTCAAGGGCATGGGGGGCATCGGGGGAGGTTGCAGGCGGCCAGAAAGCCACGTGGCCAGAAAGACCCAGAAAGGTCTAACCCTGGCCCACGATGAGCAAGGATGGGAAGATTCTATTTTCAAATCTCACTGTGGTTTTTCAGTTGCAAAAGGAAATGAGGAAGGATGTGTGTGCGGGTGTGCGTGTGTGGGTCATGAGTGACTGCTCGGGGGTGCACATGGACCTCCAAGGTTTCCTGGGCCCACAGCCATTCTCTTAATCAAAGGACACCTGTGGCCACTGCCCATGTGCCTGGGTTGTTCTGGGTTTCAGCCCCAGTCTGCAGTGTCGAACCCACTGCCCTTCCCTGGGTCTTTCTCACAGTCCTTCCCTGGTCCCCCGAGGGACTTGCCCACATCCTCCCCTGAGCTCCGGCAGTTTTTTCCAGGGGAGTCTCCGACAACGTTCACATTTCACCCTGTGCCGGGTTCTCTGTCTCTTGCATTGCAAGGGGAGAGCGGACTAGCCCCTGGGGATTGGGGTCAAAGGGAGGCTGAGGACACAGGTGCCTGGTGGACCTCTATTTTTTTTTTCTTTTCTTTTTTTCTTTTCTGAGACGGAATCTTGCTTTTTTGCCCAGGCTGGAGTGCAGTGGCACAATCTCGGCTCTCTGCAACCTCCACCTCCTGGGTTCAAGTGATCCTGCTGCCTCAGCCTCCAGAGTAGCTGGGAGTAGAGGGACCCACCACCACGCCCAGCTCATTTTTGTATTTTAGTAGAAATGAGGTTTCACCATGTTGGCCAGGCTGGTCTCAAACTCCTGACCTCAGGTGATCCACCTGCCTTGGCCTCCCAAAGTGCTGGGATTACAGGTGTGAACCATCGTGCCTGGCCAGATGCCTGGACTTCTGGAGGGGTTCACAGGCAAGCTGAAGAGTGGCTAGCCCCACAGCCCAGGCGTCCCCGCCTCCCAAAGCCCTCCCTAACCCAAGCTACAGCAGGGCCTGGACAGCCCCTGGACACTTTCTCTCCCTTCTCTGATGGCTAGGGACCCACTAGAACTTGGCACGGAGGAGGTGTGAGTGAAGGGGTGAAGGATGGGGTGCTAGGAATTCCCTTGAGGACGTCCATGCCCAGGGCACATGAATACACCAGGCTAGGGACATCGAGGCAACTCACAGACTTCTCTGCTGGTAGATTTTCTCTGACCTCTTTGCACCTGCAAGAAAAGGCCAGGATTAGCAAAGGGTCTGGGAGCAGCTGCGACCTGAGGTCAGACACCCCCCGCCATGTCTTGTCTCCAGCAGGACTCAGACAGGACTTGGGGGCCAAACTGTCAATCATCACCGGCCACCTGATATTAAAGAATATTTGGGACCAGGTGTGGTGGCTCCCTCCTGTAATTCCAGCACTTTGGGCCGAGGCGGGAGGATCACATGAGGTCAGCAGTTCGTGACCAGCCTGGCCAACATGGGGAAACCCCGTCTCTACTAAAAACACAAAAATTAGCCAGGCATGGTGGCAGGCACCTGTAGTCCCAGCTACTCAGGGGGTTGAGGCAGGAGAATCGCTTCAACCCGAGAGTTGGATGTTACAGTGAGCCAAGATTGCATCACTGCCCTCCAGCCTGGGAGACCAGAGCAAGACTCTGTCCAAAAAAAAGAAAAAAGGGTATTTGCTCACCCTTTTTTAGAAGAGGAGAGGCTAGAAAAGTGGATGCCACAGGCAACCTCGCCTCCCCTCCCTCGTCTGGGGCAATCTCTCTGGCTCGAGATACCACAGTTGACCCAGCAAAGCCAAAGCCCTCGGGTGCACCTGACCATTGTCTTCAGGGGGCAGTTTAGGGGTCAGGGGTCACATCACGAGGTTCATCTGACCACCTCTTCTGACCACAGCCACGTCTGGGCCTGAGAGGGCCTCTGAGATGCACTGTCCACACCTTCTCCCCATCACGTCCCCGAGACCCCCGCTTACCTGGGCGTGAGCAGCGCACACACAGACTGGCTGCCACCCCCAACAGCACCAGCAGCGCTGCTCCGGGCCACAGCAGTTCAGTCCCCGAGCTCATGTTGGCTCCTGGTGTTGCCTCTTGTGATGCTGAAATGGGAGGTGCCCGTGAGCAAGGGGCCCCTTTTTCAGGAATCCTACCCCACACCCCCACTGTGCTCGGACAGCCCCATACCTGAGCCTAGGCTGCGGAAACACCACCTCCCCTCCCCGCTCCTGCACTGGGCAAGGACAGAACCAGTCCTGTTCACCCCATGTGACCCCAAACCAACACCTCTGCCCTGTGGGCCATCTTCACCCTTGATAAGTGCTGGAAGGTTCTGGGGGCCCACAAGACAGCCCCATGTGCACGCACACAGCCCTACACACAGCCTCGCTTAATCTAGACAACTGCCCTTTGAGGACGAGGTTCACTGCATTTCACAAATCGAGAAACTGAGGCCAGAGAGCTCACGTCTGCTAAGTGGAAAGATGGGATTCAGGCCCCAGTGTCCTGCCCCTAACCCTGGCTCTGCCCATCAACCCACAGTGGGTTGCCTCCAGTAAACCCACCCTGGCTCCTGGAGGTGACAGTCTGTGGCCACCACTCACGCAGACGCACCCGGAAGCCCTCGCCCACCCCAGAGCAACTCAGGGCTCCTCTATGCTTCGCAGGACCCCTCTCTGCCCACCTCCTGCCTTGGGGTCCCCCCAGGACCTGGGAATGGGGCTTCCATTCCTGAAACAACTGCAAGCCCAGATTCTGCCTGTGGTGGGAGCTGGGAGGAGGGAGGTCAGGGAAGGCTTCTTGGAGGAGGTGGCCCAAGAGCATGATCCGCAGAGGGATGGGGCCCTAGGGCACTGCTGCAGGTGGCTGGGATGACATGAGCTGGGATGCCAAGGATGGGCTAAAGACAGGATGTTCAGAGGGAGGGAGCCCTGAATCTCTGGCTGGCACCTGACCGGCTTCTCGGTCTGTGGCTGGTCCCAGCCTTGGAGCCACAGCGTGATGACCAGGCCTCAGCAAAACATACGCACACCACCCACCGTGGCCTGGTGAATGGAGGCGTGGCCCTCTCGAGTGGGTTTCCAAGAACTGTTGCAACTAGGAACAGACCCTGGCCAGGAGCGGTGGCTCACGCCTATAATCCCAGCACGTTGGGAGGCCGAGGCAGGGAGGATCGCTTGAGATCAAGAGCTCCAGACCAGCCTAGGCAACACGGTGAAATTCCATCTCTACAAAAAAAATACAAAAAAAAAAAAAAATATATATATATATATTTATATATATATGTTTATATATATATATTTATATATTTTTATATATATTTATATTTTTATATATATTTATATATATTTATATATATTATTTTCATATATATATTTATATATATATTTTCATATATATATATTTTCATATATATATATATATATTCATATATATATTTATATATATTTTCATATATATATTTATATATATATTTTCATATATATATATTTTCATATATATATATATATATTCATATATATATTTATATATATTTTCATATATATATATTTATATATATATTTTCATATATATATATTTATATATATATTTTCATATATATATTTATATATATATTTTCATATATATATATTTATATATATATTTTCATATATATATATTTATATATATATTTTCATATATATATATTTATATATATATTTTCATATATATATATTTATATATATATTTTCATATATATATTTATATATATATTTTCATATATATATTTATATATATATTTTCATATATATATATTTATATATATATTTTCATATATATTTTCATATATATATTTTCATATATATTTTCATATATATATTTATATATATTTTCATATATATATTTTCATATATATATTTATATATATTTTCATATATATATTTATATATATATTTTCATATATATATTTATATATATTTTTTCATATATATATATTTATATATATTTTTTCATATATATATATATATACATATATATGGCTGCAGTGAGCTGTGATCATGCTACTGCACTCCAGCCTGGGCAACAGAGTGAGACTCCGTTTCAAAAAATAATAATAAGGAGACCTGGCCCCCTGGAGATGGCTGGGGACAGAGTTGAGGGTGGTGGGGTCTCTGAAGGGGTTGAGTATGGTGGGCATTTGTGGAGCCAACACTCCCGAGTGTCCACTCTCCCCCACCCGCCGTGTTCTTCCCACCCTGGCCACCAGTGAGGAGGGCTTCTCCCCATCCCACAGCTGGGGAAGGTGAGGCTTGGAGCAGTAAACAGGACTTAAAAGGGAGGAGCTCCAGCAGGGCGTGGTGGCTCACGCCTGTAATCCCAGCACTTTGGGAGGCCAAGGCGGGCAGATCACGAGGTCGGGAGTTCGAGACTAGCCTGACCAACATGGTGAAACCCCATCTCTACTAAAAATACAAAAATTAGCCGGGTGTGGTGGCACACGCCTGTGATCCCAGCTAATCAGGAGTCTGAGGCAAGAGAATCACTTGAACCTAGGAGGTGGAGGTTGCAGTGGGCCGAGATCATGCCACTGCACTCCAGCCTGGGCAACAGAGCGAGACTCCATCTCAAAAAAAAAAAAAAAAAAAAATGGCCGGGCACAGTGGCTCATGCCTGTAATCCCAACACTTTGGGAGGCTGAGGCGGGTGGTTCATGAGGTCAGGAGTTCAAGACCAGCCTGGCCAAGATGGTGAAACCCTGTGTCTACTAAAAAAGAATACAAAAAATTAGCCAGGTGTGGTGGTGGGCGCCTGTAATCCCAGCTACTCAGGAGGCTGAGGCAGAGAATTGCTTGAACCAAGGAGGTGGAGGTTGCAGTGAGCTGAGATCACGCCACTGCACTCCATCCAGCCTGGGCAACAAGAGCGAAACTCTATCTCAATAATAATAATAATAATAATGGAGGAGCTCCAGGCTGCCTACCTCCTGCCTTGGGATCCCCCTGAGGTCCACCAGGACCTGGGCTGTCCCCCTTGAAAGCTGTGTGGCTTTGGACAAGTCTCAGGACCTCTCTGGACTTCCCAAATCCCTGCGGTAAGATGACAGGGAATCTCCATGCGGCCCTGAGCCTCTGTAAGAGGCGCATCACAGAGAAGCCACCAGGCCTCTCCCCAAAAGCCAAGTGAGTCAGTGGGAACAAGTGAATTTCTGAGCCGTGTGACTGGCACGACCCACGTCACCCCGGGAGGTTGTCCGAGGAAAGCTCTGCTCTCTCTTCCCCATGGCCCGCCTGGGCACTGCCCTTCTCCCTCCTCGAAACTCTCCTTGCCTCAGTGCCCCCAACCCGGGGTGTACCCCCAACCCCTCCAGCATGGCCCAAGTTCATCTCAGGCTTGTGAGGTTGGAGCAACTTGTCTTGCAGGAGGGCTCATGGGACCAAATCTAGCCTCTGCCTGAGAGCCCCCCGCCTCAGTTTTCTCATCTATAAAATGAGGTCGGGCTGGGTACAGGGACTCACACCTGTAATCCCAATACTTTGGGAGGCTGAGACAGGAGGATCACTTGAGTTTGAGACCAGCTTGGCCAACATGGTGAAACCCTGTTTCTACTAGAAATACAAAAATTAGCCAGGCGTGGAGGTGCAAGCCTGTAATTCCAGCTACTTGGGAGGCTGAGGCATGAGAATCACTTGAACTCAGGAGGCAGTGAGTTGCAGTGAGCTGAGATCACGCCAGTGCACTCCAGCATGGGAGACAGAGTGAGACTCCATCTCAAAATAATAATAATAATAATAATAAATTAAATAAATGAATAAATAAAATGGGATCAGGCTGGGCGTGGTGGCTGACGCCTGTAATCTCAACACTGGGAGGCCGAGACAGGAGGATCGCTTGAGGCCAGGAGTTCGAGACCAGCATGGACGATGTAACAAGGCCCTGTCTCTACAAAAAAATGAAAAAATTAGGCAGGCGCAGTGGCACATGCCTGTGGTTCCAGCTACTTGGGACACTGAGGCAAGAGAATTGCTTGAGCCCAGGAGTTGGAAGCTGCAGTGAGCCAAGATCACACCACTGAACTCCAGCCTGGGTGACAGAGCAAGACCCCATCTCTAAAAACAAAAAATGAAATTTAACAAACAGTCATGTGTCTGCCCCCAGACTGAATACATCCTGCGCTGTTGGCCGGGTGCGGTAGTTCACACCTGTAATCCCAACACTTTGGGAGGCTGAGGCGGGCAAATCATCTGAGGTCAGGAGTTCAAGACCAGCCTGGCCAACATGGTGAAACCCTGTCTCTACTAAAAATAAAAAATTAGGCCAGGCACGGTGGCTCACACCTGTAATCCCAGCACTTTGGGAGGCCGAGGCAGGCAGATCACAAAGTCAGGAGATTGAGACCATCCTGGCTAACATGGCGAAACCCCGTCTCTACTAAAAATACAAAAAATTAGCCGGTCGTGGTGGCAGGCGCCTCTAGTCTCAGCTACTCGGGAGGCTGAGGCAGGAGAATGGCATGTACCCGGGAGGTGGAGCTTGCAGTGAGCCAAGATTGCACCACTGCACTCCCAGCCTGGGAGACAGAGCAAGACTGTCTCCAAAAAATAAAAAATAAATAAAAAATAAAAAATTAGCCAGGTGTGGTAGCACGTGCCTGTAGTCCCCAGCTACTTGGAAGGGTAAGGCAGGAGAACTGCTTGAACCTGGGAGGTGGAGGTTGCAGTGAGCCGAGATCACGCCACTGCACTCCAGCCTGGACAACAGAGTGAGACTCCGTTTAAAAAAATTCTGTGCTCTCTCTCTGTCTCTGTCTCCCTTTGTGTCTCTGTCTCGCTCTCACTTTCACTCTCCCATCCAGGTTCTGAAAGCAGGTGGGCTGAGGTGGAGGGAGCGGAGGGTGGACCCTCTGAGGCCCCCAGGGGCCGGCAGGGCTGGGCGGGGTGGGGAGTGGGGGCTGCCACAGACCACGGTTCTGCAGAGGCCAAAATAGCACTAAAGGGAAGTGGGCAGTTTTCATATGAACAACGATTGCCAAGAGCTGGCTTCGGGGAAGTTCTCGGGGCTGGGCTGGAGGAGCTACAGTGTCTGAATCCCGCCTGGAAGGACGCTCGAGACCACCCTGCCGGTTCTCCCAGCCTTCTCCGAGCTGAGCTGTGGTTGGGGACACTGGGGTTGGGGAGGGGGCAGCCTGGCTTGAAGCCCTGGATGGCTTTATCCACTGGACTCTGCTCTGGGGTCTGTTGGTTTTTTCATTTAGTTTTTAATTATATTTTTTTATTTTTATTTTTTAAAGAGATGGGAGTCTCACTATGTTGCTCAGGCTGGTCTCCAGCTCCTGACTTCAAATGATCCTCCCGCCTTGGCCTCCCCAAATGCTGGGATTACAGGTTGAGCCACCGTGCCCGGCTGGTCCTGTTGCTTTTTCCAAATAACTCTGGGCTTCAAATGAGCCTAGCTGGGAGGGAGAGAGGGAGGCGGGCGGGTGCAGGAGGGGCCTGAGCAGCCCTGGTCCCAGGGACAGAGTTGAGGGCCAGGTAGGGGGCTGGGCAGGGAGGCAGTGGGGGTTCTTCACCTGACCTGGGGCAAGACCTGGGCCCTGGCCTGTAATCCCACCGTTTTCCCCTGACCTGTGTAGGGGGTTACAGTCCCATTTCACGGATGAGGAAACCGAGGCTCCCAGGCCAGGGCAGCCACTGTTTTGGCTCTCGGCCACTTACTTCACCAGTCTCTGGCAATGATGGGACCACCCTGGGATGTCCCAAGGCTACACAGGCTGGACAGGGGAAGGCGAGGGCAAGAGAGTGGCCAGAAGCCCAGAAACAAACTGACCCCTGAAGTGCCACAGAGCCTGGTGCCAGGGTGAGAGTGGGGCTGCGGGAGGGGGCGCCAGGCATCCAGGCCTCTTCCCACCCCACCCAGTGGGGCCAGGAGCTCCTGGGGGATGGGGGACAGCCTGAGGACTGAGGCACCCCTGGGAAAGGCTTACCTGAGAGTCCAGGGTTCCTCACCACGGCCGCCCCATCCTGAGCCCGCACACCTGCCCAAGCTGATGCCAACACCACTGACACTGGCGGGCGGGCAGGGCGGGCTTCCTGCCAGCCACTGAATCATCCGTACATCCGCCGCACTGCCGGACAGGCTCAGCTATGAAGAGGGCGGTGGGGGGAAGGGAGGGGAGACGGGGGAAGGAGGCGGGAGAGAGAGAGAGAAGAGAAACAAAGTGAGAGGGAGAAAGAGAAGAAAGAGAGATAGGACCGGGCGAGGTGGCTCACACCTGTAATCCAAAAACTTTGGGAGGCCGAGGCGGGTGGATCACGTAAGGTCAAGAGTTTAAGACCAGCCTGGCCAACATGGTGAAACCCCGTCTCTATTAAAAATACAAAATTAGCTGGGCATGGTGGCATGTGTCTGTAATTCCAGCTACTCGGGAGGCTGAGGCAGGAGAATCGTTTGAACCTCAGAAGCAGAGGTTGCAGTGAGCCGAGATCGCACCACTGCACTCCAGCCTGGGTGACAGAGGGAGACTCCGTCTCAAAAAACAGAAAGAAAAAGAGAGAGACACAGCAGAGAGACACAAGAGAACAGGAAAATATGGACACACACTAAACACACACATAAACACAAAAAGTCACACAGAGAGGAAGAGAGATACACTCCAATAGACAGGGAGCAAGATAATGAAACTGAGGTGCTCCTGCAGATGGCAGATATGGAGACACACATACGCTAAAAAGACACACACAGGCAGAAATTCACACCCATGGGCCGGGCGCGGTGGCTCATGCCTGTAATCCCAGCACTTTGGGAGGCCAAGGCAGGCAGGTCATGAAGTCAGGGGTTCAAAACCAGCCTGACCAACATGGTGAAACCCCATATCTACCAAAAATACAAAAATTATCTGGGTGTGGTGGCGGGTGCCTGTAATCCCAGCTACTCGGGAGGCTGAGGCAGGAGAATTGCTTGAACCCAGGAGGTGGAGGTTGCAGTGAGCCAAGATAGCGCCACTGCACTCCAGCCTGGGTGACAGAGCAAGACTTCATCTCAAAAAAAAAAAAAAAAAGAAGAAGACACACACAGGCAGAAATTCATACCCATGGGCCAGGCACGGTGGCTCATGCCTGTAATCCCAACACTTTGGGAGGCTGAAGCAGGAGAATCACCTGAGGTCTGGAGTTCAAGACCAGCCTGGCCAACATGGTGAAACCCCATCTCTACAAAAAATTTAAAAATTAGCTGGGCATGAGATGGACCAAGACACACACAGAGAGACACACAGAAAGATACAGAGAGCCACAGACTGTCAGAGACACACACAGATGGGGAGAGAGCAAGAAACAGGGAGATAGAGGCCAGGTGCAGTGGCTTGCACCTGCAATCCTAACATTTTTGGAGGCTGAGGCAGGAGGATCGCTTGAGAACAGGAATTTGAGACCAGCCTGGACAACAGAACGAGACCCCATCTCTAAAAAAATTTTTTTAATTAGCTGGGTGTGGTGGCACACACCTGTAGTCCCAGTGTTTTGGGAGGCCAAAACGGGAGGATTTCTTGAGCCCAAGAGTTGGAGGCTGCAGTGAGCCGTGACTCTGCCACTGCACTCCAGCCTGGGGGACAGCAAGACCCTGTCTGTCTGTAAAAACAATAAATAGGCCGGGCGTGGTGGCTCACATCTGTAATCCCAGCACTTTGGGAGGCCAAGGCAGGTGGATCACCTTATTTAGGTCGGGAGTTTGAGACCAGCCTGGCCAAAATGGTGAAACCCCATCTCTACTAAAAATACAAAAATTTGCCGGGTGTGATGGTGGGTGCCTGTAATCCCAGCTACTTGGGAGGCTGAGGCAGGAGAATCACTTGAGCCCAGAAGGCGGAGTTTGCAGTGAGCCAAGATCGTGCCACTGCACTACAGCCTGGACAACAGAGCGAGACTCCATCTCAAAAAAACAAAACAAAAACAAAAAAACCCAAAAAACACAACAAAAAAATTTAAAATAATAATAATTATTATTTAATTAATAGCTCAATGGCCTTGGGCAGCTGTTTAATGGTCAATAGCACAAGGCAGTCCACCCACTTGTGGGATGTGGCTTTATTGACCTCAGGTGCCAGAGCATCCTGGCCTCCACAGGGAACTATCTCACTCGGTCCTCATGTCTGTGTGGATGGCAGCCACGGTGTCCACCCCAGGGCTGGGCACAGGAGCACCGCTGGGCAGGAGTGGGCTGTGGTCCCTCTGCCTGTGCTATGAGCCGTTCTCTGCACCCCGATGCCAGGAGCCTCATCTGTGCAGTGGGGTGATGAGACCCCCAAGGCTGGGGTGGAGCAGGGCTCTCCTTCCTTCTCCCACCCTTTAGCGCCCTCGCTGTCTGCAGCCTCTGACACTCGTGCCGTCCACTCCTCCACCTGTCTTTGGTCACTTGTTCCATCTGCCCTGCCCTCGTGGCCTCTGCAGGGGTCTCTCTGTCCCTGCCCTGCCCACCTACATCCCGCATCCTTTGTCTCTGTGTCCATCTGTCTCATCCTCTGGGACTCTTGCTGTCTGACCCTCTGTCTCTATTCCTCGCCTGCTTTTTTTTTTTTTTTTTGAGACAGGGTCTCACTCGGTCCAGAGGTGAAGCTGAATTTGAACCCAGACCCCAAAGCCTGGCTTCCTCACTGGGACCCCCTGACTGGCTCCTCCTCACACAATGGGAACAAGCCTGCAACAGTTTCCCTTCAGCCCCAGACTGTGCACCTGGATAGAGGTTACCTGCTGTTCTTTCCCCTTTTTTAAAATTTTTTTTGAGATGGGGTCTCACCCGGTCACTCAGGCTGGAGTGCAGTGGTGCAATCTCAGCTCACTGCAACCTCTGCCTCCCAGGCTCAAACGATCCTCCCACCTCAGCCTCCAGAGTTAGCTGGAACCCCAGGTGCATGCCACCACGCCCAGCTAATTTTTGTATTTTTTTTTTTTTGTAGAGACAAGGTCTCACTATGTTGCCCAGGCTGGTCTTGAACTCCTGGCCTTAAGCGATCCTCCATCCTCAGCCTCCCAAAGTGCAGGGATTACAGGCGTGAGGCCACCGCGCCTGGTCCCATTGAACCCGGTGTTTATCCCACCTGCTGGAGACACCAGGGAAGAGCATGACGGTCCCCCACCTCCTATATGTCTGGCATTTCAGAACCTTGGCCCCCAGTCCTGGACGCCTCTAGGCCTGGGACCCTGGCTCTGGGGTCCCACTCTCAGCTTGGGGCTAGGTTTCTCTTTTAGCCTTGGCCGCGGTGTCCCGGCCTGGCCAGAAAGAGGTGGCCGCGGAGACGAGCGGCTAGGCCCGCTGCTGCCACCTCGTGGACAAGGAGGGTAGCACATGCTCCAGAGACCGGTTCTGAGAGATTCTGCAGGCGTCCGTGTCAGGAGCTCACCCTGCCTCCCTCTGTGGCCGGACTAGGACTGAAGCTAGGGCCATCAGACGCCCAGACCTGTGCCTGTGCGAGCAACCGCCACCCTCCCTTGTTCCATCCAGCAATGCCAAGTGCACTGGATTCAGGACCACGTTTCCTTCCCACGGTAACCGGTAAGAAGACAGAGGCTCACAGAGGTGAAGCTGGATTTGAACCCAGAGGCCAAAGCCTGGCTTCCTTGCTGGGACCCCCTGACTGGCTCCTCCTCACACAATGGGAACAAACCTGCATCTGTTTCCCTCCAGCCCCAGACTATGCACCTGGACAGGACTTACCTGCTGTTCTTTTTCTTTCTTTTTTTCTCATTTTTTTTTTTTAGATGGGGTCTTGCTTGGTCACCCAGGCTGGAGAGCGGTGCGGCGATCTCGGCTCACTGCAAACTCTGCCTCCCGGGTTCAAGCAATTCTCCTGCTTCAGCCTCCTGAGTAGTTGGGATTACATACACCTGCCACCACGCCCGGCTAATTTTTTGTACTTTTAGTACAGACGGGGTTTCACTATGTTGGCCAGGCTGGTCTCAAACTCCTGGATTCAAGTAATCTGCCTGCTCGGCCTCCCAGAGTGCCGGGATTACACTGCACCCAGTCTGTTCTGGTTTTTGTTTTTTGTTTGTTTGTTTTTGTTTTTTTTTGACAGGGTCTTGCTCTGTCACCTATGCTGGAGTGCAGCGGCAAGATCATAGCTCACTGCAGCCTCCAACTCTCGGGCTCAAGTGATCCTTCCACCTCTGCCTCGCCTGTAGGTGGGACTACAGGTGCAGGCCACTGTGCTTGGCTCATTTTAAAACTTTGTAGTGATGGGGTCTCACTGTGTTGCCCAGGCTGTTCTTGAATGCCTGGGTTCAAGTGATCCTCCCACCTTAGCCTCCCAAAGTGCTGGGATTACAGGCATGAGCCATCGCACCCAGCCTACCTGCTCTGTTCTAGCTCCCTGCTTCCTTCACGGGCCTGGGCACTGGTAGGTGCTGGAGGGAAATGGTCTGTGAAAGGACCTCATATGCAAAACGATCTTACAGACAGAAGCGTGGTCTTTTTTTTTTTTTTTTTTTTTGAGATGGAGTCTCATTCTGTCACCCGGGCTGGAGTGCAGTAGCATGATCTCGGCTCACCTCTGCCTCTGCCTCCTGGGTTCCAGCGATTCTCCTGCCTCAGCCTCCCTAGTAGCTGGGATCACAGGCACCTACCACCACACCCAGCTAATATTTGTATTTTTAGTAGAGACTGGGTTTCACTATGTTGGCCAGGCTGGTCTCGAACTCCTGACCTCAGGTGATCCACCTGCCTCAGTTTCCCAAAGTGTTGGGATTACAGGCGTGAGCTACGGCACCCAGCCAATAAGTCTGGTCTTGCACAGCTGGGAGAGGGGTAGATCTCTGCACTGTTTTGTCCAGACCCAGGGCTTGCCCGTCATAGGAAAAGAGGATGCATGTTCCAGCAAGATAATGAGAGGCAGCCCTCCAGAACAGGCAAGAATGCTATATGCGTCTCAGTCTATAATTTGTGTGATAGCATCAAGGTTGACATGCTCTTACCCTAGGGACAATAAATAAAGTGGGGGCCCGGCAGAGTGGCTCACACCTGTAATTCCAGCACTTTGGGAGGCTGAGGCAGGAGGATCGAGCCCAGGAGTTCAAGACCAGCCTGGCCAACATGGCAAGACCCGGTCTCTACAAAAAAATTATAAAAATTAGCTGGGCGTGTTGGTGCACCAGGAGCTATGATCGCGCCACTGCACTCCAGCCTGCGGTGACAGAGCGAGCCCATACCCAGGATGTTTTCTGGAATAGATGAGAAGGCGGCAGTGGAGCAATGAAGGGGACTCGCCCCATAACCAAAAAGGAGGAGTTTCACTTCCCCTGGGAAGGGATCTAAACTGGTGACTGGGGGTCAGGTCTTTCCAAAGGCCACCAATAACGCGTTGGGTTGCTGGTCTATTTTCTCTTTGTTCACCCCAGCTGGGATCAGATCGTTGCACATTTGTCTCCAGGTAACAATAACTAGGTGTTGTAGGCTTCCCTTCTTGAGCCCTACAGACTTGCTTCGCCCTTTTCCCTTTGGTTAAGAGCTGGCCCTGGTCTTTATCTCTTCCCTTTCTCCCTCCCTCCTTCCTTTCCCCCCTCCTTCCTTCCCTCCCTCTTTCCCTTTCTCCCTCCCTCCCTCCTTCCTTCCTTCCCTCTCCCTCCTTCCTTCCCTCCTTTCCCTTTCTTCCTCCCTCTTTCCTTCCCTCTCTCCCTACTTCCTTCCCTCCCTCCCTCCTTCCTTCCCTCCTTTCCCTTTCTCCCTCCCTCCCTCCCTCCTTCCTTCCCTCCTTTCCCTTTCTCCCTCCCTCCCTCCTTCCTTCCTTCCCTCCTTTCCCTTTCTCCCTCCCTCCCTCCTTCCTTCCCTCCCTCTTTCCCTCCCTCCCTCCCTTCCTCTTTCCCTCCCTCCTTCCTTCCCTCTCTCCCTCTGCCTCCCTCCTTCCTTCCCTCCCTGCCTCCTTCCTTCCTTCCCTCCCTGCCTCCTTCCCTCCTCTCCTTCCCTCATTCCCTCCCTCCCTTCCCTCCCTCTCCCTTCCTTCCTTCCCTCCCTGCCTCCTTCCCTCCCCTCCTTCCCTCATTCCCTCCCTTCCTTCCCTCCCTCCCTCCTTCCTTCCCTCCCTCCTTTTCCTTCCTTCCCTCTCTCCTTCCTTCCTCTTCTCTTTTTATTTCTTTCTCCTTCCTTTCCTTCCTTCTTCTATCTCTTTTTTTCTTTCCTCTCTCTCTCTTTTTCTTTCTTTCTTTCTCTCTCTCTTTTCCCTCCCCACCCTCTTTTACTTTCTTTTTTTAGAGACAGGATCTCACTCTGTCACCCAGGCTGCAGTGCACTGCTGTGATCTCAGCTCACTGCAGCCTCAGCCAAGTGGGCTCAAGCAATTCTCCCACTTCAGCCTCCAGAGTAGCTGGAGCTACGGGTATGCACCACTGTGCCCAGCTAATTGTCTTTATTTTTTTTTTTTTGCAGAGATAGGGAGGGGTGTCACTCCATTGCCCAGGCTGGTCTTGAACTCCCGGACCCAAGCGATCCTCAGGCCTCAGCCTCCCAAAGTGCTGGGATTACAGAGCTAACGCACCTAAGCCTTCCCTTTAAAACATTTTTTTAAACCCATATCCCTAAAGTTGCCTGGGACATCCTTCCCTTTTAAGAGCAGAACTGCTCCTGCCACAGAAAACAGAAGCCCAATGCTTGCGGCCATCAGCAGAATTATCGGAGAGAGGAAAAACTTTTCAACAGCTGCTGAGAGAAAGTTTAACCACAAGGGGGGGTGTGACTGTGGGACACTGGTGTGGGATGGTATTAGGTTGGCACAAAAGTAATTGTGGTTTTTACCATTACTTTCAATGCACGGCTGCGCCTGTAAATCCCAGATACTCGGGAGGCTGACGCTTGAACCCGGGAGGTGGAGGTTGCAGTGAGCCGAGATCACGCCACTGAACTGCAGCCTGGGTGACAGAATGACACCCTGTCTCAAAAAAAAAAAAAAAAAAGACAACAAACTAGACAGTTCCTGTTCAGTTGCATAAATTCTAGTGCACTTATATTTTTTTTTCCCCACAACTCAATCGTTTTTGGTATATTACATTATTTTTTTGAACTGTGATATAAATAACAAATGCTGGCAAGGATGTGAAGAAAAGGGAACCCTTGTACCCTACTGGTGGGAACATAAATTACTACACCCACTATGGAAAATGGTTTGGAGGTTCCTCACAAAACTAAAAATTGAGCTACCATATGATCCAGCAATCCCACTGCCGGGTATATACCCCAAAGAAAGGAATTTTGTACCTCGAAGAGATACCTGCACTGCCATATTTATTGCGCCACTGTTCACAACAGCCAAGATTTGGAAGAAATCTAAGTGTCCATCAACAGAAGAATGGAAAAAGAAAATGTGGTATTTATACACAAAGGAGTACTATTCAGCCATCCAAAAAGAATGAGATCCTGCCATTTGCAACGACATGGATGGAACTGGAGATTATGTTAAGTGAAATAAACCAGGCACAAAAACACAAACATCAGCCGGGCGCGGTGGCTCACGCCTGTAATCCCAGTACTTTGGGAGGCCGAGGCGGGCGGATCACGGGGTCAGGAGATCGAGACCATCCTGGCTAACGCGGTGAAACCCTGTCTCTACTGAAAATACAAAAAATTAGCTGGGCGTTGTGGCGAGCGTTTGTAGTTCCAGCTACTCAGGAGGCTGAGGCAGGAGAATGGCGTGAATCCAGGAGGCGAAACTTGCAGTGAGCCGAGATCGTGCCACTGCACTCCAGCCTGGGTGACAGAGCGAGACTCCGTCTCAAAAAGAAAAGAAAACAAAGCAAACACAAACATCGCATGTTCTCACTTATTTGTGGGATCTAAAAGTCAAAATAAGTGAACTCATGGACTTAAGAGACTAGGAGGGGCCGGGCGCGGTGGCTCACGCCTGTAATCCCAGCACTTTGGGAGGCCGAGGCGGGAGGATCATGAGGTCAGGAGATCGAGACCATCCTGGCTAACAAGGTGAAACCCCGTCTCTACTAAAAATACAAAAAATTAGCCGGGCGCGGTGGCGGGCGCCTGTAGTCCCAGCTACTCGGGAGGCTGAGGCAGGAGAATGGCGTGAACCCGGGAAGCGGAGCTTGCAGTGAGCCGAGATTGCGCCACTGCAGTCCGCAATCCGGCCTGGGCGACAGAGCGAGACTCCGTCTCAAAAAAAAAAAAAAAAAAGAGACTAGAAGGATGGTTACCGGAGGCTGGTAGTAGAGGCTTGTGGGGGGAGGTGGGGATAGTTAATGGGTACAAAAAAAAGTAGAGCCGGCCGGGTGCGGTGGCTCAAGCCTGTAATCCCAGCACTTTGGGCGGCTGAGGTGGGTGGATCACGAGGTCAGGAGTTTGAGATCAGCCTGGCCAACATAGTGAAACCCTGTCTCTACTAAAAATACCAAAATTAGCCGGGCATGGTGGCGCGCGCCTGTAGTCCCAGCTACTCGGGAGACTGAGGCAGGAGAATCGCTTGTACCCGGAAGGTGGAGGTTGTGGTGAGCCGAGATGGCGCCACTGCACTCCTGCCTGGGCAACAAGATCCAAACTCTGTCTCAAAAAAAAAAAAAAAAAAAAAAAGTAGAATGGGCTGGTGGTGGCTCACGTCTACAATCCCGGCACTTTGGGAGGGGGAGGCGGGTGGATCACCTGAGGTCAGGAGTTTGAGACCAGCCTGGCCAACATGGCGAAACCCCATCTCTACTAAAAACACACAAAAAATTAGCCTGGTGTGATGGCACGCACCTGTAGTCCCAGCTACTCACGAGGCTGAGGCAGGAGAATCATTTGAACTCGGGAGGTGGAGACTGCAGTGACCTGAGATGGCGCCACTGCACTCCAGCCTGGGCAACAAGATCGAAACTCTGTCTCAAAAAAAAAAAAAAAAAAAAAAAAAAAAAAAAAAAAAAGAATGAATAAGTGAATAAGACCTACTATTTCATAGCACAACAGGGTGACTATAGTCAATCATATCTTAATTGTATATTTTAAAAATAACTTAATGTAATCGGATTGTTTGTAACTCAAAGGATAAATGCCTGGGGGGATGGATGCCCGTTCTCCATAATGAGCTTATTTCATATTACATGCCTGTATCAAAACATTACATGTAGCCCATAAATATATACATCTACTATGCACACACACACACACACACAATTTTTTTTTTAGACAGTGTCAGCTCTGGAGTGCTATGGCACGATCTCATTTCACCACAACCTCCACTTCCCAGGTTCAAGCGATTCCCCTGCCTCAGCCTCCTGAGTAGCTGGGATTACAGGCGCTACAGGCGCCTGCCACCACGCCCAGCTAATTTTTGTATTTTTAGTAGAGATGAGGTTTCACCACGTTGGGAAGGCTGGTCTCAAACTCCTGACCTCAAGTGATCCACTCACCTTGGCAAAGTGCTGTGACAGGCATGAGCCACCGTGCCTGGCCCCACAAAAATTTTTAAATTTTAATGTTTAAATTTAAAATTTTTTTATTTTTATTATTATTTTTTGAGACAGAGTCTCACTCTTGTTGCCCAGGCTGGAGTACAGTGGTGCAATCTTGGCTCACTGCATCCTCCACCTCCTGGGTTCAAGCGATTCTCCTGCTTCAGCCTCCCGAGTAGCTGGGATGACAGGCAGGAGCCACCACACCTGGCTAATTTTTGTATTTTTAGTTGAGACAGAGTTTCGCCATGTTGGCCAGGCTGGTCTCAAACTCCTGACCTCAGGTGATCTGCCTGCCTCGGCCTCCCAAAGTACTGGGATTACAGGGGTGAGCCACCACACCCAGGCCTGTTATATTGTATATATTTTATCACCGTTTTTTAAAAAAAATTTTATGCTAGGCCCAGGCTGGTCTTAAACTCCTGACCTCAAGCCATCTCCCCACCTTGGCCTCCCAAAGTGCTGGGATTACAGGCGTGACCACGGTACCTAGCCTCATACATTCCTTAAAGCTGACTAAAGCTATCGTTTTTTTTTTTTGGAGACGGAATCTCACTCAGGCTGGGGTGTAGTGGTGGAATCTCAGCTTACCGCAACCTCCACCTCCTGGGTTCAAGTGATTCTCCTGCCTCAGCCTCCCTAGTAGCTGGAACTGTGAGCCACCATGCCCGGCTAATTTTTGTGTTTTTAGCAGAGATGGGGTTTTGTCATGTTGGCCAGGCTGGTCTCAAACTGCTGACCTTAAGTGATCCATCCGCCTCAGCCTCCCAAAGCGCTGGGATTATAGGCATGAGTCACCTCGCCAAGCCTCTGGTGAGCATATTCTTAACTTCAGAGTATAATGCATGAGAAAGACTTCTACCGATTCCAAGGAATCTAGGTGCAATTTAAAGAATTTCTGGGCTACCTGAAACCCTCCTCTGACACCCCCGCCATCCCAATCTCGTTTAGAAGGACAAGCTCAGCCGCTTACCTCGTCTCCCACGGTGAAGGAAAGAACAGGATATAGGTTATCTGCAGTGTCCAAACCGAGTACCGAAGAACCTGCCGCAGTGAAATAGTGTGCTTTGATTTGTATA
Source organism: Homo sapiens (assembly GCF_000001405.40). NCBI lineage: Eukaryota > Metazoa > Chordata > Mammalia > Primates > Hominidae > Homo > Homo sapiens. The sequence continues at coordinate 74,199,579 of NC_000007.14, read as the reverse complement.
TTCAGTATTTTACAGAGTTACAGGGTGTTTACAGATGGGGAACAGTAGGTTATAATTTTAAGTACATAGTATTCATTATTTTTCTTTCATGACCAAAACATGCAAAGGGAAGACTTGTTTTTTTTTTTTAGACTGAGTCTTGCTCTGTCGCCCAGGCTGGAGTGCAGTGGCGCGATCTCGGCTCACTGCAAGCTCCCCCTCGGGTTCACGCGATTCTCCTGCCTCAGCCTCCCGAGTAGCTGAGACTACAGGTGCGTGTGCCACCACGCCAGGATAATTTTTGTATTTTTAGTAGAGATGGAGTTTCACCATGTTGGCCAGGATGGTCTTGATCTCCTGACCTCGTGATCGGCCCACCTCAGCCTCCCAAAGTGCTGGGATTACAAGCGTGAGCCACCGAGCCCAGTCTAGGAAAACCCTTAAGACTGGAAGTGTTCATGAGTCTGTCAACCTCACAAATGAGAAAGTGACTTAAAACATCTCAGCATTGGCCTGGCGTGGTAGCTCATGCTTGTAATCCTAGCACTTTCGGAGGCCAAGGTGGGAAGATCTCTTGAGCTTAGGAGTTTGAGAAGAGTCTGGGCAACATGGTGAAACCTCTACAAAAATTGAAATAGGCCAGGTGCAGTGGCTCACGCCTGTAATCCCAGCCCTTTGGAGGCCAAGGTGGGTGGATCCACCTGAGGTCAGGAGTTTGAGACCAGCCTGCCCAACATGGTGAAACCCCATCTCTACTAAAAACACAAAAATTAGCTGGGCGTGGTGGCATGTGCCTATAATCCCTGCTACTAGGGAGGCTGAGGTGGGAGGATCGCTGGAACCCAAGAGGCGGAGGTTGCAGTGAGCTGAGATTACACCATTGCACTCCACCCTGGGTGGCAGAGCATGACTCTGTCTCAAAGAAAAATAAATACAAAATAAAATAAAATCTTAAAACATCCAGCCAGGCGCAGTGGCTCATGCCTGTAATCCCAGCACTTTGGGAGGCAGAGGCAGGTGGATTACCTGAGGTCAGGAGTTCGAGATCAGCCTGGGCAACACGGTGAAAACCTGTCTCTACTAAAAATGCAAAATTAGCCGCGCGTGGTGGCCCATGCCTATAATCACAGCTACTCAGGAGGCTGAGGCAGGAGAATCGCTTGAACCTGGGAGGTGGAGGATACAGTAAGCCGAGATCGTGCCATTGCATTCCAGCCTGGGCAACAAGAGTAAATCTCCATCTCACCAAAAAAAAAAAAAAAAAAAAAAAAAACAAAAACCAAAAAAACAAAACATCCAGATGTGGCCAGGGTCTGACTTCAGAGAAGCCCAGTGAGCCTGGCCCCAGTGACCAGCTCCCTGGGAAGTCTTCCTTCAGGTTTTAGGCCGTTTCACCACCCTAAAGGCAAGGTCAACCCGTGTTCTAGGTTAATCAGCTCTTCTTGTTCTAGACTTAATCTCTGTTAAGTAATGTCCTTCATTGAGAAAACCAGGCTATTCCCTAGAAATCACCAACTAAAAATAGATGTCAGGGCCAGGCATGGTGGCTTGTGCCTATAATCCCAGCAATTTGGGAGACTGAGGTGGGTGGATCACTTGAGGTCAGGAGTTTGAGACCAGCCTAGTCAACATGGTGAAACCCCATCTCTACTATACAAAAATTAGCTAGGCATGGTGGTGGGTGCCTGTAGTCCCTGATACTTGGGAGGCTGACAAGAGGATCATTTGAACCCGTGAGGCGGAGGCTGCAGTGAGCCGAGATCACGCCACTGCACTCCTGTCTGGGTGACAGAGGGAGACCCTGTCTCTGAAACACCGGTCCTCTCTACCACCTACTCTTGGGTAGAAAGTAGTTGAAGCAAAAGAGTTACTCTAGGCTCCCACCTGAACAGCCCTTGCCTGCCTTACTAAAATTTAGTCGTGGTCCGGGGTCCTCCATCACCAGACAATGCTCCTACCTCAAGGTAGGCAAGGTCTGCCTTGGCCAGGCCCTTCCAAAGTCAGCCAGGACTTTGCCAAACACGCATTCATGCCCCGCACCTTGCCCACTCAGCTCTTCTTTGTCTGCCTAAGTCAATTTTAACACTATCCAATACCAACCTATAGCAGCACCTCCCCAGAGTCAGGATCTGCTGTCAGGAAGCAGCAGCCCTCCCAGCCATGAGGGGCACCTAGAATTTCGTTTACAAGCAGTTGTTAAAAGAAGCCACATGTTGTGTAAATGCTTGATTTCTTCCATCTTGGGAAAAAAATGTTCCTTTACCTAACCAAAAACAGCCAGACTTTCAAGGTTTCTGCCTGGTTGGGAAAAGGACATTTTTAGCAAGTGAGGGGAAAAAATTGGCATCCTATTTCTAATCATCACCAGCTTTTAAAATAACTTCACTCATCCCAGAATTAAAATGACAGGAAGACTCTTCCATTTCAATGGTGCTTCCCAAATTTAAAATTGTTACATTCCATGAGCAGCTAAAAAGAACTCAAAAATAAAGGCAAGCATTAAATATTACGTAAGGTTTTCTTTTATTTAAAAGATCATTCACAAAATACCATATCCATAGATTTACTTTCTGTCATATAGCTGAATGTGTTAAGTGTTTGGAATTCCATTCTTACATTTAAAAGTCAACTGGATTGCCCAGCAGTTTAGATGCATGTGTTTTGTTCTTTATCTTATCCACATTGAAGATGTAAGTAGGTCATCTGAAAGCATCGGGTTTGATTACACCACATAATGCATGTCTTTCTGAAGTTAAGTGTTGGTGTTACACAAATGGTTCTTATCTCAGAAGCAGAGAAGCTGACAGGTGGAAGGAAGGAGAGAGAGTTCTGTGGATTGCTGAGGCCTTGTAACAAGACACAGTAGGAAAAGCCCAGGATGACGGCTGGTGACCAAATACTAAGCACATTCCGCTGGGTGCCCCAGGCCACCCTGGCCCTGCCATCACCTGGCGAGGGCCTCTTTCCCAGGCTCCTGCTGCCGGCCGCCCCCAAACTGCTCCCCATAGGACAGACTGGGACTTGGGTACTGAAGGATTTTTCATCTGTTCACACGCAGGCGTTCAAGCTCAAAAGCCTAACCCCTAGCACTCCCACATAACTGCTGAACCCTGCACATGGGAACAGTCCAGTGTGTCCCCAAGATGTGGCCGCAGACCTAGACAGCTGCAGTCCTCTACTGCTATCTGAAGGTTCCTGACAGCTCTGCATAGTACAATTTATCAAAGGAAATGAGTAAAGTGCCAGATTCTAGACCCATTTTGGCTCTGAACTGAAGGGGAGGTGGGAAGCACAGTATCTCATTATGTTGCCTATACTAGGAACAGATCCACACAACACACAGGCAACAGGGATGGGGGGAAACGCTGCGTCAGCGCCGCAGTCAGCCCAGTGCAGCACCAGCACCACCCCCTCCACCCCCAAAGCGCCTTGGCCCAGCAGAAAAGAAACCCGCTGGCCATTCACTGCACCCAGCCAGAGAGGCCAGCCTCCACCACGCACGGCGAAAGGAGTGAACTAGCTGGGACACACACACGTGTGAATGCATGCAAGCATTCACTGCATCTTCTCCGTGGACTCCCTACCGCTCTTCCATAGCCCCCCCTTTCAGCCTCACTGTTTCTCGTGTGAGCCTATCTGCTTGGACAGTCCACTCGGGAGGGGGTCATGGAGCCAGGACTCCCTCTAAATAGGAATGGAAAGGACCCTGCAGATATTTTTATCCTAGTTGTGAAAACAAGGTGCCTCTGATTCTCTATATCCATCACAGCTGAATACCAACAAGGTCTCTGCTGTTCCCTCTGTCAGTGACTCTGGTTTTTGTTGGAAGCCCCAGCAATACAGAACTCAACATGCAGGTCAGAAGAGAAGCACTGAGGGAATGAAAGGAAACGCCTGGAGTTGGGCCAGTGTCTAAAGTAAAGAGAAAGCAAAGGAAAAATGACGCAGCACCGCAGCCCAAACGCCCCCCCACGGCGGCCACCTCTGCTCCTCCGAGGAACCCCATGTGCTGCTGGGAAAACAAGGAGCAGGAGAAAAAGGACAGAAGGAAAATGGGGAAGCAGCGGAAGAAAGAAAAAAACGCACAAACAGGCACTAGATAGATACAGCAAAGCCCAGAATGTACTAAAAACCACTTGTTAACAGCTGACATGCACTCACAAGCTGTGTTTCCGCTGTGAGGAGGCCAATGGCAGGCGCAGGAGTGGCGGCTGCAGGACGGCTGCCCGGGGACTCACCAGGCTGTGGTCCTGCTCTAACCCCCCACGCCCCATTCCCTCCCAACCGCAGGCTCATTCTTGCTCCTTTTGAACGACTTCCTCTCTAGGCCTGGCACCCCCGAAGATAGCAGAGTTGGGATTGGCTACTTGATTGAGGGGCGTCGCGACTGTTCGAGGTTTAAGCTGGAGTCGTGGTCTCTGTGCTCTTTCCTCTGGGGGAGAAAAAGCAGAGTTTGTCAGAGTGTGGATCCCATTCCATATCCAGCAAAACGACCATGCTGATGTTGCTGTCAGCAAACCAGCCCACTTTCTAAAATTCACCTGGCCTGCTACCCCAACAGCAGATGCTCTAATGACCAAGGTGAACTTGCTATTCCAGAGAACGTGGGGATCTATGCCGACAACTCTGTGTGCCGTAGAACGCCAAGTCCCCACGGGGTGTGAACCGGCCATGATCATCCCATCAGGACAAGATGCCCTCCACTGACACATGAGCCCGTACCTTCTGTGGGTTCTCTGAAATCCATGTTGGATCCACGGAGGGGAGGGCCATCTCTGAAGCGGCTGCCCATGGGGGGGCCTGTTCGCCGGTCGCCTGGGCGACTACCTCCCCTGCCCCCTAAGAAGTCATCCCTGAAGCCTGAGGAAGAAACAGGACACTGAATTACTTTTCAAACTATCGTCTCCAAGCTGCTTATAGAATAATGTTCTGGGAATTGTTTGAGTTTCATTTTAAATTCTTTAGTTTGTCCACTATCTGAAGTCTCTCCAAAATAAAGTGTGTTAAAAGTGGGTCCAAATGCCAATGTGTGGAGTAATGACAGCGCTAACAGACTTCCCAAAGAAAAAGGAATCAAGATCTTAGGAGAGCAAACAAACGAGCTGTTTACATGCTCAGCTTGCATGAAAAGTAGAAAAATATTAATACCACGAAACTGTATTTTAATACGGCTTAAGCAAAACAAGAAAGCCTCAAAGCAGGTTGAACTCTATTTTCTAATAGAAATCTATACAGCTATTTTAAAAGATAAACCTGAAATTTAGAAGTATTTACAACTCAGAACACAAAAATCACAAGAAAACGCTATATGAAGACAAAATAAAAACACAAAGTCCCAATTTTCCTGTTTTGGCTGCGTTTTAGGTGTGGGCCATTCTACAAGCAAAGCACCTGTGTGGTAAACAAAGCAGTTATCCGAAATTGGCCATGCCCTACACAGAGGGGCATGAGCAGAGAGCACAGCGCCTCACCCCCACCGGCGCCTCCTGTGGGGGCAAAGCGTTCTTTCCCCATTCATTTGTGTGCCTGCTAAGTGGGCTCTTGGCAGAAGTAAACTGCATCTCATTTAGAAATGCTGAATTCCCACTGGTGTGTAGGAGGAAAGAGTATTTTCTCAATGGTCTTAAGGGGCCTTCAGGCTTGTACTTCAGTGAAAGCTAAACTTTAACTGTATAACCTACTGATGTTAAAATTTGGTAAAAAGACTGGTTCACGCCTGTAATCCCAGCACTTTGGGAGGCTGAGGTGGGAGGTGAGTATAGGAGTTCAGGACCAGACTGGGCAACACAGTGAGACTCACTCTCTACAAAAAACACAAAAATTAGCTGGGCATGGTGGCGCACGCCTGGGGTTCCAGCTACTCATGAGGCTGAGGCAGGATAATCGCTCGAACCTGGAAGGTAGAGGGTGCAGTGAGCCAAGATCGTGCCATTACACTTCAGCCTGGGTGATGAAGTGAGACTCTGTCTCAAGGAAAAAAAAAAAAAACTGGCGAAAAGAAGTTAAACCATAATTAAACAAATGAGCTTGCTGCTGTTGGTTGCGCACTCAGGGGGTGCCACTGCTACTCTCTGCGAGAGTGGTGCCAAGGCTCCAAGCTTTCAGGGAGCTTGTCTTTGAGAAGAACCCCCAGAGCCCGCAGTATGCACTATACAGTCATCCTCATTATCCACAGATCCCATATTTGCAAATCCACCCAGTCGCTAAAATTCATGTGTAATCCCAAGCTAGATACCAGCAGCATTTCTCCAGTCAGTCCTGGACCTGCACAGATGCGACGATCCCAGCTGAGGCAGAAAACGATAATGCTCTGCCTGTTTCAGTTATTAGCTGTCAAGTCTTTTCACGATGAGTGTCGGGTGTTTTGCCCTTTGGGCTTTTTCTGGTGACATCGCTGTCTGAAGTGGCCCCAGGTGCAGTGTGAAGTGCTGTCTGCTGTTCTTAAGTGCAGGCTGGCTGTCAGGTGTCTTACAGACAAAACCGGTGTGGGATGAGCTTTCTAACAGGCTGAAATGATGGCACCACAGACTACTTACTACAGCTGGCCCTGAGTTCAATGTTAACACTATTAAATGAATCAACACTAACATTAAATGAGGCGTCTTTAAAATCAAGGTCACATAGGCTGGGTGTGGTGGCTCACGCCTGTAATCCCAGCACTCTGGGAGGCAGAGGTGGGCAGATCACCTGAGGCTGGGAGTTCGAGACCAGCCTGACCAACACGGAGAGACCCCGTCTCTACTAAAAATATAAAAATTAGCTGGGTGTGGTGGTGTGCGCCTGTAATCCCAGCTACTTGGGAGGCTGAGGCAGGAGAATCGCTTGAACCCTGGAGGCGGAGATTGCAGTGAACCGAAATCATGCCACTGCACTCCAGCCTGGGCAACAGAGTGAGCCTCTGTCTCAAAAAAAAAAAAAAGAAAAAAAAAAAAGTCACATAAAGCAATGTTAGGTATGATCAGCTGACGAAAATGTTGTGATCTGTAGCACACAGGAGCAGCACCGCACGGGCTCATTCAGTGTTCTAGCAACTCCACAGAACCACCTCCAATGATAAGCGCTGACTGCATCACCTGTGGTGGGGGCCGATTTCTATTCTTTAAAGGTGGCAAGGGTTTTGGAAACCAAGGGATCTCACACCCAGTTCAGAGACTGAGTTAAATAATAAATTTTAACAAACCAAGTAATGAAAGCAAGTCTGAACAGATTTAGACCAATAAGAGCACTGCTTTAGGGGAAATACACTGGGAGGCATACAGTCGAGTATAAGGTCCTTTACAAAGTATTTTACCCACATTACACAGTTCAGTGAACAAGCCTAGTTAGTATTAAAACATTTAACTTCACGTTTCCCCCAAACTAAACTGTGAAGTGTACCTTTCCACGTGAGTACAAAGTAAATTTACACCCTTTACTATGAGATTAAATGATTTCGACCACCAATGTCTAGCGTGAAACAAATAGCTCACACCACGCTGGTGAAGCAGATGAACAAGGATCTCTCATCAAATCTGTTGGTGGGGGCCGGGCGCGGTGGCTCATGCCTGTAATCCCAGCACTTTGGGAGGCCGAGGCAGGTGGATCACGAGGTCAGGAGATCGAGACCATCCTGGCTAACATGATGAAACCCCGTCTCTGCTAAAAATACAAAAAATTAGCCGGGCGTGGTGGTGGGTGCCTGTAGTCCCAGCTACTTGGGAGGCTGAGGCAGGAGAATGGCATGAACCCAGGAGGCAGAGCTTGCAGTGAGCCGAGATCGCACCACTGCACTCCAGCCTGGGCAACAGAGCAAGACTCCGTCTCAAAAAAAACAACAACAAAAAATCTGTTGGTGGGTTTCTAGGAAGCAAACTATTCATGAGAATCTTCAGAGTTTTCTTTACAAAGCTTAGTTTAACACTGGCTATTTCTGATGATGAAATGTTTTTGCTTTCTTGGTACTTTTCTGTTGCTCTATTTTGTTTTTTACATGAGCAGGTATCATTAAAAAAAATAGCACCATCCTATTAAAAAGTAAAAAAGATCTACTCTCGCAAATAACGTATAAAGTATCAAATTAGCCATTACTCCATCGAGTGAGCCCACATAGGGTTTGAGATGTCACCAAAACACTGCAGTTCCCACCAGAACTGGTGGCGGCCAGGCCATGGCCGTGTTCACTGTGTCTCTGCTTGAGCGCCAGTGGCCAAGCTAAGCCAAGGGTAGAAAGACGTTAGTATGTGGGCAACTTCTATAACACCTGCGAATACCAAACTGGCAGGGGAAAGGCCGTTCCCTGAGCTGCTGGTTGGCTCTAAGAAGACAGCTGCTGCATGTTTCAATCAGAGACTAGCTTATACATAAAATTACAGATTGACTTCACCATACTGCACTTTTATGAATAAGCTCATTTCTGACTGGCTACAGGACTTTTAAGAACTATATTATTCAACAGGTAGTCGTCACCTGTTCAGCCAAAGCTGAGTTTTTAAAAATCTCAGACTCACAAGACAGCGTGCACCAGTCCCTCCCATACTCACCCACTACTTTACACCGGTTTTGTTTTGATGGGGGGAGGGTGCTGACGTTCTATACAGCACAGCATTGACAGCACATCCCAAGTTTGCGGGAAAGAAAACAAATTTGTTTTTCTCTTCCTACCTTTCTGGGTTACAACTGAAGTTTTTATCATGTGCATATATAAAAAATTATACTTTTGTAATTTAAAAACAGAAAGTAAAGATGATAAAAATGCTTAAAATCACCCTGCAGGGCAGAGGCCTGGCGTGTGGACTGATGCTTTGTGCTATACCACCAGCTGCTCTGCCTGGGTTGGCTAAGAAAGAGAACGGCGAAGTGCATCAGGTCCACCATCAAGGGACTGGACCTCCCCACAATCCTCCAAGAAAAAAAAGGGCCATCAGGACTACCTTTCACCATGTAAGAACCCAAACCTCTATCCTATGTTTTCCAGAAGGAACAGTACTTCTCTTGGTGCCATACACAAAACCACAGAGGAGTTTCCCTGGGCTAGAGTCTGAGAAAGACTGCTGAGCGAGCTCAAGGACCCAGGCCCGTACACATCCAAGGAGCTGCAGGCTAACAAAGGTGACCACACAAGGTGCATGGGGCTCAAGTCCTGCCCCCACAGGCTCTAACAGAGGCTTACTTGCATGCCTGGGCACCCTGCAGGAGAGTTGTATTTGTTAAAGGAACTAAATAAGTAGTCCGGCCAGGCGGGCTACTCGTAAGAAACAGAGAACAGCAGCAAGGCTCCTAGGAAAAATTAAGTGGTGATACTTTAAATACTGATACCAGAATTGAAGTCATCCCGGGAATCCCATCCACCTCTAGATTCTCGAGAGCTACCCATTCCTGAGGATACACAAAAAAGATAAAGTTGAGGTCGTGTCATTACCTTGCTGCGCAAACATGGAAAAATTCATTTGGAAGACATACAACTCAAGTGATGGAAGGTTCAATGAAATCATTTTAAGAGCTTTTGCTTCCAACAGAAAACAAAAAACGCCAGGCTTGCAGAAGCATCAGCCATTCTTTCTAGGATTTTACGCAAACTTTTAAGAGCTCACGAGAACCTATCACACCTATGAGATAATCGAGTTCTACTAGGAACGTTCACGAGTTGGAATTGGTAGGCATACTGCAAATCTTTATGATGTTCAGCTTTAGAAGAACCAATCACCTCTGTCATCTGGTCCACCTTTTCTGAATCCAAAGCCACCTTTATCTTGTTTTCTGCCTTCTGCAATGTCCACACGAAGTGACCGATCGCCCAACAGCTAATGATAAAGGGAAAATAGTGTAAGTATTGGCAAAGAAAACAATCTCAACTGCTATGACAGAGAAAACCCGAGGATACTTACTGCACCATCGTATGTCAAGGCTTCCTTAAGGGAATCCACTTCATCGAATTCTACATAGCAGAATCCTGGAAAAGAAAAGAAGACCCCGATTTCCTCAAGTAATTCTGGGTTAAAGATGTGGGAAGATCCTATTCATACTACTTCTCCACGTCACAACTACCATTCTGTTGTCTAGATGATGGCAGACTAGGAGAGCCTTTCAATAGATAGAACCCTGACTGGCATTCCTCCCTCTCAATTCTATTTTATCAGTCAGAAAATGCTAACTGAACATGCACTGAAATAGCAGCTGCGTTTCTAGAAAGCTTTCTTCTTGAATGTTTTAACCATAATATTCAAACCTTTCTCAGGCCATCTGCAGAGCTCTTCTGACTTCTGAATGACTATTTAATCTAAGTGAGGATTAGATTTCGTAGATTTCAAACTTGGTACCTAAAATGCTCTGAAGAAAGAGGCTTAAAGTGCCGATTTAACTTACTACTCAGGTAACTGACATAAAATTTGCTTCACAAAGCTGAAAATATATCCTTGGCAATCAGGGCATTCTTCTCTGAATGTTAATTAAAAGACAGGCAGCCTGGGTCCAAGTACCTGTTACTGACAACCTGTGTCCCTGATGCCAGGGGTCTGACATTGCCCCTTCCTTGCTGTCTGGAGTCTAAATCTAGTTCATTACTCCCCAGATGCTGGCACTACACCCTGCATCCCCTCTCCCCCAGCGTCCTTGCCCTGTGTATAATAACTTAATAATCACACTTCATCTTTGAAGCCCACTAGACCGCAAGTGCTCTAAAGGCCTGAGTCCAAACTTTCCCTGTTTACCAACTGTGTGTTAAGAACATACTGCCTTGGCTGGAGGGATGTCCCCCCAGGTTTCCTCCCTAAGTGGATTCAATGTTGAGAATAATGGAGAAAACTACCCCCAACTTCACAGAAGCAACAGACACCCAATCTCATCTTCTAGAGCTGCTCAAATGAAGATGGTCCTTCATGAGCCAAACTCCAAAGCCTGCAGCGACTGACCCAGCCCAAAGGCTAGGCTCACCCACACACTCCAACCCAAAGTTTAGTTCCTAATGCTTCCTGGAGCTTACTTCACAAGTGTAACTGATATATTTGTTTTCACTGTTTGATTACACACTACATGTGGCTTCAGATTCTGAAGTCAAAAAGAGTAAGAGTGCCACCGACACACAAAACCACCCAGGTCAGCAAGGCCTTCTCGACTGCTGGCACAGCTCCCCGCCCCAAGTTACCCCATACTTGTCACAGATGTGCTTTTGGGTGGATTATGCGGGCCAAACATCCTGGGTCCTAGCATCGTGCACTTACACAGCAGGCACACTTCCTTCAGGAAGCCCTGCAGGCAGGAGAATGCTGCTCGGATCCCTTCTTCTTCCTGCTCTTTGCTCCCGCACCCTGCAGACACACGACCTATAGACACCATATCTGAAATCTCAGCCAGCCCTCCCAAGCACACTCTCCAAATTTACAAATGCATACTGACAGCACTGGCTGCTTCTCTTCTGGGTTTTATGATTACTGGATGACAGTACCATATGATTACTGGATTAACTACCAAGGAAAATCTACGAGTCATTCCAGGAGGAATGTGCCTAAGAGTCCTCGGCTCTATTCCTCTCTCTCCTGGGGAACTCCTTTACTGGCAGACAGGACTGCTGTAGAGGTCAGGCTCACAAACCTGGGCATATGCCATGTATTTCTATGAACTACACTGTGTACAAAACATTTTCCCCTAAGTGAACTGAAGACCTATGAGTTGAAGAGTTATGTTTCTTTCGGCCACTTAGACCAGGCAAATGTTTAAAACACTTTCTTGATTACAGCCTCTGGTTCACAAATCTATTTTTATTTAGAACCCCTTCCCATCCTCCCCTACACTTTACAGTAATATACAATAAGAATCCCCCAAACTCACCTTTAAATTTATCTGTGTCTTTGTCTCTGACTAGCCGTACACTCCTTATGCTGAGATCCTTAAAGATAGCATCTATGTCGCCCTGAACCGTATTGAAAGGTAGATTTCCTACGTATGCTGTGTAGGGGGGCTCTGTGGGCAACTCCTTCTGGCTACGGGAACCATGGCCACCAGCACTGCCGCGGGACCTAGGAGGGGAGACAAACAGGATTCAAGTGTGCCCAGAGTGGAATAAGCAAAACAAGTAAAGCGGTCTTCCGCTGAGCTACGCCGCCAGCGCCCCAGGTGAGGCACTCTGCTCGATGTACCACAAGACTGTTACAGAGAATGGCTGGAGAAACAAAAAAAAAGGAAAAGAAAAATTTTTTGAGACAGACTGTCACTCTGTCACCCAGGCTGGAGTGCAGTGGCACAATCTTGGCTCACTGGAACCTCTGCTTCCCGGGTTCAAGAGATTCTCCTGTCTCAGCCTCCTAAGGATGCTGAGATTACAGGCATGTGCCACCACACCTGGCTAATTTGTGCATTTTTAGTAGAAACAGGGTTTCACCATGTTGGCCAGGCTGGTCTCCAACTTCTGACCTCAGGTGGTCTGCCTGCCTCACCCTCCCAAAGTGCTGGGATTACAGGTGTGAGCCACCATGCCCAGCCCAAACGTAACACACCTTCCTAAGACAACTGCTTCTCTCCTATTCACTCAGAATCTGTATCTGCAGTATTTACATCCTAAAACCTAAGCAAGTACCCTCCTTCACACACCGTGGTTCTAAGAAATACAGAAATGGACAGTCTAGAAGTAATGTTGTATTCAGAAGAAGGATTACTGAAGTTGTTTACGTTTAACACATTCATACATAATAGAATTATTTCTCCTACCGCTTGAACCTGGGAAGCGGAGGCTGCAGTGAGCCAAGATCGCACCACTGCACTTCAGCTCACGCGACAGAGACTCCGTCTCAAAAAAAAAAAAAAAAAAAAAAAAAAAAAAAAAAAAAAAAAAAAAAAAAAAATTTCTCCTTGTTGCCTGATTATGGGCATAAGAATGTCCTAATAAAAATTTTAGATGTCACACAGCAAGTACTGACGTACCTAACACTCTCGTGCAATACTTCACAGGGTCCTCAAATACATGCGTATGGCGTGCATTACCAATCCATTTCAACCTCGATGTCATCTCCTCAGCTGTATCAAGCGTCGTTTACTCTGCATAGGTATTGGTTTAAATCTAGCCTCTGTCACTTACTAGCATATGACCTTGAGAAGTTATTCAACTTCTCTAAGCTTTATTTTATTTGTAAAACTGAGTTAATCCTAATACAGCATTTTGGGAGGCCGAGGTGGGTGGATCACTTGAGGTCAGGAGTTCAAGATCAGCCTGACCAATGTGGTAAAACCCTGTCTCTACTAAAAATACAAAATTAGCTTGGTGTGGTGGTGCATGCCTGTAATCCCAGCTGCTGGGCAGGCTGAGGCAGGAGAATCGCTTGAACCCAGGAGGTGGAGGTTGTAGTGAGCCCATTGCACTCCAGCCTGGGCGACAGAGCGAGAGTCCATCTCAAAAAAAAAAAAAAGACATCAGAATATAGTATAAATAGATTATTATATTAAACGATATTTGCCATAAGAATGCCCCAGGAACGACTTAAAGTCGTTAGAAGTGAAGTGCCAAGATGGCCAACATTTGTTTTCAAGCAGGTCAGCATAAAGGGCATGTGTGCCGGTATACAGCAAGGATTCAGCAAACAAGGCAGAATAGTCACTTCTGCATCCACTAGCGTCATCCAACTGTACCATTATTTCAACCTTATTGTAGATTTGAAAATTTCCAAAATAAAACGTTTGGAAAACTCAGGAGGAAAAAAAAATTAAGGGGGTGATTTTTTTTTGAAACAGACATTTAACCCATTTCCTGTTTGCTCCAAGAATACCGTGCTGGCAGCCAACTGCAGTTTTTTTTTCTAAACGGGAAATGCGTTCAAATAAATGAGATCCTTCACAACAACCCAAGACCTGCCCAAAGTCACCCTCTTTGCAGGGGAAATATTAATATCCATCTTAGAGAGCAACCTGGTCTTTCATCTACATACTGCCAGAAACACAATGGAAATTCCACTTCTTCCTGAAGATAAATTCCAGGTGTCTTGCAGACAAATATTATTCATTAAAGCATTTTTCTAAAGTAGAAGGGTCAACCAAGCTGTGATGATTCTTTGATGGTTAAAAAAAAAAAAGCTTTTAAGTTTCATAATTCACAATTCCGGTACTTTCCAATAGGAAGTTCCACGTTCTGTTCTAAGACCACCAGAAAATAGGTTTACAAGTGAATTGCATCCTACCTGCCCACTTCTCCCATCTTTTCGGGCCTAGTAAATGTGACTTACTTTGCATTTCAATAACCTTTGCCAATAGTACTCTATCGCTGATATCTCCGAAATCATAAATCCTAAAATATTTTCAGTAAGATACTATTTAGGACGGGATAATAAATATATGAGTTACAGTATAAAGCCGGGCCCAGTGGCTCATGCCTGTAATCCCAACAGTTTGGGAGGCTGAGGCGGGAGGATCACTTAAAGCCAGGAGTTCAAGACCAGCCTGGGCAACACAGTAAGACCCCATCTCTATAAAAAATACAAAAAATTAGCCGGGAGTGATGGTCCACACTTGTAGTCCCAAGCTACCTGGGAGGCTGAGGTGGGAGGATCACCTGAGCCCAGGAGGTTGTTGCTGCAGTGAACTGTGATGGCACCACTGCACTCCAGCCTGGGTGACAGAAGGAGACTGTCTCCAACTGAAGAAACAACAACAACAACAAAAAGGCGGGGCACAGTGGCTCATACCTGTAATCCCAGCACTTCGGGAGGTCAAGGTGGGTGGATCACTTGAGGCCAGAAGTTCAAGACCAGCCTGGCCAACATGGTAAAACTCCGTCTCTACTAAAAATACAAAAACTAGCCAGGTGTGGTAGCACACACTTGTAATCCCAGCTACTTCAGAGGCTGAGGTGGAGCTTGCAGTGAGCTGAGACTGTGTCACTGCGCTTCAGCCTGGGCTACAGAGCGAGACTCCATCTCAAAAAAACAAAAACAAAAAAACACAAAAAACAAACAAAAAAGCACAAAAAACAACAACAAAACCAAACAAACAAAAAACAAGATACAGTATAAACATGTGGAAAACCATAAAAATGGAGGGTCAATGTTAAAAACAGTTTAAATTCATTACTCAACATTAAACATCTAGTGATGCGTAATGATGTTAAAAGACTGTCTTGTATGTAAGCAGCTCACAGTTGTGTGGGACGTATAAAACACATGTATATATGCAGGTATGTTTGTGTGTATGAATGTGTAACATATACATAAAAACTAAAAAGGAGGGTGAGGATGAAGAGAGATGATAAACTCTCGGGTGTTTGATGTAGTTGCTAAGTAAGGAAAATGGAGGTGCGAAGGCTTGCTAATTGTGCTCGAACTTACAGAGTAGAGGAACTGTGGAACTGAGATCAGGCCAGACTTGACCCCTGATTGAGCACAGGAAGCCCAGGTGAATGCCAGTAAGATGACGGGGCACTGCTAAAAATGCACTAGGACAGGAAGGTGGCTCTGGCTTTGGAGAAGATAGAAAAATCTAGTTTGGGGCAAACCATTTTTGAAAAGTTGGCACGTTACCAAATGGCAGCACCTAACAGCTAACTGGTGATATAATTCTGGAGCAAAGATACACCAAAGCCCACCAAACTGTTCAACTCACTCGTGCCTCACAAAACCACCAGTGGCTTAATACTCTAGACTTTTCAATAATTACCAAAGTAGTCCTAAATATTCCCATACCCTACCTGATGTAGTCCCTTCTACAGGTCTTAAGCACTTTTTACCTTTTCATCCCATTCAATGAAATCACTAGGGGGCAGCAGGGCTGGGCCATGGAGGTAGACCTCATTCAAGCTAGCACTGGTAAAGTGTCCACTGTGTGACAGTCACTTGAGACACATCACATAGGATGTGAGTACCCCAGAGTACACATCACATAGGATGACATCACATCACATCACATAGGATGACACAGATCTGTTACCCACCGATTCATTTACAAAATCAAATGTCAGAAAACTCTGAGCTAAAATGTCTGCCACCTTTCACTAGATTCAAGTTTGGGGGACTACTACCTAAATAAATAAGCTGTGTTTCGTGAAATTCAGTACATTCCTACACAGATCAATAACAACACATGGGAGAACAGGTTCACTTGACACCTTAGCTAGCTTGATGTAGGACCTCTGCCAAATTACCTCTGTACCTATGTTTTCTTGTCTGTTATATTTCAATCTTGATTTTATAAGTTTAAAACTGACCATAAAAACATTTCCTAAGTACCAAGTGCTATATAATTCTGCCATGCTCCTGGGTAGACCCAACAGGCCTGAGGCTACACTGGGCTGGCAGGAGTGCGTGTAGAACAGGAACAGATCAGCAGAGCGTGCCAATTCAGGACACCTGAAGTCAAGGTCTGTGCTGCAAACTCCCTGCCACTACTGAGCAGTGTCCTTTCTACTGCCCATTAGGGACAGTCTATTGATTATGAAAGATTAAAGTAGTCAATTACAGCCTCAGTAATTTAGGAAACCCTACTTTCGGCTCCAAGTGTGACTAAAATCCTTGACAGGCAAATCACTTTTCCTTACTCAAATCAACCACGTATCTGCATGTCTATGAAGGGTGGAGAGAATGTAGAGAAGGCACAAACCTAAGACTCGGTTTCTGCCCTCAAGGAGCTGATAATTTGGAAAGGAGAAATCACGTCACAAGCAAAGGACTGCAGAAAATCTGGAAGATAGCAATGAGAACAGTTTCACCAGGGTGGAGCAGTTGGGAGCCAGGATATGCAGCACAGCAGAGAGCAACAGAAGTGGGACTCCACTTCCAGATGGCAGATGGGGCCAATACTGAACCCTTAGGGTGAGCCAGAAAAGATCTGTAGGTGTCAAAGGAGACTGAGAGAGGGTAACTATAAAAAGAAGCCAATGTACAGAGTAGATGTTATGAGGGTAGGGATGTATCCAGTAAGTAGATGCAACAGAAAGTTGAGTGCTCAAGGCTGGGCATGGGCATGTGGCTCCGGCCTGTAGTCCCAGCACTTTGGGACTGTGATTGTGCAACTGCACTCCAGCCTGGGCAACAGGGCAAGACTATGCCTCCAAATTATGAGACACATCTCATTTAAACCTCCCAACAGAGGAGTTTCTAGCTCTCATTTGGGGAAAGTAGGGCCCAGAAGGGTAAAGTAGTGTAAACCAAAGAAAATGACTGGCCGGACGCCATGGCTCACACCTGCAATCCCGGCACTTCGGGAGGCCAAGGTGGGGAGATCACTTGAGCTCAGGAGTTTGAGACCAGCGTGGGGAACACGGCAAAACCCCATATCTACAAACAGGTAACATTTGGGTTTTTGACAATCATCAAAAATGGTTAAGCTTTCAAAGGTCAAGCCTTTGATAAATACCATTTATACTACCTATTATAAACCATAGTAGTATAGAGAAGAGTGGTCACTTAAAGAGTAGGTAATGGGTATACAGGTCACTATATTATGCTTTGGTTCGTGTTCTAAATTTTCTACATTTTTCTGTAATGTTTTGCATATTCAAACAATCCAACTATACAAAGTCATCTTTGCAAAAACTGGGAAAAACTGAACACTGGGTACTGGAAAAACTGTTGGTTAAAGAAAAAAAAGAAGCCCTTATCTGTTAGAAACATACTCAAGTATGAAAAGTATGTAAGAGGCCGGGTGTGGTGGCTCACACCTATAATCCCAGCACTTTGGGAGGCTGAAGCGGATGAATCACAAGGTCAGGAGTTCAAGACCAACCCGGCCAACATGGTGAAACCCCATCTCTACTAACAGTACAAAAATCAGCTGGGCACAGTGGCAGGTGCCTGTAATCCCAGCTACTCGGGAGGCTGAGGGGTGGTGGCGGAGGCTGCAGTGAGCTGAGATCGCGCCACTGAGCTCTAGCCTGGGAGGCAGAGTGAGACTCCATCTCAAAAAAAAAGGCCGGGCTCGGTGGCTCACACCTGTAATCCCAGCACTTTGGGAGGCCGAGGCAGGCAGATTACCTGAGGTCGGGAGTTCGAGACCAGCCTGACCAACATGTAGAAACCCTCTGTTTCTGCTCTATCTCTGCTAAAAATACAAAATTTGCCAGGTGTGGTGGCACATGCCTGTAATCCCAGCTACTCGGGAGGCTGAGGCAGGAGAATCGCTTGAACCCAGGAGGCGGAGGTTGTGGTGAGCCGAGATAGTGCCACTGCATTCCAGCCTGGGCAACAAGAGTAAAACTCTGCCTCAGAAAACAAAACAAAACAAAAAACAAAAAAAACAAAGAAAGAATATATAAGATACATCTACTACGGTAGCCATAAAAATTGAAACAAAAATTGCTCTAAAGTATGTAATATTTACCAACACAAAGATGAGGATTAAAATTTAAAAAAATAAGAACTATTTTAGAAGGATAGGTGACTAGGATTAGCCTTAAATTATCCTAGCCCACACCTCCACCCAAAAGTAGGGAAGATAGATGTAACAGAAATAGCCAAAATGTTTATGAGGTTAAAACTGGGAAAGGAATGGAGTTGTTTAGTGGGTATAGAGTTTCTGTTTGGATTATGAAAAGGTTCTGGAACTAGATAGTGGCAATGGTTACACAACACTATGAAGGTACTCCATGCCACTAAATTGTACACTTAAAAATGGTTGAGGCTGGGCGTGGTGGCTCATGCTTGCAATCCCAGCACTTTAGGAGGTCAAGGCAGGAGTATCCCTTGAGGCTAGTTCAAGACCAGCTTAGGCAACAAAGGGAGACCCTGTCTCTATTAAAAAAACAATTATTTAGCTCAAGCAGCAGTTCTTTACATTTGTGCAGTCTCTGAAGAAGGCCAAGATGTAATCCTTTGGTCCTATTCTGGCCTGGAGGGCCACACCTTTCTTCCACTCAGCAGTCCCAGAGACTTAAGAGCTGCTGTATCACTGCTGCTGAGGCTTCTTTCGAAGGTCCTCACTGAAGCTGCTCAGCCCTTCCTCCTAAGATGAAGTTTCAGAGCCTGGCCATCCCCACTATCACCTTCTTCTTCATAGGCTCCAGTGTGCTGATGCCTTAAAATATGGTTCCCAGAATGGTTCACAATATTCCACATTTATAAAGCAAAGACCTATACTGATCTCACAACAGGTCTTTGTGTTAATACAAACGAAGGCAGGGGCATCAAACTACATTACTCATGCTTTCCCACCATGCACTTGAAGTATTTAAAATAGGAAGAAAAATCACAGCTTCAATTAGGAATATCCTTGGTAAAGCAGTAAAAATGAATCGTGACCCACTTTTTAGTACCCTATGTTATGAAACACGCAAAGCACTTCTGCTGCATACACAAGCATGATGGCTGCTGCAGGAAAAGCACTTGAGCTACAAGCTGAACTAGCTGTTCTTTCTATAGAACAAACTATGGTTAATTCAGACATGGGTACTAAGTTTTTTAAAAATGAAGTTAAGTCTGTTCCTTGAAGTAAAAGAACAGTATTTGGGTTTTTTGTTTTGAGACAGGGTCTTGCTCTGTTGCCCAGATTTGAGTGCTGTGGTGCAATCACTGCTCACTGCAGCCTCAATCTCCAGGACTCAAGTGATCCTCTAGCCTCAGCCTCCCAAGTAGGTGGGACTATAGGCATATACCACCACACCAGCTAATTTTATTTTTGAAAAGACCAGGTCTGGACATATTGTCCAGACTGGGCTAGAGTGATCCTCCTGCCATGGCCTCCCAAAGTGTTGGGATTACAGACATGAGCCACAGCACCTGGCCAAAATAACAGTATTTGTTGCCAATGGTAAAATTTAAGCTTTCAAGCAAAAAAGAGTTTCGGAAAACCTGTATCCATCAACATAAGCCTGACAGTCTTTCAATACTCAGAGACTTTTCTAACAGCTATGGTGAATGTGACTTTGATACTGTATAACAAAATGTACCAACATCTGGAACATCTGCATGGCTCTGCCTGGCTCAGTGAACAGGTCCTTTCCAAATCACCAACACCTTACAAATGTATGCACTGGTAAAGGATCCAGTCGGAGTACAAGATAAAGTGACTTTTTTTTTTTTTTTTTGATACAGAGTCTCACCCTGTCGCCCAGGCGGGAGTGCAGTGGCGCAATCTGGGCTCACTGCAAACTCCACCTCCCAGGTTCAAGTGATTCTATGGCTTCAGCCTCCCAAGTAGCTGGGACTACAGGGGCCCACCACCATGCCCAGCTAGTTTTTGTGTTTTTAGTAGAGATGGGGCTTTGCCATGTTAGCCAGGCTGGTCTCAGACTACTGACCTCAGGTAATCCGCCCGCCTTGGCCTCCCAAAGTCCTGGGGTTACAGGAGTGAGCCACCGCGCCCAGCCAAATGATGAACTCTAATGTAAAAGTATGAAGAGTTTATTGATAAGGTTTTAGGTTTCACATTGCAACTAACCTTCATAGAAACTACTGCTTATTGAGTTTTGGTATAGAATCAAATATGAATATCCAGAATTATTTGATTACTCCTCCCATTTCCAACTATTTATCTGTGCAAGGATTGAGCTGCTCCATAAAAGTCAACCAAAGCAACACATTCCAAGAGTGGAGACAGATGCAGGTATGAGAATCCAGCTGTGTTCTATTAAGCCAGACATTTAGAAGGCTCCAAAAATGTGAGTACACAGAAGGCTCCAAAAATGTGAGTATACATGAAAGACAGGAGAAGAATGTGCAGAACAAAGGGAGGTGACGGCCCCCCTAGCCCTGAACTGGAAGGCCATGCTTAACCAGAGACTCATCAACCGTGGAGCAGCCACATACTTGAGCTCCTTCAGAAGGTCCTGATCAAGACGGAAAATCACATAAATCATGACGTGGGGAAACTTCGAAGAACATTCGACTTACACAAAAGAAGTCTTAGACGTACATACAGCTGCCATTAGGTTCTATGAAAATGATGCAATCACACTCATTTCATGCCCGGGTGTGCAGGTCTAATCAGCATGATGTAAAAGCAACCAGGCGACAAATACTCTCCTGAACCTTCCAGGGGAAGCTGGAAGCCAGAGTGTGATCCTGGAAAGACATTCAGAGTCTGCTTTGTACGTTCTAAGCTTCCAGGGAGACTCCTTAAAATTGTGAAGTCTTTCCAGAACACTAAGCTTAATTTTTCTTTTTTTTTTTTTGGAGACAGTCTCTCTCTGTCGCCCAGGCTGGAGGAGTGCAGTGGCATGATCTCAGCTCAATGCAACCTCCGCCTCCCTGGTTCAAGCAATTCTCCTGCCTCAGCCTCCCAAGTAGCTAGGATTACAGGTATGTGCCGCCACACCCGTTTTGTATTTTTAGTAGACATGGGGTTTTGCCACGTTGGTCAGGGTGGTCTCAAACTTCTGGCCACAAGTGATCCGCCTGCTTCGGCCTTCCAAAGTGCTGGGATAACAGGCATGAACCACTGCACCCAGCCACAAAGCTTAATTTCTAATAGAAACATAAATTGAAGGCTGGGTACTGTGGCTCACACAATGAGCCTTGGGAGGCTGAGGCAGGAAGATCCCTTGAGCCCAGGGGTTTGAGACTAGCCTGGGCAACATAGAGACACTCTGTCTCTACAAAAAAATACAAAAATTAGCTGGGCATGGTGGCGCACCCTGTAATCCCAGCTACTTGGGAGGCTGAGGTGGGAGGATGGCTTGAGCCTGGGAAGTCGAGGCTGCACTGAGCTATGATCCTGCCACTGCACTCCAGCCTGGGTGACAGAAGGAGAGCCTATTTCATAAATAAATACATGTTTCTAACTCATATGTGGGGAAAACGAGGCTCAGAGAGGTGAAGAAACTTACTTCAGATCACACAACTAACACATGGCTGAACTGATGAAACTCTGGTCTGCCTTATTCCAAAGCCAGGGCTTTTACATGAACCGTCATGCAGAGACCTCTTAGCAAATCCAAATATTTCTGGTAACACTTTTCATAGAGGATAATGGTTTGGAACTAAGCAATGGAACACTTGGAGTGAAGAAGGATAACAAACCTAAACGACTTGACATTTGACATGTAAACAGCATTTTAAAATAAGCTTTTCAATAGCTTTACAGGCCCTAGCATCAGTGAAAACTAGCTGTAGTTTTTATACACTGCTTTCCTTCCTATTACATACAAATCTTAAAATATGCTCAGAGACAGGAAGTAGAATGGTGGTTGCCAGGGACCTGGGGGAAGGAGGGCAATAGGGAATTACTATTCAAAGGGGACAGGGTTTTAGTTTTACAAGCTGTAAGAGTTAAGGAGCTGGATAGTGGTGATGGTTATACATTACGAATACACTCAATATCCCTGAAATGTATACTGAAAAATGGGTAAAGTGGCACATTTTATGTTATGTATATTTTACCACCATAAAAATTTTGGATAAAAATATGCTCAGAAATTTAGACAGACATGCTAAGTTTAAAGATTCAAAGGTTAGAATTCTAAACTCCTAGGCTGGGCGTGGTAGCTCATGCCTGTAATCCCAACACTTTGGGAGGCTGAGGCGGGAGGATCACTTGAGTCCAAGAGTTCAAGACCAGCCTGGGCAACATAGTGAAACCCATCTCTATTTAAAAAAGAATTCTAAACTCCCTAACTGAATCCTGATAAAGAATAAATTTGGAGTTTTGCCAGTTTTTAGATGGCACCATTTCAGCCACCTCAATTCTTGCCACCTCCAATTTCCACCCTAATTCTCAGGATCGGTGGTTTTCCACTAAGCACTCATAGCTTTGTTGCAATTAGAAATATAAAATCAGTATTACTCTGCACTTTACTGCCAATGGTAGATGAGAAACTGGAACCTCAAAAAGATAATTTAGCAAACTGCAAAACAAAGTCCATTCAAGATCTGGTACAATCAACTCTTGATCATTTGGAATTTTGTTTTGATTTGCTTGCTGAACAATGCAGTCCCTGGTTCTCTCCCTGGCTGCTGGGGACATGCCCTTACAGGCTCGGGGGAAAAAAGCAGTGGTTCAATACTGTTTCCTGACAACTGCACTGGTTATTAAACACAACTACGAAATAAACTTAGGAAGATGTATAACTACCAAACTATGTTTTATGATGATAACTGTTCATTTTAGGCCTACCATTTCTTTCACCTGTGACCCAAGTAATTCAGAGGTGAGATGTACGAGCCTGTCTGAGGCATTTTAGACAAGGGAGAAGGTGCCTACACAAGTACCAAACAATGCAGTGTTAAAACTGCTTTCCATAGGTGGCAATCTTCTATGATGCTTAAGCATTGTAAAGCAGTGACATTTGTTCATGTGGACATAATTAAAATAATTGAGGCCGGGCGCGGTGGCTAATGCCTGTAATCCCAGCACTTTGGGAGGCTGAGGCAGGAGAATCGCTTAAACCCGGGAGGTGGAGGTTGCAGTGAGCCGAGATCACACCATTGCACTCCAGCTTGGGCAACAAGAGTGAAACTCCATCTCAAAAAAAAAAAAAAAGAATACACATGTATAAATGAATATGTAAATTCACCAACAAGTTTTTAAAACTACTTCTGAAAGTAGCAATACTTTATGTAGTTTCACATTAATATGAAGCCAAATAGAAAATTCCAAGTAAGTGAGACATAGAAGATGCTTAACAGTAAAGAGACTTTCTATTAGGAAGTTCAAGTGATGCACAGTGCTACCTAGGAAACTCTCCTATCAGTTTTTGGAGTACACCTGGGGCAAATGGCTAATATTTTCATCTGCTGTGGAGATTTGAAATTAATAGCATCTTAATAGAATTTTACTTCTGATTGTTCCTGGCACCCCCAAATGTCAAAATTTGACACCAGAAGAGCTGGCAAATGTGTCTGAAGGAAATTTTTTTAAATCCCCACACTCAGTTTAATAAGGTCACCTTATTGTAGTCCCAATGCAACTAAAACTTAAATTGACCACGCTGTTTAAGAAGAATTTTTCTGGGTACTTCTGTGAACGTTTTTTGGAACTAGGAAAAAAAAAAAAACCCTAGTTATTAAATTTCGAAATGACTTGAGAACAAATTTGATGTTTAGAAACCTAACCCAAAGGCGATAATTTCATGTCATCCAACATTTACTTCTTTTTTTATTAGCAAATAAAATGTTCTTTGGAATGACAATAGCTCCACCTACACCGGCACACTTCCACGTTACAGTATCATGAACATTAGCTACACTCCTGCCCCGAAACAAGCTTTTGTCTGAGCCGTTCCCAAACCAAGGTATTAAAAGTGATCATTCTTTACCAAACAAAGATACTTTTGGACTGCAACCCAGGAGACTGAACACCTCAGTGTGTATTATTGTGGTGTTATCCTGGGAAAGTAATCCTTTCTGCAAGAAAACACAAAGCCCAAGTGTGTCCTTGACAAACAGCAAGATGTTCATAGCCTATATTCTAACGAGGCAACTTGTATTTAAAAAATAAAATAAAAAAAAGTGCAGAGTCCTGGAATTAAACACCATGAGCTCTCTATTCAAAGATGTTTCTTTTAAGCAAAGTGTTTCAATTATACATAGTTGTCTGCATTTGACAACAATCAGGACGACGCTAAATGCGGTTCCTTCTCCAGATCAGAGCGAGAAACCAAGGAGAAATGAAATTGTGCCAAAGAGCACGTAGCACCTGTCAAGGCACTGTGACCCAAGAAAGATTAATACAAAGAAGCTACGATGGATTTATCTCCTTGGTCTCCCCCCGCCCGCAAGGAGTCGTACCATCCCCGGGCCAGAGCCGCCAAATCCCTGCCTCACACGTAAGGGGAAGGGAATCGCCCCTCTTGGCTGCCGACCTTCCCCAGTCGGCCGGCCTCGTGGCGAAGGGGCCAGGGGCCTGCAAGGCGGGCAGGCAACAGAGGGCCGCGAAAGAGGCCGGGACCGGAGCGGGGCAGGCCGTGTGGCCCGTACCCCAGCGCCACAGCTCAGCCCCGCACTGGTCCTACCGTAGGGGGGATGGGGCTGGAAGCGGGCGCTCGTCTCCGGGCATCGGCGCCGCCGCGGCCAAGGCAGGGCAAAAACCAACACGTTGTCGTTGGCGGGAGGCAGTGGAAGGGATCCGCCCCGCAAGCAAGACCCCGGGAGCCCAGCCGCCGCCGCCCCGTCTCCGAGCGCGCCATTTCCAGGCCCCGGCCCTCCAGGCGCCGCTCCTAGGCCTCCGCGGGCCCCCGCCTCCCGCCGCCCCGGCTGAGCGCAGGACGGCCGCCACCCTGACGGCCCCGACTCCGCCGGTCCCGCAGCCCCCGACGGGGCCCGCGCACGCCCGCCTCACCCTCTGCCGCCGCCGAAGCTGCTGTAGGCCCGATCGTCGTAGGTGTCGAAGTCCGCCATTTGCCGTCTCCGCTCCGAGAGGAACCAGGGTGAGCGAGGAAGGACCCCGCAATATAACTCCCCCCGCCCCGCCGCCGGGGCTGTCCGCCGCGCCGCCTGATCGCAAATCCCTTGGACGCAGGCACGCGCACGCGCGCGCGCGCACGCACGCACGGACGCTGGCCGCGCAGCGCCCGGCCCTGGGCCCACCGGCAGCTGCCTGCCCCGTGCGCTCTGCAGCCCACGTGGTGCGGCGGCGTCCCAGCTGGACGCCTGCCCGGCCTACGCGGCCCATTATGTGCTGGCCCTGGGGTGCGCCCGTGGCTGCCTCCTATCCCCGCCGCACCACGCCCGTGCGCGCCGGCCTTTCCGTCCGTCGGCGGGAGGTGACCTGGAGAGCTGGGGGGAACTCCCTCTCCAGTTCGCCTGGGACGCTGCCTTTCGGCCTCCATACATGGCGGGGACCTCGGAGGCCTGTCCCGCTTGGACCCCCAAGTGGTCCCCGGGTGACACCCAAGTAAAGGCCACCTCCTTCTCCAGGCAGGAGCTGGCCACACGATGAGGATGCCCCGGAAGGGGGTGCGAGGCGGTGGGATGCAGACACGAATCCTGCCTTCCAGGGCTTACTCGCTGCCTGGGTATTGGGGGGTTTTGAGAGGAGAGAGTATAGGTGATCGGTGACTTAGCAAGAGAGACTGCACATCTCGGTTTTTTGCAGAAGTCGTTGCCTTGGAAAAAGAATTGGATACTGTTGTGGATTCCATCATCTAGCAATAACAAAACATGGTTATGCAGTGGGAATTAATTACACGGGTAAATTTCCAGGTTTGTGATTGAGATGGTAGTAATTGTGGATGCCACGATGTTGACAAACCTTAATTATCTAAGCACACTTTGAAAGAACCTCATAGAATTTTGTTGTGATGTGTACCTAGGTATCTTCCGCTTAACCATTACTTTTTATTATGTATTTATTGGTTCGTTGTTGAGACAGGGTCTCGCTCTGTCGCCCAGGCTGGACTGCGGTGGAACAGTGGTAGCTCACGGCAGCCTTGACCTCTTGGGCTCATGCCATCCTGCCGCCTTAGCCTCTGGAGTAGCTAGGACTATAGGCGGGCAGTACCTCGCCTAATTTGCATTTTTTTTTTTTTTTTTTTGAGATGGAGAATCAGGTTGGAGTGCAGTGGCGCAATCTCATCTCACTGCAACCTCCACCTCCTCGGTTCAAGCAATTCTCCTGCCTCTGTCTCCCGAGTAACTGGGGTGACAGACGTGCACCACCACACCCAGTTAATTTTTGTATTTTTAGTAGAGACAGCGTTTCACCATGTTGCCCAGGCTGGTCTTGAACTGAGATCCACCCGCCTTGGCCTCCCAAAGTGCTGGGATTACAGGCATGAGCCACCGTGCCTGGCTCTAATTTGCTTTGTAAAACATTTATTTGTAGAGACAGAGTCTCACTATGTTGCCCAGGTTTGTCTCGATCTACTGGCTTTTAAGTAGTCCTCCTGCCTCTGCCTCCTAAAGTGCTGGAATTACAAGCATGAGCCACTGTGCCCTGCCAACTTTTATATTTGAGTATCTTCTCCTTCATAGCAGTGTTAAGATGGACAGAGCATTATCAATTCATGAGTTAATAGTGTTGAACTCACTTATTCATTTTTCTGTGCCTTTTTCTTCCCAAGTAATAAAACACTTTGCTGCCTGATAGACCTAGATTGAACCTAGGCTCAGTTAACGTCTTACTGGCTGAGTGACCTCGAGGACGTTGCTTAACCGCTTTAACATGCCTGTTTTCTCATCTATATAATAATGTCACCTACCTCTTCAGTGTTGTAAAGATTCAAATTAGTAAATATGTAAAATTCCTGGCACACAATATATATTGGGGACCTACCAAGGTGTCTGGCACCATTATGGGTGCTTTACCTGTAGATAATAATTTCCAAACCTGTTTAACAGCTGTGGAACCACCCAGAGAGAAAGAGACTTGCCCAAGGTCACCTAGTTTTGACCTTAGCACATGGCTCAGAAAATAACCAATGGTTTCTTCTCCTTGCGCAGTTTAAACTTGGACCCCTGCTCCATGCTCCTGCCCCCATTACTCTATTACTCTTATTTACTTTCTTTTTTTTTTTGTTTTTGGTAGAGATGGGTCTTGCCATGTTGCCAAGGCGGGTCTTTTTTTTTTTTTTGAGACAGAGTCTGGCTGTGTCACCCAGGCTGGAGTGCAGTGGCGCAATCTCGGCTCACTGCAAGCTCCGCCTCCCAGGTTCATGCCATTCTCCTGCCTCAGCCTCCTGAGTAGCTGGGACTACAGGCGCCCGCCACTACGCCCGACTAATTTTTTGTATTTTTAGTAGAGACGGGGTTTCACCGTGTTAGCCAGGATGGTCTTGATCTAACCTTGTGATCCGCCCGCCTTGGCCTCCCAAAGTGCTGGGATTACAGGTGTGAGCCACCGTGCCCGGCCCCCCAGGCAGGTCTTGAACTCCTGACTTCAAGTTATTCTCCCTCCTTGGCCTCCCGAAGTAGTGGTATTGCAGGATTACAGGTGGGAACCACGCACCCGGCCACTCCATTACTCATTTTTTTTTTTTTTTTGAGACAGGGTCTCACTCTGTTGCCCAGGCTGGACTGTAGTGGCACGATCTCAGCTCACTGCAGCCTCCGCCTCCAGCATTCAAGCCAGTCTCCTGCCTCAGCCACCTGAGTAAGTGGCATTACAGGTGTGCGCCACCACGCCTGGCTAATTTTTGTATTTTTGGTGGAGATGGGGTTTCCATGTGTTTCCCAGTCTGGTCTTGAACTCCTGGCCTCAGGTGATCCACCCACCTCAGCCTCCCAAAGTGCTGGGATTACAGGCGTGAGCCACCGTGCCTGGCCACTCCATTACTCTTTTTTTACTTTTTTTTTTTTTGAGATGGAGTCTCACTCTGTCACCCAGGCTGGAGTGCAGTGGCACCATCTCGGCCCATTGCAACGTCCGCCTCCCAGATTCAAGCAATGATCCTACCTCAGCCTCCTATGTAGCTGGGACCACAGGCACCGGCCACCATGCACGGCTGATTTTGTATTTTTAGGAGAGATGGGGTTTCACCATGTTGGTCAGGCTGGTCTCGAATTCCCGACCTCAGGTGATCCACCCGCCTTGGCCTCCCAAAGTGCTGGGATGATAGGCCTGAGCCACCACACCCGGCTACTCCATTACTCTTAAAATGCATCAAATTGCATTTGACCAAAGGGAAACATTAAGGGCTGGAGGCAGTGGCTCACGCCTGTAATCCCAGCACTTTGAGAGGCTGAGGTGGGCAGACAAATTAGCCAGGCGTGGTGGCGCATGCCTGTAATCCCAGCTACCTGGGAGGCTGAGGCAGGAGAATCACTTGAACCTGTGAGGTGGAGGTTGCGGTGAGCCAAGATTGCACCATTGCACTCCAGCCTGAGCAACAAGAGCAAAACTCCGTCTCAAAAAAAAAAAAAAAAAAAGGAAACGTTAATATTTATTCCTGAATGGCCTTACATTTTTTTTACTTCCAAAGTGTCCCAGTCCAAAGTCACTTCAGGGTGAGATCTTGAAGGACAGGAGCCATGTTAAGGGGGTTATGTCCCACAGGGCCTTACATGTGGGAGAAGGGGTGCAATTTGTCATTAATAAAGTAAAAAGCGGGGCATGGTGGCTCACACCTGTAATTCCAACATTTTGGGAAGCCGAGGCGGGAGTGTCGCTTGACCCCAGCAAATGGAGACCAGCCGGGGCAACATAGTAAAACCCCAAATCTACAAAAAATAAAAATTAGCCAGGTGTGGTTGCACATGCCTGTGGACCCAGCTACTTGGGAGCCTGAGATGGTAGGATCACTTGAGCCAGGGTGTTGAGGCTGTAGTGAGCCATGATCACACCACTGCACTCCAGCTTGGGCCACAGATTGAGATCCTATCAAAAAACATAATAAATTTTTTTTTTTTTTTTTTTTAAGGGAGGGCTGTGTGTGGTGGCTCATGCCCGTAATCCCAGCACTTTGGGAGGCTGAGGCTGGTGGATCACTTGAGGCCAGGAGTTCAAGACCAGTCTGGGCAACATGGCAAAACCCCATCTCTGGTAAAAATACAAAACTTAGCTGGGCTTGGTGGCGTACAGCTGTAGTCCCAGCTACTCAGAAGGCTGAGGCAGGAGAATCGTTTGATTCCGGGAGACAGAGGTGGCAGTGAGCCGAGGTCACACCACTGCACTCCAGCCTGGGTGACAGAGCAAGAATCCGTCTAAAAAATTAAAAAATAGACTTTCTAGGAAGGCTGGGGCTTTCTCAGCACTGGGACCAACCACAGGTCATCCCCTCCTTCCCGGCTTAATACCCCTTTCTCCCCAGCCAGCAGCTGGGGCCAGTCTTTCGGGCCACACTCCTAGACCCTCCAATCTATAGGGACTTCCCCCTTCTTTTGGTCTCCAGCACATAGCCCACCTCCACCTGGGATGCAGAGGATTGAGGCCAACCCCAGAAAGTTCTGTATACATTGTGACTGCTTCCATGGCAAAGTTAAATGTCAGCCTTTCCTGAGGTTATCCTCATGAACTTTGGTCCTATTAATAATTTGTTCCCTGGCCGGGCACCGTGGCTCACACCTGTAATCCCAGCACTTTGGGAGGCTGATGCAGGCAGATCACATGAGGTCAGGAGTTCAAGACCAGTATGGCCAACATGGTGAAACCTCGTCTCCACTAAAAATACAAAAATTAGCCGGATGTGGTAGCAGGCGCCTGTAATCCCAGCTACTCGGGAGGCTGAGGCAGGAGAATCGCTTGAACCCGGGAGGTGGGGGTTGCAGTGGGCCAAAATCACACCATTGCACTCCAGCCTGGGCAACAGAGCGAGACTCCATCTCAAAAATAAATAAAGAAATAATAATAATTTGTTCCCTAAGCCCTTCCCCAGAGTGGATATTCCAGGCTTCACCAGTTCCCTTGAGCCCTGGGGTGGCTCTCAAAGGCCCAACTCAGATAACACTTTCTCCCAGAGGCCTTTATTGCAGCGGTGAAGCCTGTGGGCTTGCATTTCAAACTGCCTGTCTTCAAATCCCAGCCAAGCCACTTACTGCTACTGTGTGACCTCCAGCAAGGTGCTTAATCCCTCTGTTCTTTGTCTATAAAACAGGAATAATAATAGTAATACCAGTTATCACTATTCATGCTGTTTTAATGTGCTGAAATGATGTTTTATTGGTATAATATGGCTATTATCTAAAAAAATCTGAAATTAGCCTGGCACGGTGGTGGCTCATGCCTGTAATCCTAGCACTTTGGGAGGTGGAGGCGGGCAGATCACAAGGTCAGGAGTTCGAGACCAGCCTGGCCAACATGGTGAAACCTCGTCTCTACTAAAAATACGAAAATTAGCCGGGTGTGGTGACACGTGCCTGTAATCCCAGCTACTTGGGAGGCTGAGGCAAGAGAATCACTTGAACCCAGGAGGCAGAGGTTGAGTGAGCCAAGATCGTGCCACTGCACTCCAGCCTGGGCAACAGAACAAGATTCCATCTCAAAAAAAAAAAAAAAAAAAAAAAATATATATATATATATATATATATATATATATCTATATATCTATATCTGAAATTGGGCATGTTGGCTCACTGCTGTAATCCCAGTGCTTTGGGAGGCCAAGGTGGGAGGATCACTTGAATCCAAGAGTTTGAGACTAGCCTGGGCAACATAGTGAGACCTCATCTCTACAAAAAAAAATTAGCCAGGCGTGATGGCACATACCTGTAGTCCCAGCTACTTGGAGGCTGAGGTGGAAGGATAGCTGGAACTCTGGAGATGGAGGTTGCAGTGAGATGGCGCCACTGCACTCCAGCCTGGGTGACAGAGTGAGACCCTGTCTCAAATAAATAGATAAAAATAAAGAGGTTTATTCTGAGCCAAATATGAGTGACCAAGGCCCATAACACAATCCCAGGAGGTTCTGAGAACATGTACCCAAAGTGAGTTGGTTACAGCTTGATTTTATACATTTTACAGGGACATAAGTTATAGGGAAACATCAATCAATACATGTAATGTATACATTGGTTCTGTCTGGAAAGGTGGGACAACTTGAAGGAAGGTTTTTGGGGGAGGCTTCCAGGTCATACAGGGATTCGGAGATTTTCTATTTTCTTTTTTCTTTTTTGAGACAGGGTCTCACACTGTTGCCCAGGCTGGAGTGCAGTGGTGCGATCTCAGCTCACTGCAACCTCCACCTCCCAGGTTCAAGCAATTCTCCTGCCTCAGCCTCCCGAGTCACTGGGATTACACGTGTCCACCACACCCAGCTAATGTTTTCATTTCGTGGAGGCAGGATCCTGCTATGTTGCCTGGGCTGGTGTCGAACTCCTGGCCTTAAGCAATTCTCCTTCCTCAGCTTTCCAAAGCTCTGGAATTACAGGTATGAGCCACCACACCTGGCCTCATGTGCTTAATTTTTTTAAGATCACCCCTTCTAAAAGAAATACATGTCATTTTTACTTATTCATAATTAATTTAAATTTTTGCTAAATTATTATTATTTTTTTTAAAGAAAGGGTCTTGCTCTGTCACTTAGGCTGAGTGCAGTGGGCGTGATCATGGCTCACTGCAGCCTTGATTTACCAGGCTCAAGCAATCCTCCCACCTCAGCCTCCCAAGTAGCCGGGACCACAAGCACGCAACATGCCAGGCTAATTTTTTGATTTTTCGTAGAGGTGAAGTTTCACTCTGTTGCCTAGGCTGGTCTCAAACTCCTGACCTCAAGTGATCTTCCTGCCTCAGCCTCACAACATGCTGGGATTACAGGCATGAGCCACTGTGCCCAGCCTGTCTATATTTAGAACCATCATGATGAAAATACAGAACAACCCCGCCTGTACTGTAAATACAAAAATTAGCCAGGCGTGGTGGCACACACCTATAGTCCCAGCTTCTCGATAGGCTGAGGTACAAGAATCGCTTGAACCTGGGAGGTGAAGGTTGCAGTGAGCTGGGATTGTGCCATTGCACTCCAGCCTGTGTGATGGAGTGAGACCCTGTCTCAAAAAAAAAAAAAAAAAAAAAGTGCAGAACAAAGACAAAAAGAAAAATGTTTAGAGCTACCAGAGTGAACACAAATGCTGTTTACCTGACTGTAAGACTGACGATGACAGAAGCAGTAACAGAAGACAATAGAATAACATCATACAAATTCCATGGGGAAATAATGCCGAACCACAGACTCTATACCCAGCTTAATCATCCTTCAATAACGAAAATAAATGTATTCATAGAAACCTGAGATTATTTATCTGTCACAAATCCTTTCTAAAAGAATTGTAGGCCAGGCTCAGTGGCTCATGTCTGTAATCCCAGCACTTTGGGAGGCCGAGGTGGAAGGATCACTTGAGGCCAGGAGTTGGAGGCAGCAGTGAGTCCAGTTCTTTCTTTCTCCTGATAGAATCCTATTAGACCTATATCACATTTTTTTTTTTTTTGAGATGGAGTCTCGCCTGTCGCCCAGGCTGGAGTGCAGTGGTGCAATCTCGGCTCACCACAACCTCCGCCCCCCGGGTTCAAGCAATTCTCCTGCCTCAGCCTGCTGAGTAGCTGGGATTAGAGGCACACACCACTACGCCTGGCTAATTTTTGTATTTTTAGTAGAGACGGGGTTTCCCCATGTTGGTCAGGCTGGTCTCGAACTCCTGACCTCAGGTGATCCGCCCGCCTCGGCCTCCCAAAGTGCCGGGATACAGGCTTGAGCTGCCGTGCCCGGCCTATTTTTACTTTTTAAAAATAATTTTGATGTGCTTTGGCTGTGTCCCCACCCAAATCTCAAATCTCATCTTAAATTGTAGCTCCCATAATCCCCACGTGTCATGGGAGGGACCCAACTGAATCATGGAGGCAGGTTTTTCCCATGCCGTTCTCATGACAGTGAATAAGTCTCAATCTGCTGGTTTTATAAAGGGGTGTTCCCCTGCACACACTCTCCTGCCTGCCGCCATGGAAGATGTGCCTTTGCTCCTCCTTCGCCTTCCGCCATGATTGTGAGGCCTTCCCAGCTATGCGGAACCGAGAGTCCCATTAAATGTCTTTTCGTTGATAAATTACCCAGTCTCAGGTATTTCTTCATAGCAGTGTGGAAGTGGACTAATACAAATTTCAACTTTTATTTTAGATTCAGGGGGTGCACTTGCAGGCTTGTTACATGAGTATATTGCATGATGCTGAGGCATGAGGTACAAATGATGTGGTACGTGGTTACTTAGGTAGTGAGCATACCTGCCTACGATTTCTTTTTTTTTTAAACGGCAGAGTCTGACCCTGTTGCCCAGGCTGGAATGTAGTGGCTGGAATGTAGTGGCGCAATCTTGTCTCACTGCAACCTCCCCCTCCCGAGTTCAAGTGATCCTCCTGCCTCAGCCTCCTGAGTAGCTGGGATTACAGGCTCCTGCCGCCATGCCCAGCTAATTTTTGTATTTTTAGTAGACATGGGGTTTCACCATGTTGACCAAACTGGTTTCGAACTCCTGACCTCAGGTGCTCTGCCTGCCTCGGCCTCCCAAAGAGCTGGGATTACAGGTGAGAACCATCACACCCGGCCCTGCCTACGATTCTTAGGCAGGAATAAACCCATTAACCAGCATCTCAATCAAGACACAGAACATTACCTGGACCCCTGGAAGCCTCCCTGTGTTCCTTCCCACCTACGGTACTAAGCATACCAGCCTACAGTTCTTTTTTTTGTTTTGTTTTGTTTTTTGAGATGGAGTCTTGCTCTGTCACCCAGGCTGGAGTGCAGTGGCGCAATTTCGGCTCACTGCAACCTCCGCCTCCTGGGTTCAAGTGATTCTCCTGTCTCAACCTCCCTGTTGTGGTAAATTGAGGAACGGAGAGACCAATACAGAGTACAGGAGAATTGTTGTTTGTTTTAGGTACGCACCGGCTCTGTGGACTGACATCCAAAAAACTGAACATTAAACAAAGACCGAGTGGGGTTTTTATAAGCAGCCTTACAGAGGCAAAACAAAAGTAGTTAATCATACAGTGACAGGTCATGTAATCTATAGCATAACATAACTTGTGGCCCTGCGTAGCTAGTGACCTTGTAGCTGCGTTGAAAGAAAAACAAGAACTCGCTAAATACAGACATTTGTAAAACATAATCATGCTTAAGAAGCCTGGGAAACGAGTAACAGTAAAAGAATCTTTCTCTTTTTTTCCTTCAACCTTGCTCTGGAAGGGGGCGCTGTCTGGAGCCCATTCCTTTGGCCTTGGCTATTTGGACAGCGTTATAACTGTCTTTGAAGTGAGCTTGGCAAGGCACAGGAAAACTTGTTCCTTTTTTTTTTCTTTTTAACCCTTGCCTTGCCACATTCTGGGCCTTAGCTTTTACTTTTCTTGGAGTGAATAAATGCAGTACTTATTATTATTTTTAAATTTCTGCCTCATCCCAAGTAGCTGGGATTAGAGGTGTGCACCACCATGCCTGGCTAATTTTTGTAGTTTTAGTAGAGACGGGGTTTCACCATGTTGGTCAAGCTGGTCTCAAACTCCTGACCTCATGATCCGCCCACCTCAGCCTCCCAAGGTGCTGGGATTAAAGGCGTGAGCCACTGTGCCCGGCCTACAGTTCTTTTAGAAAGAATGCATGAGAGATAAGTGAGCAATAGTTTTTCGACTCCTTCCCCGCTCCCTCATGTTTTTTAAAAATGGTTTTATTTATTATTTATGCTTTTATTTTTTGAGATTGAGTCTCATTCTGTCACCCAGGCTAGAGTGCCGTGACATGATCTTGACTCACTGCAACCTCTGTCTCTGGGGCTCAAGCGATCCTCCCACCTCAGCCTCCTGAGTAGCTGGGACCACAGGCAGGTACCACCATGCCCGGTTAATTTTCTGTATTTTTGGTACAGACAGGGTTTCACCATGTTGCCCAGACTGGTCTCAAACTCCTGAGCTCAAGCGACCTGCCAGCCTTGGTCTCCCAGGGTGCTGGGATTGCAGGCGTGAGCCACTGTGCCCGGCCTTCATCACCATTTTTATTATTTTTATTTCATTTATTTATTTATTTATTTTGAGATGGAGTTTCACTCTTGTTGCCCAGGCCATAGTGCAATGGTGCAATCTTGGCTCACTGCAACCTCTGCCTCCCAGGTTGAAGCAATTCTCCTGCCTCAGCCTCCCAAGTAGCTGGGATTACAGGCATGTGCCACCACACCCCACTAATTTTCTGTATTTAGTAGAGACGTTTTAGTAGATTTAGTAATAATTTTCTGTATTTAGTAGAGAGTAGTTTTCCCATATTGGTCAGGCTGGCCTCGAACTCCTGACCTCAGGTGGCTCACCCACCTTGGCCTCCCAAAGTGGTGGGATTACAGGTGTGAGCCACTGTGCCTGGCCCATTTTTATTTTTAAAAGTTGTATTTAGTTTTTCTACAAAACTACCTTCCCCTGCTACCCACAATGTCTTATTCTTTTAGCGTTCTCATTCTTTCTTACTATTTTTATTTTAATTGGTTATTAAGTTACTTCCTTGGGTTACAACATACATCCAGAAAAGTGTACACATCACACAAACTCCCTAAGTGTTAAAAAACAGAATAAATCCACGTAACCAGCATCTCCACCAGGACACAGAACATTATCAGGACTTCCAGAAGGCTCTCTTATGCTCCTTCCCGCCAAGGTAAACACTGTTATAAATTATTATTATTTTGAGAAATAGGGTCTTGCTCTGTTGCTCAGGCTCGAGTGCAATGGCACAATCATAGCTGTCGCCTCGAACTCCTTGGCTCAAGTGATCTCCTGCCTCAGCCTCCTGAGTAGCTGGAACCACAGGTGCACACCACCACACCCAGCTAATTTTTAAATTTTTTGTGGAAACAAGGTCTCCATACATTGCCCAGGCTGGTCTTGAACTCTTGGGCTTAAGCAGTGTTCCTAGCTTGGCCTGCCAAAGTGCTGGTGATACAGGAGTTAAAAAGGAATTATTTAGGCAGACAGGGAGAGTAAGAAAGTCCTTGGTAAGGTTTCCCTTTTAATAAAAAGCAGTGCCAAAATCATTTCTTGTCCTTTTTTATTTTTTTTGAGATTGAGTTTTGCCCAGGCTGGAGTGCAGTGGTGCGATCTCGGCTCACTCCAACCTCCACCTCCCAGGTTCAAGCGATTCTCTTGCCTCAGCCTCCCGAGTAGCTGGGATTACAGGCATGAGCCACCATGCCCGGCTGATTTTTGTATTTTCAGTAGAGATGGAGTTTCACTATGTTGGCCAGGCTGGTCTCGAACTCCTGACCTCAGGTGATCCACCTGCCTCGGCCTCCCAAAGTGCTGGGATTACAGGTGTGAGCCACTGTGCCTGGCCAAAATAATTTCTTTTCTAACAAACAGCAGCCTGTAAAATCGAGCTGCAGACACAGATAAGCAAGCTGGAAGCTTGCACAAGTGAATGCCTGCAGCTGTGCCAAAAGGAAAAGGCTTACAGGCATGTTGAACATGGCGGCTCCATCTTCCCTTTTCTTTGTCAACATGTGTGTAGTAAGGAACAGGCAAGATGGCACCCGCCGGGTAGAGATTCCATCTGCATAATAAAAGATTAGGGGCCAGGCACAGTGGCTCACACCTGTAATCCCAGTACTTTGGGAGGCCGAGACGGGCAGATCACGAGGTCAGGAGATCGAGACCATCCTGGCTAACATGGTGAAACCCCGTCTCTACTAAAACTACAAAAAATTAGCCAGACGTGGTGGCGGGCGCCTGTAGTCCCAGCTACTCAGGAGGCTGAGGCAGGAGAATGGCGTGAACCCGGGAGGCGGAGCTTGCAGTGAGCGGAGATCACGCTACTGCACTCCAGCCTGGGTGACAGAGCAAGACTCTGTCTCTAAATAAATAAATAAAATAAAAGATTAGAGTGAGTGGCCAGCTTCTTTACATGCTTTGTAAATGGCACACCTGGTCCAATCAACCTTTGGCTCCTATGCAAATCAGACACAGCCTCCTCAAGTCAGTCTATAAAACCCGTGCACTTGGCCACAGATCAGAAAACCCACTCCAGTGCCCCTCTGTCTCTGCAGGAGAAAGAGCTATTCCCTTTTCTCTTCGTTTCACCTATTAGACCTCTGCTGTTAAACTCACTTCTTGTGTATCCTTGACTCTCTTGGTGTGAGACAATGAACTCAGGTATTTACCACAGACAACAATGCCACTTCATTGAGATTACAGGTGTGAGCCACCTTGCCTGGCCTTATAAAATCATTTTTAATAGCTCTATTTTGTCCCGTTTTTCAGGTGGTTATCATACATTCTGGACACTTTGGGCCTCTCCTTCTTCTGTTTCTCATTCTTGTGTTTGCTGAGTTTCAATCCTGGTGGATTGTGCCCCAAAATGTTTGACATTTCTCACTGTGAGCTCATCAAAGTGGATGGATGGTTCTTGATTTTCTTTTCCTCCAATAGAATCCATTGCTGGCCAGGCGCAGTGGCTCATGCCTGTAATCCCAGCACTTTGGGAGGCTGAGGTGGGCGGAGATCGAGACCAGCCTGGCCAATATGGTGAAACCCCGTCTCTACTAAAAATACAAAAATGAGCCAGGCGTGGTGGCACGCATCTGTAGTCCCAGCTACTCGGGAGGCCAAGGCAGAAGAATCGCTTGAACCCAGGAGGCAGAGGTTGCAGTGAGCTGAGATCGTGCCACTGCACTCCAGTCTTGGCAACAGAGTGAGACTCTGTCTCAAAAAAAAAAAAAAAAAGAATCCATTGCAGCCTCGATGTTGAGAACACGACTTCAGAGCTTTTCCATGCTTTGCCTGGAATCATCAGATTGTAGTACTGGAAAGGGGTCCCTATCCAGACCCCGAGAGAGGGTTCTTGGATCTCACGCAAGAAAGAATTT
This sequence comes from Homo sapiens, assembly GCF_000001405.40. Classification (NCBI taxonomy): domain Eukaryota; kingdom Metazoa; phylum Chordata; class Mammalia; order Primates; family Hominidae; genus Homo; species Homo sapiens. Next base: position 74,161,525 of record NC_000007.14, on the reverse strand, counting down.
GGGGCAAGTCCATACAGTAAAGTGAAAGCAAATTTATTAAGAAATTAAAGGGGCCCGGCATGGTGCCTCACACCTGTAATCCTAGCACTTTGGGAGGGCAAGGCAGGCAGATCACTTGAGGTCAGGAGTTCCAGACCAGCCTGGTCAACATGGCGAAACCCTATCTCTACTAAAACTACAAAAATTAGCTGGTGTGGTGGTGCACACCTGTAATCCCAGCTACTCAGGAGGTGGAGGTTGCAGTGAGCCAAGATCGCACCACTGCACTCTAGCCTGGGTGACAGAGTGAGACTCTGTCTCAAAAAACAATAATAATAATAATAACAATAAAAAAAAGAAACTAAAGGAATAAAGAATGGCTACTCCACAGGCAGAGCAGCCCCGAGGGTTGGTGGTTGGCTTTTTTGTTGTTGTTGTTGTTGTTGAGACAGAGTCTTGCTCTATCACCCAGGCTGGAGTGCAGTGGCATGATCGCGGTTTAGTGCAACCTCTGCCACTCAGGTTCAAGTGATTCTCCTGCCTCAGCTTCCTGAGTAGCTGGGACTACATGTGTGTGCCACCATGCCCAGGTAAATTTTTGTATTTTTAGGAGAGACAGGGTTTCACCATGTTAGCCAGGATGGTCTCGATTTTCTGACCTTGTGATCCACCCACCTCGGCCTCTCAAAGTGCTGGGATTACAGGCGTGAGCCACCGTGCCAGGCCTGGTTGGCTATTTTTCTGGTTCTTTTTTTTTTTTTGAGATGAAGTCTCGCTCTGCCACCCAGGCTGGAGTACAATGACACATTCTCAGCTCACTGCAACCTCTGCCTACCGGGTTCAAGCAATTCTCCTGTCTCAGCCACCCCCCCCCCCCCCCCCCGCGAGTAGCTGGGTCTACAGGCATGCAACCACCACGCCTGGCTAATTTTTGTATTTTTAGTAGATACGCGGTTTTACCATGTTCGTCAGGCTGGTCTCACACTCCTGACCTCAAGTGATCTACCCACCTTGGCCTCCCAAAACGCTGGAATTACAGGCGTGAGCCACTGTGCCTGGACGGTTATTTCTTGATTATATGCTAAACAAGGGGTGGATTATTCATGAGTTTTCCAGGAATGGGGTAGGCAATTCCCGGAACTGACGGTTCCTCCCCTTTTTAGACCGTATAGGGTGACTTCTGGACATTGCCATGGCATCCGTAAACTGTCATGGTGCTGGTGGGCGTGTCATTTAGCATGCCAGTGCATTATAATTAGTGTATAATGAGCAGTGAGGATGACCAGAGGTCACTTTTGTCACCATTTTGGTTTTGGTGGGTTTTGGCTGGTTTCTTTACTGCAACCTGTCTTATCAGCAAGGTCTTTGTGTATCTTGTGCTGACCTTCTATCTCCTCCTGTGACTAAGAATGCCTTAACCTCCTGGGAATGCAGCCCAGTAGGTCTCAGCCTCATTTTACCCAGCCCCTATTCAAGATGGAGCTGCTCTTGTTTGAACGCCTCTGACAACTGGGCTCAATATTTCTGTCAGTGGTTGACTAGGGAGTTCCTGGACCACTCCTGTCCAGTCAACAGGTATCTGAAACCATGTGATGCAAGGTTGGGAGTGTCAACCTAAAAGCAATAAATGAGGACAAACTTATATAAGGAGAGAGTTTATTTGGGGCAAGCTTGAGGGTTACAGCTTGGGAGCATAGATTCCAGTTGTCCTGAATGTACACTCTGATAAGCAGCAGTTACAAATAGGTTGTTTTTTGTTTACTTTTCTTTTCTTTATTTTTTTGAGACAGAGTCTCGCTCTTGTTGCCCAGGCTGGAGTGCAATGGCACAATCTCGGCTCACTGCAACCTCCATCTCCCAGGTTCAAGCGATTCTCCTGCCTCAGCCTCCCGAGTAGCTAGGATTTCAGGCGCCAGCCACCACACCCAGCTAATTTTTGTATTTTTAGTAGAGACAGGGTTTCACCACATTGGTCAGGCTGGTCTTGAACTCCTGACCTCAGGTTATCTGCCTGCCTTGGCCTCCCAAAGTGCTGGGATTACAGGTGTGAGCCACTGCACCCGGCCGTTTTCTTTTTTCGAGACGGAATCTCGCTCTGTCACCCCAACTGGAGTGCAGTGGTGCCATCTTGGCTCACTGCAACCTCTGCCCCCTGGGTTCAAGTGATTCTTGTGCCTCAGTCTCCTGAGTAGCTGAGATTACAGGTGCCTGCCACCACAGCCGGCTAATTTTTGTATTTTTAATAGAGACGGGGTTTCACCATGTTGGCCAGCCTGGTCTTGAACTCTTGGCTTCAGGTGATCCACCTGCCTTGGGCTCCCAAAGTCCTGGGATTACAGGCATGAGCCACCTTGCCTGGCCACAAATAGGTTTTTTTTGAGTCAGGGTCTTGCTCTGTTGCCCAGGCTGGAGTGCAGTGGCGCCATCATAGTTCACTGCAGCCTCCAACTCCTGGGCTCAAGCGATCCTCCTATCTCAGTCTCCTGAGTAGCTCAGACTATAAGCATGTGCTACCACACCCAGCTAATTTTTTAATTTGTTGTAGAGATAGGGTCTCGCTGTGTTGCCCAGGCTGGTCTCAAACTCCTGGCATCAAGCAATCCCCCTTCTGCCTCAGCTTCCCAAAGTGCTGGGATTACAGGCCTGAACCATGGAATCCAACACAAGGAGGTTTTTAATGGAAAAGAAGAGGCAGTTTCCTAAATTAGTTACCAGGAATTTATATGACAATAACGTGAGCTATTGATTGGCTACACATTGTTATTTGTATCACTGATTGTGAGAATTTAAAGATAATGGAGCTGTAATCGCAGCACTTTGGGAGGCTGAGACAGGTGGATCACCCGAGGTCAGGAGTTTGAGACCAGCCTGGCCAACATAGTGAAACCCCTTCTCTACTAAAAATACAAAAAATTAGCTGGGCGTCGTGTTGGGTGCCTGTAATCTCAGCTACTAGGAGGGAGTCTGAGGCAGGAGAATCACTTGAATCTGGGAGGCGGCGGTTGCCGTGAGCCAAGATCGGGCCATTACACTCCAGCGTGGGCAACAAGAGCGAAACTCTGTCTCAAACGAACAAACAAACAAAGATAATGGATGAGACAGCAACTTGGGAAGAAAATGACTTTAAACAATTGCCCCAGGCCCAGCACGGTGGCTCACGCCTGTAATGCCAGCACTTTGGGAGGCCGAGGTAGGCAGATCACTTGAGCCCAGGAATTTGAGACCAGCCTGAGCAACATGGTGAAACCCCATCTCTACAAAACATACAAAAATTAGCCAGGCGTGGTGGTGCATAGTTGTAGTTCCAGCTACTTGGGAGGCTGAGGTGGGACGATCCCTTGAGCCCGAGAGGCAGAGGTTGCAGTGAGCTGAGATTGTGCCACTGTACTCCAGCCTGGGTGACAGAGTGAGACCCTGTCTCAAAAAAATAAAAATAGCTGGGCATGGTGGCTCACCCTTCTAATCCCAGCACTTTGGGAGGCCGAGGCGGGCGGATCACCTGAGGTAGGTAGTTTGACCAGCCTGACCAACATGGTGAAACCCCGTCTCTACTAAAAATACAAAAGAAGTTAGCCAGGCATGATGGTCTATCCCTGTAATTCCAGCTAGTTGGGAGGCTGGAGGCAGGAGAATCGGTTGAACCCAGGAGGCGGAGGTTGCAGTGAGCCGAAATCGCACTGTTGCACTCCAGCCTGGGTAACAAAAGCCAAACTCTGTCTCAAAAATAAATAAATAAATAAATAAATAAATAAATAAATAAAAAATCGCCCCTTGGGCATGGATTAGGGAGGGAGGGTAGGGGAGAGGGTTGGTGCGGGTATGGGGGTCATGCCTGAATTCCCATTCACGTGTCTTTCTGGACCTGCTTACATCACAGGCCCTAGATTGCTCCAAGCTATTCTCCTTTTCTTAGGAGTTTTGAATTCTCAGGCTGAAACGGATAAGCTTGCTTGTCACTTCTCTGTGTAGATGGGTACATGTTCTCAAGCTGATCCTATAGCTGTAATAGATCTGTTGTCTGATGCTCACAGCAAGTCAATAAGCCCAGATGCCAGGTTGCAAGAGATGTTTCAGGCCTGGTGCAGTGTCTCATGCCTGTAATCCCAGCACTTTGGGAGGCTGAGGCGGGTGGATCACCTGAGGTCAGGAGTTCAAGACAAGCCTGGCCAACATGATGAAACCCTGTCTCTACTAAAAATACAAAAATTAGCAGAGTGTGGTGGCACAGGCCTATAGTCCAAGCTACTCAAGAGGCTGAGGCACAAGAATCACTTGAATCCGGGAGGCGGAGGTTGCAGTGAGCCAAGATCGTGCCACTGCTCTCCAGTTTGGGTGACAGAGCGAGGCTCAGTCTCAAATAAATAAATAAATAAATAAGAATGAGAAGAGGTGTTTCATCATAGAATCACCAAACAAGGAGATGGGAAGAAACCTCAAATCTGCCTCCACAGGAGTTTCGGACTGGGGCTATTCTGGGTCTTGGAGTGGGCTGAAGTGTGGAGGTCATTGATTGGTTGAAGAGTGCAGAGTAAAGTCATGGGACAAGGAGAGGTGCAGCTGTGTTTTGTTGTTGCTGTTGTTTTGAGACAGAGTCTTGGTCTTTCGCCCAGGCTGGAGTGCAGTGACACGATCTCGGTTCACTGCAACCTCCGCCTCCCTGGTTCAAGTGATTCTCCTGCCTCAGCCTCCCAAGTAGCTGGGACTACAGGCTAATTTTTATATTTTTAGTAGAGACTGGGTTTCACCATGTTGGCCAGGCTGGTCTCGATCTCTTGACTTCATGATCTGCCCGCCTCGGCCTCCCAAAGTGCTGGGATTACAGGCATGAGCCACCATGCCCAGCCTCTGTTGGTTTTTTTGAGACAGGGTCTCAGTCAGTTACCCAGGCTGAAGTGCAGTGGCGCGATCTTAGCAATCTTAGCTCACTGCAGCCTCAATCTCCTGGGCTCAAGTGATCTTCCTACCTCAGCCTTCCAAGTAGCTGGAACTACAGGCATGTGTCACCACGCTAATTTTTCTTTTCTTTTCTTTTCTTTTTTTTTTTTTTTTTTTTTTTTTGAGACCGAATCTCACTCTGTCACCCAGGCTGGAGTACAGTAGTGTGATCACGGCTCACTAAAACCTCTGCCTCCCAGGCTCAAGCGATCCTCCCACCTCAGCCTCCCAAGTAGCTGTGACTACAGGTTTGCACCACCACATCCAGCTGATTTTTTTGTTTGTTTGTTTGTTTGGTAGAGACAGGGTCTTGGCTGTGTTGCAGAGACTGGTCTCGAACTTCTGGGCTCACACAATTCTCCCACCTCTGCCTCCCAGGTGGTGTGATTACAGGTGTGAGCCACTGCCCCCAGCCCAGGAAGAAGCTGTGTTCTATGCTGATACCGTTTCTCTGTGGGGATCCTCAAACTGGTTGGTATTAGCTATTTCACAGGAATTTGGGGCCTGAAAAACATCTTAAGCAATCTTTACAGTAAGCCTTATGATCCTAGTGTCAGAGATCCTGTCTGTAGGAACAATGGGATGCAATGGTCAGGAACTAGTGCTACGTGACATTTAGCAACAACGAAGTAGGCCAAAGTGCAGCCTGAAGGATGCTAATTATAACAATATTTCTGTCCGGAACCGGGCGTGCAGTTCTTGTCAACCCTGTGGGGACGGTTTCAGTCCTTTTGGTGAAGGTGTGGCTCCTGAAGGATGAAGTGATCTCAGTTCTAACTCTGTACCTTAGGTGGGCCTCCGCTTGTCTCCCGTACCCCACATGGGATTTAAAACAAGCCTTGGCAAGGTGTAGTGGCTCACACCTGTCATCCAAACACTTTCGCAGGCCAAGGCAGGTGGATCACCTGAGATCAGGAGTTCAAGAGCAGCCTGGCCAACGTGATAAAACCCCATCTCTACTAAAAATACAAAAACTAGCTGGGCGTGGCTGCGCATCCCTCTAATCCCAATTACTCAGGAGGCCAAGGCACGAGAATCACTTGAACCCGGGAGGCGGAGGTTGCAGTGAGCTGACATCACGCTATTGCACTCCAGCCTGGGGGACAGAGCAAGACTCTGTCTCAAAAAATAAATTAATTAATAAATAAAAAATAAAACACAAGCCCTGGCCAGGTGCGGTGGCTCACACCTGTAATCCAAACACTTTGGGAGGCAGAGGCAGGAGGATTGCTTGAGACTATGAGTTTAAAACCAGCCCCAGGCAACATGGCAAGACCCCCATCTCTCCAAAAACTTTAAAACATTATCCAGTTGTGCTAGTGCACACCTGTTGTCCCAGCTAATCAGGATGCGGAGGCAGGAGGATGACTTGAGCCCAAGAGCTCGAGGCTGCAGTGAGCTATGGTTGTGCCACTGCCTTCCAGCCTGGGTGACAGAGCAAGACCCTGTCTTACAATAATAATAATAAATAAATAACCAAAACATAAGCCCCGATTGCTCACCCCATCCTCACTCCGGGGCAGAAGCAATGAGAGCTCACCAGTTGTTCTTTGCATGGATCAGTCTTTTCTCGTTTCTGCCTTTGGAGATTTCCTTTTCTTTCTTGGAAATGCAGCTGTGAATTTGAAATAAATTTTTCTTTTTCTTTTTTTTTTGATATGGAATTTCTCTCTGTCACCCAGGCTGGAGTGCAGTGGCGCAATCTCGGCTCACTGCAAGCTCCGCCTCCTGGGTTCACGCCATTCTCCTGCCTCAGCCTCCCAAGTAGCCGGAGGCTACCCGCCATCATGCCTGGCTCATTTTTGTGTACTTAGTAGAGACGGGGTTTCACCATGTTAGCCAGGATGGCCTCAATCTCCTGACCTCATGATCCGCCTGCCTCGGCCTCCAAAAGTGCTGGGATTACAGGCGTGAGCCACCGCGCCTGGCCGAAATAAATTTTTCTTACATTTTATTGACCATTTTAAGGATTTTGTGATGGGAAAATGTTCAGATTATTTGTTTGTTTGTTTGTTTATTTTTTGAGACAGACTCTTGCTCTGTTGCCCAGGCTGGAATGCAGTGGCACAATCTCGGCTCACTGCAACCTCCGCCTCCCAGGTTCAAGCTATTCTCCTGCCTCAGCCTCCTGAGCAGCTGGGATTACAGGTGTGTGCCACCACACCCAGCTAATTTTTGTATTTTTAGTAGAGACAGGGTTTCACCATGTTGGCCAGGCTGGTCTCGAACTCCTGACCTCATGTGATCCGCCCTCCTCGACCTCCCAAAGTGCTGGGATTACAGGCGTGAGCCACCACACCTGGACCAGATTATTTTGCATGCAAAATCAGAAATACACAGGGAGCTATTCGCTGAGCTATCAAGCACTGGGAAATGTAGCCAATGTGACTGAGGAACTGACTTTTCAATTATATTTCATTTGAATTACTTTTCATTTAAGATTAAGTAGCCACATGTGGCTAGAGGCTTTCATACTGGACAGGGCAGCCGTAGAAAGGAAGGAGGAACTCATCACTGCCCTAGTAGCTGGGACGGCTCAGGTCATAGCCTAATCCCAGGGCGTGGAACCTGCATTCTAACCCTGCCCTTGTCCAGGTCTCCCAGGTCCTTGGTGGAGGTCAAGATAGAAGGAAGTGGTTGGCCTGGATTCCATACCTTGAATTTGGACCTAGGAAGTGGCTGATGAATGGATTAGCCAGCCTGGAGGTCAGCCAGGCCGGAGAGGAAGCCTCAGGGCTTTGGAATAGGCCTTGCCCGTTTCCAGTTTGGGGGTGGGGCACAAAGTTGAGTAGGATCAGGACGACTTTTTTTCTTTTTTTTGAGACGGAGTTTCACTCTTGTTGCCCAGGCTAGAGTGCAGTAGCGCGATCTCAGCTCACTACAACCTCCGCCTCCCGGGTTCAAGTGATTCTCCTGCCTCAGCCTCCCGAATAGCTGGGATTACAGGCATGTGCCACAATGCCCGGCTAATTTTGTATTTTTAGCAGAGAGAGGGTTTCTCCATGTTGGCCAGGCTGGTCTCAAACTCCTGACCTCAGGTGATCCACCCACCTTGGCCTCCCAAAGTGCTGGGATTACAGGCGTGAGCCATTGGGCTTGGCCTGTTGTTTTTATTTTATTTTTTTGAGATGGAGTCTGGCTCTATTGCCCAGGCTGGAGTGCAGTGGCGCAATCTCGCCTCACTGCAACCTCTGGCTCCCCGGTTCAAGCAATTCTCCTGCCTCAGTCTCTCCGAGTAGCTGGGATTACAGGCGTGTGCCACCACACCAGGCTACTTTTTGTATTTTTAGTAGAGATGTTGGCCAGGCTGGTCTTGAACTCCTGGCCTCATGTGATCCACCCGCCTCGGCTTCCCAAAATGCTGGGATTACAGGTGTGAGCCACTGCGCCCAGCCTTTATTTTTAAAAGTAAGTTTACAGCTGGGTGCGGTGGCTCACGCCTGTAATCCCAGCACTTTAGGAGGCCAAGGCGGGCAGATCACGAGGTCAGGAGTTTGAGACTAGCCTGACCAACTTGGTGAAACCCCGTCTCTACTAAAAATACAAAAATTAGCTGGGTGTGGTGGCACACGTCTGTAGTCCCAGCTGTTCAGGAGTCTGAGGCAGGAGAATCGCTTGAACCCGGGAGGTGGAGGTTGCACTGAGCCGAGATCGCGCCATTGCGCTCCAGCCTGGGCAATAGAGCAAGACTCTATCTCAAAAAAAAAAAAAAAAAAAAAAAGTAAGTTTACTTGCACAATATGCAAGATTCAAAAACTATCCATGAGGCCAGGCACGGTGGCTCACAGCTATAATTCCAGCACTTTGGGAGGCCGAGGCCGGGGGATCACTTGAGGTCAGGAGTTCAAGACCAGCCTGGCCAACATGGTGAAACCCCATCTCCATTAAAAATACAAAAATTAGATGGGTGTGGCGGGCGCCTGTAATCCCAGCTACTCAGGAGGCTGAGGCAGGAGAATCGCTTGCACCCAGGAGGCGGAGGTTGCAGTGAGCCGAGATCGCACCATTGCACTCCAGCCTGGGCAACAGAGTGAGTCTCTGTCTCTAAAAAAAAAAAAAAAACAAAAACCTTCCAGGGGTATATGGTATAAAGTTTGTCTCCCGCATACTCTGGGCAACAGGCCATCCAATTCCCCTTCCCAGTGACAACTATTGTCCCTCAACAAGTTCTCAAGGGCCATATGGATTTCCTTTTGACCTGCCAAACAGATCGGGAGTGCCTGTGGGGCAGGGTTGATCTTGTCCGTTCCCCGCAGGCTCTCTGCGGACACTAAGGAAGGGTGTGATGCTTGGGCAGATTGCAGCCATGTGAGGACAGGGGCTGGTAAGAGGGAATATGAGAGCTGTAAGGAGGGCTCCAGCCTCACACTCGACTTTGTGAACCCCTCCCTGGCTGAAGAAAGGACAGCAGCACTACCGACAAGCTATCAACCACCAGCTTCTTGGAGGGTTCAAGGGTGGGAATGGGAATTTGTTCCTGGCCAGTGCCTTCTCCATAAAATCAGTCATTGCTGTTTTTGTATTAAAATTTTTTTCTTTTTTTCTTTTTCTTTTTTTTGAGACAGAGTCTCACTCTGTTGCCCAGGCTGGAATGCAGTGGCACGATCTTGGCTCACTGCAACCTCCACCTCCTGGGTTCAAGCAAGTCTCCTGCCTCAGCCTCCCGAATGGCTGGGACTATAGGCGCCCACCACCACGCCCGGCTAATTTTTGTATTTTTAGTAGAGACGGGTTTCGCCATGTTGACCAGGCTGGTCTTGAACTTCTGACCTCAGGTGATCTGCCCACCTCAGCCTCCCAACGTGCTGGGATTATAGGCGTGAGCCACCGTGCCCGGCCTTATTTAAATCAAGCCCCTGCCTTCTCTGTTAGAGAATATCGTGACTGTGATCAAGTATCAAGTACTTGAGCCCCTTCTCCTTTTTTCTCTTTCCTTGTTGATGGCACCAGCTCTCTGCTGGAGAATATCTTTTAGCGTTAAACACAAACAAAGAAACTAAGAACAACAACAACATCAAAAAGTGCAAGGCTGCAGTAAGCCCTGATCACACTGCTGCACTCCAGCCTGGGCGACAGAGCGAGACTGTGTCTCAAAAAAAAAAAAAATTCTTTTTATTTTCTGAGACAGGGTCTCGCTCTGTCGCCCAGGCTGGAGTGCAGTGGTGCGAGCCTGGCTCAGCCCATGGGGATGGTGGTGAGCTCCTCCATTTATTTATTTATCTGGAGTCTCACTCTGCCACCAAGGCTGGAGTGCAGCAGTGCAATCACAGCTCACTGCAGCGTCAAATTCCTGGGTTCAAGTGATGCTCACACCTCAGCCTCCCAAGTAGGTGGGACTACAGGCACACCCCACCATGCCCAGCTAATTTGTAAAAACTTTTCTGTAGAGATGGGGGATGGTCTCATAATGTTGCCCAGGCTGGTCTTGAACTCCTGGCCTCAAATGATTCTCCTGCCTCAGCCTCCCAAAGTGCTGGAATTACAGGCATGAACCACTGTGCTCTGCTGGATAATGACCTTTCTCGAGCAATTACTATGTGCTCTGCTGTATCGGGTACCATCTAGTTTGATCATATATTAGACATGCAAGATAAGCTTTATCCGCTCCCTCCCCCTTTTTTTTTTTTTTTTTTGAGACGAAGTTTCACTCTTGTTGCCCAGGCTGCAGTGCAATGGCACGATCTCAGCTCACTGCAGTCTCTGCCTCCTGGGTTCAGGAGATTCTCCTGCTTCAGCCTCCTGAATAGCTGGGATTATAGGCGCCTGCCATCACGCCCAACTAATTTTTTGTATTTTTAGTAGAGATGGGTTTCACCACGTTGGCCAGGCTGGTCTTGAACCAGCCTCAGCCTCCCGTGATCCACTGGCCTCGGCCTCCCAAAGTGCTGGGATTGCAGGTGTGAGCCACTTTGCCCAGCCAGCTTTCTCCCTCTTTTATGCTGACCACGAAGTGTCTGCCAAGAGTCATTCGTGCATTCCTCATTCATGCACTCAGTATCTTCTATGGGCCATGAAACTGTGTTAGACGTTGGGGAAACAAAAGTCTAAGACTTAGCCAGGGCCGGGCGTGCTGGCTCACACCTGTAATCCCAGCACTTTGGGAGGCCAAGACGGGCGGATCACAAGGTCGGGAGATCAAGACCAACCTGGCTAACATGGTGAAACCCTGTCTGTACTAAAAATACAAAAAATTGGCCGGGCGCGGTGGCTCACGCCTGTAATCCCAGCACTTTGGGAGGCCGAGGCGGGTGGATCACGAGGTCAAGAGATCGAGACCATCCTGGCCAACATGGTGAAACCCCATCTCTACTAAAAATACAAAAAATTAGTCGGGTGTGGTAGTGGGCACCTGTAGTCCCAGCAGCTACTCTGGAGGCTGAGGCAGGAGAATGGCGTGAACCTGGGAGGCGGAGCTTGCAGTGAGCCGAGATCACGCCACTGCACTCCAGCCTGGGTGACAGAGCGAGACTCCGTCTCAAAAAAAAAAAAAAAAAAAAAGACTTAGCCAGGCATGGTGGTGCGCATCTGTAGTCCCAGCTATGTGGGAGGCTGAGGCGGGAGGATGGCTTGAGCCCGGGGGTGCCAAGACTACAGTGAGCTAAGATTGTGCCACTGTACTCCAGCCTGGGTGACAGAGCGAGACCCTGTCTCAAACAAAACAAAATGAGAAAAAATGTCTAAGACACAAAGAATTGAATCAACACTGGGAAAGTGGGTTGTGAGTTATTTTCCAAGCACATAGGAGCCAATCTATACCCCACCCCAATTCTGGCCCAAACTCCATCCAGATTTTGTTGTTCTCCAGGGGGCTATATCAGAATTTTGGCAGAGAAAGAAGGGCTATGAAACATGTACTGAAAAACCTCTCCATATGTTTCTGATTTGTCAGGCAGGGAGAACCAGAAAACCTTCCTATTGAAACTCTTTGAAATGTTTAATACAATTAAAAAAAATTATTTTCAATGCCCAGTTGAGCTCCCATGAAAGAAAGGGAAATCCTAGGAATCCAGAAACAAAGAGGAAACTAAACGCCACAGATGATAGGCAATGAATTGATCACGTCTCTGCTCTGAATGGTCACTGAGGGTCAGTGGCCAGGAGCTTGCTTTAATGCCCGTGTCAGGTCAGGAGATGAGGCCCTAGGCTAGAGTTACTAGATAAAATAGGACATTATAGGATGTATGCACTTTTTTTTTTTTTTTTTGCAAAATATGGCTAATTTAAAAAAAAATTAAAGCAATATGGAGTAAATTAAGCTAAGGGCCCCCATGCGCATTAGAAGGATGGGGTGGAGATAGGAGAAATTCACACCTTATGTAAATGAAATGCCCAGCCCTCATTGGTTTCTTATAAAAGCTTTTGCATTCAACTGTAAAAATGGCCTCTTTTGGCTGGGCACGGTGGCTCATGCCTGTAATCCCAGTACTTTGGGAGGCCGAGGTGGGTGGATCTCCTGAGGAGAGTTCGACACTAGCCTGACCAACATGGAGAAACCCCGTCTCTACTGAAAATACAACATTAACTGGGTGTGGTGGTGCATGCCTATAATCCCAGCTACTCAGGAGGCTGAGGCAGGAGAATCACTTGAACCCGGGAGGTGGAGGTTGTGGTGAGCCGAGATCATGCCATTGCACTCCAGCCTGGGCAACAAGAGTGAAACTCTGTCTCAAATAAATAAATAAATAATAATGGCCTCTTTCAGACCCCCTCTCCACGGCAGAGAGCTTTCTTCTTTAGCTTATTAAACTTTCACTCCAGCCTCATCCTTGGTGCCCATGCTCCTTAATTTTCATGGTTGTGAGACAAAGAACTCCGAGTGATACTTCAGACAATGAGAGACTACTACATTGAGGTCCAGTTCAAATGGAAATTGTATCTGGACCCAGTTCAAATGGAAATTGTGCCTGAGATCCCTTTGAAATGTGATCCTTGAAAAGCCACACAGTCTGTGAAAGGGTAGACTGGAGATCATGAGTTCATCTACCTTGAGGAGTGACAAACTTGCCTGCCTCAGCCTGATAATTCAAAGAATTCAAAGCCCTGACCTGGCTTCACATATGTGTGGGTTTCCAGATCATTCCACAGAAATAGTTCAGCCACCTGCAAGCCCCCAAGTCAGAAATAAAGATATTCTTTTTTTTTTTTTTTTAATTGTTGTTGTTGTTTTGAGACAGGGTCTCACTCTGCCACCCAGGCTGGAGTGTGGCAGAACAATCTCGTCTCACTGCAGCCTCAACCTTGTGGGTTCAAGTGATCCTCCCACCTCTGCCTTCCAAAGTTCTGGGATTACAGGAGTGATCCCCCAAGACTGGCCATTATTCTTATTTTTTAAATAGAGATAGGATCTCACTTTGTTCCCCAGGCGGGTCTCAAACTCCTGACCTCAAGCATTCCTCCTGCCTTAGCTTGCCAAAGTTCTGGGATTTCAGGTGTAAGCCACTGCACCTGGCCAAGATATTCCTAAGGAAGAAAAGAAAGTGAGGAGTGGGAGAATTCCCCGAATCTATGCCCCCAGGCTGCAAGGGATTCTCAGACAATAAAATGAAAAACAGGCCGCGGGTGGTGGCTCATACCTGTAATCCCAGCACTTTGGGAGGCCGAGGCTGGCGGATCACAAGGTCAAGAGATCGAGACCATCCTGGCTAACACGGTGGAACCCGTGGGCAACAGAGCGAGACTCCGTCTCAAAAAAAAAGAAAAGAAAAACAAAAGCAAATGAAGAGTTTATGGTTAAGCAATGTCATACAAAATGTCGCCCAGGCTGGAATGCAATGGTGCGATCTCGGCTCACCGCAACCTCTGTCTCCTGGGTTCAAGAGATTCTCCTACCTCATCCTCCCAAGTAGCTGGGATTACAGGCATGCGCCACTGCACCTGGCTAATTTTGTATTTTTAGTAGAGACGGGATTTCTCCATGTTGTTCAGGCTGGTCTTGAACTCCTGACTTCAGGCAATCCACCTGCCTCGGCCTCCCAAAGTGCTGGGATTACAGGCGTGAGCCACTGTGCCTGGGCAGTCAACAATAATTTATTATGCAATTAAAAATAACTAGAAGAGCATAATTGGAATGTTTGTAACAAAGAAATGATAAATGTTTGAGATGATGGATACCCCATTTACTCTGATGTGATTATGATGCATTGTATGCCTGTATCAAAATATCTCATGTACCTCATAAATACATATACCTACCACATATCCATAAAAATTAAAAAAAGAGGCCGGGTATGGTGGCTCATGCCTATAATCCCAGCACTTTGGGAGGCCGAGGCGGGTGGATATCTTGAGGTCAGGAGTACAAGACCAGGCTGGGCAACATGGCAAAACCCCGACTCTACTAAAACTAATAATAAAAAAATTATCTGGGCGTGGTGGCACACACCTGTAATCCCAGCTACTTGAGAGACTGAGACATGAGAATTGCTTGAACCTGAGAGGCAGAGGTTGCAGTGAGCCGAGATAGCTCCACTGGACTCCAGCCTGGGCGACAGAGCGAGACTCTGTCTCAAATAAAATAAAATAAAATAAAATAAAATAAAACAAAATAAAGCTGAGCATGGTGGCTCATACCTGTGGGAGGCTGAGGTGAGCAGATCTCCTGAGGTCAGGAGTTCGAGACCTGCCTGGTCAACATGGTGAAACCCCATCTCTACTAAAAATACAAACAATTAGGCGTGTGGCGCATGTCTATAGTCCCAGCTACTTGGGAGGCTGAGGCAGGAGAATTGCTCGTACCCGGGAGCCAGAGGTTGCAGTGAGCCGAGATCATGCCATTGCCCTCCAGCCTGGGCAACAAGAGCGAAACTCCATCTCAAAAAAAAAAAAAAAAAGAAAAGAAAAAAAGAGGCCAGGTGTGGTGGCTCACACCTGTAATCCCAAACTCTGGGAGGCTGAGGCAGGTGGATCACTTGAAGTCGAGGGTTCCAGACCAGCCTGGCCAACATGGTGGTGAAACCCCATCTCTACTAAAATACAAAAATTAGTTGGGTGTGGTGGCGGGCGCCTGTAATCCCAGCTACTCGGGAGGCTGAGGCAGGAGAATCGCTTGAACCTGGGAGGTAGAGGTTGCAGTGAGCCAAGATCATGCTACTGCACTCCAGCCTGAGTAATAGAGACAGACTCCATCTCAAAAAAAAAAGAAAAAAGAAAGAAATGTCAACGCCCTTGAGGAAATAATTTAACCTGTGTCCCAACCCCCCTCACAGGTCCTCTTGACCAAGGAAGGCTTAGTGTGTCAAGGTGTTTACGGAAACCTTCTGACCAAACAGTGGCTGGGCACTAAGCAATGCTGATTCAGAGATGGACCCCTAGGAAGCCAGTCTTGAAAATAAAAGCAAGAATCACAAAACAAAACAGAGGCTTCCTTTAGTGGCTTCAAGTTATTAAACAACCAAACAGACAACCAGCAAACAACAACAATGTCAAAATCTACAACAGCTACCACCAGGACATCAGAATTTAGAATTACAATACATGATTTAAAATGTCCAGTTTTTGCTGGGTGCCATGGCTCACACCTGTAATGCCAGCACTTTGTGGGGCCGAGTCAGGAGAACCACTTGAGCCCAGGAGTTCCAGACCATCCTAGGCAACATAGTGAGACTCTGTCTCTACAAAAAATAAAAATAAAAATAAATTAGCCAAGTGTGGTGGCTGGAGCCTATAGTCCCAGCTGCTCAGGAGGCTGAGACAGGAGGATCACTTGAGCCCAGGAGGTTAAGCTTTCAGGGAGCCAAGATTGCACCACTGCACTCTAGCCTGAGTGACAGAGTGAGTGAGACCTTGTCTCAAAAATAAGTAAAATAAGATAAAATAAAATGTCCAGTTTTCAACAAAAATTTGAGACATATCTCATTTAATCCTCCCAACAGAGGAGTTTCTACCTCTCATTTGGGGAAAATAAGGCTCAGGGAGGTAAAGTAGTGTAAACCAAAGAAAATGACTGGCTGGGCATGGTGGCTCATGCCTGCAATCCCAGCACTTTGGGAGGCTGAGGCAGGAGGAACACTTGAGCCTGGGAGGTGGGAGGTTGCAGTGAGCTGTGATTGTGAAGCAGGATGTTGCCTAAGAACTAGCCAGCTGCTTTGGTGCTGGTAGGGGTGAACTCCACTCACTCACTACTCCACCCCTCACAGGAGAGGGAGCACAGGTGAGCAGGTGCAGGAGACGGGGCGAGAGTTTTTAGGCGCCAGCAAGAGCCATCTCCATACCAGCCCCATGATAGTGTCTAGCGGAGGGTGCCGGAGACTATTGAAGCCCCAGAGGCAGTGTTAGAGTACTCTTTTAGCTCTGCTGTCTGTGAATGGCTTAAGTGTTAACAGCTTAGTGGAGGATCGGTGTGACAGCCTTTTGCATCCACACTCGTGGCACCCAAGTTCTTTTTCAGTGTCCAGGAGGAATTAGGTCACACAAATGAATTGAAGATGGTAAATGCAGGAGACTTTATTGCTGATGAAAGTGGCTCTAAGCGGGAAGGGGAGCTGAAAAGGGGACAGAGCAGGAAGGTAATCTTTCTCTGAAGTCCAGCTGTCCCTGGCCATACTCCTCCAAAGCTACTCCAGCAAACTGTCCCTCTGAAGTCAAGCCACTTCTCTCCAATGTTCAACCATGGTCTTTGACGTCCAGCTGCTTCTCCTCTCTCTGCTAGCTGGGCCTGGGGTTTTTATGGGCACAGGATTGGGGGCAGGGCAGGTCAAGGGTGGTTTTGGAAAAGGCAACATTCAAGCAGGAAAGCAGCGATGTTGGCTGGGCACGGTGGCTCATGCCTGTAATCCCAGCACTTTGGGAGGCAAGGAGGGTGGATCACGAAATCAGGAGTTCAACACCAGCCTGGCCAAGATAGTGAAACCCCTTCTCTAATAAAAATACAAAAATTAGCCGGGTGTGGTGGTGTGTGCCTGTAATCCCGGCTCGGATTACTCGGGAGGCTGAGGCAGGAGAATCACTTGAACCCGGGAGGTGGAGGTTGCAGTGAGCCAAAATCGCACCATTGTACTCCAGCCTGGGTGACAGAAGGGGAGACTCCATCTCAAAAAAAAACCAAAAAACAAAAAACAGGGATGTCAGTTCTCACTTTGGGCTGCAGTTCCAGGTTTTTCAGCTTGAGGGCAATGCCCTCTCTGGGGACCCACCCTCTTCTGCCCAGAATTTCCCTGCCTCTTGTCCCTATCATTTGCACCACTGTACCCTGGCCTGGATGACAGAGTGAGACCCTGTCTCAAAGAAAGGGGAAGGGAAGGGAAGGGAAGAGGAGGGGAGGGGAGAGGAGGGGACTCAATGAATTTAGAGGTTTATTTTGCTAAGGTTGAGGACATGCCCAGGAAAAAGAGACCCAAGCCAAAGAAAAATCTGTGACCCATGGCTTTTCCAGAGAGTTTTGAGGACTTCAATATTTAAAGGAGAAAGAGTGGGCAGGAGGGGAAGGAGGAAAGAAATGAAAAAGGAGGGAAGGTGGCCGGGTGCGGTGGCTCACGCCTGTAATCCCAGCACATTGGGAGGCCGAGGTGGGCAGATCACGAGGTCAGGAGATCGAGACCATCCTGGCTAACACGGAGTGAAACCCCGTCTGTACTAAAAATACAAAAAAATTAGCCAGGCGTGGTCACGGACGCCTGTAGTCCCAGCTACTCAGGAGGCTGAGGCAGGAGAATGGCGTGAACCCGGGAGGCGGAGCTTGCAGTGAGCCAAGATCGCTTCACTGCACTCCAGCCTGGATGATATAGTGAGACTCCATCTCAAAAAACAAAACAAAACAAAACAAACAACAACAACAAAAACACTAGGGAAGGTAGTGAAATAAGTGGTCACTTTCTGTGAGGCTTTCATTCATGATCACTGAATCCACATCTTACATACGTTAATCAAGTTTAGCCTAAAGCTGCTTCTTTACATATTTCAATTTGGCCTAAAGGTTTTTCTGTACATTGTGAACTGTAACAAGCGGAGGTATAACTCGGCCATAGCCCACACCCTGTGCCAATCACTGAGTTTTGGCCAGTCAGATGTAGCCAACTGTTTGAGCCATATTCAAATAAGGCAAATGCCGACCTGTAGCCAATCCAGTTGTTTTTGTACCTCACTGACTTCTGTATGTCATTTCCCTTTGTCTATAAATCTTCTTCCATCACATGGCTGCACTGGAGTCTGTCTGAATCGGCTGTGATTCTGGGGGCTGCCCGATTCACAAATTGTTCATTGCTCAATTAAACTCCCTTAAATTTAATTTGGCTGAAGTTTTTCTTTTAACACATGTGAAAGGAGGGAAAAAGGAACAGTCAATTATGAATTCATCTTGTGCTAAATATATCTGTATTTTACACAAGATAAAGTAAACACAGAGTAGAGGAAGAAGTCAATTATGCTTTTGTCTTAGGGTGGGGGTAAGTATGATTTATTATTATTATTTTTTTCTGAGACAGAGTCTCACTTTGTCCCCCAGGCAGGAGTGCAGTAGTGTGATCTCAGCTCACTGCAACCTCCGCCTCCCGGGCTCAAGCAATTCTCCTGCCTCAGCCTCCTGAGTAGCTAGCATTACAGGTGTGTGCCACCACGCCCAGCTAATTTTTGTAGTTTTTAGTACAGACAGGGTTTCACCATGTTAGCCAGGCTGGTCTCGAACTCCTGACCTTGTGATCTGCCTACCTCAGCCTCCTAAAGTGCTGGGATTACAGGTGTGAGCCACCGCACCTGGCCTGGAAGTATGATTTAAAAAAAAGAAAAATATTGGCCGGACGCGGTGGCTCACACCTGTAATCCCAGCACTTTGGGAGGCCTAGGCGGACGGATGATGAGATCAGGAGATTGAGACCATCCTGGCTAACATGGTGAAACCCTGTCTCTACTAAAAATACAAAACATTTAGCCGGGCGTGGTGGCAGGCGCCTGTAGTCCCAGCTACTCGGGAGGCTGGGGCAGGAGAATGGCGTGAACCCGGGAGGCGGAGCTTGCAGTGAGCCAAGGTCGTGCCACTGCATTCCAGCCTGGGTGACAGGGCAAGACTCCACCTCAAAAAAAAAAAAAAATTATTGTTATTTTTTTGAGACAGAGTTTCACTCTTGTGGCCCAGGCTGGAATGCAATGGTGCAATCTTGGCTCACTGCAACCTCTGCCGCCTCAGCTCAAGTGATTCTCTTGCCTCAGCTTCCCAAGTAGCTGGAATTACAGGCATGTGCCACCATGCCTGTCTAATTTTTTGTCTATAGTAGAGACGGGGTTTCACCATGTTGGTCAGGCTGGTCACGAACTCGTGACCTCAGGTGATCCCTTGGCCTCTCAAAGTGTTGGGATTACAGCCGTAAGCCACCACGCCCGGCCATGATTTTTTTTTTTTTTTTTTTTTTTGAGACAGGGTCTTATTCTGTTGCTCAGGTTGGAGTGCAGCGGTGCGATCACACCTCACTAGAGCCTCGACCTCCTGAGCTTAAGCAATACTCCCAATGCAGCCTCCTGAGTAGCTGGTACTACAGGTGTGCACTACCACACCAGGCTAATTTAAAATCTTTTCCGTAGAGACAGCCTCTCACTGGGTTGCCCAGGGTGATCTCCAACCCCTGAGCTCCAGCAATTCTCTCACCCCAGCCTCCCAAAGTGTTGGAATTACAGGTGTGAGCCCCCATGCCTGGCCAGATTTCTATTTTTTTATTTGTCCTGTACCTGTGAAGGTAAGCTGAATTTACATGGTCAGGGTGAGGGAAGCCACCTGTGGAGATACGTGGCATTCAATCTTGCAGCTATCTGGTTAGGAACAAAAGAAAATGCAGTTTCCTGTATGACTCAGTTCCTAAGCTTAGCTTTTTGCCCTTTGACATAGTGAGTTTGGGGTCTGGTGATTTTATTTTTCTTTCACACTGTTACTGGAAAGGAGTCCCAATCAAGACCCCAAGAGAGGGTTCTTTTTTAATCTTTTTTTTTTTTTTTTTTTTTTGAGACAGGGTCTCACTCTATTGCCCAAGCTGGACTGCAGTGGCGCCCTCTGCCTCCCGGGTTCAAGTGATTCTCCTGCCTCAGCCTCCTGAGTAGCTGGGATTACAGGCACGTGCCACCACGCCCGGCTAATTTTCTTGTATTTTTAGTAGAGACAGGGTTTCCCCATGTTGGTCAGGCTGGTCTCAAACTCCTGACCTCATGATCCACCTGCCTCGGCCTCCCAAAGTGCTGGGATTACAGGCGTGAGCCACCACACCCAGCCAAGAGAGAGTTCTTGAATCTCACGCAAGAAACAATTCCAGGCGAGTCCATGGAGTAAAGTGGAAGCAAGTATATTAAGAAAGTAAAGGAATAGGCTGGGCACAGTGGCTCACACCTGTAATCCCAGCACTTTGATAGGCCAAGGTGGGCGGATCATTTGAGATTGGGAGTTCAAGACCAGACTAGCCAACATGGTGAAACCCTGTCTCCACTAAAAAATACAAAAACTAGCTGGGCGTGGTGACATACGCCTGTAATCCCAGCTACTTGGGAGGCTGAGGCAGGAGAATCGCTTGAGCTGGGGAGGTAGAGGTTGCAGTGAGCCAAGATTGCACCACTGCACTCCAGCCTGGATGACAAAGTGAGACTCCATCTCACAAAAAAAAAAAAAAAAAAGAAAGTAAAGGAACAAAGAATGTCTACTCCATAGGCAGAGCATCCCCTAAGGTTGCTGGCTGGATATTTTTTATAGTTATCTCTTGATTACATGCCCAACAAGGGTGGATTATTCATGAATTTTCTGGGAAAGGCACGGGCAATTCCTGGAACTGAGGGTTCCTCCCCACTTTTTTTTGAGACAGAGTCTTGCTCTGCCACCCAGGCTGGAGTGCAATGGTGCAATCTCAGCTCACTGCTACCTCTGCCTCCTGGGTCCAAGCAATTCTCCTGCCTCAGCCTCTGGAGTAGCTGGGATTACAGGCGCCCGCCACCATGCCCAGCTAATTTTTGTATTTTTAGTAGAGACAGGGTTTCACATCTTGGCCAGGCTGGTCTTGAACTCTTGACCTTGCAATCCACCTGCCTTGGCCTCCCAAAGTGCTGGGATTACAGGCATGAGCCACTGCGCCCGGCCGGTTCCTCCCCTTTTTAGACAATATAGGGTAACTTCCTGATGTTGCCACGGCATTTCTAAACTGTCATGGCACTGATGGGAGTGTCTTTAGCATGCTAATATATTATAATTAGCACATAATGAGCAGTGAGGACGACCAGAGGTCACTTTCTTTCTATTTTTTGAGATGGAGTTTCACTCTTGTCATCCAGGCTAGAATGCAATGGCACGATCTTGGCTCACTGCAACCTCCGCCTCCCGGGTTCAAGCAATTCTCCTGCCTCAGCCTCCTGAGTAGCTGGGATTACAAGCATGTGCCACCACGCCCAGCTAATTTTTTGTATTTTTAGTAGAGACGGAGTTTCTCCATGTTGGTCAGGCTGGTCTCAAACTCCTGGCCTCAGGTGATCCGCCCGCCTGGGCCTCCCAAAGTGCTGGGATTATAGGCGTTGAGCCACCGCACCCAGCCTACCAGAGGTCACTTTCATCGCCACCTTGGTTTTGGTGGGTTTTGGCCGGCTTCTTTGCTGCAACCTGTTTTATCAGCAAGGTTTTTTGTCACCTATGTCTTGTGCCACCCTCCTGTGTCATCCTGTGACTGGGAATGCCTCACCTCCTGGGAAAGTAGCTCAGTGGTGATGCAGGGTTTTTCTAGGCACCTTCGCTGGACTCATGGAAGGGATGCCCCATCTACTCAGCCCCCTGTGCTCAACCCCTTGCAGGAGGGAGCACACAAGTGACTAAGTGTGGGATCTGGCCAGCTGGCTTCTCCAGGCACCAACACAGGAGCAAGCTGTATGCAGGGCCCATGGCCAGAGCAGGCATGTCACCTTGAGGGGAAAGCAGCAGCACCTAGGTGAGGGTGCCCGTGTCCCCGAAGCTGCAGAGGGGGTGTTATTACAGTGCTCCTTTAGTTCTGCTGTCCACAGATGGTGACATGTCAGCAGATCAGCTGGCCCCTTGCCTCATCACATGGGGACAGCTGCCCTTCACAGGCGAGGGCAAAGGCCCAGTGTGACAGCCTTTCTGGGTATCCTCACTCACTGGGTCCCAAGCTCTTGTCCAGCATCCAGGAAGAATGAAGTTACACGGACGATTGAAGGATGATGAAGGTGGAGAATTTTATTGAGCAATGAAAGCGACTCTCAGTGGAGAGGGGAGCTGGAGAGGGGATGGGAAGTGCAGGCTGCCTTCCCCGAAGTCAGGTCGTCTTTTCCCCTGCTGACTGAGTCTGGAGCCTTTATAGGCACAGGGTGGGGAGTGTGTGCTGATTGGCTTGTGAGTATGCAAAAAGGAGTAGTCCCAGCTATTCAGGAGGCTGAGGCTTGCTTGAGGGATCCCTTAAGTCCAGGAGTTGGAGGAATGTCTTTTGTTATTTATAATGAGTCCTTTTGATCACACTGGAGTTTATGCTAATGAGGTGAGTTAAAGCAAAGACACTACTCAAAGGTGGTCATGAAAGAGTAGAAAACCGCCGGGCACGGTGGCTCATGCCTGTAATGCCAGCACTTTGGGAGGCCAAGGCGGGCAGATCACAAGGTCAGGAGATTGAGGCCATCCTGGCTAACACGGTGAAACCTCATCTCTACTAAAAAATACAAAAAATTAGCCGGGCGTGGTAGCAGGCGCCTGTAGTCCCAGCTACTGGGGAGGCTGAGGCAGGAGAATGACATGAACCCGGGGGGTGGAGATTGCAGTGAGCCGAGATTGCACCACTGCACTCCAGCCTGGGTGACAGAGCGAGACTCTGTCAAAAAAAAAAAGAAAGAGTAGAAAACCAATTAGGAAAGGGTGGGTATATGTAAAATAGGCGAAGGGTGGGGATCAATCAGAGGAAAGCGCGACAAACAGGAAGGTAAGCTCTCAATCCGGTCTAAGGTTTAAACTTGTACCTTCAGTTTCAGGCTTTAAACCGTCTTCGGGTTGGAGGTGGGGTTTCACCGCGGACCCGCCCCTATTGGCCTAGGCAATTGGCTGCCTCCTGTCAATATCAGCAGGTCTCAGCCTCATTTTACCCACCCCCTATTCAAGATGGAATCACTGTGGTTCAAACTCCTCTGACAACAGTAGCTTGCTCCAGATCACACAGCTAATACAAATTGACTCACAAACTCTGGTCTACCCATCATTCAAAGAGGCAGGAAGGTATAGGCCAAACACAGGAAAAGCAGCAGTAACGATAAACTGTGTCTAAAAGACCGTCTTTTCCCCCACAGCACAGGATGAAGTTGAAGTTACTTTCTCTGCCTAAGATCCAGACATCCCCCCTCAACAAGGAAAACAATTGTTTTTTTTTCTTCTCCTTTCTATAAAATCAAGAATGGAACCACACCTGAACAGACTCTTCCGCAAGATAATGTCTCCCTCAGGCTCATTGAAATTCCAAAGAGAATTATGTACAAGTTAATCTCTGTTCCTAAATCCATTCATTCTCCCCAGCAATGTTTATTTTTATTTTTATTTTTATTTTTATTGAGATGGAGTCTCACTCTGTCACCCAGGCTGGAGTGCAGTGATGCCATCTCAGCTCACTGCAACTTCCTCCTCCTGGGTTCAAGTGATTCTCCTGCCTCAGCCTCCTGAGTAGCTGGGATTTCAGCTATGTGCCACCATGACTGGCTAATTTTTGTGTTTTGAGTAGAGACAGGGTTTCGCCATGTTGGCCAGGCTGGTCTCGAACTCCTGACCTCAAGTGATCTGCCCACCTTGGCCTCCCAAAGTGCTAGGATTACAGGCATGAGCCACTCTGCCTAGCCCCCAGTAATCTTTTATGTCCCCTCAATAGAATTCCTCTTTCTTCCCCCTGCCATAACCTGTTTTACCAGGATCCAAACCCCTATTCTTTCTGTATCTGCAAGATAGTATATCTATATCTATAGATATCGATATCTATAGATATATATACACATGTCTATATATATAGATATGTATACATATAGATATAGATATATAGATATCTATAGATATAGATATGTATACATATCTATATATATGTATATAGTGCCAGGCACAGTGGCTCATGGCGGTAATCCCAGCGCCACTTTGGGAGGCCAAGAGGGGAAGATCACTTGAGTGCAGGAGTTCAAGACCAGCCTGGCAACATGGCGAAAACCCAGTCTCTACTTAAAAAAAAAAAGAAGATGGTATATAAGCGTCTGAACGCCTTTGGGGTGGTGGGTAATCACGCTGTGGTGTGGTTCTCCCCAGATACGTGTGAATGCAATTTGTATCCCCCTTTTTCTAATTAATCTGCCTTTTGTGAGCTGATTTATCAGCAAACCTTCAGAAGGTGAAGCAGAAGTTTTTTCCTTGGTTCCTACAATCTCACTTCTATGCACATAACAAAATTTCACATGCACCCTATAAATATGGACAGCTACGATGTATTAATAATATTAGGCTGGGCATGTTTGCTCACACCTGTAATCCCAGCACTTTGGGAAGCTGAGGCAGGAGGATGGATCACTTGAGCCCAGGAGTTCAAGACGAGCCTGGGCAACATAATGAGACCCTCATCTCTACAAAACATAAAAACATTAGCTGGGCATGGTGGTGCACTCCTGTAGTCCTAGCTACTCAGGAGGCTGAGGTGGGAGGATTTATTGAGGCCAAGAGTTTGAGACCAGCTTGGGTAATATTATGGGACTCCTCTCTATAGAAAATAAAATTAAAGGCTGGGTGTGGTGGCTCACACCTGTAATTCCAGCACTTTGGGAGGCCAAGGCGGGTGGATCACCTGAGGTCAGGAGCTGAAGACCAGCCTGACCAACATGGTGAAACCCTGTCTCTACTAAAATACAAAATTAACCAGGCGTGGTGGCAGGTGCCTGTAGTCCCAGCTACTCGGGAGGCTGAGGCAGGAGAATCGCTTGAACCCAGGAGGCAGAGATTGCAGTGAGCTGAGACCACGCCATTGCACTCCAGCCTGGGCGACAAGAGTGAAACTTCGTCTCAAAAAAAAAAAAAAAGGAAAATTAAAAACTTAGCTGCATGTGGTGGTGTGCACCTGTAGTTCGAGCTACTACAGAGGGTGAGGCTGAGGTGAGAGAATCACTTGAGCCCAGGAATTCAAGACCAGCCTGGGCAAGATAGCAAGATTCCATCCCTATTTTAAAAATTAAGTAAAAAAGGCCAGGTGTGGTGGCTCATGCCTGTAATCCCAGCACTTTGGGAGGCCCAGGTGGGCGGATCATGGAATTGGGAGATTGAGACCATCCTGGCTAACACAGTGAAACTCCGTCTCTACTGAAAATACAAAAAATTAGCCGGGCGTGGTGGCACGCGCCTGCAGTCCCAGCCACTCGGGAGGGTGAGGCAGGAGAATGGCATGAACCTTGGAGGCGGAGGTTGCAGTGAGCCGAGATTGTATCACTGTACTCCAGCCTGGGGGACGGAGCGAGACTCCGTCTCAAAAAAAAAAAAAAAAAAAAATTTAAGTAAAAAAATTTGAATATAATAAACTAGTTGCAGCGGGTGCAGTGGCTCATGCCTGTAATCAGTCCCAGCACTTTGAGAGGCTGAGGCGAGTGATCACAAGGTCAAGAGATCGAGACCATCCTGGCCAACACGGTGAAACCCTGTCTCTACTAAAAATACAAAAATTAGCTGGACGTGGTGGCCTGCGCCTGTAGTCCCAGCTACTCAGGAGGCTGAGGCAGGAGAATCGCTTGATCCCAGGAAGTGGAGGTTGCAGTGAGCTGGGATTGCGCCACTGTACTCCAGCCTGGCGACAGAGTGAGTCTCAAAAAATAAAAAATAAAAAAAAAATTACTTAACATAAGTAAAGTATTTCCCTGAGCTCTGTGAGCCATTCTAGAAAATTATCTAACTCCAGGAGAGGGTTTTTGGAAACCCCAGCTTTTAAAAAAATTATTTCTTGGGGCCGGGTGCAGTGGCTCACGCCTGTAATCCCAGCACTTTGGGAGGCCAAGGTGGGCGGATCACGAGGTCAGGAGATGGAAACTATCATGGTTAACACGGTGAAACCTTGTCTCCACTAAAAATACAAAAAATTAGCCGGGCGTGGTGGCGGGCGCCTGTAGTCCCAGCTGCTCGGGAGGCTGAGGCAGGAGAATAGTGTGAACCCGGGAGGCGGAGCTTGCAGTGAGCCAAGATCGCGCCATTGCACTCCAGCCTGGGCGACAGAGCGGGACTCCATCTCAAAATATAATAAAATAAATAAATAAAAATTATTTCTTTATATTTATTTATTTATTTTTGTTTCAACAGGTTTTTGGGGAACAGGTGAACAGGTGGTATTTGGTTACATAAATAAGTTCTTTTTTTTATTTTGTATTTTTTTTTTAGACAGAGTCTCGCTCTGTCACCCAGGCTCGAGTGCAGTGGCTTGATCTCAGCTCATTGCAAGCTCTGCCTCCCAGGTTCAAGTGACTGTCCTGCCTCAGCCTCCTGAGTAGCTGGGATTACAGGCATGTGTTACCATTCCTGGCTAATTTTTGTATTTTTTTAGTAGAGGCAGGTTTTCGTCATGTTGGCCAAGTTTTTTTTGTTTTTGTTTTTTTTTTAATAGAAATATGGTCTCACTATGTTGCGCTGGTTGGTCTTGAATTTCTGGGCTCAAGCAGTCCTGCCACTTAGGCCTCCCAAAGTGCTGGGATTACACATGTGAACCATCACACCCGACCTGAAAGCAAGCTTATCAGGAAAATAAAGGAATAGCCGGGCGCAGTGGCTCACGTCTGTAATTCCAGCACTTTGGGAGGCTGAGGCAGGTGGATCACCTGAGGTCAGGAGTTCGAGACCAGCCTGGCCAACCTGGTGAAACTCCATCTCTATTAAAAATACAAAAATTAGCTGGGTGTGGTGGTGCATACCTGTAATTCCAGCTACTCGGAAGGCTGAGGCAGGAGAATTGCTTGAACCTGGGAGGCAGAGGTTGCAGTGAGTCAAGATTGTGCCACTGCACTCCAGCCTGGGCAACAGAGCGGGACTCTGTCTCGAAAAAGAAAAAAAAAAAAAGAATAGGAAAGGAATAAAGAGTGACTCCTCCATAGGCAGAGCAGTGGCATGGGCTGCTTGACTGAGTATACTTACAGTTATTTCTTCATTCTATGCTAAACGAAGTATGGGTTATTCATGAGTTTTCCAGGAAAGGGCAGGGATTTCCCAGAACTGAGGGTTCTTCCTTCTTTTAGACCATATAGGGTAACTTCCGGGTGTTGCCGTGGCACTTGTAAACTGTCATAGTCCTGGTGGGAGTGTCTTTTAGCATGGTAATGTATTATAATTAGTGTATAATGAGCAGTGAGGATGACCAGAGGTCAGTTTCATCACTGTTGGTGGGTTTTGGGGCTGGCTTCTTTACTGCGTCCTGTTTTTGTTTTCTTTTTTTTTTTTTTTTTTGGGATGGAGTCTCGCTCTGTTGCCCCGTCTGGAGTGCAGTGGTGCGATCCTGGCTCACTGCAACTTCTGCCTCCCGAGTTCAAGCAATTCTCTTGCCTCAGCCTCCTGAGTAGCTGGGAGTACAGGTGCCTGCCACCATGTCTGGGTAATTTTTGTATTTTTGGTAGAGACAGGGTTTCACCATGTTGGCCAGGCTGGTCTTGATCTCCTGGCATCAAGTGATTTGCCCGCCTCAGCCTCCCAGAATGCTGGGATTACAGGAGTGAGCCACTGTGCCCTGTCAGCATCCTGTTTTATCAGCAGGGTCTTTGTGACCCGTATCTTGTGATACCAGTCCTGCCAACCTTCTGTCTCATCCTGTGAATAAGAATGTCTCACCTACTGGGAATGCAGCCCAGCAGGTCTCAGCCTCATCTTACCCAGCCCCTATTCAAGATAGAGTCACTCTTTTTCAAATGCTTCCTTCCAAAAACAAAGGATAACAGGCTGGGCGCAGTGGCTCATGTCTGTAATCCCAGCAGTTTGGGAGGCTGAGGTGGGCAGATCACTTGAGGTCAAGAGTTTGAAACCAGCCTGGCCAACATGGTGAAACCCCGTCTCTACTAAAAATACAAAAATTAGCTAGGGGTGGTGGCACATGCCGATAATCCCAGCTACTCGGGAGGCTGAAGCAGGAGAATCACTTGAGCCCAGGAGGCGGAGGTTGCAGCGAGCCGAGATGCCATCACTCTACTGCAGCCTGTCCAGCAGAGTGAGACTCTGTCTCAAACACACACACACACACACACACACACACACACACACACACACACACACACCACAAAGGATAACAGGAGACAGGAAAATTAGAGGACCATCTGAATCTTAATGTTTTCAAGGTGATTGCAAAAAAAAAGGGGAGAGACAAAGAAGATATGAAGTATTCTGTAAAATGTAAAAAAAAAAAGTCTAAGACCTCAGTAGAGAAAATTATGAAATATTTGTTCACAAAACTTATGCATTTTTTTTTTTGAGACGTAGTTTCGCTCTTGTTGCCCAGGCTGGAATGCAATGGCACAATCTCATCTCTCTGCAACTTTCGCCTCCCGGGTTCATTGATTCTCCTGCCTCAGCCTCCTGAGTAGCTGGGATTACAGGCATGCACTACCACACCCGTCTAATTTTGTATTTTTAGTAGAGATGGGGTTTCACCATGTTGGCCAGGCTGGTCTCGAACTTCTGACCTCAGGTGATCCACCAGCCTCGGCCTCTCAAAGTGCTGGGATTACAGGTGTGAGCCACTGTGCCTGGCCTTCCCGTCTCTCTTTTTTAGTATATCTGCTGCCAAAGGGAGCACCCGTCTCTCTTTTTAAAAAAAAAGAAGGAAGGGGCCGGGCGCGGTGGCTCACGCTCACGCCTGTAATCCCAGCACTTTGGGAGGCCGAGGTGGGCGGATCATGAGGTCAGGAGATCGAGACCATCCTGGCTAACACGGTGAAACCCTGTCTCTACTGAAAATACAAAAAATTAGCTGGGCGTGGTGGCGGGCGCCTGTAGTCCCAGCTACTCAGGAGGCTGAGGCCGGATAATCGATTTAACTTGGGAGGTGGAGCTTGTAGTGAGCTGAGGTCCCGCCACTGCACTCCAGCCTGGGCGACAGAGCAAGACTCCGTCTCAAAAAAAAAAAAAAAAAAAAAAAAAAGGAAGGGAGG
Organism: Homo sapiens; assembly: GCF_000001405.40. NCBI lineage: Eukaryota > Metazoa > Chordata > Mammalia > Primates > Hominidae > Homo > Homo sapiens. Next base: position 74,132,539 of record NC_000007.14, on the reverse strand, counting down.
GCGGGAAGGAGGAAGGGAGGAAGGGAGGGAGGAAGGGAGGGAGGAAGGCAGGCAGAAGATCTGAAGAAACATGAGTGGCCACTAAACACGTAAAGATGCTCAACTATAGAGGAAATCAGGGAAACTCAAATTAGTACCACAGTAAGATACTGTATTGTACCTGTTAGTCTGTAAAAAATTAAAAAGATCTGGACAACGAAGAATCTGATATACTGCAAGTGAGACCATAAATCACTAGAACTGCTTTGAGAAACAATTTGGCACTTTTCTTCCTTTCTTTTCTTTTCTTTTTTTTTTTTTTTTTTTTTTTTTTCATGAGACAGGGTCTGGCTCTGTCACCCAGGCTGCAGCACAGTGGTGCAATCATAGCTTACTAGCTTACTGTAGCCTTGAACTCCTGGGCTCAAGCAATCCTCCTGCCTCAGCTTCCCAAAGTACTGGGATTACAGATGTAAGTCACCTTACCTGGCCTTTTTCTTTTTTCTTTGTTTTTGAGCTGGAGTCTTGCTCTGTTGCCCAGGCTGGAGTGCAGTGGAGCAATCTTGGTTCACTGCAACCTCCGACTCCTGGGTTCAAGTGATCCTCCTGCCTCAGGCTCCTGAGTAGCTGGAATTACAGTGATCCGTCCCAAAGTGCTGGGATTACGGGCATGAACCTCCGCACCTGGCCTTTTTTTTTTTTTAAATTTATAGAGGAAAAGGCTGGTCGAGGTGGTGTGGTGGCTCACTCCTGTAATCCCAGTACTTTGGGAGGCCGAAGCAGGCAGATCACTTGAGGCCAGGAGTTTGAGACCAGCCTGGCCAACATGGTGAAACCCCGTCTCTACAAAAAATACAAAAATTAGCCAGGTGGTGGCTGGTGCCTGTAATCCTAGCTACTCGGGAGGCTGAGGCAGGAGAATCGCTTGAACTCAGGAGGTGGAGGTTGCAGTGAGCTAAGATTGTACCACTGCACTCCAGACTGGGTGACAGAGTGAAACTCTGTCTCAAAAAAATAAAAAATAGTATAATTTAAATCCCCAAATAGGATAATTGACTTTTTTTTTTCTGTGCCACCACGCCTGTCTAATTTTTGTATTTTTAGTACAGACGGGGGTTTCACTATGTTGGCCAGGCTGGTCTCGAACTTCTGACCTCAGGTGATCCACCTGCCTTGGCCTCCTAAAGTGCTGGGATTACAGGCGTGAAGCACCAAGCCCAGCTGAGTTTGGAGCTTTAAACAAAAGAGATCCACCAGCATAAGCCCTAGTCGAATGATCTATTGATCATTAAGTGTTGCCCTGTTTATGGAAGATTTACCAATACTTGAAAAACGACTTTAATTTGGTATTGGAGCTTCTTTTTTTTTTTTTTTTCCTGAGACAGAGTCTCGCTCTGTCGCCTGGGCTGGAGTGCAGTAGCGCGATCTTGGCTTACTGCAACCTCCGCCTCCCAGGTTCAAGTGACTCTCCTGCCTCAGCCTCCCGAGTACCTGGGATTACAGGCGCACGCCTCTATGCTGAGCTAATTTTTATTGTATTTTTAGTAGAGACGGGGTTTCACCATGTTGGCCAGGCTGGTCTCGAACTCCTGACCTTGTGATTCGCCTGCCTCGGCCTCCCAAAGTGCTGGGATTACAGGCGTGAGCCACCGTGCCCGGCCTGGAACTTCTTAAAGTAGAGTTTTGAAGTTTTTTGTGAGCAGTTTTGGACCAATCCCAGAAGGAAACGTAGCATATTTTATATGCACATGATTTCTCTACTGTGTTAACTCTGCAGCTTTTAAAACATTTTTATTTTTAGAGACAGGGTCTTGCCATGTTGTCCATGCTGGTCTCAAACTCCTGAGCTCAGCAATTTGCTGGTCTCAGCCCCACAAAGTGCTGGGATTACAGTCATGAGCCAGTGTGCCCGGCCAAGAAATTATATAATTTTTTAAAAGCCATATTAATTTGTGTAAAACAACTGACTCTGTTATAAACTGTCATGAAAAGCCTTCATAATTGATTTAGTATTTAGGTGGTGCTTTTGCAGTGGAAATTATGATTAAAGTCATATATGACTCCAACAAAAACATAGTTTTATTGTATTACAAAGTACTGTATTGATTTGCCAAAATTTTATAATTTGGAAAAGGTATTACCTTCTTTAGATCCGTATTTCTAAAACACTGTATGATTTACAATGCTATATTCTAGGCTGATTATATTAACTGAAAAATATTACCTAAATATTGCTGCACTCTAAATTTAAACAGAGGAACCATTGTTCACCTCTTTTATAGCGTTTTTTATTTGCTAACCTCATAAAATTTCTATGTGTCAAAATCACACTTCTATAATTGCCAAAGCATGAGCTATTAGATTATTTGAATGTAATTGGGTTTTGAAGTAATTGTGACCACAAAACATTCTTATAAAAGGAGCTTTGTACATTATGTAACTTATAAATCAACTACAGCATGAATTCCAGGTGCTTAATGCTTTTAATAATATGATGTCACAGCCAGGGGAAAAACTCTATGTACACTAATCACTAAAAGCACTGCAGTGGTTTTTATTTATAGGAAATCATTATTTCCGATTACTGAAGGTCAGGTGCTATCTTAAAAACAATGTAGTAAATGAATTTTGTTTCACATTTCAGGGCAAGTAATTGTCAGCCATTAAATGGTACTTTTGAAGCCGGGCGCAGTGGCTCACACGCCTGTAATTGCGGCACTTGGGAGGCTGAGGTGGGTTGATCACCTGAGGTCAGGGGTTCGAGACCAGCCTGGCCAACATGATGAAACCGCGTCTCTACTAAAAATATAAAAATTAGCTGGGCGTGGTGTGCACATCTCAATTCCAGCTACTCAGGAGGCTGAGGCATGAGAATCGCTTGAACCCAGGAGGTGGTTGTTGCAGTGAGCCAAGATTGTGCCACTGCACTCCAGCCTGGGAAACAGAGCAAGATCCTTTCTCAAAAAAAAAATTACCCAGTTTCAGGTATTTCTTCTTCTTCCTCCTTCCTCCTTCCTTCCCCTTCTCCTTCTCCCCCTCCTCCTCCTCCTTCTTCCTTTTTTTTTTTTTTTTTTTTGAGACAGAGCCTTGCTCTTTCACCCAGGCTGGAGTGCAGTGGTGCAATCTAGGCTCACTGCCACCTCTGCCTACCAGGTTCAAGTGATCCTCTTGCCTCGGCCTCCCAAGTAGCTGGAACTACAGGCACACACCACCACACCTGGCTAATTTTTGTATTTTTAGCAGAGGCGGGGTTTCGCCATGTTGGCCAGGCTGGTCTTGAACTCCTGACCTCAATTGATCCACCTGCCTCGAGCTCCCAAAGTGCTGGGATTACAGGTGTGAGCCACCATGCCTGGCCTGAGAGACTTAATATTATTACGATGTCAATATTCCAATACTCCCCAGTTCACATATAGACATAAACCAATCCCTGTCAAAATCCTCAGCTGGACCGGGAACAGTGACTCATGCCTGTAATTCCAGTGCTGTGGGAGGCTGAGGCAGGAGGATCACTTGAGGCCAGGAGTTCGAGACCAGCCTGGCCAACATGGTGAAACCCCATCTCTACTAAAAATATGAAAAATTAGCCGGGCATGGTGGCAGGCGCCCATGCCCACCAGCTACTCGGGAGGCTGAGGGAGGAGAATCGCTTGAACCCAGGAGGCAGAGGTTGCAGTGAGGCGAGGTTGCGCCACTGCACTCCAGCCTGGGCGACAGAGTGAGAGTCCATCTCAAAAAAAAAAAGAGATCAGCCTGGTTGGGCAGGAGTTTGAGACCATGTCGCTACAAAAATTAAAAAATTAGCAGGGCATGGTGGCATGTGTCTGTATTCCCTGGTACTCAGGAGGCTGAGATGAGAGGATCACTTGAGCCTAGGGGTTCCAGGCTGCAGTGAGCTAGGAGTTGTGCCACTGCACTCCAGTCTGGGTGACAGAATGACATCTTGTGTCTAAACAAACAAATCCCCAGCTGGCTTGTTTTCAGAAATTGACAAGCTCATCCTAAAAATTCATGTGGAGGCTGGGCATGGTGGCTCACATCTATAATCCCAGCACTTTGGGAGCCTGAGGTGGGTGGATCACTTGAGGCAAGGAGTTTGAGACCAGCCTGGACAACATGGTGAAACCCCATCTCTACTAAAAACACAAAAATTAGCATGGTGGTGCATGCCTCTAGTCCCAGCTACTTGGGAGGCTAAGTTGGGAGAATTGCTTGAACCTGGGAGGCAGAGGTTGCAGTGAGCTGAGATCTTGGCACTTAAAAAAAAAAAATTCTTGTGGAAATTCAAGGGACTTCAAATAGCCAAAACAGTCTAGAAAAAGAAAAACAAAGTTGGAAGGCTCACATTTCTCAACTTCAAAAGTTACAACAAAGCTACAATAATGAAGACAATTAGTACCGATACAGGCATATAGCTAAGCCCCCAAATTGTGGATTAGCCTGGGAGGGTTTTTGGTTTCACTCAAAGAATTCAAGGGTAAGCTGGTGGTGTTACACAGCAATCTTTTATTGAACCAGAGCTGCTCCTTGCAAAGCAGGAGTTAATTCATAAGCAATGCACCCAGAGCTGCGCTTGTGGTAATTTTTTTCTTTTTTTTTGAGACGGAGTCTCGCTCTGTCGCTCAGGCTGGAGTGCAATAGCGCAGTCTCGGCTCACTGTAACCTCTGCCTCCCAGGTTCAAGTGATTCTCCCGCCTCAGCCTCCCAAGTAGGTGGGATTACAGGAGTGGGCCACCACGCCCAGCTTATTTTTGTATTTTTTGGTAAAGACAGGGTTTTGCCAAGTTGGCCAGGCTGGTCTCAAACTCCTGGCCTCAAGGGATCCTGTCTTGGCCTCCCACAATGTTGGGATTACAGGTGTGATCCACTGCACCTGGCCTCTTTTCTTTTTTTGAGATGGCGTCTTACTCTGTTGCCCAGGCTGGAGTGCAATGGTACAATCTGGCTCATTGTAGCCTTGACCTTCTGGGCTCAACCAATCCTCCTGCCTTGGCCTCCCAAATAGCTGGGACCACAGGTGTGTGCCACCATACCCAGCTAATTTCTTTCTTTCTTTTTTTTTTTTTTTTTTTTGAGATGGAGTCTTGCTTTGTCACCCAGGCTGGAGTACAGTGGCACGATCTTGGCTCACTGCAACCTCCGCCTCCCAGGTTGAAGCAATTCTCCTGCCTCAGCCTCCTGAGTAGCTGGGATTACAGGCGCCCGCCACCGTGCCTGGCTAATTTTTGTATTTTTAGTAGAGACAGGGTTTCACCATCTTGGCCAGGCTGGTCTCGAACTCCTGACCTCGTGATCCGCCTGCCTCAGCCTCCCAAAGTGCTGGGATTACAGGCGTGAGCCACCACGCCCGGCCTAAATTCTTCTTCTTTTTTTTTTTTTTTTTTAGTAGAGATGGCGTCTCCCTACATTGCCCAGGCTGGCTTGAACTTCTGGGCTCAAGGGATCCTCCTGCCTCAGACTTCCAAAGTGCTGGGATTACAGGCGTGAGCCACCACACCCGGCCCCTAGTGGCACTTTTCTTTTCTTTCTTGGGATATTCATTCTGGAGGCTGCTGTGGGGACTCTGAAGTAGCCCTATGGAGAGGCCCATGGGATAAACTGAGGCCTCCTACCAGTGAAACCGTGCCCCAAAGAGTTAAAGAAACCAGTGACTAGCAGAAATTTTCCAGTTTGCAGGATGGCAGATAAAAAAAGAAACGACTTGCAGAAATGCTGAAATTCATCTGCTGGTGGGATTAACACGCTGGCTGAAATAGATTGGGACCAATATGGCCAACTGCAGTTTGCACAGAACAAGCTTGCTGATGTCACAGCCCGAATTTCCAGTGCATGTTACATACTAACCACCCCCGGAATTTGCACATGCCCCCCATGAGATAACATGAAGAGGGAACTGCGCATGCCTGAGCACTTTCCAGGCCTCCCCTTTGCTTCCGCCAATCACCTAATATCAGAATCCACCCCCTAAACCTTTCCTAATAAAATTACCGCCTTAAAGCCAGCACAGGGGGACAGATTTGAGCTAGACTTCTGTCTCCTTACTGGTTGACTTGCAATAAAGCTATTCTTTTCTGAAAAGCCTGGCGTCAGCTGGGCATGGTGGCTCATGACTGTAAGCCTAGCACTTTGGGAGGTCGAGGCAGGAGGATCACTTGAGCCTTGGAGTTCAAGACCAGCCGGGACAACATAGTGAGACCCCAACTTTAAAAACAAAAAAAACGGCCAGTCATGGTTGCCTGCACCTGTAATCCCAGCACTTTGAGAGGCTGAGGCAGGTGGATCACTTGAGGTCGGGAGTTTGAGACCAGTCTGGCCAACATAGTGAAACCCTGTCTCTACTAAAGGTACAAAAATTAGCCAGGCATGGTGGTGCACGCCTGTAGTCCCAGCTACTAGGGAGGCTGAGGCACGAGAATCCCTTTAACCTGGGAGGTGGAGCTTGCAGTGAGCCGAGATTGTGCCACTGCACTGCAGCCAGGGTGATAGAATGAGATTCTGTCTCAAAAAAAAAAAAAATACATACATAAATCATAAAAACAAAAAACCAAAAGCCTGGTGTCATAGTATTGGCTTGTAGCACATTGGCTCAAGCCCGTTTTTCTCTGTAGAATCAACTGCTAGCACCAAATTGCCCGCCATGTGAGTGAGCCACATATGAGGGTTCTTGGAAGGGAACTTCAGCCCCAGTTACACCCTCAAAGGACTGCAGCCCCAGGAGAGACCCCCACATACAAATTCCCCACCAAAATGACTCCCAAATTCTTGACAAACAGAAATCAAGCTGGGCGCGGTGGCTCACGCCTGTAATCTCAACACTTTGGGAGGCCAAGGCGGGCGGATCATGAGGTCAGGAGTTCGAGACCATCCTGGCTAACACGGTGAAACCCTGTATCTACTAAAAATACAAAAAATTAGCCAGGTGTGGTGGCGGGCGCCTGTAGTCCTAGCTACTTGGGAGGCTGAGGCAGGAGAATGGCTTGCAGTGAGCCAAGATTGTGCCACTGCACTCCAGCCTGGGCGACAGAGCGAGACTCCGTCTCAAAAAAAAAAAAAAAAAACAGAAATCATGAGCAATGAGTGATCCCTGTTACTTTAAGCAACCAAGTTGAGAGGTGACTTCCCTATGCAACATTAGATAACTCAAGTGATCACCTCTCCCCTTCAATCCCCCCACCGAGGGTGGTAGCTCTCTCCTGCAATCATCTCTGGGTTACCTAAGTGTCCACTTTTGGCCTTTCCTCTGTCTTTCAACAGCCATGTAAAAATTTCCTTGTATTGGCTGGGTGTAGTGGCTCACGCCTGTAATCCCAGCACTTTGGGAAGCCGAGATGGGTGGATCATGAGGTCAGGAGATCGAGACTATCCTGGTTCACATGGTGAAACCCCGTCTCTACTAAAAATAGAAAAAAATTAGCCGGTCATGGTGGCGGGCGCCTGTAGTCCCAGCTACTCGGGAGGCTGAGGCAGGAGAATGGTGTGAACCCGGAAGGCAGAGCTTACAGTGAGCGGAGATCGTGCCACTGAGCTCTAGCCTGGGTGACAGTGCGAGACTCCATCTCAAAAAAAAAAACCAAAAAAACAAAACAAAAAAATTCTCGTATTAAATGTGGCTGAGCATGGAGTCTCATGCCTGTAATCCCAGCACTTTGGGAGGCCCAGGAGACTGCTTGAGCCCAGGAGTTTGAGGCCAGCCTAGAGAAGAAAGTGAGACCTTGCCTCTAAACTTTTATTTGAGAGGCAGTTTCACTCTTGTCACCCAGGCTGGAGTGCAATGGCGTGATCTCGGCTAACTGCAACCTCCGCCTCCCAGGTTCAAATGATTCTTCTGTCACAGCCTCCCGAGTAGCTGGGATTACAGGTGCCTGCCACCACACCTGGCTAATTTTTGTATTTTTAGTAGAGATGGGGTTTCACCATGTTGGCCAGGCTGGTCTTGAACTCCTGACCTCAGGTGATCCGCCTGCCTCGGCCTCCCAAAGTGTCAGGATTACAGGCGTGAGCCACTGCGCCTGGCCTCTCACATTTTTTTTCTTTAAATTAACTTGGTGTAGTGGCGTGTATCTATAGTCAGCTACCTGAGAAGCTGAGGTGGGAGGATTACTCAACCCTGGGATGTTGAGGCTGCAGTGAGCCATGACTGTGCCACTGCTGTCCAGCCTGGGTGACAGAGTGAGACCTGTCTCAAAACAACAACAAAACAGAAACAAAAAACCAAATTAAATGCCCTGTATTTGCAATACCTAGTGTGTTTTTAAAATGTTTTATTTATTTTTGAGACAAGGTCTTGCTGTGTCACCCAGGCTGGAGTGCAGTGGCACGATCACAGCTCACTGCAGCCTTGACCTCCCAGGCTCAAGCGGTCCTCCTGCCTCAGCCTCTCAGTAGCTGGTACTACAGGCACACACCACAGCATCTGGGTAATTTTTTTATTTTTTGGGTAAAAACAGGGTCTTGCTATGTTGCCCAGGCAGATCTTGAACTCCTGGCCTCAAGTGATCCTTCCACCTCGGCCTCCTGAAGCGCTGGGAGTCTAGGTGTGAGCCATCACGTGCAGCCCATCTTCTCGATAGAACCCTTTAGTTTAGTTTAGTTTAGTTTTGTTTGAGATGGAGTTTTGCTCTTGTTGCCCAGGCTGAAGTGTAATGGCACGATCTCAGCTCACCACAACTTCCGCCTCCCAGGTTCAAGCAATTCTCCTACCTCAGCCTCCCGAGTAGCTGGGATTACAGGCATGTGTCACCACACCTGGCTAATTTTTTGTATTTTTAGTAGACGGGGTTTCTCCATGTTGGTCAGGTTGGTCTTGAACCCCCGACCTCAGATGATCCGCCCACCTTGGCCTCCCAAAGTGCTGGGATTACAGGTGTGAGTTTTACAAGAAAACATTTAAGTATGAAAGCAGTACCTCCGGAATATGCACGGCCCTCCAAACCCAGCCTCTGAAGACTCTTCACTTGTCCTGGCTGGGCCACCACCTCAGCTCCACCTAAAACTGGGCTGTGTTCTCTTCCCCCCTCCATCCCTGCCTTTTTTTTTTTTTTTTTTTTTTTGAGACAGAGTCTTGTTTTGTTGCCCAGGCTGGAGTGCAGTGGTGCAAACATGGCTCACTGCAGCCTTGATCTCTTGGGCTCAAAGGATCCTCCCACCTCAGCCTCCTGAGTAGCTGGGACTATAGGTGCATGCCACCATGCCCAACTAATTTTTTTTTTTTTTTTTGAGATGGAGTTTCGCTCTTGTTGCCCAGGCTGGGGTGCAATGGTGCAATCTCGGCTCACTGCAACCTCTGCCTCCTGGGTTCAAGCAATTCTCCTGCCTCAACCCCCCAAGTAGCTGGGATTTCAGGCATGTGCCATCACACCTGGCTAATTTTGTATTGTTAGTAGAGATGGGGTTTCACTATGTCAGTCAGGCTGTTCTCAAACTCCTGACCTCAGGAGATCCTCCTGCCTCGGCCTCCCAGAGGGCTGGGATTACAGGTGTGAGCCACTGTGCCTGGCCTGCCAATTTTTTTTTTTTTTTTTTTTGGAGACAAAGTCTCGCTCTTTCCCAGGCTGGAGTGGAATGGCACCACCTCGGCTCACTGCAACCTCTGCCTTTCGGGTTCAAGCGATTCTCCTGCCTCAGTCTCCCAAGTAGCTAGGACTACAGGCATGTGCCACCACGCCCGGCTAATTTTTGTATTTTTAGTAGAGACGAGTTTTCACCATGTTGGCCAGACTGGTCTTGAACTCCTAACTTCAGGTGATCCACCCGCCTCTGCCTCCCAAAGTGCTGGGATTACAGGCATGAGCCACCACACCTGGCCTCTGCCCAACTAATTAAAAAAAAATTTTTGTAGAGACAGGATCTCACTATGTTGTCCAGACTGGTCTTGAACTCCTGGGCTTAAGGGATCGTCCTGTCTCAGCCTCCCAGAGTGCTGGGATCACAGGCATGAGCCACCACACTCATCCTTGTCTTCTGGTCAGGGAAGACTAACTCCTCTTACCTTGACTATTTCCCCAGGGCCCCAGACACACATCGCCACGCAGGACCTGGGTGGGGAGTACGGAATTTATTTTATTGTTCTGCGTCTGGGTTTGGTTCCTTGGACGTCACGGTTCCTGGATGGGGGTGGGTGGGTCCCACCTCCCTAAGTCATGGTCCCACGGGCCTGTTGGGATTGTTTTCCAGGTTCAAAGTGCACTGAGAAAGCTTCACAGTTTTAATACTTCCTAGATGCTCAACTGAGGCAAAGTGACAAAATGGCCCTCCCACCCCCGCCCGCCACAAAAATAAAATCCCAAGCCCCTGGCAGCTGCTGCTGCAGCCGTATGAAAAAATAATACAAACTCTTCTTAAAAAATAGATTACACAGAAAAAACGCAGAGGACAGAGGGGCATGAGGAGGGGCAGGGAGCCTTGGGGGAGAGGCCCGGGAAGGGGCTCTGAGATGACTGCAGGGGCTGAGCTGCTGGTGGACACCTGCCCGGTCCACTGTGCCTATCCTCTCACTGCCGGAGCCGGCTCCTCCCCATCGCCGGCCAGGGCACCGCAGCTCCACGCTCCCTCAAGGGACCCCCTTCACCCTGAGGCTTGGTACCTGCTTCTCACTAAAGTGGCTTTAAGAAAGAAACAAAAAAAAGACCCAAAGCGAGAGAAGGGGCTGTTTGCTCAGCCACTGGGGACCTCCGCCCCATGGGATCAGCCCTCTCTCTGCTTTGGGGGTTTGGAGAGTCCTCGATACCTGTTGCTACCTAGACACCCCCTGGGGGGAAAACGGGCCCCAGACTCCCCATTTGGTTCCTGGGAACACAGACACCTGGAACTTGGCCTCTGCCCTGATGTGCGCCCTCCCACGCACCCAAGCGTTATATGGGGCATGGTTCGGAGGCTGCCTCCTGGCCCAGCCTCCAGGGAGCTATGGACCAGACAGGTGGAGCGTGAACAGGGTTGCTGGGGCAGCGGCGTGTGGAAAGGGGCGTAACTCACACAGGCCCTCCAGCTCATGCAAGGAGAAGCAAGAGGGGACAGCCCTGCCAAGACAGAGGTTACAGCAGGGCGAGAGCATGGTGTGTGTGTGCAGCTGGGCCGGCTCTGGGCCACGGCAGAGAGAAGGCAGGGGAAGCGGTCCACGGGGTGGGAGAAGGCAAGTCAGGGCCTGGCTCTGAGGAGAAGCCTGGGTCCCCACTGTCCCAGCTGAGGGCCACCTCCCGCGGAGGAATCTGGTGGGGGTGGATTCTCCAGAGGTGGGGACAGGGGCAGCTGAGTGGCCCTGGCTCAGTCGGGGACCTCAGGGTGGGCAGGCAGTCCGCTCTCGCCGCGCCGGTAGGTCTCCCAGAAACCTCTGTCCAGCTGCTCCAGCTGTGGGCCCAGTGGCAGGTGGCCGGCCAGGTGCATGCGGAGGGTCTCCAGCCAGTGTTCCAGCTTCACAAAGGATGGCCTGGGTGACAGGTGGGTGGGGAACGGTGGGTCTGGCTGTCCCGGGAATCGGCCCCACCGTCTCCCAGGCCAGGGCCCCACCCCACTCACCTCTTCTCGGGGTCCAGATCGCAACAGCGCACGGTGATGGGGAAGAAGCTCGGGGGGCAGTTTGGGGGGCAGTAGCGGTCCAGGAATCCTCGCACGTTGAGGCCAAAGTCCATGGTGCGGGGCAGGTAGTCAGGGTCTGCGTTCACCCGCCCGATGATCTGTCCAGTACAAGGCCCGGCAGTTACTCCAGGGGGCCCTCAGCCTGGGCATCTGGGTGCCATCCAGGTGGTTTGAGGGCAGGTGGCACTGGGCCTGGCTGCAGCCTGACTGCAGTACCCCATGGGGGCCAGCCCATGCCTTGCTGTGGGCAGGCTTCCTGGCATGAGGCCCCTGCAGATGCTGAGCCTGCAGCCTGGGTGAGTGGGGAGGAGCCCAGGCCTCAACACCGCTGCTACCCAACCCTGGACCTACCTCGCACAGGACGATCCCAAAGGAGAACACATCCACCTTCTCATCATAGCTGCGGCCTGGATAAAGAGACCGACTGTCAGCAGATGAACACATGGGGGTGCCAGGGATGCCAAAAGGCAGGGGACCAGGCCAGCTGGGAGGATGCCCCGGCCGGGAGGTCCAGGCCCAGGAGGCAGATGCCGGCAACCTCTATGGGAACCCAGGCTTAGGCTCTTTCCCCCAACCCCACCAGGTCTGAGCAAGCCTTTGGGAGCTCTGAGGAGCAAGGGGCAGAGCCCTGGACAAGGAGTTCGAGGCACCGATCAGCTGCGTGACTTTGCACAAGTCATGAACTCTGTGCTGGTCCCAAAAGGGAACCATGTCAGGTCTCTGGAATCTGTGAATGTTACTGGGTCAGAAAAAGGGTCTTTTGCAGATGGGATTAAGTTAAGGATCTGGAGATGAGATGATGCTGGATGATCTGGGTGGGCCCCAAATGCCACTGCAAATGCCCTCTTGAGAGAGACACAGAGAAGACACAGCAGAAGAGGAGGAGGTGGCCCTGTGAAGACAGGGGTGGAGACTGGAGTGATGCGGCCACAAGCCCAGGAATGCAAAACAACCAGAAGGTGGAAGAGGCAAGGAATGCATTCTCCCCTAGATCGCCCTGGAGGGAGCGCAGCCCTGTTGGATTTCAACCTTCTGGCTTCCAAAACTAAGAGGGAATAAATTTCTGCTGTTTATTTTATCTTGAGATGGAGTCTTGCTTTGTTGTCCAGGCAAGAGTGCAGTGGTACGATTGTGGCTCACTGCAACCTCTGCCTCCTGGGTTCAAGCGATTCTCCTGCCTCAATTTCCCGAGTAGCTGGGATTACAGGCGCCTGCCACCATGCCCAGCTAATTTTTGTACTTTTAGTAGAGATGGTGTTTCACCATGTTGGCCAGGCTGGTCTCGAACTCCTGACCTCCAGTGATCTGCCCGCCTCGGCCTCCCAAAGTGCTGGGATTACAGGTGTGAGCCACTGTGCCTGACCATTTTCTGCTGTTTTAAATAATCAAGTTTCTAACAATTTATTACAGCAACCTCAGGAAACTGACACAGACTCTCTGAGCCTCAGTTTCCTTATTGTAAAATGGGAATGATACCAGCTACTTAATGATGTTAAAAATAATCGGTACATGGCCGGGCACAGTGGTTCACACCTGTAATCCCAGCACTTTGGGAGGCCGAGGCGGGTGGATCACCTGAGGTCAGGAGTTCAAGATCAGCCTGGCCAACATGGTGAAACCCCATCTCTACTAAAAATAGAAAAATTAGCCAGGCATGGTGGCAGGTGCCTGTAATCCCAGCTACTAGGGAAACTGAGGCAGGAGAATCACTTGAACCCAGGAGGTGGAGGTTGCAGTGAGCCGAGATCACGCCACTGTACTCCAGCCTGGGTGACAATGCAAGACTCCATCTCAAAAACAAAAAACTGGCCGGGCACGGTGGCTCACACCTGTAATCCCAGCACTTTGGGAGGCTGAGGCGGGTGGATCACGAGGTCAGGAGATCGAGATCATGGTGAAACCCCGTCTCTACTAAAAATACAAAAAATTAGCCAGGCGTGGTGGCGGGCGCCTGTAGTCCCAGCTACGTGGGAGGCTGAGGCAGGAGAATGGTGTGAACCCGGGAGGCGGAGCTTGCAGTGAGCCGAGATCGCACCATGCATTCTAGCCTGGATGACAGAGCAAGACTCGGTCTCAGAAAAAACAAAAAACAAAAAACAAAAAACAAAATACCCGAAACAATTAGTACTAAATGTCAATTCTCATTTACTGAATGCCAACTAGGTGGAAATGAGTTTACAACCTTTAATCCTCACACTAATCCCTAAACATAGGAAACACTAAGACTTTTTTGTTTTTTGAGACAGAGTCTTGCTCTGTCGCCCACTGCAACCTCTGCCTCCTGGGTTCAAGCAACTCTCCTGCCTCTGCCTCCTGGGTTCAAGCAACTCTCCTGCCTCAGCCTCCTGAGTAGCTGGGATTACGGGCGCCCGAAACCATGTCCAGCTAATTTTTGTATTTTTAGTAGAGATGGGGTTTCACTGTGTTGGCCAGGCTGGTCTCAAACTCCTGACCTCATGATCCACCTGCCTCGGCCTCCCAAAGTGCTGGGATTACAAGCGTGAACCACTGCGCCCGGCCACTAAGACTGTTTTATAGTCTTCTTTGCGGGCTATGTTAACTCTGTGTGTGTGTGTGTGTGTGTGTGTGTGTGTGTGTGTGTGTGTGTGTGTTTGACACAGAGTCCCACTCTGTCGTCAGGCTGGAGTACAGTGGTGCGATCTCGGCTCACTGCAAGCTCCGCCTCCTGGGTTCACATCATTCTCCTGCCTCAGCCTCCCGGGTAGCTGGGACTACAGACGCGTGCAACCACGCCCAGCTAATTTTTTTGTATTTTTAGTAGAGATGGGGTTTCATCATGTTGACCAGGATGGTCTCAATCTCTTGACCTCGTGATCCGCCCACCTCAGCCTCCCAAAGTGCTGGGATTACAGGAAGGTTTTTTTTTTTTTCTTTTTGAGACACAGTCTTCCTCTGTTGCCCAGGCTGGAGTGCAGTGGTGCAATCTTGGCCCAATGTAACCTCTGCTCCTGGGTTCAAGTGATTCTCCTGCCTCAGCCTCCCTAGTAGCTGTGCCACCACACCCGGGTAATTTTTGTATTTTCAGTAGAGACAGCGTTTCACCATGTTGGCCAGGCTGGTCTCGAACTCCTGGCCTCAAGCAATCCGCCTGCTTCAGCCTCCCAAAGTGCTGGAATTACAGGTGTGAGCCACTGTGCCTGGCCTATTTTTTGTTTTCTTGAGACAGGGTCTCACTCCGTTGCCCAGGCTAGAAGGCAGTGGTATGATCATAGCTCACTGCAGCCTTGATCTCCTTGGCTCAAGTAAATCTCCCGCTTTGGCTTCCTGAGTAGCTGGGACCACAGGCATTAGGCACCACGCCACATGCCAGGCTAATTTAACTAGGTTAACTATGATGAGGTGATGGCTGGGGTCTGCCTGCCCTGAACCTGTGTTCATGTGTCACCTGCTTGTAGAAGGACTTTATAACCTATAATCTGGGCATATATAGGACCATTGACAGCAAAGAAATGGACTGAGGGAAGCAGACCCTGTGGGAGGCAGAACTATGATCCCCAAAGATGACTGCGTCCTGATCCCTGGGACTTGTATACGTCCCACCTTCCATCGGACTCTGCAGATGGGATTAAGTTGAGGGTCTTGAGATGGAGGGCTGCTTTTGGATTATCCAGGTGGGCCCAATGTCACCGTAAGGGTCCCTATCAGAAGGATGGAGGGCCATGGTGGCTCATGCCTGGAATCCCAGCACTTTGAAAGGTCAAGGCAGGAGGATCGCCTGAAGCCAGGAGTTTGAGACCAGCCTGGGCAACATAGTGATACCCCCGTCTCTATTAAAAATTTAAAAAATTGGCCAGGCGCGGTGGCTCACGCCTGTAATCCCAGCACTTTGGGAGGCCGAGACGGGCGGATCACGAGGTCAGGAGATCGACACCATCTTGGCTAACACGGTGAAACCCCGTTTCTACTAAAAATACAAAAAATTAGCCAGGCGTGTTGGCGGGCGCCTGTAGTCCCAGCTACTCGGGAGGCTGAGGCAGGAGAATGGCGTGAACCCAGGAGGCGGAGCTTGCAGTGAGCTGAGATCACGCCACTGCACTCTAGCCTGGGAGACACAGCGAGACTCTGTCTCAAAAAAAAATAAAAAATAAAAAATAAAAAAATTAGCTGGGTGTGGTGTTGCATGCCTGTGGTCCCAGCTATTCAGGAGGCTGGGGTGGGATGACAGTTTGAGCCCAGAAGGTTGAGGCTGCAGTGAGCTATGGTGGCACCACTGCACTCCAGCCTGAGTAACAGAGCGAGACCCTCTTTAAAAAAGAAAAAAAAAAGGAGGAAGGTTAGAGCCAGGGAAAGAGATGCGGGGATGGATGCAGAGATCAGAGAAGAGAAGATGCTTTGCAGCCAGCCCTGAAGACAGAGGAGGGGGCAGCAACAGGAGGAATGAGGAAGCCTCCACGAGCCAGAAAAGGTCAGGAAACAGGTGCCCCGGAGCCTGCAGAAGGAGCTCACCCTACCGGCGTCTTGATTTCAGCCCGGTGAGGCTGACGCTGGACTTCAGACTCCAGAACTGTATGATCATTTATTTAAGCCACTAAGTGTCTTCTATTTATTTATTTTTTGAGATGGAGTTTCGCTCGTCACCCAGGCTGGAGTGCAATGGCGCGATCTCGGCTCACTGCAACCTCTGCCTCCCAGGTTCAAGCGATTCTCCTGCCTCAGCTTCCCTAGTAGCTGGGATTACAGTACTACAGTACTGGGATTACACCCACCACCATGCCCAGCTAATTTTTGTATTTTTAGTAAAGAATGGGGGTTTCACCATGTTGGCTAGGCTGGTCTCCAACTACTGACCTCAGGTGATCCACTCACCTCAGCCTCCCAAAGTGCTGGGATTACAGGCGTGAGCCACCGTGCCTGGCTGCCACTAAGTGTGTTATAGGAGCAACAGGACCCACAGGGTAACTGAAGAGCCAAGGAGGCTGGGAGGGGCCAGGGGCTTGGGAGGTTACAGCTCTCCTGGGCTCCCCCATGGCTTCCCGTGAGGGCCATGATGGGCAGGGCTGAACCACTCACCGTTGATCATCTCAGGTGCCATCCAGTAGGGGTTGCCCACCACGGTGTAGCGCTTCTTGCGGTCTGGCTTCTTGAGGCTCCGCAGGCCCTCAGGCTGAGTCTTCTCGTCCACCATGAGACGCGCCAGCCCGAAGTCAGCCACCACCACATTCTTGTTCTGGGAAGGTGAAGCCGGGTCATGCTGGGACCCGATCCTAGTACTGCCCGCTTGGCCTGCCCCTCCCCAGGACCCCAAGCCAACCTGTAGACAGCCCAGAGAACATACCTCTGATACGCTGTATTGGCACAGGGTGGGGACCCCTTCCTTCCCCAAACCCATCCGCTCTTTGCAAATGGAGCTGCGGGAAGCACCTGAAGATAGCAGTGTGGCTTCCTCCCTCCCACCACACGCTGCACCCTCTGCCCCCTCCCCACCTGCTCCCCAGACCGTCGTGGCGGACCCACTGCTCCCTCCTGCAAGCGCTCCCTCCCACCTGCGGGGGCACTGATGCTGCTTTGTTTCGGAGAGAAGACAGGAATTCTTTTGTTTTTTTTTTCAGACGGAGTCTTGCTCTGTCACCCAGGCTGGAGCGCAGTGGCGCGATCTCGGCTCACTGCAACCTCCGCCTCCCAGGTTCAAGCGATTCTCCTGCCTCACCCTCCCGAGTAGCTGGGATTACAGGCGCCTGCCACCATGCCTGGCTAATTTTTGTATTTTTAGTAAAGACGGGTTTCACCATACTTGGCTAGGCAGGTTTCGAACTCCTGATCTCAGGTGATCCACCCACTGTGGCCTACCAAAGTGCTGGGATTACAGGTGTGAGCCACTGTGCCCATCAAGACAGGAATTTTGATTATAGACCCAGGTCCTGTGCTTGGCATGCCACCAGATTTACTATTTATTTAGGTTGATTGACTGATTGAGATAGGGTCTTGCTATGTTGCCCAGACTGGTCTTCAACTTCTGGCCTCAAGTGGTCCACCTGCCTCAGCCTTTCAAAGTGCTGGGATTACAGGAGTAAGCCACCATACCTGGCCCAATTTTATCTTTTTTTTTTTTTTTTTGAGTTGGAGTCTTGCTCTATTGCCCAGGTTGAAGTGCAGTGGCACGATCTCAGCTCACTGCAAGCTCTGCCTCCCAGGTTCACGCCATTCTCCTGCCTCAGCCTCCCAAGTAGCTGGGACTACAGGCGCCTGCCACCATGCCCAGCTAATTTTTTGTATTTTTAGTAGAGACGGGGTTTCACCGTGTTAGCCAGGATGGTCTCGATCTCCTGACCTCGTGATCCGCCCACGTCGGCCTCCCAAAGTGCTGGGATTACAGGCGTGAGCCACCGTGCCTGGCCTAATTTTATCTTGAATATTCCCAATAAGCAGGTGAGGTCTATGTTTTTTGCTTTTCGGGTTTGATTTTTTTTTTTTTTTTTTGAGGCAGAGTCTCCCTCCCGTGGCCCAGGCTGGAGTGCAGTGGCACGAACACAGCTCATTGCAGCCTCAACTTCCCAGGCTCAAGCGATCCTCCCACCTCCACCTCCTGAGTAGCTGGTACTATAGATACTCACCACCATGCCAGCTAATTTTTTAATTTTTTTGTAGAGACAAATTTTTTTATTTTTTTGCCATGTTGCCTGGCTGGTCTCAAACTCCTGGGCTCAAGCAATCTGCCCATCTTGGACTCCCAAAGTGCTGGGATTACAGGTGTAAGCCAACACAGATCTCTGTTATTTTTTATTTTTTTTGAGATGGAGTCCCACTCTGTTGCTGGAGTGCAGTGACGTGATCTCGGCTCACAGCAACCTCCACCTCCCGGGTTCAAGCAATTCTGCCTCAGTCTCATGAGTAGCTGAGACTACAGGCACCCACCACCACGCCCAGCTAATTTTTGTATTTTTAGTAGAGAGGGGTCTCACTGTGTTGGTGAGGCTGGTCTTGAACTCCTGACCTCAAGTGATCTGCCTGCCTCAGTCTCCCAAAGTGTTGGGATTACAGGCGTGAGCCACTGTGCCTGGCTTGTTGCTGTTTTAAAAACAGGGGCTCGCTCTGTTGCCCAGGCTGGAGTGCAGTGACACAATCAGAGCTCACTGTAACATTTACCTCCTGGACTCAAGGGATCCTCCCACCTAGCCTTCCAACTAGCTGGGACTACAGGCCCATGTCACCATGCCTGGCCTGACTCTAACGGTATTAAGAGGCAGGGCCTGTAAGAGGTGATTGGGTCATGAGGGCTCTGTATGAATTAACAGATTAATGGGTTATTGAGGGACCAGGTTAGTTATCACAAGAGTGGGTCTGTATAATGGTCAGTTTGGGGGTCTCTTGTCAGCCCCTCTTGCCATGTGATGCTTTTTTTTTTTTGAGACGGTGTCTGACTCTATCACCCAGGCTGGAGTGCAGTGGCATAATCTCAGCTCACTACAACCTCTGCCTCCTGGGTTCAAGCAATTCTCCTGCCTCAGCCTCCCGAGTAGCTGGGATTACAGGCATGCGCCACCATGCCTGCTAATTTTTGAATTTTTAGTAGAAACAGGGTTTTGCCATGTTGGCCAGGCTGGTCTTGAACTCCTGGCTTCAAGTGATCCACCCACTTCGGCCTCCCAAAGTGCTGGGATTACAGGCGTGAGCCACAGTGCCTGACCTTGTTTTGTTTTGTTTTTTTGAGACAGGGTCTGGCTCTGTCTCCCAGGCTGGAGTAGAGTAGCACAATCTTGGCTCACTGCAACCTCTACCTCCCAGGCTCAAGTGATCCTCCCACCTCAGCCTCCCAGGTAGTTGGGACCATAGGCTTATGCCACCACGGCTGGCTATTCCGTTTTGTATTTTTGGCAGAGATGGGCTTTCGTAATGTTGCCCAGGCTGGTCTCAAACTCCTGAGCTCAAGCAATCCACCTGCCTTGGCCTCCCAAATTGCTGGGATTTTAGGTGTGAGCCACTGTGCCCAGCACATTTCTGTTGTTTTGAGCCATCTGGTTCACAGTACTTCATGATGGCAGCCCCAGGACACGAATACACCACCTCTCCAGATGGGCATGGTTACTCGCTCCTGTGCTTTTGGTGGAGAACCGGGCTCTCCTCCCTTGACAATCCTTAGACACTGGGCTCTTTGCCTGCCCGTCCCCTGCTTAAATATCCACCTAAAGCCTCCTCTTTTTTTTTTTGAGATGGAGTCTCGCTCTGTCACCCAGGCTGGAGTGCGGTGGCGCGATCTTGGCTCACTGCAAGTTCCGCCTCCCGGGTTCACACCATTCTCCTGCTTCAGCCTCCCAAGTAGTTGGGACTACAGGCACCTGCCACCACGCCCGGCTAATTTTTTATATTTTTAGTAGAGATGGGGTTTCACCGTGTTAGCCATGTTGGCCAGGCTGGTCTTGAACTCCTGGCTTCAAGTGATCCACCCACCTCGGCCTCCCAAAGTGTTGGGATTGTAGGTGTGAGCCACAGTGCCCATGTTAGCCAGGACGGTCTCGATCTCCTGACCTCGTGATCCGCCTGCCTCGGCCTCCCAAAGTGCTGGGATTACAGGTGTGAGCCACTGTGTCTGGCCAAGCCTCCTCTTTCAGGAAGCCTGCCCTGACCACTCCAGCCCATACGCCTATGCCCCCACTCTGTGGCCCCCAGATGCTGGTGCTGTCTGGTGTAGCCCATGGCCACTCTGCCATGGGCTGTGCTCTATGAAGACCACGGTCCTGGTCCTTTGTAGCTTACATGTCACTTTCTCCTTCATTGATTTATGAGACCCTCCTACCAGCCTGGGACTCTGATGGTCCACCATGAGTCAGTGGCAGAGACAGGACTCAAACCCAGGTCTGTCTGCCTCCTGACCCTGCGCTCTTCCCCACGGGCTGCTGCCCCCCACCCCCACCTCAAATTGAAGTCATGGAGGCAACATGGAGGGGCCTCCAGTTCTGGGAAGGCCCTGAGGCTGGGGTTGGATGGGCTCCTGCTGTCTCCTGACACCCAGCCACGTGGGGCCCTGGTACTCACCTCGCGGACCAGGCAGTTGTGGGAGTTGAGGTCTCGGTGGATGATGTTCATGGAGTGGAGGTAGGCCTAGGGACGGGGACACGGGAGTCAGGGGGCAGCTGTGCAGAGGGACCCCAGCCCATCCTGGCTCCCCAGGAACTCCCTCTGCTCCCACCCCAATCAGGCCAGTCGGGACGATTCTTCCCACTCTCCCATCGACCCCCTCTGCCCTCTTTCAAAGCTTCTTTGTGGGTTCTGTTTGCAAATTCCTGGTGGGATTATGAATGGAGCTAGAGCACCCGGCTCACTCACCATCCCTGATGCGATGTCCTTGGCAAAGCTCACTCTCTGGCTCCATGGGTACTGGCTGTCCTGGGATGGAGAAAGAATGGCCAGGGTGGGGCCGGTGGGGGCCCCGATGGCAGGGATGGTTGCATGAGACAGAGGCAGGAAGAGGCAAGCGTCCTAGAGGGTCCCTGGGCTCCCCAACACCCCGATTTCTTCGGGCACCCACAACTGTCTGCTTCTAAGGAGTATGAGTCAACACAGCTCACAGACATTATTTCCTTTTTTTTTTTTCTTTAGATGGAGTCTCACTCTGTCACCCAGGGTGGAGTGCAGTGGTACCATCTCAGCTCCCTACAACCTTCGCCTCCGGGGCTCAAGTGATTCTTGTGTCTCAGCCTCCTGAGTAGCTGGGACTATGGGCATGCGCCACCACACCCAGCTAATTTTTTGTATTTTTAGTAGAGACGGGGTTTCACCATGTTGGTCAGGCTGGTCTTGAACTCCTTACCTCAGGTGATCTGCCCACCTTGGCCTCCCAGTGTTGGGATTACAGGCATGAGCCACTGCACCCGGCCTCAAGCAATTCTCTCGCCTCAGCCTCCCAAGTAGCTGGGATTACAGGTGTCCACCACCAAACCCAGCTAATTTTTGTAGTTTTAGTAGAGACAGGGTTTCACCATGTTGGCCAGGCTGTTCTCAAACTCCTAACCTCAAGTGATCCACCTGCCTCAGCCTCCCAAAGTGCTGGCATTACAGGCGTGAGCCACCGCACCCGGCCCCTACAAACATTATTTCCTAACAGAACTGATTTCAAACTCTAAGCAGGGATATTCCTCTATAGCTCCCAATCTGCCTCCTCTGAGAAAACAAGCTATATTTATTTTCTATAAAATCTCATCTTTCTGTCAGGTGTGGTGGCTCACGCCTGTAATCCCAACACTTTGGGAGGTCAGAGTGGTTGGATCACGAGGTCAGGAGTTTGAGACCAGCCTGACCAACATGGTGAAACCCTGTCTCTACTAAAAACGCAAAAATTAGCCGGGTGTGGTGGTGGGCTCCTGTAATCCCAGCTACTCGGGAGGCTGAGGCAGAATCGATTGAACCTGGGAGGTGGAGGTTGCAGTGAGCCGAGATCACGCCATTGCACTTCAGGCTGGACAATAAGAGCAAAACTCCATCTCGGGAAAAACAAAAACAAAAACAAAAAACTCATCTTTCTAGGTTTTTAAAAAATTAGAACCTACTTTCACAGACAGGTAAGAGGTAGAAGGGCCCAGCAAGGTCACCTGCGCAGTGGCAGCACTGAGCCATGCCAGGAGAACGGGGCTTTGGGCTCAAATCATTTGGGGGAGACGCCTCATTCTCAAACCTCATCCCCTTGGAGATCTTTATTTTTTATTGAGACAGGGTCTCACTCTATCACCCAGGCTGGAGTGCAGCCTCGACCTCCTGTGCTCAAGTGATCCTTCTGCCTCAGCCTCCTGTGGAGCTGGAACCACAGGCATGTGTCACCACATTTGGCTAATTTTTTAATTTTTTTTGTAGAGATGGGATTGGGATCTCATTATGTTGTCCAAGCTGGTCTTGACCTCCTGACCTCTAGTGACCCTCCTGCCTCGGCCTTCCAAAGTTTGGGAATTCAGGTGTGAGCCACTGCGCTTGGCCTAGCCCAGAGTTTCTAAATTGCACCTGACAACGGAACCCGTTGTGTCAAGTTACACCTAGCAGGAGCCCATAGGGTCCACACCTTGGATACAAGGTAATCCAACCTGAGGAAGATCCCATGGTCTCAGGGTGGTACAGAAATGGGGCTGGAGGCCAGGACTGGATCCCCAGGGTGTGGTCCAGCACAGGGCTCTGTGAGGCTTCCTCCAAGTGCTTTTTTTTTGAGAAGGAATCTCGCTGTCACCCAGGCTAGAGTGCAGTGGTGCGATCTTGGCTCACTGCAGGCTCTGCCCCCTGGGTTCAACGCCATTCTCCTGCTTCAGTCTCCCGAGTAGCTGGGACTACAGGCACCTGCCACCTTGCCCGGCTAATTTTTTGTATTTTTAGTAGAGACGGGTTACCAGGATGGTCTCGAACTCCTGACCTCAGGTGATCTGCCAACCTCAGTCTCCCAAAGTGCTGGGATTACAGGTGCCTGCCACCAGGCCCAGCTAATTTTTGTATTTTTAGTAGAGACGGGGTTTCACCATGTTGGCCAGGCTGGTCTTGGACTCCTGACCTCAGGTGATCTGCTGGCCTCAGCCTCTGAAAGTGCTGAGATTATAGGCATGAGCCACTGCACCTGGCCTGAGCACTTTATTTCTAAAGATGGATTTGTAATTTTATTCAAATCCTTAAGGAAAGCTCTGAATTTTATTTTAGTTTTTGAGACAGGGTCTTGCTGTGTGGTCCAGGCTGGAGTGCAGTGGTGAGATCACAGCTCACTGCAGCCTTGAATTCCTGGCCTCGAGTGATCCTCTTGCCTTGGGCTCCCAAAGTGCCAGAATAACAGGTGTGCACCATTGTACCTGGCCTTTCCTAGCTTTAGATGGAGTCAGTCGCTCCCCTTTTTGATTAGGAATCAGGGTTCAGAGGGCCTTTGAGACCCCTGTGGCTTCCCCCCATTGAAGAGATGAGACTGAGGCTCACAGAGGGAGCTGCTTTGCCCGGGGCCGCACAGCGGGGGTGGCTGGCTCTGCCCAGGACTCACCATGCTCTTGATGATGCCCCGGAGCGTGCCGCCCTTGATGTACTCAGTGATGAAGTTGAGCCTCTTGTCCTTGTAGAGCACCCCGATGAACTTGAGCACGTTGGGGTGTTCCAGGCATCGCATGACCTTCACCTGGCGGGGCACAAACAGGCTGGGCCCGGGCTCTGTGTGGTCCCAGCTGTGCTTGGGTCTGCTTCTCCCTTTTCCATCCCACCAGGGGCTGTAGGCGGTCTCAAAGATACGGAACCCCCAGCTCCCCTCTCCTGCCTCTGCCACACCCTCTGGCGTCCTGTGCCCTCTGCTTGAGCTGCCCCCACCCCCAGCGATGCTCTTTTTCCCAGTCCCCTGCCTGCAGTTACTTTCTTTTTTCTTTTCTTTTTTTTTTTTTTGAGAAGGAGTCTCACTCTGTCGCCCAGGCTGGAGGGCAGCGGCACGATCTTGGCTCACTGCAACCTCCGCCTCCTGAGTTCAAGAAATTCTCCTGCCTCAGCCTCCTGAGTAGCCTGGATGACAGGCACTCACCACCATCATGCTGGGCTAATTTTTGTATTTTTAGTAGAGACGGGGTTTTGCCATGTTGGCCAGGGTAGTCTCGAACTCCTGACCTCAGGTGATCCGCCCGGCTCAGCCTCCCAAAGTGCTGGGATTACAGGCGTGAGCCACTATGCCCGACCAATGCAGTTACTTTTATTTTTTTTGGACACAGGGTCTTGCCTTGTTCCCCAGGCTGGAGTGCAGTGGTGCGATCATGGCTCATTGCAGCCTCCAACTCCTGGGCTCAAGCGAGCCTCCCACCTCAGCCCCCCGAGTAGCTGGGATGACAGGTGCACATTGCCAAGCTCGGTTAATTTAAAATTTTTTTGTAGAGACGGGGTCTTGCTATGTTGCCCAGGTTGGTCTCAAAGTATCCTCTCTCCTTAACCTCCCAAAGTGTTGGGATTACAGGCGTGAGCCACTATGCCTGGCCTGCTCGCTCTTCTTTCAATGGTTCCCAGAGCCCTTTTCCGACCTGTGTTGATGGGGCAGGGGTGAGCACCTGGAAGTCCCTCTGGAGGGAAGAGGGCATTCCGCTCACTGACCTCCTTGAGGAACGTCCTCTGGGTCTCCTCGTCGAACCGGATCAGCTCCTTCATCACCATCACCTCACCTGTCTCACGGTGTGTCACCTGCGTGTGGGACACAGAGGTGTGAAGACAGAAGCTCTGCTGTAAGCCCGCCTTCTAGGAAGCCCCATCTCCACCCCAGGACTGCCAGGGAGATGTGCAGATGGCTTCATACTCTAGGCTGTGCATGGGATGTTCCCAAATACCCAAGTGGATGGGATGTATTAATCCCTTGTCTTTTTTTTTTTTTTTTTGAGATGGGGTCTTGCTCTATTGCCCAGGCTGGAGTGCTGTGGCATGATCATAGCTCACTGCAGCCTTGAACTCCTGGCTCACAATCCTCCTGCCTAAGCCTCCCAAGTAGCTGGGACCACAGGCATGCACCACTATACCCAATTAATTTTTAAATTTTTTGTAGAGATGATGTCAAGGCTGGTCTTGAATTCCTGGGCTCAAGCGATCCTACAGCCTTAGCCTCTCATGGTGCTGGGATTACAGGGATAAACTACTGTGCCTGGCTAGGAGCCACCTTTCAATGACCTCCCGCACATAAGGTCTCAGTCTACCTGTAGGAGGTCCCCTGTTCCTAATTAGCTCCAGGAGGCCAAGGGAGGAGAGGGCACTGGCCAGGGAGTCTGGAAGCCAGATACCCCTTCCACTGTGTTTCCATAGACTGGGAAGGAAGGAGGATGGAGGGGTCCCACCCAGACTGTCCCCTGAGACCCTGGCATGCTCTGTACCTTGATAGCCTGGCCGAAGCAGCCCTTGCCCAGCACCTCCCCGTGGATGAGGTCCGACGGCCGGAAGATGCGGTGTGGCCGGCAGACTACGCGGAGGGACTCAGAGCGACCCAGGTCCTTGCGCTGGGAGGCCGGGGAGCCCAGTGAGCCAGCGCCCGGAGACCTGTCGATGCTGCAGCTCCTCCTGGGGGGCACACATGGTGCCAAGTGCCACCGGGGGACAGGTAGCACCCGGCCAAGGCCCTGCCCCTTCCTCCTCCTGCCTGCATGCCCCTGTCCATGCCAGTCTATGCAATCACCCCCTGCTTTGGGAGGGCCCGCCTGGGACAGTCCAAAGGCTGCCCATCCCAGTGTCTCGGCCTATCCTGGCTCTAGTGGCAGCCCCCAGCTCCCCTCAACCCCTCAGATCCTGCTCTGTCATCCTCTTTTTTTTTGAGACAGAGTCTCACACTGTTGCCCAGGCTGGAGTATAGTGGCGTGACCTTGGCTCACTGCAACCTCCATCTCCTGGGTTCAAGTGATTCATCTGCCTCAGCCTCCTGAGTAGCTGGGACTACAGGCACCTGCCACCAAGCCCGGCTAATTTTTGTATTTTCAGTAAAGATGAGGTTTCCCATGTTGGCCAGGCTGGTCTTGAACTCCTGACCTCAGGTGATCCACCTGCCTCGGCCTCCCAAAGTGCTGGGATTACAGGCATGAGCCACCACGCCTGGCCCCGTCCCCGGCTTTTTAAAAAATGTGTGTTTCCTCTTTTTTTTTGAGAGTGGGTCTTGTTTTGTCACCCAAGCTGGAGAGCAGTGGTGTGATGACAGCTTACTGCAGCCTCCACCTCCCTGGCTCAAGCCTGGGCTGCATTTGTGCAGGGCTGGCTCCCCGACCTAGGTCCCACAGCCCCTGAGCCCCAGCAGGAGTGAAAGCACCCAGCTGAACCGAGGAGCAGGCTGACTTACAAGACAGGTTTCTGCCGGGCAGAGCTGCCCGCCTCCCCGCTGGGAGTATAAGCCGGAGAGCTCAGGGGGCTGGTCTCAGGCCCCAGCCCGTGGCCCAGTGTATCGTGAGGGTCATGCTCGAGGGTCAGCTGGAGCAGGCGGCTGGTTTCCTGAATCAGCAGGTCAATCTGGGGACAGCAGGCATGTGAATGGGGGTGGAGTGGGGAGGGGGCTAGGCATGAAGGCACTACCTCCCGTCCTGCCCCACAGACTCAGGACCGTACCTCGTCCAGGGGCACATTTCGGATGGGCGTGCCATTGATTTCCAAGATCCGGTCTCCGACGTGGATGGAATTCTTCACATCTGGGCTCATGCAGCCCGGATCCACTCTGTGGGTAAGGCAGGGGTCAGGCCAGTGCCCACCTGTCCCTCAGAGCCCCAACAGGAAACCAAGGCGAAGGGCACCAGATCCAGGGTGAGCAGGTGGAGGATTCTACTTCGTGTGACTGGGAAGTAGCAGATGGCCAGAACACCGAGTTCTGGTTTCAGGGGAGGAATTCTGTAATCAATTACTGATGTCTGCCACAGGTGTGAGCTGGAGAAAGGTGGCACGCTTGTAGGCACTGGCCACCCACACAAGATGCTCAGCTGTTCCCATTCAATGGACCATTGTCTCCACCCTGGGGGAACAGATCTATCCTTCCAAATCCCAGGTATGTTTGGTCTCGAATTTTTTTTTTTTTTTTTTTTGGAGACAGAATCTCACTCTGTTACCCAGGCTGGAGTGCAATGGCACAATCTCAGCTCACTGCAGCCTCTGCCTCCTGAGTTCAAGCGATTCTCGTACCTCAGCCTCCTGAGTAGCTGGGATTACAGGTGCACACCACCACACCCAGCTAATTTTTTTTGTATTTTTAGTAGAGACGGGGTTACACCACATTTCCCAGGCTGGTCTCGAACTCCTGAGCTCATGCAATCCGCCCGCCTTAGCCTCCCAAAGGGCTAGGACTGGCCGGGCGCAGTGGCTCACACCTGTAATCCCAACAGTTGGGGAGGCCAAGGTGGATGGATTACTTGAAGTCAGGAGTTTGAGACCAGCCTGGCCAACATGGTGAAACGCCGTCTCTACTGAAAATACAAAAATTAGCCGAGCGTGGCAGTGGGCGCCTGTAGTCCTAGCTACTTGGGAGGCTGAGGCAGGAATTGCTTGAACCTGGGAGGTGGAGGTTGCAGTGAGTCAAGATTCTGCCACTGCACTCCAGCCTGGGTGGACAGAGCGAGACTCCGTCGCAAAAACAAAGTGCTAGGATTACAGACATGAGTCATTGCACCTGGCCTGCCTGGTATGCTTGGGGCAGATGAGTGCCTTGGGTCCCAAAAAGGTCCCGGATTAGTGGCTTCATATCTGACTCCCAAACTCGCCCTGCAAGAGGAGGCCAAGCTCTATTGCTCCTGCATTGGCAGGAGGGAGCTGGCAGCTTGCCCTGAGCCACAATTGCAGGGTGAAGACGGGAAAGAGACCCTCGATCAGTTGCCTATAAGCTAACTCACAAAAAGACCAATTTGCCAAATTTACTTATTTCTTTTAACTCTTCGGTGTTAGGGACCTGGTTTTCTTTTCTTTTCTTTTTTTTTTTTGAGACAGAGTTTTGCTCTTGTTGCCCAGGCTGGAGTGCAATGGAGTGATCTCGGCTCATTGCAACTTCCGCCTCCCAGGTTCAAGTGATTCTCTTGCCTCAGGCTCCTGAGTAGCTGGGATTACAGGCATGTGCCACCATGCCTGGCTAATTTTGTATTTTTAGTACAGATGGGGTTTCTCTATGTTGGTCAGGCTGGTCTTGAACTCCTGACCTCAGGTAATCCACCCACCTTGGCCTCCCAAAGTGCTGGGATTATAGGCGTGAGCTGGTTTTCATTTTGCCTCATAAAAGCTTTTTAGGGAATGCTCACTTTGTCTCTGCCCTAGGTCCTGGAGATGGAAAAGGGGATGGGGGTAAGGCAGAGAGGAGACTGAGAACTTTAAGAAAAACAGGGCCAGGTGTGGTGGCTCATGCCTGGAATCCCAGCACTTTGGGAGGCCAAGGTGGGAGGATTGCTTGAGACTAGGGGTTTGAGACCAGCCTGGGCAGCATAGCAAGACCCCATCTCTATGACATTTTTTACAGAAAATTAGCTGAGCATGGTGGCACACTCCTGTAATCCCAGCTATTTGGGAGGCTGAGGTGGGAAGATCACTTGAGGTCAGGAGTTCGAGACCAGCCTGAGCAAAATAGTGAGACCTCACCATTACAAAAAATAAAAAATTAGCCAGGCATGGTGGTGCTGCCTGTAGTCCCAGCTACTCGAGAGGCTGAGGCAGGAGGATCGCTTGAGCCCATGAGGTCGAGGCTGCAGTGAGCTATGATCATGTCACTGCACTCCAGCCTGGGCAACAGAGTGAGACCCTATCTCAAAAAAACAACCAAGCAAACAAAAAGACTATTCTCGTATGGGGGAGAAGCTCTTCCTTACAGTAACAAATGCAGAAGGAAGAACAGAGTTAGAAATTCAGCATTTGGTAGCCACCCTAGTAATAATCGCTACAGGCAAGAATCATCAATAGATGCTCAAATCATTTGGGGAAGGGTTTTTGGGAACAGGATATTTACAGACTCAAATCTCACAAATGGTTTATTGATGACAAAGGGAAAAAAATCCTTACAGTACAGAAAAAACAAGTAATCAAAGTGAACATCCTCAGCAAAGGGCACACTGACATCATATGTCTCCTGGCAAGATCCACTCGGAAGGACAGAGGATCACTTATGCAGTATCAGGCCAAACCTGCAGAGCCTGTCTCCCTAAGAGGAAACATCAGTCAAACCCAAATGCGAGGGCAGGTACGATGGCTCACGCCTGTAATCCCAGCACTTTGGGAAGCTGAGGCGGGAGGATCACTTGAGCCTAGGAGTCTGAGACCAGCCTGGGCAACACAGTGAGACCCTGTCTCTTTTTAAAAAAAAAAAAAAAAAAAAGGAAAAACATTTTACTTTAATGACTGGCCTGTACACTTCAAAAATGTCAAGATCATGAAGGGCAATGAAAGGCTGAGGAAATGGCCAGACGCAGTGGCTCATGCCTGTAAACCCAGCATTTTGGGAGGCTGAGGTGGGTGGATCATTTGAGGTCAGGAGTTCAAGACCAGCCAGGGCAACATGGTAAAACCCCGTCTCTAATAAAAATACAAAAATTAGGCATGCATAATGGTGCACGCCTGTAATCTCAGCTACTTAGGAGGCTGAGGCAGGAGAATCACTTAAGCCCAAAGGCGGAGGTTGCAATAAGCCAAGATTGCGCCATTGCGCTCCAACCTGGGCAACAAGAGCAAAATTCCGTCTCAAAAAAAAAAAAAAAAAAGATACTGATGACACATGACGATTAAATGCAATGTTGATCATGGACTGGACTGTGGATGAGGGGGAGATTGCTATAAAGGACAGCTCAGTAGTTCAGTATAGAGACAATAGGCAAAATTTGAATATGGTCTGTGTATTAGATAATGGTATCAATGTTACATTTCCAAAATGTGATCACTGAACTATAAGATACAATTGATAATTACATAACAGAATGCCTAGCCAGGCGTGGTGGCCCGTGCCTGTAGTCCCAGCTACTTGGGAGGCAGAGGTGGGAGGATCACTTGAGCCTGGGAGGTTGAGGCTGCAGTGAGCTGTGATCGCATCACTGCACTCCAGCCTCAATGACAGTGATACCCTGTCTCCAAAAAAAAAAAAAAAAAAGAGAAGGTCCTTCTTTTGAGAATATCTAGCATAATTGTGGGGGAGTCAATGATCCCTGCAACTTACTCCCAAACGATCAATAAATAACAACATGTACATGTATGTACAAATATAAACAAGTCACTAAACATGTATATGTATCTGTATCCATATATGTATATATAGAGAGACACACATATAACTCCCAAATATGGCAGTTACGAATTGGTGAACCTTGGTGAAGGGTGTGTATGTATTCAATGGACTTATTATTTTAGCAAATTTTCTATAAATCTGCAAAATGCGAAGATGAAAAGTTGAAAAAAACCAAAGAAAATATTTTCATTGATACAGGCTTTGCATGCATATAACCTTAAAAATAAGCCAGGCATAGTGGCTCACGCTTGTAATCCTAGCACTTTGGGAAGCCAATGTGGGAGGATTGCTTGAGCCCAGGAGTTCAAGACTAGCCTGGGCGACACAGCAAGACTCAGTCTCTACAAAAAATTAAAAAATTAGCTGGGTGTGGTGGTGTGTGCCTGTAGTCTCACTACTCAGGAGGCCGAGGTGAGTGGATTGCTTGAGCACAGGCATCTGAGGCTATAGTGAGCTATGATTGTGCCACTGCACTCCAGCCTGTATGACAGAGCAAGACCCTGTCTCAAAAAAAAATTGTGTGTCTATATATATATATATATATATATGACATACATATGTAAATTCCTTAGAATCTCACATCCTCTCCCTTGGTTTGCTAAAGCAGCAGGTGGCCTGGATAAATTAGACCTTCCTTAAAACGCTGCTATACACAAAATGAAAAGCGGTCAACTAAAACCAGTTTAAAACAAATAAGTAAATCTTTGGCAAGTTGGGCTCTTTCTGGGAAGGGTGTGGCTCTTTGCAGAACTGGGATGTTCCAGATGTTGGCTGGGCGAATGCTTACCCAGTGAGGCAGACAGGGAGGAGACGTCATTAACTGTCTTCTTCATTTTTATTTTAGAGATAGGGTCTCGCTCTGTCGCCCAAGCTGGAATGCATGGTGTCATCATAGCTTGCTGCAGCCTCCACCTCCTGGGCTCAAGCAATCCTCTCACCTCAGCCCTCCGAAGTGGCTGAGATAACAGGCATGAGCCGCTGCACCCAGCTGACTGTCTTCATTTCTAAAATTCTGCCTGGATTTCAGGGACCAGCTGCAGCCTCTGACTCTGTGGGGACCTCCCTTGGCCCTCTGGTAAGAGCCGTTGGTCTGGGAGTTTCCTCATCTCTTTCAAGCAGCTGTCTGCTCATCATGTATGTAAAGCAGCTGCTGGCTTGGCTGATGTCAAGGGATGGAGACACACAGTCAAGCCCAGTATAATTTTCTGTCCCCAGGGCCACCTTCACATCTCAACAGTGCCTATGCAGTGCCAGGCACCTGCCAGGTGTACAAGAAACATTCACTGCGTCAAATGAAAGCTAGCACTTGGTAGGGCCGGGCGTGGTGGCTCATGCCTGTAATCGCAGCACTTTGGGAGGCCGAGACGGGCGGATCACGAGGTCAGGAGATCGAGACCATCCTGCCTAATATGGTGAAACCCTGTCTCTACTAAATATAAAAAAAAAATTAGCCGGGCATGGTGGCAGGTGCCTGTAGTCCCAGCTACTCGGGAGGCTGAGGCAGGAGAATGGCGTGAACCCAGGAGGCGGGGCTTGCAGTGAGCCGAGACCACACCACTGCACTCCAGCCTGGGCGACAGAGCGAGACTCCGTCTCGAAAAAAAAAAAAAGAGAGAGAGAAAGCTAGCACTTGGGCCGGGCACGGTGGCTCACACCTGTAATCCCGGCACTTTGGGAGGCCGAGAAGGGAGGATCACTTGAGCCCAGGAGTTTGAAACGAGCCTGGCCAACATGGTGAAACCCTGTCTTTACTAAAAATACAAAAATTAGCCACATGTGGTCACCTGTAGTCCCAGCTACTCAGGGGGCTGAGGTGCAAGAATTGCTTGAACCTTGTGGGTGGAGGTTGCAGTGAGCTGGTATCACACCACTGCACCCCAGACTGGGCGACAGAGTGAGACTGTCTCAAAAAAAAAGAAGTGACCAATTGCCCAAAAGTAGAAACACTGCATGCTACTTCTCAAGGTGTCAATAAAGGCGCCACAGAAATCTTAGAAAGCTCCAAGGTATCCAACTCCCTCATTGTTCAAACAGACCCCCAAAGCCTAGAGAGAAAGCAGCTGCTCAAAGTCACACAGTAATCTAATCTTTATCAGCCCTGCCCCATTTTTTTGAGACAGGGTTTTGCTCCATTGCCCAGCCTAGAGTGCAGTCGTGCAATTATAGCTCACTGTAGCCACTTCCTGGGCTCAAGAGATCCTTCTGCCTCAGCCTCCCAAGTAGCTGTGACTACAATGTTTCCCAGGCTGGTTTCGAACTCCTGGCCTCAAGTGATCCTCCCATCTCAGCCTCCCAAAGTGTTTCGATTATAAGTGTGAGCAACCATGCCCAGCCTTTATGTGTTCAGTGATTTCACCATGCCTGGCTAATTTTTAATTTTTTTTTTTTTTTTGTAGACATGCAGGTCTCGCTATGTTGCCCAAGCTGGTCTCAAACTTCTGGCCTTAAGTGATCCTCTCACTTTGGCCTCCCAAAGTGCTGAGATTACAGGTGTGAGTTACTGCGCCCAGCTTCTTCACTCATTCTTGACTTGGTTCCTCCTCTTTCTTGTTGGATCAGACATGGACTAAAGAAAATGTCTTTTTATTTTTTGAGTGTGTTTTTTTTATTTTTATTTTTTTGATACAGAGTTACACTCTTGTTGCCCAGCCTGGAGTGCAATGGCAGTCGGGGCTCACTGAAACCTCCACCTCCTGGGTTCAAGTGATTCTCCTGCCTCAGCCTCCCAAGCAGCTGGCACTATAGGCACACACTACCATGCCTGGCTACGTTTGTATTTTTAGTAGAGACGGGGTTTCACCACATTGCCCAGGCTGGTCTCGAACTCCTGACCTCAGGTGATCCACCCACTTCGGCCTCCCGAAGTGCTGAGATTACAGGTGTGGGCCACCATGCCCGGTTGAAAATGTCTTTTTATTGTATCTGGCATTTGTAATGGTATTCAGAGGAATGACTGGGCCAGAAATCTGGCAAACCAGGTTGTCAGAACTGGGCCCCATC
The DNA here is from genome assembly GCF_000001405.40 of Homo sapiens. Classification (NCBI taxonomy): domain Eukaryota; kingdom Metazoa; phylum Chordata; class Mammalia; order Primates; family Hominidae; genus Homo; species Homo sapiens. The sequence goes on along the minus strand of NC_000007.14, from coordinate 74,099,349 downwards.
TGTACCCAAACACTCGCCCATTCATTTTCAGGGCCCCCAGTGCCAGACTCTGCCACCCACATCAACAGCCATAGCCACACCGACGGCAGCCTCGGCAGGCCGGCCACTCACCCCTGGACGCGGACGGTGTGTGAGTGCTCGGTGCCACAGCCCGGTGGGCCGTGCGGGGGGTCAATGGAGACTGAAAGTCCACGCTTGCCATGAGATGAGGCTGGGATGGACACCAGGGTGACGGTGTGGGGCAGGTGGGAGCCAGGGGAGTCAGGCAGGATCTGCTCGATGACGGGGGTCACCACAGTCTGGTAGTAGCAGTGCCCGCTGCAAGAGCCGCCGGGGTGGGAAGAAAAGAGTGTCAAGGGCGTCATCAATTTCAGCATCTCTGCAGCCCCCAGCCCCAGGCTCTTCCCCCAATCCCTTCCTTTTTTTTTTTTTTTTTTGAGATGGAGTCTCACTCTGTTGATTACAACACTGCACCCCAGCCTGGGTGACAAAGCAAGACTCTGTCTCAAAAGAAAAGGAAAGCTAGCAATTGTCCAAAAGTGCAGTGGTGTGATCTTGGCTCACTGTAACCTCCGCCTCCTGGGTTCAAGCGATTCTCCTGCCTCAGCCTCCTGAGTAGCTGGGATTACGGGCACGCACCACCATGCCTGGCTAATTTCTTATTTTTAGTAGAGACGGTTTCACCATGTTGGCCAGGCTGGCCTCAAACTCCAGACCTCAGGTGATCTGCCTGCCTTGGCCTCCCAAAGTGCTGGGATTATAGGGGTGAGCCACTGCACCTGGCCAGCTTTCTTTTCTTTCACTCTTCCTATGGAACTGGGAGCAGGAACTGTGCGTGCCCAGCCAGCCCTCGTCCCTCTGAGTCATTCGGGTCTGTCTACTCGCTGTGATCCTGTAAGGCGGCCAGGACAAGGCCTGAGGATAAATCCAGTTCAGGAGGAAGTCATTAAAAGCCCATCTGGGATCAAGCCACGTTGTCCTCTAATCCAGCTTGATCAGTGTTGTATAAGAAAGAATCTGTCTGGGTTTTGTCCTGATTCCTGGGAGGGAGACTCTAAGTCCTTGGAATGGGGTATCTTTGTTATTCATGAGCCCCTCAGACTATTCCTGAGTTGATACTAATGAGATGACTCAGCCCCGCAAAGATACATCATGTGATTTGAAGAGGGTTGCAGCTTTCATCCAGCCTGACCTCCAAGAACGGGGGCTAGAGACTAAGCTTGATCATACGGCCAATGACTCAATCAGTCATGACGATGTAATGAAATCCCAATAAAAACTCTGGCTGCTGAAGCTCAGTGAAGCTTCCTGGTTGGTGATCACATTGATGTGCTAGGGGAGGGAGGGGAGATGCTTCTTCATTTGGTCGGACCTGAGCTGTGTCCTTCATAATAAAACTGGGATAAAAATGGAGGATTTCCTGAGTTCTGTGAGTCTGTTAGCAAACGATCAAACTTGGCAGGGTCTTGGGAGTCCCTGAATTTGTAGCCAGTCGGTCAGAAGTGTGAGTGGGTTGGGGACCCCTGAACTTGTGGCTGGTGTCTAAAGAGGGAGCAGTTATGCTGGGGATGGTGTCCTTAACTTGTGGCATCCACCCCACCTCTGGTGGTTTGTGCCAGCACCATGCTGCAGTCATGGCCAGTAAGAAAGCTGACGTCTGAGGTTTTCTGTTTTGAGACAGAGTCTTGCTCTGTTGCCTAGGCTGGAGGGCAGTGGTGCAATCTTGGCTCACTGCAACTTCCACCTCCCAGGTTCAAGAGAGTCTCCTGCCTCAGCCTCCTGAGTAGCTGGGATTACAGGCACCCGCCACCACACCTGGTTAATTTTTGTATTTTTAATAGAGATGGGGTTCCACCATGTTGGCCAGGCTGGTCTTGAACTCCTAGCCTCAAGGGATCCACCCACCTCGGAATCCCAAAGTGCTGGGTTTACAGGCGTGAGCCAGCATGCCTGGCCGTCTGAGGCTTTTTCACACTGACTTCTGTGTGTTATTTCTCACTTGTTTCCATGCCGGGATGGGAAAGGAGATATGAACATTTGCCCCAACAAACCTCACCCCATGGGAAAGGGCAGGAGGCCCGGGTGTGGGAGAGTCAGCACCCTTGCAGATCTGTGACACAGGTGGGCCTCCTAGGCTCAGGGAGGGGCCAAGGCACTCACCAGTACAGCTTGGAGTGCTCCACCAGCGTGTAGGTGTCCCCGTCACCGATAAAGGTCCCACACGTGAGGCAGATGAAACACTCGGGGTGGTACTTCAGCTCCCCAGCCACCTGGTGCGGGGGTGAGGAGGGAACAGCCCAGCTCAGCAGACCCAACAACCCCCACAGATCCTCCCCTAGGCCTCTTCCAAGGGTGTCACCAAAAAAACAACTGCAGGGACCCGGCTGGCCAGCTGCTGAGCTCCTGGACAGAGCTGGCTCCATAGATGGGGGCGCTGAGGGATACAGACAGACAGTCAGGCTCAGAAAGCAGCTCCAAAGACCAGCAAAAAGGAGACCAGGAGAGACAATGATGGGAGAGAGACCTGGAGCATGGGGTCTGCTTGGATACCCCCACCCCAGGTGAGTGTGCAAGGCAGGGGGCGCTCACCATAACCAGTCCCTTGGTGATTTGCTCAGAGCACCCATGGCAGGACTCGCCATAGCGGGCCCAGTAGTCCTTCTTGCAGAAGAGCTGCCCATCCTTCTCATAGTACTGGTGCGACAGGGAGGCACTGCAGTCACAACACCTGCAGGAGAGGGGCCGGGCTGAGACGTCCACTCCCGCCCTCCTCCACCTCACCTGGGCCCCTGCCTCGGCTACAGGCACCTTTGTAAGAATTAGAACAAGTTTTCTTTTTGTTTGTTTTTTGAGACGGAGTCTTGCTCTGTCGCCAGGCTGCAGTGCAGTGGCTCGATCTCGGCTCACTGCAACCTCTGCCTTCCAGGTTCAAGTGATCCTCCTGCCTCAGCCTCCTGAGTAGCTGGGACTACAGGCACACACCACCATGCCCAGCTAATTTTTTGTATTTTTAGTAGAGATGGGGTTTCACCATCTTGGCCAGGATGGTCTTGAGCTCTTGACCTCGTGATCCGCCCACCTCGGCCTCCCAAAGCGGTGGCTCACACCTGTAATCCCAGCACTTTGGGAGGCCGAGGTGGGCAGATCACTTGGGGTCAGGAGTCTGAGACCAGCCTGGCCAACATGGCAAAACCCAGTCTCCACTAAAAATACAAAAACTAGCCAGGCATGGTGGTGGGCACCTGTAATCCCAGCTACTCGGGAGGCTGAGGCAGAAGAATCGCTTGAACCTGGGAGGCAGAGGTTGCAGTGAGCCAAAATTGTGCCACTGCACTCCAGCCTGGCGACAGAGTGAGACTCTGTCTCCAAAAAAAAAAAAAAGAAAAAGAAAAATAGAGGAGAATCCCCAGGTGTGCAGGGTCATCAAAGCCACGGTTCGCCTGTTTCCTCACTAGAGGCTACCAAGGAGGCCTGGTTGGTGGGGCCTTGAAGGGCAGATGGGGAGGAATGCCAGGCTGTAGGTGCCACAACACAGGCCAGGGTTAGACCTACATTCCCGGCTTTTTCCCAGCCAAGCATCCCGGTGGGGTGGGGACCAGCAGCCCTGCCCAGCCAGGATGAACAAATATAGAAATGTCAGTCTGGGATGGGCATGGTGGCTCATGCCTGTAATCTCAGCACTTCAGGAGGCGAAGGTGGGAGGATCACTTGAGGCCAGAGGTTTGAGGCCAGCCTGGGCAACACAGTAAGACCCCATCTCTTAAAAAATTATTAAAAAATTAGCCAGGATACAGTGGGTCCTGTACTCCCAGCTACTAGGGAGGCTGGGGAGGGAGGATCGCTTGAGCCCAGGAGTTGAAGGCTGCAGTGTGCTATGATTACACCACTGCACTCCAGCTGGGTGACACAGCAAGACCCTCTCTCTAAAAAATAAAATAAACCAAATGCGGGTGCCCCAGTGAACCCGCAGGCACACATGTGCCCCCCTGGGTCCTGCTGTGGGGGGGCATGTCTGGGTCAGGGTACAGACCCACACAGAGAACAGGCTAGGGGGTCCGTCCCGCTCTGCCACTGTTTGGGTGCTATGTGTCGGTCACACAGGGACAGAAGAACCAGGCTCCAAAGGGCCACAATCTAGGAGAGAGGCAGGTAGGAAAGACTGGGACCTGGATGAGATGAGGGACCTTAAGGGCTGTTTCCTACCCAGGAAACTCTCCACAGCCTGGGGCCTGCATGGGTATCACTCATGGGCTGTCTGCTAATGCTAATTAACTGTAACTAGGGAACTGGGGTTGAGGAGGGGAGTTCAGCAGTAAGCTGGTGGGACACTGTCCCTTTAAGAGGATCCAGCCACTTCCCCTTTGTCTGGGAGCCTAGGGGAAGGGGTGGGAGTAAAGGGGGAGCAGAAAATGCCAGGGTTTGGAAGCATGTGGGTGAGGGGTGCATCCAGGAAGGGAGGCCTGGTGCATTCCTCCATGGGGGTGGGGAATGCGGAGGCTGGGCCACCGGAGGTGGTGGCGGTGGCAGGGGCGGCAGGAGACGCCACGTCAGGGTCACTGCCCCACTCGGTGCACAGCAGGGGGCCGGCAGTTCACCGGATCACCGCGGGGGTGGGGCGGAGGACGGAAGTTGGTGAGGGGGGTGGTCTACAGGGCACCTCCCGTCCCAGGGCTCTAACCTAATTCGAAAGGGAAAGGAGTGCTGCAGCCGGGAGGCCAGGCCGACTTTGGGTCCTGCCCTCGCAGAAGCCCCCACGCCTGGTGCAGACCAATGACTCGCTTCCTGCCCTTACACCGATCACACATGACCTCGGTCACAGGGGTGCCACATCACAGGAGTGCCCCTCACTCCTGCCTGCAGGAAGCAGGGCCCCCGCATACCTCTGCAGTGGGCGGTGGGTGGGTGGGGGATTAGGAATTGCTGTAACCAAGTGTCCCCATCCCGGGGAGGGAACGCTCTTCCACAACCTGGAAACTGCTACTGGTCCATTCACTCGCTCACGCAGAAACTCACAAACCTTCATCACTGTTGCTCACTTTCAGCAGCTGTGAAAGACCCGGCGGTGATGACTCACCCGAGGGTTTGAGTGCACTTGGCTTCCCTCCGGTCACCACTTCCTTGATGCCTGTTCTACCAGACACTAGGTCTGCCCACCAGTGTCTGCCACTGACCTGCCAGCTCCCCGCGGCCCCAGGCTGGGCATCCACAAAGCTTGGCCCAGGAGAGAGCATAAGTGATTCCTGCCGGCGAGGCCCCCGCTGTGCACCCAGCATCCTCAGAACTGCCCCGAGACCCCGTCTCTGCCTCCATTGCAGACAGGGCACCCAGGCCTGGCCCAGGCTGACTTGGTGGCTCAGTGGCTGGGGCTCGGGGCCTCAGTGAACCTTTGCGGATGGAGAGCACGCCGGAGTTCCTGTCCCTGCCCCTGCCCCGCCCCTCACCCCTCAGGCCTGCATTCTGGCAGGAGCTAGAGGCTGACGGGCCTGGCTCTCTTGAGTGCCCCACACAGAGTGCCTGACTGTCCCTAAGAAGGATGTCAAGGGAGGTGCGCCAGGTACTGAGGCTGTGCAGAGCTGCCCTGGGGACAGCCAGAGAGGAACTCCCTCGGGGGAGAGCCATGCCCTGGCCCCACTCCAGGGTACCCCTCCCTGAGAGCAGGGTAGGACAAAGCCAGGCTGGGGCAGGAGAAGGGGGAGGCACCCGGAGGGCATGAAAGGGGTGCTCTGCAGCCCAGGTGGCTGGCTGGGCTGGGAGACAGCGGTGGCTTCCATAATGACAGGAGTGGAGAATCATCGTTCTACCCAGGGCCACATCCCTGGCCACCAGGTGTGAAGAAACAGCAGGTGGAGGACCGGCCTCATGGGGAGACTGTCCTGGAAGGACCCACAGCTTTGGCAGTGGCCTGCTCCCAGGCTGCAGCCGACAGTAACCAAGGAGTTTCAGTTCTGCCCCAGAGCCTGGACCTAGGTGGGTCGGCTTCCAGCCCCAGGCCTTACACCAGGGGCCCTGCCTGGAGCCCAGGACAAGTAGGGAGGGGGATTCCCACTTACTTAGCCCTCTGGAGGAAGCGGCGTCTTCTTGGGGCTGAAGCCAACAGCATCCTCTGTGGCTACACTGGGGGCTCTGGAGGTCTAAGGGAGGGCAGGGGTGGCCAGACCAGCTGCTTCCCCATCCTCCCTCAGGGGCTCAGGATTGGAGGCTGCAGAGGGTGGGGCCAGCGTGGCTGCAGCGCACAGGAGGAGGCTGCAGCCGCGTGGGTGCCAGGGGACTTGGTCTGAGCCTGCAACAGGAAGTGGCTGAAGCACCCTTTGCCTGGGCTTTGGTGCGGGTGGGGAGCGAGCGATCTAGGCTTGGACCCCAGGCAGGGAGCCTGTGGCCCGTCCCTGGCCCTCAGTCCTGAACACACGCTGTAGGCTCCTCAGCCTCGGCCCTGGCAACGGCACTGAAGGCCTCAGGCTTCTCTGGGGACAGGGACAAGCTCAAAAGCAGCTGCCTCTTCCACTGCTGCCCCCAAGGGAACAGAGGTCGACTTCCTATGGACAGTTTGTCTTCGCCAAAAAGGTCCCCTGAAGAAAGGGAGGTTGCATCCCGCCGCTGCTCCAACCCCACAGGCCAGCAGCATGCTCAGCCCTCCTTGCCCAGGGCCAGCCCACCCAGCTGCCAAGGAGATGCTACCAGGGATGCGGCAGCCCTGGGGGTTGTGCACAGGAGGCTTCCTGGAGGGGACCTCGCAGAGGCAGTATGTGAGCCAAAGGGAAGCCTGGACCAGTCCAAGCCTGGTCATAACCTTCCGGGAGGCAGGGCCTGCAAGGGGCTGGGAGGTCAGAACACAGAAAGGGGCAGGCCCCGGAGTGACAACCCTCAGGGCTAATACCAGAGGTCCCATGGGCCTGCAGCAATTGTCCCACTCTACAAAGAGGGGCAGCATCTGGTCCCGGCTGAGCCCTCCAGCAGCCTGCAGGCCCCCATCACAGCACTTATGACCCTGTCTGTCCTATCAGCGTGGGACTTCCTCAAGAGCAGGGGCCAGGGGACAGGAGCAGCTCTCAGATGCTCAGGTTATGACATTCAAAGATGCACAGCTGCCTGTGCGCAGTGGCTCATGCCTGTAACCCCAGCACTTTGGGAGGCTGAGGTAGACAGATCGCTTGAGGTCAGGAGTTTGAGGCCAGCCTGGCTAACATGGTGAAACCCCGTCTCTATTAAAAACACAAAAATTAGCCAGGTGTGGTGGTGGGCGCCTGTAGTCCCAGCTACCAGGAAGCTGAGGCAGGAGAATCGCTTGAACCCGGGAGGCGGAGGTTGCAGTGAGCTGAGATCACGCCACTGCACTCCAGCCTGGGCAACAAAAGCGAGACTCTGTCTCAAAAAAAAAAAAAAAAAAAAAAAAAAAAAGCTGTACAGCCAACGGCACCTTCCACGGGGCCCACAAGGCTCTATGCACCCCTGGCCACTGACTGCACTCCCGCACGCTGGCTTTGTGGTCCTCAGTTGTGCCAAGCACATTCCCACCCCAAGGCCTTTGCACATGCACCGGCCCTACCCCCGACATCCTCTAAACACTGCTCCCTTCAATTCTGTCCCTTAAACATCACTTCCTGAGAGTGCTGTCCCCCAATACCTGACACTACATTTGTTCACTGAGTGTCTTGCCCACTAGAAGGCAGGGACCCTGTTGGTCTGGGAGGTGTGGGACTAAGCTGTGGTTACACTGTAGGCTCTGAAGCCAGGCTGCCTCGGTTCGAGTCCTGATTCTACTCCTCACGCGCTGTGAGACTTTTGGCAAGTGACTGAACTCTGCACCTCATTTGTAAAATCGCTTTTTAAAAATTTGAGACAGTGTCTCGCTCTGTTGCCCAGGCCAGAGTGCAGTGGCGTGATCACAGCTCACTGCAGCTTCGACATCCTGGGTTCAAATGATCCTCCCATCTCAGCCTCCTGAGTAGCTGGGACTACAGGTACGCACCACCACGCCTGGCTAATTTTTTTGTAGAGATGGAGTCTCACTATGTTGCCTAGGTTGATCTCAAACTCCTGGCCTCAAGCAGTCCTCCTGCCTCAGCCTCCCAAAGTGCTGGGATTACAGGCGTGAGTTACCAGCCTTGGCCTTAAAATCGCTTTAATATTGCCGGGCACGGTGGCTCACGCCTGTAATCCCAGCACTTTGGGAGGCTGAGGTGGGCGGATCACGAGGTCAGGAGATCGAGACCATCCTGGCTCACACAGCGAAACCTCGTCTGTACTAAAAATACAAACAAACAAAAAAAAATTAGCCGGGTGTGGTGGTGGGCGCCTGTAGTCCCAGCTACTTGGGAGGCTGAGGCAGGAGAATGGTGTGAACCCGGGAGGCAGAGCTTGCAGTAAGCCGAGATTGCGCCACCGCACTCCAGCCTGGGCGACAGAGCGAGACTCAAAAAAAAAATCGCTTTAATAAATAAATAGCACCCCCTTACTGGGTTGTTGTGAGAGGGGCCTAATGCAGAGTGGGCACGCCATAATTATTTGCAAGTGACTGACTCAGGGACCCTAGGAAGTTCCACTGGGAGGGGCATGCAGAGGGGCCAGGAAAGTGGAAATCACTGGCCACCTCCCCAGTGGGGCTGGAGGCTGCAGACCCCTCATGGCCTTATCACATTGCCCCTGCCCGAACACCTTCAGAGGGGTGAGGGGCCCTGGAACAAAGGTCTCAGTGCATGAAATGAGGTCTGGGCCGGGCCCAATGCCTCAAGCCCAGGGCCCGAGGGAGACTAAGCAGAGTCTAGCACCTTGGGCATCCCACTGAGAGCCAGCCTGGCTGTGGTCAGCCATGCACCCAGGTGAGCAGTGACCCCCTCTGAGCTGCTCTGCTCACTGTCACGCGGTGAGGACCACCAGCTTTGGGGACTGTTGGGAGTATCACACCCACAAGCCACGAGGTAGAAGCCATGGCTCTTACTTCTAGTGGATCTTTCCCCATATTGAGACTTTTTTTTTTCGAGATGGAGTCTTGCTCTGTCACCCAGGCTAGAGTGCAGTGGCGCGATCTTGACTCACTGCAATCACTGCCTCTCGGGTTCAAGCGATTCTTCTGCCTCAGCCTCCTGAGTAGCTGGGATTACAGGCGCCCACCAACAGGCCCGGCTAATTTTTGTATTTTTAGTAGAGATGGGGTTTCACCATGTTGGCCAGACTGGTCTCAAACTCCCGACCTCAGGTGATCTGCCTGCCTTGGCCTCCCAAAGTGCTGGGATTACAGGCGTGAGCCACTGCACCTGGCTTCCTTCTTGAGTTTCACTACACCAGGGACAGCACAAACATGCCTCCTCTTTACTGCCCTGACCTGGGGACTCACCCCTCTCCTGGTGAGTGATTTGGGACAGGCCACTCCAAAGCCAGGTACACCCATCCTGTAACACGGCTTCCCTCCTGTGGCTTCTGTGGCTCTACTCCTGACCCTCTCTCCATCACCCAAGGCTCCATCTCCCCCCTCACCGCAGACACAGGGGTCCCCAAAGTTCTTCCCTTCATTCGTCTTGGCCCTATCACAAATCCCACTCACCATCTCAGGGCCAGCTCCGAGGCGGCCGTTTTTTCTGACTTTCCTACCTCCAACTGGACTCAGGCTCCCATGGCTAGCTCTGGGCAGGACACAGCCACCATGGATAGCCCATGTCCCCTCCAGCTCAACACAGATGAGCATGTCTCCTCCCCAACATGACCCCCAATTCCATCAGAGTCAACAAACCACCAACTCCCCAGTGCCCAGGTTAGAAAACCAGATGGCTTCAGGTTCCACCCTGCCATTCGCCAGTGCCCATGCCCTCCCCGAAGCCCCTGTCTTTTTCTTTCTTCCTTTCTTTCTTTTTTTTGAGATGGGATTTCACTCTGTCACCCAGGCTGGCTTGCAGTGGTGTGATCATAGCTCACTGCAACCTCCACCTCCCAGGCTCAAGCAACCCTCCCATGTCAGCGCCCTTGAGTAGCTGGGACTACAGGCACCACCACCATGCTCAGCTAATTTTTTTGTAGAGACAAGGTTTCACTATGTTGCCCACACTGGTCTCAAACTCCTGGGCTCAAGAGATCCACCTGCCTCCGCCTCCCAAAGGGCTGGGATTATAGGCATGTGCCACCGCCAGCCCCTGCCTTTCCTACTCTGTGGCGATGTGGAGTGAGAAGGTTTTAGTCCCAGCTCTAGATGTTACAACCTTCAGCGAGGCACTTGATTGCATGGAATCTCTGTTTCTCCCATGCAAACTGGGCACATACAGTCCCTCATAGAGTTATGATGAAGATTTAACAAATTAGCATGAAGAGTGCTCAATGCATGGTAGCCAATATGACAAATACTCACCAAAAACTGTCCCTTCTGCCTGAAATTCTCTCCATCCTCAGTCACTGTCCCAGGTCAGGTCCTATGAGCTCAGACCCTTGAGTTACTGGGACAGTCCCTTCCCTGCCTAGATACCACCACCGGCCCACTGGGATGGCATTCTTCAACAGCATGTCACCCCAGCCCCTCCCTGGCTTTCTGCCGACTCCCTTCTATTTTTTTTTTTTTTTTTTTTTGAGATGGAGTCTCGCTCTGTCTCCCAGGCTGGAGTGCAGTGACGTGATCTCAGCTCACTGCAGCCTCCGCCTCCCAGGTTCAAGTGATTCTCCTTCCTTAGCCTCCCGAGTAGCTTGGATTACAGTCATGTGCCACCATGCCTGGCTAATTTTTGAATATTTAGTAGAGACGGGGGTTTCACCACGTTGGCCAGGCTGGTCTCAAGCTCCTGGGGTCAAGTGATCTGCCTGCCTCGGCCTCCCAAAGTGCTGGGATTACGGGGATGAGCCACCACCCCCATCCTGACTTCTGAAACTCCTTATCTTGGCATTCAAGGCCCTTCACGAATCGGTCTCAACTTTGTTTCTTGTTGGATCCCTCAGCTTATTCTGTTCCTTCCAAGGGAACTGTTCCTGTTCCCTCAGCAGTCCGCACCATCCCACCGCTGTGCAGATGGTTTCCTCTGCCTGTTGAGAGCCCTCTTGCCCCCCGAAGGCCTCTTTCTGAGCACCTGATGCAGAATCCCAGGGCATGCTGTCTGTCTCCTTTCAGCCACACTGAGTGTGTTCATTTCACTCACTGGCTGTGTGACTTTCATCAAGAGAATTAACCTCTCTGTGTCCCAATTTTCTCTCTGGCAAAACAAAGACAGCACTAATATCTAACTATGCAAAGTACTTAGAACAGGGGTTGTCCCTTACTGAATGTTAGAAAACGTTAGACGTTATTCCTAAAAAAGAAAAAACAGGCTGGGCATGGTGGCTTATGCTTGTAATCCCAGCACTTTGGGAGGCTGAGTCAGAAGGATCGCTTGAACCAGTTGGAGCTGGAGGCTACAGTGGGCTATGATCTCACCACTGCACGCCAGCCTGGGTGACACAGCAAGACCCTGTGTAAAAAAAAAGAAAAGAAGAAACAAAAAAACAAACCGAGGCCAGGTGCAGTGGCTCATGCCTGTAATTCCAGCATTTTGGGAGGCTGAGGCGGGCAGATCACTTGAGGTCAGGAGTTCGAGACCAGCCTGGCCAACATGGCAAAACCCTATCTCTACTGAAAATACAAAACTTAGCCGGGCGTGGTGGTGCACACCTGTAATCCCAGCTACTTGGGAGGCTGAAGCAGGAGAATCGCTTGAACCTGGGAGGCGGAGGTTGCAGTGAGGAGGGATCGCGCCACTGCTCCCCAGCCTGGGCGACACAACAAGACTGTCTCAAAAAAACCAAAAACCAAAAAATAAACCAAGGCAGAAGCCTAAAATAAAGTCCTAGTGGTGGATGTCTTGACCCCTGCTGGGCATCCCAGAAGCTTCACCTTCTACCCTTTTATGGAGTTTTCTCCCCTGAACCTTGCTGTTTGGTGACTATGCCTGTAATTCTCTCCCACACCATTTGTTTTTCTTTCTTTCTTTTTTAAAAATTGAGACTGGGTCTCGCTCTATTGCCCAGGCTAGAGTGCAGTGGTGCGATCATAGCTCACTGCAGCCTCCACCTCCCAGGCTCAAGTAACCCTGCCACCTCAGCCTCTTGAGTAGCTGGGACTACAGGCATGCGCCACCACGCCCGGCTAATTTTTTGTATTTTCAGTGGAGACAGGGTGTTGCCATATTGCCCAGGCTTGTCTCGAACTCCTGAACTCAAGTGATCTGCCCACCTCAGCCCCAAAAAGTGATGGGATTATAGGTGTGAGCCACCACGCCCCACCTCCACTCTACTTTTCTACCCAGGAAATCTCACATCCTTTGAGACCCCTGCTCTGGCCCTGCTCTGGCTCAAGGCAGGTAGACCCCTGCTCCTGGCTTCTCAGGATGGTCCTACTGGGTGACCTTCAGGTCCTCATGTACTCTTTATCCTCCGCCACAACCCTGACCCTACTTTCTTCCTACCTGTGGGTGTGTGTCTGGACACTGGGGCTGGTGTGACTGGGTTATGCATGTTCGCAAGCAGCCTGGAAGACACTGAGGGTGGCCTGGTTTCCCTTAAGGCCTGGTTTGTCTTCCCTCCCTGCAAGAGCATGAACACCCAGAAGGCAGGAGGGACATTCCTTCCAACTCTTCCCCCTGTCTGGGTGCCAGCAGGGGGCTGAATTGCAGGCACTGGCTCAATTGGAGGTCTCTCCCATCCTCTCTAAGATTTAGATCTCAGAGATCTAGGATGACAACAGAGGCCAAGGCGTTAGCTCACGCCTGTAAGCCTAGCACTTTCGGAGGCCAAGGCAGGAGGATTGCTTGAGGTCACAAGTTCAAGACCAGCCTGGGTCTCAATAGTGAGACCCTGTCTTTACACAAAATTTAAAAAATTAGCTGAGCATTGTGGTGTATACCTATAATCCCAGCTACTCGGGAGGCTGAAGTAGGAGGATCACTTTAGCCCGGGAGATGGAGGTTGCAATGAGCCGAGATGGCACCACTGCACTCCAGCCTGGGCAACAGAGCAAGACCATTTCGAAAAAAGAAAAATACATAAAAGAAAATAAAATGAGGCCAGGAGCGGTGGTTTATGTCTGTCATCCCAGCACTTTGGGAGGCTGAGGTGGGAAGATCACTTGAGGTCAGAAGTTTCAGACCAGCCTGGCTAACATGGCAAAACCCGTCTCTACTAAAAATACAAAAATTAGCTGGGCGTGGTGGTGCACGCCTGTAATCCCAGCTACTCCAGAGGCTGACACAGGAGAACTGCGTGAGCCCAGGAGGAAGAGGTTGCAATGAGCCAAGATCGCACCACTGTACTCCAGCCTGGGTGACAGAGCGAGACTCCGTCTCAAAAAGAAAAAAAAATAGATAAATAAAATGACAACAGGAAGGCCTGTAGGGATTTTCTAGTCAAAACACCTCATGTCATAAATGGTAAATTAAGGCCACGAAGTCACAATAGGGGACGGCACCAGGAGGCATATCCCGGCCTCCCCCATTCCTTGACCAGCCTGTCCTCTCTGGCAGGCCTTGTTTAGGGCAACACAGGCCCTGGGCACCCCACCCTACCTGAAGCAGTCTGCGTGCCAGTCCGCGTTCAGGGCCTGGAGGTACTGGCCATCATAGATCCTCTGGCCGCAGCTTGCACACACGGGCAACTCGCTTCCTGCAGGGTGGGAAGGGAGTTGGGAAGCATTCTCAGGAAGTGTGATCTGGTGCAGGCCCAGCTTGCCCTGCCCACCCCACATATACCTACACCTGCACCAATCCTCGCACACTGCACATGTGCAGCGCCCAGGCAGGGCAGTCGCTGTGCCAAATAGGAGAAGAAAGGGCGCTGGCCTGAGTCTTGCTGAGATACTGACTAGGTTGCCAAGCTTCTCTGGCCCTGTTTCCCTATGTATCAGCTTAGGAGGAGGATCAGGTCCATCCTCCCGCTATAGCATTGGATCTGGCAAGGTAAATGAGGAGAAAGGAAGCAGTGGCTTTAGGGATAAGGCAGTGGGTGACATTCCTATCACAGCCTCCTTTCTTCCCTCTCCTGCCCAGGAAGAAGTACTAAGAGGGCCCTTCAAAGGCAGGGACTGGACAGGGCTGGATTAGTGCATCCTGGGCTGAAGCCAGCTGGGAGGTCAAGGGCAGGAAGCCTGGAGGTGCCGGCCCTAACAGATCCTTGGCAATGAATGCCCTGGCTTGGCAAGGGGAGGGGGCTGCAGACCTGGGTACTCCCAGACACCTGTCCCAGGGAGGCCTGGCACCTCCTCTAGCCAGCCACAGGCATGCTTAGTCATCCTTGGGGCCTGGCACCCTTGGAGCTGGTGGGCCCTGGAAAATGCCCCAGACCTGCCCCTCTCCACTGTACAGAAGGGGAGACTGAGCCCCAGAGATGGCATGGCTTGCCCAGTCACATAGCTAGGTCCCAAGGCCACAACAGCCTGACCCTCTGTGAAGACGCAGGTACCTTAGGTAGGCAGGGGCTACAGGAAGGTGGGCCCCTACCCCAATCAGGTTTTCATGGGCCTGGGAAGAGTTGGTGGCAGGGGGAGGTGTGGAGTCAGGCCCTGCCTTGGGGCCAGGTGGATCTAAGTGACAGGTCAGCGAAGGAGATCCAAGGAGGGGCCCCCAGACCCTGTCCTAGGCTGGGGGAGTCCTTGAACCCTAACTGCAGTGCAGTACTGCGCCTTGGGCCCCAGTGAGGGAGAAGGGGCTAAAGAGGAGGTTAGGATGAGTCATGCTCCCAGCCAAGACTGAGGGCAGGCACCGGGTTTGGGGCACGGACAGGGAGAGTGGATGAGGCTCCCGCAGTACACGGCCTCCGGCTTCCTGGACGCCTATCTCCGCTCTACCCATCTGGCCCCCAATCACCGACACCGGGGGGGCAACTACCCAGTTTCCAAATGTACAGAAGGGGAAACTGAGGACCAGGAAGTCAGCGCCTGGCTCAAGGTCACAGAGCCGGGCAGGCGCCCGGCGGCCACTGGGACCCGGGGCTGCGGCTTCCCCAGCCGCTCTTTCTTCCGAGACTGGATAAAGGGTGGCCCCAGGGCGAGGCCCGGGTGGTGGACAGAGCACGCGGATGGAGGCCGACGCGGGGTGGGCAGTGTCTGGGAGTCCTTCGCGGGGGGACGTGGGAGGAGGAAAAAGGGTCCAGGGGCCCCCAGACCCGCAGGAGGGCAGCTCGCCGGGGGCCGGGGAGGGGGATCCCGGGCGGGAGGGGGACAGGGAGGGGCCTGCGGGCTTCGTAAGGACGAGCTCATCCCGGAGGAGGCAGGGGCGCGGCCTCCTGGCAGACCCGGCCCCCTCCCGTGCCCCACGCTGCCCCGGGCACCCCCTCCAGGCCCTCGCCCCACACCCCGCGGCCCGCGCACCTTCCTCTCCCATACGTTCTTCCCTCCAGGTGCAACAAAGTAGCGTCAACCTCATGCACTCGACGGGGGGCGGGGCCCGGCGGGGCTGGGGCTGGGGGCGGCCGGGCCCGCGAGCTCGCCCACCGCCGCCGGCCCGGGGAGGCGGGGGCGGAGGGCGCGGGCCGGGCCGGGCCGGGCCGGGGGCGCCTCTCGGACACCGGCGGGGAAACCGGCTCGGCGCCGCGGCGGCTTGGGGAGCGAGCGGAGGGGCGGACCGAGGCGGGGCCTGTGAGCTGCGGCACGGGGGCGGGGCGCGGGCGGCCGGCGGCGGGAACGGCCCTGCGCGGCCCCGCCCCCACCAGAAAACCCCGCCCCCACGCCCAAGGCCACGCCTCTAGAGGCCACGCCCCGCTGCGGCCCGGCCTGGGGGCGCCGCGAGCTGGCGCGGCGCGCCCCGCCCCTCCCCGCCCCTTCCGCCCTTCATTCATTCTTCTTTCTCCCAGCGACAGGCCTCGGCTGGGAGCTGCGAGGCCCAGCTGTCTCGGAGGGCCGCTAGCTCTGCTGGGGCAGGCCAGGAGGATGTAGGAGCCTAGAGAAGGGGCCTCCGCTTCCCTGCGCGAGGCCCCCACAGACCCAAACCAGCTGCAGCCGGGAACTCGGATCAGAGCTGGAGAGGCCCTGTGGACCCCCAGGACACTGGTGGTCGCCTTGGGGAGGGGAGGGAGGCGGGCCGGGTTTTGTCCCTCTCTCTGAGGCCTGCATTGAGGCCAGGCTGGGCCCGGGGAAGGTGACGGTCCGCGTCTCAGGCCTCGCGAATGAGCAGCACCAGAGAAAGGAGCGAGCCCCTGCCAGGCGGTGACAGGTGTACTCTTCTCAGTGCCGATTACCTGGAGCTGGGGCTGCCCTGCCCAGGGTCCTGGAGGGAGCACGGGTTTGGGCTGAGTCAAGCGTCCAAAGGAATTGGGTGGTCCAGTCCAGCACTGATGGTGGAACGCCCTGCCTAGATGTGGACAATTCTAGAATGCTGGACATGGGCAGGAAGCAACCCTGTCCCCCCTAGGTCTACCTTCCACGTCATCCCTCTGCCCAGGAAGCAGTGACCGGAGTGGAGCCACGTGCCCACGTGAACCCAGTGAACAAGAGGCAGCGCTAGCCCAGCTCCAACTCTAGTCATCATGTTTGTGGGGAGAGGTCTAGGCACGTCTGCAAAGTGGGGGGCACTCACCCCTGGGTGCAAAACAATTACGTGGGGTGGGAAGAAAATACTAGATTTTTTTTTTCTTTTTTTAGATTCGGTCTCGCTCTGTTGCCTAGGCTGGAGTGCAGTGGCGGGATCTCGGCTCACCGCAGTCTCCACCTCCCAGGTTCAAGCAATTCTCCCACCTTAGCCTCCCGAGTAGCTGATATTACAGGCGTGCACCACCATGACCGACTAATTTTTGTATTTTTAGTAGAGATGAGGTTTCACCATGTTGACCAGGCTGGTCCTGAACTCCTGACCTCAGGTGATCCACCCTCCTCGGCTTCCCAAAGTGCTGGGATTACAGGTGTGAGCCACCACGCCTGGCCAGAATTTTTAATTTCTCATGAGAAAGAAGGCTGGGCACAGTGGCTCACACCTATAATCCCA
Organism: Homo sapiens; assembly: GCF_000001405.40. NCBI lineage: Eukaryota > Metazoa > Chordata > Mammalia > Primates > Hominidae > Homo > Homo sapiens. Next base: position 74,082,436 of record NC_000007.14, on the reverse strand, counting down.
GCACTTTGGGAGGCCAAGGTGGGAGCATCACGTGGGGCCAGGAATTGGAGATCAGCTTAAGCAATGAAGTGAAACCCTGTCTCTTCTAACTTTTTTTTTTTTTGAAATGGAGTTTCACTCTTGTTGCCCAGGCTGGAGTGCAATGGTGCGATCTCAGCTCACAGCAACCTCCACCTCCCGGGTTCAAGCCATTCTCCTGCCTCAGCCTCTGGAATAGCTGGGATTATAGGCATGCACCACCATACCTGGCTAATTTTGTATTTTTAATAGAGACGGGGTTTCTCCATGTTGGTCAGGCTGGTCTCGAATTCTGGACCTCAGGTGATCCACCCACCTTGGCCTCCCAAAGTGCTGGGATTACAGGCGTGAGCCACCGCGCCCAGACTTTTTTTTTTTTTTTTAATTAGCCAGGCATGGTGGCTCATGCCTGTAGTTAGTTACTTGGGAGGCTGAGGTGGGAGGATACTTGACCTCAGGAGGTTGAGGCTGCAGTGAGCTATGATTGCACCATTGCACTCTAGCCTGGGTGACAGAGACCCTGTCAAAAAAGATAGGGAGGGAAAAAAAGGGGAAGGAAAGAGAGGGGAATGAGAGCCTTGTAACTTGGCTGTAGGGCATATACCAGGCAGGACCCTGGCTGGAAACAGAAAGTGCCACTTAGTGGGGCTAACTGGGGAGAGTTTGATAAAGGGGATGTTTGCAATGCACTGGGGAGGGGGGATTAAAGGAGATCAGTAAGGACTGGCACAGTTGGAGGGGTGGCAGCAGTTACCAGCCCAGGGTAAGGGGGCATAGAGGGGGTCCCTGGAGGAGAGGCCTGCCTGAGAGGAGCTGTGCAAGAGGGGTCCCCAGTTCTGGGGGACTCATGGGGAAGAGGGCCCAGAAGGGCTATTCTGATCTGACTCCCCTGCTCTTCTTATTCTTCCATTGCCTCCCGTTAACCAATCCCGTCTGGATGCAGCGGGCAGGGCCATGTTGATGCTGTGCCCACAGTGCAGGGCAGAGAAGTGCATAGTGGCCTGGAGGGGCTGTGAGCCTGAGCCAGCTTGGTTGAGTGATGTTATCCAGTTTTGACTAAATTAACCCTCACAGAATGGACTCATAGTTGAAAACAATTCCTGCAAAGAAAGCACAGATTGGGCCTGGCGTGGTGGCTCACACCTGTAATCCCAGCACTTTGAGAGGCTGAGGCGGGTGGATCGTGAGGTCAGGAGATCGAGACCATCCTGGCCAACATGGTGAAACCCCGTCTCTACTAAAAATACAAAAATTAGCTGGGCATGGTGGTACGTGCCTGCAATCCCAGCTACTTGGGAGGCTGAGGCAGGAAAATCGCTTGAACCAGGGAGTTGGAGGTTGCGGTGAGCCGAGATTGCGCCACTGCACCCCAGCCTGGTGACAGAGCAAGACTCCATCTCAAAAAAAAAAAAAGAAAGCACAGATTGAAGATGATGCAGACTGGGTGCAGTGGCTTATACCTGTAATCCCAGCACTTTGGGAGGCTGAACTGGGAGGATCGCTTGAGGTCAGGAGTTCAAGACCAGCCTGGGCAACATAGTGAGACCCCCTCACATCTCTTCGGAAAAAAAAAAATTATCTGGGAGTGGTGGTGTGCACCTGTAGTCACAGCTACTCAGGAGGCTGAGACGGGAGGATCGCTTGAGTCCAGGATTTGGAGGCTCTAGTGAGCTCTGATCATGCCATTGTACAGCCTGTCTCAAACAAATAAACAAAAAAAAAAAAAAAGAAGATGCTAACACACCCAGATGAGCGAAAAGATGGAGCTGGCACTTCCACACCTTGTAGGAGCTCCTTGTCAGCCACAGTTCCAGGTGAAACATCAGATCTGACATATTCAGTTACATTGCTCATGCAAGATTTTTTTTGCTGAAAGCAAAAAGGATTTTTGCTTTTTATTTATATTTATTTATTTATTTATTTATTTTGAGATGGAGGTTTGCTCTTCTTTCCCAGGCTGGAGTGCAGTGGCACGATCCCAGCTCATTGCAATCTCCACCTCCTGGGTTCAAGCAATTCTCCTGCCTCAGCCTCCCAAGTAGCTGGGATTACAGGTGTGCACCACCATGCCTGGCTAATTTTTTGTATTTTTAGTAGAGATGGGGTTTCACCAGGTTGGCCAGACTGGTCTCGAACTCCTGACCTCAGGCGATTCGCCCACCTAGGCCTCCCAAAGTGCTGGGATTATAGATGTGAGCCATCTCGCCTGGCTGCAAAAAGGATTTTTGGACTTTTTTTTTTTTTTTTTTTTAAGAGAGACAGGGTCTCACTCTGTCACACAGGGTGGAATGCAGTGGCACGATCGTAGCTCACTGCAGCCTCAAACTCCTGAGCTCAAGTGATCCTCCCACCTCAGACTTCTAGGTAGGTGGACCCACAGGCACACACGCCACGTCTGGCTAATTTTTATCTTTTGTAGAGATGGGGGGGGGTCTTACCATGTTGCCCAGGCTAGTCTCGAACTCCTGTGCTCAATTGATCCTTTCCACTTTGTGTTCCCAAAGTGCTGGGATTATAGGCATGAGCCACTGAGTCCGGCCTGATAAAAGTTTTTTGTTTTGTTTTTGTTTTTTTGAGATGGAGTCTCGCCCTGTTGCCCAAGCTGGACTGCAGTGGCGCTAACTCGGCTCACTGCAACCTCTGCCTCCTGGATTCAAGTGATTCTCCTGCCTCAGCCTCCCGAGTAGCTGGGATTACAGGTGCCTGCCACCACGCCTGGCTAATTTTTGTATTTTTAGTAGAGATAGGGTTTCACCATGTTGGCCAGGCTGGTCTTGAACTCCTGACCTCAAGTGATCATCCCACCTCGGCCTCTTAAAGTGCTGGGATTACAGTGTGAGTCACCACTCCCGGCCAATAAAAGTTTTTTCTATGAGGAGTTGAGCGCCCCATGGGAATGGCTTACTCACTCTAGAGGTTAGAATTGCCCAGTTGCAAATTTGTGCCTGGCTGGACACAAGCCAGTGACAAGCAGGAGGCTCCTTGGGGATGCTGCTGTAACGTGAGCCCAAGGCTGTTGTTGAAGGCAGGGCCAGAGCCTGAGCTGTCCTAGCATGCAAAGCAGGCTGGCGTCATGGGATCCCTGCTGTCAGACCCTGCCTGCTCACATCTCGCCCACTCTGCGTGAGCTCACTCAGATGCATGGCTTGGTGACTCCTCTGACCTCTCCTCGAACTGCAGACACAAGAACCCGAATGTCTATTTGGGATCTCCACTTGGATGGCAAATGGGACCTCATACTTAATGTGTCCAGGTCAGAGCTCATAATTTGTGCCCGGATAGTTCCTCCCCAGGTGTTTCTTATCTCAGTAAATGACACCACCATCATCCAGTAATTTAGTTTAAACTCACAGACATTTTTTTTTTTTGAGACAAGATCTTCCTCTATCACCCAGGCTGGTGGGCAGTGGCACGATCAAAGCTCACTGCAGCCTTGACCTCCCAGGCTCAAGCGATCCTCCCATCTCAGCCTCCCTAGCTGCTGGAACTACAGGTGTACTATATGGCATGACTGCTCCCATTCCCTCTCTTGACTCCCTGCCTCTGATCCATTGGCAAATCCTATTGGCTCTATATGTAAAATACATCCAGAATTCCAGCACTTCTCCCTCCTTCTTGGCCTAGTTAGGTATTTAGAGCAACAGCCTCCCAAGTCATGTCCCTATGCCCTGTCATCCTGCAGAGCCTCTGAACATGTGTGACATTCCTTTGCTTTCTAACCCTAAGGTCCCTGCTTCTGCGCTTATGGGACCTAGCCTCTGGCTACTACTTTGCCCTTATTTTTATTCTCCTGTCAGTTTTGTTAAAATCATGATGGTCAGTCATGGTAGCTCACACCTGTAATCCCAGCCATTTGAGAGGCCAAGGCAGGAGGATCCCTTGAGGCCAGAAATTTGAAACCAGCCTGGGCAACATAGCGAGACCTCATCTCTAAAAAAAAAAAAAATTAGCCAGGTATGGTGGCACGTGACTGTAGTCCTAGCTACTTGGGAGGCTGAGGCAGGAGGATTGCTTGAGACCAAGTCTTGCTCTGTCGCCCAGGCTGGAGAGCAATGGTGCAATCTCGGCTCACTCCAACTTCTGCCTCCTGGGTTCAAGCAATTCTCCTGCCTCAGCCTCCTGAGTAGCTGGGATTACAGGCGCATGCTATCACACCCGGCTAATTTTTGTATTTTTAGTAGAAACGGGGTTTCACCATATTGGCCAGGTTGGTCTTGAACTCCTGACCTCAGGTGATCCACCCGCCTCGGCCTTCCAAAGTGCTGGGATTACAGGCGTGAGCCACCGCGCCTGGCCCCTTTCTCTAATTAAAAAGAAGAAAAATCGTGGTGCACCTCTCTGCTGTTCTAACTTCCCAAGTACGTGGTTGTTACAGGGCTTTTGACTTGAGGCCAGGTCCATTAACCATCCTAAGTTAGGGTGATAACATTCCTTGTAACTCTCCTCCCGGGCTTTTTATCTTCATAGCACCGATTTACCTGGCATTAGAGTTATTACTTATTCACTGTACTATATCAGTTTCCCCTGGCTGCTATGACAAATTACCAGAAACTTGGTGGCTGAAAACAAGACATTTATTTTCTCACAGTTCTGGAGGCCAGAAGTCTGAAATCAGATTGTTGGAAATCAATCCTGAAATCAATCTGCTGTGTCTTCTTTCAGGCATTTTATAGTTTTGGGTCTTACATTTAGTTATTTAATCTGAGTTATTTTTTGTATATGGTGTAAGATAAGGATCGAACTTTTTTTTTTTTTTTTGAGACAGGGTCTTGCTCTGTTGCCCATGGAGTGCAGTGGCATGATCTCAGCTCACCACAACCTCCGCCTCCCAGGTTCGAGCAATTCTCCTGCCTCAGCCTCCCAAGTAGCTAGGCTTACAGGTGCATGCCACCAGGCCCGGCTAATTTTTGTATTTTTAGTAGAGACGGGGTTTCACCATGTTGGACAGGCTGGTCTCAAACTTGTGATCTCAGGTGATCCACCCGCCTCAGCCTCCCAAAATGCTGGGATTACAGGTGTGATCCACCGTGCCCGGCCCCCAGACTTTATTCTGAGACAGGGTCTCGCTCTGTCACCCAGGCTGGAGGGCAGTGGCATGATCTCAGCTCACTGCAACCTCTGCCTCCCTGGTTCAAGTGATTCTCCTGCCTCAGCCTCCTGAGTAGCTGGGATTACAGGCACCCACCACCATGCCCAGCTAATTTTTGTGTTTTTAGTAGAGATGGGGTTTCACCATATTGGCCAGGCTGGTTTCGAATTCCTGATCTTGTGATTTGCCTGCCTCGGCCTCCCAAAGTGCTGGGATTACAGGCATGAGCCACCGTGCCCGGCCACTTTATTCTTTTGTATGTGGATATCCAGTTTTCCCAATAAAATTTGGCTTTTTTGTTATGTTTTTTGTTTTTTTAAAGAGAGATGGGATCTGTCTATGTTGCTCAGGGCGGTCTCGAACTCCTGGGCTCAAACAATCCTCCCACTTTGGCCTCCCAGAAGTGTGAGGATTACAGGCATGAGCCACTGTGTCTGGCCACTAACATTGCTTGTTGAAGAGACTATTCTTTCCCCACCGAATGGTCTTAGCATCTTGTCAAATATCATTTAATCATATACACGAGGCTTTATTAATATTTCTGAGCCATTATAAATATTCTGTTCTGTTGGTCTGTTTGTCTGTCATTATGCCAGTATCACACTGTTTGGGTTACTGTAACTTTGTAATACGTTTTGGCATCACAAAGTGTGAGTCCTCCAACTTTGTTCTTCTTTCTCAAAATTGTTTTGGCTATTTGGAGTCCCTTGAGATTTCACATGAGGTTTAAGATGAAATTTTCTGTTTCTGCAAAAAATACCATTGGGACTTTGATGGCAATTGTGTTGAAACCGTAGATTGTTTTGAGTACTACAGGCCTCTTAACAATTAAGTCTTACCATCCATGAACATGGATGTAAATTTTTATATTTACCTGTGTCTTCTTTAATTTAATTCAGCAGTGTTTTACAGTTTTCAGTGTACAAATCTTTCACTTCCTTGGTTAGGTTTATTTCTAGTATTTTATTCTTTTTGATGCTATTATAAATGGAATTGTTTCCTTTTTTTCTTTTGAGTCTTGCTCTGTCCCCCAGGCTGGAGTGCAGTGGCACGATCTTGGCTCACTGCAAGCTCCGCCTCCCGGGTTCACGCCATTCTCCTGCCTCAGCCTCACGAGTAGCTGGGACTACAGGTGCCCGCCACCACGCCCGGCTAATTTTTTTTGTATTTTTAGTAGAGATGGGTTTTCACCGTGTTAGCCAGGATGGTCTCAATCTCCTGACCTCGTGATCCGCCCGCCTCGGCCTCCCAAAGTGCTGGGATTACAGGCGTGAGCCACCGCGCCCGGCCTGGAATTGTTTTCTTAATTTCCTTTTTAGATTGTTCATTGTGAGGATGTGGAAACACAACTAATTTTGTGGGCATGTTCGATCTTTAGGAGTTTTTACATATAAGAGTCTGTTATTTGTGAACAGAGATAATTTTACTTCTTTCTTCTCAATTTGGATATCTTTAATTTCTTTTTTTTTTTTTTTTTTTGCCTAGTTGTTCTGACTAGGACTTCCAATACTATGCTGAATAGAAGTGATAGGAGTAGGCATCCTTGTCTTATTCCTAATCTTAGAGGAAAAGCTTTAAGTCCTTTTTATTTTTTTCGAGACAGGGTGTCACTCTGTTTTCCAGGCTAGAGTGCAGTGGCATGATCATGGCTCACTGCAGCCTCAACCTCCCAGTCTCAAGCAATTCTCCTGCCTCAGCCTCCTGAACAGCTGGGACTACAGGCATGTGCCACTATGCCCGGCTTATTTTTATATTTTCTTGTAGAGACAGGGCTTCGCTATGTTGCCCAGGCTGGTCTCGAACTTCTGGGCTCAAGAGATCTGCCTGCCTCAGCCTCCCAAAGTGCTGGGATTACAGGTGTGAGCCACCACTCAAGCCCAGTCTTTCACCATTAAGTATGATGTTAGCTGTGGGCTTTCATCTGTAGCCTTTATTAGGTTGAAGTGGTTTGCTTCTATTCCTAGTCTGTTGAATGTTTTTATCATGAAAGTTTATTGGATCTTGCTGCTTTTTCTGCTGCAATTGAGATGATCATGTAATTGTCTTTCATTCTGTTTATATGTTATATTTCACTGATTGATTTTCATATGTTGAAACATCCTAACATTTCAGGAAAAATTCCACTTGGTTATGGTGTATAATCCTTTTAATCTGCTATTGAATTTGGTTCGCTTGTATTTTGTTGAAGATTTTTGCATCAATGTTCATAAAGGATATTGGCCTATAGTTTGCTTTTCTTGTGTCTTTGGTATTAGAATAATGCTGGCCTCTTAGAAGGAGATTGGAAGTGTTCCCTCTACTTCAGTTTTCTGGAAGAGTTTCAGGAGGATTGGTGTTAATTTTTTAAATGTTTGTTAGAATTCTCCAGTGAAGCCATCTGGTCCTGGGTTTTTCTCTGTTGGGAGACTTTTTATTACTGATTTAATCTCCTTACTCACTATTGGTCTATGCTGATTTTCTATTTCTTCATGATTCAGTCTTGGCAGGCTGTGGCTTTCTAGGAACTTATCCATTTTATCTAGATTTTCCAATTTTTTTTTTCCTCAGATAGGGTCTTACTCTGTCACCCAGATTGGAGTGCAGTGGCACAATCATAGCTCACTGCAGCCTTGACCTCCTGGCTTAAGTGATCCTCCTGCTTTGGCCTCCCAAAGTGTTGGGATGATAGGTGTGAGCCATTGTGCCCAGCCCCAGCTTCTCATAAGAATACCTATGTAGCATTTAGGGCCCAGCAGGATAATCTCCCTATCTCTCAAGATCCTTGACTTAATCACAACTACAAAGACCCTTTTTCCATGAGGTAACTCTTAGGGGTGGAACTGTGTCTCCTCAAAATTTATATCTTGAAGCATTTACTCCAATACTGCAGAATATGACTGTATTTGGAGATAGGGTCTTTAAAAAAATTTTTTTTCTGTTTTTTGAGACAGTCTTGCTCTGTTGCCCAGGCTGGAGTGCAGTGGCGCAATCTTGGCTCACTGCAACCTCTGCCTCCTGGGTTCAAGCGATTCACCTGCCTCAGTCCCCAGAGTAGCTGGGATTACAAGCATGCACCACCACACCCAGCTAATTTTTGTTGTTGTTGTTGGGGTTTTGCCATGTTAGCCAGGCTGGTCTTGAACTCCTGACCTCAAGTGATCTGCCTGCCTCGGCCTCCCAAAGTGCTGGGATTACAAGCATGAGCCACTGTGTCCAGGCTGTGTTATTCTTAAAGCAGTGCCCATCTTAGAGTTTACAGTCTGGTGTAGAGAGACAGAAAACAAAGAAGTAAAATATATTTTGTTTATGGTGACAGGTGCTCTGGAGTCAAAGAAGGCAGAGACAGGCTGGGCGCGGTGGTTCATGCCTGTAATCCCAGCACTTTGGGAGGCCAAGGAGGGTGGATCACCTGAGGTCAGGAGTTCAAGACCAGCCTGGCCAACATGGTCAAACCCTGTCTGTATAAAAATACAAAAAATATTTGCCAGGCATGATGGCGGGTGCCTGTAATCCGAGCTACTCAGGAGGCTGAGGTGGGAGAATTGCTTGAACCCGGGAAGTAGAGGTTGCAGTGAGGTGAGATTTTGCCATTGCACTCCAGCCTGGGCGACAGAGTGAGACTCCATCTCAAAAAACAAAACAAAACACAAAACGGAGGTAGAGCCAGGTGAGGGAGTAATGAGCAGAGGAGGAGGGTGCAGCTTGCAATTTTATTTATGTTTTAAATAGAGATGGAGTCTCGCTATGTTGCCCAGGCTGGTCTTGAACTCCTGGCCTCAAGTGATCCTCCCACCTCAGCCTCCCAAAGTGCTGGGATTATAGGCACAGGCCACCGCATCCAGCCCAATTTGCAATTTTAGAAAGGTGTCAGTGTAGGACACTCTGAGAAGGTGACACCTGAGTCAAGACCTGAAGCAGCTGAGTGAGCCAGAAACACAGATAGCTGATGAAAGGGCGTTTTGGGCAGAAGAGATAGCAGATGCCAAGGCTGGCAGTGGGTGACCTGTTGCACTCAAGGAAAAGTAAGATGGCCAGGGCGACCGCATGGCTCGAATAGCAGAATGTGAGGTCAGGAGAGCTGCTGCCATGCAAGTAGGGGCTTCTTGGCCATAGAAAGGCCTCTGGCTTTGTCTCTGAGTGAGACAGGAACCACTGCAGGACTTGGAGTAGATGCATGACCCGAGTTGACTTATGCTTTGAAAGAATTGCTTTGGGCCAGATGTGGTGGCTCATACCTGTAATCCCAGCACTTTGGGAGGCAGAGGCAGGAGGATCGCTTGAGGCCAGGAGTTCAAAACCAGCCCGGCCAACATGGTGAAACCTTGTCTCTACTAAAAACACAAAAATTAGCCAGGCATGGTGGCACATGCCAGTAGTCCCAGCTACGCAGGAGGCTGAGGCAGGAGAATCTCTTGAACCCGGGAGGCAGAGGTTGAGTGAGCTGAGATCACGCCAATGTACTCCAGCCTGGGCAACAGAGTGAAACTCCATCTCAAAAAAAAAAAAAAAAAAAAAAAAAAAGATTGCTTTGGTTGCTGAGTGGAGAGAAGGCCGAAGGGGAGCCAGGGGAGAACTAAGGGGTTCAGGGAGCTATTTCAGTAATTCAGGCAAGAGATACTGGGGATTGTGGCTTAGCCCTGAGACGTGGTAGGACTCTGGATATATTCTTTTTTTTTTAGACAGAGTTTCGCTCTTGTTGCCCAGGCTATAGCGCAATGGTGTGACCTCGGCTCACCGCAACCTCTGCCTCCCGTGTCCAAGTGATTCTCCTGCCTCAGCCTCCTGAGCAGCTAGGATTACAGGCATGCACCACCATGCCTGGCTAATTTTTTTGTATTTTTAGTAGAGACGGGGTTTCTCCATGTTGGTCAGGCTGGTCTCGAACTCCCGACCTCAGGTAATCTGCCCACTTCGGCCTCCCAAAGTGCTGGGATTACAGGTGTGAGTCAGTGTGCCTGGCCAACTCTGGATATATTCTGAAGGTGGTGCCGTATTATTTGCTGGTGAATCTGCTGTGGGGAGTGAGGGAAGAGCAGAGTCAGAGATGGTTACAGAGTTGCAGGCCGGAACCTCTGGAAGAGTAGGGCTGCCCTTTACTGAGATGGGAAAGGCAGGGAGGGAAAACCACGCTACCTAGGCCATGTCTATGAGATTTCTAGGTAGAGATGTTAGAATTGGCCTTGGATGTGCAAGTCCTGGGCTCAGGGGAGCGGTCATGCTGGAGATGTCAATTGGAGAGTCACCAATGAATAGGTCGTATTAAATATTTAAAGCCACGAGCAACCAGCTGAGGTGGCTCACACCTGTAACCCCAACACTTTGGGAGGCCGAGGCCAGGAGTTTGAGAGCAGCCTGGGCAACATAGCAAGATTCTTTGTTTTTTTTTTGAGACAGAGTCTCGCTCTGTCGCCAGGCTGGAGTGCAATGGTACGGTCTCGGCTCACTGCAACCTCCGCCTCCTGGGTTCAAGTGATTCTCCTGCCTTGGCCTCCCAAGTAGATGGGATTACAGGCATGCACCACCACACCCGGCTAATTTTTATATTTTTAGTAGAGATGAGGTTTCACCATGTTGGCCAGGCTGGTCTTGAACTCCTGACCTCATGATCCGCCTGCCTCGGCCTCCCAAAGTGCTGGGATTACAGGTATGAGCCACCACGCCTGGCTGCAACATGGCAAGATTCTATCTCTATAAAAAAATTTAAAAATTAGCTGGGTATGGTGGTATGTGCCTGTAGTTGGGAGGATTGCTCCAGCCTGGGAGTTTAAGGCTGCAGTGAGCTGTGATAGCACCACTGCACTCCAGCCTGGGCGAAAGACTGAGGCCCTGTCTCTGATAAATAAATAAAACCGCAAGCTATGAGAAACCAAGACAGGGAGTCCACAGGCCTGAATGCTGGGGCTTACTGACTTTTAGAGGCCGGAGACCTGAGGAAAAACCAGCAATGGATATTTTTGTCGAGTGAAGTAATGAATGGATGGATGGACTGGTGGGTGGATGGATGGGTGGATAGATGGATGGATGGATGGGTGGGTGGATAGATGGGTGGGTGGGTGGATGGGTGGAAGGAGACATGGATGGATGGAAGAATGGTTGGGTGGGTGGGTGGATGGGTGGGTTGATGGGTGGGTAGGTGGACAGATGGGTGGGTGGATGGGTGGATGGATGGATGGATGGATCTACTTTGTCACCACTCTAGGGCAGGCTGTGTCACCCCTCCCTGGATTATTACAGCAACCCTCTTGTGCATCTCCTTGAACCACGCCGCTCACCCCCTCCTGATCATCCTCCATAAGTCCTCAGCACTGCCCTCTCCTACCAGACATCTAGTTGTCCTGTCCTCTGCCTGAAAGGCCTGACCCTCCTCTCTGTTCTATTCTTTGCCTGGTAAAATGTTTTTTGCCCTTTACTGTCCTCTGGGAAGCTCTCTCTGAGCATACCCTCCACCAGCTTTCTCTTTCCCTCCCAGCTCCTTCTGGGATCGCAAGGATCCTCGTATGCAAACCCACATATGCTCCAGTCTGCATGGTGAGCCCCACCCACACTCCCCACGAACAGCTCTGTTGCCACATTTCTGGCTTAGAGGTGTGCACACTCAGCACGGGGCCCGCTCTCAGGAGGGTGGCACAGGCCTGAGGCTGAGTGAGCCCTGGAAGTGGGCTTGGTGGTTGGGGAAGGGAATTCCAGTATCTGGTATCCAGAGCGTGGTCTAGAGGTAGGGATGTGGGCTGCAGGTGAACACATTCCCGGGCCCCACGGATTTCTGGCCTCAAGGGGAGGAGGAAGGGCCAGAATGGGAATGGGTGCATCTGAGTAAGGGTGGAGCTGAACCTGCTGCTGGGTATCACTTCTTAAACTTCTCAAGCCAAATGGCCTTACATGGCCACGCATGAGAGTGGGTCTTCCTCAGAGGGGACTGTTTCGGAGGAAAATGGTTACCTTTGACTGTCTTCTGCATTTTCTTAGGTCAGCCATCTTTCCTCTCTGTCTCTTTCTGTTTCTCTCTCTCTCTCTCTCGAGACAGGATCTTGCTGTCTCACCCAGGCTGGAGTGCAGTGGCGCAATCATAGCTCACTGCAGCCTCGAAATCCTGGGCTCAAGCGATCCTCCCACCTCAGCCTCCTGAGTAGCTGGGACCACAGGCATGCACCACCACCAATCTTGGGTAATTTTTTTTTTTTTTGTAGCTATATGGTACAAAGTGATTCTCCACTGGACAGCTATGTTGTCCAGGTGGGTCTCAAACTCCTGGCCTCATTGTTAAAGTACAAGCCAAACTTGGAGAAAGATCGATGCCCCAGAAGCCAGCAGCAGGGGCTTTTGGTTGGGCAACCTCTCAAATACACTGTGGGTGGTGGAGGTTCCCTGAAGCAGAGCCCTTATCCCCATCCAGGCCAGCGAGTTGAAGGCAGATTAAATCATACGAAGGAAGCTAAGACACAGTTTCCTTTAAAGGTTTTTCATTTATTAGTCATTTCTGAAGCAGTTAATTCTCTTTTCTTATTAAAAAAAAAGGTGTGTTTCATCCAGAGTTATATTAGAGTGATTAAAATGTTTTTTCTACTGGGGATACAGCTCCCCGGATCAGAAAAAAAAATTATCTTTTTTTTTCAATGAACCACAACAATAAAACCAAAAGAGAATATCAACAATCAAAAATAATCCCCAAATATCCAGGACAAAAAATAAAATATTTATTGATCTATCACAGCGAGACACAAAAAGATGGGCGGGGCAGGAATGGGAACTGCTCTGAAGTTCAGTGGACCGAGGGAGGGATGGGGGGTATACAGTACTGCATGTGGGGACACCCCGGGTGGGGAGGAGATGCCTGGCACCCCAGTCTGCACAGCCCCGCACGCCCTGGGGGAGTGTAGGATGGGGGTGGAGGCAGGGCACAGGCGGCCATGACAGGTCAACCAGGTTGATGGTGGGTGCACCCAGCCAGCTAGTGGTGCCGGGCGGTCAACTGGGGACATGGATGGACGGACCGATGGATGAATGGACGGATGGGCGGATGGATTCTACAAGGGCAAGGTGGCTATTCCCAGTGTGGGGTGGTTTTCCAACCCAAAAGCGCCCCAGATGTGGGGAACAGCGATCGGTGGGGAGGAGACGGCCAAGTGGACCCAGGAGAGGAGGGATGCTAGAGCGAATCCAGCTTTGAGGCTTCAGGTGCTTGGGTACCAACTGGATGGCAGCCAACGGTGGGTCCTGGTGGGCAGGGGGAGCTGGGACTGCCCAGGAAGTGTCTGCACCATCTTTAGAGGAGCCCCAGGTAGGGGGTTCCCCGAGGGGCCACCCTTCCCTCCTCCCTCCCCCCAGGAAGATAAGAGCACCAGCGTGTAGCACCAAGTTCCCCTGGAGATGGAGGCTGTGTGGAGGGGGAGCTCCTAGGTGGGAAGGGATGGGGTGGGGGGCCAGGACCACATGGCCCTTGCCTCTGAAGTAGGGGGCCTCCTGGTCGGGGCACTTGGCCGCTCCCCTCTTGTTTCCTTGCCCTGTGGATCTGCAAGGCCGCCCGGCCTGCCCGTTCCCTCCTGGGGTGGGGAGTCGGAGGGGCATGGGATGGGGTTACAAAGGGTTTACATTCTCCACCAAGCAGTAGCACCAACGTTGATGAGGTCGTGAGTCAGGGGTCCTAGGAAGCTCATTTTCTCTTCCGGCCACAAGCTTTCCCCAGGCAGGCCCCACCTGGACGGGAGGAGGTGCACATCACTGTGAGTCCGGCCCCTCTCAGTTTCGGCTCTAATCCCCGCCTGCTCTGACCCACTCGAATGGAGGCTCCAAGAAGCCAAGAGAAGCCAAGTCATGGCCCCAGGCCAAACTCAGACCTGATCCATGCCATCAACTTCCACTGGACAGATGGGGCGGGAGAAGCCCCCAAGATATTACTTGGATGAAACCAACGCTCGCAGAAAAGGGGGCAGGTCATGGGGCCTGGCTGGGGAAGGACGGGGCCTGGCACTGGCTCCTGGCTCCACTGCTCCAAGAAGCCTTTCGGGGAAAGGCTAAGAGCAGCTCCATCAAGGAACATGGGATGAAGGGAGAGTCAGTGTCTGCAGGAGACGGCCCTCTCAGGGAGTGGGGTGGACCCATACATCTGAGAGGGCATCAGATAAGTAAATCAAGGCCCAGTAGAGGGAGAGAGGGTCTTATCCACATAGTGTCTGAGCTGGGACTCAAACCCAGGATTCCTACCCCCTCCTGGGAATAGTCTGATGGGTGAACCCTGTTTCAAGGCATCAGTCTGTATTAGGTAAGGCACCATTGTCTAGTAGCGCGGCCCGGAGCAGTTCCTAACCCTGCTTGAGCCAGATATGGCTCCTTACCGCCACCTGGTGGCAGTGAGCAGAGAGTGGGGCAGGAACAGACATCTGCCTCTGAAGGTTTTTTTTTTTTTTTTTTTTTTTTTTTGAGACGCAATCGTCTTGCCCTGTCATCACCCAGGCTAGAGGGCAGTGGTGTAGTCTCAGCTCACTGCAACCTCCGCCTCCTGGGTTCAAGCAATTCTCCTGTCTCAGCCTCCAGAGTAGCTGGGATTACAGGCGTGCACCACCACACCTGGCTAATTTTTTTTTTTTTTTTGAGACGGAGTCTTGCTGTGCCGCCCAGGCTGGAGTGCAGTGGCGCAATCTCGGCTCACTGCAAGCTCCGCCTCCCGGGTTCACACCATGCTCCGCCTCCCGGGTTCACACCATTCTCCTGCGTGAGCCTCCCGAGTAGCTGAGACTACAGGTGCCCGCCACCATGCCCGGCTAATTTTTTGTATTTTTAGTAGAGACGGCCGGACGTGGTGGCTCACTCCTGTAATCCCAGCACTTTGGGAGGCCGAGGCGGGCGGATCACGAGGTCAGGAGTTCGAGACCAGCCTGGCCAATATGGTGAAACCCCGTCTCTACTAAAAATACAAAAATTAGCTGGGCGTAGTGGTGTATGCCTGTAGTCCCAGCTACTTGGGAGGCTGAGGCAGAAGAATCGCTTGAACCTAGGAGGCAGAGGTTGCAGTGAGCCAAGATCGTGCCACTGCACTCCAGCCTGGGCAACAGAGCAAGACTCCATCTCAAAAAAAAAAAGAAGACTATAGTATTTTTAGTAGAGACGGGGTTTCACCGTTTCAGCCAGGATGGTTTCCATCTCCTGACCTCGTGATCCACCTGCCTTGGCCTCCCAAAGGGCTGGGATTACAGGCGTGAGCCACCACACCCGGCTAATTTTAGTATTTTTAATAGAGACAGGGTTTCGCCATGTTGGCCAGGCTGGTCTTGAACTCCTGACCTCAGGTGATCTGCCCTCCTCAGCCTCCCAAAGTGCTGGGATTACAGGTGTGAGCCATCACACCTGGCCATGAACTGTGTTTTTAAAAAGCAAATGTTCCCTGTGTTTATAAGAGGTCAGCAAGAAGGAGGGGAGGCTCTACATTCAGCTCGGGGTCCAGCCTCGTGTGACCTGAGGCTGTGGGGTCCACCCCTGGGTGCTGGCTCAGCCCTTCTGAGCAGGAGATGGCACAGGAGAGGAGGGAGGAGGTGGCTGCAGCTCCAGGGCAGGGCCCAGGGGCAGGGAGCCTGGCATACCTGGGAAAATGGGAGACAATCCGAAGCCAGGTCTTGCTGCCACTCCTGCAGGAGAGATTTCAGGTTGGTGGGTTGGTAGGGGTGGAAACTGACTCCAGCCTCATCACTTTCTGCCTGCACTGGCTCACCCAAGACCTCTGTCTGGGATCACCTCCTCTCCATCCCCCCCACTATATAATTTTTTATATTTTATTTTATTATTATTTTTTTGAGATGGGGTCTTGCTCTGTCACCCAGGCTGGAGTGCAGTGGTGCGATCTTGGCTCACTGCAACCTCCGCTTCCCAGGCTCCAGTGATTCTCCCGCCTCAGCCTCCCGAGTAGCTGGGATTACAGGCGTCCACCACGTTTGGCTAATTTTTGCATTTTTTTTAGTAGAGACAGGGTTTCACCATGTTGACCAGACTGGTCTCGAACTCCTGACCTCAAGTGATCCACCCACCTAGGCCTCCCAAAGTGCTGGGATTACAGGCGTGAGCCACCACGCCCAGCCAATCCCCCTCACTACAGCCAGAGTGGCTTTCTCAACACAACATGCCGCCACCTAGCAACCAGGTGTGGCACCTCATGGCCTCAACCCTGAGCTCAGCCTGGCACTGTCCCCAACCTTATAGCTTGCCCGTTTGCCCAGTACATCTGCAATCCTAAAGTGCCCTCACCAGCCCCAGTCTCCTGTCCTTGTGTGGACATGGGCTCTGGGAGTCCCCACTGCTAGATGGACAGGCCCCCTCTAGATCGGGACAGAGCTGAGGACTACGTAGCAGAGCTGGCCACCCCTACCTCCAAGTGGGAACTGCCCGGCACCCCCTAGGACACCTCCAAGGCCAGCAGCACCTGAGAAGAGGCAGGTGGGGTCAGGATAAGACACCCCCATCGGGAAGAGGCCCTGATATCCCTGCTGGGTTCTGGGTTAAGGAATGTCCCAGACAAGATCTTCAGGGGTAGGGGGAGCCAGAGGGAGGCCTGAGCTGGGCTGGGGGAGGGTGGCGATGGGCATGGCAGGGGGTGCAGGCCACTGGCAGGAAGGCATCAGAGGGGAACTCACCGTATTTAGCTGCTTTAGCGGCTGCAGCTGGAGGTATACCTGGGGAGATGAGGCACATGACGGCTCAGGAATGCCAATGCCACCTGTCAGGCCCTGTCTTTTTTTTTTTTTTTTTTCTTGAGGCAGAGTCTCACTCCTTCGCCTGGGCTGGAGTGCAGTGGCGCGATCCCGGCTCACTGCAACCTCCATCTCCTGGGTTCAAGCGGTTCTCCTGCCTCAGCCTCCTGAGCAGCTGGGATTACAGGCACCCACCACCACGCCTGGCTAATTTTTGTATTTTTAGTAGAGACAGGTTTCACCATGTTGGCCAGGCTGGTCGCGAACTCCTGACCTCAGGTGATCCACCTGCCTCGGCCTCCCAAAGTGCTGACATTACAGGTGTGAGCCACTGCACCTGGCTAGGCCCTGTCTTCTGACCTACTCACCCTTTACCGTCTGCCCATGGACTCATCCTCCCAGTCTATCCCCCCATCTCTCCTTCATCTATCCAGCTTCTTGCTCTGTTGCCCAGGCTGGAATGCAGTGGCTTGATCACAGCTCACTGCAGCCCTGAACTCCCGGGTTCAAGTGATCTTCCTGCCTCAGCCTCCCAAGTAGCTGAAACTACAGGCACACACCACGCCCAGCTAATTTTTAAATATTTCGTAGAGGTGGTGGTGGGGGGGGGTCTTGCTACATTGTCCAGGCTGGTCTTGAACTCCTGGCCTCAAGCAATCCACCTACCTAAGCCTCCCAAAGTGTTGGGATTACAGGCATGAGCCACCATGCCCGGCCCCAAAAGTCTTAATTGTTAAGCTCCTACTGTGTGTCTGGTCTTGTGGCACTCACAGGAAGAGCTGTGCAGGCTAGTTTACAGGGGGAGACACAATGACAGCCCAAGAAAGGGGGAAATGGCCACACAAGGTCGGCCACCATGGTGGAGACTTAGGGAAAGCAATTTCTCTCCAAGCTTTGATTTCTTTCTTGGAGAACTGGCATAACCATCATTCTCCTAATTTACTCCCACCGCAGTGGTCAGGTGGGTTGAAAGAGAGAGGAGAGGGGGAGGACTGGGACCCTGGCGGCAAGGGATAGCCCCAGCTCCCGTTTGCCACATTTCTTGTTTTTATTTTGTTTTGGGATGAGGTCTTGCTCTGTTGCTCAGGCTGGAGTGCAGCGGCGTGATCTTGGCTCACTGCAACTTCTGCCTCCTGGGTTCAAGTGATTCTCCTGTCTCAGGCTCCCGAGTAGCTGGGATTACAGGCGTGTGTCACCATGCCCAGCTAATTTATATACATACATACATACATATATATATATATATATATATTTTTTTTTTGAGACGGAGTCTCGCTCTGTCGCCCAGGCTGGAGTGCAGTGGCGCGATCTCGGCTCACTGCAAGCTCCGCCTCCCAGGTTCACGCCATTCTTCTGCCTCAGCCTCCTGAGTAGCTGGGACTACAGGCGTCTGCCACCACGCCCAGCTAATTTTTTGTATTTTTAGTAGAGACGGGGTTTCACTGTGTTAGCCAGGATGGTCTTGATCTGACCTCGTGATCTGCCCACCTCAGCCTCCCAAAGTGCTGGGATCACAGGCGTGAGCCACCATGCCTGGCCTCTTTTCTTTTCTTTCTTTCTTTTTTTTTTTTAGATGACAGGGTCTCACTCTGCTGCCCAAGCTGGAATGCAGTGGTACCATCTCAGCTCACTGCAGCCTCTGCCTCCTGGGCTCAAGCGATCCTCTGGCCTCAGCCTCTCAAGTAGCTGGAAATACAGGTGCCCACCACCACGCCCGGCTTATTTTTGTATTTTTGGTAGAGATGAGGTTTCGCCATGTCACCCAGGCTGGTCTCAAACTCCTCACCTCTAGTGATCCGCCCACCTTGGCCTACTAGAGTGCTGGGATTGCAGGCGTGAGCCACCGCACCTGGCCAAGAGGACATCTTGAGCAAAGACGTGCCAGGGGTGGGAACGAAAGTCTCTGTCTCTGTCTCTGTCTCCATCTCTGTCTCGCATACACACACCACACACACTCACTGATTTCAGAACAACTCTCACCTCCAAGGCCCCCAACACCTGGAACTCCAAGCCCTCCGACTCCGAGTCCTCCGAGCCCAGCGGCTCCCACTAGGCCTGTGGAGACAGCTGAGCATTAGACTCCGCTGGTCAGAAAGGTGGGACTGAAGCCTCGGCCTGTGGAGGGCGGAGGTGTCCTCTGGGGACACAGGTGGAGCCTGAGGTCTCCCCTGGCCTTCGATGGCACAGTGGAGCCAGGAGGTGTCTGGGGCAGGGACTCTGAGTCTACAGTGCCTGGTCAGAAGCTCCTCCCACACCCTGGGGGCCTGGGGGCCTGGCGGCAGCTCCCACCTCCACCCAGTGCTCACCAAACTGGGCGGCTTTGGCAGCAGCTTTGGCTGCGGCAGCGGCGGCGGCGGGTCCGGCTCCTGGGAACACAGACCGAGTTCAGGGAGGCACTCTGTACTGGTTAGATTCCCTCCCCACCCTGCCCCTCCTGGGGTTTCAACTCACCCACCACACCGCCTGGGATGCCTACTCCACCGAGAGCCCCGAGCCCTCCAAGGACCCCAGGCACTGCTGCTCCTGCGGGGAGAGGAGGGAAAATGAGTGTTCCATTTCTGAACGATGGGTCTCCCTGCCCCAGGGACACAAGGCAAGCAGACAGGTGGCAGGGGCCATGTGACACTGTGGAGGAGCAGTGGACAGGAAGTCCAGTCCATATTTTGTTTCATTTTGAGATGGGGTTTTGCTCTGTCACCCCGGCTGGAGTGCAGTGGTACAATCATAGTTCACTGCAGCCTCCAACTCCTGGGCTCATGCGATCCTCCTGCCTTAGCCTCCCGAAGGTGTGAACCACTGTGCCTGGCCTTAAAAGTTCTTTTGTAAGCCGGGTGCGGTGGCTCACACCTGTAATCCCAGCACTTTGGGAGGCTGAGGCTAGTGGATCACCTGAGGTCAGGAGTTTGAGACCAGCCTGGCCAACACGGTGAAACCCTGTTTCTACGAAAAATACAAAAATTAGCCAGGCGTGGTGGCGGGCGCCTGTAATCCCAGCTACTTGGAAGGCTGAGGCAGGAGAATCACTTGAACCCGGGAGATGGAGGCTGCAGGGAGCCAAGATCGTACCACTGCATTCCAGCCTGGGCGACAGAGCAAGACTCTGTCAAAACAAACAAACAAACAAACAAACAACGGTAATAGTATCTACAGCAGGCACTTAACATTTTGAGTGCTTCACACTTAGCAGCCCATTTTTTATGCATTGCAGCAGGAAAGGTAGGCACTATTGTCATTCCCATTTTGCAGATGAGAACGCTGAGGCAGAGCAGAGGTTAAGCAGTGTGCTCAGGGCTTCAGGGACGGGAAGTGGCTGGGGAGCCTGCGCCCTTCGCGGCTCCACCACATGACGTCACTCTGTTTCCCTGGCAATGTCTGTTGACTCAGGCCTGCCAAGCAGTCAGCAGTGAGCAGGGGAGGAGGCCAGGGCTGCTGGGGGTCGGCGCTGAGGAAGCCAGGATTTTCCGAGGTAGAAACTGGCCCCAAGTGGACCTGCCCGGCTGGTTGGTGGATCCCTGGGGGAGTCTTCCACCTCCCACCAACGCTGCTCACAGGAGGCCAGGAATTCAGGGGCTACAGACAGCGTGGGTCTGGCCAGGCAGGGCTGCCAGAGCGCCAAGTGCAGAGGCTGTGGGACTGCCACGTCCTCTGGGCTGGCTCGTGGTGGGAGCGGTCCTGCTGGCAGGACAGGAAGGCGGGCGGGGGCCCGGGGTGCCCAGATGAGGAATACCAGCTCCTTTGCTCGGGCCAGAGAGCTGGGGTGGAGGCAGAGACTGCCCAGACTCCTCATACCCACAGCAGGCCCAGTCCCTTCCTGGACACAGGGACCATGTAACTGTCAGGGTCAGGGCAAGCTTAGGGATGGTGGAATTGCCTCCTGGGGGGCAACTGGGATTTCAAGGGTGTTTTTGGTGGTCACAGGGGTTGAAGGCACCATAAGCATTTAGTGGGCAGGGGCCAGGTTTTTAAACTGTCATAAACGTGTCCTAGAAACTGCCTTTTTCTTTTTCTTTTCTTTTCTTTTTTTGAGATACAGTCTCGCTCTGTCGTCCAGGCCGGAGTGCAGTGGCGTGATCTCGGCTCACTGCAACCTCCATCTCCTGGGTTCAAGCGATTCTCCTGCCTCAGCCTCCCGAGTAGCTGGGATTACAGGTGCCCGCCACCACACCTGGCTAATTTTTGTGTTTTTAGTAGAGATGGGGTTTCACCATATTGGTCAGGCTGGTCTGGAACCCCCGACCTCAGTTGATCTGCCCACCTCGGCCTCCCAAAGTGCTGGGATTACAGGTGCCCGCCACCACGCCTGGCTAATTTTTGAATTTTTAGTAGAGATGGGGTTTAACCATATTGTTCAGGCTGGTCTGGAACTCCTGACCTCAGGTGATCTGCCTGCCTCGGCCTCCCAAAGTGCTGGGATTACAGGTGTGAGCCACCACGCCCGGCCGAAACTGCCTTTTTCTATTGTGACCACCCCAGTCCTGTGCTGTCAGGGATGGTGTGGTGGCAAGGGAGCCACAAGTGGTTGTGGGGTGCACTCACCATATTTGGCTGCTTTAGCGGCAGCCAGGGCTCCAGGTACTGGGGAGAAAGAAAAGTTGGGGAGTGGTCAGGAGCCGAGCTCTGTGCCTGGGAGTTCTGCCGCCTCCTCTAGAGAGCCCTCCCTGACTTCCTTGGCCTCTATTGCTTCCTCAAAGCCCTGAAGCTGTACAGGCACAGAGCTTTAGGGCTGAACAGTGCCTCCACCTTCCGTCTGCCCCTTCCTTCTCTCCCCAGGCCTAGCATGGACTGCCTGAGGCTGGGCACAGAGTGGGGCTCAGTCACCAGCTGGTGAAGAACTGGAGTTCCTAGTGGTCCCCTGGCCACAGAGCACTGCTGAAGGGGAGCCAGGCTGATCTACCTGCTCCTTCCCTGGTTGGAGGGCAGGCTTTTTCTCAGTCTGGAGCCCTGCCACCCCTCTACTGAGGAGGCAGATACTCTGCAATTGGGCAGCCTGGGGTCCCTTGGCCTGGTCTGCCCTCCTCCCGCTATCTGTTACCCCCAGATGCTTAGGAGAACCTAACAAGGATTTTACTATGCACCCCTGGGTGATGAGGGGGTGCTGGGGAGGTGCTGAGAGGAGGAGGGATCTCCTTCCCTGAGCTCAGGGGACAGGCTCCGCCTAACTCCCTCATCTGCACCTGCCCCGAAGCCAGGAACACCAGCACCAACTCCAAGTCCAGGAACACCAGCACCAACTCCAAGTCCAGGGACGCCGACACCAACTCCAAGTCCAGGGATGCCAGCACCAAGCCCAGCTGCAGCTCCTGCAGACAGAGGGCAGTGGTGGCGACAGCAGGCAGGGAGCATGCCCCTAAGGAGGTGTCCTGCCCAGGGAGCTGAGCCTAGTCCCAGAGGAAGGGGCCCAGATCCAAGCAGCGGCCTCCTCCCTGGCTGTTGCCCCTAACCAGCTCTGAGATCGTTGGGGAGAGGAGAGAAAGGTGGGCGAGGCACTCACGGAGCTGGGCTTTGGCAGCCACCTTGGCAGCGGATTTTGCTGCAGCTGAGGGAGGGAGAGAGAGGGGGATTAGAGATGGAGGCGGGGCCCATGGAGGCTTCGGGGGCCCCTCAGGCTCATTGACTCATGAAACTCACCTGCAACTCCACCAGGGCCAATGCCGGGAGCCACGCCAACGCCAGGAGCCACACCAACTCCAGGAGCCACGCCAACTCCAGGAGCCAAGCCAACTCCAGGAGCCACACCGACACCAGGAGCCACGCCAACTCCAGGAGCCACGCCGACACCAGGAACTAACCCTGCAAGATTGAGAAGAGCTGATCATTAACCAAGACCTGATCAAAGAGGACAGAAGCTTATGGAAAGAGGGCTGGAGCCTCGGCCCTGGCATAGATTTGCTGTGTGACCCTGGATCAGTTACTTTCCCTTGCTGGGCCTCAGCTTCCTCCTCCCTAATATGAAGTGTGTGCAGGCTCAGGAGTTCATAACTTTGTTTTTTTGGAGACAGAGTCTCACTCTATCGCCCAGGCTGGAGTGCAATGGCGTGATCTCGACTCACTGCAACCACCACCTCCCGAGTTCAAGTGAGTCTCCTGCCTCAGCCTCCTGAGTAGCTGGGACTACAGGTGCGCACCACCATGCCCGGCTAATTTTTTTGTATTTTTAGTAGAGACAGGGTTTCACCATGTTGGCCAGGCTGGTCTTAAACTCCTGACCTTGGGTGATCCACCCGACTTGGCCTCCCAAAGTTCTGGGATTATAGTTGTGAGCTGCTGCATTTGGCCAGGAGTTCTTAACCTTTTCAGTGACAAGGACCCCTTGGAGATTTGAGGCTGATGGAGGCAGATTTACATTATATAAGGGACTTTGTAAGACAGAAAGGCTTTGGGTTCAAATCTCAGCTCAGCCACCATTTAGCTGTGCAACTGTAGGCAAGTTACTTAAGCTCTGGGAACCTCAGTTTCCACATCTGTAAAATGGGAAAAATAAAATCAACTCTGTAAGATTTTTGTAGGCCAGACACGTTGGCTCATGCCTGTCATCCCAGCACTTTGAGAGGCCAATGTGGGAGGATCGCATACAATTTTTTTTTTTTTTAAACTGGGCATGGTGGCATGTGACTGTAGCCCCAGCTACTAGGGATACTAAGGGGGAATAATGGCTTAAGCTAGGAGTTTGAGGCCTGCGGCGAGCTGACGGCATCACTGCACTCCAACCTGGGCGACAATGTGAGACCCCGTCTCAAATAAATAAATAATAAAGATTGCTGTGTGTGAGAATATGGGGCTCAGCAGACCTGCAGTCGAAATGCTCTCTGGCCTATTCAGTCCTAGAGATTCTGATCTGAACCTTTCAGCCCACAGGTCCCTAGGGCCAAGGCCTACAGACCCCATGCCCAGGGCCTGACATACAGTTGAGCTCTACAATTGGTGCTGCCACGATTTGCCATGTTCAGAAAAGTGTGGGCACCTGGGGCTGCCAGGGTGGCCCTCAAATGTAGCAAGAGATGGGGAACAAGAAGTACTGCAGGCCGGGTGTGGTGGCTCACGCCTGTAATCCCAGGACTTTGGGAGGCAGAGGCAGGAGGATCGCTTTAGCCTAGGAGTTTGAGACCAGCCTGAGCAACATAGTGAGACCGCTGTCGCTACAAAAAAATTAAAAAATTAGCCAGGCATGGTGGTGGGCACCTGTGGTCTCAGCTCTTGGGGGGCGGAAGCAGGCAGACTGCTTGAGACTGGGAGGTTGAGGCTGTAGTGAGCTATGATTGTGGCACTGTACCCCATCCTGGGTGACAGAGCTAGACCCTATCTCAAGAAAAAAGGAGAAGGAGAAGAAAGAAGAAGGAGGAAAAGGAGGAGAAGAAAGACGGAAGAGAAGAGAAGAAGGAGGAGAAAGAAGC
Organism: Homo sapiens; assembly: GCF_000001405.40. Taxonomy (NCBI): domain Eukaryota; kingdom Metazoa; phylum Chordata; class Mammalia; order Primates; family Hominidae; genus Homo; species Homo sapiens. The sequence goes on along the minus strand of NC_000007.14, from coordinate 74,058,284 downwards.
AGAGGAAGAAGAAGAAGAAGGAGAAAGAAGAAGAAAGAAGGAGAAAAAGAGGAAGAAGAAGAAGAAAGAAGAAGAAGGAGAAGAAAGGAGAAGCAGGAGGAGGAGGAAGAGGGAGGAGAAGGAAAAGAAGCAGGAGGAGAAGAAGAGGAAGGAGAAGAAGAAGAATGAGAAGGAGGAGGAGGGAGAAGGAGAAGGAGGAGGAGGAGAAGAAAGAAGAAGAAGAAGAAGGAAGAGGAGCACAAGAAGAAGAAGGAGAAGGAGAAAGAGAAGGAGAAGGGGGAGAACTGGAGTCCCTCAAGGGGAGCTGGAGCTCAGCATGAGGTCAGGTCCCCAATAGCCTGGGAGGCACCAGGGGCTTTAGGAACAGGGAGGCTCACACTGCTCACCCTGCTCCCCTAATCAGAAACATCACCCACACTCCTAGAGGTCATTCATCAGTGGGCCAAAAGGTCTAAGGAGGGCCCACCCCAGAATGTGACAGCTTAAGTGGGGTGGAAAGGAACAGGAAGCTGGGCGGTCAGACCCCAGAGCAGGGCACAGGAGAAAGCAGTTCTCCGTGAGCCAGTGGCGGGGGTGAGGGGGACTTACCAAACTGGGCGGCTTTGGCGGCTGCTTTAGCAGCTGCAGCTGCTGGGGTCCCCACTCCTGGAGGTGTGAAGAGAAGGGGTGAGAGAGTAATCTCTCACACCCCTCCCTGCTTCCCATCTCTAGGCTCAGTCTTCCCATTTGTAAAATGGTGCAGTCGACCTTGGTCAACTCCAGGGACCCTTCCATGAGACAAACCAAACCCATCTCTGGGCTGGAGACACAGCTCACCTGGCACTCCTCCCGTGCCCGGCACACCTGGGACTGCGCCTGGGGCACCTGGCACTAGCCCACCCAGCACTCCTGCTCCTGCAGCACCTCGGGGAGTGGAGAACTTTCAGCCTTGCCCCTCCCAGTACTCACTTTTTGGGGGAGCAAGGGTGGGTGGGAGAATCGGAGGAAGAAGAGAATGGCTTCCTGGCACCTTCAATTCTTTTTCTTTTTCTTTTTTTTTTATTTTTAGAGTTGGAGTCTTGCTCTGTCACCCAGGCTGGAGTGCAATGGTATAATCTCTGCTCACTGCAGCCTCTACCTCCCGGGTTCAAGCCATTCTCCTGCCTCAGCCTCCCAAGTAGCTGGGACTATAGGTGCCCGCCACCATGCCCAGCTAATTTTTGTATTTTTAGTACAGACAGCATTTCACCATATTGGCCAGGCTGGTCTCGAACTCCTGGCCTCAAGGGATCCACCTGCCTTGGCCTCCCAAAGTGCTGGGATTACAGGCATCAGCCACCCAACCCTGCCAGACACCTTCAATTCTGGGGGTGGGGGGTGGGGTGATGAGCCAGTGACCAACAGTCCTAACAGGGGGCATCTGAAAAGGACAGTAAGAGTGGAGTGTGGCTTTGGAAGATGGGGCAGGGGCCTCGTGACCTTGGTCCAGGCCATTTCAGTCCTGGAGGCCTGGGAGCCAGTTTGCCCTGAGGTTGGACCCTGAGCCCCGCGGGAGAGCAGGACTTGGGGACAGGCAGGGCAGGGGCACTTACCGTACTTGGCAGCCTTGGCGGCAGCTGCTGCCTGAGCTTCGGCTACAAGGAAACGAGAAAGAAAGAGACCCTCAGAAGCCGTGCCTGGGTCTCCTCCGAGCCGTGTTTAAAGCTCTTCTGCCCTGTAAGGCATGGATACGACCTCCCTTCTTCTCCCCCAACTCCTCCCTGAGCACATTCAAGCCCGATCTACAGTCCCCACTGCCCCTGCAGAGCCGAGCAGACAAGAAGCCCCCATCCCTTCTCAACCCATGTCCCCAGGTGTGACTAAGGCTCACGGGAAATGCCAACTCCCGGGACACCTCCGACTCCGGGAACACCTCCGACACCAGGGACACCTGCGACTCCAGGGATACCTCCGACTCCGACACCAAAGCCGGGAAAGCCCCCAGCTCCAACCCCGTAAGTAGGAATGCCTCCAACTCCGACTCCGGGCCTGGCCCCTGCAGAGGGAAGGGAGCCAAGTAGAAAAGAAGCTCAGTGAGAGAGGCTGGGCGGGCTCTGAGGGATGCTGATGGATTGGGAAAGAGGATGTAAATTTCCCCCAGGCCTTGTCCATAAAAGACAGAAAACTGGGATGCCTGGGTCCCCAGCACCTCCACCATGAAGCCTTTAAAAAAAATGTGGGGCCGGGTGCAGTGGCTCATGCCTGTAATCCTAGCACTTTGGGAGGCTGAGGCAGGTGGATCACCTGAGGTCAGGAGTTCGAGACCAGCCTGGCCAATATGGTGAAACCCCATCTCTACTAAAAATACAAAAATTAGCCGGGCGTGGTGGCGGGCACCTGTAATCCCAGTTATATGGGAGGCTGAGGTAGGAGAATCACTTGAACCCAGAAGGTGGAGCTTGCAGTGAGCGGAGATCACGCCACTGCACTCCAGCCTGGGTGACAGAGCAAGACTCCGTCTCAAAAAAAAAAAATTTCTTTTTTTTGGCCGGGTGCAGTGGCTCATGCCCATAATCCCAGCACTTTGGGATCCACGAGGCAGGTGGATCATTTGAGTCCAGGAGTTCGAGACCAGCCTGGCCAACAAGGCAAAACCCTGTCTCTACTGAAAATACAAAAATTAGCCAGGCATGGTGGTGCATGTCTGTAATCCCAGCTTCTTGGGAGGCTGATGCATGAGAATTGCTTGAACCTGGGATGCAGAGATTGCAGTGAGCCAAAATCATGCCACTGCACTCCAGCCTGGGCGACAGAGTGAGACTCTATCTCAGAAAAAAAGAAAAAGAAAAAGAAAAAAAAATTAAAATTTTTCATTTATTTTTTATTTATTTTATTTTTTATTTTTATTTTTATTTTATTTATGGGGTCTTGCTATGTTGCCCAGGCTGGTCTCAAACTCCTGGCCTCAAGCAATCCTCCTGCCTTGACCTCCCAAGTAGCTGGAACAAACAAGCACATGCCACTATGCCCAGCTAATTTTTGCATTTTATGTAGAGACAGGGTCTTGCTATTTTGCCCATGCTGGTCTCTAATTCCTGGCCTCAAGCAATCCTCCTACCTTGGTCTCCCAAATTGCTGGGATTACAGGTGTAAGCCACTGCACCCAGCCCTTTACTGACACTCTTCAGTCCTCCTCTGGCCCCTCTCCTCTCTGAGCACTTCGGGAAGACCCCCTTTGTTGGATGCAGAGAGACTATTGGCAGAATCCACATCCCCAGGCAGTTTTGGGCTCCTCTGAGAGGGCCTTGGCCAGAGCAGGGAAGCTCAGGGTCACTGTCCCCACTGGGAATGCCATCCTGGGACTTTCCCGCCACTCAGCCCCATGGCCCTGTGGTGGGAGACAAATGGGGGAGACATTGTCCTGAGGCCTGCTGGTGACTTGCTCGGTGACCTTGGGCAAGTCACTTCCCTTCTCTGGGCAAGTAGAGGAGGGTCCTTTAGTTCTGGCAAGTAAAGGCCAGGACAGGGTGGGGCAGAGCTGTCAGCATAGCACTCACCGTATTTGGCTGCCTTTGCAGCTGCCTTAGCAGCTGCTTCTGGTGACACAACCCCTGGAGAGACCAAAAGGGACACAAATGCTCAGGAGAGATTGGAGGAGAGCTGTGTAGTATGTATCCCTCTGTCTACCCATCTGTGTGTTGGGCCATCTCCTTTCATGCCAACATAGAGTTGGCTACACATCCATTTATGCACTGATGTCCACCCACCTGCCCATCTGTATACCCAGCCACCCCCATCATCCATCTACCTAATGACCCACCTCTATACCTGTCCATTTGTCTTTTTTTTTTTTTTTGAGATGGAGTCTCAATCTTGTCACCCAGGCTGGAGTGCAATAGCGCGATCTCAGCTCACTGCAATCTCCGCCTCCCCGGTTCAAGCACTTCTCCTGCCTCAGCCTCCCAAGTAGCTAGGATTACAGGCACCCACCACCATGCCTGGCTAATTTTTTTCTATTTTTAGTGGAGATGGGATTTCACCATATTGGCCAGGCTGGTCTCGAACTCCTCACCTCAGGTGATCCGCCCACCTTGGCCTCCCAAAGTGCTGAGATTATAGGCGTGAGCCACTGCTCCCGGCTGTCCATTTGTCTATCCTTGGATATCAATCCACCCACCCAACCACCTAACTCTCTGTCCACTCATCTATCTGCCAACTTATCCCATCTGCCTATCTATCCATTCATCTAACCATCTAGCCAACCATCCATTTTGCATTTGCTTGCCCACCATTCCACCCACCCGTCTATTCATCTGCCCCTCCAACCATGTGCTCATTCATCCACCCATCTACCCATTCATCCACCCGTTCTTTCATTCAGCCTCCCATCCATCCATCCCTCATCCATCTACCCATTCATCCATTCTTCCATCCATCCTCCCATCCATCCATGCCCCCATCCATCCACTCACCTATCCATCCCACACCCATCCACCCACACATCCACTCACCTACCCATCTATCCACCCATTCATCCATCCACTTATTCATCCATCCATCCATCCATCCACCCACCCATCCACCCATCCATCCATCCACCCACCCATCCACCCATCCATCCATCCACCCACCCATCTATCCATCCATTCATTCATCCACCCACCCATTCATCCACTTATCCATCTATCCACCCACTTACCGTTTTATCCACCATAAACTGAACACCTACTCAGCTAAGGGCTAGGAACATGGAGTTGAAAAAGACACGGTTCCTGCCCCCCAGAGAACACTGATAGCCAGAAGGTCAATTGGAAAATATGATACTGATTAGAAGCTAATAAGGAGATTGGTATAGCCCAAGGAAGAGAAGATGAGGGGATGAGACGTGGTCAAGGGTATGGGCAGATGGTTATGGTGTTAGGGAGAATGCAAAAATTTTGGCAATAGTCTCAATATTTCTCTCTAATACACACACACACACACACACACACACACACACACACACAGCCCAGCTCACCTGGAACCGCAGCACCTGGGATCCCAGCACCTGGGACAACTGGAATCCCAGCTCCTGGGACACCAACACCTGGAACGCCAGCTCCTGGGACACCAACTACTCCCGGGCCAAAGCCTGGCCCACCAGGCACTAAGCCTGCAGCAGCTCCTGTGGAAGAAAAAGCATTGTTCCCCTAACCTATGGGAACCTCAGAGGGGCTAGAAGGGTGGTTAGTAGAGTATGGAAGTGACAGTTGGTCCTGAATGCAGGATTGCAGGTGGGTTGACATTTCCTCTGCATGGATCCTACTCATCAGAGAGATGTGGAGAGACTAAGAGGGTCCCTAAAGAGCTCTAGGATTTGAATCAGTGAGCTGGAGGAATGTGATCTCTTTCTTTTTCTTTTCTTTTCTTTCCTTCCTTTCTCTTTCTTTCTTTCTTTCTCTCTCTCTCTCTCTCTTTCTTTCTTTCTCTCTCCCTCCCTCTCTCTCTCTCCCTCCCTCCCTCTTTTCTTTTTCCTTCCTTCCTTCCTTTCCCTTTCTTTCTTTCTCTTTCTCTCTTTTGTTTCTTCCTTTCTTTCCTTCCTGCCTCTCTCTCTCCCTCCCTCCCTTCCTTCATTTCCTTCCTTCCCTCCCTCCCTCCCTTCCTTCCTTCCTTCCTTCCTTCCGTCTTTCCTTCCTTCCTTCCTTCTTTCCTTCCTTCCTTCCTTCCTTCCTGTCTCTCTCTTTCTGTCTCTCTTTCCTTTTTTTTTGAACCAAATTCTCACTTACCCAGGCTGGAGTGCAGTGGCATGATCATAGCTCACTGCAGCCTTGAACTACTAGGCTCAAGCAATCCTCTCACCTCAGCCTTGCAGGTGGCTGGGACCACAGGCATGTGCCACCATGCCTAGATAATTTTTAAATACTTTTTGGAAAGATGGGGTCTCAGTATGTTGCTCAGGCTGGTCTCAAACTCCTGGTTTTAGCCTCCCAAATTGTTGGGATTACAGGCGTGAGCCACTGTGCATAGCTAGAATGTGATCTATTCCTAAAGCACAGTCAGAATTCTCACCACTGGGCACCCATTTAGTTGATGCAGCAGACACCTGTGGGCTGGCCCTGGAGGGGATGGAGTGGGAGGAGCCATGTCCCCTCTGCAGGGTCCCCTCCCTCTGCTGAGTTAATCAGGGCAAAACAATAGAGATGGCATCTCAGGTAGAGTGATCAGAAGGGGCAAAGGTAAGGAGGCATGAACAATGCATATTTGGGAAGGAACAAAGGCCAAGTCCATCTGGCTTTGCGGCTAGGGTCTCCGAGGTCTATGCAGGGGCCCGAGCCGTGGACTTGCCACCCCGGGAGGCACTCACCATACTTGGCTGCCTTAGCGGCTGCTGCTGCAGCTGCAGCTGCAGCTGGAGTCCCAACGCCTGAAAACACAGCCACAGAGGGTGAGGTCCTTGCCCTGTGGCCATCTCAAGGACACACCCGCCCCCTGCTGGGACAGATGTTACCTGCGATGCCTCCAATTCCAGGAATTGCCCCAGGCACGCCAGGAACACCAGCCCCTCCAACACCAGGGAGGACTCCGGCTGCTCCAGCACCTGTTGAGATGGGGACAGTGCAATGTAGTTTCCCAAGGACCCTCCTGAGGACAGGCAGGATGGCCACTTAGACGCCGGCGTTTTCACCAGTGTGATCTTATCCAGGAATGGGGCCCGGGTGTCTCCAGATGGGCCTGTCTGGGGAGGCCCCCACCCCACTCCACTGTTCCTTGACTCTCCCCCAAAGTGTCCATTTCAACACACTCATTAAGGGACTTGTATGTTTTCAGACAAATCCCATTCTAATCACTGCCACATACTGAGAAACCACAAGTGGCCGCTCCCTGGGCCAGAGGGTCCCCTGCAGGAATGTTCAAGACTTCCTCTCCCTGTGTTCCGAAGATGCAGCCAAGTTTGTAATCCAAGCGCCTGGCTGCTTGGCTCTGGCAGCCCCTCACAGCCCTGCTCTCCCGCTCCCACATTGCAGCCGTCCCCACCAGCCGCTGGGGCCAAGGAGCCTCGGGTGCTGGGAGGGGGGCCTGCGGGGCCTCCACTGGGAGGCCCAGCTTCAGGCTTCTCCCCACATTCTCGCTCTCTCGGGCTGGTGGGGAGATAAGGAAAGGGCTTCCCTGGGGCTGAGGATGAAGGAGGACTTCAGCCCTAGTGGTCTGACCCTGAGGTGGGCACTACCTGGGGCAGGGGACAGATGCCCACTCCACCCACTGCACGGGCACAGGAATACCACGTTCCATCTGCAGCCATGCTAGCCAAGAACTCACTGACCTGAGCAGTGAGTTAACATTTTTATAGTACACATTAAATTGATACATAACTATTAAATATTTTAAATGCTTATATATGCACCACCTAAAATTATCTTTCTAACCACCGTGGTACCCATTCCCTCTGCTTGGCCTCCTCTTTCCTGTTTTAACCACATGGTAAGCTCCATCTTTATTTTTAAGGCCTAAATCACATGTCACTTTCTCTGGGAAGCCTTTCTAACTTTCCTCAGGTAGAAAAAAATGCCTCCCGTTTCTTGACTCCCACAACAGTGGCTATATTCTCTAAGAGAACTCTTGTTTGTCCCTGATCTCTGATATGGATGGGTGGGAGGAGGCAGTGAGGGAGGGAAGGAAGGAGGCATGGATGAATGCATGGAGGAAAGAATGAATGAATGAATGAATGAATGAATGAATGAATGCATGGGTGAATGGATGGATGGGTGCATGGATGCATGGAGGAATGGATGGATGGATGGATGCATGCATGGAGAAATGGATGGATGGGTGCATGGAGGAATGGATGGAGGGATGCACGGAAGAATGGGCAGATGGATGGATGGATGGATGGAAGAATCAATGGAGGGAGTGATGGATAGATGGATTGATGGATGGATGGATGGATGGATGGATGGACGAGTGGATGGATGGGTAAATGGATGGATGGATGAGTGGATGGATGAATGGATGGATGGATAGATGGATGCATGGAGGAATGGATGCATGGAGGAATGGATGGATGAGTGGATGGATAGAGGGAAGAATGGATGAATGAGTGGATGGATAGAGGGAAGAATGGATGGAAGGAAGAATTGATGGGTAGATGGATGGATGGATGGATAGATGGGTGAGTGGATGGATGGATGGATGGATGGATGGATGGATGGAAGGATGCATGGAGAAATGGATGGATGGGTGGATGGATGCATGGAGGAATAGATGGATGGATGGATGGATGGATGAATGGATGGAAGGATGGATGCATGCATGGAGAAATGGATGGGTGGGTGCATGGAGGAATGGATGGAGGGATGCATGGAAGAATGGGCAGATGGATGGATGGAAGAATCGATGGAGGGAGTGATGGATGGGTGGATTGATGTATGGATTGATGTATGGATGGATGGATGGATGGATTGAGTGGATGGATGGGTAAATGGATGGATGGATGAGTGGATGGATGAATGGATGGATGGATAGATGGATGCATGGAGGAATGGATGCATGGAGGAATGGATGGATGAGTGGACGGATAGAGGGAAGAATGGATGGATGAGTGGATGGATAGAGGGAAGAATGGATGGAGGGAAGAATTGATGGGTGGATGGATGGATGGAAGGATGAATGCATGGAGGAATGGATGGATGGATGAATGGATGCATGGAGGAATAGATGGTGGATGGATGGATGGAAGGATGGATGGAAGGATGGATGCATGCATGGAGAAATGGATGGATGGGTGCCTAGAGGAATGGATGGAGGGATAGATGGATGCATGGAGGAATGGTTGGATGGATGAATGGGTATATGGGGGAATAGATGGATAGATGGTGGATGGATGAATGGAGCGAGGGAGTGATGGATGGATAAATGGATGGATGGATGAGGGGATGGATGGATGGGTGCATAGATGGATGGATGCATGGAGGAATGGATGGATGCGTGGATGGATGGATGGAAGAATGGATGGAGGGAGGGATTGATGGATGGAAGAATGGATGGAGGGAGGGATTGATGGATGGATGAATGGGTGGATAAGTGGATGGATGGATGGATAGATGGCTGCATGGAGGAATGGAGGATGGATGAATGGAGGGAGGTAGTGATGGATGGGTGGATGAATGGATAGATGGATGAGTGGGTGGATGGATAAATGGATGGATGGATGTGTGGACAGATGGATGGATAGATGGATCCATGGAGAAATGGATGGATGGATGGATGGATGGATGGATGGATAGATGGATGGATGAATGGATGGAGGGAGAGATGGATGGATGAATGAGTGGATGGATGAGTGGATGGATGGATGGATGCATGGATGTGTAAATAAGTAGATGAATGGATAGATAAGTGGATGGATGGATAGATGGATGCATGGAGGAATGGATGGATGGATGGATGAATGGATGGAGGGAGAGATGGATGGATGAATGAATGGACGGATGAGTGGATGGATGCATGGATGGGCAGATGAGTACATGAATGGATGGATGGATAGATGGATGCATGGAGGAATGGGAATGGATGGAGGGAGGGATGGAGAAAGTAATAGATTGATGGAAGGATGAATGGATACATGGATGCATGGAAGAATGGTTGGAGGGAGGGATAGATAGATGGGTGATGTTGAAAATTTTGAGTAAATGGGGGTATGTAGGGGCCACTTTGGAGGCAGGCTGTCAATAGTAATGGGAATGGAGAGGCTAGGGGCCTGGAGGCCACCAGGTGGGGACTCCAGGGGCACTCACCGAACTTTGCTGCTGCTTTAGCTGCCGCTGCTGCTGCTGCCTGGGGGCCAACCCCTGGGGGAAGGAAGCAGAGGGGAGAGACCTTGAAACAGTGCTCCTGTATCTCCAGAGCCCACTTGTTCCCAGCCCCAAGAGAGCCAATCCACTGACATGTGGGTATACATGGGAGCTTCAGAGTAGGCAGAGGCTGATGGAGCTGCCCCACTCCTCCCCCAGGATCCTGCTCCAGGTTTGGACCAGGGTCTGGATGCAGGGTGGGCTGCTGCTTTCAGGAGGGAACCTCACCCACCCCAGGGCTCTGGAGCCTGGAAGATCAGTGCTCCCTTGGCTGGAAGTGACGTGAGGCTTTCCTTACCTGTCCCTGTTGGGTAACCAGCCTTGCCCGCTGCACCAGCCACTCCTCCGGGCCCATAGCCTGCAAAACAGAGAGGCTTGATGGTCATCTGTGCAGACATCACCACTGCTGCCCTCCCCCTCCCCCTGCTCTGCCCTCGGGGCCCAAGCTGTCCTGAGTCTGCACCTGTCACCCCCAGCCAGAGTGAAAACAAATACAAACACATGTATGGAGTTGTTATGTCCATTTTACAGATGAGAACACAGAGGCTCAAAGAAGCAACACAGCTCACTTAAGGTCTCATTATTGATAGGTGGGAGGGCAGGGATGGAGACCCATGCTGAGTCCAAATTCCATGCCCTTTCCTTCTGAGATTCCCACTCCAAGACCCCAACCCTGCCCCAGCGAGGTGCTCTCCTGGCCCAGGGCTGGAAGCACAGCACCCTTGCTAGGACCCTGGAGAGGGAAAGAGCTGGAAGCCCACAGTCTAGAAGGGTCTCACTCACCATAGGGCAGTTTCCCTGTGGTGTAGGGCAGTCCATAGCCACCTGGAGAGAGGACAGAGCAAACTCAGGGGCTGCCCCATGCCTTGCTGGGCTCCCACCAACCTGGGTGGACAGATCTACCCCCACAGGTGCTAAAGCTTGAGACCTCCCACATCAGGGTCCTGAGCTGCTCCCAGGAGAGCAAAGGCGCTGGGTGAAGGAGGGAGAGGACACCTCTGCCCCCGAGGCCCATGGAACACCCATCCCCCTACAAATTCAAGCCCCATCATGGCCCTGGAGTCTGAGTATTTTCCTTACACCCCCTCCTCAGTGGAAAGCATCTTATTGTCTAAGCTGATTGCAGAGGTAGGGGCGGGAGCACGAGTGGGTGGATGTTAGAGGGATCTTTCCAATGAACCGTGTTCCTTTCCACCAGCCTAATAGCTTCAGATCGGGACTATGGGTCTCTGTGCATGAGCGTGTGTGTGTGAGTTCAATACCTGCAGATGACTTTCCCATGCTCTCCTTGGCTGGTGACCATACAGGGGCTTCAACACCCCTTCCCTGCCACCAGAGACACCTGTACCCAGGCTGACTTCTGTGCAGGGAGGTGCAGTGAGTGGTACATTTTTTTTTTCTTCTTTTTCTTTTTTTGGAGGAGAGTCTCACTCTGTTACCCAGGCTGGAGTGCAGTAGCGCGATCTCAGTTCACTGCAACCTCTGCCTTCTGGGTTCAAGAGATTCTCCTGCCTCAGCCTCCCCAGTAGCTGGGATTATAGGCCTATGCCACCACACCTGGCTAATTTTTGTATCTTTAGTAGGGACGGGGTTTTGCCATGTTGGCCAGGCTAGTCTTGAACTCCTGACCTCAAGTGATCTGCCCGCCTTAGCCTCCCAAAGTGCTGGGATTACAGGTGTGAACCACCACACCCGGCCGAGTGGTGCATCTTGAACCGTCCCTCTGACTTACCAGGCAGCTTGGGGGCCTTGATGGGATACCCCAGTGGGACTCCAGGTTGCGGTCCCCCAAAGGGTCCAACTCCTGTGGGAATAAAGAGAGCAAGTTCAGGTCCCAGCACCCCCTTCCAAACCCTCCGCCACCCACTCCACTTTCTGCTCAGACAGAAGGAGCTTGCTACAGCATCCAGAAACCATCCTGCTTCGAGGGACTCCCTGAATCTCCATCATGGGTCAGTTGAGAAATTCCCAGTGACAGGCCACTTCCTCCAGGAAGCTACGGGATTCTCTCCCTCCTGGGGCCTGGGCCCCAGTTTGGGCCTGCAGCCCTTGGCACAGGCTGGAGGGTTTTCTGGACTCCTTTGAATTTTGGGCTGCTATGCCAGTGGGGGGAGCAGGCCTGGGATGGGTGCCACTTTGTGCTACAGCCACTGCAAGACCTGGCTCTGCAGGCGTGGGAGAAATTGGGCAGGCTTGGATGGGATCTTGGGTGCCCAACCCCTCCCAACGCCAGAGCCTCTGCCTGGCTGGCCACCCTGCTTCTCCCACCAGCCTTGCCTCACCTGGGATTCCAGCAAAAGCTCCACCTACACCTGTAATGATAAAAAGCTGTCACTACAGCCCTGGAACTGTGGACACTGGGCCAGACAGCACCAAGGGGCCAGGAGGCCCAAGGAATGGCCAGTTCTTCCCAGACCAGTCATCGCATGCTGCGCTCACATGAACTCTGGGGTTTCTTTTTTCGGAGATGGAGTTTCGCTCTTGTCGCCCAGGCTGGGGTGGAATGGGGTGATCTCAACTCACCGCAACCTCTGCCTCCCAGGTTCTGGCGATTCTCCCGCCTCAGCCTCCCAAGTAGCTGGGATTACAGGTGCAGGCCACCACGCCCAGCTAATTTTTGTATTATTAGTAGAGACAGGGCTTCACCGTGTTGGTCAGGCTGACCTCAGGTGATCCGCCCACCTCGGCCTCCCAAAGTGCTGGGATTACAGGCATGAGCCACTGCATCTGGCCCTCTTTTCTTTCTTTCTTATTTTGCGGGGGAACGGGGTCTCTGTTGCCCAGGCTGGAGTGCAGTGGTGTGATCATAGCTCACGACAACCTTGATCTCCTGGGCTCAAGAGATCCTCCTGTCTTAGCCTCCTGAATAGTTGGGATCATAGGTGTGTGTGACCATGTCCGGCTAATTTTTTAATCATGTTTTTGTAGAGATAAGGTCTTGCTATGTTGCCCAGGCTGGTCTTTAACTCCTGGGCTCAAGCGATCCTCCCAGCTCACCCTCCCAAAATACTGGGATTACAGGTGTGAGCCAGTGTGCCCAGCCACACTCTGAGGTTTTTCAGCACCAGGCTGCCCAGGGCTGGAACATAAAAAGTGTCACCCAGAGGGCCCTGAGCCAGTCCAGGATCCCACCCCATTTCACACCCGGGGCCAGAAGGTGGTTGGAGAGTCCCTGCCATCAGCCCTCTGTCCAGACAGCTGCATACCTGGAGCCTTGGGCTTAACTCCTGCTCCAGTGGGAACTCCAGGGAGCACCCCCACACCGGGGAACCGAGCTCCTGCCGGGGGACAAAGCAGTGAGTGTAGGAAGGCAGGCCTTGCAGGCCCTGCTGGGAACCCCTCCCCTCCTCGGGTCCCCCAGCTGACCTCCCTTGGGACTGACTGTCAGTGACAGGCACGGCTCACGGGGTGGGTGGAGAAAGGACCTGTTTAGTGCTGACTTTCCTTCCCTGTCTGGCTCAAGGTCAGAAGATCTGAGTTTTAATCCTATTTCCCAGCCATGTGAGCTGGTGCCTCAGTCAGCCTCATCTCTATGCTGGAGTTAATCACAAAAGCCGTCTCGACCACCCTCCGCAGAAAAGGTAAAGAGAGGGACAGCTGCTGCGCGGTGCCACTCGCCCGTAGACCAGGGAGGCCCATGCTCTCTGGGGCTCTCGCTCACAACCCAGACCCCCAAAGCAGCCATCCAGCTACAGCTGGGACCATGCCAGCGTCTTCCACCTCTCCTGTCTCCCCTGGGGCTGGGCAGCCTTGGCTTTCAGCGTAGTGGGGGAGAGAGGGAGGAAGGGCCACTCCATCAGCAAATCCCACATAACAGCCTAAATCTGGGCTTTTGGGGGAATTCAGGAGGTCACATGTTGGGTGGGGTGGTCAGGCCCTGGCAGGGGAAAGGAGGGTGAGGGGCAGCTCTTTAGGGTCTCCTGCAGGGCAGACTCATTGGGTGGCCCCTTGGTGACTCACAGCTTTTGGGAAATAGCTGGTCACACTGGGATCTGTCCTCGGGGGCCCGCCTCGGGCTGTGATGATGGTCTGTGCCTGGGATCAGGGCTTGGGTGGGGTGCAGGAAGGCTGGTTGACCTTCAGGGGATGGACGGACTGCCAGGGACCTTATGTCTGTTAGCCTGAGCTTTGGAGTTTGGGGAAATGGCTCAGGTCAGGACCCAGGGCTTCTGGTGGCCTCTGCTTTTCGGGGAGGCGAGGGGGGTACTAGGGAGGCTGAGGGGGCTGCTTTTCTTTTCCTTTTTCTTTTTCTTTGTTTTGAGACAGGGTCTTGCTCTGTCACCCAGGCTGCTGTGCAGTGGCACCATCGTAGCTCACTGCAGCCTGGACCTTCTGGGCTCAAGCAATCCTCCCACCTCAGCCTCCCGAGTAGCTGGGACTACAGGTGCACACCACCATGCCTGGCTAAATTTTTTTGTAGAGACGAGGGCCTTACTATGATGCCCAGGCTGGTCTCAAACTCCTGGCCTCAAGCCATCCTCCTGCCTCAGTCTCCCAAAGCAATGGGATTATAGGCATGAGCCACTGCGTCCTGGCTGCTTTCTTCCTATAGAGTCCCTGTTTCCCTCCTTGCTCTCACCTGGGAGCACGCCACCTGGGTATACACCTGGCAGCCCCACACCTGTGGCCAAAAGAAAGCAAAGTTACTAGCAGCAGCTCAGCCTCCAGGGACCCCTCCCCAGCCCTTCCCACCCAGGCAGCTCCAAGGCCCTCAAACCCACAGCCTCTGTGCCCGACAGGGGCAGCCAGGGACAGACGTGGGGTGGCCACAACCCTCCTCCCACGAGTTTCGGAAGTCATCTGCAAACTCTTCGGTGTGTGGATTTATCTCCGTCTCCTGGAGCCTGTTTACATGGCTGGGCCAGCCCACCTCTGGCTAACAGCTTCCAGATGTCCCTCCCTGCTGCGTAGACTCAGGCAGTCTTTTGTTTAACCTGAAGTCACTTCCTAAAGGGCTTGGTGGGGCAGAACGAGTACCAGATGGGGAGTCAGAGGACACGGGGCTCCCCCAGCTCTGCCGGGACTCGCTGCAGGCCCTTCCACACTGACTCGCCTCTTTGAGCCTCAGTTTCCCCATCTGTCGCCCGACAGCCTGCCACAGAGCCCGTCTCTTTCTACCCCAAGATCCCGGGAGAAGGGCCCGGGAAGTGGGCCAGGCCCCTCCTCCCCATTTCACAGACGCAGGCACCAGCCTGGCTAGTTTCTCTGCCCGACTGAAGCCAGGCCCTGCCCTTCCTCCCCAAGTGCAGTGGCATGGAGAGGGCTCTGTTCCTCCCTGCCCTCTGCCCCTCCCTGCCCTCTGTCCTCCAGCCCCAGGGATTCCGCACTGACCCGGCACTTTCCCAGGCTTCACTCCGGCTCCAGGCTGAGGAACCACCGCACCTGGCACAGAAGGGGCTGCATCAGAGTTGGCTCCACCCAGGCCTGCAACTTTGACCCAGGGAGTTCGGGGATAGCCATCGTACCTGCAGACACTCCTAAGCCACCAACTCCTGGGACACCACCAAGCCCAGCGCCTGCAGAGCCAGGACAGGTGAGGCATTGCGTAAGGAACAGTGGGGAGGCAGAAGGGCCCGGGGCTGCATGCTGAGGGCCCAGCATTGAGGTCTGGCCCCGTTACTAACTCACCTTCAGACTGGGCACAGCTAGCTGCCTCCCTGAGCCCCAGTAGATTGCAACTGACAATCCCACCCACCCGGCTCCCAAGCCTGAGTTGAGGGAAGGTTCTTTGCAAAGCGGAGGGCCCCACGGAAGCCAGAGGGCTTGTGGCATGTCCCAAAGAGCACCACTCACCAGCCTTAGCAGCTTTATAGGCTGCAGCAGCGTCAGCCACTCCACCAGGCACCAGAGCCCCCGGAAAGGTAACTGCGGGGAAGGCGCCGAGCCCTGCGGAGGGGAGGATGGGGTGAGGTCCTGAGCTACCACACCTATGAAGACTCCTACGCTCTGGCCCTGCCTGGCTGTGCCCCACTCAGGAAGCACATTGGAGGCTCTTCCGCTCTCTGCCAGACATCAATGCCTGCAGGACATCCATGTGAGCACTGCTCACCGGTAATGGATTTTTTTTTTTTTGACACAAGGTCTCACTCTGTCACCCAGGCTGGAGTGCAGTGGTGCGATCTTGGCTCACTGCAGCCTCAACCACCCAGGCTCAAGCAATCCTCCCGCCTCAGCCTTCCAAGTAGGTGGAACTACAGGTGCATGCCACTGTGCCCGGCAAATTTTTTTTTTTTTGTATTTTTTGTAGTGACAAGATTTTACCATGTTGCCCAGGCTGGTCTCGAACTCCTGGGCTCAAGCCATCTGCCCGTCTCAGCCTCCCAAAGTGCTAGGATTACAGGCGTGAGCCACCGCGCCTAAGTACCAGAACTAGATTGTGTGCCGAGGTTAATGTGTTAGACAGCTCTGACAAAACTGCATGGCTCTTTTTTTTTTTTTCCCTTTAGAGATGGGGTCTTGTGGCTGGGCACGGTGGCTTGAGCCTGTCATCCCAGCACTTTGGGAGGCCGAGGTGAGTGGATCACTTGAGGCCAGGAGTTCGAGACCAGCCTGGCCAACATGGTGAAACCCCGTCTCTACTAAGAATACAAAAATTAGCCGAGCGTGGTGGTGCACACTGGTAATTCCAGCTATTTGGGAGGCTGAGACACAAGAATCACTTGAACCGGGGAGGTGGAGGTTGTGGTGAGCTGAGATCAACTGCACCAGGTGCGGGGAGCTGAGACTGAGCCACTGCACTCCAGCCTGGGTGACAGAGTGGGACTCTGTCTCAACAACAACAAGAACAACAAAAGAGATGAGGTCTTTCTCTGTCGCCCAGGCTGGAGTGCAGTGACATGATCATAGCTCTCTGAAGCCTCAGCCTCCTGGGCTCAAGGGATCCTCTCACTTCAGCCTTCCTGAAAACTGCATGGATCTTTTGGGGTCAAATTTCCCCACCCACCTCCTCTAGAATGCCTTCCTGAACCCCTGCTGAGTTAAGCGACTCCCTTGGGCTTCCTTGGTCCATGGGGCTTCCTCCATGCAGCCTTCACTACTATGTTATAAAGGAACCCAGGTACTCAGCTGTGATTTCCTCATGTCCTGGGCAGCTGCTTGGGGCAGTTGGTATCAGCATCAGTCCCCGTCAGTGCCCAGGACGGAACCTGGCCTGCACCCTTGTTCCATGACCGTGCTGCATACCAGCCCTGGGTTGAGCTCAGGGGCTGGTCCCCACAGGGGATATCTTTCTTGGGTGTCAGCACTCACCTGCCCCAAGGCCAGCACCCGCAAGCCCTCCGGGAACTGTGGATAAGAAACAGAGACAGGAGTGTAGGCAGTGTTCCTAGGCCCAGAGTGGGAAATGTCTCCTGGAGTTAGGGCAGTGCTGTGATCAGCCACTCAGGTCCCTAGGCTGGTCCCTAAGCCTGTGATGCTCAGGGTCGATCCTGATAAAATAGCATCCACCAGTAGTTTAGTGAGCGACTACTATGTGCAGTGCAGGTGTCATTGCACCGATCCCTAACAAGCCTGGGCCAGGCCTGTGCTTCTCCTAGAAGCCCTGCTGGCTAACAAGATTCAGCAGGGCTTTCAGCAAGGGCTGGGACAGAGCAGAGTCCGTGAGCGAGACCTCACCCCAGGCCAGTGAGGTCTCTCTTCTGCTTCCTTGCAGATATCTCTTGACTCAGTCCCCTCCCCTTCACCTGCATCGGGGAACTCCTGTGTCCCCACTACCCATCTGTCCTTCCATCCAGCCTGCCCTGCAGCCCAGGAGCCTCCTACTAAGATGTTTATGAGACGCCAAATGGGTCCCTCTGGCTCTCTCCTCCCCACATCTGGGCCCAATCGCTTCGTCTCCCACTGCGGGAGACATTCCACTGCCTTGGCCAGGACCAATGGGCCATCAGGTCAGAGTTCACAACCATGCCAGGTTTGTTTCTAATTATGTGACGATCTCTCCTACAAGTGCTAGTCCTGAGCCTCAGGGGTGAGTCCTCTCCAGGGATGGATCCCAAACATGGAGCCTGCTGTACCCTGGAGAGGTCCCCCCTGGCTTTCCCTGGGTGTGGTCTCCGTTACTAACCACTCCTCGTCCCTCATTTCCTACTAGTGGGAGCTGGACCCCTCTGAAACTCAGCCAGCCTCATGTAAGAAGCATCTTTGCCTCCGGGCGGGAGTGCCTGGCGATCAGGCAGGAGTCACTTCCCAGCACCCGGGCCAGACCCACCTGCGCTGGCAGTCGCTTCTCTCAAGCCAGGCATGTTTCCTGAGCTCTGAGAGGGCAAGGGACATGCTCAGACCTTTCCTGTCCACAGAGGGGCTGGGAGGGGAAGCTGAGGACTGCACAGGAAGTGAGAAGAGGCTGGGGCTGCAGTGGGGGGCAGGCAGCTTCTCTGGGGCCATCTTCCTTTTTCCCATGATCCCAGCCTGAGCATCCTGTCATGTGGCCTGACCACTTCTGTCTCTGCCTGCCCTCCTTCCTTTGCACTCACCTGCCCCAAATGCCCCAAGGATTCTAGCATCTGGAAAGGAGGAGAAAGCGGGGAGGGGCTGACCACAGCTGGGAGTCCAGGGACCTGGCCAGCTCCATCCTCCTTCTTTCTAGAGTCAGAGAGTTCTAGATTCAGACCCTGCTGCTGCTACCCAGCCTCCATGAGCACAAGCAGGTCAATTTGCCTCTCCGATGAGGCTTAGTTTTTGCCATCTACAAAATGGCCATTATATCACCTGCCTTGCTGGGACCAGTGAGCATGTGTGCAGAAAGCACCTAGTTGTGCAACCTACCCAGGGCACACAGTGGGTGCTCCCAGTTCCTTCTTGTCCATGCCCGTGCCCCTCTCAGTGGGCGGCTGGCCTCTGGCTAGTGCTCAGGGTGTTGGGTGTGCAGGCTTCCAGCTGCCTGGTCCCCCGCTGAGAGCTGAGGCAGGGCAGGGCCAGCTTGGACCTGTGGTGGCGCCCACGTGGAAAAGCAGCTGCCAGGCCACCCACCCTCTGTCACCAAGGGATTAATTGTTCCCAAGCATGACACGCGCTGCCTGTGCTCCATTCCATCCTGCCTGGGCAGGCCCAGACGTCCTGGCAGCCCGGATGTGGGGGCCTCCCTGGGGGTGCCATGGGGGCTCTGCCGACCCTTCTGTAGCCCTGAGTCTTCGGGGAGGTCATGGAATCCAGCCCCTTGCCTGGAAACACTGCCCTTTTTATCAGAAGGAGATGCTCTGACTTTCCTTTGGATTGACTCCTTCACCCTGAGCTGGAAGTTCTTTCAGAAGTCTAACCTAAATCTTTCATTAACAAAAGCTTCACTTTTGCAACTACACATCCTGGAACTTCGTAGGGAGTTGTCTGTCTTTCCTCTGGTGTTTAACCACAACCTGCTATGTGTCTCTTGCTCCTAGTGGGATCAATGAATGTACCCTCCAGCTTTGCAGGCACAACCTCCTCAATTTGGGTCTTCTAGGCCAAGCACAGACCTACCTCCACACCTCTGCACCACTATCATCTCCCCTGTCCTCTCTTCACCGTCAAAGACCCTGCTAAGAACCCTCACCTGCTCCAGGAAGACAGGGTATAGGTGCTGGCGGGGATAAGTGGCAAGCTCCCAGGGTCTCCTGGCCTTGCAGAGCCCTGTAGACCCCAGGCACCCCGTTCTCCCGCCTCTCCTGGCTCCAGCCCTGGTGTTTCACAACCCAGATGGACTTTTAGCGCAGGGGAATCTGGGTCTTGAAGATTCATTTGCACTTGGATTATCAACTATCAGGATTTCATAAGAGCTCTTGGACATCTAAACTGTGTCCTGGAGACTTGGGCTTCTGAGCCAGGGCAACACAGCTCAGGGTGTGGGGCGGCCAAAGTCACATGTGGAGCGTCTCATGCCGAGGGACCATCAATCTGGACAGAGACGCTGTTTCCTCCACCTGCTCCTTATCCGCCAGTATTTCCCGGAGGGACCTGCCCCACCTTCCTTCCTGGGGGTGCATTCCCCAGAGCTGAGAGTGGACCCTCGTGGCAGATCCCAGCCCCTTGGGCGAGGCCAGGATAGATCCGGCCACACCTTCTTACTGGAAAACTCCGTGGTCTGGACACAGCTGGAAAGGGCCTGAGATTAGGAGGGGAGCTTATCCGGGGCCATGGTCGGTGCTCAGCTTGGGCTTGGGGTCAGGGCTTGGCCTAAGGCCAGGATTGGGGGTCCTGTGGGACCAGGGTCAGCAGGGTCAGGGTTCAGCCTGGGATTAGGCTCAGGGCTTGGGCTGGGGTTAAGCTTTGGCTTGAGACCAGTGCTCCATCTGGAGTCAGGAGAAGGGCTCAGAATGGCATCAAGGTCAGGGTGATCTGGGGTATTGGTCTGGGGTCAAGGGCTAGGGGACCACTCAGGGGAAGTCTGGGGCTGAGGATCTGTGTCTGAGCTCCCGAGGGTCATGTAAGGCTTGGAGGCCACTGGAACCGGAGCAATCCCTGATGTTGCCTCTAACAGCCTCTCCTTTGCAGAGAGGAGTCTCTGGACAGCTGGGTGAACACACATGCACATGTAGGGTAGATGCTAGACGCCCTCACACAGGGAGGACATGGAGCTGCTTCCAGCCTCTTGTTCCTGGAAGCCCTGGGACCTGGCCCCGGCCTACTCATCCTTGGGAGGCTAATCGGTGTCCACACCTCCCTCCTTCCTCCTGCCCGTTGGCTTCCTTGTCCTGTTCCTAGTTTCCTTGTCCCATTCCCAGCTGGGTAGGCTCCTCCCTCCCCAGCTCCCTCGCTGTCTCTCAATGCTCCGAGGCCTTGGGTCTTACCTGGCTTAAGAGGTTTGCCTCCAGGCCCCAGCGCTGCAGAGGGAAGAGAAGATAGTGAATGGGGTGGCCCAGCTTATCCATCTACTACTTATCCAACCCCCAACCCGGGCAAAGTGTGGGCAGTGTGGAATCACACACCCCAGGTCCTCCCGCTCAGACTTGGAGCCCCTGGGAACCTAGCTCTACTTCTAACTCGTGGTTTATACTCTCTGAGTCCCAGAGTCTCAGCCTCAAAAGGGGATGATGGGCTGGGGGTGGTGGCTCACGCCTGTAATCCTAGCACTTTGGGAAGCTGAGGCAGGCGGATCATCTGAGGTCAGGAGTTTGAGACCAGCCTGGCAAACATGGTGAAACCCTGTCTCTACTAAAAATACAAAAATTAGCCAGGCGTGGTGGCATGTGCCTGTAATCCCAGCTACTCAGGAGGCTGAGGCAGGAGAATCACCTGAACCTGGGAGGTGGAGGTTACAGTGAGCTGAGATCGCGCCACTGCACTCCAGCCTGGGTGACAAGAGCAAGACTTTGTCTCAAAAAAAAAAAAAAGAAGATGGTGCCTGCTCAGCCGGCTTGGCAGGGAGGTTTTTGAGGATAAAAAGAAATAGGAAGGGGCCGGGCAAGGGGCCGGGCAAGGTGGCTCACGCCTGTAATCCCAGCACTTTGAGAGGCCGAGTCAGGCAGATCACTTGAAGTTGGGAGTTCGAGACCAGCCTGGCCAACATGATGAAACCCTGTCTCTAGAAAAAATACAAAAATAAGCTGGGCGTGGTGGCACGCGCCTGTAGTCCTCGCTAATTGGGAGGCTGAGGGAGGAGCATCACTTGAACCTGGGAGGCAGATGCTGCAGTGAGCTGAGATCACGCCACTGCACTCCAGCCTGGGCGACAGAACGAGACTCTGTCCCCCCGTCCTCCCCCACCAAAAAAAAGAAGAAATAGGAAGGCAGAGGGCACCAGACATAAAGTCTAGGGGAGGGACTGGGAAGGCCAATGGGTTCTGGTTCTCAAAGAAGCCTCCTCCCACCGCCTGGATGCTGTCTGTGAAATGAGGGAGTCCTTGATGCTCGGGTCTCCCAGGGTTCTCAGGTCTGAGGATGCATGTGGCTCGGGTGAAACCCAGGCCCTTTCAGTGATGAACAAGTGTGGTTTCTGAGCTCACCTCCTCCTCCAAGGGCTCCGAGACCAGCCCCTGTGGGGGGAGAGAAAGAGAAAGAGAGATCATCGGTACTTCTGCCAGGCAAGCCCGCTGCCACCCCCAGCTATGGCTGAATCCACCTCTGCCTAACTACGTGACCTTGGGCAAGACCTGCTCTCTGCAAGCCTCGGTTTTCTCTTCTGCTTGGCCAGTAGTCCAGTGTCAGTATGTATCTGGGGGAGTGCTGGCGTCTCTCCCCACTTCCAGGTCACTTCTGTACACTCAAATGCTTTTTTTAATTTTTTAATTTTTTTTTATACGGAGTCTCCCTCTGTCGCCCAGGCTGGAGTGCAGTGGCGCGATCTCGGCTCACTGTAAGCTCCGCCTCCTGGGTTCAATCACATCATTCTCCTGCCTTAGCCTCCCGAGTAGCTGGGACTAGAGGCTCTCGCCACCACACCTGGTTAATTTTTTGTATTTTTAGTAGAGACAGGGTTTCACCGTGTTAGCCAGGATGGTCTTGATCTCCTGACCTTGTGATCCGCCTGCCTCAGCCTCCCAAAGTGCTGGGATTACAGGCTTGAGCCACCGTGCCTGGCCTCAAATACTTTTTAAGTATTGAAAGTATTACTTTTGATTTTTCTTTTCTTTTTTTCCCCTTTTCTTTTTAGAGACAGGGTTTTACTCTGTCACCCAGACTTCAGTGCAGTGGTGCTATTATAGCTCACTGCAGCCTTGAACTCCTAAGCTCAAGTGATCCTCCTGCCTCAGCCTCCCCAGTAGCTAGGACTACAGGCGTGCACCACTATGCCCAGCTAATTTTTTTTTAATTTCTATACTTCATTTTCATTTTTCTCAATGCAGAACATGGCTAATTTTAAATTTGTGTGTGTGTGTGTGTGTAGAGAGGGGGATCTCACTATGTTGTCCAGGCTGGTCTGAAACTCCTGGCCTCAAGCAATCCTTGTTTCTCTGCCTCCCAGAGTGTTGAGATTACAGGCATAAGCCACCATGTCCAGCCTGTATGCTCTTAATAGCTGTAAATCAATGTCTTGTTAATTGCATTTTTAAGTGGGTGTGACTTCTGGTAGGCGTGTCAATGTTCCTACCTTCTGTAGTGTCAAAATGTGCATCTATTATGGACATCAGCATCATCCGCATGACCTGGGTGTGTGGAAGTTTCATGTACGTTACCTGGATAAAAGACTCCTCCAGGAACTCCACCAGGAATGGCCCCAGGGACCCCTGAAAGGAAACAGGTAGAGTCAGTCCTCCAGGAGCCAGAACTATTAGGCTGGTGCAAAAGTAACTGCGATTTTTGCCATTACTTTCAATGGCAAAACCCACAATTACATGGAAACAAGAATAATGCTGATGGCAATAATGACATTGCTTGTCTCCAGAGCAGTTTCTGTTTACAAAGTGTGTTCTCATTCTTGCTCTTTGAAATCGGCCTGTGAAGTTGGAAGGGCAGGGCTTACTATCATCATTTTGTTTTGTTTGAGACTGAGACGGAGTCTTGGCCTTTCACCCAGGCTGGAGTGCAGTGGTGGGATCTCAGCTCACTGCAACCTCCGTCTGCCTGGGTCAAGCGATTCTGCTGCCTCAGCCTCCTGAGTAGCTGGGATTACAGGTGCATGCCACCAAGCACGGCTAATTTCTGTATTTTTAGTGGAGACAGGGTTTCACTATGTTGGGCAGGCTGGTCTTGAACCCCTGACCTCAAGTGATCTGCCTGCCTCGGCCTCCCAAAGTGCTGGGATTACAGGTGTGAGCCACCGCTCCCAGAGACTATCATCTTAAGACATGAAATCAGGCTCAGAGAGGTTAAGGGACATGCCTGGGGCCACACAGCTGGAAAGAGACGGGGCCTGGATTGAAGCTCAGGCCAGTGCTTTATTTTTGAGACAGAGTCTTGCTCTGTCACCCAGGCTGGAGTGCAGTAGCAAGATCTCAGCTCACTGCAACTTCTGCCTCCTAGGTTCAAGCGATTCTCCTGCCTCAGTCTCCCAAGTAGCTGGGACTACAGGCGTGCACCTCCACATCTGGCTAATTGATTTTTTTGTAAAGATGGGGTGTCAGTATGTTCCCCAGGCTGGTCTGGAACTCCTGGAAGCGATCCTCCTGCCTTGGCCTCCTAAAGTGCTAGGATGACAGGCCCCTGCGCCCTGCTGCCAGTCCTTAGAGTATGATTGTTCTTGCTGTGTTACCTGGTTCTCCCTGGAGTCAGGGAGAGGGCCTGGGGTGGAAGACACTGGGTCTGAGCACCTCTCACCAGGCAGCCCACTCCCTTCCCGAGCTGAGCTGCCGGGTAGAGGCCAGAGCTTTGGGAAGGGCAGGCTGGGCTGCTACAGCGAGCATTAAGGAGGTGCAGCTGCCAGCACAAATGCAGCCATTCCCACACTGATAGGACGGCGTGAGGTCAGCGTCCTCAGCCACTGGGCAGCCGAGCTTGGGTGGGGCTCTGGCCGTCTGACACGGGCTGTCTTAGGAGGCGCCGGGGCCGCAGGGGGACGCCATGAATGAGCACAGTGAATAGTTTCCTAAGGAAAAGCGAATTCACCGGCCAGACAGGATCACGAGTTCAGTCCCCATGGACCAGTGAAGCTCTCACTGGGGAACGCTGTGATGCTGGATCCAGACCCTGCCTGAGCCATCGCCATGGCAACAGACAGGGTCCCAAACCGGGGGCCCTGCCTCCACCTCAGAAGGCCCCCCTCTGAGCTTGACAAGCCACCTTGCCAACGCCCCA
Organism: Homo sapiens; assembly: GCF_000001405.40. Taxonomy (NCBI): domain Eukaryota; kingdom Metazoa; phylum Chordata; class Mammalia; order Primates; family Hominidae; genus Homo; species Homo sapiens. The sequence continues at coordinate 74,033,856 of NC_000007.14, read as the reverse complement.
GCCCAGCCCTCCCTTACTGCTTTTGCTGAAAGGGGCCGGGAGCCCCGTGGGGCATGGGCGGGGCTGGGGGAACGGGTGTCTCTGCAATGTGTCCAGGGAGGCCTCGCGGCCAGACGTCTGGCCTCTGAGGCCTGGCGACGCTGCACAGCTGGGCTTGCTGGCCCCAGGGCCCTGTCAGCCTCAGCTGCAGCCCAGCAGGGTCAGGGCTGTGGAGCTGTCACAGCCACCGGAGCCAAGACCCCGGCGCCACCCCCTCCCAGGGCTTGTGGCTCCTCAGGCACTGCAGTCCAGGCCTGAAGTGTGCAAGTAATCTGGTCAGAACCTCAAGGCTCGGAGTGGTGGCCCCAGGGGGGCTGGGCCTGCTGAGAAGGAGCACTTGGGCCCTGTCATCCGCTGCCAAGCACACACATGGCCCGCCTCGGGCCTCTGATGCCTTCCCTGGCTCCGGCCTCCAGCTCTCAACAGTCTCTTATGCGTCTTTCTCTGCCTCGGCCTCTCTCCTTCCTCCTCTTTCTCCCCCTCTCCCTCATTCTTCACGTGCCTCTCTCCCTTCCTCTCTACTCTCTGGCTCCAGAGCAGACTGCAGGGAACAGTGTGGTGGAGGTGGGGGGAAGAGCAAAGTGCTCAGAACAGACCCCTCTGGCTTCTAATTCTGCCTTCGCTGCTTCTTACCATCTGTGCGACCTTGGGAAAGTCACTCAACCTCTCTGAACATCGGTTTCCTTTTTTGTGACATGGGGCAGATAATCACTTGGTTGTTGCAAGGTTGCAAGGTTGCTGCAAGGTTGCAAGGTTGCTGCAAGTTGTAAAAGGGTTCAAGTAATAGGCTATGTCCTCTTCTGGACCTGGCAGACAGTAATTGCTCAAAAATAAAAAGACAGTGGCACTTACGTTTCATTTTTTCCCATTTCACTGCACAGTCCGTGGCCCAGGGCCAGGTATGCAGTAGTTACTCAATACATGATGGGTGAATTAAGTAGAGGGGTGGCAGGGTGGTTGTCTGTGAATCCAGCTCTAACCTGTTTCATCCCCATCTGCCCTGGGAGTCCCCCTGCCTTGGGCTTGTTGAGCCCCTGGGCCTGGCTGAACCCTGACTTCCTTTCTCCTGGGGTTCTGCCCTCCTGCACCCCAGGCACTTTCTGGGGGGAAGACTTAGCTTCCCCTCCCCCAGATCTCCTCTGTCCCCACTCTCCACCCCCACCGTTCAGACCCTGATGATGGTGGCATTTGCCAAACTTCATGCCTGAACCTGACGGCCTGGGGAGCCCGAGGTTTTAATCCCCACTTTGCAATGAGGAAATGGAGAAGGTTTAGGGGCTACGAAGGATTCCTGCCTCTCTGCAAGTGAGAGAGGTGAGAATAAAATGACAGCAGCTGGAAATTGGAAAGGACTTTGAAAAGGTAACAGCTGCTTCCCCAGGCCCCGTGGCGATCCTCACTTCTCCCTCCACTCCTTGGCACAAGCCGTTTCTCCTGCCAGGAATGTCCTTGCCTCTGTCCAAGTCCTACCCCCGCACCAGGGCTGAGCTCAGACTCTCCCGCCTGCCTTTCCCGAGCCCACGGCTCTCCCTGACTGTGCTGCTCAGCTGGCCCTAAGCAGTTGGCCTGGAGAACACTTGTCTTGTTTTATGTGGTTTTGGCATGTTTCACCGACTAGCCCAGGGTGGAACTTGTCTCTTGCATCTTAGAATCACGATCCTAGACTCTCAGGGATCATAATAGTCTTCTGGCCTGGGCTGGACCTCCTTCCACAAACATCCTTCGTGTTCTGCTTGCATACCTCCCATGATGGGAAAATCACCACCTCCAAATGCTGTCAGCACTAACTGCAGACAGGGCTTCCTCCAATCGAGAATCTGCTCTTCTGTCTCTTCAGTTCTGCCTGCCAGGGCCTGTAGTCTGGGGACTTACCCCTCATCCACAGACAGGTCCTCCAACATTTTCCTTCCTTCCTTCCTTCCTTCCTTCCTTCCTTCCTTCCTTCCTTCCTTCCTTCTTTCCTTCCTTCCTTTCTTTCTTTCTGTCTCTCTCTCTCTCCTTTCTCTCTCTCTCTCTCTCTTTCTTTCTTTTTCTTTCTTTTTAAATATTCATTTATTTTTTAAATAGAGACGGGGGCCTTCCTATGTTGCCCAGGCTGGTCTCAAACTCCTGGGCTCAAGCAATCTGCCCATGTGGGCCTCCCAAAGTGCTAGGATTACAGGCATGAGTCACTGCACCTGGCCCCATTTACTTTTCTCTTTAGGTTTAACTCAAATGTCACTTCTGCTGGGAAGCCTTCCTGGATTTCTCAAGGCTCCTTCTGGCCACCCCCAACCGAGTCCTGTCTGCTTCTTTCATCATTGCACATCTATTTACACATTAGCTGCCCCTCCACTAGACAAAACATGGTGTAAGTAGTGAGAGGGAGTATTAAACCTTAGCAATGTGCACTAATTACAAGGATCCATGAGCCCAAATTAGCAGACTCTGAATAAGAGAATAGATTATTTTAAAAATGCCCATTCCCACGGTCCTTTTATTTGATGCTTTTTTTCCCCCCAGATATTACATTGCTAGAAGCTCTCACTGGCCCTAGGAGGTACTTCAGGCAGGGCTGTTTCTCCCCATTTTGCAGCCAGGGAAATGGAGAACCAGTGAGCTGAAGAGCCTGGTCTGGGACCCCCAGCTGACCCCAAGTCACATGTAGGGCCATTTGCCTGGGCCCTGGGCTCCAGGTTCAAAGAGCTGGAAGCAGCCTGTTTGGGAGCGAGCCTGGGGCCAGCCGATCTTGGCAGGGGGCTTTGCCAAACCAAAGTCCAGGGGGCTGGCTTGGGGAGCAGATAAGACCACACGAAGCTGTTTGTTGTTTGCATGCAGAAGGCTGCCAAGGGTTTTCAAAAACAAGCTGTCCTCCACTGGGTGACTGTGTCCCCTCCCACACAGGGCACATTTGCCCTCATGCCGGGGCCTCGGCAGACACACAGAGCGGGATCGACCTCTAAACCAGTGCTTCTTGGCCCTGGCGACCCCACCGTCACCTGGGAAGCCTGAAAAGTCTGTGTCCAGGTCCCTCTCCAACCAAAGCAAGCAGGGATTCTTGGGTGGGAAGTCTAATAGATAGCCAGGTTGAAAACCCCTGTTCCTACTTAAGGACGGAAAACAATAATTAAAAAAATATTTAAAAAGAGGCAGTGGCTCATGCCTGTAATCCAAGCACTTTGGGAGGCGGAGGTGGGAGGATCACTTGAGCCCAGGAATTCAGACCAGCCTGGACAACACAGCGAGACCCTGTCTCAATTTAAAAAAAATAAAAAAGGTAAAAAAATAAAAATAAAAAAGGAAAATAAAAGAAAAGGAAACCTCTGTTCCAAACCATCTTCAGTTCTGAAATCAGGAAAAAAAAAAAAAAAAATCCCTGATACTATTTCTGGGGGATGGGGAAGAATTATCCCTGGGTTAATTTCTCATGCTCACTTTTGAAACAGCCTGGGAGCTGTGCGGCTTGTCCCCTCCTCCTGCTCCCCCACCCCCGCAACAGGGTTCCTTCCTTGGAGCCGCTGAACTTGCATAAGTGACACCCTCCTCCTTGAGGGAGAAGCCAGGCTCCCCCAGGACAGCCAGGTGAGTGGCAGTGAGCATGTGACTGAGCGCTCCACTCCCTGTGTTGGCTCCCCGACCTCTGCAGACTTCAGTAGCACTTCTGTGCAAAACCCCACACGAGCTCATCAGTTCACACACCCCTTATTTGGACCTAGCAAGTCCAGCCACCTGGGACAGAGCTGAGATTGATCTCTGCAAAGTGTGAGGCCAGCTGGGCGTTTAGCGGTGTCACTGAGGACACAAGGAGAGAGCTGATTCTGCCTAGGGCATGCCTGCTTTAAGGACTCAGCCCCAAGCCTTCCCCTCCCCAAATGTTGCCTGCTAGCTCACTCCTAACCCCCTTGCCCCTTGACCTGGGGCAGAGAGCTGGCTGATACTAACCCCCGGGGACTGCCTTAGCCTGCCGGAGCCTCAGCTTCCTTGTTTGTCAAGTGATGATAATAATTTCTAATTCTCAAGGTTCCTTGATGATGAACTGCCACCCTATAGGTGGTGGCCCCATCTGGGAAGAAGGGTGGCTGGGTGTTTGGGGGCTACACCTGGGGAGGAGGCTGAGACGGACCCGGGGCTGCTGCTTTCAGGCCCTGGCTCGTTGCCCCTGCTGGGGCCCGCCTGTGGGTACCCATGTCCCTTGGCCTCATCCAGGTCCAGCAGCGGACCCTGCACAGGAAGCTGTTCAATCTCACGGAAACAGCTGCAGCTCCTGCCCAGGCCCTTGACTCCACCCCGTGGCCCTCCCGCCCCCCACTCAGCGTTTGGTTCTCATGGCAAGGAGGACTCCCGAGGAAACCAGACTCCACCCAGACCCCCCTACCAAATGCCCTCCTTTTTCCCATGCCCGGGAGCCTCTTCTGTCCTCCCCCGTTGGCCGCGGCATAGCAGCCCCACAGGGCACACCCTCAAACCCCATAACCAACTGTGCCTGGGTTGGGGCACATAGCAGATGGCCCAGCAGTGCCCCAGGATCCACTCCAGCCTCTGTCTCAGCCACACTGCCTCTGCCAGGAGACAGACACCTTCTCCAGCCCGCCTTTCCATGCTTGCGTGCCACATCGCACACACATTCACACACACAGATGTACACACTCCATAACACACACAGTGACAGTCCACACCAGTGTCACACCTGGATGCCAGATCGCCCATGTCTACATGTGTACATGTCTACATGTCTGTCAGGTGGCAGACTTTTGCACACACTAAGGAGCAGCTTCATATACCTCCTCCAAACATACGCATACACCTGCCTAAGGATGAACCTGTGAGCAGACATATGTACCCCTCCAGAAATCCCTTTCCCTGTTCAGTGACACAGCCGGGCATCTGAACACATGCACACCTGTGCATGCACACATACACACACGAGCACACAGCACGCTCATTCCTGTGTGCATGCACACACACACACACACACAAATGCATACCAGGAGTCCCTGCCTGCCTCAGCAGGGAGAACACAGCAGCAGCTTCCCAACCTGCAAACCCATCCTCAGCGGAGCCCTGACCTTCCTGACGGGGGGATCCCGGCTTCCCAGGGGTCAAGGAACCTGCTGAGGTCACACAGCTCACTGCGGTTGAGCTGGTATCAAGCCCAGGTTCCCTGTCCCCAGGGCTGGTGTGCACCCCAGCTGTGTCCACAGGTGTGCAGACTGTGGTGTCTCCAGACCCAGGGGTTCCCGCTGGGCCCTCCCCCAGGATGCTCTGATCCCCCTACAGGGCGGGCACCCGGGCACCTGAGCAGGGGCCCCCTCAGCCCTCGCAGGGCAGCAAAGCCTGGATGCTGGGCTGGGACTATTCTGAGTCGAGGGTGTCTCTTTGACAGGTTCCTCCTGGGCACGGGGCTGGCTCCTGGGAGGGGCAGTTCCGAGGACCCAGTGGCTGAGGGGCTCCCACCTGGGACCCCTTGCAGTTCCCAGGGACGAAGGTCTCCCCCTTGAGCGTCTAGTCACCTGGCCCAAAGGGCCCGCAGCTGTGGGCAGCGCTGGGGACAGGGGCGAGGGGTCCTTACCTCCAGGCCGAGAGGGGTGGAGGATGGACAGCAGGAGCAGGAGGACTCCGGGCCGCGGGGCCGCCGCCGTCAGACCCGCCATCTCGGGGAGAAATGCCCCAGCCCGCTCTCCGCACCTCGTTTTATCCCCAAAGCCTAATTGTTGCCTCGTCGGCTGTGAGGGAAAGAGGGAGGGAGAGAGGGCGGGCGGGAGGGCGGGAGAGGGGGGAGGCCTGGGGGAGGGGGCCGCGGGGAGGGGACAATTACGAAAGGCCCGGCTCACAAGCCTCCCAGGCCCGGGCTGCTGGACTGCGAGCTTTTTTCCTTGACACACACACGCACACACATGCACACAAGCACACACTCACACACACACACTTTCCCCCATCTCTTTCCCGCTTTCCCTCTGCGACTGTTCTTTCGCTGCTGGCCCTGTTCCCGCCAGAAAGAGCGAGGGGGGCCTCTGCCAGGACAGCCCTCGGGAGAGGAAGCAGAAGGGAGGGCCTGGCGGCCAGGCCAAAAATCCCAGCCCCAGCCAAGGCCCGAGTGGCCAGGCCCCCGCCCCTCCGGCTGGGCCCCGGGCCCAGTGTGAGGATACGGGCCAGCTGTCCCGCGCCTCAGCCCCCACCCCGGCCCTCCAGACTCCCCAACACCCCCAGGTCTGGCTAGAGACAGGTTCTGCCCAAAGCTGGGGAGGGGAGGCATTGGGCAGGTCTGGGGGTTTGGGGGGTGCGATGTCTACAGAGGCCGGGGGGCTGCAGGTTGAATGGCCTGGAAGGTAGGCCCGGGTTGGTATTGCTCTGGGAGGGATCTGGGGGGAAGGTAGGGGACCCTGGACAGGGCTGCATTCTGCAGGGGCCAAGGTCTCTGCCTAGCGCCTGAAGCTGGGGAGGAGGTGTTGGGTGGGTCTGGGGTGGATGCCTGCAGATGCCAGGGGGTTAGAGGCAGGGGAATGGCTTGGGAGTTAAGGCCATGTTGGTGCTGTCCCCAGGGGCATCTGGAGCACATGGAGGATCCCGACACACAGGGTTCTATTCTGCATGGGTCAAGGTCACAGCCCTATACCCAGCCCCATGCAGGCCGCAGGGTCTGGTAAAAATCAGGCTGGATCCCCAGGTGCCCTGTGGGGGAACAGGGAGGTGGGAGCCCCCCGCAGACTGACAGGCAGCCCAGCTTCCCATTATCACTGGGTCACCTCCCATCCCCACGCTGAGCACAGCTAGCGCCCACACCAGTCTGGGAGCTTCTCGACTGCTGTTCTCCCGGCCCCTCTGGGAAGGCTGACATTCCGCTGGTGGCCAGGAGGGGGCGGCCTGCACTGAAACAGCTGGGACCACGTTCCTGGAGAACTCTGCATTTCTGCCCCCAGGACTGAGCTGGACGGGGACCCTGGGGGATTTTGGGGGTTGGAGTGTGGGATGGAACAGGGGAGGGTCGTGTCCCCCACCCCTCACTTCCCACTACTGCTAGAGGAGAAGAAATGTGAGACCTAGAGAATAGGAGAGGGAAACTTGTTCCTTGTCCTAGGTCACAGCCAGTCAGGGAACAGCATGGAAGCCACACGCCCTGTGGGCTTTTCCCTGCACCACGATGGCTCCGAGGGATGAGTTAAAGACCCCTTGTGGAGGCAGGAGCACTGTGGCAGTCTGGAGTGCCAGCAGGGGTGGCTCAGCGTGGAAAGGTCAAATGCAGGCATTGGTCAAAGGCAGGTATTGGTGGACCTAGAAGTAAATTTCTGGCTCTAGCCTTTCTGGTAGGAAAACCTCTCCACAGAGCATCAGTTTCCTTATCTGTCTACAGGTGATCAGTATTCCTAGCTAAGAGATTATTGCAAAGACAAATACAACGTGGTCTTGTATTTCTGCTAGATCAAAAATGCTCTGTGTTCAGCTGGTGCTAGGACTGGTGTCAATACCACAGTTGCCGTCACTCGCTCTGCAAGTACTCTGCTTCTAGGACAGCTATCAGGCTTTGGTCTATACGGGGCCACCCCAGGACCCTGGACAAACCCTTCCTTTTCCCTGGGTCTTTGGAGGGAGCAGCTCTGGAATTTTGGAAGGTAGGGGCATGCTGGGAGAATTGTCTTGAAGATGTACGCACACAGCCAGTGTACAGCTCTTACTTACGGTGTGTGTTTATTTGGGGGTGCTTTGAGGGTAGCTGATGGAGATTATGCTGGGGTGAAAGCCCCCCCAAGCCACCCTTTGTTGGTGGGGTTAGGGGCTGCTCAGGGGCAGGGTCTGAAGCTCGATGCCCAGGATGTGCCTGCTGCAGGGGAGGGGAAGTCAATGGTATATCTGCGTGCCTCCGCCTGCCTGGGAAGGAGGAAGGCAGGGGCTACTGTGGGGAGCTGGACCCCTCTCTTCTCGAGGCAGTGACACGGGCAGGAACCAGCTTTCAGACTTGCAAACCGCAGTCTGCACAGAGTCTTTATTAATTCCAGGACGGGGAGAGAGTCCGGAGCCAGGGGGAGAGAGTTTGCAGTGGGGGGATCCAGGAGGGGTGTGGAGGGGCACTCACAGGAATAGACTTGAGGTGGCTGGAACAGACCTCTCCCCTGAGGCCGGGGGCCCTGTGTCCTGCCCCCAGCCTGTGCGCTGCTTCTGCTTAGCAGCCTCTGCTCATTGCAGGAGCTCCACGAACATAACATGCAACAAGATTGCAAAAGGGGGCCTCAATTCACAATCAAATCCATTGCACTGAATATCCATGCCGTGTAGTCTGATGCATAAGATACATAATGTAAGAACTAGAGATGACAGTCATCGGCCACCATCCATTCATTCATTCATTTACTTGTTCATTCAAGACCCCATCAGTACTCAAATGCTTAGTGTCACCTCCTTGCCTAGCTGTATGACTAAATAAGGTCATACATGCAGAATTGCCCACAGAGGGCTACCGGGTGCACCTGGCTGCCTGGTGATCGTTGGTCTTGCCGTTATCATTGACAAGCCTTTCCCGCTTGTTGCCTGGCTCAGTGCCACCAAGGGGCAACCAGATGAGTCACCCACAGGGCATCTCTATCTTCCAGCTCCTCTGGGTGCACCCATTTTGGTAGGACAGAGTTCCCAGTCTCTGGATGGCTCTGAGAACATCGTGCTTTGCTCAGACACCCTCCGTCGCTATCCAGACAAAGTTCAGATTTTTTTTTTGAGACGGAGTCTCGTTCTGTCACCCAGGCTGGAGTGCAGTGGCGTGATCTCCGCTCACTAAAATTTCTGCCTCCCAGGTTCAAGCAATTCTCCTGCCTCAGCCCCCGAGTAGCTGGGATTACAGGCATCCGCCACCACTGCCAGCTAATTTTTGTATTTTTAGTAAAGACCGGATTTCACCATGTTGGCCAGGCTGGTCTCAAACTCCTGAGCTCAGGTGATCCGCCCGCCTCGGCCTCCCAAAATGCTGGGATTACAGGTGTGAGCTACCGCATCCAGCCCCTCCTATGATCTTAAATTTACTAGTAGCCATATGAAATAAAAGAAAACATAAGTAAAACTATTCTTAGTAATATATTTAACACAACATATCTAAAGTATAATCCTTTCAACATCCAATCAAAATAAAAGTTATTGAGATATCTTGCATTCTTTTTTGTACCAGGTCTTAAAACTGGTGTGTATTTTGCATCGAGGGTACGTCTCAATCTGGACTTGTCACATTTCAAGTGCTCCATTAGCCACATGTGGCCAGCAGCTGCCACCGGGGACAGCACTGGTTTAGATCATAAAGGACTGGTGAGATGAGCTAGCCTTAGTTCTTTTTTGGTGGTTTGTTTTCTTTTTTGAGAGGGAGTCTTTCTCTGTCACCCAGGCTGGAGTGCAGTGGCACGATCTTGGCTCACTGCAACCTCCGCCTCCCGGGTTCAAGCAATTCTCCTGCCTCAGCCTCCTGAGTAGCTGGGATTACAGGCACGCGCCACCACGCCTGGCTAATTTTTGTATTTTTAGTAGAGACGGGGTTTCTCCGTTTTGGCCAGGCTGATCTTGAACTCCTGACCTCAGGTGATCCTCCCGCCTCGACTTCCCTAAGTGCTGGGATTACAGGCGTGAACCACCATGCCCAGCCAGAGCTAGCCTTAGTTCTGATGCGCTTGGAAGGGAATCTGAATCCTGCTATGCAGAGGTTCAAAATGGGACGGGGCTTGAGGACAGGGGAGAGGGACAGAGAAGGAAGGATGTCCTTGGAGGCTGGCAAAGGGCACCCGTGACAAGCAGCCCCAAAGGAGTGGCCCTGCCCTCGTGCTGGTGACTGAGCCAGAGAGGGCGGCTACCTCCTGTGGGGTGCCCGGCAGCATCGGCCCAGAGCCAGCACCTCAGCTGGAAAATGAAAGGGACTTCTGCAGTTCCTCTCTTCCCAGAGGCCACCAGGGACCCCTCGGATGGCCGGCCAGGAAAGGAAGGGGTCTGGCGCAGGCACAGGTGTCAGAGGTAAAGGGACTGCAACCGAAAATAGATCGAATGCCCATGGGTCTGGGCCATTTGCTGGGTGTCCCTTCATCACACAGAGCCAGCTCAAAAGAAGGACAGGCTGTGCTTCGAGGGGGTGCGTTGGACGTTGTGGGAGGGAGGCTGAAATTCTGGAACTCGGTGCTTCTGCAACCCCCCAGGCTGGGAGTGGGTTCGGAAGGGTCAGCAGTCGTTGTTGTGGTTGTGATGGGGACTGATGTTGATTAGTGTATGAGTTTGGCCAGATTATCTAATAATAATGAAGGATGGTGACATCAACAGTAATTGACCCCTAGAATCCCTGGTTTCGTCCTATGAAGACAGGATCTTCATAACCATTTAAGAGTACAAACATATCTGTAAGAATTTGGTATACAGCAAGTGCTCAAACATGGGAGGGGGTCCATGACACCATTTCAGGCCACTGATCATGGCTGGGTGGAGGGGTAGGCATAGCAGAAAGCCCCATCCCTGTGAGTGCTGCCCCCTGCAACCTCCGGGCCATGCCGTGTTTCCTCTTAGCCCCGGGCGTTTGTGTGTCTGAGTCATTTGTCAGTCTGGATCTTTGGCCAGTGTGAGCCGGGGGTGGGGAGGTGGGTGTCCCGGACGGGCTGTTCTGCCCTGTGCTGTTCCTACAGTGCCTCACGGGCTGTCTGTTGCCATCTAGAGGGGAACATCGTGAGCCGGCCCTCCTCTGTGCACCCCCTTCCCATGGGACCCGGGATGGAGGAGTCCAGAGCACGCCTCTTGTTTGTTTGACACTTGACCGTTTGCAAAGCACACTTCCATTTTCCAATGGGGATATTATTATGCCGGTTAACAAGCAGAAGGGTTAGGAGTCCTGTCTATAAACTCGGCCCCACCAGAAAGAGCATCTTGGTGTCTGCCTTAGATCTGTTTAATTTAATTTAAGCCAATGTCACACGGGTAGGTGGCAGTGAATTCCATCCCAGTTACTGGGTCTGTCTTCCTCCACTTCCACCCCCCACCAAAATCCAGGCATCTTAGATGGAGCCTGGAGATAGTAGGGGCCCTGACTCCCTGACTCCCTTGTTGGAGCCTGTGTGCTCGTGTGCACCCCAAGACTGTGCTGGAATCTGAGGCTGGGAAGCTCGGGGCTGGACCACCTCCAGAGGTGCTTCCAAGGGAGTGGCCTGCAGGACATTCTGTCATCTCCGGGCTGGCAGGAGATGCTTCCAGTCTAAGATACTCACTCTCATCTCAAAGATGACTTTCGGCGGCTTTTTGCTTGCAACGTGGAGAGCCGCTTGGAAAGTGGCAAGAGGGGAGGGTTATAGGGTGGATAAGAACAGATATTCATGACTCAATAAACTATCCTGCCACACAGGTGAGGAAACGGATCCTTGAGGAAACACATGACCAGCGGAAGGTCACCCAAAGGCACTGTGACCTGGAGCTCAAGCCTCTAGAGTATTTCACTCCTCCAGCCACACTGCTTTAGGGTGGAGCGATGATCTCTGTTCGGCTCCACACCTGGAAAGCAGAGCCTTCTCTTCCCTGGGCTGCACATGTTGTGGGACCCAGGGCCGAGCTGCCTGCTCCCCTGAGCTGGCTCTAGGAACCAGTGGGCAGAGCTGCTACAGCTCTTACCCCACCCAAGCGCCCTCCCTCGAGCCCTTATCTCCCTGGCCTCCCGCAGCCCTCCATGCTCAGGAGCCCTTCCAAGCGCCTGAGCCGGGAACACTGCCGGGTCGGGGGAGCTCTCTTCCTCCTGGTTTTGCCCGTCTCCGTCCCCACACCACGTTCGGCTGCTCCCCGCCCTGGGCAGAGCCCTCCACCCATGCCCGGAACCCTCAGCTGGCCTGATCCCTGTGGCGCCAGGCGGGTCCTGCAGGGCGGGCAGGGCAGCTGCCAGGATGCTGGGTGGGAGGCAGGCGAGGCTGGGCCAGGGGCTCCTGCTGGGCCTGGGGTGATCCACTTCCTTGTTCATTCTGTTCTCCACATTTCTGAGTGGCCTGCTCTGGCAGGCATTGGGTTTGGGGAGGGGAGACAGGCATAGAGGACAACAGCACCTGCAGTCCTGGGAACGGAGGGTCAGAGCCTGCAGGAGGGGAGGCAATCAGGAAGGCTTCCTGGAGGAGTCGATGCTGGAGCTGAATCCTGTTCCCGTCTCCCAAAGGGAGTTGCTTTCCGGTGGTGTACGCAAAAGCAGGAAGGCTGAAGGCAGCCCTGACCAGGCACCCAGCCTTTGTCCTCCTGCCCACCCACACAGCCGCCTGCAGGGAGCTTCTGAGAGCACAGACCCCATGTGTCCGTGCCCTGCTTAAAGCCTGCCGGTAACAGACTCTCAGAGGACGCTGGTCCTTCCTACTTGGCCCGGGTCACCTCAGGGCTCCTATGAAGGACTTTCACTCAATCAGCGCCTTTCAAATTTCAGGTTGTGACCCATTAGTGAGGCTTGGAATCACTTTAGTGGGCCAGGAATGACATTTTCATTTATTTATTTATTTGGAGACAGGGTTTCACCCTGTCACCCAGGCTTAGCTTACTGCAACCTCCGCCTCCTGGGTTCAAGCAATTCTCCCACCTCAGCCTCCTGAATGGCTGGGATTACAGGCAGGAACCACTGTGCCCAGCTTATTTTTGTATTTTTTGGTAGAGACAGGGTTTTACCATGTTGCTCAGGCTGGACTCGAACTCCCGGCCTCAAGCGATCTGCCCACCTCGGCCTCCCAAAGTGCTGGGATTATAGGTGTGAGCCACCGTGCCCGGCCAGGAACAGGATTTTCAGATGGGATGGGCTGTCATAGAATTGAATGGAGTGAAATAGAATAGAAAAGAATAGAATAGAATAAGCGCAAGTGATCAAATTTAGCACTGTCTCTTGCGCTTTTTCTTTTTCCTTCTTTCTCCTATCTTTTGAGACAGGGTCTTGCTCTGTTGTCCAGGCTGGAGTGCAGTGGCACGATCATAGCTCACTGCAGCCTCGAATCCCTGGACTCAAGTGATCCTCCTGAGTAGCTGGGACTGCAGGTGCATGTCACCACATCTGGCTAATTTTTTTTAAAGTTATTAATTAAAAAAAAAAAAAGGAACAGGGTCTCAGTATCTTACTCAGGCTGGTCTCAAATTCCTGGCCTCAAGCGATCCTCCCGCCTCGGCCTGATTACACGCATGAGCCATGGCGCCTGGCCTACACCGTTGTTTAAGTTTATGTGTTTGCATGTGTGTACTGGATCGTGATGAATTGTTTTTCGGCTCAGCACTGTCAAAAAGTCTAAAAGGCACGGTTGCCATGACTATTTACACATCATTCTCTCTGTCTACCCTGAGGGCTGTTGTCATTCCTATAGCAAGCATCTGCAATGCAGCTGAGTGAATGTGTGAGTGAAAAAAAATGAATAGGGATGGGGGGAGACCTCTATTGCTACACACTTCCCTAGCCCCCTTGGTGGTCACAGGTCAGTCTCCTGCCAAGCAGATAAGAGCTTGGTGCTGAGGTCTTGGGCCCCCAGCTTGGATCACAGGTGGGGTCATGGTTCTCAGGTGGGGCCATGTCTGCTCCTGGCCCCATAAGCCCTCCAGACTCCCAGGGGGACAATCAATGGGTTCAGATCCTCAGAATCCCAAGGACAGGACCAGGCACAGTGGCTCACGCCTGTAACCCCAACACTTTGGGAGGCCACAGCAGGTGGATCGCTTTAGGTCAGGAGTTTGAGACCAGCCTGGCCAATATGGCAAACCTTGTCTCTACCAAAAATACAAAGATTAGCCGGGCCTGGTGGTGCACAACTGTAATCTCAGCTACTTGGGAGGCTGAGATCAGGCTGCTGCATTCCAGCCTGGGCAACAGAATGAGACTCTGTCTCAAAAAAAAAAAAAAAAAAAAAAGACGCTATCTCCAAATACAGTCACATTCTGAGGTCCTGGGGGACTCAGAGGACAACACGTGAATTTTGGGGTGACACAATTCAGCCCATAACAGAAGACTTGTGGGAAACTGGGAGAGGGAGGGGGCCTCCTCCTTCCTCCCAGCCCCAAGTGCAGTAAGGGAATATCCTGGAGCTAAGACCTGCAGATGCCCTGATTCCTTTCTCAACCATCAGCACGCTCATTGCAAACCTTCCCTTGCCCTCTCCTGAAAGCAAACCTCTCTGATTTAGGTTTGTGCCTGGGCTGGAAGGGTGGGTTTCCGGAGTTGGGGGCCCCTCCCAGACCCATATTCAAAATATCCTGGTTAGGAGAAAAGCCCCCACTTCCACTGACTTCTTAAGAGGTCCTTCCAAGTCACACTGTGTTACTAGACGGTCTGAGTATGATGCCCGGCAAGGGGCATGTGATTGTCCCCGGCCCTTTCTTTGGTTCATGCTGGGCTACCTACTCGTCTTCCATGAGCCCAAATTGGTGGGAGCCCTTGTCCCCCTACCCTGAACTGTGTATGGGAATTCACTGGTGTAAAAAAAACCACCTGAAAGTGATAATGGGGATTAGGGCGGGAGGTCAGGCAGAAGCAGTGCCAGATGGGGTCAGTCCAGGAGGGCTTCCTGGAGGAGGCGAGAAATGGCTTTAGCTTTCAGCCTGAACTGCCCTCCTACTGGTTGTCAGGCACCATGCTGGGAGCCTCTATTACAATAACTGGTTTAATCTCCAGACAAGCAGAGTGGTGCTATTATCCCCCTCAATCTTTTTTCTTTTTTTGTTTTGTTTTGTTTGTTTTTTTAGATGGAGCCTCGCTCTGTCGCTCAGGTTGTCACCCAGGCTGGAGTGCAGTAGCACAGTCTCCATTCACTGCAGCCTCCGCCTCCCTGGTTCAAGAAATTCTCCTGCCTCAGCCTCCTGAGTAGCTGGGGTTACAGGTGCCTACCACCATGCCCGGCTAATTTTTGTATTTTTAGTAGAGATGGGCTTTCACCATGTTGGCCAGGCTGGTCTCGAACTCCTGACCTCAAGTGATCCACCCCCCTCGGCCTCCCAAAGTGCTGGGATTAGAGGCGTGAGCTACCGCGCCCGGCCTCCACCCCTCTCTGCATCTCTGTCTCCCTCTCTGTCCATCTCCCCATGTTCTTGTCTGCATCTTTCTCTGCACCCCGGGGTCTACTCCTGCAGGGTCTGAGGCTCTCATTCCCTGGGTTTGCATTACATTGTTTATCCAGAAGAGATCCAGCTGCCTGAACTCTCCTGCCAGCTCCCAGAGGAAGAAGCATGCTCAGTGGGGTGGTCCCCCTGGCCCCTCATGCAGGTTTTGGCTTTTGGCTCTGGGCAGACACTGCTTTTCTCTGCCTTGTGCTCTCTCCTTGAAATCACCGGGGCAGCCTGGATGGTCTTCCTCCTGCCCCCTGCCCCTCCCAGAGGAGATTGAAGCCTGCTGGGGATGTAGCAGTGAGGGTGAGTGTGTCTGTGTGTGTCTCTGTGTCAGTATATCTGTGGATGTGAGGCACTGTGTGTGCATGTTGTCATGTTGACTTTTGCCAGATGACATCTGCTCACGCAACTGCTAATGCAACTCATAAGAGTATTTTATTTATTTTTGAGACAGGGTCTTGCTCTGTTATCCAGGCTGCAGTGCAGTGGTGCTATCATAGCTTACTGCAGCCTCAGCCTCCCGGGCTCAAGTGATCCTCCCGCCTCAGTCTCCCGAGTAGCTGGGACTACAGGTGTGCACCAACACGCCCGGCTACTTTTTAAATTTTTTGGACTTGGGGTCTCATTATGTTGCCCAGGCTGGTCTCAAACTTCTGGCCTCAAGTGATCCTCCCATCTTGGCCTCCCGAAGTGCTGTGATTACTGGCGGGAGCCTCTGCGCTGGGCTCCCAGTGTGATTTTAACTTTAATTTCCCTGATGAGTAATGATGGCGCACACTTTCTCACACGCTTTTTGGGCATTTGATTATCCTTGTTTGTGAAGTGACTTTTTACGTCTTATGCACATTTTTGAAAATAGGATTGATATTTCCTTATGATGCGTGGAGTTCTTTATGTTGATACAATTCTGCAGTTAGCTATCTGTGTGAGAAAGATCTTCTCTCAATCTTTGGCTTGCCTTTATTTATATTTATTTTGATTGTTTGTAGAGATGGGGGTCTTGCTATGTTGCCCAGGTTGGCCTTGAACTCCTGGCTTCAAGCGATCCTCCCACCTTGGCCTCTCAAGGCACTGGGATTATGAGCATGAGCCACCCTGCCTGGCTTGCCTTACTTTTAATGCTGTCTTTTGATGACTACAATTCCTTAATTTTAACAAAGTCAAATGTATCCGTCTTTTCTCTAGGGGTTAGTGCTTCATCTGTCCTGTTTAAGAAATCTGTGCCCACCTGAAGGTCATGAAGATAATCTGTTAAGCTTTATTTTAGAAACATTACAGTTTTCCCTTTCACAATTAGGTCTATGACCTACGTTGACACAGCATTTTAAATCCCCCCAGAGCCAGGACTTGGCCTGTCTACCCTCACCCTTCCCAAAGCGTGGTGGCCTCAGCGTTTGGAAAAAAAACTCTTCCCTCCTGGGTCGTCAGCTGCACAGCCTCTTTCGAGGGCCCCAGCCCTTCCTCCAGCCCCTGGAATTAATAAAAGCTCTGAGCTGCCTGTGGTTTTCAGGCTGAGAGCTGGTTCCAACGCCTGTTAGGATTCAGGCAGCAAGCTGGGGGCCACCATCCTTTCTCCATGTGGGTTTTTGTGTTCCCTCTCCTGGTGGTGGAGAAGCTCACCCATTCATGGAACTCTGAGGGTCCCCAGACCAGAATAAGGAATCTCTCTTTCTTTTTCTTTTCTTTTCTTTTTTTTTTTTTTTTTTGAGACAGACTCTCACTCTGTCACTCAGGCTGGAGTGCAGTGGTGCGATCTCGGCTCACTGCAACCTCCATCTTCTGGGTTCAAATGATTCTCCTGCCTCAGCCTCCCAAGTAGCTGGGATGACAGGTGCCTGACACTGTGCCCCGCTAACTTTTGTATTTTTAGTAGAGATGGGGTTTCGCCATGTTGGCCAGGCTGGTCTTGAACTCCTGACCTCAAGCGATCCGCCCCCCTCAGCCTCCCAAAGTGCTGGGATTATAGGTGTGAGCCACTGTGCCCAGCCCGGAATTAGGAATCTTTAAAGAGCCCTGGCTGGGTGAGGTGGCTCACGCCTGTAATCCTAGCACTTTGGGAGGCTGAGGCAGATTGCTTGAGGTCAGGAGTTCGAGACCAGCCTGGCCAACAAGGTGAAACTTCGTCTCTACTAAAAATACAATTAGCCAGGCATGGTGGCACATGCCTATAGTCCCAGCTGCTTGGGAGGCTGAGGCAGGAGAATCACTTGAACATGGGAGGTGGAGGTTGCAGTGAGCCGAGATCGTGCCAGTGCACTCCAGCCTGGGTGACAGACGGAGACTCCTTCTCAAAAAAAAAAAAAAAAAAGAAAAGAAAAAAGAAAAAAAAAAGAGCATCTTATCTAGTCCCTCCTTACTCCTCCCTAAACTCTCCCTACAGCCTGGATTTCTCTCAGCTGCCTCTCTCTTTAATGGGCTGGGGGAGCTCATTCCAACCAGTATGGCAGATAGGTTCCGTCACCAACTGTGTTTGATGGGCAATGGCCATCAGAAGTGGTGTTAAGAAGGATTCTGAGGATATCCAGTCTCAGCAGACGGGAATCACACAGTCAATGGGTCATGTCTGCTGGGAGCAAGAAGTGGGAGGTATGGCCTATACTTTGTGTCTTAAATGACCCTGATCTAGTCTAAATCCCTTATTAGGATTAATCCAAAGTAGAGTTTAAATGATTCATTCAATGGTACTCAGGCATCAATTAACAGAGATGGTTTGTCTGGGCGCAGTGGCTCACGCCTGTAATCCCAGCACTTTGGGAGGCTGATGTGGGAGGATTCCTTGAAGCCAGGAGTTAGAGATCAGCGTGGGCAACATAGCGAAACCCCCATCTCTGCAAAAAACAAACAAAACAATTAGCTGGGTATGGTGGTATATGCCTGTACTCCAGCCATGCAGGAGGCTGAGGTAGGAGGCTCACTTGAGTCCAGGAGCTCAAGGCTGCAGTGAGTCATGACTACGTCATTGCGCTCCAGTCTGGGCAACAGAGTGAGTCTCTGTTTCTAAAAGAAAAAAAATAATAATAATGATAATAAGATAGTTTAGAAGCTTGGCTATTACCCATTTAACAGAAAGGCACTTACTTGTTTATTCAGCAAATATTGATTTAGCAACTACTAATTTCTGTTCCTGTGCTGAGCATTGAGAATATGATGGTGAATCCAATCTAGTCTGATGTCTGCCTAATTCTGCGTTTCTCCCTTGACTCCAATATTCAATGTATGGACTTAATGGAGCCATCTCACGGGATAGTCACTTACCATCTGGTGAGCCAGCTGTTCCTGGGGTGGGATTATAATAAAATTTTTAAAAAATGGAACTTGGGGCCAGGTGTGGTGACTCATGCCTATAATCCCAGCAATTTGGGAGACCAAGGTGGGCGGATCACTTGAGCCCGGGAGTTCGAGACCAGCCTGGGCAATATGGCAAAACCCCATTTCTACAAAACACACACACACACACACACACACACACACACACACAAAATTAGCCAGACTTAATGGCGTGTGCCTGTAGTCTCAGCTACTTGGCGGGGCTGAGGCTGGAGGATCGCTTGAGCCTGGAAGGTGGAGGTTGCAGTGAGCTGAGATCGTGCCACTGCACTCCAGCCTGGGTGACAGATTGAACCCTGTCTCAAAAAAAAAAAAAAAAAAAAAGAAAATAAAAAAGGAAGTTGGTGGGTAACTGGGGTTCTGAGGTTGTACTGTTTCTCTCCAAGTACCTTTGCAGAAAGAGGTCCCCAAATAAGGCCTGTAAATGAAAAGATGTGAAAACACAAATCACTAATGAAATGGACCAGGGGGGCTCCTGGGTTTCTATGATGGTCCTTGGAGACTGTTCGGGCACCATTCAGCACCATTCGGTCCTCCCCTGGTTCTGCCCACCTGCAATGCCTGTCTCCCTCTGAGCCGGCCTCAGGACCTTCCGCCCTTCCCCAGACACGCCCTTCCCCAGACACCCCCTTCCCACTACACCCCTGTGGTTAAAAGCAGAGGCTCTGAGTCCACATGGCGCAAGTTCAAGTCCCTCTTGTTCCACTTTGGGCACTTTGACCTTGGGCAAGGTACCCTCCCTGAGCTTCAGTTTCCTCATCTCTTAGAGAGGGTGTGGCAGGGAGTCAGGGAGCTCAAGCACATTGCATGCATGCAAGCACAAAATAGCTGCTCAGCAAAATCTTAGCTACAGCCCTGCTCAGATCCCTGGTTCAGGGCCGTTTGGAGAAACTGGGGCAGTAAAAAGAGGTGTGGCCCCGTCCTGGGGCTCCATAGAAAATTCATTTCTGCATCCTCTACGTGGAGCTTTGCACTGAGCCTCGGAAATGGTAGAGACTCGATCAAGGCCTGTAACAGGAGGGAGAACCAGGGTTTTGTTCTCAACTTTCTGCTTCTTTCCTTGTGGGAAAACCCAGATTTGTTTCAGGGGAGTGAAGGAGCAGGGTCTGTATGTTTTCTGGACCAGGTGGGCTCGGAGAAGGCCCTGAAGCTTCTGTCAGATGAGAGGGGCCCCAGGAGGTGAGTCCCGACCCTGCGGCAGAGCCACTCCCTGGGGTCCAAGTGAACCTCCACCGCCCGCCAGGCCCCATGTTCTAGCTTCAATCATGTCCACCGCCCTGGCTGGGCCCCAGCCAAGCCCTCACTCGCTGGTGAGGGCCAAGCCGAGGCTGTGCCAGGCTCAGCGGAGGCCCTTGGCCAAGAACAGCAGAGCCATTCTCAGGAAAGCTGAGGGATTAAGCTGGGAGGCCAGCAGGGATTCAGGTATCCGCCCTCTGCCCCAGCTTGGCCATGGGAGGCAGGGCGACCTCACAGTTGTAAAGCAAAGGGACTGACCAGAGCCACCCACCCGGGGACCTGAGGACACAGTGTGGCCTGGACCAGCTCGCTCCTGCGGCCGCCTCTGGGGAGGAGTCGAGATCACATGGACTGATGCTGAAGGACTCTGGCCTAGGACCTGTCCCTGATCTCAGGCCCGCCCTGCCCTGGTGTTGGAATCTTAGCTCCTCTGGGTCTCCTGGGGGCTGTGCTCACCTGGAGGGATGGGTAGGATGACGTGGATGCCTCAGTGCAGACAGTCCCTTCTGCTGGGGCCACCTTTGTGTCTGGCAGGGCTAGTATGGGGCGGACAGGCCTGGCCATGGCTGCTGGGCTGTAGTGGCAGAGGTGATTGGGGTCAGAGGGCTATATGTGTCTGCCCAGCCCCTGGGGGGAGGGTCTCCAGCTTGGCTCTGGTAGGGGTCCCTAAACTCCTGGGGCTCTCTCTCTTCCACCTCCCCCTGTGGAGGGGCTTCTGTTCCCTGACTCCCCCTGGGTAGAATGTGGTTCCCGCATCCCTGTCCTGTCCAAATCCAACCCACACTCAGGACTTGCTTGCCTCTAGGGACCCCAGACTGGGCCATGTGCTTGCACCTGCTCCCAGCCCCCTATTCTCCCCCCAGGGTGACACTGGCTGCACTGAACTGCTACCATCTGCAGACAGCCCTGTCTCTCTCGCACTGGAGCCCACCTCAGGCAGGGCCGCCCCCTTCTCTTCTCCAATCTCCCTCTCCCCACTTGGCTAATTCCAATGTCCCTGGGCCATGCTGGCCGCTGGCTGGGCCCCGCCAGAGCAGGTGGCTGCCTGACCTGGCCTGGTCCCCGTCTGGGCCGCCTCTAGGCCCCTCCCTATGGGCCCAGGCTGATGGGGGTGTCTGCAGGGATGCTGACTCAGATGTTATTTTGGGCTCCCCTTGGGCCCGGCGGGCTCTGGGGCCTCAGGCCTGTTTAGACGGCTGGGCCGGATGTGACTGATTCCAGGCCCCTGGGCCTCCACCTACTGGGTGAGAGCCAGGCCAAGGTAGACGCTCTGGGCAGGGGGCAGGCAGGTCGGGCAGGCCTCGCGGGTCCAGAGATCCCAGGTCCAGCCCAGCTTCCCTCCTGCACTCCAGCTGCCTGGAGGCCCCGCCTTCCTCACACCTCATTCACAGCCCCAGGGGTTCCAGCTGAGGGCCTGAACCTGGGGGCTGCCATCCTAGGCACTGAGAGGTCATTTTCTTTTTCTTTTTTCTTTTTTTTGGGACAGAGTCTCACTCTGTCGCCCAGGCTGGAGTGCAGTGGCATGATCTTGATTCACTGCAACCTCCTCCTCCTAGGTTCAAGTGATTCTCCTGCCTCAGCCTCCCAAGAAGCTGGGATTACAGGCGGCTGCCACCACATCTGGCTAATTTCTGTATTTTTGCTAGAGACGGGGGTCTCACCATGTTGGCCAGGCTGATCTTGAACTCCTGACCTCAAGTGATCTGCCTGCCTCGGCCTCCCAAAGTTCTGGGATTATAGGCGTGAGCCACTACGCCCAGCCCTGGAGGATTTTCAGTCCCAGAATCCCTGAATGAGATTGCCAGCTGGAGAGAGCCAGTCTCCAAGGGCATAGCCTCAGTATCCCCTCGGCCCCAGATACACACCTGTGCCCCCAAGGTAGGGGACTCGAGGCCCAGAGACGCAGAGACAGGCCCATTCCAACCTGGGTCTCTAACTCCCAGAATATGCGCCCTCTTCAAAGCTGCTCAGCGGAAGACCAAGGGACAAGTCCCCTGGGCTCCCCAAGCCCCACATGGGCTCTGCGCCGGGTGTCCCTGGCTTTAAGAACACTCCCTCTGTTCAGTGGGTCTCGGCTTCCTCATCTGTCAAAGCCACTGTTCGGGCTCCATTGGGAGCCCACGGGCCAGGACGACCTCCAGATTTGCTGTTGTAAAGTGGCCACCCAGGCAGGGGCAGCTGGTGCTGCTGGTCTTGGGGGCAGAGCTTCACCATCCACCCCCCCCGGAGTAATATATAATTCTATTATTTGTGTTCTGAGAAGCTGGCTGTTATATCTAGAGGCTTGATTAAGGTAATATTCTGGCTGGGCACAGTGGTTCACACCGGTAATCCCAGCACTTTGGGAGGCCTATGCGGACGGATCACCTGAGGTCAGGTGTTTGAGACCAGCCTGGCCAACATGGCGAAACCCCATCTCTACTAAAAATACAAAAAATTAGCCAGGCATGGTGGTGCACTCCTGTAATCCCAGCTACTTGGCTGAGGCAGGAGAATCATTTGAACCCGGGAGGTGGAGGTTGCAGTGAGCCAAGATCGTGCCATTGCACTCCGGCCTGGGCAACAAGAGCAAAACTCCATCTCAAAGTAAATAAATAAATAAATAAATAAATAAATAAATAAATAAAATTAAAGAAAATAAAGTAATATTATTTCTTGGTCACCCAGCCTGGATTGCAGTGGCACAATCACAGCTCACTGCAGCCTCAACCTCCTGGGTCCAAGCAATCCTCCCACCTCAGCCTCCCGGGTAGCTGGGACCACAGGTATGTGCCACTATGCCTGGCTAGTTTTGTATTTTTTTGTAGAGAGGGGGTTTCACCCTGTTAGCCAGGCTGGTCTCGAACTCCTGACCTCAAGCAATCCGCCTGACTCGGACCCCAGCCGAGAAATGTTCAAGGAAACGTGCAAATCCTTAAGCTTGGTCCACTGTGTCCAAATTGAAAACAGGAGTGGGCTGGAGTGTGCAGTTAACCCCTGAAGCGTGGGTGGTTGGCCAGGACTGGGGGCTGGCGGGCAGGTACCACCTGCCACCCCCTCTGCAGGCTCTACTGCGGGCAAATCCAGGACTGGCTGGTCGGTGGGTGCACGATGTCAGCCACCTCATGCATTGGGCTCAGTGACACCCAGACCTGCTGCCTAGGTGGGAGGCATTTCTGAGGGCCAGAGGGGCAGTGGGGGGAAAGGCTGGCAGCTGCTTGGTCCTTAACACTCTCTCCCTTGCCACCATTGGGTCCCCAAGGAAGCCCACCACTGCCGAGACTCAGAGCCGTGAGAGAGCCCATTATATGGAGAGGAAGCCTGAGGCTCAGAGGGCTGTGGCTGTGCTTATTGCACCCCATCTGTCTCCCAGGGTGTCTCTCTGTCAAAGACAGTGCTTGGTCAGCAGAGCTGGGGGCTGGGTGCGGGGGTGACCTCTCTTCCCTGCAAATTCTTTCCCTCTAGATCCCAGCCCCAGAGATGTTCCCCCAGGTTTCCCAGGCAGGTGGTGCAGGGAGTGGCTTTGCTGAGGCCAGGCCCCACCGGAGTGAGGACACTACTGGCATGGGTGGCCCTCGGCCCGGCAGCCGCCCAAGCATGCAAACGGCCATGTGGACGGCTGTTCTTGCCCCGTTCCCAGAGCACGCACCAAGGAAAACATAGAATGTTTCTTGGATGACACAGTCTCCTTCCAAAGTCGTGCATTCCGGTGGGAAGCCAGCGAGGAGGGGGTCACAGCTGTCTGCAGTGGTGGGGGCTTGCGGCGGCACGCACAGTCCTGCCTTGTGGCTGCTGGGCTTGGTGGCAGAGGTGATTGGCGTCAGAGGGCTGTGTGCGTTTGCCCAGCCCCTGGGGGGAGGTCTCCAGCTTGGCTCTGGTAGGGGTCCCTGAACTCCTGGGGCTCTCTCTCTTCCACCTCCCCCTGTGGAGGGGCTTCTGCTCCCTGACTCCCCCTGGGTAGAATGTAGTTCCTACATCCCTGTCCTGTCCAAATCCAACCTGCGCTCAGGACTTGCTTGCTTTTAGGGACCCCAGACTGGGTCATGTGCTCCCACCTGCTCCCAACCCCCTATTCTCCCTCCAGGGTGACACTGGCCACATTCTGCCACCATCTGCAGTGGAGTCTGGGCCACGCACACAATCACAGGGGTCTGCATTGGGTACACCGCCGCGTGGCTGTGTCGTGGGCCCGCAGCTGTGTTCCCGTCCACACAGGCTGTCTGTGGCCACCCGGCCTATGACACAGCCCATGCCCTGGTTCTGTCTCCTGCCAGGGCGCTCAGCTTGTACATCCATCTCCCTGCTCCACGGGGACAACTGGTATGACCCTGCCGATGTGTGTCCTTAGCCCTGGGCAGGCAGCGGTGCATTCCAGGTCCTTGCATGCAACTGCCAGTCCCCTGACTGAGCATGCTTTGCCAATTGTCCTGCCCAGGCACCAGCTGGTGTGTCCCCGGAGTGGGTATGTCCTCAACCTACTCTCGACAAAGGGCTGCTTTAGGGAGTCAAACAGCTTGCTCTCCCACTGTTTGCTGTAGGCGTGGGTAGATATGTCTCCCCACCTCCAGACTCAGTTTCCTCCTCTGTCAGTGGGCCCGGTCATTCCCCTCACATGGCCGCCGTGACCATGACCTCAAGCAATCCGCCTGACTTGAGGCAGGAGGAAGGGTCATAGCCAGGGTACTTTTGTCTGTTGGCCCAGGGCTGAGTTAGCGGGGACTGCAGAGAGTGTGTGTGTGGAGCGGAGGACTATGTTGGATGCTGGATCTTTTTCCTCTTGGTGCAGGGCCTCTTCACAAAAGGTGGGAGCCTTTAGCTTTGAACTTGGAGATTCTTTTTTTTTTTAAGACAGGGTTCTGCTGTGTCGCCCAGGCTGGAGTGCAGTGGTGCAATCATAGCTCATTGCAGCCTCGACCTCCGGGGCTCAAGTGATCCGCCCACCTCAGCCTCTCATGTAGCTGGGACCACAGACACACACCACCACACCTGGCTAATTTTTTAAACTTTTTTTGTAGACATGGGGTCTTACTTTGTTGCCCAGGCTAGTCTTGAACTCCTGGGCTCAAGTGATCCTCCTGTCTCTGCTTTCCGAAGTGCTGGGATTACAGGCATGAGCTACCACGCCCAGCCATGAACTTGGAGATTCTGAGTCCTCAACAGCGCAAGGTGGAGGTCAGGGACCTGCAGAGGGCATTCCTGAGGACTTCGCCCTGGAGAGCCCCCATCAAGAGAGTAGCAGGCTTGCAAGAATGCTGAGTACTATGACTGAGAGGACTGGATTGGGATGAGGGTGCCGCAGGAGCTGAAGGCAGCCCCTACCTTACCTTAGAGAGGCAGGAATGACTCTGGAGGAGGGCACCTATGAGATGGGTTTTGAAGGTTGCATAGGAGTTCACCAGCAGATCAGAGCAGAGAAGGCTATTAGAGCCAAGGCATCACGTCTGCAAAGGCCCAGAGGTGGCAAGAAATGCTGGGCACACTCAGGAAAGTGCAGGAGGTCAGGATGGCTGAGCTTAAGGAGGGCCATGATGAACTGCAAAGGAGGAGAGGCTGGCAGGGTCTGGTCATGAGGGGCTCACGTCCAGGCTAAGGGGCTTGGGTGTCATCCTGAAGGCAGCAGGGACCCAGCAGCAAAGTGACACAATCAGGTCTGGAAGATGGAAGCGGTGGTGTCAGTGAGAGGTGGGGTGGCCTGCTCTGGTGCAGTGTTGTTGGGCCCTGAAGGACCCAGGAAAAATTCTGAGACTAGGTTTGCCTTGAGAGAGGATGCAGAGTTAGGCACGGTTGAAATGATGACGTGGAACAAGGGGTCCGGGCTGGCTGGAGCAGGAGTGAGGCCCGGTCCTGGGAGGCCATGGGGCCTTCTTCCATCTGAGATGGCTGCTTTGCCCTTCCCCGGTCTGGGTGTCTCTGGCTGGTACGGGAGAGCTGGGGTGCCCGCTCCCAGCTGTTTACATCGCTTGCATACCTCTGGGCTCTTATCTCTGAGGGTCTGTCGTGCATGCCCACCTTGCCAAGTGATCCCATCCCTGCTTGCCTCATAAATCAGGCTGGCCTCTCCCCAACGCCTCTGGCTCCTACCGCACCCTCCTGGCGCTGCCCACCTTTGCCCTGCCTGGAGGCAGAGAGGGGCCCTGAGGTTAGCCTGGGGCCTGTCCAGAAGCTCCTGGCTCTGCAGAACAGGTGCCCTGGGTGATCCAGGCCCTAGAAGTGTTCTCAAAGGTCCCCAAAGATGGCTCCAGGGGTCACCTTCCTCCTGGTCCTAGAGGGGTGGTCGAATCTGCTGTTCCCTGCTGGGGCCTGACCTGGAGTGAGGTGGGAGTGGGCGGATCATGGTCCCACATCTCAGGGGGCCCAGAAACCAGCTCACACCCTCAGAGGATGTCTCGTAGAAGCCCCGTGCCTGCACTCCACTGTGGCCCAGAGTCACTGTCGCTGCTGTATTGGGACTCATGTGCCTTGTCTATAAAATAGGCGCGTTCACTTATTCATTCAACACTTACTGTGTGCCAGGCCCAGGCATGGAGATGAGCCAAGTAGAGCCTCGGCCCTGAGTCCACAGCCTGGAGTGGGTGATAGACAAGTGAAAAGCAGTGCCCCAAAGTGTCTCATGGCCCAGGACGGGTGGCAAGAGGTACTGCAGGGGGACCGATGTGGAGCAGTCAGAGAGAACAGGAATGGTTTATAGAGTGCTGGTGGCCAGTGGCTGGGTAGAATGAGTTCTCCAGGTGGAGGCAATGTGGGGGACAAGGGCTCAAGGGGGTGACAGTTTGGGGACCTGCCCTATTTTCTCTGATAGAGTGAGGGCTGGGGATGGGGCAGCAGACACTGGGAACCAGACCAAGACTTTGTCCTGAGGCACTGGGGAGCCATGGAGAGTTTGAGGCAGGGAGCATCACAGATCTGCATGTGAGCAGGTGCTCTCTGCTTGCCAAGTGGAGAATGAGCTGAGGCAGGTGGGGAGCTCTATTAGGAGGCTGTGGGATCCTGGTAGGGGGGCAGTTGAGGGCTCAGAGGAAGCTCAAATCAGAGGAGCTATCCAAGGTTGGCTTTGGTCCCAAAGCATCACCACTGCCTTGACACCTGCTGGCCCAGTGTGGAGGAAAGGCTGGCACATCCCTGGGAGACATTCATCATTTGGGCCATCTGGCCAGGGCTCCCTGACATCTCTCCATGGAGGGACACATCCAGGGCCCTGTGCCAGCCCAGACCCTGTGGGCCCATGCGTGGGGAGTATGAGAGGTCAGATGAGGCACCAGCCCTGCCTGGGCCATCAAGGAAGGTTTCCTGGAGGAAAGGCATTTTTCAGCCGAGTCTTTGAAGACAAAGAGAACTTTGCTAGTTTAAAGGCGGGCAGGGAGCACTGCAATCAGCTGGCCCCAATCCAAAAAGTACAAAGACAAGAAATAGCAGGCGAGGCTTGGAGTGGGAGCTTGGGAGGGCAGAGTGGAAAGAAACCAGGCCAGGGGGCCCAGATCCTGCAGAACGGAGGAGTAGGAGTGCGTTAGTGGAGGTCACTGGGAGCCATGGGAGGTTTCCACAGAGGGTGACATAGACAGATTTGCACCCTGGAATGACCCTGGGGGCATCACCTCTTACGTAAGAAACGGAACTGGGCGCGGGCACCAGCGGTCCTGGAGAAGGAGCTGCAGGGGTCTAGGGGAGATGGGGACAGAGGGTCAACCTGGCATCACAGGGGAGGTGTCACTCAATCTGGGCCTTAGAGGAGAAGAAGAAAGTTGTCTGGACAGCGGAATGTGGCCCACATCTGTGTCCCTAGGCATGGTACAGACCCAGGGCTTGGGAAGAGAGCACATGGGTCGATTGTCCCACGGACACCATCCTGTCTTAGAGGGAGGTGCAGACAGTTTGGGGATCTGAGGCTGCTTCTCCATCCATGGGAGCTCTCTCCTTCCAGCCTTTCCAATAGGGCTGCAGACTTAAGAGGCTCCTCGTCCTGCCTGCAAGGCAGCTGTTTGCTCCCAGCACCTGCTCTTAGCTTGCTTTTGCTTGGCGCATTCCTGGAAGGACGAAGGAAGGTCTGGGGAAGCTTAAGACCCATCCCTGTGGTCTCTCATTCCCCATTGCCCGAGGCATAGATCTGGGAGCTCAACAGAAGCCCCAGAGGCCATATCCTGTCTTGGTGGATCACAGCTTCACAGAGCTAGAGATGTTTGTTTCCTTGCAAAGTCTTCCCCTAGAATTTTTCCCTTCCTTCCTTCCTCTCTTCCTCCCTTCCTTCCCTCTTCTCTTTCTTTCTCTCTTTCTCTCTCTCTCTGTCTCCCCTCCCCTTCCCTTCTCTTTCTCTCTCTCTCTTTTTTTTTTTTTTTGACAGAGTCTCGCTCTGTTGCCCAGGCTGGGATGCAGTGGTGCAATCACAGCTCACTGCAGCCTCGACCTCCTGGGCTCAAGCAATCCTCGCACCTCAGCCTCCCGAGTAGCTGGGACTACAGGCGCATGCCACCAAGCCTGGTTACTCTTCTCTGTAGTTTTTGGTGAGACAGGGTCTTGCTATGTTGCCCACGGTGGTGTCGAACTCCTGGCCTCAAGCAATCCTCCTACCTCGGCCTCCCAAAGTGCTAGGATTACAGGCATGAGCCACCATGCCTGGCCTCCCCTAGGATTTTCTTCCCAGTGGTGGGCTCCTGAGAACTCGGCGGGAGAGGGGCAGAGTCGTGGGAATGCACAGGCTAAAATAATATAAAATAAAGTAAATCATGCAACAGCTTTGATGAATCTGAAACGTAAGGGTAGATAATCTAGGATTCTATTTACATCAAATCAAAAAATGACAAAAGGAATCTATGCTGAAGTCAGAGCAATGGCTATTCTTAGGGGGAGATTGGGGGCTGGGAGGGGAATAAGGGAAATGGGGGTCAGAGGGGCTGGCATGTTGATCTGAGTGCTGTCAACAGCAATGTGTGTGGTTTGTGAAAATTCCCATTCGATCTGATGCAAGTTCACATACGCTGTGTGCATGTCTCTGTATAAATAATATCTTAGGTCAGGCGGGGTGGCTCACGCCTGTAACCTCCAACATTTTGGGAGGCTGAGGCAGGCAAATCACTTGAGGTCAGGAGTTTGAGACCAGCCTGGCCAACATGGTGAAACCCCGTCTGTACTAAAAATACAAAAATTAGCTGGGTGTGGTGGCGGGCACCTGTAATCCGAGCTACTTGGGAGACTGAGGCAGGAGAATCACTTGAACCCAGGAGGTGGAGTTTGCAGAGAGCTGAGATTGTGTCACTGCACTCCAGCCTGGGCAACAGAGTGAGACTCCGCCTCAAAAATAAAATAAAATAATGAAATAAAATAATTATAAATAAATAAAATCTTGATTTAAAAGTTCAGGCCAGGCACTGTGGCTCACACCTGTAATCCTAGCACTTTGGGAGGCCGAGGCAGGTAGATTGCTTGAGCCCTGGAGTTTGAAACCAGCCTGGGTAAGTTAATGAGACCCTGTCTCTACAAAAAATACAAAAATTAGCCACACATGCTGGAGCACACTTGCAGTCCCAGCTACTTGGGAGGCTGAGGTGGGAGGATCGCTTGAACCTGGGAAGTGGAGGCTGCAGTGAGCTGAGATCGCACCACTGCACTCTAGCCTGGGTGAAAGAGTGAGAGCCTGTCTCAAAAAATAATAATGCTAATACTAAAAAAAAAAAAATTAAAATTAATTAAAAGTTCAGACGTCAGTTGGAGTATTTTATTCTATGTGATATCATATCTGTGTATGTACATGTATGGATGTGTGTGTATGTATGCATATGGATGGATGGATGTGTGTGTATACATACATATACACATGTATGTATGCATCTATTAATCATCTGTCTCTATACTTTGGGGACAGTTGAGCCAGTGCTCTTTCTCCATGCACATTTGGGTTTTCTGCTGGGGAGTGAGGTGGAGGGAGGTATTGACCATGGATTAGGTCCCCCTGCCCCCTGCTAACCCAGGACAGAAACCCCACAAACCAGGCACCCAGGGAAGGGGAAGGGCTCCAGGGTACACCTTTAACTACAGAGACACACAGCAACACCGGCCAGAGGGGACAACTATGTCCTCATTTGCAGTCCCTGCAGACCGGTGGATGGAGGCAGATGAGACAGCAAGCCCCCAGGACCGCCTATATACACCCCAAAATAAACATATGTTGACCGACTGACTGCCCATCCAAAAGCTGCTGCCTAGCACTGCCCAGGGACCCCTGACAACAAGCTGGAGGACACACTGACTTGTCCCAGTTACCAGGAACCTTTGGAAAAAGTGCCATCAGCACAGTCAGCCCAGACTCAGAGACTAAGCATAAGGGATAGACAGCTGGACACTTGGCATGCACATGTCACATGCAGAGACATCTGCAGGCACACATGTGGGCCCACACACAGGCTTGCACCCAGGTGACAGGCATCGGCAGAACTGGCAAGCCCTGGGACCCAGACCCAACGCCGCAGAAGGACTCAGCCCTCCCGGGACGAAGGCGCGGGGCTGGTGCTGGTGTTGAGTCACCCTTTGTTGGATGATGAAAGGGGTAAGACACAGATGCCCAAAGAGCTCTGGGGACACCCCAGTGGGCACAGACACACCCTTGCTTGTTCTCTCAATGGCTTTCTTGTCTGGCCGTGTGTTTTGGCCAGAAGGGGATTGGCCTCAAAGGGCCATTGGAGAAACAAGAGAAGATTCTAGAAGGGGTAGAGGGTGCGTACCGTCTCAGATCGGAGATCCTAATCTGGGGTCCTCTCTCCCCTGGAAAGAAGATTCTGGAAGGGGTAGGGGTGTGGACTGTCTCAGATCGAAAATCATAATCTGGGGCCCTCTCTCCTCTGGAAAGAAGATTCTGGAAGGGGTTGGGAGTGAGGACAGGCTCAGATCGGAGATTCTAATCTGGGGCCCTCCCTTCCCTGGAAATAAGATTCTGGAAGGGGTAGGGGTGTGGACTGTCTTAGATAGAAAATCCTAATCTGGGTCCCTCTCTCCCCTGGAGATAAGATTCTGGAAGGGGCTGGGGTTTGGGGCCCTCTCTCCCCTGGCCTGGGGCACCTGTCCCTGTTCCCCTGACCCGGCCACACTGTGATGACACGAACCTCTTGCCACCCCCAGCCCTGGGGCCTGGCTGAGGTCCCTTAAGGGTCTGCTTTGCCCCCCACCCTCACCTCCAAAGTGCAGCAACAGCTTTGCCAGCGACCTCTGACCTCTCCCTGACCCTCCACTGCCTCCCACCTCCCACCCTCATTACATCCCCGGCCCTGACCTCATGTCTGCGGGGCCATGGGCGAGGGTGAGATAAGGCGGCCATTGCAGGCTGTGCTCCCTCCTGGGTACCGACGGGAAGGGCGGGCCAGGCCGCCAGCCTCAGAAGAGAGTGGCCCATGACTCACCAGGTGGGCAGCGCCCAGGCCGGCGTCCGGGAGGAAACGCCACTTCCTCTGGGTGAGGCAGGAGGCTGGCGGGGGAAGCTTTCTGGTTTATGCATTTTTTGAGGTTTTGTTTCAGGAGTCCTTCACTTCTGTGTCAAAAGATCTTCTCCCACAATTTGTTCTAGCAACTTCAGAATCTTACTTTTTTGTTTGTTTTTGTTTTTAGAGACAGGTTCTCCATCTGTGGCCCAGACTGGAGTACAGTGGTGTGACCTAGCTCACTGCAGCATTGAACTCCTGGGCTCAAGCGATCCACCCACCTCAGCCTCCCAAGTAGCTAGGACTATAGGCACGAGCCACCACAGCTGGCTAATTGTTTATTTTTGTAGAGATGAGGTCTTGCTATGTATTCCCAGTGCCTTGGGAGGCTGAGGTGCGAAGATCGCTTGAGACCAGGAATTCAAGACCAGCCTGGGCAACATATTGAGACCCTATCTCTACAAAAACATTTTTTTAAAAAGATTAGCCGGGTGTGGTGGCATGCACCTGTAGTCCCAGCTAGTCAGGAGGCTGAGGCGGGAGGATCGCTTAAGCCCAGGAGTTCAAGGATGCAGTGAGTTAGGATCACACACTGCACTCCAAACCTGGGAGACAGAGCAAGACCTTGTCTCAAAAAAACAAAACAAATAAAAAAAACACCAGACTCTGAGAAGAAAGAGTAAGACAGAAATATAATCCATAGCCCAGTTCCACTTGGGTAAATCAAAACTCCTCCAAAACAGTGATACACATATTAAGAAATGGAGGTAAAATTCACATAACATAAAGTTAACCATGAACCACTTGTAAAGGGTACAATTCAGTGGCATTTAGCACACTCACCTCTATCTAGTTCTGAGACATGTGAGTTACCCCAAAAGGAAGATCCGTCCCCATTAGTAGCCATGAGTGATCCTTGTTTTACAAGAACGCACGTGAATGAAAGGGCACACCTTGAATGCATTGGAAAGGTTGCCTGTGGGTGTGGGTGGTGGGTTAGGAATGATGGGAATAAAAGGGACTGGATAAATAAAACCTCTGTACTCCAGGGCCAAAAAGAGATTTAAACACTAAAACAGGCCGGGTACAGTGGCTCACGCCTGTCATCCCAGCACTTTGGGAAGCTGAGGCGGGTGGATCACTTGAGGCCAGGAGTTTGAGACCAGCCTGGCCAACATGGTGAAACCCCGTCTCTTCTAAAAATACAAAAATTAACCAGACGTGGTGGCGGGAGACTGTAATCCCAGATACTAGGGAGGCTGAGACGGGAGAATCGCTTAAACCCAGGAGGCGGAGATTGCAATGAGCCATTGCACTCCAGTCTGGACAACAGAGTGAGACCCTGTCTTGGGGAAAACAAAACAAAACAAAACAACAAAAAACAGAAGCTGGAGGTTCTGACTCTCTCTACCCCATGCATTCAGGGAGTAGAGACCCTGGAAGGACCCTGGACTCCAGGAGGCTGCCCCTTGTCTACTCCCCAGCCTCCTGGTACAGGGCAGAGAACAGGCTGGAGTTGGTGCTTGGGCCTGAGGAGGCGCCCAGCAGGAGTGAGGTGACGGTGAGGAGGCTGTTGGTGTGAGGCAGTGAGGAGGGGACAGACAGAACAGGGCTTGAGGACTCTCTTGGGGGGTGCACGGTGTGGTGCTGTCTGTGTGGCTGCCAGGGAAGGGGGCAGGGACCTGAGAAGTGTCAGGCCCCACTTTCTCGTGGTCCCAGGCTTGGGGCAGGGCAGGGCTTCCTTTTCCAAGCAAGAAACCCAGACATGTGGCTTGCCAGAGGCCGTTTTGTTTTTTGGATTTGAGAACTTATTTATATGAAAAGTCTTACCAAGGTATAAACATTCTGGGCCTTTGCACATGCTTTGGCCTCAGCTGGAATGTTCCTTCCAAGCAAGCCCCCTCTCCCACTGCGTGTCCGCCTGGTGAACTCTGGCCCCTCTCAGGGTGCAACTCCCTTCAGAAAGCTTTCTCAAACCAGCGTCCTCCCCTGCAGCCCCAGGGCGGCCGCTCTCTCCTCCGGGGACCCACAGTCCCTCCAGCCCCCTGGTTCTCATGTGACAGTCACCTCCATTTTTTCATCAGTCTTTCCTCCATGCCCCACTTGGCGGTGAGGCCTCCTCTGCCTTGGTTTCCCCTTTTTCCAGGTGCCCGGGACACAGTGGAACTCAGCACGTGTCAGGCAGATGGGTGACACGTGGATGCTCAGTTACACCTGCGGGGCTCGGGGCTGGGGCCAAGGCTATCTTCCCAGCATCGGGTCATCTGGGTTTGAGTCTGGGTGGTCTCCAGCCCCCTCCTCACCTCCCCTCCGCTACTACAGGCAGCATCCCCAGTCTCTCTGCTGCCAGAGACCTTGGTGCCCGAGTCTGCGAGGAGCTTGCTCTCTGGAGAGTCAAGACCCCAGAACCAAGATGGCAGAGGCGAGATGAGATGAAGCAGGCTCCCACCTCAGGGGGCTTGGTGACAGGGCCCAGGATGATATGTGTTGTGTTCATGTCAACTGCCCTGGGTTGGCCAGAGAGGTGGGGTCACCACGGAGATCCTGCCCCCGCCCCCGCCCCCCCCCACCCGCCGCCCCGTGAGGCTGAGCTGCTGAGCTTTGGTCTGAGAGAAGGAGCAACTTCCAGACCCTCCAGGGACCCGAGGGACGCCCCCGTGACAGCGTCGCAGGCCCTATCTCCAAGGGAGACTCTGTTCCCAGACCAGAGGCCTGCCCGGGCCATGCTGGGAGACCTTGTTTAAGCCCCAGTTTGGGAACTTGAGGGAGAGAAGGGATTTCTTTTTTTTTTTTTTCTTTTTTAATGCACGTACTTTGGTTTTTCCTTGCAACCAACTCCTAAAGCCACGACTCCACTCCCCACTTGGCAGGGATGCCCGCCTCGTGCTGTTGACCTTGGCAGTGGGTCTGCGGGGACTGGAGCTCTCACACCATAAATTCCTGTCTTCTAGGAATTCAGCCTGGGAAAGAAAAGAAACACGGAGGAGAATATTTGATTAACATTTTTCCAACGTGACCACATCACAGGGGCGTGTGGCCGGAATTCTCACCCTGGACTGGGTAGGGCGGGACTCGGCTCGTGGCCCGGCTGCTGGGGAGGGTGGGCCTGGGTTTTGGGGGGCCCTCCTGGCCTAAAGGAAGAGTGGGGTCTGGGCTGGCATTTCCCCTTGGGATCGGGGCTGAGGAGGTTCCTGGACAGAAGCTGGGCCAGGTCGGCCACCCGAAGGGTGAGCAGCTCAGGGAGCTTATCTTCAACCTCAGGACCACCAGGGATTGGACCCTGAGCTCAGGATGGACCTCAGGGGTGGGGGGCTCTGGCCTTGCCTTCACCATCTGCTCCTGACTCTGGGCAGAGCCCTCTCTGATCCCAGATTGAGTCTTTTTTTTTTTTTTTTGAGATGAAGTCTTGCTCTGTCACCCAGGCTGGAGTGCAGTGGTGCCATCTCAGCTCACTGCAACCTCCACCTCCCAGGTTCAAGCAATTCTCCTGCCTCAGCCTCCCGAGCAGCTGGGATTACAGGTGCCAGCCACCTTGCCTGGCTAATTTTTGTATTTTTAGTAGAGACAGGCTTCACCATGTTGGCCAGACTGGTCTCAAACTCCTGGCCTCAAGTGATCCACCCGCCTCAGCTTCCCAAAGTGCTGGGATTACAGGCGCGAGCCACCACACCTGGCCTACGTCTTAACTCCAACTCCAGACTGAGACCTGGCTCCAGGTCTACCGTGTCCTCTGAGCCCGGCTCATGATGACTTGTGGCCCAGACCCCAGCTGGTTTTGGGCTTCCCTCTGTTTGAGCTCTTGCACAGCAATCCTCCATACCCCCTTCACTGTCTGAGAACTTTTTTTTTTTTGAGACAGAGCCTCGCTCTGTCACCCAGGCTGGAGTGCAATGGTGCGAACTTGGCTTACTGCAAACTCTGCCTCCCGGGTTCAAGAGACGATTCTCCCACCTCAGCCTCCTGAGTAGCAGGGGTAATTTACAAGCGTGCGCCACCACGCCCAGCTAATTTTTTTTGCATTTTTAGTAGAGATGGGGTTTCACCATGTTGGCCAGGCTGGTCTCGAGTTCCTGACCTTAAGTGATCTGCCCTCCTCAGCCTCCCAAAGTGCTGGGATTATAGGTGTGAGCCACCGCGCCCAGCGCTGTCTGAGAATTTCTGACCTTTTGTCCTCAGCCTCAGGCTAGCTCTAGGGGACTGTCCTTACCCTTGTGTCTCCAAATGTCCAAGTCTATGGCCATCTCCCTGTGGATGAGAGGCCACTTCTGCCAAAGGGTGACCCCACCCATGCTTGGTTCCCCTTCCCTCCCCTCCACCTGCTCAGACGTCTCAGCCCACGAACCACCTTTAGGGTTCCAGCCACGCCTCCTTTTATTGGCCCCTTCTCGTTGGCATTTAAGCATTCCATGAACAAAATAAAAGAAACCCCTTCTTGAACCCCACTCCCACCTCTGGCTGCCCCATCTCTCACCTCTCTGTCACGGCCAAACTCTTCAAAGAGCTGTCTGCACACGTGTTTCTACTTCTCACCTGCTGCTCACTCCTTGGCCGGCTCCTGCCTGGCTCTGGCCCCCACCCGCCACCCAAACACTCTCACCCAGGTCAGCAGTGACTTCCATGCAGCCCAACCTGATAGCATTGTTGTTTTTGGTATTTATTTATTTTGAGACAGGGTCTTGCTCTGTTGCCCAGGCTGGAGTGCAGTGGTGTGATCCTAGCTCACTGCAGCCTCCAACTCCTGGGCTCAAGTGATCCTCCTGCCTCAGCCTCCTGAGTAGCTGGGACCACAGGTGCATGCCACCATGACTGGCTAATTTTTTTTTTTTTAACTTTTTGTAGGGATGGGGGCCTCACTATGTTGCCCAGGCTGGTCTTGAACTCCTGGGCTTGAGCAATCCTCCTGCCTTGGCCTCCAAAAATGCTGGAATGACAGGCATGAGCTACCACGTCCAGCCCAGCTTGATGTATAGAAATGCAAATCTTTGCCAGGTGCAGTGGCTCATGTCTGTAATCCCAACAGATTGGGAGGCCGAGGCAGGAGGATTGCTTGAGCCCAGGAGTTCAAACCTGGGCAAGATAGTGAGACCCCATCCCTATGAAAAGTAAAAAAAAAAAAAAAAAAAAAAAAAAAAAAAAAAAAAAATTAGCCAGGCATGGTGGTGCATGCTTGTAGTCCCAGCTACTTGGGAAGCTGAGGTGGGAGGATAACCTGAGCCTGGGAGGCGGAGGTTGCAGAGCCCAGGAGTTCGAGGCTGCAGTGAGTTTTGATTGCACCACTGCACTCCAGCCTGGGTGACAGAGTGAGACCCTGTCTCAAGAAAAGAAAAAAGAAATGTAAATCTCATCATGCCACTTGCCTAAAACCAGTAACTTCCCACCAGCTGTAGGATAACAGAAAATCCCTTTTGTGCCCGCAGGGCCCTGTGATATCTGGCTCCAGACTACTGCGCCCATCTCACCCCCAGCTCTCTTTCTCCAGCTCTGCTCCAGCTATCTTCTCCCCCTTCCCCCGGCCTTAAGCCACTTTGTTCCCCTCTGAGCCAGGACTTGGCGTCCCTCTCCTGAAGCCCTCTCTTCCTCATCTCTCTTCTCTTGCGACTGTGGCTGGCTGATGTCTGCTCAGCTACTGTCTTCACTCAGACATCACTTCCACTAGGAAGCCTTCTGTTATCTCCAACTCTGGCCTGGGCTCTCCCACATCCTATATGTCGTGATTTCCTGGTTCTCTGACTTCCAGTTTGGAAGCCCCCCAGGAGCAGAGGCTGGGTCTGTGTGCCCACCGGTGGTTTTCCTGTTCCAGGGATAGGGCGGCCACTCAGAAAACATTTCTGGAATGAATAAAGAATGGGCTTGTCTATGAAAGGTCCCCCAGTAGACCATGAGCTCCAGGTGGCTGCGTCTCTGGCTTATTTTTCTTTGTTTTCCTAAGGACTGGGGAAGCCCAGGTACATAAGAAGGACAGTGGAGATTGGCTAAACTAACGAATGAATGAAAACAGGGGCTGGGGGGGTGGTGAAGAGGGGAACAGAGGGGCTGCTACCCTAGAAGTTCTTGGACCATGGAGCTGTGAGCAGGGAGGCATGGGAACCAGGAGACCCAAGTGTTTCTCCTTTTCAGAGATGGGGGAGATACTGAGGTCAGGAGTTCGAGACCAGCCTGGCCAACATGACGAAACCCCATCTCTACTAAAAATACAAAAATTAGCCAGGTGTGGTGGTGCACATCTGTAATCCCAGCTACTTGGGAGACTGAGGCAGGAGAATCACTTGAACCCAGGAGGCGGAGGCTGCAGTGAGCCAAGATCACACCCCTGCACTCCAGACTGGGCAACAGAGCAAGACTCTGTCTCAAAAAAAAAAAAAAAAAAGATGGGGAGGATATTGGGTCACTGGTGGGAAAACAGGGCAGAGAAACTAGCCTCAGGCTGTCTTGGAAGAGGAAGAGTGGGTTGGGGGTGTAGGGATACCCCATCAGCAGGGAAGAGGTTCACAGCATCATGGCACAGAGAGGTGCCTGTCCTTTGACAAAGAGAATCTGAGGCCCAGAGAGGGTTGGCAGCTTGCCCAGACACACACAGTGGCTGGGGTTAGAGCTGGACACTGGAACCAGGACCCCGACCTTGGGACATGGGCTCAGCATCCCCAGGAGACTGTGCCACTCTTGGCTTTAACCTTCACTTCCTGTGCCCACATCGTCATACCTGGTGAGCCCACCTGGCTGTCTACACCTCCTGGCTTTTCCAGAGCCTCTTTTCTCCTCTGCAACCTGCTTATAATACCTGCCCATCAGCCCCCCTGAGGCAGCTTAGTCATGGGCCTCAAATTCCCTGGAACCCACTGACCTCTCCCTGCCCACCTCGGCCAGGCCCTGCCACTCTCATTATGCACTTGACCCTTGACTCCTCTGTAGTGCAAGCTTTGTACTAAAGTGCAAGCTTCCCTTTCTCTGAGTTTTGCAGGCTATCCTTCTAGTTCCTTCTGTTTGGGATTAATTCCTACCCTATCCCCCAGAATCATTTACATGCTGATGTAGGGTAAGGAGTGGGGGGCAGCCAAGGGTTGGAGGAAAGTTGAGACAGGGTCTCACTCTGTTGCCCAGGCTGGAGTGCAGTGGGGTGATCATGGCTCACTGCAGCTTCAACTTTCTGGGCTCAAGTGATCCTCCTCCCTCAGCTTCCCGAGTAGCTGGGACTGCAGGTGCACATCACCAAGCCCAGCTAATTTGAAAATTTTTTGTAGAGACGGGGTCTTGCTATGCTTCACAGGCTAATCTTGAACTCCTGGCCTCCAGCCATCCTCCTGCCTCAGGCTCAAAGCCCTGGGATTACAGGCGTGAGTCACTGTGCTCAGCTGGAAATATTTTTTCTTAGAACATCACCAAACGATCCTACATTTCATTTAAAAGAAAACACCAATGACAACTGTTTTAGAATTCCAGGACAAGAGGAGAAATGAAATGAAGTAAGACCTTGCACATACTGATATTAAGAACAGCATTTACTGTACACCTACAAGTGTGGCAAGCACCAAGCCAAGTGCTTCACAGAGATTACCAACCTGTGCTCACTACGGCCCTAGATGAGGTTGTTGCTGGGGGAGTCTCCATCACCACCTCTACCTCATATGTGAAAGGACTTTTGCTAAAGGAACACTCCTGTCCTTGCTTTCCATCCTTGTGTCTCCTCTCTCAGTATTTTCTGCTGTGCTCCATAGTAATTTTCTGGGCATAGGGTTTATCTGAGAAAGTGTGTGTGTGGTGAAGATCTAGGGGGTCTGGTACTACCTGTGACTAGGGGGCTTGAGTCTATCTAAAGCAGGGGCAAATGTCAGGAAGCCCACTGAGGCTTTGTTTTTTGTCTTGTTTTTTTTTCCATCATTATCCCTTTCATTTCCTTTTCCTGTCTTATTGCATTGGCTAGGAACTCCAGTGCAATGCTAAATACAAGTTGTGGCAGTGGATAGCAACCACCTCTACTCAATAATAAGGCTGATGTTTTATCAGCCTTATTATCAGCCATCTGATGTCTATATCTAGTTCTCAATTTGTTCTGAATGTGTGAGGGAGATACTGCAGGCCTCTGTGTTAGTTTATTCTTGCACTGCTATAAAGAAATGCCTGAAACTGGGTGATTATAAGGAAAAGAGGTTTAATTGGCTCATGGTTCCACAGGCTATACAGGAAGCGTGGCTGGGGAGGCCTCAAAAAACTTACAATCACGGCAGAAGGGTGAAGGGAAAGCAGGCACGTCTTCACATGGCCGTAGCAAGGGGAAGAGAGAGAGAGGGAGGTGCTACACATTTTAAACCACCATATCTCACAAGAACTCACTCACTGTCACGAGAACAGCACCAAAGGGGAAATC
Organism: Homo sapiens; assembly: GCF_000001405.40. NCBI lineage: Eukaryota > Metazoa > Chordata > Mammalia > Primates > Hominidae > Homo > Homo sapiens. The sequence goes on along the minus strand of NC_000007.14, from coordinate 73,994,499 downwards.
CCCCCGCAATGATCCAATCACTTCCTACCAGGCCTCACCTCCAACTTTAGGGATTACAATTTGACATGAGATTTGGGCAGAGGCACAGAACTAAACCATTTCAACCTCCCAGAAGTCCATTTTACAGATGAGGAACTGTGAGGTAACTCGCCCAAGGTCACACATTTATTAAGAGGCAAAGGTCTTATGTGGATCTCCGCCAGTTTGACTTCAAAGCCCATAATCTTAACTACTGTGCTATAAACTCTTCCATAAAACATAGTCTAAGGGAACAAACATTTAATAGCGTGATGCTGGAATGAGATCAGGGATACGCACCGTTGGAATAGGTTACAAAGCAGCGATTATGTATAAGAACCAATCCTACATAAAAATGCAATCCATGATAACACAAGCACTACACAACAATGGGAAATGGGGCAGGCATTTGAGGTGGAAGCAAATAAGCTAACGCTTTATATCTAACACTAAAATGACCTCCAGACAGATTATAAAGTTAAAACTTACATAAATATGTAATAAAATTCTAGACTAGCTAGTAGGAAATAAATTGAATTCTTTTTTAGCCTCTGGAAAAGCGTTCATAACTTTTCCTTAACTTCCTTAACATTCCTTAAATTTCCTAAGAAGTTTTATAAATGTTCTAGCAAAAGAAGAAATCACATGGAAAAAGACGAACCTGTTTGGCCATGTGGTGAGCGGTATTGTGGGGTGGCGAGGGGGTCCCCGAGAGCACCACTACTGCGGACATGTGCAGGAGTGACCGAACGCGTAGGAGGAAGCCACAGCGACCAGCAGTGTCCGTCATTTTTGAAGACCGAGAAATGACACCAACATATTTTCGTGATTGCCATGTTGTGCTCTCTGGGATCCCCCCGCCCCGGCAGCCTTTGGATGGTCACACAAGTCACACCTTTAGGAACACTTACTCCCTTGATTGTGCACAAGACCACACACCCTTGGAGTTCCGCAAATGCACTTTCCCTTGGCTTCATGCACCCATTGGTCTCCCACAAAAGTGCTCCTTTGGGGCTGGTCGCGGTGACTCACGCCTATAATCCCAGCACTTTGGGAGGCTGAGGCAGGTGGATCACATGAGGTCAGGAGTTCGAGACCAGCCTGACCAACATTGTGAAACCCCCATCTCTACTTAAAACAATACAAAAATTAGCAGGGCATAGCGGCTCACACCTGTAATCCCAGCACTTTGGGAGGCCAAGGTGGGCAGATCACTTGAGGTCAGGAGTTCGAGACCAGCCTGGCCAATATAGTGAAACCCCATCTCTATTAAAAAAATATAAAAATGATCTGGGCATGGTGGCTCACGCCTGTAATCGCAGCACTTTGGGAGGCCAAGGGGGGCAGATCACTTGAGGTCAGGCGTTCAAGACCAGCCTGGCCAACATGGTGAAACCCCATCTCTACTAAAAGATACAAAAATGAGCCAGGCATAGTGACATGTGCCTGTAATCCCAGCTACTCAGGAGACGGAGGCAGGAGAATCACTTGAACCCAGGAGGCGGAGGTTGCAGTGAGCTGGGATCATGTCACTGCACTCCAGTCTGGGCAACAGAGCGAGACTCCATTTCAAAAAAAAAAAAAAAAGTCATCGATTACAAGGTGCATCAGTTGTAAGGTTTCCCGTGCCCTCTGCAGAAGCGGTACCACTCCCGCAGGGGTGAGTGCACCCACACTGCAGCCACGCCAAGTGCCTGCCCTTCTCCCTCGGCCCTCGCTTCTCTCTGCCTGTCCGGTAACCTACACACGATGCCCTGTCCAGCCACACACCCACAACAGGGCAGAGACCTCTGAAGAGGAGCCAGTGTTGGGAGACGATTGTACCCGCCGCTGGTGCCCCTGATAGCCGACTGGGCTGCGTGTCCCCAAACCAGATGGCTAGGCTGCTCCCTCACCCAGGGTCCCCTGTGACCAGGGACAAAGTTTCAAGCCAGGTTCAGGCCTTCTCTGGGCTTCAAATGCACTGGCCCTTCCAGGGACTTCCCCTGCAAGACTGATTTCGTGGGCCCTTGCCCCAGGCGGGACTGGACAAGGAGCCAGCCCTCGGGCACCGGCCTCGTTGCCGCCCACCTCGAAGTCTTCGTGGAGAGCAGAACATGTTTTTAAAACACAAAAAACCCATCCTGTCTGAACCGAACATTTTTCCCTGCTTGTTGAGCAACACCATTTACATTCCTGGGCCAGTCGGCGGCCAAGATATTTATAGCCCTGTCCTGGCACTCCATCTTGCCTAATTGGCGCGGCCTGACGGGGCCCCTATCCGTCATGGTAAGTGGGCCTCTCACCAGCCTCCAGCGGGCCCTCTGCCAGCCCGGACGTTCCCAGGTCTGGGTTGGGGAGGCAGCCCTCACCCTGTCTGCTGCCCAGGCCCCTCTCCAGGGGGCTTGGTCATGCCAGGGAAGCCCCCAAGAGCAAACAACTGGCCCAGGCCATCTGGACCATCCAGACCAAGGGCGGCCGGGGATCACTGACGGCATTTGCCCAGACTTCCCAGGCATCCATGCTGTCCTCAGCCTCCCTGCCACCCTCACTCCATCCCCCTAGCTTACAGAGGAAGCCCTGTCATTCTGCTGCCTGATGACCTCACGGTCTCCTGTCCTGCAGGATGGAGCCTCAGCTCCTTTGTGGGCTCTGGAAGGACCATCACTGTCTGTCCAGTGACAGCCCTGCCACTTCTCGCTCTCTGTCCCAGCCATGAGGAGGGACTTGATGCTTCCCAGCAAGGGAAGATGGGCTCCAGGCATTATTTATTTATTTATTTATTTATTTATTTATTTATTTTGAGACAGAGTCTCTCTCTGTGGCCCAGGCTGGAGCGCAGTGGCGCAGTCTTGACTCACTACAATCTCTGCCTCCTGGGTTCAAGTGATTTTCCTGTCTTAGTCTCCCAAGTAGCTAGGACTACAGGCATGCACTACTAATGCCCAGCTAATTTTTGTACTTTTAGTAGAGATGGGGTTTCACCATGTTGGTCAGGCTGGTCTTGAACTCCTGACCTCAAGTGATCCCCTCTGCCTTGGCCTCCTAAAGTGCTGGGATTACAGGTGTGAGCCACGGTGCCTGGCCAGCCAACCCATCTTCTGAGGCTCAGTTTCCACATCTGAAAAATGGGAAGCAGTAATACTCCCTGTCTCATAGGGTGTTTGAGTTAGATCCAGTAGGAGAAGCACTGCATAAGTACTAGCTGCTTGAAAAAATGTTTTTCATTTAGAGACAGGGTCTAATGCTGTTATTATTATATTACGTCATTACGCTCTCACGCTGTTATCAGTTGCAAATTCATTCAACGATGTGAGTGCCTCCCATGGGCACAGCAGTGAGTGAGACGCATAAGGCTCCTGCCCTCATGGTTCTTACAGTTTGGTGGCAGAGACAAAAGGTGAACATGTCATTATAAATTAAGGTGAATTCCCATGAAGAAGACACACGAGGGGCTCTGAGGGAAAAGACTGGGGGAAATCTAGTTTGGGTTGCTGAAGAAAGTAAGCTCTGGCCAGGCGTGGTGGCTCACACCTGTAATCCCAGCACTTTGGGAGGCCAAGGTGGGTGCATCACTTGAACTCAGGAATTCGAGGCCAGCCTGGCCAACATGGTGAAACCCATCTCTACTAAAAATACAAAAATTAGCTGGACATGGTGGCAGGCAACTGTAATCCCAGCTACTCGGGAGGCTGAGGCAGGAGAATCGTTTGAACCCGGGAGGCAGAGGTTGCAGTGAGCCAAGGTTGTGCCACCACACTCCAGCCTGGGCAACAGAGTGAGACACTGTCTCAAAAAAAAGAAAGGAAGTAAGCTCCAAGCTGAGACCTAAAGTATGAGAAGGGACCAGTGGGGAAAGAATTGCAGGGAAGAGCATCCAGGCAGAGGGAACAGCATATGCAAACACACAGATTCCAGGGGAAAAGAATTGGGGGACAGTGAAATTGGGGGATGTGAGGCAGCACCAGGTCATGATGAACCTCAGAGCCATTTGGGGGGTGTCGATTTTGGTGCAAGTGCAACAGGAAGCCCTTGGGGAAAGGGGCGGTTTAAGCAGGAGAATGAGATGGGGCCTGATTTACATTTTCCGCAGGTTATTCTGGCTGGAGGGGGTAGAGAGGAGGCAGGGAGGCGGGGAGGAGGCTGTGCTGGCCTCCAGGGCCAAGCTGGTGGTGACTTGACACAGGGGTGGCAGCGAGAACAGAGGGAAGTGGATTTGGGATTTATTTTGGAGGTAGAATTGACGAGTCTTGGCGGTGGCCGGGGTGTGGGTGGTGAGGGCGGGACGATCCAAAGATGCCTCCCAGTTTTCTGGCCGGAGCCACCAGGCAGACGATGGTGCCATTTCCTGAGATGGGGAAGTCACAGGGAGGGGCAGGTTGGAGAAGAAACCAAGAGTTGACTTTTGGACGCGTTATGTTCGAGCTGTTATTTGTCCTGCATGGCTAATGACTGACAGAGCTCCGTGGGCCTCAGAATTACAGAAGTCACCCCTGTTCCCCTGTGGCCTCTGCTCATGTGTGGCCCATGAGGTGTTTCAAGGCACTGAAATTATTCGAGCATCCTCTAGCCCCTCCTTCTTGGGGCCAGCACCACCTTCCCAGCAGCAGAACTGACTCGCTCCAACTACGTCGTTCTTTTTTCTTTTTTCTTTTCTTTCTTTCTTTTTTTTTTTTTTTTTGAGACGGAGTTTCTCTCTTGTTGCCCAGGCTGGAGTGCAATGACGTGATCTCGGCTCACCACAACCTCTGCCTCCCGGGTTTAAGCGATTCTCCTGCCTCAGCCTCCCAAGTAGCTGGGATTACAGGCATGCACCACCACCACACCTGGCCAATTTTGTATTTTTAGTAGAGACGGAGTTTCTCCATGTTGGTCAGGCTGGTCTTGAACTACTGATCTCAGATGATCTGCCCGCCTCGGCCTCCCAAAGTGCTGGGATTACAGGCTTGAGCCACTGCGCCTGGCCCCAACCACTTCATTCTGAAGCAATGAAGGACCTCAGCCTTGTCCACAGCCTCAGTGGGAAGGTGTCCATATCTCTGTTGGGATCCCCTGACTGCTGTGAGCTCCAGGCCATGGGCCTGTCCCCCTTCCCTGTCCCCCTAGTTCAGCCCCCACCCCCGGGTCTGCTCTGCAGAGCTCTATTAGTTTTTTAGAGACAGGGTCTCTGTCACCCGGGCTGGAGTGCAGTGGCGGGATCCCAGGTCCCTGCATCCTTGAACTTCTGGGGTCAAGCCATCCACCAACCTCAGCCTCCTAAGTAACTGAGATCATAGGCATATGCCACCACGCCTGGCTTTTAAATTTTTATAAACACTGGGTCTTGCTATATTGCCCAGGCTGGTCTTGAACTGGCCTCAAGCAATCCTCAGCCTCCCAAAGTGCTGGGATTACAGGCACATGCCACCATGCCCAGCTAATTTTTAACTTTTTATAGAGACAGGGTCTTGCTAATGTTGCCCAGGCTGGTCTCCAACTCCTGGCCTCCAGCAATCCTCCAGCCCCAGACTCCCAAAGTGCTGGGATTACAGGCGTGAGCCATCACACCTAGCCCTGCAGAACTCTATAGAACCACGTAGACTCCAGTTTGAACCCCGCCGCTGCCATCCATATCTACTAGTTATGTGAGTGTTCTGCGTCGGTGGAATGGAGTAACGAACAATGTTCCCTTAGGGGTGTGGAGAGCATTCATTGAGATAATGCTTATAAAGGTTTCATGCCAAAGCTACTGAAAAGCAAGTGTGAAATTTGTTGTTTTTATTATTTATTATTGCCTGATCTCCCACCCAAGCCCATCATAAAGGTCTAATTTTGAAATCCGCAAGCCAGAGGCCCTCACCACCTTCTTGTCTTTTTCTGCCTCCCCCACTCCCCCATCCCACAGCAACCTTACAAAGCTCTGATGGTGGGATTCCAGGCATCGTCAACCAATGGGAAGGGAGGGGGCACTGAGTCACCCCATACTGGTGCGTGGCAGCCTCTGGGGGCTGTGGGCAGGGCTGGCCTTGTCTGGTGACTGGGGAGGGAGCTGGCAGAAGGCCGGGGAAGGGGGACAATGGGCCTTTGTCTTTGCCGAGGTTTCTCCGTCCAAGATGCTCTAGCCCCTAGACAAACATGACCTCATTCCTCCTCCAGGCTCCAGGACCCAGGGCAGAGACAGGCGGCTTGGAGTTGGACGCACCCACCCCATTTCACAGACTGGAAAACCAAGTCGCAAAAGGAAAGAAGACAAGGGGACACCGAGGCTCCAGCCCTAGGACCCAGGCAGAAGTCATGGCCTCCTGGGTTGCTGAGCCCAGGGAGGGGACTCACAAGAGGGTCTTCTAGGCAGCAAAGGTCTAGCTAGCCCGCAAGCTCCCGGGACAGGCAGGTTGCGCTTGGATCTGCTACTCATAGCTGTGTGGCTCTAAGCAGATTACTCACCTACTCTGCGCCCTGGTTTCTGCATCTGATGTAGGCCTGGCAGCCTCTTTCTTGCAAGGTTATGGTGCCCTTGGAGATCGCTGCTAAGGATTCAGACAGGCCTGCTTTAAGCCACGGCACCTGCTCCCACTGCCCTGCCTTTAAAGGGGTGATCTTCCAGGGAAGACAGTGGAGATTAAGGTCCATCCCACGCAAGCCTCCGGGGTCCACAAACGTCCCTCTCTTGCCAGGGGCTCTGCAGTGACAAGGCCTGGTAGGAGTCTGGCATATCTTTCTGGTAGCTTCCTAAGTGACGTTCTCCCACACTGGCCCTACTGGGCTTTCATCCCCTGCCCACAGCAGCCCTCACTTCCTATGCCAATCCCCACTCCCCAGAGGGTCTTCTCCAACCTGATCTCCATCTCCACAACCATCTGGGGACACGCCTGCACCTGAAACCTCAACAATTCAAGTTGCAAGATGCCAGCTGGAGGGACTCCCAGCCATTCTCTCAGTCTCATCTCTAAGATGGGATAGTGGGACTGGGCATGGTGGCTCACGGCTATAATCCCAACACTTTGGGAGGCCGAGGCAGAAGGTTGGCTGGAGGCCAGGAGTTTGAGATCAGCCTGGGCAACATAGCCAGACCCCATCTCTAAAAAAAAAAATTAAAAATTAGCCGGGCATGGTGGTGTATTATCCCAGCTACTTGGTAGGCTGAGGCAGGAGGATTACTTGAGTCCAGGAGTTCAAGGCTGCAGTGAGCTATGTTTGTGCCACTGTACTCCAGCTTGGGTGATAGAGCAAGACCCTGCCTCTAAAAATAAATAAGTAAAATGGGGCCGGCTGCGGTGGCTCATGCCTGTAATCCCAGCACTTTGGGAGGCCGAGGCGGGTAGATCACCTGAGGTCAGAAGTTCAACACCAGCCTGCCCAACATGGCAAAACACCGTCTTCACTAAAAATACAAAAAATTAGCCAGGCCTGGTGGTGGGCACCTGCAATCCCAGCTACTCAGGAGGCTGAGGCAGGAGAATCGCTTGAACCCAGGAGGTGGAGGTTGCAGTGAGCCGAGATTGCGCCATTGCACTCCAACCTAGGCCACACAGCGAGATTTCGTCTCAAAAAATAAATAAATAAATAAACAAATAAATAATAAATAAGTAAAATGGGATAATGGTAATTCTTGGGGACTTGGGAGCATTGGGTGAGAGAGGAGACTCCAGATACCTGCACAGGGCTGGACACAGAGTAGATGCTTATGAAATGACAGGCTTATTAATACCAATTATTCATCCTTCTCAAAGGTCATTCAGAACAACCTCCCAAGTCACTTACAGAAAGTAAAACCAGAGAGGGTTAGTTCTCAGCCGTTGTTACACAGCCTGTCAGTGTCAGGGCACGGTGCAGACCCGGCCTCTGGGTGCTGCCTTGGAGGTTCTCAGGCCGGGCCCTGGTTCTCAGCTCAGGGACCAGGTGAGGGAGGAGGGCGAGTGAGGCTGGAGACGACCCAGGCTCTGGCCTTTCCCTTGGCCCCGTCTTCCACCGCGGCTGCCTTCCCAGTGAGATAAACAAGGGATCAGTGGGAACAAAATGGATGAAGTAACGGGGAAGATATGAGAGGCCGCGCCCAGCCCCCAGCCTGCCCCACCCGCCTGCCCGCCAACAGGGACGGCTTCAGGAGAGGCACAGCCGGCCCCTGAGTCTCAGCCCGTGCCAGGCACTTAGGGTGCTCAGCGCTGGCCAAGCCCTGCCTGATCCCTGGGCTCAGGTGGCAAACCCCCCGTGGTGCCCTTGGACCCTCCCTGGGCCCTGTCCCTAAGCCCCACCCTCCCTGAGCTGGGATTATTTCAAATCCCCTCCACCAGAGTCTTGGAGGAGACAATTGCACGCTCCCAAGTGCAGATTCAGAGCCCCAGGGCTGTCTGGAGCGGACATGGGATTTGCCACCCTGGCTCAGCTGGTCTGGGGTTCAGCCTGACGCAGCCTGTCTGTGTCTCTGGGGCACCCGCAGTGCCTTGCTGCCTGAGGCCAGCTCCCTGCCATGGTGGAGGGGCTGCGTCTGCCCAAGGCCTCTCCAACCCCGGTGCCAGCTCCCTGCCCCTGCAAATTTCTGCCCATCCTGACCTCTCCAAGCAACCCCGGAACTCATGGGGGGCGTCTCCAGGGCCGGATGGAAGGCTGGCACTGCTGCCAAAGCCTGGACACCCACCCAGCCGGACACCACCCCGGGTACCTTCCCCTGCTGAGACGTAGACAAAGAGCGAGTGTGTTGGCCGGACAGGGCTCCACCCGCTGGCTGTGAGCAGCCAGGACCTGCAGCCTTGGGCCAAGGACCCCAGAGGCTCAACATCTGCCCTCCTTGCCTCAGAAGGAGGCGAGAAATGAGCCCTCCGCCTGCCAGGGAACATCACTGGAGTGCCCACCGGTGCCCTGAGCTGGGAGCCTGGCACAGATGGGGTGTGCGGTGGGCACCCCAGGGCCTGCCTGGCTCACTGCGACCTCAGTTGCCCTCAGCAAACAGTCTCCAAACTGCCCCAGGCCCTGACCAGGCTAAGACGGGGCTGTCTCTCTCCCCTCTTAGGTTTTTTGCAACCAACAGAGCTGGAACGGTGGAGCCCCAGGCCCTGGAGTCTGCATTTTGTGACTCCTCGGGTGATACGAAGGCAGGTGGTCTCTGAGCACACCACTCTGGTCCCTTCCCCATTTCCCCATCCCCTCCCCGGCTTCAGAGGGCCCTGTCCCTACCTGCAGAGGGAGGCTCCTTCATCCCAGCTTCCCCGGTACTCAGGTCCCCACTTTTCCGGCTGACTTTCTGCCCCCCACGCCCCAGGCATCCTCTGTTATGACCATGGAGAACCACATTTGTTTCCCCAGCACACAACCACCTTCCCTCTTCACGAGCTGGTTCCTCTGTCGGAAATGCTTGTTTAGTGGTCTCCTTTCTACCCAAAATATTCCCACTCAGCCTCGCAGGCCAGCTCCTATGTCGCCTCCAAGAAGCCTTCCTTGATCTCCGCCTGGTCCTTGCGGTCCCTCTGTTCTAACATATCTTCTACTAGTGCTCATCACACTGGAATAAAATTGCCTCCCCTCTGGCTAGGCGCTTGTCAAGAACTGAGGCCGTGTCTGAACCTCCCACACTGAGCCAGCCGAGGGCTGCTGGCTGAGCAGGACAAGCCACGGGACCAGGCCACCCCCCAAACTATGACAGCACACTTGCCCAGACTCAGACATCTCAGGGGACGTCACGTGTGGAGTGTGGGGGAAAGGGACTGACATTTGCTGAAGTCCTATGACGTCCTAGGTTCTCTTGTCCCCTTTCTTCAAAGGAGAAGACTGAGTCCCAGGGAAGAGAACTGACTCGCCCAGGGTCACTCAGCTGAGAGGTGGTGAGGTTGGCCTGGGAACCCCTGTGATCATTCTCCAAACCTCGCTGACCCCAGGGGATCACAGTCTCCAGCTCACCCCATCCCCTAGCAGGACACACACTGCATGAAGTTAAGAAAAGTTCTAGGCCGGGCACGGTGGCTCACACCTGTCATCCCAGCACTTTGGGAGGCCAAGGTGAGAGGATCGCTTGAGTCCAGGAGTTTGAGACCAGCTTGGGCAACATAGCGAGACCCCACCTCTACAAAAAAAAAAAATTACAAAAATTAGCCAGGCATGGTGGTGTGCACCTGTAGTCCCAGCTACTAGGGAGGCTGAGGTGGGAGGATTGCTTGAGTCCAGGAGGTCGAGGCTGCAGTGAGCCAAGATTGCGCCACTGCACTCCAACCTGGGTGACACAGTGAGATTCTAGTTCAAAAAAAAAAAAAAAAAAGAAGAAGAATTCTGAGAACAATGACTTGCCCAGAGCCAGGGGCCTGACTTTAGAGAGTGAGACCGAGAAACTGGCACTTGGGACATACATGGTCCTTGCATGTGTGGCATACAGTGGTCACACGTGGCGAGACTTGCCAGCTCATGAGTGCAGGACCCCTGCCCCTCTGGCCTGGGAGCCAGCTGCCCCGGGGGCCACGGGCTCCTGAGGCTGCTCCCCCGAGAGTCACCAGGCAGGGTCTGGATCGCAGAGTTGACACTAAACACACCCTCGTGCAGCAGACAGGCGTGGGAGGCACCCCCAAAGAGGCCAGTGCTGTTTTGAACAGAGCGAGGATGAGGTGACCCCTGACTCCCTGCCAGAAAGCCACTTAGCGGCAGCCGCTGGTGCACGGGAGACACCCAATCTGTCAGCACAGGCTGCGTGACGGGCCGGCGTCCAGCCATGGCCGCGAGGGGAGCCACCAGAGGGGAGCCAGATGGGCCCAAGGCCCTGCCTCAGGGGGAGGCAGGGGCTGCAGTGGCCATCCGTAGGGAGCCACTCTGTCTCTTTTTTTTAAAATTTAAATTTAAGAGATAGGGTCTCACTCTCTTGCCCAGGCCGCAGTGCAGTGGCGCAATCATGGCTCACTGCAGCCCCAACCTCCTGGGCTCAAGGAGTTTGAGGCTAATCCTCCCACCTCAGGCTCCTGAGTGGCTGGGACTACAGGTGCACTCCACCACATCTGACTAATTAAAAAACAAAACAAAACATAAAAACAAAAAACTTTTGTAGAGATGAGGTCTTTCTATATTGCCCAGGCTGGTCTTGAACTCCTGACCTCAAGTAATCTCCCCGCCTCGGCCTCCCAAAGTGCTGAGATTACAGGTGTGAGCCACCATGCCCTGCCCAAAGTAAAGTTATTTTGAGAATTGTCTGTGTTCACTGTTTACACTTTTCACTTACTACTTCCCTCCTTCATCCCCTCCAACCTGGCTTCTATCACTCCTATTCCACCAAAACTCCTCAGCTCAAGTTCACCGATGACCTTTCTGTGGATCAATCTTGTGAACCTTTTCACTCCTTATTTTACTCAAAATTGCTGCAGCATTTCATGTTAGCTTTTTTTTTTTTTTCTTTTTGAGACGAAGTCTTGCTCTGTCACCCAGGCTGGAGTGCAGTAGCACAATCTCGGCTCACTGCAACATCCACCTCCTGGGTTCAAGTGATTCTCCCACCTCAGCCTCCCAAGTAGCTGGGACTACAGAGCGCGCCACCACGCCTGGTTAATTTTTGTACTTTTAGTAGAGATGGGGTTTTACCATGTTGCCCAGGCTGGTTTCGAACTCCTGACCTCAGGTGATCCACTCTCAAAGTGCTGGGATCACAGGCGTGAGCCACCACACCCGGCCACTCACACTAGTTTTTTAATTTTTTTTTTTTTTTTTTTTTTGAGACGGAGTCTCACTCTGTCGCCAGGCTGGAGTGCAGTGGTGCAATCTTGGCTCACTGCAACCTCCACCTCCCAGGTTCAAGCGACTCTCCTGCCTTAGCCTCCTGAGTAGCTAGGACTACAGGTGCGTGCCGCCACGCCCCGCTAATTTTTATATTTTTAGTACAGACAGGGTTTCACTGTGTTGGCCAGGCTGGTCTCGATCTCTTGACCTCGCATTCACACTAGTCTTAACTTCCCACTTTGTGAATCCATTTTCTCTTTAACTCTGTGACCTGCATTCTGATTTTCCTCCCCTCTCTTTAGGCTGCTCCTTCCCCAGTTACTCCCATCTCTCGCTACTCTCCCTTTTCCAGCCCTTAAAGTTGGGGCTTTTTAAGGCTCAGTCCTGGGTCCTCCTCTCTTCTCACTCCCCACACCCTCCTGTGGGCTGCGGTTCACCTTGTTCCCTTTCTTCAATTACCAGCTATGGTCAGTATCAATTGGGCTACAGGCTGGAATCTCCAGGGGTGTATTGGAAAAATTCCAGGCCAGGCAGAACCCTTGGCCATTCTATTGGTCTAGGGGTGGAGCCCAGGCATCATTATTTTTAAAACCTTTCAAGCTCTCATTTTAATCTGCAGCCAAAGTTGAGAACCACGAGAAGAGATGCTGCTAACTCCCAAATCCTTCACGCCTATCCCCAAAGGACCCCTGATGAGCTTTGCTGTCACTATAGATTAGCTTGCAATTTCCAGAATCTTACATACTTTTTTGTTGTCTGGCTTTTTTCATTCATGGTGATGATTTTGAGACGCATCCATGTTGCGGCATGTATCAATAGTTTCATTCTTTTTTTTATTGCTGTCGCGTTTCATTATATGCTCATAGCCGGATTTGTTTATCCTTTTACCCCTTGATGGATATTTGGGTTGTTTTTAGTTTTTGGCTTTTGCAAATAACTCCGCTATGAATATTCATGTATAATGTGTGCAAAGACGTCTTCACGTCGTTTGGGAAATACCTACGGGTGGAGTGGCTGGGTCTTTTGGTAGGTGTATGATTAGCATTTTAAGAAACTGCCAAAAGGTTTTCAAAAGTGGCTGTGTTTTCTTCCACAACCCCCGGTCATGAAGGAGAGTTCCAGGTTTTCCCCATTTTTAAATTGGGTTGTTTTTCTTCCTAGCATTGAGTTGTCTAAATACAACTGAAAAAAACATTTCAGTCTGTGGTGCATCTCTTTATCATTTTTTCCTTCCTTCCTTCCCTCCTCCCTTCTTTCCTTCCTTCCTCCCTCCCTTTCCTCCCTCCCTCTCCTTCCTTTCTTTCTTCCTTCCTTCACTCCCTCCCTCCTTTGTTCCTTCCTTCCTTCCTTTCTTCCTTCCTTCACTCCCTCCCTCCTTTGTTCCTTTCTTCCTTCCATCTTTCCTTCCTTCTTTTCTTCTTCCTTTTCTTTCTCTCTCCTCTTTTCTTTCTTTCAACAGGGTATCACACGGTTACCTAGGCTGGAGTACAGTGGTGCAATCACAGCTCACTGCAGCCTCGAACTCCTGGTCTCAAGGTATCCTCCTGCCTCAGCCTCCCAAGTAGTTAGGACTACAGGCACACACCACTGTACCTAGCTACTTAAAAAAAGTTTTTTTTTTCTAGAGACAGGGTCTCACTAAGTTGCCCAGGCTGGCCTCAAACTCCTGGCCTCAAGTGATCCTCCCACCTTGGCCTCCCAAAGTGCTGGGATTACAGGTGTGAGCCACCATGCCTGGCCTTTATCATTTTCTAAATAGTGTCTTTGAAGAGCTAAAGTTTTTTGTTTGGGTAAAGTTCAATTTGTGTGTGTGTGTGTGTGTGTGTGTGTGTGTGTGTGTGTATTTTGTATTCTTTGTGCTTTTTGTATTGTATTTCCAAAGTATTTACCAAGCCCAAAGTAACTAAAATTCTTTTTCCCCTGAGTTTTCTTCTGGAAATGTTTTATCATTTTAGCTTTTACAAATAGTTACGTGACCTATTTAGAATTAATTTTGGTGTATGGCGTATGGTAGGGGAAAGCTTCTTCCCCAGTCGGCTTTCCTCATTGAAGAATGGTTTGCTATGACTCCATTTTTTTTTTTTTTTTGAGACAGGGTCTTGCTCTATTGCCCAAGCTGGAGTGCAGTGGGTGATCTCGGCTCACTGAAACCTCTACCTCCTGGGTTCAAGCAATTATCATGCCTCAGCCTCCCAAGTAGCTGGGATTACGGGCATGAACCAGCATGCCCAGCTAATTTTTGTATTTTTAGTAGAGACAGGCTTTCACCATGTTGGACAGGCTGGTCTCGAACTCCTGACCTCAAGTGATTCACCTGCTTCGGCCTCCCAAAGTGCTGGGATTACAGGCTGAGCCACCGCGCCCAGCCTACAACTCAAATCTAATCCTGTCATCCCCTGCTTACACTGTTGTCCCCAGGCAAACCTCAGCCCCTCTGGCCCAGCTTTGTAGATGACAACTGGCCAAAGTCCATGTCTCCAGCTTTCATCTCCCTGTTCTGTGGACACTAAAACCCATTTGCCAAACATATCAAACGTCTCTTTCGCCTGAGGGCTTTCCTTATGCTGCTGGTTCTGTCTGGAAGTACCACTCATCATCCATCTTTTCTGTCACTACAACCTTTTTTTTTTTTTGGAAACAGTGTCTCACTCTGTTGCCCAGGCTTGAGTGCAGTGGCGCGGTATCTTGGCTCACTGCAACCTCCGTGTACTGGGTTCAAGCGATCCTCCTGTCTCAGCCTTCTGAGTAGCTGGGATTATAGGCAGTCACTACCACACCTGGCTAATTTTTGTATTTTTAGTAGAGACGAGGTTTTACCATGTTGGCCAGGCTGGTCTTGAACTCCCGACCTCAGGTGATCCGCCTGCCTCGGCCTCCCAAAGTCCTGGGATTTCTACAAGTGAGCCACACGCCTGCTATACAACCTTTGGGGTTTGTTATAGGTCCTTCAGGGGTTAACTTAGAAGCTGTCCCCTCTTCCCACCCCAAGAGCCTTGGATAGGGCTGATGGTTCCTCCAAGCCCCAAGTCCTGCTGAACACTACTGAACACTGGATTTATTTATTTATTCATTTATTTAATTTGAAGGCAAAGTCTTGCTCTGTCGCCCAGGCTTGAGTGCAGTGGCATGATCCTGGCTCACCGCAACCTCCGCCTCCTGGGTTCAAGCGATTCTCCTGCCTCAGCCTCCCGCGTAGCTGGGACTACAAGCACTACCATGCCCAGCTAATTTTTTGTATTTTTAGTAGAAACGGGGTCTCACCATGTTGCCCAGGCTGGTCTCAAACTCCTGAGCTCAGGCAATCCACCCGTCTCGGCCTCCCAAGGAGCTGGGATTACAGGTGTGCGCCACGGTGACCCTGAACACTGGACTTAGAATGCTCTAGTATTGCCTGCCTGCTTCTGCCTCTTGACTGGGCTTCCTCCAGGCAAAGGCAGGTGTTCCTTCATTCTGAATGTCAATCAACATATTTAACCACCTGCACCACCCTTCCAGGCCATACCAGCTAATAACCAGCCCCGCCACTTGGTGGCAGCATGCAGCATGACGCAGATGAGGCTGGGGCCTGGCTGTGGAGTGAACGACCTTTGCACACCTTGCCCTGCATCAACCGCATGGCTGTTTCCCTTGGGAGCTCTTAGTGGGAGGAGGAGCTAAGGCTGGGAAGGGAAGCAGAAGCTGAGGTTTTGGCAACACAGATTCAGGAAGTTGGGGAGAAATGAGCCCAGAAGCTCAGAATGGGTGGGGTGCAGGGCCTGAGTTGGGACACAGAAGGCTAGCCCCAGGTCAGGGTTTGTGCCCCCATAAGGAGCTCCCACATGAGGCCCCGGGACCCGCCAGCAGCAGCAGGTCTTTTGCACCATCTCCCCAACGCTGTTTAGGCAAGGGGTGAACCTGAGGTCACCCAAAGCCTCCAGCCGCTCTCCCAAACAGCCGCCTACCACGGGGGACCCAGGAGGCCAAGTCAATAACCCGAAATCATAAAATCTCAAAGGCGTCGAGCATTTGGAAGGAGGAGCAGACGCAGCAAATGGGGCCTTTTCCCAGGCAGCTCGTGTGGAACAAGAGAAACAGATTTACGAGCGTCTGGTTGAAGCCAGGTTGGGGGGCGGGGTGGGGATGGGGGGTTTGGTGGAGACGCAGAACGTTTCTAGTGCACAGGAAGGATGATAAATGGGAATGAGCTGCACGGGCTCCATGGCTGTGGTTTAAGATGCGTGAAATGCAGGCTCTCTCTTTCGTGTGCTTTGTTACAGATTTGGAAGAACATAAATGTATGTATCAGTGTTTCATGGACTCTCCCAAGACCTGCAAACTCCGGTCCTCCTTCCTCTGAAAGGTGGGCCATCTGAGAGCGATGTTGGACATGGGTGTGTACCGGGGAGCACGGGCTGGTTGCCCATCCTTGGCCCTGAACTTGGACTCCCAGATGTAGCCACATGGCCCAGACCTCCCCCCGACCCGGCGGCACGGCGGCTTGAGAAAGGCCTGCCTCTGAGTCACAGGCAAGGCTCTAACGCTGTCTGTGGACTCTGGACTGAGACCCACAGGCTTGAAGGGGAAAGGGCACCCAGTTTACAGTCATGTTCATGCACACGCACACCTGCACACGCACACACCTGCACATGCATGCCTGACCACACATGCCTCCACATGTACACCTGCACGCACATGCCTGCACACACGCTTGCAAACGCACACCTGCACACACAATCTGCACACGCACACCTGCACACACATGCCTGCACACACACGCTTGCAAACGCACACCTGCACACACAATCTGCACACGCACACCTGCACACACATGCCTACACACACTTGCACACGCATGCCTGCACACACACTTGCACACACATTTGCACACGCACGCCTGCACACACATGCCTGAACACACACACCTGCACACTTAAACTCTTCCTGGTGCCAGATTTTGTCACAGGGAAGAACAAGGAGCCAGGTTCTCTAGAACCATCCCTCCCTCCAGCCTGTCTCTTGAGGATCAGTTGATTTATGGGGTCAGGGTCTCCTGACCCATTGGGAAACCTCCCTGCCTGTCTGTACCTTCCAGCACAGTCCAGGAGATCTGTGGGGTTGATGTCAGCTGCTCAGACACCCTCAGCTGGTATGAGACAGGTGGAAGTTTCTCAGGTCTGCAGCAGCCAGGTGGGGGGAACAGGGAGAGAGGATAATCCAGCCTGATCACCCCAGGCTCTGAAGGTCTCTCGGGGGAGGCCCCTGCCGGCTCAGATCTGTGGAAATGGGTTAGAAAGGGTCAGAAAGCCCCGGAGATGGTTGCCCCATGTCCACGTCCTGGGTGCCATGTCCTTGGGGCAACACTTCTCCCTTTTCAGCCACTACTGTCCCACCTGCCCTTTCTTCAGCCAGCCCCAGAGGGCCCGGGGCTGTTCTCCAGTGTGCAGATTCCAGGGACTGGTGCAAGGTGGGGTGCCCTGGGGGGCCACAGGGGTACAGAGGCTGCAGCTCTGAGCAGGGCTGGGGGTACCCTGGGAATTCAGCCCCCGCCTGCACAGGGAGGAGCCCTGGGCAGGTGGCCCTGTGAATCGATGTCTTCCAGGAGTTTGCAAACCTTCTGGCCCTGCTTTCGGGAGCCCCAGGGGATAGTCATCTGACCGCCATGGCCAGCCTTTAGAACTCCAGTCCCGAGGGACAGAGATGGGCTTAGGAAGTGTTCTGCAGCTCTGCCTGGCTGTCAGCACACCATAAAGAATGAGAAAGCGCTGCAGAGCCCTGCCATCTTGCACACGCACTGCGGGGGTGGAGGCGTCCTCCTGCACAGTCCCCGCGCTCCCTCCCCTCGGCCCTAGAGTTAGAATCCCTTCCAACTGTGGTCTCTGGTCTATACCTCAACCAGGGGACCAGTGCGGGTGCCTCAGCCCAGGACCGCCCAGCGGCAATATGACCACTCCAGTCCTGAATTTCTAGAGCTGGGAAGGGCTACCCTCCTTTTCCATCAAACCATCCAGGGCCAACGTGCGACCTCGAATCACCCTCCCTGGCTAGGACTACCCAGCCCCTCCGTGGCCTCAGGCTGTCTGAGAACTGCCTTTGACTTTGTTTCCTGGAGATGGTCCTGAGGGGCAGCCCTGGGTCTCTTGATCGTTTCTGGGAATATCAGGGTGAGTGCCATCCCCTTTGCATTTGCTACAGAAAGTTCTGGGCCTCCTGAGGACTTTTCTGTCCAGCTCCATAAAACAGGGTTTGTTTTTATTTTCTTGAGACAGGGTCTTGCTCTGTCACCCAGGCTGGAGTGCAGTGGTGCAATCTCAGCTCACTGCAGCCTCCATCTCCCAGGTTCAAGCGATTCTCCTGCCTCAGCCTCCCAAGTAGCTGAGATTACAGGCACGCACCACTACACCTCGCTAAGTTTTGTATTGGTAGTAGAGACAGGGTTTCATTATGTTGGCCAGGCTGGTCTCGAACTCCTGAGCTCAGGTGATCTGCCTGCCTCGACCTCCCAAAGTGCTGGGACTACAGGCGTGAGCCACTGCGCCTGGCCCATAAAGCAGGTTTTTAACTAGAAGATTCACAGAGGGACTTTGGGGAACTTACTGAATTTTGCATGTATCTGTACAGATGTGTTTTTTTTCTTTTTCTTTTGGTCTGGGAAGAGCCCTGAAGATCAGCAACCATAGCTGAAGGAGGGAGGGACAGACAGGCCCTAGAACTGCAGCCAGGGCCTGGCACAGCCTTTCCAAGTCCAAAGCTATAAGGCCGGGTTCAATACAACTTCCCTTTCACCCCAGGGGAAACTGAGACCCAGCAAGATGGGGACTTGGCTCAGGGCATACACCTGCGCAGAGGAGAGCTGGCCTGGAAGTCCAGCCTGGGCTGCAGTTCTCAGGAGGGCTGGGGATACCCTGAGAATTCAGCCCCTTCCTGCACAGGACAGCAGAACACTTCCCACCTGTGTCCTTAGCTGTCCTGGGAAGGTCTCATCGGCAGGTTCTGGGGTGGAATGAGCCTCCTGTAAACCCTAATATGCACAGGTACACACACACATGCAGACGTGCATATAGACATATACACACATGCACACTTATGCTCATATGCACACATCCATATAGACATATACACACATGCACACACACAGACACATGTGCATATAGACATATACACGCATACACACATGTATATATGCATACAGACATATACACACATGCACACATATACACATATGCACATGTGCATGCACACACATGCACACACTCCCCCTCAGCGTGCAGCAGAAAGAGTGCCATTTCCCCAGCAAGCTCGCCCACCGAGCCCTCGCTTGCTCCTCTGTGGGTGTCTGGTCTCCCACCCCGGCCGCAGCAAAAAGCTCCATGAAATGATTGATGAGAAGCCGGGGGCAGGGAGAGAGGCCGCAGCAGGATGGCATGGAGGCCGCCTCCAGACTGGGGCATCACCTGGAAAAAAATCACAAGGCTGTAAACACAGGCAAACAATAGGGAAGACGGGCCCTGGGGCTTCATAAAGAGCGTGCGGCCGGGACAGAGCTCAGGGCCCGCTTGGCTCGGGGGCGGCTGAGGGGACGGCAGACCGGGGGCTGCTCCGGGCTTGGCTGGGACGGACGTCTCGGACCATGGCTGGCCCGTCCAGCTCAGAGTTGGCCGGGAGGCCTGGCCTCCGCACAATAAACAACACAGAAAGATAAATTGAAAATGTGTCTGGAACTGGTGGGGAGAAGGGAGAGGTGGGCAGGGGTCACCGGGAGGCCTGTCTCCTTCCTTGGCCACTGCCCCCTCTGGGAGGAGGGCCCAGAGCTCTGGTGGGGAGGCGCAATCTTGGACCCCACAGGCCTGCTGGGGGTTGGAGGTGGTAGGCCCAGAGACAAGATGCCTTGAACATGTAGAATCAGAGAGGGCCTTTGAGGAGAATTTCCACCTGGAAAACTCCAGGGGTGTGTGAGGGCTCTGCATGGAGTTGAAGTGCTGGAGGGCAGAGAGGGGGGCCTCAGGCCAGGGCAGGCCGGCCTTGGGGAGCCCACAGACCCTTCTGAGCACGCCTGTGGGCCTGGGGACACAGTCTTAGACCGGACAGCCATGTTCCAAACCACAGGGTCTGGGGGCCGCAAGAAAGTAAAATTCCATACTTTTTGTTTTTGTTTTTGAGACAGAGTATCGCTGTGTCACCCAGGCTGGAGTGCCCTGGCGCGATGTCTGCACACTGCAACCTCCGCCTCCCAGGTTCAAGTGATTTTCCCACCTCAGCCTCTCGAGTAGCTGCTCTCATCCTTATTTCGCCCCTGGGTCACCCTGACTCAGTCTCAGAATGTCCCCCCTCCCCTGGCGACCTCACACACGCAATGCCACCTGCACTGCCCCAACTTCTCGGCCTCTACCCCTGGTGGATGCTTGCTCTTGCACCAGCACGCTGGACTTCTCGCCTTGCAGGTACAGGCCCTGAATAGCCCCCATCACCTCTCCTGCCAACGTGTCCTCCCAGGAACCGCTTCGGTTGCCTGGGCCAGAAGCCAGGGAGCTGAACTTGACTCCCACATCCTCATGCCCGCTATTGCACCCAAGAAATTCTTCCTCCCCACCTGTTCCCCCAGCAGTCCAGCACCCCATGCAGTCCAGGCCTTAAAGCAGTCGCCTCCTCACAGGCCCCCGGCCTGCCCACCAGGCCACCTCAGCCAGGAGGATCTGTGGGAAACACTGGGTTGCCCCCATCAGACGTCAATAACCCACGCCTCTCTTTGCTTCCCAGGTGCCCTCAGCTGCCCCCAGACCCTGTGGTTTGGGACATGGCTGTCCTGCCTAAGAATGTGTTTAATCTTTAAGAAATGTCTCAAAAGTATGGAATTTGGGCCGGGTGTGGTGGCTCACCCCTATAATCCCAACACTTTGGGAGGCTGAGACGGGTGGATCACCTTGGGGTCAGGAGTTCGAGACCAGCCTGGCCAACATGGTGAAACCCCATCTCCACTAAAAATATAAAAAATTAGCAGGGCATGGTGGCGCACGCCTGTAATCCCAGCTACTCAGGAGGCTGAGGCAGGAGAATCACTTGAGCCCAGGAGTTGGAGGATGCAATGAGCTATGATTGCACCACTGCACTCCAGCCGGGGATACGGAGCAAGATCCTGTCTCTTAAAAAAAAAAAAAAAAGGAAGTCAGAATGGGAAAGAAACCCTCATGCTCTGGGAAGGGGTCTGAGTGAGGAGACACAGCTCTGGCCCAGAAAGTCTAGTCTAGTGGGGAGGTGGTGGTGTGGGACACAAGGCCATTCCCTAAGAAGCCCTAGTCAAGGGTGGCAGCTGGGGACAGGGACCCTCAGAGCCTGGGGAGAGATGTGGTCCCAATCCTCAGGCCCCACTCATCAGGCCTCCCTGGGAGGGTCAGCAGGCATGGGTCTGGCTCCAGGTACCTTCAGCTCCTGAAGGGCCAGCTGGCACAGGCATGAGCCTGCATCCACCCGCAGGAAGCCGGTGCCCGGGAAGTGCCAGAGGGATGCCAGGCACAGGGCCAGGATCAAGGACAGGGTTGGCCCTGCCAACAGCTTCAGGGCCAGGGCTGGGTGTGCCCGGTTCTGGTCCCTGCAGGGCTGCTGAGGAGGGCAGAGGGCGAGGGCCTGTGGCAGCTTGTAGGCAGGAGGGTACCCCCTGTACCCGCAACTCAGGCAGCCACCTCTCTCAGGTCAGGGACTTCCAGGACCACCTACTACCCTTGCATTCCCACAGGGGCACATGAGTGGGGCTTCTACAGGCTGGAAGGTCCCCAATCCCTGCTTGAGGATGGGCCCCAAGTGTTCCACATTGAACTAGAATCTCTGGAAGAATGGGATGCAAAGTGACCCACTATGTGCTTTCTCAGCCCAAATCATTGCTTACACTACCCTGGTGGGGAATGGCGTCACCCAGCTTCGTAGACGAGGAAACGGAGGCTCAGAGAGGGTGAGCATCTTACTCAGAATACACAGCTAGGAGACGGTAGGGCTTAAATTCCAGCCCACGCCATCCTATGCTCTAGGCTGCCCCGGAGCAGGCTTCCCTGGGGGCAGGAGCCGGGTTGCCTCCATCAGACACTGATAACCCATGCCTCTCCTCGCCTCCTAGGTCCCATCAGCTGCCCCCGGACTCTGTGGTTTGGGGCATGGCTGTCCTGCCTGACAATGCGTCTGATCTTCAAAAAATACCTCCAAAGTACAGAGTGGAGGAATGAATGAATGTGTCCCCAGGGCCCCGTTAGACCAGTGTTGGACACTGGGGCCACAGAAAAAAGGAAACCAGGCTGATGCCTGCCCCTAGGAGGTTTTTGTTTGTTTTTTGTTTGTTTTGACATGGAGTCTTGCTCTGTCGCCCAGGCTGGAGTGCAATGGCACAATCTCTGCTCACTGCAACCACCACCTCCCAGGTTCAAGCGATTCTCCTGCCTCAGCCTCCCAAGTAGCTGGGATTACAGGAACGCGCTACCATACCCACCTAATTTTTGTATTTTTAGTAGAGACGGGGTTTCACCATGTCGGCCAGGCTGGTCTTGAACAATTGACCTCGTGATCCGCCCGCCTCAGCCTCCCAAAGTGCTGGGATCACAGGTGTGAACCACTGTGCCTGGCCTAGGAGGTTTTATATTGGTGAAGAAGACAGGCTAAGACCCAAATCGGTGCCCCCAGTGTAACAGTCGATGTGTCACACCGGTGTCACATGGGTGTCACATGGGTGCACAGCAGCCTAAGTGGGCAGCCTCGAGGGGGTGGTCAACTCCCTCAGGCTGGCAGGAGGTAGGGAGGAGGTGTGAATGCTTCATGGAGATGGGGATGTTTTAGCCAAATCTTGAGAGAAGGCTATTCCAGGCCTGGGCTGCAGGGGCACTGCTGAACAGCCAAGACTTTCCAGGAGTCACCTCACCTGGAAGGCAGGTGAGGTGCACAGGGAGAGGGACCCAGAGAGCACCGATGCCTTAGGGGCCAAGACTCCAGGAGCCTTGACTATGCGGCTAAGGAGCTGGAACTTTCTCTGCAGTACACAGGAAGCTGGGGAAGGGCATCAGGCTCAGGGGACACAATCATACGGTTGGACTTGCCACTTTCGCACGCTCACCCTGACTGCCGAGGGGTTTGGACAGGCAGGGTGAGCCTGGTGGCAGGGGATTCTGGCAGAGGCTGGTGCAATGATCCCAGTAAGGGATGGAGAGGTCTGTGCTTAAACACTGCCACGTGGCTGCAGGGTGAGAGCGAGAGTGAGAGCGAGAGACAGAGATAGAGAGAGAGAGAGAGAGAGAGAGAGAAAGAAAGAGAGAGAGAGAGAGCACAAGCTGTCTGGAAAATTGTGAACCAAATTTCATGATGGAGTGGAACTGAAAGTCAGGGGGGTGGTTATAGAGGGCTGCCTGGACTCTGGGGAGACTTTCAGTTTCACCTGCTGAGATGAGACACCCAGAGGATCGGGGGAGACTTGCAGAGGATGAGTGACTGGGGCCACCCAGTGGGATATATTTGGGTATGTGGACCTCCATTTACCTCCTCTCAC
Organism: Homo sapiens; assembly: GCF_000001405.40. Classification (NCBI taxonomy): domain Eukaryota; kingdom Metazoa; phylum Chordata; class Mammalia; order Primates; family Hominidae; genus Homo; species Homo sapiens. Next base: position 73,971,347 of record NC_000007.14, on the reverse strand, counting down.
CTAGAAAGTCTCCCCTAAAACACCCACTTACTGCCAGTCCCCAGCTCCCCTTTCCTACCTTAGATCTCATCTCCTTCTCCTCACCTCTTGGTGGGCGCTGGGCAGCAGGGGAGCCAAGCCCAACCCCGGCCCCAGAGGCAGCCCCAGAGGCCTCACTCCCCCTGCTCAGTGAGGCTCTGTGTCCAGACGCCAGCTGCCTGCTCAGCCCCATGGCTGGCTGCGGCTGGCATGGACCCAGGGCTGGCTTATGGATGGTGCTCCAGGCACCCAGGCCCACTGGCGTGGGAGTTGTGCCTGGACCATGGGGAGAGAGGGCGATGGCCTGGGGAGCCGGGCGTTCTGGCCACCCGCGGTGCAGCAGGCACCAGGCCCTGGCAGAAGCAGGCTGGGCTGGGGGTGGCAGGCAGCCCTGGCCCACAGGCGGCTGGCTGGCTGAGCATCTGCTCATCTTGTTTTCCATCTCCTCCCCAGATTACCATCCAGCCTTCCCCCATGGGCCCTGGGAGGAGTGGATGGGGACAGGGGGCTTCCGTGCACGTCTCAGGGGCGTCGGATGAACCTTGAATCCTCCCAGCTCTGCTTTCGCTGTGCACCTTGTGTGGTTGCCAAGCCCGAGCCTCAGTTTCTCCACTATGACATAAAGTGTCTGGGGCAGCTCTAGATGAAGGTGAGGCAGGCATGACTGTGGCACAGGAGGGTGGCTCTCCTGGCAGAACTGCTGCCAAGAATCCTGATGTTAGACGGAGTCTCGCTCTCTGTCTCCCAGACTGGAGTGTAGTGGCATGATCTTAGCTCACTGCAACCTCTGCCTCGTGGTTCAAGTGATTCTCCTGCCTCAGCCTCCCGAGTAGCTGGGATTACAGGTGCATGCCACCATGCCTGGCTAATTTTTGTATTTTTAGTAGAGATGGGGTTTCACCATGTTGGCCAGGCTGGTCTCAAACTCCTGACCTCAAGTGATCCCCCTGCCTCGACCTCCCAAATTGCTGGGATTACAAGTGTGAGCTGCCATGCCCAGCCTTGACTGTCCTGTTCTAAAGGCTTCATCTAGTGAAAGACTCCTAGACCCCTGGACCCAAAACAACAAGGACAGGAAGGGAAGCAAGCCTGGGACTTGTCCTGGAGTACCAATCTCCATGGACATCGGACCATTTTGCTGATAGTGCAAAAGAGCATCAGCTCAGGATGGCAGGAAGGAGAAAAGCCTAGGTATCTGCTCTGACTCTGTCCTTGCCCTGCTCTTCTCTGGCTTTGATTCTCCTTTGAATGATGTGGATGTGCTGGTGGGCTCCGAGGACCCTCCTAGTGCTTGGCTTTAAGGATCCCAGATCGTTCTTTTATTTTTTAGACAGAGTCTTGCTCTGTCGCCTAGGCTGGAGTGCAGTGGCACAATCATAGCTCACTGCAGTCTCGAACTCCTGGGCTCAAGCTATCTTCCCACCTCAGCCTCCTGAGTAGTGGGAACTGCAGGCATGTGCCACTATACCCAGCTAATTTTTTTTTTTTTTTTTGAGAGACAGGGTTTCACCATGTTGCCCAGGCTGGTCTCGACTCCTAGCGCCCAAGTGATCCACCTGCGTTGCCCTCCCAAAGTGCTGAGATTACAGGTGTGAGCCATCACACACAGCCTCCAAGATCCTCCTTATTTACTGGCCAGGCATTCATGCTCTTAGAGCCCCCACCCCACACAGTGACTTCTCAGGTCTCCAACACTTGCCTGATCAGATAGCCTCTCCTGAGACCCCCTTCTTCCTCTTCTCTGGTTTTCCAAGGCCTCCTGGTTCCCTGACACCCACCTCAGCCCATCCCTTCCCAGCATTCTTGCCCTTGAACTCCCCAAGGACATTCTGCCAAGTCCTGCTGTCAGGCCTGGAGTTGCTCCCTCCCTCCCAGCCCTGCTCAGCTGCCATGAGCCTAACCTCCCCCTTACCTGGCCCAGCCATGGGCTCCAGGGCAGGGGCTGGGCCTCAGCATCCCTGTGTGCCCCCTTGAAATCAGGCACATAGTCCCAAAGCAGCAGGAGGTTAGAAAAGGAACCAGAAGGCCCCGGCCTGGCCCCAAATCCCTGTGCTGTCATTTCAGACTGGATGACCTCAGGAAATTCTCCCCCTGAGTCCATGCCACCCCTGCCAGTTCTGTGCCTCCCTCTGAAAAGTGGGGCTACACCACCCCTGCCTGCCTGCTCACAAGTGAGAATTGAAATCAAGTGCTGGGCCTGGCATGGTGGCTCATGCCTGTAATCCCAGCACTTTGGGAGGCTAAGGCAGGAGGATCACTTGAGGTCAGGAGTTTGAGGCCAGCCTGGCCAACATGGTGAAACCCCCATCTCTACCAAAAATACAAAAATTAGCTGGGTGTGGTGGCGGGCGCCTGTAATCCCAGCTACTCAGGAGGCTGAGGCAGGAGAATCGCTTGAACCAGGAGGCAGAAGTTGCAGTGAGCCGAGACTGCCACTGCACTCCAGCCTAGGTGACAGAGTGAGAACCTGCCACTAAAAAAAAAAAAAAAAGAAAGAAAGAAAGAAAGAAGAAAAGGAAAAAGAAAGCAACTGCTATATGTGAATGAGCTCAGGTAATCTGCATAGCCTCTACCCCTTAACTTAAGCCCAGCAGGCTGACACTGCAGTGAGCTATGATTGCAACACTGCACTCCAGCCAGGGTGACAGAGCAAAACTCTGTCTAAAAATAATAATAATAACCAACCATTTAAGATGCCCTTATGTGGTAGATTAAGTGGTGGAGTGTATTGTTTATCCTCTGTTGATAGATGAGGAAGCTGGTGCTTGGCAGAAACAGTGAGTGACTTCCTCAGGGTCTCCAGGCTGCTGAGAGGTGGGGGCTGGAAATGCTCCCAGGTGGTCTGAGACAGAAGCCCTGCTGGGAAGTCCTCCCTCAGGAGACAGGAGCCTGTGGACATACCTTGCGCCCTGTTGCACCCTCTGTGAACGTGAGGAAGTGCTGCTCTTTTCATCTTAGAGATGAGAAAGGGAGGCCTGGAGAGGAGGCAGTGACTTTTGGAGGCAACCCTGAGTCGATGGCACAGCTGAAGCACTGACTTCTGCTTTTAGCTCTTCCCTCCTCCTGGAATTTCCTGATTTCTTTGAGATCTGAAGTAAGGGGTACAAGGCTCCTGGGCCTCCATGAGCCAGGTGGCCCTGATGGTGAGCCATCCACAGATCTGCAGGCATTGATTGCAGGTGCCAAGCCAGTCGGCACAGACCTCCGCCATCTGCTATCATTGCCATGCAAGAAAAGAGTCCCAGCTCATAGGCAGACATGAGCCACAAGGCAGGCAGGACCTGCAGCCTGGCCACACCCATCATCCAGGGTCACCTCTCTGTCCAGACCCATGCCTGGTTATTAAGCATTTAGTGATGGCAGGAGACCCACCTGGAGGCTGGGTGGGTGATGGTGGCAGTGATGATGGTGGAGTTGGTGAAGATAGTGGAAGTGAGGATGAAGGTAAGGACAGGTGTGAAGGTGAAGGTGGAAGTAAGGATGGAAGTGAAGGTGGAGGTGAGGATAGAGATGAGGATGAAAGTGAGGATAAAGGTGAGAGTGGAGGTAAGAACGGAGATGAGGATGGAGGTGAACACAGAGGTGAGGATGGAGGTGATGGTGGAAGAAATGATAAAGATGGTGAAGACACTGGCTGTGGCAATGGTGGGATGGGGATGCCATTGTGGGTCATGAGAAGAGCTCTTGACTGACATCCCTCCATGAATCTCGAAGCTCACCCAGCCACAGAGTGGATCCCTTCATTTCAGTCCCAGCAGCCTCCTCCAACCATTTCAGTCCCAGCAGCCTCCCCCAAGCAGTCAGGATCCCTGAAGAGCACCTGGCTGTCCACAAGACAATAGGCAGGAAGGGGATCCAGTGGCCCCCCAGGCTTAGCTAATGTGAGTGAACACCAGGCAGGAGCCAGACAGCAGATGGGATAGGAGTTTCCAAGCCAGTGCTTGGGGACAGGCCCTCCCATTCAAACACAAAGCAAGGCCCTGGCCACAGCCGGGAAGGATTGCAAGGGCCTTCCTGAGCAGACACAAAGCAGCCCTGAGCCGCTGGGGGTGATGAGGAGCGGAGGCAGGGCCAGGCAGAGGGTCTGCAAAGAATTACACAGGAAAGCTGGAAGGGGGACATTGGGTCTAGTGGTTTGGCCTGTGGAGAGCTGTCAGGAGAGGGGAGGATGAGGTTGGTGGAGACGCCTGAGGCAAGGGTGTCTGGGGGTCTTGTTGGCAGCATGGTGGCAAAAGCTCCAGAGGTAGCCACGCATGTGTTCCAAGGCAGCCGCTGGGAATCCCACCACCTCTGGCTCTCAAATGCCTCTCCTATTGTTAACACGAACACAGACCTGTCAGGCCCTCCATGATCGATGCCTGGACTTTTCCATTATCTACGGGCAGCCTGCCACTCACGGTTCCCCGGGCGTGCCCACTTCTGGGCACCGCCAGGACCCCAGCGAAGGGCTGGACTGGAGAAGCCTGGCTGGGAGCATGGGCCGGCCTTCCCGACTCGCTGCCCAGGCTGTGGGCCTTGCCAGGTGTCAGACTCAATTTCCTGACCCTTCCTGCCCAGAGAACAAAACATGTCATCTCTCCACCCAAGCTGGGTCCACCCAGGACACTGGCTTGGCAGGAGGAAGACCTCTGGGGGTCCAGACCAACTGACCAGGCAGGCAGGGTAGGGGCGGAATGCAGACAGGTCATGGGTGCAATTTGTCACCCATGGGACAAATTGCCAAAGGGAAGGACGCCAGGGGATGGGGTGGCCAGGGAGGCCGCAGGAGGTATTGGAGGGACCCCCAGGCCCAGAGTCCAGAGACCCCCCATTCAATCCCGACTCACCCTGTCCCTTGGGCAAGAATCAGGGCCAACTCCACTGGCAAATGAGGTAGTTGAGTAACTGGATTTTTGAGGTCCACCCCACCTTCCATTAGTCAGCAAAGATCCCTCCTATGGCCAACCCCATATCCTTACACAATTTTGCACTTATTGCTTTTATTAAAAGAATAGCTTTATTGTGATAAAATTCACACACCATACAATTCACCCATTTAAAGTGTACAATTGAGTCGGTGGTTTTTAATATATTCACAGGGTTGTGCAATCATTTCCACAGTTTATTTTATTTTATTTTATTATTTTTTGAGATGGAGTCTTGCTGTGACGCCCAGGCTGGAGTGCAATGACGTGATCTCAGCTCACTGCAACCTCCGCTTCCTGGGTTCAAGTGATTCTTCTGCCTCAGTCTCCCAAGTAGCTGGCACTACAAGCACATGCCACCATGCCCAGCTAATTTTTGTATTTTTAGAAGAGACGGGGTTTCATTATATTGGCCAGGCTGGTCTTGAACTCCTGACCTCAAGTGATCAGCCCACCTCGGCCTCCCAAAGTGCTGGGATTACAGGCATGAGCCACCACACCCAGCCTCACAGTCCATTTTAGAACATTACATTATCCTGATAAGAAAACCTCTGCTTTTTGGTCTGGGTACAGTGGCTCCTGCCTATAATCTCAGCACTTTGGGAGGCTGAGGTGGGGGAGTTACTTGAGCCCAGTAGGAGTTTGAGATCCGCCTGGGCAATATAGCAAGACTGCATGGCTATAAAAAATTTAAAAATTAGGCCAGACACGGTGGCTCATGCCTGTAATCCCAGCACTTTGGGAGGCTGAGGTGGGCGGATCGCCTGCGGTCGGGAGTTCAAGACCAGCCTGACCAGCATGGAGAAACCCTGTCTCTACTAAAAACACAAAATTAGCTGGGCGTGGTGGCACATGCCTGTAGTCCCAGCTACTAGGGAGGCTGAGGCAGGAGAATCACTTGAACCTGGCAGGCAGAGGTTGCAGTGAGCCAAGATCGTACCATTGCACTCCAGCTCAGGCAACAAGAGCAAAACTGTCTCAAAAAAAAAAAATTAAAAATTAGCCAGGAGTGGTGGTACACACCTACAGTCTCAGCTACTTGGAGGCTGAGGTGGGAGGATCGCTTGAGCCCAGGAGTTGGAGGCTGCAGTGTGCTATGATGGCACCACTGCAGTCCAGCCTGCACAACAGAGCAAGACCCTGTCCCTCATTTAAAAAAAAAAAAAAAAAAAAGCTTAAATCCCTCCTAATCTCTGGGCAGCCTCCTGGTCTTTGAGCCTGGAGTGAAGCTGAACCCACAGGTGAGAGAACAAGAGGCCCCAGGTACAGGGAGAGGGGATTGCAGAGCTGGAGGCAGGTGGCCCAACTACCACCCAGCGGATATGAATAAGCACCCACTGACTAGGCGCTGTCATAGTCATTGGACAGCTCTGGGTCCCAGCTGTGGGCAAAGCCCAGACTGGGTGCTTTGGGATTCCGGCTCTGTGCCTGGCATCACTTCTGGCCCTGTCTGAGTAGCAGCTTCCTGCAAACAGATGTGGCCTTGTGCCCTGTGCTGGCAGGCCCTCCGGAGAGCTGAAGGTGCCTTAGGACCCAGGCCCATGCCTGCTGACCTCCACTGATCAAGAGAGGCCTGATGAATGGGGGCTTTTCTAAGTGGGACCACATCTCCCCTCAGGTCACAGTGCCCAAGAAAGGGTCACAGCTTCCCCCTCTGATTGGGGCTTCTCAGGGAAGGGTCCATGCCCCACTCAGATCAGAGTTTCCAAAGCATGGTTGTACCTCCCTCACCAGACTTACTTTTTGGGGGAGCTCCCTATGTCTTCCCTCCGACCTTTTGCAAAGCATGCCTATGCCTCTCCCCTTAGGGTAAGGCCATGTCCTTTCTGTTATACCAACTTCCTAGGAGTTCCACCCACTGTGTGGCCTTCTATCTGAGACACACTTTCCTCATCCGTAAAGTAGGGAGAGTCATATTTGTGTCATAAAATTGCCATGGATGGAACAAGAATAGCATAACATCACAATATTAACCATCCAATCAATACTTACTATAGCCATACTATGGAATGTTATTGGCAATGAAAAGAAACAAGAACTGATACATGCCACAACATGGATGGACTCTGAACACATGATGTTAAGTCACAAAGAATCAAAGATGGTATTATTCCATTTATATGAATAGACAAATCTCTAAAGACAAAAAGTAGATTGGTGATTGCCTAGGGCTGAGGGTGGGGCAGAATGGAGGGATTGGGGGATGAGGGCTTCTTTTAGGGATAAGGAAAATATTGTAAAATTGATTGTGATGATGGATGTACAATTCTGTGAATATACTAAAAGTCATTAAAGTATACATGATAAATTAATGAATTGTATGGTAAAGTAAACTGTATTTCGATAAAGCTGTAAAAGGATGTACAGACATGTGAGGAAGTAGGAAAATATGACTTGTAATTTTTAAAAAATCAATGAAACAGATCCAGAAGTGATCAAATTAGTTTGCAAGACTTTAAATTGGCTATAGAAATATGTTCAAGATTTTAAAGGGAAAACAAACATAATGAGGAGAGAAATAGAAGATTTAAAAGAGAACCAATGGAACTGCTGGAGCTGAAAATATAATGTCTAAGATAAAAAAATATAGGATGAGCTTAACAGCAGATTTGACACTACAAAGACAAGATCAATGAATCTGAATATATCCAAACTAAAGCACTGAGGGAAAAAAGCAAGCCAAAAAAATTTTAACAGAGGCTTGGTGACCTGTAGGACAATATTAATCCATCCAACACACATATAACTGGAGTACCAGAGGCAGAAGAAATAATTGCTGAATTTTCTTCAAATTGCAAATTTGATTAAAATCATAAACCCAAAGATCCAAGAAACTCAAAGAGCTCCAAGAAGAATAAATATTAATTCAAAGAAAACCACACCAAAACATATCACAATCAAGTTGTTGAATACCAAAAATAAAGAGAAAAATCTTAAAAGCAGCCAGAGGGCGAAATGACACATTATGTAGAAGGAACAAAGATAAGAATGACTGCTGACTTATTGTCAGAAACAATGAAAGCTAGAGGACAATAACATGACATCTTTAGAGTGCTGGGGTTGGGGGGGAAGCTATTAACCTAGAATTCTTTACTCAGTTAAAATAGTCTCCCCTAAATGAAGACAAAATAAAGGTATTTTTTAAAGAAACAAACGGTGAGAAAATTTATTGCCCAGCAGAAATTGCACTACAAAAAATTATAAAATTAAAATTTCAGGCTAAAGGAAAAAGATACACATAAGCATGAGATACAAGACAATGAAAAACACTAGGAATGGCAAATATGTGGACTAATGTAAGAGATACTTTCTCTTATTTTCATTTCTTTAAAAGATAATTGGCTGGGCGCAGTGGCTCATTCCTGTAATCCCAGCACTTTGGGAGGCCGAGGTGGGCAGATCACCTGAGGTTGGGAGTTCGAGACCAGCTTCACCAACAAGGAGAAACCCCATCTCTACTAAAAATACAAAATTAGCCGGGCGTGGTGACACATGCCTGTAATCCCAGCTACTCAGGAAGCTGAGGCAGGAGAATTGCTTGAACCGGGAGGCAGAGGTTGCGGTGAGCCAAGATCACGCCATTGCACTCCAGCCTGGGCAACAAGAGTGAAACTCTGTCTCAAAAAAAAAAAAAAAGGAATTGTTTAAAGAAAAAAATAGCAGTGTATTGTGGGGTTTATAACTTCCGAGATGCATGACTACAATAGCATAAAGGACGGAAGAGTGAAATCAAAGTATGCTGCTGTAAGGTTCTTGTATTATTCATGAAGTGTTAAATGCAATTTAAGGGTAGATTGTGAAAAGTTAAAGATTCAAATTATAAACTCTAGGATAATCACACACACAAAGAAATAGCTTATAGGTAAAAGGTGAAAAAATGGCAAACAAAAACCAAAACAAACAAAAAACTTCAATCTAAAGGAAAGTAGGAGGCTGGGTGTGGTGGCTCACACCTTTAATCCTAGCACTTTGGGAGGCCGAGGCGGGTGGATTGCCTGAGCTCAGGAGTTCGAGACCAGCCTGGGCAACATGGTGAAACCCCGTCTCTACTAAAATACAAAAAAATTAGCCGGGTGTGGTAGCGTGCGCCTGTAGTCCCAGCTACTTGGGAGGCTAAGGCAGGAGAATTGCTTGAACCTGGGAGGTGGAAGTTGTAGTGAGCCGAGATTGCGCCACTGCCCTCCAGCCTGGGTGACAGAGCAAACTCTGCCTCTACAGAATAAATAAATAAATAAATAAATAAATAAATAAATAAATAAAATTAGCTGGGTGTGGTGGCAGGCGCCTGTAATCACAGCTACTCGGGAGACTGAGACATGAGAATCACTTGAACCCAGGAAGTGGAAGCTGCAGTGAGCCAAGATCATGCCACTGAACTCCAGCCTGGGTGACAGAGGGAGACTTCGTTAAAAAAAAAAAAAAAGAGGAAGGTAGGAAAATAAGCAAAGAACAGAGGAAACAAATAAACAAATAGCAAGCAGGTAGAGTTAAACCCAAACATATCACTTCGCATCTAGCCACATGGAACGACGGGAACTGGATTGATCCTTCTATCTTAAAAACTGGAAAACCAAACAAAATACGTGAAGCGGCAGTTGTCTGATGTGAACCATAGGCAGTGCTGAGACGTGATCCCCAAGAGAAGAGAAATAAAGTGAGTTCTAAGATCTGGAAAATTTGCAAATATTAGGAAATTATCATACTTCTAAATAACCCATAGGTCAAAGAAGAAATCGCATGGGAAATTAGAAAATATCTTGAATTAAATAGAAATGAAAAAACAACCTATTAATATTTGAGGGGTGCAGCCTTAAGCAACGCTTTGAGGGCAATTTATAGCTCTAATTGTTATACACAAGAAGAAAGCTCTAAAATAAATGAGTGATGGTTCTACCTGTGTGTGTGTGTGTGTGTGTCTGTGTGTGTGTGACAGGGTCTCGCTCTGTTGCCCAGGCTGGAGTGCAGTGGTACAACCAGAGCTCACTGCAGCCTCGACCTCCCAGGTTCAAGCAATCCTCTTACCTCAGCCTCCTAAGTAGCTGGGAGTACAGGCATATGCCACTTCACCCAGCTAATTTTTTAATTAATTCATTTTTTTTTTTTTGGTAGGGACACTGTCTTGCTATATTGTCAGGCCTAGTCTCAAACTCCTAGGCTCAAGTAATCCTCCTACCTTGACCTCCCAAAGTGCTAGGGTTACAGGCATGAGCCACTGCACCCAGCCAAGGGTCTACCTTACATGCTAGAAAATGAAAGAGCAAATTAAACCTGATGTAGAAAAATACGAATCATAAAAAGCAGAAATCAATTGAATAGAAAATGAACCAATAATGAAGAAAATCACTGATACCAAAAGCAGTTTCTTTGAAAAGTCCAAGTGTTGATGTATTCATTATCTATTGCTGTGTAGCAACACAACCACCGCAAACAGTGGCTTTAAACAACATGTATTTATTTTCTCATAGTTTCTGGGGGCCAGGAGTCCAGGCACAGCTTAGCTAGGTCCTCTGCTTCTAGCTCACTAAGTTGCAATCAAGGTGTCTCATCTGAGGCCAACTGGTGGAGAATCGACTTCTAACTCATGTGGTGGTTGACAGAATTCAGTTCCTTGCAGGCTGCTGGACCAAGAGCTTCAGTTTCCACCTGGCTGTCAGCCAGAGGCCACTCCCATCTCCTTGCCACATGGCAGCTTACTTCCTCAAAGCCATTAGGTGTATGGTGGGGAGGACAAGAGTGTCCTAGCAAGATGGATTATTATCTTACATAATGTAATCACATACACGTCATCATGTACATGCCTTCACCTGTGTTATATTCTATGATTTAGAAGCAAGTCACAAGTCACATCCACGCTCAAGGGGAGGCCACACAAAGGTGTGATGGCAGGAGGTGGGACTCATAGGGCCACCACAGTCTCTCACCACCACTGATAAGACTCAAGCTATATTCTTTAAACCAAAAATGGAGAATACTGCATTATCAATATTAGTCATGAAAGAAGAGACATTACTAAAGCTTCTGTGTACATGAAACAGATAATAAGGGAATGTTATGAGCAATAGCATGCCAGTACATTTGATAGCTCAAGTAGCATGGACAAATTCTTTGAAGACACAAATGACCAAAACTGGCTCAAGAATAAATAGAAGTTTAGAAGGAAAACATAGCGCTGTAAATTCCTATATTAAAAATGAAGCAAGATCTCAAATCAATAACCTAAACTTCTACCCTAAGAAACAAGAAAAAGAGGAACAAAGTTAAACTCAAAGCAAATACAAAGAAAGAAATAATATAGATTAAGGGGAAATAAATGAAATAGAGACAGAAAAGCAATAGAGAAAGCTAATGAAACCAAAAAGTTGGTTCTTCAAAAAGATCAACAAAATTCACAAATCTTTAGACTTGCCAAGAAAAAAAGAGAAAAAAATTCAAATTACTAAAATTGAGAATGGAAGAAATGACATTACTATTTTTTTTTTTTTGAGACGGAGTCTTGCTCTGTTGCCCAGGCTGGAGTGCAGTGGCACAATCTCGGCTCACTGCAACCTCTACCTCCTGGGTTCAAGTGATCCTCCTGCCTCAGCCTCCCAAGTAGCTGGGATTACAGGCACACGTCAACACAGCCGGCTAATTTTGTATTTTTAGTAGAGATGGGGTTTCACCATGTTGGCCAGGCTGGTCTCGAACCCCTGATCTCAGGTGATCCACCCGCCTCGGCCTCTCAAAGTGCTGGGATTACAGGTGTCAGCCACTGCGCCCAGCCAGGACATTACTATTAACCTTACAGAAGGATAGAGAATTATAAGGGAATACTATGAACAATTGTATCCCAGGGACAAATTCTTACAAAGCCTCAAGCTATTAGAACAGACACAAAAAGAAATTAAAAATCTCAAAATATCTATAACAAGAGATTGAATTAATAATTAAAACAAAACAAAACAAAGCAAAACAAACACAAAAGAACTCCTTGCAAAGAAAAACCCAGGACCAGATGGCTTCACTGATGATTTCTGCCAAACATTTAAAGAAGAATTAATATCAATCCTCCAAAAACCTTTCCAAAAATAGGGGGGAAATTTTCCAACTCATTCTGAGGTCCTGACACCAAAACCACACAAAGACAAAACAAGAAAAGAAAACTATAGACCAATAATTCTTACAAATAAAGACAAAAAAATTCTCAGCAAAATACTAGAAAATGAATTCACTAACATACAAAAAGGATTATATACCAATGATCAAGTGAGATTTATGCCAGGAATGTAAGTTTGCCTCAGTGTACAAAAATCAATGCAGTTAATACACCCTATTAATGGAATAAAAGGCAAAACCATATCATCGTCTCAATAGATGTAGAAAAAGCATTGTCAAAATCCAACACCCTTTTGTGATAAAAACAATCTCCAAACTAGGAATAGAAGGATAATTTCTCAACCTGAAAAAAGACATCCATAAAAACCCACCTATCATCATACACAGTGATGAAAGGTAGAAAGCTTTCTTCCTAAGATCAAAAACAAGACAAGAATGTCCCCTGTCAACACTTATATTCCACATTGCATCAGATGTTCTAGCCAGGGCAGGAGAAAGAAATAAAGGCATCCAGATTAGAAAGGATTAAGTATAACTGCCTCTATTTGCAGAGAATGTGGCCTTGTATAGAGAAAATCCTCAGGATTACACAAACACACAGACATATATACACACACACAACTATTAGAACTAATAAATGAGTTCAGCAAGGTTGTAGAATACAAGATAAATATATAAAAATCTGTTATATTTTTTGGAAATGAACAATCCAAAAAATTAGATTAAGAAAACAATTCCATTTATAATAACATAAAAATAAAATACTTAGGAATAAATTTAATAAAACAAGCACAAGACATACTCTGACAACCACAAAACACAGTTGAAAGAAATTAAAGAAGTCTTGATGGGGTGCAGTGGCTCACGCCTGTAATCTCAGCACTTTGGGAGACCAAGGCAGGTGGATCACCTGAGGTCAGGAGTTCGAGACCAGCCTGGCCAATATGGTGAAACACCGTCTCTACTAAAAATACAAAAATTAGCCAGACATGGTGGTGCCTGCCTCTAATCCCAGCTACCAGGGAGGCTGAGGCAGGAGAATCGCTTGAACCCAGGAGGTGGAGGTTGCAGTGAGCCAAGATTGTGCCATTGCATTCCAGCCCGGGTGACAGAGTGAGACTCCGTCTCAAAAGAAAAAAAAAAGAAACAGCAATTAAAGAAGACCTAAATAAATGGAAAGACATCCTGTGTTTATGGATTGGAAGACTTAATATTGTTAAAATGCCAATAATCCCTAAAATGATCTATGGATTCAATTTAATCCTTATCAAAATCTCAGCTGCCTCTGTTGTAGAAATTGACACGCTGCTTCTAAAATTCATATGGAAATGCAAGGGACTCAGAATTACAAAATAATCTTGAAAAAGATGAAAAAAATTGGAAGACTCACATTTCTTGACTTTAAAACTTACTAGAAAGCTGTAATAATGAAAACATCATGGTAGTGACTTAAGAATCTACATTGGATTAATAGAATAAAATTGAGACTCTAGAAATAAGCCCACACATTCACAGTCAATTGATTTTTGACAAGAATGTTAGTCTTTTCAACAAATGGTGAGAGACAACTGTATATCCACATGCAAAAGAATGAATTTGAGCCCCTACCTCATTCCATATACAAAACTTAACTCAAAATAGATCATAGACCCAAATATAAGAGCTAAAGCGACAAAACTCTTAGAAGAAAAGATAAGTATAAATCTTTATGACCTTGAGTTAGGCAATGGTTTCTTAGATATGACACCTAAAGCACAAGTAATAAAAGAAAAAATTCATAAATTGGAGTTCATCAAAATTTAAAACTTTGTATTCTTTTTTTTCTTTGTTCCTTTTTTGTAAGGACAGGGTTTCTGTTCTTGTTTTTTTTTTTTTTTTTTTTTTTTGAGATGGAGTCTTGCTCTGTCACCCATGTCACCCAGGCTGGGGTGCAATGGCGCAATCTCAGCTCACTGCAACCTCAGCCTCCCAGGTTCAAGTGATTCTCCTGCCTCAGCCTCCCGAGCAGCTGGGATCACAGGCACGCACCACCATGCCAGGCTAATTTTTGTATTTTTAGTAAAGACGGTGTTTCACCATGTTGGCCAGGCTGGTCTGGAACTCCTGACCTCGTGACCCGTCCACCTCAGCCTCCCAAAGTGCTGGGATTACAGGCGTGAGCCGCTGCGCCCAGCCCCTGAGACAAGGTCCTATTCTGTTGCCCAGGATGAAGTGCAGTGAAGTGATCATGGCTCCCTGCACCTTGAACTCCTGGGCTCAAGTGATCTTCCTGCCTAGCTGGCACATCATCAGGCATATAGGCATGTGCTACCATGCCCAGGTAATTTTTTTGATTTTTTGTAAAGATGGGGAGCAGGGGGCGGGTCTCATTATATTTTCCAGGCTGGTCTTGAACTACTGACCTCAAAGTGATCCTCCCACCTCAGCCTACCAAAGCACTGGGATTACAGGCATAAGCCACCCCACCTGGCCAAAAACTTTGTTTCAAAGCACCCAGAAAATGAAAAGACAAACCACCTAATTTTGTGTTTTTAGTAGAGATGGGGTTTTACCATGTTGGCCAGGCTGGTCTCAAACTGCCGAACTCAAAAGATCCGCCCGCCTCAACCTCCCAAAATGCTGGGATTACAGGCATGAGCCACTGTACCCAGCCTAAATTAAGGATCTTGAGGTGGAGAAATTATCCTGGATTATCTGGATAGGTCCCATTGCAAAGTTTCTCGTAAGCGGGGAGGCAAGAGGGTCAGAGTCAGAAAAAAGAGATGTGATAATGGAAGCAGAGATTGATACAATGAGATCAAGAGCCAGAGCAAAGGGGGTGGGATTTAGGCCGGGCTTGGTGGCTCACACCTGTAATCCCAGCACTTTGGGAGGCCGAGGCCAGCGGATCACTTGAGCTTGTGAGTTCAAGAGCAGCCTGGCCAACCTGGTGAAACCTCATCCCTACTAAATATACAAAAATTAGCCACGCGTGGTGAGGCATGCCTATAATCCTAGCTATTCGGGAGGCTGAGGCAGGAGAATCACTTGAACCCGGGAGGTGGAGTTTGCAGTGAGCTGAGATTGTGCCACTGCACTCCAGCCTGGGAGACAAATAATAATAATAATAATAATAATAATAATAATAATAATAATAATGACTTTCTTTTTAAAATTTCAGTTCCCACTGTTTGAGCTAGCATATGGAAATTCAATTGACACTTTGTTCTGCTAACTTATTAGTTCTAGTAGCTTATTTCCTATTTCCTAGGATTTTCTACATAGATGATCATGTTGTCTGCAATAAGGACAGTGTTTCTTCCTCCTTTCCAATTGGTATGCCTTTTATTTTTTCTTCTTTTATTATTGCACAAGCTAGAACCTCCAGTACCATGCTAAATGCAAACAGCGAGAGTGGACATGTTTGCCTTGTTTCTAATCTTAGAGAGAAATCATTCATACTTTACCCATTAAGACATTAGCTTTAAGTTTTTGTAGCTATATTTTTTGCCGTTGAGACAGTCCCCTTTTATATTTAGTTTGCTGAATTCTTTTTTTTTTCTTTTTTTAATTATCAATGGGGCATGCACGGTGGCTCATGCCTATAATCCTAGCACTTTGGGAGGCTGAGGAGTGGATCACTTGAGGCCAGGAGTTCGAGACCAGCCTGGCCAACATGGCAAAACCCCATCTCTACTAAAAATACAAAAATTAGTTGGGCATGGTGGCGCCTTCCTGTAGTCCTAGCTACTGGAGTGGCTGAGGCACGAGAATTGCTTGCGCCTGGGAGGTGGAGGTTTCAGGGAGCCGAGATCACACCACTGCTCTCCAGCCTGGGCAATGGAGCAAGACTCTCTCTCTCTCAAAAAAAAATTATAATAATGAATGGATTCTGAATGTTATCAAATGCTTCTTTTCTGCAACTATTGAGATGATCATGCATTTTAAACCTTTCTTCTGCTAATATATTGCGTTACATTGGCTTATTTTTGTTTTCTTTGTTAAAGCAACATTGTATTTCTGGAATACATTTCACTTGACCTTGATATTTTATCTCTTTTATTTATTGGGTTTGACTTGCTAATCTTTCTAAAGCATTTTTGCATCTTTTTCCATGAAGGCTGCTGGTCCATATCAGGGACCAGCAGACCTTGTTCTGTAAAGAGTCAGTAAATATTTGAGGCTTTGCAGGTCATATAATTTCTGCTATAACTACTCAACCACTGTAATAGGAAAATAGGAAGAGACAGTATGTACTTTAATAATTGTGGCTGTGTTTCAATAAAACTTTATTTACAGAAACAGATCGTAGTCTGGTTTGGCCCCACAAGCCATGGTTTGCTGACTCCTGGTCTATTTGTTAGGTGTTTGGTTTTGGTATCAGAGTTAACACTGGCCTGATAAAATTACTTAGGAAGTGTTCTCTTCTATGTTTTCTAAAAGTTTTGGTGGGATTCGTATTACTCCCTCCTTAATTATTTGATAGGATTTACCAGTTGAGCCATCGGACCTGAAATTTTTATCAGAAAGATTTACATAAAAAATTAAAATTTTGGCCAGGCATGGTGGCTCATGCCTGTAATCCCAGCACTTTGGGAAGCCGAGGTTCTTGAGGCCAGGAGTTTGAGACCAACCTAGGCAACACAGCAAGACCCCATCTCTACAAAATATATATAAAAATTAGCTGGGCTTGGTGGCGTGCACCTGTGGTTCCCAACCACTCAGGAGGCTAAGATGGTAAACCAGGTACAGACAGAAAGAGCTCTAAGAGAAGCTCTCTATTGGTGGTTCAGGGTCCCCTGAAGATCAGGAAGAATGGAGACAGCCCCAGTTTGTGTTTTGTGATGTTGTTTTTGTTGGTTGGTTGGTTTTCGGTGTTAATTGCCATTCCCTGCTGCCCCAGCTTCCAGGCAATCCCATGACACGGTGAGACAGGCAAAAGCAGTTGGAGAGCCACCAAATGTTTTGAGAGGGAACACTTCTCTCAAGAGTCTGTGGCCCAAGACTGCTGGAGGGGTTCCTGTTGCTGTCTTTCTCTCTATGCTCTTGCCACTTGGCACTGCAGAAAGACACAGTCATAAGAAGTATGTGGCAGAGCAGAGAAACTGAAGCCCTGGCTTTATAGAGGACTACGGAGGGGCCCTTGGGGGCTGAAAAGTGTCAGTGAAATTGATGAGAAGAGGGAGCTAGAGATGACAATTTGATAAACAATTTATATAAACTCCTCTGCTCACCCCTGAGCTGTGTGTGTGTGCATTTGACCCTAAACAGCACAGGCTTTCAGAAAGAAATTACAGGACGGACCACTCCCCAGGTTCCAGGCTGGCCACTGCATGGTAAAAAAAAGAGATTTGCTCATCTTTTTAAAAAGACTTTTTTTTTTTTTTTTTTTTTTTACTCAGGACATATCTGAATAGTACTGCAAAGTATTTGGGAAGTAAACTGACATTGTAACAACAGCTCACAGAGTGCAGGTAGGAAGTTGCAGCTTGAACCTAACCAAATTCATTGTCTTTTTTTTTTTAAATTAAACTTCTCCATAGCATTTAAGCAAGACTCAGAACCACATAACAATATGTTTGAGACATCCAAAGCACAATTCAAAATTATCCAATATATAAAGAACTAGGAAAATCTAAACATCTTACATGGAAAAAGATAATTAACAGATGCCAACCACAAGATGGCACAGATGTTGGAATTATCAAACCAGGATTTTAAAGTAGCTATTTAACTATTTTTCTTTTTTTCTTTTTTTTTTTTTTGAGACAGAGTCTTTCTCTGTCACCCAGGCTGGAGTGTGCAGTGGCGCGATCTTGGCTCACTGCAACCCCTGCCTCCTGAGTTCAAGCAATCCTCCCACCTCAGCCTCCTGAATAGCTAGGATTACAGGTGTGCACCACCATGTCTGGCTAATTTTTTTTTTGTATTTTTAGTAGAGACGGGGTTTTACCATGTTGGCCAGGCTGACCTCAAACTCCTGACCTCAGGTGATCCGCCCCCCTCAGCCTCTCAAAGTACTGGGATTACAGGCATGAGCCACCATGCCTGGCCTATTTAACTACTTTTCTAAGGGAAAATATTTTTTAAATGAGGAGAAAGATAGAAACCCTCAACAGGAAAATAGAAGATACAAAAAAGAACTAAATAGAAATTTTAGAACTGAAAATATACAATCATCGAGTTTTACAATTAACTCAATGAGTTCAGTAGCACAATGTGTATGACTGAAGAAAGAGCTAGTAGACTTGAAAACAGGTTTTAAAACGTTATTTGATGGCTCACATTTGTAATCCCAGCACTTTGGGAGGCCAAGGTGGTAGATCACTTAAGCCCAGGAATTTGAGAATAGCCTGGCCAACATGGTGAAACCCCATCTCTGAAAAATACAAAAAAAAAATTAGATGGGCGGATGGTGGGTACCTGTAGTCCCAGCTCCTTGGGAGGCTGAGATGGGAGGATCTCTTGAGCCTGGGGAGGTCGAGGCTGCAGTGAGCTGTGATCGCACCACTGCACTCCAGCCTGGGTGACAGAATGAGATCCTGTCTCAAAAAAGAAAAAAAAAATTATCCAACATGAACTACAGAGAGGAAACAGATTGGGGGGAAAAAAACCAGCAACAACAAATAGTCTCAACAGAGTAAAAGAATGTGGTGCAAAAGATATTTGAAGAAATAATAGTTTAAAACTTCTGAAACCTGGAAAAATAAAAAAGCTTACAGATTCAAGAAGCTTAGCAAACTCCAGTTAAGATCATCTCAAAGAAATCCGTACCCAGACACATCATAATCACACTGCTGAAAACTAAAGACAAAGAAACTATCTTGAACACAGTCAGAAAAATGACATATCACGTAGATAATAACAGTTATTTGAACGACTAGGGATTTATCATCTGAAACCATGAAGGCCAGAAGGAAATAACACAACCCATGGAAGTGCTGAAGGAAAAGAAAGGTCAACCCAGAATATTATATATCTAGTAAAAACATCCCGCAGGAATGAATGTAAAATAAAGACATTTTGAGATTAAGAAAAACTAAGAGAATCCACTGACAGCAAAACTATACTAAAAGAAATGCTAAAGAAAGTTATTTATTCAAGAGAGGAATAATACCAGAGGGAGTCTTGAAACCTCAGGAAGAGCAACAGAAATGATAAATATCTGGGCACATAAAATGGACTATTTTTCCCACTTAAGTTCTTTGAAATATGTGTGACTTTTTTTTTTTTTTTTTTTTGAGACTGAGTCTCACTTTGTCACCCAGGCTAAAGTGCAGTGGTGCAATCTCGGCTCACTGCAGCCTCTGCCTCCTGGGTTCAAGCCATTCTCTTGACTCAGCCTCCCAAATAGCTGAGATTGCAGGCACACGCCACCATGCCCAGCTAATTTTTGTATTTTTAGTAGAGATGGGGTTTCACCATTTTGTCCAGGCTGGTCTTGAACTCCTGACCTCAGGTGATCCACTGCCTCAGCCTCCCAAAGTGCTTGGATTACAGGCGTGAGCCACTGCGCCCAGCCTAAAATATGTATGATTATTGAAAGCAAAAAGTATAATATTGTCTAATAAGTATTTTAAAAATAAGCTTTATTTTTTAGAACAGTTTTAGATTCTACTGGAGTTTTCAATGTTTGTAGATGGAATAATCTGATAACTACAACATAGTAAGGATAGGGGAAAGGAACCTACACGATAGCCAGGTTCCTACATTTTACAAGTAGTAAAATATTAATTCTAAGCAGAAAGTAAAAAGTTTGGTGTACATATTGTAATTTTTAGAGCCACCACTAAAAGAATACTATACAAAAAGATATAGTAAAATAATCAAGTGATAAATTAAAATTGAATACTAAAGCAATATTCAAATAACCCAAAAGAAGGCAGGAAAGGAAACAGTGAGGAATAAAAAAACAGAGCAGCCGGTCTCAGTGGCTCACGCCTGTAATCCCAGCACTTTGGGAGGCCGAGGCGGGCAGATCACCTGAGGCCAGAAGTTTGAGACCAGCCTGGTCAACACAGTGAAACCCTGTCTCTACTAAAAATACTAAACGTAGTGGGGCATGGTGGTGGGTGCCTGTGGTCCCAGCCACTCAGGAGGCTGAGGCACGAGGATCGCTTGAGCCCAGGAGGCAGAGATTGCGGTGAACTGAGATCGCACCACTGCACTTCAGCCTGGGCGACAGAGCAAGACCTTGTCTCCTGTCTCAAACAAACAAACAAACATAGAGAGCAAACAGAAAATAATGAATAAAATGATAGACCTAAATCCAAGTACATCAACAATAACAATGAATGTAAATGTTCTAATCACACCAACTAAAAGACAAAGATTGACAGAAGAGTTTTTTTTTAAAAGACATGACTATACATTTTGTTGTTGCTGTTGTTTTATTTGTTTTATTTTATTTTATTTTTTTGAGACAGAGTCTTGCTCTTTCACCCAGGCTGGAGTGCAGTGGCACCATCTTGGCTCATTGCAACCTCTGCCTCCCGGGTTCAAGCAATCTTCGTTCTTCAGCCTCCTGAGTAGCTGGGACTACAGGTACGCGCTGCCACACCTGGCTAATTTTTTTGCATTTTTGGTAGAGACAAGGTTTTGTCATGTTGCCCAGGCTGGTCTCTAACTCCTGGCCTCAAGTGATCCGCTTGCCTCGGCTTCCCAAAGTGCTGGGATTATAGGCATGAGCCACTGCGCCTGGTCTGACTATACATTTTAATATAGGTAGGCTATAAGTTTAAAAATGGAAAAAGATATGTTATGTAAATGCTGGTCAAAGGAAAACCGAAGTGGTTATATTTACATAAGACAAAGTATACCTCAAAGCAAGGAAATTTACTATAGATTAAGAGGGACATTACATAATGGTAAAGACCCAAGGCAACACCATTTAAAATGTATACACATCTAAAAACAGAACCTCAAATATATAAAGCAAAACTGACAGAACTTGAGGAGAAAAAGACAAATTCACAATTATAGTTGGAAACACCAATGCTCCTCTTCAGGTATGGACAGAACAGATAGAAAATCAGCTAGGATATAGAACTAAACACAATCATAAACCAACTAACACTGATGAAACACTCCCATCCACAACTGTAGTCTTTTTGAAGGCACATAGCCAGGCATGATGGCACGTGCCTGCAATCCCAGCTATTCAGGAGGCTGAGGCACGAGGATCATTTGAACCCAGGAGTTGGAGGCTGTAGTGCACTATGATTGTGCTGGGAACAGCCACTGCACTCCAGCTGGGGTAACATAGCCGAGACCCATCTCTAAAAAAAAAAAAAAAAAAAAAAAAAGCACATGGAACATTCACTGAGATAGACCATGTCCTTGGTCATAAAATAAACCCAAAAAAGTGTTTATAATTTAAAATTACATAAAGTATGCTTTCTGATGATAATAGAATTTAACTAGAAGTCAGTAATAGAACACTAAAAAATATTCAAATGCCTAGAAAATAACTACACACTTCTACATAATCCTGGGTGAAAGGGGAAGTCTCAAGAGAAGTAGAAAATACTTTAATTTGAATGAAAATGAAAATAGAACATGTCAAAATATACAGGATGCAGCCAAATTAAAGGGGAATTTATGTAATTAAATGATTATATTAGAAAATAAGAGGCTAGGCACAGAGGCCTACACCTGTAATCCCAACATGTTGGGACGCCAAGGTGTGAGGATTGCTTGAGGTTAGGAGTTCAAGATTAGCCTAGGCAACATAACAAGATGCTGTGTCTACAAAAATTTTTTTTGAAATTAGCCTGGTGTGGTGGCACATACCTGTAGTCCCAGCTACTCGGGAGGCTGAAGCAAGAGAATCACTTCAGCCATGAGTTTGAGGCTGCAGTGAGCTGGGATTCCGTCATGGTACTCCAGCCTAGGTGACAGAGTGAGACGCTGTCACAGGAGAAGAAGAAAGCAGAAGGAAGGGGAGGAGATGGAGGAGAAGGAGAGGAGAAGGAGGAGAAAGAGAAAGAGAAGGAAAAAGAGAAAGAGAAGGAAAAGGAGGAGAAGAAGAAGTGAAATAGAAAGAGGAGGAAGAGGAGGAGGAGGAGGAAGAAAGTTCTCAAATCAATAACCTAAACTGTTTCAAGAAACTGTAAAACGAAGAGTAAAATAAACTCAAGGCAAGCACAAAGAAGGAAGTAACAAAGGTAAGAGCAGCAACCAATGAAATTGAAAACAATAGCGAAACCAATTAAACCAAAAGCTAATTATTTGAAAAGATGTGTAAAATTCCTAAACCTCTAGCCAAATAACAAAAAAAAAAAAAAAAGAGAGAGAAAAGAAAGGAAACAAGACATAAATTATCAATATTGGGAATGAAATACATGATATCACTACAAATTTCACAAGTGTTAGAAGGATAATAAGGGGATATTATGAGCAAGTCTATACTCATAAATTTGACAACTTAGATGAAATGAACCAATTTCTCAAAAACCACAAACTACAAAACTCACACAAGGTAAAATAGATAATTTGAATAGTCCCATACTATTAAAGAAATTGAATTTGTTGTCAAAAAAAAAACAACCTTTCAGAGGAAATCTCAAGGCCCAGATAATTTCTGCAGAGAATTTTTACTAAAGATTTAAAAAAGAAAAAACAACAATTCTACACTTTTTTTTTTCCAGAAAATAGGGGAGTGAATACTTCCAAAATTGTTGTATAAAGCCAGCATTACCTTTACACCAAAACTGGACTATGCTAGTACAAAAACAGAAGCCTACACAGACCAATAGTCTGTATGAACATAGACAAAAGAAATCCTCAAGAAAAGTAGCAAATTGAATGCATCAATATATAAAATAGTAATAAATCACAACAAAGGCAGTTTTATATCAGCAATGCAAGGCTGGTTCAATATCTGAAATTAATCAATGCAGTGTTTCTTATTAACCGCTTATTAACAGAAGAAAAAACATCTAATTATATCAATACATTGATCAATGTATCCATTTCTTAAAATAATCAATATATCAATATGATCATATCAATATATCATATGACCATATGCAGAAAAAGCATTTGAGAAGATTCAACATCCATGCTAAATAAAAACTCTTATCAAAGTAGGAATAAAAGGGAACTTCCTCAACCTGATAAAGGACATCTCTAAAAATCCAGAGCTAAAGTCATACTGGTAAAAGACGGAATGCTTTCCCCCAAGTTAAGGTACAAGGTAAGGATGTTCATTCTCATTGCTCCTGTTCAACATTGTACTGGAAGACCAAAGTAGGACAATAAGGCAAGAAAAGAAATAAAGACCATACAGATAGAAAAGGAAGAATTAAAACTGTCCCTACTCACAGAACTTATGATTGTCACCATAGAATATCCCAAGTGCTGGGTGTGGTGATTCATGCCTATAATTCCAGCACTTTGGGAAGCTGAGGCAAAAGGATCACTTGAGTCCAGGAGTTCGAGACCAGCCCTGTCAACATAGCAGGACCTCATCTCTACAAAATATAAAATAAAAGTAGCCAAGCATGGTGGCATGCCTTTAGTCCCAGCTACTTGGGAGGCTGAGGTGGGAGGATCACTTGAACCTGGGAAGTCAAGGCTGCAGTGAGCCATGTTTGTACCATGGCACTCCAGCCTGGGTGATAGAGCAAGACCCTGTCTCGAAAAAGGAAGGGAGGGGAAGGGGAAGGGAAAAAATCTCAAGAAATATTCAGAAAGAGGCTGGGCGCAGTGGCTTACACCTATAGTCCCAGCACTTTGGGAGGCCAAGGTGGGTGGATCCCTTGAGCCCAGGGGTTCAAGACCAACCTGGGTAACATGGTGCAACCCTGTCTCTACAAACAATACAAAAAATTGGCTGGGTGAGGTGATGCACACCAGTAATCTCAGCTACTCAGGAGGCTGAGGTGGGAGGATCCCTTCAGGCCGGGAGGTCGAGGCTGCAGTGGGCTGTGATCACGACACTGCACCCCAGCCTGGGCAATAAAGTGAGAGCCAGTCTCAAGAAAAAGAAAAAAAGGAATCTACAGAAAGAAAAATATATTATAACTATAAATAAGTTTGTTAAGTTTGCAACATAGAATTGTGTATTTATGTGCTAGCAACAAAAGATTAGAAACTGAAATTTTAAAAACGTCATTTACAAAACACCAAAACAATGAAATACATAGGTATAAAATTAACAAAACATGTGCAAAATATTTATGCTAGAAATGTCAAAATGCTTTTAAAAGAAATCTAGAAAGATCTGGCTGGGCGTGGTGGCTCAAGCTTGTAGTCCCAGCACTTTGGGAGGCCAAGGCGGGCGGATCATGAGGTCAGGAAATTGAGACCATCCTGGGTAACATGGTGAAACTCTGTCTCTACTAAAAATGCAAAAAAATTAGCCGGGTGTGGTGGCGGGCGCCTGTAGTCCCAGCTACTCGGGAGACTGAGGCAGGAGAATGGTGTGAACCCAGGGGGCAGAGCTTGCAGTGAGCTGAGATCGCGCCACTGCACTCCAACCTGGATGACAGAGCAAGACTCCGTCTCAAGAAAAAAAAAAAGAAAGAAAGAAAGAAAGAAAAGAAATCTAGAAAGACCTAAATAAACGAAGAGGCACACCATGTTCACAGATTAGAAGACTTGATATAGGTAGGATGTCACTGCACCCCAAACTGATCTGTAGATTTAACAAAACACAGATCAAAATCTGAGCAGGATTTTTGTAGATATATACAAGCTGGTTGTAAAATGTATATGTAAATGCAAAGGAATTGGAATAGCCAGAGCAAATTTGAATAAGAATACAGTTGGAGGACTCATATTACCTGAATTTAAGACTTACTATAAGGCTATAGTAATTAAGACAGTGTAGTATTGGCAGTGAGACACAGGTCAATGCAATAGAATGAAACAGAATACATCAATGCAAAAGAATATAGAAATAGACACACAGAAATACAGCCCACAGATTTTTGACAAAAGCGCAAAGACATTTCCATATAAGTATAATCTTTATAACAAATGGTGCTGAAACATTGCATATTATTTGGCAAAAATAAATGAACTTCAACCTAACCTCAAAGCTTATGCAAAAAAAAATTAGCTCAAAAAGATCACAGATCTAAAAGTAAAACTAAAACTTTTAGAAGAAAACATAGAAGAAAATAATTGTGACATTAGGTTAGGCAAAGAGTTCTTAGATACAATATCAAAACCACAATTTGCAAAATAAAAGATTAATTGGACTTCATTAAAATGATAAACTTTTGTTCTCTGAAAGATTACTATTAAAATGAAATGACAAGCTACAGAAAGAAAAAATTATTTTTTAAGATGGACTTACTCTGTCAACCAGGCTGGAGTACAGTGACACAATCACAGCTCACTGCAGCCTCAACCTCCTGGGCTCGAGTGATCCTCCCACCTTAGCCTCCTCAGTAGCTGGGACTACTGGTATATGCCACCATGCCTGGCTAAGTTTTTTTATTTCTTTTTCTTTTTTTTGTAGAAACAAGGTCTCACTATGTTGCCTGGGCTGGGCTCGAACTCCTGGCCTCAAGTGATCCTCCTGCCTTGGACTCCCCAAATGGTGGGATTACAGGTATGAACCACTGTGCTCAGCCCCAAGAAAGAAAATCTTTACAAAACATATACTCAACAAAGGAATTGTACCTAAAATATATAAAGAATTATTAAAACTCAACAGTTAGTCTATTTCCCCAACTTCCTCAGGCAAAGTGGGGGAAAAATTGAACAGACACTTCTCCAAAGAAGGCAAAACAGGTACAGTATATGAACAAGTGCTTTATATGATTGGTCATTAGTGAATGCTACTTAAAACCACAAGAGGATACCACTAAACACCTCCTTAGAATGGCTAAAATTAAAAGGGCTGCTCATATAAGTGCTGACAAAGATATAAAATGACTGGAACTCTCATACAATGCTAGTGGGAGTGCACAATGGTACAACCACTTTGGAAAACAATTTAGCAGTTGCTTAAAAGATTAAGTATATACCTACCAGATGACATAGCATTCCACTGCCAGGTTATTTATTGAAGAAAAATGAAGGCATGTGTCCATACAAACACTATGATCTAGATGCTCATAGTATCTTTATTGGTAATAGCCAAACATTAAAAACTACCTAAATGTCCATCAACAGGATGAATAGATTAAAAAATTGTGGTATATCCATTCAATGGAGTACTACTTAGCAAGAAAAAGGAATGAACTATTGATACACATAACATGCATGAATCTTAGAATAATTATGTTGAATGAAAGATGCCAAAAAGAGCATACAGTAAATGATTCCATTTATATGAAATTCTAGAACTGCGTAGTACAACGTAGAAGGTACTAGCCACATGTGGCTGCTGAGTGCTTGATAGGGGACTAGTGCAAAATAACTGACTTTTAAATTTTACTTAATTTAAAATTTAAAATGAAAGTAAAATAAAATATTTTCTCCATTAAACAACTTTATCATTTTGGTAGAACTGCATTTCTTTCATGACTGTGTTATATTATTTTTGCACTGTGGTATGAGAGTTGGGCTTATGCAATTGTTTCTAGTATTATGTACTAGGCGTACATGACATTGACACATCTAGTCAATGTCAATGATCTGATTCAACTGGAATATTTTCTTTCTTTTTTTTTTTTTGAGATGGAGTTTCGCTCTTGTCACCCAGGCTGGAGCGCAGTGGCTCAATCTTGGCTCACTGCAACCTCCACCTCCCAGGTTCAAGCGATTCTCCTGCCTCAGCCTCCTGAGTAGCTGGGATTATGGTGCATGCCACCACGCCCAGCTAATTTTGTATTTTTAGTAGAGACAGGGTTTCACCATGTTGGCCAGGCTGGTCTCGAACTCCTGACTTCAGGTGATCCACCCACCTCAACCTCCCAAAGTGCTGGGATTACAGGCTTGAGCCACCAACCCCAGCCTCAAATTGAATATTTTCTATGTACCATTGTAATATTGTAATATGTATATTGATTGAATATTTTATGTAGATAGCGCTAGTTATGGTGATGCTTATGTACATTGTGATGGGTAGGAAAAATTACAATACTCTTATTTTCATTATGATTTAATTAATTCATTTTTGCAGTTTAAAAAACAAGTACAGATGCATTTTAAAATTTAAAACAGGCCGAGCTCGATGGCTCACGCCTGTAATCCCAACACTTTGTGAGGGCAGATCACCTGAGGTCAAGAGTTCGGGACCAGCCTGGCCAACATGGTGAAACTCCATCTCTACTAAAAATACAGAAATTAGCCGGGCATGGTGGCGGGTGCCTGTAATCCCAGCTACTTGGGCAGGAGAATTGCTTGAACCCAGGAAGCAAAGGTTGCAGTGAGCTGAGATTGTGTCACTGCGCCCCAGCCTGGGTGACAAGAGTGAAACTCTGTCTCACAAAAAAATAAAAAATAAAAATTTAAAATGTAAACAAAGTCATACTATTGAGGCAGAATCAAGTAGACGTATAACAGGAAAGGGAAAAAAAAGGACTGAAAGAAGGTATATTGCAAATTTCTTTTTTTTCCTGCCACCTCCTCCTCTCTATTGCAAATTTCATGATAAATAACAATTTGGCTGTATTAGAGCAAAATAAAACAAAACCTATTTTTCTGTTGTTGTAAATTTGTTTTCTTTTTGAGACAGGGTCTTGCTCTGCCACCCAGGCTAGAGTACAGTGGTACAATCATAGCTCACTGCAACCTCAACCTCCTGGGCCCAGGGGACCCTCCCACTTCAGCCTCCTGAGTAGCTGGGAACACAGGCATGTGCCACTAATTTTTTAAATTATTTTATTTTTGTAGAGATGGAGTCTCCCTATGTTGCCCAAGCTGGTCTCAAACTCCTGGGCTGGCTGGGGCTGGCGGCTCACACCTGTAATCCAAGCACTTTGGGAAGCTGAGGTGGGCAGATCGCTTGAGGTCAGGAGTTCGAAACCAGCCTGGCCATGATGGTGAAACCCCGTCTCTACTAAAAATACAAAAATTAGCCAGGCATGGTGGCACAAGCCTAGAATCCCAGCTACTTGGGAGGCTGAGGCAGGAGAATCACTTGAACCCAGGAGATGGAGGTTGCAGTGAGCCAAGATTGTGCCACTGCACTCCAGCCTGGGCAACAGAGAGAGACTCCATCTCAAAACAAAAAAAAAAAGATATCTCTGCTCTGATGACAATGTAGTTTTTGAGTTGTAATGTGCTTTAAGTTATAAACCACACACTGAATTTTGAAGTGCCGGTGCTTTTCAAAACGGAAAGTAAAAGAATTCATAATTCTTCATGTTGATTACAAGTTGAAATGATATTTTGAATATAGTGGGTTAAATATATTATTAAAGTCGAATTTATTTTACTTTTTAATGTGCCTACTGAAAATGGAAAACTACTACATGACTCCCCTAACATTTCTATTGGCAGCAGTACTTTAGAAAATGCTAACTCATTTTAGCATCTCCATCACTATAGTGATGGAAAACAGACCAATTATTCACTGGGAGGGGGAGATGAGTGAAAGACAGGATGAGCAGACTACAAAGAATTGACCGGGTGCAGTGGCTTACACCTGTAATCCTAGCACTTTGGGAGGCTGAAGCAGGCAGATCACTTGAGGTCAGGAGTTCGAGACCAGACTGGCCAACATGGCGAAACCACGTCTCTACTAAAAATACAAAAATTAGCCAGGCATGGTGGCACGTGCCTATAGTTCCACCTACTCAGGAGGCTGAGGCAGGAGAATCTCTTGAACCCAGGAGGTGGAGGTTGCAGTGAGTTGAGATCAGGCCACTGCACTCCAGCCTGGGCAACAGAGCAAGATTCTGTTTCAAAAAAAAGAAAAGAAAAAAGAAACTCCAAAATTCTACTTTTAGATAAAAACAACAGAAAAAAAAACTTGCAAAAGCCTGTCAGAATCAATTTTTTGCAACTCTGGAAATTAACCAAAGGCTTGTAGCAACCCAGGAGCGCTTATTCATGAAAAACAGCTGAATCTCAGTAAGAACAGCAAGGTTTGTGGTGTTTGAACTTACCCCAGTCCCATCCTCCACTCCTCCAGCTCAGTGGTAGCTTTGAAAATAACAGTCCACATTCTGCTGGAGCAGAATGAACCTCATTCACCTAGAAATGTAATTAGTTATTTTGACCAGTCTGGTGGTTCCCTGTAAGATCAGCTCAGAATGCTTGTCTTTATTTTGCCTAACTCAGAGCTGGCCCAGTGCTAGAGCCACTACCTTGGGGTAGATGGTGAAGGTGTTTATCAAAAACATTTGCAGGCAAATGTTTAGTCACTGCTGCCTGAGTCATTGGATAACAATGGAGCAAACAATAGCCTAACCAAAAAGCTTGGCAAGAAAGGTCAAGAATGAAATGTCCATAAGGGATTTGACAGCTCCAACATATTCTGGGAATCCAGGAGGCTATAGACATGTCCAAGGATGATTGCATACTCTTCGGCAAAGGCTGGGAGATTTCTTGGTTCCAGAAAGGCTCAAGTACATCTTTGTCTAATCATTAGCTGGAATAGAGACTTCAGTGGCCATGCTTGACAAAGAATACAGAATTTGTTCAGCATCACTGAACAAACAATAATGACCACGATAAGCAGAAGCAATGACAAAACCTGGGGATAAAGAGGAAATCCTATTTCCAGAGTTGTATATTATAATATTTCAAAATGTACAGTTTTCAACAAAAAATTATAAGGCAGGTAAAGAAATACAAAAGTATGACTTATAGATGGTGGGGTCAGGGCAAATCGGAAGCAATCAATAAAAACTGTTCCTGAGGAAGCCCAGACATTGGATTTTCTAGACAGACTGTATTTATTTATTTTTATTTTATTTTATTTTTGAGACAGAGTCTCACTCTGTTGCCCAGGCTGGAGTGTAGTGGTGTGATCTTGGCTCACCACAACCTCCGCCTCCCAGGTTCGAGTGATTCTCCTGCTTCAGCCTCTTGAGTAGCTGGGATTATAGGTGTGCGCCACCATGCCCAGCTAATTTTTTGTATTTTTAGTAGAGACGCGGTTTCGCCATGTTAGCCAGGCTGATCTCAAACTCCGGACCTCAAGAGATCCACCCACCTCAGCCTCCCAGATTGCTGGGATTACAGGCTGGACAGACTTTAAATAAACTATTTTAAATATATTCAAAAAGCTAAAGAAACCATGTCTAAAGAACTAAAGGAAAGCATGAGAACACTACCTCACCAAATAGAGAATATCAAAAAAGAGATTGAAATCATACAAAGGAAGGAAATAGAAGTTCTGGAATTGAAAAGTACAAGAACTGAAATGAAAAATTCACTAGAAGGGCTCCACAGATTCAAGCAAGAAGATTTTTTAAAATAGCACACTTGAAGATTAGTCAATTGAAATTATCAAGTCAGATGAACAGAAAAAATAAAAAAGAATGAAGAAAAATGAACAGAGCCTCAGAGAACTACGGAATGCCATAAAGCACACCAACATATGCATAATAGGAGTCTCAGAAGAAGGGAGAGAGAAAGGGGAAGAAAGAACTTTTCAAGAAATAATGGACAAACATTCCCAAATTTGATGAAAACATAATCTGTACATCTAAGAAGTTCGACAGACCCTAACTAGAATAAATTCAAAGAGATCCATACCTAGATACATCATAATCAAATTGTCAGAGGTTAAGAAGAGGATCTTAAAAGCAGCGTGAGAATAGAGGTTCATCACATACAAGGCATCCTTAATAAGATTAATGGCTGGTTTCTCATAAAAAAAACCATGAAGGCCAGAGGGAGCAGGACGATATATTCAAAGAGGTGAAAGAAAATAAAATCAACCAAGAATGCTGTATCTGACAAAATTATCCTTCAGAAATGAAGGAGAAATTAAACATTCCCAGATAAACAAAAACTGAGAGAATTTGTTCCTAGCACACCTGTCCTATAACAAATGCTAAAGGGAGTCCTTCAGGCTGAAATGAAATAACACTAGCCAGTAACTCAAATCCACACAAATAAATAAAGAACACAGGGAAAGACAACTACCTAGTTAAATATAAAAGACAGGGTAAATATATTTTTTGTTTGTAACTCCTATTTTTCTATCTGGTTCCAAAGACAATGGCACAAAGCAATAATTATAAATCTATGTTGAAGGGAATACAATGTATAAGGATGTAATTTGAGCAAGAACAGCATGGGAGGGCAATGAAGTTATATAGCAGCAAAATTTTATATACTATTGAAATTAAGTTGGTATTAATCAAAACTACTATTAGCCAGACACAGTGATGAATGTCTTTAGTCCCAGCTACTTAGGAGGCTGAGGTAGGATTGCTTAACCCTGGGAGGCAGAGGCTGCAGTGAGCCAAGATCATGCCACTGCACTCCAGCTTGGGCAAATTGGAGTGAGACCCTGTCTCAAAAGAAAAAATAAGGAAAAACCCACAAAACTACATTGCTATAAATAAAGATGTTAATTGTCATCCCCAGGGCAAACACAAATAACTAAAAAATATATAGTAAAAGTAACAAGGAATTAAAATGGTACACTAGAAAATATCTAGAAAACATAAAAGAAAGCTGTAATGAAAGAACCAAAGAATAAAAAGGCAAATGACATATAAACTGGCAGAAGTAAATCCTTATGATTAATTACATTAAATTAAATGGGTTAAACTCTCCAACTAAAAGGCACAGATTGGCAGAATGGATTTAAAAACACAAATAGGTTGAAAGTGAAAGAACGGAAAAAATATTCCATGCAGAAAGTAACCAAAAGAGAGTTAGAGTGGCTATAGTAATGCCAGAAAAAAATTAGCTTTAAGAAAAAAAATGTTATTATAGAGACAAAGAAGGATGTTATAGAATGACAAAAGGGTCAATCCTTCAAGAAGATATAACATTTGTAAGCCTATATGCATCCAAAAACAGAGCCTCAAAGTACAGGAAGCAAAAACTGCAGTAATTGGAGGGAAAATAAACAATGCAACAATAATATTTAGCCACTTCAATACTCTTTTATTTTATTTTATTTTTTTGAGATGGAGTCTTGCTCTGTTGTCCAGGCTAGAGTGCAGCGGCGCGATCTCGGCTCACTGCAACTTCCACCTCCCAGGTTCAAGCGATACTCCTGCCTCAGCCTCCTGAGTAGCTGGGATTACAGGCATACGCCACCATGCCTGGCTGATTTTTGTATTTTTAGTAGAGACAGGGTTTTCCCATATTGGCCAGGCTAGTCTCGAACACCTCACCTCAGGTGATCCACCCGCTTTGGCCTCCCAAAGTGCTAGAATTACAGGTGTGAGCCACCATGCCTGGCCTCCATTTTTAATAATAAAGAGAACAACTAGATATCAGATCAGCAAAAAAAACAGAATGTATGCCAACCAGACCTAACGAACATCTATAGAATATCCTACCCAACAACAGTATGATACGCATTCTTCTAAAGTGCACATGTAATATTCTCCAGTATAAATTATATGCTAGGTCATAAAATACATCTTAATAAATTTTTTGAAACTGAAATAATACAAAATACGTTTTCTGACCACAATGGAATGAAATCAGAAATTAATAACAAAAAGATATTTGGAAAATTCACAAATATGTGGAAATTAATCAACATACTTCTAAATAACCAGTAGGTCAGAGTAGGAAGTAAATTAGAAAAATCACAAGGTAAATTAGAAAATATTTTGAGTCTGAGCACGCTTGCTCACCCCTGTAATCCCAGCACTTTGGGAGGCCTAGGCAGGCAGGTTGCTTGAGCCCAAGAGTTTGAGATCAGCCTGGCCAACATGGCAAGACCTATCTCTACAAAAAATACAAAAAATTAGCCAGACATGGGGGTGCACACCTGTGGTCCCAGCTACTCAGGAGGCTGAGGTGGGAGGATCACTTGAGCCCAGGGGTTGCAGGGCGATATTGCACCACTGCACTCCAGCCTGGGTGACAGAGCAAGACTCCGGTCTTAAAAAAAAAAAAAAAAAAAAAAAAAAAAAAAATATATATATATATATATATATATATATATATATATATATATATATATATATATATATATATGGAGAGACAGAGATGAAAACAAAACAATGAAATGAAAACAAAAACATAACATATCAAAATCTGTGGGCCAGAGGGAAAGCAGGGCCCAGAGTGAAATTTATAGCTACAAATATTTACATTTAAAAAGAAGAAAGATCTCAAATCAATAATCTAACATTTTGCCTTAAGAAAGTATAAAAAAGAACAAAATAAGCGCAGTGGAAGCAGAAAGAAGGAAATAATATAAAGTAGAAAAAATTAAACAGAGGAATAAAAGATTAAAGAAAATCAATAAAACCAAAAGTTGGTTCTTTGAAAAGATCAACAAAATTGACAAACCTTTAGCTAGACTGATCAGCCTGGGAAATGTAGCCAGACATTGTCTCTAAAAAACAAATTTTTTTTTTTTTAATTAGTCAGGCATGGTGGTGCATGCCTGTAGTCCTAGCTACTTGGCAGGCTGAGGCAGGAGGATCGCTTGAGCCCAGGAGTTCCAGACTACAGTGAGTTATGATTGCACCACTGCACTCCAACCTAAGCAACTGAGTGAAACCCTTTTCCTTTTTCCTTTTTTTTTTTTTTTTGGAGACAGAGTTTTGCTCTTGTTGCCCAAGCTGGAGTGCAATGGCACGATCTTGGCTCACTGCAAACTCCACCTCCCGGGTTCAAGCGATTCTCCTGCCCCATCGTCCTGAGTAGCTGGGACTACAGGCACGCACCACCAAGCCTAGCTAATTTTTTGTATTTTTAGTACAGACGGGGTTTCACCATGCTGGCCAGGCTGGTCTTGAACTCCTGACCTCAGGTGATCCACCCTCCTCAGCCTCCCAAAGTGCTGGGATTACTGGCATGAGCCACCGCGCCCGGCGTGAAACCCTTTTTCTCCTAAAATGAAAAGAAATGAAATGAAATGAAGATGAAAAGGCAATCTGCAAACTAGGAGAAAAAATTTTGAAATTGATTTTTCACAAAAGATTCAGATTATATGAAAAAAACATATGAATTAATAAAAAAGGTAAGCAACCCAATTTTTAAAAAGATGGGCAAGTCCTAAACAGGCTTCACTGAAGAAGATATGTGAATTGCCAATAAGTACATGAAAAAGTCCTTAACATCATGAGTCATCAGAAAAATGCAAACTAAAACTTTGAGTTATTACTATATATCCCCAAAACAATTAAAATTCGCAAGGCTGACAAAACCAAACATTAGCCAGAAGGGAAGTGCCTGGAAATCTCATACACTGCTGATGGAAATGTTATTAATAAGACAGTATAGGCTGGGCGCGGTGGCTCATGCTTATAATCCCAGCACTTTGGGAGGCTGAGACGGGTGGATCATGAGGTCAGGAGATTGAGACCATCCTGGCTGACATGGTGAAACCCCGTCTCTACTAAAAATACAAAAGTTAGCTGGGCGTGGTGGCACGCACCTGTAGTCCCAGCTACTCAGGAGGCTGAGGCAGGAGAATTCCTTGAACCCAGGAGAGGGTGGTTGCAGTGAGCCGAGATCGCGCCACTGCACTCCAGCCTGGGGACGGAGTGAGACTCCATCTAAAAAAAAAAAAAATTGTACAGCCACTTTGGAAAACAGCTTGGCAGGTTTTTAAAAACTAAAATATATACCTACCGTACGACCTAGTCATTTCACTCCTAGGTTTTGCACAAGAGAAATGAAAGTATATGTTCATACTAAGACATGTACAAAAATGTTCATATCAGCTTTATTCATAATATCCAAAGGTGGAAGCAACCCAAGTGTCCATCAAAAGAATGGATAAACAGGTTAGGCACAGTGGCTCACATCTGTAATCCCTGCACTTTGGGAGGCCAAGGCAGGCAGATCACCGGAGGTCAGGAGTTCAAGACCAACCTGGCTAATATGGTAAAACCCATCTCTACTAAAAATACAAAAATTAGCTGGGCATGGTGATGTGTGCCCATAATCCCAGCTACTCAGGAGGCTGAAGCAGGAGAATCGTTTGAACCCGGGAGGTGGAGGTTGCAGTGAGCCGAGATCACAGCACTGCACTCCAGCCTGGGCAATAGAGCAAGACTCTGTCCTCAAAACAAAAAAGGGATAAACTAATGACACATGCAACAACATGAATAAATGTTAAAATCATTTTGCAAAAGACACATACATGCTATATTATTCCATCTATATAAAATACTATAAGATGCTAATAAATCTGTAGTAACAAAAATTAAATCAGTCATCATCAGGGGCTGGGAAAAAGGAAAGTATATTCATTTCTTGTGACTGCTGTAACAAATTATCACAAACTTGATGGATTGTAAGAACAGAAATGTATCCTCTTACATTGCTGGAGGCCAGCTGACCAAAATCATTATTGCTGAGCCCAAATGCAGGTGTCACTAGGGCTGTGTGGGATCCCTCTGGAGACACCCCAGGGAGAAACCTCCAGCTTCTGGTGACCACCTGCATGCCTTTTTTTTTTTTTTTTTTTTTTTGATGGAATTTTGCTCTTGTTGTCCAGGCTAGAGTGCAATGGTGTGATCTCAGCTCACTGCAACGTCCACCTCCTGGGTTCAAGTGATTCTCCTACCTCAGCCTCCCCAGTAGCTGGGATTACAGGCATGTACCACCATACCCAGCTAATTTTTGTAGTTTTAGTAGAGATGGGTTTTCAACATGTTGGCCAGGCTGGTCTCAAACTCCTGACCTCATGATCCACCTGCCTCAGCCTCCCAAAGTGCTGGGATTACAGGCATGAGCCACCACACCTGGACTGCTGCCAGCATTCTTTGGTTTGTGGCTGCGTCACTCCAATCTCTGCCTCGGTGATCACACTGCCTTCTCATTTTCTGCCAAATCTCCCTCTGCCTATTTCTTATAAGGACACTTGTGATTGCTTTTAGCCCCCACCACCCCCAGATAATGCAGAAGAATCTTCCCATCTCAAGACCCTTCACCTAATCACATCTGCAAAGTCTTTTTTTTTTTTGCCACACAACATTAATACATTCATAGGTTCCAGGGATTAGAGCATGGATATCTTTAGGGAAGGACATTATCCAGCTTCCCACAGAGGAACTGACTATAAAGGGACAAGGGGCAGGTTTTAGGGATAACAAAAAAGTTCTATGTGTTGATTGTGGTGGCAGTTTTTTGAGATATATATCTACGAGAAGTCATTGAGTTATATACTTTAACTGGATGCAGTTTGTTGTACCTGAAGTATGGCTCAATAGTATGCATTTGAAACTTTTTTTTTTTTGAGATGGAGTCTCTCTCTGTTGTCCAGGTTGGCGTGCAGTGGCACAATCTTGGCTCATTGCAACCTCTGCCTCCCAGGTTCAAGCAATTCTCCTGCTTCAGCCTCCCAAGTAGCTGGGACTACAGGCGCGTGGCCACCACGCCTGGCTAATTTTTTGTATTTTTAGTAGAGAGGGCGTTTCACTGTGTTAGCCAGGATGCTCTCCACCTCCTGACCTCGTGATCCACCTGCCTTGGCCTCCCAAAGTGCTGAGATTACAGGCGTGAGCCACCACGCAGGGCCTGGATTTAAAACTTTAAGAAGAAAAGTAATAAATTAAATTGCCACCTTAAGAAGCTAGAAAATATAAGCAAATGAAACACAAATAAGTAAAGGAAAGAAATACTACGGCTAAAAAGAGCGATCAGTGAATTAGAGAACAAACAATAGAGAAAACTAACAAAACCAAGAGTTATGTGGCCAGGCGCGGTGGCTCACGCCTGTAATCCCAGCACTTTGGGAAGCCGAGGCAGGCGGATCACTTGAGGTCAGGAGTTTGAGACCAGCCTGGCCAACATGATGAAACCCCGTCTCTACTAAAAATACAAAAATTAGTTGAGCGTGGTGACACGCACCTGTAGTCCCAGCTACTCCAGAGGCTGAGGCAGGAGAATCACTGAAACCCGGGAGGCAGAGGCTACAGTGAGCCAAGATCACATGACTGCACTCCAGGCTGGGAGATAGAGTGAGACTCCAACTCAAAAAAAAAAAAAAAAAAGTTCTTTAAAAAGATTAATAAAACTGATGTACTTATAACAACACTGAACAAAAAAAGAGAAGAAAACATAACTTACCAATAACAAGAACAAAAGAAGGAATATCTCTATTGATCATATAGATATTAAAAGATAGTAAGGGAAATTCTGCTTCCACCAAGAATATAGAAAGGTGGGTCTGGGTGCGGTGGCTCATACCTGTAATCCCAGCACTTTGGGAGGCTGAGGCAGGTGGATCACGAGGTCAGGAGATCGAGACCAAACCCCGTCTCTACTAAAAATACGAAAAATTAACTGGGTGTGGTGGCAGATGCTTGTAGTCCCAGCTACTTGGGAGGCTGAGGCAGGAGAATCACTTGAACCCAGGAGGCAGAGGTTGCAATGAGCCGAGATCGTGCCAGTGCACTCCAGCCTGGGCGACAGAGCAAAACTCCTTCCAAAAAAATAAAAATAAATAAAAATAAAAATAAAGGTGGAAAGAGTATCACTCTGCAGTGGGCTGAATGTTTATGTCTCCCCCAAATTTGTATGTTAAAGCTCTAACCCCTAAGATAATGGTATTAAGAGGCAGGGCATTTGGAAAGTGATTAGGTCATGAAGGCAGAGCCCCCATGAATGGAACCAATATCCCTCCCCTTTCTGCCATTTGAGGACACAACAAAAAGATGGCTGTCAGGGCCAGGCACGGTGGCTCATGCCTCTAATTCCAGCACTTTGGGAGGTGGAGGCAGGCAGATCATGAGTTCAAGAGACTGAGACCATCCTGGCCAACATTGTGAAACCCCGTCTCTACTAAAAATACAAAAATTAGCAGGACGTGGTGGTGCACACCTGTAGTCCCAGCTACTTGGGAGGCTGAGGCAGGAGAATCGCTTGAACCCAGGAGGGAGAGGTCGCAGTCTCAAAAAAAAAAAAAAAAGATGGCTGTCTATGAACCAGAAAGCTGCCCTCATGAGACACTGAAGCTGCCAGCACCTTAATCTTGAACTTCCCAGCCTCCAGAACTGTGAGAAATGTCTGTTGTTTATAAGCCATGGTATTCTGTTACAATGGAATGGACTGGGACACATTCCCACCCTAACAACAAGATAAAGCAAGATAAACCACAAAATCATACTTTCTTGAACCTATCATATTTTTGAGGTTGTATGGCAACAAAACAACCTGAAATCCAAGGAGGAACAAGTGCCTCAAAGGATAGACAGGCCAAAAGCACTGACTTACTTGTAGCAGAGCATGAGGGGGAAAGATACTAGGTGGTATTCATGTGGGCAAGAAGGATTCCGATGAAGTTTAGAATGAGTTTCTAAGTGCTGGGTGTGACCAGTATGAGAGTACAGAATCCTTGGAAGCAAAACACACAAGGGAAGCTCACACTTACTTTAGCCAACTCTTCTCCACATACCTCCACCAGGTTCTCATGAGAAAGTTTGGGGGCAGGGCAGGAAACTGGAGGAAGCCTCTATCACTGGTACAGACTAGAGGTGAGGACCAATAGCCTCTGAGGGAAACAGTAATGAAAACAACAAAACCCCAAATCAACTTAATTTCTAATTAGATTGGCCCAACCCCAAATCCCCAACAATAATTGCGTGGCAGTAAAAGAGACGTGCATTTCTGAACATAAATACTATTTTCTTCAATCGCTACTGTTTACTCATGATGTTGGATATTCAATCAAAAATTATAAGACACACATAAAAGCAAGAAAAAGCAGTCAATTTGTCAAGAAAGAAAGCAAGCAACATAACCAAACTCAGAGGTGACCCAGATGGTAATGATTTGAAAGGGTATTTAAAATAACTATGAGTAATAGTTTAGAGACTCTGGTGGAAAATATAAATGCAATGTATAAACAGGTGGGTGATTTCAATAGACAGATGGAAATTATAACATGAAGAAAATGGGCATGCTAAGAGCAGAAAATGTGATAAAAGATAAAGAATGCCTTTAACCTGTAATCCCAGCACTTTGGGAGGCCGAGGCGGGCAGATCACGAGGTCAAGAGATAGAGACCATCCTGGTCAACATGGTGAAACCCCGTCTCTACTAAAAACACAAAAATTAGCTGGGCATGGTGGCACATGCCTGTAATTGTAGCTACTCGGGAGGCTGAGGCAGAAGAATTGTTTGAACCCTGGAGGCAGAGGTTGCAGTGAGCCGAGATCACACCACTGCGCTCCAGCCTGGTGACAGAGCGAGACTCCATCTCAAAAAAAAAAAAAAAAAAAAAAAAGAATGCCTTCAATAAGTTTGTCCATCAATCCAACACAACCAAGGAAAGAATCAGTGAACTTGAAGGTAAGTCAATAAAAAACACACCAACTGAAACACAAAGAAAAATAAGAGTGGAAAGAAAAAAATCATAGTATCCAAGAGGAGTGGGACAATATCAAACATTTCATATATGCAATTGGAATACCAGAGGATAAGAATAGGGAAGAAGAAAAAAATCTGGAAAAACTATGACTGAGAATTTTTCAGTATCGTTAATATGCTAAATGACAGACCCAAGAAGAATTTCTAATAAAATAAATTCATTAAAAAATCAAACATGACCCGGCACAGTGGCTAACACCTGTAATCCCAACCGTTCGGGAGGCCAAGGCAGGAGAATCACTTGAGCCCAGGAGTTCGAGACCAGCCAGGGCAACATAGCAAGACCCCATCTCTACAAAAATAAAAATTAGACAAGCATGGCAGTGCATGCCTGTAGTCCCAGCTACTTGAGAGACTGAGACAGGAGGATAACTTGAGCCCAGGAGGTCAAGGTAACAATGAGCTGTGATCATGCCACTGCACTCCAGCCTGGGCAACAGAGTGAGCTACTGTCTCCAAAAATATATATTCAAAATTAAAAATAAGGCTGGGCACGGTGGCTCACACCTGTAATCCCAGCACTTTGGGAGGCCAAGGCGGGCAGATCACCTGAGGTCAGGAGTTCAAGACCAGCCTGGCCAACATGATGAAACCCCGTCTCTACTAAAAATACCAAAAATTAGCCGGATGTGGTGGTGCATGCCTGTAATCCCAGCTACTTGGGAGGCTGAGACAGAAGAATTGCTTGAATCTGGGAGGCAGAGTTTGCATGAGTCGAGATCGCGCCACTGCACTCCAGCCTGGGCAACAGAGCAAGACTCCATCTCAAAACAAAAACAAAAGTAAAATAAATTTTAAAAAACCAAACACCTAGAAATATAATATTCAAACTATTGTAAACCAAAGATAAAGCAAAAATACTGAAGGCAGAC
Organism: Homo sapiens; assembly: GCF_000001405.40. Taxonomy (NCBI): domain Eukaryota; kingdom Metazoa; phylum Chordata; class Mammalia; order Primates; family Hominidae; genus Homo; species Homo sapiens. The sequence goes on along the minus strand of NC_000007.14, from coordinate 73,931,098 downwards.
AGAGAAAAAAGACACATTATATACAGTGAAACAAAGATGAGTATTACATCAGAAAAAAAAAAATGCAAACCAGAGTCAATTGGTATGATATTGTTAAAGTACTGACAGAAAAATAGCAACAACAAAAAAACACTGTGAAGCCAGAATTTTCTAGCCAGTGAAAATAGCTTTCAAAAATGAGGAAATAAAATATTTTTCAGACAAACAAAAGCTTAGAATTTATTACTATCAAACCAGCACTGAAGGAATAGTAAAGGAAGTTCTTTAGACAGGTGGAATATGACATCAGTTAAAACTTGTATCTATCAAAGAAATAGAAAGTGCTTGAAATGGCATAAACAAAGGTAGTTACAATTTTTTTCTTAATTTTGATGGTTCTAAAAGATAACTGAAGCAATTATAGCAAGGTTACAGGATGTAAAGCTACCACATAGAAGTCTATTGCTTTTCTTTTTCTTTTTTCTTATTTATTTATTTATTTATTTTGAGATGGAGTTTCCCTCTGTCACCCAGGCTGGAGTGTAGTGGCACGATCTCAGCTCACCGCAACCTCTGCCTTCCGGGTTCAAGTGATTCTCCTGCCTCAGCCTCCCGAGTAGCTGGGATTACAGGTGCACACTGCCACGCCTGGCTAATTTTTTGTATTTTTAGTAGAGATGGGATTTCACCATGTTGGTCAGGATGGTCTCGAACTCCTCACCTCAAATGATCTGCCCGCCTCGGCCTCCCAAAGTGCTGGGATTATAGACGTGAGCCACCGCACCCGGCCATCTATTGCTTTTCAATATATCAGCAAGGAACAAGTAGAATTTGAAATGAAAAATACATTCCCATTTGCATTAGCTCTCCCGAAAATGAAATACTTAGGTATACATGTAACAAAACATGTAGAAGAACCCTCATCTATTGCTGGTGGGAATGCAAATTGGTAGAGCCATTTTGGAAGACAATTTGGTGGTTTCTTAAAAAACTAAATACAAGCCAGTTTCAGTGGCTTACACCTGAAATCCCAGCACTTTGGGAGGTCGAGGCAGGCGGATCACCTGAGGTCGGGAGTTCGAGATCAGCCTGACCAACATGGAGAAACCCCGTTCTCTACTAAAAATACAAAAAATTAGCCGGGCGTGGTGGCACATGCCTGTAATCCCAGCTACTCGGGAGGCTGAGGCAGGAGAATCACTTGAACTTGGGAGGCGGAGGTTGCAGTGAACTGAGATCGCGCCACTGCACTCCAGCCCGGGCGACGTGACAGTGCGAGACTCTGTCTCAAAAAAAAATACAAACTAGGCTGGGCGTGGTGGCTCACTCCTGTAATCTCAGCACTTTGGGAGGCTGAGGCGGGTGGATCACGAGATCAGGAGATCAAGACCATCCTGGCTAACACGGTGAAACCCCATCTCTACTAAAAATACAAAAAATTAGCCAGGCGTGGTGGTGGGGGCCTGTAGTCCCAGCTCATGCCAGTGCACTCCAGCCTGGGTGACAGAGCGAGACTCCATCTCAAAAAACAAAACAAAACAAAAAAAACTATCCAGCAATCACGCTACTTGGCATTTACCCAAATGAGTTGAAAATTTATGTCCCCATGAAACCTGCACAGAGATGTTTATAGCAGCTTTATTCATAACTGCCAAAACTTGGAAGCAACCAACATGTCCTTCAGTGGGTGAATGGATAAATAAACTGTGGTATATTCAGACAATGAAATATTTTTCAGCACTAAAAAGAAATGAGCTATCAAGCCATGAAAAGACATGAAGGAAACTTAAATGACTATTACTAAGTGAATGAAACCAATCTGGAAAAGCTCCATATTCTATGATTCCAACTATATGACATTCTGGAAAAGGCAAAACTATGCAGACAGTAAGAATATTAGTGGTGGCCGTGTGCAATGGCTCACACCTGTAATCCCAGCACTTTGGGAGGCCGAGGCAGGTGGATCACCTGAGGTCAGGAGTTCAAGACCAGCCTGACCAACATGGAGAATTCCTGTCTCTACTAAAAATACAAAATTAGCCAGGCATGCTGGCGCATGCCTGCAATCCTAGCTATCTGGGAGCCTGAGGCAGGAGAATCGCTTGAACCAGGGAGGTAGAGGTTGCAGTGAGCTGAGATCGCACCATTGCACTCCAGCCTGGGCAACAAGAATGAAACTCCATCTCAAAAAAAAAAAAAAAAAAGGTTAGCGGTTGCCAGGGGAGAGAGGGGATGAATAGGCAGAGCACAGAGGATTTTTCAGGCAGTGAAACTATTCTGTATGATACTATTATACAACGGTGGACACATGCCATTATACATTTGTCAAAACCCATAGAATGTTGGCCGGGCGCAGTGGCTCATGCCTGTAATCCCAGCACTTTGGAAGGCCAAGGCGGGCGGATGACCCGAGGTCAGGAGTTTGAGACCAGCCTGGCCAACATAGTGAAAGCCTGTCTCTACTAAAAATACAAAATTAGCTGGGTGTGGGGCTCACACCTGTAATCCCAGCTACTGGGGAGGCTGAGGCAGGAGAATTGCTTAAACTCAGGAAGCAGAGGTTGCAGAGAGCCGAGATCACGCCATTGCACTCCAGCCTGGGCAACAAGAGGGGAACTCCATCTCAAAACAAAACAAAACAAAACAAAACAAAAAAACCATAGAATGTATAACACCTAGAGTGAAGCCTATGGAAACTGTGAACTTGGGGGATAATGATGTATTAATGTAGGTTCATGGGTTGAGTATAAAATCATTGCCAAATTGAAGGTCATGAAGGTTTACCCCTGCTTTCTTCCAAGAGTTTTATAATTATAGCTCTTACATTTAGGTCTTTTTTCTATTTTTGAATTATGGTGTCAAGTATGAACTCTGGTATATCCAAATATACCATTGTGATGAGGGATGTTAATAGCAGGGAAGGCTGTATGTGGGGGTGGGGCAATATGAGAATTCTCTGTACTTTCTGCTCAGTTTTTCTATGAACCTAAATCTGCTCTAAAAAATAGTCTAGGCTGGGTGCAGTGGCTCACGCCTGTAATCCTAGCACTTTAGGAGGCCAAGGCAGGAGGATTGCTTGAGGCCAGGAGTTCGAGACCAGCCTGGGCAACATAGCAAGACCTCACCTGTGAGCCATGATCACACCACGGCACTCCAGCCTGAATGACAGAGTGAGACCCTTTCTCTTAAGAGAGTGAAAGAGGGCCAGGCACAGTGGCTGACACCTGTAATCCCAGCACTGGGAGGCCGAGGTGGGTGGATCACCTGAGGTCGGGTGTTCGAGACCAGCCTGACCAATGTGGAGAAACCCAATCACTACTAAAAATACAAAAAAAAAAAAAATTTTGCCACGCATGGTGGCACATGCCTGTAATCCCAGCTACTTGGGAGGCTGAGGCAGGAAAATCACTTGAACCTGGGAGGCAGAGGTTGCAGTGAGCTGAGATCGCGCCATTGCACTCCAGCCTGGGTGACAAGAGCGAAACTCCATCTCAAAAAAAGAGAGAGTGAAAGAGAAAGAGAAAAATACAGTCTGTCTAAAAAAGAGATAATTGACTGTCTAACAGCAAAAATAGTGGCAATGAATTGTATATTTGTAGCATATGTAAAAGTAAAAGGAATGGCAGAGACAGCACCAGCAGAGGGAGGGATTGAGAGTATACTGGTGAAAAGTTTTTACTCTGCACATGAAGTAGTATATGACTTGAAGATGCACTTTGATTACTTAAACATTTTAATTGTAAGCCCTCATATGTAGCTGGTGGGAGTGTAAAATGATACAACCACTTGGGAAAATAGATTGGCAGTTTTAAAATAAGGCATGCAGAGTGATGTCACTGAAAATAGCAGAGTAAGGAACTCCAGAAATCCATCAGTCCACTAAAGCAATAATTAAGCTGGCAAAAAGTATCGGATTCAACTGTTTTGGAACTCTGAAATTAAAAAAAAAAAACTTACAACAACTAAAAGAGTGCTTAATTAAGAAATAACCTGTTAAATTTTGGTTGGGAGAATGTTGCAACTTTTTGCTTAGTGCCTACAGTCTCCCACTGTCAACCTCAGAGGTGGCTGTGGTGATGACAGTTTATGCCCCTGGTGTGGCTTGGTAGTGCCAGAGTAGGGGAATAAAGAACTCTGTTCTATACACTTGTAATAAGCAATTCAAAAATAAAATTAAGAAAGCCATTCTATCACACCACAGCACTCCAGCCTGGGTGAAAGAGTGAGACTCCATCTCGGAAAAAAAAAAAAAAAACAAAAAAAACAAAAGAAAAAGAAAGCCATTCTATGTGCAATAGCTTCAAAAGGAATGAAACACTTAGGAATAAATTGAACAAAGCAGGTGCAAGACTTGTATGCTGAAAAGTACACAACATTGTTGAAAGAGATTAAAGAAAGCCTAAATAAATGGGAAAGCATCCCATGTTCATGGATTGGAAAACAGTATTGTTAAGATGGCAATACCCACCAAAACGATCTACAGATTTAATGCAATCCCTATCAAAATTCCTACTGCCATTTTTCACAGAAATGGACAAGTTTATCCTAAAGTTCAAATGCAAATGCAGTGAATCTCAAATACCCAAAAACAATCTTGAAAAAGAACAAAGTTGGAGGACTCAAATTTTCCAATTTCAAAACTTACTTACAAAGCTACAGTAATTAAGACTTTGTGATGCTGCCATAAGGACAGACATATAGACCAGCGAAATAGAGTTCAGAATCCAGAAAAAAAAAGCCAGTTCATCTATTGTCAATTGATTTCCAACAAAGGTGTCAAGATCATTCAATGAGGGAAAGAATAGTCTCTTCAACAAATGGTGCTGAGACAACTGGATGTCCACATGCCAAAAAACAAAGTTAGACCTTTACCTCACCTCATGTATCTTTACCTGACACCATAATTCAAAATGGATAAAAGACCTAACTGTAAGAGCTAAAATTATAAAACTCTTAGAAGAAAACAGAGGTAAATCTTCAAGACCTTGGATTTGGCAATGATTTTCTAGATATGACACAAAAAGTACAAGCAACAAAACATAAAATAGATAGGTTGAACTTCATCAAAATAAAAAACTTACATTCATTAAAAGACACTATCAAGAAAGTGAAAAAAAAACCCTACAGAATGACAGAAAATATTTTCAAGGCATATTGCTAATAAGGATCTAGTTTCCAGAGTATATACTCTCAAAACTCAATAAAAAAAGACAAACAACTTAATGAAAATATTGACAAAAGACTTGAATAGACATTTCTATAAGGAAAAAATACAAATTTCCAAAAAGCACGTGAAAATATGTTCAACATCATTAATCATTAGGGAAATGTAAGTGAAAACCACAATAAGACACTACTTCATACCCATGAGGATGACTATAATTAAAAAATGAGGCTGGGCGTGGTGGCTCATGCCTGTAATCCCAGCACTTTGGGAGGCCGAGGCAGGCGGATCACAAGGTCAGGAGATCGAGACCATCCTGACTAACATGGTGAAACCCCATCCCTACTAAAAATACAAAAAAATTAGCCGGGCACCTGTAGTCCCAGCTACTTGGGAGGCTGAGGCAGGAGAATGGCGTGAACCCAGGAGGCAGAGCTTTGCAGTGAGCGGAGATTGTGCCACTGCACTCCAGCCTGGGTGACAGAGTGAGACTCCATCTCAAAAAAAAGAAAGATAAATTTTGTTGAGGGTCTGGAGAAATTGGAGTTCTCACATGCTGCTGGTGGGAATGCAAAATGGTGCAGCCTCTGTGAAAAACAGTGTGGCAGTTCCTCAAAAAGCTAAACATAGAATTGCCCTATGACCCAATGTTTCCACTCCTGGATATACACCCAAGAGAACTGAAAACATGAGTTCACACAAGAACTTGTTGGCTGGTTGCAGTGGCTCATGTCTGTAATCCCAGCACTTTGGGAGGCTGAGGCGGGTAGATTATGAGGTCAGGAGATCGAGACCACCCTGGCTAACACAGTGAAACCCCATCTCTACTAAAAAAATACAAAAATTAGCTGGGCTTGGTGGCACGTGCCTGTAGTCCCAGCTACTCAGGAGACTGAGGCAAGAGAATTGCTTGAACCCAGGAGGCAGAGGTTGCAGTGAGCCGAGATCATGCCACTGCACTCCAGCCTGGGTGACAGAGCGAGACTCCGTCTCAAAAAAAAAAGAAAAAAGAAAAAAGAAAAAAAAATTAGCCGGGCATGGTGGTGCGTGCCTGCAGTCCCAGCTACTCAGGAGGCTAAGGCAGGAGAATCGCTTGAACCCAGGAGGCGGAGGTTGCAGTGAGCAGAGATCACATCAGTGCACTCCAGCCTGGGCAACAGTGAGATTCCGTTCCCACCCCCAAAAAACAAAACTTGTACGTGAAGGTTCACAGCGGTACTATTCAAAATACCCAAAAGTCAGACCCTGAAGGAGCTGAAAAACACACACAAACAAAAACAAAAACAAAACAATAGCCAGAAGGTGGAAACAACCTAAATATCCACCAATGGATGAATGGATAAACAAATTGTGGTCTACCCATACAATGAAATATTATCCAGCCCTAAAGAGGAATGAAATTTTGATACACTCTGCAAAGTGCATGAACCTTGAAAAACATTATGCTAAGTGAAAAAAGCTAGACACAAAAAGCGACCTACTGTTGATTCTATTAATATGAATATCCAGAACAGGCAAATCCATAGAGACAGAAAATGGGTTATTGATTGTCAGGGGTGGGAAAATGGGAGATTGGGGAGTGACAGCTTAATGGGTATTGGATGCCCTTTTGGAGTATGATAGTGGTGATAGTTGCACAATATTGTGGATGTACTTAATGCCATCGAATTTTACATTTTAAAATGGTTAAGATAATCCGTTTTATGTCATGTATACTTAACCACAATTGTAAAAAACAGTCATCAATAAAAACATTAATATAAAAACCACAGACTTATAAGAAAATAGTCACAAACTGTGTATCTGATAAAGAACTTGTATCCAGAATATATAAATAGCTCCTACAAATCAATAATTTAAAAAAATTAAGATCCCAATTAAAAAAAAACAGGCAAGTCACCTAAATATTAGACACTTCTCTAATGAAGTTGTCTAAATGGTAACAAGCTCAACATAATTAGTCAGCAGGAAAATGCAAATTAAAATCACAGTGAGACACCACTGTGTATCTATTAGGATGGTCAAGCTAAAAAAGGCTATTGACTGTATGACTCTTCTCTAAAGGTTAAAATTTAAAAGACTGACAACACCAAATTTGGTGAGAACATAGACCAACAACCTCATCCACTGTTGGTAGAAATGTAAAATAACACAAACACTGTAAGCTGAGTCTTGGCTGTTCTTGTTCGGTTAAACATCCACTCTCCTTATCGCCCATCTATTCCACCCCTAGTTAGTTACCCTAGAGAACATTCTAGAATGATAAAACTTTTCTCTGTCTTGACTGGTGTTAGGAACTGAATGCTTTTGTCTCCTGCCAATTTACACATTGAAGCACTAACCTTCCACAATATGATGGTATCCAGAGATGAGACCTTTGGGAGGTAATTACATTTAAATGGATTAATGAGGTTGGGAATTCCATGATGAGATCAATATCCTTATGAAAAGAGGAAGAGAGACCAGAGCTCACTCTCTTTCTACGATGTGAGGACACAGCAAGATGGCGGCCATCTGTAAACCAGAAAGAGGACCCTCGCTGGGGACCAAATCTGCCAGCACCTTGATCTTGGACTTCTCAGCCTTGAGAACTGTAAGAAAGAAGTCTGTTCTTTTAACCACCCAGTCTGTGGTATTCTGTTATGACAGCCTGAGCAGACCAAGGCAATTGTGCTGTGGGTAGCACAAATACGTGCATTTGTCAAAACTTATCAAGTTATATGCTTAAAACATGTGCATTTTACAATATTAAATTGTATCTTAAGGAACCGTAAAGAAATGTTGGACTCGGCTGGGTGCAGTGCCTCATGCCTGTAATCCCAGCACTTTGGGAGACCTAGGCGGGAGGATCACCTGAGGTCAGGAGTTCGACACCAGCCTGGCCAACATGGTGAAACCCCATCTCTACTAAAAATACAAAACATTAGCCGGGCGTTGCGGCAGATGTCTGTAATCCCAGCTACTCAGGAGGGTGAGGCAGGAGAATCGCTTGAACCTGGGAGGTAGAGGTTGCAGTGAGCTGAGATCGTGCCATTGCACTCCAGCCTGGGCAATAAGAGTGAAACTCCGTCAAAAAAAAAAAGAGAGAGAGAGAGAAAGGAGAGGAGAGGAGAGGGGAGGAGAGGGGAGGGGACGGGAGGGGAGCGGAGGGGAGAAAAGAGAAGAGAAGAGAAGAGAAGAGAAAAGAAAAGAAAAGAAAAGAAAAGAGGGCAAAATTTAAACAAGCGATGACTCCAGGTTAAAAAAAAAAATTAGCAGGGAGTTCCTTGTACGACTCTTGCAACTTTTCTGTAATTTTAAAATTATTTCTTAAAATGTTTCAAAAAACAAACAAAAAAATTTTAATAAAGTAAATTGGCAAAGCCAGCTTCCAGGGATGAAGAGAGCAGAGAGGGTTTTGAGATCACCCCACCAAAGGGTGCTTAGGAAGGGAAACCCACTTTGCACACTGTCTTATCCCATCCAGAATCAAGGAGAAATGCCACGTGGATTCTCCCTTTTGGAAGAGGCAGCAGCCTGGCAGAAAGAAAAGAAGCCAGGCCGGGAGCCAGGATACCTGGGCCCCTGTTCCAGCTTTGCCATAGCCTGTGTGAGATGGCCCCTGTCCTCTGGACCTCACGGTCCTGTCCACACCGCGAGGTGGCCAGAATCTCCAGTCACTCTGTTTTCACCACTCTGGATGGCCCCAAAGCCAGCATCGGGCTCGCCAGCAGCTCAAAGACCCACTGCAGCCCCGCTGAGGGTTTCTACTTTCCAAGAATTAATCTCTCTGCCTGCACTGGCCGCCTGTTGGACCGTCAGCCTCTCAGCACTCTGCCTGCCTTGTCCCGGGGCCAGCCTCAAGCTCGTGATGTGATTTTCCAGGCTGAGGCATCTCACCCTTGGAGCCTCCAGTTCTCACTCTTCCCTGCCACAGTCTGAGACAACCCCTGCCCCCAGCACAAAAATGTACAGCAGCAGCAGCAGCTGGGGTCTCTATTCTGCTGGGACTCTCAGACCTACAGGATGGTGGCCACAGAGAGAGGCCTGACCTCAGGGCAAGTGCAACTCATGCTCTCCAGGCAATGGTAGACAGGTCTCACCTGCTGGCCCCAGCTGCCTATATCCAAATGTCTACACGGGAGTCTTGGAGACTTCCTCTACAGGCTCCAGCCTCCCCAGGACAGAGAGATATGGCTGGGCGTGGCAGCGCATGCCTGTAATCCCAGTGCTTTGGGAGGCCAAGGCAGAGAGGATTGCTTGAGGTTAGGAGTTTGACACCAGCCTGGGCAGCACAGTGAGAACCTGTCTCTACAAAAATGAAAAATTAGCTGGGCATGGTGATGCATGCACACCTGTCGTCCCAGCTACTCCAGAGGCTGAGGCGGGAGGATCACTTGAGCCCAGGAATTGGAGGCTGCAGGGAATTATGATCATGCCACTGCACTCCAGCCTGGGTGACAGAGCGAGACCCTGTCTCAAAAAAAAAAAAAAAAAAAAGGCATCTCAGGGTCTACTTCTGAGAAACCTGACCTCAGGCAACTCCCAAGACTGAATCTCCGGTCTCGACCCTACTTTCAACCCCAACTGTATATATATCCAGGGTCTCCCTATGTTGCCCAGGCTGGTCTCAAATTCCTGGGCTCAAGCCATCCTCCCACCTCTGCCTCCCAAAGTGCAAGGATTACAAGCATGAGCCACTGCACTCGTTCTAGCTGCTTGCTTTAAGGAATACCCCAGCCAGTCTTTCCTTCACCACCACTTGTGTCCAAACATCTGGGTGCAGCGTTTCCCTGTTTAACCGCCCTCCACAGCTCCCCTCTGTCTTCTAGATAACACACTCTTCAGCATGGTGTTTGAGGTGTCAGGGTCTGACCGATGTTGGCTCAGGGTCTGGCTTCCTGCTGGCACAGGGGCCGGGTGGTGACGCGGCCTCAGCCCCGCCTGGGCGTGCCCCTCGGGCAGACATCCTTCCCAAGCCCCACCGCACCAGGCTGCCCTTTTTCCTTCATTTTCAAAAATGAATTTTCATAATTCAATCATTTAGAATGTTTCTGGCACTGCATCTCTCATAATCTGATCACTGTGCTGTTTCCCCGAGGGTGTTTATATTTTGACGGTTTCTAGCCGGGCTTTGGGTGATCCCACGTTTCGACTGTTTTCTCGTCGCAGCGATCAGATGTGTCCTCTGGTGTCCCCTGGTTGTGTGTTTGGACCTCCTTCCAGGGCCCTCATGTCTGGCAACCGGCTTCCTGGGTAACTTCTTCAAGACACCATCTGGATGTCTTTAGACCGGGGGCCAGGCCGGAAATCACTCCAAAGGGTCACCACTGCCACCTCCCCTGCCTCTGCCTGCGCCCCTGTGGGTTCTGTGCATCATGGGGAGGCCAGTGCCCCTGGGCCTGCTCCCAGCAAGACGTACAGACCTCCCCTCAGACCAGGCCCAGCAGGACAATTTCCTGGACACCTGTCTGGGACCCCCGCTCCACCACCCTGGCTTGGCAAAAAGCAGGTCTTTCCCACAGGAAACTTACATCCAAGTAGAACCAGAAAGCAGCAACAGTGCCCAAGAGCTTTTTATAGGTGACAAAGTGCTTTTGCGTGCACCGATCCCATTTGCACCGCATTAGAAGTCTGGGAGGTGGGCGTGATTATAACCATCTCCCACTCACAAAGGAAGAACTCGGGGCGTAGAGGGAGCATCGAGGATGACTTCTGGGCCTCAGGGAGACCACAGTAGTGCAGCAGGGGCCTCAAACCTAGACCTCTGGCCTCCAATGCTGCACTTGAAATAAACAGGCTCATAACTATAACCAGCTGTGCATGGGAAGTGCTGAATGGTACTGAGTTGAGGAATCTTGGGGATCCAGGGAGATTCTTGCAGGGGCAGCCCAGAGTTGGACACAAATGTCAAGGAACAGAGACAATTCAAATGTGTACCTTCCCATGTGCCCTCTCATCTGGGCCTCCTCCCACCTCACACAAGGGGTGACTCTCACGCACCCCATTTTCCCAATCAGGAAACCAAGGCTCAGAGATGTAAGGACTGGGTCAAGGTCACCCAGGCAGCAGTGGGGAGGGGGGGAGGAGGGGAGGGGAGGGCTGTGAATCCAGTGGGCCGGGAGATACCAGGCCCTCTTGGCCTCACCTGGGTGACTGCCAGGAGACCACGGGGGGACAGAGGGGGCATTAGGAGTGGGGCTGGGGCCAGGGTGGAAGGCAGGTGCCCTCTTGTGCCAGGCAACAAACATGGCCTTTATAGGCACAGGGCAGCCTGCAGGCCATCAGTGACATGGAGTGGAAGTGCGGCTGTGGCGGGACCTGTCTGCAGCCTCCCTAATCAACGGAGAGGTTGAGGAGACGGTCAGGGAGTGGGGCTCCAGAGAGGCCAACAGGTGTGTTCAGACAACCAGGTTTCCAGCCACCGAGAGGAAGCCAGCTCTCCGCTCGTTCACTGCAGGGAGCTGGGTCCCCAGCCCCTTGTTTTCCTCTCCTGCTTTGTTCTGTCTCATTCTGATTGGGTGTTGGCCTCTCTACAGATGTTGGGGGAAGGGCTGGGAAGGAAGGTTTGTTTCCAATTGGTTTCAGGAGGCTGGAGGGAGACGTCTGTTTTTCCGAACCAAAGCAGAGCCGGTCCACATTAGGGCCGAGGCATGAAATCCACTCTAAAATGTTCCGTGTGTCTCCAGCATGGGGCTGGTCCTCACCATCACTGTCTCCCATCTGGGCCCACTCCCTGGACCCGAGCGGGAGATGATACTCTGCCAGTCTCCCCTGACCCGAGTCATAGCAGAATGGCCCAGGGCAAAGCATGCAGCAACAGCTGCCAGTCCCACAGCACTTGACATGTTTGTGGCTGGCTGGAGCCAGCTTGGGCTAGTCACTACCACTCCGCCTCCTCCAGGAAGCCCACCCTGACCACCACCACCCACAGGGTTTCACAACACTGCCTCCCCATGGCCTAGGCTCTGGGCAACTTCACTGCCAATTTATGCTTGGTCAGATCCCGCATTGCACTGCCACGTTTCAGAATTTAATATCAATCTCCTTCTATTGCATGTTTTCTTCTCATGTATCATTAATTCATTCAATTATTTATTGAAAAAACTTATTAAGTGGTTACTGGGGATGGACACAGTGTCTCACACTTATAATCTCAGCGCTATGGGAGGCCGAGGCAGGAGGATGGCTTGAGCTCAGGAGTTCGAGACCAGCCTGGGCAACATGGCAAAACTCCATCTATGCCAAAAATATAAAAATTATCAGGGAATAGTGCTGTAATCCCAGCTACTCAGGAGGCTGAGGCAGGAGGATAGTTTGAGCCCGGGAGGCAGAGGTTGCAGTGAGCTGAGATCGCACCACTGCACTCCAACCTGGGCGACAGAGTGAGACCCTGTTTCAAAAAAAAAAAAAAGAGCAAGTGTTGATGCAGCAAAGAGAAAGGCTGGGGAAGGCTTCCTAGAGGAGGTGATTTTTGAGCTGAGTCTGAAGGAAGAAAAAGAGTTCCCAGGGTAGACAGAGAGGGCAGGAGTACCACTGTGGGACCGAGGTTGGAAAGGCATGGAGGGAGGGCATGGGTGGAGAGGTCAGTATCATAATGATTATGCCTGCCATGGTGGTTCACACCTGTAATCCCAGCACCTTGGGAGGCCGAGGTGGGAGGATCACTGAGCCCAGGAGTTCGAGACCAGCCTGGGCAACATAGTGAGACCCCCCCATCTCTACAAAAAAAAAATTCTTAATTAAAAATTAGGCTGGGCGTAGTGGCTCATGCCTGTAATCCTAACACTCCGGGAGGCCGAGGTGGGCGGATCATCTAAGGTCAGGAGTTCGAGTCCAGCCTGGCCAATGTGGTGAAACCCCGTCTCTACTAAAAATACAAAAATTAGCCATGCATGGTGGCAGGCGCCTGTAATCCCAGCTACCAGGAGGCTGAGGCAGAAGAATCGCTTGAACCCAGGAGGCGGAGGTTGCAGGGAGCTGAGATGGTACCACTGCACTTCAGCCTAGGCGACAGAGTGACTCTGTCTCAAAAAAATAAAAAATAAAAATTAGCTGGGCATGGTGGCATGTGCCTGTAGTACCAGCTACTTGGGAAGCTGAGGCAGGAGTATGGCTTGAGCCCAGGGGTTGGAGGCTGCAGGGAGCTATGAGCGTGCCACAGCCTGAATGATAGAGGGAGACCCTGTCTCTAAAAATAATAATGATGATGATGAAGATGAAAACATTTGTGGAGGTGTCAGGGACCGTTATGAATGGTTCACTTGTATGAATGTGTTTGATGACCCACATGGTAGGTAGGTAGGTAGGTAGGGGGATGATATTCTCTCCATGTTATAGATGAGGAGATAGAAACACAGAGAGGTTTAGCAATGTGCCTGAGGTCACACAGCTAGCAAGCGTCAGAGCTGGCTACAGTCTGGCTCTAGAGCTGTGCTCTTTTTTTTTTTTTTTTTTTTTTTCTTTGAGACAGAGTCTTGCTCTGTCGCCCAGGCTGGAGTGCAGTGGTGTGATCCCGGCTCAGCAACCTCCGCCTCCCGGGTGCACGCCATTCTCCTGCCTCAGCCTCCCAAGTAGCTGGGACTACAGGCGCCCGCCACCACGCCCGGCTAATTTTTTGTGTTTTTAGTAGAGACAGGGTTTCACTGTGTTAGCCAGGATGGTCTCAATCTCCTGACCTCGTGATCCGCCTGCCTCAGCCTCCCAAAGTGCTGGGATTACAGGCATGAGCCACCGCGCCAGGCCTAGAGCTGTGTTCTTAACCATGATAAGGTACCGCCTGACTGGAGATGTATTACTGTGTTTCTTCCAAAGGGTTGTGGACACGTTTCAGCACAAATAAATTAGCATACCCAAGTCAAACAATTGATAACACCTTCCCTGCACCCTCCAAAAGTCCCTCTAATCTTGTTCTCTCATTGTTTCCTTGTCAATCTCTTTTCCCCAAAAACAGCATAAGCCCCTCCTACTAGAGTCTGTCTCTGGGGGTTCCCCCCAGGCCCCCCGTTTGTGACCCATCTGGAGGTGGCCCCAGCCCCGGCAGTACTTACGGGATGGAAGTGTTGATCGAGGGCCCCCACCACAAGTCACCTGAGCTGCCAAACACGCAGAAGCTGGCCAAGTGGCGAGGCTGAGTGTGAAATTTTCCAACTCGTCTCCCCAGCCCGCTCAGCCCTGAGCCCCGCCACCCCAGGAAAGATGAGCTCACACAGAAGGACACTCCTGCATCTCGCCGGCTCTGAACTGCAAATGGGCGCTGGAGTCCCTTCCAATTTCCTAACTTGAAAAACCTGTCTGCACGCCCCAGATGCAAAGTGTGTTTGCCACGCATGATTGTGCTAAGGAACGGTGCCTGGGGCTGACTTAGCCTCAGCCCAGGCCCGAGAGCTAGGGCCTCGAGAGCGTGGCCTCACCAAGGCAGCCACACAGGGCTGGCTTTGGGGACCATGTCTGGAGCTTCAGGCCAAGTTAGTTAGCAAAGGTGAGGCTGGAGGTCAGGAGACTGGCAAGGAGGCAAGTGCTGAAGAATGATGCTGAGACTTGAACTAGAGTGGAGGCCATGAAGCTGGAGAGGAGGGGAGGCTCTCTAAGACATTCGAAAGCTGCCGGGGACAGGGCTTGGGTTCTCCATCCAGCTTGGTTGCTGGAGGTAAGAAAATGGGAGTAGCACAGGCCGGGCGTGGTGGCTCACACCTGTAATCCCAACACTCTGGGAGGCCGAGGTGAGCGGATCATGAGGTCAGGAGATTGAGACCATCCTGGCCAACATGGTGAAACCCCATCTCTACTAAAAATACAAAAATTAGCTGGGCATGGTGGCACGCACCTGTAGTCCCAGCTACTCGGGAGGCTGAGGGAGGAGAATCACTTGAACCCGGGAGGCGGAGGTTGCAGTAAGCCGAGATTGCACCACTGCACTTTAGCCTGGTCGACAGAGCGAGACTGTCTCAAAATAAAAAATTTAAAAAAAGAAAAGGAAAAGAAAAGAAAAGAAAATGGGCATAGTGAAAGAAGAGGGGGATCCATATCTGTGTGGCTAGAGAAGTGAAGCAGTGTTTGAGGTGGGTGCAGAGAGGGAGGTTCATCGGGGGGATCATGGAGAGGACAGTTGGGAAAGCATGGATTGTGAGGGACTTGGGGCCACCCAAGTAGAGATGTCACCAAGCAGTTGACTGTTGGCCCACTCTTAGAAGAGAAGGCAGGGGCTGGGCACAGTGGCTCACACCTGTAATCTCAACACGTTGTGGGGCCGAGGTGAGAGGACTGCTTGAGGTCAGGAGTTCGAGACCAGCCTTGGCAACATGGCAAGAACCTGTCTCTACAAAAAACTTAAAATATTAGCCAGGCATGATGGTGTGTGTCTGTAGTTACAGATAATGAGGAGGCTGAGGTGGGAGAATCATTACAGCCTAGTAGTTCAGGGTTGCAGCGAACTATGATGGTGCCACTGCATTCCAGCCTCAGTGACAGAGTAAGACAAGAAAGATAGAAAAGGAAGGGAGGGAGGAAGGAAGGAAGGAAGGAATGGAGGGCAGAGAGAGAGAGAAAGAAAAAGAAAGAGAGAGAGAGAGAGGAGAAAGAGAAAAAAAAGAGGACCGGGTGCAGTGACTCACACCTGTAATCCCAGCAGTTTGGGAGGCCGAGGCAGGAGGATCATTTGAGGTCAGGAGTTCAAGACCAGCCTGGCCAACATGGTGAAACCCCATCTCTACTAAAAATACAAAACTTCACTGGGCATGGTGGCATGCACGTGTAGTCTCAGCTATTAGGGAGGCTGAGGCAGGGGAATTGCTTGAACCTGGGAAGTGGAGGTTGCAGTGAGCCAAAATTGCACCACTGCACTCCAACCTGGGTGACCAAGTGAGACTCCATCAGAAAAAAAAAAAAAAAGAGAAGAACAGAAGGAAGAAAAAGAGAGAAGGACAGAAGGAAGGAAGAAAGAATGAGAAAGGGCTGAATGGAGACTCTTGGATGCCATCTTCACTGGACTGACGGTCAAAGCCTCAGAAGGGCATAAGATGGCTAAGGTGATGGCCTAACCGTAATATAGATGGAGTCCAGAAGGGTCTTGGGGGAAGGCCCATCCAGGGCTTCAGGAGAATCAAGACAGGGACAAATGAGAGTTCAGAAGGGCAGGGAGGACCTGGCAGAGCAAGCCCATGGAATTCTCGGGAAGACAGGAAGACTAGGGTTCAAGAAGCAGGGACTGGGGTATTTTCTACACCGACAACCAATAGCCTGATTCTCCAGACACCAACTGGGTGTCCAACAATTCAATTCAGGCTGGGCGTGGTGGCTCATGAATGTAATCCCAGCATGCTGGGAGGCTGAGGCAGGAGGATTACTTGAGCCCAGGAGTCTGAGTCCAGCCTGGGCAACATAACAAGACCCGATCTTAAAAAAAAAAAATTAGCCAGGTGTAGTGGCGCACCTATAGTCCCAGCTACTTGGGAGGCTGAGGTGGGAGGATTGCTTGATCCTGGGAGGTTGAGCCTACAGTGAGCTATGATCACGCCACTGCTCTTCAGCCTGGGCAACAGAGCAAGATCTTGTCTCAGAAAAAAAAAAAAATCAATTCAATTCTGACACTAACCACCCAGAATGGCTTGAACCCATTGAAGCAGAGGTTGCAGTGAGCTGAGATCATGCCACTGCACTCCAGCCTGGGTGACAAAGCAAGACACCGTCTCAAAAGAAAAAAAGAAAACAGGCTGGACATGGTGGCTCACGCCTGTAATCCCAGCACTTTAGGAGGCCGAGGCAGGCAGATCACGAGGTCAGGAGATTGAGACCATCCTGGCTAACATGGTGAAACCCTGTCTCTACTAAAAATACAAAAAATTAGCCGGGCATGGTGGTGGGCAACTGTAGTCCCAGCTACTCGGGAGGCTGAGGCAGGAGAACGGCGTGAACCTGGGAAGCGGAGCTTGCAGTGAGCCAAGATCACGCCACTGCACTCCAGCCTGGGCGACAAAGCGAGACTCCATCTAAAAAAAAAATAAAAGAAAGAAAGAAAGAAAACAAAGAAATCAAATCATTAATAGTAAACTTCTCAACAAAGAAGAGCCTAGGACAAGGTCGCTTCATTGGTGAATTCTACCAAACGTTTGAATAAAAAAAAAAATGCCAATTTTTTCTTAAACTCTTCCTAAAATTGCAAGAGGAGAGAATGTTTCCCAACTCATTCTATGAAGCCAGCATTACCTTGATACCAAAGTCAGAGAAAGACACTATGAGAAAACTACAGATTCATATCTGTCATGAGTATAGATGCAACAAAATACTAGCAAACCAAAGTCTGCGGCATGTTAAAAGAATTTTACACCATGACCAACGACCAATGTGAATTCTCCCCAGAACGCAAGAGTGGTTCAACACATGAAAATCAAGCTATATAATACACCACATGAATAGGATGAAAGGAAGGGGAAAAAAAAAAGCACACACACACATGATCATTTCAGTTGATGCTGACAGAGCATTTGACATCACCCAGCTCCTTTTATGATTAAAAAAATCAACTAAGAATGAAAGCAAACTTCCTCAACAAGAAAAAGTCCACAAGGCTGGGCTCAGTGGCTCATGCCTGTAATCCCAGCACTTTGGGAGGCCGAGGAAGGCAGACCACTTGAGGCCAGGAATTTGAGACCAGCCTGGCCAACATGGAGAAACCCCGTCTCTACTAAAAATACAAAAATTAGTTGGGCGTGGTAGCGGGTGCCTGTAGTCCCAGCTACTCAGGAGGCTGAGGCAGGAGAATCGCTTAGACCTGGGAGGCGGAGGTTGCAGTGAGCCGAGATTGCACCAGTGCACTCCAGCCTGGGCAATAGAGCAAGACTGTCTCAAAAAAATAAAAATAAATAAATAAATAAAATGGACAAAGAACTTGAAAAGACATTTTACCAAAGTTGATATACAAATGATGAGTATCTATAATATTCATTAATAAATACATTCGAAAGCACTCAACATCATTGGTCATTGGGGAAATGCAAATTAAAACCTCAATATACGGCCGGGAGTGGTGGCTTACGCCTGTAATCCCAGCACTTCGGGAGGCTGAGGTGGGCGGATCATGAGGTCAGGAGTTTGAGACCATCCTGGCCAACATGGTGAAACCCCATCTCTACTAAAAATACAAAAATTAGCGGGGCATGGTGGTGCCTGCCTGTAATCCCAGCTACTCGGGAGGCAGAGGCAGGAGAATCACTTGAACCAGGGAATCAGAGGTTGCAGTGAGCTGAGATCGCACCACTGCACTCCAGCCTAACGACAGAGTGAGAATCCGTCACACACACACACACACACACACACACACACACAAACTCAATATACCACTATATTCCCATTAGAATGGTTTGTGAACCAATGTGAACCTGATAGAGCCAAAGCTTCAAGATGGATCTTGAGTGGCTAACTGGGCCTAAATTTAAAATAGAGCCAAGTTGACATTTGCTAACTAGAGGCACTCTATGCTCCTCAAAAACTCCCGCCTCTGTTCAACTTTGGGACTCCAGAGCTCACCTGAACCAACCAATCAGAACTAAGCAAGTTTCAATCCTTCATTTGCATAAACGAACACGATTGGGAACCTGGGCGGGAACTTTTGCTGTAAAACCTGAGCCCTCCCTTGGTTCTCTGGAATGCACATCTTCTTTGACACTGAAGGCTGTGTCTTCTGGGTTTGCAAACTGTTCACTGGAATAGTCTCTTTCTTCCAAATTCATCTTCGGAGAACTTTTGTACAAAGGCTAAAATGGAAATGATTAGGGGCCAGGCACGGTGGCTCACACCTGTAATCCCAGCACCTTGGGAGGCCGAGGCAGGCAGACCATGCGAGGTAGGAGTTTGAGACTAGTCTGGCCAACATGGTGAAACCCCGTCTCTACTAAAAATACCAAAAATTAGTTGGGTGTGGTGGTGCATGACTGTAATCCCAGCTACTTGGGAGGCTGAGGCAGGAGAATCATTTGAACCCAGGAGGTGGAGGTTGCAATGAGTGAAGATCGTGCCACTGCACTCCAGCCTAGGTGACAGAGAGAGACTCCATCTCAAAAACACAAAAAGAAAATGACAACACCAAATGTTGCAGAGGTTATGGATGAATGAAAACTCTCATATATCGTTGGTGGAACTGTAAACTGGTAGCAACCACCCCGGCAGACAGTTTGACAGTTTTTTAGTCGTGGCCGGGCGTGGTGGCTCACGCCTGTAATCACAGCACTGTGGGAGGCGGAGGCGGGCGGACCACGAGGTCTGGAGTTCGAGACCAGCCTGACCAATATGGTGAAACCCTGTTTCTACTAAAAATACAAAAATTAGCCAGGCGTGGTGGTGTGTGCCTGTAATCCCAGCTACTGAGAAGGCTGAGGCAGGAGAATCGCTTGAATCCGGAAGGCAGAGGTTGCAGTGAGCCGAGATCGCACCACTGCACTCCAGCCTGGGCGACAGAGTGAGACTCCATCTCAAAAAAAAAAAAAAAAAAAAGCGTTAGTCGTACACCTGCCATACAGTGCATAATTCTACATATTCCTAGGCATTTACCCAACAGAAATTAAAAATATACATCTACACAAACACTTGAACACAAATATTCAAGGCAGCTTTATTCCTAACAGTACAAA
The DNA here is from genome assembly GCF_000001405.40 of Homo sapiens. NCBI lineage: Eukaryota > Metazoa > Chordata > Mammalia > Primates > Hominidae > Homo > Homo sapiens. The sequence goes on along the minus strand of NC_000007.14, from coordinate 73,911,352 downwards.
ACTGTACACAGCCCAGATGTCCGTACCCAGAAGAGTGGAAAATAAATGATGATATATCCATATAGTGCGATAGTACTCAGAACAAAATATATGCAGAATCATACATGAATGTCGAAAAATATTATACTGAGTGAAAAAAGCTGGACCCAAAAAATGTATACACATGGTCCCTGACTTACCATGGTTTGACTTATGATTTTTTCAACTTTATGATGGGACAAAAGCAATATGCATTCAGTAGAAACTGTCCTTTAAGTACCCATAAAACCCTCCCATTTTTCAATTTCAGTAGAGTATCCAATAAATTACATGAGAAATTCAACATTTTATTACAAACTAGGCTTTGCGCTCAATGATTTTGACAAACTGAAGGCTAATGTAAGTGTTCTGAGCACATTTAAGACAGGCTAAGCTAAGGCTCAGCACCATGGCTCACGCCTGTAATCCCAACACTTTGGGAGACTGAAGCAGGAGGATCACTTGAGCCCAGGAGTCCGAGACCAGCCTGAGCAATGTAGCAAGATCCCATTTCTACAAAATAAAAAAAAAATTAATCAAGTGTGCTGGCGTGCATCTGTAGTCCCAGCTAGTGGGGAGGCTGAGATGGGAGGATCGCTTGAGGCCAGGAGGTTGAGGCTGCAGTCAGCCGTGATGGCAACACTGCACTCCAGCCTGGGCAACAAAGCAAGACCCTGTTTTCTTAAAAACAAACAAATAAATAAAAGTCTATAAATTTGTTTCATTTCTGCAGTTGCACTAGTTACATTTCTAGTACGTTTCTAGTACTCGGTAGCTCCACCGGCTACCATACTGGACAATCTGCATTGGCAGACTAAGAAGTTCCATCATCACACAAAGTTCAACTGGGCAGTGCTGCTTTGGAAGGTCCCTGGGGCACTGGGTCTCCACTGCTCATTAGCAAACCCTTTGTTGGCTTTTATTCCTTTCCCTGCCTCCCTCTCTTACCCATGCTTCCTGGCATCTCCTCCCATGTAAAAGATCTGCACCCACAGCATTGTCTTAAGGTCAGAAGAACCTCGGCGAGTGCATTGAGTGAGTGACATTGGTGTGAGGTGGCGGCAGCTGAGGTGGCTCCAAGGCACAGAGGCCCTGCCAGCCGTTCCCACCCAAAACCATCACCATGAAGGAGCCGAGGGACTGTGTTCCTGCCGTCACCTCTCCAAAAGTGACAGGTAAAGGGATGGGCAGAGATTGCACAGGAAGGTCAACAGTCCTGAGATCTGGGGCTGAGCAGTCCAGAACCTCCAGCTCTAAGTGGTGGGACTGGGAAGTCAGAGCCCCTGGTCATCCCTTCCCCACCCGCCTCCCACCTAAAGCTCCCACCCACCCCTCTCTGCAGCCAAGCACTGGTGTCCTACATCCCCCTGAGCCCAGGAATGGGAACTCCCTCCTAAGGAACCTCCACATTCCCAAGGAGGACACGGAGACTCCAAGAAGGGAGATGATTCCACGGAGTCCACACAGCTGCTGAGAAGTCAGCTGGCTCCTGGCACCCAGGTCGTGGCTGGACCCCAGCGTCCAGGCTCAGGGGCTGAGGCAAGGATCATGGGAGTTTCAGGTGATACCAGGCTCAAGACCCCCCACGCTGGAAGGGGCTGGTACCTCCCAGCTGGGGATCTTTTCTAGAGCCACAGGCCCTCCTAGGGGGGACAAAAGCAGTGAGCCGGCTGGTCCCACTTCCTTGGTCTGCAGCCTTTGCTCAGCTGAAAGGCACGTGGTTCTAGAAGCCCTGAGCGGACTTCCTTCATGGACAGAGCATTATTTGGCTCAGTGACAGGGTGTAAGGGGGAGATTCAGGGACAGGGTATTTGGAACATCTCACCCTTCACCCTCACATTCCCTCCCTCCCTTGAGTGTCCAGAGCAGGGCTGAACGGGGTGGCAGTTGGAGACTCCACAGTCATGTATGTCCCCACCCCCCAGGGCACCATCAAAAGTAAATTAACATTTTTTCCATTTCCCCTTTTTTGCAAACACATTGAATGCCGTTGCACAAACTCCATCTCTCCCCTGGCTTCCCCACCCCCTGGTTTCCCGGCCTGGGCTTCCAGGGCAGGGCTGGCTCAGGGTGAGAAGGTAGGTCTCATGCCCCTCTCTGGGCTCCAAGACCCTGCTGCCACCAGAGACACGGCCAAGTGTCTGGTCCCCTGACTCCTCCTCCTCCCCTCCCCCTGCTGCCAGCCCTCCTGGCTCCCAGGCCCCCACCCACCCTGACCTCTCCCATGGAGTTAAGAATCCCGGAGGAGCAAAACTTTTCCATACTTACCAGTGCTCAGAAACATTGAGAACTTGGACCTTCCAGGGCCCAGGGCTGGGAGTGCAGCCTGGACTCAGATGGCGCCATCTCAGGAGGGTCCCCAAAGACAGGACTAAGACCCTCAGGGAATCATTCATTCATTATTCTTGCATTCGTTCATTTGTTTGTTCAGTAAACTCTTTTTTTTTCTTTTCTTTTTTTTTTTTTTTTTGAGACAGGGTCTGGCTTTGTCACCCAGGGTGGAGTGCAGTGGCGAGATCTCGGCTCACTGCAACCTCCACCTCCCGGGCTCAAGCGATTCTCCTGCCTCAGCCACCAGAGTAGCTGGGATTACAAGAACGTGCCACTACATTTGGTTAATTTTTGTATTTTTAGTAGAGACAGGGTTTCACCATGTTGGCCAGGCTGGTCTCGAACTCCTGGCCTCAAGTGACCCACCCACCTGGGCCTCCCAAAGTGCTGGGATTACAGGCGTGAGCCACTGCGCCTGGCCTCGTTCAGTAAATTCTTGCTCTCCCTCTGCTCCAGGCCTTGCGGAGAGGCCAGAAGGATTAGGCACAGCCTTGCTCTCAAAGAGGTCCCAATGTGGTGGGGAACACCGTGGGGCAGTGGTGGCGTCTGGTGTGGTAAGTACAGGGTGCCACGGGAATGGGAAAGATCATGGGGCGCTTCACCAAGGAGGGGGCTTTTCACTTGGCAAGGTGCTTTGTGGAATAGTGAAGGAAGGTTCATTCCAGGCAGCAGGAATGGTCGGGAGAAGCTGGAGCGAGGATCCGTGAGGCATAGTTGGGAGTGATGAACCCGGGGAGGTGGACAGGACATAAGGTGTCGGGGGGGAATTGGCCTGCGTCCGGCTGGAGAGATGGGAAAGGACCAGACCACAGAGGGCCCGGCAGGACCTGGAGGGCAGTGGGGAGCCAGCGAAGGGCACTGAGCTAAGGAGGGGCACAGTCAGGTTTGCATGAGAAGTAGTTCATGCAAGCCTTTGGCTCCCTATGGAGAACCAGCCGGAGGGGCAGGGCGCAGGAGCTGGTGACATGGATGTTACAATACCCCAGCCAAATAGAATGAGCTTAGGATGAAGGCAGTGGCAGTAGGGAGAGAATGAAGTCAGTGGATCATGTGGATTGGCCTTGGTCTACCAGTGCGACAGAGGGTGGAGGAGAGGGGGAGGGTGGAGCCTCCGATGATGCCAGCATCTCTCTCTGGGTGCTTCGATAGGTGTCAGGGCCCTTCTCTCAATGAGGGGAGGAACAGGGCTGGGGGATCAGTTAGCCCTGGACTTAGGGGTATGTGGGCCTATGGGTCCCCGGGTGGAGGCGTCAGCCTGGTTCTGGACACGCTGGCCTGGAGCCCTTTTGAGGACCAGGCTGGTGACCCAGGGAGAGTGTGGTGTCAAGCCACAGGATGGAGGAATGGCTCAGAAAGAGGACCTTGAGGGCGGGCATGGGGGCTCACGCCTGTAATCCCAGTACTTTGGGAGGCCGAGGCAGGTGTATAACTTGAGGTCAGAAGGCCGAGACCAGCCTGGCCAACATGGTGAAACCTTGTCTCTACTAAAAATACAAAAATTAGCCGGGCATGGTGGTGTGTGCCAGTAATCCCAGCTACCCAGGAGGCTGAGGTATGACAATCACTTGAACATGGGAGGTGGGGATTGCAGTGAACTGAGATCGTGCCACAGCACTTCAGCCTGAGCAACAGAGTGAGACCCTGTCTCAAAACAAAAACAAAAAAACAAAAAAAAAAAAACCAAAACAAAAACAAAAACAAACAAAATTAAAAAACAGACTTCGAGAAAGGGTCTGAGATGAGATCTGAGGGCCACCTACACGAAAGGGATGGGCAAGAGGAGATCAGAGGAAGGCTCTGGAAGAGAGGCAGGAAGAGACTGTCACGGGCAGAGGCTTTGCAGCAAGAGGCTCCGCAGTGGCTTGGACCACATGTCAGGGAGGAGGAGCGACCGCTCATTAACAAGAGTTGCTGCAGCTTCCGTCTGTCCATCTGTCCGGGGAGGACTGGGGACAAAAGCCAGGCTGGAGAGAGTTCTGGAGAGAGTGGGCCGTAAGGAAGTGAGGAATAAGAAGTGTAGATGACTCTGACTGGGCTCGGTGGCTCACGCCTGTAATCCCAGCACTTTGTAGATGACTGGCTGGGTACGGTGGCTCACGTCTGTAATCCTAGCACTTTGGGAGGCCGAGGTGGGAGGATCACCTGAGGTCAGGAGTTCGAGACCAGCCTAGGCAACATGGTGAAACCCTGTCTTTACTAAAAATACAAAAATTAGCAGGACGTGGTGGTGAACGCCTGTAATCTCAGCTACTCAGGAGGCCGAGGCAGGAGTATCACTTAAGTCTGGGAGTTGGAGGTTGCAGTGAGCTGAGATCACACCACTGCACTTCAGCATGGGTGGCAGAACGAGACTCTGTCTAAAAAAAAAAAAAAAAAAGAAAGAAAGACAAAGTGTAGACAACTCTTTGAAGCAGCTTGGCTGGGAAGAGATACAGAGAGCTGGGTGGAACTGAACGTGGCCTCACAAGGGTCTTTAAAATATATATATATTTTTTTCCTGAGACAGGGTCTCACTCTCGCCCAGGGTGGAGTGCAGTGGTGCAATCATAGATCATTGCAGCCTCAAACTCCTGGGTTCAAGCCATCGTCCAGCTTCAGGCCCCCAAGTAGCTGGGATAACAGGTGCCCACCACCATACCCGGCTAATTTTTATATTTTTGTAGAGATGAGGTTTCACCATGTTGCCCAGGCTGGTCTCAAATTCTAAGCTCAAGCAATCTGCCTGCCTTGGCCTCCCAAAGTGCTGGGATTATAGGCGTGAGACATCCAGTGTGGCCAAGGGACTTTTAAACATTTTTAAATGAGAGAAAATGGACCGTGGGGCCAGGTGTGGTGGCTCACGCCTGTAATCCTAGCATTTTGAGAGGCCAAGGAGGGTGGATCTCTCTAGGTCAGGAGTTTGAGACCAGCTTGGCCAACAAGATGAAACCCTGTCTCTATTAAAAATACAAAAATTAGCCAGGCATGGTGGCAGATGCCTGTAATCCCAGCTATTTGGGAGGCTGAGGCAGGAGGATCACTTGAACCCGGGAGGAGGAGGTTGCAATGAGTCCAGATTGCGCCCCTGCACTCCAGCCTGGGTGACAGGGCGAGACTCCATCTCAAAAAAGAAAGAAAATGGAGCGTGGTCATGTGCTGAGGGCTGGGAAACACTGGCAGGCGTGGGAGAGCAAAAGGAGGGCCCTGGGTGAGGTCCCTCTGTCCAGAGCACATCTGGTCCACGGTGGATGGTTTCTGAATAAGCAAGTTATTGGGGACAGACGGCAGGAGCAGGCCCAGACATGGTGCAGGTCGCCTTGGTGATGGGCGATGCAGAAAGGGGAAGAACAGCTGGCCGTGGGGGTTTTGGGGATGGGGAAGCAGGATACGCGGGAGTCTCCATGGGGCAGCTGATGTGCCTGGAGTGAGAGAGGACAGCAGAAGAGGCGCCCCCAACCCCATGCCCCAGGCGACACTACCGCTGGGCACAGGTCCTCCTTCCCTCTGTATCGACCAGGAAGCGCAGTCATGGTGGTGAGGGTGGAGGGGGTGCAGAGCAGGAGCGAGAGGGGTTGGGAAGAGCCTCCGACCACAAGGCAAGAGGAGGCCTGGGCTCCAGCCCGGCCCTACCTTGGACTCAATAAGAGACCCAGAGCCGACCTCTCTGCCCCGAGAGCCTCTACTTCCCCATGTGAAGAATGGGGCCTTGGCCTCCATGTGCTGTAGGGGGCTTGTTACATGGCGTCTCACAAATCTTGCATTTCAGGCCTGCAGAACACAGAAAAGTCCATACTTGGGAATTCCAGGATCCTGACATTCTATAACATAATTTCTGTGTTGCCACCAGGGATGGGTCCAACCGACGTCTCTCCCTTCACAGTGGCTCTGTCTGCCCATCCCAGCCGCCAGCTCCCCTCCCTTTCCTTCTCCCCGTCAACTCCGGGCACAGCCAGCCTCGAACACATCCCAAGTGAGCACTTGGCAGGCAGGGACCATGATTCATGCCCTTCCAGCAGGCTTCGTGGCTCGCCCGCCCGCCAGAGTAGGCAGGATATTCTTGGCCTCACCGTTCACTCAGGATTAGCAGGGCGGGGGTGGCTGGGGCTGGGGGAGGCAGACTGTGTTCTCCGGCCTCAGCGAGGTTGGGGGCGTTCATGTCTGAAGTGGCAGCCAGCCTGGCCAGGGAGGGAACATCACCCCATAAACTGAGGCCACGTCTGGGACCCAGACAGCAGAATTGGGGTGGGGCCATCGGAGGAAGGCTGCCACCTGCTCCGTGTCCAGGGAAAAAAGGAGGGCCAGGAGTCCGGGGGCAAGCGAGGCCACTCACCCCAAACCCCTGATCCTATTTCCCTCCATGAGCCTCTTCCTTGTTGGGGGAGCCCGGCCCTCTCCATCCCCACTGCCTAGAGCCCAGGCTGGGCCAGGAGTTCGAAGCCAGCTCCCAAACAGCCAAGGAACAGAGAAGTCAGCAGCCTCCAGCCACTCCCTCCCACTGCCAACCCCAGCTCCCCCAGTTCCCCACCAAAGCCACGCCCCCACCCACCCTCAGACCAGTACTTCAGGATGAACCTGGAGCTCCCAGGATAAGACTGTGCCTCCCCCGTCAGACCATCATTTCAGAGCAAGACTGTGTCTCCCTAAAACCAAGTGTCCCGAGCCTCACTAGTGCACACACACCAAGGCCAGCGTCCCAGGCTAGGGCCATGCCCCTTAGACCATGGTTCCTGGCCAGAGCTCTACCTCCTCCCTCAGATCAGAACCCCCAGGGCAAGGCCTGTCTCCCCATCAGGGGTGACAAGAGAAGACTGGATCATCAAAGTGGGCGGCCCAGGAAAGAGAGTCGGAGGAGAGTACGAGGTCCCCACCCACCGTGGGCTCACCTGGGCCCAGAGGAATCCGTTCTTCCCAGGTCAGGTGCAAAGAGTTCCTTGGTTCAGAGCAGGAGCCTGGGGCTGGACCATGGGTGAGGGGAGGTTATTTTGGAGCAGGGTCTCTTGGCAGGGAGGGGCCAGGTTTGCACAGGGCGGAGGCAGCAGTTGAGCCTCTGGTAGGGGCAGCTCTCCCCACTCCCTGCAAGGCTGTGGCGGTCCTCTATGAAAATGCATTGTCCCCCTCCTCCAGGGCTCCAAGATGCTCTCCCCACGCAGTCATCACCCCAGACCTGGGTCTCTGAGGCTCAGTGTGGGTGGGTCTGCCTCTGCCACCCGGGGCTCCAGCTTTGTGTCAGACCCAGGAGAATTTCACTCCTGACTCCACCCTGGTACTTCTCCACCTTTCTAACCTCAGTTTTCCTCATCTGGAAAATGGGGACAGGGACACCTACAGCAGGGGGTTCCATGGTGTGCCCTTTCCCCTTGGCTGGCCACAGGTAACTCTGGGTGACCACAGGGCCAAGGCGCAGGAAGCAACGAAGCTGAGTCCAGCCCGTCCTTCCATCCCATGTGCAGCGCCAGGACCTCCAGGAAGTCACTGAGACAGAGCCACATGGAGGAGCAGGGAGATATTTGGCTGGCCTTGGGAGGGTTGGCCTCAGTAGCCTGTGGGGAGGCAAATTCCAGGCCCCTCTGGGCTTCCTCCTGGGTCCATTCTCTCACCCAAGCTCTGGCTTGGGCACCTGGCTATAGCCTGTCTCCACGGAGCGCTAGGGACCCATGACCAGCCCAGGGGAATGGGGGACACAGGGCATACATTCCTCTCTCTTTCTCTGCCTCATTCTCTGTTCCCCCAGACCAGGAGACAAAGGACTGGATTTAAAATCTGGCTTTGCCATTCACCAGCTATAAGGCATTGGGCAAGTTATTGAATCTCTCCAAGCCTCAGTTTTCCCATCTGTAAAGTGGGAGTGGCCAGGTGCAGTGGCTCACACCTGTAATCCCAGCACTTTGGGAGGCCGAGGTGGGAGGATCACTTGAGCCCAGGAGTTCGAGACCAGCCAGGGCAACAAAGTGAGAACCTGTCTCTACAAAAAATTAGCCGGTGTTGCCAGGTGCCATGGGCTCACACCTGTAATCCCAGCACTTTGGGAGGCCGAGGCAGGTGGACCACCTGAGGTCGGGAGTTCAAGACCAGCCTGGCCAACATGGTGAAACCCTGTCTCTACTAAAAATACAAAAATTAGCCGGGTATGGTGGCAGGAGCCTGTAATCCCAGCTACTCGGGAGGATGAGGCAGCAGAATCACTTGAACGTGGGAGGCGGAGGTTGTGGTGAGCCGAGATCGTGCCACTGCACTCCAACCTGGGTGACAGAGCAAAACTTCATCTCAAAAAAAAAAAAAAATTAGCTGGTGTGGTAGTGTCCACTTGTAGTCCCAGCTACTCAGGAGGCTGAGGTGGGAGGATTGCTTGAACCCAGGAGGTTGAGGCTGCAGTGAGCCAAGGTCATGCCACCCCACTTCAACCTGGGTGACAGAAAGAGAACCTGTCTCAAAAATAAAATAAAATAATAAAAAATAAAATAAAATGGGAATGATAGCAAAACCCAGGGCCATTGGAGAATGACATGGGCTAAGGCAGGAAAGAGCCTGGCCCTGTGGGACGGGGACGGCAAACCTGGGCACAGTTATCTTCATCCTCTCCAGGCTCCTCTGAGGAGCACCCAGAGACCCCAGCTCAGGGAGGCAGTGCAAACCAGGGACCCCCAACTTCCTGGTCCGGAGCCCCTGCTGGAGAGGGACATGGGTCCTCAGCCCTGAGCATCAATGAGGTTTGGGTGAAGGGAGAGACAGAGGCCCAGCCAGACCCTGCACATTCCAGCCCTGGTTCATTCCGGATCCAAGCACTGAGACCTCTCCCCACCTGGGCGCCCAGCCAAGCCCCCCTATGATGGTGCCAGATCCGGAGGACAGCCCGACCGGGCCGGAGCTTGCTCTCTGATGAGTCCTTGAAAGTCCACCAGCCCGAGCTCCTCTTCCGCCTTGAAGGGGGCCTGCATATGTAGGGCTGCATTCCCGGCATGCCATGGCTGGGGGAGCAACTGGAGGTCTCCCCAGAAAGTGCATGACTCCAGGTCAGATCCTGGGAAAAGGCCACAGCCCCAGGACCTGGAGCAGAGGGACTGAGGGCCAAGCTGGCACTGGGGGAGAAGGAGGGGAGTTAGGAGGAGGGGAGTTGGGGGAGGGGGAGTTGGGGGCGCCTGAGGGGGAGGGGGAGTTGGGAGACGGGACTTAACAAGAGGGTGGGGCTCAATGAGGCGGGACAGTGAGGAGGAGGAGTAAAGGGGCTTAGGGGTGGGGAAGGCAACTCAATGGAGAAAACGGGGGTTCATGCATGGCAGAGGGCCCAGGCTTTCCCTCCCTGGTCATACTTCTCCTGCCACTCAGCTCTCTTCACGCCACCCACTCTAAGACATGCCCTCTGACCTCCCACCTGCCTGGGGCTGACCACTCTGCCTTGTCTCTTTCCATCCAGGGCCTTGGAGAACTCCAGCACAGAATGGCCCCAGGCCTGGACACTCTCTGAGGACATCTCTGCAAAGGCCCCACTGGCCCAGGCCAGTGGGATGTGGGCTCCTGGCCCTGTCCAGGCTCTCATGCCATGGGGCAGGGTGGCAGGGGCCCCTCCCTGGGTTTGCTCTGGGGTGGCAGAGAGCCACTGTGGTTCAGTTCAGGGTGGTGAGCAGCTCTCTCTGGCAGCCCAAGGAGGCCTTCCTGGAGGAGGAAGCCTGACCCTCTAGCTGGGCTTGAATGGGGAAGAGGCTAGGTAGAGGCCTGGCAGTGGGGCAGGGGTGGGGACTGTCTGTGAGCAGCTGTGTGGCACGTATGGCAGGAAGAAGGACTGGAGGGGTAGACAGGCACTGCCATCCATAGCCTGGAAAGTGTCACCAACAGGGCAGGATTTCATCCGAGAAATAACAGGGAGGCCGGGCACGGTAGCTCTGGCCTGTAATTCCCACGCCTTCAGAGGCTGGGAGGATGGCTTGATCCCAGGATCTTGAGACCAGCCTGGGTAACATAGCGATACCTCCATCTCTGCAAAAAAAAAAATTTTTAATTAGCCAGGTGTGGTGGTGCACACCTGTAGTCCCAGCTACTGGGGAGGCTGAGGCGAGAGGATCACCTGAGCCCAGGAGGTTGAGGCTGCAGGGAGCTATGATCGTACCAGCACACTCCAGCCTGGAGGACAAAGCAAGACTCTGACTCTTCGAAAGAGGCAGTGTATGCGGGGGAGGGACTGCCAGGATGGGGGTCCCGGCTTTGACACTCTCCCTGAGGAGCAGGAGAAGAAAGGGGGTACCCTGGGGGCTGCTGTTCCTCATTGGGCTCAGGAAACTTCTGGGCTCTGTCCCCACCCACTCACACACTTCATCCATGAAGGATGCATTATACAAGGAAGCCGGGTGGTTCATGCATCCATCCTCAGGCCCTCTCCAACATCAAGGGTGAGACCAGCTTCCAGGCCCCAAGTCCCGTCAACCGAGAGGGGCTGCGGGTCACAGGGCCTGTGGCAGCTGGAGCAATTCCTCCCCCAAGCCTCTCACCACCCACCCCCTGGGGAATGCAAGTTGCCCTGGAAATACTGTTTAGGTACAAACACTTCTTCAGGCTATGTCCTGGGGGAGAGTGGGGAGGGGGAAGCAGGCTGGGCAGAGGCCAGGGGCGTGGGAGGTATACAGAGACCCCTTTTGGTCACCAAGTGGCTCTGCTCCCCGGGGAAGGGAGGACCAGGGCTGATGCTGCATTTCCTGAGGCCCAAAGGGAGAGCTGGGGGTGTACAGGGGATTCCCAGCAGAGGACAGCCCTAGATCAGAGCCCCAAGGCCCGGATTCTCCACCCTGGTCTGCTACTGGGTCTGAATCTCAGTTTCCCCGTCTGTAAAATGGATAGGTTTTCTCCTTGGTTCCTTCGACCCGTTTTTCAACTTTCATGTTCTCTGCTGCTGTCATAGTCTCCTCTGAGGGGAAGAGGGGTCCAGAGGCCTTTCCTGCACAGCCTGTCGGAGAAGCCCCTCTCTGCCACTCACTTCCTGACTCCGTGTGCCCACGTGAGAAGGAGCAGCTGGTGGGTAGAGCTGCTGAAGGGCCTGAGCTGGAGAAATATCCTGGAAGGGCAGGGTGGGGAGGAATTTGGAAATTTTTAGAACCTTGACAGCCCTGTGAGTCAGTGGGGCAGATGGAAGCGATTAGGCGCTGGCAGGAGGCACCGTGGGGCGGAGACGGGAACCAAGTATGGCTTGGAGCTCAGACCCCGACGAGGACGGGTGGCTTCCTCCAAGCCTGCGTAGCCAGCTGCCGGGGGCCGGGCCTGGTGTGCATGTTTGAGGCACCAAGCTAGACCGTACAAAGAGGTTCATGTGATGGGGTGCCCAGGATGCTAGGGCCACAAGAAAGGGATGGGACACAGAATGAAGGAACACTCCTGCCACTGGGTCACAACATTGCTGTCCAGAGGAGGGCAGGTTTCCATTGCCTGTCCCCAGCCCCCAATATCTACACCCCTTCCCAGAAGGATCTACCCTACTGATAATACAAACACATTCCCCAACAATCCAAAATCATACACTCGGCCGGGTGCAGTGGCTCATACCTGTAATCCCAGCATTTTGGGAGGCCGAGGCAGGTGGATCACCTGAGGTCAGGAGTTTGAGACCAGCCTGGCCAACATGGCAAAACCCTGCCTCTACTAAAAATACAAAAATTAGCTGGGCATGGTGGCGAGCGCCTATAATCCCAGCTACTCCGGAGGCTGAGGAAGAAGAATCACTTGAACCCAGAAGGTGAAGGTTGCGGTGAGCAGAGATCATGCCACTGCACGCCAGCCTGGGCTACAGAGTGACTCTGTCTCAAAACAAACAAACAAACAAAATCATATACTCCCCTGACAGCAGGCTACCCTTGTGTCTCTTAGGGATGTCTCATCTCTAGGCGAAAAGAAAGCAAAGAGTAAGTCATCTTTCAAAGAATTCAATTTTTTAAATTTTTTTAGAGACAGGGTCTTGCTCTGTCACCCAGGCTGGAGTGCAGTGGGGTGTGATCACAGCTCCCTGCAGCCTTAAACTCCTGGGCTCAAGTGATCCTCCCACCTCAGCCTCCCCAGTAGCTGGGACTATAGGCATGCACCACCATGCCCAACTGATTTTTAAAATTCTTTGTGGAGATGAGGGTCTCACTGTGTTGCCCAGGCTGGTCTCCAACTCCTGGCTCAAGTGATCCTCCTGCTTCGGCCTCCCAAAGCACTAGAATTACAGGTCAGGATTATGCCCAGACTTATGTGCTGGACGTAAGTCACAGTGCCCAGCCAGAATTCAGTTTTAAAACTGAATTTAGATCAAGCACCTCCTTGGGCCAGGCACATGCCAGGTTCTAAGGATCCTAAGAAAAGCCAACTGAGGCCGGGTACCATGTCTCACTCCTGTAATCCCAGCACTTTGGGAGGCCAAGGCAGGAGGATCACTTGAGGTCAGGAGTTTGAGACCAGCCCAGCCAACATGGTGAAACCCCGTCTCTACTAAAAATAGAAAAATTAGTCGGGCATGGTGGTCCACACCTGTGATCCCAGCTACTCGAGAGGCTGAGGCAAGAGAATCGTTTGAACCCAGGAGGCGGAGGTTGCAGCGAGCTGAGTTTGTGCCACTGCAATCCAGCTTGGGTGACAGGGCGAGATTCTGTCTGACAAAAAAAAAAAAAAAGAAAAAAAGAAAAGCTAACTGAATGTCTTTCCTCAAGGAGTTCCCAGTCAAGTAGGGGAGACTGGTCACTAAGAATCACAAGCTTGATGCTTTAGAATGGATCCCTGAGGCCGGGATGGGTAGCTCCCGCCTGTAATCCTAGCACTTTGGGAGGCTGAGGTGGGAAGATCACTTGAGGTCAGGAGTTTGAGAGCAACCTGGCCAATACAGTGAAACCCTGTCTCTAGTAAAAATACAAAAATTAGCCGGGTGTGGTGATAGGCACCTGTAATCCCAGCTACTCAGGAGGCTGAGACAGAAGAATTGCTTGAACCTGGGAGATGGAGGTTGCAGTGAGCCAAGATCTAGCCACTGCACTCCAGCCTGGGAGACAGAGCAAGACTCTGACTCAAAAAAAAAAAAAAAAAGAAGAATGAACCCCCAGAGCCTGTGTGGCAGCAGGCTGGACTGGAAGCCCGTGCGGTGGAGGCTGGAGAGCTGAACCCGGTCCTGGAGAGAAGGTGAGCAGGAAGGGGCAAGTAGGTAGGAGGAGCCCAAAGGAAGCCTAGGAAGAGGCAGTGGGGGGTTCCACCATGCTGCTCCCCGACACAGAAGGACCAGCAAGGAGCATGGGATGCAGGGCACATGGGGGCAGGCAGAGGAGTGAGGACAAAAAAAGGGAGTGGACGGCCAGGTGCAGTGGTTCACACCTGTAATCCCAGCACTTTGGGAGGCCAAGGCAGGAGGATCACCTGAGGTCAGGAGTTTGAGACCAGCCTGGGCAACATGGTAAAACCCCGTCTCTACTAAAAATACAAAAACTAGCCAGGCGTGGTGGCATGCACCTGTAATCCCAGCTACTCAGGAGGCTGAAGCAGGAGAATCACTTGAACCCAGGAGGTAGAAGTTGCAGTGAGCCGAGATCATGCCATTGCGCTGCACCCTGGGCAACAAGAGCAAAACTCCATCTCAAAAAAAAAAAAAAGATCACTCTGGTAGCCTGTGATCAGGCCAAGATAAAATCTAAACTAAGTGGCAGTAGGTAAAGAAGAGGGCACAGGCATAGGAGGGCTTTAGGAGGTAAAGTCAGCTTTGGGTGGAATTGGCATCTTAACAATCATAAGCCTTCCAATCCATGAACATGGGATGTCTTTCCATTTATTTAGATCTTTCATTTCTTTCAATGATGTTTTGTAGCTTTTGGTGCACAAGTCTTGCACTTCTTTTTAAACAATTTAAAAATTTAAACTTGATAATGAGGTATAGGGAGGTGAGGTGGGAAAAGGAGGCATCTAGGAAGAGAGCTGTGTTCCTGTGGGGAAGCAGGAGGATGGAGATGGTGCAGGTGGAGATGAAGACAGTGGAAGAGGAGCTTGAGGTTGGGGCAGTCACCGAGTCTCCTTTGAACCTGACTTTCCAACATCTGGGACATCTCAGTGGAGAAGGCCTACAGAGCTGGCTGAAAGACTGAAGCCTTCAATAAGGATGAAGGGTCCTAAACACAAGGCCAAAGAGCTCAGAATTTTCTTGTGGATAAGATGATGGGGAGCTGTTGGCAGCTTTATGCAGAGAAGTGACACAATCAGGTTTAGAAGAATTATTTGAGCAGGAGGGAGGAGATTGGCTCAAGCAGAGAGACACTGCAGGCAGGGAGACTTAGGATTAAGAATTTAAATGTTCCCTTAGAGGCCAGGATCTGAGCAGCGGCCAGGCCAGGAAATGGGGTCATAGAGCAGACCTCAGTTAGCAACTGACCCAGGCTAAGTGTCACAGGTGGATCTCACTTCATGCAAGTGGAGTCTTGACAAGCTGAGTCATAAATGACACTTATGTTGATACTTTAGGCCAAATTCTGCTTTCAATGACTCAATCCAAAAAAGAAATTAAGAAAAAACAATTCCATCTACAGTAGCAACAAAAAATAAAATACTTAGGAAAAAATGTTTTAAAAGAAGCATAATACTTGTACACCGAAAGCTACAAAATATCATTAAAAAATTAAAGATCTAAATAAATGGAAAGACATCCCATGTTTGTGGATTAGAGGCTTGTTATTGTTAAGATGACAATTCTACCCAAAGCTGATGACAATACTACCAAAAACAGATTCAATGCAATGCCTATCAAAATCCCAGTGGTGTATTTGCAAAAATGGAAAAAATCCATTCTAAAAATCAGATGGAATTTCAAGGAACATCAAATAGCCAAAACAATCTTGAAAAAGAACATTTGGAGGACCTACACTTCCTAATTTCAAAACTTACTACAAAGCTACAGTAATTAAGACAATGTGTTACTGGCATAAACATAGACATATAGATCAATAGAATCGAATTGAGAAATAAACCATTACAATTGTGGTAAATTGATTTTTGACAGCAGTGTCAAGACCATTTAGTGGGGAAAGAATAGTCTGTTTAACAGATGGTGGTGAGACAACTGGATATCCACATGCAAAAGAATGAAGTTTGACCCCTACCTCACACCATATATAAAAATTAACTCAAAATGGAGTGAAGATCTAAATGTAAGAGCTAAAACAAGAAAACTCTTAAAAGGCAACATCGTGGTAAATCTTCGTGACCTTAGACCTGGCAATGGTGTCTTCGATATGATGCCAAAAGTACAAGCAACCAAAGAAAAAATAGACAAATTGGATTTCATCAAAATTGAAAACTTTTGTGCTTCAAAGGACACTATGAAGAAAATGAAAAAGACAACCCACAGAATGAGAGAAAATATTTGCAAATCTTATCTTAAATGACTTGAGACTATGTTAAATGAAAAGCTCTTCTTGGAAACTTCTTCATAGTGGGGGTGGAGGGGGAAAGAGCCTACCCCAATGTACAGCATGCAGGCATCCTGCCCTGCCCTTTGTGGAATGAGTTTACCCAAAGAGGATCTGCTCATATAGGAAATTGGGGAAGTTAAAGTGGGGGAGGGTGGGAGGAAGGAGAGACACTTGCCCCCAGGGCAGCCACAGTTCTCTGGGAACTTGCTCACAAATTCCCTGAATTCCCCCAAATTAATTTTAGAATGAGTCCTCGAAACCCAAGGAGGCCAAGGGACGGCCCGGCGCCAGTTTGGGCAGCTCTCAGAAAGGGGACAGCATGAGGGAGAGGCCGTCTGGCCTGGCCTCGTTTCCCAGCCAGGCCCCATCCATGGGAAGGTCACGAGAGGCACGAGCCGGGGCCAACCCCCGTGCAGGGCGCGGGCGCAGGCAACAGGCCAGGAGGTCCTGGGGCCTGAGGTCTCCATTCCCACTGACATCAGTGCAAGGTGTCAGGGGGCCTGAATCATCGGGGCTGGGGCCAGCCCCCCTCCCTGGGGGTTGTGGGGAGAGCATAGCAGAGGCATGAGGCAGCCCCAGCCAGGCGGGCGGCCCTAGGCTGGGCTGGCCCGGTGACTGCTTTATAGAATTAGTGAGTGGGACTCACCACAGGGGGGAGGTGGAAATGTCATCGTCCTGGATTCCAACAGGCTGTACTCCCCCTCTTTCTGATTCACAAAATTAATTTCAATGGCTAGAGAGGAGTCTGGCAGCAGGGCCAAGGGGTCATAAACACGGGGAATATTAATAGCTTCAGCCAGGCTGCCTGAGGGGCTGGGGGGCCCTCCAGAGGGACTGATTTATTTAGTCTCCTCATTAATGATGTGGAAAGACAAGAGTTTGCCCGAGCCTGAGGCGGATACTGACCTACATCAGGGCAGGAATTGCCCATGCTAAGGACACACCACGGCGGACCATCCTCGGCTCTATCTCCCCCAGGCACTATTCCTCTTGGTTTTATCGTGGTGCCCTGGCTCTATATCCCAGCCAGGTGGGCCCAGGTGAGGCACCATTATTGAGCCATCTCAAAGCAGCAGACGGTGGGAGCTAGGCACACCAGGCGCATACCGTGGCCAGGTAAGGATCGATCTCCTTCCAGAGCTGAGATCTCAAGAATAATGCATATTCATGCATATGAACACACATGCTCAGACCTTTCCATGTTTCTGACGACAAGACCAGCCCTGCTTCCCCTCTCTCCAGCCGGTGGCTGGACATACAGGACCAAGTCAAGGTGTAGAGTACCCAGCCATCCCAGACTGGCACATGATAGAGTGAGCCAGGTGCAGCAGGAATATACATTCCAGGTAAGGATGGGCTCCTTCCTGAACAAGGACCCTAGCCTCCTTAGCCCTCCACCCCAACCTCACCCTGCCATTAATCAACCTTATATGTCACTCCCAAATCTAGGGATATTTAACACTGGGAGTTCAGGGAAATTCTACACACATGTGCATGCAGAATATATACAACACCTGTTCCCCAACACACTTGGCAGAGCCCCATTCTAGGGCATAGCTTGGCCTGCTAAGGGGAACAGAAACCAGGGCAGCTGGCACGCTCTGGCCCTTCCCAAGTCCCCGGGTCCTGAGAACATCATTCCAAACTACCCTTGGGGCCCCAGAGTCTGAGGTCACAGACCAAGGAGTCTGTGAAGAGGGTCAGCTGGCAGTGGCTTGGGGAGATCCAGTTGGGAGGCGTGCCCAGGGCCCACGCAGACGGGCTGGGGGAGCCTCCCCTGGGAAGCCCTCCACTCCCAGCTGCACACTCCTGGCTGCCAGCGCTGGGACAGACACAGACGGACTGGGCCTGGCAGCAGCTGCAGCTGGGAGCCTGCCGAGTCCTGGGCTGGAATGAAGGAGAAACCTGTCCAGCGATGAGATCAAGGCAATGGCACAAGTGTCCCCCCCAGGGAGCCGAGCTCTGTGTCCCAGGACATTCCAAACTCTGTGAACAAAACATGGGATGGGAGGCTAGCCAGGCTGGGCCAGGGCCAGGTGGCCCCCCACCCCTCCCATCAACGGATGGTTTTGCAGGGGGAGCCCAGCCTCCTCCTGCGGGGGCTGTCCCGGCCCAGCAGTGGGACCGGCTGGGAACGCAGCATGCACTGCCAGGAATACTGCCCACACAAGTCGCCTGGGGACGCCGCATCCAGACACCTGCCACGTTCCCTCGGCAGGGTGCCACGTGTGGTCATCTGCCTGAACCCGATGCTGCATGGGGTGCTGTAGGTGACCCATGCTGCACATCCTCCTGCTTGGCTCTGTTTAACTTAGCAAACACCTTCGAAGCCACGATCGTATTTAATAACACCTGATGGAGACCCGGTCTGGCTGGTTTCCCCCATTTTATAGGAAACTGGGGCCCAACGTGCAGTTTGCTGGGGGCCACACGGTTATCAAGTGCTGATG
This sequence comes from Homo sapiens, assembly GCF_000001405.40. Classification (NCBI taxonomy): domain Eukaryota; kingdom Metazoa; phylum Chordata; class Mammalia; order Primates; family Hominidae; genus Homo; species Homo sapiens. The sequence goes on along the minus strand of NC_000007.14, from coordinate 73,893,177 downwards.
CAGGATTCTCACCCAGGATTGCTGCCTCCCCAGCTCAATTCTTGCAGTTACACTTTGTGCTGGTAGTCGGAGTCCACCAAGACTCTGGGCTCAGCCTCCCTGACCGAAACCCTAATTCCACAGCAGCACCTCTAAAATCAGCAGGTTCAATGCCTTGATTCTATAAATGGGTAAAGTGGGGGAAAAAGGGACAAGGCCTTGCCAAGTTCATAGAGCATCAGAGGTGAAAGTGGAATTCAGCTTCAGATGTTGATGCTCGTAGGAACGTGAGCCAGGCATGATTCCAGGACAGCTGGAAGGCAGCCAATGTGCATGGCTCAGAGAGCCGGGGAGTGGAGAGAAATCGTGGTGGCTTCCTGGAAGAGGTGTACTGCCCCCCAAGCAAGGCCTCTGTGAAGCCCACTCAAGTGACCCTACGTAGAGACAGTCACAGATCAACAGAAGGAAAATTACAGGCTAGGCTCATGCATGTAATCCTAGCACTTTGGGAGGCTGAGGTAGGAGGATCACTTGAGACCTGGAGTTTGAGACCAGCCTGGGCAACATAGCAAGATCCCATCTCTTATAAAAAAAAAAAGAAAGAAAGAGAGAAAGAAAGAAAGAAAGAAAGAAAGAAAAGAAGGAAGAAAGAAAAGAAAGAAAGGGAAAGAAAGAAAGAAAGAAAGAAAGGAAGAAAGAAAGAAAGAAAGAAAGAAAGAAAAGGAAAGAAAAGAAAAAGGGAAAGAAAGAGAAAAAGGAAGAAAAAAGAAAGAAAGAAAAGAAAAGAAAAGAAAAGGAAGGCAGGAAGGCAGGAAGGCAGGAAGGAAGGCAGGCAGGCAGGCAGGAAGGAAGGAAGGAAAGAAAGAAAATTAGCCGGCGTGGTGGCACGACCCTGCAGTCCCAGCTACTCAGGAGATTGAGGTGGGAGGATCATTTGAGCCCAGAAGTTTGAGGCTACAGGGAGCTATGATCACACCACTGCACTCCAGCCTGAGTCAGAGATTGAGATACCATATCTATTTTAAAAAAAAAAATTCTTCTTTGCAATGGCAAAGAAGAATGAGAGGCTACGGGGGTGAGCTGTAACTGCCTGTGTAACCTCAAAACTGTCCCTTCCCCTCCCCGGGCCTCAGTGGCCTCATCAATACAATAGGGACACGGGATGTTGGCTGTGGCCAGATCACACAGTGACTCTTGCCAGCTCAGCCACTCCTGCAGCAGGGTTCTGAGGACTGGCTCAGGGCTGCCCAGATACTGGCCATGGCTTAGGAGCCCCCAAGTCCAAGTGGGGTGCCTGAGGAGGAAAGAGGCAGGCTACTGCCTGCTAAGCTGGGATGTGAGGTCTGAGGAGGAGCCCAGTGAAGGCCAGAGATAGGGTCGGTGCTGCAGGAGGGGCTGGAGGAACAGCTAGCAGACAGAGGGGAGGAGGCCTAGGCGTGGACGGCCGGGGTCAGCAGCAAGGATTATATTGTGTAAACGATAGGAAACTGAGGGGATTAGGCGGGACAAGGTCATGGTCAGAATGACCTAGGGAAGGCGTCATCCATGCGGTCCAGGCAGATGATGGTGGAATCCGACACCAGCAGCAGCCAGGAGGTTTCAGCAGAAGCTGAGTAGGCTCCTGACAGGAGGCAGAAGTGGAGTCCTTCTCTCCCGTCCATCCCAGACTGGGAGTCCCCTGGGGGGCAAAAGAAGGGCTCTGATCCCCAGGTTAGGCATCTGAAGGCAGGATGAGCCCAGTGACTGTGTGCTGACCCCGGCATGTGCCTGGCCATCCCAGCCCTCAGCACGAAGAGTCCACCCTCCGGCTGGACCAGGTCAGGCTGACCAAGGGCATGACTGACAGGCAGCCTCTTCCAAGGAGCTACGTTGTTTGACTCTCCTGGCTCCTCCCAGTGGCCAAGGCTTGTGGCACAGAATGGTTTCCAGAAATCAATGGTTCTGGCCGGGCCTGGTGGCTCATGCTTGTAATCCCAGCACTTTGGGAGGCCGAGGCAGGCAGATCACCTGATGTCAGGAGTTCGAGACCAGCCTGGCCAACATGGTGAAGTCCCGTCTCTATTAAAAATTCAAAAAGTAGCCGGGCATGATGGTGCACGCCTGTAATCCCAGCTACTAGGGAAGCTGAGGCAGGAGGATCGCTTGAACCTCAGGGGTGGAGTTTGCAGTGAGCCAAGATCGTGCCACTGCACTCCAGGCTGGGCAACAGAGCGAGACTCCACCTCAAAAATAAATAAATAAATAAATAAATAAATAAATAAATAAATAAAAGAAATTAATGGATCAAACGTCAACGTTGAAGTAGGGTAGACCATGAGCAAAGACAAATTCAAGAAGGAATTCCTCCATCTGGACCCAGTAAAGGCTCACTGAGCGTTTACTCTGTGTCAGGCTCTGGGCCAAATGTGGGGGCCACAAAGAGGAGAAAGACAGGGCCTTGAGAGTTCACGGAGGGGACAGTGCCCAGAGATCCGTAGGCCCTGCAAACCCAAGGACACCAGGCAGTGAGCGCCAGGACTGGGAAGGACCTGGAAGATCTCGGCCTTTGTCGGTGGAGAGGAGACGGGAGGAAGGAGGATGCTGGGAGCGCCAGGGGGTCAAGACAGCAGGGAGGGCACTGGAGGAGGGGGTCTGCAAGGAAGTGGGAGAAGGAGAGAAGGGAGGGGACTCCCCCATCCAACTCCAGGATCAAGGACCCCAGCCTGCTTTCCTCCAAGCCAGGTTTTGGTGGAGACACAGAAGCAGGGCCACTGGCCATTTTCACCTTTTAAAAACCACAGCCATTCGAAGCCAGGCGCTGGAGCCAAATTTCTGGGAGAGACAGAGTCCCTGTGGGCGCTTCCCCTGACGTCAATCGGGGTTTCTCTTGTGTGTCTGCGGCTTTGACAGGAGGAGGCCAGTTTAGGGGGCTGAGCTAAGAGAACGAGAAGAGGACCGAAAGCCAAGTGCCGCTCCCATTCTTCCAACCTCCCTGCCCATGGATGGAGCCCTTGTCAGGGTGGTTCAGGGACCCTGCTCAACAGCAGGGCAGGTGTCAGTTACAGGACAGGAGCTGGGGTCACCTAGAATCCTGCACACCATCGTGACTCCTGTGCCCTGACATGAAAGCCACACCCCGTGTAGTCTGGGAGGCTCCGTGCCAAGGAAGCCATTTTGATGCAGGGCAAGCAAGTCCTAGAATTGGGGCTTAGCCCGGGAGCACTCTTGGCTTCACCCAGGAAAGAATTCAAGGGTGGGCCGGGCGCGGTGGCTCACACCTGTAATCCCAGCACTTTGGGAGGCTGAGGCGGGCAGATCACTTGAGGTCAGGAGTTTGAGACCAGCCTGGCCAACATGGTGAAACCCCATCTCTACTAAAAATACAAAAATCAGCCAGATGTGGTGGTGGATGGCCTGTAATCCCAGCTACTCGGGAGGGTGAGGCAGGAGAATCACTTGAAACCAGGAGGTGGAGGTTGCAGTGAGCTGAGATGGCACCACTGCACTCCAGCCTGGGTGACAGAGCAAGACTCTATCTAAAAAAAAAAAAAAAAAAAAAAAAAAAAAGGCTGGGCACAGTGGCTCACACCTGTAATCCCAGCACTTTGGGAGGCTGAAGCAGGTGGATTACTTGAGGTCAGGAGTTTGAGACCAACCTGGTCAACATGCCAAAACCCTGTCTCTAGTAAAAATACAAAAATTAGCCAGGCATGGTGGTGCATCCCTGTAATCCCACCTACTCGGGAGGCTGAGGCAGGAGAATCACTTGCACCTAGGAGGCAGAGGTTGCAGTGAGCTGAGATCGCGCCACTGTACTCCAGCCTGGGCGACAGAGTGAGACTCCGTCTCAAAAAAAAAAAAAAAAGAAAGGAATTCAAGGGTGGAGGTGGTGGTGTTAAACAGCACCTTCTATTGAAGCAGCAGTGAACAGCGACAGCACAGCTGCAGCTCCTTGCAGAGCAGGGTTATCCTATAAGCAGTGTGTCCAGAGGCAGGCCTGCACTCATATTTTTTTATACCCACTTTCAATTATATGCAAATTAAGGGGTGGCTCACGAAGACTTTTCTAGGATGTGGGTGGTAACTTCCAGGTTGCTGGGTCATTGCCATGGAAAGGGGTGGTAAATTTCAGATGTTGCCATGGCAATGGTGAACTGACATGGCACATGGGTGGGCGTGTCTTACGGAGAGGTTCTGCCTCCGACATGCTTTAGCTAGTCCTCAATTTGGTCTGGTGTCTAAGCCCCGCCTCTGGAATCAAGTCCCATCTCCTACCTCATTTTGAGGTAGAGGTGGCACTATCTGCCACTAAGGGACAGTAGAGCCAAATATGAGTGACCAAGGCCCATGACACAATCCCAGGAGGTTCTGAGAACATGTACCCAAAGTGGATGGGTTACAGCTTGATTTTATACACTTTACTGGGACATAAGTTATAGGGAAACATCGACTGATGTGTACATTGGTTCTGTCTGGAAAGGTGGGACAACTTGAAGGAAGGTTTTGGGGGAGGTTCCAGGTCATACATGGATTCAGAGATTTTCTTTTTTTCTTTTTTGAGACAGGTTCTCACTCAGTCTCCCAGGCTGGAGTGCAGTGGTGTGATCTCAGCTCACTGCAACCTCCACCTCCCAAGTTCAAGTGATTCTCCTGCCTCAGCCTCCCGAGCAGCTGGGACTACAGGCTTGCGCCACCACGCCTGGCTAATTTTTGTAATTTTATTTATTTATTTATGTATTTATTTATTTGAGACTGAGTCTCTTCGGCGAAGACCTTCATCTTAGGGTTCCCAAGAACTGTCCACCTGCCTGCCCCTCCCTCCCCCTGCCCAGTCCAGCCACCTCGCTCCAGGCCAGAGCTCCTGCAGTGCCCCCCACCCCACCCAGCAGCCCTCCACATTCCAATCCTCTTGACACGGCTGCCAGTCCAGGTTTCGGGAGTTCAGCCCAGCTCCCAGACACTGAGCTTCTCAGATAGGGAAACTGAGGCCCAGAGAGGGCCCAGGTGCTCTCTGGCACACCCTGTGTCCTCAGGCCCTGCACAGGCATGAAGGCACATTTTGCTGGAGAGAGAACGCGACTGAAGCCGTCTGTCCACCCACCAAGCCCAGTCCCAGCCGGTTGTAGGGGCTGGGGGCTGGGGGTGCAAATACAGGAGGGACAAAGATCACCTTCAACACACACCTGCCCCTGTCAGCTCCACACAAGCAGCCTGTCCCAATACACATTGATGTCCTAGTCTGACACCATCTGAGCCTTGAACTCAAACCCAGAGTGATACCAACACCCAAGCCAGCCAAGCTCATCTGCAACCCCAGACAGAGCACCAGCCGTGGCCCCTGTGACCCCAGAATAAACCTGACCCTGACCCCAGACTCAAGGCTAACCTCTACCCTGGACTGAATCCCAACTCCAACTCCTCTCAGAACCCATCACCTGTCCCACACTGAAGTCCAGCCCTGGCTCCAGGCTGAGCCCTGACCTGACTCCAATCTTAGATCAAGTCCTGACCCCTACCCCAGACTGAGCCCTGACCCTGGCTCCAAACTAGCCTTCATCCCAACCCTTGACCAAACCCAATCCCTGCCCCAGACAGAGCCTTGAGCTCCACACCAAACCAAACCCCAACTCTCCACTCAGACTGAGCTCCAACCTGGAAACAGGCTGGTTCCTGAGCCCGCCATAGGCTGAGCTCTGACTCCAGTGCCAAGCCCTGATCCTCACCGTGACCTCAAACTAAACCTGACCCCAAGGCAGAGCCTTGACCCAGTACAGACAGCCCAGGAAAGGCTCTCAGGACAGCAGACACCAGCCCATCCCCTCTGCTGCCAGGCAGGGCAGCAGGACTGGGGCCACCAGGTACCGGAGAGGAAGAGAGGATACCGGCCACTCATGAGCTGTCACACTGGCCAGCCCTGCCCTCCCTGGCTCAGGCTTATCAAATTGTGGGGTGGGGGCTGCACAGCCTGCCTGCCTCTGCGTGGGTGAATGAAAGGCTGGCAGAGGGGGCCTGGATCCTTCCACGCTGCTGCAGATGGGTCTTTCAAGGAAGGGAGATGAAACCAGGGGAAGGTCCTGGCCCAGATGGGACCAAGGAAAGCCTGGCATTGGGCCACTGCCCCCATGAGAAGCAGAAAATGTCCTGAGTCTACTGGACAGGGGCCATGCTCTGCAGAGGATACAGCCAATTCGGTCACCACACCAGGGCACAGGGCTAGGAGGCTTAGCAGTGCAGGACCCCCCAACCTCCTAATATCAAGAGATGAAGGACTGGGGGGGAAATGATCCAAATCCTCAGGGCTAGCTGAGTCCTGGAGGACTCCGAGCCTGAGGGGTTATTCCTCCTTCCCATCCAGGTGCCCTCTGGTCTCCGGATGTGGGGCCAGGGCCCCCAGGAAGGCCACCTGAGCCCCCCTTCCTCATGGCCCCAGTCCCTGCCTCGCTGTGAGAACGTGCACTCACAGCCACCGGGAAGAGATCAGCATGAAGGAATGTGCTGTCTGGGGGCCAGCGGACAGGATGGGCCGCCGGAGAGGGAGCGAGTGAGGAGAGCCGGCGAAGATCGGAGCTGGGAAGGAAAACAGAGATGAACAGGGGCAGCAAGCCAGGCCACGCCGGCCCAGCCATTGTTCCCAGCCCCGCGGGTCAGGTGCACCGGGCCCACCGCCCGATCCCAGCCTCTGTTCAGCACGGGCTGCCCAGACTTCCCCAGGCCTGCCCGCCTCCCTCCTGTCCCAGAGCCTAACCTCTGGGGTCCTGCCCAGCCTAGGAAAAAGACAAAGCCTGTCCTCTGTGCCGCCAGACAGCCCTCTGGGCCTCTGTCTGCCTCTTGGCAATGTTTCCTCTCTCACCCCCAAGGCCCTGGTCCTTCCACAAGCCTTACTCTGTCCAGACCTCCCTTGTGGGAGGAAGTCTTTGGTTTCCATGGTCTGATAAGCTAATCCACACACGGGTGTTAATAGCTGATAATGACTGAGATCAGCTCTCAAGTGTGGCCCCCGACCAGTAGCTCCATATCACCTGGAAACTTGTTAGAAAAGCAAATTATCAGTCCCAGCCCAGACCTACTGGATCAGAAACTCTGGAAATGACACCCGGTGGTCTGTTTTATGTTTTTGTAGTTTTTGTTTTGGAGACTGGGTCTTGCGCTGTCACCCAGGCTGGAGTGCAGTGGTGCAATCATAGCTTACCACAGCCTCAAACTCCTGGGCTCAAGCGATCCTCCTACCTCAGCCTCCTGAGCAGCTGGGACTACAGGCATGCACCATACTTGGCTAATTTTTTTAATAGTTTGTAGAGACAGGGTCTCTCTATGTTGCCCAGACTGGTCTAAAACTCCTGGCCTCAAGCCATCCTCCCATCTCAGCCTCCCAAAGTGCTGGGATTGCAGATGTGAGCCACCATGCCCAGCCTCAGTGGTCTGTTTTAACAAGACTTCTAGGGGATTCTCACACACATTCAGGTTTGAGAACTACTGACTTAGAGCTTAACACATGTCCATAGAAATAATAACAGGCCAGGCATGGGGGCTCACGCCTGTAATCCTAACACTTCAGGAGGCTGAGGCCAGAGGATCACCTGAGGCTGGGAGTTCAAGATCAGCCTGGGCAACATAGTGAGACCCCATCTCCACAAAAAAATTTAAAAATTAGCCGGGCGTGGTGGTACATACCTGTTCTCTCAGCCACTTAGGAAGCTGAGGTGGGAGGATTACTTGAGCCTGGAAGGCAGAGGTTGCAGTGAGCTATCATTGCACCACTGCACTCCAGCCTGGGTGACAGAGTGAGACCCTGTCTCTATTTTTATAAAAAATGAAAAGAAAAAATAAAAAAGAGCCCAGGCATGGTGACTCATGCCTATAATCCCAGAACTTTGGGAGGCCGATGTGGGTGGATCACTTGAGGCCAAGAGTTCAAGACCAGCCTGAGCAACATGGGGAAAACCCGTCTCTACTAAAAATACAAAAATTAGCCAGGCATGGTGGCATTTGCCTGTAGTCCCAGCTACTCAGAAGGCTGAAACAGGAGAATCTTTTGAGCCCAGGAGGCGGAGGTTGCAGTGAGCTAAGATTAAGCCACTGCACTCCAGCCTAGGTGACAGAGTGAGACTGAGAAAAGAAAAAGAAAGGAAAAGAAAAGAAAGAGGAAAGGAGAGAGAGGAAGGAAGGAAGGAAGGAAGGAGAGAGAGAGAGAAAGAAAGAAAGAAAAAGAAAGAAAGAAAGAAAGAAAGGAAAGAAAGAAAGGAGAGAGAGAGAGAAAGAATGAACTGAATGAATGAACAAGTAAGTAAATGAGTTTTAAGAAAGCCCAGTCTTATCCCCAGACTTCAGTAGAATGGTTTCTTCTTGACCATCTGGTGTCCAAGCCCTGTGGATAGTTGAGAGCTGCAGAGTGGAATAGAGAAAGACTGACAGCTGACTCCCTCAGAGACGGAGCAGGTCTCAGCAACTTCACCTGCCAAGAGCCCATCCAGCAGGTAGGGCCTGGGGTACAGCCAGACTCAAAGAGGCCCAGTGAAAGCTGATGGGAGGAGGTGGTCTACCAGGCCAATAGGAGGTAGTGACAAGAGTCTGGGACTGGGGGCTTATGCCTATAATCCTGTAATCCCGTAATCCCAGCACTTCGGGAGGCCGAGGTGAGCCCAGGAATTTGAAACCAACCTGGCCGACATGGTGAAACCCCGTCTCTACTAAAAATACAAAAATTAGCCGGGTGTGGTGGCACATGCCTGTAACCCCAGCTACTCGGGAGGCTGGGCAAAAGAACTGTTTGAACCCAGGAGGTAGAAGTTGCAGTGAGCCCAGATCGCGCCAATGCACTCTCAGCCTGGGCAACAGAGCGAGACTCCATCTCAAAAACAAACAGGCTGTGCGTGGTGGCTCACGCCTGTAATCCCAGCACTTTGGGAGGTGGGTGGATCGTGAGGTCAGGAGATTGAGACCATCCTGGCTAACACGGTGAAACCCTGTCTCAACTAAAAATACAAAAAATTAGCCAGCCGTGGTGACGGGCACCTGTAGTCCCAGCTACTTGGGAGACTGAGGCAGGAGAATGGCGTGAACTCAGGAGGTGGAGCTTGCAGTGAGCCGAGATCACACCACTGCACTCCAGCCTGGGCGACAGAGAGAGACTCCATCTTAAAAAAAAAAAAAAAAAAAGGGACCCAAGCTCGGATGCCAGGCCCCTGAACATTGAATTTGGCTCCTTCGGAAATCTCCTAACTAAGATCAGGCTGAACCTCAGGGGCTGGGACAGAGCTGAGCCCAGCAGTGGCGTCCCGGGACTTCTGCTGCAAGGAGGGGACCAGAAGCTGCAGGGTGAGAACCCAGCATGGTCTGAATCTTGTGAACTCATCCCTGAATCTGGCCTTTTTTTTTTTTTTTTTTTTTTTTTTGAGATAGAGTCTCACTCTGTTGCCCAGGCTGGAGTGCAGTGGTGTGATCTTGGCTCACTGCAACCTCCACCTCCCAGGTTCAAGCGATTCTCCTGCCTCAGCCTCCTGAGTAGCTGGGACTACAGGCGCACGCCACCATGCTTGGCTAATTTTTGTATTTTTAGTAGAGACAGGGTTTCACCATGTTGGCCAGGATGGTCTCGATTTCTTGACATCATGATCCACCAGTCTCAGCCTCCCAAAGTGCTGGGATTACAGGCGTGAGCCACGGCACCTGGCTTGAATCTGGCCTTTGAATCAGATCCCTCCTGAAGCTGGCATTGCCCTTTCCAGAACTTCAGAGCAACGTGATGCCTAAAGTCCTCTTGGCTTTCCCAGCTGCCTGGGTCTTGCCCAGTCTTGGCCACAGGTGACTTAATTGTGGCTTCTGTCTCCGGGACAGATTAGGGAGATGCACATAGTCTGTCTTAACCTCCTTGGTTTTTGTTTGGTTTTGTTTTTGTTTTTCTTTGAGACGGAGTCTTGCTTTGTCGCCCAGGCTGGAGTGCAGTGGTGCGATCTTGGCTCACTGCAATCTCCACCTCCCAGGTTCAAGCGATTCTCCTGCCTCAGCCTCTGGAGTAGCTGGGATTACAGGTGCCCACCACCTGGCTAATTTTTGTATTTTTGGTAGAGACGGGGTTTCTCCATGTTGGCCAGGCTGATCTCGAACTCTTGGCCTCAAGTGATCTGCCAACCTTGGCCTCCCAAAGTGCTGGGATTATGGGCTTGAGCCACCGCATCCAGCCTCAACCCCCTTATTTTGTCCACCTGCCGGCTCATCTCCCTTCAGGGCCAAGGAAGAGAAGACGAAAGAGTGTGGCCGGATCTCCACGCTTGCACGACACCAGGAAACCTCATGTGGCCAGCTCCAGCCCATATTGAAAGGGGTTTCACTCAACATAAAAAGAGAAGCATCTTCACTCACAGCTGTCACCTCTGCAGGGTTATTTGACATTTCAGGTCCAGTAACTCCCGAGATATCCTCTCGACCTGTGTGGCCCAGAAGATGTCCTGAAAAAGAGCCCATGGGGAGAAATGACTTTGGTGTCACATGGGTCCAGGAAACACTGTGCACCAGGGTCCCTTCTTAGAAGGTCAAAGCTCCTATTTTATGTATGTCTGTGTGTATTTATTTATTTATTTAGAGACAGAGTCTCTGTCACCCAAGCTGGAATGCAGTGGCATGATCTCAGCTCACTGCAACCTCCGCCTCCCGGGTTCAAGCAATTTTCTCTTAGCCTGCTGGGTAGCTGGGATTACAGACACCCACCACCATGCCCAGCTTATTTTTGTATTTTAAAGCCCCTATGAACAATTCAAGATAGCCAGGCCTGGTGGCATGCACCTGTAGTCCCAGCTACTCTGAAGGCTGAGACAGGAGGATCGCTTGAGCCCAGGAATTCCAGGCTGCAGTGAGTTATAATTCCACCATTCAGTCCAGCCTGGGTGACAGAGTAAGACCCTGTCTCTAAAAAATAAATAAAAATTAAAAATTAAAAAAATTCAAGGCTCTGATAAGTCCTGCAAGATAATAGCCTGTCTGACTTTGTGTTTCCTAGGCTTCTTGGATCCAGAAGCTTTTCCCCCTCCCAAAGTAATAGTCAATGGAGCATCACTTGGGAAACACATCCAAAATGCAGAGGGCATCCTTCCAGAGTTCCGAGAAGGAAAAACAGGAGTTGGAGAAGCATCTTGCTAAAGAGGCATAGAAGGCAGGGGATACTGGAGATCCACGAAGGCTCAGCCTCTCTCAACCTCCAGGATCCCCCATCTCCAGAGCCACTGTCCCCAGAAAAGGTGTCATTGAGCAGAAACCTCAGAGGAGGGGAAAGATTCCTTAGCTGTCTAAGAGACAGCCTCAGGTAGGCTGGTGCGCCCAGCCAGCAAGGGAATGAGAGGCATCTCCCAGCATGCCCTGGGGAAGGTACAGCCTGGTCCTCTGGTTGGACTTGAATTCTCAGACCAGCTCATGTCTGTCTACACCTGACTCCCCAACTCTGCACAGTAGGACATATGACATCTGTCCCCCACCCCCCTCCCCTGATTCTGTCCTCTCCTAGGTCTTCTGCATCTGCCTAGGGTGTGAGATGACCTCCTAACCCCCCACCTTGGGGCTTGGAGGCTCCTGTCTTCTTTGGAGTGGAGGAGAGAGAAAAAACTCCTGCCTCAGCTCCCTCCCACCTGCGTAGACTCTTGGCTGCCTTCTGAAGCCAGACAATACAGGGAAATGTTTGCGCCCAAACAACTTTGCTGCATCAGGAACTGCTTGACCCTGCCCAGGAAAGTAAACTCCTAGAGCTCCACCCTTTTGCTCCCTCGGTCTGCAAACCAGGGATCAAAGCTGGAGGGGCAGCCCAGCAAGGGGTTATCAGAGCCAAAGGGGTCACAGGTGTCCCAAGGTGGGCAAGAGGGGAGAGCTCAGGGGTCGCCTCTCTCTAGGGACCCGGGCTTGCCTTCCTGGCTAATTCAGAAAAGGAGTTCTCTCCTTGACAGTGAAATATGCAAAAGCCAGATTGCCAGTATTTTTCTGGAGAGCTGTGGCTCTGAATTTAATCTGGTCTAAAGATAATGAAAACAGCACTTTGACTTGATTTGAAAAATGTATTAATTCATTCCACAAGCATTTGCTGCGCTTGGGTTCTGTGCCAAGCCTAGCGTTGGGCACTGGAGATCCAGTGTGGATCAGCTAAACGCTGCCCCGGAGAGACCCACGGTCTAATGGGGGAGAGAGACACACAAATGGAATCGGAGGGCAGGCGGCTCTGCTTGGTCCCCAGCTGAAGTTCCCCCTGGGAAATGCCAACCTTGGCTAAACTAAAGGCTCAGGAGATTGGCACACACATAGCTGGGACAGGTTAGGGGGCCTGTCACTAAATGCACCTGCAGCCATCTGGCCGCCCTACCATGGAAACTATAGGATCAGTGCATAGTTTCAAAACCGGACGTCCTGTCCTCATATTCGATAAAGACTCCAATGCCCTCCAGGGTCCCCTCCCGGCAGCCCTTCCCTTCCTCTCCGATGGGAAGTCCCTTTGCCAACCTCAACACAGCCCTGAGGTGATGAACATCAGCTGTGAGCCAACATTGAGAAAAGCAACACGGGGCAAGAGAAGATCGGCTTCTCCTGGCTCATGGGCACAAACACATTCACAAATATGTGGACACTCCCAGAGGATGACCTCCGGGCATTCCAGTGCATCGACCTTTGGGACATGTCAGCTTCCCATTTCCAGCAGCGGGCTGTGGAGGGGAGGGAGAACCAGTGATCCAGTGACTGCCTCCCCTGTCCAGGCTCCCAACTCAACCCTAGTGGAGCTTGGACAGCAACTCATCCTGTCTTAGCCTTTGGGGACATCAAGCACGGGGTGGAAGGGGCCAGGAAGATGGAGAGCAGGAGGCCAGGGGCGGCTAAGGTCAAGACAGTCAGTCTGTTTGTCATGGCCCCTCACGCCCACCTCGCCCGCATGCCAGAGACTGTGTGTTTTCGTCTTTTTCTTGGAGGGGGAGGGATGCGGCTCAGAGCCTTGAGTGATGAGTTAAGTGACAATGAATTTGAACCACATGGAGCCCGGGCTTAAGGGGAAAGTGTTTTGGTGAAATGCAGCTGGGATTTCATCAGCCCCCACCCCCCAGACGGTACAAAAATAGTCCAGGCCAGGCAGGCTGTGACCCACAGGCCTGGCCCAATTTCGCCAACCCCTGTCCTGGAGAAAAGCTCGGAGTGGCCTCTTTCCCTCGATCTGGGTTTCGTAATCTGCCTCTTTGTTTTGGTCGCTGGTTTGTTGATGGGCTGGGTTTGTCTGGGAGAATTTGCTCCCTCTGGAAGAGAGGGTGAAGCCAGGAGACCCTCTCTTACTGTTTGTCACAAGTCTCCTTGGGGCGTCAGGGAGGGGCCAGAGCTGGGCTTGCTGGCCCCAGGCGGGGTAAGAGTGACATGGTCACGGCTTGGGACCAAGACCAGCTCGGGAAGCCCTGCAGCTTTGGGGATGTGGGTGGGTCATGGGCACTGGGGCAAGAGGTGGGCTTCACTCAAGCAAAAGCTGAAAGGTCTATCACCCTCTCAAAGCCAGCTCCACCCTTCAGAGGGGGAAACTGAGGCAGAGGCAGGGTGTGAGTGATCCCAGGCACTGGAGTCTGTTAACAGCATGGAGGAGGCATCCGGAAGTGTTTGTGGGTTGAGAAAATGACAAAAGCCCTTTGCCCCAGTCCCTCTCAGCTGAGCCCAGGAAGGAAAGGAAGGCAGGGCTGCCTGAAACCCCCACCCCAGGGCACACCCGGAAGGTGGACAGGCCCCACCTCCCTGAGCTTCTGTCATACATCATCTCCTTCCCTCCTTCCCCATATGTGAATGGTGGTAGCCACCTCCCTGGGTTGGGATGAGGGGAGGTGACCCTAATCGTGCCCTTGCAGGCTGGTGGCAGCAGGACCCACAGGGCGGCAGCTCCCAGAGGGAAAGAGATGCACATGCTGTGAGGCCAGGGGCTGCTGGGACGGGGAGCGAGCTTGGGGTAACAGGGCCATTGATTTGACAGTCGAAAGTCACATCATCCAGGCTGGGCACAGTGGCTCACGCCTGTAATCCCAGCATTTTGGGAGGCCAAGGTGGGCAGATCCCCTGAGGCCAGGATTTCGAGGCCAGCTTGGCCAACATGGCAAAACCGTCTCTACCAAAAATATGAAAAATTAGGCGGGCATGGTGGCGGCACCTGCAATCCCAGCTACTCTGGAGGCTGAGGCAGTAGAATTGCTTGAATCAGGGAGGCGGAGGCTGCAGTGAGCCGAGATCACGCCATTGCACTCCAGCCTGGGCAACAAGAGCGAGACTCCATCTTAAAAAAAAAAAAAAAAAAAAGGCCGGGTGGGGTGGCTCACGCCTGTAATCCCAGCACTTTGGGAGGCTGAAGTGGGCAGATCCCAAGTTCAGGAGATAGAGACCATCCTGGCTAACATGGTGAAACCCCATCTCTACTAAAAATACAAAAAATTAGCCGGGCGTGGTGGCAGGCGCCTGTAGTCCCAGCTACTCGGGAGGCTGAGGCAGGAGAATGGCGTGAACCCGGGAGGTGGAGCTGGCAGTGAGCCAAGATCGCGCCACTGCACTCCAGCCTGGGTGACAGAGCGAGACTCCGTCTCAAAAAAAAAGATAGAAAGAAAGAAGAAGAAGAAAAAAAGTCACGTCCAGAAACTCGGCCCATCCGGGGTACCTAGAACAATGCTGGGTCTTGCCATCTTGTCTGTTGGGATCATGTGTGACAATCCCCAAGGGAACGAGGCTGCAGGGACACAGGTGTTCAAGGCCGCTTTGAGAACTAGTCTCCCATCTCGCGGGACTCAGGCAGGACCCGGGTGACCGACCAGAGCACCGAGGTCCAGAGAGACCCGGTCCTGGGGACCAGGGGTGGACACAGGGCAGGTGGCTCTTAAACACTGCTGGACATGTGCTTTAGGACCATAGCAAGGGACATGAAGGGTGACTCAGACTGACCCGGGGTGCCCATCTGTACTCAGGCCCTTGGGGTGGGGCGAGGGACCAGGAAGGGCCACCTTGAGAGACTGTAGGGGTAGCCAGAGTGGCTGGGGGTAAAATCAGAGCCTTCTGTCCAGCCCCAGGCAGGGGCGCTGAACCCATCACAATTCCCTGCCCAGGGGCTGAACCAGCAGCTTCCTCCTAATACCAAGTTCAACAGTGTAAAGTCAAGTTAATCTTAGCCTTACCAGAATCACAGCACTTTGGGAGGCCAAGGTGGGAGGATCGCTTGAGGCCAAGAGTTCAAGACCAGCCTGGGCAACATAGCAAGACTACATCTCTACAAAAAAAAAAAAAAAATTAGCTGGACGTGGCGGTATGTACCTGTAGTACTAGCTACTCAGGAGGCTGAGGCCGGAGGATCACTAGAGCCCGGGAGTTGGAAGCTGCAGTGAACTATGATCATGCCATTGCACTCCAGCCTGGGTGACAGAATAAGACCCTGTTTCAAAAAAAAGAAAAAGAAAGAGGTCGGGCACGGTGGCTCACACCTGTAATCCCAGCAATTTGGGAGGCCGAGGTGGGCAGATCCCCTGAGGTCAGGAGTTCGAGACCAGCCTGGCCAACCTGGTGAAACCCCATCTCTAATAAAAATACAAAAATTAGCTGAGTGTGGTGGTGCATGCCTGTAATCCCAGCTACTCGGGGAGCTGAGGCATGACAATCACTTAAACCTGGGAGGTGGAGGTTGCAGTGAGCCAAGATCGTGCCACTGAACTCCAGCCTGAGCGACAGAGCAAGACTCTGTCTCAAAAAAAAGAGAGAAAAGAAAAAGAAAGAAACTTCCTCCTCTGTCCCCTTCAGGCCACAGCTCCCCAGGGAGAGCCAGGCCCCTAGGACCTCAAGACAGGGCCCATGTTAGTCCTTCCTGCCTCAGTCTCCCCATGCAGGGCCGGGCCAGAGCACCTCAAAAGCACACAGGAAGCATGGCCGGGGCGACCCCTTTCTCCCTGCCTCTGCCCCCTGCCCCAGGGACCCCAGGACCCAGCCTGTCTGGAAACCCCTGCTGGCCTGGCCTCCTTCCCTGCTCTTGCTACCCAGAGAGTTTCTGTTCCCTCCACTCCATTGTTCTCCCAGTACCGCTGGCCCTCTCCACTGCCCTCGGCCCTGGGCCAGCCCCCACAGGCCAGGCTGAGCCCAACTGGGGCACAGGGACATCACGCCAAGGCTCTGGGAAGCCTGGTCCCACACCCGGAGTTTGGGGAATGCGGGAAGTTTCTTCTCGGCCCTCTTGGCCGAGGTGCGAATTAGGGGCTCGATGAGGCAGCTCCACAGAGACACACCAATGGAATCGGAGGGCAGGCGGCTCTGCTTGGTCCCCAGCTGAAACTCCCCCTGGGAAATGCCAACCTTGGCTAAACTAAAGGCTCGGGAGATTGGCACACATATGGCTGGGATGGGCTAGGGGGCCCGTCACCAAATGCACCTGCAGCCGTGTGGCCGCCCCACCATGGAAACTAGAGGATCAGTGCATAGTTTGCAAAACCAGAGATCCTGTCCCCATGTCCGATAAAGACTCCAATGTCTCCTGGGGTCCTCTCCCAGCAGCCCTTCCCATCCCCTCTAATGGGACATCCCTTTGCCAACCTCAACACAGCCCTGAGGTGATGAAGTCACCTGCACTGAAGTCCCAGCTCTGCCGCTTCTCAGCTATGTAGATACATGACTTTGCCTCTCCGAGCCTTAGTTTCCTCATCCGTAAAATGGGGATGACACTGGGACCTTCCAGCCAAAGGTGTTGTGGGGAGTATGTGGGATATCACATCACGGAGAAGTCCTCTCTGTGTGCCTGGCACGAAGGAAGGGCCCGGTGAAGAGCACCTCTCATGCTTCCTAGAGAGGGGTGGGGACTCTGGGTGACAAGAGAAGTTGCTAGAGCATACCTGCGGATGGGATGAGATGGGAAGGTCCATCAGGATGGTCCAAGGATGATGCCAACGGCCCCAGGGTGCTTTCTGCTCATTCTGTCTCTGTAGGTCCTCTAGCAGGTCAGACAGCTGCAGACACAGAGGGAAGCCCCCCTCACACACCCAAGGGGAGACCCCCAGCCCCAGCCTTGGAAGCCCTGGTGATCATAAAAACAATTAGCCAGGCGAAGTGGCACATACCTTCACCCCCAGGTACTCAGGAGACTGAGATGAGAGGATCACTTGAGCCCAGGGGTTTGAGACTAGCCCTGGGCAACATAGCAAGACCCAATCTCTATAAAAATTAAAAAATTAGCTGGTCATGGTGATGTGCACCTGTAGTCCCAGCTACTTGGGAGGCTTAGGTGGGAGAATCGCTTGAGCCTAGGAGTCTGAGGCTGCAGTGAGCTATGATTGTGCCACTGCACTCCAGCCTGGGCAACAGAGCAAGACCGTCTCAGAAAAGAAAAAAAAAAAGGCGTGGGCCGGGCACAGTGGCTTGCGCCTGTAATCCCAACACTTTGGGAAGCTGAGGCAGGTGGATCACCTGAGGTCAGGAGTTCGAGACCAACCTGAGCAACATGGTGAAACCCCGTCTCTACTAAAAATTCAAAAATCAGCCAGGCATGGTGGCACGTGCCTGTAATCCCAGCTACTCCGGAGGCTGAGGCAGAAGAATTGCTGGAACCCAGGAGGCAGAGGCTGCAGTAAGCCGAGATCACACCACTTCACTCCAGCCTGGGCAACAGGAGTGAAATTCCATCTCAAAAAAAAAAAAAAAAAGTGTGGAGGTACACAGGCTTTGAAGTCAGACCCTCTGGTTTGAATCCCAGGCAGCACCCTCACCTCAGGGTCAGGTGCTCCCCCAGGAGACTAGGCCACAGTGGGTGGGTCCTCCAAGGTTGACCTCTTGGCCCTCCGCAGCCCCAAATTCCCACCCTTTAAAAGAGCCAGGGGAGGCCGGGCACGGTGGCTCACGCCTGTAATCCCAGCACTTTGGGAGGCCGAGGCAGGTGGATCACGAGGTCAGGAGATCGAGACCATCCTGGCTAACATGGTGAAACCCCATCTCTACTAAAAATACAAAAAAAAAAAAAATTAGCTGGGCATGGTGGCGGGCGCCTGTAGTCCCAGCTACTCGGGAGGCTGAGGCAGGAGAATGGCGTGAACCCAGGAGGCAGAGCTTGCAGTGAGCTGAGATCGCGCCACTGCAGTCCAGCCTGGGCGACAGAGCGAGATTCCCTCTCAAAAAAAAAAAAAAGAAGAGCCAGGGGAACCCAGCTCCCTGGCCACCGGAATCAGATCATGCAAAGCCCATCTTTGTTTGACTTTGGAAGGCTTGACAAGGTGGGACACTGCCCTTCCACACCTGGACACCTCGTCTGACGACCTGGGGGAGATAGGACAGATGATCCTGGTAACTCAGCCAATTCTGCTTCTCCTCCTGGGCACAGCCCAGGGACATCACCTCTGAGGGCCTTAGCGCCATCCCTCTCACTGTCTGGCTCTGTCTACCTCTCTCTGCTCTTTCTGTCTCCCCAACCCCACCCCAGCTTGCAGAGAGGCCGGATGTAGCAGTGGTCCATCCTGGCCAAGGACACAGATTTGGCCAGGCATGGTGGCTCATACCTGCAATCCCAGCACTTTGGGAAGCCAAGGCAGGAGGATCGCTTAACTCCAGGAATTTGAGACCAGCCTGGGCAACATAGTGATACCCCATCTCTTTTTTTTTTTTTTGAGATGGAGTCTCACTCTGTCACCCAGGCTGGAGTGCAGAGGTGTGATCTTGGCTCACTGCAACCTTTGCCTCCCAGGTTCAAGTGATTCTCCTGCCTAAGCCTCCTCAGTAGCTGTCACTACAGGTGCATGCCACCATGCCCAGCTAACTTTTGTATCTTTAGGAGTTGCACCATGTTGCCCAGGCTGGTCTTGAACTCCTGAGCTCAAGCAATCTGCCCGCCTCAGCCTCCCAAAGTGCTAGGATTACAGGCATAAGCCACCACACCCAGCCATGAGACTCCAACTCTAAAAAATATAAATATGTATTTTATATATATATATATATAATATATATATTAGCCAGGTGTGGTAGCTTACACCTGTAGTCCCAGCTACTCAGGAAGCTGAGGCAGGAGGATTGCTTGAGCCCAGGAGTTTGAGGCTGCAGTGAGCTATGATCATGCCACTGCACTCTAGCCTGGGCAACAGAGACCTTGTCTAAAAAAAGGGGGAGGGAGACACAGACTTTGGAGCCAGTCTTCCCGGTTTGCATCCCAGCTCTGCTACCCAATAACCAAGCAGAACTTAAGCCTCAGGTTCCCCATCTGTAAAATGGGTTAAATGGTAACAACAGTGCCTCCCTCCCAGGGAGACTGGAATGAGTTAATACAAGCAAAGCCCTCAGAACAGTATCTGGCCCATAGCGAATATTTAATAAATGCTAGCCCTCGTTATTTTTTATTTGTGTCTTCATCCTGCATGTTTGCTGACTCAAATTTTCCTTGGGTAAGGAGGTGCGGGAGAAGGCATGGGGCTCTGTGGTTTGAATTGCCTGTTGCTCCAGGCCTCCGGGCTGCAGGCTACAATAAAGCACTTCTTTCAATCTGGGCCAATGATGCTTCGATAAAGCTTGACCACAGGATGCAGGATCGCCAGGCTCTGCAAACACAACCCAGGCCTCGGAGGCTGGGCCAGCACCAGAGCTAAGACTGTTCCGGGCAGGCAGGCAGCAAGGTCCCCAGTTCCAGGCCACGGGCTGTGGCCATCCCCTGCTTCCCTCCTCACCCCCCACTCACCCCAACCCTGCACGCCAAATCTCCGGCCTCCACCCCAAGGCTATTCACATCCCCTATCCTAGAAGACTGAGAATCTGGGAAGGCAGCATCGCAGAATCCTTGAATCTTGGAGTTACAAGGCTTTAGCATAGTGCTAGGAGGTTGCCTCACACAGCCTCAGACTCCTTGCAAGAATAACCTCTGCCGGCTGGGTTCGGTGGCTCATGCCTGTAATCCCAGCACTTTGGGAGGTCGAGGCAGGCAGATCACCTGAGGTCAGGAGTTTGAGATCAGCCTGGCCAACATGGTGAAACCCCACCTCTACTAAAAATACAAAAAATTAGCCGGGTGTGGTGGTGCGTGCCTGTAATCCCAGCTACTCTGGAGGCTGAGGCAGTAGAATTGGTTGAACCTGGGAGGCAGAGGCTGCAGTGAGCTGAGATCACGCCATTGCACTCCAGCCTGGGCGACAAGAGTGAGACTCCATCTAAGAAAAGAAAGAAAGAAAGAAAGAAAGAAAGAGAGAAAGAAAGAAAGAAAGAAAGAAAGAAAGAAAGAAAGAAAGAAAGAAAGAAAGAAAGGAGGGAGGGAGGGAGGGAGGGAGGGAGGGAGGGAGGGAGGGAGGGAGGGAAGGAAGGAAGGAAGGAAGGAGAAAGAGAGAGAGAGAGAAAGGAGGGAGGAAGGAAGGAAGGAAAGAAGAAGGAAGGAAGGCAGGCAGGCAGGCAGACAGGTGAAGGAAAGAAAGAAAGAGAAAGAAAGAGAGAGAGAAAGAAAGAAAGAAAGAGAAAGAGAAAAAGAGAGAGAGAAAGAAAGAAAGGAAGGAAGGAAGGAAGGAAAGAAGGAATAACTTCTACCATTGCCATGTTCCTGACAGAGAGCAGTCCCACCAGCTTGGATCCCTCCATGACGGGGAGCTCACTACCACAATTGTGACTTAAGATTCCCACGTGCTTTTAGCTCATTAGGATCACATGTCCCTAGTGAAGTCAGAGGGGCCTACAACCCCACCGAAAAGGAACCTGTCCAGGCCACCACCAGGCAGTTCCCATGGAGTGTCTTTGCCCAGGCAGCCTTTTGTGCCTGAGATGGTCATTTCTTCCAGATGCCCTTGGCTGACCTCGTCCTCAGGCTTTCTTCTCTGAGTCTGGGGCCCCTGGGGAGACATCCAGCCTCTACCGTGCCAAGCACGGGTGTTGGCAGGGAAGGAGGGAGAAGAGAGGATTCCTGGGAAGGGACAGCAGGGCTGGTTGTGTGAAGTGAGTTTCGTGATGGGGACCCCAGTGCAGCGCCCCACCCCCCAACAGTTGGTGGCACCCCCTGCTGTGCCCGAGGCATCCCAGGAGGACGTGGGCAGCCAGGCGATCCAGGGGGCCTCAGAGGCTTTTTCAAGCGCTACCAAGGGGCTGCCGGGTGTGTTGGTGCAGAGTGGCTGCTGTCACCACCCCTGGCAAGGGACTTGTTTCCAGATTATGTCTAAACTAATCTATTCCCCAGGCAGCACCCAGGAGAAGCCCCATGAGCCCTCTGCACACAGGACCCTGCCTCAGGACAGGGAACCCAGGCAGCACCGACTCCAGACCCAGCTAGGCACGGGGAGAGGCGGGGTGACCACAGGGCTCCAGCTGTCCAGATGTGCAGCCAGCATTCTGCCGTGGAGACGGGGCGGAGCTGCCGCGAGGGGCCCAGATGGGCCACGTTAACCTGGGAACAGGCTCTTTGGGGCCCAGATGCTCTGTGTTTAGCCGGCTAGCTGGTTTTGGTCTCCAGATGTGAGCCTGGGGTGAGGGGCGGGACACAGATCCAGATGCGTGCACTATATGCAGGCGAAGCCGTAGGGCCCAGCTGCAGCACCCAGGCCCAGGGCCTTCCAGATCATGCCTTCTCCAGCGCCTCAATCCACGCCTGCGGGGCCCTGGTCCAAGAGGGGGTCAAGGTTCACTCAGGCTCAGAAGTTAGCAGAGCCCACAGGCACCCTCATGGCGGGAACAGGGACAGAGCCCAGGGACCTGCCCAGTGCCACACAAGCCAGGGACAGGCAGGACCCCCAACAGGAGTAGAGAGTCTGGGGTCCCTCCAGCCACAGGCCGCTGCAGGTGAGGGGCTTGGGGAAATGCCTTCCTCTCCCTAACCCACACAGACACTCTCAGACACACACAATTAAGTAATCTGGACAGCCCTGGCCAACCAGTGGGAGGAGGTGCTGCATTCACTGTGGAGGAGAATTATCAGGGGACACAGTCCTGCCCCAGGTGGATCTCAAAGAATCCAGCCTTCCCTGGGGGCCCCACCCCTCAGCCTCCTCCTGCTCAACCCAGGAAGTGCAAGAGCCCTGCTAGGTGGAGGACTTGGGGCTGACCGCTAACCCCCCAATCCCAGGCACTTTTGGGATCTCAAGCCCCCAACCCCAAGCCAAGGTGGGTCAAAGGCGAAGAGGGGTGAAAGAAGAGAAGGCACTACCACTGCTAAGCAAGCGCTGGATGGAGGGGGCTGGAGAAAGCCTCCCGAGGGATCCCAGACACGACGGCTTCCCAGGTGCCCGGCCATCCTCACCCATCTAGCACAGATATGGGGGGCAGCTGGGGAAGCCCAGAGACCCCTGCATTAGCCCCCAGCATGGTCCTGAGACCCTGCAGCCTCCCCCTCCTGCCACCCAGAGGGCCTCCATCCTAGATAATAACCCCAAGTCTCCCAGCAGCCCCCTTCTCAATACCAACAGCTGCCCAAGGTCAGCTGCCTCTCCCCAGCACCCTCCATCAGCCCCTAGAAGTGCAGCCGAGAGTCCGGGCGCGGTGGCTCATGCCTGTAATCCCAGCAGTTTGGGAGGCTGAGATGGGCGGGTCACCTGAGGTCAGGAGTCCGAGACCAGCCTGGCCAACATGGCGAAACCCCGTCTCTACTAAAAATACAAAAATTAGCCGGGCATGGTGGCGGGGCACCTGTAATCCTAGCTACTCAAGAGGCTGAGGCAGGAGAATTGCTTGGACCCAGGAGGTGGAGGTTGCAGTGAGCTGAGATCGTGCCCCTGCACTCCAGCCTGGGGGACAGAGCAAGACTGTCTCCAAAACAAAACAAAAAAAGAAGTGCAGCTGAGAAGGCAAGGACCGAGGCACAGGGCAGGACTTCAGGAAAGCCCCTTGTCCTCTAAGTTTCAGTCCCACGACTGTCCAGCGGCCCCAGCTCTGGACTCTGAGACAGGAAGTCATCGTGGCCACAGCGGCCACTGGTCAAGGTCAATGATCAAGTCCACCTGACCATAGGGCAGCCTAGCAGGGGAGGGGCGAACAGGCACAGCTACTCTTGGGGCCATCGGGCATCTTGCCAGCTCCTTCTCACCCTGTCGGGGCAAAGCAGCTCAGGAGAGAGACAACAGGACCGGCACAGTCTGGCCTGGGTGGGGAGGCTGGCTGGGGGAGCTGGATTGAAGCGAGAAGCGCTAATAGGTTATGTCAGGCGAGCGCTCTGGGGAAGGGGCCGCGCCTCTCAGCTCTGGCAGCCCCACCTGGGGCCTGAGCCCAAGAGCTGGGGCCTGGAGAGAGACGCTGGCTCAGTGCTGAACCCAGTGTGCAGACCGGGGAGCAGGAAGGCAGGACAGAAGTGAGCCCCCATCCCCCACTGGGCCTGGGGCAGCAGGGGGGCTGGTGATAGACACACAGACCCCTCTGGTGGGCTAGGCAGGTCCCAAGTGACAGAGGCCACCCATGCTTACATGATGGGACTGGGCTTGGTGGAGAGCGAAGCCCCAGGGGGTGGGACCACCCCTCTGCTCAGGGGAACCCTCTTATTATGTATCCCCTCATTTCCTTTTCTGTCCAGTCCCCCCATCCTGGGCGCCAGGATCCCATCCCCAAACCCTCCCGACCCTGATCTCTCCCCGAAACTCCCGCTGCTCTGCGTGGACTTCACCAGCCCCTCCCCCATCCTTCAGTGCGCACTTTGACAGCCCCTAACACCGCAGCCTTTCCTGGGGTTGGGATGAGGTCAGGATGAACCGGGGGACAGGGAGAGGCCTGCAAATGAACCCCTCGCCCGGGAATGTGGGTTCCAGGGCTCCGGGAGGTGGAGAGGGTCTCAAAACAAGAGGCGGGGGGGTCAGGGAAGGGCCAGGAACTCGGGCCGGGGCCTGCGGGCAGACTGAGGAGGGGGGCCCTTACAATCACAACGGGGCAGCCAGGGCCCTGTGTGTCTTGGCGAAGTGGGACCCCTGGCCCGCCAGGTATGTAACAATTCCAGCCATTTCCTGCCCTATTAATGAAAAAGGGACTGATATAAATACACGCTCAGCATAAATAAATACAGGCCAGGCCCAGGACTGCATAGCAGACAGATTGCGTGAAGCTGCTGGCTGGCCTTGCAGCCAGCTCCCCCCACCCTGCCCATGCCCCGTCCACCCCCTGACACCGGCCACCAGTTGTTTTCTTCCAGCAGGCCAGGGCCCCTCCATGCTCACAGGCCTGAGACAGACGGACTGACTGCTCCCACCCCGGGCCTCAGAAGCTGCAGCCCCCAGAAAGGCAGCAGGCCTGGGAGATGGGGAGCCAGGGAGTGGGGTCCCAAGAGCCTCCCATGCCTGCTCTGAGCGGGGACCGCACGTGCACAGACCAGGCAACAGCCCTGTGACATCTGGGGTGTTGTGATTATACCCTGATCACAGGAGGGGAAACTGAGGCTCTCAGGGTTTAGTAAATTGCCAAAGGTTACACAGCTGAGAGGTTGTGGATCCAGCATCCAAACCCAAGGCTCTCTGACCCCAAGGCCTCTGCTGTGCCCACCATTGTGAGTGGCAGCCGAGGGGAGATTCTGGCCTTCTCCCTTTCCCCCAGGATGCCAGAGACCTTGGAAGGCCGGAAGAATTCAAGTCCTAGAAGAGATCTTGCAAAAGCAGCAATAACTCCAGGACAGGGGATTCAGGGAGCCAGAAGTCAGCCAGTGTAGGGCCTTATTGGCAGGCTGCGTAGACAGGGGGACTGCTCCTCTCCTGCCCCACCCCACCTCTTACCTGGGCACTGAGGAACAAGGCCTGGCATCAAGGAACCCCAAATGCTGACTCTCGGCCAGCCGCAGTGGCTCACACCTGTAATCCCAGCACTTTGGGAGGCCAAGGTGGGCAGTTCGTCTGAGGTCAGGAGTTTGAGACCAGCCTGGCCAATATGGTGAAACCCCGTCTCTACTAAAAATACAAAAATTAGCCAGACATGGTGGCGCTCGCCTGTAGTCCCAGCTACTCGAGAGATGAGGCACAAGAATTGTTTGAACCTGGGAGGTGGAGGCTGCAGTGAGCGGAGATCATGCCACCGCACTCCAGCCTGAGTGACAGCGAAACCCTGTCTCAAAAAAACAAAAACCAAACCAAATGCTGACTCCCTTATCGGGGATCACCCCACCCATCCCGCATTGCACAGACATGGGAACCGAAGTCCAGAGTGGGCAAAGAGAGCCTCATCCAAGGTCACACCCAGTGACCTAGGCGGGCAGAGGCAGAGGCAGAGGCACAGAATCCAAGCTTCTGTCCCCAAGCCCAGATCTTCTCCACGGGGCTTGGGCCACATTCCTGTCCATCCCCACTTTGGCCCCAAACTGCTCTGGGGCCTCCTCCTTTCCTCCAGTCCCTGCCTCAGCAAAGAGCTGACATCACCTACTCCTGCACTCATGCTTCCCTGAAAGCTGTGTGTATGTTCTAGAATCCCAGTCATGTTACCCCTCTGACCAGGTGCTTATAGGTCCTTCCTGGTACATGTTCTACCTCGTTGGCCAGATGGGACCCCTCAGATGTCCCTCCTAGAGCAGGACAGCCTTGCTGCTTAGACTTGGAGGAAGGGTCTGGAAGTTCACCCACATCCACCCTGAGCTGTAAGGGAGGCCCTCACTGAGCTGGGAACCCGAGTGGAGAAGAGCCACGCTCACACCACCACCCTCTGGCTTGGGAGTAGGTGAGAGGTAACTGCAAACACTCAAGAAACCATCCCTTCCCCTCTCAGCAGAATCACTCACCTGAAGGCTGAGTCTTGGGGATTGGAAGCATCACAGCCTGAGCTGGCACAGCAGCATCAGCCACCCATGCAGCAGGACCCTGTGTCCTTACTCACAGGTTAGGGGAGTGCTGAGATACTGGATAGGTTTCCCCTTTCCCCAGGGAGACAGATGGCTCTTCAACAGATAGCGGGTGAGTGGGTGTGGTTGGTTCTGTGGATGAATGGATGGGTGGGTGGGTGGGTGGATGGATGGATGGATGGATGGATGGATAGATGGATGCATGAATGGGTGGATGAATGGGTAGATGAATGGGTGAGTGGATGGTTAGGCAGATGGGTGGCTGAATGGATGGGTGGTTGGGAGGATGGATGGATGGATGGGTGAATGGATCAGTGGATGGATAGATGGATGGATGGATGAATGGATGAATGGATGGATAGATGGGTGGATGGATGGGTGGATGAGTGGGTGGATAGATGGATGGATGCATGAATGGGTTGATGAATGGGGAGATTAATGGGTAAGTGGATGGGTAGGCAGATGGGTGGGTGAATGGATGGGTGGGTGGGTGGGTGGATGTATGGATAGGCAAATGGACCAGTGGATGGATAGATGAATGGGTGGATGGATAGACGGATGGATGGATGGATGCATGAATGGGTGGATGAATGGGTAGATGAATGGGTGAGTGGATGGGTAGGCAGATGGGTGGGTGAATGGATGGGTGGTTGGGAGGATGGATGGATGGATGGATATATGGGTAAATTGATCAGTGGGTGGGTAGATGGATGGATAGGTGGGTGTGTGGATGGATGGATGGATGGATGGATGGATGGATGGATGGATGGATGCACGAATGGGTGGATGAATGCATAGATGAATGGGTAATTAAATGGGTAGGTAGATGGGTGGGTCAATGGATGGGTGGTTGGGTGGATGGATGGATGGATAAATGGATCAGTGGATGGATGGATGGATGAATGCATAGGTTGTTGGGTGATGATGGATGGATGGATGGATGGATGGATGGATGGATGGATGGATGGGTGGATGGGTGGAGGGATGGATGGGTGGATGTGTGAGTAGATGGGCAGGTGAATGGGTGAGTGGGTGAATGGATTGGTGGGTGGGTGGATGGATGGTTCTGTGGATGGCTTTGTGAGTGGGTGGATAGGTGGATGGATGAATGGCCAAGTGCATGAATGAATGGGCTCCTTGAAGCCTGGCTCACAACTGTTTCTCAAAGCTTTCTAAATCTCTGAAATGTGAGGCCCTGGCACCCCCCAGAGGCCAAAGTCTCTAACTGCCCATCTCCCCTAAAGCCCTGGGCACCAATACTTCTGAGAACCAGGGGCACGCACCTAGAGAAAGTTAAGGATTCTGGGAAACAAAAAATCTAGAGACCCAGTGCTGGTTCTGCCCTTGACAGACTGTGACCTTGGGAAAGTTCAACCTTCTGAGGCTCAATTTTCTCAGCTGTAAATGGTGCTAATCAAACCTGATGCCTGTGTTGCTAGGAGATTTAAACCAAATTATGAGTAAATTGTCTGAGATGTTTGATATCTGGCCCATAGAAGATGCTGACGGAAAGTGATTTCCTTCCCAGAGGCAGTCCTGGGCTCACATGCAGGCACACACATGCACATCACTCACACAACATCTCTCCAGCCCATTAGGGAAGAGGGAGTGAGACCATAGGCTAGGCCAGACCAGGAGAGGCAGATGGGGATACATTTATTCTCTGGGAGTTTCTTGCTCTGGCAAAACTGTTCCAGACTCTGAGTCCGAGGACGCAGACAGTGAGGGCAGCAAGGAAGACCCTGAGACCTCCTGGGGTTCAACCTCCTGGGCCTCGGCCAGCTGGGTCGTGTGCTCAAAGGCAGCCTGCAGCAGGTGGGAGGCCAGGCAGGTGGTCCAGGTGATGAGATAGGCCAGGTGCCAGGAGGTGAGGGCAGTCATAGTCTCCACCCACCAATACAGACGTCTCAGCTGTACCAGGAGCTTCCTTACCACGCAGTTCACTTGCAAGGCCTGGAACAGGGAGACAGATGGGCAGGTGGCCCTTAGGAGCTCATAGGGTTACACTGCTTGGCTGTGGCTCCCCCCTGCAAGCCCAGCCAGCCCTGACCACACCCAGTACCCCAGGTTTGCCCTCCACACCCCAGCCTCACCCCGAGACCACCCACCTTACTGAGCTGCCTGCCCAGTCGGAAGCAGTGGGACTTCTGACACACCCTCCAGGTCACTACCACCAAGAGCAAGGCCACCAACATCAGGCCGTGCAGACATGACAAAAACAGATCTGTCCAGATGGCCACAGACAGGCCCAGCTGCTCCCAGGCACTGAGCAAGGCCAGGCCCAGGCCCTTGGTGCTGCCCCACATGCCAGCCCACATCAGCCTGGGTCCCTGTAGCACCAGCCATACGGGGACCTGTATCAGAGCCAGCCCAGCCCAGAGAGCCTGGCCCAGGGGGCAGGCTGCAGCTCCCAGGGGTAGGTGGGCCTGCCAGTTACAGGACCCCCGGGCCTCCTGGGCCAGCCCTGACACCCAGTGGTTGAAGAGGTTGATCTTGAGGAGCAGGAAATTATAGAGGTGATCTCGGTTCTGAACCAACTGCAGAAGAAGAGAGAGAGACAACCGTCAGCCATCATCACCCTCCTGGGACAGGAACCCCACTTTTTCTTTTTCTTTTTTTTTTTTTTGAGACGGAGTTTCACTCTTGTTGCCCAGGCTGGAATGCAATGGCGCTATCTCGGCTCACTGCAACCTCCACTTCCCGGTTTCGGGCGATTCTCCTGCTTCAGCCTCCTGAGTAGCTGGGATTACAGGCGCCTGCCACCACACCTGGCTAGTTTTTGTATTTTTAATAGAGATGGAGTTTCACCATGTTGGTCAGGCTGGTCTCGAACTCCTGACCTTAGATGATCCACCCGCCTCAGCCTCCCAAAGTGCTGGGATTACAGGCGTGAGCCACTGCGCCTGGCCAGGAACCCCACTTTTACTGTAGAGGTGAAGCTGCTGGACCACCTTGAGTCAGATCCCCATCTCAAGGCCTCAGCTCCCCACAGGTGCAAGGATGAACTCTGTCCACTTTGAAGGACTCCCTTCTGAGAAGGGAACATTAGAAGGTGTTTCATATTGTATTTGGGTTCCTTTCCATTGGATATTTTTTTTTAAGAAACAGGATCTCACTCTGTTGTCCACGCTGGAGTGCAGTGGTGTCATCATAGCTCACTGCAGCCTTGACCTCCCACACTTAAACAACCCTCCCATCTCAGCCTTCCAAAAAGCTGAGACCACACAAGTGCATGCCACCATGCCTGGCTAATTTTTTTTTTTTTTTTTTTAAGAAATGGAGTCTTCTTATTATGCCTGGGCTGGTCTTGAACTCATAGGCTCAAGCAATCCTCCCCCCATTAGCCTCCCAAGTAGCTGGAGCTATAGGTGCATCTCACTAAGTCCAGCTAATTTTTTTTTTTTTTTTTTTTTTTGTAGAGGCGGGGTCTTGCTATGTTATCCAGGCTGGTTTCGAACTCCTGGCCTCAAGCAATCCTCCTGCCTCAGCCTCCCAAAGTGCTGGGATTGCAGGCATGAGCCACTATACCTGGCCTCCATTGGATTTAAATGATTATTTACAATACTCCAGACTGAAGGAGGTTTCATGGCTATTATTACCATGTTACGATCCCCCACCCCAATCCTGTGGGCTTTGAACCCAGGTCACTTGTCTTCTTCCAAGTAGCTGGGCTTTGCCTCTGTACCAGTTGTCCCCTGGCATCAGGAGGGCTGCTGGGGCAAAGGACAATGCCATTAGGGGCAGGGAGGCGTGAGAGACATGGGGCAGGGGTCACATAATTCACGACAGACCTAATGAGAAGGGTGAAGGAGAGAGATCCAGAAAGACTTCCAGATTTCCAGCCGGACATGGTGGCTCACACCTGTAATCCCAGCACTCTGGGAGGCCGAAGCAGACGGATCACCTGAGGTCAAGATTTCGAGACCAGCCTGGTCAACCTGGTGAAACCCCATCTCTACTAAAAATACAAAAATTAGCTGGGCATGATGGTGCATGCCTGTAATCCCAGCTACTCGGGAGGCTGAGGCAGGAGAATTGCTTGAACCCAGGAGGCGGAGGTTGCAGTTTGCCCAGATCGTGCCACTGCACTCCAGCCTGGGTAACAGAGTGAGACTCCATCTCAAAAAAAAAAAAAAAGAATTCCAGATTTCTGATCTGGGTGGTGAGTTGGACAACGGTGTCTCCCATTCACTGAGATGAAGCTGCAGGACTGGGGTGAGGTGGGGGAAAGCTGTTCTTGAGTCCTGGAGACCCTTCATCAGAGCTGGAAAGCCCCCAGCCCTTGAGTGACACCAATCCACCCACCTGGACCCCCCATCCCCGTGTCCACAGGCCCCACCATCTGAGATTGGCTGCAAGACCCCCCACTCACGGGCTGGATTTGCAGAGCTTGGGACGTGGAGGGTGGAGCTATGCTGAGACCAAAGGGTCCAGCAGGGAGAAGAATTAGGGTAGAGCTAGGAAATAGGACCTCCCAGGTTATGGTGCTGAGACCAGGGAGGAGGGAAACCTATGATATCCCACATGATCCCACAAGATCATTTCTATAGGAGAGGAAACGGGCTCAGAGTGGTGAAGTGATTTGCCCAAATTCACACAGCTAGAGGGTAAAACAGCCAAGATGCAAATCTTTTTTTTTTTTTTTTTTTTTTTTTTTCTGAGACAGGGTTTTGCTCTTGTTGCCCAGGGTTGCCCAGGCTGGAGTGCAATGGTGGGATCTCGGCTCACCGCAACCTCCGCCTCCCAGGTTCAAGCGATTCTCCTGCCTCAGCCTCTTGAGTAGCTGGGATTACAGGCATGCACCACCACGCGTGGCTAATTTTGTATTTTTAGTAGAGACAAGGTTTCTTCATGTTAGTCAGGCTGGTCTGGAACTCCTGACCTCAGGTGATCTGCCCGCCTCGGCCTCCCAAAGTGCTGGGATTACAGGTGTGAGCCACAGCTCCCGGTCCCAAGATGCAAATCTAATGGTGTCTGTCTTTCTCAACTGCCCCCTGTTATATGATCTTGGCTGACTGCAGCCTTGGCCTCCCAGGCTCAATCTATACTCCCACCTCGGCCTCCTAAGTGTGACTGAGTTGTGACCCCGACCACAAGCATGTGTATGTTTAAAAGAGATGAATGGGCCAGGTGCGGTGGCTCACACCTGTAATCCCAGAACTTTGGGAGGCCGAGGTGGGTGGATTACGAGGTCAGGAGTTTGAGACCAGCCTGGCCAATGCGGTGAAACCCTGTCTCTACTAAAGATACAAAAAATTAGCTGGGCGTGGTGGCGCACGCCTGTAATCCCAGCTACTTGGAAGGCTGAGGCAGGAGAATTGCTTGAACCTGGAGGTGGAAGTTGCAGTGAGCCGAGATCGCACCATTACACTGCAGCCTGCGCGACAGGGCAAGACTGCATCTGAAAAAAAAAAAAAGAGAGAGAGATGAATGAGCCAGGCGCAGTGGCTTATGTCTGTAATCCCAGCACTTTGGGGAGCTGAGGCGGGCAGATCACAAGGTCAGGAGATCGAGACCATCCTGGCTAACAGGGTCTCTACTAAAAATACAAAAAAAAAAAAAAATTAGCCAGGGATGATGGCACGTGCCTGTAGTCCCAGCTACTTGGGAGGCTGAGGCAGAAGAACTGCTTGAACCCAGGAGGCAGAGGTTGCAGTGAGCCGAGATCGCACCACTGCACTCCAGCCTGGGCAACAGAGCGAGACTCTGTCTCAAAAAAAAGAAAAAATGAATGGGAAAAACAATGATTCACCCATAGGAGTGACCCTCAATAGAGAAAATGCTGCCAGGTGCGGTGGCTCACACCTATAATCCCAGCACCTCAGGAAGCTGAGGTAGGAGGATCATGTGAGGCCAAGAGTTGGAGACCCGCCTGGGCAACGTAGTGAGACACCATCTCTACAAAATACAAAAATTAGTCAGGCGTGGTGGTGCACACCTATAGTCCCGGCTACTTGGAGGCTGAGGGGGGAGGATTGCTTGAGACCGGGAGTTGGAGGCTGCAACGAGCTGAGCCGGCACCACTGCGCTCCAGGCTGGGCGACAGAGCGAGACCCTGTCTCTAAATAAAGAAAAGAAAAGAAAATGTCAGCACTGTAGTTTGGAGTGGGGCTTCTGGGAGATGTCAGATTATTCTGGAAGGCAGGCAGCCACCTCGTTCCACTGGATGGGACAGGCAGGGCTTGGGCCCGGCAGCTCTGAGGTGGCTCTGTGAAGGGCCTGGTGTGTGGTCCCCACCCCACTTACCCCCAGCCCCCACTCACCAGCACTGAGAGCCTCGTAACCTGCAACAGGATCCCCAAAAGGCTGGATCTGACTGGAGGAAGGGCCTCCATGTCTGGCCTCCCCCACCTACTCCAGCTGGGAGAAGCAGGGTGACCTCACAGATGCCACAGGGTGGGGACCAAGTTACCATGGGGACCCGGTTGCCGCCAGTGACCCACTGCCTTTACCTGGCTCCTGCCGCTCCACTGCTTCCTCTGAAACCTCAGTCCACGTCTGAGCCCAACACGGCCAAGGAGGTCTTAGAGCAAAGCTTCCTTCGGGTCGGATTTCCCCAGATCTTGGAACAGGAATCAAGTGCCGCCTAGGAACGGGGTTCATGCCTGGATTCCCAATGCTTTGGGAGGCCAAGGTAGGAGGATCGCTTGAGGCCAGGAGTTTGAGACCAGCATGGGCAACATAGCAAGACCCTGTCTTACAAAAAAACAAAAAAAGAAAAAAATTAACCAGCCTTGGTCATGCACACCTGTAGTCCCAACTACTCAGGAGTCTAAAGTGGGAGAATCGCTTGAGCCCAGGAGATAGAAGTTGCAGTGAGCCAGGATCACTCAAGCCTGGGTGACAGAGCAAGACCCTATCTCTAAACAAAGAAAAAAAATTGAAGGGTGATGAGTTTATTTGGGGAGTGGGCCCTGCAAGCATCCATAGGAAGTCAGAAAGTGAGGCAAGGGGCCAGGCACAGTGGCTCACACCTGTAATCCCAGCACTTTGGAAGGCCGAGGCAGGCAGATCACGAGGTCAGGAGTTTGAGACCTGTTGGGAACAGGCCCCCAAAATCTGGCCATAAACTGGCCCCAAAACTGGCCATAAACAAAATCTCTGCAGCACTGTGACATGTTCGTGATGGCCATGACACCCACGGTGGAAGGTTGTGGGTTTACCGGAATGAGGGCAAGGAACACCTGGCCCACCCAGGGCGGAAAACTGCTTAAAGGCGTTCTTAAACCACAAACAAGAGCATGAGTGATCTGTGCCTTAAGGACATGCTCCTGCTGCAGATAACTAGCCAAACACATCCCTTTATTTGGGCCCAATCCCTTTGTTTCCCATAAGGGATACTTCTATGGGAATCTAATCTAATCTATAGTTAATCTAATATCTATAGAAACAATGCTAATGACTGGCTTGCTGTTAATAAATACGTGGGTAAATCTCCGTTTGAGGCTCTCAGCTCTGAAGGCTGTGAGACCCCCTGATTTCCCACTTCACACCTCTTTATTTCTCTGTGTGTGTGTGTGTGTGTGTGTGTGTGTGTGTGTGTGTTTAATTCCTCTAGTGCTGCTGGGTTAGGGTCTCCCCAGCCAAGCTGGTCTCAGCAGAGACCAGCCTGACCAACATGGTGAAACCCCGTCTCTACTAAAAATACAAAAAAAAAAAAAAATTGGCCTGGCATGGTGGCGTGCACCTATAATCTCAGCTGCTCAGGAGGCTGAGGCAGGAGAATTGCTTGAACCCAGAAGGCAGAGGTTGCAGTGAGCTGAGATCATGCCACTGTACTCCAGCCTGGGCAAGAGAGTGAGACTCTGTGATAAAAAGAGGGAAGGGGAGGGGAGGGGAGGGGAGGGGGAGAGAGAGAGAGAGAGAAAGAAAGAAAGAAGAAAGAAAGAAAAAGAAAGAAAGAGAAAGAAAAAGAAGGAAAGAAAGAAAGAGAAAGAAAAGAAAGAAAAAGAGAGAAAGAAAAAGAAAGAAAGAAAGAAAAAGGAAGGAAGGAAAGAAAAGAAAGAGAAAGAAAAGAAAGAGAGGCAAGGACAGATGAGTTCATGAGCAGGGTTTGAGTTCAGACAACCGGGGCTGATCCCCAAAATCCCCTGGAAAATGGTGCAGAACGCACCTCAGAGTCACCCCACCCAAGGAGCATGAATACTGGGGTATTTATCTTCCATGACCTGTCTGCTTCCTGTTGGACATTAACTCCCGCTGAACCTCCAATCTTACCAGCACAAACACCAGAGAAAGCCCTCCAGCAGATGGTCGGGTGGGGGTCTTGCAGCAGGCGGCTCAAGCAGTGTGCATGGAAACTAAGGCAGAGGACTCTGGGGTAGGGACAGCAAAAAGGAATCCAGAACAAATAAACCCCTAGACATGTGATGATGGGAGCCTTGACCAGGGCTGAGGCCCTGGAAATGGAGACAACAGATGCCAGAAATCTGTAGCAGGTACAACAGATAGAATTGGAGGATGTCAAGACCCACGATGATCTGAGACGTTGCCCAATTTCATGCTAACAAGTTAGCCAACCAGAGCTCCACAGCTGCCACAGGAAGACATGAGACTCCCAGGTCAGAGATCAAAGACAATGTTACTCATGGCAATAGCAGTGAACTAGGTTATAAGCATTTTCCATTCATTCCTTGAGCTCCAAATCCCACAGGGTGATATGACAAGGGCCAGATGATGCCTGGCAGTATCTGAGGTGGGTGTGTTACAGGAGAGGTGGCTTGAGTTTAGGGAACCCAAATCTTTTCTTTTCTTTTTTTTTTTTTTTTTTTTTTTTTGAGATGGAGTCTTGCTCTGTCACCCAGTGCAGTGGTACAATCTCGGCTCACTGCAACCTCCACTTCCCGGGTTCAAGCAATTCTCCTGCCTCAGCCTCCCAAGTAGCTGGGATTATAGGCGCCTACCACCATACCCGGCTACTTTTTTGTATTTTTAGTAGAGACAGGGTTTCTCCAGCTTGGCCAGGCTGGTCTCAGACTCCTAACCTCAGGTGATGCACCCGCCAGCGCCTCCCAAAGTGCTGGGATTACAGGTGGGAGCCACCTCGCCCAGCCTTCTTTTTTTCTTTTTTTGAGATGGAGTCTCACTCTGTCGCCCAGGCTGGAGTGCAGTGGCACCATCTCCACTCGCCGCAACTTCCGCCTCCCAGGTTCAAGCAATTCTCCTGCCTCAGCCTCCCGAGTAGCTGGGATTACAGGCTCGCACCACCAAGCCCAGCTAATTTTTGTATTTTTAGTAGGGATGGGGTTTCACCATATTGGCCAGGCTGGTCTCGAACTCCTGACCTCAGGTGATCCGCCTGCCAGCGCCTCCCAAAGTGCTGGGATTACAGGCATGAGTCACCGCGCCTGGCCAGGAAACCCAAATCTTTTCTAATGTGCAGTAAGCAGGGCTGCCTTTTGCCCCAGAAGGAGACATTATGTCTTCCAAGGTTGTCTGATATACAGATATCCTAGAAAAGAAAGTCCAGGGCAAAAGGCAATCCATTAGTGCCTCACTCACAAGACATACAGAAATGTGAAAGACACATAGACAGAGGCATCCCAACAGAGGAATGAACAGGAAAAGAAGTAAAGCGAGACAGGGGTCAGGGATACCCCCAACCCAGAAGACTTGAGTGAAAGGCAGAAAGTAGCGCTGCCCACCAAGTGGGGGCGGGGAAGAGAAGGAGTAGGTTTGGGGAGAGAGGCAAAGGGATTGCTGGGGGTCAGAAGGTGGTGGCTGAGCCGGGTGCAGTGGCTCACTCCTGTAATCCTAGCACTTTCAGAGGCCAAAGCAGGTGGATCACTTGAGGCCAGGAGTTCAAGACCAGCCTGGGCAGCATGATGAAACCTGGTCTCTACCAAAAATATAAAAATTAGCTGGGTGTAGTGGTGCATCCCTGTAATCCCAGCTACTCAGGAGGCTGAGGCAAGAGAATCTCTTGAACCCGGGAGGCAGAGGTTGCAGTAAGCCGAGATCAGGCAACTGCACTCCAGCCTGGGTGACAGAGCAAGACTCCATCTCAAAAAAAAAAAAGAAGGGAAGGAAGGAAGGAAGGAAGGAAGGAAGGAAGGAAGGAAGGAAGGAGGGAGGGAGGGAGAAAAGAAAAGAAAAGAAAGAGAGGTGGCTGAGACTGGGATTTGCAGTTTGTTTTCCCTCCTCTCTTTGGTTTGCCACCACCATCACCTGGTATCCCTGTCCCCAGAACTCCACTGCCACAGAGGCTGAGCTGATATCTCCAGCCTCATACTGACCACACTCCCCGTGGTCAGTGTGGGAGCTAGAGCAGAAGAGACCTCACTCTGTCCCACAGCCCCTATGGGCAGCCCCATGGGAATGCTAGGCACATGTCTCAGTCCCAGCTCTAGTCACCTGCCCTTCCCTGCCCCCACCAAAGCCCTGGTCTTAGTCCCCAAGCTAGACTCCAGCCAGGGCTCTTTGTGGCTCTGTGGCTGCCCAGACCACAGGAACAGGTGCCCACAGAAGCCTGGATACCTAGTGTCAGAGGTCAGGAGCCTCCACTGGGGTGTGAAACCGACTCAGGATGTCCCCTAAGCTAACTGAGGGAGAGCAGTCCCAACCACGCAGGTCCACAAGCCAGAAACCCCGGGATCACCTTCTCATCTTCCTGCCTTCTCCCCTTCCTGCCAAGCCACTTCTGAAGGCAAGGGCCACGAACCTGCCTCACTGCTGCATCCCATGCCTAGAACGGTGCCAGGGGCACAGAAGGAGCTCTGTGTAAATTTGTTGAATTAAGAAATGAAAGCTGGCTGGGCACAGTGGCTAATGCCTGTAATCCCAGCACTTTGGGAGGCCAAGGCTGGTGGATCACCTCAGATCAGGAATTCTAGACCAGCCTGGCCAACATGGCGAAACCCTGTCTCTACTAAAAATACAAAAAAATTAGCCGGACGTGGTGGCACGTGCCTGTAATCCCAGCTACTCAGGAGGCTGAGACAGGAGAATTGCTTGAACCTGGGAGGCAGAGGTTGCAACCAATGAGCCAAGATCATGCCACTGCACTCCAGCCTGGGTGACAGAGCAAGACTCTGTCTCAAAAAAAAAAAAAAAGAAGAAAGAAAAGAAAAGAAAAATGACGGCTGGGTGCAGTGGCTCAGGCCTGCAATCCCAGTGCTTTAGGAGGCAGAGGTGGAAGGATTGCTTGAGCCCAGGAGTTTGAGACCAGCCTGGGCAATATAGCAAGACCCCATCTCTACAAAAAAATTCAAAAATTAGCCGGGCATGGTGGCATGTGCCTGTGTTCCCAGCTACTCAGTAGGCTGAGGCAGAAGGATCGCTTGAGCCCATGAGGTCGAGTCTGCAGTAAGCCTGATTGCACCACTACACTCCAGCCTGGGTGACAAAGTAAGATCCTGTCCAAAAAAAAGAAAGAAATGAATAACGGCCCTACCTACCAGGTTGCACCTGAAGGTAGCAGGACCTGCTGTGGGAGGAGCCTCCAACGTAGATCAATCAACTGGGAGCCTTGAACCCTCAGTCCAAAGCTTCCCCCCGCTCGCGCCCTTCTCTTTCTTACTCAGCACCAGGTTCAAGGCCATCCATGCACCATTGCTCTGTGTGGCTTTGGAGTTTCACTTTGCAGGGCAGCAGGGAGGACCAGGCGGGAAACCCCAGTTATCAGTAGCCGCTGCCTTGCACAACGCCGCGGGG
Source organism: Homo sapiens (assembly GCF_000001405.40). Lineage (NCBI taxonomy): Eukaryota > Metazoa > Chordata > Mammalia > Primates > Hominidae > Homo > Homo sapiens. Next base: position 73,855,877 of record NC_000007.14, on the reverse strand, counting down.
AGTGGGGCGCCGTTCACCGGCCTCTGCCCTTCTCCGCCCCAGGACCCAGGATGAGAGGAGAAGCAGGAAGCCCACCTCTGAGGTCTGCCAGCCTGGGTACCCATCGGCTCTCAGGTGCGCCCCCTGAGGGTGCAGGACTGCAGCGCGGCCGCACGGGGGCAGCAGACACCGGGGCGCGCCTGGGCGCCCCGCGCTAGTGGGTGGAGAGTTCCCAAAGACTCGCTTGGTCCCCAAGCCCTGCGAGGCCGGTTTCCCGGTAACAGCAACGTCGCGTCATCCCCAGGAGTTTGCCCTGTGCAGGTCTCGTCATGCCTGGGTTGCTGGAGGCAAAACCACGGAGAAATGATCAGGACCAAAATCTTTTTTTATGTCATGTTCCTAAGTTAAAACTTCATTTCGTTTCAAATCTTCACTTTTTTTTTTTGCCAAAAAATACGCAAAAAGGATAAATATGTCTGTATACTTATTGGAGCTTGGTGTTTCTTCTTTCTGTTTTTTGTTTTTGTTTTTAAATATTTTAGAGAGGGGGATCTTGCTATGTTGCCCAGGTTATCTGGAACTCTTGGCCTCAAATGGTCCTCCTGCCTCAGCCTCCTGAGTAGCTAAGCTACAGGCATGCGCCACCATAACCGGCTATTTGTGTTTGTGTGTGTGTGTGTGTGTGTGTGTGTGTGTGTGTGTGTGTGTGTGTGTAGAGATGGGGTTTCACTAAGTTGCCCAGGCTGATCTCAAACTCCTGAACTCAAGGGATCCTCTCACCTCAGCCTCCCAAAGTGCTGGAATTACAGGTGTGAGCCACCACTCCTGGCCTGCATTTTTTCTTTCTGAAGATGGTTTTACCCAAGCCAATTACATGCGAAAATAATGATCAAAAAGCAATGAAAGTATGAAGGACCGGATCCTGGTTAAAGAAATAGATTCAGAGATGACAAACTTGGGTTTGAACTGAGCTGCTACAAGAGCTCCTGCCCCAAATTTCATTATCTGTAAAACTGGAAAATACTTAGAACCAGGCAGGGAAAGTTGCGGGGAGAAACCAATGAAATAGAGCCTGTGAGGGGCAGCGTATGGGAGCTGATAAGTAATGAAGTCGGTATCTGTGAAGGAAAAGGAACTCAAGAATTTTTCAAAACAAAATAAGCTACAAATGGGACAAAATTGCTTTCAAATAAGTGCAAACTTGTAAAAAAGAAACCACTCAGGGTGCAAAAATTTTATTAATTCACAAACCAATGTGTGGAAATCATTATTGCAACCAGTTTTCAGGCAATTCACTTGGACATGATTTTCACCCGACATGGAAATTCACATGGGAATTCACATGGAATTCACCCGACATGATTTTGAAATTTGAATTTTAAAAAGCTCACTGCCAAATGTAAAGAAAAATCTTTGCTTCCTTAAAATTAATTCAAAAATTTTTGAATAAAAATGAATGGAAATACTTTAAAAATGTTTTAAAAGGGATATAAAGTCGTCAAACCATCCCATGGTTCAAAAACATTATTCATCCCAAAATAAAGTGCCGAGAAATGGACAAAAAAGCATAAATGCAGGCCGGACACAGTGGCTCACACCTGTAATCCCAGCATTTTGGGAGGCTGAAGGAGGATCGCTTAAGCCTAGGAGTTCAAAGCCAGCCCTACAGCATAACAAGACCCCTGTCTCTACCAAAAAAAAAAATACAAAAATTAGGCAGGAGTGGTAGTGAACACCTGTAGTCCCAGCTACTCAGGAGGCTGTGGTGGGAGGATTGCGTGAGCCCAGGAGGTGGAGGCTGCAGTGAGCTGTGTTTGCGACACTGTACTCCAACCTGAGTGACAGAGCAAGACTGTGTCTCAAAAATAAATACCTAAATAAATTTGAAAATAATCAACATATAACAAAAAGCAATGGAAATTATTCATAACATTCACCAATTCATTTATCAACCAATTTGTTCAGAACCAAACTTTTTAGACATTTGTTTTCTGCCAGCTCACCTAGACCTTTCTCTGCGACATTCTCCCAGCACCCCTGCCCCATCCTCATCCACTCCCTCTTTCTCTAGTTGCTCTTTTTATTTTTGTTTTTGTTTTGTTTTGTTTTGTTTTGTTTGAGACAGTCTCACTCTATCACCCAGGCTGCAGTGCAGTGGAACATTCTTGGCTCACTGCAACCTTTGCTCCCAGGTTCAAGCGATTCTCCCACCTCAGCCTCCCGAGTAGCTGGGACTACAGGCGCACACCACCAGTCCCGGCTACTTTTTGTATTTTTAGTAGAGATGGGATTTTTACCATGTTGGTCAGGCTGGTCTTGAACTCCTGACCTCAGGTGATCCACCTGCCTTGACCTCCCAAAATGCTGTGATTACAGGCATGAGCCACCCCGCCCAGACTCGCCTCAGCTTCTTGAGTAGACTACAGATGCATGTCACCAAGGCTGGCTAATTTAAAAAAAAATTTTTTTTTTGTAGAGGCAGGATCTTGCTATGTTGCGCAGGCTGGTCTTCAACTTCTGGCCTCAAGCAATCCCCCTTCTTCAGCCTCCCAAAGTGCTGGAATTACAGGTGTGAGCTACCACGCCCGGCATCTACCTGCTCTTTTGTCTCATGTCCTAAAGCAAATGTTTCCAGGACATTTCCTAGGGTTTCACAAAGTTAGAAATAAAATAAGAAAAAATAAAATGTTCCTCAAAGCCCCCTCACCTCTCTGTTTAAACCATACTGTGGGTCGGGCACAGGGGCTCACACCTACAATCCCAGCACTTTGGGAGGCCAAGGCAGGTGGATCACCTGAAGTCAGGAGTTCGAGACCAGCCTGGCCAACATGGCGAAACCCTGTCTCTACTAAAAATGCAAAAATTAGCCGGGTGTGGTGGTGCATGCCTGTAATCCCAGTTACTCAGGAGGCTGTGGCAGGAGAATCGCTTGAACCTGGGAGGCGGAGGTTGCAGTGAGCCAAGGTCACGCCACTGCACTCCAGCCTGGGTGACAGAACAAGACTGTGTCTCAGAAAAATAAATAAATAAATAAATAGTAAACCATATTGTTGAAAGAAGTCCTGCAGCCCCTCACGGCCACCACCAGCCACCGCCACTGCCCTGGCCCAAGTCACCAAGCAAAGCCAAAAGCTGTGAGAGCCTGGGGGAAATGTTTGCAACGCTGCAAACAGTATCCACAATCTGAAGTATCCAAGGAACTCTTACAAATCAGTAAGATAAAATTAAATGACCCACATGGAATTTTGGTTAGCCAGAAGGAGTGAGTTCAAGACATGTGTTGTACATCACACTAACTATAGTTGATAACAATCTCGTGTACACTTGAAAATTGCTGGCTAGGCACTGTTGTTCAAGCCTGTAATCTCGCTCAGCACTTTGGGAGGCCAAGGCAGGTGGATTGCTTGAGCTCAGGAGTTGGAGACCAGCCTGGGAAGCATATTGAGACCTTGTCTCTATTTAAAAAAAAAAACGCAAAAATTAGCCAGGCATGGTGGCACGCACCTGTGGTCCCAACTACTTGGAAGACTGAGGTAGGAGGATTTCTTAAGCCCAGAAGGCAGGGGTTACAGTGAGTGGAGATTGCACCACTGCACTCCAGCCTGAGCAACAGAACAAGATCCAGGCAGGAGGGAGGGAGGGAAGGAAAGAATGAAGGAGGGAAGGCGGGAAGGAGGGAAGCAGGGAAGGGAGGGAGGGAGGGAAGGAAGGAAGGGAAAAGAGAGACAGAAAGAGGGAAAGGAAAGGAAAGGAAGAAAGGAAGAAAGAAAGAGAAAGAAAGAAAGAAGGAAAGGACGGAGGGAGGAAGGAAGGGAGGGATAAAAGAGAGAAAGAAAGAGAGAGAGGAAGGGAAGGAGGAAGGGGGAAGGAAGGGAGGAAGGAAGGGAGGAAGGATGGAAGGAAGGGAGGAAGGTTGCCAAGAGAGTAGATTTTAAATGTTCTCACTGCAAACTAATGATATGAGTATGTGAGGTGATGCATAAGTTAAAGGGCTTGCTTAGTCATTCAACAATACATCCCTATATCAAAATGTCATGTCATACACCATTAATATATACGGTTGTTCCTTGTCAGTTAAAAATAGGGAAAGGGAAAAAAATCAAACGACCCAATGGAATACAACAGCAAAAGCCATTCACAGAAAAGGAAACTCCAGGAGCCAATAAACTGATGGAAAGAGGTTCAACCTCATTAGTCATTAGGGAGGAATGCACATTGAAACCACAGTGAGATATGATCTCACCCTCATTTGCAAAAACAAAAAAGTCTACAGCACACGTGCGTTGATGACTCTGTAGGCTAACCAGAGTCTCAGACACTGCCTGTACCCTGATTCAGTAGTGCCCTTCTGGTTTTTAGTCTCTGGGTGCCACCCATGGTAAGAATTGTATTAAACAGCCTGGACGCAGTGGCTCACATCTGTAATCCCAGCACTTTGGGAGGCCAAAGTGGGAAGATCGCTTGAGGCCAGGAGTTGGAGACCAGCCTGGACCACATAGGGAGACCCAGTCTCTATGAAATATTTTTAAAAATTAGCTGAGCATAATAGTGCATGCCTGTCAACTCAGCCACTCAGGAGGCTGAGGCAGGTGGATCACTTGAGCCCAGAAGGTTGAGACTGTAGTGAGCTAGGATTGTGCCACTGCACTCCAGCCTGGGCGACAGAGTGAGATCTTGTCTCTAAAAAGAAAAAAAAAGAAAAAAAAAGTATTGCACAAAGCTGTTCATTAAACACACATGTGAAACTGAAGCAAGAGCCTAACAAAACAATAATTACTCCTACTACATGCAGTATGCTCTTCTAATATCTGTTCATTCTATTTCACAACCAGCTGAATTGTTTTCACTACCCTCCAGTGGGTTAAAGCATTCCTTCCAGAAACATCCACTTGTGAACAAAGAGACATGTGCATGGCAATGTTATTTCCTATCCCCAGGAAAGGGGAGCTGTATCAGCTGGGTGTGTCAGCTTGAGGCTTGAGGGATGACTAAGCGGTGGTGAAAACGAACCCAGTCCGCAAGCATCAACACAGAAAGAGCTCATAAATGGCTGGGCATGGGGGCTCATGCTGGTCATCCCAGCACTTTGGGAGGCCAAGGCGGGCAGACCACTTGAAGTCAGGAGTTTAAGACCAGCTGGGTAACTTGGTGAAATCCCATCTCCACTAAAAAGACAAAAAATTAGCCGGGCCTGGTGGTGCATGCCTGTAGTCCCAGCTGCTCGGGAGGCTGAGGCAGGAGAATCGCTTGAACCCAGGAGGCGGAGGTTGTAGTGAGCCGAGATCGCGCCTCTTCACTCCAGCCTGGGCGACAGAGCAAGACTCCATCTCAAAAAAAAAAAAAAGCCACTGAAGCAGAGTTGAAGGAAGAGTGGGGCAACATGGCAAAACCCCACCTCTACGAAAAATACAAAAAAAAATTAGCTGGGTGTGGTGGTGCACGTCTGTAGTCCCAGCTGCTCGGGAGGCTGAGGTGAGGGGATTTTCCCGGCTGGAAAATAGTGCAAAGGCCCTGTGATAGCCTTGGCACAGTCCAGGAACAGCAGAGGCCAGAGTGGCGGATCAAGGAAAAGAGACGCTACAGATAAGGAGAGGAAAGAAGCTGGATTTTAGGTTTTAAGCAGGGGCGTAAACTCATCAGATGGATACTGTAAAAACGCCACTCTGGCTGGGCTCAGTTTGTTAACTATTGAAACGCTCATGAAGAAATACATGGGGAGTTATTACACTAGTCTCTTCTTTTGTGTGTGTTTGAGATTTTCTTCTTCTTTTTTTTCTTTTAGTTTTTTCAGACAGAGTCTTGCTGTGTTGCCCAGGCTGAAGTGCAATGGCGTGATCTTGGCTCACTGCAACCTCTGCCTCCCCGGTTCAAGTGATTCTCCTGCCTCAGCCTCCCAAGTAGGTGGGATTACAGGCATGCACCACCATCCCTGGATAATTTTTGTACTTTTAGTAGAGACAGGGTTTTGCCATGTTGGCCAGGCTGGTCTTGAACTCCTGATCTCAAGTGATCCACCCACCTTGGCCTCCCAAAGTACTGGGATTACAGGTGTGAGCCACCGCACCTGGCTGGTGTAGTTTGAGTCCACAGGATTTGCTGATGAACAGGGTGCGAGATGGGAGAAAAACAGCTTGAGCTGAGCCCCTGAGTGCAAGGTGGTTCAGGGGCATTTGCAGAGACGGGCCCTGAAGAGGAGCAGATTTGGGAGTGGAAAGAATCACTCTCGGGTCTGGGCTCGTTGCCAGACCTGTGGCCTCCAAGGAGATGTCAGTTTCATGGCTGGGTGAACAAGTCCAGAGTTCAGGGGAGAGCCAAGACTAGAAGTCATCAATTTGGGAGTCACCCACAAATAAACAGTATTTAAAACCACGGGACTAGATGAGATCACCTAGGAAGTGGGTGTACACAGAGAAGGAAGAAGACCCAGGACAGAGCCGGGGGCCTCTCCTAAGCTTAGAGGTAGGAGAAGAGCAAGGAGGAGGCGGTGAAGAAGATGAGGTAGGAAGAAAACTCCAAGGAAGGGAAGTTGCCATCTGGTCCTCAACAGCCCCCACACCCCATCAGCACCAAGGTCACCCCCTCCTCAGCAGCCCCTGACTCTTGACACTCCAGCTCTTGCCAAGTAACTGCAACAGCCTCGGAACTTGCGGTTCACCCAGCTGGCTCTCCCTGCCGCCTTCTGGAGCCATCTTGGTAAAATGCAAATCTGAAGCCACAACTCCCCATTACACATTCAGGGTTAGAAAGCACGTCCATAGACCAGGCGTGGTGGCTCATGCCTGTAATCCCAGCACTTTGGGAGGCCGAGGCAGGCAGATCACCTGAGGTCAAGAGTTTGAGACCAGCCTGGCCAGCGTGGCAAAACCCCATCCCTACTAAAAATACAAAAAAAATTAGCTGGGCGTGGTGGCACATGCCTGTAGTCCCAGCTACTTGGGAGGCTGAGGCAGGAGAATTGCTTGAACCCAGAAGGCAGAGGTTGCAGTGAGCCAAGATTGCACCACTACACTCCAGCCTGGGCAACAGAGTGAGACTCCATCAAGAAAGGAAGGAAGGAAGAAAGGAAGGAAGAAAGGGAGGGAGGGAGGGAAAGGAAAGGAAAGGAAAGGAAAGGAAAGGAAAGAAAGAAAGAAAGAAAGAAAGAAAGAAAGAAAGAAAGAAAGAAAGAAAGAAAGAAGGAAGGAAGGAAAGAAAAGAAAGAAAGAAAAAGAAAAGAAGGAAGGAAGGAAGGAAGGGAGGGAGTCCATAGCCTGGGGACCAAGCTCTCCATGGCCTGGGTCCTGCACACATCAAAATGGACACCTGTAACATTCCCCGCTCATCACACAGGTGCACATGAAGGAACACACGCCCTCACACCCCAGGAGCAGCACAGGAGCCCGCACTGTGGCAGGCCAGGTCTCCCCAACAACTGTTTCAGTACTGACTGAGTGGTTAATTTAAATATTAAAAGCCAGTGCCCTTATACAAAGGCTGGGATGTAACAAAAGCCCACCAAGAGTTTTGCCCAGGCCTTTCCTGGGCCTTAAATCACGACAAAATAATGAAGGAATTCTTAACAGGACCATTTAGAATTAAGCAAGTTTTATTTTGGGTCTGAAGAAACTCCCCAGGCCTCCACAAACAAATTTATTGGCGGTCTGAAGGAACTCCTCAAACCTCCATGATTTAGCAGGAGATAACAGGAATCACCCCAGCACCTGGACCCATTTAGATAAGTAAATTTACTGAGGTTCCAGAGGAAGAGCTTCGGGACTCAGACCTTAGTCATGGATTAAAAGAAATTAATCACTTATGTCTTCAGATGAATGCACACTTACACATAGACGTATAGCTTAGAAGGTGTATAAGCTCTGGAAAACTTTGTAACTTTGAGTTAGTCGGGTGATAATTTCCACGCCTTCTCCCTGTAAACGGTTACAGAAATAAAAACTCTCTTCCTCCCCAGTTTGTGTGCATCTCGTTATTGGGCCACAAGAAGTAGCAGCCCGACCCTCAGTTTGGTCTGGGAACAGTACCACAAGCCATTCTCCCCTCCCTCCTTCCTGGATGGAAAGCTCACACCCCACACCTGAGCCTCAAAGTGCCAGATCACAGTTTCCCAGCTTCTGTGGCTTCTGGAAATACCCTCCTCCCATAGAAAGAAAGAGAAAGGCCAGGTAGGTTCCTCACACATGTAATCCCAGCATTTTGAATGCCAAGGAGGGAGGATGGCTTGAGCCCAGGAATTGGAGACCAGCCTAGGCAACATAGCAAGACCCCATCTCTACAATTTTTTTTTTTTAATTAACCAGGCTTGGTGGCAAGCACCTGGAGTCCCAGCTACCCAGGAGGCTGAGGCAGAAGGATTGCTTGAGCCCAGGACGTAGAGGCTGCAGTGAGCTAGGATTGTATCACTGCACTCCAGCCTGAAAACAGAGCAAGACCCCTCTCAAAAAAATAAAATTAAAATTAAAAATATAAAGGACAAAAGGGAGAGAGGGAGGGAGGAAGGGAGGGAGGGAGGGAGGGAAGGAGAAACAAGGAAAAGCTCCTGCCATTCCTAGCCTACTTTGGGCTTTGTTTTGTTTGTATTTTTTTCTTTGAGATGGACTCGCTCTGTTGCTAGGCTGGAGTGCAATGGCGCAATCCTGGCTCACTGCAACTTCCGCCTCCCAGGTTCAAGCAATTCTCCTGCCTCAGTCTCCCGAGTAGCTGGGACTACAGGTGCCCGCCAGCATGCCCAGCTAATTTTTGTATTTTTAATAGAGACAGGTTTTCGCCATGTTGGCCAGGCTGGTCTCGAACTCCTGACTTCAAGCGATCCACCCACTTCGGCCTCCCAAAGTGCTAGGATTACAGGCATGAGCCACCACACCTGGCCTGCCTTGGGCTTTGAATGTAAGGATGCAAGGAATGTTCAAGTTGCTGCCACCATTTGTGACCAGAAGGAGCCAACAGTGCAAACACACAATGTGGCAAGTGAGAGGTTGGCACCAGGGCCCTTGTGAGATCAGTGGGCCCCTGGCCTGGCCCCTGTGCTGCTGACCACTGGCCTTCTTGCTGTAAGAAAAATACCAAACCCCTAATATTTAAACCACTTGGGGTTGGTTTTTGTCGTGTTTTTTTTTGTTTTTTTTTTTTTGTTTTTTTGAGACAGTGTCTGCTCTGTTGCTCAGGCTACAGTGCAGTGGCACAGTCCTAGCTCACTGCAGCCTCAACCTCCTGGGTTCAAGCGATCCACCTCAGCCTCCTGAGCAGTTGGGACCACAGGCACGTACCACCACACCCAGGTAATTTTTGAAGTTTTTTGTAGAGACAGGGTCTTCCTATGTTGCCCAGGCTGGTCTCAAACTCCTGGGCTCAAGCGATCCTCCAGCCTCGGCCTCCCAAAGTGCTGGGATTACAGGTGTGAGCCACTGCACCCAGCCAATGGATCATTTTAATACATCTCCCACCCCAAACTGTTTTCTCTTCCCCAAGCCCCCAAGCTCCCTCTGTCACTTTGGCAGCAACTAGACTTGGTGGGAGGGGAAGCTTGATATCCACGGCCCGTAGTATGTAGGGTCCAGCCCTATGGGGCTTAGCGGGTGTTCTCCCCGTGTGCGGAGATGAGAGATAGTAATAAATAAAGACACAAGACAAAGAGATAAAGAGAAAACAGTTGGGCCCGGGGGACCACTACCATCAAGATGCAGAGACCGGTAGTGGCCCTGAACCGGCTGGAAGTGCTGATATTTATTGCATAGGAGACAAGGGGGCAGGGTAAGGAGGGTGAATCTTCTAAGTGATTGACAAGGTGAAGCAAGTCACATGATCGTAGGACAGGGGGCCCTTCCCTCTTAGGTAGCCGAAACAGAGAGAGAGAAGGCAGCATACGTCAGCGTTTTCTTCTATGCATTCATAAGAAAGACCAAATACTTTAAGACTTTCAGTATTTCTTCTATCGCTGTCTACTACGAACTTCAAAGAGGAACCAGGAGTAGAGGAGGAACATGAAAGTGAACAGGGAGCATGACTATTGAAGCACAGCCCCACAGGGAGGGGTTTAGGCCTCCGGATGACTGCGGGCAGGCCTGGGTAATATCCAGCCTTCCACAAGAAGCTGCTGGAGCAGAGTGTTCCCTGACTCCTCCAAGGAAAGGAGACTCCCTTTCGTGGTCTGCTAAGTAACGGGTGCCTTCCCAGACACTGGCGTTACCGCTTGACCAAGGAGCCCTCAAGTAGCCCTTATGTGGGCGTGACAGAAGGCTACCTCTTGCCTTCTAGGTCACTTCTCACAATGTCTCTTGAGCACCTGACCCTATACCTGCCAGTTATTCCTAGGTTATATTAGTAATTAAAAGCTAATGATTAATAATGTTTATAATAATGATTGATAATTGTCCATGATCATCTCTACATCTAATTTGTATTATGACTATTCTTATTCCATTTTCTTTATTATACTGAAACAGTTTGTGCCTTCAGTCTCTTGCCTCGGCACCTAGGTAATCCTCCGCCCACAGGAGTGAGAGGGTCATTTTCAGCAAAAGACACAGAAAAGGCTTTGAGGCTCCAAAAACTTAAGACTTGAGGGGAGTAAAGGATTAGAGGCAAAAAAAATAAAACTTGATGAGTCAGAGAAAGGCCTTCCAGCCCCAAGGCTAGAACAGGCTCCTGGGCCAAGGAGGAGAAAAACCGGAGGAGGCTTGTGCTTTGAGGTATTTCAAGATGTTTCAGGCACATCTCATACTTTTCCTGCCCCAAGCGTTTCAGTCATTTCATCAGCTGTTTCTCTAAGGAGCTCTGGTTCCTTTTAGTTGATAACGCTTTTTTTTTTTTTTAAAGAGATGGGGTCTCGCTGTGTTGCCCAGGTTGGAGTGCAGTGGTGCAATTTCTGCTCACCGCAACCTCCGCCTCCCAGTTTCAAGCGATTCTCCTGCCTCAGCCTCCTGAGTAGCTGGATTACAGGTGCGTGTGCTACCACTCCCAGGTAATTTTTGTATTTTTAGTAGAGACGGGGTTTTACCATGTTGGCCAGGCTGGTCTTGAACTCCTGACCTCAAGTGATCCACCCGCCTCGGCCTCCCAAAGTGCTAGAATTACACACATGAGCCACTGCACCTGGCAAGAATGCATTTTTAGAACCAGATCTGGATGCTCGTTGTGGTGATTACTACTGAAGCGTTAATTGTGTTTAGGTCATTTTGGCAGACAAAGCTAGGAAACTCACAAATACACACACATACATGTATGTCTATTTACATATCTTTCCATTTATTTATGTTAAAACCCATGAGTTTACTCTAATATCTCCCACTCTCCTCCAACGCTACAGGGTTCCTTCTACTCATCACCCTGTAAAACCAGAAAATCTAAGACAGGTCTCAGTTAATTTGGAGAGTTTATTTTGCCAAGATTGAGGACGCACGCCTGTGACACAGCCTCAGGAGGTCCTGACGTCATGTGCCCAAGGTGGTCGGGGCACAGCTTGGTTTTATACATTTTAGGGAGACACGAGACATCAATCAATATATGTAAGAAGTACATTGGTTTTGTCTAGAAAGGTGGCGACAACTCGAAGCAGGGAGGGGGCTCCGGGTCACAGGAAGGTGAAAGACAAATGGTCCTATTCTTTGAGTTTCTGATAAGCCTTTCCCCTGTAATCTCAGCTACTCAGCAGGCTGAGGCAGGAAGTGGAAGTTGCATGAGCTGAGATTGAGCCACTGCACTCCAGTCTGGGTGACAGAGCGAGACCCCATCTCATAAAAAAAGAATGCCTTCACCATCTGGGAATGCAGTCCAGTAGGTCTCAGTCTTATTTTACTCAGCCGCTATTCAAGATGGAGTTGCTCTGGTTCAAACATCTCTGACACTTCGACACTTCTACCCCCTAAACATCTCTGAAGATCACCCACTCCTCTCCGCAGTCATGACCTCTACCCAAGGTCATGCAACCATCACCTCCTGCCTGGACACCTGCAACAGCCTGCCAAATTCTGCCTGCCCAAACCCTTGATTCCAACACAGGTCCTCTAGACCAGCGCTTCTGAACCTTCAGCTGCCTAGAAATCGCCTGCAGAGTTTGTAGAAACACAGAAACTCTGGGCCCCAGTCCCAGAAATCTAATTCTCATTCAGAAGGTCCCAGGTCAACTGAGAATTTTTACTTTTTTTTTTTATTTGAGATGGAGTCTTGCTCTGTCACCCAGGCTGAAGTGCAGTGGCGCAGTCTCTGCTCACTGCAATCTGTGCCTCCCAAGTTCAAGCTATTCTCCCACCTCAGCCTCCTGAGTAGCTGGAATTACAGATGCCCGCCACCACGCCCGGCTAATTTTTGTATTTTTAGTAGAGATGGGGTTTTGTCCTGTTAGCCAGGCTGGTCTCAAACTCCTGTCCTCAAGTGACCCGCCCACCTCAGCCTCCCAAAGTGCTGGGATTACAGGTGTGAGCCACTGCGCCCCGGCCTAATTTTTGCATTTCTCACAAGCTTCCCTAGGGCATCTCCTAGAGGAAACCAAGATGTTACGGAGGCTGACGCTGCGTATCTTCAGGTCACACTTCCAGCCGCAAGACTCTCTCTGCTGTCCAATACAGTAGCCACTAGCCACATGTGGCTATTTAACTTATTAAAATAAAATTTGCCAGTACGGTTTTTTAAAATAAAATTATTAAAATAAAATTTGCCAGGAGGCAGAGGTGGGAGAATCGCTTGAGACTAGGAGTTTAAGACCAGCCTGGACAACATTTTTTGTCTCTACAAAAACTACGAAGATAAAAATAAATAGATAAAAATTTAAAAAGCCGGGCAAGGTGGCATGCACCTGTAGTCCCAGCTACTCAGCTACTCAGAAGGCTGAGGCAGGAGGCTGGCTTGAGCTTGAGTTCAAGGCTGCAGTGAGCTATGGTCAAGCCACTGCACTCCAGCCTGGGCGACAGAGTGAGACCCTGTCTCATAAAACAAAACAAAAATAAAACAAAATAAGTAAATATAAATACAAAGTAAAAATGAAAGCTAATCCTAGGTCCCTCTCCTGCCCATAAGAATTCAGAGACTCCCCAGTGCCTACAAACCTCATGCTTTCAGGAAGCATAAAGGACTTCAGGAGGCAGGAGGGCAGTTGGAGGGGGATGGTGGAGGTGCTGCTACCTGACGGTGGAGGGGGAGGCCGGGGCCAGACCACCGAGAAGCCCCTAAACCCGCACAGCAGGAAAACATCTCCGCAGTCCCTGCTCTACCAAGGCTGGAGGAGGGCCACAAGCCTTGAGCTCATTGGCTGGCGGGGGGGGGGGGGGCGGGCAGACTGCCAGCGCCTTCCTTTGACTGGCTATTTTCTCTCAGCGGAAAACCAATCATTGCGGGCAGGCGGTGAGGGTGTGGCCAGGGTCGCAACACAGGCCCCGCCCCGAGTCCTGTTGCCCACACGCCCGAGGCGCGCTGGATTGGCGGTGAGTTCTGACTCCGGCCTCCTTCGAGACCGTTTCGCTCCGGATGTCGCCCACCTCCGACCCTCTCTCAGTCGGAGGGCGGAAAAGAGGAAGATAGGTCCTTCCTCCAGCCGCGGGGCACCCCCTTCTCCCACCTTGCCCTTCCCCCAGCCCTGCAGCCCCAGAGTGTAAATATCCAAGCCCGCCCTCTCTGCGCTCAGTGTCCCCATCTGGGATAGGGGCCGGGATAGGGGTCGCGCTGGCAGGAGGCCTGGCAGCCTCCTCTGAAGGGGGAGGAGGGAAGGGGGAAAGGAGGGGATGGGCGATTGAGGTGGACCTCGAGACAGGGCAACGGTGTCCCCACAGGAGCATGGCCCAGGAGGAGGGTGGGAGCCTGCCCGAGGTGCGGGCGCGGGTCAGGGCCGCGCATGGCATCCCCGACCTGGCCCAAAAGCTCCATTTCTATGACCGCTGGGCTCCGGACTACGACCAGGTAAACTCATTTGGGGCCTTGCCTCCACTAGACCAGCCTCCATTTTTCTACCTGTAAAGTGGGGAATCAGCCTTGCACCCGGGGGCGGCTGTGAGGACGAAGTGAGGCCTGGCTAAGAACCCTACAGTCCTGCCCCTTCCAGAACCCGCCCCACAGCTCTGGATTGGCAGCCCCATCAGGGGCCATGACCTCCTGAGGGGGGCTGCCTGGAGGAGGTGCTATTGAGAAGTCACTGTGGGGCCGGGCGCGGTGGCTCACAAGCCGTAATCCTAAGCCCTTTGGGAGGCCGAGGCGGGCGGATCACCTGAGGTCAGGAGTTCGAGACCAGCCTGGCCAGCATGGTGCAACCCTGACTCTACTAAAAATACAAAAATTAGCCAGGCCCACGTGGTGGCAGGCGCCTGGTAATCCCAGCTACCCTGGAGGCTGATGCAGGAGAATTGCCTGAATCCGGGACACAGAGGTTGCAGTGAGCCAAGATCTCTTCACTGCACTCCAGCCCGAGTGACAGAGGGAGACTCTGTCTCAAAAAAAAAAAAAAAAAAAGTCATGTGGACTCAGCAGAGAGAGCCGCTTGGCCAGGAGAGAAGGTCCCTGGAGGGCTGAGTCTACTGTACAGTGGGCTGGGGGCTAACTCTCCAGTCCTGGCCCTTTAGCAATGGGAAGCACCTCATGCCTGGGCGTCCCCTCACGCTAGCCCCAGCCAGGCTTGATCCCCAACACACACAGCTTAGCCTGGCAGACTCTGAGACCACCCCATAAGGGAGATCCCCCAAACACTGGGGCACCGGTGTTGTAGGCCCGGCACTCTTTCCCCAGGATGTGGCCACCCTGCTGTACCGTGCGCCCCGCCTCGCAGTGGACTGCCTCACACAAGCCCTTCCAGGCCCGCCCCACAGTGCCCTGATCCTGGACGTGGCCTGTGGCACAGGCCTAGTGGCTGCCGAGGTGAGGCTCTTCCAGATCCCCTGCCTACTCCTTAGCCCCGCACTTCCTCAAATCTCCTACTGCCCCTGGCCCCAGAACCCTGCCCCACACCTCAGACTCACTGTTTCAAATGCATGAGACAGGACCAGGCATACTGTGGCTCACACTATGGGAGGCCGAGGCAGGAGGACAGCTTGGGGCCAGGAGTTTGAGGTCAGCCTGGGCAACATAGCAAGACCCCTGTCTCTACAAACAGATTTAAAAATTAGCCAGGCAGGGTGGTGCACGCCTGTAGTCCCAGCTACATGGGAGGCTGAGGTGGGAGGATCACTTGAGCCCGGAAGTTCAAGGCTGCAGTGAGCTATGATCACGCCACTGCACTCCAGTTTGGGCGACAGAGAGAGACCTTGTCTCAAAAATTTAAAAAAAGCAAATGCATGGGCCACATTCAGTGCAGAGTCCACTGCCCTGCCAAGGTGCAGGGACCCAGCCGGGAAGTGGCAGGTGTGAACCATGACTGAGTCTCCCACCCCTACCCCAGCTGCGGGCTCCAGGCTTCCTCCAGCTGCATGGGGTGGATGGGAGCCCAGGGATGCTGGAACAGGCCCAGGCCCCCGGCCTCTATCAGCGCCTCAGCCTCTGCACCCTGGGCCAGGAGCCTCTGCCCAGCCCGGAAGGTACTTTCTCTCCCACCTCCACACCCCGAGGCCCACCCTCATGAAGCCCTTTCCCTTGCTGATCCTCCATCCCTCTCCCACACTAAGCTCCCAGTCCCTCACTCAACCCTGCACCCCACGATCTGACTGCAGCCCAGAACTGGGCCATACTTACCTTATCCTCTAGGGGACCTGGGTCCTGCAGATGCGGGTAGTAGCCTCGTCCCACCCCTAGGGTGGTCTGAGGCCACACCATAGACAAAGTACCTTCCAAGCATCACACCATGTCCCCACCCCCCCCCACACACACACAGGGACCTTCGACGCGGTGCTGATAGTCGGTGCCCTCAGTGACGGCCAGGTGCCCTGCAATGCGATACCTGAGCTACATGTCACCAAGCCAGGTGAGGAGCAGCCCAGCCAACCACCCCCAACCCCCGTCACCATATACCTTCCCCTGTGCATAGTGCAGACACAGGCCCCAGAGCCCCTCAGGCTAAGCGAGGGGCAGCGTCCTGCCCAGCGTCACACACAGCCTAGCCTAACATCCCAGCCACCAACAGCAGACCCAGGCAAACAGGCCGGGCAGACAGGTGGCCAGCTCGGCTCTTATCCATGGACAACCAGGAGCAACTCCACCCTCCTCTGCAGCCTCCTTTTCCCAGTCTGGGAGTCAGGTGGTATAAATGCTACAATCCAGTCCCCGTAGGACTGCAGTGAGAATCAGGTGAAATCCTGTCTCTAAGGTTTTTGCTTTGGTCCTGACCCACAGTGAGGGCTCAGTTCTGTTCCTTCCTCTCACTGCTTCCTCACTCATTCATAGACTGCCTTTGGAGCATCTCTTTCTCTTTCCTGGTCTCAGTCTTCTCATCTGGGAAATGGGGCTGCTCAGGGGAGATGAGAGCTGTGAGCACCGTTTGTAAACTTTGCACATTGCGCTGCCCGGGCAGGTGTGTTTCCCGTCTCCTGCTGTGTTCTTGCTCAGCGCTTTGTTCTGCTCTGGGCAGAGGGCTCAGACCCTGCCCTCTGGGCCTTGATCTCCAACCCACTGGGGCCCAGGAAGGGGCCAGAGAGCACAGGGCCTGGTCAGAGGTGGCCCCACGAGAGCCGTGAGTGCTCACTGCTCCCAGAATTTATTTATTTATTTAATTTGAGACAGAGTCTTGCTCTGTCACCAAGGCTGGAGTACAGTGGCACAATCTCAGTTCACTGCAACCTTCACCTCCCAGGTTCAAGAGATTCTCCTGCCTCAGGCTCCCAAGTAGCTGGGATTACAGGAGCCCACCACCACACCCAGCTAATTTTTGTATTTTTAATAGAGATGGGGTTTCATCATGTTGGCCAGGCTGGTCTTGAACTCCTGACCTCAAGTGATCGCCCGCCTTGGCCTCTCACAGTGCTGGGATTATAGGCATGAGCCACTGTGCCTGGTCCTGCTCCATGAATGTAGAGAAGAGAGGCATTTCCAAGACCAGGTGAGGAATCCACATGGGGTGCACCCTAAGGCAGAAAGGAGAGGGGCTGAGCATGAGAACGAGGAGGCGCTGGCTGGCTGCAGGACAGGAAATCATAGAGGTAAAAATGCTTCCTCTCCCTCCCGTCTCTGCCAGGCCCAGCAGAGGCTGTGGCTAAGCCTGGGCAGGTCTGGGCAGGCATCTGGGGAGCCCTGAAGGCTGACAAATGCAGGGACACGGATGGGGTCAGCTGGAAAGGTCGAAGTTGGGCCCAAGAAGACAGGAACTTTCTACTGGGTGAAGCAGCCAGGATCGGACTTCCTAGCCCAACCTGTGCTTGCTAAGCCCTTCAGCCCCATCAGGCTGCCCATGGGTGACAGTCTCCCCTGCTCCGGAGCCTCTCCTCTCACTGCGCTCCCTTCTATCAGCAACACCCTGCTTCTCCTTACCCCCTCCTCCAGGAAACCTTCCCAGACCAGTCACTTGGGCTTCCCCATCTCTCCTTCTCAGTGCACTTGGGGCCACCCTGGGCACGCACACTATAGGTGCCTGGACCTGAGGTGACAAGGCCATTCAGCCGGCACTTACTGTAGGGCACTTCAAACACACATACCAGCCTTCCTGTGATGTTAGATAATCATCCTCTCTGTGCCAGCTGGGAAACTGAGGCCCAGAGAGGTGAAGGGATAGCCCAAGATCCAAAGCCCACATGGGAACTTTCTTCCTGTCCATTCAGACACAGTCACATCCTCCAGCAGAGGCGTGGGTGAGTGGTGAGTGGTGAGGAGGGTGTCTCCTCAATCCAGGAGAATTACGTCAAGAATTCCCCACCAGGCACAGTAGCTCACCCCCATAATCCCAGCACTTTGGGAAACCGAGGCAGGAGGATCCCTTGAGCCCAGGAGTTCAAGAGCAGCCTGGACAACATAGCAAGACCCCATCTCTACAAAAAAAAAATGTTTAATTAGCCAGGCGTGGTGGTGAGCACCTGTGGTCCCAGCTACTCAGGAGGCTGAGGTGGGAGGATTGCTTGAGCTCGTGAGTTGGAGGCTACAGTCAGCTATGATTGCTCTGCTGCACTCCAGCCTAGGAAATAGGGTGAGATCCTATCTCAAGAAAGAAAAAAAAGGGGGGGTGGGCAGGCACAGTGGCTCACGCTTATAATCCCCAGCGGGCAGATCACCTGAGGTCAAAAGTTCGAGACCAGCCTGGCCAACATGGCAAAACCCCATCTCTACAAAAAATACAAAATAGCCGGGCGTGGTGGCACGTGCCTGTAATCCCAGCTGCAAGGGAGGCTGAGACAGGAGAATCACTTGAACCCAGGAGGCGGAGGCTGAAGTGAGCCAAGAGCATGCCATTGCACTCCAGCCTGGGTGACAGAGCAAGACAGGGTCTCAAAAAAAAAGAAAGAAAGAAAAAGGAATTCCCAATGTAAAAGACACAGAAAGACTGCCCTGGGAAGGAAGCTGGAAGAATTTCTTTTTCTTTTTTTTTTTTTTTTTTATTGGAACATTAATTAGGTTTTATTTTCACTTTTTGTTTCCACAGTAACATGTATGGGATTAGGTTACAGTGTTTATTTGTCCCCAATCTTTTATTTATTTATTTATTTATTTATTTATTTATTTATTTTTAATTGATTGACTTTTTATTTTTTTTTATTTTTTTTAAATTTATTTATTTATTTATTTATTTTTTATTGATAATTCTTGGGTGTTTCTCACAGAGGGGGATTTGGCAGGGTCATAGGACAATAGTGGAGGGAAGGTCAGCAGCTAAACAAGTGAACAAAGGTCTCTGGTTTTCCTAGGCAGAGGACCCTGCGGCCTTCCGCAGTGTTTGTGTCCCTGGGTACTTGAGATTAGGGAGTGGTGATGACTCTTAACGAGCATGCTGCCTTCAAGCATCTGTTTAACAAAGCACATCTTGCACTGCCCTTAATCCATTCAACCCTGAGTGGACACAGCACATGTTTCAGAGAGCACAGGGTTGGGGGTAAGGTCATAGATCAACAGGATCCCAAGGCAGAAGAATTTTTCTTAGTACAGAACAAAATGAAAAGTCTCCCATGTCTACTTCTTTCTACACAGACACGGCAACCATCCGATTTCTCAATCTTTTCCCCACCTTTCCTGCCTTTCTATTCCACAAAGCCGCCATTGTCATCCTGGCTCGTTCTCAATGAGCTGTTGGGCACACCTCCCAGACGGGGTGGTGGCCGGGCAGAGGGGCTCCTCAGTTCCCAGTAGGGGCGGCCGGGCAGAGGCGCCCCTCACTTCCCGGATGGGGGGGCTGGCCGGGCGGGGGGCTGACCCCCCCCACCTCCCTCCCGGACGGGGCGGCTGGCCAGGCAGAGGGGCTCCCCACCTCCCAGTAGGGGCGGCCGGGCAGAGGCGCCCCTCACTTCCCGGATGGGGGGGCTGGCCGGGCAGGGGGCTGACCCCCCCACCTCCCTCCCGGATGGGGCGGCTGGCCGGGCAGAGGGGCTCCTCACTTCCCAGTAGGGGTGGCCGGGCAGAGGCGCCCCTCACCTCCCGGACGGGGCGGCTGGCCGGGCGGGGGGCTGACCCCCCCACCTCCCTCCCGGACTGGGCGGCTGGCCGGGCAGAGGGGCTCCTCACTTCCCAGTAGGGGCGGCCGGGCAGAGGCGCCCCTCACCTACTGGACGGGGCAGCTGGCCGGGCGGGGGGCTGACCCCCCCACCTCCCTCCTGGACGGGGCGGCTGGCCGGGCGGGGGGCTGATGCCCCCACCTCCCTCCCGGACGGGGCGGCTGGCCTGGCGGGGGGCTGACCCCCCTACCTCCCTCCCGGATGGGCGGCTGGCCGGGCAGGGGGCTGACCCCCCCACCTCCCTCCCGGATGGGGCGGCTGGTGGGGCGGGGGGCTGACCCCCCCACCTCCCTCCCGGATGGGGTGGCTGCCGGGCGGAGACGCTCCTCACTTCCCAGACGGGGCGGCTGCCGGGCGGAGGGGCTCCTCACTTCCCAGACGGGGCGGCTGCCAGGCGGAGGGGCTCCTCACTTCTCAGACGGGGCGGCCGGGCAGAGATGCTCCTCACCTCCCAGACGGGGTTGCGGCCGGGCAGAGGTGCTCCTCACATCCCAGACGGGGCGGCGGGGCAGAGGCGCTCCCCACATCTCAGACAATGGGCGGCCGGGCAGAGACGCTCCTCACTTCCTAGATGTGATGGCGGCCGGGCAGAGGTGCTCCTCACTTCCTAGGTCGGATGGCGGCCGGGCGGAGACGCTCCTCACTTTCCAGACTGGGCAGCCAGGCAGAGGGGCTCCTCACATCCCAGATGATGGGCGGCCAGGCAGAGATGCTCCTCACTTCCCAGACGGGGTGGCGGCCGGGCAGAGGCTGCAATCTCGGCACTTTGGGAGGCCAAGGCAGGCGGCTGGGAGGTGGAGGTTGTAGCGAGCCGAGATCACGCTACTGCACTCCAGCCTGGGCACCATTGAGCACTGAGTGAACGAGACTCCATCTGCAATCCCGGCACCTCAGGAGGCCGAGGCTGGTGGATCACGTGCGGTTAGGGGCTGGAGACCGGCCTGGCCAACACAGCGAAACCCCGTCTCCACCAAAACCAGTCAGGCGTGGCGGCGCGAGTCTGCAATCACAGGCACTCGGCAGGCTGAGTCAGGAGAGTCAGGCAGGGAGGTTGCAGTGAGCCGAGATGGCAGCAGTACAGTCCAGCTTCGGCTCAGCATGAGAGGGAGACCGTGGAAAGAGAGGGAGAGGGAGACCGTGGGGAGAGGGAGAGGGAGAGGGAGAGGGAGAGGGAGAGGAGGGAGAGGAGGGAGAGGAGGGAGAGGAGGGAGAGGAGGGAGAGGGAGAGGGAGAGGGAGAGGGAGAGAGCGTCCCCAATCTTTTAAGTCGAATTTCTTGCCTTGAAGGGACAACCATCCCCAGCAGAGATGGCCCAGGACTGTGGCTCCTGCCCCTCCCCCACCTCACCTACCCCTCTCCCCCAGGTGGGCTGGTGTGTCTGACCACCAGGACCAACTCGTCCAACCTTCAATACAAGGAGGCTCTGGAGGCCACCCTGGACAGGCTGGAGCAGGCTGGGATGTGGGAAGGCCTGGTGGCCTGGCCTGTGGACCGCCTGTGGACCGCTGGGAGCTGGCTACCTCCGAGCTGGAGGTGGTATCCGGCATCTCTGCCAAGGATGGCTTCATCTCCGGCATTGTCTACCTGTACCGAAAGTGGAAGGCGACCCAGGTTGAGGAAGTGAGATCCAGC
The DNA here is from genome assembly GCF_000001405.40 of Homo sapiens. Classification (NCBI taxonomy): domain Eukaryota; kingdom Metazoa; phylum Chordata; class Mammalia; order Primates; family Hominidae; genus Homo; species Homo sapiens. The sequence continues at coordinate 73,834,734 of NC_000007.14, read as the reverse complement.
CCCCAGCCCCCAGCTGGCCCCTGACTCCATGTGGCCTTAGCTGGGCCCATCTGCTGGGCCTCCTCTGCCTCCCCTGTAAAATGGGACCTCCGAACCAACCCTGCCCCTCAGAAATGCCCTGCCTATTAAATGAGCTCCCAGAAAACAGTGGCATCTGTTCCTGTGGGTTCCAGAATCGAGACGTAGCAGGGTGTGGTGGCTCACACCTGTAATCCCAACAATTTGGAAGGCCAAGGCAGGAGGATCTCTTGAGACCACGAGTTCAAAACCAGCCTGGGCAACATAGTGAGACCCCTATCTTAAAGAAAAATTGTAAAAATTAACACTTTGGGAGGCCGAGGCGGGAGGATCACTTGAGGTCTGGAGTTCGAGACCAGCCTGGCCAACATGGCGAAACCCTGTCTCTACTAAAAATACAAAAATTAGCTGGGCATGGTAGCACACCCCTGTAATCCCAGCTAGTTGCGAGGCTGAGGCAGGAGAATTGCATGAGCCCAGGAGGCGGAGGTTGCAGTGAGCTGAGATGGTGCCACTGGGTGACAGAGCGAGACTCTGTCTCAAAAAAAAAAAAAATTGGAAAAATCAGCCAGGTGCCGTGGGTGCATGCCAGCTATTTGGGAGGCTGAGACAGGAGAATCACTTGAGCCTGGGAGGCAGAGGTTGCAGTGAGCCCAGAGCACACCACTGCACTCCAGCCTGGGCAACAGAGCAAGACTCTGTCTCAAAAAAAAAAAGAAAAGAAAAGAAAAAAAGCAAGAAATGATGGAGAAGACCCCTTCCTGGGGCCTCCCTGGATCCCTCCTTCCAGAGTGCTGGGTCCGCTCACCTCTAACTTACTGACAAGAAAATGAAGCCTGAGCAAGCTTGGAACATGCTTTGCACAACAGTAGCAGGGCAGAGACTCAAGGCCAAGGCCAAGCCCAAGTGGTTGCTGAGGCCCAAGTCCTGTCCTGGACAGCTCCCCCACCCAAATTTGGAGTCCAAAATCCCAAGCTGTAGGTCTGGGCCTGGGCCACACTTGGTTTCCTCATCGATCAAGGGATCAGAATGCCGAGCTCTGGGCGTGGCTTGAAGGCTGCCCTCCAGGTGAAAGGCATTTGGTGACCCTCAGCACCTCAGGGATGTGAACAGGGCTGATAATAATTTCTCCATCCAAGAGAATGGGAAGACTTCATGGGGGAGGAGGCTGGGAGCTGGGCTTTCAGGACGAGCAGGATCCAGAGGGTGGAGAAGGGAAAAGGGACATTCCAGGCTGGAAGCAGGGACCGGCTGTGCAAAGGCTGGGAAGGGGGACCTGTAGGGTGACTCAGCAAAGAGGAACAGACCAGCCTGACTGCCCAGACAAAGCTGCAACAACAGCGGGGTGGGGGTGGCAGGTGGCCCATACCTCGGAGCTGGGAGCCCACGTGGGGACGTCCCTCCTGGGGTCCCCAACCCTTCACCGGGGTCCCGGGCATACGCTGTTTTCTGTATATGGGTTTACCCTCCAACCCATATACAGTGGACAAGGTGATACCTTGGGGGCCCATTTAATTTCTTTTTTAAGGTGATACCTTGGAGGCCCGTTTCGATTTTTTTTTTTTTTTCGTTAAGAGATAAGGTCTCGCCCTGTCACCCAGGCTGGAGTGCAGTGGTGCGATCAAAGCTCACTGCAGCCTCAAACTCCTGGGCTCAAGCAATTCGCCTACCTCGACCTCCCCAAGTACAGGGATTACAGGCATGAGCCACCACACCCAGCTAATTTTTTTAACTTTTTGTAGAGATGGTGCCACTATGTTCCCCAGGCTGGTCTCAAACTCCTGCCTCGAGCGATCCTCCCACCTCGACCTTTTAAAGTGCTGGGATTGCAGGTGCTCACTACCGCACCCGGCCCAGCTCCAATTTTTCACAATTCCCTGGATCTCGTTTTTTTTTTTTTTTTTTAAGTGTTTATGTCCCGGCCAAAACACAGTGGTCCTGCCCCTGACTGACCCCCCCCACCCCCGCACCCAGGCCTCCAGCCCTTCCCCACCCACCTCCACAGTTGAAATCAGAGACAATAAAATTTCCTCCTGTGCACAGGTCCCATTTATTGTAGAAAATAATAATAATTACAGTGATGAATAGCTCTTCTTAAATTACAAAACAGAAACCACAAAGAAGGAAGAGGAAAAACCCCAGGACTTCCAAGGGTGAAGCTGTCCCCTCCTCCCTGCCACCCTCCCAGGCTCATTAGTGTCCTTGGAAGGGGCAGAGGACTCAGAGGGGATCAGTCTCCAGGGGCCCTGGGCTGAAGCGGGTGAGGCAGAGAGTCCTGAGGCCACAGAGCTGGGCAACCTGAGCCGCCTCTCTGGCCCCCTCCCCCACCACTGCCCAAACCTGTTTACAGCACCTTCGCCCCTCCCCTCTAAACCCGTCCATCCACTCTGCACTTCCCAGGCAGGTGGGTGGGCAAGGCCTCAGCCATACTCCTGGGCGCGGGTTTCGGTGAGCAAGGCACAGTCCCAGAGGTGATATCAAGGCCTACCCGGAACAGAGGAGATGCAGGCAGACAGAGTGGGGAAAATGTAAATGGGGACAGTGGCCAACGCCGATGCAGGCAGATCCCAAAGTCAGGGTTAAGCTATCCTGGCCAGCAGAAGCCAGCTCCCCACTCCACCACCACACCCTGTCACTTCCGTCCCTCCCCAATATCCAGAGGAGGGTGGACTCTGTTCTTGCTAGCAGGAGGCGGCCTTGGGAAGTTGTCCGAGTGGGCCAGAGAGGCTGAAGGCTGCTGCCTTCCTGCCTGGCTCAGTCTCTGCCCAGTCCCCAGTCCCCAGCAGCCAGTGGCCCGTGGCAGGGCCCTCCTGGGGTCACAGCCTGCGCTGAGCTCAGTCCAGGGAAGAACAAAGCAGAGAGGAACAGAGTGGAGCCGTGGCACCTTACACGTAGTTGCTGGCAGCAGCAGAGCGGGCAGCAGAATACTTGGCGGAGTAAGGCTTGTCTGTGCGGGGTGGACAGTTGCAGCAAAGCAGCCCCCCGCCAAGGAGCAGCAGGCCGGAGGCGGCCCAGCCGACGTAGAGCGAGGCACCCATCTCCCGCTTCTGCCCGGAGGCCACCAGCGGATTGTAGAAGTCTTGGATGATGTTGTGGGCCGTCCAGGACACCGGCACTATCACCATAAGGCCGGCCAACAGGAACACCACGCCCGCCACGATCATGGTCTTGGCCTTGGCGCTTTCATCCTCCAGGCAGTTGGTACACTTGCCCCCCACCACGGACAGCAGCACGCCCAGAGCAGCCACGATGATGCTGATGATGACGAGGGCGCGGGCCGCCTGCAGGTCCTGCGGCAGTGCCAGCAGCGAGTCGTACACCTTGCACTGCATCTGGCCGGTGCTCTGCACCACGCAGTTCATCCATAGGCCCTCCCAGATGGTCTGCGAGGTGACAATGTTGCTGCCGATGAAGGCCGTCACGCGCCACATGGGCAGCGCGCAGCACAGCATGACGGCCAGCCAGCCCAGGACGGCCAGCGCGATGCCCATTACCTGTAGCCCCATGGAGGCCATTGTTCAGCGTCCACGGGAGTTGAGGACCTGGAAGGCTGAGGGGATCCGGCTGTGGGGGCCGTAGGATTCCAAGCGCTGGGGACGGACTTAACGTTCGCAGAGTGCACCTTTGCACCGTGAGTCAGGAGATAAAGCCAGTCCTGATGCGCAAGCCAGCAAGTGTGAGCAGACCAGTTCCTTCCAGCCGACAGCTGCCAGGGCACTCTCTCTCGGGGACAGGTTGAGCAGTTATATGGCTCTGGCAGAGGGGCGGGGGCAGAGGGAGGGGTTTTTGTCACTGGGGCCTCCTCCTGACCAGTTTCTCTGGATTCCTGAGCCCAGGCCAACAAAGGCACTTTTGAGGCCCCAGCCCCGGGTCCCTGAGTCACTATCCAGTCTCAGAAGAAACTACTCTCTCCCCTTCCTCAAAGCCCATGCTGAGGTCACCCGGGAGACAGACACTGAATCACAGCCCAGGGACAGCTGGATGTTCACAGGTTAAGGCCAGGGGGCAACCAGACCCAGCCAGGTTTGGGAGCCTGAAGACCAGGGTCCCCACAGGCCAGTGCCCCCTCATTCCAGGCTTAGGTGGGAGGACAGGGTGGGGACCCTGAGGGAGAGAATTTGAGAATGAAGTCTTGGAAACGTCCACGAGAAACCCCACCTTGATTATTGTCATTTCTTGTCCTTACCAGTTTCATCACTGGCAGTTTCACGACTGTTGTGAGTATGATCACTCATGCATCTGGCCTCACCAGCAGTCTTTGCGGCATTGGCCGGATAAAGTTACGTGTAGGGGAGTGAGGAGCCGGGAGGCCAGGACTCCGGGGTACATCACCCACTCTCACCCATCCTTATCACCCAGCTTCTCTGCTTGGCTAGAAGAGGGGCCTTGGACATGATGCACCTTCAGCCAAAAAGAGACAGAAGCCTGTCCCCTCTCCACCTCCATGGAAGTTTAGGCTGGTGGGCTCTGTTCCTGCCGGGATCCAGCCTGCTTGCCCAGAACTGGGTGGGGCCAGTCACCAACGACAAACATGAACTAGATCCTGGAGACATCATCACCCCAGTAAATGGGTGTTTACCCTGTGGAGACATACAAAGCCTTCCAATAAAGCCAGAGTGGGTGCAAAGTCCCATGAGATTTCAAAGGGAAGGGGAACTCTTCCAGGGTGGAGGTGGTGGTGCTGAGGGAGCTTGACTGCAAAGGGGTGCTGTGTGGCACAACTCCAGGGGGCGCCGGATTCTTGGAGTATGCTACAGAAGGCATCGTGAACAGGTCCCCCAGAAAAGTTTTGCAAGGCAGTGGGACAGGCTGAAGGAGGACGTTCTGGTAGACGGTGGGCCAGGCTGGACAAATGCAGCTCATTCTGGGATGACAGCCCTCAGGAGAGATGTGCAAGGCAGCGAGGCTAGTGAAGGAGGACATTCAGGCAGAGAGAACAAGGGCAGAGGTGGCAAGGTGGGGAAAGGCAGCTCGTTCTGGGAACAGCCAGGAATCCAGTTTGACCAGAGACTGGGCTGGGGAGGGAGGGACCAAAGTAAAAGGGTCAGAAATTTCTGCCTGGAATGTCACCAAGCCCTGGAAGATAGAGGGAGGGTGGAGGGTCTAGGATCAGGAAGAGCTTGGTTCAGGGCAGATGACTGAGGGGACCTCTGGGAAGGGGTCATCGTGGGGGTGATTGAGAGTGTCTAGGGCTCATCCCAGCCGCACCGAGGGAGCTCCTCCTCACCCGCCGTGTGGTCATTTTGCATCTCTCTTCCCAACCATGCTGGGAGCTCTGCAGGGGCCAGGGCTCCAGTGTGTCCCTGAGCCGCCGCCATTGTCCAGCACTGGTGGCTGTGTGTCCAGTTCTGACCCAGAAGGATGCATAGTCCTTGAGCTTCCTGAGGGAAAGTCTTCAAGAGTGCCATGGTTTGGGTTAAAGCAATCAGTGAGTACCCATGGGAGGTATTTGAGATGGATCTGTTGACCGGCTAATGAAGCACAGGGCAGGCTGGGACAATCTAGCATGGTCCACCTGTGTTACAGACGGGAAGTTGAGGCCTGGTATTGTGGTTAACTCTATACACATCCGTCTTCCCTGCTAGCCTGGGGCTCCTAGAAGACAGGAACAATGCCTTCTGCAACCTCAGTGCCCAGCATCTGGCTTGATACATCACAGATGCTCAAGAAATGTGAGGAGTGGTTGCTGCGGCTCATGCCTATAATCCCAGCACTTTGGGAGGCCAGGATGGGAGGATCGCTTAAGGCCAGGAGTTTGAGGCTGCAGTGAACTATAATCGCACCATTTCACTCCAGCCACGGGCAACAGAGCAAGACTCTGTCTCAAAAGAAAAGAAAAAGAAATGTTTGGGCCGGGTGCAGTGGCTCACACCTGTAATCCCAGTACTTTCGGAGGCCAAGATGGGCAGATCACGAGGTCAGGAGTTAGGCCAACATGGTGAAACCCCATCTCTACTAAAAAATACAAAAATTAGCTGGGTGTGATGGCGCACGCCTGTAATCACAGCTACTCAGGAGACTGAGGCAGGAGAATCGCTTTAACCTGGGAGATGGAGGTTGCGGTGAGCCAAGATCGCGCCATTGCACTCCAGCCTGGGTGATAGAGCGAGACTCCATCTAAAAAAAAAGAAAAAAAAAGACATGTTTGATGATGGAAAGAACGAAGCATTCTCCAGTTTCAAATCACACTCCTATACCTTGACCCCCATCATAGGCACACACACCAAAGCAAACAGAGATGGTTTCTGCCCAGACCACGCCTCCCTGGGGCTTTCTTTACAAGGCTCCCTCTACACACAGAGCCTATGGGCTGAATAACACCAGAGATAAGTAACATCATGATTGGCGATAAGTGCTTTCCTGGAGATGACCTCATCACAGCCTCCTGCCAGTCAGCAGGGCAGGGACTTTTATTGCCTTGGCTCAAAGGAGTACACTGAAGCCCAGAGAAGGCCAGGGCCTTGCCCAGGACGGGTGGGCACTCCAGCATGGGTGCCTCCTTCCCCAGGTGCCTCTTACCTGTGGTCCCAGCCAGGTAGCCTTTAACAAGCTTTCTGAGTAGACACGTGACTTGGCCAGATGGCCAGAACCTGCCCCCCCCAACCCCCCGCCCGCCTCCTGCCCCCCCGGCCCCCGGCCCCCGCCCTGCCACTTCCTGCCCTTGCTTTCCTGGGACACAGCCAAGTGCCACTTGGAGAAGCAGGCATGGGGGAGGGGAGCATGCAAGCCCTACAACAGTCCACCTGTGGCCCTAAGAAGCTGTCCTTCCCTCCCAGGCATAGCCACGCGTATCGGGAGCTGAGAGCAGGGAGGGGTTGGGGGTTGAGGAGAGGGCAGGTACAGAGGCTCCAGGCATAGAGCAGACACAGGGCAGGGGAAGAAGCACAGAGCTCACGCAGGGCTAGGGGACCCAGGTGTGAAGGAGAGGCCAGAAGGATGTCCTTGGGGATCAGCCAGTAGCTCAGCACAAGTGGAGCTGGAGAGAGATTTGTTGATGCTTTGTTGATGCCAAGAGACCGTTGGCTCAGTCCCACCCACCTGCTGCGGGAAAAACACCAGCAAAGGCAAGGTGCTTCTCTCCTCTCCGCTCCAGCTCCCATAGCCCTAAGGCAGAGGAAAACAAGGAAATTTACCTCTAGGCCTGCATCTGGCCCTCTTCCCAAAGCCCGAAGATCTTTTACAGGAACACCTTATAAGACATCTGCCATTCATCACCTTGGTTTTGGGGTCAGAGAGTACAGGGTTGGCACTCATTTATTTTCTTTTTCTTCTTTATAACATGCACTGTGTGATTTTGTGCTGACAGAATTGGATCACGTGCTTTTTTTTGTTTTTTGTTGTTGTTTTTTGTTGTTTTTGTTGTTTGTTTTTTGTTTTGAGACAACACGATCTCTGCTCACTGCAGTCTCCACTTCCCGGGTTCAAGCAATTCTCATGGCTTAACCTCCCGAGTAGCTGGGAGTACAGGCGCACACCACTACGCCCAGCTAATTTTTGTAGTTTTAGTAGAGACAGGGTTTCAGCATGTTGGCCAGGCTGGTCTCAAACTTCCAGCCTCAGATGATCTGCCCGCCTCGGCCTCCCAAAGTGCTGGGATTGCAGGCGTGAGCCACTGCGCCTGGCCACACCTGCTGGTTTCTATCAAGGATAAAAACCACCAGATCAGCTCACCCATCTCTGCCCACCCCATAAACCATCTTTCCAGCCCAGGAACCATCTCTGAGCCACAGCTTCCTCCTTTGTAAAAATGAGGATGTTGCACCCCCTCCAGGATCAAAAACAAAAACAGACGTGAAATGAGATGGGGATGTGAAAATGCTTCATGAGCCAAAAAGCTCAGGACAAAAGCTGGGAAGCTGTGTATCCATAAGCCATCCTACCAGCCCTGTGACCTTGGAGAAGCCAATTCCATCTCTGAGCCCCAACTTCCTCCTTTGTACAATGAGAACACTGGGGCCCACTCCCCAGTCTGAGATACACATGAAATGAGAGAAGGAAGTAAAAATGCTTTGTGAGCCAAAAAGTTTAATAACAAGAGGAGGGAGCAAAGTTCCGTACGCAAAGCAGCTGCTGCGCAGTTCGGATCCTGATCATAACAGGTGGGAGCTAGGACTTTTCAGACCCCTGTCCCCAGAGTTCCAGGGGCTTGGCCAAGTCCCCAGTTGTTTTGTTTTGTTTTGTTTTGTTCTCTTTTTTTGAGACGGAATGTCGCTGTCACCCAGGCTATAGTGCAGTGGTGCAATCTCGGTTCACTGCAACCTCTGCCTCCCAGGTTCAAGCGATTCTCCTGCCTCAGCCTCCCGAGTAGCTGGAACTACAGGTGCTCGCCACTACGCCCAGCTAATTTTTGTAGTTTTAGTAGAGACAGGGTTTCAGCATGTTGGCCAGGCTGGTCCCGAACTTCTAGCCTCAAGTGATCTGCCCTCCTCAGCCTCCCAAAATGCTGGGATTGCAGGCGTGAGCTACCCCGCCTGGCCCCAAGTCCCCAGTTGTAACACACACACATGCAGCTTGCCCTGAGTTCAGCTCCCTGGGAGTCCCTAGCAAAGGGGCAAAAACAAAGTCTCCCTTCTAACCCCAAGCTCCCGCTGGCATCTGAGCCCCAGGGCCAGTGATGGACCACTGTCCTGCAGCCAAAAAGATCTCTGTGAGCTGAGCAGTCTAGCTCCCAGAGCCCGTACTCCACGTCTTCTGGGAACAGGAAGACTAAAGCCAGGGAAGCCAGTGTATATTAAATTGATTCCTAGGGCGGACACAGTGGCTCACACCTGTAATCCCAGCACTTTAGGAAGCTGAGGTGGAAGGATCACTTGGGCCAAGAGTTCTAGACCAGCCTGGCCAACATGGTGAAACCCCGTCTATACTAAAAATTAGCTGGGCATGGTGGCGTGTGCCTGTGGTCGGGAGCTGCTCGGGAGACTGAGGTGGGAGAATCGCTTGAACCCAGGAGGCAGAGGTTGCAGTGAGCTGAGATCACACCACTGCACTCCAGCCTGAGCGACAGACCAAGATCCTGTCTCTTAAAAAATAAAAAACAGTAGGCCGGGCACGGTGGCTCACGCCTGTAATCCCAGCACTTTGGGAGGCGGAGGTGGGCGGATCACGAGGTCAGGAGATTGAGACCATCCTGGCTAACATGGTGAAACCCCATCTCTACTCAAAATACAAAAAATTAGTCGGGCATGGTGGTGGGCACCTGTAGTCCCAGCTACTTGGGAGGCTGAGGCAGGAGAACAGCGTGAACCTGGGAGGCGGAGCTTGCAGTGAGCCGAGATCACGCCACTGCACTCCAGCCTGGGAGGCAGAGTGAGACTCCAACTCAAAAAATAAAAAATAGTAAAGGATGGAATTTTTTTCTTTCTTTAGGCAACAAGATCCTATTTCTTTCTGAAGTCCTTGAGCTCAGATTGGAGTCCTGGCACCAGGCTGAACAGGAGAGTCCCTGGCCCTCAGCCTGACCGCCCACACCAGCGGACCATCCACCCCCTCGGCCTGGTGCTGGGTGATGGCAGGCCTGGCTGACCAGTCTGGCGAGACTGGCTGAGCGGGTGCTGCCCCCAGGTTGGGCACCACGTGGGCCGTGGGTGGGGGCGGTGGCCACCTCTGGGGTTTCTTCTAAGGAAGAGAAGAAAGACCATACTGATGCCTCCTGGCTGGAGTCCCAGGGTCTGGCACTTCTGGTGGCAAGGATGGGGAGAGGGGCTGAGCAAAGGGAGGGGACTCGGTGAGAGAGCTTAGTTAGAGAGACTCAGAAGAGATGACTGTGTGAAGGGGAGGAGGCTTACACAGGGGACAGGACTTAGAGGACCGTTGTTAAATTACTTTACCCCAAATCGGTGCATCGATTTCAGTTTATGTCTGTCAGTTTCAAAACACCTGGCCAGGCATGGTGGCTCATGCCTGTAATCCCAGCACTTTGGGAGGCTGAGGCAGGAGGATTACTTGAGGCCAGGAATTCAAGACCTACCTGGGCAACATAGTGAGACCCTTTTTCAAAAACAAATTTTTTTTTTTAATTAGCCAGGCATGGTCGCATACACCTGTAAATCCCAGCTATTCGGGAGGCTGAGGCAGGAAGATCACTTAAACCCAGGAGTTGGAGGCTACAGCGAGCCATGATCATGCCACTGCACTCCAACCTGGGTGACAGAGCAAGACCTCATCTCTAATAAATAAATAATTAGCAAGCCCGTATTTACCGTGACCTTCAGCATTCCCACCATCCTACCCAGCTGTCCAGCCCTTCACAGGCCATTCCCCCACTTCACAGGGAGGTCCATAAACCCTCCTTCCCACCCACCTCCCCGACTCCCTCCGGCTCCCGCCTCCTCACTTCAGGGCAGTCCTGTCTCTACTGGATTTTACTCCAATTTCCCAGAGGCGAGGGAGGAAGAGGACCTAAGGGCGGTGGAATTCCTGAAGACCCTCTAATCTGATGGAGGAGTCAATCCTCTCCAGCCCCACCCCTCCCTCTCCCCATTCAGGGCAGCCTCCTCCTGCCAGGCACCTCTGCCCTGGCCTCTCAGGGAGCAAGCCAGCCAGTAAACCATGTTTTGAGCACCTGCTTCGGGGCCAGGCACTAACCTAAATGCCTTCGGATAACATTGAATAACAGGAAGTCATTTTATCTCACTGCAAAACAGTGCAGGGGCATCATTGTTGTTCTCTTGTTTTTGTTTTTAAGACATGAAGTCTCGCTCTGTCACCCAGGCTACAGTGCAGTGGCACAGTCGTAGCTCACTGAAGCCTCAAACTCCTGGGCTCAAGAAAACCTCCACCTTCAGCCTCTGGTGTAGCTGGGACTACAGGTGTGCACCACCACACCCAGCTAACTTCTTATTTTTTTGTAGAGACAGGTTCTCCCGATGATGCCCAGGCTGGTCTCGAACTCCTGGCCTCAAGAAGTGATCCTCCTGCCTCAGCCTTCCAAAGTGCTGGGATTGCAGGTGTGACCATGCCTAGCCCATTCCCATCTTAGAGATGAGAAAACTAAGGCTCTGGGAACTGATGTGACATTCCAGGGCCACCAGAATAATGGCAAGACTGGTATCCACACCCTGCCTAATGTCTGATTCTGGGGCTCATCCTCTACCCCTACTCTCCTATTTATTACTCTTCGTCTTTTTTTATTCCTTCATTCTTTCTGGAAGGACATGCTGAGCGCACTGGGCCAGGCCCAGGGCTGGCATGGAGCTCATCAGGGTGTAATCAGGCCAGCCTGAATTTAAATAAACAGCTCCCACGCAGGGAAAACAAGCTCTGTGTGAGCACTGGAGAGTGAAAAATCAACTCTACCTGGGGCACACCAGGCAGGATTCCTGGAGGAGGTGGCAGGTGGAGAGGAGACCTGAAGGGTGAGTAAAAGCTTAGAGACCTATGAAGAGGAGAGAGCTCTCGCAAAAGGAGAGTAGCAGGGACAAAAACGGGTGTGTGTGTGGGGAGGAAGTATCTGTGGAAAACTCAACTTGAGGAGTCGGAAGCCAGACAGGTGAGGGAATAGGGCTGGAAAGTAAGTTGGGAGCATCGGTGTGGGCCTCAAGGGCGCAACCCAGGAGCTTGGGTTAATTGGAGGGAGAGTCAGGAGGGTGGCCTTGCTGTGGGCTGGGTGATGGAGGACAGAGGAGGTAGGGCTTCACTGGGAGGGTGTCCCTGTCTCAGGACCAACCAGGACTCCCAGAGAAGCCCCCCTGGTCCCAGGCCAGGACAGGTCTTGTCACCAGTAGGCAGAGCAAGGAGCTGGGATCGTCCTATCCTGCTTCCTCTTGGAATATCGGAGGATGCCAGAACACAGAACCCAGAAGCCGGGCACACCCCTGAGGATGACGGTTTACAGAGAAGCTGTCTGCTTCTGTGACACACCAAGAGGCTGAGAGAAACCCGCACGCTGACCAGGAGACTCCTAGGTCGGCAGCCCATGAGTCAGCAGTGACAGAGCCAGGGACAAAACCAAGGAATCCGGGATCATCAGCACCATCTCACCCCATTTCGGGGTGACTCAGAGATCGTATTATCCCTCCCGGCACAGAGGCCCCAGGCCTGGCCTCTCTCCTGCCCTGTGTCCCCGCCCCATCTCTCCCACGTCTCCCAGCATGGATGGGTGGACACCAGCCACGCCCTCTCCTGTCACACACAGATACTAATCTCTTGCCTTCTCAGAGCCCAAGAAGTCCAGCTGCCAGATCTTTGCCCTATTGCCAGGTGTACCTACTGACCCAGCCCTGCCGGAGCCCTCATTCCCTGCCAGCTCCCATGTCTGGATCATCTCAGGCCCCTGGAAGGGCACACCCCTCTCTGACCTGTCCCCTCCCCTGGGGAGCAGGAGGCAGGGTGGGGCCAGGAGCAGCCACACTGGTGATTAGGTTTGAGCTTTGTAATTTTTCAATTTTTTTTTTTTTTTTTTGAGGCAGAGTCTTACTCTGTCACCCAGCCTGGAGTGCAATGGCGCGATCTCCACTCACTGCAAGCTCCACCTCCCAGGTTCAAGCGATCCTCCTGCCTCAGCCTCCAGAGTAGCTGGGACTACAGACGCCCGCCACCATGCCCGGCTAATTTTTGTATTTTTAGTAGAGACAGGGTTTCGCCATGTTGGCCAGGCTGGTCTCAAAATCCTGACCTCAAGTGATCCACCCGCCTTAGCCTCCCAAAGTGCTGGGATTACAGGCGTAAGCCACCACGCTCAACTCAATGCTCTTTTTATATCAGGGCGTAAGCATTGTGGCTTGAGCTTTTGAAGTGTGCTTCAGCGCTCACCCACAGCACTCATCTCCCACCTCTTTTCCTCCCTCCCTCCCTCCCTTTATGCTTTCTTGCTTCTCTCCAACTGAGCAGGGGGAGTGTGGATGCCCAGGGGCCTGCCAGCTGCCACCCAGTTGGTGTCACTACCCCCCCAGCATCAGTCTCCATCCCCATGTCCCCATACAGGCTGGCTCTCCTCACCCACATCCGTGCAACAAGCATCCATGTTTATTTTCTTTCAGTCAATTTCATTCCCATTCTTTGCCATCTCAGCAGGCTGGCAGAGAACTCACAGTCAGTCCTTCCTGTAGCTCCCACTCTGACCTGGATATATGCGGTCCCAGGACATCAGGAAGGGAAGGCCCTCACTTGTCCCATCAGCCATTGCCAAGCTTTGGCTGCCATAAAAACCTCCAGGCTTCAGTTTGTGTGATGTCTTCAGGGCCTGGGGCTCACTGGCCTTGCAGTCACACTGAGGAATCAGAAATCACTGGTGGGACCAGACGAGGTGGCTCACGCCTGTAATCCCAGCACTTTGGGAGGTCCAGGTGAGAGAATCACTTAAGGTCAGGAGTTCCAGACCACCCTGGGCAACATAGCAAGACCCTGTCTCTACAAAAAAAAAAAAACAATTTTTTTAAAGATTTTAGGCCGGACGTGGTGCCACACAACTGTAATCCCAGCACTTTGGGAGGCCCAGGTTGGTGGGTCACTTGAGGTCAGGAGTTCGAGACCAACCTGGCCAACGTGGCGAAACCCCGTTGCTACTAAAAGTACAAAAATTAGCTGGGCGTGGTGGCATATGCCTGTAGTCCCAGCTACTTGGGAGGCTGAGGTGGGAGAATTGCTTGAATCCAGGAGGCGGAGGTTGCAGTGAGCCAAGATCACGCCACTGCACTCCAGCCTGGGCAACAGAGGGAGACTCCGTCACAAAAACAAACCAACCAACCAACAAAAAATTAAAATAGTTGTTATTGGGGTCTTTGTGAATAAAACAAAAATAAAATGGAGGCCGGGTGTGATGGCTCATGCATGTAATCCCAGCGCTTTAGGAGGCCGAGGTGGGCAGATCACAAGGTCAGAAGTTAGAGACCAGCCTGGCCAACATGGTGAAACCCTGTCTCTACCAAAAATACAAAAAATTAGCGGGGCATAGTGGAAGGCACCTGTAATCCCAGCTACTCAGGAGGCTGAGGCAGGAGAATCACTTAAACCCGGAGGCAGAGGTTGCACTGAGCTGAGACTGCACCACTGTGCTCCAGCCTGGGCAACAGAGCGAGATTCTGTCTCAAAAAAATAAAATAAAATGGAAAAAAAAAGAAGAAACAAAAAAATCTGTAATCCCAGCACTTTGGGAGGCCAAGGCGGGTGGATCACCTGAAGTCAGGAGTTCAAGACCAGCCTGGCCAAATGGTGAAACCCCATCTCTACTAAAAATACAAAAATTAGCTGGGCATGGTGGCGCACGCCTGTAATCCCAGCTACTCGGGAGGCTGAAGCAGGAGAATTGCTTAAACCCAGGAGGCGGGGGTTGCAGTGAGCCGAGATCGGGCCACTGCATTCCAGCCTGGGCGACGAGCAAAACTCTGCCTGAAAAAAAAAAAAGTGTTTTTTTTAGTTTAAAAGAAGTTTTTAAACTCCAAAAAATGTATGCAGATACTTCTGCCCTCATGGCGGGGAGAATAACATGAGTATGGGCTGTACAGGGTGACTTCGTTCCAAGGGGTGCAGCACAGGAAGGGTAACATTACAGCGGAGAAAGCTGGCAATCACTGCCCCAGCCAGGAGATCAAAGTCAACATCAGTAGTTATTTGTCATGCTAATAATCTATACTCGTGATAGAATGTAAAGCAAATGGCACTTTACCTGTGATCTTTCTCCTAAAAACCCATAATCCTAATCTAATCATGAGAAAAACATCAGACAAATCCCAAGACAGGAGCATCTGCGATATAGCTGACCAGCACTCCTAAAACCTGAAGATCGTCATAACAAGGAAAGGCTGAGACACTGTGGCAGCCAAGAGGAGCCGTCGTTACGTGATGACTAAATGTCACCTGGTGTCCTGGGTGGGCTCCTGAAGCAGAAACAGAACACTGGGGAAGAGCCATAGAAATCAATATATGTAAACGAATGCAAATATGTGTAAATAAATGTAAATAGTATGTAAGTAAGTGTAAATTGTATGTAAATAAATGTGATATGGGATCCCAGATGAGATCCTGGAACAGAAAAAGACCATTAGATAAAAAACTGTGTGGCTGGGCAAGGTGGCTTACGCCTGTAATCCCAGCACTTTGGGAGGCTGAGGAGGGAGGATCACTTGAGGTCAGGAGCTCGAGACCAGCCTGGGCAACATGGTGAAACCCCGTCTCTACTAAAAGTACAAACATTAGCCAGATGTGGTGGCGGGTGCCTGCAGTCCCAGCTACTCGAGAGGCTGAGGCAGGAGGATTGCTTGAACCCGGGAGGCGGAGGTTGCAGTGAACTAAGATCACACCACTGCACTCTAGTCTGGGTGACCGAGCCAGACTCTGTCAAAAATAAATAAATAAATAAACAAAAAAACCTGTGGCAATCCATATAAAGCATACACTTCAGTTAATAACATTGTATCAATATTGATATCAACATTGGTTCATTAACTGAAACAAATAGGCAGTATTAATGTAAGATTTTAATAGTAGGAGAAAGTGTGGGGATACACAGAACTCTGTATGATCCTCTCAATTTTTCTATAAATCTGAAACTGTTCTTAAAAATAAAGCCTGTAGGCCAGGCCCAGTGGCTCACGCCTCTAATCCCAGCACTTTGGGAGGCTGAGGCAGGCAGACCACCTGAGGTCAGGAGTTCGAGACCAGCCTGGCCAGCATGGTGAAACCCCGTCTCTACTTAAAATACAAAAAAAATTAGCCAGGCGTGGTGGCAGGCATCTGTAATCCCAGCTACTCAGGAGGCTGGGGCAGAAGAATTGCTTGAAACTGGGAGGCGGAGGTTGCAGTGAGCCGAGATTGTACCACTGCACTCCAGCCTGGGCAACAGAGCGAGACCTGATCTCAAAATAATAAATAAATAAAAATTTAAAAAATAAATTAAAAAATAAGAGCTGGAAGAAAGAAAGAAGAGGCCGGGAACAGTGGCTTGAGCCTGTAATCCCAGCACTTTGGGAGGCTGAGGTGAGAGGATCTCCTGAGGTCAAGAGTTTCAGACCAGCCTGGCCAACATGGTGAAACCTCGTCTCTACTAAAAATACAAAAATTAGCCAGGCGTGGTGGCACTCAACATAGTTCCAGCTACTCAGGAGGCTGAGGCACAAGAATCACTTGAACCTGGGGGGTGAAGGTTGCAGTGAGCCAAGATCGTGCCACTGCACTCCAGCCTGGGCAACACAGCAGACTCCATCTCAAAAAAAAAAAGGAAGAAAGGAAGGAGGGAGGAAGGGATGAAGGAAGGAAAAAGGGAGGGAGGCAGGGAGGAGGGAGAAAGCAAGGGAGGGAGAGAGAAAGGAAAGAAGGAAGGGAAGGAGGGAGGGAGGAAATCAAAGGAAGAAAGGAGGGAAGCTGAGCCCCAGCCTCACCTCCTCTAGGGAGACTTCCTGGCTTCTGCTTGGGCAGTAAAGGGGCATTGAAGGAGCCAGCGGGCAGGACTCAGTACTCAACGTTGCTCAAGTTCCAGAACCTCTGGTGGAGAATGTCCTGTTCATAGGAGATGCATGCTGAAGTTCTGGACAGTCAATTGTCATGATGTATTCATCTAGCTTTCAAATGGTTCAGGAAAAAGCGAAGTGCGTGTATGTAGGGAGAGAAGAGATAGACTGCAACCATAGTAATGTTAGCGTTTGGTGAACTGGAGCAAAGGGCATCTGAAAGTTCACTGGACTATTCCTGCAACTTTTCCGTAGATTTTTTTTTTTTTTGAGATGGAGTCTTGCTCTGTTGCCCAGGCTGGAGTGCAGTGGTGTGATCTCGGCTCACTACAACCTCTGCCTCCCAGGTTCAAGTGATTCTCCTGCCTCAGCCTCCCGAGTAGCTAGGATTACAGGCGCCCACCACCACGCCTGGCTAATTTTTGTATTTTTAGTAGAGACGGGGTTTCACCATGTTGGCCAGGCTGGTCTTGAACAACTGGTCTCAAGTGATCCGCCCACCTCGGCCTCCCAAAGTGCTGGGATTACAGGCTCAAGCCACCGCACTCAGGCTTCTGTAGCTTTTTAAGTTTTTCTTTTTTCCTCTTTTTTTTTTTTTTTTTTTGATACAGGGTCTCACTCTGTTGCCCAGGCTGGAGTGCAGTGGCGCCATCTTGCCTCACTGCAACCTCAACCTCCCCAGGCTCAGGTGGCCCTCCCACCTCAGCCTCCTAACTGAGACTACAGGCACATGCCACCACACCCAGCTAATTTCTGTATTATTTGTAGAGATGGGGTTTTGCCATGTTGGCCAGGCTGGTCTTGAACTCTTGGGCTCAAGCAATCCACCCACCTTGGCCTCCCAATGTGCTAGGATTACAAGTGTGAGCCACTGCGCCCAGCCAGCCTGGTTTTAAGTTTGCAAAATAAAAACTGGAGAGAAAAATTAAGAAGGGGAGAGTCAGGTGAGTGAGTAGGAGGAACTCACCTCCTAGGTGGAAAAACATGTGGCAAAGGCCCGGAGGCATGGGAGAGCTGGGGTAGGACCTGGGGCCTGGGAGGTGTGGCTGAAAGAAGGTGAGAGAGGGCAACTGGAGGTGGAGGGGCCGGTGCTATGGTTTATGGTTTCCATATTTGTCCACTTGAAATCTCATGTTGAAATTTTTTTTCCCGAGATGGAGTTTTGCTCTTGTTGCCCAGGCTGGAGTGCAATGGCGTGATCTCGACTCACTGCAACATCCGTCTCCCGGGTTCAAGTGATTCCCCTGCCCCAGCCTCCTGAGTAGCTGGGATTACAGGCATGCGCCACCACACCCAGCTAATTTTTGTATTTTTAGTAGACACAGGGTTTCACCATGTTAGTCAGGCAGGTCTCAAACTCCTGACCTCAGGTGATCCGCCCACCTCGGCCTCCCAAAGTGCTGGGATTACAGATTTGAGTCACCTCACCCAGCCCAGTGTTGAAAATTGATCCCCAGTGTTGGAGTTGGATCTGGTGGGAGGTGTCTGGGTTCTGGGAACAGATCCCTCATGAACGGCTTGGTACCATTCTTGCAGAAGGGAGCGAGTTCTCACTCTTAGTTCCTGCAAGAACTGGTTGTTGAAGAGAGCCTGCCACCTCCTTGCCCCACTCCCCACCAACTCTCTCTACCTTCTTCTGTCATCATGTGATCTGCAAACACCTTTGGAAACTTCCTGAGGTTCTCACCATAAACGGGTGCTGGCTGGGCGAGGTGGCTCACGCCTGTGAATCCAAAGCTTTGGGAGGCCAAGGCTGGGGAGGATTACTTGAGCCCAGAAGTTCAAGACCAGCCGGAGCAACGTAGTGAGATTCCATCTCAAAAAAAAAGGACATTTTTTAATTAGCCAGGTGTACCAGTGCACACCTATAGTCCCAGTTACTTGGGAGGCTGAGGTGGGAGGATCACTTGAGCCAAGGAGTTGGAGGCAGCAGTGAGCTAGGATCTCACCACTGCACTCCCACCAGGCAGCAGAGTGAAACCTTGTCTCTCATAAAGAGGCAGATTTCGAGACCAGCCTGGCCAACATAGAGAAACCCCGTCTCTACTAAAAATACAAAAATTAGCTGGGCGTGGTGGTGAACACCTGTAGTCCCATCTACTCAGGAAGCTGAGGCAGGAGAATTGCTTGAACCCAAGAGGTGGAGGTTGCAGTGAGCCCAGATTGCACCACTGCACTCCAGCTCTGGAGGAACAGAATGAGACTCTGTCTAAAAAAAAAAAAAAAAAAAAAAAGCAGCAGATGCTGGCACCATGCGTCCTGTACAGCCTGCAGAACCATGAGCCAAATACACCTCTTTCCTTATAAATTTATCCAGCCTTGGGGGGAAGGGGGAGGGATAGCATTGGGACAAATACCTGATGTAAATGATGAGTTAATGGGTGCAGCACTCTAACATGGCACGTCTACATATCTAACAAAGCTGCAGGTTGTGCACATGTACCCTAGAACGTAAAGTATAAAAAAAAAAAAAACCTTATCCAGCCTCAAGTATTCCTTTATAGCAGCACAAAAGGGTCGAAGTCATCCAGAGAAGCCAGAATCTTCAGGGTGAGATGCTGAGAAGAGCTTCAGTGCAGGTGTGCCAGCCCAGGGACAGTGCGGGGACGGCAAGGGGACAGAGGCAGCAGACGATCAGCTCAAGGCAGGATGGACCTGCTTCCTTGCCTGGCTTCCTCATCCAGCCCATCCTTGCCCAGGCCCCAGAGCTACCCAAGGGCTGGGTCATACCAGCGAACACACACACAAGGCTCTCCCTGTCCCCATGTCCCCAGCTCCGTGACCACCAAAGCCACAATTCCCTGCTCTCTCTCCAGCATCTGACCCAGCACCCTGTACGTCTGGCTTCACCGCTTTTGGGGATGTGGCATTCCCTGTCCCATCTAACATCACCATGGATGAGTCTGGTCCAAAATGACCTTCCCAATTATTTCCCTTCTCTGTGTTCTGGATGGACTGGGGAGAGATCAGACCTTTTTATCTTGGAGGACAAGGCCAGTAACAATTATTTATTTATTTATTTATTTTTATTTTTGAGACGGAGTTTCGCTCTTGATACCTGGGCTGGAGTGCAATGGCGTGATCTCGGCTCACTGCAACCTCCGCCACCCGGGTTCAAGCAATTCTCCTTCCTCAGCCTCCCGAGTAGCTGGGACTACAGGAGCACACCACCACGCCCAGCCAATTTTGTATTTTTAGTAGAGACGGGGTTTCTCCGTGTTGGTTAGGCTGGTCTCAAACTCCTGACCTCAGGTGATCCGCCCACCTCGGCCTCCCAAAGTGCTGGGATTACAGATGTAAGCTGCTACACCCAGCTCTTTTCTATTTTTTATTTTTTAGAGACAGGGTCTTACTCTGACACCCAGGCTGGAGTACAGTGGTGCGATCATAGTTCACTGCAGCCCTAATCTCCTGGGGCTCAAGTGACCATCCAGCCTTAGCTTCCTGAGTAGCTGGAACCACAGGTGCATGCCAACATGCCCAGTTAAATTTTTTTTTTTTTTTTTGGTAGAGGCAGGGTCTTGCTATGTTTCCCAGGCTGGTCTTGAACTCCTGGCATCAAGTGATCCTTCCACCTTGGCCTCCCAAACTGCTGGGATTATAGACATAAGGCACTACACCCAGCTCTTGTTTGTAGTTTCTCTTTGTAGTGATGAAAATGTTCTAAAATTGACCGTGATGATGGTTGCACACCTCTGTGAGTATCCTAAAAGCCATTGAAATGTGCATTTTGAAAGGGGGAATTGTATGATATGTGACTTCTATGTCAATAAAGCTGCTTCAAAAACAATAATTAGCACTTCTCGAATGCCTGTCCAATGCCAGGCTGGCCCCCCACAGACACTATTAACCCGCAGGACACAGAAGCTTGGTGGATTAAAGTGACTCACCCAGAGTCACACAGCTAGTGGAGTTAGAATTTGAACCCAGAACCACTGGTAAACAGTTATAGCTCAATAAAGCTGCCTCAGCTATTCTGGAGGCTGAGGAGGGAGGATCACTCCGGCCCAGAAGTTTTTGGGGTTTTTTATTTTTGTTTTTGAGATGGAGTCTCACTCTGTCACCCAGGCTGGGGTACAGGGGTGCGATCTCAGCTCACTGCAACCTCCTCCTCCCAGTTTCAAGCAATTCTCCAGACTCAACCTCCCAAGTAGCTGGGATTACAGGCACATGCCACCAAGCCCAGCTAATTTTTGTATGTTTAGTAGAGACAAGGTTTCACCATGTTGGCCAGGCTGGTCTCGAACCCCTGACCTCAGGTGATCCACCTGCCTCAGCCTCCCAAAGTGCTGGGATTACAGGCATGAGCCACCGTGCCTGGCCCAAGCCCAGAAGCTTGAAGCTGCAGTGAGCCATGACTGGGCCACTGCACTCCAGCCTGGGTGACAGAGTAAGCCCCTGTTTCTTAACAAAAAGAGAAATTCCAAACCCTTTATCCCTATTCCATATATTTCATATATCCCTAAGTGATTAATCTTTCTGTCATGATGGATTTGCCTATTCTGGACATTTCAAAGTAGGCATGGAATCATAGGTCTATGAAATGTCCAGAATCATGGAATCAATAATCACATATTATAGAGGCTTTGTGTCTGGTTTCTTTCACTTAGCATAATGTGTAACCAGGGTGTGTAACCATAACAAGCATCAAGTCTACCCAAGTTTGTTTCCAAGACATTACTGAGCCCCAAACTCACTTATGCTAGGGAGGAACTCAGAAACCCATAGGGCAGTTCTCCAAGGGCTTCTGGTCAGGCCATGGACATTCAGGAGGTGGTCAGAGCTGCCTGAGATGACGCAGGGCTGTGATAAGGGTGTGGAGACACAGCAAGGTAGTGGAAATTCAGGGTTCCTAGGTCCAGCATGTCCAAAAAAAAAAAAAAAAAAAAAAACCACAGCCTGCTAAAACAAAAATATCAACATTCTCCATAGAATTGTATAAAGATCCAGATTCCTATATCCTAATATTTAAAATATCTTGGAGACACTCCAAAATTACTCAGCATACAAAGAGCCGGGAGAATTTCAACTCACAGGAGAAAAGACTATCAACAGTGGTCAATGTTGAGATGACAAAACATTGGAAATATCAGATCAAGACTTTAAAGCAATTATTATCAAAATGTTGCAAGAAAGGCCAACACTCTTGAAATCAATGGAAATATAGAAAGTCTTTGCAAAGAAGAGAAGATGTAAAGAAGAGCCAAACAATTTTTTGTTTTCTTTTGAGACAGGGTCTCCCTCTGTCACCCAGGCTGGAGTACAGTGGCATGATCATAGTTCACTACAGCCTCGACCTCCCAGGTTCAAGTGATCCTCTCACGTCAGCCTCCAGAGTAGCCAAGACTACAGACATGAGCCACCACACTGTCAATATTTTATTTTTTTGTAGAAATGAGGTCTCGCTATGTTGCCCAGGCTGGTCTCAAACTCCTGGTCTCAAGAGATCCTCCCGCCTCGGCCTCCCAAAGTGCTGGGACTACAGGCATGAGCCACTGCACCCAGCCCCAAACAGAAATTTTACATGTCTGTAATTCTAGCACTTTGGGAGGCAAAGGCAGGAAGATCTCTTGAGTCCAGCAGTTCAAGACCTGCCTGGGTGACAAAGCAAGACCCCATATCTACAAAAAAATTAAAAATTAGCCAGGCATGGTGGCTTGTGCCTGTGGTCCCAGCTACTCGGGAAGCTGAGATGGGAGGATTGTTTGAGCCCAGAAGGAGGCTGCAGTGAGCCATGACTGCACCACTGCATTCCAGCCTGGGTGACAGAACAAGACCCTGTATAAAAAATAAATAAATAAATGAAAATAAAAAAATTTAAATAAAGTTTAGAACTGAACAATATAATAACCGCAATGATAAAACAAAGCCAGGCTGGGCACGGTGGCTCAAGTCTGTAATCCCAGCACTTTGGAGGCCAAGGCAGGTGGATCACCTGACGTTAGGAGTTCAAGATCAGCCTAGCCAACATGGTGAAACCTCGTCTCTACTAAAAATACAAAAATTAGCCGGGCGTGGTGGTGGGTGCCTGTAATCCCAGCTACTCAGGAGGCTGAAGCAGGAGAATCGCTTGAACCAGGGAGGCAGAGGTTGCAGTGAGCTGAGGTCGCACCACTGCACTCCAGCCTGGACGACAGAGTGAGATTCCCTCTAAAATAATAATAATAATACAACAAAACCTTGAATGAGCTCAAAAGTAGAATAGAGATAATGAAGTCAGTGAACTTGACGTAGATGGGGAAAAAAGCAAAAAACCAAAAAGTCAGTCAAATGGTAGCTAATTCCTATTCTAAGCAATGCACCCAACCATAAATCCCTGTCCAGAAGGAGCAGGGACCTCCAGCAAGTAGGCAGCGTCCCTGGCCATGGTTCTGGCAAACGCTGTGTGTCAATGCTCTCCTCAAGGCTGGGCCAGCCCACGGCCGCGGTGACTCTCCCTAGAGTCGCCCTCGCCTGTTTGCTTGTGGGAACTGCAGCATCCAGGGTGTCCCACACCCGTTGATGGGAATTTTGAAAATCGCACCTGTGCTAGTGGCAGGTGGAGGGGTAGAGAGGGAGAATTGTAACCGGCTGCCCCAAACACCCCCAAATTGGCTGTTTTAATGGTGAGCCAGAGGTAGGATTTGGAAATTCTTCTTCTTTTTTTTAATGAGACGGAGTCTTGCTCTGTCATCCAGGCTGGAGTGCAGTGGCAAGCTCTCAGTTCACTGCAGCCTCTGCCTCCTGGGTGCAAGTGATTCTCCTGCCTCAGCCTCCCGAGTAGCTGGGATTACAGGCACACGCCACCACACCTGGCTAATTTTTGTATTTTTAGTAGAGATGGGGTTTCACCATGTTGGCCAGGCTGGTCTGGAACTTCTGATCTCAGGTGATCCCCTCGCCTCAGCCTCCTATAATCCCAGGCGGGAGCCACCGCACCTGTCTGTTTGCAAATTCTTTTGACAAGTTGCTCATCATGGTGAAAAGTAAAAGTTGCCCAGTGCTCTGTATATGGCTAAGGCTGTGGGTCTATCCTTCCCAGGGTCTGGCTGGGAAGGTGATGGCTGCCTGATTCCTGGACTGGGCACGGTGCCCCCTTGGGTGTTTGCGGACGGCACAGCAAGTGTGGCCAAGGCTCTGGGAGAGGCTGAAGAGGTGGCCACCCAGGGGCAGGACTGCCAGGTCCCTGGGAAGGTCAAAAGGCAAGAGGGTAACCCACCCTTGGGGGAGCAGCTATGGCCCCAGGAGTAGGGGAGGATCCCCAGTGGAGGCAGGTGTCACTGCAGCCCTGGGCTAATGGGCTCTGGAAGGTGGGGAGGGGGGTGGGGGCGAGAAAGAAGGGGAGGAGGAGGAGAGGCGGGAGCTGTTCTGAGCCCCTGGGGTGATGTGATTGGCATTGCGGCCCCTTCCTCCTCCCCTCCCCATCACCCTCTCAGCCCCAACCACCCCACCAGGGCCTGGGAGGATGGCAGAAACCCCAGCCACATGTTCATAATGGAATAGAGAGCCAGCCAGGCCAAGACAAGCTGGCAGACCCCAGACATGCCCTGCCCCCACCCTGAGCCCCTTCCCCTCTCTTAGCCGCCTCGCCAAGCCAGGCCCTCCCACCCCAGGGAGCGAGAGGGCAGGGAAGTGACAGGACAGAAGGGTAGGGGACTTTAAGAGGGAGGGGCAGTGGAGGGAGGGGGTGCGGGGGAACTGGGAGGGGAAGGGTCTCCAGGAGAAGAGGAGCTTCAGATAGGGGAGGGGGCTCTTGGAGAGGAATGGGGCTCAGGGAAGAAAGGGGAGCTTACAGAGGGGAGTCTGGGAGTGGAGGGGGCCTGGGGCATAGTCCTGCAGGGGAAGGGGCTCCTGGTGGGCAGAGGGGCTTAAGATATAAACCAGATGTGGCCAGGCGCGGTGGCTAATGCCTGTAATCCCAGAACTTTGGGAGGCCAAGGTGGGCGGATCACTTGAGGTCAGGAGTTCGAGACCAGCCTGGCCAAAATGGTGAAAACCCATCTCTGTTAAAAATACAAAAATTAGCCAGGGCATGGTGGTGCATGCCTGTAGTCCCAGCTACTCAGGAGGCTGAGGCAGGAGAATCACTTGAACCTGGGAGGCAGAGGTTGAACTAAGCCAAGATTATGCCACTGCACCCCAACCTGGGCGACAGAGCTCGACACTGTGTCAAAAAAAAAATATATATATATATATATATATGTATGTGTGTGTGTATATATATATATATATATGTGTGTATGTGTGTATATATATATATGTATGTGTATGTGTGTGTGTATATATATATATATGTATGTGTATATATATATATGTATAAACCAGATGAGACCAGGAACAGAACAGCCCCCAAGGGTGGGCTCTGGTTTCTGGCCTTAGCTGGAGCTGGGTCCCTGCTGGGCTGGTTTCCCTCTGGGCTGGGCCCCATCTGGGCAGTGCCCTTGGCACGCTCCCAGGCAGCCCCCAGGCTTGGTTTCAGCAGGTCCGGCTGAAAACGGAAGAAACCAAGCTTGGGCAGGGCCTTTTTATGGCTCCCAGTGAAACCGGGCCCTGGGGACAGGGAAGAAGCTTCTCCAGGGCAATGGCGGAATGGTGGGGGTGACTCACTCCTCCCGTCCTGGCTCTGTGACATCTCAGAGCCTGGGAATTACCCAAAAGCAGCCAACCTGGACGGGCCGAGAGAAAACAGTTCCACCCCGCCCTGGCCACTCTCACCTCACCTTCCCACCGTCACTCACACGGAGGGACACGCCACGCCCGGAACTGAGGATACCAGGAATGAGAAACACACACCCTCTCACACAAGCACGAATCCACCTCGAAAGCCAAACACGCCCACCCCATCCCCGGACAGACAGAGGCCACACACGCGCGGCCCTCTGAGCCCCAAACCAAACTCCTCACCTCAAGAGTTCTGCTTCTCAGATGGCCAGTTTAAGAGGCTGCTTAGGGGGCCGGGTACGGTGGCTCACGCCTGTAATCCTAGCACTTTGGGAGGCCAAGGCGAGTGAATCACCTGAGGTCAGGAGTTCGAGACCAGCCTGGCCAACACAGCAAAACCCCGTCTCTACTAAAAATACAAAAATTAGCTGGGAGTGGTGGTAGGTGCCTGTAAGGCTAAGTCAGGAGAATAGCTTGAACCCGGGAGGTGGAGGTTGCAGTGAGCCGAGAAGGCACCACTGCACTCCAGCTGGGGCAACAGAGCAAGACTCTGTCTCAAAAAAAAGAGGCTGCTTAGGGGCTTCAGGGAGCTGGACAGAGAAGGTAAGGAGACTAGGGGCAACAGAGACAGGGAAATGGCAACTGGGGAGGGGCGAACGCCAGTGACCCCACTGCACAGGAAGAAAAACACAAATTGAGTTACGTGGCTTTTTGTTTTTTTGTTTTTTGCACGGGAAGAAAAACACAAATTGAGTTACGTAGTTTTTTGGTTTTTTTGTTTTTTTCTTTTTTGGAGACAGGGTCTCACTATGTTGGCCAGATTGGTTTGAACTCCTGACCTCAAGCAATCCTCCCACCTTGGCCTCCCAAAGTGCTAGGATTACAGGCGTGAGCCCCCACAGCTGGACTGTATTTTTCTTTTTTAAAAAACAGGCCGGGTGGCTCACGGCTGTAATTCCAGCATTTTGGGAGGCCGAGGCGGGTGGATCACAAGGTCAGGAGATCGAGACCATCCTGGCTAACACAGTGAAACCCCATCTCTACTAAAAATACAAAAACTGAGCCGGGCGTGATGGCGGGCTCCTGTAGTCCCAGCTACTCAGGAGGCTGAGGCAGGAGAATGGCGTGAACCCGGGAGGCGGAGCTTGCAGTGAGCCAAGATCGCGCCACTGCACTCCAGCCTAGGCGACAGAGCGAGACTCTGTCTCAAAAAAAAAAAAAACAAAAAAAAAAACAAACAAAAAAAAAATACAGGCCGGGTGCAGTGGCTCACATCTGTAATCCCAGCACTCTGGGAGGCTGAGGCAAGTGGATCAACTGAGGTCAGGAGTTCGAGACCAGCCTGGTCAACATGGTGAAACCCTCTCTCTACTAAAAATACAATGATTAGCTGGGTGTGGTGACGGATGCCTGTAATCCCAGCCACTTAGAAGGCTGAGAGGCAGGAGAATCGCTTGAATCCAGAAGGCAGAGATTGCAGGGACCCGAGACCACACCATTACACTCCAGCCTGGGCAACAAGACCAAAACTCCGTCTCAAAAAAAAAGAGAGACAGGGGTCTCGCTATGTTGCCCAGGCTGGTCCTGAACTCCTGGCCTCAAGCAATCCTCCTGCCTCTGCCTCCCAAAGTGCTGAAATTACAGGTGTGAGCCACCACACCCCACCTCAAATTGAGTTTTAACTCACCAGGGCCAGGCACTGTATGGTCACAGGGACCTAAGGTGTGGGTGTTTTCCCACTTGCAGGAGGCTCTAAGAGGAAATTTCCTGTCCACGAGCACCAGCTGCCCCCACCCCTCCTTCTTCTGCCTCCTGCCCCCAACACTGTCTCCCCACTTTAGGCTCTGTCTCTGAGAACACACATAAATATCGGTGTCTCAGCCTAGATGTCGGTATAACAAAAGTTAACTGGAAAATCACCCTTCCAGGAAGTCCCTGGAATCCATGGCCATAGTTGTCAGAACAGCCCAGCACCTGGATACACAGCCGGAGCACCCAAGATTCAAACCTGTTTGGAGCTTCCTATATATGCAATGACTTCTTTTCTTTGAGACAGTCTCGCTCTGTCTTACCCAGGCTGGAGTGCAGTGGCATGATCTCAGCTCCCTGCAGCCTCCGCCACCCAGATTCAAGCGATTCTCCTGCTTCAGCCTCCCGAATAGCTGGGACTACAGGCATGCACCACCACACCTGGCTAATGTTTGTATTTTCAGTAGAGACGGGGCTTCACCATGTTGGCCAGGCTGGTCTCGAACTCCTGACCTCAGGTGATCCACCCGCCTTGGCCTCCCAAAGTGCTGGGATTACAGGCATGAGCCACTGCACCCGGCAGCAATGACTTCTTATTTTTCCCCTTCTGGCTGAGGCTTCCTGGGGCAAGGCCTGCCTCCTTCAGAAGCGTCTCCCAAAGGCATGGCCACGTCTGTCCAATCAGACCAAGGCCTCCATATAGAAGATAGCAGAGGTACTAGATATGATTATTTTGATGGAAAGCAACCAAAACTGACAATGTCTAACTTAAGCCAAGGAAAAAAGTGTGGGTGTTGGACAGACTGGCTATAGGATAGATTTTATATAGTTATATATGAACACATATCTATATGAATGTATATATGTATGAAATAAACTAATGTTAAGGAAAAATATTCAATAATATTTGAGTTTTTTTGTTGTTGTGGGTTTTGTTTGTTTGTTTGTTTGACGGAGTTTTGCTCTTGTCGTCCAGGCTGAAATACAATGGCACAATCTCGACTCACTGCAACCTCCGCCTCCCAGGTTCAAGCAATTCTCCTGCCTCAGCCTCCTGAGTAGCTGGGATTACAGGCACACTCCGCCATGCCCAGGCTAATTTTTTTTGTATTTTTACAAAAACATTTTGTAAAATTTTTTTACAGAATTTTGTAGAGGCAGGATTTCACCATGTTGGTCAGGCTGGTCTCAAACTCCTGACCTCGTGGTTCACCTGCCTCTGCCTCCCAAAGTACTGGGATTATAGGCGTGAGCCACCACACCCGGCCTCAATGATACTTGTTAAAGCACAGTAAGGAAGACTTTATTTAGGACTATTGTTTTTGGTTGTGTTTTTTGGTTTGTTTTTTGTGTTTGTCTGTTTGTTTTTTGAGACAAGGTCTTGCTCTGTGGCCCAGGTTGGAGTGCAATGGCATGATCTTGGATCACTGCAACCTCCACCTCCTGGGTTCAAGCAATTCTTATGCCTCAGCCTCCCAAGTAGCTGGGATTACAGGCACGTACCACCATGCCTGGCTGATTTTTTTATTTTTAGTAGAGACAGGGTTTCACCATGTTGGCTGGGCTGGTCTCAAACTCCTAACCTCAGATGATCCACCCGCCTTGGCCTCCCAAAGTGCTGGGATTACAGGCGTGAGCCACCATGCTTGGCCTATTTAGGATTATTGCAATCACTATTAGGAACACTTAATGGGGTACTGCAATGGGGTCTTGCACCGGGGAAGAGAAATTGGGCTCAACTCTGAACACAGCATGGGCAAGTGGGAATTTATACTTAAGAAGTAGATTGGGTGGGGGTCAGCAGATGGAAAATTGCTAAGAGGAAGCATCAGGGGTTAGGAGGATTCTGGCTAAATTGACTTAACCAGGTTCTTGCTGAAGACAAGCCAGGGTGATCCAATATCACCTGGGGCATGGTGGAGGCCGAGGAACCTGATCAGATACTGACGATGATCAGATGTCAAGGATGAGGATTTTCACTAAACGGACTTAGCAGGGTTTTTGCTTAAACTAGATTTTACAGGGAAGTGTGCAGATGATTCAGAAATCTTACTAAAGTTTGGCCAAGCAAAGAATCTTTGTCAGTCCCCCTTCTTGTTCAAAGGAAAGAGACATTCTTCTTCCCTTTGAACAATATAAGTCCGGTTTTTGGTTCAGTCATCAAGTACAATAAATTATCTTGATAAAATACAAAATCTTTATTTTCTAGGCCAATTACTTAAAAGGAAAAAAAAACACTTCACATTCTCAAATAGTTCAAGAAAAATTTGTCATTTTTACAAAGAAGATCAAATTCTACTTTTGCATCAATGTACTACCAGAACTAATTTTTTTTTTTTTTTTTGGTGAGACAGAGATTTACTCTTGTTGCCCAGGCTGGAGTGCAATGGCATGATCTCAGCTCACCGCATCCTCCACATCCTCCGCCTCCCAGGTTCAAGTGATTCTCCTGCCTCAGCCTCCTGAGTATCTGGGATTACAGGCATGTGCCACCACGCCCGGCTAATTTTGTACTTTTTTAGTAGAGACGGGGTTTCATAGTGTTGCCTAGGCTGATCTCAAACTCCTGACCTCAGGTGATCTGCCCGCCTCTGCCTCCCAAAGTACTGGGATTACAGGCGTGAGCCACTGCGCCCGGCCTACCAGAACTAATTTTTAATCAAATTTCATAAATAAATCTAGCCAATCTTAGCTGGTTCATTAAGGACCAGCAAAATCATCTGTTGGGACTTGTTAGTGGAGCTCTCCTAGATAGTGTAAGTGTAAGTCAGCAGGTTTTTAATAAGGGAAGTTCAGTTTCTATGAAAATAAAAGAAAAACAAGGTTAATAGTGGGAACAAACTGTAAACTCAGTTTCTAAATCCAAAGGGCAGCCGCTCCAGAAGATTTCTAGATGCTGGGCCTGAACCATCTTCAGCAAGCAGTGGAAAATGACAGATTTCCCTGGTTTGCTGTTTGGCTATCATGAAGGCTGGCCATACATAAACTGTTGTGGCAGCTTCTCTGAAGTTTATGTCAAGTTGTCAGCTTCAGCTTGCAGGACTTCAGGAAAAGAGCAGTTTTAATTTCAGTGATTCCAAAACAGAAGGGTGGGAGAAAATTGGAAATATTAGTTTGAAGAGTTGTGGCCAGATGATGGAGAAAATAAACAGAATTCAAGAGCTAGTTCAGATTGTAGGTAGATAAGAAAAAAAAAAAACTCATGAATAGCTTCTGAATTCTGGAGGAATTAGGTAGGGAGAAAAAGTAAATGTTTCCATTTTTGTCTAATAAAGTTTGCCAAGTTGCTGTAAGCTATAGATAGTTTAAAAGGGGGGGGGAAACACATCTTTTTAATTATTTATTTATTTTTTATTTTATTTTTTTTTTGAGACACAGTTTCATTCTTGTTGCCCAGGCTGGAGTGCAATGGTGCGATCTCAGCTGACTGCAACCTCTGCCTCCCGGGTTCAAGCAATTCTCATGCCTCAGCCTCCCAAGTAGCTGGGATTACAGGTGCACACCACCACATCCAGATAATTTTGTATTTTTACTAGAGATGGGGTCTCACCATGTTGGCCAGGCTCGTTTCAAACTCCTGACTTCAGGTGATCCACCCGCCTCGGCCTCCCAAAGTGCTGGGATTACAGGCATGAGCCAATGCACCCAGGCAAAAAAAAAAAAAAACTTTTTTAAATGTGGAAAATAGGCCGGACACAGTGGCTCACGCCTGTAATCCCAGCACTTTGGGAAGCCAAGGCACGTAGATCACAAGGTCAAAAGATCAAGACCATCCTGGCCAACATGGTGAAACCTTGTCTCTACTAAAAATACAAAAATTGGCTGTGCGCAGTGGAGCTTGTCTAGTCCCAGCTACTTGAGAGGCTGAGGCAGGAGAATCGCTTGAACCCGGGACGCAGAGGTTGCAGTGAGCCGAGATTGCACCACTGCACTCCAGCCTGGCAACAGAACAAGACTGCGTCTCAACAAAAAAAGAAAATCTGGAAAATAAAACATTCAAAAAAACCAGCAATGTTTCAAATAAAAACTCATGGGTGGTGAGGGAGAAGTGTTAGAAAGAAAAATAAAGAAAATAAAAATAATTTTCTTTTTTTGAGACGGAGTCTTGCTTTTGTCGTCCAGGCTGGAGTGCAATGGGGCGATCTTGGCTCACTGCAACCTCTGCCTCCCGGGTTCAAGTGATTCTACTGCCTCAGCTTCCCAAGTAGCTGGGATTACAGGTGCCCACCACCACGCCTGGCTAATTTTTTTTTTGTATTTTTAGTAGGGACGGGGTTTCACCATGTTGGCCAGGCTGGTCTCGAACTTCTGACCTCTGGTGATCCGTCCGCCTCAGCCTCCCAAAATGCTGGGATTACAGATGTGAGCCGAGCCACTGGCACCCGGCAAAAATAACTTTTTTTAACGTGAAAATTATGTTCATCAGTTTATATTCATGTAGTTAATACATGAAGCCATATGATACTACAATCCACGTAGTTAATATTTGTTCTGCTTGATCGTGAGATCACAGTTTCATGAGCCCATCATTTTCACTAGAGTTCTGGAATGTCTAACCAAGTCCAATGGTATTATCTTAAAGTTATCAGAAACCTGTATTCCAGGGTAATTGACACAGTCTTTTTATTAATTTCCTTGACAAAGAAGCAACTTTGAACTGGAGCTAAGTCTTGCAAATGCTTTTACAGAATAATTTAAGTAAAATAACTGTCTATGGATGATAAAGATGTAAAATGGCATGGTTAAAGATCTGATGAGAGTTCATTATAATAGTGATACAATTAAGAAAATTTGATTTCTGTGGCATACAACCTTTTAACATAATAATCAAAATTATGACTGATAACATACTACATTTCTAGGAATTTCCTATAGTTTCTGGAGCATATATTAATAACATGTCCATACAAATTTAACTCAAACAAGGTTAAACATTATTTCTCATTTCACAATGCTTCCTATATAATTTAACATATGAAATAAGTGTAATTATTTTAATATCTTTCTTTTACTAGGTGAGAGACATACCTTTTGAGATATCCTGGGGCTCAACTGGAAAATACCAAAATTAACTTGAAGTTAAAAAGACTTAATTTAGAATATGATTTTGGGAAGTTTATAAAAAATGTCAAAAGGGTTAAAGCACTTAATTAAACATAATCTCGGTTATCTAATCAAAGTGTTGATAACTTTTTTTTTTTGAGACAGAGTTTCATTCTTGTTGCCCAGGCTAGAGTACAGTGGTGCAATCTCAGCTCACTGTAACCTCCGCCTCCTGGGTTCAATTCTGCTGCCTCAGCCTCCCAAGTAGCTGGGATTGCAGGCACGCACCATCACGCCAGACTAATTTTTGTATTTTTAGTAGAAACAGGGTTTCACCATGTTGGTGACAATAAAATATTTTAAAGGCAAATATAGCAGATTACATAGTTGTGAAGAAAAACTTAGGTTTTTTGATATTGAGAAGATTTAGTTTTCTTAAGTAACCAAAGACGTGATAAAAGACAACATCAAGAACAAGAAATTCCCTTGATAAGACATAAAATTTTTATTTTCTAGGCCAATTACTTAAAGGAAAAAAAAAACCCTTCACATTCTCAGACCAATAGTTCAAGGAAACTTCATAATTTTTAGAAAGACGACCAAATTCTACTTTTGCATCAATGTACTAGTAGAACTAATTTTTAATAAAACTTCACAAATAAATCTAGCCAATCTTAGCCAGCTTTGACCACACATGACAAGATTTCTTTTCCACAGTTGAGTCTAAATTTTTAATGAATATCAATTACTCAATTTTACTTAACACAACTTTAAGGTTGCAAGTTGTCACAAAAAGATTTTTGAAACTATTTTCAAGTAGACATCTTTTAAAGCATAATTATTTTTTAAAAGTTCATTTACAAATTTTTATTCTACTACATTCTCCTAATTTATTTATTCGCAGCAATTACGGTTTAATTGCTCATGAAAAATGTCATGAAACATTAAACAAAGGTAGGCACTATTTTAAAGTATTTTTCCTATTAATAAATCAGGTAAGTATCAAAAACATCACAAAAGCAATGAAACTAAAAAGTTAAACAAGGTTCTTTTTTTTTTTTAACTTTTATGTCCTGACATGCACAAAGCAATTAAGCAATTCATTTTTCTTGTACATTCTGTTCTTAGGTTAGATTTATAGCTTTATGACCTTAAACATCTAGCAAATACAACACAAACGTATCTTACCAGCATACTCAGGAAAAACTGTATGTCTGTATTTAATGATAACAGTTCTGAAGACAGTCCTATTTTCATTTTACCAACAATTTTAAAACTAACTTTTATTTACTAAAGACTATCCTGGATCATGTGAACTTGAAAAAAATTGTTCAGTTTTTTATTTTTCTGATAATTTTATGAATACTTAATTTGTTTGAGTGCGCATTTATCCCTAAGACAATTTGCTATTTTCGTTTTGTATTAGCATTGAAGTTAGAAAAATATCATGTATACATAACAAACAAACATGCATACATACATACATATACACATACATAAACATACAGACAGATGTAAACAGATCTTATAGCTTTTCATCTTAAAAATTTGAATCATGAGGCAGTAAACCAGGATAATATAAATTCACTGGTTTATCTTCACATCCAATTATGTTTCTGATACAAATGGGACAAATTAAGGTTACCAACCCAGTAAGGACTAAAAATTTTTACCAATATCTGTGAAGGCAACTTTTAAGATTTTTTCATTTGTCCAGTTTTCTTTTTCTTTGTTTTGCTTTTTTTATTTTTTATTTTTGAGACAAGGTCTCAGTCTGTTACTGAGGCCGGCCGGAGTGCAGTGGTGCAGTCACAGCTCACTGCAGCCTCGACCTCCCAGACTCAAGTAATCTTCCAACCTCAGCCTCCCAAGTAGCTGGAACCACAGGTGTGTGCCTTCAAACCTGGCTATATTTTAAGTTTGTTATAGACATGGGGTCTTGCTATGTTGCCCAGACTCATCTAAAACTCCTCAGCTCAAAGAAGTCTCCTGCCTCAGCCTCCCAAAGTGCTGGGATTACAGGCATGAGCCACCACACCCAGTCTCAGTTTTCAAACAGTTCTATTTTTGTTGTTGTTATTTTATTTTCAGCTTCAGGTGCTTGCTTGCGGAATGAGGTGCTGAGTTCCTTAAGAGCCCCCAGTGAAGGGTAGGGGGTCTAAGGTACAAGAGACTGAGGGGCTGGAGTGGAGAGGAAAAGGGCCTGGCAGTGGGGTACACAGTTGGCAGAGGATAGAGTCAGCAGGAGTTCGAGAAGAGAGCTTTCAGGTGACAGAAAAGTTTCCCGTGGGAGAAGCAGGATCCAATAGAGAGAACAGAGAGAATAGGGAGGCCTCACAGAGGGCCAGGAAGAAGGACTTCCAGCCCAGAAAGTACCTTTCAAAAGAAACCTGGGACTCTAACCCAGCTTCAGCAAATATACCCATACTTTAAGAATCAAAGTCTGTGCCAGCGGTGGCTCATGCCTGTAATTCCAGCACTTTGGGAGGCCGAGGCGGGTGGATCACAAGGTCAGGAGTTCGAGACCAGCCTGGCCAACATGGTGAAACCCCGTCTCTACTTAAAATACAAAAATTAGCCGGGCGGGGCGGTGCATGCCTGCAGTCCCAGCTACTCGGGAGGCTGAGGCAGGAGAATCACTTGAACCTGGGAGGCAGAGGTTGCAGTGAGCCGAGATCACACCACCGCACTCCAGCCTGGGTGACAGAGCAAGACTCCATCTCAAAAAAAAAAAGTCTGTGCCAGGCATAGCGGCTCATGCCTATAATCCCAGCACTTTGGGAGGTCAAGGTGGGAGGATCACGTGAGCCAAAGAGTTCAAGATCAGCCTGGATAACATAGTGAGACCCCATCTCTACAAAAAACAAAAAATAAAAAATTAGCCAGGCACGGTGGTGTGCCTGTAGTCCCAGCTACTCAGGAGGCTGAGGTGGGAGGATTGCTTGAGCCCTGGAGTTTGAGGCTGCAGTGAGCTATGATTGCACCACCGCACTCCAGCCTGGGTGATAGAGTGAGACCCTGTCTCAAACCAAGAAAAAACAACAACAACAAAGGAATCAAAGTCTGTCCTTACCTGCTTCAACGGATATTTGGAGCAATGGTTCGGGAGTCTGACTTCCTGATGAGTCAGTCAGGAAGGAAGACAAAGACTTCAAAGGCACTCACTTAATGTCCTAGGGAGAAGCTACGTCCAGGGATGAATCTGGTCCTATCTGAGTTGCAGCACCATAACTGTTAAAATGTTATTCAATAACACATGTTAAAGCATGTCAAGGAAGACTTTCTTCAGGACCATCGCAATAGGTATAGGAACCACTGCACCAGGGTCTTGCAGTGGGGAAGAGAGATTGGGCTCAACTCCGAATACAGCATGGGCAAGTGGGAATTTATAGCCCAGGAGCAGAGTGGGAGTAGGTGGATGGAAAATTACTAAGAGAAAACATCAGGCATGAAGGGAATTCTAGCTAAACCAACCTAGCAGGATTGCTGCTGAAGACAGGCCAGGGTAATCAGACATCACGTGAGGTATCATGGAGGGTGAGGAATTGATCAGATACTAAGGATGATCAGATATTGAGGATGGAGCGTTCTTGCTGAACTGACCCAGCAGGGCTCTTGCCAAAACTGAGTTTTACAAGAAAGTACGTGGATGGGCTTAGGAGAAGACTCAGAAACCTGACTGAAGTTTGGACAAGCAAAGAATCTTTTGTCGTTAAACATCTAAATGTGAAGAAAATAACTGTAAAACACTTAGAAGAAACTATAGGAGAATACCTCCATTTCTTGGATTTAGAGAAATATTTCTTAAGTAAGACACAAAAGATACATGAAAAAGAAAAAATTGATGGAGATAGACATATTAAAAACTTGCATGACGCTGGGCGCGGTGGCTCACTCCTGTAATCCCAGCATTTTGGGAGGCCGAGGTGGGCAGATCACGGGGTCAGGAGTTTGAGACCAGCCTGGCCAACACGGTGAAACCCCGTCTCTACTAAAAATACAAAAAATTAGCTGGGTGTGGTGGTGCGCGCCTATAGTCCCAGCTACTCGGGAGGCTGAGGCAGGAGAGTTGCTTGAACCTGGCAGGTGGAGGTTGCAGTGAGCCAAGATCGTGCCACTGCACTCCAGCCTGGGTGACCGAGTGAGACTCCATTAAAAAAAAAAAAAAACTTGCATGACAATACATATAATTTTTAAAGTTTTAAAATAAGCTAAATGCAACCCATATAGCCAACAAATGTCTAGTAATCAGAGTATATAAAGAACTCAGCTGGGCATGGTGGCTCACACCTGTAATCCTAGCGCTTTGGGAGGCCAAGGAAGGTGGATCACCTGAGTTCGGGAGTTCGAGACCAGCCTGGTCAACATGGTGAACCCCATCTCTATTTAAAAAATACAGAAATTAGCTGGGCATGGTCGTGGATGCCTGTGAGGCTGAGGCAGGAGAATCACTTGAACCCGGGAGGTGGAGGTTGCAGTAAGCCTGGATAGTGCCATTGCACTCCAGCCTAGCAACAAGAGCAAAACTCCATCTCAAAAAAAAAAAAAAAAATTGCAAGACCATACATATAATTTTTAAAGTTTTCAAATAAGCTAAAATGCCAACAAATGTATAGTAATCAGAATATATAAAAAACTCAGCCAGGCACGGTGGCTCACACCTGTAATCCCAGCACTTTGGGTTTTGGGATTTTTTTTTGGTTATAGAAATGTTCTAGGTCTTGATTTGAGTGCTGGTTACATGCGTATTCACAAATGTAAAAATTTTATCAAGCTGCTCCCTCTCCCTCTCCCTCTCCCTCTCCCCACGGTCTCCCTCTCCCTCTCTTTCCACGGTCTCCCTCTGATGCCGAGCCGAAGCTGGACGGTACTGCTGCCATCTCGGCTCACTGCAACCTCCCTGCCTGATTCTCCTGCCTCAGCTTGCCGAGTGCCTGCGATTGCAGGCGCGCGCCGCCACGCCTGACTGGTTTTCGTATTTTTTTGGTGGAGACGGGGATTCGCTGTGTTGGCCGGGCTGGTCTCCAGCTCCTAACCGCGAGTGATCCGCCAGCCTCGGCCTCCCGAGGTGCCGGGATTGCAGACGGAGTCTCGTTCACTCAGTGCTCAATGGTGCCCAGGCTGGAGTGCAGTGGCGTGATCTCGGCTCGCTACAACCTCCACCTCCCAGCAGCCTGCCTTGGCCTCCCAAAGTGCCGAGATTGCAGCCTCTGCCCGGCCGCCACCCCGTCTGGGAAGTGAGGAGCATCTCCGCCTGGCCGCCCATCGTCTGGGATGTGAGGAGCCCCTCTGCCTGGCTGCCCAGTCTGGAAAGTGAGGAGCGTCTCTGCCCGGCCGCCATCCCATCTAGGAAGTGAGGAGCGCCTCTTCCCGGCCGCCATCACATCTGGGAAGTGAGGAGCGTCTCTGCCCGGCCGCCTATCGTCTGAGATGTGGGGAGCACCTCTGCCCCGCCGCCCCGTCCGGGATGTGAGGAGCGTCTCTGCCCGGACGCCCCGTCTGAAAAGTGAGGAGACCCTCTGCCTGGCAACCGCCCCGTCTGAGAAGTGAGGAGCCCCTCCGCCCGGCAGCCGCCCCGTCTGAGAAGTGAGGAGCCCCTCCGCCCAGCAGCCACCCCATCTGGGAAGTGAGGAGCGTCTCTGCCCGGCAGCCACCTCGTCCGGGAGGGAGGTGGGGGGGGTCAGCCCCCCGCCCGGCCAGCCGCCCCGTCCGGCAGGTGAGGGGCGCCTCTGCCCGGCCGCGCCTACTGGGAAGTGAGGAGCCCCTCTGCCCGGCCACCACCCCGTCTGGGAGGTGTACCCAACAGCTCATTGAGAACGGGCCATGATGACAATGGCGGTTTTGTAGAATAGAAAGGGGGGAAAGGTGGGGAAAAGATTGAGAAATCGGATGGTTGCTGTGTCCGTGTAGAAAGAGGTAGACATGGGAGACTTTTCATTTTGTTATGTACTAAGAAAAATTCTTCTGCCTTGGGATCTTGTTGATCTGTGACCTTACCCCCAACCCTGTGCTCTCTGAAACATGTGCTGTATCCACTCAGAGTTGAATGGATTAAGGGCGGTGCAAGATGTGCTTTGTTAAACAGATGCTTGAAGGCAGCATGCTCGTTAAGAGTCATCACCACTCCCTAATCTCAAGTACCCAGGGACACAAACACTGCGGAAGGCCGCAGGGTCCTCTGCCTAGGAAAACCAGAGACCTTTGTTCACTTGTTTATCTGCTGACCTTCCCTCCACTATTGTCCTGTGACCCTGCCAAATCCCCCTCTGCGAGAAACACCCAAGAATAATCAATAAAAATAATAATAATAATAATAATAAAATTAAATTAAATAAAAAAAAATTTTATCAAGCTGTACCTTTAAGATTTGTGTATTTTACGGGCATGGTGGCGCATGCCTGTAGTCCCAGCTACCTGGGAGGCTGAGGCAGGAGAATCATTTGAACCTGGGAGGTGAAGGTTGCAGTGAGCTGTGATTGCACCACTGCAGTCCAGCCTAGGTGACAGAATGAGACTCCGTCTCGGAAAAAATAAAATAAAATAAAATAAAATAAAATAAAATAAAATAAAATAAAATTGTACATTTTAAGGACTTTATCAAATATATTTTATGTCTCAAAAAGGAAACTTCATGGCAAAAAAAAAAAAATCATAGAACTAAATGGCCAAAGATAAGCTATCATCTGGGAGAAAATATGTGTAACCGTTATAATCAACAAATGATTAGTACTCAGAATATACAAAGAAATTCTACAAATTGCTCAACATCACTCATCATCAGAGAAATGCAAATCAAAACCAAAGTAAGATACTGTCTCAAACCAGTCAGGGAGCTATTACTAAAAAGTCAAAAAATAACAGATTTTGGCAAGGTTGGGGAGAAAAGGGAACACTCATACAGTGTTGGTGGGAGTGTAAATTAGTCCAGCTACTGTGAAAAGCAATGTGGACATTTCTCAAAGAACTGAAAATACAGCTACCATTCTACCCAGCAAGCCCATTACTGGGTATATACCCAAAGGTATATAAATTGTTTTACCAAAGAGACACATGTGGCCGGGCACTGTGGCTCACACCTGTAATCCCAACAGTTTGGGAGGCCGAGGTGGGCAGATCACTTGAGGTCAGGAGTTCGAGACCAGCCTGGCCAACACGGTGAAACCCCATCTCTACTAAAAATACAAAAAATCAGCTGGGCATGGTAACATGCGCCTGTAATCCCAGCTACTTGGGAAGCTGAGGCAGGAGAATCACTTGAACCTGAAAGGCAGAGGCTGCAGTGAGCCGAGATCTCGCCATTATACTCCAGCCTGGGCAACAGAGCAAGAACACATCTCAAAAAAGCAAAAGAAGACACATGCATTTGCATGTTTATTACAGCACTAGTCACAGTAGCAAAGACATGGAATCAATCTAGGTGCCCATCAATGGTGGACTGGATAAAGAAAATGTGGTTCATATACACCAAGGAATACTACACAGCCATGAAAAAGAATGAAACCATGTCCTTTGCAGCAACATGGATGCAGCTGGAGGCCATTATCCTAAGTGAATTAACACAGAAACAGAAAAACAAATATTAGGTAAGGGGTACAACAGGCACTTCAGCAGAAAGTTAAGACTGTTAATCTGAGAATACCAGATTCTCAGAATACCACATGTTCTCACTTACAAGAGGGAGTTAAACATTGGGTACATGTGGACATAAACACAAGGATGACAGACAGTAGGGACTACTGGGGTTGGGGTTGGAGAGACAGAGCAAGGGTTGAAAAATCACTACTTTCACTGTTTGAATTGTGGGTTCAAAGCCCAAACCTCAGCATCACACAATATATCCATGTAACAAACCTGCATATGTACTCCCTGAATCTAAAATAAAAAAAAAAAAAAGAAATTATGCAAATCAATGAGAAAAGGACAAACAACTCAATAGGAAACCACCCGGGAGCAGTGGCTCATGCCTGTAATCTCAGCACTTTGGGAAGGGTGGGAAGATCCCCTGAGGCCAGGAGTTCAAGACCAGCCTGGCCAACATGGCAAAACCCCATCTCTACTAAAAATACAAAAAATTAGCTGGACATGGTGACATGCGCCTGTAATCCCAGCTACTTGGGAGGCTGAGGCAAGAGAATCGCTTGAACCCAGGAGGTGGAGGTTGCAGTGAGCCAAGATCCTGCCATTGCACTCCAGCCTGGGTGACAGGGTGAGATTCCATCTCATAAACAAATAAATAGCCCACAGAAGAAAACATTGAAATGAATAAACATAGAAACAATACTCAATAACACTAGTAATCAGAGAAATGTAAGTTAAAATGAGATGCCACTGGACACCCACAGAATGATACGCAAAAAAACAACCTCTCTGACACGCCGAGGGAGTGTCAATGGATACAGCCATTTTAGAGAATCATTTGGCAATATTGGGAAGGTGGGAGGTGTGTTTACCTGATGACCCAGCAATTTTACTTCTAGGAGAACACATGTGCACCTGGAGGTATTTGCAAGGACGTGCATCACACCTTATTTGTCACAGCAAAACCACTGGAAACTATCTAGATGCTTATCAAGAGGCGAATCAGCCGGGCACGATGGCTCATGCCTATAATCCCAGCACTTTGGGAAACCGAAGTGGGTGGATCACTTGAGGTCAGGAATTCAAGACCAGCCTGGCCAACATGGTGAAACCCTGTCTCTATTAAAAAAAAAAAAAAGATAACACAAAAATTAGCCTGGCAAGGTGGTGCATGCCTGTAGACCCAGGTATTCAGAAGGCTGAGGCAGGAGAATCGCTTGAACTCGGGAAGCAGAGGTTGCAATGAGCCGAGATCACATCACTGCACTCCAGCCTGGGCGACAGAGCAAGACTCCATCTCACAACAACAAAAAAAAGAACTGACACTGTTTTGCTGCCAGTGGGCTCTGGCATCAGCCACAGTGAGAGGAAGCCCTGCGTGGCCTCCCCCGCTGCTACCATGGCCACTGTGGTCACAGCCCATAGAGCAGGCACTGGGCTGGCTGGGGAAGAAGGCAGCTGCTTGACACCCACAGGTCTGTTCAAGGAGTTTCTCTTTTCCATTGGAGCTCAGGGCGCACCCAGGCAAGGGAGCGTGGCCTTTGTCAGTGATAAGGCCGGAGCCAGAAACAGTTGAGTAACCTCTGATAGGGCCCTATCTTAAATCAACTTCTCTCTCCTTGGGCCTTGAAAGCTGCTTTGTTTAACTTTGTGCTGTTAGGATGAAGCATATGATAAGGCCTACACGTTTAAATAAACTTATAAGTCAACAGTGTCTATTACCCTGGGAAGGAGACTTAAGAGATTGATGAGAACATATGACCCCACAGAGCCTGGGGATGGAGGTCTTTTAGCCCCCTCTCACCTGCAGTACCCCTGTCCCTACCCCCACTCCAATCCAAACTGAGGTTCCCTTGGATTTCTTTCTTTTTTTGAAAAAAAAAAATGTTTTTGTAGAGTTGGGGTCTTGCTATGTTGCCCATGCTGGTCTCAAATTCCTGGTCTCAAACGATCCTCCTGCCTTGGCCTCCCAAAGTGCTGGGATTACAGGTGTGAGCCACCGTACCCAGCCAGGATTCCTTTCTTTTCCTTTTCTCATCTTCTTTTCTAGTAAGGGACCCAGAGCCAAAACACCAAACTGCAAAGGCCCAGCAAATGATCTCAAACCCAGATGGTTACAGGAACTGAACGGGTAACTGAAATGTGTACAATAAGCCAGGTAAAAGGCAATGGGTGTGACACTGTGACATGGTAAACAACATAGATTTGGTCTCTGCCCCCAGTTCTTGAGCCAGAGCTCCTAATACCCTCATTGATAGGGGTGCTGGGAGAATCTTTAGTTCTAATATTTGGTCTCTGCCCCCGCGGTTCCTGACACAGAAGTTCCTAAATCCCTGGGAATTTTCTGGGTGGTAGGATCATCTTTTGTTCTGATGAGGTGACTCTTGGTGGATTCCTGGATAGCCTCGGGATGGGGGCTGGTTGCCAAGGGAACCAACGCTGTGATTGGAGAGTTGGACCACTCAGCCCCACCCCTCAGCCTCTGGGGAGAGGAGAGGCTGAAGGCTGAGCTGATTGCCATTGGCCAGTGATGCAATCAATCATGCCTATGTAATGAAGCCTCCTAGCCCCCACCCCATTCCCACAAAGGACAGGGTTCTGGGAGTTTCTCGGTTGCAAAACCTGTGGAACTGCTTGGAGGATGGCATACCAGAAAGAGCAGGGAACCTCCTCACCCTGCCCACACTTCGCCATATGCACCTCTTCCATCTGGCTGTTCATCTTTCATCTCTATCCTTTGTAATACTCTTTTTTTTTTTGAAATGGAGTCTCACTCTGTTGCTCTGGCTGGAAAGCAGTGGGAGTGGCACGATCGTGGCTCACTGCAGCCTAAATCGCCTGGGCTCAAGCAATCCTCTTACCTCAGCCTCTCTGGTAGCTGAGACTACAGGTGTGTGCCACCATGCACTGGAATGGTGTGTTTTCTATTTGTAGAAAACAAATATTTTTTAATTTGTAGAGAGGAGGTCTGGCTATGTTGTCCAGGCTGGTCTCAAACTCCTTGGCTCAAGCGATCTTCCCAACTCAGCCTTCCAAAGTGCTGGGATTACAGGCACGAGCCACTGTGCCCGGTCTGTAATATCTCTTTTATAATAAATGGGTAAATGTAAGTAAAGTGTTTCCTTGAGTTCTGTGAGTCACTCTAACAAATTACTTGAAACCAAGGAGGGGGTCATGGGAACCCCAGATTTATGGGGGTCAGAAATACAGGTCACAACCTGGGATGTGCAAGTGTCACAGAAGTGGGCGTGGTCTTGTTACAGGAAAGGGGCCCCAGTCCAGAACCCAAGAGAGGGTTCTCGGATCTCACACAAGAAAGAATTCAGGGCAAGTCCGCAATGCAAAGTGAAAGCAAGTTGATTAAGAAAGTAAAGGAATAGGCCGGGCGCGGTGGCTCACGCGTGGAATCCCAGCACTTTGGGAGGCCGAGGCGGGCGAATCAGGAGGTCAGGGAATCCAGACCATCCTGGCTAACACAGTGAAACCCCCTCTCTACTAAAAATGCAAAAAATTAGCTGGGTGTGATGGCGGCCGCCTGTGGTCCCAGCTACTCGGGAGGCTGAGGCAGGAGAATGGCGTGAACCCTGGAGGAGGAGCTTGCAGTGAGCCGAGATTGCGCCACTGCACTCTAGCCTGGGCGACTGAGCAAGACTCTGCCTCAAAAAAAAAAAAAAAAGGAAAAAGAAAGTAAAGGAATAAAA
Source organism: Homo sapiens (assembly GCF_000001405.40). Lineage (NCBI taxonomy): Eukaryota > Metazoa > Chordata > Mammalia > Primates > Hominidae > Homo > Homo sapiens. The sequence continues at coordinate 73,791,623 of NC_000007.14, read as the reverse complement.
GAATGGCTACTCCATAGACAGAGCAGCCCCAAGGGCTGCTGGTTGCCCATTTTTGTGGTTATTTTTTGATGATATGCTAAACAAGGGGTGGAATATTCATGCCTACCCCTTTTAGACCATATAGGGTAACTTCCTGACATTGCCATGGCATTTGTAAACTGTCATGGCGCTGATGGGAGCGTAGCAGTAAAGACGACCAGAGGTCACTCTCGTCACCATCTTGGTTTTGGCGAGTTTTAGCCAGCTCCTTCACTGCAACCTGTTTTATCAGCAAGATCTTTATGACCTGTATCTTGTGCTAACCTCCCATCTCATCTTGTGACATAGAATTCCTCTCTGGGAATGCTGCATGGTAGGTCTCAGCCTCATTTTACCCTGCTCCTGTTAAAGATGGAGCTCTGGTTCACACGCCTCCAACATTTTCCCCCTTCCCTTTTATAAGAGAACCCTTAATTCTAAGGGTTGCAGAGGGACGAAGATCCATCCTCTATAACTTCTTCCGGCTGAATAGGGGCGATATTTCTGCCTACCTATGAGGGTCTCTTGCATTCAGAGTAGAGAGGAGCTCAGTCAGAAAGCACCAGTATGGTAAGGTCCATTCATAACTCTTGAGTTTTGACAAAAAGTGATATCTGGAAGATTAAATAGTGTTTAATTTGAAGCTGGGTGCGGTGGCTCACGCCTGTAAACCCAGCACTTTGGGTGTCTGAGGCTGGTGGATCACCTGAGGTCAGGATTTCGAGACCAGCCTGACCAACATGGTGAAACCCCGTGTCTACTAAAAATACAAAAATTAGCCAGACGTGGTGGCAAGCGCCTGTAATCCCAGCTACTCGAGAGGCTGAGGCAGGAGAATTGCTAGAACCCAGGAGACAGAGGTTACGGTGAGCCGAGATCTCGCCATTGCACTGCAGCCTGGGGGACAAGAGCGAGACTCTGACTCGAAAAAAAAAAAGTGTTTAAGAAAACATTCAGTAAGATTGTCCTGTATTCCTACACAAAGAGTATAACAGCAGTATATTCCACAAGAGTAAAGCAAAATAAGTTAAGTTATTCCAAGTAAACGAAATTAGAAGGCTCTTCATGAAGTGGGCAACTGTTGGAACTAAGCTGATACGGGGTTGTTAGCTAATTCTAATTTGCCCAAAATTAGAATACTGATCCAGATTTTTATATTACCAACCCCTCTTTTTTTTTTCTGAGCAACACTGAGATCACTGGTTGGTTCACAGGAATAGGCAGAGTTAGCCTAAATTGCAGAAACAAATTTAAAAACAACTAATGAGACTAGAATTTAATAACAAGTGTACCATAGTTCTTGAAACATAATATTTCTCTCTCCAGTTTCCCATTTTTACTAAAGACAAATCATGGTAAGACTGATTTGCTTTATTATACTTGGCCTGATTATTTGTATAAAGTGCAGCAAGAATAATTATTTTTCACATAGGGTCTTTTAAAATTGGCTTTGATGGAACTCTGTTCTACAGAAGAAATTTTAGATAAGACTTTTTTAAAGCCCAGCCCAGCCATGGGTTTGTACTCTCAAATACCTATGAGTTGGGTACATTTCTTTCCTCTTGAGGTCCCAAGATAACTTGCAGCTTCTGGACCTATTAGAAAGTGACATTCTTTACTTACCACAGGTCAGTAGCCTTGTACAGGGACTGTTATAGGCAAGGTATGAGGCCGATTCCCCATGGGGCTTTTATTGGCTTTATAAGTCAAGTTTAATTCCTTAAAGGGGCTGGGCATGGTGGCTCACGCCTGTAATCCCAGCACTTTGGGAGGCCAAGGCAGGTGGATCACTAGGTCAGGAGATGGAGACCATCCTGGCTAACACTGTGAAACCCCACCTCTACTAAAAATACAAAAAATTAGCCAGGCGTGGTGGTGGGCACCTGTAGTCCCAGCTACTTGGGAGGCTGAGGCAGGAGAATGGCATGAACCCGGGAGGCAGAGCTTGCAGTGAGCCAAGATCATGCCACTGCACTCCAGCCTGGGTGACAGAGCGAGACTCCATCTCAAAATAATAATAATAATAATAATAATAATAATTCCTTAAAGGAAAACACACCATTCCAGTCAAAGCCTTGGTTTAATAACCAATTTTTTCAACTGTGTCCTGTTACAAAAGAAAACAGATTCTTATTGCACTTATGCAATAACTATATTGCCATAAGTTAAGAATACTCACAACTAGTTTTTAAATTTTGGAGAAATTTGGTAGAGAGATAGAAAATACATTCCAAATTTTGTTCATAGCAGTATACTTTACTCAATTGTTACAAGCTGTAAATAGCTTAAAAGAAAACTTTCCTTGACTCTGAAAAACAAAACAAAGGATCGGCAACGTTTTAAGCAAAGTTAAAAAGATTACTTCAGTTTTCTATTGGTTCCATTAATTCAGTTAACTTCTGTTTGATATTTATGAACATTCCAGCTCTTCATGAGCGTTTCGAAAGTTGTTTCCTCTATTCTAATGTTACAATTTCCAAAGTTATTAGAAACCTGCATTTAAGAACACCTGCTAGAGTTCTATAGTTGAATATAAACCACCTTCTAAAGAGGATTAAAATAAGATAACAATTGTCTGTGGATGATAAAAAGTCTTAGCACAGCCACTATTAAAGCCACAAATGATAAGGAAATTTGGTTACTTCTGTGGCACACAAAATTTTACATAACAATTATAATTATTAATAACATACACTGTCATATTAGAATTATAGGAGTTTCCCATAACTTTGGAACATATACCAATAACACATTTATGCAAACATAGTCCAAATAAAGCAAAACACTATTTTATATTTGACAATGTTTCCTGTATGATTTTTGTACCAAATTAGCCAAATTTCATCTTTATATTAATGTACTATTAATGTCAAACCCAATTTTTAATAAAACCTTATGGACATATTTACCCAATTTTAATGTTTGGGTTTGTTGTTGTTGTTTTGAGACGGAGTCTTGCCCTGTCACCCAGGCTGGAGTGCAGTGGCATGATCTTGGTTCACTGTAACCTCTGTCTCCCAGGTTGAAGAGCTTCCCCTGCCTCAGCTTCTCAAGTAGCTGGGACTACAGGTGCTTAGCTGGGACTACAGGTGCCCACCAGCACACCTGGCTAATTTTTTGTATTTTTAGTAGAGATGGGGTTTCACCATGTTGACCAGGCTGATCTCCATCCCCCAACCTCAGTGATCTGCCCACCTCGGCTTCCCAAAGTGCTGGGATTACAGGCATGAGCCACCTCACCTGGCCCAATTTTAATGTTTAACTATAAGGTAAGATTCTTATAAACCTTTTATAACCCTTTACATTTTTTTGTGAAAGAGCAGATGAGTGCTCTAAGAAAACCCTGCTGTGCTTCTGTTCCAACGTTTAGTTTCCGGAAAAACTGAATAATACCTTTTTAACGTTGGCCAATATGTTACACACAAAATCTCTTACAATTAATTTTTATAAATCTTCCAAAACTTGTTTAAACCTTTAGATTTTTTTCTTACTTAAAACAATCCTTTAACACTTTAGGCAGAAAAAAAATGCACATTCCCATGCCTTCTTACGATCTTATTTTTTTACCAAAAACATATTTTACTTTTCTTACACACCTTGCATGTAAAACTGTTTCTTCAGTAGTCTTTTTGTTTTTTGTTTTGTTTTGTTTTGAGACAGAGTCTCGCTCTGTTGCCAAGGCTGGAGTGCAATGGCACAACCTCAGCTCACTGCAACCTCTGCCTCCCAGGTTCAAGGGGATTCTCCTGCCTCAGCCTCCTGAGTAGCTGGGATTACAGGCATGCATCACCACAACCAGCTAATTTTTGTATTTTTAGAAGAGAAAGGGTTTTGTCATGTTGGACAGGCTGGTCTTGAACTCCTGACCTCAGGTGATCTGCCCACCCTGGCCTCCCAAAGTGCTGGGATTACAGGCGTGAGCCACCGCACCCGGCCTCTTCAGTAGTCTTAATTATATGTTACAATGTTAATGCTTAGCAACTTTTATTTTTGGTGAAAACCTTGGCAAGTAAGGGATTTTAATTATGTACTGGGTGTGGAGCCTGCCTGGGACACACCAGGCAGAAGTGCAGATAAGGGCTGACTCTCCAGCATAGCTAGGGGGTGTGGCTAACTCCACATGTCACCAGGCCTTACCTAGAATCTAATGGCTTTAAGGTAGGCAAATTGGACAATTTTCAAAAGTTAAAGAAACAGTTTGAGGCCAGGTGTGGCGGCTCACGCCTGTAATCCCAGCACTTTGAGAGGCCGAGGCAGGCGGATCATCTGAGGAGTTCAAGACCAGCCTGGCCAACATGGCGAAATCCCGTATCTTCAAAAAGTAAAATGAATAAATAAATAAATTAGCTAAGCACAGTGGCATGTGCCTGTAATCCCAGCAACTCAGGAAGCTGAGGTGGGAGAATTGCTTGAGCCTGGGCCGTCCAGGTTGCAGTGAGCTGAGATCAAGCCACTGCACTCCAGCCTGGGTGACAGAGTGAGACTGTGTCTGAAAAAATAAAATAAAATAAATAGAAAATAAAGGAGATTCTGACATGCTACAACATGGATTAATTTTGACAGAGTGAGACTGTCTGAAAAAATAAAATAAAATAAATAGAAAATAAAGGAGATTCTGACATATGCTACAACATGGATTAATTTTGAGGACATTATGCTAAGTGAAATGAGCTAGTCAGAAAAAAAGACACTATATGATTTCACTTCTATGAGTTATTTAGAGTAGTCAAAATCCTAGAGGCAGAGGCCAGGCATGGTGACTCATGCCTGTTATCCCAGTATTTTGGGAGGCCAAGGTGGGAGGATCACTTCAGCCCAGGAGTTCCAGACCAGCCTGGGCAACATAGCAAGACCCCATCTCTATTAAAAAATGTTTAAAAGAGTAAAACAAAAAAAAATTCTTTTAATCGTGGAGACAGAGAGTGGAATGGTGTTGACAGACTAATGCCCTCAAATGCAAAAAAAAAAAAAAAAAAAAAAAAAAATGGAATGGTAACTGCCAGGGACTGAGGGGCAGAGATAATGGGGCTTCATTGTTTAGTAGAAATACAGTTTCAGTTTTACAAGATGAAAAAAGTTATAGAAATGGATGTTGGGGATGATTGTACAACATTACGAATATATTAATTCCACTGAACTGTACATCTGAAATTAGTTAAGATGGTAAATTTTATGTTATGTTTTTGTTGTTGTTATTGTTAAGACAGAGTTTCGCTCATGTCACCCAGGCTGAAGTGCAATGATGCCATCTCGGCTCACTGCAACCTCCACCTCCTGAGTGAGAGCGATTCTCCTGCCTCAGCCTCCCGAGTAGCTGGGATTACAGGCATGCACCACCATGCCTGGCTGATTTTTGTGTTTTTGTAGAGACAGAGTTTCACCATGTTGGCTAGGCTCTGTAGAAAACTGAAACCTCTACTCCGGAGCTCAGGTTATCCACCAGCCTCGGCCTCCCAAAGTGTTGGGATTACAGGAGTGAGCCACCATGTTCAGCCTCATCAATAGTAATTTAATTGTACATTTAAAAATAACTAAAAGTGCCAGCACGGTGGCTCACATTTGTAATCCCAGCATTTTGGGAGGGCAAGGCAGGTGGATCACTTGAGGTCAGGAGTTCGAGACCAGCCCGGCCAACATGGTGAAGCCCCATCTCTACTAAAAACACAAAAATTAGCCAGGCGTAATGGTGGCGCCTGTAATCTCAGCTACTCAGGAGGCTGAGGCAGAAGAATCGCTTGAACCGGGAGGTGGAGGTTGCAGTGAACTGACATCGCACCACTGCACTCTAGCCTGGGCAACAGAGTAAGACTCCGTCTCAAAAAAAAAAAAAAAAAAGGCCAGGCACGGTGGCTCACGCCTGTAATCCCAGCACTTTGGGAGGCCGAACTGGGCAGATCACGAGGTCAGGAGATCAAGACAATCCTGGCTAACACGGTGAAACCCCATCTCTACTAAAAATGCAAAAAGTTAGCCAGGCGTGATGGCAGGCGCCTGTAGTCTCAGCTACTCGGGAGGCTGAGACAGGAGAATGGCATGAACCCAGGAGGTGGAGGTTGCAGTGAGCCGAGATTGCACCACTGCACTCCACGCTGGGTGACAGAGCGAGACTCTGTCTCAAAAAAAATAATACATAAATAAAAATAAAGGCTATAATTGGATTGTTTGTAACGCAAAGGATAAATGCTTGAGGTGGATCCCTCTTTTACTTTGATGTGATTATTACACACTGAAGCCTGTACCAAAATATCCCACATACCTCATAAATATATACACTTACTATGTACCCACAAAAATTAAAAATAAAACAAAATTGTTAGTGTAAATGGTCTCAGTATGCCAATTAAAAGAGATTGAGGCCAAGTGCAGTGGCTCATGCCTGTAATCCCAGCACTTTGGGAGGCCAAGGCAGGCGGATCACCTGATGTCAGGAGTTTGAGACCAGCATGGCCAACGTGGTGAAAACCTGTCTCTAGTAAAAATACAAAAGTTAATTGGGCAGCTACTCAGGAGGCTGAGGCAGGAGAATCACTTGAACCCAGGAGGTTGAGGTTGCAGTGAGCCAGGATCACACCACTGCACTCCAGCCTGGGTGACAGAGTGAGACCCTGTCTCAAAAATAAATAAATAAATAAATGAGTTTGAAAGAGTGAATTAAAAACAGGACCCAACTATATTCTGTCCACAAGAAATTCACTTCAAATGTAACAATATAGGTAGGTTAACTGGAAAAAGAAATAGTATGCAAACATTAATCCAAGGAAAGTGGGAGTAGCTACACCAGTATAAGATAAAGTAGGCTTCTGAGCAAAGAAAATTATGAGAGACAGAGAGGGAGATAATATAATGATTACAAAGCCAATCTACCAAGAAAACATAGCAATCTTTGTGTGTTTACATCAAACAATAGAGCTGAAAATACGTGAAGCAAAAATTGACATAACTGAAAAGACAACATAGAAAAAACCACAATTAGAGCTGGAGACTTCAACACTTTTTTTTTCTTTTTCTCTTGTTTTGTTTTGTTTTTGTTTTTGAGATGGAGTTTTGCTCTTGTTGCCCAGGCTGGAGTGCAATGGCCTGATCTTGGCTCACTGCAACCTCCGCCTCCCAGGTTCCAGCGATTCTCCTGCCTCAGCCTCCAGAGTAGCTGGGATTATAGGCATGTGCCACCATGCCCAGCTAATTTTGTAGTTTTAGTAGAGACAGGGTTGCGCCATGTTGGCCAGGCTGGTCTCGAACTCCCCATCTCAGGTGATCCGCCTGCCTCGGCCTCCCAAAGTGCTAGGATTACAGGTGTCAGCCACCGCGCTCGACCTCAATGCTTTTTTCAACAGTTGATAGAACAACTAGACAGAATAGAGCAAAGGTATAGAACTCAATACTGTCAACCAATAGGATCTAATCGACCTTTATAGAACATTCCACCCAACAACAGCAGAATACACATTCTTTTCAAGAGCCCATGGAACATATACCAAGATAGACCACATCTTGGGCCAAAAAACACATTTCAACAAATGTAAAAGAATTGAAATCATATAGAGTATATTCTGTCACACACTGGAACCAAACTAGAAACCAATAACAGAAAAAGAGGGCTGGGCGCGGTGGCTCACGCCTGTAATCCCAGCACTTTGGGAGGCCGAGGTGGGCGGATCACGAGGTCAGGAGATCAAGACCATCCTGGCTAACACGGTGTCACCCCATTTCTACTAAACAAAATACAAAAACTTAGCCGGGCGTGGTGGCAGGCCCCTGTAGTCCCAGCTACTCCAGAGGCTGAGGCAGGAGAATGAGGTGAACCCAGGAGGCGGAGCTTGCAGTGAGCCGAGATCAAGCCACTGCACTCCAGCCTGGGCGACAGAGCGAGACTCCATCCCAAAAAAAAAAAAAAGAAAAGAAAAGAAAATAACAGGAAGATCTGCAAACTCTTGTGAACCAAACCACATACTTCTAAATAATCCATAGCTCAAGAGGAAATCATAGGTTTCCTCCTGTGTATTTTCAAAAAATACACTTAAGTAAATGAAAATTAAAATACAACATATCCAAATGGTGGCACGCACATAAAGCAATGCTGATAAGGAAATTTATAGCATTAGATGCATACATCAGAAAAGAGGGAAAGTCCCAAATCAATAATCTAATCTGTCACATCAAGAACCTAGAAAAAAAGCCAGGTGTGGTGATGCATGCCTGTAGTCCCAGTCACTTGGGAGGCTGAGGCAGAAGTTCAAGGCAAAAGTTGCCTGAGCCTTTGGCCGGGCTCAGTGGCTCACACCTAAAATCCATCGCCAGCATGATGAAACCCCCGTCTCTACTAAAAATACAAAAAATTAGCTGGGCGTGGTGGCGTACGCCTGTAATCCCAGCTACTCAGGAGGCTGAGGCAGGAGAATCACTTGATCCCAGGAGGTGGAGGTTGCAGTGAGCCAAGATCACACCACTGCACTCCAGCCTGGGCAACAAGATCAAAACTGTCTCAAAAAAAAAAAAAGAAGAAGAAGAAGTTGCCTGAGCCCAGAAGTCCAAGGCTGTAATAAGCTATGATCGCACCTTTGTACTCTAGCCTGGGTGACAGAGCAAGACAAGACTCCATCTTTATAAAAAATCTAAATAAAGAATAGAAGAACCTAGAAAACAAGAGCCAAATAAATACAAAGCAAGTAGAAGGAAGGAAATATAAAGATAAGAGCAAAAACTAGTGAAATTGAAAACAGAAATTTTTTTGCATAGAAAAATATCAATGAAACAAAAAAGTAACTGAAAAAATCAGTAAAATTGACTAACTTCTAGCAAGACCAACAGAAAAAAGAAGACACAATTTATCAATAGAAATGAAACATGGGCCTGGGCATGGTGGCTCACACCTGTAATCCCAGCACTTTGGGAGGCTGAGGCGGGCAGATCATCTGAGGTTAGGAGTTCAGGACAAGCCTAACTAACATGGTGAAACCCCGTCTCTACTAAAAATACAAAAATTAGCTGGGCATAGTGGCAGGCGCCTGTAATCCCAGCTACTCGGGAGGCTGAGGCAAGAGAATCGCTTGAACCTGGAGGCGGAGGTTGCAGTGAGCCGAGATCACACCATTGCACTCCAGCCTGGGCGACAGAGCAAGACTCCGTCTCAAAAAAAAAAAAAATGAAACACAGGCTATTACGACAGATCCTACAGACACGTAAAGGATAATAAGAGGACACTATGAACAACTCTATGAATAAGGGAACGCATAAATTCAACAACTTAGTTAAAATAGCCCAGTTCCCCCAAAAAACACAAACTACAACAACCCATCTATTATGAAATAGATAATTTGAGTGGCCTTATATCTATTGAGGAAATTAAATTTGCAATTTTAAAACTCAGAAAAGAATCAACAGGCCTAATTTTCTTTGGAAAATGCTACCAAACGTTTAAAGAAGAATTAATACCATTTGATATAGTTAGGATGCTTGTCCCCACTCAAATCTCATGTTGAGATGTAATCCCCAGTGTTGGAGGTGTGGGCCTGATGGGAGGTGTATGGATCATGGAGATGGATTCCTCATCAATGGCTTGGGCCATCCTTTTGGTAATGAATGAGTTCTTGCTCTGGGTTCACATCAGATCTGGTCATTTAAAAGTGTGTGGCAGCTGGGCACAGTGGCTCATACCTGTAATTCCAGCACTTTGGGAGGCTGAGGTGGGTGGATCACTTGAGATCAGGAGTTTGAGACCAGCTTGGGCAACATGGTGAAATCCTGTCTCTACTAATAATACAAAAATTAGCTGTGCGTGGTGGTGCACACCTGTAATCCCAGCTACTTAGGAGGTGAGGCAGGAGAATCGCTTGAACCTAGGAGGCAGAGGTTGCAGTGAGCCAACATCATGCCATTGCACTCCAGCCTGGGCGACAAGAGCAAAACTCAAAAAAAAAAAAAAAAGTATGTGACATACCCCTGCACTCTCTCTCTTTTTCCTCCTTTTGCCATGTGACGTGATTGCTCCCTCTTTGACTTTGCTATGATTGAAAGCTTCCTGAGGCCTCCCCAGAAGTCGAGCAGATGTCAGCACCATGCTTCCTGTAAAGCCTGCTGAACCATGAACCAATTAAACCTCTTTTCTTATAAATTACCCAGTCTCAGGTATATCTTTATAGCAATGCAAGAAAGGCCTAATACACCATTTCTATGCAGTCTCTTCCAGAACACAGAAGAAAGGAGAACATTTCCCAGTTCATTTTATTTAGTATTACCCTGATATCAAAATTAGACAAAGACAGTACAAAAAAAAAACTTGAGATTAATACTCTCTCTCATGAATATAGGCTCAGAAATCCTTAACAAAATGTTTTCAAATAGAATTCAGCAATAGACAAAAAGAAGTACACACCATGACCAAGCGAGTTTGCTCCAGGCATATAAGGCTGGCTCAATATCCAAAAGTCAATTTGATTAACAAGCTAAAGAAGAAAAATCACATCATTTCAATTGACATAGAAAAGCATTTGACAAATTTCAACCCCATTCGTTATTTTTTGTTTAATCTCTCCAAAAAATAAGAGTAGAGGCCAGGCATGGTGGCTCACGCCTATAATCCCAGGACTTTGGGAGGCTGAGGCAGGCAGATCATTTGAGGCCAGGAGTTCAAGACCAGTCTGGCCTCCCAAAGTGCTGGGATTACAGGCGTGAGCCACTGCACTTGGTTCAATCTCTTTTAATTGGCATACTGTGACCATTTAACTAACAATTTTGTTTTATTTTTAATTTTTGTGGGTACATAGTAAGTGTATATATTTATGAGGTATGTGGGATATTTTGGTACAGGCTTCAGTGTGTAATAATCACATCAAAGTAAAAGAGGGATCCACCTCAAGCATTTATCCTTTGTGTTACAAACAACCCAATAAGACGGAGTCTTGCTCTGTTGCCCAGGCTGGAGTGCAGTGGTGCGATCTCAGCTCACTGCAACCTCTGCCTCCGGGGTTCACACCATTCTCCTGCCTCAGCCTCCCGAGTAGCTGAGACTACAGGTGCCCACCACTACGCCTGGCTAATTTTTTGCATTTTTAGTAGAGATGGGGTTTCACCATGTTAGCCAGGATGGTCTCGATCTCCTGCCATCTCGGCTCACTGCAACCCCCACCTCCCGAGTGGGGTTGAGTTAGAAGGGAAGTAGGTATGGCTATAAAAGAGGAACAGGAGGGATCCTTACGGAGAAGGAAAGTTCTATATCTTACTATTGTCAATATCCTGACAATGCAATTACCTGGCTGGTAATATCATACTATAATTTTCCAAGATGTTATCATTGGGGAAAACCAGGTAAAGGTTACAGGATCTGTTTCTTTTTTTTTTTTTTTTTTTAACAATTGCTGGTGAATTTACAAATCTCTCAAAATTAAGAATTTAATTAAAACACAAAAGAGAATAGGTGTGTTTTATCTCAGTCCAGAACTTTTTTTTTTTTTAAGAAAAGAGAGAGTGGGTGCAGTGGTTCATGCCTGTAATCCCAACACTTTGGGAGGCCAAAGTGGGCAGGATTTCAAGACCAGCCTGGCCAACATGATGAAACCCTGTCTCTAATAAAAATACAAAAATTAGGCAGGCGTGGTGCTACATGCCTGTAGTCCCAGCTACTCGGGAGGCTGAGGCAGGAGAATCTCTTGAACCCGGGAGGCAGAGTTTGCAGTGAGCCGAGATTGCACCACTACACTCCAGCCTGGGTGACAGAGACTCTGTCTAAAAAAAAAAAAAAGAGAGAGAGAGAAAGGGAAGGAAGGAAGGAAGGAAGGAAGGAGGGAGGGAGGCAGGCAGGGAGGGAGGGAAAAAAAGAGAGTAGTTGTGGAATGCCAGTAGTAAGTGAAGTATGCATACCCCACCTAGAGGCATTCTATTTCAGATTTGAGAAAAACTTTGTACTGGCAGATAAAATTTTGTACTGGCAGATAAAAAACTTTTCACTGCAGATAAAATTCTGCCCCTGGGCTGCAGTTTGCAACCTCTGGCCAAGACCTGGGAACATAGTTCAGAGCAAATGAAACTGACGAGAAGGTTTAAAACATATATTTAGTTGTGTTTTTGTTTTGTTTCTTTGTTTTGTTTTTTGGGTGTCGCTCTGTCGCCCATCCTGGAGTGCAGTTGCAAGATCTCAGCTCACTACAACCTCTGCCTCCCGGGTTCAAGTGATCCTCCTGCCTCAGCCTCCCTAGTAACTGGAACTACAGGTGTGGGCCACCACGCCCAGCTAATTTTTGTAGTTATAGTAGAGATGGGGTTTCACCATGTTGGCCAGACTGGGCTCGAACTCCTGACCTCAAGTAATCTGCTCTCTTTGGCCTCTCAAAGTGCTGGAATTACAGGTGTGAGTCACCGAGCTCGGCCTAAAACATATTTGCTGATGTGCATTATCGCTACTGTTCATTTCTCATCCCCACACACCCAGACACACCACACACAAATACTGCACACCCACCGATACACACACAGGCACACAATCAGCCACAAATGTCATGCTCAGTTACCTGGATTTGATCACATGCCGCACACACACCTACAGTCATGCACACTCACACACACACACAGATGCACATACAGCACCACCACACTGACACCCACATTCTGCGGCCAGATAAGGGGTGATGTTTCTTCAAGATCTCAGTATGCATGCACGGACTTCCAGTGCCCCCTTTCTCCATGGGCTTTGCACGGTGAGTCCCCCAGCCAGAGCGATGGAGGACCTAAAGCCCCACAGACACTAGGCTCCTCTCCTCCACAGTTCTGCACACAATTTCATCTCTCTTTCTTTTTTTTTTTTTTTTTTCAGACGGAGATTCTCTCTTGTTGCCCAGGCTGGAGTGCAATGGCTCAATGTTGGCTCACTGCAGCCTCCGCCTCCCGGGTTCAAGCGATTCTCCTGCCTTAGCCTCCAGAGTAGCTGGGATTACAGGCGCCCACTACCAAGCCCGGCTGAGTTTTTGTATTTTTAGTAGAGACGGGGTTTTGTCATGTTGGTCAGGCTGGTCTCAAACTCCTGACCTCAGGTGATCCACCCACCTCAGCCTCCCAAAGTGCTGGGATTACAGGCGTGAGCCGCCGCGCCTGGCCAATCCTCATCTCTTCTGATGCTAGAGATTGCAGGATCCTGACCCTCGTAGATATTGCCGACTGGGGAGAGGAGAGGGACTGGCTGGTACAGGAGGAAGAGAATGCAGTAGTTGCAGTAGGGGAGAGGCATGGTGCGCTGGGGACTTTCTTGGGGGATGGATACCAGGTGGGAGACAGAGAACAGGCTAATCTCCCAGCTGTGGGTGCTGCTCTCTCAATTCCTCTTTTTCTGGCCCTTTGCTCCTTGGAATCTCTCTTCCACACATACACCCTTCTGTGCAAACACACCTCGTCACCTCCACCAGCTCCTGCTCAGCCTCCTACAGGAAGCCCTCCTGGACCAGAGCAGGTGCAGAGCTCCCCTTCCCTGCATTTATGCATTGGATACTCAGCATTTATGGCAGGGCTCCACTCCTGAAGCAGCTAATCCCACTGCCAGATCATGCTGTTGCTTCTGGACACGAGGTTCAGGAGTGGAGGAGGGGCGTCCATTATGCCTGGAGACTCCAAGCCTCACTCCCACTCCACCCCTTCATACCACTTCCCATTAAAAAGCAGCTGGGCACTGTGGCCCATGCCTGTAATCCCAGCACTTTGGGAGGCCAAGGCAGGCGGATCATCTGAGGTCAGGAGTTCAAGACCAGCCTGGCCAACGTGGTGAAACCCCATCTCTACTAAAAATACAAAAAAATTAGCTGGGCATGGTGGCGACTGCCTGTAATCCCAGCTACTTGGGAGGCTGAGGCAGGAAAATCTCTTGAACCAGGGAGGCGGAGGTTGCAGTGGGCGGAGATCGCGCCATTGCACTCCAGCCTGGGCAACAAGAGTGAAACTCCGTCTCAAAAAAAAAAAAAAAAAAAAAAAAAAAGCACCTGCAGGCTGGGCATGGTGGCTCACACCTATAATCCCAGTGCTTTGGGAGGCTAAGACAGGAGGATCTCTTGAGGCCAGGAGTTCAAGACCAGCCTGGGCAACATGGCAAGATCTCCATCTCCACAAAACATAAAAATTATTAGCTGGGCATGGTGGCACTCACCTGCAGTCCTAGCTACTTGAGAGGCTGAGGTGGGAGGATTGCTTGAGCCCTGGAGGTTGAACCTGCAGTGATGAGCTATGATCATGCCACTGCATTCCAGCCTGGGCAACAGAGCAAGACTGTGTCTCGGAAAAAAAAATGAAGAAGAAGAAAAGATGCCTGCATTGCACTCTCTAAGCACCTCCACACTCAGGTGACACACTCAGACATACACTGCAGGCCCGAACACCACACTGGTTTTTATTTTAACAGATTTATTGAAGTACCATTTCCATACCATACAACTCACCAATTCAAATGGTAATCCATTTGAAAAGTGGACCTTCCAGGTGGTGTGGCTGGGCTTAGACTGGGGGCTGAGGCCCAGAGTGGCCCCCACTGCACTGCCAGTTGTGCCTGGATTGGGCACTGCAAGCTCTACTCCTGCTGGCTTTGAGGCTGGTGAAAGTCACGTAGCCTCCCTTAGCCTCAGTTTCCTCCTCTATAAAATGAGGGAAATGCTGTCTGCATGACACACTTCCAGGGTTATGGTGACAATAGAGGCGATGGTTAAGTGTGCTATAAAGCAGAAAACAAGTTGGCCGGGCGCGCGCAGTGGCTCACACCTGTAATTCCAGCACTTTGGGAGGCCGAGGCGGGTGGATCACTTGAGGTCAGGAGTTTGAGACCAGCCTGACCAATATAGTGAAAAATACAAAAATTAGCTGGGCATGGTGGCGTGCTCCTGTAGTCCCAGCTACTCGGGAGGCTGAGACAGGAGAATTGCTTGAACCCGGGAAGCAGAAGTTGCAGTGAGCAGAGATCATGCCACTGCACTCCAGCCTGGGGGACAGAGCGAGACTCCATCTCAAAAAAAAAAAAATTGTACAAGTCAATGATTTTTAGTATATTCACAGAGTTATACAACCATCATTACCACAATCAATTGTAGAACATTTTCACCACCCCAAAAAGAAACCCTGTACCCACTTTCTCCCAACATCCTCACCCCAGCCCCTGACAACCACTCATATAATCTTTGTCTCGGTAGATTTCCCTATTCAGAATTTTTTTTTTTTGACTGAGACTGTCTCCGTTGCCAGGCTGGAGTGCAGTGGTGCGATCTCAGCTCACTGCAACCTCCACCTCCTGGGTTCAAGTGATTCTCCTGCCTCAGCCTCCCGAGTAGCTGGGACTACAGGCACATGCCACCAAGCCTGGCTAATTTTTGTATTTTTAGTAGAGACAGGGTTTCACCATGTTGGCCAGGATGGTTTCAATTTCTTTTTTTTTTTTTTTTTTTTTTTTTTTTTTTTTTTTTTTTTTTTTTTTTTTTTTTGAGACGGAGTCTCGCTCTGTCGCCCAGGTCGGACTGCGGACTGCAGTGGCGCAATCTCGGCTCACTGCAAGCTCCGCTTCCCGGGTTCACGCCATTCTCCTGCCTCAGCCTCCCGAGTAGCTGGGACTACAGGCGCCCGCCACCGCGCCCGGCTAATTTTTTGTATTTTTAGTAGAGACGGGGTTTCACCTTGTTAGCCAGGATGGTCTCGATCTCCTGACCTCATGATCCACCCGCCTCGGCCTCCCAAAGTGCTGGGATTACAGGCGTGAGCCACCGCGCCCGGCCCTCAATTTCTTGACCTTGTGATTCGCCCACCTCAGCCTCCCAAAGTGCTGGGATTACAGGTATGAGCCACCACACACAGCCCTGAATATGTTTTAATAAATGGAATCAGGGCCAGGCACAGTAGCTCACGCCTGTAATCCCAGCAGTTTGGGAGGCTGAGGCAGGTGGATTACCTGTGGTCAGGAGTTCGAGACCAGCCTGGCCAATATGGTGAAACCCCATCTCTACTAAAAATACGGAAATTAGCCAGGCGTGGTGGCACATGCCTGTAATCCCAGCTACTCGGGAGGCTGAGGCAGGAGAATCACTTGAGTCCAGGAGGAGAAGCCTGCAGTGAGGCGAGATCATGCCACTGCACTCCAGCCTGGCCGACAGAGTGAGACTCTGTCTCAAAAAATAAATAAATAAAAATAAATAAATAAATAAATAAATGAAATCATACAATAGATGGTCCTGCCTCTTTCACTTACTGCAATGTCTTCAAGGTTCCTTCATGTTGCAACATGTATCAGTACTTTATTCCTTTTTAATGGCTGCATAATATTACTTTGTATGGCTAGATCACATTTTATTTACCCATTCATCAGTTGATGAACATTTAGGATGTTTCCACTTTTTGGCTATTATGCACAATGTTGCTACAAACATTCAGGTACAAGTTTTTTTTGTCTGACCTGCTCATATGCTTTTGTGTCTCTTGGGTATTCCTAGACGAAAATTGCTGAGTCATATGGTAACATGAGTCAGCAATGTAATCTTCTGAAGGACCACCAGATTGTTTTCCACAGCAGATGCCCCACTTACATTGCCACCAGCAATGTATCAGGGTGTCAATTTCTCCACATCCTCACCAACATTTGTTATTTGATTATTGCCTCCCTAGTGGGTGCAAAGTGGTATCTCTTTGTGGCTTTGATTTGCATTTCTCTAATGACCAATGATGTTGAGCATCTTTTCATGTATTTATTGGATTTTTTTTTTTTTGAGACACATCTTGCTCCCTTGCCCAGATTGGAGTGCAGTAACACAGTCATAGCTCACTGCAGCCTCAAACTCCTGGGCTCAAGCAATTCTCCCACCTCAGCCTCCCAAGTAGCTGGGAACTACAGGTGTACACCACCATCCCTGGCTAATTTTTTTTTTTTTTAAGTAGAGACAAGGTCTCGCTATGTTGTCCAGGCTGGTCTTAAACTCCTGGCCTCAAGCGATCCTCCTGCCTTGGCCTCACAAAGTGCCGAGATCACAGCCGTGAGATACCGCCCCCTAGTCACATTTATTGGCCATTTTTATACATTCTTTCTCTATTCTAAATGTCTGCTCAGTTTCTTTGGCCATTTTTTAATTGGTTTATTTGTCTTTTTATTATTGAGTTGTAGGAATCATGGTAGGTATTGAGCAAAAAGCTGATTGGAGCTGTGTTTGCCCAGAGGCAAAGTCTTATTTGCAAAGTCCCTGAAGTTTGGCCTCTGGGCATGAAGCTCTGTCCTGCTGGCCTCATCTCAGTGCAGCCCTGCCCAGCAGGTCCACCTCCCCCAGGCTCAGGGACAAGCCCCAAACCCAAGCAACTCAGGACAACTCTTGTCTCACAGATGGGGAAACTGAGGCTCAAGGTGGTAAAAGGACTGGCTCAAGCGCTCGTGACCCAGGAGAGCAAAGCCAGGCTCAAGTTCAGATCTACCTTTTCTCTGTACAATTTCTCTGGACATATACATGCCCTGCCTGGCTGTTTTCTGCTTTTATAGCATACTTAACATCGCCTCTATTCTTACCATAACCCTGGAAGTGAGTCATGCAGACACCATTTCCCTAATTTTATAGAGGAGGAAACTGAGGCTAAGAGAGGCGACGTGACTTTCACCAGCCTCAAGGCCAGCAGGCGTAGGGCTCACAGTGCCCAATCCAGGCACAACTGGCAGTGCAGTGGGGACCACTCTGGGCCTCAACCCCTAGTCTAAGCCCAGCCACACCACCTGGAGGGTCTACTTTTCTTCTGGCCCAGAGCCACCCCCACTCACCAGGAAACTGTAGCAGCCAGTAGTCCACTGGAGGACTTGAGTTATATGAACTTCCTCTAGAACAGCTCCACCCAGCACCAGCTGGGCCCTCTGGACTGGCACTCCCAGATCTGCCCAGGCCCTGCCCAACAGGTGCAGCCCAAGACCTTTGCTCCTGAAAGAAGTAGAACCCTGGTTTCCATGAGCCCCTGACACTGTTTCTTACTCTTCTTCTTCTTTTCTTTTTTTTTATTTTTTTGAAATGGAGTCTCGCCCTGTCGCCCAGGCTGGAGTGCAGTGGTACGATCTCAGCTCACTGCAACCACCGCCTCCTGGGTTCAAGCGATTCTCATGCCTCAGCCTCCCGAGTAGCTGGCACTGCAGGTGCATGCCACCACGCCCAGCTAATTTTTGTATTTTTAGTAGAGACGGGGTTTCACCATGCTGGCCAGGCTGGTCTCGAACTCCTGACCTCAGGTGATCCACCCGCCTCAGCTTCCCAAAGTGCTGGGATTACAGGTGTGAGCCACTGCACCCAGCCATGTTTCTTGCTCTTCTATCATTCCAAGGCTTAGGCATTTACAGAAGAGGGCACAGGCTGCATGCCTGTGATTTGAGATATGGAGGCAACCCCAAAAAACCCCAAGGCCCAGCTCAATGGGGTCTCTCTTCTCTCTGGAAGAGCCCTTGACTCCTACAAGATGACCAAGCCCCCTTGACTCAGCACAGCAGTATCCCTTTATCAGTCATTTATGCCAGTAGGAAAGCCTGGGTAGGCAAGGTTGAAGGAACATGAGAAAGTCTTCCCTTCATTCAAGTCACTAAATCGACTCTCTGTTGAGTACCCAACACCATTCTAGGCAATAGGAATGCAGCAGTGAATAAAACCAGCAAAATTCTTGCCTGTTCTGGGACATTACAGATGTCCCAATGGAGCTGACATACTGGAACAGAAAGAAAGAAACAATTTAAAAATTGGCTGGGTGCCATGGCTCATGCCTGTAATCCCAGCACTTTGGGAGGCCAAGGCGGGCAGATCATGAGGTCAGGAGTTCGAGACCACCTGGCCAATATGGTGAAACCCCATCTCTACTAAAAATACAAAAATTAGCTGGGCGTGGTGGCACGTGCCCGTAGTCCCAGCTACTTGGGAGGCTGAGGCAGAAGAATTGCTTGAACCCAGGAGGTGGAGGTTGCAGTGAGCCGAAATTGCACCACTGCACTCCAGCCTGGTCAAAAGAGCGAGATTTCGTTTAAAAAAAAAAATAGGCTGGGCACTGCTGCTCACACCTGTAATCCTAGCACTTCGGGATGCCAAGGTTGGGGGATTGCTTGAGACCAGGAGTTCAAGACTAGCCTGGGCAACACAGTGAGACCCCATCTCTACAAAAAAAAATGAAACAATTAGGTGGGCTTGGTGGTATATGCCTGTAGTCCCAGCTACTTGGGAGGCTATAGCTAGAGGATTGCTTAAGCCCAAGAATTCAAGGCTGCAGTGAGCTATGATAGTACCACTGCACTCCAGCCTGGGTGACAGAGCAAGACACTGTCTCTAAAATAAATAAATAAATAAGTTATTGAACGTTCCCAGCACAAAGAAATAAAAGTTTGAGATGATGAATATGCCAATTACCCTGATATGATTACTATACATTCTATGTATTAAAACATCACTGGGTGTGCCACGCGTAGGTACGATCATTGCCAATTTAAAATTTTTTTAAGTACAATGAAACATAAATAAGAAAAATATAGAATATTGTCCGATGGTGTTACATGCTAAGCAGAATATAAAGTATTAAAGGGGGGCAGGCATTGTGGGGTAAGAAACTGCAATTTTATTTTATTTTATTTTATTTATTTTATTTTGAGACAAAGAGTCTCGCTTTGTCACCCAGGTTGGAGTGCAGGGGTGTGATCTCAGCTCACTGCAACCTCCACCTCCTGGGTTCAAGCAATTCTCTTGCCTCAGCCTCCCGAGTAGCTGGTATTACAGGCGTGTACCACCACGCCTGGCTAATTTTTGCATTTTTAGTAGAGACGGGATTTCGCCACGTTGGCCAGGCTGGTCTGGAACTCCTTACCTCAAGTGATCCACCCGCCTCAGCCTCCCAAAGTGCTGGGATTACAGGCGTGAGCCACCGTACCCAGCCAGAAGCTGCAGTTTTAAATAGGGTGGTCAGGGAAAGACTCACTGAGAGCAAAAAGCTGAAGGCAGTTAGGAGTAAGCTATGTGGATGTCTGCAGGCATGTTCCATGTACAGGGGACAGTAAGTGCAGGGACTCTGAGGCAGGGGCATGTGGTATGCAAGGGCTGCTCTGAGGGGAAGAGAGGGGATGGGGTTAGGAACAGCCCAGGCTGAACCTCCAAGGCCAAATCTGAAGGGCTCTGAGCTTGGTGAAGAAGGGGGAACGATCGTCCAGGTGTGACAGCCAGGGCTTTGAGTGTAGCATTTCTGACTTCCCAACCTTTTTTTTTTTTTTTTTTTTTTTTTTTAAACAGGGTCTGCTCTGATGCCCAGGCTGGAGTGCAGTGGTGCGATCATAGCTCACTGCAGCCTCGAACTCCTGGGCTCAAGTAATTTCCTGCCTGAGCCTCCGGAGTAGTTGGGACTATAGGCACACGCCACCACACCTGGCTAGTTTTTTAATTTTTTGTAGAGACGGGGTCTCACTATTTTGCCCAGGCTGGTGTCGAACTCCTGGTCTCAAGCAATCCTCCCTTCTCAGCCTCCCAAAGTGCGAGGATTACAGGAGTCAGCCACCACGGTGCTCGGTCCTGCCCGATTTCCCACTTTTGCGGAGATCGAACCTCTTTCACCACCATTTCATTAAGGTGGGCCTCAGCCCTGACTCAGGCTCAAAGGGAGGGAGGACAGGGCTCGGAGAGGGGAGGGGACTCAATGGGAGGAGGGGGACTTCTGGGAGGGGAGAGCAGCTTAGCTAAAGGCATGCAGGCTCACGGCCAGCGATGGGAACTGGAGGGAGAGCTGGAGAGGAATTTGAGCTTAGTTAGGCTTAAGGGCATCTTTTGGGTACCTTTGCGCAGGCAGTCCCTGGCTTCTGGGCCCAGCAATTCCTGGGCTGGACAACCCCACCGCCCGGACTCAGGCTGAGCCTGTGCGACGTGTGTACGGGAGGGGCAGAGCAGCAGGTGCGCGGCTCCTGCAAACAGCCGCGGCCACGCCCACCCTGGTCCTCCCCGCCCCGCCGTTCCGGGGTAATTGGCAGCGCCCCCATCCCCACGCGGCACGTGCCAAAAGCGCCCAAAGTGGTGAGGAGAGAGAAGCCGTGTCAAATTCTTTGGGATTTGCACCCCAAGCCCCTGACGCATCCCGTCCTCGGTTTTGCCCCGGAGAATTCATTCCCGAGCAGAGAGGGACAAGGACCGAGGGGCGGGGGCTGGGTCAGGTCCCGCCCTTCCTTGGCAACCCCCCTACCCCGGCGTTGTGGGCCGCGCAGGGCCAAGTCCTTCCTCCCAGGACGCTCGGTGAAGGTGGGAGGCAGGGGCCACGTCACTGTCCTTAGGCCCTGGAGAGCGCGGCTCCGCCCCTACCGCCCCCACCGGAGCGCTGGGCACTTAGCTAAGACGCACCGGCCCCAGCCCAGGGCCAGCCCAGTCGCCGCCGCCCGCCCACAAAGCCACAGGCAGGTGCAGGCGCAGCCGCGGCGAGAGCGTATGGAGCCGAGCCGTTAGCGCGCGCCGTCGGTGAGTCAGTCCGTCCGTCCGTCCGTCCGTCGGGGCGCCGCAGCTCCCGCCAGGCCCAGCGGCCCCGGCCCCTCGTCTCCCCGCACCCGGAGCCACCCGGTGGAGCGGGCCTTGCCGCGGCAGCCATGTCCATGGGCCTGGAGATCACGGGCACCGCGCTGGCCGTGCTGGGCTGGCTGGGCACCATCGTGTGCTGCGCGTTGCCCATGTGGCGCGTGTCGGCCTTCATCGGCAGCAACATCATCACGTCGCAGAACATCTGGGAGGGCCTGTGGATGAACTGCGTGGTGCAGAGCACCGGCCAGATGCAGTGCAAGGTGTACGACTCGCTGCTGGCACTGCCACAGGACCTTCAGGCGGCCCGCGCCCTCATCGTGGTGGCCATCCTGCTGGCCGCCTTCGGGCTGCTAGTGGCGCTGGTGGGCGCCCAGTGCACCAACTGCGTGCAGGACGACACGGCCAAGGCCAAGATCACCATCGTGGCAGGCGTGCTGTTCCTTCTCGCCGCCCTGCTCACCCTCGTGCCGGTGTCCTGGTCGGCCAACACCATTATCCGGGACTTCTACAACCCCGTGGTGCCCGAGGCGCAGAAGCGCGAGATGGGCGCGGGCCTGTACGTGGGCTGGGCGGCCGCGGCGCTGCAGCTGCTGGGGGGCGCGCTGCTCTGCTGCTCGTGTCCCCCACGCGAGAAGAAGTACACGGCCACCAAGGTCGTCTACTCCGCGCCGCGCTCCACCGGCCCGGGAGCCAGCCTGGGCACAGGCTACGACCGCAAGGACTACGTCTAAGGGACAGACGCAGGGAGACCCCACCACCACCACCACCACCAACACCACCACCACCACCGCGAGCTGGAGCGCGCACCAGGCCATCCAGCGTGCAGCCTTGCCTCGGAGGCCAGCCCACCCCCAGAAGCCAGGAAGCCCCCGCGCTGGACTGGGGCAGCTTCCCCAGCAGCCACGGCTTTGCGGGCCGGGCAGTCGACTTCGGGGCCCAGGGACCAACCTGCATGGACTGTGAAACCTCACCCTTCTGGAGCACGGGGCCTGGGTGACCGCCAATACTTGACCACCCCGTCGAGCCCCATCGGGCCGCTGCCCCCATGCTCGCGCTGGGCAGGGACCGGCAGCCCTGGAAGGGGCACTTGATATTTTTCAATAAAAGCCTTTCGTTTTGCACTCGCTGGAGCCTCCTTGTTCCCAGCGCCTCCACCTCCCTGCAGAGCTCCCCCTCGGGGCGGCCTTGGCTGGATCTCGCTCTCCCGGATGGAGCTTAGAGGGAAGATGGGGTTGTAAGCTGAGCTTGGTGATGGCGGGGTGGTCACTTGCCCACTCCCTGGGGATTCGGAAGACAGCCTGTGAGGCCAAAGCCAGCGCCCAATCTAGGAAGCAGGCATGAGCACTTTCCGCACGCCATGGCTGGGGATGGGAGGGGAAGGTGGCAGAGATGTGCCCCTGGGTCTGTGCTGGGAGCCCGGACCCCGCACAATACCCGACACATTCGGAATCTCCCGTGCGCCTTGTGAAAGAGCGCATTCCGTACTGCCATTTCCTATTGGAAAAACGAAAACAAAAAGACCTATTGTTTGGATAAAACACGCCACCAAAAGTAAAACCGGGCCAAATCTTCTCACCTGGGGGAGAGATGAGAAAGGGTCCCCATCTCCTTCCTGGGACCCTCAAGGGAGGGAAAGAGGGAGGACTTAGAAGGGGTATCTCAGAGGGGCTTGAGGCCGGGTCTCACTGGCTCACTCCTAGAGGACGAGGTGGGAGGCTCGCTTGAGCCCAGGAGTTCGAGACCAACCTGGGCTACATAGCAAGACCCTATCTCTACCAAAAAAAAAAAAAATTAACTGGGTATGATGGCATACACCTGTGGTCCCAGCTACTCAGGAGGCTGAAGCAGGAGGATGGCTTGAGCCCAGGAGGTAAAGGCTACCGTGAGCTATGATTGTGCCACTGCACTCCAGCTGGGGCAACAGAGTGAGACCCTGTCTCAAAAACAACAACGACAAAACACACACACACACACACACACACACACACACACACACACCCCAGAGGAGTGGTTAAGGTGAACAGTGTGGAGAGGCACTGGTGCCTTGGAGAAAACACAGGAGATTCAGGCGGGAAAAGGGGCCTGAACCCAGGCACAGGGTGACTTGGTGGGGGCGAGAGATTCAAATGACTGGATGGAACATAAAGGGAGACAGGAAGTGTCAGTAAAGCCCAGGACTCCAGCAAGCAAAGGCCAAGTCATGGAGAGTCCGTATGTGGAATTACAAACTTTGAACCTTACTCTGGGTGTAGGGAGTCATGAAAGGGGAAGTACCTGGTCAGATGCTTTTAACCTCTCCAGCAGCCCCTGTGGAACTGGGATTCAAGGAGAAAGATAAAGGAGGGGAACCACCTAACAGGATATGCCGCCATCTTGGAGTGAAATGATGGTGGCCAGAAATTAGGCAGGGGCAGGGAGTGGGGGCAGAACCTGACAGGGGCTGTTAAAGTGGGCAGGACCCGGGAGCCATTTGGATGTGCAGGGTGAGAGAGGCGAGAATCTAGAAAAGAAGGCTGGAATCTGGGAGTTTCAACTTAGGTCACTGATTGGATAGTGGTATCATTTACCAAAATAGGAGACGGAAAGATGATGGGTTCCATTTTGAACGTATAGAGTTTGGTGAGGCCAGGGCATGGTGGCTCACGCCTGTAATCCCAGCACTTTGGGAGGCCAAGGCTGGAGAGTATCTTCAGCCTAGGAGTCCGAGACCAGCCTGGGTAGCATAGTGAGACCCCATCTCTACAAAAAAATTAAAAATTAGCTAGGTGTGGTGGTATATGCCTGTAATCCCAGCTACATGGGAGGCTGAGGTGGGAGGTTTACTTGAGCCCAGGAGATTGAGGCTGCAGCGAGTAGAGAATGCACCACTGCAATCCAGCCTGGGCGACAGAGTGAGATCTTGTCTCAAAAAATAAATAAATAAAAATAAAATAAATGTAGAGTTTGGCGAGTCTGGAGAACGTCCTGGCAGAGACGTCCAGGAAGTAGGATGACGTCTAGAGATCTCGTAAACCTGAAAGTCGTTGCATAGGGATGGCAACCGAAACCAGGGTCGGGGAAGAAGTCAGTCTAGAAACTCACAGAACAAAAAGAGTTTCAAGGAGGTGGGTGTGGGCAACAGTGTCTGAGGTTGCAGGAGTGGTCAGGCAAGATGAGACCTGAGGAATAGCCACGGAATTCACAGTAGCCAGGTGGTCATTGGTGGCCTTAGCAAGAGGTGTGGAAACGGAAACACTAGATGGAAAAGGGAGTGGGAGGCGAGAGTTGAAACCAGGAGCCGTAGACAATGCGTGCAAGAGATTTGCATAGAAAGGGAATTGTGGCTGGGAGCAGTGGCTCACGCTTGTAACCCCAGCACTTTGGGAGGCCGAGGCGTGGCAGGGGTTGGGGTGAGGGGGATAGCTTGAGCCCAGGAGTTCAAGACAAGCCTGGCCAACATGGTGAAACCCCAACTCTACTAAAAATACAAAAATTAGCCAGGCATGGTGGTGGGCACTGTAGTCCCAGTACTTTGGGAGGATCACTTGAGGTCAGGAGTTCGAGACCAGCCTGGTCAACATGGTGAAACCCCATCTCTACCAAAAATATTAAAAATTAGCCGGGTGTGGTGGCACACGCCTGTAATCCCAGCTACTTGGGAGGCTGAGACAGGAGAATTGCTTGAACCCAGGAGGCAGAGGTTGCAGCAAGCCGAGATCGCACCACTGCACTCTAGCCTAGGTGACAGAGACAGACTCTGTCTTAAAAAAAAAAAAAAAAAAAAAAAAAAGTAGGGGGGTATTGTGGCTGGGGGCAGTGGCTCACGCTTGTAATCCCTGCACTTTGGGAGGCCAAGACGGGAGGATCACCTGATGTCAGGAGTTCAAGACCAGCCCTGCCAACATGATGAACTGGTTGCAGTGAGCTGACATCTCACCGCTGCACTCCAGCCTGGGCAGCAGAGCGAGACTCTGTCTCAAAAAAAAAGAAAAGAAAGGGACTTGTAGGTCGAGCCAGCAACTTGAAGGGAAACGAGGGTTGCACATGTATTTGGGCACTGGGGAGACTTGAAATTTTTTTTTTTTTTAGACAGAGTCTCACTCCATCACCCAGGCTGGAGTGCAGTGGCGTGATCTGGGCTCACTGCAACCTCCACCTCCTGGGTTCAAGCAATTCTCCTGCCTCAGCCTCCCAAGTAGCTGGGGTTATAGGTGTGTGCCACCACACCTGGCTCATTTTTTGTATTAGTAGTAGAGACGGGATTTCACCACATTGGCCAGGCTGGCATCAAACTCCTGATCTCAGGTGATCTGCCTGCCTGGGCTCCCAAAGTGCTGGGATTATAGTACAGGCGTGAGCCACTGCGCCTGGCCCAATTTTTTTTTTTTTTTTTTTTTTTTGAGACAGAGTGCAGGCTGGAGTGCAATGGCGAAATCTCGGCTCACCGCAACCTCCGCCTCCCAGGTTCAAGCGATTCTCCTGCCTCAGCCTCCCAAGTAGCTGGAATTACGGGCATATGCCACCATGCCTGACTAATTTTGTATTTTTAGTAGAGACAGGGTTTCTCCATGTTGGTCAGGTTGGTCTCAAACTCCCGACCTCAGGTGATCCGCCTGCCTCAGCCTCCCAAAGTGCTGGGATTACAGGCGTGAGCCACCATACCCAGCTGGCCTTTTTTTTTTCTAAATTATTGTATCTCAAATGTTTTGGATACTGGGCATGATGGCTCATGTCTGTAATCCTAGCACCTTGGGAGGCCAAGGTGGGAGGATCATTTGAGGCCAGGAGATTGAGACCAGCCTGGACAATATAGCAAGGACCCCATCTCTACAAAAAAATTTAAAAGTTAGCCAGGCATGGTGGTGCATGCCTGTAGTCCCAGTTACACGGGAGGCTGAGATGGGAGGATCACTTGAGCCAAGGAGTTCGAGGCTACAGCAAGCTATGATTTCACCACTGCACTCCAGCCTGAGTGACAGGCTGTCTCTAAAAACACAAACACAAACACAGCCTGGGCAACATAGCAAAACCCCATCTCTACAAAGCATACAAAAATTAGCTGGGCGTGGTGGCAGGCACCTGCAATCCCAACTAATCGGGAGGCTGACGCAGGAGAATCGCTAGAACCCGGGATGCGGAGGTTGCAGTGAGCCGAGATCGCACCACTGCACTCCAGCTTGGGAGACAGTGAGACTCCATCTCAAAAAAAAAAAGAAAAAAAAAATCAGCCGAGTGTGGTGGCATATGCCTACAGTTTCAGCTACTCTGGAGGCTGACGTTGGAGGATCACCTCAGCCTAGAGAGGTCAAGGCTGCAGTGAGACATGATCACGCCACTGCACTCCATCCAGCCTGGGTGACAGAGCAAAACCCTGCCTCAAAAAAATAAATAAATAAATAAATAAACAAATAATTTAAAAAAATACAAAAAAATGTTTTTGGCTGCAGCAAAGCTAAAGCAAAAAGGGCAAAAGATCCCTGTGGCAGCTAGCTGGGACTACAGGCACACACCACCATGTCCAGCTAATTTTTTTTTTTTTTTTTTTTAATGAGACGATCTTGCTCTTGTCACCCAGGCTGGAGTACAATGTCGGGATCTTGGCTCACTGCAACCTCCACCTCCCGGGTTCAAGCAATTCTCCTGCCTCAGCCTCCCAAGTAGCTAGGATTACAGGTGCCCACCACCATGCCTGGCTAATATTTTTGTATTTTTAGGAGAGACGGGGTTTCACCATGTTGGCCAGGCTGGTCTCGAACTCCTGACCTCAGGTCATCCACCCGCCTCGGCCTCCCAAAGTGCTGGGATTACAGGCATGAGCCACCACATCTGGCTAATTTTTTGTATTTTTTGTAGAAACGGGGTCTCACCATGTCGCCCAGGCCCCTTTCAAATCCCTGGGCTCAAGGGATCCTCCAGCTTCGGCCTCTGAAAGTACTGGGATAACAGGCATAAGCCACCATGCACAGCCTAGATTTCATGGTAGAACGTTCCAGTTAACTCCAGAAAAATTCCCTTCCAGTTAAGAAACACCAACGTATAGTCACCCCTAATGACCCAAGGAAGAGAAAGTGGGTTACTATTAATAGCAAGGAAGGCTGGGTGCAGTGGCTCATGCATGTAATCCCAACGCTTTGAGATGCCAATGCAGGTGGATCACCTGAGGTCAGGAGTTCGAGACCAGCCTGGCCAACATGGTGAAACGCTGTCTCTACTAAAAATACAAAAAATTGGCTGGGCACGGTGGCTCACGCTTGTAATCCCAGCACTTTGGGAGGGGGAGGCAGGCAGATCACGAGGTCAGGAGATCGAGACCATCCTAGCTAACGCGGTGAAACCCCGTCTCTACTAAAAATACAAAAAATTAGCTGGGTGTGGTGGCGGGTGCCTGTAGTCCCAGCTACTCGGGAGGTTGAGGCAGGAGAATGGCGTGAACCCGGGAGGCAGAGCTTGTAATGAGCCGAGATCGCACCACTGCACTCCAGCCTGGGCGACAGAACGAGACTCCGTCTCAAAAAAAAAAAAAAATTTAGCCAGGTGTGGTGGCTGGCACCTATAATCTCAGCTACTCCAGAGGCTGAGGCAAGAGAATCGTTTGAACCCAGGAGGGAGAGGTTGAATGAGCCAAGATCGAACCACTGCACTCCAGCCTGGGCGACAAGAGAGAAACTCTGGCTCAAAAAAAAAAAAAAAAAAAAGGTCAAGCGTATGGTGGCTCACACCTATAATCCCAGCACTTTGGGAGGCCGAGGCGGGCGGCACAGCAAGACAAAAAAAGGAAAGGAGAGGGGAGGGGAAGGGAGGGGACAGCCGGGTACGGTGGCTCACACATGTAATCCCAGCACTTTGGGAGGCCGAGGCGGGCGGATCACCTGAGGTCAGGAGTTCGAGACCAGCCTGGCCAACATGGTGAAACCTCGTCCTACTAAAAATACAAAAATCAGCCAGGTGTGGTGGCGGGCATCTGTAATCCCAGCTACTCGGGAGGCTGAGGCAGGAGAATTGCTTGAATCTGGGAGGCAGAGGTTGCAGTGAGCCGAGACCAAGCCATTGCACTCCAGCCTGGCAACAAGAGCAAAATTCCATCTCAAAAAGAAAAAGGAGAAAGAGAGAAGGATGGGAGAGAGAGAGGAGAGAGAAGGGGGGGGCAAGAGAGAAGAGAGTGAAAGTGAGAGAGAGAGGAAGGAAAGGAAAAGAAAGAGAGAAAAAGAAAGATGGGGGAGGGAGAGAAAGAGAAAGAAAGAAGAGAAAGAGAGGAAGGGAGAAAGGAAAGGAGAAAGGGAAGGAGGAAAAGAGAGAGAAAGAGGAAAGGAAGAAAGAGAAAGAGAAAGAACGAAAGAAGGGGAAAGAAAGAAAGGGAGGAAAGACAAAGAAAAAAGAAAAAAAAGGAAGGAAGGAAAGGAAAGAAAGAAAGGGAGGGAAAGAGGGAGGGAGGAAGAGGAAGAGATAGAGGGAGGGAGGGTAGAAGGGAGGGAAAGAGAGGGAAAGAAAGAGAGGGAGGGAGGGGATGAGGATGAAAGGATGGGACTGGAAAAGGGGTGGGGCTCAGCAAGGGGAAGGGCTCCAAGAGGGAAGGGGGCTTAGAGATTGGAGGGGGCTCAGTGAAGGGGCCGGGCTTAGTGAGAGGAAAGGATGGGAGAAGGAGGTCGCCTTAGACAATGAAGGGGCTTAGGGAAAGGAGATGGAGGGAACCGAGAGGAGGTTTCTCTGGGTCTGTCTGGGATGGGATTTGCAGGCATGGGCAGAGGACCAAGGGGTTGCATCTGCCTCCACCCCCAGCAGTCCCTGGCCAGGAGAGCCGGGGAGCCATGGAGGCAGGGGCAGGGTTATTCATTTACCAGCAGCTTCAAGAGAGCAGCCTGGACGCCATCCCTCCTGGCTACACTGTGAGGCCCAGGTCTCGCCTGCCTCCTTAGCCCACCCCAGCAACCCCAAGCCAGGGGGATGTGGCAGAGAAGGGAGACAGATCCAATCCCCAATGGCAGGGCTCCCAGGCTTCAGAGTCTCCCCTTGTCTCTCCCAACACCTGGGCACCCCTGGGGCCTCCTGGGGGAGGGATGGGGGAAGGGAGGTATCCTACTCCATCCTACAGCTTCCCCCATGTGCACACACATCTGTGTCTGGCTTCAGGTCCATCCTAACTTCTTTTTTTTATCCTTTCTGGAGTCTAAGGCCTAAGCGGAGGTGGCGGAGCTGGTAACACAGAGACCACAGCTGAGCAGGGTCCCAGGTAAAGGGTTCCAGGAAATCTTCCAACAGCCAGAGAAGAGAAAGGCATTTGGCATCAGGAAACACACCCCAGGCGGGAGTCAGAAAACCTGATCACTCTAGGTGCAGCCTGGCCACTGCTTTCCTGTGTGGCTCCAAGAAAATCCCTTCCCCTTCCAGGTCTGTTTCCCCATCTTTTTTTTTTTTTTTTTTTTGAGACAGAATCTCACTCTGTTGCTCAGGCTGGAGTGCTATGGCGCGATCTCGGCTCACTGCAACCTCCGTCTCCCAGGTCCAAGCAATTCTCGTGCCTCAGCCTCCCAAGTAGCTGGAATTACAGGCATGTACCACCACACCTGGCTAATTTTTTGTATTTTTAGTAGAGATGGAGTTTCACCATGTTGGCCAGGCTGGTCTCAAACTCCTGACCTCAAGTGATCCTCCCACCTCAGCCTCCCAAAGTGCTGGGATTACAGGTGTGAGCCACCGCACCCAACCTCCCATCATTTCTTTTTTGTTGTTGTCGCTGTTGTTTTTGAGACAGGGTCTCACTCCATTGCCCAGGCTGGAGCACAATGACATGATTATGGCTCACTACAGCCTCTACCTCCTGGGCTCTGGCGATCCTCTCACCTTAGCCTTCCAACTGGCTGGGACCACAGGCGGGTGCCACCACACCCGGCTAATTTTTTTTTTTTTCAATAGAGATGAGGTCTCGCTATGTTGCCCAGGCTGGTCTTAAACTCCTGGCCTCAAGTGATCCTCCCGCCTCTGCCTCCCAAAGTGCTGGGATTACAGGCATGAGCCACCACACCCAGCAGTTTCCCCATCATTTCAACAAAGAGGCTGAAACTGGCTGATCCATGAGAGCCCCTCTAACTTGTCTTTTCCATCCCCATCTTTATCCTTACTCCCTGCAGAGGAAAATTGGCCAAAACCAAACTGACCAGGTAAACAGTGGAGTTTACTCCTTTGAACCTCAGTTTCCTCATCTACAAAATGGGTATGATAATAACACTGGGCTGTGTTGAGGCTTAACTGGGCCATCCTTTGGGTTCCCATGTAGCCTATTGTCACCTTGTCACAGCACCTACTATGTCCCTGTATATTGTTTTGTTTCTTTTTTGTTTTTTAGACAGAGTCTCGCTCTGTCGCCCAGGCTGGAGTACAGTGGCTCGATCTCAGCTCACTGCAACCTCCAGCGCCAGGGTTCAAGCGATTCTTCTGCCTCAGCCTCCTGAGTAGCTGGGACTACAGGTACGTGCCACCACGCCTGGCTAATTTTTGTATTTTTAGTAGAGACGGGGTTTCACCATATTGGCCAGGCTGGTCTCAAACTCCTGACCTTGTGATCCGCCCACCTCAGCCTCCCAAAGTGCTGGGATTATAGGCGTGAGCCACTGCGCTTGGCCCTTTCTTTTCTTTTCTTTTTTTGGGACAGAGTCTCACTCTGCAACCTCCACCTCCCAGGTTCAAGCGATTCTCCTGCCTTAGCCTCCCAAGCAGCTGGGATTACAGGTGTCAGCCACCGTGCCCAGATAATAATTTGTATTTTTAGTAGAGATGGGATTTCGCTATGTTGGCCAGGCTGGTCTCGAACTCCTGGCCTCAAGTGATCTGCCTGCCTCAGCCTCCCAAAATGCTGGGATTACAGGTGTGAGTGACCAAGCCTGGCCAATTGTTGTTTTGTTTCTTGTTAGACTTCTCTACCAGAAAGTCATCTCCCAAGGTCACGGACAGTGTCTTGAGCTGTTTCTCTCTGTCTGTAGCACCCAGAGAGGGCTGGCACAAGGAGGCTGGTCAGAAATATCTGTGGAATGAAGGCATGCCTGTCTGCACGAAAAGCACATGGCATAGTGCTATGTATACAGTAGGAGTTCAATTAATGTGAGTTTGTATTGTTAAGATTTTGGGCTGGGCGTGGTGGCTCACAGCCAGGTGCAGTGGCTTACAACTATAATCTCAGCTACTTGGGAGACTGAGGCAGGAGAATTTCTTGAACCCAGAAGGCGGAGGTTGCAGTGAGCCGAGATCACACCACTGCACTCCACCCTGGACGAGGGAGTGAGACTCCATCTCAGAAAAAAAAAAAAATTTTGGTGTATTCCGTCAGGCAGGGGCCTGGGAACATGAGAGTGTTGGGTGGATGGTGAGAAAGTCCCTGGGATTTTCTGTTTTGTTTTTGTTTTTGTTTTTATTTATTTTTTAGACGGAGTCTTGCTCTGTCGCCCAGGCTGGAGTGCAGTGACGCGATCTCAGCTCACTGCAAGCTCTGCCTCCCAGGTTCACACCATTCTCCTGCCTCAGCCTCCCGAGTAGCTGGTTCTACAGGCGCCCACCACCACGCCTGGCTAATTGTTTGTATTTTTTTAGTAGAGACGGGGTGTCACCATGTTAGCCAGGATGGTCTCGATCTCCTGACCTCGTGATCCGCCCACCTTGGCCTCCCAAAGTGCTGGGATTACAGGCGTGAGCCACTGCGCCCGGCCTTTTTTTTCTTTTTTTGAGATAGAATCTCGTTCTGTCACCCAGACTGGAGTGCAATGGCGCAATCTCCACTCACTGCAACCTCCGCCTCCCGGGTTCAAGCGATTCTCCTGCCTCAGCCCCCCAAGTAGCTGGGATTACAGGTGCCTGCCACTGCACCCAGCTAATTTTTGTATTTTTAGTAGGGACAGGGTTTCATCATGTTTGCCAGGATGGTCTTGAACTCCTGACCTCAGGTGATCTGCCCACCTCGGCCTTCCAAAGTGCTGGGATTACAGGCGTGAGCCACCGTGCCTGGCTGTCCCTGGGATTTTCAAACTCCACAGCCCTGGAGCGCGCTGCCAGGCCCTGGGGTGGTGCCACATGAGAGAGGTGGCCACGCGTGGGGGATGGCTAGGTTGTGAGAAAGTCCCTAGGTTTCTTCAAACTCCACACCCACAAAGCCCCCTGCCAGGCCCTGGGGTGGTGCCACATGAGAGAGATGGCTGAGAAAGTCCCTAGGTTTCTTCAAAACTCACAGCCCTGGAGCCCCCTGCCAGGCCCTGGGGCTGTCTCACCCATCTCCCACAGAGGTGCTGCAGGCTGCCCGCTCTTGCCACACCTGTTCCAGCTCTTCCTCCTGCCAGACCAAAAGCCAACTGCTTTATCAAACAAACACAGCGTTTATTGTGGCTCCCTCAAGGTCTGTGGCTGGCCTGGAAGAACAGATAGTACCTTCCTTCCCCCTCCCATACCAGGATTGCCCGAAAGGTCACCCATGCTGAGACAAGAATGCTCTGCAGAGCCAGGAGAGAGCAAGAGCATGGGTGTCAGGTGCCCACTGTGGGACCTTGACCAAGTCACTTGCTGCCTCTAGCTCATAACTATAAAAGAAGGGGTATTGGCCAGGTGCAGTGGCTCACGCTTGCAATCCTGGCACTTTGGGAAGCAGAGATGGGAGGATCACTTGAGGCCAGGAGTTCAAGACCAGCCCGGGCAACAAAGCAACACCCTGTCTCTATAAAAAATGCAAAAATTAGCCAGATGTGTTGGTGCATGCCTGTAGTCCCAGCTACTCAGGAGGCTGAGGTGGGAGGATTGTTTGAGCCCAGGAGGTCGAGGCTGCAGTAAGCCGTGATCACGCCATTGAACTCCAGCTTGGGCGACAGAGCGAGACTCTGTCTCCAAAATTTAAAAAAAAAAAAAAAAAGGTGGTGCCAGGCGCGGTGGCTCACCCTGTAATCCCAGCACTTTGGGAGGCCGACGCGGGTGGATCACCTGAGGTCGGGAGTTCGAGACCAGCCTGACCAACATAGTGAAACCCTGTCTCTACTAAAAATACAAAAATTAGCTGGGCGTGGTGGCACACGCCTATAATTCCAGCTACTTGGGAGGCTGAGGCAGGAGAATCGCTTGAAACCAGGAGGCAGAGATTGCAGTGAGCCAAGATAACGCCACTGCACTCCAGCCTGGGCGACGGAGCAAGACTCAGTCTCAAAAAAAAATAAAATAAAATAACCAGTCCCTAAACTGTCAACCTTCTCTTTATGTCTGGATGCATCGACCTCTATTCTCCACTCGCACCGCCGCAACTTCAGCCAGGACACCACCCTCTTTCTGTAACAGCCTGGAGAGGGTTTCTGGTCCCCAGGCTCCCTCCCTACACTCCCAACCTAGCTATGCCCCTTTCCAAGCCATTAGTCGCAGTGCAATCCTGAGTCTGACCATGTCATTCCCCTACTTAAAATCCTTCAGGCCCTCTACCCCCAGATGGCCCTCCAGATCCCACTCAGACTTCATGCCATGCCTTAGGAGCCCCTGTGAGCACAGGCCATGCTCGCCTCTCTGTTTCCACCTGTGCTCCCCAAACTGCCCTTCCACATCCCAGCCACCAAGCTCAACCCCACTCGACATCCTTTCTCTCCTCAAAAACCCTGCACTCTCCCTGCACTCTCTGGACCATAGGCTTCAGCACAAGTTCTCTCTTCTTCGTCTCTAGAGAAAAGAGTTTTGCTCTGTTGCCCAGGCTGGAGTACAGTGGCACGTTCTCAGCCCACTGCAACCTCTGCCTCTTGGGTTCAAGTGATTTTCCAGCCTCAGCGTCCTGAGTAGCTGGGATTACAGGCACATGCCACCACGCCCGGCTAATTTTTGTATTTTTTTAGTAGAGACAGGGGTTTCAGCATGTTGGCCAGGCTGGTCTCGAACTCCTGACCTCAGATGATCCGCCCGTCTCAGCCTCCCAAAGTGCTGGGATTACAGGTGTAAGCCACCATGCCCGGCCCTCTCTTCTTTTTTTTGAGACAGAGTCTTGCTCTGTCACCTAGGCTGGAGTGCAGTGGCACAATCTCAGCTCACTCCTGGGTTCAAGCAATTCTCCAGCCTCAGCCTCCTGAGTAGCTGGGATTATAGGCACGTGCCACTGCATCTGGCTAAATTTTGTATTTTTAGTAGAAGTGGGGTTTCACCATATTGGCCAGGCTGGTCTCAAACTCCTGACCTCAGGTGATCCTCCCGCCTCGGCCTCCCAAAGTGCTGGGATTACAGGCATGAGCCATCATGCCTGGCCACAAGTTCTCTCTTCTTGGCAGTTTATCCAATCTTACCCCACTCTACTTGCCAAGCTTAGAGATCACTTTATAGCCTAGGCCTGGTGGTTCATGCCTGTAATACAAGCGCTTTGGGGGGCCAAGGTGGGAGGATCACTTTGAGCCCAGAAGTTGATCACTTGAGACCAGCCAGGGCAACATAGCAAGACCCCCATCTCTACAAAAAATGTTAAAAATTAACCAGGCATGGTGGCACATGCCTATAGTCCTAGCTATTTGGGAGGCTGAAGTGAGAGGATCACTTGAGCATATAAGGTCAAGACTGCAGTGAGCTATAATCGTGCCACTGCTCTGTACCCGGGCAAGAGAGCAAGATTGCTCAGGGAAAAAAAAAAAAAAGAAAGAGAGAAATCATTCAGCCGGGTACAGTGGCTCACGCCTGTAATCCCTGCACTTTGGAAGGCCAAAGCAGGTGGATCACTTGAGGCCAGGAGTTCGAGACCAGCCTGGCCAACATGGTAAAACCCCATCTCTACTAAAAATACAAAAAAATTAGCCAGGCGTGGTGGCGGGCGCCTGTAATCCCAGCTACTCGGGAGGCTGAGGAGGAGAACTGCTTGAACCCGGGAGGCGGAGGTTGCAGTGAGCCGAGATTGCACTACTGCACTGCCTGGGTGACAAAGTGAGACTCGATCTCAAAAAAGAAAAAAAAAAAAAAAAGAGGTCATTTCACATCTCAGTTGAGAACGGTTCCCTGACTCCTGTGCATCCCGCAACCATGACCATTCGATGCTATTTGTTACACTGGTCCAGAATCACCTCTTAGCTTATCTTTCCTCTACCCCCAGACCATGCTCTGTCAGGGAGCAACCCCTAAGCATCTTGTCATCCTCAGTATGCCCTGAGCCTAGCAGAATGCCCTGCTC
Organism: Homo sapiens; assembly: GCF_000001405.40. Taxonomy (NCBI): domain Eukaryota; kingdom Metazoa; phylum Chordata; class Mammalia; order Primates; family Hominidae; genus Homo; species Homo sapiens. The sequence goes on along the minus strand of NC_000007.14, from coordinate 73,755,992 downwards.
AGAGCTGATGCTCTGTAAAGGGAAGACAAGGCCCGCGCCCATCATGCAGTTTGGAAAATAAATTAATTATGTCTTATGTGCAATCAAGGAATAGCAGATTGGGTCCAGAAGAGTTCAAAGGTCATAGAGGGGTATAACAGTCTAAAAAGACTTCATAGACAGCCTTGAATAAGTAGGGTTTTTTTGTTTTGGTTTTGGTTTTTTAGTTTTTTGTTGTTGTTATTGTTTTCTTTGAGACGGGGTCTCGCTCTCTGGCCCAGGCTAGGATGCAGTGGTGCGATCTCAGCTCACTGTAACCTCCGCCTCCCGGGTTTAAGGAATTCTCCCGCTTCAGCCTCTCAAGTAGCTGGGATTACAGGCACCCACCCCCATGCCCAGCTAACTTTGGGGGTTTTTCTGAGACAGAGTTTACCTCTTGTCGCCCAGGCTGGAGTACAATGGCACGATCTCGGTTCACTGCAACCTCCACCTACCGGATTCAAGCAATTCTGCTGCCTCAGCCTCCCAAGTAGCTATGATTACAGGCACCCACCAGCACGCCTAATTTTTGTAATTTTAGTAGAGACAGTGTTTTGCCATGTTGGCCAGGCCAGTCTCGAACTCCTGACCTCAGGTGATCCTCCTGGCTTGGCCTCCCAAAGTGCTGGGGTTAGAGGCGTGAGCCACCATCCCCAGCCAAACTTTTTGTATTTTTAGTAGAGATGGTGTATCATCATGTTGGCCCATCTGCTCTCAAACTCCTAACCTCAAGTGATCTGCCCACCTTGGCCTCCCAAAGTGTGGGGATTACAGCCGTGAGCCACCACGCCTGGCCGGTTTTTGGTTTGGTTGGGTTTTTTAATTAACTTTTATTTTAGGTTTGGGGATACATATGAAGGTTTCTTACATAGGTAAACACGTGTCACAGGAGTTTGTTGAACAGATTATTTTGTCACCCAAGTAAGCCCAGTACCCAATAGTGATCTTTTCTGCTCCTCTCCCTCCTCCCACCCTCACCCTCAAGTAGACACCAGTGTCTGTTGTTTCCCTCTTTGTGTTCATAAGTTCTTATCATTTAGCTCCCACTTATAAGCAGGAACATACGCTATTTGGTTTTCTGCTCCTGTGTTAGTTTGCTAAGGATAACAGCCTCAAGCTCCATCCATGTTCCTGAAAAAGACACGTTCTCATTCTTTTTTATAGCTGCATAGTACTCCATGGTGTATATGTACCACATTTTCTTTATCCAGTCTATCACTGATGGGCATTTAGGTTGATTCCATGCCTTTGCTATTGTGAATAGTGCTGCAGGGCTGGTTGTTGTTGTTGTTGTTTTTTAATTACATTTCTTTTTTTTTTTTTTTTTTTTTTTTTTTTGAGATGGAGTCTCGCTTGGTTGCCCAGGCTGGAGTGCAGTGGCGCCATCTCAGCTCACTGCAAGCTCTGCCTCCCGGGTTCATGCTATCCTCCTGCCTCAGCCTCCCAAGTATCTGGGACTACAGGTGCCTGCCACCACACCCGGCTAATTTTTTGTTGTTGTTGTATTTTTAGCAGAGACGGGGTTTCACCATGTTAGCCAGGATGGTCTCGATCTCCTGACCTTGTGATCCGCCCACCTCGGCCTCCCAAAGTGCTCGGATTATAGGCATGAACCACTGCGCCCGGCCTAAATTTCTTTTTTTAAATAGAGACAGGGTTTTGTCATATTGCCCAGGCTGGTCTGGAACTCCTGGGCTCAAGTGATCCGCCCACCTCACCCTCCCAAAATGCTGGAATTACAAGCGTGAGCCACCATGCCCAACCTATAAGTATGCTTCTGAGTCTTAAATAAGTAAGTTTGAGATGGGCAGAGCTAAGAGGGGAAGCCTTCCCAAGCAGGATTCACTGATGGGCAACAGCAAGGAGAAAAATGATATGCACAAGGCAGAAAAATGATATGCACAAGAGTGAGCAGAGGCTGACCTGATTGAAGCAGGAAATTCATATCCAGAAACAGTAAGAGGCCAGGCGCGGTGGCTCATGCCTGTAATCCCGGCACTTTGGGAGGTCGAGGCAGGCGGATCACCTGAGGTCAGGAGCTCAAGACCAGCCTGGCCAACATGGTGAAACACCGTCTCTACTAAAAATACAAAAATTAGCCAGGCATGGTGGTGCGAGCCTGTAATCCCAGCTACTCAGAAGGCTGAGGAACAAGAATTGTTTGAACTTGGGAGGTGGCGGTTGCAGTGAGCTGAGATTGCACCACTGCACTCCAACCTGGGTGACAGAGTGAGACTCTGTCTCAGAAAAAAAAAGAACAAAGTTGGAGGACTCATACTTTCTGCTTTCAAAACTTACTACAAAGCTACAGTAATCAAAACAGTGGTACTGGCATGAAGACAGACATATAGACCAATGGAATAGAATAAAAAGCTCAGAAATAAACACTCATATATGAAGTCAAATAATTTTCAATAAGGATACCAAAACCACTCAGTGAGGAATGGGCAATCTTTTCACAGATAATGCTGGGAAAACTGGATATTTGCATGCAAAAAAATGAAGTTGGTTCCTTAACACCATATAAAAAAATTTACTCAAAATGGATCAAAGACCTAAATATAAGATCTAAAACTATAAAACTTAGATGGCTGATCAACCAAGTTTATAGGATATTATAAATCCTTTGTTGTCATTTCAACAGTGTTCACACAATCTTCACCAGGAGTAGTTTCCATCTCAAGAAACCACTTTCTGGCTGGGCGCGGTGGCTCACGCCTGTAATGCCAGCAATTTGGGAGGCTGAGGCAGGTGGATCACTTGAGGTCAGGAGTTTGAGACCAGCCTGGCCAACATGGTGAAACCCTGTCTCTACTAAAAATACAAAAATTAGCTGGGCATGCTGGCACGTGCCTGTAGTCCCAGCTACTTGGGAGGCTGAGGCAGGAGAATCGCTTGAACCCAGGAGACAGAGATTGCAGTGAGCCCAGACGGCACCATTGCACTCCAGCCTGGGTGACAGAGCAAGACTCCGTCTCCAAAAAAAAAAAAAAAGAAACCGCTTTCTTTGCTCATCATAAGAAGCAACCCCTTGCCAGGCACAGTGGCTCATGCCTGTAATCCCAACACTTTGGGAGGCCAAGGCAGGCAGATCACTTGAGACCAGGAGTTCAAGACCAGGCTAGCCAATAAGGCGAAGCCCCTCTCTAAAAAAAAAAAAAAAAATACAAAAAGTAGCAGGGTGTGGTGGTGCACAGCTGTGATCCCAGCTACTCAGGAGGCTGAGGCATGAGGATCTCTTGAACCCACGAGGCGGAGGTTACAGTGAGTCAAGATCACACCACTGCACTCCAGCCTGGGCAACAGAGCGAGACTCTGTCTCAAAAAACACCAAGACGTAACAAAGAAGCAACTCATCATCTTTTCAAGTTTGATCATGAGATTGTAGCAATTCAGTCCCATCTTCACGCTTGGCTTCTAATCCTAGTTCTTTTGTTATTTCCACCACATCTGCAATTCCTTCCTCCACTGAAGTCTTGAATCCCTCAAACTTATCCATGAGGGTGGAATTCACTTCTTCTAAACTCCTGCTAATGTGGATATTGTCACCTCCTCCCATGAACCCTGAATGTTCTTAATGGCTTCCAGAATGGCGAATTCTTTCCAGGAGGTTTTCAATTTACCTTGCCCAGATCCATCAGAGGAATCACTATCTATGGCAGCTACAGCCTCACAAAATGTATTTCTTAAATAATAAGACTTAAAAGTCTAAATTGCTCCTTGATCCATGAACAGCAGAATGGATGTTTTATTTGCAGCCATGAAAACAACATTAATCTCTTTGTACATCTTCAGCAGAGCTCTTGGGTGACCAGGTGCATTGTCAATAAGCAATACTATTTTGAACAGAATCTTTTCTTTTTTCTGAGCAGGAGGTGTCAACAGTGGGCTTCAAATATTCAGCAAACCATCTTGTAAACAGATGTGCAGTCACCTAAGCTTTGTTGTTCCATTTCTAGAGCACAGGCAGAGTCGATTTAATGTAATTCTTTTTTTTTTTTTTTTTTTTTTTTTGAGATAGAGTTTCGTTCTTGTTGCCCAGGCTGGAGTGCAGTGGCGCAATCTCGGCTCACGGCACTGCCTCCTGGGTTCAAGCGATTCTCCTGTCCCAGCCTCCCAAGTAGCTGGGATTACAGGCATATGCCACCACACCTGGCTAATTTTTGTATTTTTAGTAGAGACAGGGTTTCATCATATTGGTCAGGCTGGTCTCGAACTCCTGACCTCAGGTGATCTGCCCACCTCAGCCTCCCAAAGTGCTGGGATTACAGGTGTGAGCCACCGCACCTGGCCGATTTAATGTAATTCTTAAGGGCCCTGGGATTTTCAGAATGGCAAAGGAGCATTGGTTTTAACTTCAAGTCACCAGCTGCATTACCCCGAACAAGAGTCAGCCTGTCCTTTGAAGCTTCAAAGCCAGGCATTAACTTCTCTCTAGCTATGAAAATCTTAGATAAGCCGGACACAGTGTTGGCTCATGCCTATAATCCTAGTACTTTGTTTTCTTGTTTGTTTGTTTGTTTGTTTGTTTGAGATGGAGTTTCACTCTTTTGGCCCAGGCTGCAGTGCAGTGGCATGATCTCGCTTCACTGCAACCTCCACCTCCTGGGTTCAAGTGATTCTCCTGCCTCAGCCTCCTGAGTAGCAGGGATTACAGGCGTGCGCCACCATGCCCAGCTAATTTTTTGTATTTTTAGAAGAGATGGGGTTTCACCATGTTGGCCAGGCTGGTCTTAAACTCCTGACCTCAAGCGATCCACTGGCCTCAGCCTCCCGAAGTGCTGGGATTACAGGCATGAGCCATGGTGCGGGTCAACCCTTTTGGTCTTAAAGCTTGAAACTTACATTTACTTGATCTGAATTTCTTCTTTAGGAAATGACCATCAGCCCTCTCAAAAAGTATGAAAGAACTGAAACTCACCAGATCATGGCATCTAGACAATGAAATGCCAGGCCCCTCATTCATCATGATTGCTTCCTTACCCTTCCCCCAAGTTCTTGTTTTCCCATACATGGTTACATTTGTTCCCTGCTATATAAGACCCTAACTTCAGTCGATCAGGGAGATGGATTTGAGACCAATCTCCCATCTCAGCCACAGCACCCAATTAAAGCCTTCTTCCTTGGCAATAATCGTCTCAGTGATTGGCTTTCTGTGCGGCAAGCAGCAGGACCTCGCCTGAACCCCTGCTGTTTTGGTAACAAGAACAGTGCTTGGCATTTGTTAAGCATTCCATAAGTGTTAACTGTTCTAATATCTCAGGGGCATCTCAAACATATAGAGCATTGTATAGGGAAAAGAGAGAGATCCGACTGTTACTGTGTCTATGTAGAAAAGGAAGACATAAGAAACTCCATTTTGATCTGTACTAAGAAAATTGTTTTGCCTTGAGATGCTGTTAATCCGTAAACTTTAGCCCCGACCCTGTGCTCACAGAAACATGTGCTGTATGGCATCAAGGTTTAAGGGATCTAGGGCTGTGCAGGCTGTGCCTTGTTAACAATATGTTTACAGGTAGTATGCTTGGTAAAAGTCATCGCCATTCTCCAGTCTCGATTAACCAAGGGCACAATGCACTGCGGAAAGCCGCAGGGACCTCTGCCTAAGAAAGCCTGGGCATTGTCCAAAGTTTCCCTCCACTGAGACAGCCTGAGATGTGGCCTCGTGGGAAGGGAAAGAACTGACCGTCCCCCAGCCCAACACCCAAAAAAGGGTCTGTGCTGAGGAGGATTAGTAAAAGAGGAAGGCCTCTTGCGGTTGAGATAAGAGGAAGGCCTCTGTCTCTTGCTTGTCCCTGGAAACAGAATGTCTCAGTGTAAAACCCGATCGTACATTTGTTCTATTCTGAGATAGAAGAAAACCGCCCTGTGGCTGGAGGCAAGATATGCTGGCGGCAATGCTGCGCTGTAATTTTTTACTACACTGAGCTGTTTGGGTGGAGAGAAGCATAAATCTAGCCTATGTACACATCCAGGCACAGTACCTTCCCTTGAACTTATTTGTGACATAGATTCCTTTGCTCACGTTTTCCTGCTGACCTTCTCCCCACTATCACCCTGTTCTCCTGCTGCATTCCCCTTGCCGAGATAGTGAAAATACTAATCAATAAATACTGAGGGAACTCAGAGACCAGTGCCGGTGCGGGTCCTCCGTATGCTGAGCGCTGATCCCCTGGGCCCACTGTTCTTTCTCTCTACTTTGTCTCTGTCTTATTTATTTTCTCAGTCTCTCGTCCCACCTGACGAGAAATACCCACAGGTGTGGAGGGGCAGGCCCCCTACAGCACTGGGGTGAAAGCTAAGATGAATTACAGAAAATAATGTCATTGCACATCTAAGTTTTTATTGACATTCGGTAACTGCTAGAATGTCCCAAGTGGACATTCTAGAGTCTCCTTACTTGCACCCTATAGAGTGGAAAAAAACAAACAAACAAAACCACCTTCCCCATCTCAGTAAATAGCACAACTACTCGCCACCCACATGTTCAATCCAGAAACCTGGGAGCTGTCCTTGGTGTCTTCCTCTCCCTCACCACCATCTTTCCCCCTCCCCATCCCATTCCTCATCAAATCCTGTTGATTCGAACTCCAAAATACATCCCAAATCTATCTTTCTTTCCCTACTTCCACAGCCACCTTCCAGTCATGTGACCATCATGCCTCAGTTGAATGTCTGCAATAGCTTCCTCATTTTGCCGCTTCTCCTCTGCTTCCCCTCTAATCTGCCTCACACCTTCTTCTACACAGCCAAATAGTCCTTTGAAAGTGTAAATCGGGGCTGGGTGCGGTGGGTCACGCCTGTAATCCCAGCACTTTGGGAGGCCGAGGAGGGTGGATCACGAGGTCAGGAGATTGAGGCCATCCTGGCTAACACAGTGAAACCCCGTCTCTACTAAAACTACAAAAAATTAGGCGGGTGTGGTGGTGGGCACCTGTAGTCCCAGCTACTCGGGAGGCTGAGGCAGGAGAATGGTGGGAACCTGGGAGGCGGAGCTTGCAGTGAGCTGAGATGGTGCCACTGCACTCCAGCCTGGGCGACAGAGCAAGACTCCGCCTCAAAAAAAAACAAAAATGTAAACCGGGCGGGGCATGGTGGCTCATGCCTGTAATCCCAGTACTTTGGGAGGCTGAGGCATACAGATCACATGAGATCAGGAGTTCAAGACCAGCCTGGCCAAGATGGTGAAACCTCATCTCTACTAAAAATACAAAAATTAGCCGGGAGCCTATAATCCCAGCTACTTGGGAGACTGAGGCAGAGAACTGCTTGAACCCGGGAGGTGGAGGTTGCAGTGAGCTGAGATGGCGCCAGTGCACTCCAGCCTGGGAGACAGAGCGAGGCTCCATCTCAAAAAAAACAAAAGAAGTAAATCGGCTGGGCACGGTGGCTCACGCCTGTAATCCCAGCACTTTGGGAGGCCAAGGTGGGCAGATCACTTGAGGTCAGGAGTTTGAGATCAGCCTGGCCAACATGGTGAAACCCCATCTCTACTAAAAATACAAAAAATTAGCCAGGCATGGTGGCTCACACTTGTAGTCCCAGCTACTCAGGAGGCTGAGGCAGGAGAATCACTTGAACCTAGGAGGTGGAGGTTGCAGTGAGCCGAAATTGCACTATTGCACTCCAGCCTAGGTGACAAGAGCAAAACTCCATCTCAAAAATAAAAATGAAAATAAATAAAAATGTAAATCACGGTGGTGTGCACCTGTAGTCCCATCTAGTCCAGAGGCTGAGGAGGGAAGATTGTTTGAGCCCAGGAGTTCAAGGCCAGACTGGGCAAAATAGTGAGACCCCCATCTCTAAAACTAAAATAAATAAATACGTAAAATTAGCCAGTGTGGTGGTATACACCCGTAGTCCCAGCTACTTAGGAGGCTAAGGCAGGAGAATCACTTGAGCCAGGAAGTTGGAGGCTATAATGAGCTATGATTGTTTTAATGCACTTCACACTCCAGCCTGGATATGACAATGCAAGACCCTGTCTCTTTAAAAAAAAAAAAAAAAAAAAGAAAAAGAAAAAGAAAAAAAAGAGGCTGGGTTCGGTGGCTCACACCTGTAAACACTTTGGGAGGCTGAGGCAGGAGAATCACTTGAGCTCAGAAGTTTGAGACCAACCGGGTTATGTGGTGAAACCCCGTCTCTACAGAAAAATACAAAAATTAGGCTGGGCGTGGTGGCACACACCTGTAATCCCAGCTACTTGGGAGGTGGAGGCAGGAGAATTGCTTGAATTCGGGAGGCGGAGGCTGTAGTCAGCTGAGATCGTGCCACTGCACTCCAGCCTGGGTGATAGAGCAAGACTCCTGTGTTGCCTCCTCCTGGACTTGTCCATCTTGGCCCCTCCAGACATTTCCCTCCCTGGTCATCAGCATGATCTTTTAACAACATAAAATATGCTTCTATTTTAATCTATTTTGTTTTTTTGTACATTTTCCTGTTTTTCTGGGCTCTGTGTTCTGGGGTCTCAAACAAACAAACAAACAAAATTAGCCAGGTGTGGTGGCATGCACCTGTAGTCCAGCTACTTGGGAGGCTGAGGTGGGAGGATCTCTTGAGTCCAGGAGGCAGAGGTTGCAGTGAGCCGAGATCCTGCCACTGCACTCCAGCCTGGGCAACAGAGCCAGACTCTGTCTCAAAAAAAAAAAAAAAGAAAAGAAAAGAAAAAGAAAAGGAAAGTCAGTTGGTTGTGGACCAATATGTATGGCATTCTAGCAGTTACCGAATGTCAGTAACAAACTTAAATGTGCAATGACATTATTTTCTGTAATTCACCTTAGTGTCCATCCTCGATGCTCTATTCTGCAGAAGCAGCTGGAAACAAGTTTTTTTTTTTTTTTGAGATGGAGTCTCGCTCTGTCACCCAGGCTGGAGTGCAGTGACTCAATCTCGGCTCACTGCAACCTCCACGTCTCAGATACAAGCAATTCTCCTACCTTAGCCTCCCAAGTAGCTGGGATTACAGGTGGGTGCCACCACGCTGGCTAATTTTTGTATTTTTAGTAGAGACGGGGTTTCACCATGTTGGGCAAGCTGGTCTCGAACTCCTGACCTCAAGTGATCCACCTGCCTCAGCCTCCCAAAGTGCTGGGATTACAGACGTGACCATCACAGCCGGCCTGGAAACAAGTTTAACCTCAGTCCTCCTGAGACTGGGCCACAATTCCTGCATACTCAACAGGGCCAGATTTGCTTAGAGAGGAGGGAGCCTGCAGGGAGTTGTACAGCATCCAGCCCTCTAGCAGCAATGACAAGACATCCATCATCCTGTGTCAACAGCCCCTCCAGTTCCGCAGGCTGCACTGTGTCTGCTCTGAACCTGGGAAACAGAGGAATATTTTGCAAGCTGCTTATGGTCCTGCCGGCCTGGCAGGCTCATGAGCCATTCTTCTCTGGGGACCCTGCCAAGAAGCAGGTGGCAGACCTTCCTTCCATTCTTGGCCAAGATACTGTCTCTGCTGAAGCATTCCCTTCCCTTAAGGGCTTTAGCTTTTGAAACACATAAACCAGCTTCTCCACTCTTAGGTCCAGCCGTATGCATCCCCCGGGGCAATGAGCCCAGAACCCAGAACACAGAAAAATAGGAAAATGTACAAAACAAGAAAAATGATTAACATAGAAGCATATTTTACGTTGTTAAAAGATCATGCTGATGACCAGGGACAGAAATGTCTAGAAGGGCCAAAATGGACAAGTCCAGGAGGAGGTGGCAAGGCAGAGGAGAGATAAGGCCCTAGAAATGGAGGGTGCTGGATAGAAATCAGAGCTTGACCAGGCCCGGTGGCTCAGGACTGTAATCCCAGCACTTCCGGAGGCTGAGGCCAGAGGCTCGCTTGAGCCCAGGAGTTTGAGACCAGCCTAGGATACATGGCGAAACCCCATCTCTACCAAAAATACAAAAATTAGCCGGGCAAGGTGGCATGTGCCTCTGGTCCCAGCTACTGGGGAGACTGTGGTGGAAGGATCACCTGAGCCCAGGAAGTTGAGGTTGCAGTGGCTAATACTGCACCACTGCACTCCAGCCTTGGCAACAGAGTGAGACTCTGTCTCAAAAAATAATAAAAAAATTAAAATGGGCAACAGAGTGAGACCCTGTCTCAAAAAGTAATAATAAAATTAAAATTAAATTAAAAATTAGGCCAGGCGTGGTGGCTCACGCCTGTAATCCCAGCACTTTGGGAAGCAGAGGCAGGCAGATTACCTGAGGTCAGGAGTTCGAGACCAGCCTGGCCAACATGGTGAAACCTCAGCTCTACTAAAAATACTAAAATTAGCCAGGTGTGGTGGCACACACCTGTAATCCCAGTTACTTGGGAGGCTGAGGCACGAGATAATCACTTGGACCCAGGAGGTAGAGGTTGCAGTGAGCCAAGATTTCACCACTGCACTCCAGCCTGGACAACAGAGTAAGACTCTGTCTCTAAATAAATAAATAAGTAAATAAATAAAATTTAAAAAGGAATCAGAGCTATTTAAGGGATAAAAATAAACAGAACCTGTGGGGGGCGGTGGTTCATGCCTGTAATCCCAGCACTTCGGGAGGCCGAGGCAGGTGGATCACGAGGTCAAGAGATGGTGACCATCCTGGCCAACATGGTGAAACCCCATCTCTACTAAAAATACAAAAAAATTAGCTGGGTGTGGTGGTGCATGCCTGTGGTCCCAGCTATTTAGGAGGCTGAGGCAAGAGAATCATTTGAATCTGAGAGGCAGAGATTGCATTGAGCTGAGATTGCACCACTGCATTCCAGCCTGGGCAACAGAGCAAGACTCCGTCTCAAAAAAATAAAGACACCAGGGCCAGGCGCGGTGGCTTACTCCTGTAATCCCGGCACATTGGAAGGCCAAGGCAGGCAGATCACGAGGTCAGGAGTTCGAGACCAGGCTGGCCAACATAGTGAAACCCCATCTCTACTAAAAATACAAAAATTAGCTGGGCATGGTGGCTCATGCCTGTAGTCCCAGCTACTCAGGAGGCTGAGGCAGGAGAATTGCTGGAACCCAGTAGGCAGAAGTTGCAGTGAGCCGAGATCGTGCCATTGCACTCCAGCTTGGGCAACAGAGTGAGACTTCATCTCAAAATAAATAAATAAAAGCCAGGCGCAGTGGCTTATGCCTGTAATCCCAGCACTTTGGGAGGCCGAGGCGGGCGGATCACAAGGTCAGGAGATCGAAACCATCCTGGCTAACATGGTGAAACCCCGTCTCTACTAAAAATACAAAAAAATTAGCCAGGCATGGTGGTGAGCACCTGTAGTCCCAGCTACTCGGGAGGTTGAGGCAGGAGAATGGTGTGAACCCAGGAGGCGGAGCTTGCAGTGAGCTGAGATCGCGCCACTGCACTCCAGCCTGGGGGACAGAGCGAGACTCTGCCTCATAAAATAATAATAAAAATAAATAAATAAATATATAAATAAATAAATAAATAAAATAAAGACACCAAAATGCAGACAGAGGAGACTGAGCTGTATCCTGCAGGCAAGTGGGGTAGAGGTTGCTGGGTGTCAAAATACACAGACTCTCTCACCATCCTCCATTCATTCCAAAAAGGAAGGTGTCCTCACCCTGCCACTTTAAGAATCACATCTGTAATCCCAGCACTTAGAGAGGCCGAGGCAGGAGGATCATTTGAGCCCAGGAGTTTGAGACCAGCCTGGGCAACAACAGCCAGACCCTGTCTCAATAAAAAAGAAAAAAGAAAGAATCTGTACATGTGATGAGACTGTTCCTGGGAGACACTGGGTCTTCCACAGAATCAGGAGGCAGAAAAAAATAGTTGACAACCAGTGGGGCACAGTGGCTCATGCCTGTAATCCCAGCACTTTGGGAGTCCGAGGCGGGTGGATCACCTGAGGTCAGGAGTTCGAGACCAGCCTGGCCAATACGGTGAAACCCTGTCTCTACTAAAAATACAAAAATAGCTGGGCGTGGTGGTGCGTGCCGGTAATCCCAGCTACTCTGAAGACTAAGGCAGGAGAATCGCTTGAACCTGGGAGGTGGAGGTTGCAGTGAGCCAAGATCGTGCCACTGCACTCCAGCCTGGGTGACAGAGCGAGACTCCATCTCAAAAAAAAAAATTGACAACTGTTACTGTCAGCAGGGCCTGTTGGAGGTTAGGGAGCAGAGGGAGCAATGACTGGAAGCAGGAGAATCTGTGGGGCTGGTGGGAATCTGTGGACAATCCGTGGGAAGGCTTGGTGGGCAGCAGGTGCGGGTGAGGCAGGGAGGTGGCAGAGAGAGCTTGTGGAGATGTTCTGGATACCAGAGCCCTGGCCTGATCCTGTACCGTCCCCACCTTCTCTGGATGACTGGGGCCAACCTAACCTGTTCCGAAGAAAATAAATACTCGGACATAATCCTTTGTTGTGAGATTAATTTGTTGTTTTGTTCACGGCTGCGTCTAGGAAGGTGCTTGGCGTGCAGTGAGAGGCTCTAATGGATCTGGGCTTGTTGAAGCAAGGCAGGAAGGAGCCAGTGTTCTCAAAGTGTTGGGTGAGTAGTAGGGGAGGCGCAGCCGGCAGCAGACCTGCAGGGATTACCATTCCCACATGGGAAAGGTTGCTGTGTGAGGATTAAACACAATAACGTATATGAAAATCCCGGCTGCTTAATACATCAACTCAGGTTCAAAATCTGGGAGGAGAGAAGCTGGGCTGATGTGGGGGTTGAGATGGGAGGAGGTTTCGAGCGGAGTCACATAGGGGCCCCCCAGGGACAGCCCCACGGGAAAGCTCCAGGGGTCTTTCGGGAAGCCCCGACTGGTGCCAGCACAGCTGACACTCCTGCCCCACCCGGCTGGCCAGCAGGAATTTGCCCCATGACCGCCCCTGGCAAGCTGCTGTCACCATGGCGACCGGCCACAAAACAAGCAGCCTGATTGTCCCTGCTCAGCGGGGCAGGTGAAACCCTGGCCACGTGACCGATACTGGGCCAGGTGCAGTTAAGGGACACCCGCCACCTCCCCTCCTTAACCCATTCAATGCCACCGCGCCACCTAGGCGCAGTGTCCCGGCCGCCTCAGGCCGCACCCCTTCGGCCCTTGGTCCCCACGGCCTGAAGGGTGGTGATGAAATACACGGAGCACTGCGTTAGGAGTCAGTGAAGGAAACAATCCGGGCTGTGCACTGGCTGAGTGACCTGGAGCTGGGTTACTTCGCCGTCCAAGCCTCTCTTTCCTCATCAGCAGAATAAGGACGGCACCCTCCCACTTCACAGGAAGCCTGGGAACACGGATGGGGCAGTGTACACTCGACCTCCAAAGAGCGATAGTCCATTTCACCTCCCACCTTCACCTCCACATGTCAGGGGCTCCGGAAGTCCTCCCCTCTGGCCTCCCCTAGAAGGAGGCCTTCGCCAACCAACAGCACGCTTCCTGGCCTGTTCCTAACAAGCTGAGAGGGCTGGGCAGCCCCCAGGATGACACCACCCCCAGATCCATTCCCAGGTAGCAACGACCCCTCCCCTGCCCCCACCACTTTCTCTGGAATGTTCAAGTGGAAACATCAAACCAACTGGTTTTTCTGCTTGCCTTCATCAGCCACCTGATCAGGGCTGGGGCCCAGGACTCTGAGTAAATATCTCAAGGCTGCTTCTGCCCCTAGATGTGGGGATCTTGGGCCAGGCTGAGATTACCTGGTGGAGGGTGGGGTGTATGGCAGGGATCAATTTGAAAGCACCTTTGAGGCCAGGCACAGTGGCTCATGCCTGTAATCCCAGCACTTTGGGAGGTCGAGGCAGGAGGATCACCTGAGGTCAGGAGTTTGAGATCAGCCTGCCCAACACGGTGAAACTCAGTCTCTACTAAAAATACAAAAATTAGCCGGGCATGGTGGCGCATACATGTAATCCCAGCTACTTGGGAGTCTGCAAAAGAGAATCGCTTGAACCCGGGAGGTAGAGGTTGCAGTGAGCTGAGATTGTCCCACTATACTCCAGCATAGGCAACAGAGAGACTCTCTCAAAACAAACAAACAAAAAAAAGCACCTTTGAAATACTATTGTTCTGAATCTTCAACCCCCACGCCCTTCACCCACCAACTCTAGAAAAACACCCACCAACTCTAGAAAAACACCCACCAACTCTAGAAAAACACTCTCCAAGGACCCCTCCCAGGCCTGGGACCAGCCCCCATACAGGGCTCAGATGTCCTCATCACTCCCCTAATTACTATGCGGGAAACATGATCACACCACCTGGTGTGCTTAGAGTCCTCGGTGACCTCAGCCCTCCTCAGATTGGAACCAAACACCTCAGGGTCCCATTAAGCAGGAGATGGAGCTTTACAGAGTTAGGACACATCCTCAGCTTGGCCAGCATGGTGAAATCCTGTCTCTGCCAAAAACAGAAAAAAATCAGCCAGGTGTGGTGATGCGCGCCTGTAGTCCCAGCTACTCGGGAGACTGAGGCATGAGAACTGCTTGAACCCGGGAGGCAGAGGTTGCAGTGAGCCAGGTTCCAGCCTCCATGACAGAGCCAGACCCTGTCTCAAAAAAAAAAAAAAATTAATGGCCAGGCGCAGTGGCTCACACCTGTAATCCCAGCATTTTGGGAGGCCGAGGCGGGCAGATCACCTGAGGTCGGGAGTTTGAACCAGCCTGACCAACGTGGAGAAACCCCGTCTCTACTAAAAATACAAAATTAGCCGGCGTAGTGGCGCATGCCTGTAATCCCAGCTACTCGGGAGGCTGAGGCAGGAGAGTCGCTTGAACCCAGTAGGTAGAGGTTGCGGTGAGCCAAGATCGCACCATTGCACTCCAGCCTGGGCAACAAGAGCAAAACTCCGTCTCAAAATATAATAGTAATAATTAATTAATTAATTATTTTTTTAAAAAAAAAGTTAGGACTCATCCTGTAGGTCCTGGACCGCCCTAAGGAGGTGGGGGAGGGGTCAGTGTAAGACTAGCTGGCCCAGGTGTCATATCCGGGAGGGCCACTAACCCAGCCACCCGCAGGACTTCCACATAAGCATTTACCAGTGCCCTGAAGCTCTTGATGACTATTACCACTTTGCACCAGATGAACAAGACATAGCTCCCGCTGTGGACACACAGGGAGGGCTGCCTCTATAATACTACACAGTAGCCTCTGAGAAATGCTTCCAGAACATTCCATGAAAGAGATTAGTTTTAACTCAGAAAGTCTGCGAAGGCTTGAGGAGGAGGCAGCAGTTATACAATGCCTTAAAAGGCCTATAGCTGAGGCCAGGCATGGTGGAGCACACCTGTAATTCCAGCTACTCAGGGGGCTGAGGCAGGAGGATCAGTTGAGTCTGGGAGTTCCAGACCAGCCTGAAACTGTCCCCTTGCTATGCCTAGAACATAGTAAGACTCTATCTCTACAAAACAGAAAAAAATTAGCCAGACATGGTGGTGCACATCTGTGGTCCCAGCTACTCGGGAGGGTGAGGCAGGAAGATTGCCTGGGCCCAGGGGGAAGAGGTTGCAGTGAGCCGTGATTGTGCCACTGCAGTCCAGCCTGGGTGACGCAGTGAAACCCTGTCTCAGAAAAAATAAAATAAAAGCCATATACCTGAGACAGGAAGGTCGCTTGAGGCCAGGAGCTGGAGACCAGCTTGGGCAAGGTAGCAAGACCCCTTCTCTAAAAAAAATTTTGTTGGGCCAGGTGTGGTGGCTCATGCCTGTAATCTCAGCACTTTGAGCCCAGGAGTTCGAGACCAGCCTGGGCAACATAGCAAGCCCCCGCTTCTATTTTTTAAAAAAAAAATTTTTTTTTTGAGATGGAGTCTCGCTCTGTCACTGAGGCTGGAATGCAGTGGCAAGATCTCGGCTCACTGCAACCTCCATCTCCCAAGTTCACACGATTCTCCTGCCTCAGCCTCCCCAGTAGCTGGGATTACAGGGCCGTGCCACCACCCACGGCAATTTTTTTTTTTTTTAAACGGAGTCTGTCTCCGTCCGGTAGGCTGGTGTGCAGTGGCATGATTTCCGCCCATTGCAACCTCCGCCTCCTGAGTTCAAGCGACTCTCCTGCCTTAGCCTCCCGAGTAGCTGGGATTACAGGCACCCGCCACCACGCCCAGCTAATTTTTGTATTTTTAGTAAAGACGGGGTTCCACCATATTGGCCAGGGTGGTCTCCAACTCCTGGCCTCAGGTGATCTGCCCACCTCAGCCTCCCAAAGTGCCGGGATTACAGGCGTGAGCCACCGCACCCGGCCTAAAAAAAAAAATTGTAACCATGATTCAGTAAAAAAAAAAAAAAAAAAAAAAATGTTAAAATTAGTCTGCGCCTGTAGTCCCAGATTCTCGGGAGGCAAAGGCGGGAGGATCGCTTGAGCCCAGGAGGTCGAGGCTGCAGTGAGCTACGGTCGCGTCACTGCACTCCGGCCTGGGCGAGGGTAAGACCCCCACCAAAAAAAAGTATAGGACTCGGGCAACTGGCTATCTGGAAGACAGACAGCACCCCAGCAGGAGGTGGGGTGTGGAGAAGACCTTGAAAGGCAGGGTGCCTGATAGGGGAGTATGAGAATGGGGAGTATGGGCAGAAAAGCAGGTGGGATCAGACTGGGGGAGCCTTCCCCAAACGTAAAAGGGACGAAGGGGCTTGGGGAAGAGCTCTAGAGTGCCCCCGAGCTCCTTCTAGATCGACGACTCCAGGATGGGTGGGTGTCCGTGCTCCGCCCAACCTGCCCGGGCCCCCGGCAGTGGAGCACGGCGCCACCACACTGGCACTCCGCCGCCCAGAGCCACCCTGGCGCCGCTCGCCCCCGCCGGCGGCACAGAAACGATGGCAGCCACCCAGGTCAGTGAGCGATGGCAGGTGCGGGGCGGGAACCGAGCCCTAAGCTGCAACCAGAACCGAGCACGCACAGAGCGGCGCAGACCGAATTCCCAGATTCTACGCACCGCGGCGCTTCGCGAGGGGAGGGGCAAGCACCGCGGGTTGCCCAGCCTAGGGCGAGGCCAGGTGCGGCGCTCAGGGCGACCCGCGCAAAGCCTGCGGGGATTACGTAATGGCGTAAGGGGCGGGGATGGAGGCGGGGCCGGACTGTTCTCGGGGATACGTAAGGAAACGGGACCAAGGGCGGAGAATCCCGCGATGGGGGCGGGGAGAGGGCGGGGCTCAAGTCGGAACTGGGCGGGGCGGCTGAAGACGGAAATGGGCGGGGCTGCGAGCTAGGGCGGGAGAAGGAGCGCGGGGAGGACGTACCTTGTGAGATGCGAGCCGGCCAACAGCTTGCAAGCATGCTCCGCTGGACCCGAGCCTGGAGGCTCCCGCGTGAGGGACTCGGCCCCCACGGCCCTAGCTTCGCGAGGGTGCCTGTCGCACCCAGCAGCAGCAGCGGCGGCCGAGGGGGCGCCGAGCCGAGGTCAGTCAAGGGCACCGGGCGGGAGGCCATCCTCTGTCCTCCTTTTCCTGCCGGGCCCCGACGGCCCCATCTCCTCCCTTTGGGCCTGTCACCTCCCAGGCCTCTCCCCCAAAGCTCTTTCCCCCTACCCCTTTCCCCGTCTCCGCCGGCTCAGACTCTGACCTCGATCCTTCCCCTGCCAGGCCGCTTCCGCTTTCCTACAGGCTTCTGGACGGGGAGGCAGCCCTCCCGGCCGTCGTCTTTTTGCACGGGCTCTTCGGCAGCAAAACTAACTTCAACTCCATCGCCAAGATCTTGGCCCAGCAGACAGGCCGTAGGGTGAGCTTTCGAGTGGGCGGGGCTCCTTTGGGGCTGGGCGGGAGTGGGCGGGGCCTGAGAGGAGGCGGGGCAGGGGGGGTCCCGCTTCTCACGCTCACTTCCAGATCCCTCACTCTGAGTATGGACCCTGAACGGCAACCCCATTTATTCCCTCACGTTGCCATCTTCATTAATTCATGTTGTAGATCTCCATCGGGGCTGGCCCATGCCTAGGCGCCTGCACCCTTTCCATGAAGGGGCCTGCTTGTTCACTAGGGATGACCGGGAGCTCACCACCTCTTATGGCAGCCCATTCTTCTGTGCTCCTACTGTTGGAAATTCCTGGAGTCTCCTTCCTGGCATTCTCCGAGATTGCCACCCAGCCAGGCCAGCCCTTCAGAGACGTGGTCACAACCCTGGGGCCTGCTCTTCTCTGGCAGAGTGGCCCCAGGTTCTTCATCTGGGCCTCCTAGGTCTGGAAACTGGGCCCTTCCCCTCCACAGGGTGTATCCCCAGGCTCTCCACACCTTTGACCTGCTGTCCCTACAAGCCTTTGGCTGTCTACCCCCAGAATGGGGATATCAACGCAGCCCCGTCTCACCCCACTCCCCAGGTGCTGACGGTGGATGCTCGTAACCACGGTGACAGCCCCCACAGCCCAGACATGAGCTACGAGATCATGAGCCAGGACCTGCAGGACCTTCTGCCCCAGCTGGGCCTGGTGCCCTGCGTCGTCGTTGGCCACAGCATGGGAGGAAAGACAGCCATGCTGCTGGCACTACAGAGGGTGAGCCGCCCATGTCTGGGGCCTCCTCCCATTCAGTATATACCCTGAGGGCCCTGCAGGCAACCTGGGACTCACATGATCGTTGGATGACCAAGTTCAGGCTCCAGGAGCCATGCCTGAGACTCCCTATGTCTGCCTAAGACTGGTCCCAGTTCGGTTCTCTCCCACAGCCAGAGCTGGTGGAACGTCTCATTGCTGTAGATATCAGCCCAGTGGAAAGCACAGGTGTCTCCCACTTTGCAACCTATGTGGCAGCCATGAGGGCCATCAACATCGCAGATGAGCTGCCCCGCTCCCGTGCCCGAAAACTGGCGGATGAACAGCTCAGTTCTGTCATCCAGGTGATACACCCAAGGTGCCCCGGATGGTATTGTAGACCAGGACCTGTCAAGGGAAGAGTGGCACCCCCAGACCGCACAAGGAACCTCCCCCAACTGCTGCACCCCCACAGGACATGGCCGTGCGGCAGCACCTGCTCACTAACCTGGTAGAGGTAGACGGGCGCTTCGTGTGGAGGGTGAACTTGGATGCCCTGACCCAGCACCTAGACAAGATCTTGGCTTTCCCACAGAGGCAGGAGTCCTACCTCGGGCCAACACTCTTTCTCCTTGGTGGAAACTCCCAGTTCGTGCAGTAAGCTAGCCTGGGTAGTAGGAGGGGCATGCTTTACTCGCCCAGGCCCCAGCCTGGGGACCCTACCAGGGGAGGCCTTGGGTGTGGAAGGGGGGTGGCTGAGAGGCCAGAAATACCACCGGGCATATGGGCTCACACAGCTCTCTCCATTTCTCCCCGTTCTGCTTCCACGTGTCTCTTTCACTCCTCCTCATCCCACTTTCACCCGTTTTTGATGGCCGTCGCTGCGATGCACAGTCCCAGCCACCACCCTGAGATTATGCGGCTCTTCCCTCGGGCCCAGATGCAGACGGTGCCGAACGCTGGCCACTGGATCCACGCTGACCGCCCACAGGACTTCATAGCTGCCATCCGAGGCTTCCTGGTCTAAGAGTTGCTGGCAAGAAGATGGCCGGGCGTGGTGGCTCATGCCTGTAATTCCAGCACTTTGGGAGGCTAAGGCGGGAGGATGACTTGAGGCCAGGAGTTGGAGACCAGCCTGGCCAACATGGTGAAACCCTGTCTCTACTAAAAATACAAAAATTAGCCTGGCGTGGTGGTGCACACCTGTAATCCCAGCTACTCTGGAGGCTGAGGCAGGAGAATCACTTGAACCCTGGAGGCAGAGGTTGCAATGAGCCGAGATCACACCACTACACTCCAGCCTAGGCAACAGAGCAAGACTCTGTCTCAAAAAAAACAAAACAAAAAGGAGGCACAAAACCCCAGGCTTCAAGTCTCTGCAGCCTGCTCCACATTTGGGCACAGAAGGACTCAGACAGGCACTGTGTGGGCACGAGGTTTTACAGGGGTGGTCAGACCTCAGGCTTTAATGAATAAAGACACTACTCCCAAAGTCCTGGGCTGAGGTCTGTGTCACCACCAACGTCCCCGACCCAGGGAGAATCTGGATCGGGGGGTGCTGGCAGCTCCAGGGTCCACGTGGGCTCCCCGAGTACCCTTGGCCTCTCTCTGCAGCTGATTCTGGACCTGCTGCCACACCAGCTGCTGCACGTCCTCCTGTGGACAGGAGAGCAGGTTCAAGGCTGAGCCTGTGCCCTCTTTCCCCACACCTCCCAGGCCCTGATGGCATTCCCCTACCTCCCAGGCCTCCAGCTCCCGCCTCAGCCTCAGTTTCTCCTCCAGGACCTCCAGCAGCTGGGCCTCCATGGCGTGTAGCCTGGCTTTGCATCTCTGCAGCTCCGCCTCCACCGCCTGCTTCCTGTGGGTGGCAGAGAGAGTAGCTGAGGCTCGGACCCTGTGGGTCTGGTTGTGAGGTCCTGGGGGTGGACGAGTATGGCCACAGCCCCCGCCTCAGTGAAGGGCAGCTGGTTGTGTGGCTTTCCTTCCAGAATGCCTGACTAGCCCCCCGCTCCTCCATTAGCAGGACAAGGCCCTGCAGGGGAGCCCCCAACTCCCCTCCCAGCCCCCAAAAGCAGCTTCCCCTTACTTGGCAATGGCTTCATCCCGTTCCTGGAGGACTTGGTCCAGGGAGGGTTCTGTCCGGGTGTCCCCCAGTGCTCCAGCCGCCTGGTACTCTGGGCTGTGTCGCAGGGTGACAGAGGAGGAGGCAGCGACCAAGTCTTGTCTGGAAGAGGTGTCTCACTCTGGGCCCTCCCGCCTTGGCCTCGGCTTTGATGTTGCTGTCAGGTGGAGAGGCGGCTGAGGTGCTCTGTACCTGCCCCTGCTGCTGCCCCAGTCTCATGGACCTATGGAAAGGAAGAGGAGGTGGATGGTGTGGCCACTGCCTGGCCTCAATGCAAGCAGCGTGGGCAGGGTATTTGGACCTCCAGGGAGCAAAGAATTCTCACCCAGTCATCAGGGAAGGACGAGGCAGCTGTGTTCAGAAGAACACTTACCCTCAAGGGCTGGGACTTAGGGTGGCCTGGTGACTGGGACTCTTGGCAGCTGGGTGGAGCAAGCGAAAGACATGGCCCTTTGCCCTCCCTTCCCAGCAAGGCACTCCCTGGCAGGCCCCACCCCTGCCAGGCCAAGGAGGAAGGCCTGCTGCATCCTAGAAACTTCCGGCCAGGCCCAGAGCACACTCAGCCCCCTTCCTCCCTTCACCACAAGAGGGTGCTCTACCCACGTCTTGTGAAAGAAAGGGCGGAGCTGGGCACAGTGGCTCATGCCTGTCATCCCAGCACTCGGAGGCTGAGGCAGGAGGATCTATTGAGCCCACTTCAAGGCTGCAGTGAGCCATAGGATCACACCACTGCACTCCAGCCTAGGTAACAGAGCAAGACGTTGTCTCAAAAAGAGAGGGAGAGGTAAGGAGAGGAGGGAAGAAGGCATTATGTCTCCAATGCTGAGAGGCATAAGGTACCCCAGCCCCCATCCTGAAGGGTTAGCTTGGTACCTTGAATGGCATCATCCACACATATAAATATAACCTTACCTCTGCAGAAAAACAGAAGGAAAAAAGTGTATCCCTAACAAATTCCTCCTCACATTTTATTTTATATATATATATATATATATTTTGAGACAGAGTCTCACTCTGTCCCCCAGGCTGGAGTGCAGTGGTGCAATCTCAGCTCACTGCAAGCTCCACCTCCCAGATTCACACCATTCTCCTGCCTCAGCCTCCCGAGTAGCCGGGACTACAGGCGCCCACCACCACGCCCGGCTAATTTTTTATACTTTCAGTAGAGACGGGGTTTCACCGTGTTAGCCAGGATGGCCTCGATCTCCTGACCTCGTGATCCGCCTGCCTTGGGCTCCCAAAGTGCTGGGATTACAAGCGTGAGCCACCGCGCCTGGCCATTTTTAATTTTTTTTAATTTATGTATTTTTTTGAGACGGAGTCTCACTCTCTTGCCAGGCTGGAGTGCAGTGGCTGCAGTGGTGCAGTCTTGGCTCACTGCAACCTCTGCTTCCCGAGTTCAAGCGATTCCCCTGCCTCAGCCTCCCGAGTAGCCAGTGGCATGAGCCGGTGGCGTGAGCCACAGCACCCAACTCAATTTTTTTTTTTTTTTTTGAAATGGAGTCTCACTCTGTCGCCCAGGCTGGAGTGCAGTGGCACGATCACGGCTCACTGCAAGCTCTGCCTCCCAGGTTAAAGCCATTCATCTGCCTCAGCCTCCCGAGTAGCTGGGACTACAGGCGCCCGCCACCACGCCCGGCTAATTTTTTGTATTTCTAGTAGAGACAGGGTTTCGCCACGTTAGCCAGGATGGTCTCGATCTCCTGACCTTGTGATCCGCCCGCCTTGGCCTCCCAAAGTGCTGGGATTACAGGCATGAGCCACTGCGCCCAGCCACATTTGTGTGTGTGTGTGTGTGTGTTTTGAGATGGACTCTTGCTCTGTCACCCAGGCTGGAGTGCAGTGAGATCTCAGCTCCTTGCAACCTCCACCTCCTAGTTCAAACGATTCTTCTGCCTCAGCCTCCCAAGTAGCTGGGACTACAGGTGCATGCCACCACATCCGGGTAATTTTGGTATTTTTTTTAGTAGAGATGGGGTTTCACCATGTTGGCCAGGCTGGTCTCAAACTCCTGACCTCAAGTGATCTGCCTGCCTCGAACTCCCAAAGTGCTGGGATTACAAGTGTGACCCACATGCCCAGCCCACATTTTTTGTTCTTAGACTCAATGTGTCGCCCAGGCTGAAGTGCAGTGGCACAGTCATAGCTCACTGCAGCCTCAAACTCCTGGGCTCAATGGATCCTCCCTCCTCAGTCTTCGAAGTAGCTGGTACTAAAGGCATTCACCACCATGCCCAGCAAATGTTTTTAAAATGTTTTGTAGACATGAGGTCTCTCTGTGGTGCCCAGGCTGGTCTTGAACTCCTGACTTCCAGTGTCAGCCTCCCAACGCACCCCGCCCTCCTAACATCTTCAATACTACCTCTAATATTCCCAGCGTTCTGATCCAAGAGCATGGGTAGGTCTGCTGTGCCCCCAGGGGTCTCAGTACCCCCCACCTCCCTTGAGGTGACCACCACCTCCACAAGTACCCGGAGTATACCAGCAACATATTCATAAATGTGTAAAAAGAAATCTCCATTTCAGCAAAGGTCTTGTCAGCAAAGTTGCATATTAGGGATTAGGTCTTCAACCCAGCTCCAAACAGTAAATGTCACCAGGTGCAGTGTCTGTAGTCCCAGCTACTTGGGAGGCTGAGGCAGGAGGATCGCTGGAGTCCAGGAGTTCCGGGTTGTAGTGCAGTATGCCTGTAGTGCAGATAGCTATACTTGCACTAAGTTCACCACCAATTTGGTGACCTCTCAGGAGCAGGGGATTACCAAGCTGCCTAAAGAGAGGTGCACCAGCCCAGCTCAGAAACAGAGGGGTCAAAACTCCTTTGCTGATCAGTAGTGGGATCTTGCCTGTGAATAGCCACTGCACTTCAGCCTGGGCAACATAGCAAGACCCATCTCTAAAATACATAAATAGGCAGGGCACAGTGACTCATGCTTGTAATCCTAGCACTTTTGGGAGGCCGAGGTGGGCAATCATGAGGTCAGGAGTTTCAGACCAGCCTGGCCAACATAGTGAAACCTGTCTCTACTAAAAATACAAAAAAATTAGCCAGGCATGGTGGTGGGTGCCTGCAATCCCAGCTACTGAGGAAGCTGAGGCAGAAGAATCACTTGAACCCGGGAGATGGAGGTTGCAGTGAGCTGAGATCATGCCACTGCACTCCAGCCTAGGCGGCAGAGGAAGACTCTGTCTCAAAACAACAACAACAAAAACAAATTTAAAACAGCTCTCCAATGTCCAAAAAATTTAACCTTTAAGGTGAAAAAAAAAAAAAAACTGTCCGGGCGCTGTGGCTCACACCTGTAATCCCAGCACTTTGGGAGGCCACAGTGGGCAGATCACGAGGTCAGGAGTTCAAGACCATGGCCAACATGGTGAAACCCCGTCTCTACTAAAAATACAAAAATTAGCTGGGCGTGATGGTGTGGGTCTGTAATCCCAGCTACACAGTAGGCTGAGGCAGGAGAATCGCTTGAACCCAGGACCCAGGAAGCGGAGGTTGCAGTGAGCTGAGATTGCACCACTGCATTCCAGCCTGGGTGACAGAGCGAGACTCCATCTCAAAAAAAAAAAAAAAAAAAACTGGTAAGTTGTGAAACCCTGTACCTAGTTGTGACATCTGTATTCTCTCTCAATCTAGAACAATTTGCAGCCTTTGAGTTTCACGACCTTAATATTTTCGGAGATTACAGGGAAGTTATTTTGTAGACTGTCCTTCCATTTCGGTTTGTCCACTCCTTCCTGACGATGAGACCACCGTGACACATTCTGGACAGAAATACCACAAAAATGATGCTATGCTCTCACTGTAGCCAAATGTCCATTGGAGCCATGAATGGTAGTACCAACGTCCATCACTTCATTAAGATGCTTTTTTTGGCTGGGTGCGGTGGTTCACGCCTGTAATCCCAACACTATGGAAGGCCGAGGCAGGCTGATCACGAGGTCAGGAGTTCGAGACCAGCCTGGCCAACATAGTGAAACCCCATCTCTACTAAAAATACAAAAAATCGGCCTGGCGCGGTGGCTCACACCTGTAACCCCAGCGCTTTGGGAGGCCGAGATGGGCAGATCACTTGAGGCCAAGAGTCCGAGACCAGCCTGGCCAACACAGTAAAACCCCATCTCAACTACAAATTTAAAAAAGTAGCCGGACATGGTGGCGCGTGCCTGTAATCCCAGCTACTCAGGTGCCTGAGGCAAGAAAATCGCTTGAACCCGGGAGGCAGAGGTTGCAGTGAGCAGAGATCGCGCCACCACTGCACTCCAGCCTGGGCAAGAGAGTGAGACTGTCTCAAAAAAAAAAAAAAGATAAATACAAAAAATTAGTCGGGCATGATGGCAGGTGCCTGTAATCCCAGCTACTCAGGAGGCCGAGGCAGGAGAATCGCTTGAACCCAGGAGGCGGAGGTTGCAGTGAGCCGAGATTGCACCACTGCACTCCAGCCTGGGTGACAGAGAGAGACTCTAGCTCAAAAAACAAAAAAACAAAAACAAAAAAAACAAAGCAAGACCAAACCATGCTTTTTTTTTCTTTTCTTTTTTTGAGACAGGGTCTCACTGTGTCACCCAGGCTGGAGTGCAGTGGCACAATCATAGCTCACAGCAGCCTTGACCTCCCAGGCTCAAGCGATCCTCCCTCCTCAGCATCCCAAGTAACTGGGACTACAGTCATGAGCCACCATGACAGGCTTTTTCCTGTCATTTATTTTGATGCTCAAATTGTCCCAGATTTGATCAGTGGATGCCCCTTGCTGACCTCTTGTCATTTTGACAAGCCCCGTTGTTCTTTAATCACTTCCTTTCTTTCTGGCTCAGCAAGATATTTCAGGCTTATCTTGTTTCTCCCTGTCCCGGCCCTGAATTCTCCATTTCTTCAAGAATACTTGGTTTCTTTGTAAGGAGGAATGGTATTTAGAAACCAGGATCTCCATGGTAGGCACATTCAATGCAATTAGGGTCATTCTACACCAGGGTCCACTCAGTGGACACACATTTATACACACACATAAACATACATATTTACATCTGTTTATTTTATCTGTCTACATAAACTGGGGAAAAATAGTTTATATTTACACCTTAAATTCCAGTCTAAAAGCACAAGTTTCATCCTTGCCTTTTTTTTTTTTTTTTTTTTTGGCGACGATGTCTTGCTATTTTGCCCAGGCTGGAGTGCAATGGTGCAATCTCAGCTCACTGCAACCTCCATCTCCTGGGTTCAAGCGATTCTCCTGCCTCAGCCTCCTGAGTAGCTGGGATTACAGGCGTGCACCACCACACCCAGCTAATTTTTGTACTTTTAGTAGAGATGGGGTTTCACCATGTTGGTCAGGCTGGTCTGAAACTCTTGACCCCATATACTATATTTTTTTTTCTTTTTTTTTTTTTGAGATGGAGTCTCACTCTGTTGCCCAGGCTGGAGTGCAGTGGCACAGTCTTGGCTCACTGCAAGATCCGCCTCCCGGGTTCACGCCATTCTCCTGCCTCAGCCCCCGAGTAGCTGGGACTACAGGCGCCCACCACCACGCCCAGCTAATTTTTGTATTTTTAATAGAGATGGGGTTTCACTTTGTTAGCCAGGATGGTCTCGACCTCCTGACCTCGTGATCCACCCATCTTGGCCTCCCAAAGTGCTGGGATTACAGGTGTGAGCCACCGCACCCGGACTATATATATATATATATTTTTTTTTAAGACAGGGTCTCACTCTGTTTCCCAGGCTGGAGTGCAGTGGTGTAATCATGGCTCACTGCAGCCTCAATCTCCTGGACTCCAGCCATCCTCCCACCTCAGCCTCCTGAGTAGCTGGGACTACAGGCACTCGCCACCATACCAATTTTTTTTTCTTTTTTTTTTTGAGACAGAATCTTACTCTGTCACCCAGGCCAGATCAGTGGCAAGATCTCAGCTCACTGCAACCTCTGCCTCCAGGTTCAAGTGATTCTCATGCCTCAGCCTCCCGAGTAGCTGGGATTACAGGCACGCACCACCACGCCTAGCTAATTTTTGTATTTTTAGTAGAGATGGGATTTTGCCATGTTCGCCAGGCTGGTCTTGAACTCCCAACCTCAAGTGATCTGCCCACCTCAGCCTCCAAAAGTGTTTTAAGATTACAGGCATGAGCCACCAAGCCTGACCTAATTTTTTTTTTTTTTTTTTTGTAGAGACAGGGTCTTGCTATAGTGCCCAGGGTGGTCTCAAACTCCTGGGCTCAAGCGATCCTCCTGCCTTCGCCTCCCAAAGTGCTGGGATTACAGGTGAAAGCCACCGTGCCCAGGTCCCTTTCCTTTTTTTTTTTTTTTTTTCAAGACAGGGTCTTGCTCTGTTGCCCAGGCAGGAGTGCAGTGGCACAATCTCAGCTCACTGCAACCTCCTCCTCCCAGGTTCAAGCGATTCTAACCCCTTAGCCTCCCAAGTAGCTGGGATTACAGGCGGGCACCACCACGCCCAGCTAATTTTTGTATTTTTAGTAGAGACAACGTTTCACCATGTTGTCCAGGTTGGTCACGAACTCCTGAGCTCAGGTAATCTGCTACCTTGGCCTCCCAAAGTGCTGGGATGGCAGGCGTGCACCATGGCTCCCAGTCAGACTAGCACATCTTTCTAAGAGCTTTACAGTCATTCGTTCAGCCCACAAATATTTACTGAGCACCTACTGTGTTCAAAGTATGTTTCCAAGTGGCAGACGTAAATCAAGACAGACAAAGCTCCTTGAGCTCATGGAGCTCACATTCCAGGGAGGGGACATAGACCATAAACAAATTAACAAGCGTATCAGATGGTAAGAAGTACTGTGGAGAAGAATTAAGCAGGGAGAGGAAATGAGGAAGGAACAGGCGATTGCTGTTTTATTTTATTTTATGTTAGAGACAGAGTCTTACTCTGTTTCCCAGGCTGGTGTGCAGTGGTGTGATCTCGGCTCACTGCAACCTCCACCTCCAGGTTCAAGCGATTCTCCCCTCAGCCTCCGAAGTAACTGGGACTACAGGCGCCTGCCAGCATACCTGACTAATTTTTTGTATTTTTGGTAGAGGCATGGTTTCACCACGTTGGCCAGGCTGGTCTTGAACTCCTGACCCCAAGTGATCCGCCCGCCTTGGCCTCCCAAAGTTCTGGGATTACAGGTGTGAGCCACTGCACCCAGCCCAATTGCTATTTTACATAATTCTGTGGTTACCCTAAGGAGATGACAAATATTCACCTACCATTTAGATGAAAAACAACCAACCTAATCACTCTCATGACTTGGAGTGATATTTTCAGTGACAGCATCATTAATGAGCTCAAAAAGTGCTGTGTCACACAAGTAGGAGTTAGCAAAACAAAAAAAATAGAAAAATAAAAAAGTGCTGTGTTTCCAAGCAAAAGCGAAGATGATGTGTTTGAGAAAACTAGGGAACTTGAAAGAGGCACTAGGGGATGACACGTAACAATGACAATGACCATGGGAGGCAGAAATGCGAATAAAGAGTTTGCATAAACTTTCACAAACCACAAGAGTGGAAAAGCAATGTTTCTAAATAAAACTATTCTTTAAAATATAAGATTTTAGACCAGGCGCAATGGCTCACGCCTGTAATCCCAGCACTTTGGGAGGCTGAGGTGGGCAGATCACTTGAGGTCAGGAGTTTGAGATCTGCCTGACCAACATGGTGAAACCCCGTCTCTACTAAAAATACAAAAAATTAGCCGGGTGCAGCGGTGCATGCCTGTAATCCCAGGTACTCTGGAGGCTGAGGTGAGAGGGTCATTTGAACCCGGGAGGCAGAGGTTGCAGTGAGCCAAGATCGTGCCACTTCACTCCAGCCTGGGAGACAGAGCGAGACTCCATCTCAAAAAAAAAAAAAAATTAAAATAACACTGGGTGCAGTGGCTCACGCCTGTAATCCCAGCACTTTGGGAGGCCAAGGCGGGCAAATCACCTGAGGTCAGGAGTTCAAGACCAGCCTGACCAACATGGAGAAACCCTGTCTCTACTAAAAAAAATACAAAATTAGCCTGGCGTGGTGGCGCATGCCTGTAATCCCAACTACTCAGGAGGCTGAGGCAGGAGAATCGCTTGAATCCGGGAGGCAGAGGTTGCAGTGAGCCGAGATTGTGCCATTGGACTCCAGCCTGGGTGACAAGAGCAAGACTCCATCTCAAAAAAATAAATAAATAAAAATTAAATAAAATATGGGATTTTTAAAGTCTAAATTTTAAATATTTAACTAAATATTATAAGTAGGGAGTTGATTATTCATCTGTATCTCTAAAAGTTTAAATTAGAATTTGGGACAAATTTTTTTTAAATCTCATTCAGAAAAAGAGGAAAGAAATTTACATTCAGGCATATAGTGAATTTCATCCCAAAGCACTATGCAAATGTCACACACTAAGTACCAGGACTCCTTGCCTGGCCGCCCACATCCTCCTCCTCTCCTGCTCCCCGAGGATGGCTGAGCCCAGGCCTGGGGTTGAGCCAGGAGACGGTTCCCAGCTAATGGTGAACTGGGATGGGGAGAGAGAGCTACCAGGTGGGCTGCGGGGCTGGGCATGGTGATCACAACACCAGGGATTGGCAGGGCTGGCAATTTAAGCACTGCCACCCAAGGCTTATGACTTTGTATGCACCTCTGGGAGCCTCAATGTCCTCATCTGTGAAATGCAGCTAGTAGAGGGCCTCCCTGACAGAGTCACAGTAAGGGTTAAAGGAGGCAGGCAACTCACTCGGTGGCCAGTGCTTTGTATAAAGCACAGGCCAGGGCACCAAACACAGTAATCCCAGCCCTTTGGGAGGCTGAGGCAGGAGGATGGCTTGAGCCCAGGAGTTCAACACAAGCCTGGGCAACATAGCAAGACCCTGTAATTTTTTTTTCTTTCTTTTTTTTGGAACCTGCAATTTTTAAAAATTAAATTACAAAAAGAAAAAAAAATGGACCAGGGCCAGGCTTCCCAGGAGAGGATAAAAAGGGAATAAGCCTGCCAGACCCAAGAAAGCAACAACAAGAGAATCTCAACTACACACACACACAGACACACACACAGACACACACACAGATACACAGACACACACACACAGATACACAGACATGCACAGACACACAGACACACACAGATACACAAACAGAACACACACAGACACACAGATACACAGACACACACACATACACACACAGACATACACAGATACACAGACACACAGACATACAGATACACAGACACAGACACACACAGATTCACAGACACACACACAGATTCACAGACACACAGATACACACACATACACATACACACACAGCCATGCAGCCTGGGTCAGCCGCCCTTCCCATTCCCCAGCCCCCACAACCATGCTCCAGGAACAAGTCTGTTCCTGAATCCTACAAAAGCTTCCTCCTCTTCCTCCTCCAGACCCCAGCAGCCCCTGGGCCTCCTCATCGTTGTCCTGTCACTGTCACTGCGCCTTTCCTACCAGCCCCAGAGGTTCTGGAGGACAGGTGGTGACTGTCTTCGTGCCAACCATCCACACAGGTACAAGGCAAGGCAAGGCAATACCGGCCCTGCCCAGAAGGTGGCAGCAGCGCTCAACATCAGGGATGCAGCGGGCCTGGGCTCACCCCAACCCTCCCAGCCTATGGGATGGAAACACCAAACTGTGCCCGGGAGCTCTGGGAGTTCCCAAATGCCCAGCCTTTGCCCTGTGCTTGCTTGCTTGCTTTGCTTGCTTGCTTGCTTGCTTGCTTGCTTGCTTGCTTGCTTGCTTGTTTGTTTGTTTGTTTGTTTGTTTGTTTGTTTTGAGACGGAGGCTTGCTGTGTCTCCCAAGCTGTAGTGCAGTGTCGCGATTCTGGCTCAGTGCAACCTCTGCCTCCCGGTTCAAGCGATTCTCCTGCCTCAGCCTCCCAAGTAGCTGGGACTACAGGAACCTGCCACCACACCCGGCTAGTTTTTTGTATTTTTAATAGAGATGGGGTTTCACCATGTTGGCCAGGCTGATTTCAAACTCCTGACCTCAAGTGATCCGCCCACCTCAGCCTCCCAAAGTGCTGGGATTACAGGTGTAAGCCATTTCCCCAGCCTTTTTTTTTTTTTTGAGACGGAGTCTTGTTCTGTCACCAGGCTGGAGTGCAGTGGCAGGATCTCGGCTCACTGCAACCTCCGCCTCCCGGGTTCAAGCGATTCTCCTACCTCAGCCTCCCAAGTAGCTGGGATTACAGGCACACGCCACCACACCTGGCTAATTTTTGTATTTTTAGTAGAGACAGAGTTTTGCCATGTTGCCGGTCTGGAACTCGAACTCCTGGCCTCAAGTGATCTGTTCACTGGGGCCTCCCAAAGTGCTGGGATTATAGGTGTGAGCCACTGTGCCCGGCCTGGCCTCACTTCCTTCGAGCGCATTCTCTTACCTCCTCTACTCCAGGCCTCCTCGCCTCCTTGCTGTTTTGTCATTCACACCAGGCAGGCTCCCTCCTCATGGTTGTTGCACTTGCTGTTCCCTCTACCCAGAATGCTTTTCCCCAGATACCTACATGGCTCACTCCCTCACCTCCTTCAGAGATATACTCAAATACCACCTTCTCATCAAGGACCTCCCTGACCAAATCATCTAGAATTGAAGCTGGGCGCAGCGGCGCTTGCCTGGAGTCTCAACTACTCAGGGGGCTAAGGCAGACGGATCACTTGAGCCCAGGCATTCAAGACCAGCCTGGGAACATATCAAGACCCTGTCTCTGCAAAAAATAACAAAAATTAGCCAGGTGTGTTAGTGTGCACCTGTAGTCCCAGCTACTTGGGAGGCTGAGGCAAGAGGATCACTTGAGCCCAGGAGTTTCAGGCTGCAGTGAGCCATGATCATGCCACTGCACTCCAGGCTGGGCAACATAGCAAGACCCTGTCTTTTAAAAAAAAAAAAAGAAGAAAAAGGCCGGGCGCAGTGGCTCATTCCAGCACTTCGGGAGGCCGAGGCGGGCGGATCACCTGAGGTCGGGAATTCGAGACCAGCCTGACCAACATGGAGAAACCCCATCTCTACTAAAAATAAAAAATCAGCCGGGCATGGTGGCATATGCCTATAATCCCAGCTACTAGGGAGGCTGAGGCAGGAGAATCGCTTGAACCCTGGAGGCGGAGGTTGCAGTGAGCTGAGATCGTGCCATTGCACTCCAGCCTGGGCAACAAGAGCAAAACTCTGTCTCAAAAAAAAAAAAAAAGAAGAAAAAAGAAAAAAAAGAAGAAGAAAAAAAAACTTGAACTGTACCAGTAAAACTGGAATTCCTCACTCAAACCCAGTAAGTAGTTCCTACCCCGTCTTTCCTTGTAGCATATCATCACCATTATATATGTTATTTATTTGTGTGTTTGGCATCTTTACTAGACCACAGACTGCATGGGGGCAAGGGCTTGTCCATCTTTTTTTCTGCCATATTCCCAACATCTAGAATAGCGGGCACATAGTAGATGCTCAATAAATACTTTTTTATTTGTATATATTTTTGGACAGGGTCTCACTCTGTTGCCCAGGCTGGAGTAGAGTGGCACAATCATGGCTCACTGAAGGCTCAAACTCCTGGGCTCAAGCAGTCCTCCCACCTCAGCCTCCTAAGTAGCTGGGAGTACAGGTGTGCACCACGATGCTCAGCTAATTTTTAGAAAAATATTTTTCTTTGGAGACAGGGTCTCCGTGTGTTGCCCAGGTTGATCTTGAACTTCTGGCCTCAAGCGATCCTCCTGCCTCGGCCTCCCAAAGTGCTGGGATTACTGGTGTGAGCCACCACCACACTCAGCCTAATAAATACTTTTTTTTTTTTGAGACGGAATCTCGCTCTTTCGCCCAGGCTGGAGTGCAGTGGTGCGATCTCTGCTCACTGCAAGCTCTGCCTCGCAGGTTCACGCCATTCTCCTGCCTCCGCCTCCCAAGTATCTGGGACTACAGGCGCCCACCACCATGCCCGGCTAATTTTTTTTTTTTTTTTTTTTTTGTATTTTTGGTAGAGACAGGGTTTCACCATGTTAGCCAGGATGGTCTCGATCTCCTGACCTCGTGATCCGCCCACCTCAGCCTCCCAAAGTGCTGGGATTACAGGCATAAGCCACCATGCCCGGCCAATACTTTTTAAATGAAGGAATGAAGCCTGGGTATGGTAGCTCATGCCTGCAATCCCAGAAATTTGGGAGGCCGAGGTGGGTGGATCACCTGAGGTTAGGAATTCGAGACCAGCCTGGCCAAGGTGGAGAAACTCCATCTCTACTAAAAATACAAAAAATTAGCCAGGTGTGGTGGCACATGCCTGTAATCTCAGCTATCTGGGAGGCTGAGGCAGGAGAATTGCTTGAACCCGGGAGGCGGAAGTTGCAGTGAGCCAAGATTGTGCCATTTTACTCCAGCCTGGATGACAAGAGTGAAACTCGGTCTCTAAATAAATAAAGGAATGATAATCTGGCCCTCGATGGGCTTCCCTTTTCTGCACAATAGTTTAGCATCCAAGGCCTCCCCCTTCCTTGGGCTCATCCCCCACCTATGTCCACCCAAGTGCCACAGCAGGCTCCTGAGGTGCTCCCGGTAGAGTGCTCCATTTTAGAGAGCTCCCCACCCCCACCCCTGCCCCAGCATCCTTCCTTTGTCCACTCCCTGCTGCAATCCCACTGCAACACCCTGTTCGAATGTCACCACCTCTGGGAAGCCACCCTGGTTCCCTCACCTACCAAAACCATGTCTGTCTCCCCCACTGCAGTGGGAACATCTTGAGTGCAGAACAGTGGCCCCAGAGCATGGTTTCCCATTTAATGTTTGATGAATGAATGAATGATTAAATGAGGAAAAGACTTAGCAGAAAAACAGAGTTTAAAGAGAAGGGCAAGCCCGGGTGCAGTGCCTCACACCTGTAATCCCAGCACTTTGGGAGGCCAAGGCGGGTAGATCATTTGAGGTCAGGAGTTCAAGACCAGCCTGGCCAACATGGTGACGCCCCATCTCTACTACAAATACAAAAATTAGCTGGGCGTGGTGGCGGGTGCCTGTAATCCCAGCTGCTCAAGAAGCTGAGGCAGGAAAATCACTTGAACATGGGAGGTGGAGGTTGTAGTGAGCCTGGATTGCACCACTGCACTGCAGCCTGGGTGACAGAAAGAGACTCAGCCTTAAAAAAACAAACAAACAAAAAAAAGAAGTGAAAGGCACACTTTTTTTTTTTTTTTAAGAGATGGAGTCCAGGCTGGTCTTAAACTCCTGGCCTCAAGCAATCCTCCCTCCTGGGCCTCCCAAAGTGCTGGATTACAGGCATGAGCCACTGTGCCTGGCCACATTTATTTCTTTATTCATTTTTCATGCTACTATTTAATATGCGTCTCAATGAGTGATGCTTGGTGTGACACCAGGGCTCTCAGAGGGCAGGAGCTGAGCCTCCCTTTCCTGCCCTCTCCCTAAGGGGCCAGACACTGGGCTCTGGGGGCATACCTGTGACCCACCCCACTGACTCACCCTGCAGGCTAGACCAGGAGTCAGGCAGACTCCCCTGTCACTTGTCATCTCTGGGCAAGTTCCTCTAGCACTTACCTCCTTACTTTTCCTCTGTGAAGTGGGGCGCCATCAATGCCCATTCTGCAGGGCACCCAAAGTTGAAGCCGGGACAACTGGAACAGGGTGTGGCTGTTCCCTCTGCCAGGCCACATCGGACCGTCTTGGGCCAGATTTTCCAGGGAAGAAGGGAAAGCTGGAACAGTGTCCCTAGCTTGCCTGGCAGCCAGCTAACCTGTGCCCATAGTCTGGGAGAGGTGCCAGGCCCAGACACACTGGGCAGCAGGGGGCTGGATTGGCTCCAGAGCTCCAATGCTTTGGCAGTCCTGGGGAAGGGAAGGGATGTGCTTGGCTTCAGGTCAAGAGGGTGTGGGCCACAGAAGTGACAGCTGGGGGTGGTGGAGGGCACAGCGGGCTTATGGGGGTGTGTGCGAGACCACTGTTGCAACAAGATGCTGGCAGGGACCTTCAAAAGAACATCTGCTGTTGACTGGCCTCCCCACTCCCACTCCTCCACAGGTTTTCCCATGAGTCCTAGAGGAAGCCAGGCCCCAGGCTTCTAGATAGAAAATAGAACCTACATTGGCCAAGTGTAATCCCAGTGCTTTGGAAGCCCAAGCCAGGAGGATCGCTTGAGGCTAGGACTTTGAGACCAGCCTGGGCAACATGAGGAGACCCCGTCTTTACAAAAACGAAAAAAGAGAAAATAGAACCTCAGGCCTAGAGCCAGAGTTCAGGATTGGGGATGCAGGGAAAGGAGGAGAGGGGGGCCATAACTCAAATCTCTTTCCCAAAGATAGAGTAGTTCCTGGCTGGGTGCAGTGGCTCACACCTGTAATCCCAGCACTTTGGGAGGCTGAGGCAGGCAGATCACTTGAGGTCAGGAGTTCGAAACCAGCCTGGACAACATGGTGAAACCCCTTCTCTACTAAAAATACAAAAAAATTAGCCAGGCGTGGTTGTGGGTGCCTGTAATCTCAAGCTACTTGGGAGGCTGAGGCAGGAGAATTGCTTGAACTCGGGAGGTGGAGGTTGCAGTGAGCCAAGATCGTGCTACTGCACTCCAGACTGGGCAACAGAGTGAGACTCCGTCTCAAAAAAAAAAAAAAAAAATAGGCCGGGCACGGTGGCTCACGCCTATAAGCCCAGCACTTTGGGAGGCCGAGGCGGGAGAATCAAGAGGTCAAGAGTTTGAGACCAGCCTGCTCAACATGGTGAAACCCTGTCTCTACTAAAAAATACAAAAAATTAGCCGGGCGTGGTGGTGGGCACCTGTAATCCCAGCTACTTGGGAGGATGAGGCAGGAGACTCGCTTGAACCCAGGAGGCAGAGCTGAGATAGCGCCACTGCACTCCAGCCTGGGCGACAAGAGTGAAACTCCATCTCATAAATAAATAATCAAACAAACAAACAAACATAAAAAGATAGAGGAGTTCCTTCATCCTGCAGGAAAAAGGGGTGGGTCACGCAGCATCAGAGCTGTGAACTGAGAAATCCTAGGGAAAGAAGAGGCCAGTGCCTGAGTCCCTACTGGATGATGGGAGCAAGGGGGAAGGGTGGAGGCTCCCAGACTGGAACTCTCCAGGAGGTTTTTGGCTGGGGAACAGAAGGGAGAGCAGGAGGTCCCAAGGTAATGAAATGAAGGAGGGAGTTACAACCTTCAGCAAATTCTGGGGAAGTGAAGGGATCTGAGGATGAGGACCGGATTCTGGGACAGGGATGCTGAGCTGCTAAGTCGGGAAGAGGCTGGAAGCCAGGCACGGTGGCTCACGCCTGTAATCGCAGAGCTTTGGGAGGAGGGAGGATCGCTTGAGGACAGGAGTTCAAGACCAGCCTGAGTAACATAGCAAGACCCTGTCTCTACAAAATATTTGAAAATTATTCAGGAGTAGTGGCGAGCAACTCTAGTCCCAGCCACCCAGGAGACTGAGGCGGGAGGATTGCCTGAGCTCAGGAGCTCAAGGCTGCAGTGAGCTATGATTGCACCACAGCACTCCAGCCTGGGCGACAGAGCGAGACCCTGTCTCCAAAAATAATAAATAAAAAACGAGACAGGGCTGGGGCAGAGGAGGCAGCAGGGTCTCTGGGGACCCATCCCCGGGAGCGATCACGCGTGCGGAACGTCCAGGACGAGACCCCAGGGCTTCGATCCCCACGGGGCTGCTCGTGCGGGGTGGGGCGGGGTCTGGGCGGGGTCTGGGCGGGGCCCGGGCGGGGTGGGGCGGGGCCGGGGTCCCGGGGGCCGGGGCGGGGCCGGGCTGGCGCTGCGCAGCCGCGGGGCGGCCGTCGCGCATGCGGGGCTCACACGGCTGCAGCCGGCGCCGCTGCCACTCCCGGGAGCATGAAGGACCGAACCCAGGAGCTCCGCACGGTGAGTCCGGCCCCAGCGCGCGGCCGCCCGCCGCCCGCCGCCAGCGCCAACGCGCCGGACACTTCCCGCCCGGCTCCCGCGGCCAGGATGGTGGCCGCTCCTGCGCCCCCAGCCAGGGCTGAAGGGAGCGGGGCGAGCCAGGGACCTCGACCCCCCTCCGGGTTCCGCCCCTCGGACCCACTCGGGGTCAGGCTCGCGTGAGCTCGGCCGCGCTGACACGTGGACGGTCGGCTGGAGTCCGGGGTCCTGGATAAACTTTTCGGGGCCCTCTTGATTTGGGGGGTTCGGAGGGTATGATGGGGTTTTGGTGGCGGGACCTCTTCCCCCTCCCGCAGAGCAGGCCCTTTCTCTGGCCCCCTCACTGCCCCTCATCTCTGACCTCCCGTGCCCCCTCGGTGTAGACAGACGAGGGGACCGCGGTGGGAACCTCCTTGGTGTAGACAGACGAGGGGACCGCGGTGGGCCGGTGCCGGTCCCCTGCGCGGGGCCCCGCTGCGGGGCGCGCTGCGGAAACCTGATCGTCGGGTGGTGGCGGCCTCCTCGGGCCACCCTGGTCACCTGTGGCTCCCATCACCTGTGGCTCCCCCTCTGCTTGGTCGCAGTAGGGATCCACTGCCCGCCCCAGGTATGGGGGGGGGGGCGTCACACCCGCCCCCGGTCCACCTATCCACCTTCGGGCTTTCGGGCAGCACTGGCTGGCGTTTCCAGACCCTTCAGGGTTCCTTGCGACTTGGATCTATTTTTCTACCTGTATCTGGGAAACCCCTGGGGTGTGGCTCCTGGGGCGGGGTTTGGGGGGAGTAGGAGGATGCACAAACGTTCTGAGTCAGAGCCCACCTTCTCCCAGCCCAGAGACCCCTGCAGCCTGCGTGGGTCCCCTTCCCCTGGCCTCTGCCCTTAGGGATGAGGAGCCCAGGAGGATGGTGACCGGGAGTGGAGGACAGCGACGGAAATGAAGCCTCTCTGGGTGTGTCGGGGAGGGGGGGTGGATCAAGGCTCAAGACTAGATTGAGTCTCATCTGGTCATCTGGTCCCCTGGCTGGCCACCTGGCTGGCAGCCCTGCCTGCTGATCCCTGGGAGCACCCCCCACCCCGCTCCCTGGGCTAGGAACTAGAACCCTAAGGTCCCCTCCTATGGAAAATGTCAAGTGTCCTTTGGGCATTTGACCCCACGGCTTGTCTTCTCCACCCAGAGGCTCCCTGAGTTGGAGCCTGTCTGCCCCATTATGTCATGGTTGCCTCCTGGGCATCCTGGAGCCGGGACCTGGGCTCCCCTGCCTTCATGTCCCCCACTTGCTCTGGCACCACGGCCTCCACTTTGCCTCCAGACCTGTTATTCCTGGCCGAGCGCCCAGCCCCTGGTGTAAACCCCATGAGGTTTCAAAGGAAGAAGATGGTCCCTCAAGTCGCATATGGGCTCTAAACACTTCCCCCGCGGCCCCTGTGGTTGCCCTCAAGTTTCCTGAGCTCCGTTGAGTCAGAATGAGTGTTTTCCTGGTGACGGATGGCTGTGTGGTGTAATGTGCTGATGTTTAGGCGCCTGGTAGGTTACCTGAGGGTGTGTGTGGGAACCAAGTGGTCAGGGGAACCATGGGCCCCTACATAGGATAATAGCCTCTGGCATGTCAGCCTTCATCCCCCTAGCTGAAGGGGAAACTGAGGCACAAAAGAAACACGGCTTGCCTGCTAGAGGGAGGGGTGGTAGAAAAGGGCTTTGCCTCATCCCTGAAGATAGTCAGACTCAGGCCTGGCTGACACTGGGGGACAGCCAGTGGAGCTGGGGTTGTGAAGCGTTTGAACCCAGATCTTTTTGCTCTGATGTCTGTCTCTGTTACTACCTCCTCGCCCCCTGATTAGATGGTGAAGCCAGGCTTTGCTTTGAATGGTCTGAGGCTTCCGCTCCAGACACCCCCACCCTCCCCACACAAGGCATTCAGAGCCCAGGGAGGCTGTACCCATTGCTGGGTGGCCCTGCCCAGGGAGGGCTTTCTAGCAGACAGGTGGACGGCTGGCAGGCAGGAGCCCACCCGGGGTGGGGTGAGACAGTCAGTCTTGGTGGGGCCACTGTTCCCACAGGCTGCTTTCCCTCTGGACCTAGGGTTCCCATCTGTGAAGTGGGGATGGGAAAGCCTAGAATTCAGTTTCTCGGGACGAGAAGCAGGGCTACAGGTCTCCTGACTCCAGCTCCACATTTGTAGGAGGCCTGAAGCCCCAGGAGTCAGAATTTTCAGCCCAGAATCCCCAGAAAGGAAGAGGCCAGCACTGGCTGAGCTGGACTGGGCTGGACTGGGCTGGACTGGGGCGGGCTGGGCTGGGCTGGGCTGAACAGAGATGGTGCTGGGGACAGCGGCTGTGCACCGCTCCCAGCCCTCCCTCCCTCCCTCTTCCTCCTCCTCCTCCCTCTTCTTTCTCCTTCTCCCCCACCCAACACCACCACATTTGGAAGGAGGCGAAGAGAGCTTATTTATAAAAGTCACACTTGGGGAAGGAGCTGGCGCGTTTCCTCACTCTGCAGGCCCGGCCCAGCCCTCCAGCCTTCTCCAGCCTTCTCCAGCTCCCAACTCTCCCTCTGCAGATGGGGAGTGAAGGGGGTCACTGGGGACTAGCCAGGGGGCCTCAATGCTGTCGCAGTCCCTCAGAGATCAGAAAGGCCACTTGCAGGTTACAGGTAACAAAGAGAGACCGAAGACAGGGCCAGGGTCACACAGCCAGGGAAAGACTTTTAGGTTAGAGCATCCCCAGGAGCCCCACTCAGGCTGTAGCTGCCTCCTCCCCTCAACTCAGAGACTCCCTGATTTTCTTCCTGGGGACTTTGCAGAGCTGACCTTTCTCCCTGGGCCCAGAACATGTATTTGTCTATGTGCCAGGTCATGTGGGACAGACACATGGGACCTGTTGCAGGAGGCTGAAGACGTAGCAAGGAGGGAGAGTTGGAGCAGCACAATCCTGGAAGGCTTCCTGGAAGAAGAGACCCTGGGATAGCACAGGAGCAGGAGCTGGATTTGAATAGGAGGAGAGAAGGTGATCCAAAGGAGGGGACAGCTTAGTGAAGGCAGAGAGATTGGAATGCTCAACCAGGAGAGAATAGCAGGTGGTCCTGACAGCTGGTGTCTGGGGCCCCCTGAAGTGCCTTGAGGTCTAGACTAGGGCCCAACTCACTGGAGCAGCCCAGGCAGGCCTGGATGGGAAGGCCCAGGGCCCTGCTTTGCCCATCAGTTTCCCCTTCTCTTTCGTTGCTGGGAAGAGTCTGGCGGTTGGGTGGCAACACCGGGCAGGTTCATCCTTAATCTCCCTCTGCTCATTTCCTCATCTGCAGAATGGAGCCAGTGTTACCTACTTTGCAGAGTGGCAGGCACGAGAGTGTAAGAACAGGAGCCGGACAGGGCTCGCCCGATCCTTCCTCCCATTACGTTCCAGAGGTTTCCCAGCATGAACGATGCATTTGGGTACATTTTCATCTGGGGTGCAGGTGGAACGGCCTCCCGGGACCATCTAGTTCAACCTCCTATCTTACAGATCAGAAAACAGGTCCAGAAAGGGCCAGGTGTTTATCTGAGGTCATGCAGCCTGTGGGGGCAGAGCCTGGCCCCTTCCACGGCCTGAAGCTGCCTCCCTGAGCCACTCTGGGGCCCTGTGAAGGGGCAGGCTCTGCAGGGCGGGGACCTGGTGTACACACAGCTGGAGGCTGGAGACAGGGTGAGGAGGCTCAGATTGCACAGCCGTCTTTCCTGGAGACCCAGCTTGGCCTCTCGCACACCCCTGACTCAGCTCCGGGCCTCTCTGCACTAGTGATATTGACTTTGATTAGTCATTTAAAAGAAGAAGGGAAAAAAATAGCCCTCGAGGCAGACAACAGCCACTGTGCTCAGCAGTGATGAATCAACCTTGCCAGCCTGGTGGCTTCCCCTGGGACACGCCTGGAGGCTGCCTGGCCTCTGCGCCTCTTGGAGGAGTCAGACTATTACATCCAGGAAGGTGTCCTGGAATCCTGGAGTCTCTGCTAGGAGAGACCACCAGGGCTGCCCCACCTCTGCCAGGGGAAGCTCAGGGCATCCAGCTCCCCGTGGTTCCAGCAGGGTCTGTTCTTCCTAGCAGTCTCCATGCTAGGGAGGTAAGGAGCACTCCCTCCCAGCCTTCCTGGTTGGAGGTGGTGTTTTTTGTTGGTTTTTTTTTTGTTTTTTTAGACGGAGTCTCGCACTGTCTCCAGGCTGGAGTGCAATGGTGCCATCTCAGCTCACTGCAGCCTCCACCTCCTGGGTTCAAGTGATTCTCCTTCCTCAGCCTCCTGAGTAGC
The DNA here is from genome assembly GCF_000001405.40 of Homo sapiens. Taxonomy (NCBI): domain Eukaryota; kingdom Metazoa; phylum Chordata; class Mammalia; order Primates; family Hominidae; genus Homo; species Homo sapiens. The sequence continues at coordinate 73,715,307 of NC_000007.14, read as the reverse complement.
TGAGACTACAGGTGTGCATCACCATGCCCGGCTAATTTTTGTATTTTTAGTAGCAACGGGGTTTCACCATGTTGGGCAGGATGGCCTCGATCTCTTGACCTCGTGATCTGCCCGCCTCGGCCTCCCAAAGTGCTGGGATTACAGGTGTAAGCCACCACACCCAGCCAATTTTTTTTTTTTTTTTAGACGGAGTCTCATTCTGTCATCCAGGCTGGAGTGCAGTGGCATAATCTTGGCTCACTGCAACCTCCACCTCCCAGGTTCAAGTGATTCTCCTGCCTCATCCTACCGAGTAGCTGGGATTACAGGCATGCACCATCACACCCGGCTAATTTTTGTATTTTTAGTAGAGATGGGGTTTTGCCATGTTGACCAGGCTGTTCTTGAACTGCTAACCTCAGGTGATCCACCCACCTTGGCCTCCCGAAGTGCTGGGATTAAGGCATGAGCCACTGCACCCGGCTACCCCTATAAATTCTGATTCAGTCTCTTTGGGGTGGATCCCTGGAAGCCGTTTTTGTTTTTTTTTTTTAACCCCCCCAAAGGATTCTGGTGCTCGCCCAGCTTTGAGAACTGCTGAATGCAGAACAAAAAAACACCAGGATGTTAGCTGGGCTTGGGGGCTCACACCTGCAGTACCAACTACTTGGGAGGCTGAGGCGGGAAGACTGCTTGAGCTCAGGAGTTTGAGACCAGCCTGAGCAACATAGTGAGACCACCATCTCTACACAAATTTAAAATTAGCCAGGTGTGGTGGCAGGCACCTGTAGTCCCAGCTACTCTGGAGGCTGAGGCTGGAGGATTGCTTGAGCCTGGGAGATCAAGGCTGCAGTGAGCTATGATCTTGCCACTGCACTCCAGTCTGGACAACAAAGCGAGATTCTGTTTCAAAAAAAAAAGAGCTGGGCGCGGTGGCTTACGCCTGTAATCCTAGCACTTTGGGAGACCGAGGCGGGTGGATCACCTGAGGTCAGGAATTCAAGACCAGCCTGGCCAACATGGTGAAACCCCGTCTCTACTAAAAATACAAAAACTAGCCGGGTGTGGTGCGGGTGCCTGTAATCCCAGCTACTCGGGAGGCTGAGGCAGGAGAATCGCTTGAACCTGGGAGGCGGAGGTTGTGGTGAGCCGAGATTGCGCCACTGCGCTCCAGCCTGGGCAACAGAGCGAGACTCTGCCTCAAAAAAAAAAAAAAAAGTGCCAGGACAAATTGGATGTTGGTTGGATGGGAGAAGAGGAGGAAGATGGCAGATGTCCTAGGTTTCTGGCTTGGGGTTCTGCGCTAGGCAGTTCAGAGGATGGGGCTCTGGCAAAACAGGTGGAGCCTGGTTTTGGCCAGGAGGCAGGCAAGGTGCCCGTATGATATCTGGGCACATCCGTCCGTAAGACACTTGGGCCTTTGAGTTTGTGCCCCACAGTTCCAGCTGCCACCTGCACAGCGAAGGGTTCCAAGTCCCCAACTCCAATCCAGCCCCCTCTCCAGAGCTGTGAATGCCACTCAGAAAGCATTGGTAGATCCCCAAGGGAGCTGGGCCCTAATTATTCCACAGAAATCTGTGTGTCCACTTTTGTTTTTTTGAGACAGGATCTTGCTCTGTCACCTAAGCTGGAGTGCAATGGCACGATCATAGCTCACTGCAGCCTCGACCTCCAGGGCTCAAGCAATCCTCCCACCTCAGCCTCCTGAGTAGCTGCAATTACAGATGCATGGCACCACGCCCAGCTAATTTTTGTAGCTTTTGATAGAGATGGGGTCTTGCTATGTTGCCCTGGCTGGTCTCAAACTCCTGGACTCAAGTAATCCTCCCACCTTGGCCTCCCAAAGTGCTGAGATTACCGGCGTGAGCCATCATGCTTGGCCACTTTATGTATACAGTGCCCGCCCTGGCCAGCCCAAGACACCAGGAAGACAGCATGCCAGGGTAGCCACATCACCTAGTTACATTTTGGTCAAGAGTGTGTCTGGGCTGGGAAACAGAGGAGGTGAGGGTGGCAGTGGGGCTCTGCCATCCCGCGTCCTTATCAGTTTATTCCGTGTCCAATGAGAACTGATTCCTTATCTGAGTGAATCTGGAGGACATCTCTAGAATGCTGCCACCAGGCTCTAGCTTGGATGTGGATGAGGGTGCAGGGGCGACAGAGCCAGGAGCCATCAGAATCCCACAAACTGAAATAAGCATCAGAACAAATGAAGAAATGAAACAGGAAGAAGGTCCTTCACTCGAACCCCAAATCCACTCCACAGACAGTGGTTGGGAAGGGCTTGGGGCTTTTCTTGACAGGAAATGCTACATGATCACTTATCTGATTCCTGGCTGTATTACTAGAGGTAGATCATATAGAAAGAGGGAGGGGATGGGCCAGATCTTTGGCATTGCCCAGACCACAGTCAGCAGCAGATTCAGTTTGTGTGCTGTATGACAGGAGACAGAGGCACAGTGGAACAACTCTTGGGCAGGGGCTGTAATTTGGGGTCCCTGGGAAGGATCTGAAAGGGAAGGAATACTTAAAAAGAAAAATCTAGGGAGGATGTGGATGCCGCCTTCAAATCTATAGCAGGGGTACCCCAGGGAGAGGGCACCCACAGGTTCTTTATGGCCTGGAACCAAACCACAGGGAAGAGAAGGACTCTAACAGTTGGGGCTGCCCGAGATGGGCAGAGCTGTCTGGGGAAGCTAGTGAGCTCACTGTCACAGGAGGTTTGCAAGCTGAGGCTGGCAGCTGAAGCCAGGGGGACTTTTCAGGTCCCTTAGGGCCTGAGAGTTTTCAGCCATGGCTCCAATAGGAATGTGAATGGCGTGTGGAAGAACAAGGTGCGAGATACTGATTTGGGGGGGCAGGGAGGCTTCTGGAAGGAGGTGGCATCGAGGAAGAAGGGAATGTCACCTTCATGGAATCAGCATCCCGGGCAAAGGGATGTGCCTGGGGGAAGTTGGGGGCAGAGGGTGGATTGTAGGGCCAGGAACCAGTTGTAGGTGTGGGGGAGTGGGGTCTGATCCCAGGGGAGGGCAGCAGGATAAAGAGCAGAGCTGGGGGTGAAAATTCCCAAGAACGAAGAAGTAGAAGGACGTGGGGAGGAAAGGCCCACTTCGCCCATCCCCTCTAGGTTTTGCTTGGAGCTGTGGCTGGTTTGACCATGCCTCAGAGGTCAGGCCCTCAGCCCCCCGACTGGCTTTGGGGCCAATCTCAATGCCACCTCCAGGGTAGACTTGACCTGCGTGCCCCCATCTACCCTGGCCCTGATCTCCCTTTCCCCAGCCCTACCCTCATAGACGGAGGGTCCAGAGGAGGATGCGGGCATCTCTCCTCCCAGCCCTTCTGTTAGAGAAGCTTCCTGGTCCAGCCTTCAGCCTTCTGGGAAGGTAGCAGGTCAGAGCTGGCCGGATGCCTGGAGAAGATCTGCCCTCATTACACAGATGGGCAAGCTGAGGTCAAGAGAGGCACCAGACAGGTGCCAGGGGTCTCTGAGGGCAGGACAGGGGTTCGGTGGGGCTGGCAGTGACGCTCGTCTCTGGCCACGGAAAAGGAGCTGGATAATTCTCCATCCACCCTTTGTCATCTACCCTGATCCTCTGAGCACCAGGGCAGAGAGGGCAGGACACTGAATGGCAGGAGCTCCTGGGGCCACTTCCCAACCTGGCAGCCTGCCCAGGAGGAGGAACTGGGCTCCTCCTGGCAGTGCTCTGCCTCAGTTTCCCTAGGGAGGGCTCCTCTGACTCAACTCCTAGGCCTGTCACGGTCTAAAAGCGTGAAAACGGCTCCTGGATTTTCTGTGTCTGTAGGGAGCTTGGTGGGGGAGGGGGTACCACCTGGTGACAGCCCCAGGCACTCGGTGGGGAGTGGGAACGAGGATTTATTTTAGCTGCTGGGGAGGTGGTACGATATCTTAAAGAGAGGAGGCCCCTCTGAGCCGCCTCTATCAAAGCTCCTAACTACCCCCTCTCCCCATGAGTCCCCACTTTGATGGGGTGATGTGAGCCCCTCACAGAACATGCTCAGGCCGGGCATGGTGGCGGCTCACACCTATACTCCCAGCACTTTGGGAAGCCAAGGTGGGAAGATCACTTGAGCCCAAGAGTTTGAGACCAGACTGGGCAACATAGTTTGACCCTGTCGCTACAAAAAAAAAAAAAAAATCAAAAAGTAGCTGGGTGTGGTGGCATGCATCTGATGCATCTGTAGTCCCAGCTGCTTGGGAGGCTGAAGTGAAAGGATGGCTTGAGCCCGGGAGGTTGAGGCTACAGGGAGTTATGATTGTGCCACTGCACTCCAGCCTGGGTGACAGAGCGAGACCCTGTCTCAATCAATCAATCAGTCCATCCATCAATCAAACAAACATACCTGCCCTGCTTCCCCACTTTTTCTCAGCCCTCCCTCCATGCAGCCAGGTGTCACTGTCCCCATTTCACAGAAGAGTAAATAGAGCCAGAGGGGTTAAGGCCCAGCCTGATGAGTCCCATCAGTTCTCTCAGCCCCTCAACCTCCACCTGCCTCCGTCCTGACGCGAGAGCACCGAGGTGGGGTCAGTGCTGAGCTAGTCAGTGGCCACTCCCGTGAGGCACTCAGAAATGAGGTGGGAACAAGATCAGATGTGGTGGTTCACGCCTGTAATCCCAGTACTTTGGGAGGCCGAGGCGGGTGGATCACCTGAGGTCAGGAGTTCGAGACCGGCCTGGCCAACATAGTGAAACCTGTCTCTACTAAAAATACAAAAATTAGCTGGGCATGGTGGCATGCACCTGTAATCCCAGCTACTCGGGAGGCTGAGGCAGGAGAATTGCTTGAACCCAGGAGGTGGAGGTTGCAGTGAGCCAAGATCACACCACTGCACTCCAGCCTAGGTGACAGTGCGAGACTCTCTCAAAAAATAAAAAAATAAAAATAAAAGAGGTGGGAACAAGCCCTGAGCCCCAGGCTGAGAGACCTCAGTCCCTGCCCCAGGGTGGCCACCCCGGATATCCTTGCCTTGGCTGCAGAGAGAGACCTGGCCTTGCCAGCAGCGTGGGCTGACCCTGGCCAACTGGCGGTATGAGGCAGACAGTAATAATTGTGCGCAGCATGCTGGGAAGTCAGAAGTATGATTACCCCTGCCCCACGATGGGGGTGGCTTTTGTACAGCTGGTCCTGGGACAGTGGAGTGGGGCTTGTAACTGTGGCTGAGGCCTAAGGCAGGACCCAAGCCAAGTGGCAACATGACTGTCCCCTTGTGCCTGCTGGGCCCAGGTCTGGGGACTGGAAGGAGGCAGACCGAGGTCCAATGGCAAGACCGACAGGGAGGCCAAGTGCAGTGGCTCACACCTACAATCCCAGTGCTTTGGAAGGCTGAGGCAGGAGGATCGCTTGAGGCCAGGAGTTCAAGACCAGCCTGGGTAACACAGTGAGACCCCCGTCTCTACAAAAATAAAAATTAAATTTAAAAACTGTTTTAAAAAAAGACTCACAGGAGATTCCTAAGAGATCTGATCCGTGCCACCTCGGGACTGGGGTTTAGTGGTGCCCAGGGCTGGGACACAGTAGGCAGGTCTCCCCTTATAGGGCCCACTCTGGAAAGGGAGCTTGGGACCTCTGGGCTCCACCTGAATTAAAACCACTGGAGCCAGGCATGGTTGTGGAAACCTATAATTCCAGCTACTCGGGATGCTGAGTTGGGAGGATCGCTTGAGCCCAGGTGTTTAAGGCTGCAGTGAGCTGTGATTGCACCCCTGCACTCCAGCCTGGGTGACACAGCAAGACCTCAACTCTACAGATGTGTGTATGTGTTTGTGTGTGTGTGTGTAAACCACAGGGCCAGGAGAGTAGAGAATGCACTTTCCAGGCAGCTGTCCTAGGGGCCTAGGGGACCCAGAGGGCCCAGACAGAGCGGCCGGCCCCAGGCTCGCTTGCCTCCCCAGCCACAGGGAGGGGGCAGGCAGATAGGTGAGGGAGGAAGTCCCTGGCCCAGAGGCTGAGACTTGGCCTTGACACCAGTGTATCAGGCAAGGTTCCTCTCTCTGTGCCGGGCCCCCAGTGGTCCTCCAGATCTTACTGTGGCTGGGAGCGGAACAGCCAGGCCTGTTCTTGTCCCTGCCCAGAGGCCCCCAGGGAGAGGGGGAGGGGCAGGGCCCTGGCGCTGTACCCTGGGCACCTGCGTGTGTACAGGTGGGTCCTGTACATACGTCCACTTATGTGTGCACAACCCCGCACAGGCCAAGGACAGCGATGATGATGATGATGTCGCTGTCACCGTGGACCGAGACCGCTTCATGGATGAGTTCTTTGAGCAGGTGGGAGCCAGCACACCCCACCCTTCCCGCACACTGGCAGAACTTGGGGGGCCACTCTCGCCTCTGAGCCAGGTTCAGTGCTCTTTCACACCTGCACCTGGCTCAGCAGCTCCGGGGTGCCAACGAATGAACCGTTTTGAGGGTGAATAGATGGAAGCTCAGAGCGGAGCTAAATCTGGGATCACACTCCTCCCCATCTGGGTCTGGAAGGATGCACCCCCACTGCACCCCAGCACCCGGAGCCTGGCCCGTCCTCCCCCTGAGCCCTGACCGCAGCCCTACTCTGGGCCATCTCTGGGCCCCAGAAGGCTTCTCCCCTGATTTCCTTCTCCTGACCACCTGGCCTTGGTCCGCAGGTGGAGGAGATTCGAGGCTTCATTGACAAGATCGCAGAGAACGTGGAGGAGGTGAAGCGGAAGCACAGTGCCATCCTGGCATCCCCCAACCCCGATGAGAGTGAGTGTGTGGGGCGGGGGACGGGTTTCAGGCCCCACAAGCCTCGGGAAGGGGCTGCTGCCAGGGAGGCCTCACGGGACCTCTGCAGCCTTCATGGCTGGTGGGCTTAGGAGTGTCTGGGCGGGCCAGGGTCGGGAGGGTTTCACGAGAAGCCTTGGGAAATGCAGCTGTCCCCGGCTTGGAACTGGGGGGTCAGTACCCAGCATCCCAGGCCGGCCAGACCAGGTCTCCATGAAAGACTTGGGTGATGGGAGAGGCGATCGGCCCCGCCCTTCCCAGGTGAACTGGCCTTTTTTTTCTTTTTTTCTTTTTTTTTTTTTTTTTTTGAGATGGAGTCTTGCTCTGTCGCCAGGCTGGAGTGCAGTGGCACAATCTCAGCTCACTGCCACCTCTGCCTTCCGGGTTCAAGCGATTCCCCTGCCTCAGCCTCCCAAGTAGCTGGGATTACAGGCACGCGCCACCATGCCCGGCTAATTTTTTGTATTTTAGTAGAGACGGGGTTTCACCATGTTGGCCAAGACAGTCTTGATCTCCTGACCTCGTGATCCACCTGCTTCAGCCTCCCAAAGTGCTGGGATTACAGGCATGAGCCACCGCGCCCAGCCGAACTGGCTTTTTTCCTTTTTTCTTTTCTTTTTTCTTTTTTTTTTTTTCAAGACGGAGTCTTGCTCTGTCACCCAGGCTGCAGTGCAGTGGTGCCATCTCGGCTCACTGCAACCTCCGCCTCCCAGGTTCAAGCAATTCTCCTACGTCAGCCTCCCAAGTAGCTGGGATTACAGGCATGCGCCACCACGCCCGGCTAATTTTTGGTATTTTTAGTAAAGATGGGGTTTCTCCATATTGGTCAGGCTGGTCTCGAACTCCCGACCTCAGGTGATCCGCCCGCCTCGGCCTCCCAAAGTGCTGGGATTACAGGCATGAGCCCCCACGCCCAGCCCCAAGAAGGTATTTTTTTTCATTTCGAACTGGCTTTTTTCTAAGGCAACTGGGCTGGCTGCAGCCCTGGGCTTCTGGGAGCGAGGGAAGGAAGGAGGGAAGGAGGAAGCTGTCTGTGATCAATAGGAAGGCCTCTCGGTCCAGCCCCGCCCCTCCCCTCGCCTCCCAGGGGAGCAGATGGCAGCTCTAAGTCGTCAGCGCTGTGGGAGGGCAAGCTGGCCAAGCAGGCAGAGCTTCCGGAAGGAGCTGGCAGCCCTGGCACCTGGCCATGTGGCACCCCGGGGCGGGCATTCTCAGGGCTCCAGGAAGTCACCCCTCTCCCTCCACACTGGGAGCCTGTGTGTCAGGCTCGCACTCTGTCCCCAGACAGGTCCCCCTGACCCGGTCCTCATGTTCCTGTTGAGATGTTGTTTACTACACTGAGAGATGCCAGGCTGATGGCATAGGTGCCCTTCCCTGGAGGGGGGCTCACCATGAGCCCCAGGGATGCAGCCATCAGGTGTTTGAGGGAGGCAAGCGCTGGCCACCCAGGTGCCCGGGGTCAGATTTTCTTCTCACCTCCAGCACGGCCTCCTGGTCTATGACCCCTCACCCCCAAGCCCACTGGCATCTTCAAGAACCCAGAGTAAATCTTTTCACAGCCCCAAAGTGTGCATGAACCCAGGTCAGTGCCACACCAACTAAGCCAGTGCCCCGCCCTCAGAAGGCAAAATGGGTCAGGTGGGAGCAGGGTGGACTGCCTCAGGAAGGGCAGGAGGGAGAGAGGGACGCCCAGGGCTCACCACGCTGAGCTCCTTGCCTGAGAGATTTGTTGGATGGCAGCATGAGACGGATGTCTGTGCGCCCAGAGGTATCTGGGTCACTGTGTGTCCCTCTGTGGGCTGTTCCTGCTCAGGGTCAGGAGGTGGCTGATTGTGGGGTGGGGACGGAGGGCTCTAAAGAGCAGGGGAGTGGGTCTCTCACTGCTGGCAGGTGGGGCGGGCATGGGGCAGCAGAGCTGTCTGCTCCACACCTTGGGCTCCTGCAGGCCACCTCCTGCACCGTCTCCTGCTGCGGTGTCATGCACAGTCATAGGGACCGGTTCTGAGTCACCACCCGTGAGCTGAGCAGTTGAGACCTGGCGGAGTCCCAGGCTCTCGCTAAGAGGAGGGGGCTCATGTTGGGGGTTCTAGGGCACAGGCGGCACAGAGTTAAGGAGAAGTCTCAAGGAAAGATGGCAATGAGTGGGGGGCTCTCCCGGGCAAGGCAGGCTCTGCCTCCTCTGGGGGCTGCCATCCGGCCTGGGCTATTTTGGGTCTGAGCAAAAGAGGCTGAGACGTCAGAGCAGCTGGTAACCGACTTTTCCTTTGTTCCTACGGATGAGGCGCCCTCCTCCGCGCCTCGGAACCCCCCCTTCCCCGCTCCACCTCACTGCATTCCACTTGGGAGGTGACCCCATCCGGGGCCTTCCTGATAGACCACTCTCAACACCCCTCCCTGTCCCCTCTAGGACAAACCCCAGCCCCAGGGGCAAGCAGAGGGGCAGGTGGGAAGGTGATAGCCAGAGCTCAGTCCCGGCTTCTCTCGGGGCAGAGTCCTGGGGGTGTCCTGAGACTGGGGTGTTGCCAGGAGCACCCCCAAGGGAGGCAGCTGTCTTGTCCCACTTTTCCATCCAGCTTCTCTCAGGCAGGGGGGCAAGCTGGGCACCCCCATGGCCTCTGCCAGCTTTAGGGAGATGGTTCTAGTTGGAACAAGGGCCACAAAACACTATGTCACCACCCTCGTCCAATTTCACCAGGGCCCCAGCTACCTGCCACGGCCAGGGCCAACTGTGCCCACCTCTTTGGACCTGAGGGCCCACATCAGCGCCCACCCAGGCCATCCACCCCTTGCCCTCTTCCGCCCGCCAGGTACTTAGCACCCAGGGAGGCGTAGCTTTGTGGGAACAGCAAGGTCTGCCCCACCCAGAGTGTTTGCGCATATGACTCAGGGAGTGTGGGGTGGTCCCCTGTCAACCCCCTGCCTGGCTGCGTACCCTCCTGAGCCACCAGGTAACACCAGGTGAGCCCACACCGCCCCCCCACCCCTTCAACTCCAGCAAGCATCAAGTCACTGTTCCCGGCGCCAACTCCAGCATCGCCAGCTGCTCCACAATTACTTCTGCCTTAAATTTAGACCCATCTGTTATCTCCAGGGGGTGGGGGCGCCAGCAAAGGAGGAAGGGAGGCTCCTCCGAAGACAGCACAAGAGGGGGTGAAGCTGCAGCTGGTGCAGCCCTGGCCCAGAATTGGGGGAGGGGGGCGGGCAGGCAGAGCCTTAGCCAGGGGAACAGGGGAGAACAGGGATCTTCCCAGAGCCTCCCACTGGGCCCCCTGGGCTGGAGGCTGAGCCTGCACATCAGTCCCCGCGGAGCCTAGGAGGCCTACCCCCACCCTTTCTACCTCCCCAGAGACGAAGGAGGAGCTGGAAGAACTCATGTCCGACATAAAGAAGACAGCAAACAAAGTTCGTTCCAAGTTAAAGAGTGAGTCAGGCTTGTCTGGGGGTGGGTGGGGGGCATTCTAGGCCTGCTTCCTCTGCGGAGCCCATGGGGTTTTGCTCGCCCTGAGGGGGTGCGCCGGATCTTGCTTTCCTTTCTGAGGGTGGCGTCATGTGCCCATTCACTCAGCAGCTACTTGGCAAGGCCCGTTGGTGCCAGACTCTGGGCTGGGCCCAGGGACACACCCACCTAAGGCTTTGGCGAGGGAGGGCTCCACTCTGGATGGGCACTGCCCCTCACCTCTGCTAAAGAGGGTTGAAGAAGTGGCCAGTACTTCCTGGTCTCTTGCAGAAGCCCGGTATTCTGGGTGAACAGACACGTGCACCCCATGAGTGCCAAGGCCTCGGGGCCACATGCCCTGCAGGAGGGGCCACCTGGCTCTCCCCGCTGTGGGCATGGTCCCTCGTACACAGCCTTTCTGAGCAGAAAAGGAGTGGTACCCAGGCATAGGGTGGCCGGAGCTACCAGACCTCACACACACGCAGAGCTTGGAGTGGGTGTGCATTTACACACATGCACACACCACACAGCGTCACAGCTGGAAGGGCTTCTGTAGGCCCCTCCTCCATCGGTGCCTGGCACTGATCCCACCAGCCACAGGCCACACACATACCCTAGGGGATGTGGGAAGGTGGATAGATGCTGGGTGTGCGGGTAGGGGACGGGGTTGAAGGGGCCTGGTTATGACTTAGCAGCCACCTGTGCCCCCAGGCATCGAGCAGTCCATCGAGCAAGAGGAAGGCCTGAACCGCTCCTCCGCTGACCTGAGGATCCGGAAGACACAGGTGCGGCCACGGAGTCTAGGATGGGCGGGCACCTGAGTCTCTGGGTCGGTCCCCGCAGGGCCTGACCCCTGCACCTCCATCTCGGGCCCCCAGCACTCCACGCTGTCCAGAAAGTTTGTGGAGGTCATGTCGGAGTACAACGCCACGCAGTCCGACTACCGCGAGCGCTGCAAAGGCCGCATCCAGAGGCAGCTGGAGATCAGTGAGCTGGGGGTGGGGCCTGGGGCGGGGCCTGGAGCCTGGAGGGGCGGGGCCCGAGTCTGCTGCTGAGTGCGTGGCTCAAGGCTGCTGCTTAGTTAGGGGCCCGAGGCGGGTGGCCCGAGGCAGCTGCTGAGTTTGGGGCTGGAGGGGCGGGGGCCTGAGGCGGCTGCTGTGTTAAGGGCCGGGGGGGCGGGGCCTGAGGCTGCCGCTGAGCTCGGGGCTGGGGGGAGCCCGGGCCTGGGACGGAGGGGGCGGGGCCCAATGCTGCTGCTGAACTCCCCGAAGAGGGCTGGGCTCAGTGTGACCCCACTCGCTTGCAGCCGGCAGGACCACGACCAGTGAGGAGCTGGAGGACATGCTGGAGAGTGGGAACCCCGCCATCTTTGCCTCTGGGGTGAGTGTAGGCCCCATCCCTCCTGCCATGACCCCCTCACCATGTTCCCTACGTCCATGACCCCTAGTGCTGGGTCTGGACAGTATTTGGACACAGACCCCTTGTAAGGCAGGTTTTAGGGAAGGAAGAGTCCCAGAGAGGGGAAAACACCAGGCTGAGGTCACATAAATGTCAGCGGCAAAGGTGGACTCAAGACCCCTGTCTCCTGATGCCTCCCAGTTGGACTCACTTTCGCCGGCGGCCAGCGGCTCCTCCTCTTATCCGTGGGCCCTTTTCCTCTCCTGGAGGACATTTGGCCATTTCTGTGTTCACGTGAAGCCGGGCAGGGGTGCTCCCTGAAGGATGTGGCACACAGGTGTTCGAGGCAGGCTTGGGGCTGTGAGTTCCAGGAGAGAGGGGAGGAGCAGTCACATTCAATGTGGGGGAAGGGACGGGAGAAAGGCAGTTCCAGGCTTGGGTCCACGGGGCAGTCAACTTCGGCTCTGCAAAATGCTGGTGATAAGGACTGTCACTGAGCACTCGCTCTGTGGCCAGCACAGGTGGAAAGTGTCACTAGCCCCACGTTACAGGTAGGAGATTGGCTTGCAGAGAAATTAGGTAACAGCTAGCATGTGGCAGAGCCAGGTAGCAAGGCGGGGAAGGCTGCGGCTTGGGAGGAAGCCTCAGGCCCCCTTCCGGAGCAGCTCTGCCCACCCCAAACGCCCTCCCCCTCGGCCCTCTGCCCTGCCCCTCAGCAAGCCTCTGGGTCCCAGCCCCCTGCTCCCACCCCCAGATCATCATGGACTCCAGCATCTCGAAGCAGGCTCTGAGCGAGATTGAGACGCGGCACAGTGAGATCATCAAGCTGGAGAACAGCATCCGTGAGCTACACGACATGTTCATGGACATGGCCATGCTCGTGGAGAGCCAGGTGAGTGCCGGGCCCCCCTGCCCTCCACTCCAGCCCACACCAGCACCCAGGGCTGCACTAACCTCGCCCTTTCTGCCCGACACGCTGCCCTGCCGGGGAGGGACCAAGTTCTCAGGTAACCAATCACCCGCTGTTGAAACTGCCGCCAGGGCCCTGCCGACCCGAAGGTCCCTGTCCTCTGCATGGCTCTGCTTGAGCTTCAAGGACCCCAGGCCCTGCATGGCCCCACCCTCTATACCCCGCCGTCTCTCATTCCCCTACTACTGTTTCCTCATGGGGCCACTGTGGGCCACGCATTTCCCCAGAGACTGAAGGCATAGCAGTGACCAGGACAGCTCAGGGACCTGCTTCCTGGAGTGAATGGCTGTTGGGCAAAAGAGTTGCCTAAGAACAAATCGAAGGTTCTCCAGTGGGGCTCAAACTTGAATGAGTCACCTGGAGGACTTGTAAGTTTCCAGGTCCCCGTCCCAGAGACTGGCAGCTGAGGTGAAGGTCCAGGAAGGTGCCTCTCTGACAAGCTCAAAGGTGGTGCCACCACCACTATGGTTCCAAAGTTACACAGAGTAACACCGTGACCACGATGGGGCGGCTGCCTTTGTTGGAGTGAGTGGTCAAGGAAGGCCTCTCAGGAGGGGACATTTGAGCTGATGCCAAAAAAGGGGGAAAAGGAGCCAGCTGTGAAGACTTCGCAGCGGAGATGAAGAGCTGGCCCCAGCAACACTAAGGTCCCAAGCCCAGCAAGACCCAGACTTATTTCAGGAACAGAAAAAGGAGGTCCTTGCTGCTGGGGCACAAGGAGTGGTCGGAGCTGAGATGAAGCTGGAGACGAGGTGGACGGGGCCTTGGCAGGCAGTGTGCTGGGGAATTTGCGGTCTCTTCTAGATTGGAGGGGGTTTGGGTTGTTTGTTTTGTTTTAGCAAAAGATGGGATCTTGCTGTGTTGCCCAGGCTGGTCTCGGAACTCCTGGGCTCAAGTGATCCTCTCACCTCAGCCTCCCAAAGTGCTGGGATCATAGATGTGAGCCACAGCACCCAGCCAGGTTGGAATGTGTTAAGTATGGGAGTGATGTGGCCTTGGTTAGGAAGTACGGAGGCCGTCAGGAGGCTGCCGCTGCCGCCATCTGGTGAGAAACAGACCATGGTGACGTGGACGCCAGTGAAGGCAACCGATGGACTTGGAGAGGGAGACACGCCCTAGGAGTCTTGTGGGGCAGTGTCATGGTCAGATTGGCCTCTGGGGGCAGCATGGGACCAGATCACAGGGCTCAAAAGGGCTGTGGGCTGGGCAGGGGGTTCTATTTTTTTTTTTTTCTTTTTCTTTTTTTGAGACGGAGTCTCACTCTGTCATCAGGCTGGAGTGCAGTGGCAGGATTTCAGTTCACTGCAACCTCTGCCTCCCAGGTTCAACCAGTTCTCCTGCCTCAGCCTCCTGAGTAGCTGAGACTACAGGTGCTCGCCACCACGCCCAGCTAATTTTTGTATTTTTAGTAGAGATGGGGTTTCACCATGTTGGCCAGGATGGTCTCGAACCTGACTTCAAGTTCTTAAAGACTGAAGACCCCAGACAGCAGACAGAGCTGGATGGAGCTGTCATGCCTGAGGATGGGGGTGTGGGCAGGCTCACCTGTGGCCACCTCAGGAGCTATGGCCAGGGCAGGACCAGACTCCAGCATACCCACTCCTGCTCCCACCTTCCTCTGCCTGGCACTGCCACATCTCTGACAGTGTTCTCTGCATGGTCCCCAACCCTCAGCTGAGACTGCATGGCCAGCTCCACCCCCAGGATTGCTGCTCTGCGGGGAAATGTGGGAGCTGCCTTGGGGAGCCTGCCTGGCCCTCTACACCCCACCCAGGGTACCTGGCCCAGGTGAGAAGCTGTACCCTAACCTCCTCACGCCCCCTTTTTGTCTCTAGCCTCAGGGTGCTTTCCTGAAGTCCTGCCCCGAGCCCCAACCCAACCCTGAGGAGGGGGCCCTCTGGAGCTCGGGTGCCCCCGGCCCCGCAGGGAGAGATGATTGACAGGATCGAGTACAATGTGGAACACGCGGTAGACTATGTGGAGAGGGCCGTGTCTGACACCAAGAAGGCCGTCAAGTACCAGAGCAAGGCGCGCCGGGTCAGTAGCCCAGCCCTGCCCAAGGCCATGCCCCAGCACCCATTAGGGACCCCCAACCATCCCACATCCCTCCCCATCCCACCTCTCTCCCTTCTCTCAGGAGCTCCCCATGACAGCCCCCTCCCAGGCCGTCACCTTCCCCTGCTTGGATCCCCCCCGACTGTCCAGTCCTCAGCCTTTGCCATAGTCCCACCCCACCTGCCGCCAACACTGTCTGAGGCCTCTCCTGCCCGCTTCCCATGCAGAAGAAAATCATGATCATCATCTGCTGTGTGATCCTGGGCATCGTCATCGCCTCCACTGTTGGGGGCATCTTCGCCTAGAAGCCACCCAAACTGCCACTCCACTCCAGGTGGGCCACTCCAAGGAGGCCCTGGCTGCTGCCACCTGGCTGGGCTGCCCTCCCAACCCCCGCCTCTGGCTCAGAGCACCCTCCCTCCCGGCCCCCATGCTCCCTTCTCTGCCATGGGCCCTCCGTCCCCGCCCCGTGTCGTGTGCATGATCTCTGTGAGTGTGCGTCTGTACGGGAAGAGGCAGAGGGAGGCAGCCAGCGGGGCGTGATGCAGTGTGCACAGCGAGGAGCAGACCCAGGCAGGGCCGCCAGGGTGACACAGGCCACCCTTCCTTGCCTTCAGTAACTCGGTGGGCCCAGGTTCTGCTCTTCCCTGGGGACCCTAACCTCGCCTCCAGCTGACCTGCCCTGTCCTCTCCAGCTGTCCCCACAAGCAGAGCCCTGAGGGGTGGGGACCAGCTGGCCACATGGTGCTGCTTTTCAGGTTAGGGGAGAGGTGGCCCTGAGGGACAGCCCAGCTCTGAGTCTCAGTCGCTGATCACTGCCAGGGAGGCTCAGGCTGCCATGGCTCCAGGCTCCCTCCCCTGCCTAGGGGCAAAGTCCATCGGGTCCTGGGCCTCAGCTTCCCTTCCCACATTCCTCCGGCCCCAGGAGCAACCCCTTGGGCTAGGTCTGACCCCAGGTGTCCCTCTGGAAGGGGCTGGCTGGTGCCCTATTTCCAGCCACCCCAGCAGCTAGGGAGGCAAAGCAGGCTGCAGTCAGTCCCTCAAGCCAGCGTTGCATGTTTGGGATGGTGGCTCCTGTTGTCTTGCGCTCTGGGAAGTCAGATGTCATTTCAGGCCTGCAGTCTCATCCTGCCCTTGCCATCCTCCCATCGATGTGCCACGTGGGTGTCACGTGTCCCAGATGCAGTATTCGGCAGCCAGCCGGGGAGGGCTACCTCCTCCTCCTCACCACCTTGGGGCTTCTCATGGGAAATGTGCCCCCGCCCCAGGACCCTCTCCCTTGTGGACAGGCAGGGAGATGCATGCGAGTGCATGCAGCAGGGGATGGGGCCGTGTCCGTGTGCCCCACCCTCCCTCGGCTTTACTCCTGCCCAGTGACTGTGACCACTGTCCGTGTTGCCTTCTTGAACAGCGATTCCCCCCAACCCCTTCACCAAAGGTCTTGGTACAACCAGCTGCCCATTTTGTGAAATTTTTATGTAGAATAAACATTTGTATCTGTACCAGGCCTCTGTTGTAGATTTCTTCCCCAGGTCTCCTGGGGGAAAACCTTAGGAGGGTTCTCACTATTGCCCAAGCTGGCCTCCCACCTCAGCCTCCCACAGAGCTGGGACCACAGGTTGTGCCTGGCCTGGCTGCTCTAGACTTCTTGCCATCTGCAGTGTCACAGTCTTAGAACCTGAGGATGAATGAATGTGGCACTAAGAGGAAGGGCTCAGAGGCGAGGATCCCAACTCAGCCTCAACCCCACCCTGGGCCTTCAACTTCCTCAGACCTGTCTCTGGCCGTGCAGTGGAAAACATCCAGGCCTTATTCCCTGAGAACAGGCCCAGAGGCCACTCTCAAGGCCTGGAATCTGACACCTGCAGGAAACCCCACTGCAGGGCTTAGATCCTCAGGCCCCAAGCCTCACCCCACTCCCAGACACCCAGCCCCTCGGGCCCCGGCACCCATTCCCTAATGTCTTAAGCTGCTGAACACCTAATCCAGCTCTGTACTGCAATGCCCAGGATCTTGCCCCTCTTCCCACATGGACCAAAAGGCTCAAGCAACCATTACACCTCCTCTCCTATCACAGCCAGCTGGACAGTCCCACACTACCCCAGAGCAGGACCTTCCCTTTCCAACCACTAGTGACGGGACAAGAGATCAGCCCAAGACATCCAAGCACTGGGCTGGTAGGCAGCTGACCGTGCAGCTCAGTGCCACAGTTCAAGCTGGGGCCGCTGGACTGGCAAGGCCTTCACAGGAAGGGAAAACGGACTGGCCAGCAGGCACCACGAACACATTTCATGTGGGCCCTCTTCCCAACTTTGCTTGGTGTGATTATGATACAGTTATATATAAGCCCTAAATTAAAGGACTCTGTGTTCCTTGCAAATGGAAAGAATGCTTTCATCTAAGTGTTTTAAATCTGATTCCTGCCTGGGGAGTCGAGCAGTAGCCCACCAGGAGGAACTGGAGTTTGGTGAGAATCACAGAGCTGGGAGATGCCAGAGCTCCACAAAAGGAAATTTTATTTCTTGCCTTTAAACAAAATAAGATGCTCTCAGAGCTTTTTTTTTTTTTTTTTTTCCTCCCTGGAAAGGAAGTTTCATTATGTTGCCCAGGCAGGTCTCAAACTCCTGGCCTCAAATGATCCTCCCACCTCAGCCTCCCAAGGTGCTGGGATTACAGGTGTGAGCCACCACGCCCGGCCCAGAGAACTTTTTTTTTACTGCAGAAAACATTTTTATAACTTTAGAACTTTTCTAAAATACTACTTTGTCAGCTGAACAATATAGAAAAGTGCAGAGGCAAGTGCCTTTCCAGAACCGCGTGGTGACTTAGAAGCGGGGCTTGCGCTTGCGGCCGGTGTACTGGGTGTCAGGTCTGACTTCCCTGTGCAGAAAAGGAATAGGACAGTCTCAGAAAAAAAAGATCAAAGCAGCCCTGGACCCTTCAAATAAAGGGAAGCTCTTCATGGCAATAGTCATCCACCCCCCACCCACCCTGCCAGCTCCCAGGCTGGCACTCACCTGCCCTGGCGCCTGTGCCGCTCCTTCTTCTCCAGCACCCATGCCCGACTCTTCCTCACCATTCCCCGCCTCGACATCCTTAATGGGAACCTGTGGCGGAGACACAGCTATGAGCTGATGGACAGCTGATGGATGGGGCTGCCCGACTGGCCCCCATGTGAATCCATGGCAAGCTTACCTCCGAGTCTGGTGGCCTCGGATGCCCCTTCTCTCAAATGCTCCACCTTCCCTATAACACAATTCCCCGCTCTGGACACCCTCCTTCCTGATAACATCCATCCGGGCCACAGAGGTTGTTGGGTGGGCAGAGGAGGAGAGAGCTGGGCCGGGCATGGAGACCTAAACACCAGCGAGCAGTCTGTTCCCTCTTCGGGAAGCAGCTAAGCAGCAGTAAGCAGGCCGCTTTCTACCAATGCAATGACACATCATCACCTAGACTTCAAGAGCACAGTCGACAGTTCACAGCAGGAGCTTAGGGTCCCACAGCTTGGGGGCAGGAAGACAGGGATGGAAAGGAGGGTCTGAAAAGGAAGGACTGAGGGGTATGAGGGAAGAAGGAAAGAGGGCGGGGTAACCCCGAAGACCCCTGTGACCATCCGTAGAAACCAGAGACAGGGCAAGCCAAGGAGCTGCCATTCGGATGCCTGAGCCTGATGAGCCAGCACAAAGCAGGAGCAGCTGCAGAGCAGGGCTGGGGACACAGGAGGAGTCATCTCAAGATTCTACAAAGAGTACAAAGTGAGGGCAGAGTGGCGAACCAGGGGGCAAGAGGTGAGCCATGGGAGAAGCAGCAAGGGGGAAAGTCATCAATGGAGCTAAAGGAAGGAGGTGAAGACGGGGAGTGCCCCAAAGCACAGGTCCCAAGAGAAGTGGGGGCCCAGCCCTGCAGGAGGCACATGAGAGGCATGGGAGGGAGGCGGCCAGGAGGAAGGGAGGAACAGGCCAAAAAGAGAGCCTGGAGACTGATTAGGTAAAGACTTAAAAAACTTTTTCTTAATTCACCTGTTTATTTAAAATAAACAAGTGTCCTGAATGTGGTTAGACTGAGATGACAGTAACGGGAGAAGCTCCTCCCTGCCCTGTACCTCATCTGAGGAACTGGAAGTGAGAGCCTACAGAACGAGGGATGGCAAGGTACGTGCTGGGCACCCTCAACACACTGCCAAGATAGGTGGCACTACCCCTACTTTTTGAATAGCTGAGGAATGGATGCTCAGGTCATTCAACTTACCCACATTTACTTTTAGGACATGTCGTTTGAAGACACCAGTGTAAGGACAAGAAGGATCCTAAGACACATGGAGATAAGGCAATGTGTACTTCCCCTGGGAGGGAGGAGATGGGAGTGCTCCCTGGGAGCACGAGATGGGCGCCTCAGAGAAGAGGTCATCCAGAAGGGTCCCAGCTCCCCATGGGGAATGGACTAGGGAAACTAAGGGAAATGAGCAAAGACCCAAGGGGTCAGGCAGCATAAACCTATGGTGGACGTGAGGAACATGCATGGCTGTGCCCAGCTGTGGGCCTTCCAAACACATGCATTTTGGGCTCATTTTTCCTCTTAAATGTCTTAAAGGTCTTAAGACCTTTCCCTCATGTCAACTGGACCTCAGATATAACCTCCCTCTTCACTACCTTATAATCAATTATTCATTCAGAAAAATACTGAGCACTTTTTACTAACAAGACACTATTTTTAATGTCAGGGATATAATACCAGTCCTCACCAAGTTTTCACTCTAGCTGGAGATACAAATAATAACCAAGTCAACTGGTATGTGTATGACTTAGAGCAGTGAAGGGTGTTAAGGAAAATCAACATGAGCGGGGAGCACAACTGCAATGAAGGCACTAAAAGAGCAATGACAAGATACAACTTACATTTTAGAAAAAAAGAAAAAGACCAGTCTTGCTGCTATGCAGAAAATAATCTGAAAGAGGCAAAGACTGCAAAGGCAAGGAGACAACACAGGCAGCTGTTCAGCAATCCAGGCTAGGGGCAGTGCTGGATTAGGCTCGTTGGAAGCAGGGAGGGTCAGCACGGGGATACACACTGAGGGACGGACAGCAGGGCTCAATGACAGGCTGACAAGATGTGAAATGTAGGGAAAGACAGGAATGATCAAGAATGGTAAAGAATGGAGGATGAGGCCAGGCGCAGTGGCTCACACCTGTAATCCCAGCACTTTGGGAGGCCGAGGCGGGCGAATCACGAGGTCAGGAGTTTGAGAACAGCCTGGCCAACATGGTGAAACCCTGTCTCTACTAAAAACACAAAAAATTAGTTGGGCGGGCGCCTGCAATCCCAGCTACTCGGGAGGCTGACGCAAGAGAATCGCTGGAACCTGGGAGGCAGAGGTTGCAGTGAGCCGAGATCAAGCCACCGCACTCCAGCCTGGGGGGAAAGAGTGAGACTCCATCTCAAAAAAAAAAAAGAATGGAGGATGGCCAGGCATGGTGGCTCACATCAGTCATCCCAGAACTTTGGGAGGCCGAGACAGGGGGATTGCTTGAGGCCAGGAGTTCAAGATCAGCCTGAACAACATGGCAAGACCTCATCTCTACCAAAAACTTTAAAAATTAACCAGGCATGGTGGCATGCACCTGTAGTCTCAGCTACTTGGGAGGCTGAGGCAGGAGGATCATTTGAGCCCAGGAGTTCGAGGCTGCAGTGAGCTAAGATTCCACCACTGCACTCTAGCCTGGGTAACAGAGAGAGACTACCCATGGAAACTCCAGGTATAGACACTGAGGGGGCATTGGGAAACCCCAGGTGGCAAGAGACTGAAGATACACATTTGGGAATTAGGACCTTCCGGCTGGCATTTACAGCACCACAGGTAGAGAAGGGATCCAATCCAGGCTGGGCCCAGCACTCGAAGAGGAAGCAGCAGTGGAGTGAGGAGCAGCCAGGAAGGCTGAGGAAACCACGATGGTGGGTGGAAGGCCAAGTGAAGGAAGCGTCAAGGAGGGAGCGCACTGCTGTCTTTGACCCTACCGAGCAGGCACATTAAGGACATGAAAAAAAGTCACAAGTGACCAGATGTGGCTTGATGGAAATTGGTGGTGGAGTTGACAAGAACAATTTGTGATGAGACAGAATTGTCAGCCTGAGAAGTGGATTGAGAGAATGGTGGGAGGGGAAGAAGAGGCAGGTCTGAGTTCTGCTATGAAGGGAAGCAACAACGGGGTGGTTAGTTGTTGTTATGGGGTTAAGGAAGGAACTTTTCTAGAAAAGGAGAAATTGTGCAGCATGTCTGTGTGCCGACAGCAGTGACCCAGGAGAGTCAAGATGAGGATGCAGGAAGGAAGGGAGAGCCACAGCACCCAAGGGAGAGGGTCCCAGATGCAGGTGGAGGGCAGCATCAGAAAAGAAGGAGACAGCCTGCCAGGCGTGGCAAGGGGAAGGGGCATGTGTGGGCTCACAAAGGGAGTCCAGGCTGCATGGCTGCACCCAGACATCCAGGACCCCAAACCCCTAGCCCCAAACAGGCACAGTCCAAATGGGACCTGATGTTTCTACCGTCACCTTGGTGTCCCTGCTGCATGTGACCTGAGAGGCTTGGGTGAGGGCAGAGAGAAAGTCCATGTCTAACAAATGTGGCAGCCCCCGCTGCAGCCGGGGCAGGCTTCAGCAGTTGCTTTACCTCTCATTGGTGAACACAGACTCCCTGGGTTCAACTTCATCCTGATTTTCACTCAGCCCCTGCAGGAACCAAAGTGCACTCAGGTCACCCTGGAGAGTTCTCAAACCATCTGCCCCACTCCAGAAGCCCAGGCACCCAGGCCTGACCCTTCCGACAGGGACGAGGTCCAGTCCCACGAGAAGGAACTGACACGCCTTTCTGGGACCTGCAGAGCAGAGGTCTCTGCCTCCAGATTCCAGAGGATGTGAGCACTCCAGGGTCTGCACTCTGGGGCTGGGCCCTGCTTCCCCACCAGTGTTCTCCCAGCAGGCTCTGCAGGCTGAGCCCCACTGCCTGGAAGTCAAAAGACACAGGCCTGCCTGCAAACCCAGTGTCCCTCACCTCTGGTATAAAGGTCGAAGGCCCAGAAAACAAGCAGAGGTAGAATCTGAAAGGAGAAAGTGCAAAGTGAGGGTTGGGTGGAGAAAGCCCCACAGGGAGACAAGCCCTCAGCTCCCCCACCCGCACCCCCTCCGCCTGCCTGGACCCTGGTGACCCACACCCCAGCACTCCTCTGCACCACTGAGTGGCCTGAAAGGGCTATGCCACTACCCTCCCTCCTGCAGCCCAGGCAGCACACCGGCCCCCAGCGCTCACTTCTTTGCTTTGGCACTGTTAGGGTAGTCTACCACCATGCCACCGGAGAAGCCTGCCTTTGTGGCCTGGGTTGTGATCAGCTCCAACTGAGGAAAGAAAGGCAGCGGGTCAGGCAGCGGAGGTTGAGAGGAGCAGACAGCTTCACCTCCCTCCCCTCCTTCAGAAGCCAGTCTGCTCCAGGACAAATCCTGCCTGGGAGAACTTAAGGTCGCTGTAAGCCACGTAGAGAAAAGTACAGGCTAGAATCTGGCATGGCCCACACCTCCCTCAGGAGAATTACAGAACAAAGCAACTCCCCTCATTCTCACTTTCCAGTGCAGGGACCCAGCTCCCCACTCAAGTTTAGGGAGATGGCCACCAATTGGAATCCAGAGTCATTCATGTTATTAGTCAGGAACAGCTCTTCACTTATCTTTCAACATCTACATCCTACTCCGCCATTCCTTAATTTATACATCACACAACGGAGAACTGTCGGTGCCCTCTCACCCTTCCTAAATGGCATTTACTTATTTGGTTATGGAAATCAGTCGCATCACCTTATCTGTAATACCATGTCATCTGCCAAGAGAAGGCATCCCACCCCACCTCCGCAGATGCCACCCCCTTAGGATATCAGGTCATCAAATGTGCCATCAGGGGCCACACTAGGGTGCATGTTTCCTCCTTTTCCCGCCAATCTGCATAAGATTCTTTGTCGCTTCCCCAGGACAGCTTACCTGTTGAGTCCCCCAACTCCCCGGCACACCCAGTAGCCGAGGGACTCACCTGCTCTGAGTTCTCAGGGTACAGCTGCAGGACAGCTCGGGATCCCCGGACCTGAAAGAAACAGGAACATCACTGTCTTACAAATGACTGCATGAGCTTAGGGCCTGGACACCCCTCTCTTCCTTCATTCACCAAGTATTTCCTGAATTTCCATTATGTGTGAGGCATTGTTAGGGCTGGGGATAGTATGAACAAAAGAGATCACCCTGAACTTTGGAGCTCACATTTTAGTAAAGGAGGCAACTAATTCACAGTAGCAAATTTTTTCTTTGTTACAAAAAGAGGAATTAGACAAAGTGACAGAGTTTCCTTTCAGTTCAGTTTACTTTTGGTTCCAAAAAGGCCTGTTTCAAATGGATACTTGAGCAGAGATTTGAATGGAGTGAGGAGCTGGCTATTTAAACATATAAGGGAGGAGCCTTCCAGCAGGGAGAAGAGGAAACACAAAGGACCTCAGAACTAAAATATTAACCCAGTGTGCCAGGAGGAGAACTCATGTGACACACAAGACCAGCGGCCAGATAGGCAGGCGCAGTCCACCCCAGGAAAGGCCAGCGGCCACATCAGCAGGGGCAGTTCACCCCAGGAAAGACCAGCGGCCACATCAGCAGGGGCAGTTCACCCCAAGAAAGACCAGTGGCCAGATCGGCAGGTGCAGTCCACCCCAGGAAAACTAGGGGTGGGCTAGACCAGGCTAAGGAGGCAAAAACCACTCAGATCCTTCAAAACGGACTCATTTTTAAGCTGGGCACAGTGGCTTACGCCTATAATCCCATCACTTTGGGAGCCTGATGCCAGACAATTGCTTGAAGCCAGGAGTTTAACACCAGCCTGGGCAACATAGGTAGACCCCATCTCTTAAAAAAAAAAAAGTAAAAAATTAGCCTGGCATGGTGGTGTGTGCCTGTAGTCCAAACTACTTGAGAAGCTGAAGCAGGAGGATCACTTGAGCCCAGGAGTTCGAGGGCGCAGTGAGCTACGATCACACCATTGCACTCCATCCCAGGCAACAAAGCAAAAGTCTGTCTCAAAAAACAAAATTTAAAAAGAACTCATTTTTAGGACTTAAAATCTCAGACTATCAGCTAATCCTAGTGAACAACTGAAATTAACATCATTAATTTGAAGACAAAGCTAATAAAGGCTCTCTTTGCAGTAAATAACTATCCTGTTCCTCATCCGAAGAAAAGGATCAGCACTAGGAGGAGGGATAAGTGAGGAGTCAGAAGGATGTGGGCACTTTGGAAGGTACCCCTCTGGATGGTCCGGACACGACATCTCTGTCCTCACTCTGCTCAGTCCATGCCCCCAAACCAACTTCTGATTAAAACTCAGCGCAATAGACATAGGAATACCAATCAACAGAAGTAGGCCCTATTACAAGTTAATAAATTGGTCTCCGATTTTGGTATCAGTGACTTCTGGGTTTGATTAGAGTATATCAGTCCACTGAGCTTGAACTTCCATTTAGGCTGAGGACCTGGACAGAAGTAACCACAGTAAGGTCCTGCCACCCCATGCGGTCCCATATGAGTAGCTTACCCATCATGGGACACCTCAATTTCCTCACTCTACCTGCAGTGCTAGGGAGGGACAGGCAGCTAACCCAGATGGGGAGAAGATCTTATACTCACGAGAACAGAAAAAAGAGAAGCAAAAAAGCAGTACAGGCGCTTGGCAGGGTTTTCAGACTTCTTGTTAGCATTACAGAGCCACTGCACAGCAGAAATGCTAAAAAGGAAGGGACCTAGTCAGGCAACGGAGCAATCCACGTTGCTCCCCCAACCACTTCAAGCCTCTTGACATCATCCGTCCTGGCTCTCCAAGAGAAACCCCTCCTCCCACAGCTTCCCTTCTTAGAAAGTGCAGGTTGAGGCCACGTACAGTGGTTCAACGCCCTGTAATCCCAGCACTTTCTGAGGCCAAGACAGAATTGCCTGAGGCCAGGACTTCAAACCAGCCTGGACAACATAGCAAGACCCCATCTTTACTTAAAGTATTTTTAAATTTAAAAATTTAAAGACAAAAAAAGTGCAGGTCCACTGCAGGTCATGACTCTACAACACTGGAAAAATAGGACATACAGAAGGACAGCATTTATGTCCCATAGTCCCAAGAAACCTTTCCTCCACCTTGTTTCCATCTGCATCTTGAGTTGAAAAGTCCTCCGTGTCAAGGCTGTCTGCCCACACACCCCTCCTTGTTCCCTTCCTCCAATCCAAGGAAACAGGCTTTAGACTACTCACATACACACAGCCATCCCATCACCCTTCCTCCTAAATCACTCCCTTCCACTCTACCTGTTAAGTGTCTTTACAACCCCCAGATTTAAAACCTCAAGCAGCCAGGTGCATTGGCTCATACCCGTAATCCCAGCATTTTGGGAGGCTGAGATGGGTGGATCACTTGAGGTCAGGAGTTCGAGACCAGCCTGACCAACACGGTGAAACCCCGTCTCTACTAAAAATACAAAAATTAGCTGGGCTTGGTGGCATGTGCCTTGAATACCAGCTGCTCAGGTGGCTGAGGCAGAAGAATCACTTGAACCTGGGAGGCAGAGGTTGCAGTAAGCCTTGTGCCACTGTACTCCAGCCTGGACAACAGAGCAAGACTCCATCTCAAAAAATAAATAAATAAAACCTCAACCAGTCACTATGTCTTCCTTCCTGCCCTTCCCCTCCGCCCTGCTGTACACACACAGAGCCCTACCTCCACCCCACTGGCTTGTCCCACAGCCTCTCCCAACTTTCACTTCCCCGCACCAATGCTCAGTGCTACCAGCTCAAATGCTTCCACCTAACTCTCTCTCCTCTTTCACCAGAAAATCACCTTCCTTAAACACACATCTGATCCCGTCACCTGCCAACTCCCCATCATCTACTCCATCAAGCCCAAACTTCTTAGGACACACTTAAGTGCCTTCTAGGAAGCAACCACACTCAACCCCATCTTCCGTGGAATCTCTCGTTCATCCCTCTCATCTCAGACCCCTTTCCCACCGGCATCTGTGCCTCTGCCCACTGTTCCCTCACTCAGAAACCCTCTCCTTGACTATCCAAATTCCTCCCAGCCTTCAAGGTGCAGCCCCTCCACCCAAGGCTTTCCTGTGCTCTGGCAGCCCCATGACTCCCTAGGGCACACACCACTCATGCCCTTATATTCAGTTGCCTGGTCCATGTCCTAAAGCACCTAATAAACCGTGGAGAGTCTTACACGCAGAAACTGTTTCATTTCCCTGTACTCCACAGCACCTTGTACGCCTTACATGTAGCAAATGTTTAAAAAAAAAAAAAAAGTCTGGGCCGGGTGCGGTGGCTCACGCCTGTAATCCCAACACTTTGGAAGGTTGAGGCGGGCAGTTCATGAAGTCAGGAGTTCAAGACCAGCCTGGCCAACATGGTGAAACCCCATCTCTACTAAAATACAAAAATTAGCCAAGCATGGTGGTGAGCACCTGTAATCCCAGCTACTCAGGAGGCTAAGGCAGGAGAATCGCTTGAACCCAGGAGGCAGAGGTTGCAGTGAGCCGAGATCGTGCCACTGCACTCCAGTCTGGACAATACAGTAAGAATCCGTCTCCAAAAAAACAGTTTGCTATACCATCTCACCTCTCCCCGAAGACAAACAAAAACTGACCATCCCCTTCCGAAACATACAGACCATACTGCTGGCCTTCGGTTTTTCACAGCTTAAAACACCTCATCTGACCATTACCAAAAAGCATCTGCTACCCTTGAAATTATTCCCCAACCCCCCTGGGTCTTGTTCCCAGATGTAAAAGGAAAATCTTCTAATCTGAATTTTTACCTCTCACCTGGCTCCCCACTTCACATCCCCACCACTCAACTTAGGGTAACCAAAGGAAGTCTCCCCTGCAAGTAATGATTTGTAACTTCCTCCCCTATTTTCTCACTTTCACTCCCACACCACACCAAAAACTAAACAGAACTGATCACAGCAGCCTAAGAAAAACTTAATCAATTTTAACATTCTAAGATCTGTTATTGAAGTGCTATGTGGATGTTTAACCCGACTCTGATTACAGAGAAAGGACTGTGAAGCACTTAAGAGATTAGAGCAAGTCCAGACGCTCTCTACCAGTTATCTGTTGGCAAATAAAGTAAGATGGCTGCTGGGGCCCACAAGATGGCTGGGGCCCATAAAATGGCCGCTAGAGACTAAAAGACCACCTCCTCTGCCCCACCAGACACACAAAGCTGACACAGAATCTGTACCAGTGGTGCCCGAACCCGGCAATGCAAAATAATCGCAATAGTAGACAAGTTTTATTTTTGAGATGAAGTGTTGCTCTGTCACCCAGGCTGGAAGTGCAATGGCGTGGACTCGGCTCACTGCAACCTCCGCCTCTCGGGTTCAAGCAATTCTCCTACCTCAGCTTCCTGAGTAGCTAGCTGGGACTACAGGTGGCCACCACCATGTCTAGCTTTTTAGGCTGGGCGCGGTGGCTCACGCCTGTAATCCTAGCACTTTGGGAGGCTGAAGAGGGCGGATCATGAGGTCAGGAGATTGAGACCATCCTGGCTAACATGGTGAAACCCCGTCTCTACTAAAAATATAAAAAAATTAGCTGGGCGTGGTGGTGGGCGCCTGCAGTCCCAAGTACTTGGGAGGCTGAGGCAGGTGAATGGCTTGAACCCGGGAGGCGGAGCTTGCAGTGAGCCGAGATCCCGCCACTGCACTCCAGCCTGGGCAACAGAGAGAGCCTCCATCTCAAAAAAAAAAAAACAACAACCACGTCTGGCTTTTTAGTAGAGGCTGGGTTTCACCATGTTGGCCAGACTGCAAAGTTTTAGAATCCAAAAAAATACACTCTTGGGCCTTGCTCTAACCTTGTAAATCTGAAAATCCCATGGGATGTGTATTTGTAAATATCTGCATGAGTCTGCTGCACAGCCAGGTTTGGGAGGCACTGGCTTGCAGGACTAAAAGCAGGAAGAAAGAGGCCAGGGTGGCTCACACCTATAATCCCAGCATTTTGGGAGGCCCAGGTGTGTGGATCGCCTGAGCAACATAGCAAAAACCCATCTCTACAACAAATACAAAAAAAGTTAGGCTGTGCACGGTGGCTCACACCTGTAATCCCAGCACTTTGGGAGGCCGAGGAGGGTGGATCACAAGGTCAAGAGATTGAAACCATCCCGGCCAACATAGTGAAACCTCACCTCCACTAAAAATACAAAAATTAGTTGGGTGTGGTGGCGTGCTCCTGTAATCTCAGCTACTTGGGAGGCTGAGGCAGGAGAATCGCTTGAGCCTGGGAGGCGAAGGCTGCAGTGAGCCAAGATCACACCACTGCACTCCAGCCTGGTGACAGAGCAAGACTCCATCTCAAAAAAACAAAAAATTAGCTAGGTACGGTGGTGTGGGCCTGTAGTCCCAGCTACTCAGGAGACTGAGGTGGGCAGATCACCTGAACCCAGGAGGTGGAGGCTGCAGTGTGAGCCATAATCACAGACACTGCACTAGAGCCTAAGTGATAGAGTGAGACCCTGTCTCTAAATAAATAAAAGCAGGAATTAAAGACCCTCACCTGATGCAACCATCAAATGTGCCTGGCTTGAATGGGATGCCCTGGCCCATATCCCCCAGCAGCAGGTCTCCCTCTATCTCTCGGTCCACAGCCTCATCTACATTAGAGAAAAGGCAGTCAGAGAAAGAGAAATACCTGTGGCTTCTCCACACCCATCAGGGTAATCCACCCTGGTGCCAGACAGGACATACTTACCCAGCATGGCAGGGCTGATATCCAGGCCCACCCAATAGTGCCCTTCATCTGACAGATAACTTCCACTCAGCCCAGTGCCACAGCTGGAAGACATGACCAGACACTCAGGGTCAGTTTACAAAGACACTTCACCACCTTAGACAATCTGAACCAGGCCCCAGAATCTCACCCAATATCCAGCAGGTAACAGGGCTTATTCTCTGGCAGATAAAGAAGCTCCAATGCTCGCCCAGCCATCCTGGTCTGGATATCAATCATCCGTGAGCTGGTAAGGCAGAAACACAAGTGGACATGGTAAAGGAGTTCTGGGTGAATACTTCCCCCAGACCAAAAAACAAAAAACAAAAAAAAGCCAAGTTAAAAACAAACAAAAAACGGATCAATCATCCCGAGGTACTCTTTTCTGACCCCTTCTAAGTTGGGATCAACAAATTCAACCATTCGAAAGTGACCCCAAAAATTCCATGTAATTCAGGACCATGTTATTTTGTGGTAACAACTTATCATTGCACCAGCTGCCAAGCAGATGTGTAAAAGCAAATCACTTAGCTAGTAATAAACAACCACTGGGATCTGCAACTCTATTAGGCTGGGCTGCTCTAGCACTTGTTGAAAACATTTTCTCCAAAAATTATTCTCCATAGTTTCTCTCATCTAGAAGGATCAACAATGCACAAAAACCTACAGCAGCACTGTCTGTGAGAAACAGAATGTGAGCCACGCATGGCTTCCCAATAGCCAGTCAAGAAGAAACTTAAAGAAACAGGTAAAAGAAACTGGAGTCATATTTTTTTTTTTTTTTGAGACGGAGTCTTGCTCTGTTGTCGCCCAGGCTGGAGTGCAGTGGCGCGATCTCGGCTCACTGCAAGCTCCGCCTCCCGGGTTAATGCCATTCTCCTGCCTCAGCTTCCCCAGCAGCTGGGACTACAGGCGCCCGCCGCCACGCCCGGCTAATTTTTTTTTTTGCATTTTCAGTAGAGACGGGGTTTCACCATGTTAGCCAGGATTTCTCTATCTCCTGACCTTGTGATCCGCCAGCCTCGGCCTCCCAAAGTGCTGGGATTACAGGCGTGAGCCACCGCGCCCGGCCTCTGGAGTCATATTTTTAACCCCATATATTTAATAACGTATTTCCATTAACTCAATATGTTCAAAATATCACTTCAACATATAATCGACATAAAAAGTCATCAGCAAGGACCGGGCCTGGTGGCTCACGCCTATAATCCCAGTACTTTGGGAGGCCAAGGCGGGTGGATCCCGTGAGCAACTTACCAGATCCCTGGGCAACATAGCAAAACTCCCTCTCCACAAAAAAATTACACAAACTAGTCGGGCGCGAGGAGGCGCGCCTGTAGTTCCAACTACCCGGGAGGCGAGGTTGCAGCCACTGCAGCACTTCGGCCTGGGCGATAGAATGAGAGCCTGTCTCACACGCACAAAAAATTATCAAGCTATTTCAGCCGGTGTGGTGGCGAGTGCCTCTAGTTCCGGCTGCTGGGGAGGATGGCTTGAGGCTGCAGTCGGCAGGGATCATGCCATGGCACTCCAGCCTGGGCAATAGAGAGACCCTGTCCCTAAAAAAAAGAAACAGTATCCAATAGCTATTTATTTATTTATTGAGTCAGGGTCTCACTCTGTCGCCAAGGCTGGAGTGCAGTGGTGCGATCGCAGCTCACTGCAACCTCTGCCTCTCAGGTTCAAGTGATTCTCCTGCCTCAGCCTCCCGTAGGCCCGGCTAATATCTGTATTTTCAGTAGAGACGGGATTTCACCATGCTGGCCAGGTTGGTCTCGGAATTCCTGACCTCAGGTGATCCGTCCACCTCCGCCTCCCACAGGGCTGGGATTACTGGTATGAGCCATAGCGCCCGGCCAGTAACCATTTACTGAAATAGGGCTAGTCTCTCAGTGAGAGAGCACGGAAAAACCACAAAGTATCTTTTTTTTTTTTTTTTTTTTTTTTTTTTTTTTTTTTGAAACAAAGTCTTGCTCTGTCGCCCAGGCTGGAGTGCAGTGCCGTGATGTCGGCTCACTGCAACCTCCCCCTCCCGGGTTCAAGCTATTCTCCTGCCTCAGCCTCCCGAGTAGCTGGGGTTACAGAAACCCGCCATCGCGCCCGGCTAATTTTTTCCATTTTTAGTAGAGCTGGAGTTTCGCCATGTTGGCCAGGCTGGTCTCGAACTCCTGACCTCAGGTGATCCGTCTGCCTCAGCCTCCCAAAGTGTTGCGATTACAGGCGTGAGACACCGCGCCAGCTTCCCCCCGCCCCCATCCCCCCCCCTTTTTTTTTTTTTTAACGACTCGAGGTGCGCTGGCTCACGCCTGCAATCCCAACAGTTCGGGAGACGAAGGCGGGAGGATCGCTTGAGCCCTGGGCTTGGGCCACCTTGGGCAACACAGCGAGACCCCATCGCAACAAAAATTTACAAAAAAAAGCCAGGCGTAGTGGCGCGCGCCTGTGGTCCCAACTACTGGAGAGGCAGAGGGGAGCCACCACACCCGGCTAATTTTTTTATTACTTGCGGAGACGGGGGCTCGCTACGTTGCCCAGGCTGGTCTCGAACCCCTGAGCTCAAGCGATCCTCCCGCCTCAGCCTCCCAAAGTGCTGCGATTGCTGAGATTACACGCGTGAGCCACTCCCACCTGGCTACAACTCAGTAGTTATACAAACTACCCTCTATGAAATTCAGACAATAATACACCAACTGCTGTCTTGGAGATTTATTGGCAACAAGGCGCCACGATAAGCATCCTACGGCCATTACTTCCTTCCCCCCACCAGGACTGACCCCTCGCCCGTACCCACCGCCCAGCGCCTCTTTTACCACATGTTTAGGACAAATTGTCACATTCGACTTTGAAAACCACCCACGGAAAGCAAGCGCGATCACCCCTACCTCAACGCTGAGGTACCGAGGCCCAGAGAGGTCGGCAACTTAAAGTTGATTTACCAGAGACAGAAATCGGCACCCACCCGGGTCCTTCCCTTCCCGCACCCCCAAATTCTACGGCCTTTCCGGGCAACGCCAGCAACAGGGGCAACTTGCCGCTTCCCGACCCCCGGACGCCCCGCAGTATTCAGGCTCCCCTCACTTGCGAACGTATTTCCGGGCTTCTGTCTCGTCATAAAACTGCGAAAAAGAGAAAATGGCATGTAGAGGAATAATTCAGACGCGGTGGCCGCAGAAGTGGGGAGAGGGGTGTCCGCGGGCCCCGGGACTTACCAGCTCTGGGGGTCCGCCATGCTCCGGACGCCGGCCGCGGGACGCCATTCTCACGCCTCAGCAGCACACCTGCGACTGGCGCCTGCCGGCACCCGGTTTTTATGTCATCAGCCCGGCGACCGCTTAGTAATACGCATGTTCCACCCCCACGACCGCCCCGCCCCCCCCTTTACGTGACTGGCCACAGGGCGACCAACCGACTCCTCTCATTGGCCGGTTTCTCTTGCACCGCCTGCCGAATCAATTCAACATGGCAGCCATGCGCTGGCGATGGTGGCAGCGGCTGTTACCTTGGAGGTTGCTGCAGGCCCGTGGCTTTCCACAAAATTCTGCACCCAGCCTGGGCCTAGGAGCGAGGACTTATTCCCAGGGCGACTGCTCGTATTCGCGCACGGCGCTGTATGATCTGCTCGGCGTCCCCTCCACAGCCACGCAGGCCCAAATCAAGGCGGCTTACTACCGTCAGTGCTTTCTCTACCACCCGGACCGCAACTCCGGGAGCGCGGAGGCCGCCGAGCGCTTCACGCGCATCTCCCAGGCCTACGTGGTGCTGGGCAGTGCCACCCTCCGTCGCAAGTATGATCGCGGCCTACTCAGCGACGAGGACCTGCGCGGACCTGGCGTCCGGCCCTCCAGGACGCCCGCACCCGACCCCGGCTCGCCGCGTACCCCGCCGCCCACCTCTCGGACCCACGACGGTTCTCGGGCCTCCCCCGGCGCCAACCGCACGATGTTCAACTTTGACGCCTTCTACCAGGCCCACTACGGGGAACAACTGGAGCGGGAACGGCGCCTGAGGGCCCGGCGGGAGGCCCTTCGCAAACGGCAGGAGTATCGGTCCATGAAAGGCCTCCGCTGGGAGGATACCCGAGACACGGCTGCCATTTTCCTCATCTTTTCAATCTTCATCATCATCGGCTTTTATATTTAATCGGAGAGAGAAGGGAAGGGGAGTGTCCCCAGCCAACCCCCCAGAAACGGCCTTTTTTCCTGCCTCTGAACCCTTGGCCATTGATAGTCTACCTTTGCTGGGATCCGAAGGAACTGTACTCCCCCTGCCCTCCCCGACCCGCCCAGCTTAGCCGATGACCTGCACATCGCTCCACTGTGGTCCAGAAAAGGAGGCCTTTCGATGTCTGAGAAAGAGGCCCCACGCTGTAGAGTCCCGAAAGCCCAGGAGTGAAGGGGGTTCCTGGAGTCTCTAGGGTGCTTCTTCCAGAGTCTGTCTTCTTGCTTCCAGATGTGGTCAACTTCTGGAACACTCGCTGTAGCTTTATTGTTTAGCCCCAAGCAAGATTTATCTCCTCCTGCCCCGCATGTGTATGGTGGGCCTCTGTAACCTTGAAATGTGCAATGTGACCAATTGTTGACTACCAAAAGAAAAGGTCTGGGGTTGTACGAAACTTGTCTTTCTGTGACTTCCCCAAGCCGCAGGTGAGACCTGGTCCAGGGTAAGAATGGGATCGGTGGAGAGCCTGTCGTTCCTCCCGCTAAGGTCAGCCCCCTGGGGCACTCCTCCTTATGTTGATAGCATGTAGGAGTGAGAAAAAGTCATTGAGCATAAGGAATGAGTGTTCCTGTGCCCATATTTAATGTGTGACCTTGGAGAAGTTACTCTGTAGGCATGACAGCAGAGGAGAAAATCATTTGGCATCTTGAGGTCTGTCATGCTTTATTATCCATAGTTTTTGGGGGGTTTTTTGTTTTGTTTTGTTTTTGAGATGGAGTCTTGCGCTCTGTTGCCCAGGCTGGAGTGCAGTGGTGCGATCTTAGCTCACTGCAACCTCCACCTCCCGGGTTCAAGCGATTCTCCTGCCTCAGCCTCCTGTGTAACTGGGATTACAGGCTCCCACCACACCTGGCTAGTGTTTTGTATTTTTAGTAGATACGGGGTTTCACCATGCTGGCCAGACTGAGGTCTCGAACTGCCGACCTCAGGCTGTCTGCCCGTCCAGCCTCCCAAAGTGCTGGGATTGCAGGCATGAGCCACTGCTCCCGGCCCTATTATCCATAGTTCTAATCCACAGGGATTACAGCATAATGCTAGCAGGGCCAGGTTCATCCTTGAGACAGTGTGGCTGGCTGTCACCTGGTCCTCCCTTTACCAGCCAGCCCCATTGCACACTGTGCAGCCCATCCCCTCCCAGAAATAGAGTGACAAACTCTGCACTTAAGTCCCCTGTTTCTGTTTAACTTGCAGTGCTTATCACAGGCCCTTCCTTAATTTTTTAAACAAGGCTGCTTGAGGCTGGGGTAAATTTTGGGGCTTTGGGAGTACACAGGACTACTGAGGGACGGGGAGTTGGTGGC
Organism: Homo sapiens; assembly: GCF_000001405.40. Classification (NCBI taxonomy): domain Eukaryota; kingdom Metazoa; phylum Chordata; class Mammalia; order Primates; family Hominidae; genus Homo; species Homo sapiens. Next base: position 73,681,363 of record NC_000007.14, on the reverse strand, counting down.
TTGGTGTTCATGGTGGAGACTTGGTTCTTTACGCAGAGCAGGCTAAAGGCGTGTTTTTTCTGCTCTGTTTCTAATTCATGTTAAGTAGTTGGTCATCACTTTGGTCAGAGCTGCTGCTGAAGCTCTCTTAACTGTGAGTCACTGGACGTTGGCAGGGAGTTGGCTGTGAGATTGTAGGTGCTCAAGTGTTTCTGTTCGGGACTGAGTGTGAATCTGTAAAAGGGGAAAATCCTCGCAAGAGGTCTACGAGAAGGATGAGGGCCCAAGTCTAGGGTCTAAACAAAGCCAGGAGTGGTTTGGTATATTACTGAGTGCAATCATTGCGTGCCATTCCTGCACTCAATGTATTGTGTAAAATCCTTAGGTAAAATGGGATAAACCCACAGCTGGTCCTACTTGGCCTCTTGAAAACCATTCCATCATTGTGCCAATCTAGCCTGAAAAGGAAAAAAAAAAAGGGAAACCATTGATTGTCTCTTGCCTCGGAGGTTGGGGGTATGCCCCTACTCCAGGCTTTGCAGTGATCATATGATGCAGTAATGAAGATCTGGGGCCTGGCACAACACTTTGGGATCCACCCAAGGCGGGTGGATCACTTGACCTCAGGAGTTGGAGACCAGCCTGGGCAACACGGCAAAACCCCATCTCTACAAAAATCACAAAAATTAGCCGGGTGTGGCAAGTGCCTGTAGTCCCAGCTACTCAGGAGGCTAAGGTGGGAGAATCGCTTGAGCCTGAGAGGTCGTGGTTGCAGTGAGCTGCGATCCTGCCACTGCATTCCAGCCTGGGCTACAAAGCTAGACCCTATCTCAAAAAAAAAAAAAAAGAAAAAGAAAAAAAAGATTTGAGCCCAATCTGGTTCAGACCTGTTTGGCTCAGTGAGCCTGGACTTGGGGGAAGGGGATATGTACTTTTTAAAAGAACATTTATTGTTACTATGTTTCATATTTAGAAAACAGGACAGAGACTTTTTTCTGGAAAAACAAAACTGCAGCAAGTGGAGTTTCTTTTTTCTGGAAAAACAAACTGCACGAAGTGGAGTTTAGCAAAATGTTCTGAAACTAGTGCTTCTCAACCAGTAAAGCAGGCACGACAGAAACAGTGGGGCAAGGGCTTTTTGTTCTAGTGAAACAGGTGGCCTCCTTTCGATGTGGGTTTGTAAAGCACTAGTGGTCTAATAGCATGGGCTCCTTGAGATAGACCTCTGAAGTTTGTTTTCTCAGTCAAGATCCCAGCCAGGAACGTTCCCTGTGAGCCCCCGAATCTGGGGTACATAGAAAATTCCAGAAGGTTCAGACTGGGGGTGGGTCCAGACTAAGGTAAACTTCTGGGACATTCCATGAAACTCTAAGCAAAGTATTCTATAAGGTTTACTAACCATCATCCAATCCTAAGCCTCTCCCCTGACTCAGCACAAGGCCTACTCCGTAATGTCATCCCTTTATGCCTCAGGGTTTTGTAGGCCAGAGCTAATGCCTGAGGGACCCCACTCCCTGCCTGCCCTGAAACTGAGCCTGTGCTCTTCATGGAAAGGAAAATGTGTGGGAGGCTTTTTGAAGGACCCCCAAAAGGTTCCCATGGTCACATTTTCCCCCCACCCACTCAGATTGGCTTGAGTCTTTTCTTTCTCTGCTGCTACCTGGCAAGTGGAGGCTGAACTCGGCCATGACCTTAGCCCCTGCCTTCTAGGGGCTATTCCATAATTCCTGGTTGTGGAGGATGGCTCAGACATGCCCAGCCTTAATCCTTTTTCTTTTTCACAAACTGAAACAAAACTCCCTAGAAGTTTGGACCTAGGATGGGAGAATAGGGTAAAGGGGCCCAGCCTGGCCCAGGCTGTGCTCAGTGGGGTGGGGAGGGGGTTACTGGTATAGCACGAGGCCGAGTGAGCCACAGGCGTGGTTCCTAAATGGGGAGACAGAGGCCACAAGACAGGAACCAAAGGCGCACAGGTCTAGGTAATTGTGGTGGTGTCTTTGGGCTTGAATGGGACTTTATTTCTCCTGAGCCAAACTGCTTTTTCCCTTCTGTTGCCCTTTATTTATTGCTGGGTGAGATGACCCTTTACAGATCCCAGTGTTGAGGAAGTAGGCTTTCTCCCTCTTCCTTCTGAGGTTCCGGCATTTCATTCATTGAGTGCACCTCTGTATGAGCCAAATTGATTAGGAATAGCTTACCTTAGGCCACAGAGCTGTCCTACTGGGTCACGATTGACTTGGAGTGGCCACCAACACACCCTTTTTTGGAAATGGAAGAGGTCTGTGTTTCAAACTGTTGGGCTTCCTGGAAGGTCGCCAGACCCTGTGCAAACAGGCTGAGAGAGGGACGGCTGATAAGTGGTGGTGCTACCTCAGTCCACACTCTGGAATTCAGTGCACTAGAAAAGCGGGCCCTGTCCTGGCCTTTGCCTCCTCTCAGTTCCTCAGCGCCATGATGAAGTCACATGCTGCCACCTGCCCATGGGGAAGATCATGAGGGAAAGCCCAGCACAATGGCACACACCTGTGGTCCCAGTTACTTGGGAGGCTGAGGCAGGAGGATCGCTTGAGCCCAGGAGTCCAAGACTAGTGTACAAAGATCTCGCCTATGAATAGCTACTGCACTCCAGCTGGGCAACACGCAAGACCTCATCTCTAAAAAGAAAAACAGGCCGGGTACGGTGGCTCACCTCTGTAATCCCAGCACTTTGGGAGGCCAAGGCGGGCGGATCACCTGAGGTCAGGAGTTCGAGACCAGCCTGACGAACATGGAGAAACCCCGTCTCTACTTTTAAAAAATACAAAATTACCTGGGTGTGGTGGTGCATGCCTGTAATCCCAGCTACTCGGGAGGCTGAGGCAGGAGAATCACTTGAACCTGGGAAGCAGAGGTTGCAGTGAGCCGAGATCGCGCTATTGCACTCCAGCCTGGGCAACAAGAGTGAAACTCCGTCTCAAAAAAAAGAAAAACAACATCATGGGAGAAGACCTACCTTAGCCTGCCCTCAGCAGCTCAGCTCCGAGGTCCAGCTTGCAGCCGTCGTGGTTTTGTGCAAAGCAGCTGAGTGTCCCTCTGTTAATGTGTGCAAACCATGGTGAGAGCTGAGCCTGGATCTCAAGACCTTGCGTAGGCCAAACATGCTCAACGCATGCAGAGAGCTCATCTCTCACTATCTGTCCTGAAGTCACAGCGTCGCTATGGATCTAGCCACCTCACCAGTGTCTCTTAAGGCTAGGGTCCTGTCACTAGTCTTGTGGTGGGTTGGCTCTCCCATCCTACCCTTGTCCCTTCAAAATTCACATCCTCAGCCCTGAGAGGGGACAGCCACTTTAGACAAAAGAAGGCATGTTTCAGGGCCTGGCACGGTGGCTCTTGCCTGTAATCCCAGCACTTTCGGAGGCCGAGGCAGGCAGATCACTTGAGGTCAGAAGTTCAAGACCAGCTTGGCCAACATAGTGAAACCCTGTCTCTACTATAAACACACACACAAAAAAATGGCCGGGCGTGGTGGCTCCCACCTGTAATCTCTGCACTTCGGGAGGCTGAGGTGGGCGGATCACTTGAGGTCAGGAGTTCAAGACCAGTCTGGCCAACATGGTGAAACCCCGTCTCTACAAAAATATAAAAATTAGCCGGGCATGATGGTGGGTGCCTGTAATCCCAACTACTCAGGAGCTGAGGCAGGAGAATCGCTTGAACCTGGGAGGCGGAGGTTGTAGTGAGCCAAGATCGCACCACTGCACTCCAGCCTGGGCGACAGAGTAAGACTCCATCTCAAAAAAAAAAAAAAACATTGGCTGGGCGCGGTGGCTCACGCCTGTAATCCCAGCACTTTGGGAGGCCGAGGTGGGCGGATCACGAGGTCAAGAGATCAAGACCATCCTGGCCAACATGGTGAAACCCCATCTCTACTGAAAATACAAAAAATTAGCTGGGCGTGGTGGCGTGCGTCTGTAGTCCCAGCTACTCGGGAGGCTGAGGCAGGAGAATCGTTTGAACCCGGGAGACAGAGGTTGCAGTGAGCCGAGATTGTGCCACTGCAGTCCAGCCTGGTGACAGAGCGAGACTCCATCTCAAAAAAAAAAAAAAAAAAAAAGGCATGGTGGCGCACACCTGTAATCCTAGCTACTCAGGAGGCCAAGGTGGGAGGATAGCTTGAACCCAGGAGGCGGAGGTTGCAGTGAGCCAAGATCATGACGCTGCACTCCAGCCTGGGTGACAGAGTGAGACTCCATCTCAGAAAAAAAAAAAAATGGCAGGGAAGGCCTGTTTGAGGAGTACAAAGAGCAGACTGGGATTTGGGGTTCATAGGCCACAGTCACCTTGCAGATAGTATTTGGCTGGCACAGTGTCCTAAAACAACTTTACCCAACATTCAAAATTTGGGCATAAAAACCGATTTTTTTTTTGAGGCAGAGTCTTGCTCTGTCCCCCCAGGCTGGAGTGCAGTGGTGCAATCTCAGCTCACTGCAACCTCCACCTCCTAGGTTCAAGTGATTCTCCTGCCTCAGCCTCCCAAGTAGCTGGGATTACAGGCACATGCCACTACGCCTGGTTAATTTTTGTATTTTTAGTAGAGACAGGGTTTCACCGTGTTGGCCAGGCTGGTCTCAAACTCCTGACCTCAAGTGATCCACCCTCCTCAGCCTCTGAAACTGCTGAGATTATAGGCATGAGCCACCGCCCCCATAAAAACAGATTTCTAATCTCTCAAAAAATGAGAAAATCTGCCAGGTGTAGTGGCTCATGCCTGTAATCCCAGCACTTTGGGAGGCCGAGGCGGGTGGATCATCTGAGATCAGGAGTTCAAGGCTAGCCTGACCAACATGGAGAAACCCCATCTCTACTAAAAATACAAAAAAATCAGCCGACGTGGTGGTGCACGCCGGTAATCCCAGCTACTCAGGAGGCTGAGGCAGGAGAATCACTTGAAGCCGGGAGGGAGAGGTTACAGTGAGCCGAGATAGCACCTTTGCACTCCAGCCTGGGCAACAAGAGTGAAACTCCATTTGAAAAAAAAAAAAAAGAAAGAAAATCTGCCACCATTCAGTTCACGTACCTGCATTAGCGCTGTGGGAGAAGCTCAGTAGCATTTCCCCTTTGAGGCCAGGTGCGGTAATGCACGCCTGTAATCCCAGCACTTTGGGAGGCCAAGGTAGGCGGATCCCTTGAGCCCAGGAGTTCGGGACCAGCCTGGGCAGCATGGCAAAACCCCATCTCTACAAAAAATACAAAAATTAGCCAGGCATGGTGGCACGCACCTGTAGTCCCAGCTACTTGGGAAGCTGAGGTGGGAGGATGGCTTGAGCCTGGGAGGTTGAGATTTCAAGTAAGCTATGATCACATAACTGCACTCCAGCCTAGGTGACAGACCAAGACCCTGTCTCAAAAAAAAAAAAGACAACAAAAAAAATTTCGTCCATTTAGATGAGACATCACTCCCCAATTTGCTGCACTTCCACCAACAGGGGTGAAGTGTAAAACGCCTTTTATCTACACACTTGCACCGTTTTTCCCATAGCAGAAAAACATTTCTGTACCCCATGTCCATCAAGAGGGAAAGCAAAAAAGTAAAAAGGTACCATGCATTTTCAGAAAAATAGGGGCAGGAGAATTTCTTCCTGGAAAGGGACTACTTTGCACCTCTGTGTCACCTTCCTGGCCCCTGTAGGCATTTGAGGTTGCAAATTCTTATATTGTATGTTGCTGCAAGAGCCTGCACTTTATGCAGGGAGGTTGAGTGAAATCTTATTTTCATTGTGGGACAAGGGGAATCTCTCCAGAGGTCTACAGCAATGATAAGCTTAGACACAACCAGAGGCCCTTTGGTACAGTAACACCAGTTCCTTCACTCAGTCTTTTGTGTATAATCCCCGTATACACTGGGATAAACCTGCAGCAAGTCCAACTGGGTCTCTTAGAAACCATTCGATTCTCCAGCCTTGGAGGTTAGGGGCAAGTTCTTAGCCATGGCTTTGCAGGGACTACACGATTCAGTGGTGAAGGTTTGAGCCCACACTGGTTGGAGCCTGCTTAGCTCAGTGAGCCTTGATTGGTTAGGAAAAAGAAAAAGCAATTTAATGTTACTATGTTTCATATTTGGAAACCAAGATGGGGAAGGTTAGAAAAATGCAGAAGCTAGTGATTCACAAACAAGGAGGTGTACATAATAGACTTTCTTGAGGAACAGGGAGCTCTGTTTTTATTAAAAGGGGTGGGAGTTTTATTTGGAGACTTCTTTGGTTTTGTTTTGTAAAAGCAAAATGGTATCTAATAGGTAGGACCTTTTTCATGAGCCCCCTGATGCAGACCCTCAAGTTTGTTTTCTCTCACAGATCACAGCCAGGAACATTCCTGGGGCCCCCTGAATCTAGAAGCAGCAAGTTCAAGAAGGTTTTAGGCAAAAGGAAGGGCCCAGAGTGCTGCACCTTCCAGAACATTCCAGAACCTTCCTGAACATTCCATGTACCTTCAAGCAAAAGGGGTTAATGATTTTTCAAACCATCCAACTGTAAGCCTTTCCATGGCCCACCCAGAACTGGGCCCACTCCACTCTGGTGGTGTCCATCCTCACCTGCCTCCGATCATTTTCAGGCTGGAGCTGAACACAGAGGGGTCTCACTCCCTGCCCCTCTAAAGAAGAATCAGCTCTGTGCAAGACAAGGTGTGTGGGAGGCCTTCTGAAGGACCCCATCTGGTTCCCATGGTAACACTTCTTCCTAGTCCCTCTCTTGTCCATGTCTCAACTTTCTCTGCTTCTTACCTACCCTGAGGAGGGGAGGCTCAACCTGGTAGCTGCTGCCTTCTAAAGGCTGCTCCCCAATTCATGATAGTGGAGAAAGGTCCAGACCTGCCCAACCTTTGCCCCTTTTTACCTTTTGGTTGCAAACTCTACACCATGTCAATCATGAAGGAGAGCCAAAAAAAAAAAAAAAAAAGTGGGGACCGGGCACTGTGGCTTACACCTGTGATCCCAGCACTTTGGGAGGCTGAGGCGGGCGGATCACGAGGTCAGGAGATGGAGACCATCCTGGCTAACATGGTGAAACCCCGTCTCTACTAAAAATACAAAAATAATTATAATTAGCCAGGCATGGTGGCAGGCGCCTGTAGTCCCAGCTACTCAGGAGGCTGAGGCAGGAGAATGGCATGGACCCAGGAGGTGGAGCCTGCAGTGAGCCGAGATCACGCCACTGCACTCCAGCCTGGGCGACACAGCGAGACTCCGTCTCAAAAAAAAAAAAAAAAAAAAAAAAGCCAGGTGCGGTGGCTCACGCCTGTAATCCCAGCACTTTGGGAGGCCAAGGCGGGCAGATCACCTGAGGTCAGGAGTTTGAGACCAGCCTGACCAACATGGAGAAACCCCGTCTCTACTAAAAATACAAAATTAGCCGGGCTTGGTGACACATGCCTGTAATACCAGCTACTCGGGAGTGTGAGGCAGGAGAATGGCTTAAACGTGGGAGGCAGAGGTTCCAGTGAGCCGAGATCGCTCCATTGCACTCCAGCCTGGGTGAGAAAAGCGAAACTCCATCTCAAAAAAAAACAAAAAGCAAAAAAAAACAAAAAACAGCAGGGAACCATGCATTTTCAGAAAAATGGGACAAAGGTACTTTTTCGTGGGAATGGACTGCTTTGCACCCTGGAAGCTTGGACCAGGAATGGGAAGCCAGGGCAGGAGGGGCCCATCCTGCCCCAGACTGTGCTGAGAAGGAGAGCATGGGGGAGAGGTCTTCCAAGGCTGCTCAGTCTTTGGTCATATCAGCAGGAACTCAGCGGTTCTGGTGTCCCTTGGCCTCCAGCAGCTGAAGTGCCAGCAGTGAAGAGAGTAGAACCAAGACCAAGGTGGGATGGAGGTTCTAAAGTGGGCACTCTCAGTGCTTAAACTGTGCCTGTACTAGGGGGACACTCTGACTGTCTAGGCCTGAGGCTCTAAAGCTCCCACAGCCCAATCCCTCTAGCTACAGCCGACATCTCTAAAAAGCCCATCAAGCAGTTGCTGCCCCCACATCGTCAGGGATGGGGACCATCCACCTCACAGAACACCCCTAACTTTTTTTTTGGGTGGGGGGACGGAGTTTCACTTTTGTCGCCCAGGCTGGAGTGCAGTGGCGTGATCTTGGCCCACTGCAACCTCTGCCTCCCGGGTTCAAGCAATTCTCCTGCCTCAGCCTCCTGAGTAGCTGGGATTACAAGTCCCTACCACCATGCGTGGCTAATTTTTGTATTTTTAGTAGAGATGAGTTTTCGCCATGTTGGCCAGGCTGGTCTTGAACTGCTGACCTCAGGTGATCCACCCACCTTGGCCTCCCAAAGTGCTGGGATTACAGGCATGAGCCACCGCTCCTGGCCTCATCCCTAATTTAAGAGCCTCAAACGGAGCCAAAATCCGGCCCCTTACGGTTTCCACCAATTGGTCTTAGCTTTGACCTGTGGTTCCCACCCACTGGTCTTGGCTTTAACCTCTGGTTCTAGGTGACCCAACCCTTTAGAGATTCAAAGGCTGAACATCACACACAAACACATTTGAAACAGATCCCTCAACTGTTCCTCACTGACTGTTCTTTCTCATCCTTGTTTCTCCAAAGGTGCCATTTGGGGCGGGTGGGGGGAGGGGACCCTCTTCCAGTAAAAAACTTAAGTGAAAAGCAAAGCTACCCCAACACCTTCCTCTTTCCAGATAGTTATGTCCTTATTAACATGGACCAACACCATATTAGCTTTGTAGGCTTCCACAACACTGTGACTGTCCCCTTTTGTTTGCAAGAACTTCCACGCCTCCCTGCCAAACTGCATCTCATTGGACTTGACCTAAGCTGACCCAGGGTATATCCCACCTCCTTGTTCCACAATCATCAGCCAAACTGGCACCTAGCATTCCCCCTGGCTGAGGACAGATGCCATCAGTCCTGCAAAATGCCCTCCATCACTCCGTGGGGACCGTCATTTGGCAGGCCAGAGAAGACCAGGTACCATCCCGATTGGGCTTATGGGCAACCCAGGAAAAGATGCGTACAGGTGAGGCAATTGGAGAACCAAGATGGAGCAGTGAGCGCTTCTGACTGGAAATGCCGGGAAGTTAAGATTTAGGAAAGGCTCTCAACGGGTTGGTAATCAGAGAAGGCTTCATGGAAGAGGCAGCGGCGGTGTTGGACCCGGACAGCTGGGCTTTGCATGGGCAGAAAGGAGGGGAGAGCATCTCAAAAGTAGGAAGTGGAAGCACAGGAGCTGAGCTGTGGAGGCTGCAACAGCAGAGAGGAGTCGGGCAGCATCGTCATCCTCATCATCACATTTATTGACGGCCCCTAAGAGGCGGGGCTGGGGACAGAACGTACAAAGACAAGGACCTGCCCTCAAAAAGCTTCCATTCTAAGGAGACAGGGACAGAAAAATACAGAATGGTCTTTCCTGGGTATGGCCCACTCTCACCTGCACAGGTCAGAAGCCCCTGGCCTACCTTGCCCCAGGGTCTGGAGCATGTGTGGACACGTAGTAGCCCCAGGGCCATGGTGTCCCTGGCCCCACAGCCGAGGCCTGATCACCTGGCTCCTAGGCTGTGGGCCCCAGAATTTGGGGGAAAGGTAGGCTCAGGACATGATGTAAAACACTCCTGGCGGCCTTGGCGTTGTGCGAGCCCAGTGGAGTGGTGGGGTGCGACAGGTCCCCTTGGCAAGGCCCCTAGGGGACCCAGGCATCTTCCCAGGCCCCTGTAGTTGAGTCAAGTTCTTTAACGGGGCTGGTCCATCACCCTAGAGGCCCCGGGGCACGGAAACAAAAAAGGCAGGGTGTCTTCAGCGCCAGAGGCATAAAGCCCTGCCCACCCACCCCCAGCCCCCTCTCGGGCCTCTTCCAGGGGACCCTCCTCCCCAGCTCAGCCTCCAGGGCCAGGGCCTGCCTGAGGCCAGGGGGAGGGGCCTGCCCCTCCCCCCACCCAGGCAGTGGGGGAGGAGGAGGAGCCACGCATCAAGTTTGTCTAGGCCCCCCAACTGGGGGGCCGCACCGTGGATCCTACCGGTGGGGGGGCTCTGGCTGCGAGGGCCGAGGGCTCAGCAGGGGGGCCGGGCCGAGGGGGCACCCGGGGGAGCCCTTCAGTGGGGGCACTGGGCGGGAGTCCAAGGGGGGCAGGCTCCGGGGCACTGCTGGTGGCCCCCGGGCGGCCCCAGTGGGCAGGACAGCTGCAGCCGGGAAGGATTTGGGGGGATCAGCAGCCGAGGTGGGGGCCGGCTGGGCAGAACGCTCCCGACGCCGCAGCAGCTCCTGCAGCTTCTCTGCCTGCGTCCGCCTCAGGTGGGCCAGGGCGCGGCCACGCTGGAAGGCAGGCAGGAAGGCCTCCAGGCTTTGCTCCCCGAGCAGCAGCTGCTCCATCTGCTCCTGGGCCGGGAGGGAAGGGAAGGCTTGGGAGAGGCACGACCACAGACTGGGGACTGGTCCTCACTCCTTCCCACCCTGAGGCCCTCCCCATGGTGATCACCCCTCAGCTGGGGGACAGGGGACCTGCGTTCCAGCCTGGGCCTGCCTCCGATTACTTGCTAAGTGAACTGTGGACAAATGTCCTCCCACTTTTTTTTTTTTTTCCTGAGACAGAGTCTCACTGTGGTCCAGGCTGGAGTGCAGTGGCGCAATCTCGGCTCACTGCAACCTCCACCTCCCGGGTTCAAGCAATTCTCCTGCCTCAGCCTCCCAAGTAGCTGAGATGACAGACATGCACCACCACGCCCGGCTAATTTTTTTTTGTATTTTGTAGAGACGGGGTTTCACCATGTTGGTCAGGCTGGTCTCGAACTCCTGACCTCAGGCGATCCGCCCGCCTCGGTCTCCCAAAGTGCTGGGATTACAGGCGTGAGCCACTGTGCCCAGCCCTAACTTCTAAAATAAGGATGCCATCACCAGACCTGCTGGATCAGAGATGAGGCAGGAGCAGAGGCAGGGACATATGTGAAGTATAGACTTAACATGTCCTTCGGGAGCCCACCACCTTCAGCTCACTGATCGCTGCACTCCCAACCCAGCACAAAGTCTGCCCCAGCTCCTCTGTAGCCCCAGATCCACGCTGCCCTAGCCCAGTCACAGGGGAGCCCGAAAAAAATTCACAGGTAGGAAAGTGAGCCCTGCTGGCTGTCCAGTGCTGGTGGACAGCAATGCTAGGCTCTGGCATGCGCCAGGCATTCAGGGTGGACTTCCCAGAGGAGGGGCTCCCCAGCCTGAGGTGTAAGAATGAGCCAGGGGGTGGCAGAGAATGGGTCTCCCTCCTGGCCCCCAGCCCCAGCCACCCCTCCCCTCACCTCTGCCTCCTGCTCCGCCTCTTCTAGCTCAGCCTGCAGCCAGCCCAGCGCGCAGTGGGGACTCCAGCGATGCATGCTTTCCTCTGAGGGCCACAGAGGGACAGAGTGACAGACAGGCCAGGGCCCCGGGCTTGCACTCTCCCGCTGACCCCATGTGATTCTATATTTCCCTTTCCCCTGGTCTAGAGCCTCAGTTTCCTCATCTGTACCGTGCCCATGTGACCGCTTTGTGGATCCGGCCCCTACCAAGTTTCTGCTCCTCGTCCTAGTACAAAAGAGACAGGGGAGGCTTTGTCCCCCTCAGCATCTCAGGGGGACCCTGCGTATTGGGTCCCCTTTCTCCCACCCAACCCTCCCCACTTCCTCTCACTTCCTCAACTCTACTGCCCAGCAAGCCAGGAGCAGGTCCGCCCAACTCCCATCCATCAGAGCCTGGCACTTCCCAAGGCCAACCCACCGGATGGCCAACTGCCCCCACCAGCCCCAGGGGGTTCTCCCAGACGTGCCCTCACCCAGTCGCTGCAGCTTGTCCGCGCAGTTCTCGGCCACCTCACGAAGCTCCTGGTATTTGATGGCCAGGGCAGCCCGGCCCATCTCCAGGCGGGGCCGCAGGGCCAGGTTCTCCTTGGCCAGCGCGTAGTTGGAGGCCAGGCAGGCCTCACGCTCCAGCTGCAGGCCCTGGAACTGCGGGCAGAGAGGAGCTAAGAGGCCCGCTCAGGGGATCTGCCCTGTCCACCCTACTGCCCCGTCCACCCTACTGGGCGACCGTGCCTGAGGGCCAGGCCAAAGGCACCTGTCAGGCACCCCTTCAGGGTGGTGAACCCAACAGGTGAAGGGACGATGACAGGCCGGGACCAGAACTGGCTCTGCCCTGAGCTCCCTCTCTGGCCTCAGTTTCCTCTTTTACAAATCGAGTTAAAAAACATCCACCTTATGGGGTTGTTGAGAGACTTAAGTGAGGAAAACTATAAAGGCCTCTACAAATGTTAGTTAATTTTTAATTTTTCAATTAATATGTCTGCTCAGGTCCCGGAGGAGTGCCCCTCCCTCCTCTGCCCCATTTTCCATGCATGGACAGCTTCCCTCTCACTCCAGGCCTTTGTCTGTTTCCTCCTCAGGTGTTTGCACCGAAAACACTCCCACCCCCTGCTCATCCTCTCCAGAGGGGTGTCTGCACCCCGTCCCCTCACAGCACCCCCTCGGGTCACCCTCTCTTCCCTTCCCACCCCTTCCTCTGCCTCCAGTGGAATCCTCACACCCCAAGGAATACACACCCCCTTTTCCTCCCTGCTCCGGGCTTACAGCAGCCCCGGCCCTGGAGAAGGCTTTTTCCTTGTCTCTAGCAGGGCCCAACCTCCCCTCCCTGCCCCTGGAGAACGCACTCCCCTCCATCTGTCCCTTGTGGGATGCACAAGCCCCTCCTCGCCTGCCTGCTTTCAACACACACTTGCCCTTTCTGCCCCCCACAGACAACCAGCCCGGGCCTATCTCCCGTGAAATATACAACTTTCTCTTACGGTGGCCTATGCAATACACACGGCAGCTTCCAGCACCCCTCCCCAACGCCAGGCACAAAGCCCCCTCTTGCGCCCCCAGAATGCGTGAACCCCCAACGGCCCCTCCAGGTGTCAGACAGGCCCCTAGTTCTCCCAGTGGAAGGCGCCTCCTCTTTCTGGCCCTTACAGAACGTGGGTGTGCGAGCCAGGGCCCCCCACAACACAGCCCCCCGGAACACACCTCCCCGGAGCATCCGCTGTAGGACACGCCTCGCGGCCATCCTGGGGGTGCACAGGCGCCCCCCTCGGGTCCCCGGCGCCCCACCCGCCCCAGGCCAGCTCCAAGCGCCCCCTCCCCCGGGGGTGGCTCCGCGGGGCCCACTCGTACGTGCCAGGCTCCGCGCCCACGGGCGGCCCCGCGGCCCGGCCCGCGCGGCCCTTCCCTCGAGCGGCAGGTCCCGCAGGCCGCTGCCCGTCCCCCGCGCCCCCCGCTCGAGCCCCCCGCGCTACCTTCCTGCTGAGCCGCACGATCCGGTCCAGCTTGGGCTCATCCTGAAGCAGGTCCCGGAGCTGCCCGGTGCTGAGGATCCCAAAGCGCCCCGGGCTGCCGGGCTCCGGCCCCGCCCGCGCCGCCCGGGCCCGGTACATGCCGCCCGCCCGCGCCCCCAGCTCGGCTGCTGGCTCGGCCCGCTCGGCCCGCTCCGCCCCGGCTCCGCTCCGCTCCGCTCCGCTCCGGCTCCAGGATCCGCTCCGGCTCCGGCCGCACGCACCGCTCCGCCGCCAGGGGGCGCCCCTCCCGCTCTTAAAGGAGCCGCGGCGCCGGGGCTGGGGGTGGGGCAGGGAGGAGGCGGGCCGCACCCCTCCCCGCCCCGGCCGCGCCGCGCCGCCTCCAGCACCCCAGGATCGCCCAGCAACCCGATCTCCCCGCCCCTCCCGGAATCTGAGCCGCCCTGCTCTGCGCCCCAGCACCGGCCCTGGCTCACCACGCCCCCAGGCACGGACTCTCCCACCCCGGGCGGTTACAATTTGCAGAGCCCGTGCACGTTTTCCCCTCGGATGGCAACAACAAATTTCTGACTTTGGCCGGGCGCCGAGGGCTCCTGCCTTGCAGCCCTCCCCAAGCCTCAGTTTTCTCTTCTGTAAAATGGGGTTGGAGATGGTGAGCGCTGACTTGCTGGCCGGGCGCGGTGGCTCTCTCCTGTAATTCCAGCGATTTGGGAGACCGAGAAGGGAGGATCGCTTGAGGCCAGGAGTTTGAGACCAGCCTGGGCAACATAACAAGACCCCCGTCTCTATTTAAAAAAATTTAAAAATTGTCAAAAGGGTGAAAAGAGGCCGGGCGCGGTGGCTCACGCCTGTAATCCCAGCACTTTGGGAGGCCGAGGCGGGCGGATCACGAGGTCAGGAGATCGAGACCATCCTGGCTAACATGGTGAAACCCCGTCTCTACTAAAAATACAAAAAAAATTAGCCGGGCGTGGTGGCGGGCGCCTGTAGTCCCAGCTACTCGCGAGGCTGAGGCAGGAGAATGGCGTGAACCCGGGAGGCGGAGCTTGCAGTGAGCGGAGATCGCGCCACTGCACTCCAGGCTGGGTGACAGAGCGAGACTCCGTCTCAAAAAAAAAAAAAAAAAGAGTGAAAAGAACAATTTTTAAAAGTATTTAAATGCTTTTAAAAAGTATCCGGACATGGTGGCATGCGTCTGTAGTCCTAGCTACTCAGGAGGCAGAGGTGGGAGATTGCTTGAGCTCAGTTTTGAGACCAGCCTGGGCAACACAGCAAGACCCCATCTCTATAAAAGTAAAATTAAAATGCTGAGGGATAGTGATATGGCTAGCAATGTTATAATGAATACACATAGTAGGTCAATACCCACTTGTTATTTTAGACATGCAGAAGCATCACAGAGGCCGGGCACGGTAGCCCATGCCTGTAATCCCAGCACTTTGGGAGTCCAAGGTGGGTGAATCATTTGAGGTCAGAAGTTTGAGACCAACCTGACCAACAAAAATTAGCCGGGCGTGGTGGTGGGCGCCTGTAATTCCAGCTACTCAGGTGGCTGAGGCAGGAGAATCGCTTGAACCTGGGAGGCGGAGGTTGTAGTGAGCCGAGATAGCACCACTCCACTCCAGCCTGGGCGACAGAGACTCCGTGCTCCGTCTCAAACAAAGAAAAAAAAGAAAAAAAAGAGATGATGTCGCCTCCCCAAAGTCACATTACAGGTAAATGATACAGTCCCGTTTCTTCTCATTTGTACAGTGTCCACAGAGCATACGATGCCGCTCTGCGCTGAACACTGGGTTAGGCCCTGTGGGGACACTGTCCCTGCCCTCAGGGAGTTCATGGATTAAGGCAGAGTCCCATTCCCACTCAACTAATTCTAGTATAAGACAAATGGCAGGTGTCACCTCATGATGGCTTTGTGATTCCCATGTGATCCCCGATATGTCCTGTACCTTGTCTTTACAAATAGGTTAAGCCATTGTCCCCATCTCAGGAAATAGACACTCAGAAATTAAGTCAGACAATGAGTGACCCAGCCTGGGCAACACAATGAGACCCCCATCTCTGCCAAACATAAAAAATAAAGTAGCCGGCCGTGGTGGTTCGTGCCTGTAGCCCCAGCTGCTCAGGAGGCTGAGGTGGGAGGATCACTTGAGCCCAGGAGGTTGAGGCTGCAGTGACCTATGATTTTGCCACTGTACTCCAGCCTGGGAAATGGAGCAAGACCCCGTCTCAAAAAACAACAACGACAACTGAGCTTGTTCCACCTTAATACACTGCTACAAAAGTACAAAGAGCAATTAGGAAGGCTTACCAGAGGAGGTGGCATTTGAGCTGGGTTTCAGAGGTTGAATAGGAGTTCTCAAGTTGAAGGAGAAAATGATGAAAGCAAACAGAAATCCATAAGCCAAGGCATAGGGGCGGGAAGAGCTGAGCAAGGACTCTCCCTATCCAGCCATAGCATGGTGGGCAGGCATGGTGCCAATGTCTGGGAGAAGCGGCAGGACAGCCTTGTTGACAGACCATAAAAGTAACACTTCTACTTTTTTTTAAAAACAGTTCTACATTTTTACAACAACTAAAATTGGCTTTCCCCTTCAAGACTCATCTGGAATATCACCACCTCCAGGAAGCCCTCTCCACCTTCCCAGGCTAGGGGGTTATTCCCTTTTCCTCTGGACTCACACAGTCCCTTCACTTTCTTTTTAGACAGAGTCTCCCTCTGTCGCCCAGGCTGGAGTCAGTGGTGTGATCTCAGGTCACTGCAATCTTTGCCACCCAGGTTCAAACAGTTCTCCTGCCTAAGCCTCCGGAGTAGCTGGGATCACAGTAATTTTTTTTTTTTTTTTTTTTTTTTTTTTTTTTTTTGAGACAGAGTCTCACTCTGTTACCCAGGTCAGAGTGCAGTGACGCGATCTCAGCTCACTACAAGCTCCGCCTCCCGGGTTCACACCGTTCTCCTGCCTCAGCCTCCTGAGTAGCTGGGACTACAGGCGCCCGCCCCCAAGCCCGGCTAATTTTTTGTATTTTTAATAGAGACAGGGTTTCACCGTGTTAGCCAGGATAGTCTCAATCTCCTAACCTCGTGATCCGCCCACCTCGGCCTCCCAAAGTGCTGGGATTACAGGCATGAGCCACCGCGTGCAGCCTTCTTTTGTGTGTTTTTAGTAGAGATGGGGTTTTCACCATGATGGCCAGGTTGGTCTTGAACTCCTGACCTCAAGTGATCCACCCGCCTCGGCGTCCCAAAGTGTTGGGATTACAGGCGTGAGTCACCATGCCTGGCCCCTTTCACCATTTATTTTAGCCCTTACCTTGCCTGTGGACTTCTCTTTGGTTCCATTATTTTCTCCCTCAATTTCAGAACTCCTATTGCACCTTTGAAGCCCAGCTCAAATGTCACCTTCTCTGGTAAGCCTTTCTGAGCTCCCCAGTTTGCTCTGCCTCCTCAGGGCCCATTGTGTTCACTAAGTGTTCGGGGGTCTCCTAGATACTCCCTCTATCCAGCCCTCCCTCGGCCCCTCCCACTTTGTGTTACAAGCCTTCTTCAACCTAAAAGGCAGTGGTCAGCGCCAATGGGAGGTTCCTACCTCAGCTTGTCCCCTCTTTCTCGCTGATCCCCCTTTGTTCAGCCTCAATACCCCACAACAATGCCCCCTGTAAACCTTCCCCATACTCCGCAGACAACCAAGCCCACTCCTGTCCCTCAGCAGATAACTCTCCTGCCAGTTCCTGTCTCCACATCTTTGCTTTTTTTTTTTTTTTTTTTGAGACAGTCTCATTGTGTTGTCCAGGCAAGAATGCAGTGGCTCGTTCATAGCTCACTGTAGCCTCGAACTCCTGGGCTCAAAGGATCCTCCCACCTCAGCTTCCACAGTAGCTGGGACTACAGGCCTGTGCCACTGTGCCCAGCTAATTTTTTATTTTTTTGTAGCAATATGGACTTGCTATATTGTCCAGGCTGGTCTTGAACTCCTGGACTCAAGTGATCCTTGCACCATGGTCTCCCAAAGTGCTGGGATTACAGGCGTGAGCCACCGCGCCTGGCTGCATGTTCTTTGCCTCTGTCCAGAGCCCTTCCTTCCCTACTGCCTCCAGGAAGGGCAACCTCTCTTCATTCCAAAGCCAACCCAGGTACCCTTGCTGTGGGTCTCACTTTCACCTGTCTCCTTTACTCCTTTAAGATGCCTTGGGAGGGGCACCGTGGCTCACGCCTATAATTTCAGCACTTTGGGAGGCCAAAGTGGGGCGAATCACCTGAGGTCAGGAGTTCAAGACCAGCCTGGCCAACATGGTGAAACTCCGTCTCTACTAAAACTACAAAAGTTAGCTGGGCGTGGTGGCTTACACCTGTAGTCCCAGGTACTCAAGAGGCTGAGGCAGAAGAATTGCTTGAACTCAGCAGGTGGAGGTTGCAGTGAGCCAAGATTGTGCCACTGCACTTCAGCCTGGGTGACAGACCAAGAGTCCATCTTTAAAAAAAAAAAAAAAGCCTTGTTCCACTACAGTAGTAATGAATGTCTGTCTGTCTGTCTGTCTCTCTTTCTGTCTCTTTCACCTGTAATTTCTGCCTTTAGACTTCACTTTCTCTCCCCACCCAATGTTTTGAAAGTACCCTCTACATCCTGCACTTCCTCTGTCCATTTTCTTACCACTCCCCCTTGTTCTGTGACTCAGTCTAATTTCACTCCCTCCCACCATTTCAAGTGCATCCCTCTAGCCAAGGTTACCAATTACCTTCTTACTGCTAGGGCCCTGCTTTTTCACATTCAATACCATGGGCCACCTTTTTCTTCTTGATCACATAGAAATCAGAGCTCAGATATTTCATAGCTGTCAGGTTGGCACAAATTAAAAAGTCCAATAACATCAAGTGTTGGTGAGGAAGGGGAGCACCAGGAACTCTCATGCAATGTTAGCAGAAGACAGAATCAGTTCATTTTGGAGAACACTTTAACAAACTGGGTAATTCAAAGATATTCATGTCACACCTACTCAGTTGTTTCCCTCTGTGGTAGATCCAATAATTCCCCCTTGTCCCAAAAGACATCCCCATGCTAACCCTGGAACCTGTAAATATGTTACCTTACATGGCAACAGGGACTCTACAAATGCAGTAGAGTTAAGAATCTTGGCCAGCCATGGTGACTCACACCTATAATCCCAGCACTTTGGGAGGCCGAGGCAGGTGGATCACCTGAGGTTGGGAGTTTGAGACCAGCCTAACCAACATGGAGAAACCCTGTCTCTTCTGAAAATAGAAAATTACCTGGGCATGGTGGCACATGCCTGTAGTCCCAGCTACTTGGGAGGCTGAAGCAGGAGAATCGCTTGAACCCGGGAGGCGGAGGTTGCAGTGAGCCAAGATCATGCCGTTGCCCTCCAGCCTGGGCAACAAAAGCGAAACTCCGTCGCAAAAAAAAAAAAAAAAAAAAAAAAGAGAGAGAGAGAAGAAAAGAACAAAAGAATTTTGAGATGCTTGGGAGGCTGAGGCAGGAGAATTGCTCGAATCTGGGAGGCAGAGCTTCAGTGAGCCGAGATGGCGCCACTGCACTCCAGCCTGGGCAACAGAGTAAGACTCCATCTCTAAAAAAAAAAAAAAAAAAAAATGCTGGTCACGGTGGCTCATGCCTGTAATCCCAGCACTTTGGGAGGCCAAGGCGGGTGGATCATGAGGTCAGGAGATCAAGACCATCCTGGCTAACAATGAAACCCTGTCTCTACTAAAAATACAAAAAAATTGGCTGGGTGTGGTGGCGGGTGCCTGTAGTCCCAGCTACTCAGGAGGCTGAGATGGGAGAATGGCATAAACCCAGGAGGCGGAGCTTGCAGTGAGCTGAGATCACGCCACTGCACTCCAGCCTGGGTGACAGAGCGAGACTGTGTCTCAAAAAAAAAAAGAAGAAGAATCTTGAGATGGGCCAGGCTTGGTGGCTCATGCCTGTAATCCCAGCACTTTGGGAGGCTGAGGCAGAAGGATCACTTGAGCCCAAGAGTACAAGACCAGCCTGCACAACATAGTGAGACCCCCATCTCTATAAAAAAAAGTTTTTTTTTAATTAGCCAGGTATGGTGGTACATGCTGTAGTCCCAGCTACTCAGGAGGCTGAGGCAGAAGGATCACTTGATTTCAGGAGGTAGATGCTGCAGTGAGCTATGATAGTGCCACTGCATTCCAGACTGGGCAACAGAGCAAGACCCTGACTCAAAAAAAAAAAAAAAAAGACGCCTGAGATGCAGTGAGCATCCTAGATCACCAAGTTGGACCCAACATAATCACAAGGGTTCTTATAAGAGGGAGGAAGGAGGGTCAGAATCCGAGAAGGAAATGTGATAGTGGAAGCAGAGGGTCAGAGTCAGAGAGAAACTGGTGGCTTTGAAGATGAAGGCAGAGGCCATAAGCCAAGGAATGCAGGAAACCTCTGGAAGCAGAAAAAGGCAAGGGAATGGACTCGGCCTCTGGGGACTCCAGCAGGACACCTTGATTTCAGCCCAATAAGGCTCATTTGGGGCAGGGCACGGTGGTTCACGTTTGTAATCCCAGCACTTTGGGAGGTGGAGGCGGGCAGATCGCTTGGGCTTAGGAGTTTGAGACCAGCCTGGCCAACATGGTGAGACCCCATCTCTACTAAAAATACAAAAATTAGCTGGGTATGATGGCACCCGCCCATAATCCCAGCTACTCGAAAGGCTGAGGCACAAGAATCGCTTGAACCCGGGAGGTGGAGGTTGCAGTGAGCCGAGATTGTGCCACTGCACTCCAGCCTGGGTGACAGAGTGAGACTCTGTCTCAAAACAAACAAAGAACCATTTTGGGCTCCTGACATCCAGAACTGTAAGATAATACATTTGAGTTGTCCAAAGCCACTGATTTTGTGTTAATTTATTATAGTGGCTATAGGAAATTAATGCAAACTTCTACAAAATTTTTCCCTCTTGGACTAGGAGGCAAGGACAGGAATTTTTATTTTTATTATTATTATTTTATTTTTTATTTTTGAGACAGAGTTTTGCTCTGTCGCCTAGGCTGAGTGTGTGGTGGCACGATCTTGGCTCACTGCAACCTCCGCCTCCCAGGTTCAAGCGGTTCTTGTGCCTCAGCCTTCTGAGTAACTGGGATTACAGGCGTGTGCCACTACTCCCAGCTAATTTTTGTATTTTTAGTAGAGACGGGGTTTCCCCATGTTGGTTAGGCTGGTATCCAACTCCTGACCTCAGGTGATCTGCTCACCTCAGCCTCCCAAAGTGCTGGGATTATAGGCGTGAGCCACCGCACCCTGCCTGTATTATTTGTAGTCACAAAAAAACCTGGAAACAATCCAAATGTCCAACCATAGGAGAATGGCAAAGACACCAGTGTGTCTTCATACAATGGAGTACTTCATATATACAGCAACAAAAATGAGAAAACTACAGCCATGCATGTGAATTTGAGTGAATCTCAAACAACACTGAGTGAAAAAGGGAAGCAGCAGAAAAATATATTCAGTATACTACTGTTTATATAAAGCTTAGAAACAGGAAAGATTGGCCAGGCGCGGTGGCTCACACCTGTAATCCCAATACTTTGGGAGGCCGAGGCAGGTGGATCACGAGGTCAAGAGTTCTAGACCAGCCTGACCAACAAGGTGAAACCCCGTTTCTACTAAAAATAAAAAAACATTAGCCAGGCGTGGTGGCAGGCGCCTGTAGTCCCTGCTCGGGAGGCTGAGGCAGGAGAATCGCTTGAACCCGGTATGTGGAGGTTGCAGTGAGCCGAGATTACACCACTGCATTCCAGCCTGGGTGACAGAGTGTGAGACTCCATCTAAGAAAGAAAGAGAGAGAGGGAGAGGGAGGGAGGAAGGGACGGAGGGAGGGGAGGGGAGGAGAAAGAGAGAGAGAAAGAAAGGAAAGGAAGGAAGGAGGGAGGGAAGGAGGGAAGGAAGGAAGGATGGAAGGAAGGAAGGAAAGAAGGAAAGAAGGAAGGAAGGAAGGAAGGAAGGAGAAAGCCAGCCAAACTGCCCGGTCTAGTGGCTCACACCTGTAATCTCAACGCTTGGGAGGCTGAGGCAGGAGGATTGCTTGAGCCAAAGACGTCGAGGCTGCACTGAGCTTGATCCCACCACTACACTCCAGCCTGGATGACAGAGCGAAACCCTGTCAAAAAAGAAAAGAAAAGAAACAGGAAAAACTATATTTTGTATTGCTTGGAGATACATACAGAGTGAAAGTTTGGAAACAATAAACATAAAATTCAGAAGTGTAGCTCTCTGATAGAAGGGCTTTGGAGTTGGCAGGGAGACTCTGGGAACTTTAATGGCATTGATGGTTTGATTTTTTTTTCTTCTTAGAGACAGGGTCTCACTATGTTGGCCAGGCTGGTCTCGAACTCCTGGGCTCAAGCGATCCTCCCCTCTCAGCCTCCCAAAGTGCTAGGATTACAGGCATGAGCCACGGTGCCCTGTTGGCACAATCAATCGTAGAACATTTTCATCTCGCCCAAAAGAAACCTCATACCCTGGCGGCTCACACCTGTAATCTCAGCACTTTGGGAGGCCAAGACGAATGGATCACCTGAGGTCAGGAGTTCGAGACCAGCCTGGCCAACATGGTAAAGCCCCATCTCTACTAAAAATACAAAAATTAGCTGGGCATTGGCCGGGCGTGGTGGCTCACGCCCGTAATTCCAGCACTTTGGGAGGCCGAGGCAGGCAGATCGTGAGGTCAGGAGATCAAGACCATCCTGGCTAATACAGTGAAACCCCCCTCTACTAAAAATACAAAAAAAAAAAAAATTAACTGGGCGTGGCAGCGTGCACCTTTAGTCCGAGCTGCTGGGAAGGCTGAGGCAGGAGAATGGCATAAACCCAGGAGGCAGAGCTTGCAGTGAGCCGAGATCGCACCACTGCACTCCAGCCTGGGTGACAGAGCAAGACTCCGTCTCAAAAAAAAAAAAAAAAAAAAAAATTAGCTGGGTGTGGTGGTGGGTGCCTGTAATCCCAGCTACTCGGGAGGCTGAGGCAGGAGAATCGCTTGAACCCGGGAGGCAGAGGTTGCAGTGAGCAGAGATCTCAACAGTGACTCTGCATTTGCCCCCAAGCCTGCCCACCCAGCCCTGGCAACCACAAATCTACTTTCTTTCTCTATAGATTGGCCTATCCTACACATTTCCTATAAATGGAATCATATAATATATGGTCTTTCGTGACTGGCTTTTTTTTTTTTTTTTTGAGACAGTCTTGCTCTTGTCGCCCAGGCTGGAGTGCAATAGCATGATCTCAGCTCACTGCAACCTCCACCTTCCGGGTTCAAATAATTCTCCTGCCTCAGCCTCCCAAGTAGCTGGGATTACAGGCGCCCACCACTACACCCAGCTACTTTTTGTATTTTTAGTAGAGACAGAGTTTCGCCATGTTGGCCAGGCTGGTCTCGAACTCCTGACCCCGTGATCCTCCCGCCTCGGCCCCCAAGGTGCTGGGATTACAGGCGTGAGCCACCGCCCCCGGCCAGTGACTGGCTGCTTTTATTCAGCATAATGTTTTCAAGATTCATTCACAGTGCAGCATTTATCAGTACCTAATTCCTTTTGATTTTTTTATTGTGGTAAAATATATGTAACATAAAATTTATCCTTTAAACCACTTAAATGAACAGCTCAGTAGCATTAAATATATTCACATTGTTGTGCAACCGTCACCATCATCCACTTCCAGAATTTTCCTCACCTTCCCAAACTGAAACTCCATCCCCATGAAACACTCACTCCTCATTCCTCTTCCCCACAGCCCCTGGCACGCACCATTCTACTTTCTGTCTCTATGAATTTGATTACTCCAGATACCGCATATAAATGGACTCATATAGTATTTTTTCTTTTGTGACTGGATTATTTCATTCAGTATAATGTTTTCTTTCTTTCTTTTTTTTTTTTTTTGAGACGGAGTCTCGCTCTGTCGTCCAGACTGGAGTCCAGTGGCACCATCACAACTCACTGCAGCTTCAAACTCCTGGGCTCAAGCAATCTGCCTGCCTCAGTTTCCTGAGTCACTGGACTACAGACATGCTACCGTGCCTGGCTAATTTTTTTTTTTTTTTTTTTTGAGATGGAGTCTTGCTCTGTCGCCCAGGCTGGAATGCAGTGGTGTGATCTTGGCTCACTGCAACCTCTGCCTCCCGGGTTCAAGTGATTCTCCTGCCTCAGCCTTCCGAGTAGCTGGGATTACAGCTGCGTGCCACCACACCTGGCCAAGTTTTTTTTTTTTGTTTTTTTTTTTTTTGTATTTTTAGTAGAAACAGAGTTTCACCAGTTGGCCAGGCTGGTCTCGAACTCCTGACCTCAAGTGATCCACCCACCTCAGCCTCTCAAAGTGCTGGGATTGCAGGCATGAACCATCATGCCCGGCCCCTGGCTGATTTTTTGTTTTATTTATTTATTTGTTTATTTATTTATTTTGAGACAGAGTATCGTTTTGTTGCCCAGGCCGGAGTTCAGTGGCATGATCTTGGCTCACTGCAACCTCCTCCTCCCAGGTTCAAGCGATTCTCTTGCCTCAGCCTCCCAAGTGGCTGAGATTACAGTCATGCACCACCATGCCCAGCTAATTTTTGTATTTTTAGTAGAGGCGGGGTTTCAAGATGTTGGTCAGGCTGGTCTCGAACTCCTGACCTCAAGTGGTCCTCCTGCTTCGGCCTCCCAAAGTGCTGGGATTACAGGCCTGAACCATTGCACCTGGCCAACTTCATTCCTTTTTAAGGCTGAATAATATTTTGTGTATGTATGTTGTGCTTTTTATGGCTGAATAATATTCTATTATAATGAACGTACCATAAGTTGTTTACCCACTCATCAGTTGGTGAACATTGGGGTTTTTCCACTTTGGGGCTATTATGCATAATGCTATGAACATTCGCATATAAATCTTTGTGTGACATATGTTTTCGTTTCTCTTGGGTATATACTGAGGAGTGAATATATGATAACTCTATGTTTAGCTTTTTGAGAAAGGGCCAGACTGCTTTCCAAAGCAGCTGTACCTCTTTACATTTACACGAGCAAAGCACAACGGTTCCAATTTCTTTATTTTATTTTATTTCATTTTATTTTATTTTATTTTATTTTATTTTATATTTTTGAGACAGGGTGTCTCTCTGTCCCCCAGGCTGGAGTGTAGTGGTGTGTTCATGGCTCACTGCAGCCTCAACCTTCTGGGCTCAAGTGATCCTCCCGCCTCAGCCTTCTGAGTAGCTGGGACTACAGGTGCGCACCACCATGCCTGACTAATTTTTTACATTTTTTTTTTTTGGTAGAAATGGGGGTCTCACTATGTTGCCTAGGCTAGTCTCAAACTCCTGGCCTCAAGTGGTCCTCCCACGTCAGCCTCCCAAAGGGCTGGGATTACAGGTTGAGCCACCACACCCAGCCAAGGGTTCCAATTTCTTTGCCAACACTAGCTTCCCGTCTTTTTTAATTATAGCCACCCTAGTGGGTGTGAAGTGGCATCTCATAATTTGATTTGTGTTTCTCTGATGACTAATGATGTCAAACATCTTTTCATGTACGGTACTTATCGGCCATTTGTAGATCTTCTCTGTAAAAATGTGTATTAAGACCCTTTGCCTCTGTTTTTATTTTTCCTTTTTCAACTTTTTTTTTTTTTGAGATGGAGTCTGGCTCTGTTACCCAGGCTGGAGTGCAGTGGCACCATCTTTGCTCACTGCAACCTCTGCCTCCCAGGTTCAAGCAATTCTACTGCCTCAGCCTCCCGAGTAGCTGGGATTACAGGCGCCCGCCACCACACCCAGTTAATGTTTGTATTTTTACTAGGGACGGGGTTTTCACCCTGTTAGTCAGGCTGGTCTCGAACTCCTGACCTCAAGTGATCCACCCACCTTGGCCTCCCAAAGTGCTGGGATTACAGGCATGAGCCACTGCGCCCGGCCCCAACTTTTCTTTTTTCCTTTTTGGAGACGGAGTTTTGCTCTGTCTGTCACCAGGCTGGAGTGCAGTGGCAGGATCTTGGCTCACTGCAACCTCCGCCTCCCTGGTTCAAGCAACTCTCCTGCCTCAGCCTCCCGAGTAACTGGGACTACAGGTGCACTCCGCCACGCCAGCTAATTTTTTTTTTAATTATTTTTTATTTTTAGTAGAGATGGGGTTTCACCATGTTGGTCTTGAACTCCTGACCTCAAGTGATCCACCCACTCAAAAGTGCTAGGATTATAGGCATGAGCCACCACACCCGGCCTCAAATTTTCTTTTAGAATCAGAAGGTACATGTGCAGATTTTTTATGAGGTATATGGCGTGGTGCTGAGGTTTGAAGTATGACTGAACTCAGGTACTGAGCATAGTGCCCAAAAGGTAGTTTTTCTGCCCTTGTCTCCCTCTCTCTCCTCTCTATAGTCCCCAGTGTCTATTGTTACCATCTGATATGTTTTGGCTGTGTCCCCACCCAAATCTCATCTTGAATTCGCACCTGTTGTGGGAGAGACCTGGTGGGAGGTAATTGAATCATGGGGGCAGGTCTTTCTCCTGCTGTTCTTGTGATAGTGAATAAGTCCCAGGGGATCCAATGGTTTTAAAAATAGCAGTTTCCCTGAAAAGCTCTCTTTGCCTGCTGCCATCCATGTAAGACGTGACTTGCTCCTCCTCGCCTTCCACCATGATTGTGAGGCCTCCCCAGCTACGTGGAACTGTAAGTCCATTAAACCCTTTTTCCTGTATAAATTACCCAGTCTTGGGTATGTCTTTATCAGCTGTGTGAAAATGGACTAATACACCATCTTTGTGTTCATATATACCCAATGTTTAGCTCCCACTTATAAGTGAGAACATGCAGTATTTTATTTTCTATTTCTGTGCTAGTTTGCTTAGGATAATGGCCTCCAACTGCATTCATGTTGCTGCAAAGGACATGGTTTTTCTTCCTTTTTATGGCTGTGTAGTAGTCCATGGTGTATCCATACCACATTTTCTTTATCCAAACCACCATTGATGGGCACCTGGTTTAATTACATGTTTTTGTTATTGTGAATAGCATTGCAATGATCAGACAATTTGCCCATGTTTTGATTGGGCTATCTTTATATTGTAAGAGTTCTTTATATTTCTGGGAAACTAGTCTTTTATCAGATATATGATTTGCAATTTAGTTCCCCTCTGTAGGTTATCTTTATTCTCTTGATGATGTCTTTTGAAGCACAAACGTTTTTTATTCTATTTTGGTGAAGTCCATTTTACCTATTTTTTCTTCTCTTGCTTGTGCTTTAGTGTCCTATCTAAAGAACAATTTTCTAAATCAAAGTCACAAAGATTTATTTATTTATTTATTTTTTGAGGCAGAGTCTTGCTGTATTGCCCGGGCTGGAGTGTAGCGGTGTGATCATGGCTTCCTGCACCCTCCACCTCCCGGGTTCTAGTGGTTCTCCTGCCTCAGCCTCCTGAGTAGCTGGAATTACAGGTGCCTGCCACCATGCCTGACTGATTTTTGTATTTTTAGTAGAGACGGGGCCAGGCTGGTCTCGAACTCCTGATCTCAGATGATCCACCCACCTCAGCCTCCCAAAATGCTGGGATTACAGGTGTAAACCACTGCACCTGGCCCACAAAGATTTACTTTCTTTTTTTTTTTTTTTTTTTTGAGACAGAGTCTCGCTCTGTCACCCAGGCTGGAGTGGCGATATCTTGACTCACTACAACCTCTTCCTCCGGCTTTCAAGTGACCCTCATGCCTTAGCCTCCCAAGTAGCTGAAACCACAGGTGTGTGCCACCATGCCTGGCTGATTTTTTTGTATTTTTAGTAGAGATGGGGTCTTTTTATGTTGCCCAGGCTGCTCTCAAATTCCTGACCTCAAGTGAGGGAGGTCTGCCTGGGCCTCCCATAGTGCTGGGATTACAATTACAATTTCTTTTTTTTTTTTCTTTTTTTTTTTTTTTTTGGTGAGACGGAGATTTACTCTTGTTGCCCAGGCTGGAGTGCAATGGCGCGATCTCGGCTCACCGCATCCTCCACCTCCCAGGTTCAAGCGATTCTCCTGCCTCAGCCTCCCGAGCAGCTGGGATTACAGGCATGTGTCACCACACCTGGCTAATTTTGTATTTTTAGTAGAGACGGGGTTTCACTGTGTTGCCCAGGCTGATCTTGAACTCCTGACCTCAGGTGATCTGCCCTCCTCGGCCTCCCAAAGTGCGGGGATTACAGGCATGAGCCACTGCGCCCAGCTGATTACAATAACTTCTAATCTGCTTTGTCTCACTACAGGTTACCCTACATTTTCTTGAATTTTACGTAAATGAATCATATAGTATATACTTTCTGGGGGGCTTTTTTACTCACAATTATTATTATTATTATTTCAAGACAGGTTCTCACTCTGTCACCAAGGCAGGAATACAGTGGCACAATTACGACTCACGGCAGCCTCGACCTCCTGGGCTGAAGCAATCCTCCCGCCTAAGCCTCTCGAGTAGCTGGGACTACTGCCATGCACCACCATGCCTGGCTGATTTATTTATTTTTATTTTTTATAAAGGTATAATCCCACTATGTTGCCCAGGCTGGTCTTGAACTCCCGGGCTCAAGCTGTCCTCCCATGTCAGCCTCCCAAAGTGCTGGGATTACAGGTGTGAGCCACTGTGGCTGGCCCATTCCCCAATCATATGCTGCATTTCCACACCTCTTCTGCCTTAGCTCAAGACGTAGTTTCACCTAGAATGCTCTTCCTCCCGGCTGGGCGGGAGAGAACCAGGAGTTTGAGACCAGCCTGGCCAACATGGTGAAACTCCATCTCTACTAAAAATACTAAAATTAGCCGGGTGGTGGTACACACCTGTAATCCCAGCCACTCGGGAGGCTGAGGCAGGAGAATCGCTTGAACCTGGGAGGTGGAGATTGCAGTGAGCCGAGATTGCGCCACTGTACTCCAGCCTGGGTGACAGAGCAAGACTCCATCTAAAAAAGAAAAAAAAAAGAAAACAGAAAAGAAAAAAGAGAAAGGAATACTATTTCTCCCAATGTCTGATCCTAAAGCTGAAGGTTGTTGTAGAACTGACTCATCCTTCTCATCCTAGCCTCCACTTCCCCTCATGCACAGACTGAATCAGTCCTTTCCCGGCACGCTCCCTCACAGCTCTGATGCCAGCCTGCCCTGTACTGGAGTTCTTAGAGACTAACCTGTCCCCACTGTTAGACCAGAGGTCCTCTGAGGGCAGGGATGGCATTTATGTCATTTCTCCAGTTCCAGCTTCCAGCTCAGGATCTGTCACACGGCAGGT
Organism: Homo sapiens; assembly: GCF_000001405.40. Taxonomy (NCBI): domain Eukaryota; kingdom Metazoa; phylum Chordata; class Mammalia; order Primates; family Hominidae; genus Homo; species Homo sapiens. Next base: position 73,652,846 of record NC_000007.14, on the reverse strand, counting down.
ACAGAGAGCCAGGACACCAGGGCTCAAATTCCAGCTCCGCCGCTTACGGCCAGTATGAACCTCAAATGACCCAACCTCCCTGTGCCTCTGTCTCTTCTTCTGTAAAGTGGGGGAAACACACTCACTTCATCTGGTTGTGGAAGGGATTAAATGATTAACCCACATAAACAGCTTAGCAGGTGTGGGCGGGACCCTGGCAAGTAGTAAGTGTTTGGTAAATGTTAGTCAGAAGTGATACTGGGGGGCCGGGCGCGGTGGCTCACGCCTGTAATCCCAGTACTTTGAGAGGCCGAGGCAGGCGGATCATGAGGTCAGGAGATCGAGACCATCCTGGCTAACACGGTGAAACCCCGTCTCCACTAAAAATACAAAAAATTAGCCAGGTGTGGTGGCGGGCGCCTGTAGTCCCAGCCACTCAGGAGGCTGAGGCAGGAGAATGGCGTGAACCCGGGAGGCAGAGCTTGCAGTGAGCCAAGATTGAGCCACTGCACTCCAGCCTGGGAGACACAGCGAGACTCCATCTCAAAAAAAAAAAAAGAAGTGGTACTGGGGTCAGGCATGGTGGCTCATGCCTGTAATCCCAACACTTTGGGAGGCCGAGGCACACGGATCACCTGAGGTCAGGAGTTCAAGACCAGCCTGGCCAACATGGAGAAACTCCATCTCTACTAAAAATACAAAAATTAGCCAGGCGTGGTGGTGGGTGCCTGTAATCCCAGCTACTTGGGAGGCTGAGGCAGGAGAATCGCTTAAACCTGGGAGGTGGAGGTTGCAGTGAGCCGAGATCACTGCACTCCAGCCTGGGCGACACAAGTGAAACTCTGTCTCAAAAAAAAAAAAAAAGTGATAGTAACTTGTTGGGTCGAAGAGAGACTGCCCTAGGTATAGGTACTCTTCATATGAAGGGGAAGATACTTTATATTGATCTTCACAGCCAGGCACAGTGGCTCACACCTGTAATCCCAGCACTTTGGGAGGCCACGGCAGGAGGATTGCTTGAACCCAGGAGTTCAAGGCCAGCCTGGACAACATGGTGAGACCCTGTCTCTACAAAAACAAACAAAAATTAGCTGGGCGTGTTGGAGCCTACTAGTGATCCCAGCTACTCAAGAGGCTAAAGCAGAATGATCACTTTAGCCCAGGAGTTCAAGGTTGCAGTGAGCCATGGTGGACCCACTGCACTCCAGCCCAGGCTAAGAAGTGAAACTCTCTTTCTCAGAAAAAAAGAGGAGACCCTCCATGCCTCTCCACCTCCATTAAAGTCAGGGAGCACTCCACCAGAGGCCCCCTAATCCACCTCCCTTCCTTTCCAGCATCAAAGTAACCATGAAAATCTTCCTCCTTCAGAAAGCCCTCCAGGATTGCACTGCCTCTAGGAACTTCTTCTTTCTGCCTCTTCTCTTTGATGCCCTGTGACCACAGCTGAGTCCTGCACCCTACTTCCTATCTTCCCCCAGCTCTCCTCTTCCTCTGCAAGGGATACAAACAAACATCTCTGGACCACTTTCAGGTAGACCTGAGGTTTTTCACAGGGTGTAGCTGGAGCTAAGAGCATTCATGAGAGAGAGCATCTTTTATATTTTTATTTTTTAGAGACAGGGTCTCACTATATTGTTGCCTAGGCTGGTCTCAAACTCCTGGTGTCTAAGCGATCCTCCCACCTCAGTATCCCAAAGCGCTGGGGTTAGAGGCATGAACCACCATGCCCCACTGGAGAACATCTTATTCATACCTCCCTGCCTCTCCTGTTTTACATATGGGTAGGGTCAACCCAGGATGCCCAGTTAAATTTGAGTTTTAGATAAGCATTATGAATAATCTCTTAGTATAAGTATGCCACAAATATGGCATGAGACATACTTATACTAAAAAAAGCCATTGTGTATCTGAAATTCAAATTTAATGGGGCATCCTGGATTTGTATTTGCTAAATCCACCAACCCTATGTATGGGGAAACTGAGGCCCTGGGAGATGGAGTATCAGTATCATGCCCAGTTGCAGAGCCAGTCAATGTGGTGGTGGCTCAAGCCCCACTTCCTTTACACACACACACACACACACACACGCTGACTCTGGGTCCTGGCGCTGGCCATGAACAGGTGTCTGTCCAAGGTAGCAGACTGAAGCCTACTAGTAGGAGGTCACGTGACAAGAAACTCATGCAAGACAGGAAACAGTGGGCAGAGAAGGCCAAGCTGACCCACCAGGACGTATGAGGCAGGTGGAAGAAGCAGGAGGTGTCTTCATCTGCTTCCTTCTCAAGATGCACCCTTCCACCACCACCGCCCACCCTCAGGCAGAGTGAATTCCAAATGGGGTGTGGGGCTGGGCGCAGTGGCTCACACCTGTAATCCCAGCACTTTGGGAGGCCGAGGCAGGCAGATCACTTGAGGCCAGGAGTTTGAGACCAGCCTGGCCAACATGGCAAAACCCCATCTTTACTAAAAGTACAAAAAAACTGGCCGGGCGTGGTGGCATGCACCTGTAGTCCCAACTATTTGAGAGGCTGAGGCAGGAGAATCACTTGAACCCAGGAGGCGGAGGTTGCGGTGAGCTGAGATTGCACCATTGCACTCCAGCCTGGGTGACAGAGCGAGACCTTGTCTCAAAACAAATAAATGGTGTGTGGGCAGAATCTGATCAACTCAGGGTCTCTTCTGGGCTCGGGCTCAGCCTCATCCTCCGGCATGCCCCCGGCCTTCCCCCTGCGCTCTACCTCCTGCCATCACCAGGGGACTCTGAGGGGCATTATTGGCAGGATCCCTTCTGCCTCTGCTGCCCCCCGCTAGCCGTAGAAGGAAGGAAGCCCGTGGGGCTGGGAGGAAGCTGCCTCATTGCTGGGTAGGGTGGCTGTGAAAGCCCTTTCTTCTTTCCATCCCACACTGCCCGCTCCTGGCCGAGCGGTGGCCAGGGGGATCCTTCCTTCTACCCCACACGGCCCCTTGAAGCTGGCAGGCAAGCTGAGGTCCTGAATGCCCCCTTCCCAGGTGGTGCCTACTCCACAGGACCTCTGAGGACTTGGAGGCATCCATCCTGGACTTTGAAACTGATACCACCGCTGGCCTATCCCGCTCTCTCACTGGGCTGCTACGCCAAGGGTGTTTAAGGATGTTTGTGGAGTAAATGTAAGAGTCTGGGCCAGGCCCAGTGGCTTGCACCTGTAATCCCAGCACTTTGGGAGGTCGAGGTGGGAGGATTGCTTAAGACCAGGAGATAGAGACCAACGTGGGCAACATAGTGAGAACCCATTGCTTAAAAAAAAAGAGTTGAGAGGACACAGCACTAAGAGCAAGAGAGGGGAAGTCAGTGGGCCCCGGAAGGCAGGAAGGGCCTCAGGGAGGGGTGAGGAATGGGGGCTCAGGGAGGGGAGTGGGGTTTAGGGAGGGGATGTGATGTCAAGGGCAGGGAGGGTGGGGGCTTGAGGGGGGACTCAGAGGGAGCATGGGATGAAGCTGGTCAAAGAGGGAATGAATGGGGCTCAGTGAGCCAGATGAGAGAGAGACAGGAGATAGACAGTGAGAGAGAGAGAGAGACAGAGACAGAGGGAGAGACAGAGAGGGAGAGGAGAGGAAGAGAGAGGGGGGGAAAGGAGGGGGAGAGACAGAGTGAGAGACAGAGAGAAGGAAAGAGAGAAGAGAAAGGGAGAGAGAAGGGGGAGAGGGAGTGAGAGAGGGAAAGAGAGAAAGGCAAGGGGGGAGAATGAGAGAGAGAGAGAGGAGAGAGAGGGAGAGAGAGAAAGAGGAGGGGGTAGAGACAGAGAGAAAGTGAGAGAGAGAGAGGAGAGAGAGAGGGAGAGAGACAGAGTGAGAGAGAGAGGAGAGAGAGGGAAAGGGGGGAGAATGAGAGAGAAAGAGAGAGGGGGGAGAAAGAGAGGAGGGGGGAGAGAGAGAAAGTCAGAAAGTGAGAGAGAGAGGAGAGAGAGGGAGAGAGACAGAGTGAGAGACAGAGAGAGGAGAGAGATGGAAAGAGAGGGAGGAGAATGAGAGAGAGAGGGGGGAGAGAGGGAGAGAGAAAAAGAGAAGAGAAAGGAGAGAGAGAGGAGGGGATAGAGAGAAAGTAAAGGAGAGAGAGAGGAGGGTGGGAGAGAGAGAGGAGAGCCAGGGTCAGAGGGAAAGAGAGAAGACAGAGGGAGAGAGACGGGGCAGGGAGAGACAAGGGACAGAGAGACAGTGTGAGAGAGAGAGAGAAAGAAAGAGGAGGGGGAGAATGAGAGAGAGAGAGGAGAGAGGGGGGAGAGTGAAAAAGGAGGGGAATAGAGAGAGAAAGAGAAAGTGAGAGAGATAGAGGAGAGAGACAGAGTGAGAGACAGAGAGAGAGGAGAGAGAGAGGGAAAGAGAGGAAGGGGGAGAATGAGAGAGATGAGAGAAGGGGGAGAGAGAAGAGGGGGTAGAGAGAAAGTGAGGGGAGAGGGAGAGAGGAGCCTGGAGGAGAGAAGAGAGAGGGAGAGGAAAGGGAGGGGGAGAGAGAGAAAGAGAGAAAGCGGGGAGAGAAGAGAGTAAGAGTGAGGGATGAGAGTGAGAGAGAGTGCTGGGGGGACTCAGGGACTAGGAGGAGGTTCAAAGCCGGGCTGGGGCTCTGGGAGGAGCCCGAGGCGGTCCCAGCGTCTTTCTCTGCCCACCTGGGGTGGCCCCACACCTGCGGCTCCTCCCTCCCCGAGCCCAGCCCGCGGCTGGGGGCCGGGCACCGAGCCCCCGGGGAAAGTAGAGGGGGTTAAAGGTGAGCGGGCACGAGCCGGCGGCAGACGGGGATTGGCAGGCGCCCGAGCCCAGGGCCCGGGCCATGGCTGCCCCACAGGCCTCTGAGCGGCTGAGCGGCTGCCGCCCACGTGCTAAGGAGAGAAGGAGGCACCAGATCAAGGGGCAAAGGACACCTCGGAGCGGGGCGGGGGTGCCCGCGTCCACACCCGCTGCTAAAAGCCGGGCCCGCGGCGCAGCGCACGGAGCCCTCTGCCGCCCGCGCGGAGAAGGCGCCGGGCGCGGTCCGGCGGTCCCAAGCATCCCCGCAGCGCCCCCGCCGCCCGCCGCCCGCCCCTGGCCGCGCCGCGCCCCTCTGCAGGTCGAGCGGATTCCAGGTGAGGGCGTGGAGCCCCCGCGTCATCAGGTGGGTGCAGGGGCCTCACCCAAGGGGAATTGGATCCGCCTCTGTGCTGGGCCTCAGTTTCCCCTCTGCCCATAGAGGCGCGCGTCTCTGGCTCAGCTGGGTTGAAGGGGTTCATAGGCTTATGTGGCCTCCTCGCTCAGCCTCAGCTGCCAGGAGGAAGGAGGCAAACTCGTACCCCAGGGAGGACTCCGGATCAGGAATCCAAGAATTCATCCTGCTAGAAGGTGAAGTGCACACGGGTCCTGGAAGCCCCGTGTCTCCCACTGGCTGGACTGGGCTGGGCTTCCATCCTGGTCTGGGAGGTTCTCCCAGGAGCTGAGAGGGGGCCCAGGGAGTCAGGAGGGAGGGCCTTCCTCCCTCTGGCTCTCCCTGCCCTGGGCAGGTGACATGCCAGTGGAGAAACCCTGTCCAGGTGGGCCCTGGGATGAGGAGGACCAAAACTGCCCCTGGCTGGGACAGAAAGAAGGGAGATGGCAGGGTGGGGTATGTGGATTCTGGCCCCTAGGCTTCTAGCCAACAGGTGGGGGCCACAGAAGTGGTGGCCGGCACTCCTGCTGCTCTGCCCAGGGGGGAAAGCCAGGGCTTCCTCCCAGCCACCCTGCCCCCACCTCTGGGCTGGGTTTGGGAGCTTTGGGTTCTTGTCTGTGTCTGACTGTGTGACCTTGGGCGCACGACTTTCCGTCTCTGGGCCTGGCTCTCCCTCCGTGACATGGGAAGGTTTACTGTTCCTGGGCCACTCGTGTGGAGATGGGGACAGAGTAAAACGGAACACCAGGTTGCTTTGGGGGACAGTGTGGCCCACTCCAACCAAGTCCCTCTGGGCCTTCACAAGGGGGATGGTGTTACAGGGTCAGCTGAGTCAGGAAGTCAGGGGGACCAGGGATCTATGAGAGCTGAGCTGGTCCCCACTTTGCCCAAGAACTTATCTTACACTCAGCAACTCCCCTGCCCCATGTCCTGCCCAGGCCCTCAGATGCAGGAGAAGTCTCAGAATACAGGTCTGGGAATCTCAGGTCCGCCCCAGGGAAGCTCAGCTCCTCAGCCTAGGGTAGCTTCTGGGAGAGGAGGAAGATTCTGTAATACCAGAAGAGGTCTGAGCTGTAGTAGCCAGGAGTTTCCCCATCTTGAGAAGATGACCCATCTCACTTCTCCCTAATTGCCCCCTAAGGACACAGTCTGCTGGCTGAGCCAGGCCAGGGCTCAGTTTAGAATCAGGGTTGGGGCTCAGGCTGGGGTTGGGACTCAGCCTGGGGACCACATGGGAGGGCAGCTCAGAGCCAGGGTCCAGGAAGCATCCGCCTGGTGTCTTGGAATCCTGTGATTGAAATCCTCTGGCCGATATAGGGGTGGCACTGGTGGAGATGATGTTTGTCAGCTGAAGTGGAGGGCTGGCATATGAGCTTCTGCAGGCTGTAGAGTGGGATGGAAGAGTGGACTGGAAGCGTGGAAGTGGGAGAGGTCATGTCTCCGAGGCTCCTGCAGCCACACTTGCCCAGAGTCTCTAGTGCCTTCAGGCAATGGCCCTCCCTGGGTACCCTCCCCGGGGCTGTCTTTGGCCCTGCTGCCAGCCCTGTGGTGGCTAAATGCAAGCTTAGACATGTGTTGGGTTTGTCAGGGGCTGGGAGAGGCCATCATTAGTGCAGTCCTCACTCTCTGGTTAGGGCCAAAGAAAAAGTTTTGGCTACAGATGTGGGGCAGAGGAGGGAAGAGAGAGGGGACGTGCAGGCTTAGGATTGCTGTTCAGATAGGAGAAGAGGAAGAGGAACTGGGGTTTGCTATGCATTTACTGCAAGCCAGGCACTGCACAAGCTTTTCTGGCACTGTTTCCTTCTTCCTGATAACCAGAGAAGGAAAAGATCTCCATTTTACAGATGAGGAAACAGGCTCAGAGAGGTCAAGGCTCTGGCTCAAGGTCACACAGCCTGGGAACGGCAAAGCTGATATTCAAACCCAAGCATCTTGGCTCCAAAGCCCTGGTTTCTGTTCCCACTACTGTCAGTGACCTTGGCAAGCCCTGTCCTCCTCCGGGCTTCACTCTGCACACCTGTAACCTGGGGTTAAATGGGCTCGCCTGGACTGTTGAGCAGAGCTGGGAGGAGGTCTGGAAGCAACATGGGTGGTGCATTCTCTGCATTCAGGGAGAAACACACAAGAGGGGATTACATTGGCTGACCCCCAACCTCCCAGGTCAGCTCATGGGTGTCCATGTGTCCTGCGCCCACCTCACCCACCTCCACCCCCTCCCCACCCATCTTTCTCACTCCTGAAACTTAGGGGCAAGGTGGCTCTGTCTCTCCTCTTTGAAGTTAGCTAAGCTGACCTTGGAGAAGGGGGCCCCCAACAAGGGAAGAGTGAACAGAATATTCCCAGGGTAGGTCCTGGCACTGATAAATAAGAGACAGACAACTACTGCCCTAGGGCCAGAGGCAGTGGCTCAAGCCTGTAATCTCAACACTTTGGGAGGCCAAAGTGGGAGGGTTGCTTGAGGCCAGGAGTTCAAGACCAGCCTGGACAGCATAGAAAGATCTGTGTCTCTGCAACAAATTAAAAAATTAGCCAGGTGTGGTGGCACAGGCATATAGTCATAGCTACTCAGGAGGCTGACACAGGACGATCACTTGAGACCAGGAGTTTGAGGCTGCAGTGAGCTATGATGTCACCACTGCATTCCAGCCTGGGCAACAGAGCAAGAACCCCTCTCTTAAAAAAAAAAAAATGCTCTACCCAGAATCCCAGGCCACCCCCTGCTAGCTGGCTTGGGTAGTCACAAAAGTTCTTGTCCCATATTCAGCCCCATTAGCAGTGTGACTTTGGGCGAGAGATATGCTTCCTGGGATCCACTTTCTATCTCAGTCCAGGGGCCTGATGCCCTGATGGGGCCGGCATGGGGCCAGTTATCCAGCAGGGGAGAGGCCAGGAGATTCTGGGCAGAGCAGATGACTGTCACCTGCTGCAACAGTCTGAGAAGCGTTTTCCATCCCTGAGTCCCCTGGAGGAGATTGTCGCCCTATCTTCTTTGTCCTACAGCTCCTGGTTCTCTGACATTGTAATCAGAGATGTCGACCAGGAAGGAAGGAAAGAAGAAAGGGCGGGCTGGGGGGAGGAAAAGAGGGACAGAAGAAGAAAACCCACATTTACCAGGTACCACTGGCTCTCACTTACATATTTCATTTCATCTTTGCAACAACTGCACAATAACATCACATAGTCATAGCCATTTTAAAGATGAGAAAACCGGCAAGGCACAGTGGCTCGTGTCTGCAATTTTAACACTTTGGGAGGCTGAGACGGGTGGATCGTCTGAGGTCAGGAGTTCAAGACCAGCCTGGCCAACATGGCAAAACCCTGTCTCTACTAAAAATACAAAAATTAGCCGGGCATGTTGGCGGGCACCTGTAATCCCAGCTACTTGGGAGGTCCTAAGGCAGGAGAATCACTTGAAGCCTGGGGGTGGAGGTTGCAGTGAGCCGAGATCAAGCCACTTCACTCCAGCCTGGGAGAAAGAGCTAAACTCAGCTTCAAAAAAAAAAAAGACAAAACCAGTCCTCAGCCAGGTGCAGTGGCTCACATCTGTAATATCAGAGCTTTGGGAGGCCAAGGCAGGAGGATTGCTTGAGACCAGAAGTTTGGGACCAGTCTGGGCAGCCTAGTGAGACCCTGTCTCTACAAAAAAATTAGCCAAGCATGGTGGCACAAGCTTATAGTCCCAGCCACTCAGGAGGCTGAGGCAGAAGGATTGCTTGAGCCCAGGACTTTGAGACCAGCCTGGGCAACATAGTGAGACCCCCCATCTATATAAAAATTTTTAAAAATTAGCCAGGGGTGGTGATGCACACCTGTAGTCCCAGCTACTTGGGAGGCTGAGGCGGGAGGATCACTTGAGCCAGGAGTTCAAAGTTGCAGTGAGCCATGGTGGTGCCGCTGCACTGAAGTCTAAGCAAAAGAGCAACACCTTGCCTCCAAAAAATAAAATAAAGTGTCTACTATGTGCCAGCTGTCCCCTCTGTCCTAGTACCTGCTGATTAGCTCAGTCTTGGGTGGATTTACCTGACACATGATGTTTGCAAGGAGGCCTAAGGGACGGGTCATCCTTCAGTTCCACCAAGCAGCCCAGCAGAAAGACATACTTGGGCTCTGCCATCAGACACAACTGGGTTCAAATTTGGGCTGAACTACTCATGAACTGTGTAACCTGGATGACTGTCCTAATCTTTCTTTTTTTTTTTTTTTTTGAGACGGAGTCTCGCTCTGTCGCCCAGGCTGGAGTGCAGTGGCGCAATCTCGGCTCACTGCAAGCTCCGCCTCCCGGGTTCACGCCATTCTCCTGCCTCAGCCTCCCGAGTAGCTGGGACTACAGGCACCCGCCACCATGCCCGGCCAATTTTTTATATTTTTAGTAGAGACGGGGTTTCACTGTGTTAGTCAGGCTGGTCTCGATCTCCTGACCTCGTGATCCGCCCGCCTCGGCCTCCCAATGTCCTAATCTTTGTAACATATCTCACTACATGAGAGAATCAAATAAACATGTCTCTGAGCCTTGATGTGCTGTGTACAATAGGGACCCTCAGCCCTGAGCAACGGGCTGGTTGAGCAGATTGATGGATGAGACTCAATAGCAAATACACAGGGCCAGGCAGCCCACTGGCATCCCTGGCTGTGGTGCAAGGGGAAATATATTTGTGGTCTTTGACTGTGGCTCCTGGCACACAGCTCCTACAACCCTTGGAATCTCCAGAATGCTAAGAGTGTCTTTTGAAAGCTATTAAGAGGACTGGTGGCTGGAGGCCCCTAGAGAGTTTCAGGATGGGGGCTGTTCACTAGAAAGACCAAGGCATGATTAGAGGATTGGAGCTTTCAGCTCCCTGCCTCCCCAAACTTGGGGGAGAAGAGAGGGTTGGAGAATGCGTTCAGTCACATAATCAATCATGTCTACGTAATGAAACTTGCAGTGGCCAGGCAAGGTGGCTCACGCCTATAATCCCAGGACTCTGGGAGGCCAAGGTGGGAGCAGTGCTTCAACCTGGAAGTTCAAGACCAGACTGGGCAACATGGCAAGACCCTGTCTTATAAAATAAATAAATTTAAAAAAGGGCCAGGCATGGTGGCTCACGCCTGTAATCCCAGAAATTTGGGAAGCTGAGGCGGGTGGATCATCTGAGATCAGGAGTTTGAGACCAGCCTGGCCAAGGTGGCGAAACTCTGTCTCTACTAAAAATACAAAAATAAATTAGCCAGGGGTGGTGGTGCTCATCTGTAGTCCCAGCTACTCCAGAGGCTGAGGCAGGAGAATCTCTTGAACCCAGGAGGTGAAGGTTACAGTGAGCCAAGATCGCACTACTGCACTCCAGCCTGGGTGACAGAGTGAGACTCTATCACACACAAAAATAAATAAATAAATAAATAGAAACCTCCATTAAAAACCCCTAAATGTTGGGCTTCATGGAGCTTCTGAGTTTGTGAACACATCAAGGTGCTAGGAGGGTGATGCTCCCAGAGAGGGCATGGAAGCTCCGTGCACCACCCCCATACTCTAGCCCATGCATCTCTTCCATCTGGCTGTTCCTGAGTTGTATCATTGATAACAAACTGATAAATGTAAGTAAAATGATTTACTGAGTGCTGTGAGCCATTCTACCAAATTATTGACACTGAGGAGAAAGTCATGAGAACCCCTGATTTATAGCTGGTCAATCAGAAGTTCAAGTGGCAGCCTAGTACTTGTGACTGCTATCTGAAGTAGAGGCAGGCTTGTGGGAATAAGCCCATAACTTGTGAAATCGGATGCTAACTCCAGGTAAATAGTGTCAGAATTGGCCTGGCACAGTGGCTCACGTCTGTAATCCCAGCACTTTGGGAGGCTGAGGTGGGCGGATCATGAGGTCAGGAGTTTGAGACCAGCCTGGCTAACATGGTGAAACCCCATCTCTACTAAAAATACAAAAATTAGCCAGGCGTCATGGCATATGCCTGTAATCCCAGCTACTTGGGAGGCTGAGGCAGGAGAATCCCTTGAACCCTGGAGGTGGAGGTTGCAGGTTGCAGTGAGCTGAGATTGCGCCACTGCACTCCAGCCTGGGTGACAGAGCGAGGCTCCATCTCAAAAACAAAAAAAAGTGTCAGAATTGAATCGCAGGACACACAGCTGGTGTCAGAGAATTGAGAAATGGTGTCATAAGTGTGAGTAAACACCATTTGCTGGTATACGGTGGCTATCGGAATTTTTACAGACAGACCATTGGCACAGTGGCTCATCTTGGTGAAACACCACCTCCAGGTTCACCTTTGTGCCCTGCACTGCTATGATGCTGGTAGCACATGATCCTCCCCTGGCTCTTCACAACATACCCAAGAGGCTAGGTGAATTCCTCCCATGTTACAGGGAGGGCAACTGAGGCCCAGGGAGGACAAATGTCTTGCCTGAGGTGATCCATGGGTCCCCAGTGAGCCAACCTCCTGGGGAAAGAGGAAAGTCCCTTATAGGGTTTTGTTTTGTTTTTTAATCAAGGCTCACTGCAGCCTCACCCTCCCCAGCTCAAGCAATCCTCCTGCCTTAGTCTCCCTGGTAGCTGGGACTAAGGCACTCGCCACTACACCTGGCTAATTTTTGGTAGAGATAGGATTTTGCCATGTCACCCAGGCTGGTCTCAAACTCCTGGGCTCAAGTGATCCTCCTGCCTCGGCCTCCCAAAGTGCGAGGATTACAGACATGAGTAACTGTGCCTGGCCCCCTACAGATCTTTAGGCCCCTCAGAATGAGATTGTGAGTGGCAGACAAGCTAGGGTGGGAAGCTGTGCCTCTGTCTTCCCAGTGTCTGCTCAGGGACAGACTCTGGTTTGGTCAATCAAAAAGAGAGCCTTTTCCTGTTGTTGGAGAGCATTAATCTCTGGACTTTGGGGTCCTCAAGAAGAGGGAGAGGGTTCCCATGCCATCATCTGTTCTTTTTTTTCTCCTTTTTTTTTTTTTTTTTTGAGATGGAGTCTCGCTCTGTCGCCCAGGCTGGAGTACAGTGGTGCAATCTTGGCTCACTGCAACCTCCGCCTCCCGGATTCAAGCGATTTTCCTGCCTCAGCCTCCTGAGTAGCTGGGATTACAGGTGTGCACCACCATGCCCAGCTAATTTTTGTATTCTTAGTAGAGACAGGGTTTCATCATGTTGGCCAGGCTGGCCTCGAACTCCTGACCTCAAGTGATCCACATGCCTCAGCCTCCCAAAGTGCTGGGATTACAAGCGTGAGCCACCACGCCCGGCCGCCATCATCTATTCTACTGCCTCTTCTTATTTTCTTTACTGTTTTTGAGGGTTCTTTGCCATTTCTTTTTTTCTTTTTCTTTTTTTTTTTTTGGAGACAGGGTCTTGCTCTGTCACCCAGGAAGTGTAGTGATGCAAATTTGGCTCACTGTAGACTCCACCTCCTTGGCTCAAGTGACTTTTCCACCTCAGCACCCCAAGAAGCTGGGACTACAGGTGCTTGCTACCACACCTGGCTAATTTTGCTATTATTTTAAGAGACAGGGTTTCGCCATGTTGCCCAGGCTGGTCTTGAACTCTTGAGCTCAAGTGATCACTCTGCCTCCACCTCCCAAAGTGCTGGGATTACAGGCATTAGCCACCATGCCCGGCCCATAACTTTCTTTTTATTTTATTTTATTTTACTTTACTTTATTTATTTATATTTATTTTTTGAGATGGAGTCTCGCTCTGTTGCCCAGGCTGGAGTGGAGTGGTGCGATCTTGGCTCACTGCAAGCTCTGCCTGGGTTCACACCATTCTCCTGCCTCAGCCTCCCAAGTAGCTGGGACTACAGGCGCCCACCACCACACCTGGCTAATTATTTTTCTTTTGTATTTTTAGTGGAGACGGGGTTTCACCGTGTTAGCCAGGATGGTCTTGATCTCCTGACCTCGTGATCCACCCGCCTCAGCCTCCCAAAGTGCTGGGATTACAGGCGTGAGCCACTGCGCCCGGCCCATAACTTTCTTTTTAAATTAGCATTGCATCTTAGTTATCTTTTCCTATTCCTACACCTATAATAATAATGAGAGCTGGCATTTACTATCTAAGCACTTTGCAGGTATTAATTCACTTCATCCTCATAAAAATTATGAGATTATTATCTCCATTTTTTTTTTTAAAGATAGGGTCTCATTATGTTGCCCAGGCTGGTTTTGAACTCCTGAGCTCAGACGATCCTCCTGCCTCAGCCTCCTGAGTAGCTGGGATTACTGGTTCAAGCCACCACATCCAGCTATCTCCATTTCACAGATGAGGTTCTGTTAACACCTGCATAGTATTTCCCTATAGGGATTTATCAAAATGTATCCAACCATGCTGCTTTTCACTATTATAAACAGTGCTGTGAGGAATATCTTTGTTCATCTTTGCACACTCCTGGAAATATTTTATAGCACAAATTCCTAGAAGTAAATTTGATGGGTCAAAGAGTACCTACATTTTTTGTTTAATAGATTTTTCCAAAATACAGTCCCATGTTACTTATCATCCACAGATTAGGAAAATGGCCTATTGGCCCCTCCTGGCATTTCTGTTTCTTCCTGGCCTGGGATGGGGTTTTAAGCCTCCCCCGGAAGCAGCCAAAGTGGTACAGAAGGGGAAGTTTCTGAGCAAATAACATTGTGCCACCGAGTTCTTCCTCCCCACCGTCCACTCATCCTCAGCCTCACCACAGGCTGCAGCCCAGAGCACTAAGGGAAAGTCTTCCCTCTCCTCTCTACTATTTTTTTTTCTCCTCTCTACTATTTTTTTTCTCCTCTCTACTTAATTTAACCTCTAGTCAAAAAGTACTGGGTTGGGAATGAAAGACTTAAATGAGCCCCAGCATGGTGGCTCATGCCCGAAATCCCAGAAGGCCGAGGTGGGTGGATCACCTGAGGTCAGGAGTTCAAGACCAGCCTGGACAACATGGTGAAACCCTGTCTCTACTAAAAATACAAAAATTAGCTGGGCATGGTGACAGGTGCCTGTAATCCCAGCTACTAGGGAGGCTGAGGCAGGAGAATCGCTTGAACCCTGGAAGCAGAGGTTTCAGTGAGCTGAGATTGCACCACTGCACTCCAACCTGGGCCACAGAGTGAGACCCTGTCTTGGAAAAACAAACAAACAAACAAACAAAAGTACTGGGTTGGGAATTAAAGCCTTAGTTGAGGCCAGGTGTGGTGGCTCACACCTGTAATCCCAGCACTTTGGGAGGCCAAGGTGGGCAGATCACCTGAGGTCAAGAGTTTGAGACCAGCCTGGCCAACATGGCGAAACCTTGTCTCCACTAAAAATACAAAAATTAGCCATCCCAGCCACTTGGAAGGCTGAAGCAGGAAAATCGCTTGAACCTGGGAGGTGGAGGTTGCAGTGAGCCGAGATTGTGCCACTGCATTCCAGCCTGGGTGACAGAGTGAGATTCTGTCCCCAAAAAATAAAATAAATATAAAGTGTTAGATGACCTGTTCTGGTACCTCAAGCGAGTGACTTAATTTCTCTGAGCCTGTTCCCTCATCAGTAGCATGGAGTGATCAAAATCCCTGTTCATCTAGTCTCCCTCAGGGACAGGAGGAGAAAATGGTGTCCGAGGGTGCTATGGTTCCTGCCAAGGGCCAGGCAGAGACTGGTGGTTTTGTTGGTTGAACTTTGGGCCAGCTTTGGGTGTACAGATGGATGGGACAAGACCAGACCCTGGCCATGGGGAGCTCAGGGCTTGGTTAATGGGGGAGGCCAAAGGAAAAGAGGTAGGAAGAACATAGAGAAGGATTGAGACAGGCTGAGCCTGGCAGTGGTGCCACTGCGTGTTCCCCAACAGAGAGCCCAGAGGACTTGCCTGGTCCTTCTAGGGCCATTTGGGAATCCCCCACTGACCTCCATCAGTGCCCTTAGCATAAAGGGCAGGCCCCGGACCCGACCTCTCACCCTGCCTGACATTCTTTTTCCAGGTACTTCTCTCTTCCTCTCCTGTGTCCTCCCTGTCCCACACCCCAGCTCAGCCTAGCCTGGAACATGAGCTCACAGGAAGTTGCTGTCTGATGGGGAACAGCTGTGGGTTCAAATCTCAGCCCTGCCATCTACCATCAGTAAGAACCTTGGGCCAGGTATCCTATACAACGGGGCAATGGGGACCATGGTCCTTGCTCTGTCTGGCTCATAATGAGATAATGACCATGAAGCCACATTGGCAAAGGACATATGAGTGTAAGCTGTCTTGCGTATCAGTGCTTCTCAAACTGACTGAAAAGCCCCTTTTTGTTTTTTCTTTTTTTTTTTTTCCAGACAGAGTCTCACTCTGTCACTCAGGCTGGAGTGCAGTGGTGTGATCTCAGCTCACTGCAAACTCCACCTTCCAAGTTCAAGCAAGTCTCTCGCCTCAGCCTCCTGAGTAGCTGGGATTACAAGCGTGTGCCACCATGCCTGCTAATTTTTGTATTTAGGAGAGACGGGGTTTCGCCGTGTTGGCCAGGCTGGTCTGGAACTCCTGACCTCAAGTGATCCTCTTGCCTCGGCCTGCCAAAGTGCTGGGATTACAGGCATGAGCCACTGCACAAGGCCCCTTTTTGCTTTTTTATTTTCAATCTACATAGACTTGTGAGTATGCAAAATACAACAGAAAATGAATTACTAGAAAAATTGAAGTGAAGGAAATATGTAAATTATATGCCCAGTTTGTTATTCTTTTTTTTTTTTTGAGATGGAATCTCGCTCTGTTGCCCAGGCTGGAGTGCAGTGGCACCATCTCAGCTCACTGCAAGCTCCGCCTCCCGGGTTAACATCATTCTCCTGCCTCAGCCTCCCGAGTAGCTGGGATTACAGGCATCCGCCACCATGCCCAGCTAACTTTTGTATTTTTAGTAGAGACGGGGTTTCACCATCTTGGCCAGGCTGGGCTCGAACTCCTGACCTCTTGACCCACCCGCCTTGGTCTCCCAAAGTGCTGGGATTATAGGCGTGAGCCACCGTGCCCAACCTAAATTTTTTTTTAATTGATATAAGTGCTTCTAGACACTCTGAATTTTTGTGTTTATCTTGTTGCAAACTCATAACAGAATCCCCAGCCTGGCAGTTGTCCATGGGCTACTCTCTGAGAAATACAGATACCTCGGTGCCCACTGGAGCCAAGCCTAGCATGGAGTCACAGGGTGGCTGCCTGTGCTCCGAGGGAGCTGGGGACATGGCAGCTATGTAGGCTGCTGGCACCCTGCTGGCACCCCAGCCAGTTGAATGACTCATTACTCTGGTTCCCCAGCCCCCGCCTTTGTTTCTCCAGCTCTTCCCTCCCAGAATACCTTCTGCCCTCTCTGTGTGACTAATTCTCACTTCGTCTTTTTTTTTTTTTTTGAGACAGAGTCTCACTCTGTCGCTCAGGCTGGAGTGCAGTGGCTCAATCTCGGCTCACCACAACCTCCACCTCCCAGGTTCAAGCAATTCTTGTGCCTCAGCCTCCTGAGTAGGTGGGACTACAGGCATAAACCACCGGATCCGGCTAATTTTTGTGTTTTTAGTAGAGATGGGGTTTCACCATATTGGCCAGGCTAGTCTTAAACTCCCGGCCTCAAGTGATCCTCCCACTTTGGCCTCCCAAAGTGTTGGGATTGCAGGCGTGAGCCACGGTGCCCGGCCTCCACTTTGTCTTTTGAGGTCCCCCTCAAGCACAGTTTCTTCTAGAGAGCCTTCCTTAACCCCCTGGGCTGCAAGTCCGGCCGCCCTTAACTGAACTTCCACAGTCCCAGGAACTGGGACTGGCCCCCTCTAGTTGCTGGAGGGCATGCCTCACTCTGCATACTGAGCTGCACAAAGGCAGGAGCCATGTTGCAAGCATCTGAGCATTCCCCACCTCTGCCTGAACAGAGGGCATGACATCAGCAGGCGGTTAATATGTGTACTGGGTGGGCAGATGGGTGGGTATTTGAGTGGATGGTTGGATGAATAGAAAGTTAGGTAGGTGTATACATGGAACGATGGATGGACAGATAGACATATTGGTAGATGAATGGACTGATGGAAGAAGAAATGGATAGATAGAGAGGGGGATGGATGGATGGGTGGATAAAGAGATAGATGGATGGATGATGGATGGATGGATAGATAGAAGAGATGGATTGATGGAAAAAGAGATGGGTGGATGGAGAGAGATGGATGGATGGATAGATAGAAGAGATGGACTGATGGAAGAAGAGATGGGTGGATGGATGGATGGATGGATGGATGGATGGAAGAAGAGATGGGTGGATGAAAGAAGAGATGGGTGGATAGTAAGGTGAATGGACAGATTGTAAATGAATAGACAGGTAGATGAACAGACAGATGGGTGGGTAGACTGACTATTAGAGTATAGATGAATTAATAGGTAAATAACTAGATGGACAGATGAATGGATGGCTGGACGGATGACTAGATACTCACTTGATCTCTACCCTGCTGTCCTTCCTCCCCTTCTTCTCCTCTTTCTCTACCTCCTCCTCCACTCTCATAGCCTCAGAGCACAAAGATCAATGATTTTCAGTTGAGACCAGAGGTAATCTACACAGGACTTTTTGTCCTACACAGGACTTGGTATTTGTATAATTTAGAAATGTATGAGCAATATGACTGATATTTATAGTATTATTAAACATAAATATAGGCCAGGCACAGTGGCTTACGCCTGTAATCCTGGCACTTTGGGAAGCCGAGGTGGGCAGATCACTTGAAGTCAGGAGTTTAAGACTAGCCTGGCCAACATGGCGAAACCCAATCTCTACTAAAAATACAAAAAAAAAAAAAAAATAGCTGGGCGTGGTGGTGCATTCCTGTGGTCCCAGCTACTCGGGAGGCTGAGGCAGGAGAATCGTTTGAACCCAGGAGGTAGAGGTTGCAGTGAGCCAAGATCCCGCCCCTGCACTCCAGCCTGGCCGACAGAATGAGACTCCGTCTCAAAATAATAATAATAATAATAATAATAAATACATATAGAAGCAGAAAGCCTATAAAAGTGTACTTCTTGCAAAGAAAAGTGGGTTTTTCGTTCCTAATATGTTGAATTCATAATTTAAAAAAATTAAGTTAAAATTATTGGCCAGGCACAGTGGCTCACGCTTGTAATCCCGGCACTTTGGGAGGCCGAGGCAGCAGGCAGATCACTTGAGGTCAGGAGTTCGAGACCAGCCTGGCCAACATGATGAAACCCCATCTCTACTAAAAATACAAAAACTAGCCAGGCATGGTGGTGCACACCTGTAGTCCCAGCTACTTGGGAGTCTGAGACAGGAGAATTGCTTGAACCTGGAAGGTGGCAGTTGCAGTGAGCCAAGATCGAGCCACTGCACTCCAGCCTGAGCAACAGAGTAAGACTCTGTCTCAAAAAAATTTTCCTTTTAAAGTAAATAATTATTTATTTATTTTTGAGATGAGATCTCACTCCGTCGCCCAGGCTGGTCTTGAACTCCTGGCCTCAAGCAATCCTCCCACCTCAGCCTCTCAAAGTGTTTTGGATTACAGGTGTGAGCCACTGCTCCTGGCAAACTCGTAATTTTTGGTAGAACAATTGGGGTACTTCTGATATGAAAACAAGTCTGGTCCAACTTCTTCACTTCGATATAGTCATATTTATCCAATTTTCGTTCATGGTTTGTTCACCCATTTTACAGATACAGAAACTGAGATCCAGACAGGGGAAGTGACTTCCCAACTTGCCGCCAGTTAAAGACACAGTTCGAGACTCCTCTCTCTCACTCTTGTCCGCTTCTCCATCCTCTTCTCACTCAGTGAGCTTTGTGAGAAGCTAACTGCCAAGTTAATCTTGCCAAGCTAACTTTGCCAAGTCCTTCCGTAGGCCTGATACATCATCTCCCTCGTCCCCGCACCTAGATGCCAATCTACCCCTAGCCACAGTAGTGGCTTCCTGAGTATGTAAGCTGGTGAGAGGAGCTGAGGGGTCAGTGAAAAGAGGCAGAGGCATGTTTCTCACTTTGAGGTGCTCAGGCTGTTTAGGGCACCATCAAACTCCAGACTATCAGCCAGACACCATGGCTCACGCCTGGAATCCCAGCAACTTTGGGAGGCTGAGGCAGGAGGATTGCTGGAGCCCAGGAGTTCGGAACCAGTTTAGGCAATATAGCAAGATCCTGTCTCTACAAAAAAAATAAAAATTAGCCTGGCATGGTGGCTCCCACCTGTAATCCCAGTACTTCGCGAGGTCAAGGCAAGAGGATGGCTGGAGCCCAGGTCAAAACCAGCCTGGGCAACATGACGAAACCCTGTCTCCACAAAAAAATTCAAAAATTAGCCAGGCACGTTGGCACACACCATGGCGGGAGGACTGCTTGAGCCCAAGGAGGTCAAGGCTGCAGTGAGATGTGATCTGGCCACTGTACCCCAGCCTGGGTGACAGAGTGAGACTTCATCTTAAAAAAAAAAAAAAACACTTTGGGAGGCCGAGGCAGGTGGATCACAAGGTCAGGAGATTGAGACCATCCTGGTTAACACGGTGAAACCCCGTCTCTACTAAAAATAGAAAAAAAATTAGCCGGGCGTGGTGGCGGGTGACTGTAGTCCCAGCTACTCGGGAGGCTGAGGCAGAAGAATGGCATGAACCTGGGAGGTGAAGCTTGCAGTGAGCCGAGATCGAGCCACTGCACTCCAGCCTGGGCAACAGAGCAAGACTCCATCTCAAATAAAAAAAAAAAAAAGGTAGGGTGGGGTGGCTCACTCCTATAGTCCCGGCGCTTTGGGAGGCCGAAGCAGGCAGATCACCTGAGGTCAGCAGTTCAAGAACAGCCTGGCTAACATAGGGAAACCCCATCTCTACTAAAAATACAAAAAATTAGCCACACGTGGTGGTGGGCACCTGTAATCCCAGCTACTCACAAGGCTGAGGCAGGAGAATCGCTTGAAGCTAGGAGGCGGAGGTTGCAGTGAGCTGAGATCGCGCCACTGCACTCCAGCCTGGGCAACAGAGCAAGACTCCGTCGGAAGGAAGGAAGGAAGGAAGGAAGGAAGGAAGGAAGGAAGGAAGGAAGGAAGGAAAGAAGGAAGGAATGAAAGGGAAAGGAAGACTTTCCTTCCCACAGGAAGACAGTCTGTGACAAGCCCCTTGTCTTCCTTCCCACAGGAAGACAGTCTGTGACAAGCCCCAGACTGTCACACTGAGGCACACACAGGAACACAGGGTAGGTGAGGAGGGGAACAGGGCTGGGCCCTGGATCTGCACTAGGACATCAGTGAAGATGGTTGTGGCCGAGGGAAATAACCCATGGAACACCTCTCACACTACCTTGTAAGGGCGAATCAGGATGTAGAATGGCTGATTTCATATATGTATATGGGTGCAAAGTCGGTTTCGTTTTCAAATAAAACCACTAAGTCTAACATACATGTAAATGGTGCACATGTCATAAGTATCTAACTCCATGAATTTTCACAGAGAACATCCCCATATAACCAGAATCCAGATAAGGAAACAAAATGTGGCCAGGCACAGTGGCTCATGCCTATAATCTCAGTGCTTTGGGAAACTGAGGCAGGAGGATCACTTGAGCCCAGGAGTTCAAGACCAGCTTGGACAGCATAATGAGACTCCACCTCTACAAAAAAAATAAATAAATAATAAAAAAATTTAAAAAATTAGCTGAGTGTGGTGGTCCCAGCTACTTAGGAGGCTGAGGCAGGAGGATGGCTTGAGCCCAGGAATTTGAGGCTAGAGTAAGCCATGATTCTATCACTGCACTCCAGCAACCTAGGTGACTGAGGGATACCCTGTCTGGAAAGAAAAGAAAAGAAAAGGAGAGGAGAGGAGAAAAGAAAAAAGAAAAGAAAAGAAAAGAGAAAAGAAGAGGAGGGGAGGGGAGGGAGGGGAAAGAAAAGAAAAGACAGGAGAGGGGAGTGGAGGGGAGGGCAGGGAAGGGAAGGGAAAAGGAAAGAAAAGAAAAAAGACAAGACAAGACTGGAGAGAAGAGAGGAGAAGGGAGTGGAGGGGAGGGGAGAAGAGAGAGAGAGGGAGAGAGGGAGAGAGGGAGAAGGGGAGAGAGGAAGGAAAGGAAGAAGGAAGGAAAGGAAGAAAATTTGACCAGGCACAGTGACTCGTGCCTGTAATCCCAGTACTTTGAGTGGCTGAGGTGGGAGGATCACTTGAGGTTGGGAGTTTGACACCAGCCTAGGCAGCATAGCAGACCCCATCTCTACCTAAAAAAAAAAAAAAAAAAAAAAAAAAAAGTAGCAACATCCTTCATAGCTCTCTTCTTGAGCCCTTCTAGTCACCCTGAGGCTAAATGCAACCCTGACTCCTAACACCATAGATGAGCCTATTTTGGAGCTTTATATGAATGAAATCTTACAACATATACACTTCCGTGTCAGGCTTCTTTTGTTTAATACATAATCAGTGAGATTCACCCATAGGGCTGCACTTAGCTGTAGAGTGTTCATTCTCATTGCTGCATTAATATTCCCTAGTGTGGGCCGGGTGCGGTGGCTCACACCTGTAATCCCAGCACTTTGGGAGGCCGAGCCGAGGCAGGCAGATCACAAGGTCAGGAGATCAAGACCATCCTGGCTAACACAGTGAAACCCAGTCTCTACTAAAAATACAAAAAAAATTAGCTGGGCGTGGTGGCGGGCACCTGTAGTCCTAGCTACTCGGGAGGCTGAGTCAGGAGAATGGCATGAACCCAGGAGATGGAGCTTGCAGTGAGCTGAGATCATGCCACTGCACTCCAGCCTGGGTGACAGAGCAAGACTCCGTCTCAAAAAAAAAAAAAAAGTATTCCCTAGTGTGACTGTTCTGCAATGTATTTATCCATTCACCTGTTGATAGGCATCCGGGGCATCTCCAGTGTTGGGCTAGTAAGATCAGTGCTGCCACGAATAGTCTTGTGTTTTGGTGCACATGTGTGCACACTGCTGGGTTCTAACTAAGGTGGGAGATGCTCAATGCTAGTAGATGCTGCCAAATACCTTTCCAAAGTGATTTTGCCTCCACTGGCAGGAGCAGTAGATGAGTGTCTGCTCGTACCACATCCTCCTGCACAATGGCCAGCCCTTTGAGTTTGAGAACATAGGTACTTGTGGAACAGGCTGGCATTCAATTGTCTGCGTTTGAATCCCAGTTCTCTTCTTATCATGTGACCTTCAGCAAAGGTTGTTTTCTTATCTGCAAAATGTGTTGAAAATCAAAGGGTAGGCCGGGCACAGTGGCACACGCCTGTAATCCCAGCACTTTGGGAGACCAAGGCAGGAGGATTGCTTGAGCTCAGGAGTTCAAGACCAGCCTGGCCAACATGGCAAAATCCCATCTCTACAAAAAATACAAAAATTAGGTGGGCATAGTGGCACACGCCTGTAGTCCCAACTACTCGGGAGGTTTAGGTGGGAGGATCACTTGAGCCCAGGAAGCAGAGCTTGCAATGACCCAAGATCATGCCACTGCATTCTGGCCTGGGTGACAGAGTGAGTGAGACTCCATCTCAAAAAAAAAAAAAAAAAAAAAGACAAGCTGGCCTGTAATCCCAGCACTTTGGGAGGCCGAGGCGGGCAGATAACGAGGTCAAGAGATCGAGACCTTCCTGGCTAACACAGTGAAACCCCGCCTGTACTAAAAGTACAAAAAATTAGCCGGGAGTGGTGGCGGGCGCCTGTAGTCCCAGCTACTTGGGAGGCTGAGGCAGGAGAATGGCGTGAACCCAAGAGGCGGAATTTGCAGTGAGCTGAGATCGTGCCACTGCACTCCTGCCTGGGAAACAGTGCAAGACTCCGTCTCATAAATAAATAAATAAATAAATAAATAAATAAATAAATAAAAATAATAAAAAAGACAAGCCAAGGGGCTGTTGTGAAGATCCTGCGGACCTGCTAGGTGGTAAGTGCTCCATAAAGGTTAGCTTTATATAGCTAATTCTCACCACAATCCGCCAGATCATTTCACCTCTCAGAGTCTCAGTCTCCCCATCTGTAAAATGGCAATGAAAATTCTAACACACCCACATATACACACAGTTGACAGGCTCACTAGTAAATGGAATAATTTATGAACGTGCCTTTTAGTTTTTAAGAGACAGGTTCTCACTCTGTCACCCAGGCTGGAGTACAGTGGCATGTTTATAGCTCACTGCAGCCTCCAACTCCTGAGCTCAAGCGATCCTCTCACCTCAGCCTCCCAAGTAGCTGGAACTACAAGACCACAAATAGCTAATTTTTTAATTTTTTGTAGAGACAGAGTCTTGCTATGCTGTCCAGGCTTGTCTCGAACCCCTGGGCTCAAGCAATCCTCCCCTTGGCCTCTCAAAGTGCTGGGATTACTGGCATGAGCCACCACGCCCAGCAGTGATTCTTGCTCTCAAGGAATTTGCCATCTAGTGGGGAGGAAAAGCACGTGCGTCATCACTGTGAATGCAAAGCTGAATGAAATTAGACTTATATTAGAACAAGGGTGGTGCGGCCAGGCACGGTGCCTCACTCCTGTAATTCCAGGACTTTGGGAGGCTGAAGAGGGTGGATCACGAGGTTAGGAGTTCAAGATTAACCTGACCAACATGGTGAAACCCCGTCTCTACAAAAATACAAAAATTAGCCAGGCGTGGTGGTGCACCCTTGTAATCCCAGCTCCTCAGGAGGCTGAGGCAGGAGAATCGCTTGAATCCGGGAGGTGGAGGTTGCAGTGAGCTGAGATCACGCCACTGCACTCCAGCCTGGGCGACAGAGCAAGACTTGGTCTCAAAAAAAAAAAAAGAAAAGAAAAGAACAAGGGTGGTGGGAACTCAGAAATAACCTGGAGAACTTGGGGAAGATGTCATAGGTGGGACTTCAAGGACAGGTGGGCTTTCCCAACAAGGAAGGGCAGGCTGGGTGAAGAGCCCTGAGGACCAAGACTGGAAGGCAGAGAGGATGTGACATCAGGTGGGATGGCTGGGGACAGCCAGGTATTCACACCACAGTTAGGATCTTGTCTTGCATCTCCATGGACCATGAACAAGACTTGTTTGTACAGAGGCTGTAAACTGCTGGCTATAGTAACAGAGGCTAGAGAAGCAGCAAGAGCGTGAGCCAGCTTACATGTACATGGCTGTGCTATTATCTGGGCAATGGTGCCCTGAACAGGGGGTGCGGCGCCTGTGGTCCCATTACAAGTGGCTCACACTTCTAATCCCAACACTTTGGGAGGCTGAAGTGGGAGGATCACTTTGGCCCAGGAGTTTGAGGCTGCAGTGAGCTATGATTGTGCCACTGCACTCCAGGCTGGGTGACACAGCGAGACCCTGTCTCTAAACACAGGAGAAATCAGAATCTGTGGACGTCCTTGCATTTATTGGACACTCTAGTGTTTGGATGTTTTGCATTGTGCAGTCAGGGTTTGTCTTTTCAGCGGTTAGGCTTCTAGAGGTGTTATTAAGCCCTGGAGGAGGGCAGAAATGAGATGCAGATGCCTGTTGAGGGGCAATTCATGGCTGGGGAAGGAGGGATGTTGGGTGAAGGAGAGAATTCACTCATAATCTTCCCACCCGCTCAGATCCAGCTCAGAGGAAAGTCCCTGAAACCGCAGGAGACAACTCTGATGTTTTCAGAGCATGGGGAGAGCACGGTGGGGTGATCTGGAGACACGGCCAGCAGAGACTTGGAGCCAAGATTCCTGGATCCCCAACAAATCACTGAATTCAGGCCAGGCACAGTGGCTCATGCCCGTAGTCTCAGCACTTTGGGAGGCCGTGGTGGAAGGGTCGCTTGAGCCCAGGTGCTCGAGACCAGCCTGGGGAATATAGTGAGACCTCATCTTTACAACAGCAAAAAGAAGAAGAAAGAAAGAAAGCACTGAGTTTGGCCCTCAATTTTACAGGTAGTGAGACAGATCGCCAGTAAGACAGAGAGACAGAGATCTCCCCAGTGTTACTCATGGAATTAGCAGCAGAGCAAGGATCAATTCCGGTCTTCACCTGAGCCAGGGTCCCCGGAGCC
This sequence comes from Homo sapiens, assembly GCF_000001405.40. Classification (NCBI taxonomy): domain Eukaryota; kingdom Metazoa; phylum Chordata; class Mammalia; order Primates; family Hominidae; genus Homo; species Homo sapiens. The sequence continues at coordinate 73,627,826 of NC_000007.14, read as the reverse complement.
AGGAGGTCCCAAGCCAGAGGCGAGGGCGGAGCTGACACTTCCTATCCAACCTCCTCCACAGCACCCCACCCGCTCCTCTTAGTCTCATGCCCCTTTCTTCAAGCATCCCCCAAGTCTCCAGGTACCCAGTGTGGGGGTTCAGAGATGCTAGGACACAGTCTTGCCTCAATGGCCTACGGAGGAATAGGGGGAGAAGCCAGACAGGCATATAGGGGTAAGTAATGATCCTGTCAGCCTCTGTACCAAGGGCCTCAAAAGACGGTTAACTGCCACCTGAGAGCTGGCCACGGTGGCTCACGCCTGTAATACCAGCACTTTGGGAGGCTGAGGCAGGTGGATCACTTGTGGTCAGGAGTTCAAGACCAGCCTGGCCAACATGGTGAAACCCCATCTCTACTAAAAATACAAAAATTAGTCGGGCATGGTGTTACACGCCTGTAATCCCGGCTACTTGGGAGGCTGAGGCAGGAGAATCGCTTGAGCCCGGGAGGCGGAGGTTGCAGTGAGCTGAGATCATGCCACTGCACTCCAGTCTGGGTGACAGACTGAGACTGGCTCAAAAAAAAAAAAAAAAAAGAGGGCCACTTGGGGATGGCTCTCTGAAGCAGGGCAGAGCCCCTCCAAAGGAGGGAGAGTGGGGTGAGCATCAGAACCCCCTTTCCTAACCTGGCAGGGATGGGCAGAGAGAATGCACATCCTACAGAGGGCAGCAGGGAGGATGGAGCAGAACAGCTGGGGCTCCTGGGAATGTGATGCGAACATTTGGCAGAGACAGAAGATACCCGGCCAAGGGAGGTGGGTGGAAGGGCTGGCCTGTGAGCAGCCTTGGATAATCACTTTCCTCCCACAGCCAGTGGCTGGGGCCCTCAGGGCACTGCCATTGTGATCCTAGGTGCTGTGTGATCCTCCTGTGGGCTGGAAGAAAGTGCTGCATGTCAACCTTTTCCAAGGCTGCCACACATGGGAAACCACCTCCTCCGCTTTCCCTAACATGACCACACACAGGATACCTGTCAGAAAGCCAGCAGAGCTTAGCATGTGCCTACAACTCTTTCCTGTCCCCACCCACTAGGGACATCCTTGGGGGAAATCTGGAAATCTACTAGACCAGGCTTTGCTGCTGCCCCTCAGAGATGCTTGGGTGTGTTTTTGCTCTCCTGTGCCTCTGAACCCATCTTTGAGGCTGTTAGTTAAACGCTCCAGTGAGGTGTCAGGTGTGAATGCCTCAGTCTGGTTTCTGTCCTCAAGGTGAGAAAAGAGGCTTCAGAAGCAGAAAGGCCATGTACAGTGGCTCACACTTGTAATCCCAAAACTTTGGGAGGCTGAAGCAGATTTCATCTCTACAAAAAAAAAAAAATTAGCCAGGTTTGGTGGCATGAGCCTGTAGTCCCAGCTACTAGGGAGGCTGAGGTGGGAGGATCGCTTTGGCCCAGGAGTTTGAGGCTGCAGTGAGCTATGACCGTGCCTCTGCACTCCAGCCTGGGTGACAGAGCGAGACCCTGTCTCTAAAAATATATAAATAGGCTGGGCACGGTGGCGCATGCCTGGAATCCCAGCACTTTGAGAGGCTGAGGTGGGCAAATCGCTTTAAGGTCAGGAGTTTGAGACCAGCCTGGCCAGCATGGAGAAACCTCGTCTCTACTAAAAATACAAAAATTAGCTGGGCATGGTGGCGGGCACTTGTAATCCCGGCTACTCAGGAGGCTAAGGCAGGAGAATCGCTTGAACCAGGGAGGCAGAGGTTGCAGTGAGCCGAGATCGTGCCATTGCACTCCAGCCTGGGTGACAGAGTGAGCCTCCGTCTCAAAACAATAAATAAATAGAAGTATATAGATAAATAAAAATACAAAGAAGCAGGAACAAAAGCTGGACCTCAGTGTCAGTGAGAGAAGGGGCTCAGAGCTCCTGGGTAGATGCCTGCCTAGGGGATGTCCACCTTCCAGTGAGCCACCCATCCCTACCAGTAACAGTCCCTCGAGGCTCCCCTTGGGCCTCTCTGTGCAGGTGAAGTAATGATCACAATTTTTTTAATATATATTTTTTCTTAAGTATTTTATTTTGTTTTTGAAACAGGATTTCACTGTTGCCCAGGGTGGAGTGCAGTAGGGCGCGATCTCGGCTCACTGCAACCTCCACCTCTTGGGCTCATGTGATTCTTCCACCTCAGCCTCCCGAGTAGCTGGGATTATAAGCCAAGCACGCATCGTCACATCCGGTAATTTTTGTATTTTTAGTAGAGAAGGGGTTTCTCCATGTTAGCCAGGCTGGTTTCGAACTCCTGGCCTCAAGTGACCCACCCACCATGGCCTCCCAAAGTGCTAGGATTGAAGGCGAGAGCCACCGCGCCCGGCCACCGTGTTGGCCACCATGTTAACTAGAGGTGTTAGCAACCTCCTGTGGGCCAGGCCCTTCAGGGGCATTACCTTGGGCTTACCACATCAGGCCCCTGAGAGTTGGGGGCTTCTACCTATGTGGAGGACCCAGAAGAGCTAATATGGGGGGCGGGGGTTGGAGGTGAAGGGCAGGAGTTAGGTGAGGGGAGATGGTGATCTCTGGCCTCACAGGAGGGTGCCCCTGAAAGAACAAACCCCAGGTCCTGAGGCGCTTTCAGGCTCAGGTGTGATAGGGGACCCTTTTGTTGTGGAGACAGGGTCTCACTCTGTCATCCAGGCTGGAGTGCAGTGGCGCGATCTCCGCTCACTGCAGCCTCAACCTCTTGGTCTCAAGCGATTCTCCCACTTCAGCCTTCGGAGTAGCTAGGACTACATGCACACGCCACCATGCCTGGATAATTTTTGTATGTTTGGTAGAGACAGGGTTTTGCCATATTGTCGAACTCCTGGGCTCAAGGAATCCTCCCACCTCAGCCTCCCCAGTAGCTGGTATTACAGGCTTTCTCCACTATGTCCGGCTAATTTTTGCATTTTTTTGGTAGAGATGGGGGTCTTGCCATATTGCTCAGGCTGGTCTCGAACTCCTGACCTCAAGCCATCCTCCCGCCTTGGCCTCCTAAAGTGCTAGGATTACAGGCAAGAGCCCCTGGCGTCCGGCCTGACCTTTCTTAATATCCCTTTGGAGCAAAGTAGGGGCGGCTCTATCAGGACTCCAAGGAAAGACGGGAAGGGAGATGGGGCCAACCCGCCAGAGCTCCAGAGCACCGGGTTCTCACCTGGCGTAAGGATTATGCTAATACAAGCCCCGCCCCGTCCCAGGCCCCGCCCACCCGATCGGCCTATGGTGTGGGGGCGGGGCTATGTTAATGAGGCCCGGCTGGCCAAGAGCTGTTCCCCGCGCTGCGCGGAGCAGGGACCAGGCGGTTGCGGCGGCGACAGCCATGGCCGGCGCGCTGGCAGGTCTGGCCGCGGGCTTGCAGGTCCCGCGGGTCGCGCCCAGCCCAGACTCGGACTCGGACACAGACTCGGAGGACCCGAGTCTCCGGCGCAGCGCGGGCGGCTTGCTCCGCTCGCAGGTCATCCACAGCGGTCACTTCATGGTGTCGTCGCCGCACAGCGACTCGCTGCCCCGGCGGCGCGACCAGGAGGGGTCCGTGGGGCCCTCCGACTTCGGGCCGCGCAGTATCGACCCCACACTCACACGCCTCTTCGAGTGCTTGAGCCTGGCCTACAGGTGAGGGCGGTTCCGGGCCCTGACGGCCTTGGCTTCCAGGTGGGGATGGGGGGGGGGTCCGGGGCAGGACTGCGCGCTGGGGCCCTCAACACCCCACCCGAGCCCGGTCCTGCGGCTCCCGGAGGCTCCGATCACGCCCTGGACACCCCCTTTCTCCCAGCCCCGAGGTCCTCCTACAGCGGCCCAGCCCGCTGGCCCCTGACGGACCCACGCATTTCTGATTCCCATTCCTCCCCCATTCCCTCTTCCCCGAAGCGCAGACCGCCTGCGCCCCACCTCTACCTGGACCTCTGGTCCCCTCTCTCTGGTCCCAGCCCCTCCGTCCCTACAAAAATGCCAGGCGCCCCTGGTCCCTAGGCCACCCGCGCCCATCCCCACTCTCCACTCTGGAGCCACTCCACCCGACCCCCTGCAGGCCTCGGCCTTCTCCCCAGCAGCCCCGGCCCAAGCCCGCCCTATTCCTGGACCCTGAGATACTCCCAGCGCCCCTGATTGTCCCAGTTCATAACCAAAGTGGACTGGAACTGGCCCACTCTCACGTCCACCTCCCCGCAATTGCTGAGACACCTCTTCTTGATCTGCTACATTAAGGGTGGCGGGAGGAGGATGTCCCAGAAATGTCCAAGAGGCGCAGCTCGCAGAGGTTACGCCGGTGCCCGGGAGGCCTGGGTTCGCCTACCCACGTCGCCACACTAGGCTGAGCGCCCGTCGCTGCCTGGGACCCCCGCTTAGTGCCACCGAGAGCGCACAGGCCGCGCCCCGCTGCCGCTCCACGCCCCGCGTCCCAGAGGAGGGCGCGAACCCGAGGCCTGGCCCAGTGCCCTGGAGCAAAGTTCCCCGGAGTTGAGGGGCCAGTATAAATTATCAACCGAAAACCCGTAGGGGAGAAAGGGGGATCGGCCGGCCTTGATCTTTTCTCTGTGCAAATATTCCTCTTCCTCCGCGGCGCCTCCTCCCCTTCTGAGAACCGCTGGCTACAGATCGGCACCTGCCGCCCTGCGGGGGAGCAGGAGCTGGGGTGGGGACTGTGAGGGGAGTGTTGCCTGCCCCCAACCGCAGCCGCCCAGCTGCGACCCCATTGGCTGGAGGCGGAGTAACCTTGGCCCACAAGCTCTGGCCCCTGGCCCAGGTCATGTTGCAACCCGATCGGCCAGGGCGTCGGACCCGTGTGGAAAGTTCAAATTCCCGTCCCTTCTCCCTCCCTCCCCAAATGTCACGCGACTGCCTGGGACAGGGCATCTAAGGTCCTGGTACACCGGATGCCGGCACTCCTCCTCCTAAGGGTCTCCCATTTCCCACCCAACCCCAACTTTGGCTGCTCATTATATACTACACATCACTCTATTTGGGAGGGGGCCTCACTTCCAACCCTGACGATGGGTGACCAAAGAGGAGAGGTTCTGGGGAGCTGGCAAGGTAAGGGACAGAGCGCACCCCCAAAATTGCCCCCCCACCCAGAGGCTGACTCAAGGCTGATGTAACCCCAGTCAGAGATAGCTGGGGTAGAGAGGACTGTGTTTTCTTCCCAAATACCCAAATATTAATAGTAAATCTCTGGCTGGGCACAGTGGCTCCTGCCTGTAAGCCCAGCACTTTAGGAGGCCAAGGTTCTCATCCAAGGATTGCTTGAGCCCAGGAGTTGGAGACCAGCCTGGGCAACATACTGAGAACCTGTCTCTACCAAAAAAAAAAAAATTTTTTTTTTTTTTTGAGACAGAGTTTTGCTCTTGTTGCCCAGGCTGGAGTGCAGTGGTGCCATCTCAGCTCACTGCAACCTCTGCCTTCCGGGTTCAAGAGAATCTCCTGCCTCAGCCTCCTGAGTAGCTGGGATTACAGGCGCCCACCACCTCCAGCTAATTTTTTGTATTTTTAGTAGAGACGAGATTTCACCATGTTGGCCAGGCTGGTCTCAAACTCCTGACCTCAGGTGATCCACCTGCCTTGGCCTCCCCAAGTGCTGGGATTACAGGCATGAGCCAACATGCCTGGCCAAAAAAAATTTTCTTTAATCAGCCAGGTGTGATGGCACATTCCTAGTACCAGCTACTGGGGAGTCTGAGGTGGGAGGATCACTTCAGCCCAGGAGGTTGAGGCTCCAGTAAGACATGATGGTGCCACTGCACTCCACCCTGGGTGATAGAGTGAGACCTTGTTGGAAGGAAGGGAGGGAGGGAGGGAGGGAGATGGGGGGAGGAAGGAAGGAAGGGAGGGAGGGAGATGGAAGGAGGGAGGGAGATAAAGGAGGGAGGGAGATGGAGAGAGGGAGATGGAGAGAGGGAGATGGAGGGAGGGAGGGAGATAGAGGGAAATGGAGGGAGGGAGATGGAGGAGGGAGGGAGAAGGAGGGAGGGAGGGAGATGGAGGGAGGGAGACGGAGGGAGATGGAGGGAGGGAGAGGGAAGGAGATGGAGGGAGGGAGGAAGGGAGAGAGGGAGGAAGGGAGGGAGGGAGGGAGATGGAGGGAGGGAGGGAGCTGGAGAGAGATGGAGGGAGGGAGGGAGATGGAGGGAGGGAGGGAGATGGAGGGAGATGGAGGGTTGGCTCGGTACCAGGAGAGCTTCTAGATTTCCCCATTTGGTAGTGGAAAAGCCCTGAGGCTTGAACTGGGACAGTGTTTTCATCCTCAAAGACCCCCAGTTCCAGGGGTCCCCTGGAGGGGAGCAGATTACAGGAGCTGAGTGTCCCAGGGGAGTGACTATATGGGAAGAGACAGTAAGGCAGAGAGTTCAGAAGGTGGTGGGAAGAACAGCGAGCTTGACCAGGGACCCACCTGAATCAGGGACCAGCCTGACCCAGAGACCAGCCTGCAGAGGCCTGGCAAGGTTTCACCCTCTGCAGGTTAGCGTGGGCAGAGGGAGGATCGAGGAGGCCGTCTTCCATGGCTCCGTGGGTGGAAGCCCCAGGGAGGTAGTTTCTGGAAGCTTCAAGGAAGCACTTGTTCATGGTCAGAGCTGGCTAGCTTTAGGAAGAGTGGCCTTGAGGGTGCAGGGGAGCAAACAGGACCTGGTTAGGGGGCAATCTAAAAGGAATTCCTGAAAGGTGGGAGGTGGGCAGCTGAACTTGGGGTTTTCTCAACCCCCTCTCTAAGTCTCAGAGTTTTCTTCTCCTTCTTATTATTTATTTATTTATTTATTTATTTATTTATTTTTGGAGACAGAGTCTCACTCTGTTGCCCAGGCTGGAGTGCGCTGGCATGATCTCAGCTCACTGTAATCTCCGTCTCCTGAGTTCAAGCGATTCTCATGTCTCAGCCTCCAGAGTAGCTGAGGTAACAGGCATGTGCCACCATCCCCAGCTAATTTTTAATTTTCAGTAGAGACGAGGTTTCACCATGTTGGCCAGGCTGGTCTCGAACCCCTGACCTCAAGTGATCTGCCCACCTCAGCCTCCCAAAGTGCTGGGATTACAGGTATGAGCCATCGTGTCCTGCCTTTTTCTTTCTTTTCTTTTTTTTTTCTGAGACGGAGTCTCACTCTGTCGCCCAGGCTGGAGTGCAGTGGCGCAATCTCAGCTCACTGCAACCTCCACCCAACGGGTTCAAGCAATTCTCTGCCTCAGCCTCCTGAGTAGCTGGGATTACAGGCGCCTGCCACCACATCCGGCTTTTTTTTTTTTTTTTTTTCAGTACAGGTGGAGTTTCACCATGTTGGCCAGGCTGGTCTTGAACTCCTGACCTTGTGATCCACCCGTCTCGGCCTCCCAAAGTGCTGGGATTACAGGTGTGAGCTACTGGGCCCAGCTCTTTTCTTCTTTTAATAGTTTTTGTTGTTGTTGTTGTTGTTTTTTGTTTGTTGTTGAGACAGAGTCTCGCTGTGACACTCAAGCTGGAGTACAATGGCATGATCTCGGCTCACTGCAACATCCGCCTCCTGGGTTCAAGCGATTCTCCTGCCTCAGCCTCCCGAGTAGTTGGGATTACAGGCACGCACCACCATGCCCGGCTAATTTTTGTATTTTTAGTAGAGACGGGGTTTCTCCATGTTAGCCAGGCTGGTCTTGAACTCCTGACCTCAGGTGATTCGCCTGCCTTGGCCTCCCAAAGTGCTGGGATTATAGACGTGAGCCACCGCGCCTGGCCCTATTAATAGTTTTAAATAGAGATAAGGTCTCACTGTATTGCCCAGCTGGTCTTGAACTCCTGGGTTCAAGCGATCCTCTCCCCTCAGCCTCCCAAAGTGCTTAGGTTACAGGCCCACCACTGCTCCTCATCAGACTTTTCTATTGGTCATAACAAGTTTTTGTTTTGTTTTGTTTTGTTTGTTTGTTTTTTGAGACGGAGTCTTGCTCTGTCGCCCAGGCTGGAGTGCAGTGGCGCGATCTTGGCTCACTGCAAGCTCTGCCTCCCGGGTTCACACCATTCTCCTGCCTCAGCCTCCCGAGTAGCTGGGACCACAGGCACCTGCCACCACGCCCAGCTAATTTTTTGTATTTTTAGTAGAGACCGGGTTTCACTGCGTTAGCCAGGATGGTCTCGATCTCCTGACCTTGTGATCCACCCATCTCGGCCTCCCAAAGTGCTGGGATTACAGGCTTGAGCCACTGCGCCCAACCAGAATTTACTTGTTTTTTATGAGTCGGGTTCCCACTCTGTTGCCCAGGCTGGAGTGCAGTGGTGTGATCACAGCTCACTTCAGCCTTGAACTCCTGGGCTCAAGCGATCTTCCCACTGCAGCCTCCTGAGTAGCTGAGACTAGAGGTTTGCACCACCATGCCCAGCTAACTTTTTTTTTTTTTTTTTTGAGATGGAGTCGCTCTCTGTCGCCCAGGCTGGAGTGCAGTGGCACAATCTCGGCTCACTGCAAACTCCGCCTCCCGGGTTAACGCCATTCTCCTGGCTTAGCCTCCCAAGTAGCTGGGACTACAGACGCCTGCCACCACGTCCGGCTAATTTTTGTATTTTTAGTAGAGACGGGGTTTCACGTTGTTAGCCAGGCTGATCTCGAACTCCTGACCTCAGGTGATCCACCCACCTCGGCCTCCCAAAGTGCTGGGATTACAGGCATGAGCCACTGTGCCTGGCCCCAGCTAACTTTTTAACTGTAGAAACAGGGTTGCACTATGTTGCCCATGCTGATCTCAAACTCCTGGCCTCCTACAGTCCTCCTGCCTCGGCCTTCCAAAGTGCTGGGATTACAGGTGTGAGCCATCCCCAGCCAGTCATAAAAAGTTCTTGAACCCTAGCGTTACGCTCTTCCTCCAGGCTGAGTCTCTTCTCTCACAGCCCCAAATCCTTTTCTTCCTCCTGGGCTTGGATATTGTCACTGTCACATCTGCTCTAACCCTGCCTGGGCCATGAACGTCATAACCTTAGCATGGAAGCGGGAGAGAAGGCAGGCAGGTCAAGGGTGCGACACGGGGTGATCAGAATGGGCTGGGAGGTTGCTGGGATACAGACAGGGACAACAGACTCAGGAGTCCCCCACCAGGTGCCACAGAAGAAGCTGGCCCAGGAGGTAGCAGAGTCTCCCCCCACCCCCACCTCCATGTCTCCCTACCAAACAGATGGTGTTTATCTAATTCTCAGAGGGAGGGGCCCAGCCAGTGGCCCAGAGAGCTGGGCTGTGTATCTTATTTGGGTAATGAGGCCTGTTGTCCCTGGTGGGGAGGGGGCAGTCCCCCACCCCCACCCCAAAGCAAACACAGGAACTTGGAGACCAGGGAGGAGAGAGGGCCCAATGACCAATGCACTCAAGTAGGGAGAGGCTGCGGAGTCAGACTGGCACCCACCCACATTTCACCCCCAGAATGTAGGAAAGACCCCTGGAGGAAGCAGGTATGGTTTTCTGAAAGACTAAGCCTTGGGGGCCAGGTGCGGTGGCTCACGCCTGTCATCCCAGCACTTTGGGAGGCCAAGGTGGGTGGATCACTTGAGGTCAGGAGTTCGAGACCAGCCTGGCCAACATGATGAAGCCCCGTCTCTACTAAAAATACAAAAGTGAGCTGGGTGTCATGGCATATGCCTGTAATCCCAGCTACTCAGGGGGCTGAGGCACGAGAATCATTTGAACCTGGGAGACGGAAGTTGCAGTGAGCCAAGATCATGCCACTGCACTCCAACCTGGGTGGCAGAATGAGGCTCCATCTCAAAAAAATGAAAAAATGGCTAAGACTTGGGGCCTCAGCCTTCCCATCTGAGATCTGAGTAAGGGATGCAAAAGGCGGGCTAGAGGGGACTGGTACACAACCCTGGCTTGTGGATGGAGACGAGAGAGGGAGGGAGAGACTAGCAGGGGGTCTAAGACCCTGAATGTCTTGGCCTCCTGGCTCAGCTTCCTGGAGGCAGAAGACTTGGCCTGTGCCTAGCAGGACCCTCACCAGTGTAAGCTCTTCCATCCAGTGGATTTTTTTTTCCTTCAAGACAGGATCTTGCTCTGTTGCCCAGGCTGGAGTGCAGTGGCGTGATCATAGCTCACTGTAGCCTCAAACTCCCGGGCTGAAGAAATCCTCTGACCTCGCCTCCCTAGTAGCTAGGACTATAGGTGCATGCCACCACACCCGGCTAATTTTAAAATTATTTTGTAGAGACAGGGTCTTGCTATGTTGCCCAGGCTGGTCTCAAACTCCTTGGCTCAAGCGATCCTCCCGCCTTGGCCTCCCAAAGTGTTGGGATTACAACCGTGAGCTACCGCGCCCAGCCCATCCTGTGGATTTGATGGACAGCTAGGGTTAGAGTGAGGGTGCTCTGTCTCCATGAATACCATTTGCTCATCCTAGCGGCCTTCCTTTGGGATCTGTTGGTTCATTGTCTTCTGTGCAGCCCTGAGAAGAGCACACCTTCTCGCTGAGTCCAGGTTGCCACCCTGGGATTCTGGGCATGGCAGACACCAAAAGGACTGTACCATGAAGGCAGTGACTGCCACTCTCTATAAAGAGGCACCCTCGGCTGGGCATGGTGGCTCACATCTGTAATCCCAGCACTTTGGGAGGCCAAGGTGGGCAGATCACTTGAGGTCAGGAGTTTGAGACCAGCCTGGGCAACATGGTGAAACCCCGTCTTTACTAAAAATACCAAAAAAATTAGCTGAACGTGGTGGCGCACAACTGTAATCCCAGCTACTCGGGAGGCCGAGGCACGAGAATTGTTTGAATCCAAGAGATGGAGGTTGTGGTGAGCTGAGATCTCACCACTGCACTCCAGCCTGGATGACAGACTGAGACTCCGTCTCAAAACCAAAAGCAAACCAAAAAAAACCAAACCAAACCAAAACAAAACACAGAGGCTCCCTCTCTACCAGGCAAACCATGGCCATCCCCTTTGCCTCTCCTGGGCCTAAGGAGGCCTGAGTGACCTCGGACCTGCCCCTTTCCTCCCTGACTCTCAGGAAGGTCTTTTTTTTTTTTTTTTTTTTTTGAGACGGAGTTTCACTCTTGTTGCCCAGGCTGGAGTACAACGGTGTGATCTCAGCTCACTGCAACCTCCGCCTCCCAGGCTCAAGCAATTCTCCTGCTTCAGCCTCCTGAGTAGCTGGGATTACAGGTGTGCGCCACCACAGCCAGCTAATTTTGTATTTTTAGTAGAGACAGGGCTTCAGTATGTTGGACTAGGCTGGTCTCGAACTCCTGACCTCAGGCGATCCACCCGCCTTGGCCCCGCAAAGTTCTGGGATGACAGGCGTGAGCTACTGCACCCAGCCCAGGAAGGTCATTTCTTATTCTCTTAAATGAGAAATGGGCCTGAGCACTGTCCCCAGCCAGCCTCCAAGACACACCTGTGAGGCCACTGGACATTGTTGCTTCCAGGGCCGAGCTGATCCACAGGTTTCAGCGTGGCTTTTGTTCTGCAGTAGACTGACAAACAGGTCTCCCCAGGGAACACAGGGGCCGCTGGTGGGAGTCTGGAAGGGGATTTTGAAGGTCTGACTCTCTGGATAGGAATTTCAGGCAGGTTGGGTTGGGGGGCCAGATTTGGAGGGGCCCCTCAAATGCCAACCATAGATGGATGCCTAGTGCATGGGGAATATGGGGACCAGCCTCTGTGGCAGCACTGCATCTCCCTAACCCTACTCCTCTCCCCTTTGACAGTGGCAAGCTGGTGTCTCCCAAGTGGAAGAATTTCAAAGGCCTCAAGCTGCTCTGCAGAGACAAGATCCGCCTGAACAACGCCATCTGGAGGGCCTGGTATATCCAGTGTGAGTGGCTACCACCAGCCTCCCAAGCCGGGAGGGACTGCCCCCTCCAACCCTCCTGCCAGAGGGTTCTACATGGTGGCTGCCCAGGAAAATCCCCGGGGTCCTCAAGGCCAGCACTAGCAGAGTTCTGCCAACCTTTTTTTTTTTTTTTTTTTTTTGAGACACAGTCTTGCTCTGTTGCCCAAGCTGGAGTGCAGTGGTGCCATCTCGGCTCACTGCAACTTCCGCCTCCCAGGTTCAAGCCATTCTCCTGCCTCAGCCTCCCAAGTAGCTGGGACTGCAGGCACCCACCACCACTCCCAGCTAATTTTTGTATTTTTAGTAGAGACGGTTTCACCATGTTGGCCAGGCTGGTCTTGAACTCCTGACCTCAAGTGATCTGCCCACCTTGGCCTCCCAAAGTGCTGGGATTACAGGCGTGAGCCACCACGCCTGACCCTGACAGCCTTTTAGGGGGAGACCAGGCCCCCAGCACCAGGACTCCTGAATAGCTCCTGACCTCCAGCGGGTCTCGGGGAATAGGTCCCAAAGGGTGTTTCCACTGTGAAGCTGGGCACAGCAGAGGTCACCCCTCAGTAGCACTAGGGTAGGCTGAGATTTGAGGTACAGTTCAAAGCCCATTTTGCATCCCATTAGCATAGTTGGGTGCCTTGAATGCGAGGGTAAAAAGGGCCATTAGACACTAGCGGGGCCAACTGCATCACTTTGTAAATGGAGAAACTGAGGATCCCGCATGGGTCTCCACCAGCCTTTCATTGAAGTCCTTCCTGAATATCCAGTAGGTGCCCACCATGGCCAATTGGGCAGAGGGGATCCAGAGAGGCCATGCCATCTCGTGGAAGGAACTCTGGACTTAGAGTTGCCCAGAGCTAGTTCCTCCACCCCGTCTCTGCCCCTTGCTGGCTGTGTGACTTCAGGCTAGTTGCCTAGCCTCTCTGAACTTGTTTCCTTATCTATAAAAACGAGGCCACGGTGGCTCACACCTGTAATCCCAGCACTTTGGAAGGCCAAGGCGGGCAGATCACAAGGTCAGGAGATCGAGACCATCCTGCCTAACGCAGTGAAACCCGGTGTCTACTAAAAATACAAAAAATTAGCTGGGCGTGGTGGCGGGTGCCTGTAGTCCCAGCTACTCGGCAGGCTGAGGCAGGAGAATGGCGTGAACCTGGGAGGCGGAGCTTGCAGTGAGCTGAGATCGCGCCGCTGCACTCCAGCCTGGGCGACAGGGCGAGACTCCGTCTCAAAAAAAAAAAAAAAAAAAGGGCAAAACAAAAAACGAGGCCAATAGTCCTAACTTTCATGGTTGGTGTGGAGATAACAGGTATTCCAGGGTGTTGCCACTAAGTTGGTATCCAATACATGATGTATCCTTAAGGAGGTCACATTCTCATTCATTTGGGAACACCCCACTCCCCATGGCAGGGCAGCAGAGGCAGAGAGGACTTGGATCCGCCAGCCCTGTGTTGGGACCTCATTCAGGTCAGGTTCTGCTGCAGGATCAAAGGCTGCACTGAGCTGGGAATGCAAAGCCCAGGAGAGACCACACGCAGTATTCTCTGTCCTCGCCCCGCTGGATTTCATCCAAGCAGGGAGAGGGTGTGTTTTCTGGTTTCCATTTATCTACATGCCAGGCACTTTCGTGAATCACCTTATTTAAGGCTTCCTAGCAACCCTGGGAGATAGGTTTTATTACCGCCATGTTATGGATGAGCAACTGAGGCTCAGAAGGCAAGTGACATATTCAGGTTCACAGAGCGTAAAAGAAGCAGAGCTGGGGCTGGCTGGAAGTCCACAGTTCCCCAACTCCAAATTATGGCGGTGGGGGGGGTTTGTTTGGTTTTGTTTTGTTTTTTAATACGAAGTTTCGCTCATGTTGCCCATGCTGGAGTGCAGTGGCGTGATCTTGGCTCACTGTAACCTCCGTCTCCCTGGTTTAAGAGATTCTCCTGCCTCAGCCTCCTGCACCTCTCCTGGGGCAAGAAGAACTTTCCACTTTGTATTGTCTCGTGTTGTTTGTTTACTTCCCTTATCTCTCCCACTAAGCTGTGGGCACCAAGTAGCTGGGATTACAGGCACCCGCCAAATTTTGTATTTTTAGTGGAGACAGGGTTTCACCATGTTGTCCAGGCTGGTCTCGAACTCCTGACCTCAGATGATCTGCCCGCCTCAGCCTCCCAAAGAGCTGGGGTTATAGGCGTGAGCCACCACACCCAGCCTGCAGAAGAAATTTCTGATGGCAGCTGAGGCATGATGTCACCTGGGGTCCTCACCCAGACACACTGATCTCCAGCTATTGCACAAGTTGCTGGAAGGACCCCAGGTTCGGAATCAGACAGAGTGAGGTTTCAGTCCAGCCCTAGCATGTCCTAACTGTGTGGGCTTGGGAAATTCTCTAGCCTCCCGGAGTCGAAGCTTGCTATTTGTGAAAATGGGAATGACAGGTCCTATTTGTTTTTTCTTGGTTTTCTTTTTTTTGAAACAGTCTTGCTCTGTCACCCATGCTGAAGTGCAATGGCACGATCTCGGCTCACTGCAACCTTCACCTCCCAGTTCAAGCAATTATTGTGCCTCAGCCTCCCAAGTAACTGGGACTACAGGCGCATGCCACCATGCCTGGCTAATTTTTGTATTTTTAGTAGAGACGGGGTTTCACCATGTTGCCCAGGCTGGTCTTGAACTCCTGGCCACAAGTGATCTGCCCACCTCGGCCTCCCAAAGTGCTGGGATTACAGGCATGAGCCACCGCGCCCGGCCAATAGGTCCTATTTCTGAGGTTCACTGAGTTTTCAGTGAGATCATCTGTATCTCACTGTCATAGTCATAGCAGCACGTGACACACATACAACAAATGTCAAGACCCCTCCTCCTCCCTAAACGCCAAAGGTTTGAAGGTGGGCTTCACGGGAGTGGGGAGGAGAAGGGCTTACTTGGCTTGACGCCACTAATGTCGGGCCTTAGGGCTCAAGCAGGAAGGGCTCTGCCACCCCCTGCAGGCTCCTATCCTCTAAGATTCTTCCTTTCCTGATCCAACAGTCATACTCCCACACTCTGAAATCGTCTTGGTGTCCTGGGAGCTCCCTGGCACTTTGCACCGCTCCTGGGGCAAGAAGGACTTTCCACTTTGCATTGTCTCGGGTTGTTTGTTTACTTTCCTTATCTCTCCCGCTAAGCTGTGGGCACCCTGCCTGATTCATCCATGTGTCCTGTCCCAGTATCTGTCTCAGCATAGGTGCAAAGGGTTCCGCGGCTGAGTGAAGGGAAGAACTTATCAGTGTTAAACAAAGCCTGCCCCAGCCCCCAGGAAGCCACATGGTTACAGCCTTTCCATGAGAAACAGTCCAGAGGATGGGGTCTCTGGGCTGGGGAGGGGGGCTTCACTTGGCCCTGACTTTCTGAGAGCCCTGGACAAACTTTTTTTTTTTTTTTTTGAGATGGGGGTCTCACTCTGTTGCTCAGGCTGGAGTGCAATGGTGTGCTCTCGACTCACTGCAGCCTCCTCCTCCGGGGTTCAAGCGATTCTCCTGCCTCACCCTCCTGAGTAGCTGGGACTACAGGTGCGCACCACCACGCCCGGCTAATTTTTTGTATTTTCGGTAGAGACAGGGTTTCTCCATGTTGGTCAGGCTGGTCTCGAACTCCCGACCTCAGGTGATCCGCCCACCTCGGCCTCCCAAAGTGCTGGGATTACAGGCGTGAGCCACCGCGCCTGGCCTAACAAACTTAATTTTATTCTATTTTTTGAGACAGGGTCTCACTTCATCACCCAGGCTGGAGTGCAGTGGAGCCAACATAGCTCACTGCGGCCTCCAATTCCTGGGCTCAAGCAATTCCCCCACCTCGGCCTCCCTAGTAGCTGGGACTACAGGCATGCGCCCCCACACCCAGCTATTTTTTATTTTTAATTTTTTGTAGGGGCAGGGTCTCACTAGGTTGCTCAGGCTGGTCTCAAACTCCTGGCCTCAAGCAATCCTCTCAGTTCAGCCTCCCAAAATGTTGGGGCTACAGGCGTGAGCCACCACACCGTACCAGGACAAACTTCATCTTTGCTGGTGTTCATTTCCTCATCTGGAAAGCCAGGGGCAGACACACTTTGAGACCCTCCTTCCTTATCTAGCCCCCTGGGAGTCTATGCACCCAAGGACCCAGCCCTTTGTTTTCTGTCCAATCTGGGCTCAGAAACCAGGACAAAACCCCTCCTTCAATCCTATCAGTGTCCATTTTGGAGAATGCTTTATTTTATTTTATTTTTTTTTTTTTGAGACAGTCTCACTCTGTCACCCAGGCTGGGGTGCAGTGGTGTAATCTCAGCTCACTGCAACCTCTGCCTCCCGGGTTCAAGCAATTCTCATGCCTCAGCCTCCCAAGTAGCTGGGATTACAGGCATGCGCCACCACGCCTGGCTAATTTCTGTATTTTTAGTAGAGATGGGGTCTCACTATGTTGCCCATGCTGGTCTTGAATTCCTAGATTCAAGTGATACGCCGGCCTTAGCCTCCCAAAGTGCTGAGATTACAGGCGTGAGCCACCGTGCCCAGCAGATTTTGGAGAATGTTCTTTAGGACAGAACTTTGTAAATGATGCTAAAAAGCCCTAGTAAATTTCATGTTCCAGTGGTCCCCCTTCCTCTGTGTCCTCGTTTGTCCCAGAGGAAGTTGGCTGGGGCAGGAAGGGTCAGCAGTTGTTCTCTTTGTCAGAGCAGCCAGGAAAAGTCTCAGGTTGCCTCTAAGTAGACCAGCTGTGTGTCAAGCTCTGTGCCAAAGGCAGGAGCTGCTTTTACTCCCTGCAGCAAGGCGAGCATGTAAAGACCTGACAGGCCAGGGTGGAGGGGAGGTGGGCAGCGCTGTGGGCTTTGGCAGGCAGGAAGGCTTCCTGGAGGAGGCGCTATCCTGAATTGTGGGCAGAGGAGGGAAGGTAAGAGGGGCTTCCCTGTTAGAATAAGACCAGAAGGGCCGGATGTGGTGGTTCACGCCTGTAATCCCAGCACTTTAGGAGGCCGAGGCGAGCAGATCACTTGAGGTCAGGAGTTCGAGACCAGCCTTGCCAACATGGAGAAACCCTGTCTCTACTAAAAATACAAAAATTAGTGGGGCGTGGTGGCGCTCACCTGTAATCCCAGCTACTAGGCAGGCTGAGGCAGGAGAATTGTTCGAACCCAGAAGGCAAAGGTTGTGGTGAGCCAAGATCAGGCCACTGCACTCCAGCCTGGGTGACAGAGTGAGACTTCATCTTAAAAAAAAAAGGAAAAGAAAAGGTGGGCTGTGTGGCTTCAAGGTGAGGTGTATAAAGGAGACAGGGAGGCCGGGCACAGTGACTCATGCCTGTAATTCCAGCATTTTGGGAGGCCGAGGGAGGTGGATCGCCTGAGCTCAGGAGTTCGAGACCAGCCTGGGCAACATGGCGAAACCCTGTCTCTACCAAAAATACAAAAAACCAGCTGGGCATGGTAGCACATGCCTATAGTCCCAGCTACTCGGGAGGCTAAGGTGGGAGGATCGCTTGAGCCTGGGAGGTGCAGGCTGCAGTGAGCCAAGGCCGTAGCACTGTACCACTGCTCTCCAACTTGGGTGACAAGAGTGAGACCCTGTCTCAAAAAAAGGAGATGAGATGCTGAGAGAAGCAAGTGGTGGCCCAGTCATGGAGGAGGGGGACGGGTTTGGAAGCCAAGCCAAGGAGTGTGGACTTTGTCCCAGAGGTAGTAGGGAGCCATGGAGGGTTCCAGACCTGAACTGCACTTTAGAAAGAATTGTCCTGGCTGCAACTGGAAGATGAGCTCCGAGTGTGACACTGGAGTCAGGGAGGTCCCTGTGAGAAATGACACCAGGCCAAGGGGTGACACAGTGAGAGAGGATGGAGGGGAGGGGACAGCGGGAGAAATGTCACAGATCCTATGAGATTGAGATTTTTTTCTCAATTAGACCCGGAATATAACAGTCAGACCTGGAATGCTGGGAGTCAGTGGGGTTTTTGTGGCAAGTTTTGGGACATCCTAGGGAGGGTCCCCAGGCAGCTGGATATGAGGCTAGAGCAGGAAAGGGCCAGAGTGAGAGAGGCTGCAGGGTGGGCATTGCAAAGGAGTCAGTGAAAAGTGGTCAGGGGCTGGGAGCGGTGGCTCACGCCTGCAATCCCAGCACTTTGGGAGGCTGAGGCAGTCAGATCGCTTGAGCCCAGGAGTTTGACAACAGCCTGGGCAACATGGTGAAACCATGTTGAATTTTTTTTAAAAATTCACAGATTAGCTGGGTGCAGTGGTATACACCTGTAGTCCCAGCTACTCTGGAGGCTAAGGTAGGAGGATCACTTGCACCCAGGAGGCGGAGATCGAAGTACCCAAGATCCCTGCCACTGCACTCCAGCCTGGGCAACAGATTGAGACCTTGTCTCAAACACACACACACACACTCCATCCTGGGCAACAGATTGAGTCCTTGTCTCAAACACACACACACCAGCCTGGGCAACAGATTCAGTCCTTGTTTCAAGCATACACACACACACACACACACACACACACACACAAAGCGGCCAGGGCCCGGTGAGGTGGCTGACACCTGTAATCCCAGTGCTTTGGGAGCCTGAGTTGGGGGATCATTTGAGGTCAGGAGTTTGAGACCAGCCTGACCAATATGGTGAAACCACGTCTCTATTGAAAATACAAAAAATTAGCTGGGCGTGGTAACGCGTGCCTGTAATTCCAGCTACTTGGGAGGCTGAGGCAGGAGAATCGCTTGAACCCGGGAGGTGGAGGTTGCAGTGAGCTGGGATCGTGGCACTGCACTCTAGGCTGGGCAACAAGAGTGAAACGCCATCTCAAAAAAAAAAAAAAAAAAAAAAAAAGTGGCCAGGGAAGCTAGGAGATAAAGAAAAGCCTCGTGAGCCCAGGAATTTGAGGCCAGTCCTCAAAGCAACATAGTGGGGCCCTGTCTCTACCAAAAAATTAAAAATAACAGTAATAAAAAGGAAGAGGCCAGGCACAGTGGCTCACGCCTGTAATCCCAACACCTTGGGAGGCCAAGACAAGAGGATTCCTTGACCTCAGGAGTTCGAGACCAGCCTGGGCAACACAGGGAGACCCTGTCTCTACAAAAAATTTAAAAATTAGCCAGACATGGTGGCGTACACCAGAGGCTGAGGCGGGAGGATCGCTTGAGCCCAGGAGGTCAAGGCTTCAGTGAGCTATGATTGCGCCACTGCACTCTGGCCTGGGCAACAGAGCAAGAACCTGTTTCAAAACAACAACAAAAACAAAAAAGAGCCTGGAGTGTGTGTTGGGGCCAAGGGCAAGAGCCTGGGGAGAGGTCAGAATTAGAGACTGGGAGGGGAGGTGGAGGCCTGGAAGAGGACACATGTTGGTGGTCAGAAGTGAACCAAGGGTGGTTCTCTGCAATGAAAGTGGGTAGTGCCTAGCCTTCTGAGGCAGAGGACCCAAGGCTCTAGGCCCCTGGCCTGCCAGTCTAACCAGGACTTTCTTTTTTTCTTTTTTTTTTTTCTTTGAGATGGATTCTTGCTCTGTCACCAGGCTGGAATGCAGTGGCGTGATCTCACTGCAACCTCCACCTCCCAGGTTCAAGCGATTCTCCTGCCTCAGCCTCCCAAGGAGCTGGGACTATAGGCATGTGCCGCCATGCTCGGCTAATTTTTGTATTTTTAGTGGAGACGGGGTTTCACCATGTTGGCAGGCTGGTCTTGATCTCCTGGCCTCGTTATTCACCCACCTAGGCCTCCCAAAGTGCTGGGATTACAGGTGTGAGCCACCGCACCCAGCCCTAACCAGGACTTTCTGGAGGCAGCTCACTCTCTGTGGCCTATGGCCCCACAATCCATTCAGCAGTCTTTGCAAGTGTACCTATGGGGCTCCAGAGGAACCCAGAGAAGGTGTGGGAGGTTGGATTCACAGTGCCCTGTAGAGGAAGATCAGGCTGGGTGAGGTGGCTCAAGCCTGTAATCCCAGCACTTTGGAAGCCCGAGGCAGGTGGATCACCTGAGGTCAGCAGTTCGAGACCAGCCTGGCCAACATGGTGAAACCCCGTCTCTACTAAAAACACAAAAATTAGCTGGGCCTGGTCGTGGGCGCCTGTAATCCCAGCTACTCAGGAGGCTGAGGCAGGAGAATCGCTTGAACCCAGGAGGTGGAGGTTGCAGTGAGCCAAGATCACGCCATTGCACTCCAGCCTGGGCAACAAGAGTGAAACCCTATCTCCAAAAAAAAAAAAAAAAAAAGGAAGATCTAGGAGGCTAGAGCATCATCCGAGAAGACTTCCTGGAGGAGGCAGCATGGGCACTTAATCTGAACGTCAAAGGCCAAGCAGGATTTCGCAGGGTGTCACTTGAGTCCCAGTCCCCTGGGGTGAGGTGGGGGATGAGGAAGCTGGGTGCCCCTGACCTGGCCCCCTTCTCTCAGATGTGAAGCGGAGGAAGAGCCCCGTGTGTGGCTTCGTGACCCCCCTGCAGGGGCCTGAGGCTGATGCGCACCGGAAGCCGGAGGTAGCTGGGTTCTGGACCGCCTGCCCACCTGCCCACCTGCCCACCCACCAAGACCAGCCCCTGCCTCCTGTAGCCTTGCGCTGAGCAGACAGGGATGGGGTGAAGGGTGGGAGATGGGTGTGCGGTGCTCCCCTCTCTACTGATCCCCCTCCCCCGGCCCCTACCCCAGGCCGTGGTCCTGGAGGGGAACTACTGGAAGCGGCGCATCGAGGTGGTGATGCGGGAATACCACAAGTGGCGCATCTACTACAAGAAGCGGGTCAGTGGGGGAGGGCCAGGGAGGCCCCAGAGCTTTCCTCCTGCGGCTGCCGGCTACCGCCCGCCTCGGAAGATCCCTGGAAAGGGGATCCTGACCCCCGAGCTTGCGCCCCTCGGGCCCTCCATTCAGTCCCGGGCCGACAGCGCCACCGTGTGGCCACAGCGTCTCCTAGCGGCCTCCTTACCTAGGGGTCGGGTGAGCTCCTGATGGGAAATGGGGGATCTCATCGCTTGTGAGTAGAGGAGACTTTGGGGGGAAAGTGATGGAGGATGGGGCAAGGGATCCGGTGTCCAACTCTGTGTGTCCCTGCAGCTCCGTAAGCCCAGCAGGGAAGATGACCTCCTGGCCCCTAAGCAGGTGGGTGCTCTGTAAGTCCAGCAGGCAAGGGCATCCCTTTGCCCCCCAAGTAGATGGGAGGCAGAGTTGACAGTTTCCGCCTCAGTGGGCAAGACAGTGGCTGGGCATGAGGGTGGAATGTGGGATGTTACTGCCATCCTGTGGTTCATTTGTTGAGCTCTTCTCTTCTTGGGGGGTGAGGGTGAGGTGGTGAGAAGACCCCAGGTCATTGAGCAAGTGGTGGGAGGCATGGGAGAACAGAGGGACCAGGCCGGGCGTGGTGGCTCACGCCTGTCATCCCAGCACTTTGGGAGGCCGAGGCGGGTGGGTCATCTGAGGTCAGGAGTTCGAGACCAGCCTGGCCAACATGGTGAAACCCCGTCTCTACTAAAAATACAAAAATTAGCCGGGCATAGTGGCGCATGCCTGCAATCCCAGCTACTCAGGAGGCTGAGACAGGAGAATCGCTTGAACCTGGGAGGTGGAGGTTGCAGTGAGCTGAGATTGCGCCACTGCACTCCAGCCTGGGCAACAGAGTGAGACTCCGTCTCCAAAAAAAAAAAAAAGAAAAAGAAAAAGAAAACAAACAAAAAAAAAAACCAGAGGGACCAAAGAACTGGGGTCCCAGACAGGAAAAAATCTAAAGAGCAGGAAGGGGACCCCTGTATCTGCATCCTGGTCTATCTCCTGGGGGAAGTTCTTAGAGGCCAATGGAGTGATCTTGGCCTTTCAAGCAGCAAGCTAGGTCCACTAGGGAAAGGTGACAGAGGTGTGAACAGACAGACCCTCTGTCCTGCTGACCACTTGACCCTGGAGAGGGGTGATATGGAAGATCGGGGCAGTGGGAGCTCTCTAGCGGCTGCTGACGGCTCTGTCTCCCTAGGCGGAAGGCAGGTGGCCGCCGCCGGAGCAATGGTGCAAACAGCTCTTCTCCAGTGTGGTCCCCGTGCTGCTGGGGGACCCAGAGGAGGAGCCGGGTGGGCGGCAGCTCCTGGACCTCAATTGCTTTTTGTCCGACATCTCAGACACTCTCTTCACCATGACTCAGTCCGGCCCTTCGCCCCTGCAGCTGCCGCCTGAGGATGGTGAGGGTCTGAGAAAGGGCAGGGGAGAGGGGTGAAGGCCTGTGAGATTCCAGGAGGCCAAGGGAGGGATGGCTGGGGATGGGGGTGGGGACCCTGCTCCTCCCTGCCTGCTGCTGCTGATGTCGCCACTGCTGCCTCCAGCCTACGTCGGCAATGCTGACATGATCCAGCCGGACCTGACGCCACTGCAGCCAAGCCTGGATGACTTCATGGACATCTCAGGTGGGGCGAGCCCCTCCCCAGGTCGGGTGGACGGGCAGGGTCTGTGTGAGGAAGGCCGATGAGCCCATCCCAGGCCCCTCTGGGAGGGCTGATAGTCTGGGTCGTTTCTTTTTTTCTGTCTTTTTATTTATTTATTTATTTTGAGATGGCATCTCACTCTGTCACCAAGGTTGCAGTGCAGTGGTGCCAACCTCTGCCCTCCAGACTCAAGTGATCCTCCCGCCTCAGCCTCCTGAGTAGCTGGGACTACAGGTGTGCACCACCAAACCCGGCTAATTTTTTTTGTATTTTTGGTAGAGATGGGTTTCACCATGTTGCCCAGACTGGTCCCAAACTCCTGAGCTCAAGCCATCCTCTTGCCTTGGCCTCCCAAAGTGCTGGGATTACAGGCATGAGCCACCATGCCTGGCAGGTCTGGGTGGTTTCTGAGGGTTCTTCCTGGTCTCCTTTTGTCCAGCTGGTGTGGCCTCCAATGGGGGCAGGGCCCAAGAGAGTACCTGGCCAGGGAACCAGGGGCTCCCAAGAAAGCAGTGAAGGCTGGGACTCTCTCAGGGGAGAGAAGAACTTTGAATTATTTGGGTCTATTTATTTTTCACACAATGCATTTTAAAACTATTTGCTAGGCTGGGCATGGTGGCTCACACCTGTAATCCCAGCACTTTTGGGAGGCCGAGTCAGGCAGATCACCTGACGTCAGGAGTTCGAGACCAACCTGACCAATATGGTGAAACCCCATCTCTACTAGAAGTACCAAAATTAGCTGGGCGTGGTGGCAGGCACCTGTGATCCCAGCTACTCAGGAGGCTGAGGTGGGAGAATTGCTTGAACCTGAGAGGCAGAGGTTGCAGTGAGCCGAGATCGCGCCACTGCACTCCAGCCTGGGTGACAGAGCAAGACTCTGTCTCAAAAAAATTAAAATAAAAAATAAAACTATTTACTAGAGAACATTTCAAACATGCACACACTAGTAGAGAAAGAGTAGCTCAGCAAAAACCTCCCAAGTCACCATCACTGATGTCACCGACTTATCAACTCTTGGCCAGTCTTTTATCCGAGAACATTCCTTCTCTTCTGTTATGTTTCTATTTTATTTTATTTTAATTTAATTTATTTTTGAGACAGGGTCTCATTCTGTTGCCCAGGCTGGAGTACAGTGGCACAATCACAGCTCACTGCAGCCTCAACCTCCCAGGCTCAAGTGATCCTCCCACCTCAGCCTCCCGAGTAGCTGGGACCACAGGCACGCACCATTATGCCTGGCTAATTTTTTTTATGTTTTGAAGAGACAGGGCCTCCCTGTATTGCCCAGGCTGGTCTAGAACTCCTGGGCTCAAGAGATCCTCCCACCTCAGCCTCCCAAAGTGCTGGGATTACAGGTGTGTGCCACCGTGCCCAGTGCGTTATTTTAAAGAAAATCCCAGGCATGCATCATATCTTGTAAAGCTTTTTTTTTTTTTTTTTTTTTTTTTTTTGAGACGGAGTCTCACTCTGTCACCCAGGTTGGAATGCAGTGAGTCCATCTCAGCTCACTGCAGCTTCCGCCTCCCAGGTTCAAGCGATTCTTGTGCCTCAGCCTCCTGAGTAGCTGGGATTACAGGCATGTGCCACCACACCCAGCTACTTTTTGTATTTTTAGTAGAGACGGGGTTTTGCCATGTTGGCCAGGCTGGTTTTGAACTCCTGACCTCAAGCGATCCTCCCACCTCGGACTCCCAAAGTGCTGGGATTACGGGTGTGAGCTACCGCGTCTGGCCTAAAGCAATTTTTGTAAGTCATGAGTGTCCCTGCCTCCCTCTCCTGACCACAGGGCCACCAAGTTACTGATTCCTCAGTGTCCTCCCAGAGATGCTCCTGTCAGTAGAAGCACATGTGGACAAATGTCTCTGTTTTCACAATTGACTTTCCAAGTGGCCTTCCTCACTTCGCTGTAGGTCTTGCAGGTTATTCCCGATAGCCACACATTTAGGGACCCCCGGAGCTATGTGCGGGCCAGGTAGATATCCAGGCTCAGCCCGTCTCATCGAAGCCCCTGGGGACAGAAAGAGGGTCCCTGGGATAAAGCTTAGTCTTAGTGACCTCCTAATTCCTTCCCCACGGGGTCCTGGGCCTGTCAATCAAGAGGTGGAGGCCTATGGGGCGGGAACTAGGGAATGAGGAACCACCCCCACCCCTGTTCCAGTCCCGGGAGGGGGTGGGGGCTGCCCAGGGGCAGAAGTGTGCATGGCAGTGCCCTGGGAGCAGGCCAGCCTGGGAGGGCAGCGGCCCTGTCTGGGCACACAGCGCCCGGCCACAGGTAGGAGCCCAGCCACCCCCACCTGGGGTCTGGGCAAGACCAGCAGGGACTGGGGCTAGGAGGCGATGTCTGGCAAGCCCGGGTGGCTGCTGGCGCATGGGGGAAAAAGTGTGGGCCACACAGAGGAGGTGGCTCGTGTGGCCCTCTCTTATCAAACATTCCGTGTACCCAGAGGGCAGAGCGCACTGGTACCACCAAGACGGCAGCTCTCGTTGCCCCCAAGAGCCTCCCACTGGGGAGGTCTGGCTGGAAACCCAGGGAGGGGACCAGAACTCTATGGAGGCAGGAGGCTTAGTGAGGGGTGCTCAGGGAGGCAGCCAGAGGCAGAGGAGCTCAGGGAGGGGATGACAGGTCAGGTCCGTGGAGGGGACAGAGGCTAGGGAGGGACTTGGGCCCTGGTGAGCAGCTCGGGCTGGGAAGCAACTTCTCTCAAGGCAGGGTGGGGACAGGCCTGGGCAACGATGGTAAGCGGGTGGCTGGTGACTCAGGGATGAGAGGGCCTTGCGGCCCCATGACCCCTGCCCGGGACCCAGGGAGTGGGCAGCAGCTGTGAGCAGGGAGGAGCCCTAGGCCCTCAGCGGCCTGGGGCCAGGCACAGCATGAGGCTGATTCTAGAGCCAGGGCCTCGGGGACCTAGTGACAGGAACTGTGGACCCTGGGAGATGGGGGAGCAGCAGTGACCACTCGCCATCTCCCACCTGGTCCCCCTTTTTTTGAGATGGAATCTTGCTCTGTTGCCCAGGCTGGAGTGCAGTGGCATCATCTTGGCTCACTGCAACCCCCACCTCCCGGGTTCAAGCAATTCTCCTGTCTCAGCCTCCAGAATAGCTGGGACTACAGGCGCCCGCCACCACGCCTGACTAATTTTTGTATTTTTTTTTTTTTTAGTAGAAACGGGGTTTCCCCTCATTGGCCAGGCTGGTCTCGAACTCCTGACCTCAGGTGATCCGTCCACCTCAGCCTCTCAAAGTGCTGGGATTACAGGCGTGAGCCACCGCGCCTGGCCTGGTCCCCCTTTTAAAGAAAGGCAGCAGGGGGGCCTGTAATCCCAGCTACTCAGGAGGCTGAGGCAAGGAGAATTGTTTGAACCTGGGAGGCTGCAGTGAGCCGAGATCGTGCCACTGTACCCCAGCCTGGGCTACAGAGCGAGACTCCATCTCAAAAAAAAAAAAAGAAAGAAAGAGAGAAAGAGAGAGAGAGAGATGAAAGAAAGAGAGAGAGGGAAAGAAAGGAAGGAAGGAAGGAAGGAAGGAAGGAAGGAAGGCAGGCAGGCAGGCAGGCAGGCAGGCAGGCAGGAAGGCAGGCAGGCAGGCAGGCAGGCAGGTGGACAGCAAGAAGACACCGTTTTGCCATGAGGTTAGACACGCGGACAGGCACAGAGCAGACGCACGTGCACCATGCTATCATGGCAGGACAGGTTCACATGGCCTCAGACGGAGCGACAGACACCCAGAGGGTAGGCAGAGGCTGCGTGCAGACCCCATGCTGAGACTCCAGGGTTCAGCGACTGCAACACACAGGCTCTGCACCCTCCTGCAAAGCAAAGCCACTGACGACACACAGGGCCGGGCGCGGTGACTCACTCCTGTCATCCCAGCACTTTAGGAGGCCAAAGCAGGAGGATCGCTTGAGCTCAGGAGTTTGAGACCAGCCCGGGCAACATGGCAAAACCCCATTTTTGCTAAAAAATACAAAAATTAGCTGAGTGTGGTGGTGCATGCCTGTAATCCCAGCTACTCGGGAAGCCGAGGCATGAGAATCGTTTGAACCCAGGAGGTGGAGGTTGCAGTGAGCCGAGATGGTGCCACCGCATTCCAACCTGGGTGACAGCAAGGCACGGTGGCTAACTTCCTCCCCTCGCCCTGCACCCCTTTCCCACCCTGGCATTCTCTCTGGGCACCTCCTTTCTGTACCAGCAGATCAGGGAAAGGGAGCCACCAGGGGATGGGAAGGGGGACTTCCTGAGCTAAGCCTGGTGCTGTGCAGGGGAGGGGACTGCTTCCTGGGGTTCCTGTTCACACCCACAGTCCCCTGCTGTCTCCCACGCAAGCTCATTATAATCCCAGCACTTTAGGAGGCTGAGGCAGGAGGATGGCTTGAGGCCAGAAGTTTGAGACCAGCCTGGGCAACATAGCACGATTCTATCTCTGGGGGATGGGGTTGGGGGTGAAGACACAAACACACACACACACACACACACACACACACACACACACACTTGACCCTGCAGTGGGTTCTGGGTTTGGGGTGACCTTATCTAACTGACTCCTGGTCTCCTTGGAGGTGGCTCCTGGGAGGCAGACTTGAGCAGCTCTCCTGGCAGGGGGGTGGGAGGGAAAAAACTGGGAGCTGGGGCCCACCCAGGTCTGTGGGGAGTTGTCACGGTGGGGTCGGAACTGCCCAGACTAAGAGGCCTCAGGAGCTGGCACGGATCACAGGCTGGTCAGGGTCAGAGAAAGGTGCCCGGAAGGGAGCGGGTGGGCGGGCGGCGCCCAGGCCCGGGATGTGGTCAGGCCGTGGCCAGCTGCTTCCCAAAACCAGAATAGCCCAGGACTTACACAACCCGCACCCCAAACAATCCGCTACTGCCTCCCCCAGCTCTCGCAGGCTTCCCAGACCCCTTGCCCCACCCCACTCAGAGCCCACCCTTAGGCCCCTCTCGCCCCCACCCCACTCAGAGCCCACCCTTAGGGCCCCTCTCGCCCCCACCCCTTTCGGAGCCCAGCCTTAGGCCCCTCTCGCCCCCACCCCACTCGGAGCCCACCCTTAGGCCCCCTCTCATCCCCACCCTACTTGGAGCCCACCCTTAGCCCCTCTTGCCCCCACCCCACTTGGAGCCCAGTCTTAGGTCCCCCTTCACCCCCCCCCCACTTGGAGCCCACCCGTATCCCCCTCTTGCCCACACCCCACTCAGAACCCACCCTTAGGCCCCTCTCGCCCCCACCCCACTCAGAGCCCACCCTTAGCCCCTCTTGCCCACACCCCACTTGGAGCCCAGCCTTAGGCACCCCCCTCACCCCCATCCCACTCAGAGCCCACCCATATCTCCCTCTTGCCCACACACCACTCAGAGCCCACCCTTAGGCCCCTCTCGCCCCCACCCCACTCGGAGCCCAGCCTTAGGCCCCTCTCGCCCCATTACACTCTTCACCCCACTCCTAGGCTCCACCTGTTGACCTTCCAACAAACCAAGCTTGTCCCGGACCCAGTGACCTCACGTTCCCCCTCATCTCCAACTCACCCTCTTGAACTTCTGCCACCCTGGGGCCCCTCCCATGCCAGGCCTCCTCCCCTAGCACCGTACCCCTTTTCCACCCTGGCACTCGCTCTGGGCACCCCCTTTCTGCACCTCCAGCAGATCAGGGAAGGGGAGCCACCAGGGGGTGGGGAGGGGGACTTCCTGAGCTAAGCCTGGGGCTGGGGAGGGGAGGGGGCTCCTTCCTGGGGTCCCTGTTCACATCCACAGTCCCCTGCTCTCTCCCACGCAAGCTCATTCCACCCAAGACGGTTGCTGCTTCCCCTAATCGAGACAGAAACCCTCCCAGTTTCACAATCTTCTGTGGAAGGGACCCCCACCCTCTGCCCGCCAGTCCCCATGTCCCCACCCGCCAAGGCTGGGGACAGGCCACTCTCCTCTCAGCTGTTTCCCAGCCATAGCCCTGGCCCTAACTGCTGTTGCCCTGTGTGTCTGAATTACAGATTTCTTTACCAACTCCCGCCTCCCACAGCCGCCCATGCCTTCAAACTTCCCAGAGCCCCCCAGCTTCAGCCCCGTGGTTGACTCCCTCTTCAGCAGTGGGACCCTGGGCCCAGAGGTGCCCCCGGCTTCCTCGGCCATGACCCACCTCTCTGGACACAGCCGTCTGCAGGTGAGCTCACC
Source organism: Homo sapiens (assembly GCF_000001405.40). Lineage (NCBI taxonomy): Eukaryota > Metazoa > Chordata > Mammalia > Primates > Hominidae > Homo > Homo sapiens. The sequence continues at coordinate 73,599,514 of NC_000007.14, read as the reverse complement.
CCACCCCGTCCAGCCCTGTGTAGCTCACTTGAGAGCTGTTCCTGCCCTGTTCATGTCCAGGAGGTATCAGACACTCCCTGAGTGCCCAGTCTTCTGCTTGGAGATTGGAGGGAAAGAAAGACCCCATCTCTGCCCTCTGGGAGGGACCCCGTGAAGCAGAACTGGACAAAACGGTTGTGGGAGAAAGCTAAGGGCATGGAGACCATGGAATGGGCTCCACCAAGGGCCAGTTGCTTGTGGAAGGCTTCCTGGAGAAGGGGAGTTTCTGGGCCTTAGAGAATAGGTCAGCTTTGGACAGAAGGGACTGGCTGACCTCAAGCCAGATGGGAGAACAGCAGGAACAAAAGCTTCGAGGCAGAAAGCTGAGCGTGGATGTTTAGGAAACAGTGAATCTACCATTTTGGTTCATCAATTCCCCATATGCAATTCTTTTTTTTTTTTTTCTTTGAGACAGAGTCTCACTCTGTCGCCTAGGCTCGAGTGCAGTGGCATGATCTCGGCTCACTGTAACCTCCGCCTCCCGTGTTCAAGCGATTTCCGGCTTATTTTTGTATTTTTAGTAGAGACAGGGTTTCACCATGTTGCCCAGGCTGGTCTCAAACTCCTGACCTCAGTAGTCCGCCCGCCTCGGCCTCCCAAGGTGGTGGGATTACAGGTGTGAGCCACCACACCTGGCCCCCAGGTGCAGTTCAGAAGTTGCTTCCTGCTGCTTGGTTATAGGCCTTTTCCCTCCATCATCAGACTTTTCAGGTGCTAATTCTAATCGGTTGCTGAGGGGTGTCTCTCCTCCATCAGACAGTGAGCTCCTTACTGAAAGGGTTATGTTTTGCTCACCACTGCATTCTCTATACCTAATACAGCTCAGGCACATAACAGCACTCAGTGAATGGTTGTCCAATGAGTGAGTCAGTGACTGAATGAATGAGCAAGTGTGCAGATGAATGGGCGTGCTGGTGAATGGATAGATGCATCTTAGACTGCGGTGGAGGCACACGTGGGTTGGTGGATATATGGGTAGGTGAGTGGTTGGGTGGATGGGTGGGCTGGTGGATGGATACATAGATGAATAGTTTAATGGATTAGTGAATGGGTTCATTGGTGGTTAAGTGGCTGGAAATGTATAGATGGTGGATGGATGGAAGGATTATGGATGGGTTGGTGGATGAATGATGGAAGTATAGATGGTTGGATGGATTAGTTAATATGTTAATATCTGGTAGGCTGGTGGAGAGAGTGGTAGATGAGCTGGTTCATAGATTGATAAATAGGTAGGTGAATGGATGGAAGACGGATGGATGGAGAGATTGGTGGATGAAGTAGTAGATGGACAATTGATGAATGGATGGGTGGGTTGGTTAGTGGATGGATTGGTGAAGTTAGTGGATGGATGATGAAGGAATGGTAGGTTGGTTGGTGGATGGATCAGTGGACAAGTTAGTGGATGGATGGATGATGAATGGATGGGTGAGTTGGTTGGTGGATGGATTGGTGGACAAGTTAGTGGATGGATGGATGAATAAGTTATTTGGGAGACAAATGGACGGGCAGGAAGATTGATGCTCCGCTGTTCCTGCTTTTTGCATAAATGTACTCGACTCCCTCCTCTCATTGTAATTTCCCTGCTGCATGTATATGTTCGCACACCTGTGTGTGTTGGAAGGCAGGGCTCATTTCTCCTATCTCTCCCCAGGGCCCCAGTCTAGAGTTTGGCCAGGGCAAGGCAGGGCAGGGGAGGCCCAGATGGCTGCCAGGGGCAGCTCTCTCCCCTGCTCTCTGAGTGTCTGTCTGTCCCCCCAACCAGGCTCGGAACAGCTGCCCTGGCCCCTTGGACTCCAGCGCCTTCCTGAGTTCTGATTTCCTCCTTCCTGAAGACCCCAAGCCCCGGCTCCCACCCCCTCCTGTACCCCCACCTCTGCTGCATTACCCTCCCCCTGCCAAGGTGCCAGGCCTGGAGCCCTGCCCCCCACCTCCCTTCCCTCCCATGGCACCACCCACTGCTTTGCTGCAGGAAGAGCCTCTCTTCTCTCCCAGGTTTCCCTTCCCCACCGTCCCTCCTGCCCCAGGAGTGTCTCCGCTGCCTGCTCCTGCAGCCTTCCCACCCACCCCACAGTCTGTCCCCAGCCCAGCCCCCACCCCCTTCCCCATAGAGCTTCTACCCTTGGGGTATTCGGAGCCTGCCTTTGGGCCTTGCTTCTCCATGCCCAGAGGCAAGCCCCCCGCCCCATCCCCTAGGGGACAGAAAGCCAGCCCCCCTACCTTAGCCCCTGCCACTGCCAGTCCCCCCACCACTGCGGGGAGCAACAACCCCTGCCTCACACAGCTGCTCACAGCAGGTGAGGGCCAGCAACGGGGAGAGGAAAGCCTGGGGAGGGAGGCCAGGGGGTGGGGAGGACAGGGGGTTTTGGGAGCAGAAGATGAAGGTGAAGGGGCAGGTCCAGTTCAAGGGACAGAGTGGCAAGGAATGAGGGATGTGGGGCCTGTACCTAAAAGGGGTGTGGACTCTTGGGAGGGGCAGGATGGGGTCTTGATAGATGCCGGGGGTGGGCCAGCCCCAGTAGCCTCACGGTTCTGCCCGTGCACAGCTAAGCCGGAGCAAGCCCTGGAGCCACCACTTGTATCCAGCACCCTCCTCCGGTCCCCAGGGTCCCCGGTAAGATCTCGGGCACTGGGCGGTGGGGCTGTGCCCACGGCCTTCAACCCGACTCTCCGCCCTTCTCCACCCCAGCAGGAGACAGTCCCTGAATTCCCCTGCACATTCCTTCCCCCGACCCCGGCCCCTACACCGCCCCGGCCACCTCCAGGCCCGGCCACATTGGCCCCTTCCAGGCCCCTGCTTGTCCCCAAAGCGGAGCGGCTCTCACCCCCAGCGCCCAGCGGTAAAGAGAGGGGTTGCAGGGATTGGGGGAATCTAGGGGATGAGGGGAAGAGGAGGAAGAAGAAGGGGACTGGGTCTGGGGCCAGATGAGAGGAAGGGGGCAATGGGGACCCTTTCCCCTGGGTCGGTCTTTCTGTGGGTCTGTCTGTCCCTACCACAGGCAGTGAACGGCGGCTGTCAGGGGACCTCAGCTCCATGCCAGGCCCTGGGACTCTGAGCGTCCGTGTCTCTCCCCCGCAACCCATCCTCAGCCGGGGCCGTCCAGACAGCAACAAGGTGGGCACCATCCCCCACCCCAAGATCGGTTTGCTACCCCCAGGCCCTCCTGGGCTCCTTCCTAGGCTCACCCAACTCTCTGCTCCCCGAGACCGAGAACCGGCGTATCACACACATCTCCGCGGAGCAGAAGCGGCGCTTCAACATCAAGCTGGGGTTTGACACCCTTCATGGGCTCGTGAGCACACTCAGTGCCCAGCCCAGCCTCAAGGTGAGCCCCGGGCCCAGGCTGGCACCCCCAAAACCACAGGGCCCCTTTCTGGACCCCCCCCACCCAAAACTCAATTGCAGGGGAGTGCTCCAGACACTCTTGCCTCCTCCCATCCCAGTGCCTCAGTGGGTCCCAGGGTACAGCCTCTAGCACCTGCCTGAGCCCCCCTGGTGGCGTCTGCAGGTGAGCAAAGCTACCACGCTGCAGAAGACAGCTGAGTACATCCTTATGCTACAGCAGGAGCGTGCGGGCTTGCAGGAGGAGGCCCAGCAGCTGCGGGATGAGATTGAGGAGCTCAATGCCGCCATTAAGTAGGCAGGGTCCAGGCGGGTGCTGGGACCAGGGGGCCATGCCGCCTTACCCCCAGCCCCTGACCCCTGCCCTGCCCCCAGCCTGTGCCAGCAGCAGCTGCCCGCCACAGGGGTACCCATCACACACCAGCGTTTTGACCAGATGCGAGACATGTTTGATGACTACGTCCGAACCCGTACGCTGCACAACTGGAAGTTCTGGGTGGTATCCTCCCTCAAGCCCATGGCTGGGGGGCTGCAGGGGCTGTGGCAGGGTGAGACCAGGCTGGGCCTGGGATGGAGGCCTAGCTCTCCAGGCCGGGCAGGCTCAGAGCTGCTCCCAGGTGACAGGCTCTGGCTCTGCCCCCTGCTTCCATGCCCTGGCCATCTTGGCCAGCAAAATTGCCCAGGGATGGGGGGCTGGGAGCAGAGAGGGAAACTGAGGGAGGAGTCCTTGGGTAAGGGGAGCCTTGGCCCTGACCTCAGGAAGCCCCGAGGGCAGTTTGGGAGAATCTGAACTCTGGAGTGAGGACTACAGAAGACTTGGAATCCACTCCCTGATCTGGCTCAGGGGTCAAGTTCTTGACTGAGCCCAGGCAGGGAGCTCAGGGATGGGGGATGGTTCAGCACACAGTAAGGGCCGTGGAGGGGCAAGGAGGAGGGGACTGAGAGGCAGAGAGCTGGGAAGGTCTTGGCAGGACAGAAGTAGGGACTGCAAGCCAGGTGCGGTGGCTCACGCCTGTCATCCCAGCACTTTGGGAGGCCGAGGCAGGTGGATCACTTGAGGCCAGGAGTTCAAGACCAGACTGGCCAACATGGCAAAACCCCATCTCTACTAAAAATACAAAAATTAGCCAAGCGTGGTGGCATGTGCCTGTAATCCCAACTACTCGGGAGGCTGAGGCAGGAGAACAGCTTGAACCTGGGAGGTGGAGGTTGCAGTGAGCCAAGATTGTGCCACTGCATTCCAGCCTGGGCAGCAGAGTGAGACTCTGTCAAAAAAAAAAAAAAAAAAAGTCCGAGCACAGTGGCTCACGCCTGTAATTCCAGCACTTTAGGAGGCTGAGGTGGGTGGATCACGAGGTCAGGAGTTCGAGACCAGCCTGACCAACATAGCGAAACCCCGTCTCTACTAAAAATACAAAAATTAGCCAGGTGTGGTGGCGCACACCTGTAATCCCAGCTACTCAGGAGGCTGAGGCAGGAGAATTGCTTGAACCTGGGAGGCAGAAGTTGCAGTGAGCTGAGATCGTGCCACTGCACTTCAGCCTGGGTGACAGAGCGAGACTCCGTCTCAAAAAAAAAAAAAGAAGAAGTAGGGGCTGCAACATGAGTCATTGGGGTTCAACGTTAGACAGTGTCCAGGCCCTTTCTTCCCCTGGTTTGAACTGGGCATCAGGGCTCCACGTGGTGTGGGGGGACCAGCTGGACCACAGGCAGCTCCTTGACCTGGGCCCAGTTCAGCATCCTCATCCGGCCTCTGTTTGAGTCCTTCAACGGGATGGTGTCCACGGCAAGTGTGCACACCCTCCGCCAGACCTCACTGGCCTGGCTGGACCAGTACTGCTCTCTGCCCGCTCTCCGGCCAAGTACGTGAGCCATCTCCCTGCCTGCTAGAGGGACCCAGCCTCGGGGGTGGAGGGAGCATTCCACCCTGCTTAGATCCCACATCCAGCTTGCCATCAACACAGCCTAGGGTTGTGGCCACCCCGCATCCCCCAGATGGTCCTCTGGCCACCAGACGCCTGTAGACAGAGGTTCTAGGAGGGGGTGACAGTCTTGCCAACTAATACCTCCCCCTATCCCTTTGGTTCCACATCCAAGGGTAGGGCCCTGACCCCAGGAAGTGTCTGTCTCTCTCTCTCTGTCTCCCACCCAGCTGTCCTGAACTCCCTACGCCAGCTGGGCACATCTACCAGTATCCTGACCGACCCGGGCCGCATCCCTGAGCAAGCCACACGGGCAGTCACAGAGGGCACCCTTGGCAAACCTTTATAGTCCTGGCCAGACCCTGCTGCTCACTCAGCTGCCCTGGGGGCTGCTTTCCCTGGGCACGGGCTCCAGGGATCATCTCTGGGCACTCCCTTCCTGCCCCAGGCCCTGGCTCTGCCCTTCCCTGGGGGGTGGAGCAGGGTCCAGGTTTCACACTTGCCACCTCCTGGAGGTCAAGAAGAGCAGAGTCCCCGTCCCTGCTCTGCCACTGTGCTCCAGCACCGTGACCTTGGGTGACTCGTCCGCTGTCTTTGGACCGCTGTGTTTCAATCTGCAAAATGGGGATGGGGAAGGTTCAATCAGCAGATGACCCCCAGGCCTTGGCAGCTGTGACATTGGGGGCCTAGGCTGGCAACTCCGGGGGCTCAACGGTGGAAAGAGGAGGATGCTGTTTCTCTGTCACCTCCACTTGCTCCCCGACAGGTGGGGCACAGACCTCTGTTCCTGAGCAGAGAAGCAGAAAAGGAGGTTCCCTCTCTCTGCTCCTTCACTGCTGACCCAGAGGGGCTGCAGGATGGTTTCCCCTGGGAGAGGCCAGGAGGGCCTGATCCCAGGAGACACCAGGGCCAGAGTGACCACAGCAGGGCAGGCATCATGTGTGTGTGTGTGTGTGGATGTGTGTGTGTGGGTTTTGTAAAGAATTCTTGACCAATAAAAGCAAAAACTGTCTGCTGGTTTGTTGGTGTGCTGGTCAGTGTCTCACACTGGGATGGAGAGAGAGCCTGTTGGCAGTGGGAAGTGGCTTTGCAGAGGGCCTGGGCATTTACTCTGAGCTGGAAGCAGCTGGAGGGCTTTGAGTGGAGGTGGGACAAGATCAGATGTAGTGGTGGCGAGCGCCTGTAGTCCCAGCTACTCAGGAGGCTGAGGCAGGAGGATCGCTTGAGCCCAGGAGTTCGAGGCTGCAGTGAGCTATGATAGCACCACTGCACTGTAGAGTGGGCAACAGAGTGAGACCCTGTCTCAAATAACAACAACAAAAAAGGCTGGGCACAGTGGCTCACACCAGTAATCCCAGCACTTTGGGAGGCCAAGGCGGGAGGATCATAGACCTCATCTCAGTAATAAAAAAGAGAAAAATAAATAAAAGAAAATCGGATGTAACTTTTTTTTTTTGAGACGGAGTCTCGCACTGTCACCCAGGCTGGAGTGCAGTGGCCCGATCTCGGCTCACTGCAAGCTCTGCCTCCTGGGTTCATGCCATTCTCCTGCTTCAGCCTCCCAAGTAGCTGGGACTACAGGCACCCGCCACCACGTCCAGCTGATTTTTTTTTTTTTTGTATTTTTAGTAGAGACGGGGTTTCACCGTGTTAGCCAGGATGGTCTCGATCTCCTGACCACGATTGTGATCCACCCACCTCAGCCTCCCAAAGTGCTGGGATTACAGGCGTGAGCCACCGCGCCCTGCCAGATGTAACTTTAAAAAAAAAAATTTTTTTTTTTTTGAGACAGAGTCTCGCTCTGTTGCCCAGGCTGGAGTGCAGTGGCGCAATCTCGGCTCACTGCAACCTTCGCCTCCCGGGTTCAAGCGATTCTCCTGCCTCAGCCTCCTGAGTAGCAGGGATTACAGGTGCGCACCACCATGCCCAGCTAATTTTTGTATTTTTAGTAGAGACGGGGTTTCACCATGTTGGTCAGGCTGGTCTTGAACTCCCGACCTTGTGATCTGCCCTCCTCAGCCTCCCAAAGTGCTGGGATTACAGGTGTGAGGCTGCCGCGCCCAGACAAAAAAATTTTTCTTATAAGAATAGAGTCAGCAGCCGGGTGTGGTGGCTCACGCCTGTAATCCCAGCACTTTGGGAGGCCGAGGCAGGCGGATCACAAGGTCAGGAGTTCGAGACCAGCCTGGCTAATATGGCAAAACCCGGTCTTTACTAAAAATACAAAAATTAGCCACATGTGCTGACACACGCCTGTAATCCCAGCTACTCAGGCTGGTCTTGAACTTTTGGGTTCAAGCAATGCTCCCGCCTTGGCCTCCCAAAGTGCCAGGATTACAGGCATGAGCCATGGCGTCTGGCCAGATGTAACTTTTTTACAGGAATCCCCTGGGTGCTGAGTTGAGACTAGGTGGATGCAGGGAGACCAGTTAGAGGACAGTTGCAGTCATCCAGGTGAGAGGTGATAGATTTGCTTCCTGGAGCTCCTCCCTCCATGGCCAGGAGACAGTTTGGAGAGGCTCGCTACCTTCAGAGTTGGAAGAAGGCAGAGCTGGGACCAAGGAGTGGAACCGACAGGGCATCCACTGGAACCACCCAGAAGGAGAATGTGCTCCCTTGGCGGGGCAGGTATGGAGGGTAGTGACCTCCCCGCTATGAGAGGTATGCATGCAGAGAGTGGATGGCCACTTAGTTGGGATGTCTTAGAAAAAACTGACAGCGGCCTGTGCGGTTGCTCACGCCACCCAACACTTTGGGAGGCCGAGGCGGGTAGATCACCTGAGGTCAGGAGTTCCGGACCAGCCTGGCCAACTTGGTGAAATCCCGTCTCTACTAAAAATACAAAAAAAATTAGCCGGGCATGGTGGCAGGTGCCTGTAACCCAGCTACTCGGGAGGCTGAGGCAGGAGAATCCCTTGAACCCAGGAGGTGGAGGTTGCAGTGAGCAGAGATTGCGCTACTCCACTCCAGCCTGGGTGACAGAGTGAGACTTCATCTCAAAAAAACATAAAAACAAAAAATAAAAAAACTGATCCTTCAGATGGGGCTGGGGTAGAAGGCCTCAGAGGCCCCAATATTTACTGAGTGCCTGCTATGGACTAGGCTGTGGTCTTGGCTCTGCAGATGCTGTTCACTACAGTATCTCTCTCTTTGTGGAGCTGACATTCCAGCCTGGCATGTTGGAATCCTCTCACGTTTCAGACCTTCTGGAGACATTTGCAGGACTGATGTATTCATGTTTATTTTTCATAGAGACAGGGTCTTGCTATGTTGCCCAGGCTGGTCTCACACTCCCTACCGCAAGTGATCCTCCCACCTTGGCCTTAGGCTTCCTGAAGTGCTGGGATTACAGGTGGCAGCCACCGTGCCTGGCCCATTTGCAGGATTTAAACAGCCTAAAGTATCTTCCATAGGTTTTCAGTTTCTCTCGTTCGTGCATAAGAAGAAGGAGAATCGCTGCCCGCAGATCTAGTATGGACTATGTGCCAAGCACTCCTATAAGCACTTTAGATTTTTGTTGTTGTTGTTATTTTTATTTTTAGTAGAGACAAGTTCTCACTAAGTTCCCCAGGCTGGTCTTCAGCTCCCAAGCTCAAGGGATCCTCCTGCCTTGGCCTCCCAAAGTGCTGAGATTACAGGCATGAACCACCACACCTGGCCACTTTATGTATATTAACTCACTTAATCCTCACAACACCTACCTCGTAGGCTTGCTGTGAGAACCTAAAAGGGTAAATATACACATATAGAGATTTACAGATTTATACATATATTTATAAATCTGTAAAATGGGGATAATAATTATATATTATATATATATTATGTTTGTATATTATGTTTAATAATATACAAAGATTATATTTATACATTATATTTAATATATTTTTATATATTATATTATATTTATAGTTTATATAAAATATGTATGAGTTAATATATATTCTACATATAAAGATATAGATTATATATAAATTTTTATATAGAGAATAAAGATTAAATAATTATATGTTAATCTATATATCTATATAATCTTTTTTTTTTTTTTTGAGACGGCGTCTCGCTCTGTCACCCAGGCTCGAGTGCAGTGGCGGGATCTCACCTCACTGCAAGCTCCGCCTCCCGGGTTCACACCATTCTTCTGCATTAGCCTTCCAGTAGCTGGGACTACAGTTGCCCACGACCACGCCTGGCTAATTTTTTGTATTTTTAGTACAGACGGAGTTTCACCGTGTTAGCCAGGATGGTCTCGATCTCCTGACCTCGTGATCCGTCTGCCTTGGCCTCCCAAAGTGTTGGGATTACAGGCGTGAGCCACTGCGCCCAGCCATATCTATATAATCTTTATATATAATATATAATATTACATTAATTTATATATTACAATTTGTATAACCTATACAATCTTTATATACAATATACTTTATATATTATATATAATATTTATATACAATATACTTTATATATTATATAAATCTTTATATACAATATACTTTATATATTATATATAATCTTTATATATTATAAATATATAGTTTTATATTTATAATATATAAATATATTACATTTTATAACTATATAGTTTTATATTTATAATATATAAATATATTACATTTTATAAAAATATATTTTTATATTTATAAAACCATATAAATATATTTTTATATTTATATTAATAAAACTATATAAATATATTTTATATTTATATTAATAAAACTATATAAATATATTTTATATTTATATCAATAAAACTATATAAATATATTTTATATTTATATCAATAAAACTATATAAATATATTTATATTTATATCAATAAACATAAATATATTTTATTTTTATATTAATAAATATAAATATATTTTATTTTTATATTAATAAATATAAATATATTTTATTTTTATAATAAATATAAATATATTTTATTTTTATATTAAATATAAATATATTTTATTTTTATATTAAATATAAATATATTTTATTTTTATATTAAATATAAATATATTTTATTTTTATATTAATAAATATAAATGTATTTTATATTTATAATATAAATGTATTTTATATTTATAATATAAATGTATTTTATATTTATAATATAAATGTATTTTATATTTATAATATAAATGTATTTTATATTTATAATATAAATGTATTTTATATTTATAATATAAATGTATTTTATATTTATATTATAAATGTATTTTATATTTATATTATAAATGTATTTATATTATAAATGTATTTTATATTTATATTATAAATGTATTTATAATATAAATACATTTATAATATAAATATATAATAAATATAAATATATAAATATATAAAATATATTGTTTATAATATATAGATTATATATAATATATAAGTTAAATATATTATATTTAATTTATATCTAATTTATCTATAAATTATATATAATATATACTTTAACAAATAAAGTACATATTTGTTTATAATGTATAAATATATTATAAATATATAATATAATTTATTATATATTATAATTAATATAATTATATATTACGATATAAATACATAATTATAATATAGTATATATGTATAATATATAATATGTAATATATAATTATATATTATAAATATACAATATAATTATATATACGTATTAAATACATATAAATATAATTATATATAATAGATAATATATATAATTTATAATATATATCATATAAATTATATATAATATATAATATAATATATAATATAATATATAATTATATATTATAATATATATAATATATAGTTATTATTCAGAGTTAGAAGAAGGCAGAGCTGGAACCGAGGCATGGAAGCTACAGGGCATTATATATATTTTATATATATTATATAATTATATACATTATATATAATATATATTATAAATATATAACACTATGTAAGAATGAGAATGAGTTGTAATAATTATCAGCATCCCCATTTTACGGGTGAGAAACTGAGACACAGACAGTTTCGGTCCCTTGACTCAGCTTGCTGGGCTGGTAAGCAGCCCAGCAGTGCCCACCCAACTGCCTTCGTCTGCCGTTGGCCGCTTCTCTGCTGTGACGGTGGCAGGTGCGCCCAGCCTTTCACGCATGCTCTTTGCTGCTGCAGACAGGCTGGCCGTGGCTCACCGCAAGGGAGGGTCCAGGCAGTGTATACGCTGCTGTTTTCACTCCCACGCGGCCAGAAGTTCCCCATCAAACATCCCCTTGACCCCGTGTCCCTTCCAGATGGCTTCTTCCCTTGAAAGAGTCATCTACACGTGCTCACTCTCCCTCCTCTCTTCCCTCTCCCCTCTTGGCTCCCCACGTTTGGGCTCCTCCTCCACCCTCACACCCCAGCTTCACCCCTGCGCTGACTCTGCTGTCACTGAGCTCACCTCTGACTGACCCGCTCCTTGCGAAATCCAGTGCCTGCTTCATAGTGCTATTCTGGTTTTTCTGCGGCCCTTGGGCCTCCGTCTTAAACCACTCTTTCCCTGGGAGTCCAGAATTCTCGGCCAGGCTCGGTGGCTCATGCCTGTAATCCCAGCACTTTGGGAGGCCAAGGCGGGAGGATTGCTTGAGGCCAGGAGTTAGAGACCAGCCTGGGCAACATAGTGAGACCCCATCTCTACAAAAAAATTAGCTGGGTGTTATGACATGGGCCTGTACCCCCAGCTACTCGGGAGGCTGAGCCCAGGAGTTCGAGGCTGCAGTGAGCTATGATTGCGCCACTGCACTCCAGCCTGGGCGACAGAGAGAGACCCTGTCTCAAAAATACAAAAAACAAAACAGAATTCTTGCCAAGCTCTCCTTTCCTCCTCCCTGCCAATGCCCTCCCAGGTCCTGCTGTGTGAGCCTCTTTCTAGGCCTGTCCCTTCCTTAGCCATTCCCTTCTTGCTCTCTGGCAAGCCCCAGGCCATCTCATCCCCTTCAGCCTCTCTGCAGAGGACCCCGACTCTGTATCTGCCTCGCTGTCTCCCCAGAGCTACACAACTACATGTCCGACCATCACCCTAACTTCTCCCTCTGAGCGCTCCGCAGCTCCCTTAACACTGACGGATCCCAATACAGAACTCACCACTTCCATAATCTTCCCACTCAAACCTGGTCCTCCAAGTGTGCCCCAGCCCTGGCACAGGCACCACCACCCGGACACTTGTGCAAGCTGGAAACCATCATCTTCAGCTCCTCCACACACCCCGCTGCCCTGCGCTAGCTGTCACTGAGGACGGAAGCCTGGCCAATTGAACATCTACCTTCATAGCCACCGCCCTGGTCCAATAGGACATCGCCTCTTCCATACATGTGCATTAGCCTCCTGTATCCCTTACAGTGAACAGCTTCTCAAACTTAAACATGCATTAATTATTAATAATGTGGGCCAGGCATGGTGGCTCACGCCTGTAATCCCAGCACTTTGGGAGGCCAAGGCTGGTGGATCACCTGAGGTCAGGAGTTCGAGACCAGCCTGGAAAACATGGTGAAACCCTGTCTCTACTAAAAATACAAAAAATTAGCTAGGCTTGGTGGCAGGCGCCCGTAGTTCCAGCTATTCGCGAGGCTGAGGCAGGAGAATGGTGTGAACCCGGGAGGCGGAGCTTGCAGGCTTGCAGTGAGCTGAGATTGCGCCACTGCACTTGAGCCTGGGCGACAGAGCGAGACTCCATCTAAAAAAAAAAAAAAAAATTAGCCTGGCGTGGTGGGCACCTGTAATCCCAGCTACTCAGTAGGCTGAGGCAAAAGAATTGCTTGAATCTGGGAGGCGGAGGTTGCAGTGAGCCGAGATCACGCCACTGTACTCCAGCCTGGGCGACAGATGAGACTCTGTCTCAAAAACAAATAAAATAAAATAAACGTGGTGGCTTTACTTTTTTTTTTTTTTTTTTTTTTGAGACAGGGTTTCATCCTGTCACCCAGACCAGAGTGCAGTGGTGCAAACGCAGCTCACTGCAGCCTCAACCTTCTGGGCTCAAGTGATCCTCTCACTTCAGCCCCTGCCAAACGCTGGGATCACAAGCATGCACCACCAGGCCTGGCTAATTTTTAAATTTTTCGTAGAGACTCTACAGACTTTTTTTTGTCTTGTTATATTGTCCAGGCTGGTCTCGAACATCTGGCCTCAAGCCATCCTCCCACCTCTGCCTCCCAAAGTGCTGGGATTACAGATGTGAGCCACCATGCCCAGCCAGTATGATGTTTAGACATCAGCATCTTCAAAGTGATTCCAATATGGAGCCATGGTCAAGAACCACTGTAATAGAGGCTTTGAGCTGCAAATTACATGTAGGGGTTCAAATTAGTTTAAATCAGTGCTTCTTAAACTGTACCATGCATCAGGATTAACTAGAGAGCTTGTTAAGGATCAGCTAGAGGGCCAGGCAAGTGGCTCACACCTGTAATCCCAACACTTTGGGAGGCCGAGGCAGATGGATCACCTGAGGTCAAGGGTTCAAGACCAGCCTGGCCAACTTGGCGAAACCCTGTCTACTAAAAATACAAAAATTAGCTGGGTGTGGTGGTGTGTGCCTGTAGTCCCAGCTACTTGGGAGGCTGAGGCAGGAGAATCGCTTGAACCCAGGAGGTGGAGGTTGGAGTGAGCTGAGATTACACCAATATACTCCATCATGGGCGACAGAGCAAGACTGTCTCAAAAAAAAAAAAAAAAAAAAAAAAGTACAGCTTGCTGGGCCCCACCTCCAGAGTTTCTGACCAAGTAACAGGTCTGGGATGGAGTCTAAGAATCTGCATTCCTGGCTGGGTACGGTGGCCTGTAGTCTCAGCCACTCAGGAGGCTGAGGCAGGAAGATCACTTGAGCCCAGGAGTTTAAGGCTGCAGTGAGCTATGATTGCACCACTGCATTCCAGCCTGGGCCACAGGGTGAGACGCTGTCTCAAAAACAGAATTTGCATTCCTAGTGCTGCTGGTCCAGGGACCTCACTTTGAGAACCACTACTTAAACAAGGTGGAAAGTTACCATTTCACCTAATGTAGAGAGGCCAGAGGTAGGGAGGACTCCAGACAATACAAGTTGGAGCTCGTGTGCTTCAGTTGTTTCTTTGGCTACTGTTTGCCTCTGACAAGGCCAGGCTTCAGGGCAGGTGTTCGAGGTGCTTTGTGATCCAACCCTGCTTTCCCTCCAGCCTCATTTCTCTCCATAGCCTCCCTCCCCTCACATCCCTAAAAGTCTTCAATCTCCAGTGGTACCTGGGACTCATCTTGCTTTGCTCTTGAAAGGTGTGATCAACCCATGAGGGAGGCAAGCTTAGGGATTCCTGTCTCTTTTTCTTTTCTTTTTGCTTTTTTTTCTTTTGTTGGAGACAGAGCCTCGCTCTGTCACCCAGGCTGGAGTGCAGTGATGCAATGTCAGCTCACTGCAACCTCCACCTCCCGGGTTCAAGTGATTCTCCTGCCTCAGCCTCCTGAGTAGCTGGGATTACGGATGTGCACCACCATGACTGGCTAACTTTTTGTATTTTTAGTAGAGACAGAGTTTCATCATGTTGGCCAGGCTGGTCTTGAACTCCTGCCTCAAGTGACCTGCCTGCCTTGGCCTCTCAATTTTCTTTTTTTTGAGACAGGTCTGTTGCCTGGCTGGAGTGCAGTGGCATGATCATAGCTTACCCACAGCCTTGAACTCCTGGACTCAAGCGATCCTCCTCCTGCCTTAGCCTCCTGAGTAGCTGGGACTAGAGGTGTGCACCACCACACCTGGCTAATTTTTTTTATACAAATGGAGTTTTGCTACTTTGCCCAGGCTGGTCTCAAACTCCTGGCCTCAAGTGATCCTCCTGCCTCAGCCTCCCACAGGCTGCGATTATAGGCATGAGTCGCTGTGCCTGGCCTCCTGTCTCCTTATTTACTTCTATTTTTTTTTCTTTTGATGGAGTCTTGTTCTGTCGCCCAGGCTGGAGTGCAGTGGCACAATCTTGGCTCATTGCAACCTCTTCCTCCTGGGTTCAAGTGATTCTCCCACCTCAGTCTCCTGAGTAGCTGGGACTACAGGCGCGTACCACCACGCCTGGCTAATTTTTGTATTTTTAGTAGAGACAAGGTTTCACCATATTGGTCAGGCTGGTCTTGAACTCCTGACCTCAAGATGATCCACCCACCTCGGCCTCCCAAAGTGCTGGGATTACAGGCATGAGCCACCGTGCCCAGTCAGAATCAGTTACTTCCACCTCCGTACCTCGGCTGGTTCTCGCTTTCCATGTAGCACTCCCTCGTGCTGTTTCACCTGTCTAAATGCCCATCCCTGAAGCTACAGTCAAGTCTCACTGCCCCTCAAGATCCATTGGCAAGTCCCCTGCTTCCTGATGCATTCAGCTTTCCTGAGTCCCGCTGTGTGTCCTCAGTTGTCCTTCCACGTATCAGTCTTGGCTTCCAACTGGGCTACATAAAACTTGAGAGTAAGAGCAAGGCCACGCCACAGCCAGAGTGGCTTGCTGGGAGGAGCATGGATTTTTTTTTTTTCTTTTTTGAGACAGGATCTCACTCTGTAGCCCAGGCTGGAGTGCAGTGGTGTGATCACAGCTCACTGCAGCCTCAAACTCCTGGGCTCAAGCAATCCTCCTGCCTCAGCCTCCTGAGTAGCTGGGACTACAGGCATGCACCACCACGCCTAATTTTTTTACTTTGTAGAGATGGGGTCTCACTTTGTTGGCCAGGCTGGTCTCAAATTCCTGGGCTCAGGTGATTCTCCTGCCTCAGCTTCCCACAGTGCTGGGATTACAGGCGTGAGCCACAGTGCCCTGCCCGAGTATGGATCCTGTAGTAGACCTGGGTTATTTCCCTTGCTTCCTTGTTGACCTTGGGCATATTATTTGATGTAAGCCTAGTGTTTCTCTCCATCTGCTTAAAAATTAAAATTATAACATGGCCTGTCTTAAAGGCCAACTGAATTCAAGGATATGAAAGAATTTGGTAGCCTCAACTGAGCTGTACAAAGAGAGGCTACTCTTTCTTCCTCTTACCCCACATCCACAGATTGCAGCCAGACAGGACATGTATTTGTCCCCAGGCTCACTCTCCACCTGTATGACCTTGGGAAAGTCACTTAACTTCCTAAAGCATCAGTCTCCTCATCTGTGAGAAGGGAATGTGAGCAAGTGAAATGAAACGCAAAGCTCCTGGATCAAACAGGTGCAGTGGCTCACTCCTGTAATCCCAGCAATTTGGGAGGTTGAGGGCGGGAGGATTGCTTGAGGCCAGGAGTTCTAGAGACCAGCCTGGGCAACATAGCAAGACCCTGTCTCTACAGAAAATTCAAAAATTAGCTGGGTGTGGTGGTGAGCACCTATGGTTCCAGCTACTTGGGAGGATGTGGTGGGAGGATTGCTTGAGCCCAGGAGTTTCAGGCTGCAATCAGCTGTGATTGCGCCACTGCACTCCAGCCTGGGCGACACAGTGAGACTCTCTTTATTAAAAAAATGCTCCTGGATCAATAAATGTCACATGCAAAATGCTTGGTAAATGAAATTCTTCTTAAAAGTGCATCTTTGGCCAGGCTTGGTGGCTCACGCCTTTAATCCCAGCACTTTGGGAGGTTGAGGCGGGAGGATCACTTGAGTTCAGGAGTTCGAGACCAGCCTGAGTAACATGGTGAAACCTTGTCTCTACAAAACACACACACAAAAATTAGCTGGGTGTGATGGTGCATGCCTGTAGTCCTAGCTACTTGGGAGCTGAGGCAGGATGATCGATTGAGGCAGAAGGATCACTTGAGCCCGGGAGGCGGAAGTTGCAGTGAGCCGAGATCATGCCATTGCATTCCAGCCTGGGCAACACAGTGAGACTCTGTCTCAAAATAAATAAATAAATAAATACTTTGAAAAGTGTAGCTTGTCTGTAGATGGTGTGAAGAAAGTGGCTTATGGCTGGGCCCACAGTCCTAAGTAGCAAGATAGGGAGGACAAGCCTCAGGATGCTCTAGACACCCCCTCGCACCCCTCCCTACCCCACTGCCCACAGCTGAGTCAATGCCAGTTTCCCGCAAAGGACAAAAGGGAAGGAAATGAGGCTGCTCCATTTGCTCTCTGACTGGATCCATTTCCTCCCCCAAGATTGTGGGTGTGTCTGTCTGTCATCTAGCCTCTGCAGCGGCCACTGTTCTCAGAGGGTCCTTTATTGCCGAAGGGCCTGGACTGTCAGGAAGGCAGGCTCCTGGGTGGGGATGGAAATGTTTGCAGCAGGAATCTCCAACTCTGGTACTTCGACTCACTCTGGGCTTTGGGACTGGGACACCCACGGAGCATGACTGTTCAACCCAAATTCTACCAATAAGTCTTTCAGATTGTCTCCTTGTTGGTGGAATTTGAATAAGTTCTGTAGATAGCATCAATGTCAAGTTCCTGGTTTTGATATTACACTGCAGTTATGCAAGATGTTACTACTGGAGGAAACTGAGAGGAAGAGTCCATGAGACCTCCCTGTTCACTTTTTCAAACCACTGTGCATCTTTATATCTTTTTTTTTTTTTTTTTTTTTTTTTGAGACAGGGTCTTACTCTGTTGCTCAGGCTGCAGTGCAGTGGCACGATCACAGCTCACTACAGCCTCGACCTCCCGGACTCAGGTGATTCTGCCACCTCAGCCTGCCAGTTAGCTGGGGCTATAGGCACATGTCACCATGTCTGGCTAATTTTTTTTTTTTTGAGACGGAATCTCACTCTGTCGCCCCAGCTGGAATGCAGTGGCACAATCTTGGCTCACTGCAACCTCCGCCTCCCAGGTTCAAGCGATTCTCCTGCCTCAGCCTCCTGAGTAGCTAGGATTACAGGTGCGCACCACTATGCCAGGCTAATTTTTGTATTTTTAGTAGAGACAGGGTTTCACCATGTTAGCCAGGCTGGTCTCGAACTCCTGACCTCAGGTGGTCCGCCTGCCTCAGCCTCCCAAAGTGCTAGGATTACAGGCATGAGCCACCGTGCCCAGCCTTAACTTTTTTTTTTTTTTTTTTGAAACGGAGTCTCACCCTCACCCAGGCTGCAGTGCAGTGATGCAATCACGGCTCACTGCAAAACCACCTCCCGGGTCCAAGTGATCCTTCTGCCTCAGCCTCCCAAGTAGCTGGGACCACAGGCATGTGCCACCACGCTCGTCTAATTTTTGTAGTTTTTGGTAGAGACGGGGTTTCACTATGTTGCTCAGGCTGGGCTCAAGCTCCTGGGCTAAAATCTGGGCCTCCCAAAGTGGTGGGATTACAGGTGTGAGCAATCACACCCAGCCTATTTATTTATTTTATAGAGATGGGGTCTTGCTATGTTGCCCAGACTGGTCTTGAACTGCTAGGCTCAAGCAATCTTCCCACCTTGGCCTCCCAAAGTGTTGGGGATCACAGGCTTTAGCCACTGTGCCTGGCGGCTGTAATTATTTTAAAAGAAGTTTTCTTCTTTCTTTCTTTTTTTATTTATTTTATATTTATTTTTGAGATGGAGTCTCACTCTTATCACCCAAGCCGGAGTGCAGTGGAGCAATCTTGGCTCACTGCAACCTCTGCCTCCCAGGTTCAAGTGATTCTCCTGCCTCAGCCTCCCGAGTAGCTGGGATTAGAGGCGTGGGACACCACGCCCAGCTAATTTTTGTACTTTTGGTAGAGACGGGGTTTCGCCATGTTGGCCAGAGACGGGGTTTCACCATGTTGGCCAGGCTGGTCTCGAAGTCCTGACCTCAGGTGATCCTCCCGCCTCGGCCTCCCAAAGTGCTGGGATTACAGGCATGGGCCACCGCACCCGGCCTTAAAAGAAGTTTTCTGGCCGGGCGCGGTGGCTCAAGCCTGTAATCCCCCAAGCACTTTGGGAGGCCGAGGCGGGCAGATCATGAGGTCAGGAGATCGAGACCATCCTGGCTAACACGGTGAAATCCCGTCTCTACTAAAAATATTTTTAAAAAATTAGCCGGGCGTGGTGGCGGGCGCCTGTAATCCCAGCTACTCGGGAGGCTGAGGCAGGAGAATGGCATAAACCCAGGAGGCGGAGGTTGCAGTGAGCCGAGATCGCGCCACTGCGCTCCAACCTGGGCAATAGAGCAAGACTCTGTCTCAAAAAAAAAAATAAGTTTTCTATGAAAAAATTTCCTGGTCTGGGCCAGTCGCGGTGGCTCACACCTGTAATCCCAGCACTTTGAGAGGCTGAGGCGGGCGGATCACGAGGTCAGGAGTTCAAGACCAGCCTGACCAATATAGCGAAACCCCGTCTCTACTAAAAAATACAAAAAATTAGCGGGGCATGCTAGCGGGCACCCGTAATCCCAGCTACTCGGGAGGCTGAGGCAAGCGAATCGCTTGAACCCGGGAGGCAGAGGTTGCAGTGAGCAGAGATGGCGCCATTGCACTCCAGCCTGGGCGACAGTGCAACGAGACTCCATCTCAAAAAATAAAAAATAAAAATAATCTCCCAGCTCGGCATGGTGGCTCACGCCTGTAATCCCAGCACTTTGGGAGGCCGAAGCAGGTGGATCACCTGAGGTCAGGAGTTCGAGACCAGCCTGGCCAACATGGCAAAACCCCCGTCTCTATAAAAAACACAAAAAGTAGCAGGGCATGGTGGCACGCGCCTGTAATCCCAGCTACTCTGGAGGCTGAGGCAGGAGAATCTCTTGCACCCGGGAGACGGAGGTTGCAGTGAGCCGAGACGCGTCACTGCACTCCAACCTGGGCAACCGTCTCAAAAGTAAATACATAAATAAATAAATAAAATAAGTTTTCTATTAAAAATTCTCCCTTTTAACTTTCGACTTGCCAGGCCAGCCCCAAATCCAGGCCCTCGTCACCTCCCTCTCGGATCCTTGAAGCCACTGCCGGTTTTCTGATTTTGGTCTTTTCACACAAAGGTCCATCCAGGGAATCCTCAGACACAGCTTTTGCCCCACCTCTCCCTGTAATGAGCAGCTTGTTGGATGGAGCCAGCGCTCAACGTCCCCCAGACCTTTCCGCCCCTCTAGCCATTTCCCACATCCCAGCTTCTCAGGTCTTTGCGGAGGCTGTTCCACTCCACGCGCCTGGCCTACTCTTCCTTAAAAGCCCATCTGAACTTTCGCTGATGCTGAGTTTCCTATCCGTTAAATGGTAATAATAATCCCCGCCCCGCTTCCTTGAAAGGATCCAGTGTGGTGATGGCTGGAATAATGCCTTTAATAAACAATTATCAGTGAGTTCTTCAGGAGGAGGCGTGAGCAGTGATCGCAAATCCCGCCTTCCTCCGCCCTCCGCAGCCCTGCAATCTCAACCGCCAGGCGACCCGCCCCTCGAAACGCACCAAGGGTCGAGCCCTGCCCCTCGAGATGTTCTACTTCCAGGCCCCGCCCCTCGAGACACTCTACCTCCGGGTTCTGCCCCTCGAGACGCTCTAACAACCCAGCCCCGCCCCTCGAGACGCGCTAACTCCAGACTCTGCCTCTCGAGGCGCTCTAATAACTAGGCTCGGCGGGTGGAGATGCTCTAACTCCAGGCCCCGCCCCTCGAGCGCCACAACAGCCGGGCCCCACCCCTTGAGGTGCTTTAACGGCCAGGCCCCGCCCTGAAGGCGTTGTAACAACCAGGCTCCGCCCCCAGGCGCTCTAACGGCCAGGCCCAGCCGCTTGAGGCTCCCCAACGGCCAGGCCGCGCCCCCGCGTGCGTGCGCGGCCCGGCAGAGCCGTGCGGGCGCCCGCGTACTCACTAGCTGAGGTGGCAGTGGTTCCACCAACATGGAGCTCTCGCAGATGTCGGAGCTCATGGGGCTGTCGGTGTTGCTTGGGCTGCTGGCCCTGATGGCGACGGCGGCGGTAGCGCGGGGGTGGCTGCGCGCGGGGGAGGAGAGGAGCGGCCGGCCCGCCTGTAAGTGGGGCCGGGTCGGGTGGGGGCGGCCCGCGGTGTCCCGGCTCCCGGCCTCCTCGTGGTCCGACCTGCGGTTTGGGCCCGCGGCTGGTGGGGCCCGGCGACTCCATGGGCCTCAGTTTCTCCTCTGGTAACGTGAGCTTCGCTTCCAGAGACGGGGACCCGCCTTGCCGGGTTAGGCGCACCTCCTGGGGCGGGACTGGCTCCAACCTGGGCCCCTTACTGCGGCTTTCTCTGTGGCCGAGGCCAGGCCGTCCCCGGGGTGGCCAGGAGAGCACCGTAAACTCTTCAGCCTGCTCCGTGGCCGCGATCTCGGAAAAAGCACCAATTCTGTGATGTGCAGCAGCATTTACTGGGCATCTATGACCCTGTGATAGGCTTTGGGGTCTTTTTCTGTAAGGAGTCCAGTAAAGGAGAAGTACATCTGTATTATGAACACCTAAATATGTAAGTGAAAAACACGGTGAAATAAGTTTCACTGAGGCCAGGCGAAGTGGCTCACGCCTGTATTCCCAGCACTTTGGGAGGCCGAGGCAGGGAGATCGCTTGAGCCCAGGAGTTTGGGACCAGCCTGAGCAACATAGCAAGACCCCATCTCTACGCAAAATTAGCTGGGTGTGGTTGTGCACGCCCCTGTAGTCCCAGCTCCATGGGAGGCCGAGGCAGGAGGGTGTCGTGAGTCCAGGAATTCAAGGCTGCAGTGAGTTGTGATAGATCGCGCCACTGTACTTCAGCCTGGGTGACGGCAAGAGCCTGTCTCTGAAAAGTTTCATAGAAGAGGTTAGTACTAGAAATGGGAAACACCAGAGAGTCAGTGGGCAGCCCTGCTCTTTTTATTTATTTTTCAGACAGAGTTTCGCTCTTCTTGCCCAGGCTGGAGTGCAGTGGCACAATCTTGGCTCGTTGCAACTTCCGCCTGCCAGGTTCAAGCGATTCTTCTGCCTCTGCCTCCCGAGTAGCTGGGACTACAGGCACACACCACCACGCCTGGCTAATTTTTGTATATTTAGTAGACGGGGTTTCGCCACGTTGGTCAGGCTGGTCTCGAACGCCTGATCTCAGGTGATCCACTCGTCCTGGCCTCCAAAAGTGCTGAGATTACAGGCGTGAACCACTGTGCCCGGCCAGCCCTGCATTTTTTTTTTTTTTTTTTTTGCAGGGGGACGGAGTTTTGCTCTGTCGCCCAATCTGGAGTCTAGTGGCGGGATCTCGGCTCACTGCAAGCTCCGCCTCTGGGTTCACGCCATTCTCCTGCCTCAGCCTCCTGAGTAGCTGGGACTACAGGCGTCCGACACCACACCCGGCTAATTTTTTGTATTTTTTGAGTAGAGACGGGGTTTCACTGTGTTAGCCAGGATGGTCTCAATCTCCTAACCTCTTGTGATCCACCTGCCTCGGCCTCCCAAAGTGCTGGGATTACAGGCGTGAGCCACCCTGCCTGGCCGAGTCCTGTTCTTTTATGGGGGAGGTGGTTGTTAGGGAAATCATTACTGAGAATAGGGGGCACATGAGGTAGTGTGGGGTCTCAAAGGATGGTTCTAGAAGAAGAGTTTGCCAGAAGGCCAAGGAAAAAAGACATTCCTGCCAATGGCAATACCCGAGAAGGCAAGGAGTCCCCAAACAGCATTTGGTATGACTTAAGTGTGAGGAGGGGGGCTTGTTAGACATGCCTGGAGAGAAGGAAGCAGAGGACAGATTGTGGCTGTGTTTGTTTGCAGGGCCCAGGAGCTTTTTTCCTGTTGGAATTGGGGAGCATCTGCAGTCATTTACCACATGCCAGCTTTGTGACTCAATTAAGTATCTTTTACAAAAGTGACTGGCTCCACTCCCCCGCACAGGACTCAACAGATGTTGACTTCTCATCCCCGAGTTCTTTCAGGTACTGGAGTGCAGTGGTGCGATCTTGGCTTACTGCAACCTCTACCTCCTGGGTTCAAGTGATTCTCCTGCCTCAGCCTCCTGAGTAGCTGGGATTACAGGCGCCTGCCACCACGCCCGGCTAATTTTTGTATTTTTAGTAGAGACGGGGTTTCACCATGTTGGCCAGACTGGTGGAACTCCTGGGCATCAAGATGATCCAGCTGCCGGGCCGGGCATGGTGACTCACGCCTGTAATCCCAGCACTTTGGGAGGCCGAAGCGGGCAGGTCACAAGGTCAGGAGATCGAGACTGAGGCAACAGAGCGAGACTCTGTATCAAACAAAAAAAAAAAATGATCCAGCAGCTGCCTCAGCCTCCCAAAGCGCTGGGATTACAGGCATGAGCCACCGCACCCGGCCTCCATAGAGCCTTTAATGCTTGTGTTCGGTACTTTTGCTTGTCACTTTGTAGATATCTCATCCAATTCAATCTCCCTTATTTTTATTTATTTATTTATTTATTTATTTTGAGACAGAATCTCACTCTGTCGCCTAGGCTGGAATACAGTGGCACGATCACTGCATTTGAACTCCTGGGCTCAAGCAATTTTCCCTCCTCAGCCTCCGAATAGCTGGGACCACAGGCGCACACCACCATGCCCAGCTAATTAAAGTTTTCTGTAGAGATGGGGTGTCACTATGTTACCCAGGCTGGTCTCGAACTCCTGAGCTCAAGCAATCCTCCCATCTCAGCCTACCAAAATGCTGGGATCACAGGCATGAGCCACCGCCCCCAGTTCTCAACCTCTCTTTAAGAAAACCAAGGCTGGGCCGGACACAGTGGCTCACGCCTATAATCCCAGCACTTTGGGAGGCCAAGGCAGGCAGATCACTTGAGGTGAGGAGTTGGAGACAAGCCTGGCCCACATGGTGAAACCCCATCTCTACTAAAAAAACAAAAAAATTGGGGCCAGGTGCCATGGCTCACGCCTGTAATCCTAGCACTTTGGGAGGCCGAGGCGGGTGGATCACAAGGTCAGGAGATTGAGACCATTCTGGCTAATGTGGTGAAACCCCACATCTACTAAAAATACAAAAAAAAATTAGCCGGGCATGGTGGCGGGCGCCTGTAGTCCCAGCTACTTGGGAGGCTGAGGCAGGAGAATGGCGTGAACCCGGGAGGCAGAGCTTGCAGTGAGCTGAGATCACGCCACTGCACTCCAGCCTGGGTGACAGAGCGAGACTCCATCTGAAAAAAAAAAAAAAAATTAGCTGGATATGGTGGTGCACGCCCATGATCCCAGCTACTTGGAAGGCTGAGGCACAAGAATTGCTTGAACCTGGGAGGCAGAGGCTACAGTGAGCGGAGATCACGCCACTGCACTCCAGCCTGGGCGACAGAGCAAGACTCTGTCTCCAAAAAAAAGAAAGAAAGAAAAGAAAAAAAAAACCAAGGTCCAGAGCAATTCACTAACTTACCCAAAGCAGGGCCGCTAGAGATGGTTGTGCACATTACTCCCTACATAGGGATGTCTGGCCAAGGATCCACACTCCACTGGCCGTGCTGTGTACCCGCCCAGCAGCATCACCCAACCCAGAGAGTGCGCCTTTTCCACTCTACATGAAGGTGCTCTGTGGACTTACTGTAAACAGCCTCCTCAGTAGTCAGTCAGTAGTAGAGACAGAATCCAAACCCAGGTCTGATTCCAAAGCCTCTGTTTTGTTTCTGTTTTCTGTTTGTTTTTTTTTGAGACAGGGTCTTGCTCTGTCACTCAGGATGGAATGCAGTAGTGTTGTGATCATAGCTTACTGCAGCCTCGAACTCCTGGGCTCAAATGATCCAAAGCATTGGGATTACAGGCATGAGCCACCATACCCAGCCAGCCAAAGCCTCTGTTTTTGCCCATATCACACTCATTCTCCTCCAGAAGACAAGGGCCATATCTGGTTAATCTCCTGCTGTTCCACTCAATGCCTGGCTCATCATAGGTGGGCAGTAAATGCTTATCAGTGAGTAACTGGAGAACAACATGGCCCTTCCTTATAGGCCAAAAAGCAAATGGATTTCCACCTGACAAATCTTCGGGATCCAAGAAGCAGAAACAATATCAGCGGATTCGGAAGGAGAAGCCTCAACAACACAACTTCACCCACCGCCTCCTGGCTGCAGCTCTGAAGGTACGTGGGGTACCTGGCACAGCGTGCACCCTGAGACTCAGCCCCACAGGCTTTTCCTCTGGAGTATTCCATGCATGTTACAGGCTCTCCTGCCTCTGATCAGAATCAGCGGGGGTGCTTAATTCTGTCCCCTCTCATCGCAGCCCAATCTCAGCTTGCTGTTAATCCAGGCCACAGGGCCCCATCTCCCCGGCTCCAGGTTTGGCTTCCCCATCTCCCCCAGGAGCTCCTATTGACACTTCCTGCCACCCTTCCCCTAGAGCCACAGCGGGAACATATCTTGCATGGACTTTAGCAGCAATGGCAAATACCTGGCTACCTGTGCAGATGATCGCACCATCCGCATCTGGAGCACCAAGGACTTCCTGCAGCGAGAGCACCGCAGCATGAGAGCCAACGTGGAGCTGGACCACGCCACCCTGGTGCGCTTCAGCCCTGACTGCAGGTGGGACAAGACGGAGCCTCAGGTTTGCCTGCAGAGGCCTAGTCCCAGGCTTTGGCCTTCCCATATCTGCTTTGAGGTAGTGAGGAGGGACCTGGACCCAGGGCCTCCCTTGGGGTGCCAGAAAGAGCATCCACATAGTTTGCGCGCTGCCTGGGGCTCCCTGGAGATCTGGGCTGCTATACAGCAAGGAAACAGGGGGAGGTCTCTTCCTACCTGGAAATACCTTGGCCTGGCTTCCAGATGAGCCTTAGTTTCTAAACCCTAGAGAGAAACTAAAGGAGCCAAAGCTATCAGAATCTTACCTTTTGAGGAGTTTTATGAGATTTGGAACCAGGGGCTTAAGTTTTAAGGCTAGACTGTGGGGCATGAGGAGAGATCTTGACTTCCCCGAGAACCCAGCACAGGACCTGGAACACAGAGCCTCTTTGTCCAGTGAGAGCGTGACTTGTCTGCTGCCTGTCTCTAGAGCCTTCATCGTCTGGCTGGCCAACGGGGACACCCTCCGTGTCTTCAAGATGACCAAGCGGGAGGATGGGGGCTACACCTTCACAGCCACCCCAGAGGACTTCCCTAAAAAGCACAAGGCGCCTGTCATCGACATTGGCATTGCTAACACAGGTAAGAGGCATTCAGAGGGTGGCGCCTGCCCAAAGCATGAAGGAAAGATCCAGTTCTATTTCCTCAATGAGTTAATGCTGCCTGAAAGTTCTGCTCAACCTGAGAGGAACAAGGGGTCCCTGGCTCTGAACAGCCTGGCTCTGTGCTCCCCTGGAGTCCCTGGGCCACACCAGGTCCCTAGGGAAGGTGGGGAAGGGCCACAGTCTTCAGCAGAGTCCTTATCTGTAGTGACCCTTGGCCTGGGAGGAGACATGTATACTTCGGGCAGCAGAGGCCTTGTAAGTGTCTTTGGAGAGTGACAGTTGGTCAGGTCACTGCCCGTGACCCACATCACTCCCTTCCCGCTCAGGGAAGTTTATCATGACTGCCTCCAGTGACACCACTGTCCTCATCTGGAGCCTGAAGGGTCAAGTGCTGTCTACCATCAACACCAACCAGATGAACAACACACACGCTGCTGTATCTCCCTGTGGCAGGTGGGCAAGGAGGGGTATTGGCGTCTGGGACCACGAGAGGCTGGGGCTGGGGAGCAGGCACAGAACAGAGAGCCAGCTTCATCGCGTGGGAAGAGCATACGGGGTGGGGTCAGGAACCCGAGCTTCAAGTCTCAGCTCTCCCCACTTGCAGTAGTGGGATTTCATGCAGGTCGCCCCATGTCCTTAGTCGCTATTTCTTCATCTTCAGTGTTTTTGTTTTTTAGAAAATTAGTCTCACTCTGTCACCCAGGCTGGAGCACAGTGGTGCGATCATAGCTCACTGCAGCCTCAAACTCCTGGGTTGTAGCTATTCTCCCAGCTCAGCCTCCTGAGTAGTCAGGACTATAGGCATGTGCCACTGTACTCAGCTAATTTTTGTTTTTTGTTTGTTTGTTTGTTGAGACGGTTTCACCCTCGCCCAGGCAGGAGTGCAGTGGCGCAATCACAGCTCACTGTAGCCTTGACTTCCCAGGCTCAGACCATCCTCCCACCTTAGCCTCCCGAGTAGCTGGGACTACAGGCGTGCACTACCACACCTGGCTAATTTTTGTATTTTTTGTTGAGATGGGGTCTTACTATGTTGCCCAGGCTGGTCCTGAACTCCTGGCCTCAAGTGATCCTCTTGCCTCGACCTCCCAAAGTGGTAGAATTACAGGCGTGAGCCACTGTGCCAAGCCACCTTTGGGCGGGGATGTTACATATCTTAGAACAAGGCTAGAAGATAAACTGAGGTCACATACATAAAAGAACTTTTTTGTTGTGGTTGTTTGTTTGTTTTTTGAGATGGAGTTTCGCTCTTGTTGCTTAGGTTGGAGTGCAATGGCAGGATCTTGGCTCACCACAACCTCCGTCTCCCGGGTTCAAGCGATTCTCCTGCCTCAGCCTCCCCCAAGTAGCTGGGATTACAGGCATGCACCACCATGCCCAGCTAATTTTTTATTTTTAGTAGAGGTGAGGTTTCTCCATGTTGGTCAGGCTGGTCTCAAACTGTCGGACCTTAGGTGAGCTGCCCGCCTGGGCCTCCCAAAGTGCTGGGATTACAGGTATGAGCCACCACACCCGGCCTTTTTTTTTTTTTTTTTCTGAGACAGTCTCACTCTGTTGCCCAGGCTGGAGTGCAGTGGTGCAATCTCAATCTCAGCTCACTGCAACCTCCACCTACCAGGTTCAAGTGATTCTCCCACCTCAGCCTTCCCAGTAGGTGGGACTACAGGCATGCGCCACCACGCCTGGCTAATTTTGTATTTTTAGTAGAGATGAGGTTTCACCATGTTGGCCAGGCTGGTCTCGAACTCCTGACCTCAGGTGATCCACCCACCTCGGCCTCCCAAAGTGCTGGGATGACAGGCGTGAGCCACCGCGCCCGGCCAAAATAACTCTTTAAAGGTTTATATTATCCAGATATGAGGATTATCAACTTTCTCAGGAAAGAGATTGAGGGGTTTTACAGGAACAACATGCTCCGAAAATGAAGTTTTAAAGGCTTCTGGGTTGTATGGCAGATTTGTAGCCTCGTGTGGCTTCACCCCAGATGTGAAGGTTTGGGAAGTCTGCTTTGGAAAGAAGGGGGAGTTCCAGGAGGTGGTGCGAGCCTTCGAACTAAAGGGCCACTCCGCGGCTGTGCACTCGTTTGCTTTCTCCAACGACTCACGGAGGTGAGTGAATCCGCTCTGATGTCTGACCAGTGGCTCTTGGCCCCTCTTGACAACCAGGGTCCTTCTGTCTGTTTGTGCCATGGCTCTGAAGAGGGTGGGGTGCCTGGCCCTCGGCAGGAAGCTGACTTAGCTTCCTAGCTGGAGCTGCTCAAGTTGGGCCAGTGCTTACCCTGCCAGGGTGTGTTGGGGCTTGAGCTGTGATTTTCTGTGTTGCAGGATGGCTTCTGTCTCCAAGGATGGTACATGGAAACTGTGGGACACAGATGTGGAATACAAGAAGAAGCAGGACCCCTACTTGCTGAAGACAGGCCGCTTTGAAGAGGCGGCGGGTGCCGCGCCGTGCCGCCTGGCCCTCTCCCCCAACGCCCAGGTCTTGGCCTTGGCCAGTGGCAGTAGTATTCATCTCTACAATACCCGGCGGGGCGAGAAGGAGGAGTGCTTTGAGCGGGTCCATGGCGAGTGTATCGCCAACTTGTCCTTTGACATCACTGGCCGCTTTCTGGCCTCCTGTGGGGACCGGGCGGTGCGGCTGTTTCACAACACTCCTGGCCACCGAGCCATGGTGGAGGAGATGCAGGGCCACCTGAAGCGGGCCTCCAACGAGAGCACCCGCCAGAGGCTGCAGCAGCAGCTGACCCAGGCCCAAGAGACCCTGAAGAGCCTGGGTGCCCTGAAGAAGTGACTCTGGGAGGGCCCGGCGCAGAGGATTGAGGAGGAGGGATCTGGCCTCCTCATGGCACTGCTGCCATCTTTCCTCCCAGGTGGAAGCCTTTCAGAAGGAGTCTCCTGGTTTTCTTACTGGTGGCCCTGCTTCTTCCCATTGAAACTACTCTTGTCTACTTAGGTCTCTCTCTTCTTGCTGGCTGTGACTCCTCCCTGACTAGTGGCCAAGGTGCTTTTCTTCCTCCCAGGCCCAGTGGGTGGAATCTGTCCCCACCTGGCACTGAGGAGAATGGTAGAGAGGAGAGGAGAGAGAGAGAGAATGTGATTTTTGGCCTTGTGGCAGCACATCCTCACACCCAAAGAAGTTTGTAAATGTTCCAGAACAACCTAGAGAACACCTGAGTACTAAGCAGCAGTTTTGCAAGGATGGGAGACTGGGATAGCTTCCCATCACAGAACTGTGTTCCATCAAAAAGACACTAAGGGATTTCCTTCTGGGCCTCAGTTCTATTTGTAAGATGGAGAATAATCCTCTCTGTGAACTCCTTGCAAAGATGATATGAGGCTAAGAGAATATCAAGTCCCCAGGTCTGGAAGAAAAGTAGAAAAGAGTAGTACTATTGTCCAATGTCATGAAAGTGGTAAAAGTGGGAACCAGTGTGCTTTGAAACCAAATTAGAAACACATTCCTTGGGAAGGCAAAGTTTTCTGG
This sequence comes from Homo sapiens, assembly GCF_000001405.40. Taxonomy (NCBI): domain Eukaryota; kingdom Metazoa; phylum Chordata; class Mammalia; order Primates; family Hominidae; genus Homo; species Homo sapiens. The sequence goes on along the minus strand of NC_000007.14, from coordinate 73,569,813 downwards.
GACTTGATCATACATTTTATATGGTTGGGACTTCTCTCTTCGGGAGATGATATCTTGTTTAAGGAGACCTCTTTTCAGTTCATCAAGTTCATCAGATATTTGAGTGCCCACTCTGTGCCCAAATAAATATGAGCTGGGGATTAAATACGAATAAGACATGGTTTCTGCCATCAAAGATGGCTGGTGGGAGAGAGAGATACACCCTTATTAAGTGCTTTGTGTTAGTTTATTCATAGCTATTGTTATATATGTCAAGGCAAGAGAGGACCAGAGCAGGACAGAGGCAATGGGTATTGAAGTTGAAGGGGTACATTTGATAAGAGAGTCGGTATTGAGAAGTTTAAATTTGTGAATTTGAAGGCTGCGTGGGTGTGGCAGGTAAGGGAAATGAGGTATCTGGGAAGGCTTGAGTGTAGGCAAATTTATTCATCCCAAGTCAAACTCTTGATCTCTCTCACGAAAACTATGACCCCCCCTGGTTGCCCCTGACCTCTCAATGTTGGAACAAGCCACAACCGTGGAGTTATCCTTGATGACTCCCCATTCATTATCCCTTCTGTCCCACCACCACAGCTGTCATCTGTTCACCAGAACGTTCTTTTGGTTACACTCCATGTGACATCCTGAGGCTGTTGCTTCTCTCCAGCTTTTCTGTTACCATCCTGGTCCTGGCTACTGTCACCTAGTGGGCCACTATAATATGGCTTCCTAATGGATCTTCCTGCTTCCTCTGTTGCCTCATTACTTTTCTATATAGCAGAATGATCTTTTGAAAATGTGAACCAGATCACATTATTCCCTAGTTAAAACCCCCCAAGGCTTCCCATCACACTTGGAATAAAATCCAAAAGAATTTTTCTAAACCAAAAATAGTAAAAACAATTTTTTTTTTCTGACAATCTCTTGTCACCCAGGCTGGAGTACAATGGCGCAATCTCGGCTCACTGCAACCGCCGCCTCCTAGGTTCAAGCGATTCTCCTGCCTCAGCCTCCAGAGTAGCTGGGATTACAGGCATGTGCCACCACGCCTGGCTAATTTTTGTATTTTTAGTAGAGACAGGGTTTCACGATGTTGGCCAGGCTGCTCTCGAACTCCTGACCTCAAATGATCCACCACCCCCCTTGGCCTCCCCAAGTGCTGGGATTACAGGTGTGAGCCATCGTGCCTAGCTAAAAACACTTAATCCAAAATTCTTACCATGGCCTGCAAGGTCCTGTGTAACCTGGCTTCGTCCCCCCTCTAAATGCTATGAATGTCAGATGGGCACCGTAAATGTGTGAAGGGTCAGTTACCTGGGTGTAAGGCAGTAGAAGGTGGGGACAGAAGTGAGCTGGAGGGCGGGCTTGTGTCCTGCCTGCAGGATGGGGGGTGGCTGCTACTTATTCAGGAATCCAGCAGAAATTGCTTCACAGAAGCTAGAAGTGAGCAACTTAAATAACTAAACACTATCTGGACCAAACAAAACACTAAGGTCGGCCCGATGCAGTCCACTACTCTCTTATTGGCAGCTTCTGGCTCACTGTTGAACCCACTGGAATGAGAGCACCACCGGGCAGACTCCTGGACCATCCCACTGTCAGCTCTGTGGTCCAGGCACAGTACCTGGGACAGTGTAAGCACTCAATGTGAAACTCAAGCCAGGGGCAAGCCACAGACCTCCCAGTATCTTCTCCGCGCATCTTCCCACTCCCAGTCTCCATTGTGGTTTTGTATGTTCCTAACCACAGACTTTTGGCAATGCTGTGCACACAAGGCCTGAGGAGTATTTCCTTGGCAATTGTCAGAAGAATGAGACTAAAACACTTCCTTTGCGCACCTGTTCTTAGAAGCAGCTCTGGCATTACTCCCGTTGTGTATCCAGGACAGGAAGTGGCAGTAGAATGTTGAGTTACTGAAGTCAGATGTCTTCAGTTCCAGTTCCAGCTGGAGAGCAGATAGTAGGTCCGTTGACCTCTCTGAGCTTGTTTCCTCAGCTGCAAAATAAGAATGAATCCTGTGCTACCCACCTTGCCATGTTGTGTTTCAGTGAGACGAGAAAACACTACCAAAAAGTCATTCCACAGACTTCTGAGGACAGAAAGTGCCCTCACTCAAGCTTCTCTTGTAACCACAGAGAAGGTGTCTGGATATTAACATAGAGCAGAGGCCACCAAGGTTTTTCTTTTTTTTAATCAAAAATCCTGCATGTGAAGGCAGTAATTGTATCTTAATATTATAATTTCAACATCTGTGGGTGTGAAATTTTTCAAAAAAAAAATTTGGGGAAATATTTTAAATGGCGGTGTATAGCCTATTTTGGTGTTTTGTTTGTTTTAGAGTTGGGGTCTCACTCCTTCATCCAGACTGGAGTGTGGTGGTGCCATCATGGCTCACTGCAGCCTCGACTTCCTGGGCTCAAGTGATCTTCTCACCCCAGCCTCCCAAGTAGCTAGGATCACAGGCGCATGCCATCACACCTGTCTGTTTTGTGTAGAGATGGGGGTCTTACTGTGTTGCCCAGGCTGGGGCTTGCAGTCGTTTAAACCATGCAATACACAGATTAAGATGGTGGTGCCATCTCAACAGTGGCCTGCCACTTCCCAGGGAGTCTTCCTTCCTCAGTGCAGTCCACCCTCCTCCTGGCTACTTTCCTGGGGTTTGGTTGCAAGTGGGTCTTCCACCACCTGCATCCAACACTCGGGCGCATGAGGAAAACCAACTCTTTAATTTGCTTATCTGTGATAACTTGAAGCCCTGGATAGTGTCTTGCATATGGACATGTTTTCACAATTATAGCTACTCCAGTAAAGTCACATTTCAGAGACTGACAGCTTGGGAAAGGCACAAAAAGTTTTGTTACTGTGTTATCTACAATGAATGTGCAATTCTTATGTAATGTTCATTGCAGCAGTATTCAGAATAGCAAAGACATGGAATCAACCCAAATGCCCATCAATGATAGACTGGATAAAGAAAATGTGGTACATATACACCATGGAATACTATGCAGTCACAAAAAGAACAAGACCATGTCCTTTGCAGGGACATGAATGGAGCTGGAGGTCATTATCCTTAGCAAACTAACCCAAGAACAGAAAACCAAACACTGCATGTTCTCACTTATAAGTGGGAGCTGAACAATGAGAACACATAGACACAGAGAGGAGGCAACACACACTGAGGCCTGTTGGGGGAGGGAGAGCATCAGGAAGAATAGCTAATGCATGCTGGGCTTAATACCTAGGTGATGGGTTGATAGGTGCAGCAAATCACCATGGCACACATTTACCTATGTAACAAACCTGCACATCCTGCACATGGACCCTGGAACTTAAAATTCATTAATTAAATAACAGGTACTGGGAGTGGTAGCTCACACCAGTAATCCTGACACTTTGGGAGGCCGAGGCAGGGGCATTACTTGGAGCCAGGAGTTCAAGACCAGCCCGAGCAACATACTGAAACCCCTGTCTATACACAAACACACGCACAAATTGGGGCATGGTGATGGACATTTGTAGTCCCAGCCTCTCTGGAGGCTGCAGTGGGAGGATTGCTTGAGCCCAGGAGTTCAAAGCTGCAATGAGCTATGATCACAGCCTGGACAACACGGTGAGACCCTGTCTCTTAGAAAAAATCAGTAACATGATATATTGAAAGCATTAACGATAGCCTCCCGTGATACATACTCTTTCACTTTCACTTCATAGCAGCTCTTGTGAAGTAGCAATTATTATCCCCATTGGAAAAACCAAGGTTTGTGGAAGTTAAGTGGCAAGCAGGAATTCAACTCTGGGTCTGAGTACAGAGCTCGAGCTGGTTCCTAGTGTGACCCCATACAGCCTCTGACCTTGCCATCCAGAAAATAAGCTCTTTGAGGGCAGGGAGTTTATAGTGTTAGAAATTCGTCTTGTATCTCTTTCTGTTGCACCCATGCAAGTGAGCACACAGTAGCCACTATTTCAATTTGTTGACTAATAAGACGAACCTGTATACTGATTGCCCAACAGCAAATGAGCTCACTTTGACCACCACTTGTGCATCCACCACGCAGTTGCATTGGCAGCAGAAATCATTCTATTACTTTCAAAAGTCACTGCATCTTGTGAGTTCATACACTTCAGTGTGATTCTCCCAGGGACTAATGGTTCCAAAGTGAGGAGATGATCAAAATTCCAAAACTGGGCTAGGCAGGGTGGCTCATGATTATAATCCCAGTGCTTTGGGAGGCCAAGGTGAGAGGATCACTTGAGACTAGGAGTTTGAGACCATCTTGAGTAATGTGGTGAGACCCCATCTCTACAAAAAAATTTAAAATCAGCTGGGCATGGTGTCACACCTCTGTAGTCCCAGCTACTGGGCTACTTGAGAGACTGAGGCAGGGGGATCACTTGAGTCCAGGAGTTGGAGGCTGCAGTGAGCCATGATCATGCCACTGCACTCCAGCCTGAGCAACAGAGTGAGACTCCACCTCTTGAAAAAATACAAATAAAAGAGTGCCAGCTGGGCACAGTGGCTCACGGCTATAATCATAGCACGTTGGGAGGCTGAGGCAGGAGGGTCACTTGAGTCCAGGAGACTCCATCTCAAAAAAATGAAAGAAAATAAACAAAAACCCTCCGGAGTTTGAGATCAGCTTGGGAAACAGGGAGACCCCATCTCTACAAAAAACACAAAAATTAGTCGGGCATATGGTGGCACAGCTACTCAGGAGGCTGAGATGGGAGGATTGCTTGAGACTCAGAGGTTGAGGCTGCAGTCATCGGCCCAACTTGGCCTCCCAAAGTGCTGGGATTATAGGCATGAGCCACCGTGCCCAGCCAGCTAGTAGGTTTGACAGCCCAGGTATGTTTCAGTTGCTTTTGGAGCCCAGAGGCAGGAAAAATATCAACCAAACAACAACCCCCAAAATGATAAAGTTGATGATGATGATACGGAAGGCGATAATTATGTTGGTAATAACTGTGTTGGTCTCTGGCCCTTGAGTCTTTATTTCACCATAATAATGGCCTCTGCCCTGCATATTTTAGCCTTTTGTGATCTAGAACCTAGGGCATCTCTCTAGAATAAGAAGCAAAACTAACAGCAAACAAAAAAGAACCCAGGGCAAAAGTGAATTTCTTGATGTGCTGCACCCCAAATTTCCTCAACCCCACGTTAATTCACTGAGCGTGTCATGACTGCCAGGGACTTGCCCACAGTGGCAAAGATTGCTATGTTCCCCAACTCCGCTTCTCAGTTTCCTAGGTACAAAGCTGGACTACATGTCCCAGGCTTCCCTGCAGTTAGGTGAGACCCTTTGATGACTTCAGGCCAATGGAATGTGTGCAGAAGTGATCTGTTGAGTCTCTGGCTGCCTCTAAAAACCCTCCTGAGGGCTGCCTCTAAAAACCACGGTGGCTCACCCCTGTAATCCCAGCACTTTGGGAGGCTGAGGCGGGCAGATCACCTGAGGTCAGGAGTTTGAGACCAGCCTGGCCAACATGGCAAAACCCCATCTCTACAAAAATATGAAAATTAGGTGGGCGTGGAGGTGCACGCCTGTAGTCCCAGCTACTTGAGAGGCTGAGGCAAGAGAATCCCTTCAACCCAGAACCCGGGAGGCAGAGATTGCAGTGAGCCAAGATTGTGCCACTGGACTCCAGCCTGGGTGGCAGAGAGAGATTCCATTTCAAAAAAATAAAATAAAATAAACAAACAAAAACCCTCCTGAGGCTCTCCATACTCTCTTTTCTGCCAGCTGGAAACAGAGGATTCTGTGTGGTTTACTGGGTAATCAAAAGCACTAGGTGGCTGGGCATGGTTGTTCATGCCTGTAATCCCATTTATGGCTGATTCCTACAATCTCAGCACTTTGGGAGACTAAGGCGAGAGGACTGCTTGAGGCCAAGAGTTCAAGACCAGGCTGGGTAACATAGTGAGACCCCCCCCCCATCTCTAAAAAAAATTTAAAAATTAGCCAAGCATGTTAGCGCGCACCTATAATCCCAGTTACTCAGGAGGCTGAGGCAGGAGGGTCACTTAAGCCCAGGAGTTCAAGGCTGCAGTGACTTATGATTGTGCCACTGAACTGCAGCCTGGGCAAGAGAGCAAGACTCCGTCTCTTAAACATATAATTTGTATATATGTACATATGTGTGTATATATATTCATATATGTATACATATATGATATGCTTTGTTTTTCCACTAGTGTGGACAGATTTCTATGATGTGGTAACAGAATAATGATTCCCTGAAGATATCCACATCCTAATCCTTGGAACTCAGGAATTTGTTGGGTGATATGCCAACAGGGAATTACAGTAGCAGATGGAATTAAGGTTGCTAATCAGCTGGCTTTTTTGTGTTGTTGTTTTTTTTTTTTTTTTTTTGAAACAGAGTCTCACTCTGTCTCCCAGGCTGGAGTGCAGTGGTGCGATCTCTGCTCACTGCAGCCTCCACCTCCCAGGTTCAAGTGATTCTCCTGCCTCAGTCTCCCTAGTAGCTGGGATTACAGGCACATGCCACCACACCTAACTAATTTTAGAATTTTTAGTAGAGATGGGGTTTCATCATGTTGGCCAGGCTGGTCTTGAACTCCTAACCTCAAATGATCCACCCCCCCGACCAGTCTCCCAAAGTGCTGGGATTACAGGTGTGGGTCACCACGCCTGGCTAGAAAAATAAAATAGGATATTAAGTGGTTTTATTAGTCAGGGTTCTCTAAAGGGACACAACTAATAGGAGATATATATATATATATATATATATATATATATATATATGTAAAGGGGAGTTTATTAAGTATTAATTCACACAATCACAAGGTCCCAAAATAAGCCATCTGCAAACTAAGAAGCAAGGAGAGCCAGTCCAAGTCCCCAAACTGAAGAACTTGGTGTCCAGTGTTCAAGGGCAAGATGCATCTGGAACGGGAGTAAGATGTAGGCTGGGAGGCTAGGACAGTCTATTCACATTTTTTCTGCCTGCTTCATATTCTAGCTGCACTGGCAGCTAATTAGATGGTGCCCACCCAGATTAAGGGTGGGTCTACCTTTCCCAGCCCACTGACTCAAACATTAATCTCCTTTGGCAATACCCTCACAGACATACCCAGGATCAATACTTTGCATCCTTCAGCCCAATCAAGTTGACACTCAGTATTAACTATCACAGTGGTGATGACTGTTTTGGAGAGAAATAAATAGGGGAAGGAGGATATAGCGTGTGTGTGGGGATGGATACCGCAGTCTTAGATAGGGTGGGCGGAGAGGGCTGCATTGAGAAGATAACATTTGCTTTTTTGTTTTTTGAGACACAGTCTCACTCTTGCCAAACCAGGCTGGAGTGCAGTGGCGCAATCTCAGCTCACTGCAACCTCCGCCTCCCGGATTCGAGCGATTCTCCTGCCTCAGCCTCCCAAGTAGCTGGGGCCACAGGCATGCATCACCATGCCTGGCTAATTTGTGTATTTTTAGTAGAAATGGGGTTTCACCATGTTGGCCAGGATGGTCTCGACCTCATGAGGTCCTGACCTCGTGATCCGTCCACCTTGGCCTTCCAAAGTGCTGGGATTACAGGCGTGAGCCACTGTGCCTGGCCAAGAAGATAACATTTGAATAAAGACCTTAAGGAGGTAAGGGAGGGAGCCATGTAAATATATGGTTGATGGGTGCTGCAGTAGAGGAAGCGGAAGTGCAGAGACTTGAAGCAGGAGCTGGACTGTGCTTTCAGACGAGCAAGGAGGCCAGTGGATTTGGAGCAGAGACAGCACGGGTAGAGTTGTAGGAGGTGAGGTCAGAGAATTAACAGGATGATGCCTGGGGATGGATGGGGCCTTGTCAGCCGCTGTAGCTTGTACTCAAAGTGAGAAAGGAAGCTGAGCCCTTGAATGCAGGTCGCCCAATGCAGAGATCTGGGGTGGCTCCTCTGTATCCACCTCGGCATCTCATCTAGCACAAGCCTTTCACCTAGAAAATGACAAGATGTGATTTTTTTTTTCTTTTTGAGATAGAATCTCGCTCTGTCACCCAAGCTGGAGTGCAGTGGCACAATCTCGGCTCACTGCAACCTCTGCCTCCTGGGTTAAAGTGATTCTCCTGCCTCAGCCTCCCTAGTAGCTGGGATTACAGGCGCGCGCCACCACACCCAGCTAATTTTTTGTGTCTTTAGTAGAGACGGGGTTTCACCATATTGGCCAGGCTGGTCTCGAACTCCTGACCTTCTGATCCAACAGCCTCGGCCTCCCAAAGTGCTGGGATTACAGGTGTGAGCCACCGTGCCGGACCTGATTATTATTATTATTATTATTATTATTATTATTTTAAGAAAATGGTGTCAGGCTGGGTGTGGTGGCTCACGCCTGTAATCCCAGCACTTTGGGAGGCCGAGGTGGGTATATCACCTGAGGTCAGGAGCTCGAGGCAAGCCTGGCCAACATGGTGAAACTCCGTTTCTACTAAAAACACAAAAAATTAGCCGAGTGTGGTGGTGGGCACCTCTAGTCCCAGCTACTCAGGAGGCTGAAGCAGGAGAATCACTGGAACCCAGGAGGCGGAGGTTGCAGTGAGCCAAGATCGCACTACTGCACTCCAGCCTGGGAAACAAAAGCAAAACTCCGTCTTAAGGGAAAAAAAGAAAAGAGGCTGGGCGCAGTGGCTCATGCTTATAATCCCAGCATTTTGGGAAGTCGAGGCAGGCGGATCACCTGAGGTCGGGAGTTCGAGACCAGCCTGACCAACATGGAGAAACCCCGTCTCTACTAAAAATACAAAATTAGCCAGGCGTGGTGGCGCATGCCTGTAATCCCGGCTACTCAGGTGGCTGAGGCAGGAGAATGGCTTGAACCAGGGAGGCGGAGGTTGCGGTGAGCCGAGACTGCGCCACTGCACTCCAGCCTGGGTGACAAGAGCGAAACTCTGTCTAAAAAAGAAAGAAAAAGAAAAAAAAAGGGTATCAACACAGAGCATTTGGGTAGGCTATGAGGAATAGGTGGTAGGTGCCCACTTTGATCACTCTCTTACACAGACCGAGCCCCAGTGGAAGATGAGGTGGGGAATGTAGGACTAGGTGGACAAATGTAGGGAGAAAACAAGGTTGGGGGGGTCTCTGGGACTTTGCCCCAGGAAGACGACTGGCTGGGTGAGCTGGGGGAGACATGTGTGCAGGGAACCTGTGCAGCTGGGAGGAGCGCTGGGCTGTGGACGAGAAGGAAGCTACAGACAAGAAACCTCACGTGGGAGGATTTGGACAAGGGTGAGACAGACACAGGGGCTGTGTGCCTCAACCAGGGGGATCTATGGGCAGAACTGGAGAAGTCTCAAGGGCTGGCCTCTCTCTTGGCACGTATGTTCTGCCTTTCTACTGCTTTCCTCACCTTCACCCCAAGGACAAGGAGTGTGTCTTACTCAACTTCACATCACCTGCAGTGTCCACTGTGCTAGGGCGTACAGCAGGTGCTTAGGCAATCTGCGGTTATTTTGGATCGGCTGGGTCTGAACAACAAATGTGCCACCTTTGATCCCGTTATTTCTAGAATCATCTTTTCACTCCACATGCTGGTTCAGCTTTTGCACTCCTCAGTCAGGCAGAAGCTATTTCTGGCCCCCTCGCCAGTAAGATGACATATGCTTGCCCTATGTTGCTTGATCATGAAAGGCTGACTCATAATCAGAGGCTGTCTCAAGTTCAGGGCTAGCTAGGCATTTCTCTGGAGCACATGGAAATTAGTTTCTTTATAGGTGAGAACAGCCACTACCAATCTGCTTTCTGTCCCAAGCTGTGTCCTGAAACAGCTGCTACAGGACCCTCTCCGCATACTGCAAGCGTGGGTGACACCTGCCTGCAATTGGGTGGGGGCAAAGAGGACAAGAGCTTGCACTGGATTCAACATTCATGCAAACATTTATTGAGCATCTGTAGCATCTGTGAACACTGCCCTGGGAGTAACAGCACCTACCCTATTTTTAGAGGTCAGCTTCAAGATTAAGGTTGTCATAACACCTCTTTTTTCTTTGCTGCAGACTAGGAATAAAAGCCATAGCATCTTACACCTCCCCTCCCCTACTTAAGCTGGCATTTATCAAATAGCATTTTACTTATTTGTTTAATTAATTTATTTTTTCCAAGATGGAGTTTTGTTCTTGTTGCCCGGGCTGGAGTGCAATGGTGCGATCTTGGCTCACTGCAACCTCCACCTCCTGGGTTCAAGCGATTCTCCTGCCTCAGCTTTCCAAGCAGCTAATTCTGTATGTTTAGTAGAGATGGGGTTTTGCCACGTTGGACAGGCTGATCTCAAACTCCTGACCTCAAATGATCCACCCACCTTGGCCTCCCAAAGTGCTGGGATTACAGGCGTGAGCCACCATGCTCCGCCTAGGCTAGCATTTATCAAATAGCATTTTAAATATGCTTTGGGAAGCTGGACCCAGTGACTCACGTCTGCAATCCCAGCACTGTGGGAGGCCGAGGAAGGAGGATCAATTGAGTCCAGGTGTTCAAGACCAACCTGGGCAACATAGGAAGACCCTGTCTCTACCAAAAAAAAAAAAAAAAAAATGTCAGCGAGGCATGGTGGCCCTCGCCTGTGGTCTCAGCTACACAGGAGGCTGAGGCAGAAGGATCACTTGAGCAAGGCCCTGTACCAAAAAATAAGTAAAAGTAAAAAATAAATATTTTTTTTTCGTCTGAATGTTCTACTAAACTGGAAGCTCAGCCAGTCACAGTGGCTCATGCCTGTAATCCCAGCACTTTGTGAGGATCCCTTGAGACCAGGAGTTCAAGACCAGCCTGGACAACATAGTGAGATCCCCTCTCCACATGAATAAATAAACTGGGCCGGGTGCGGTGGCTCACGCCTGTAATCCCAGTACTTTGGGAGGCCGAGGCAGGTGGATCACGAGGTCAGGAGTTCAAGACCAGCCTGACCAACATGGTGAAACCCCATCTCCACTAAAAATAAAAAAATTAGCTGGGTGTGATGGCGGACGACTATAATCCCAGCTACTCGGAAGGCTGAGACAGAAAATTGCTTGAACCCGGGAGGCGGAGATTGTAGTGAGCCGAGATCACACCACTGTACTCCAGCCTGGGCAAAAGAGCGAGACTCCGTCTCAAAAAAAAAAAGGCCAGGCGTGGTGGCTCACGCCTGTAATCCCAGCACTTTGAGAGGCCAAGGCGGGCAGATCACGAGGTCAGGAGTTCCAGACCAGCCTGACCAACATGATAAAACCCCGTCTCTACTAAAATTACAAAAATTAGCTGGGCGTGGTGGCACCCGCCTGTAATCCCAGCTACTCAGGAGGCTGAGGCAGAAGAACCGCTTGAACCCGGGAGGCGGAGGTTGCAGTGAGCGGAGATCACACCACTGCACTCCAGCCTGAGTCACAGAGCGAGACTCCGTCTCAATAAATAAACAAACTGGAAGCTCTTTGAAACCAAAACCACGTATGTCTTCAGCTTTAGGTACAGAGTCTTGCACAAAATAGACATCTTTTTATTTATTTACTTTAGAGACGGGGTCTCGTTTAGACATGGGGTCTCCATATGTTGCCCAGGCTGGAGTGCAGTGGCTATTCACAGGTGCGATCATATCATAGCTGACGGCAGCCTCAAATTCCTGGGGTCAAGTGATCCTCCCGCTTCAGCCTCCCAAATACTTGGGACTACTAGATACTCGAGAAAAGGCAAGAATGTGGTCTGAATGCTGGGAAAGCAGTTCATCTGGTAAAGAGAGGAGGGGATTCCAGGTGAGGAACAGGTGTGTGCAAAGACCGGAAGCCATCCTTAAGAAAGGCGTGGTTGGAGCACAGCGTAGGAGCCAGAGGGCAAAGGTGCTGGGCAGGAGAGGCGGGAGGACAGAGATGGCGCAGGAGTGCGGTTCCACAGGGTCAGGTTCCTAACACGCTGGCCAGAGCAGGGAGCCGACCTCCAAACTCTCAGGGAAGAGAACCAGGTTGCCCACCGGCGGCACCTCGCACCTCGCCCTGACCACAAGCACGTGCGCCCAACCCGCCTCGCACCCCGGCCCGGGTAGGGGGCTCAGGGGACTCCCGGGGCACTCAGGAGGGACGCCCCGGGCGGGGCGCGCAGGCGCGCTGAGGCCGTGAGCCCCAAGGGGCGGGCGGGTGCGCGCGCTTTCTCGCGCACGCGCGCACGGAGGGGGCGACGGCCGCTGTGACGCTGCGGCGGCGGCGGGCGGGCGGCGGCGCGTGAGGCGCGCGATCCCCGGTGTCTTGGGAGCAGTGCCCCGGCCCCCGCCGCTCCCGCCGCCGCCATGTCGGGCCGGTCGGTCCGGGCGGAGACCCGCAGCCGGGCCAAGGACGACATCAAGAAGGTGATGGCGGCCATCGAGAAAGTGCGGAAATGGTGAGGGGCCGGAGCTTAGGGGGCTGGCGGGGGTCGCGGATCCAGGCCCTGAGGAGCGTGGGACTGGCGGGTCAGGTGGGAGCCGACCGGCCGGCGCTGGGGGAGGGGGGTGCGGGAGAAGGCGGGAGGAGGGCGCCGCTGGCGTCGGCGTGAGGTCAGAGGGCGCGCCGGCCGCGGCCAATCAGCGGTCCTCCCGGCTCGCGGGCCCGCCCACCTGCTGCGGCTGCTGCCGCGCGCCGCCTGGGAGGGGATTCCGGCTTCCGGCCCGGACTGGAGCTGCCTGGCGTCGGTGCCCGCGCCCGGCCCAGCCCGGGGCCCGCCCTCCCCTCTTCCTGGGCAGTGGCCCCGCCTGCGTTTCCAGGCTTCCTCTTGATAATAGCGAGTAGCCCTGGAGTGGTGTCAGCCCGCCAGGCTGAGCGCTCTGCGTATTCAGGCGTTGAAGTTGGGTGAGTTTCTGGGTTAGTCCATCTGTCAAGGGAGCAAGCCTGGTGTCATCCAGAGGGATACCCCTCCCTTTCCCCCAGTAACCGGCCCCTGCGCCGCGAGCTTGGTAGGCATTTTCTCTTGCTGCCCCGGCGGCTGTCAGGAGAGTCCTTTGCAAACTATGTACCAGCCTCCCTCTAATTTCCCTGCTTCTGCTCTTGTTCATTCCCCAGTCCGTTCATCATTTGCACTGTGTGATTTTATTTTTCTCACTTCCAAGTAGCAGAGTGGTCTTTTTAAAGTGCACATCCTTACTTGGGAGGCTGTGGTGGGAGGATTGCTGGGACCCAGGAGTTGGAGGCTGCAGTGAGCTATGATCGTGCCACGGCACTCCAGCCTGGGCTACGGAGAGAGACCCCGTGTCTAAAATGTTCATGGAAGATGCCGATTGAGCCCCTGTTTAGTATCCGGAACTCCGATACATACTATATCGGTGTGTATCGGAGTCATCACATTAAACTTTCACAGCCAACTTCGTCAGCTCTTTTGTATAGCCAATTACTACTAATAATTTAAAAACCCAGGTCTGGCTAGGTGAGGTGGCTCAGGCATGTAATCCCAGCACTTTGGGAGGCTGAGGTGGGCGGATCGCTTGAGGCCAGGAGTTTGAGACCAGCCTGGGCAACATAGTGAGACCCCGTCTCTACAGAAAATAAAAGTTCAAGTAGATGTTACCTCCCGCCAGGAAGCTTTCCTTAACTCCTCCCATCCCTTTACCTCCTTTAAGGTCGTTGGTACGTTGGACTTTATTTGTGTGTTTATCTGTCCATTTCCCCACAAGAGGGAAGTTCCTTCTCTTTTTTATGTCTGAGGGCTTCATATATAGTTGGGTTTCAGTATAAATATTAGTTTAACATACTCATGGTTTTCCTCGTCCACCTTTAATCCTCCGAGGTTTTGGTGAAACCTAAGAACAGGTACACCTTTCTCTTCTCCCCATTTTTGACCCCCCCGCCCCTAGCAGGCTAGGCTGAAGGGCCATCCCCTGTCACCTGGAACTCTGTACCAGCCTCCCTGTAAACTCTCTGCTTCTGCTCTTGCTCATTCCCCAGTCTGTTCATTTGCACTGAGTGATTTTATTTTTCTCTCTTCCGAGTAGCGGAGTGACCTTTTTAAAGTGCACAGCCTTATTTGGAAGGCTGTGGTGGGAGGATCGCTGGAGCCCAGGAGTTGAGGCTGCAGTGAACTATGATCATGCCATGGCACTCCAGCCTGGGCAACACAGTGAGACCCCATCTGTAAAAAAATATATAAAATGTGCATCTTATCCTAGCACCCCTAGTAATGCTTCAGTGGTTCCCTTCTTGCTTTTAGGATAAATACTGAAGAAGGCCCTCCTTCCTGCCTCACTTGGCTGGCTCTTTCCCAGGATGCCCGCTGTCTTACCAATGAAGTCACTCTGCTCTTCCTGCCGCCTGGCATTCTTCTTCCTCTCTCCTCTCCTCCCTCTTGCCGAGTTAACTCCTAGCTCAGCTCAAAAGTTGCTTCCTTAGGTTTACCACTTGAGATTCCCAATCTAGATCAAGTCTCCTTCATAGACCTTTCCACAGTTGTATTAGATGGACTCATAAGACATTTCCTATATTTGATTTCTTTTTTTTTGAGACAGAGTCTTGCTCTGTCACCCACGTTGGAGTGCAATGGTGCGATCTTGGCTCACGGCAACCTCTGCTTCCCGGGTTCAAGCAATTCTGCCTCAGCCTCCCGAGTAGCTGATTATAAGTGTACACCACCACACCCAGCTAATTTTTTGTATTTTTGTGGAGACCGGGTTTCACCATGTTGGCCAAGCTGGTCTTGAACTCCTGAATTCCAAGTGGTCCTCCCACCATGACCTCCCAAAGTGCTGGAATTACAGATGTGAGCCACTGTGCCTGGCCTCCTGTATTTGACTAATTAACCTACAAAAATGGCAATTTGATATGGTTGAACCTGATGATTAAGTGACTAATCTTGAATTGAGCTATTCATGTCTGTTTCCAGATATAAGACAGGGTCTGTGAGGGCAGGGACTGTGGATCTTGTTCCCTGCATCACCAGGGCCTAGCACAGCCTGTTGTATACTAATTGGTTGAATAAATGAGAAAATGGAGTGGTCTGTTCAGGAATTAATTTTAGTTATTTTCTAAGACTTTAATTCGCTCCTTCTGTTACATCACAGTCTCTTTACACTCCCAGTATGTCATCTGTTTTTTTTTTTTTTTTTTGAGACCCAGTCTTGCCTGTCACCCAGGCTGGAGTGCAGTGGCGTGGTCTTGGCTCACTGCAGTGTCCGCCTCTGGGGTTCAAGCAGTTCTTCCGCCTCAGCCTCCTGAGTAGTCGGGACTACAGGTGTGCGCCACCATGCCCGGCTAATTTTTGTATTTTTAGTGAGGACAGGATTTCACCATATTGCCCAGGCTGGTCTCGAACTCCTGGGCTCAAGTGATCCACCCACCTCAGCCTTCTAAAGTGCTGGGGTTGCAGGTGTGAGCCACCGTGCCCGGCCCTATTATGTCATCATTTGCTGAACAGCATCAACAACTACAACAGCAGTTGCTTTTTTTTTGCTTTTTCGTGACTTCATATTTGGACTTGACTCTTTGAGAAGTTGGCTCAGATCTGTGACAAAGCAGTTCCCTGCATTTGACCCTTGTTCCTACTGACAGCAAGTACCTCTTAAGGTATTGGTGGACCTTAAAATAAGCAAATTTGTTCTCTGCCTGCACGCTTAGGGAATAACCTTCTTGGAATGAAGGAGAGGCTGGGCACGGTGGCTCACACCTGTAATCCCAGCACTTCGAGAGGCTGAGGCAAGAGGATCGCTTGAGCCCAGGAGTTCAAGATCAACCTGGGCAACATGGTGAAACCCTATCCTTACTAAAAATACAAAAAATTAACTGGGCGTGGTGGCCTGTAGTCCCAGCTACTTGGGAGGCTGAGATGGGAGATTCACCTGAGCCTGGGATTTTGAGGCCGCAAGGAGTGGTGATCACGCCACTGCACTCCAGCCTGGGTGACGGAGACCCTATCTCAAAAAAAAAAAAAAAAAAAGTCTCCTTTGTTCTATCTCCTCCACACATTTGTTTGCAGACCTCGAAGGCACTCTGTGGGTAAGCTCAGAACAGTGGCATTCTAATCTGGTGTAGATAGTTGGGGGTCCTTAGTCATTTAGAGAGTGACCTTGTGCAAGGCTTATCCCTTTGCTTATTTCGTGAGCGTAGTGGACTGATAAACTCTGCCATTTTTACCCCTTTGGAACACAGCAAGAGACAGGATTTCTACAAAGCTTTGAACTTCAAAGTTGAAATTTAAAAATTTCTTTAGACTAGTTTTCTTTCTTTTTTTTTTTGAGACGGAATCTCGCTCTGTCACCCAGGCTGGAGTGCATTGGCGCAATCTCGGCTCACTGCAACCTCTGCCTCTCAGGTTCAAGCAATTCTCCTGCCTCAGCCTCCTGAGTAGCTGGGACTACAGGTGCGTGCCACCACACCCAGCTAATTTTTTGTATTTTTAGTAGAGACAGGGTTTCACCGTATTAGCTAGGATGGTCTCGATCTCTTGACCTCGTGATCCGCCCACTTTGGCCTCCCAAAGTGCTGGGATTACAGGTGTGAGCCAGCGCGCCTGGCCTAGTTTTCTTTTTCTTTATGCAGTCTTAGTAACCCAGAAAGGGAAAGGTTCCTAACATTTCACACCCACCAGGCCATACCCCCCAGCAGCAGGTGTCTCTCCTGAGATTGTTTGCCCCTTGGAAGGGTCTTTAAATGGACACAGGAGGCCAGGTGTGGTGGCTCATGCCTGTAATCCCAGCATTTTGGGAGGCCAAGGTGGGCAGACTGCTTGAGACCAAGAGTTCAAGACCAGCGCGGGCAACAAAGAGAGACCCCCCACCCCCACCCCACCACCCCAACCATCTCTACAAAAAATAAAAATTTGGCTGGGCGTGGTGGTGTGCGCCTCTAGTCCCAGCTACTCAGGAGGCTGAGGTGGAAGGATTGCTTGAGCCCAGGAGGTCAAGGCTGCAGTGAGTTATGATTGTGCCACTTCACTCCAGCCTGGGAGGCAGAACGAGACCCTGTCTCACTAAAACAAACAAAGAAAAGGAATGTAGTAATAGAACTCATATATTTGGTAAAGAGAAAAGCACTCAAAGTAACTCGCATGCAAGTAAAAAAGAATATGGTGCTGTGTGTGCTACCTTCCAGCCTTATGTCCCACATCCTTTTTTTTTTCTTTCTTTCTTTTGAGACAGGGTCTCTGTTGCCCAGGCTGGAGTGTGGTGGCGTGATCTCAGTTTACTGCAACCTCTGCCACCTGGGCTCAAGGGATCCTCCCACCTTAGCCTCCGGAGTAGCTGGGATTACAGGCACACGCCACCACGCCCAGCTACTTTTTGTTTTTTTTTTGTAGCGACAGAGTTTCACCATGTTGGCCGGGATGGTCTCGAACTCCTGACCTCAAGCGATCTGCCCACCTCAGTCTCCCAAAGTGTTGGGTTTACAGGCGTGAGCCGCTGCGCCTGGCCTGTATTTTTTTTTTAGAGATGAGGTCTCGCTAAATTGCCCAGGCTGTTCTCAACCTCCTAGGCTTGAGTGATCCTCCTGCCTCAGCCTCTCAAAGTGCTGGGATTTCAGGTGTGAGCTACCATACCCCACCAAGAGGAAGTTCAGAAGGATTCCAGATTGAAGGAATGATCTGCTGAGTAGTAGAAAAACACAAGTGATGAACAGAAAACACATTGCATTGTTTTATCCGTTCTAAGAAGTGTCTTTCTTTTAGGGAGAAGAAGTGGGTGACTGTGGGTGACACGTCCCTGAGGATATTTAAGTGGGTTCCTGTGACAGACAGCAAGGAGGTAAGTGTGGAAGAAAATCAAAAGATACCATTTTCTTTATTTCTTTATTTGATTGCCTCTTTTTTTTTTTTTTTGGGACGGAGTCTCGCTGTGTCACCCAGGCTGGAGTGCAGTGGCATGATCTTGGCTCACTGCAACCTCCACCTCCTGGGTTCAAGCAGTTCTCTGCCTCAGCCTCCCAAGTAGCTGGGGTTACAGGCATCTGCCACCACACCCAGCTGATTTTTGTATTTTTAGTAGAGACGGGGTTTCACCATGTTGGTCAGGCTGGTCTTGAACTCCTGACCTCGTGACCCACCTGCCTCAGCCTCCCAAAGTGCTGGGATTACAGGCGTGAGCCACTGCACCCGGCCTAATTGCCTTTTAATTAAAGGAATTTATTTGCCCAGAATTGAGTGGAAAATACTTCAAGGTACCCTGTTATTGGTCCATGCAAGGCCTCTCTTTATTATTTTCCTACTTTATTCCTTTCCCTTAACCCAAGCCTCTTTTCCAGGGCTTGACAAACTACAGCCCTGGCGTATTCCTTAGGTTTGTCAGTATAGTTCTATTAGAACATAACTGGCTGGGCGTGGTGGCTCACGCCTGTAATCCCAGCACTTTGGGAGGCCAAGGTGGGCGGATCACTTGAGGTCGGGAGTTCGAGACCAGCCTGGCCAACATAGTGCAACCCCTGTCTCTACTAAAAATACAAAAAAAGTAGCTAGGCCTGCTGGCAGGCACCTGTAATCCCAGCTACTCAGGAGGCTGAGGCAAGGAGAATCGCTTGAACCTGTAAGGCAGAGGTTGCAGTGAGCCAAGATCCCGCCACTGCACTCCAGCCTGGGCAACAGTGTGACACACCATCTCGAAAATAAGCAAACAAACAAAAAAAACCAAACACATAAGTATGCCCACTGATTTCCTT
This sequence comes from Homo sapiens, assembly GCF_000001405.40. Lineage (NCBI taxonomy): Eukaryota > Metazoa > Chordata > Mammalia > Primates > Hominidae > Homo > Homo sapiens. Next base: position 73,551,259 of record NC_000007.14, on the reverse strand, counting down.
ATTGTCTGTGGTGCTTTTGAATTACAGTGGCAGATTGAGTGGTTGCCATAAGGCCAAATGGCCCGTAAAACCTAAAATATTTATCATCTGACCCTTTAAGAAAAAGTTTGCTGATACTTGCTCTTATGCGATTAGTCCCCCACTGTATTGTGTGTATCATATGTATATACATCTTTCTAATTCTGGTGTAGACCTTTGTGCTTCATCTTTGTTGGATGTATTTGGATACCTGTATATTCTTTAAAAATACATAGCATTGTTTCATATGTGTATTTTTGTGTTTAAACAAAACTTAAATATGTGGGCCGGGCGTGGTGGCTCACGCCTGTAATCCCAGCACTTTGGGAGGCCGAGACGGGCGGATCACGAGGTCAGGAGATCGAGACCATCCTGGCTAACATGGTGAAACCCCGTCTCTACTAAAAGTACAAAAAATTAGCCGGGCATGGTGGTGGGCGCCTGTAGTCCCAGCTACTCGGGAGGCTGAGGCAGGAGAATGGTGTGAACCCAGGAGGCGGAGCTTGCAGTGAGCCGAGATCGCACCACTGCACTCCAGCCTGGGCGACAGAGTGAGACTCCATCTCAAAAAAACCAAACAAACAAACAAAAAAAAAACAAAAAAAAAATATGTACAGTATTTTGCCAGAACCTCTTTGTATTCTCTGTGGTTCAACTTTGGTTTTTTAATTTGGGGTTTTTTGCTTTTTTGTTTTTTTGAGACGGACTCTCGCTCTGTCGCCAGGCTGGAGTGCAATGGTGCAATTTCAGCTCACTACAACCTCTGCCTCCCAGGTTCAAGCAATTCTCCTGCCTCAGCCTCCTGAGCAGCTGGGATTACAGGCGCCTGCCACCACGCCTGGCTAATTTTTCTATTTTAAGTAGAGACGGGTTTCACCATGTTGGCCAGGTTGGTCCCAAACTCCTGACCTCAAGTAATCCGCCTGCCTTGGCCTCCCAAAGTGCTGGGATGACAGGCATGAACCACCGTGCCTGGCCCAACCTTGTTTTGAGAACCCTCCATGTATCTGTAAATATAAATAGAATTATTACCTTTGACTCATGCATTGCATTTTCTTATTTGCAGTGAGTACCTTTATCTACATATTTTCTGGGTGATAAATACCCAGATTGTTTCCAACTTTATTTTTTCTAATTGTTTTTTAAATTTTCAAATATAAAACACATACAGAGAAGTATATAAAACATAAATGTACAGTGTATGAATAAATATAAAGCTAACACTCTTGTGAGAACCACTCTGCAAAACACAGCTTTGCCAAGACCCCAGCAGACCTCTCTGCAGCTCTTCCCATCCTCTTCCTCCTGTCCCTCTAAAGGTAATGACTCTCCTACTTTTGCTTTTCTTACCACTTGTCTAGTCATTCATAAACAGTTTTTCCTTTATTATTATTTTTGAGATTTTTTTTCCAGAGACAAAATCTCACTATGTCACCGAAGCTGGAGTGCAGTGTCATGATCTCAGCTCACTGGAGCCTTGACCTCCCAGGCTCAAGCAATCCTCCCACCTCAGCCTCCTGAGAAGCTGGGACCACAGGCATATGCCATCATGCCCAGCTAATTTTTTTTCTTTCTTTTTTTTGTTTGTTTTGGAGAGATGGGAGTTTGCTATGTCAACCTAGGCTGATAGGTCTCAAATTCCTGGGATCAAATGATCTTCCCACCTCGGCCTCCCAAAGTGGTGGGATTTTAGGCATGAGCCATCGTACCCACGCTTTTTCCTTTTTTAGAGATGGTGGGGGGTCTCATTGTTGCCCAGGCTGGATTTGAACTTTTGGGCTCAAGGGATCTTATCTCAGCCTCCCAAATAGCTGGGATTACAGGCATGTGCCACTGCACCAGCCTCTAACATTTTGAGTGTTATGGAAACAGCATGATAAAGTATCTATTTTCGTGTGTCTTGTTTCTTTTGCTCAGCATTATGTTTGTAAAATGCATCCATGTTGTCCTTGGAGTTACCCATTCCTTTCCATTGCTCTCTCTGCTGTATTTTGCTGCATATTCATCACATGGCTAAGTGTAGTTTATTTTTCTGGTTCTCCTGTAGATATTGAGGTTGTCCACAGTTAGGGCCAATAGGAACAATGCCCCTGTGAGCATTCTTGTTCAGAATCCACATCAACATGTACATGAGTTTTCCTAGGATATATTCTTGGAAGGGAAGTGGCTGGGTCTTAGGGTATGTATGTTTTGACCTATATTAGCTGATGCTAAACTATTTGCTGAAATGGTAGTTGTACCAATTTATATTCCCACCAGAAACAGGAGTTTTGTTTTTTGGAGTTTTTTTTGTTTGTTTGTTTGTTTTTTTGAGACGGAATTTCGCTTCTCTTGACTAGGCTGGAGTGCAGTGGCGCAATCTCGGCTCACTGCAGCCTCTGCCTCCTGGTTTCAAGCGATTCTCCTGCCTCAGCCTCCCAAGTAGCTGGGATTACAGGCATGCGCCACCACATCTGGCTAATTTTGTATTTTTAGTAGAGACTAGGGTTCTCCATGTTGGTCAGGCTGGTCTTCAACTCCCGATCTCAGGTGATCCGCCCGCCTCGGCTTGCCAAAGTGTTGGGATTACAGGCGTGAGCCACTGTGCCCGGCCTGCTCCTTTTTTTATTATTATTATTATTTTGTAAGACACGGTTTCAATCTGTCGCCCAGGCTGGAATGCAGTGATGTAATCTCGGTTTACTTCTACTTTTGTCTCCTGGGCTCCAGTGATCCTCCCACCTCAGCCTCCTGAGTAGCTGGGACTACAGTCACATGCCACCACATCCAGCTAATTTTTGTTGTTGTTGTTTCCTTATTTTGTTTTGTTTTTTCGAGACAGAGTCTCACTCTGTTGCTCAGTCTGGAGTACAGTGGTGCGATCTAAGCTCACTGCAACCTCTGCCTCCCGGGTTCAAGCAATTCTCCTGCCTCAGCCTCCAGAGTAGTTGGGATTACAGGCACACACCACCAGGCCCGGCTAATTTCTGTATTTTTAGTAGAGACAGGGTTTTACCATGTTGGCCAGGATGGTCTTGATCTCCTGAGCTCGTGTTCTGCCCACCTCCGCCTTCCGAAGTGCTGGGATTACAGGCGTGAGCCACTGCGCCCAGGCTCGCCTAAAATTTCATGCACCTACATTTTTTTTTTTGAGACAGGGTGTCACTCTGAGGCTGGAGTGCAGTGACGTAATCTTGGCTCACTGCAGCCTCCGCCTCCTGGGTGCAAGCAGTTCTGGTGCCTAGCCTCCCAGTAGCTGAAACTACAGGTGCATGCTGCCACACCCAGCCTAATTTTTGTATTTTTTGGTAGAGACGGGGTTTCATGATGTTGGCCAGGCTGGTGTTGAACTCCTGACCTCAAGTGATTTGCCCATCTAGGCCTCCCAAAGTGCTGGGGTAACAGGTGTGAACCACTGTGCTCAGCCTCATGCACCGACTTCTTACTGTTTTCTCCTACATTTGTTTTTCTTTTTGCTAGAATACATCCTTCAAGAGTTTTGTCAAAGAGAGCTTCTGTGGGGAAAACTTTCTGAAAATATCTTTGTTTCACTTTCATGTTGAAAATTGATGATTTTACCTGTATATGAAATTCTAGGTTCAAAATTATTTTCTTTCAGCACTTTGAAGCTATTACTGAATTGTACATCCAGTGTCGCTGTTAAGAAATGTGATGTTATTCCCATGCTTGAGTCTTTGTAGGTGATCTACTTGGCTTCCTGGAAACTTTAGCATTTCTTCTATATTTGATCTCCTAGGAATTCCCTCAAAATATCCTGTAATATTTCTTTTCCTTTTTTTTTGAGACTGTCTCACTCCATAGCTCATGCTGGAGTACAGTGGTGCAATGATGGTTCACTGTAGCCTCAAATTCCTGAGCTCAAGAAATAGTTATGTCTCCACCTCCCAAGTAACGGGGACTACAGGCACGTGCCACCACGCCTGGCAAACTTTTAAATTATTTGTAGAGACAGGGTCTTGCTGTATTTCCCAGGCTGGTCTCAAACTCCTGGGCTCAAGCGATCCTTCTGTCTTGGCCTCCCAAAGTGCTGGGATCACAGGTGTGAGCCACTGCACCCACGCAGCTGCTTGCTTGCTTGCTTTTTTTTTTGAGATGGAGTTTTGCTCTTGTTGCCCAGGCTGGAGTGCAATGGCACAATCTCAGCTCACCGCAACCTCCACCTACCAGGTTCAAGTGATTCTTCTGCCTCAGCCTCGCGAGTAGCGCTTGCCTCACCATGCCCAGCTACTTTTGTATTTTTAGTAGAGATGGGGTTTCTCCGTGTTGTCAGGCTGGTCTTGAACTCCTGACCTTAGGTGATCCGCCCGCCTTGGCCTCCCAAAGTGCTGGGATTACAGGCGTGAGCCACCACGCCTGGCCAACTGCTTTATTTCTTAACTTTTCTCTCATTCATTTCATTTCTTGTCTTTCCTGGTGCATTCTGAGTTTCTCAACGCAGTTTTTGCTCATTAATCTTTTATTTAGCTGTATGTATTTCAATTAACCTCATTCACTTAATTTTTATTTGAGCAATTGTATTTTTCATAACAAATTGCCTCAATTGGTTCTTCCTCAAAACGACTTTTTTTTTTTTTGAGACAGAGTCTCGCTGTGTCACCCAGGCTGGAGTGCAGTGGCATGATCTCATCTCACTGCAGCCTCCACTTTGCAGGTTCAAATGATTCTACTGCCTCAGCCTCCTGAGTAGCTGGGATTACAGGCATGTGCCACCATGCCCAGCTAATTTTTTTCTATTTTTAGTAGAGACAGGTTTCACCATATTGGCTAGGCTGGTCTCGAACTCCTGACCTCAAGTGATCTGCCTACCTTGGCCTCCCAAAAAGTGCTGTGATTACAGGCTGTGAGTCACTGCCCCTGGCTAAAACAACTTTTCAATATTATCCTTATCTTTCTGAGCAAATCCATGTTTAATTTCAGTTATTCTGCTCCTTCTGGTACAGACTGTTCTGTTTATCAGGGTGCCTGTGTTCCTCCAATCTCTGGTGAGTTTTATGCGTGCACTCACCTTTTATTCCCTTGGGACTCTCAATTGCATTGGCTGGTAATGTGTAACTACGAGGAGGACGGAAGCCTGATCCGTAGTTTTTCTTTCTTTTTTTTTTTTTTTTTTGAGATGGAGTCTCGCTCTGTCACCCAGGCTCGAGTGCAGTGGCACGATCTTGGCTCACTGCAAGCTCTGCCTCCTGGGTTCACGCCATTCTCCTGCCTCAGCCTCCCAAGTAGCTGGGACTACAGGCACCCGCCACCACGCTCAGCTAATTTTTTTGTATTTTTAGTGGAGGCGGGTGAAAACCGTGTTAGCCAGGATGGTCTCAATCTCCTGACCTCGTGATCGGCCCACCTCGGCCTCCCACAGTGCTGGGATTACAGGCGTGAGCCACCGCGCCCGGCCAGTTTTCCTTTCTGTAAATGAATTTAGGAGGTTGAGGTTAGCCTCAGGGTTCAGCCTCTCCCTTTTGCTCTCTGCTGTCCTCTCTGGCTCCAGGGAACCTCCTAGCACCAACTGTATGGACTCTGCCTTTATCTGAGAGCAGCCATCCCAAGAAGTTCTAGGATGCCAAACTCATGGAGTTGATGGGGCGTGGTTCTGGAGCAACTGTTTATTCCCCCATCCAGCCTGGCTCTGGCCATTACCCACAGGGGTCAAAGGTCAAGCAGTTAAATCTCTTGGGCATTGTGTATAGACAGGAGTAGATGCTGCTAGAAAACCCCCTTTCCTTGGCCGAGTGCGATGGCTCACGCCTGTAATCCCAGCACTTTGGGAGGCTGAGGCGGGCGGATTGAGACCATCCTGGAGCCAGGAGATCGAGACCATCCTGGCTAACATGGTGAAACCCCATCTCTACTAAAAAATACAAAAAATTAGCTGGGCATGGTAGTGGGCGCCTGTAGTCCCAGCTACTCGGGAGGCTGAGGCAAGAGAATGGCGTGAACCTGGGAGGTGGAGCTTGCAGTGAGCCGAGATTGTGCCATGGCACTCCAGCCTGGGTGACAGAGCAAGACTCTGTCTCAAAAAACAAACAAAAAATTGAGTTATTAACAAAAATTACGTTACTAATATAATGCATCTACCGGAAATGTATAAAAAGTGTGAACTGGTAAATTTGAGGCTACTCAGATTTAAACTTTTGGCTTTTGGGATGCTCTCATTTTCATATGCTTGGATTTACTCTGGGCTTTTTTTTTTTTGAGTTAGGGTCTAACTGTGTTGCCCAGGTTGGAGTGCACAGTCATAGCTCACTGCAGCCTCAAACTTTCAGGCTCAAGCGATCCTCCCACCTCAGCCTTCTCAGTAGCTGGGACCACCAGCCTATGCCACCATACATGGCTCATTTTTTATTTTTTTGTAGAGATGGGGTCTTACTATGTTGCCCAGGCTGGTCTCAAACTCCTGGGCTCAAGGGATCCTCCCACCTCCGCCTCCTCAAGTGCTGGGATTACAGGCATGAGCCACTGTGCCTGGCCCTTGGGCTTTCTTGTTGCAAGCTGGTGCTTACCTGCCCACTGTGGTTGCCCTGCACTTATAACCTACATCTTTCTTGAAACAAATGTTATAGGTAAAAATAAACATGGGGTGATCATTTTGTTTTTTGGGTTTTTTTGTTTGTTTCTTTTTGAGATGGAGTTTCGCTCTTTCGCCCAGGCTGTTATGAAGTGGCAGAATCTTGGCTCACTGCAACTTCCACCCCCCAGGTTCAAGCGATTCTCCTGTCTCAGCCTCCAGAGTAGCTGGGATTACAGGCACATGCCACCATGCCAGGCTCATTTTTGTATTTTTATTTATTTATTTATTTATTTATTTTATTTTTTGTTTTATTTTATGTTTTTTTAGATGGAGTCTCGCACTGTAGCCCAGGCTGGAGTGCAGTAGTGCCATCTTGGTTCACTGCAACCTCCACCTCAAGCAATTCTCCTGCCTCAGCCTCCCAAGTAGCTGGGATTACAGGCACATGCCACCACACTCGGCTGATTTTTGTATTTTTAGTAGAGATAGGGTTTCACAATGTTGGCCAGGCTGATCTTGAACTCCTGACCTCAGGTGATCCATGCGTCTTGGCCTCCCAAAGTGCTGGGATTACAGGCGTGAACCAGTGCGCCCGGCTGGGGTGGTCGTTTTGAATGGATGAGGATGACGGATCAGGAATAGAGCCAGCCTGGGCCCATTTGTCCTGTCACTGTCTGTGTTACATGAGGTTCCTTCTTCTCTCACTTTTTCCCCACTCTGCTACTGAAACAGGAATCTTTCTCAAATGAGTGTTTTGTATTTCTTGCCCATTCGTATAGAGAAGGGTTGCCTGGCGCAATTTGATCAGGGCAGGAGAGGGATACTATGGGATGTTCTAGTCGAAGTGTATGTATCTGCCTGTTGCTTATGATTCACAGTATTCCTGCTGGAAGGGTTCATTTTTCTGAGGCTTGAGGAGAAGTTGCTTGTCCAGGATTCTGTTCTTCCTTGGGTCCTTGGATTCTCACGCTGCTGTCGTTTTTCCTGTTCAGTCCTAATCCAGACCTCTGTGGTCTGTCACATAGCACCCTCCTCCCTCTCTGTGAGTCTCCTGCTTGGCTCTGTCATATTCCTCTTTTTTTCCTTTTCTAGAAAGAAAAGTCAAAATCGAACAGTTCAGCAGCCCGAGAACCTAATGGCTTTCCTTCTGATGCCTCAGCCAATTCCTCTCTCCTTCTTGAATTCCAGGGTGAGTTGCATCTCTGTGTCTTCCTTGCAGGAGAATGAAAACTTGGATGAATGCATTAATAAGAAGAATTGGCCAGGTGCAGTGACTCACACCTGTAACCTCAGCACTTTGGGAGTCTGAGGCGGGCAGATCACCTGAGGTCAGGAGTTCAAGACGAGCCTGGCCAATATGGTGAAACCCAGTCTCTACTAAAAATACAAAAAGTTAGCTGAGCGTGGTGGCGCGTGCCTGTAATCCCAGCTACTCGGGGGTCTGAGACAGGAGAATCGCTTAAACCCAGGAGGTGGAGGTTGCGGTGAGCCGAGATTGCGCCACTGCACTCCAGCCTGGGCTGCAGAGTGAGACTCCGTCTCAAAAAAAAAAAAAAAGAATTCTGTGTATCAATTCAGTGCCTGCTGTTTCGCTGGTATTTTGCGAGGCACTTGACCTAAATCTTTTCATTTAAACTTCACGATAACTCTGCAAGATAGGTAATGGTATTCTCATTTTCCAGTTAAGGAAACTGAGGCTCAGAGAGGTTAAGTTACGTGTCTAAAGTTACATAACTTGTAAGTGACAGACTCCATGTCAGGTCCTGGTTGTCCGAATCAGAAGCTTTTTTTTAGATTGTACTTCATTTTTTATTTTTTATTTTTTGTAGAGACAGAGTCTGGCTATGTTGTCCAGGCTGGTTGTGAACTCCTGGCCTCAAGCAGTCCCCCAGCCTTGACCTCCCAAGGTACAAGCATGAGCCACTGCACCTGGCCTAGACTGTATGTTTTATCATAGTCGCTTAGAGTAGGCTACCCAAAGCCGAAGCTTCTGCTTACCCACTGTTAGGACATGTTCTGCCTCCTAAACCAATCCCGCCGGATCATCACCGTAGTCATGATACTGCCTTTTACACCTACCTGCTAGGTACTGTCTACGAAGCACTTTTACTTTACTTTCTCATTTTTACCCATGTATCAGCCTGTGATATAAACCAGGCAGTTATTATCATCCCTATTTAAGGAAACTGATGCTCAGGGAGGAACAGTGTTTTGTCTAAGCTCAAAAGTGACAGTTTTATTCATTTGGTGACAAAATGCTACTTCCATTTTAGTGTGGGTATTAAAGGTCTTTATAGGAGTCAAGACTAGCATGAGTTTATGACTTTCTCTTCAAAACCAGATTGGAGCTAACCCAGCGTGTAGTTATTCCTTCCCCACCTCTTTCCCAGGCCCCACCAAGGTCAACCATGTGCTGTTGGAAAGGGAACACCAACGTGTGTTCAGTAGTCAGAAGGCTCTGGGAGACATATGAGGCTCCATTTCCTCAGTCTGGCCACCATCTCCTCCTTTTCATTTAGTAAACACTTAATGAACTCCCACTGTATGCAGGTACCGTGCGTTGCACTGGGGAGTCAAGGACAAGTGAGCCACAGAGCCTGTCCACAGAGGCTCATGGGAGGAAGCACGTGTGCGAAATGATAAATGCAGGCGTGCACAGGCTATCACAGGAGAGTAAGAGAGGGTGGGCATTTCCACCTATGCGAGCCAGGGAGGTAGGGCTCCGCGGAAGAAGTGATGTCGGGGCTGTGTTGGGAGGTCTGAGGCTTTCCAGGACAAGAGAAGGCAGCCTAGCCAAGGAACAGCTGGGCAGAAGCACCCATGCATGACGAAGCTCTTGGGTTAGGGTCCAGTCTGCCTGGAGCTGAGGATGCTTGTAGGAGAACAGTAGGCACTGAGGCCAGAGATCAGAAAGGACTTCCTATGTTGCGATAAGGCCAGCTCCTGCCTCTCCTAAGAAGTACTGGGTATGGCTGGGCGTGGTGGCTCATGCCTGTAATCCCAGCACTTTGGGAGGCTGAGGCAGGTGGATTACCTGAGGTCAGGAGTTCGAGACCAGCCTGACCAACATGGTGAAACCCCGTCTCTAATAAAAATACAAAATTACCCAGGCGTGGTGGCGCAAGCCTGTAATCCCAGCTACTCAAGAGGCTGAGGCAGGAGAATCAGTTGAACCCAGGAGGCAGAGGTTGTGGTGAGCTGAGATAGCACCATTGCACTCCAGCCTGGGCAACAAGAGCGAAACTCGGTCTCAAAAAAAAAAAAAAAAAAAGTACTGGGTATGACATTTCTCCCTTAGGCAGCAGTGGAGCGTCGAAGGGTTTAGAAAGGTCTCTCTGGCAGTGGTTTGCAGTTCAGTTTAAGGTACGTGAGACTGGAGGCAGGGCAGTGAGGTATGTGGCTGTTGCAGGAGGCCAGGCTGGAGATGATGAGGCTTGAACTGAAGCAGTAGGAGAGGAAGGAATGAGCACAAATGATACCAGAGCAGGAGGGGGAAACACTTTGGTGACTGGCTACTGTAGGTGCAGCGGAGGAATGCATTGGTGACTCTTACTTTTTTTCTTTTTTTTTAATTTTAATTTTTATTTTTTGAGACGGAGTCTCGCCATGTCACCCAGGCTACAGTGCAATGGCACGATCTCAGCTCACTGCAACCTCCACCTCCCGGGTTCAAGCGATTTTCCTGCCTCAGCCTCCCAAGTAACTGGGATTACAGGCGCGTGCTATCATGCCCGGCTAATTTTTGTATTTTCAGTAGAGACGGGGTTTCACCATGTTGGCCAGGCTGGTCTCAAACTTCTGACCTCAAGTGATCCGCCCACCTTGGCCTCCCAAAGTGCTGGGATTACAGGCGTGAGCCACTGCACTCGGCCTGGTAACTCTTTTTTTTTTTTTTTTTTTTTTTTTTGAGACAGAGTCTCGCTCTGTTGCTCAGGCTGGAGTGCAATGGCGCGATCTCGGCTCACTGCAAGCTCTGCCTTCTAGGTTCATGCCATTCTTCTGCCTCAGCCTCCTGAGTAGCTGGAACTACAGGTGCCCACCACCACAGCCGGCTAATTTTTTGTAATTTTAGTAGAGACGGGGTTTCACCGTGTTAGCCAGGATGGTCTCGATGTCCTGACCTTGTGATCTGCCCACCTCGGCCTCCCAAAGTGCTGGGATTACAGGCGTGAGCCACCGTGCCTGGCCTCGGCCTGGTAACTCTTAAGTTTTGCACCTTGATGGTGACTTTAAGCCTTCAGGCAGAACTCCCAGGTGCTAATCCGTCAGTCCGGCAGCCGAAGCCTGAGCTCACCACCTTCAGACACCACCAGCCTCCTTCAGATGCCCAAGGATGCCTGACAAATGTCATTTTCTACACATCTTATGATGTGAGAAGGATTGAGAAGTACTGACCAGAGACACAGCTACATCCCTCCCTTCCACAAGCTGCAATCAGTGGATAATAAAGAAGAGTTTAATAAGCATATCCTGACCTTCCTAAAGTGTAATGTTGCATAAACATAAAGATTCTGGCTGCCTCTGGTGCTTAGAATCTATGTCGTGTAGGCCGGGCACAATGATTATTATACTCAGTTGTATCCTTGGCTGCCTAAAGTGATGCCAGGCCCTTGGCTCTGTCCAGAGTTCCTCTTGAGGAAAATGACCACGCTCAGCTGCTGCCTTTGTTCTGTTTGGTTTTCAGACGAAAACAGCAACCAGAGTTCCGTGTCTGACGTCTATCAGCTTAAGGTGGACAGCAGCACCAACTCAAGCCCCAGCCCCCAGCAGAGTGAGTCCCTGAGCCCAGCACACACCTCCGACTTCCGCACGGATGACTCCCAGCCCCCAACGCTGGGCCAGGAGATCCTGGAGGGTGAGTCGTGGTTGGCCGAGGATGAGTTTCCTAGAAGGGCCTTGCTTTCTGCTCTTGTTGTGTCTCGTCTTTAGAGTAACAGGCTCGAGAGAGCACCTCAGAGCCAGGCAGCACCAAGCCCTTTCTCGATAGCTTAGGAATGATTATAGTTTCCCCTTTCACAGAGGGAAGGGAGAAAACAAGCATTAGAGTTGCGTGCCAGGCTGTGTGGAAGGAACTTGAGTATTTGACGCCTGCTATAATTCTCTCAAAAATCCTGTGAGGTGGCAGCTATTGTCTTCTTTTACAGATGAGGAAAATGGACATTCAAAGCTTAGAAAGGTTAAATTGGGCTGGGCATGGTGGCTCACACCTGTAATCCCAGCACTTTGGGAGGTCGAGGTGAGCGGGTCACTTGAGGCCAGGAGTTCAAGACCAGCCTGACCAACATGGCAAAACCGTCTCTACTAAAAACATAAAAAATTTAGTTGGGCGTGGTGGCATGTGCCTGTAATCCCAGCTACTCCGGAGGCTGAGGCAGAAGAATCACTTGAACCCAAGAAGCAGAGGTTACAGTGAGCTGAGATCACACCAGTGTATTCTTGCCTGGGCAACAGAGTGAGACTCCATCTCAAAAAAAAAAGACCTGGCGCGGTGGCTCACACCTGTAATCCCAGCACTTTGGGAGGCCGAAGTGGGTGGATCACCTGAGGTCAAGAGTTAGAGACCAGCCTGACCAACATGGTGAAACCCCATCTCTACTAAAAATACAAAAATTAGCCAGGCATGGTGGCGCAAGCCTGTAATCCCAGCTACTCGGGAGGCTGAGGCAGGAGAATCACTTAAACCCAGGAGGCAGAGGTTGCAGTGAGCCAAGATCGCACCAGGGCACTCCAGCCTGGCGACAGAGCTAGACTTCATCTCAAAAAAAAACAGAGAAAGGTTAAATCGCTTGTCTGAGATCACATAGCCAGTCTAGTAACTGTTGGAATGAATGTCACTTTAAGTCCTTCTATTTTCAGCATTTATGCTGTCTGCATTACATGCTAAATTTTTTTCTTTTCTTTTTTTTTTTTTTTTTTTTTTTAAAGAGATAGGGTCTTGCTCTGTTGCCCAGGCTAGAATGCAGTGGCTGAATCCTAGCTCACTGCAGTCTTGAACTCCTGGGGTCAAGTGATCCTCTTGCCTCAGACTCCGTAGTAGTAGGACTGTAAGCCTTTGCCACCATGCCTGGCTTTCTTTTAATTTTCTGTAGAAATGGAGTCTCACTATGTTGCCCAGGCTGGTCTTGAACTCCTGGGCTTCAAGTGATCCTCCCACCTCAGCCTCCAGAGTAGCTGGGATTATAGGTGTGAGCCACCATGCCCGACCCAGGTTTCTTGTTATAATATGGATATATAGATGTGTCTTAGGCCCTTGTTACCTTCTCCTGTGCTGTGACCTGTTAACAGCCAACTACAAAATGGAACTTGTTTCTCCATGGGAAATGCCAATTGTAGTTAATATTTATTGTGTTCTTACTATTTGGCATGTGCTGTTCTTAGCTCCTGTGTTTTATTACTTCATCTCGTCCTCATAGCAACTCTCAGAAAACTGGGAGATTGAGTTAGAGTTGTGATGTTTGGGCTAGAGGATGACAAGATGAGCTGCTTTGTCGGTTCCAGATATCTCCAGCCCAGCAGAGATGGCCCTCTGCAGTCTAGCCGTATTTTGCCCTTCCACCATTCTTGGCTGTGACCTGGTCCAGCTGGGCCCTGAATGAATGTTTGCTTCTCAGGCCAGTATTCTCCCCTCCTCACCAAGCCACCTCCACACAGCTCTAAGGAAGCTCCCCCAGGTCCAGGCCTCAGGGGAGCCCTGCCCTCAGGCCGACCCTACTGCCTTTTCAGAGCCCTCCCTGCCCTCCTCGGAAGTTGCTGATGAACCTCCTACCCTCACCAAGGAAGAACCAGTTCCACTAGAGACACAGGTAAGCAATCACTTTGAGTTTTCCAGTTTTTTGTTTTTTTGGTTTAAGGCAGGGTCTCGCTGTTGCCCAGACTAGAGTGCAGTGGTGCGATCCTGGCTCACTACAACCTCCACTGCCTCCTGGGTTCAAGCAATTCTCCTGTTTCAGCCTCCTGAGTAGCTGGGATTACAGGCGCCCACTACCACACCTGGCTAATTTTTGTATTTTTAGTAGAGATGGGGTTTCACTATGTTGGCCAGGCTAGTCTCGAACTCCTGAGCCCAAGTGATCCACCCATCTCAGCCTCCCAATGTGCTGGGATTATAGGTGTGAGCCACTGTGCCCGGCCAGGCTTCCCAGTTTCTAAGTCAAAAAACCAGGAAAGACTGTGGATGTGGGGTTGGATCTGCAGCGCCGGAAATGAGTCCCAGGGTTGTAGGCAGGGGAGGATGTTTGATCATCTGCTGGAAGGAGCAGAGTGGACATCCCATTATAATTCGGGTGGGTGGGAAGGTTCTGGTTGGGAGGGGTGGCCCTGGCATTCCATGCTCTGCCTGCTCCTAGGTCGTTGAGGAAGAGGAAGACTCAGGTGCCCCGCCCCTGAAGCGCTTCTGTGTGGACCAACCCACAGTGCCGCAGACGGCGTCAGAAAGCTAGCACCATCCCGGCCCTCCGCCTCCTGGCCCTGCCTCTATTTATTGCATTCTGGTTCTGGCCGCGCCGCGTTGCTGGGGTAAGGGCAAGCACTGGGGTCAAGAGCCTGCACACATGAGCCTTCCGGGCTGGAAGGCTGGCGTAGGACTTGGGGCTGTAGCATCATCTTCCTGACCCTGGCACCTGTGTCTACTTGCTCCCGAGAAGAGGAGCGCTCATGTCTTTTTTGCACCCCAAGTTGGCTGGAGCATCGGCCACCCCAAGATTCATCTGTGACCTCCAGGCAGCAGTCTCTGCTCCAGAATCTCTGGACGGAGCTGCTGGCAGCTTCTGCGAGAAGAGAGAGATGTGGAAGGCACCTTCTAGAAGAGAGCGTGCCTCAGGTTACTTGAACTTGAACGGAGACTGTAGACTCCCGGACTTTCCCCTAGGACTGGGGGCCCTGTAGGCTGCTGTTGGAGGACTGGGTAGAGACATTGGAGGGAAGGGAAGGGCTTTTCTCCACACAAGGGCAGAGAGTCCGTCTAGATTTCTTGCTGTCCTGCCAGCTCTGCCCATGCCTGAGGTGGTCCTACCTCTCACGGGCACCCTAGCTGCTGACAGCCCTTTGTGGCCGCCGTCCCCATCCCCTGCCCTCAGCACACACATCTGCACACACGCAGCTTTGTTCTCACCTCTACCTGTCATTCCAGCATCCCTGCCTCTTGTCACAAACTGCCCCAGCAAGAATTTGAGGTTCTGACAACAGTACCCATCCCCCACAGTACCCCTTCAGCTCAGTTTCTAGAAAGCTCCCTTTTCTTTGAAATCTGCATGTTGAATTGAACTTTGTGATTTTATTTTTTGTTTCAAAAAAGTTTAAGAAAATGGAAATGGGCAACAGTGAGTGAAGACATATTTTAGCACTGAATAGAATATTTTTAAAATTAAACTATTTGAAATATGTCCTGTTGGTATCTGAGTGCTTCCTTCTTGAAGGTTGCGGGCCGGGGTGGGGGTGGTGGCTGAGTGCTTGTGGGGTCACTGTGGGCTGGGCCTGCCCATCCTTTCACTCCCACAGTGTGGACTTCATGACAGTGATTTCTAGCCTCCCTTTGAAGCTGTCACGTAGTTCAAATTATGCTTCTCGCTGGGCGTGGTGGCTCATACTTCTTATCCCAGCACTTTGGGAGGCCGAGGCAGGAGGATCACTTGAGGCTAGGAGTTTGAGACCAGCCTGGGCAACACAGCAAGACCCTATCTCTATCTAAACAATATTTTTAAATTAAAACATAAAAACCAGGCCAGGCGCAGTGGCTCCCGCCTGTAATCTTAGCACTTTGGGAGGCTGAGGTGGGTGGATCATCTGAGCTCAGGAGTTCAAGACCAGCCTGACCAGCAAAATGAGACCCCATCTCTACTAAAAATACAAAAATTAGCCAGGCATGGTGGCAGGCGCCTTTAGTCCCAGCTACTTGGGAGGCTGAGACGAGCATTGCTCGAACCTGGGAGGTGGAGGTTGCAGTGAGCCAAGACTGCGCCACTGCGCTCCAGCCTGGGTGACGGAGCGAGACTCCATCTCAAAAAACAAAACCAAATTCCATCCCTGTGTACACCAAATGCAGCCCATGGATGTGTTTTCCACAGGTCCATGTAGTTCGGAGGGATTCATGAGTTCTTTTTTTCCCCCCTTGTGGTAAAATACACGTAACATAAAAGGTTTTTGTTTGTTTGTTTTTTGAGACAGAGTCTCACTCTGTCACCCAGCAGGCTGGAGTACAGTGGTGTGTTCTCAACTCACTGCAACCTCTGCCTCCCAAGTAGCTGGGATTACAGACGTGCACCACCACGTCTGACTAATTTTTGTAATTTTAGTAGAGGTGGGGTTTCACCATGTTGGCCAGGCTGGTTTCGAACCCCTTAGGCTCCCAAAGTGCTGGGATTACATGTGTGAGCCACTGCACCTGGCCAAGAGTTACTTTTGTCACCATTGTGAAGTGTGCATTTCAGTGGTACTGAGTACTGAGTACATTCACAGTGCTGGGCAGTCCTCACAGTCCAGCTCCGAACTTTTTTATTATCCCAAATGGAAACCTCATGTCCAGTTAGCATCATTCACCATTTCTTCCCCTCCCCTCGGGCCCTGGCAGCCACAGATCTGTTTATTTCCCGGAGTGATTCCCCTCATTTCTCACAGGGGCTCCAGGTGTCATGGATGAGACTATAATACAAGTTCTACTGTTCTATGTTTTGTTTTTGTTTTTTTTGAGACGGAGTCTCGCTCTGTCACCCAGGCTGGCAGTGGCGGGATCTCGGCTCACCGCAAGCTCCGCCACCCGGGTTCACACCATTCTCCTGCCTCAGCCTCCCGAGTAGCTGGGACTACAGGCGCCTGCCACCACGCCCAGCTAATTTTTTGTATTTTTAGTAGAGACGGGGTTTCACTGTGTTAGCCAGGATGGTCTCGATCTCCTGACCTCATGATCTGCCCGCCTCGGCCTCCCAAAGTGCTGTGATTACAGGCATGAGCCACCGCACCCGGCCCCTGTTTTATCTTTTCTTACAAAATATAAATAGGGCTGGGGCTGGGCACGGTGGCTCACGCCTGTAATCCCAGCTACTCGGGAGGCTGAGGCAAGAGAATGGTGTGAACCCAGGAGGCGGAGCTTGCGGTGAGCTGAGATCACGCCACTGCACTCCAGCCTGGGCGACAGAGCAAGACTCCATCTCAAAATATATATATATATATAAATATTTTTATATATATAGGGCTGGGCACAGTGGCCTGTAATCCCAGCACTTTGGAAGGCTAAGGCAGGAAGATTGCCTGAGCCTGGGAGTTAAGACGAGCCTGGGCAACATGGCAAGACCCTGTCTCATTAACAAATACAAAAATGTAGGCCGGGCGTGGTGGCTCACACCTGTAATCCCAGCACTTTGGGAGGCTGAGGCGGGCGGATCACGAGGTCATGAGTTCGAGATCAGCCTGACCAGCGTGGTGAAACCCCCATCTCTACCAAAGATACAAAAAATTAGCCGGGCGTTCTGGCACATGTCTGTAATCCCAGCTACTTGGGAGGCTGAGGTACAAGAATCTCTTGAACCTGGGAGGCGGAGGTTGCAGGGAGCCCGATTGCGCCATTACACTCCAGCCCGGGCGACAGGGTGAAACTCTGTCTCTAAAAAAATAAGTAATAATCTTTTAAAAATGTAACAGCCAGGTACAGTGGCTCATGCCTGTAATCCCAGCACTTTGGGAAGATCGCTTGAGCCCAGAAGTTCGAGACCAGCCTGGGCAACATGGTGAAACCTCATCTCTAAAACAAAAACAAAAATTAGCTGGGCATGTTGGTGCATGCCTGTAGCATCCCCTGCTCGACGGCTGAGGTGGGCGGATCTCTTGAGCCCAGGAGGTCAAGGCTGTCGTGAGCCGTGATCATGACACTGCACTCTAGCCTGGGCGACAGAGGGAGTCTCAAAAAAAGAGACATATAAAATCAAATTGTCAAATGAATTTTACAGATAATGTGATTGTATGTGGTACACAAAATACGTATTTTTTTTCTGAGACAGAGTGTTCTCTGTCACCCAGGCTAGAGTGCAGTGGCGTGATCTTGGCTCACTGCAACCTCCGCCTCCCAGGTTCAAGCAATTCTCCTGCCTCGGCCTCCTGAGTAGCCGGGATAACAGGTGCCTGCCACTGTGCCTGGCTAATTTTTGTATTTTTAGTACAGACGACGTTTCACCACCTTAGCCAGGCTGTTCTCGAACTCCCAATCTCGTTATCCACCCACCTCAGCCTCCCAAAGTGCTGGGATTACAGTCGTGAGCCACTGCGCTTGACCCTTTTTTTTTTTGTAAAGACAAGGTCTCACTATGTTGCCCAGGCTGGACCCACCTCGGTTTCCATTTCCCAAAGTGCTGGGATTACAGCCGTGAGCCATCATGCCTGGCCAACATAACTGTTTTAATGTGTTTAAACAAAGGAAAGTATAATGGGCTGGGTGCAGTAGCTCATGCCTGTAATCCCAACACTTTGGGAGGCTGAGGAGGAGGACTGCTTGAGTCCAGGAGTTTAAGACCAGCCTCAGCAACAAAGGGAGACTCCATCTCTACAAATAATTTTTTTTTTTTTTTAGTTAGCTGAGTGTGGTGGTGCACACCTCTGGACCCATGTACTCTGGAGGCTGAAGCAGGAGGATTGCCTGAGCCCTGGAGGTCAAGGCTGCAGTGAGCCATGATTGCACCACTGCGCTCCGGCCTGGGCAACAGAAAGAGACCTTGTCTTATTAAAAAATAAAAATATTGGCCAGGCGTGGTGGCTCATGTCTGTAATCCCAGCACTTTGGGAGACTGAAGCAGATGGATCACTTGAGGCCTGGAGTTCGAGACCAGCCTGGCCAACATGGTGAAACCCCATCTACTAAAAATACAAAAATCAGCTGGGTGTGGTGGCACACACCTGTAATCCCAGCTTGAGCCCTGGAGGTGGAGGTTGCAGTGAGCCGAGATCTTGCCACTGCACTCCAGCCTGGCCTGGGCGACAGAGCAACACTATGTCTCAAAAAAATAAATAAATAAAAATATTTTACAAATACAGTTGTCCCTTGGTATCTGGAGGGGTTGGTTCCAGGACCCTGGTGGATACCAAAACCTGCAGATGCTCAAGTCCCACAGTAGGCCATGTTCTGCATCTCTTGAATCCGGTATTTTTGATCCACTACCAGTTGAATTTGTGGATACTGAGGGACAACTGTATTTGTTGCAAACATAATCTTGGTAGGTTCTTTGTAAAGTATAACTGGTAAACACATGGTCACTGCCTTTAAGGAGCTTATGGTCTGATGCAGCAGAGAAGGTGGAGAAGTAGGAGCCATGAGGGGTCGTGAAGGTGGAATACCATTAGGGTCTGGAGAAGAATCTTGGAGGCTTTGAGATCATAGAAAGTTTATAGAGCTGGGCGTGGTGGCTCACGCCTGTAATCCCAACACTTTGGGAGGTCAAGGCAGGCAGATCACCTGAGGTGAGGAATTTGAGACCAGCCTGGCAAACATGGCGAAACCCCATCTCTACTAGAAACACAAAAATTAGCCGGGCATGGTGGGCACCTGTAGTCCCAGCTACTCCAGAGGCTGAGGCAGGAGAATCACTTGAACCTGAGATGTGGAGGTTGCAGTGAGCTGAGATCATGCCACTGCACTCCAGCCTGGACGACAGAGTGAGACATCTTAAAAAAAAAAGTTTATAAAATAGGTGGTGTTTGAGTTGGGCCTTGAGAAATTTGGATATGAGATCTTTTTTTTCTTTTTTCCTTTGAGATGGAGTTTCGCTCTTGTCCAGGCTGGAGTATGATGGTGAAATCTTGGCTCACTGCAACCTCCAACTCCCGGGTTCAAGTGATTCTCCTGCCTCAGCCTCCCGTAGCTGGGATTACAGGCATGCGCCACCATGCCTAGCTAATTTGGTATTTTTAGTGAAGATGGGGATTTGCCATGTTGTTCAGCCTGGTCTCGAACTCCTGACCTTAGGTGATTCACCTGCCTCGGCTTCCCAAAGTGCTGGGATTACAGGCGTACGCCACCACGTCAGGCCAAAAAAATTTTTCTTTGTAGAGATGAGATCTCACTATTTTGCCCAAGCTGGTCTCAAACTCCTGGGTTCAAGCAATCCTCCCACCTCTGCCTCCCAAAGTGCTGGGATTACAGGCATGAGCCATTGTGCTCGGCCTACAGATATTCCCCCCCCCCCCCAGCTTTTTGGCTGAATTACTTGAAAATAGGTTGCAACATTATGACTCTGCTATGGTTTGAATGTGTCCTCCCCAAAATTCAGGTGTTGCCACTGTGATCGTATTAAGAGGTGGGGCTTTTTTTTTTTTTTTTTTTTGAGACGGGTCTCGTTCTGTCGCCCAGGCTGGAGTGCAGTGGCACGATCTTGGCTCACTGCAAGCTCCGCCTCCCAGGTTCACGCCATTCTCTTGCCTCAGCCTCTGGAGTAGCTGGGACTACAGGCGCCCGCCACCATGCCTGGCTAATTTTTCATATTTTTAGTAGGGACAAGGTTTCACCATGTTAGCCAGGATGGTCCTGATCTCCTGACCTCGTGATCCGCCTGCCTCAGCCTCCCAAAGTGCTGAGATTACAGGCGTGAGCCACTGCGCCCGGCCAAAAGGTGGGGCTTTTAAGAGGTGATTAGGCCATGGGGCTTCTCCATCATGAATGGGAGTAAGGCCCTTATAAAAGGTTTCAGCAGTGTTTGGCTCTCTAGCCCTTCTGCCTTCTGCCATGTGAAGATACAGGTTCCTCCCCACAAGGAGATTGCAACATCAAGGCACCATGTTGGAAGCAGAGAGCAGCCCTCACCAGATAATGAAACCAGCACCTTGATCTTGGACTACCCAGTTTCCAGAACTGTGGCCACATAAATTTGTGTTCCTTGTACATTACCCAGACTCAGGGATTTAGGTAGAGCTGCACAAATGGACTAAGACATTTTACCCCTAAATACTTGAGCTTCTATCTCCCAAGAACAAAGACGTTCCCTAACACAACTAGACTACCAAATCACACCCAAGAAATTTAACGGCCATGCACAGTGTCTCATGCCTGTAATCCCAACACTTTAGGAGACCGAGGTGGGTGGACTGCTTGAGCTCAGGAGTTCGAGACCAGCCTAGACAACATGGCAAAACCCCATCTCTACAAAAAATACAAAAATTAGTCGGGCGTGGTGGCACATGCCCGTAATCCCAGCTACTTGGGAGGCTGAGGCAAGAGAATAGCTTGAACCCAGGAGGTGGAGGTTGCAGTGAACCGAGATCATGCCACTGCACTCCAGCCTTGGTGACACGGTGAGACTCTGTCTCTAAATAGATAAATAAAATAAAATAAAATAAAATAAATGTCCAAATTGTTCCAGATTGGGCCAGTTAGCGCCTGTGCCCTTTGACATTTCTGCATCATGATTTCAGCAGTGCCTTACTGTCAGGTACGAAATGTTCCAGACTCACTTTTTTTTTTTTTTGAGACGGAGTCTCACTTTGCCACCCAGGCTCGGCTCACTTCAACCTCCACCTACCGGCTTCAAGCAATTCTCCCACCTCAGCCTCCCAAGTAGCTGGGATTACAGGCATGCACCACCACACCCAGCTAATTTTTGTATTTTTAGTAGAGACGGGTTTTCACCATGTTGACCAGGCTGGTCTTGAACTCCTGACCTCAGGTGATCCACCCACCTTGGCCTCCCAAAGTGCTGGGATTACACGCGTGAGCCACTGTGCCCGGCCCCGAACTTGTCCAGCCCCAGCCCTTTTTCAAGGAGCCCTGGATCTTTTTAGGGGGGAATCTTTTTAATTTTTTTATATTTTGAGACAGGGTCCCACTCTGTCATCCAGGCTAGAGGGCAGGGGGGCAATCACAGCTCACTGCAGCCTTGACCTCCCAGGCTCAAGTGATCTTCCCACCTCAGCCTCCTGAGTAGCTGGGGCTACAGGTACATGGCACCATGCCTGGGTAAATTTTAAAAATTATTTGTAGAGACAGGATGTTACTATATTGCCCAGGCTGGTATCAAACTTCTGGGCTCATGCAATCCTCCTGCTTCAGCCTCCCAAGGTGCTGGGATTACATGCAACAGCCACCATACCTGGCTGGCGTAGTATTTTAAAACCTAGATAGGCCAGTGCAGTGGCTCACAACTGTAATCCCAGCACTTTGGGAGGCCAAGGCGGGCATACTGCCTGAGGTCAGGAGTTGGAGACCATCCTGGCCAACATCGTGAAACCCTGTCTCTACTAAAAAAAAAATACAAAAAATTAGCCAGACATGGTGGCAGGCACCATTAATCCCAGCTACTTGGGAGGCTGAGGCAGGAGAATTGCTTGAACCTGGGAGGCGGAGGTTGCGGTGAGCTGAGATTGGGCCATTGCGCTCCAGCCTCGGCAACAATATGGAAACTCCATCTCAAAAAAAAAGAAAAACAAAAAACAAAACAAAACAAAAAAACTGGCCGGGCATGGTGGCTCACGCCTGTAATCCCAGCATTTTGGGAGGCCGAGGCAGGCGGATCACCTGAGGTTGGGAGTTCGAGACCAGCCTAACCAACATGGAGGAACCCCATGTCTACTAAAAATACAAAATTAGCTGAGCATAGTGGCACATGCCTGTAATCCCAGCTACTCTGGAGGCTGAGGCAGGAGAATTGCTTGAACCCAGGAGGCGGAGGTCGTGGTGAGCAGAGGTCGCGCCATGGCACTCCAGCCTGGGCAACAAGAGCGAAACTCCATCTCAAAAAAAAGAAAGAAAAAAACCAGCTGGGTGCAGTGGCTCACACCTGTAATCCCAGCACTTTGGGAGGCTGAGGTGGGTGGATCACGAGGTCAGGAGTTCAAGACCAGCCTGGCCAAGATGGTGAAACCCCGTCTCTACTAAAAAACAAAAGTAGCTTGGTGTGGTGGCAGGCACCTGTAATCCCAGCTACTTGGGAGGCTGAGGCAGGAGAATCGGTTGAACCTGGGCGGCAGAGGTTGCAAGGTTGCAGTGAGGCAATATTGCGCCACCGCACTCCAGCCTGGGTAATACAGTGAGACTCCGTCGCAAAAAAAAAAAAAAAAAAAAAAAAAAAACCTAGATAAACCTAGGTTTTGATAGCATAAGGAGTTTGAGGGCAGAAGTACCAAGATGGTGGATGGATTGTGGAGGGCCTTGAAGGTTAGGCCACAGTTTGGTTTAATTCTGTTTGCTTTAAGGAGCCATCCATTGGAAGCTGTAAACATTAGAGTGCCACGGTGTGCTGGATACCATGGAGAGGAAAGAGAGGGGAGGCAGGGAGACAGATGGGAAGGACAGTGCCTGCCGGATGTGTTTGCATATATTGAGAGAAGAGTTACAGTTCTGTCAGTCTGGGGACAGAGCAGAGATAGGTCCAGAGAAAACGAAGTAAAAACAGACTGAAGTCATCCAGAGACAACAAAAGAAAGGAAATGTAATGAGTTTACCACATGAATCATCTGAATAATGCATAATCATAAGTTATACGCTGCATGCTGATTTAGCCAATTGCAATATAATTCTTTTGGGAATATGTTTGCATATGTGCGTGGTGTTTGTGGGGCTAAGTTCTCATCTTCCACTGAAGAAAGTCAATAGCTAATATTTATAACTGAAAAACTAGGCCAGGCGCGGTGGCTCACGCCTGTAATCCCAGCACTTTGGAAGGCCGAGGTGGGTGGATTGTTTGAGCTCAGGAGTTCAGGACCAGCCTGGGCAACACAGCGAGCAAGACCCTGTCTCTACAAAAGATACAAAAATTAGGCTGGGTGCGGTGGCTCATGCCTGTAATCCCAGCACTTTGGGAGGCCGAGGCAGGTGGATCACTTGAGGTCAAGAGTTCGAGACCAGCCTGGCCAACATGGTGCAATACTGTCTCTACTAAAAATACAAAAATTAGCCAGGGGTGGCGGCAGGAGCCTGTAATCCCAGCTACTTGGGATGCTGAGGCAGGAGAATCGCTTGAGCCCGGGAGGTGGAGGTTGCAGTGAGCCAAGATTGCACCACTGCACTCCAGTCTGGGCAACAGAGCGAGACTTGGTCTCAAAAAAAAAAAAAAAAAAAAGATACAAAAATCAACTGGGTGGCACATGCCTGTGGTCCCAGCTACTCTAGAGGCTGAGGTGGGAGGACTGCTTGAGAAAGGGACTTCGAGGCTGCAGTGAGCTTTGATCACACCACTGCACTCCAGCCTGGGTGACACAGTGAGACCCTGTCTCAAAAAAAAAAAAAAAAAAAAAAGGAAAAAAAAACTGAAACTGAAAATAGCAGTATATGAATTATTAAAAATATAGAGCTAAAGACTAGAGGAAACGTTTAAGGAGTTGGAAATGGATGCCCAAGGGGAGCAGGAAGTGGTTAGAGGAGTGTGGCTGGGCTGCTTTTTGTAGGAGTATTTGATTTTCTTTGGAACTATGTTTTTATGTTTTTTAAAAATCCATCCATCTGCACACTGATATATGTTTCTTTTTGGAACTGTTTTCATTTTACCATGATAATACATAATTTGAATGCAACTGAAAACATTTTTTTAAGCAACAAGTCAGTATCATAGCAATTTTGGGCAGAAATAATAAAGGCCTGAAGCAGGTGCTGTGGAAAGACAGGAAGGGGAAACAGTTCAAGATTTTAGGCTGCTAGAATGGATGTTATCTAGTTGCCCCTGAGGCTGTGGAGCTCAAGAGAGAGGTCAGAGGCTGAGCCTGTGGGCTAAACAGGAAGGCGAAGCCATTAAGAGAAATAAAACCAGGGCCAGGTGCGGTGGCTCATGACTGTAATTACAGCACTTTGGGAGGCCAGAGTGAGAGGATCATTTGAGCCCAGGAGGCAGGAGTTTGAGAATAGCCCAGGCAATATATAGTGAGACGTGTCTTTATTAAAATATATATATATATATATATATATATTTTTTTTTTTTTAGATGGAGTCTCATTCTGTCACCCAGGCAGGAGTGCAGTGGCGCGATCTCGGCTCATTGCAACCTCCGCCTTCTGGGTTCAAGCGATTCTCCTGCCTCAGTCTCCCGAGTAGCTGGGACTACAGGCACACACCACCACACCCAGCTAAATTTTTATATTTTTAGTAGAGCCAGACAGGGTTTCACCATATTGGCCGGGCTGGTCTCCAACTCCTGACCTCGTGATTTGCCCGCCTCGGCCTCCCAAAGTGCTGGGATTACAGGCATGATCCACCCCTGCCCGGCCTAAAATAGTTTTTAAAATGTATTTTAAAAAAGAAAGAAAGAAAAAGAGCCAGGAGTGGTGGCTCACGCTTGTAATCCTGGCAGTTTGGGAGGCTTAGGTGGGTGGATCATTTGAGCTCAGGAATTTGAGACCATCCTGGGCAACATGGTGAGACCCTGTCTCTGCCAAAAACACAAAAAAAGAGCTGGGCATGGTGTTGTGTGCCTGTGGTCCCAGCTATTTGGGAGGCTGAGGTGGGAGGATCACTTGAGCCTGGGAGGTGGACGTTGCAGTGAGTTGAGATTGTGCAACTGCACTCCAGCCTGGGCAACAGAGTGAGACCCTATCTCAAAAACAAACTAATAATGTAGTCATTATAAAAACATAATCATAAAATATAGAAAAATATAAAGAAGAAAATCACATCAATTGTAATTCCAGTGAAAAAGGAGGGGTGAAAAAAAAGAAAAGAAAAAAAATTGTAATTCCAGGCCTGGTGCGGTGGCTTATGCCTGTAATCCCAGCACTTTGACAGGCTGAGGAGGGAGGAAACCTTGAGGCCAGGGGCTTGAGGCCAGCCTGGGCAACACAGTGAGACCCCATCCCCGTCACCGTCTCTACAAAAAAGAAAATACTTAGCAGGACATGGTGGTGTGTGCCTGTAGTCCCAGCTACTCTGGAGGCTGAGGATCTTGAGTCCAGGAGGTCGAGGTTGCAGTGAGCTGTGATCCCCCACTGCACTCACTCCAGCCTGGGCGACAGTGCAAGATCTTGTCTCAAAATGAGACAAAACGCAAAAACCATAAATCCATTTCCCCGAGATGAGCACTGTTCTTTATTTGGGGTCTCTTCATAAGCTCTATATGGTTCCTGAAGCTCAAGTTTCTGTACTGTGACCACCAAGCCCCACCTCCAGCTCCCACTTCCTCCCTCAGAATTTCCGGCTGTGTTCTGGATGGCTCTTCAGGGTACCTGGAGTTCACATGGCTGAAACCAAGCCCATTACCGATTTTCCCATCTCAGATCCCATCTTCACCAATCCCAGCAATGGATTCTAGCCCACAGCGGACCCAAGCGCTGAAATGATTATGGTGCCCAGTTCACATGTGCAAAGTGAGATGCTGTTCTGAAATATCAAATTGTTTTCTTTTGCTTTTTTTTTTTTTTTTTTGAGATGGAATTTCGCTTTATCGCCCAGACTGGGCACCATCTCAGCTCACTGCAACCTCTGCCTCCCGGGTTCAAGCAATTCTCCTGCCTCAGCCTCCCAAGTAGCTGGGATTACAGGTATGCGCCACCACGCCCGGCTGATTTTTGTATTTTTAGCAGAGACGGGGTTTTGCCATGTTGCCTAGACTTGTCTCAAACTCTTGGCCGCAAAGTATCCTCTCTCCTCAGCCTCCCAAAGTGCTGAGATTACAGGTGTGAGCCACCATGCCTAGCCCTGTAATTCCCTTCTAAGTAGTCACTCCGATTCAGCCATTACAGAATATATCAGGATGGTCACTTCCTTTACCATTCTCATCTGATATATTCTGCCTCAAATCCTCACATTTTGGGCACACGATCTTGAACTTCCAGGCTTCACTCTGCTGTTCTGTCTATAATGTTCGTCCCTCCTTCTCTGTCTAGAGAACTCTTTTCTTTTCTCAATTAACTCAAACGCTATGTGCTCTGGCAAGGCTTCTCCTGCTGTTCTTGGGAGAAAAGTCTACTGCCTCAAGGAAAAGGAACCGAGATCTTTTCTGCTAGGTGATCAGAGGAAACTTCACAGAGGTAGCTTTTGACCTAGACCTCCTAGTGGGGATAGGAGATCCTTGAGGTGAGAAGAAAAGGAGATAGAGGTCTGACATTAGGAGACTGCATTTAGAGACACCTCGCAGTCTAGCCCCGTTGAAGGACAGGCTGGGAAGGTACAGCTGGGAAGGTACAGGCTGGGAAACTTTAAAGTGAAGTTCTTTAAACTAAGGGAGACAGTTTAATAGGGAGATAACTTAATGAGTGTGTTTTTGATTGTACTGGAAAGCCAAACAAATTCTGGATGTGGGTGTTGTCTGCTTGGAGAAGCAACTGAAATGCTCCCCATTTAATAGCATTAAAATAGTTGATGCTATTTTCTTATTCTGCACTTTGTATAGAACTGTGATTATTATTATAATTTTTGAGACGGAGTTTTGCTCTTGTTGCCCAGGCTGGAGCGCAATAGCACAAACTCGGCTCACCGCAACCACCCCCTCTCGGATTCAAGCGATTCTCCTGCCTCAGCCTCTCGAATAGCTGGGATTACAGGCATGCGCCACCACGCCCGGCTAATTTTGTATTTTTAGTAGAGACAGGGTTTCTCCATGGTGCTCAGGCTGGTTTCGAACTCCCGAGCTCAGGTGAGGCGCCCGCCTCAGCCTCCCAAAATGCTGGGATTACAGGCGTGAGCCATCGTGCCCGACCAAACGTACCTATTTCCCCCCCCCCCCCGCCTCCCTGAGACGGAGTCTCGCTCTGTCGCCCAGGCTGGAGTGCAGTGGCACGATCTCCGCTCACTCCAAGCTCCACCTCCCGGGTTCACGCCATTCTGCCTCAGCTTCCCAGTAGCTGGGACTACAGGCACCCGCCACCACGCCTGGCTAATTTTTTGTATTTTTAGTAGAGACGGGGTTTCACCGTGTTAGCCAGGATGGTCTCCATCTCCTGACCCCGTGATCCGCCCGCCTCGGCCTCCCAAAGTGCTGGGATTACAGGGGTGAGCCACTGCGCCCGGCCCAGACGTACCTATTAAAGAGACATCCTGGCTGGGCACAGTGGGTCACGCCTAATCTCAGCACTTTGGGAGGCAGAGGCGGGACAATTGCTTGAGGCCAAGAGTTCGAGACCAGTCTGGGCAACAAAGTAAGACCCTGTCTCTACAAAAAAAATAAAAAATAAAAGGTAGATCCAATTCATTCAAATAGTATTCACTAGCACCTACAATGTTCCGAGCCAGGTGCTGAGTATCATGGGAGAAAAAAAAAAAAAGCCAGAGTCACAGCTCTGGCAGGGCGTGGTGGCTCACGCCTGTAATCCCAACACTTTGGGAGGCCGAGGCGGGTGGATCACCTGAGATCAGGAGTCCGAGACCAGCCTGACCAACATGGTGAAACCCCGTCTCTACAAAATACAAAAAATAGCCGGGTGTGGTGGCGCGCACCTGTAGTCCCAGCTACTCGGGAGGCCGAGGCAAGAGAATAGCTTGAACCCGGGAGGGAGAGGTTGCAGTGAGCCGAGACTGCACCACTGCACTCCAGCCTGGGCAACAAGAGTGAAACTCCGTCTCAAAAAAAAAAATAATGATAATTTTGGGAGGCCTAGGCGGTCGGATCACCTGAAGTCGGGAGTTTGAGACCAGCCTGACCAACATGGAGAAGCCCCGTCTCTACTAATAATACAAAATTGGCCGGGCGTGGTGGTGCACGCCAGTAATTCCAGCTACTTGGGAGGCTGAGGCAGGAGAATCTCTTGAACCCGGGAGGCGGAGGTTGCGGTGAGCCGATATCGCGCCATTGCCCTCCAGCCTGGGCGACAGAGCGAGACTCCGTCTCAAAAAAAACAAAAACCAAAAACCAAAAAACTAAGTACGTCTTTTAATCTATTTCTCCAAAGAAGCTTCTATATTCTACTTTCCAGCCAGCCCCTAGAAACAAGCAGTATACTTCTACCCAGATCTCAACCACACTCCCGCCCAGAAGTTAACTCTGGGGTGAGCAAAGCTGGCCCCCACGTTGTCCTTCCGCAGAACCTTTGGTAGGGTAAGCTCCCGGGGCCACTTCCCGCCAACCCCTCCCTGCAGCCCAGCCCCACCCGCGCATCCCCGGGCGTGGCCGAGCACGGCGCCTTTAAGAAGGGGGAGGCGCCCAAGAGGAAAGACAAAGCCCCTGGCCGCGCGCTCACCCTCCCCCTCCGGCGCACCACACGGACAGTGGTGCCCGGATGTCGGTGTCGCCGTCGGTGACAGATGGCGCAGTATCTGTATATGCGAGGGGCTTCTCCGGCTTGACCTCTTTGAGTTCTCGTCCTCTCCATCCCCCGCTGTCCCCCACTTTTAACTCTGCCGTCGGAGGCCCGCACGCCTATCACGGGCGCTTACATAACGTGACCTTTCACCTCTTCAGACTGCCCTCTAGTGCGCTGCAACCCAACTACGCGACAGGGGCAGGGGGGCGGGACCCAGGCGCGGAGCGGCAGCTCCTCCGAGCCAATAGGCTGTGAGCGCTGACCAGCTCTCCGCCTATTGGAGCATTCGCCACCGGCGCCACGGGGGAGCAAGTTAGTGTGTGCGTTGGCCGGGCCCGGGGGAGGAGGGGAATCTCCCGCCATTTTTCAATAATTTCCTCCGGTGCTGCTGAGGAGGAGTCGTGACTGCCGGCCGCCGGGACCCGAAGCGGAGGTCGGCGGGGGGCTGCTGGGAGGCGCGGCGGTGTGCGCGGGAGCTCTGCGCCGTGGCGTTCCGCTCCATGACTGTCGCGCGGCCGCGCCGGCGGTGAGGGAGCCGGAGTTCGCGCCGCCCTCTCACCCCTCCCTTCCCCCACCCCACCCCCGGGCGCCTGGCGCTCGCTCCGGGCCGCGGGGCCTAGTGCTGCGCCGCGGGGCCGGCCCCAGCAGCCGCCAGTCCCCACCGCCGCCGCCGCGATGGCGCCGCTCCTGGGCCGCAAGCCCTTCCCGCTGGTGAAGCCGTTGCCCGGAGAGGAGCCGCTCTTCACCATCCCGCACACTCAGGAGGCCTTCCGCACCCGGGAGTATCCTTTTCCAGCCGCGCGGGCCGGGCTGGGCCGGGCTGGGCCGGGGTAGGGCCTGGGGCTCGCGAGACCAGGTCAGCCGCGCATCCCCGGCCCGGGGCAGCTGTCAGCGCGCCCCGGCCGCTCGCGGGCCTGGAGGCTGAGTCTCAGCCTGCGCCCGCCGATCCTTCCAGGGGATCCGGCGGGGGGCGCGCACCGGCCCTGGAAGGAGAAGGGCCCGCTTCGGCCGCCCCCGGGGCCCCGCACTTTGTCCCGGGGCCTCGCCGGCGAGGAGCGCATCCCCCATCCCCATTACCTTCCCCGGGTTGGCTTTAGGCCTTGAGGACCCGAGAGGGAGGAGGAGGCGTGGGGAGGGGGAGCTAGGTTTTCTCCTTTAATTTTTACAAAAATTTTTTAAAAATTTAAATGAAACCTGCAGCTTAAGTTTTGAAATTGTACTCGCGCGGCCTCGTGATGCGGCGTGTGCAAGACTCAACTGCGTCTTACCCCGATCTCTGCGGGGATACTTGGCGTTTTTTTCGTCTCCCGAGGGGACTTTAGGCCGGGGATGAACTGACAGGACCCTGGGGCAGAAAACTAGGAATGAGATTCCCCGCTTAGAGGAAAGGGAGGGAAGGAAACTGCCTGTGGAGGAGCTGATGCCTGCCTTCCCTGGGCAGACACAGGTTTGAAATTTTGAAGGTTTAGAAGGAGATTGGTATTTGTTAAAATTAAACAAACAAAAAAACCAAGACGTGAAGTTTTTATGTTGTATTTTAGGAACATGAAATTGGATGTTTTACAAAGGAAGCATCCTCTCGTCATGACTAAGATTTCTTGCATAAGCATTATCTTTTAGTGAAAAGTTGTGCAGCTTTTATTTGCTTTTTTTTAATGGGTGCCAGAAGAATCGTTTTTGAGGCTTATCTGTAAAAAAAACAAAAACGATTTCGGAATCAAGCATTTCTTTGGTGACTGAAAGCTTTAAGAGTGAAGGCTAATGTGTTATGAGTTTTCTCAGCCCCTTCTGTTCGGAAGGACTTCATTTCTCAGTTTCTTGCTTGCTTCTGTATAGGAGGAAGTGTCTCTCAGAGTTATTTCATTTCTCCCTGATCCTCACTTTAACGCAGTACTTTAGAGGATAATCTCATTCTTGTTGGAGTGCAATTTGTGAGTGTCCCTTTGTGGGGAGTATACACACAAAGGGGCCTGGAAAATCAGTCCATGCTGGAGGAAGGCTCTTGGAGAAATAGAGCTGTAGCATCTTGGAGCTGAAGTGGATCTTGGAGGTGGTCGGGTCCTCGGGCTTGGTTTGCTGAGTTGGCCCAGAGAGTGGAGGTTGACTTGTTGAAGGTCAAATGATGAAAGAGGAGTAGAATCCACCGCTCTTCCTACCTCATCCCTGTAAGTCAATCAACAGAAGAAGGTGGAATGTTACTCCTTCACTTTCAATTAATTTAAATATTACCTCACTTTTTTGTCATTATGGTATAAGGTAAGGCACTTTAAAGTGGAGGGGTGGTGATCTGGTTTTTTTCTTGTCCTGTGAAGACTTGGAATGTTCTGGAGAAGTTCCACTAGCTCTACCAAATACTGCATTATACCGAAGTACCCCACTTTTTTTTTTTTTTTTTTTTGAGACGGAGTTTCCCTCTTGTTAACCCAGGTGGCAGTGCAGTGGCACGATCTGGGCTCACTGCCATCTCCGCCTCCAGGGTTCAAGTGATTCTCCTGCCTCAGCCTCCTGAGTAGCTAGGATTACAGGCGCGTGCCACCACGCCCGGCTAACTTTTTGTGTTTTTAGTAGAGATGGGGTTTTACCATGTTGGCCAGGCTGGTCTCAAACTCCTGACCTCAGGTGATCCGCCCATCTCGGCCTCCCAAAGTACTGGGATTAACAGGCGTGAGCCACCGCGCCTGGCCAGTACCCTACTTTTTAATACATTCGAATCGGCAGTGGAGTAGCAACTTGTGAGAATCCGACATATACTTTTCCAATGTCATTAATGTTTTGAGCCGTTGATGGATGCTCACACACTTTCAGATGATACTTTCTCAGGTCTGGTTCTAGCAGAGTATAAGAAACATGCCATAGAGAAGAGACAATTTCTAAGTATATTTCAGGTACTGAGCTATGTAAAAAATGGCTGTAGGAAGTTAATTTAGGACTGGCAACGCAGGCTTTTTCATATTATTGAATGAATGAAATTGAAATATATATATGAAGAGTTTTGATGGTAACAATTTAAAACTGAAACCGGAAACATTTTAAGTGGTATGTATTTAATAAACATTCTTCATTTTTTAATTTCCCATAACAGCATTTAAAACTGTTTTAACAAAAGAAGTCTTAAAACATATTATATATTGGGGGGAAATTGCTCTTTCGGGAATTTCTGCAAGTGGAAGCACTTTGAGGATGGTTTTTAAACAATTGTACTGTATGGTTGGCAGATTGGCATATTTCTTTATTAGGCTATTAGTGGTTTCATAGAGGAGAACAAATATGTGGTTAGGTAACAGCTGCCTTTGAAGTAGTATTCCCAGTTCTCAACTTATATTTACAATTATGTTTTTAATGGGACTTGATATTTTAATTTTCTTTTAATACCTACCTTTTGATTGCATGTATCACAGAACTTTGTGTGATATTTTACTGACTTAAAGCTGTATGTTGGTATGTTCTTGGAGTATATTGTGAATCTTCATTAAACTTAGTGGAAGTTGTGAGTAATGCACACATTTAATGACTAGGTGTTAAATATTGGTGATTATGTTGATTGTACTGTAGCTTTGTATGGTACATTACTTCCTAAGGTATTCCCACAGGCAGGACACTAGATCTTGGAAAACACTAACTTTATCAGAATCAGTTCTTGATGTGACACTGACTGTATTTAAGTCAAGATAGGTTTTAGGCAGGAATTGGAGCTACAAGCAGCGTGTTGTAGATGAGTATTTTTGTTGTGTTACTTCAACTGTCATAGTTTCTAAAGCTTAGAAATAACTAGTTCACGACCTTTGTAGCATCATTATGTGAGAATTTATTGAGGGTATGATAATGAGGGGCTTATTCATACTGTTAATCTGGCTCTACACAAGTGTGACTAGAGCATGTTTTTGTTTTGTTTTAAGAGATGGAATCTTGCTGTGTTGCCCAGGCTGGAGTGCAGCAGCTGTTCACAGACGAGGTGGTAGCACAGGGAAGCCTTGAACCGGACTCAAGAGATCCTCCTGCCTCAGCCTCCAGAGTAGCTGGGACTACAGGCACGCACTACTGCGTCTGCCTTAGAGCATGTGTTAAGAGTTGAGTAGCTATAGATGGAGTTAAGTTGTAGTTGTAAGATAGAGTTTTACTGGACATTTGGAATACTGAGCTCTTACGTTGATTTTTATTTTTATTTTTATTTTTATTTATTTATTTATTTATTTTTTGAGACGGAGTCTCGCTCTGTCGCCCAGGCTGGAGTGCAGTGGCGCGATCTAGGCTCACTGCAAGCTCCGCCTCCCGGGTTCACGCCATTTTCCTGCCTCAGCCTCCTGAGTAGCTGGGACTACAGGCGCCCGCCACCACGCCTGGCTAATTTTTTTTTTTTTTTTTGGTATTTTTAGTAGAGATGGGGTTTCATTGTGTTAGCCAGGATTGTCTTGATCTCCTGACCTTATGATCCGCCCGCCTCGGCCTCCCATAGTTCTGGGATTACAGACGTGAGCCACTGCGCCCAGCCTGATTTTTATACATTCTTTAAAGTAATACGTTATGCCATATTAGACTTGTTTTTAACTTAAAGACAGTCTGGAGTCTTTAAGAGAAAAAATCGAGTAAGAGAGAATATCGAGTAAAAAGCAAATCTTGAGTTGGCTCACTCTTTGCCATCTTCTGACTTAGAGCACTTAGGTTAGTTACAGTTATGCTTGTTTGACTCTATACTTATCTGGGCCACATCTTTTCAGGATATCAAGTACTTAATTGAAAGAAACAATCCCTGCAAGACTGAAGAGAACAAAGCAGCAGCATATTGTGATAAGGAGGTAGCTGATGGCAAAGTAGATACATAATGAGATAGTCTAGGATTCGAAAATATCTTATCTTTTATAGCTTACACAACCTTTGGAGAATTGCTTTGACATTTTGTCTGCAATTATATGTGCAGCAGTTGCTGGAACATAAAAACCTCAATTGGCATTTGCTCTGAGAGGTTATTTGAGAGTGAGTGACTTATTTTGGTAACCTAAAATCTGAAATAGGATTTAGAGGCAGCTGACTCAATATCCTTCTGATGGGCCTTTTTGCCTTTTCATTTTCATTTTTTTTCTTGCTTTCCCTTTTTTTCTTATTCATTTATTTATTGAGACAGGGTCTCACTCTGTTGCCCAGGCTGGAGTGCAGTGATGTGTGATCATGGCTTACTGCAGCCTCCAACTTCCCAGGCTCAAGTGATTCTTCCCACTCAGCCTGCTGAGTAGCTATAACCATAGGTGCACACCACCACGCCTAATTTTTGTATGTTTTGTAGAGACGAGACGAGGTCTTGCAAAGTTGCCCCGGCTGGTCTTGGATTTCTAGCCTCAAGTGATCCTCCCGCTTCAGCCTCCCAAAGTGCTGGAATTACAGGTATGAGCCACTGTGTGTGGCCTTACTTTCTCTCTTTTTTTTTTGTTTTTGAGCTGGGTTATTGCTGTGTCGCCCAGACTGGAGTGCAGTGGTGCGATCTTGGTTCACTACAACCTCCGCCTCCTGGGTTCAAGCAATTCTCCTGCCTCAGACTCCCAAGCAACTGGGATTACAGGCACCCACCACCACGCCTGGCTAATTTTTTGTATTTTTAGTAGAGATGGGGTTTTACCACGTTGGCCAGGCTGGTCTCGAACTCCTGACCTCAAGTTGATCCACCGGCCTCAGCCTCCCAAAGTGCTGGGATTACAGGCGTGAGCCACCATGCCCAGCCTTGCTTTCTCTTAATATAATTACCAGAACAGTTACCAGAACAGTTACACAAACTTAAAATAGCCGTTGTTAGGGGTTGTAGGAAATTCTTTTACAGTTGTTTTTTTTTTTTTTTTTTTTTTTTTTTGAGACAGTCACAGTCTGTCGCCCAGGCTGGAGTGCAATGGTGCAATCTTGGCTCACTGCAACCTCCGCCTCCCAACTTCGAGCAATTCTCCTGCCTCAGCCTCCCAAGTAGCTGGGATTACAGGCGCCTGCCACCATGCCTGGCTATTTTTTGTATTTTTAGTAGTTTCACCATGTTGGCTAGGCTGGTCTCGAATTCCTGACCTCAGTGATCCACCCCCTCGGCCTCCCACAGTGCTGGGATTACAGACGTGAGCCACCGCGCCTGGCCCCAGATTTTATAATCAGTTTGACTAGGCAATTAATTTTAAGTTAATACTGTCAGAGGACATTTTCTGAGATGTATACTTCAGGTTTCAGTGCTGTCCAACAAAAGTATAATGTAAGCCATATGTAATTTAAAATTTTGTAGTACTCTCATATTAAAAAAAGAAAAAAATGGTGGGAAAAAAGAAAACAGCTGGATGTGGTGGTGTGCGCCTGTAGTCCCAGCTACTCAGGAGGCCAAAGCTGGAGGATTCCTTAAACCCAGAAGCTTGAGACCAGACAAGGCAATGTAGTGAGACCACCATCTCCAAAAACATAAATAAATAATAAAAAAGAAAACCACATTTTTCTCTTTGCTTTTGAGTGGAGTCTCGCTCTGTAGCCCAGGCTGGAGTACAGTGGTGCCATCTCGGCTCACTGCAACCTCCACCTCCTGGGTTCAAGTGATTCTCCTGCCTCAGCCTCCCGAGTAGCTGGGACTACAGGCACGTGCACCACACCTGGCTCCTTTTTTGCACTTTTTAAGTAGAGACGGGGTTTCACCGTGTTGGCCAGGCTAGTCTCGAACACCTGGCCTCAAGTGATCCGTTCCCCTCTGCCTCCCAAAGTGCTGGGATTACAGGCGTGAGCCACCACACCCTTCCACATTTTTCTCATTTTAAGACCAAGGCTGACACCTGGTATGGTTGTTCATGCCAGCACTTTGGGAGGCTGAGGCAGGTGAATTGCTTGAGCCCAGGAATTTGAGGTCAGCCTGGACAACAGTGAATGAAACCCTGTCTCTACAAAAAAAATAGAAAAATTAGCTGGACATGCTGGCGTTTGCCTGTGGTCCCAATTACTTGGGAGGCTGAGGTGGGAGGATCACTTGAGTCCAGGAGGCAAAGGTTGCAGTGAAGCGAGATGGTGCTATTGCACTCCAGCTTGGGTGACAGAGCAAGACCCTGCTTCAAAAAAAAAAAAAAAAAAAAAAAAGGAACAAGGCTGGAGGGGCAGACCCTGTGTGTGACATGTCTTGCTTGCTAGTTTGCTAGTGGCACAAAGAAAGAGCTAGAAGACATCATGACTTTAAGCCTCTTCCGGGAAGTGACATATATTACATCTGCTCACATCTATTGGTCGAAACCAGTCACGGGGTCAAGCTTGATGTTAATGAAGAGGGGAGGTACATTCCTCTTCAGGGACCTTGTAGACAAGCCACATGGCAGTGGGTGGAGATGTAAAAATCCTCTTATGGAAAGGAGGTGAATAGTTAGAAACTAATACAATCTATCATATTTGAAGGTTCAATGAATGTTTTCTGGGAAAAGTTATTTTTGAGATCTAAAGGATGATTAGAATTTAGACGAATAATAGAGGACTGTATATTCTTGGCAGAGAAGGTGTGATGAGTTCGTCGTGATTGTGTGAGTTTGGAGGTTTTTTGTTTTTTTTTGAGACAGATTCTCACTCTGTCATCCAGGGTGGAGTACAGCGGTGTGATCTTGGCTCACTGCAACCTCCGCCTTCCTCATTCAAGCAGTTCTCTGCCTCAGCCTCCCGAGTAGCTGGGATTACAGGCGCCCGCCACCATGCGTGGCTAGTTTTTTAGTAGAGACAGGGTTTCACCATCTTGGCCAGGCTGGTCTTGAACTCCTAACCTCGTGATCCACCCACTTCAGCCTCCCAAAGTGCTGGGATTACAGGCGTGACCCACCATGCCCGGGCTAATCTTCTTTTTTTAGACAGTCTCCCTCTGTTGCTCTCCATCACAGCTCACTGCAACCTCCACCTCCTGGGCTCAAGTGATCCTCCCACCTCAGATCCCTGAGTAGCTGGAACTACAGGCCTGTGCCACCACATTCAACTAATTTTTTTTTAATAGAGATGGGGTTTTGCTATGTTGCCCAGGCTGCTCTTGAACTCCTGGGCTTGAGCGATGTTCGTGCCTGGGCCTCATAAACTGCCACTATGCAGTTTTTTTTTTTTTTTTTGAGACTGAGTTTCACTCTTGTTGCCCAGGCTACAGTGCAATGGCATGATCTCAGCTCACTGCGACCTCCGTCTCCAAGGTTCAAGCAGTTCTCCTGCATCAGCCTCCCGAGTAGCTGGGATTACAGCCGCACGCCACCACGCCTGGCTAATTTTTTGTATTTTTAGTAGAGACGGGGGTTTCACCATGTTGGCCACGCTGGTCTCGAACTCCTGACCTCAGGTGATCCACCTGCCTTGGCCTCCCAAAATGCCAGGATTATAGGCATGAGCCACTGTGCCTGGCCGGCCCCTACTTTTTTTTGTTTTGTTTTTTTCTGGCCCCTGCTTTTTAAAGTAACAACTCTAGGTTGAACATCCCAAATCCATAAATCAGAAATGCTCCAAAATCTGAAAGTTTTTGAGCCCCAACATGATCGTCAAAGGAAGAGCTCATTGGAGCATTTTGGATATTTGGATTTGGGATGCTGAACTAGTAAGTATAATGCAAATACTCCAAAATCTGAAAGAAATTCAAAATCCAAAATACTCCCGGTTCTAAGCATTTTGGATAAGGGATCCTCAACCTGTAATAATAAAAACTTACTGTTCTCTCTTTAAGACATATTTGTTAATGTATTTCTCTTACATTCTCTCTGATGACACAGTGAGTTTTTTTTTTTCTTTTAATAGTTTTTTGTAAAGTCGCTATGTTCAGGCTGGTTTTGAACCCCTGGGCTCAAGATCCCCCCACTTTGTCCTCCCAAATGCTGGGATTGCATGTGTAAGCTACCATGCCTGTTGGAGCTTCTTAAATATGGCTAAATAATGTGTTAGAATGTTATCAAGCTTTTTGAAAGCTTAAATAAGTCCACTTACTGATTCCTCCTCTGTCCTTATTTTACTACCCATCCCTTCCACTCCCCTAGTTCAGTAGACAAAAATAAGACAAATCCGTCTTGGGATAATGTCCTCTGGAAGCCGTTCCGTTGCTCTTCTCTGGGTATAAGTTTGAAAATTTTTCGGTGATTGGATTTACATATCTGTATATGGAAGTCTGACTCAGGTTTTTACTCAAACATTCTATATATTTTGTTTAATCACTTAGATATTAGCACCACCCCTGTAAGGAAAATGGATTTATTACTCAGTTTTAGCAGATCTGGGGAAAGATCCACAATGAGCAAAGGTGCTTATACTATTGCATAAAGTTACTATTTTGGATTACCTGTGGGTTTGTTCTTGTTTGCGTTTTTGCTGATCATAACCTTGGAAAACCAAGCATCTATATTTATTAAACATGCGGCTGGGCGTGGTGGCTCACACCTGTAATCCCATAACTTTGGGAGATTGAGGCAGGAGGACTGTTTGAGCCCAGGAGTTCAAGACCAACCTGGGCAATGTGGTGAGACCCTGACTCTGCAAAGATAAAAAATGTAGGTGGGCATGGTGGTGTGCACCTGTAGTCCTAGCTACTCAGGAGGCTGAGGCCCAGGATTGCTTGACCCCAGGAGGTCAAGGCTACAGTGAGCCATGATCCCACCACTGCACTTCAGCCTGGGTGACAGAGTGAGACCCTGTGTCAAAAATAAATACATAAATAGATAAAAATGAGCTAGATGCTGCAGTGTAAGTCTGTAATCCCAGCTATTCAGGAGGCTAAGGTAGGAGGATCTCTTGAGCTCAGGAGATACAGGCCAGCCTTGTTTCCAAAAAACAAAAATTAGAATATTTGTTTATTTGTTAGATAGTATTGTAGAGGAAACTGTTTAAATACTTTTATTTCAACCACTATAAAATGTGTCACTTGGAATATACAGGTATTGTTCACTAACTTTCTACTTATGTCAGTTGATTTTCTTACATAGCATCTGTTGCTGTGCTTAAAAGTAAATTAGTTACTTGCCGTTTGAATTTGGAAGTGGCTGGCTGATGGTGAATTCCAGTTGGTTTTGTGTGGAAAGTTGCCATATTTACACTACCAACTTGATGTTTTTCTTTCCCTCGTCTCCCTCACGAAGACTGTCTAAACGGCTAGTAAATGATCTTCTGAATCTCAGTATTATTGGAGACATCATAGAGACTGGATAAATATTATATCAAAAGTACTTTCCGGAATACTTCTAAGTATTTTATGAAATTTATTTTTTAAACCAGGGTAGCCAATCTTTTGGCCATATTGGAAGAAGAATTGTCTCGGGCCACACATAAAATACACTAACACTAAAAACAGTTGATCAGCTAAAAAAAAAAAAAATCACACAAAAAACTCATAATGTTTTAAGAAACTTTATGAACTTGTGTTGGGCTGTGTTCAAAGCCGTCCTGGGCCGCAGGTTGGACAAAGGTTGGACAAGCTTGTAAACCCTAAGAAGTAACATGTTTCCAAGGTGGACTGGAGGGCTGTGGGTAAATGGATCATTAATGTATGCTCAAGGTTATTCCAAACTGCCTGTGAGACTGTGGCCTAGTCACCTCATTTTACTGTAGACTGATTCCTTTTTTTTTTTTTTTTTTTTTTTTTTTTTGAGGTGGAGTTTCGCTCTTATCACCCAGGCTGTAGTGCAGTGGTGCCATCTCGGCTCACTGCAACGGCCTCCCAGGTTCAAGTGATTCTCCTGCCTCAGCCTCCTGAGTAGCTGGGATTACAGGCATGTGCCACCAAGCCCGGCTAATTTTTTTTTTTTTTTTGATTTTTAGTAGAGATGGGGTATCTCCATGTTGCTCAGGCTGGTCTCGAACATCTGACTTCAGGTGATCTGCCTGCCTCGGACTCCCAAAGTTCTGGGATTACAGGCGTGAGCCACCACGCCTGGCAGTGGTGGACTGACTCTTAAACTTGTCTGAGTTTTCTGAAAATTTTGCTTACCTTACATTGTTATTTTTTATGACTTGTGTTTTAATGTACCTTTACTTTTTCTTATGAGTTTTTGGTACAGCGTAAGTCTTGTGTAATGAAACTTTGGTGAATTGAGGAAATCACATTTGTACTAAAATATTAATTTTTTTTGTAAAACACGAAAAACCATTTTTATTATTTTTTATTTTTATTTTTTGTAGAGATGAGGTCTCATCATGTTGCCCAGGCTGGTCTCGAACTCCTGGTCTCAAGTGATTGTCCTGCCGTGGCCTCTCAAAATGCTGAGATTAGAGACGTGATCATCCCAGTCTGTAAATCCCATGCAGGTGCCCAGCCCATGACAATCCATTCTCATTATACTTCAGTCTTAGTCATCTTGCTTTGGGCCCTGATTCCATTTTTTTCATTTTTTTTTATTTTTTTTAGTTTTTGAGACGGAGCCGCACTGTCTCCCAGGCTTGAGTGCAGTGGCGTGATCTTGGCTCACTGCAAGCTCCGCCTCCCGGGTTCACGCCATTCTCCTGCCTCAGCCTCCTGAGTAGCTGGGACTACAGGCGCCCACAACCACTCACAGCTAATTTTTTGTATTTTTAGTAGACACGGGGTTTCACCGTGTTAGCCAGGCTGGTCTCGATCTGACCTCGTGATCCGCCCGCCTCGGCCTCCCAAAGTGCTGGGATTACAGGCGTGAACCACTGCGCCCGGCCTCCAATTCCATTTTTATCCTCTCATGCTACACATTTTAAAAAGGAGACTAGATTTTTTTCTGTATATAAGTATCTTATGGGTATGGGTTTGTCGTCTCTGTTGCTTGCATATTGTTTTCCTGAACTACTGCCAACAGAGAGTATGAAGCCCGCTTGGAAAGGTACAGTGAGCGCATTTGGACGTGCAAGAGTACTGGAAGCAGTCAGCTAACACACAAGGAAGCCTGGGAGGAAGAACAGGAAGTTGCTGAGCTGTAAGTAATGGAAGTATTGCTCTTTGCCACCATCTTCACATTGTTAGGAAAGGAGGGAATATTAACCCTAAAGCAGTATGTGTATTTAAGTTTATGGGGCACAAATTAGACTATATTACATTAGTGTACTGTATGGGTTTCTGGGTTCCTTTGCCTAATGGCATTTTGCAGTAGCAATATGGAATATTTATTTAGTTATAGGTGCACTTGTTTAGGTATTTACCAGGCCTTTGAGTGTTCCTGCTCCATACTTTGACCTTGTAAGTACTCTGGTAATGTGGTTTATTCTTTTTTGCTTTTTCTTTTTTTGAGACGGAATCTCGCTCTCGCCCAGGCTGGAGTGCAGTGGCACGATCTCGGCTCACTGCAAGCTCCGCCTCCCGGGTTCAAGTGATTCTCCTGCCTCAGCCTCCCAAGTAGCTGGGACTACAGGTGCTCGCCACCAAGCCCGGATAATTTTTTGTAGTTTTAGTAGAGATGGGGTTTCACTATGTTAGCCAGGATGGTCTCAATCTCCTGACCTCGTGATCCTCCCGCCTTGGCCTCCCAAAGTGCTGGGATTACAGGCGTGAGCTACCGCGCCTGGCCCTTATTCTTATTTTTATTTTTGAGATGGAGTCTCACTCTGTTGCCCAGGCTGGAATGCAGGGGCACGATTTCGGCCCACTGTAACCTCTATCTCCTGGGTTCAAGTGATTCTCGTGCCTCAGCCTCCTGAGTAGCTGGGTCTACAGGCGCTCACCACCACGCCTGGCTAATTTTTGTGTTTTTAGTAGAGATGGGGTTTCACCATGTTAGCCAGGCTGGTCTCGAACTCCTGACCTCAAGCGACCTGCTCATTTCGGCCTCCCAAAGTGCTGGGATTACAGGCGTGAACCACTGCACCCAACCGGGTATGATAATTAAATTTTTTTTTTTTTTTGCTAGTTTAATAAGTGAAAAGTGTTAAATCATTGCTGTCCTTTTGCAACAGCTCTGGTGTTCAAGTCACGTTT
Source organism: Homo sapiens (assembly GCF_000001405.40). Classification (NCBI taxonomy): domain Eukaryota; kingdom Metazoa; phylum Chordata; class Mammalia; order Primates; family Hominidae; genus Homo; species Homo sapiens. The sequence continues at coordinate 73,509,740 of NC_000007.14, read as the reverse complement.
CCAACATGTTAACGCTTCCTGGTTTCCTTTTTTTTAAGAGGCACAGTTTCGCTCTGTTGCCCAGGGTGGAGTGCAGTGGTATGCACATAGCTCCTGGGATCAAGCCAGCCTCTTGCCTCAGCCTCTTACGTAGCTGGAACTATAGGTGCATGCCACCTCACCCAGCTAATTATTTTAGTTTTTTATAGAGGCAGGTTCTCACTCTGTTGGCCAGGCTGGTCTCAAACTCCTGGGCTCAAGCAATCCTCCCACCTGTGCCTTTCAAAGTGCTGGGACCCACTGTGTCCAGCAAACTGCATGTTTTTTTTTAATCTTTGTATTCCCCAGTGCTTTACGTATATTTGCTAAAGCAGTGTTGTTTTGCTGTGAACCTAAAACTCGTAAAATGTTAAGTGTTTTTTTTTGTTTGTTTGTTTTTTGAGACTGAGTCTCTCTCTGTTGCCCAGGCTGGAGTGCAATGGTGTGATCTTGGCTCACTGCAACCTTCGCTTCCCGTGTTCAAGTGATTCTCCTGCCTCAGCCTCCCGAGTAGCTGGGATTACAGGCATGTGCCACCACGCCCGGCTAATTCTTGTATTTTGAGTAGAGACAGGGTTTCGCCATGTTGGCCAGGCTGGCCTTGAACTCCTGACCTCAGGTGATCTGCCCGCCTTGGCCTCCCAAAGTGCTAGGATTACAGGTGTGAGCCACCACGCCCAGCCAAAAGTTAAGTCTTTTTTTTTTTTTTTGAGATGGAATCTCGCTCTGTCGCCCAGGCTGGAGTGCAGTGGTGCGATCTCGGCTCACTGTAAGCTCCGCTTCCTGGGTTCATGCCATTCTCCTGCCTCAGCCTCCCAAGTAGCTGGGACGATAGGCACCAGCCACCATGGCCGGCTAATTTTTTATATTTTTAGTAGAGATGGGGTTTCATCGTGTTAGCCAGGATGGTCTTGATCTCCTGACCTCGTGATCCACCCGCCTCGGCCTCCCAAAGTGCTGGGAATACAGGCGTGAGCCACCGCGCCCTGCCCAAAAGTTAAGTCTTAAAAGAGGTTAGGTGCAGTGGTGCATGCCTGTGGTCCCAGCTACCTGAGAGGTAGGAGGATTGTTCGAGCCCAGGAGGTGGAGGCTAGTGAGCTATGATTGTGCCACTGCACTCCAGCCTTGGTGACAGAGCGATAAATGTTTGAAATGTTTGGAAAAGAAAGAAAGAAATGTTTGAATTGACTTGAATTAAATCTCTGGGTAGGTGTTTCTGTGTTTTCTTGATAACTAATTACATTTATTTAGTTTGAAGGAGGAGTTTCCTGCCTGGTATGAGAAGCTTGTTCTGGAAATGGTTCACCATAACACAGCCTCCTTAGAGAAGTTAGTAGATACTGCTTGGTTGGAGATCATGACCAAATATGCTGTGGGAGAAGAGTGTGACTTCGAGGTGAGTGCCTGTTCGTTTCTGATTTGACTTACCATCAGAATTAGAGCTGTCATCGTAGGTTACAGAACACATTTCTATGTGTGTAAAACTGTGTTATATTTAGTATTATATTTAATGTTAAGTATTAATACTTTACGTTAATACTTGTGTGTTTTCTTGGTTTTGTTTTTTTGAGATGGAGTCTCACTCTGTCGCCAAGGCTGGAGTGCAGTGCGCAATCTTGGCTCACTGCAACCTCATTCTCCCGTGTTCAAGTGATTCTCCCACCTCAGCCTTCTGAGTAGCTGGGACTACAGGTGTGCACCACCACGCCCGGCTAGTTTTTTGTATTTTTGGTAGAGACAGGGTTTCACCATTTTGGCCAGGCTGGTCTCAAACTCCTGACTTCAGATGATCCACCCACCTTGGCCTCCCATCAATTATTATAAGGACTAAATTTTATTTTTATTTATTTGTTTAGAGACAGGGTTTTGTTCTGTCACAGAGTCTAGAGTGCAGTGGTGCAGTCATAGCTCACTGTATGTAGCCTTGGACTCCCTGGCTTAAGCCGTCCGCCCACCTCAGCCTTCTGAGTAGCTGGGACTGCAGGCATGTGCCATCACTCTTGGCCTTGAACCAAATTTTAGAACCACATTCATCACTGAGAATGTTTTAGTATTGTAATAATTGCAACACTTTGTTGTACTGGTCTGTCCTTTGTCTTTTTCATCCTTTTTTGATAATTCTGTTATTTTGTCTTTTTGGTTTTGATTTTTCTTTTCTTTTTTTATTTTTCGGAGACAGGGTCTTAGTCTGTCATCCATGCTGGAATAGTGCAGTTTCGCGATCTTGGCTCATTGCAACCTCTACCTCCTGGGCTCAAGCGATCCTCTCATGTCACCCTCCATGTAGCTGGGACCACAGGTGTGCGCCACCATGCCTGACTAATTTTTTGTATGTTTTGTAGAGATGGGATTTCACCATGTTGCCCCAGCTGGTCTCTAACTCCTAAACTATTCTCTTGGCCTTCCAAAGTGCTGGGATTACAGGCATGAACCACTGTGCCCAACCCATGCAATGACCATGCTAATCTTCTCCATATTATTCCAGTTTCATTATATGTGCTGACAAAGTGAGCACATAATTGTTACTATGTTGAAAAGACTTGCAGGCCGGGCGTGGTAGCTCACACCTGTAATCCCAGCACTCTGGGAGGCTGAGGCAGGTGGATCACGAGTTCAGGAGATCGAGACCATCCTGGCTAACACGGTGAAACCCCATCTCTACTAAAAATATAAAAAATTAGCCGGCCGTGGTGGCGGGCGCCTGTAGTCCCAGCTACTCGGGAGGCTGAGGCAGGAGAATGGCGTGAATCTGGGAGGCGGAGGTTGCAGTGAGCCGAGATCGTGCCACTGCACTCCAGCCTGGGGGACAGAGCAAGACTCCATCTCAAAAAAAAAAAAAAAGACTTTAAGACTTTTTTTTTTTTTTTCTTTGAGGTGGAGTCTCGCTCTTGTCGCCTAGGCTGGAGTGCAATGGCGTGATCTCGGCTCACTGCAACCTCCGCCTCCCTGGTTCAAGTGATTCTCCTGCCTCAGCCTCCCGAGTAGCTGGGACTACAGGCGCCTGCCACCATGCCCTGCTAATTTTTTATTTTTGGTAGAGACGGGTTCTCTCCATGTTGGTCAGGCTGGTCTTGAACTCTCGACCTCGGGTGATATGCCTACTTCAGCCTCCCAGAGTTGGGATTACAGGCGTGAGTCACTGCGCCCGGCCTCAGACATGTTTAATCCAAGTCCTCGCTGTAATGAGAGTTGGACTTTTTCTACTTAAATTTTTTTTTTTTTTTAAGATGGAGTCTCGCTCTGTTGCCTAGGCTGGAGTGCAGTGGCATGATCTCAGCTCACTGCAAGATTCGCCTCCTGGGTTCACGCCATTCTCCTGCCTCAGCCTCCCGAGTAGCTGGGACTACAGGTGCCCACCACCACCCCCGGCTAATTTTTTTGTATTTTTAATAGAGACGGGGTTTCACTGTGTTAGCCAGGATGGTCTCAATCTCCAGACCTTGTGATCCACCTGTCTCGGCCTCCCAGAGTGCTGGGATTACAGGCATGAGCCAGTGCGCCCGGCCTTATTTGTTTTTTAATTATCCAGTCAAAATAGCTAAAGGATAACTATTACAAAAGTGATACCGAACACTAAAGCAATCCCTGTATAATCTTGTAACAGCTGAAAGTAAGATTCAGGAGAAAAAACTAAACAGTTGTTAAATATCTATCTGTATGTACTTGACACTGGGCTAATTGCTTTACATAATGTCTTGCAGAATTTGCACGGAAATCTTGAAGTGGTAGGTAGCCTTGTACATTTAAATGACATGTTGAGGTTGATACATACTAGTTATGAGTGCTTTCAGCCGTTATGTAGCGAAATTGTAATAATAGTCCGTAGTTCTCAAACTTTGGTGTGATACTTAAGCTACTGAAAATGCGTTCTTGGCTGGGCATGGTGGCTCAGGCCTGTAGTACCAGCACTTTGGGAGACCAAGGTGGGCAGATCACCTGAGGTCAGGAGTTTGAGACCAGCCTGGCCAACATGGCGATACCCTATCTCTCCAAAAAATACAAAAATTAGCCAGGTATGGTGGTGCATGCCTGTAGTCCCAGCTACTCGGGAGGCCGAAGTGGGAGAATTGCTTGAACTGTTTTTTTTTTTTCCCTCTCAGGACAAATGTTTAATTTGCTTCTCCATCATGCTTGAACTGTTCTTCAGCCCATTCCTTGAGAGTTCAGAAGGTCTAGGATAGACCTAACATTTTTCAGTTCTAACAGTCTGCAGGGTGGTAGTGATGCTGTTACATGAGGTACAACACTTTAGTAGTACTGGCTTAAACAAGACAGACGTGATTATCTCATGTAGTAAGTCTTAGATAGTTCCAAGTTTGGTATAGAGGCTGAATACTATTGTCAAGACCTAGACTTTCTCTGTCTTTCTGTTCTGTTCTTCTCAGTGTGTTGAGTTCTGGTCCTTAGCTTTGCTGTCCCCTGAGTTGTGAAAAAATGTGACTGTATTCAGAGTGAGGGAATACTTATCAAAGCAGGCTAAGAAAATCTTTCCAGAAGCATATCTGGAAAAATCTTTCTTGAAGCATAAAATAGAAAGCTCCACCCTTTATCTTTACATGTTATTGGCTAGACCTTGGCTTACATAACCACCCAGAGCTGCAGCGGGGGCTGAGAAAGAGAGTATCTTCCTTTGTATTTAAGTCTCAAAAGAGACAGGCTGGCAAGAGAGAAGAGGGAGGGAATAGCTTGGTAGCTAGCTCAGCAGCAGTTTGTGCTACAATAGCCAGTACTTGATGGGGCCAAGATTCACACCTGTCTCTCTGGTTTCAAAGTTCTTGTTCTTTCTTTGTTTCAATAATTTACTCTGACTCCTTTCTATCTCCTAGCTAGTTCTTTTTTATTTGTCATGTCTGGCAGTACTAGTGGGGTTTTTGTTTCTTTGTTTGTTTTTTATTGAGACAGGGTCTTGCTGTGTCTTCCAGACTGGAGTGCAGTGGTGTGATCATAGCTCACTGCAGCCTCAGCCTCCCAGGCTCAAGCAGTCCTCCCACCTCAGCCTCCCGAGTAGCTGGGACTGTAGACACTCAAAACCATGCCTAGCTAAGTTTTTTTTTCTTTTGAGACAGAGTCTCGCTCTGTCGCCCAGGCTGGAGTCCGGTGGCGCGATCTCGGCTCGTTGCAAGCTCCGCCTCCCGGGTTCATACCATTCTCCTGCCTCAGCCTCCCAAGTAGCTGGGACTACAGGCACCTGCCACCATGCCTCGCTAATTTTTTTGTATTTTTAGTAGGGACGGGGTTTCACCGTATTAGCCAGGATGGTCTCGATCTCCTGACCTCGTGATCCACCCGCCTCGGCCTCCCAGAGTGCTGGGATTACAGATGTGAGCCACCACGCCTGGCCGCCTAGCTAAGTTTTTTATTTTTTATAGAGAAACAGGGTCTTGCCATGTTGTCCAGGCTGGTTTCAGACTCCTGGACTTGCATGATCCTCCCACCTTGGCCTGGCAAAATGCTGAGATTACAGGCATGAATCACTGTGGCTGACCATTAGTGGGTTCTAATCACATACTTTATATCAGTCAGTGTCCTGGCAGGAAACAGATGGCATACTCAAATGTAATTGAATTGAGTTTAATAAAGGGGCTGTTGACAGCAGACAGCAGTCTGATCAGGGTTAAGGAAAACTTAACAAGGAAAGGTTGAGTGCCTCATACCTATCAGCAGTTGGGGAAGACTTTATCATTTCTAAACCCCAAGGAAGCAGAGGGAGGGAGTGGGTACAGGAACTAGAAAAGAGTAGCTGCTGTTGTTGAAGAGTACTATGGTAGTGAGAGAAAACTGTAACTGTAACCATCCTCCTAGGGAGGCATTTGGAAATAAACACCCCAAGGATGCTTTACTTCCATCTCCTGGTTTTCTGCTCATGCTCCCTATGAACTGAACTCACCAGAATCTAGAGGGCAAGGGGAGTCTTGGTGGAGGCTGTAAAGGTCAGCCTATTTAAGCATAGAGCCAGGTAGAGAAGGATGGAAATGGAATTGACATGGCAAAACGAAAATATTTTGCACACATCTGCAAGGTGAAAGAAGAAATGTTTGAGGAAAGATGGGCTGAACCCAATGGCTCCTGCCTGTAATCCCAGTACTTTGGGAGGCTGAGGCGGGAGGTTGGCTTGAAGCTAGGAGTTTGAGACCAGCCTGGGCAACATAGGGAGACCCTGTTTCTACAAAAAATAATAAAAATTGGCCGTGCATGGTGGTGCATTTCTGTAGTCCCAGCTACTTGGAAGACAGGCAAGAGGATCGCTTGAACTCAGGAGTTCAAGGCTGCAGTGAGCTATGATCGCACCACTGTACTCCAGCCTGGGCAACATAGCAAGACCCTGTCTCAAAAACAAAAAAAAGAGGAAAGGGAAGAGATACTAGGGAAGTATGTATGTCCATAAACATGAAAATATGTTTAAACTCATCAATAATGCAGGAAATCTAATCGAAACCATAGTGAGATAATGTATACACATCAGATTAATAAAGAAAAAAACTTGCTGCCAAGTTTTGACAGGAATGTGGAATTGCTTATAGTGTAAATAGCACATATATTTTGGAAAGCACTCGGCATTGCTGAATACAATTGGTTATTATACATACCCTTTGACTAAGGATTTTTGCTTGAGTATTTACCCTCAGTTTTGCCGCAGGAAATCTGTGTAAGTATATTAATAGAATTGTTCATAGTAGTCCAATGAGGAGATAACCCAGGTAGCCATCAGTAGTTGAATGGATAAACAAATTGTTAAGCCACACAATACTCTATAGCAGAAAAAATGTGAACTTGAAAGAAGTCGCAGAAGAATACAGTATGATTACATTTATAGAAGGCTCAAAGCAGGCAAAACTAACTCAGAATGTTTGTTATCACTGTCAGGAGGAGAGGAGAGAGTTGTTTCCACCTGTGCGTAGGCTTACTGGGAGATTCTGAGGTACTGTTAATATTCTTTTCTTTTTTGAGACAGGGTCTGGCTCTGTCGCCTAGGCTGGAGTGCAGAGGCACAACCTTGGCTTACTGCAACCTCCACTTCCCAGGCTCAAGCCATCCTCCCACCTCAATCTCCCAAGTAGCTGGGACTGTAGCTATAATGCCTGGCTAATTGTATTTTTTTTTTTTTTCCTCATCCTACAGTCCAAAGGCACTGGCTAATTTTTGTATTTTTTGTAGAGATGGGGTTTCACCAAGTTGCCAAGGCTGTTCTTGAACTCCTGAGCTCAAGCAGTCCTCCTGCTTTGGCCTCCCAAAGTGTTGGGATTGCAGGTGTGAGCCACTGGGTCTGGCCACTATTAATGTTAAGTATTTTAACCTGTATGGTGGGTACACAGGTGTTCATTATTTATAAAAATGTTTTGCACTCTAAGTGTGATAAAAAAAAAAGTAGATATGATGGACATTGGAAGCGTGCCACAAACATTGTCCCAATATAGAGGGGTTTATCCCAGATATTTATTGATGACCGGCTATGTAGATAGCATGTTTTGGGTGCTGGAAAAACAGTAGTGACCAAAATCCACAGTTGTTTCTGTGTGTTTAGCATTGGTGATGAGGCCAGGTGCGGTGGCTCACACCTGTAATCCCAGCACTTTGGGAGGCCGAGGCAGGCAGATCACGAGGTCAGGAGTTCAAGACCAGCCTGGCCAACATAGTGAAACCCTGTCTCTACTAAAAATACAAAAATTAGCCAGGCATGGTGGCGCGTGCCTGTAGTCCCAGCTACTTGGAAGGCTGAGACAGGAGAATTGCTTGAACCCAGGAGGTGGAGGTTGTAGTGAGCCAAGATTGCACCACTGCACTCCAGCCTAGGTGACAGAGTGAGATTCCGTCTCAAAAAAAAAAAAAAAAAAAAATTCTTGATAAGAACTATGAAAGAAAAGCACAGAGTATTTATTAAAGTTTATAATCAGGGGAATCTAGCTTAGAACCAGAATTGGTGTTGATCCAGTAAAGCTCCTCTGAGGAGGCAACATTTAAGGTGAAGCCTGTAGGTTGAGTAGGATATATCCATGGGAGAAGGGGGCATTGAGTATTTCAGGGAGAGAGAACAGGGTGTGTGAAGGCCTTTAGACAGAAGGGAACTTGATGGTCAGGAACGGGGTTTCTCAACGTTGGCATTACAAACTTTAGGACAGATGATTCTAGTGGGTGCTGTCCTGTGCATTGTAGGGTATTCAGCAGCATACCTGGCCTCTATCCACTAGATGCCAGTAGCACCCTCTCAGCTGTGAAAATCAGACATTGCCATATGTCTCGGGGAAAGAAAGGAAAAGAGGTATGACATAATTACCCCTGTACTGTACTGGGAAAACCATTGTACTGGAAGAACAGAGAAAAATCAGTGTGGTTGGACTACAGAAGGAGGGAGGATGGTGGGAATGGTAGTATCAGGTAGCCAAGGGCTAGATCTTGTACAGGTTGTCAAAGGTTAGGTCATGGTTTGAAATCTGTTGTTTTTGTTTTTGTTTTGTTTTGTTTTGTTTTGAGGCGGAGTTTCATTCTTGTTACCCAGGCTGGAGTGCAATGGCGTGATCTTGGCTCACCGCAACCTCCGCATCCCAGGTTCAAGCGATTCTCCTGTCTCAGCCTCCCGAGCAGCTGGGATTACAGGCATGCGCCACCACACCCAGCTAATTTTGTATTTTTAGTAGAGACGGGGCTTCTCCATGTTGGTCAGGCTGGTCTCGAACTCCCGACCTCAGGTGATCCGCCTGCCTGGGCCTCCCAAAGCGCTGGGATTACAGGTGTGAGCCACTGCGCCCGGCCTTGAACTCTGTTGTTTTTGGTTTTGGATTTATCATAAGGGTTGCTTTGCAAAAATGGTTTGAACTCTGTTTTTTTTTTTTTTTTATAAACAGAGTTTTGCTTGTTGCCCAGGCTGGAGTGCAATGGCGCGATCTCGGCTCACTGCAACTTCCACCTCCCGGGTTCAACTGATTCTCCTGCCTCAGCTGCCTGAATAGCTGGGATTACAGGTGCCCGCCACCATGCCCAGCTACTTTTTGTATTTTTAGTAGAGACGAAGTTTCACCATGTTGGACAGGCTGGTCTCAAACTCCTGACTTCAGGTGACCCACCCACTTCAGCCTCCCAAAGTGCTGGGATTACAGGCATGAGCCACTGTGCCCGGCTTGGTTTGAACTCTTAATGAGCATTGGAAAAGCTTTGTAGAGTTTTTTTATTTTTATTTTTATTTTGTGAGATAAGGTCTCGCTGTGTTGCCCAAGCTTGAGTGCGGTGCACAATCATAACTCCCTTCTTCTTCAACGTCCCAGGCTCAAGTGATCCCCTTACCTCAGCCTCCCTAGTAGCTGGAATCACTGGCATGCACCACATCCTCGCCTGGCAAATTTTTTTGTGTTTTTTGTAGAGATGAGGTTTCACCATGTTACCCAGGCTGGTCTTGAACTCCTGGGCTCAAGCAGTCCACCCACCTTGGCCTCCCAAAGTGCTGGGACTACAGCCATGAGCCACCATGCCTGGCCAGTGTTTTTGTTTTCTTAACAGTATTTTTTGAAGAGCAGTTTTTAGTTTTGTTGAGGCTGAATAGAAAAGCAAATAAACCTTAAATATATCTATAATTATATTAAACATAAGTAATCTAAACATTTCAATTAAAGGGTAGACATTGACCAGGTGTGGTGTGTGCCTGTAGTCCCAGCTACTTAGGAGGCTGAGGCGAGAGAATTGCTTGAGCCCAGAAGTTCAAGGCCAGACTCGGCAACATAACAAAAATCTCATTTCTTTAAAACAATAACAGAACAGTAGAAATACTCATTTTGGGCAGAAAAAGCAAGACCAAATGGTATTGCTGTGTATAAGAGAGAAACACATAGAATAAAAGTGAAAGAATGGAAAAATACATGCCATGTTAACATAAGTCAAAAGAAATCTGAAGGGGCTATGTAAGTATCAGAGGATAGATTTCAGATTAAAGAATATAACCAGGGATAAAGAAGTAGCAAGTCATTTTATAATGAAAAAAATGAGTCAGTTTGTCAAGAGGACATAGCAGTGGTTCGCAGCCCTCTAATGCCCCAAGATAGGGTCTCACCCTGTCACCTAGGCCGGAGTGTGGTGGCACTGTCATAGCTTACTGCAGCCTCAAAAACCTGGGCTCAAGCGATCTTCCTGCCTCAGCCTCCTCCGTAGTTAAGACTATGGGAACACGCCATCATGCTTGGCTAATTTTATTTTATTTTGTAAAGATGGGGTCTCCCTATATTGCCCAGGCTAGCCTCAAATTCCTGGGTCTGGCCGGGCATGGTGGCTCATGCCTGTAATCCTGGCCCTACACAGTTGATTTTTGATAGAGGTGGAAAGGTAATTAAGTAGAGAAAGGTGTTATTTCAACAAATGGTTCTGGAACATTTGTATATCCATATACAGTTGATTTCTTTTTTTTAAAATGTAGGCCAGGCACCGTGGCTCACGCCTGTAATCCCAGCCCTTTGGGAGGCTGAGACAAGCAGATCAGTTGAGGTCAGGAGTTTGAGATCAGCCTGGCAAACATGGTGAAACCTCGTCTCTACTAAAAATACAAAAATTAGCCTGGCACGATGGTGCGTGCCTATAGTCCCAGCTACTCCGGAGGCTGAGGCAGGTTAGAATGGCTTGAACCCAGGAAGCGGAGGTTGCAGTGAGCCGAGATCATACCACTGCACTTCAGCCTGGGTGACAGAGAGAGACTGTGTCTCAAAAAAAAAATAATAATAAGTAAATACATACAAAAATGTAAATTCTTGAACTGTATTCACATATTTTAGGCTGGTACAGTGATTGCCCTTTGGCCTTGTATATTGGCATTTTACATGAATCATGAACCTAGATTGTGATCATTTATTTCATTTTTTTAGGCTGTCATATTTCAACCTAGAAGTCTGAGAAAAAAAGTTGAAAACACTTCATTGTACTTGGATACTTTACTGTTTCAATCACCTTTTGTTAGTTGAGGAGGCATGTATATTGGATGATATGTTCTAAACATCTTCAGGTTTCTGGGTGTTTATTATCTCTGATTTTCTCTACTACCTCCTTTATAGGTTGGGAAGGAGAAAATGCTCAAGGTGAAGATTGTGAAGATTCATCCTTTGGAGAAAGTGGATGAAGAGGCCACTGAGAAGAAATCTGATGGTGCCTGTGATTCTCCATCAAGTGACAAAGAGAACTCCAGTCAGATTGCTCAGGACCATCAGAAGAAGGAGACAGTTGTGAAAGAGGATGAAGGAAGGAGAGAGAGTATTAGTATGTTTGATATTAGCTTTCCTTAGTGTTTTATGAGATCCTGTTTATTTTATTATGAACACATCTTTTAGGGTTCTCTAGCAACTAAATGTGTGATTTTTTATGTAGACATGATTTTGTTCATTTATGATTCATAGAACAACTAAAATGTCCACAACATGAAACACTTGAATATCCCTAAATAATTAAGACCATTGGGAAGTCGTTTCCTCTAGTTGCTTAGAAAGCTCTATGCAGGGCTGGGTGCCGTGGCTCATGCCTGTAATCCCAGCACTTTGGGAGGCTGAGGAGGGTGGATCATCTGAGGTCAAGAGTTCGAGACCAGCCTGGTCAACATGGTGAAACCCTGTCTCTACTAAAAATACAAAAATTAGCGGCTTGTGGTGGTGGGTGCCTATAATCCCAGCTACTCGGGAAGCTGAGGCAGGAGAATCGCTTGAACCCAGGAGGTGGAGTTTGCAGTGAACTGAGATCGCACCATTGCACTCTAGTCTGTGCCACAAGAGCAGGGCCACAAAAACAAAACTCCATCTCAAAAAAAAAAAAACAAAACACAAAAGCTGTGTGCACATTGCTAGCTACTCAAGATGGCAAGGAAAGTCTGCTTTCCTTTCGTCTTGAAGTGGAAATATGTATTTATGTATTGGGGGGTGATCAAGGTAGGAAGAGCAAATTCTAACCCTGATCTTCACATTATAAGCCAATGTGATGGTTTTAGGTACAGCTCACCCTTGAACAACATAGGTTTGAACTGTACAGGTCCACATATGAATGGAATTTTTCTTTTTCTTTTTTTTATGGCACTTAACCCATCTCTCAATATTTTTTCAATGAATGTATTGGAAAATTCTTTGGAGGCTTGTGACAGTTTGAAGAAACTCAGAGACGAACTGAGTAACCTAGAAATATTGTAAAAAAAGAACAAAGAGTTAGGTATGTCATAAATGCATAAAATACATGTAGATACTAGTCTATCATTTGCTACCATAAAATATATACAGAAATCTATTATAAAAAGTTAAAATTTATCAAAACTTACACAGACCATACCTGGCACCATTCTCAGTCAAGAAAAATATGAAGATTCAGTATTAAATAATAACAATAAAATGAACTGTAGTACGTACTATACTACTGTAATCATTTCCTAATGACCTCCTGTTGCTGTTGAAGTGACCTCAGTCATTTTATGTGATGCTAGTTCATCTCTCTAGTAAAGTGCTAATTGTCCTAGTGTCCTTTTTTGGCTTTTCATAGATAAGGTCTTGCTCTGTCACCCAGGCTGGAGTGCAGTGGTACGATCATGGCTCACTGCAGCCTCGACATTCCTGGCCGAAGCGATCCTGCCACCTCAGCTTCCCAAGTAGCTGGGACCGTAGGCATGCACCACCACACCCAGCTAATTTTTGTAGGTTTTTTTTTTTTTTTTTTGTAGAGGTCAGTTCTCACGATGTTGTTCAGGCTGGTCTTGTACTCGTGAGTTCAAGCGATCCTCCTGCCTTGACCTCTTTTTTTTGAAACAGGGTCTTACTCTGTTGCCCCCAGGCTGGAGTGGAGTGTTGTGATGACAGCTTAGTGCAGCCTGGACCTCCTTGTGGCCTCGGCCTCATGCTGAATTACAGGTATGACGCACTGTGCCTGGCTGTATACACAGGTTTTTGACTGCGAGAGGAGGAGAGGTCAGAGCCCTAACCCCCATGCTGTTCAAGGGTCAGTTGCACTTTTTTCTCTCCATAATCTGTAATCTAAGTCCCTCTCACACGGGAGCAGGTAAAATCCTGAAACTATGATGTCCTAGGGACCTGGAGACTCTAACAATAATGTTTTTAAATTTGAACAATTGAGATTTGGCTCACTGGGAAGACCGTTCAGCCTCTGAGGCCTTCATTAATAAAGAATTTGACTGGACTTGATTATTGTTGTCTCCAAAAATGTAGGTGCACCAAGTGTTTGGTGTGTATTGGTCTCCCTCCGCATGAGTATTAGAGGATCAAATGTTAGCTTACTATTTAACTGGTACAAACTTTGCATTAGAATGTGATGTTGTCTGTCTCCCATTCTATTTTGTGTGTCTAGATGTTTTGGATCTGTGCAGATGGTTTTTGAGGTACTTTCTTAATGTAGTTCGAAGCAAACTTCTGAGAGTGTCATTGTAGTTGGTCCATCCCAAGTTGTTGATACTTCAGTTTGTTTTCTCCTGTATTGTGAATGCTAACGTCTGTATTTTCCAGTTTCCCTCTTCTTTTTGATACTGAAGTTTTGTAATAAGGGCATTACTTGCAATTCCTTGAGGTTGAGAAGTGTTTTGGTTAGGAATATTCTCTCTGCTTTCCGAACATCAGTTTTATTGTGGTCTTACTTCTGCCTCTATATTCCTGAAATAGTTCCTATTAAGTTTACAAGTGTCCTCTTAATTGTCAAAAGCAGAGATTTCTTCTTGGCCTGTGTTGGACTTTTCTGTTATATTTATTAATATTTATTTATTTTTTAACGTTTAAGTTCAAGGGTAGAAGTGCAGGGTTGTTGCATAGGTAAACTTGTGTCATAGGGCTTGGTTGCATAGATTAATTATTTCATCACCCAAGTGTTAAGCCTAGTACCCATTAGTTGTTTTTCTTTAAAAGGCCTGAGTGTGTGTTGTTCCCCTCTATGTGTCCATGTGTTCTCATCATTTAGCTCCCACTTACAAGTGAGAACATGCAGTATTTGGTTTTCTGTTCCTGTGTTAGTTTGCAAGGATAATAGCCTCCAGCTTCATTCATGTCGCTGCAAAGGACATGATCTCATTCTTTTTTATGGCTGCATAGTATTCCATGGTGTATGTGTACCACATTTTCTTTCTTGTGTCCATTGTTGGCATTTAAGTTGATTCTGTGTCTTTGCTATTGTGAATAGTGCTGTATCTGTTACATTTAATACTGTTGGTCACTCATATCTCTTAGCTTGATACCACTGTCTCCTAGTGCTCCAGCTATTCGGTTTCTTTACTTCCTTCCTTCCCTGCCATTCCTTTGACTTTTTCCATAGGATTCTATTCTTTGCCTTCTGTTTTTCAGTTTGCATAGTGTAATGTTATATGCTATTCATGGCACAGTTTGAATTCTTAACTGTTTGTAGCCTGGTGATTTCCAAGCCTGGGTCAGACTTTTAACTGTAGACTTGATCTTTACTTGCCTGTCCTATATGCAATTTATTTATTTATTTATTTATTTTTGAGACGGAGTCTCGCTCTGTCACCCAGGCTGGAGCGCAGTGGCACGATCTTGGCTCACTGCAACCTTCGCCTCATGGGTTCAAGTGATTCTCCTGCTTCAGCCTCCCCAGTAACTGGGACTATGGGAGCACGCTACCACAACCAGCTAATTTTGTATTTTTAGTAGAGACGGGGTTTCACCATGCTGGCCAGGCTGGTCTCGAACTCTGGACCTCAGGTGATCTGCCCACCTTGGCCTCCCAAAGTGCTGGAATTACAGGCGTGAGTCACCACGCCTGGCCCCTCCTTTATGCAGTTTAGATTCAACATGTGTAAAGCTGAATTGACTTCACTCTTCTTGTATCCCAAGGCAGGTAAACAAGAATTGTTCTCTCATTCTTTTACTTGGCTCACCGTCCATCCACCTAGTGTCTAAGGCAGAAAAGTTAAAATACCTTTAACATTCTCACGTCTAGTTGGTCACGAACTGGAAGAATTTTGACTCTCTTTCCTTCTGTATTACAGTTACATTAGTTCAGATGTTTGTTTATTTTTGAGACAGGGTCTTGCTCTGTTGTCTAGGCTGGTGTGCAGTGGTGTGATCATAGCTCATTGCAGCCTCAACCTCCCAGGCTCAAGTGATCCTCCTGCCTCAGCCTCCTGAGTAGCTGGGACCACACGTGTGCATCACAACACCTTTCTAATTTTTTTTGTTTGTTTGTTTAGAGACAGGGTCTCACCATGTGGCTAAGGCTTGATTTAAACTCCTGGGCTCAAGCAGTCTCCCCACCTCAGCCTCCCAGAGTTCTGGGATTACCTGTGTGAGCCTGTGTGCCCAGCCTAATTCAGATGTTTAGCATTGTATCTTCCAATTTCCTTATCTTCAGTATCAACTTTCCATTTTATGTTCGTCTTCTTTTTGAGACAGAGTCTCGCTCTGTTGCCCAGGCTGGAGTGCAGTGGCATGATCTCGGCTCACTGCAACCTCCACCTCCCGGGTTCAAGCAATTCTTCTGCCTCAGCCTCCCGAGTAGCTGGGATTACAGGCACGTGCCACCATGCCCAGCTAATTTTTTCTATTTTTTGTAGAGACAGGGTTTCACCATGCTGGCCAGGCTGGTCTCGAATTCTTGAGCTCAAGTGATCCTTCTGCCTTGGCTCCTCAAAGTGCTGGGATTACAGGCACGAGCCACTGTGATGGGCCCCATTTTATATTGATCTTTCCAAAATGCACCGTAGTTAGTTACAGCCACAGTCTGTCATTGGTTCTCTAGTGCTAGCAAGACAAATTCTAATCTCTTTAAATGGTATACAAGGCCCTTTCTAATATGGCCCTGGCTTACCTTTTTGAATTTTTTTCACTGTAGTATACATCATATTTAACCACACCTTATTGCTTGCAATCTGCAATCTCTGAACAGGTCATATCGTATTCTCTCTCTCTCTCTTTTTTTTTTTTTTTTTGGAGACAGGGTTTCACTCTGTCTCTTAGTGTGGAGTGCAGTCGCAAGATCAGGGCTCACTGCAGCCCTGACCTCCCAGGCTCAAGCCATCCTACCCTAGCCGCCCAAGTTGCTGTGACTACAGGCATGTGCCACCACACCTGGCTAATTTTTTGTATTTTTTATAGAGACAGGGTTTCACCATGTTGCCCAGGCTGGTCTCGAACTCCTGGACTCAGGGGATCTGCCTGCCTTGGCCTCCCAAAGTGCTGGGATTACAGGCGTGAACTACCACACCTGGCCCAAGTCATATTCTTACTCATCTTTCTACCTACCTTCCAGACTAAGTTAGGTATTCCTTCTCTGTATTCTCATAGTATTTTTCTTTTCTTTTCTTTTTTTGAGACGGAGTCTTGCTCTGTTGCCCAGGCTGGAGTGCAATGGCGTGATCTTGGCTCACTGCAACCTCTGCCTCCCGGGTTCAAGTGATTCTCCTACCTCAGCCTCCCGAGTAGCTGGGATTATAGGGATGCACCACCAAGCCCGGCTAATTTTGTATTTTTAGTAGAGATGGAGTTTCTCCATGTTGGTCAGGCTGGTCTCGAACTCCCGACCTCAGGTGATCCGCCTCCCTCAGCCTCCCAAAGTGCTGGGATTGCAGGCGTGAGCCACCACGCCCGGCCTCTCATAGTGTTTTTCTTTACCAACTTCTATTACACTGTTTACTACATTGTAGTTATTTATAGTACATTGTAGTTATTTACTTGCTGACTCTCCTCATAGACTTTAGCTCCTTGAAGTTAAGGACATTATGATTCATTTTTGTACTGCATCACCCAGTGCCTAGTGAAGAGCAGACGTTCAGTTAAGACTTGTTAATGAATGAATGAAAAGGATTAAAATAATTACGTTTTTCACTAATTTTCTATGATTTGACTAGATGACAGAGCACGTAGATCGCCACGAAAACTTCCTACTTCATTAAAAAAAGGAGAAAGGAAATGGGCTCCTCCAAAATTTCTGCCTCACAAATATGATGTGAAACTACAAAATGAAGATAAGGTTAGTTGACACTTTACTTTTTACATGTGATAGATGTTCTTTAAGAAAATATCATAGGGTTGCTTTTGTTGGAGAAAATGTGCTGAAGAAAAATGTAAATGAATGTACAGCAGATTCTGAGTGGTTTTGTAGTTACAGTAATTAATGACTTCAAGTTAATGTAAATTATATTTTCTTTCCTAGAAGATACCATGCTTTTCCTCTTTCTTATAGGAATTAGTAGAGTGTAAGTAATTTACATTTGAGCTTGAAATTCAGTTTGAAAATTAAGAATCTGTTCCCAGCAGTTATGGACTTTCCAAGGAAATCACTCTTCCCAGTTAAAAGTAGAGCAGTCAGGCCGGGCGTGGTGGCTCACGCCTGTAATCCCAGTACTTTGGGAGGCCGAGGTGGGCGGATCATGAGGTCAGGAGATCGAGACCATCCCGGCTAACATGGTGAAACCACATCTCTACTAAAAATACAAAAAATTAGCCGGGCGTGGTGGCGGGCGCATGTAGTCCCAGCTACTCAGGAGGCTGAGGCAGGAGAATGGCATGAACCTGGGAGGCGGAGCTTGCAGTGAGTGGAGATCACGCCACTGCACTCCAGCCTGGGCGATAGAGCAAGATTCCTTCTCAAAAAACAAAACAAAAAAAAATTTGCCAGGTGTGGTGGCGCACGCCTATAATCCCAGCTACTCAGGAGGCTGAGGCAGGAGACTCGCTTGAACCTGGGAGGCGGAGGTTGCAGTGAGTTGAGATTGCGCCCCTGCACTCCAGCCTGGGCAACATAGAGCGAGACTCCGTCTCAAAAAAAAAAAAAAAAAAAAAAGCGTTTTGCTGATTGGAACTAAGATTCTAAGAAATATGGAATGTTACTTTTCAGGTATTCCTACACCACCTGTATGTGCAGAATCTTAGAAAGGTGGATTAGGAGACTGGGTGTGGAAGGCAATGCACATTTGTCTTCAGGTATAACCATTTTACAGAAGAAACAGCTAAGACCTGAGAAGTTTAATAACTGTCAAAATTCTTGATTCAGTAAATGAAAATGGGAAGGATTGTAACCCAAATCTTTTGCTTCTTTATTTACATTGTTTTGTTCCTGCCTCAGAATGCTGACAAGTCCGATTCCATTCTGACTGTTGGTGTTATGGTTCGTGATCAGAAGCCTTGGCTGGGTTGTTAGGATTTTTTTTTTCTTTTCTTTTCTTTTTTTGAGATGGAGTTTTGCTCTTGTTGCCCAGGCTGGAGTGCAATGGCGCAATCTCGGCTCACTGCATCCTCTGCCTCCTGGGTTCAAGTGATTCTCCAGCCTCAGCCTCCCAAGTAGCTAGGATTACAGGCATGCATCACCATGCCTGACTAATTTTGTGTTTTTTGTAGAGACAGAGTTTCACCACGTTGGTCAGGCTGATCTCGAACTCCTGACCTCAGGTGGTCTACCACCCCTTGGCCTCCCAAAGTGCTGGGATTACAAGCGTGATCCACCACGCCCGGCCTAGGTTGTTGTTTTGTTTTTTTGTCTTTTTTGAGACGGAGTCTTGTTCTGTCGCTCAGGCGGGAGTACAATGGCACGGTCTTGGCTCACTACAGCCTCTGCCTCTCGGATTCAAGCGATTCTCCTGCCTCAGCCTCACAAGTAGCTGGGATTACAGGTGCCCGCCACCGTGCCCGGCTAAGTTTTGTATTTTTAGTAGATACGGGATTTCACTATGTTGGCCAGGCTGGTCTTGAACTCCTGACCTTGTGATCCGCCTGCCTCGGCTTCCCAAAGTACTGGGATTACAGGCATGAGCCACTGCACCTGGCCAGGATTTTTTTATATTTGAATATTGGATATTGTTAAATACAATTTTTCACAGAGTTTCTTCTCATTCAGCAAGGTAGCTGATTAAGACATGCCTAGTTTTAGGCCAGGCACGGTGGCTCATGCCTGTAATCCCAGCACTTTGGGAGGCCGAGGCAGGTGGATCACCTGAGCTCGGGAGTTCGAGACCAGCCTGACCAACATGGAGAAACCCCATCTCTACTAAAAATACAAAATTAGCCGGGCGTGGTGGCACATGCCTGTAATCCCAGCTACTAGGGAGGCTGAGGCAGGAGAATAGCTTGAACCAGGGAGGCGGAGGTTGCAGTGAGCAGAGATTGCGCCATTGCTCTCCAGCCTGGGCAACAAGAGTGAAACTCCATCTCAAAAAAAAAAAAAAATGCTTAGTTTTAACCACTTCCCTAAGTATCCCTTGTATTCATATTGATGAGTATAAGTATTTTGTTCACAAATATAAGTATTGGTTACAGGAAGAAAGAAAATGCAAATAAGAAAGAGATAGTATCTGATGTCATGCTCAGAGATAATTGGTGAATATAGATTTAGTGAATGGTAGGTAGCTCCTAAGTGACTTTTTAAAAAAAATTTTTTTGTATTCCTTCCTTCTCTGTTTCCTGCTATTAAGTGACTTTTAAAAGTAGAACTATTCTGTTTATATTATTTTATAACTTAATTTTTTCATTTATTGTGTGCTAAACATCTGTAATGTCATTAAATTTTCTTCCAAAACAGTGTTCTCAGATTTTAATGTGTGTGATAGTCACCAGGGGAGGTGATTAGATATGTTGATTCCTAACCTCTACTGCCAGAGAGTCATAAGATTCATTAAGTGTGTGGTGAGGCCCAAACATCTGCATTTTAATAGTACCCTAGATGATTCTGATGAATTTTTCTGGATTGAGAAAGTTTTTTCATAGGACTGCAGTGTCCATTATATGTACATAGTTTCATTTAACAAATCCCTTATTGGTGTACCTTTAGGTAATAACTCTCAACCCATTCCTCACTTTTTTGCTATTACAAGCATTTGATGACAACTTTGTCCATTTACTTCCTAAGATAAATTCTTAACGAGAGGAATTGCTGAAAGGGTATACATATTTTTAGAAAACTTTGATACATATTGACATATTGCCTAAGGATATTTTTAAATTGACATTCTGTCTCTGAAAATTATTCTCCGTTTTCTGTCTCTCAGATAGGGTCTCACTCTGTTGCCCAGGCTAGAGTGCATTGGTGTGACCATAGCTCACTATAGCTTCGAACTCCTGGGTTCAAGTAATTCCCCTGCTTCAGCCTCCCAAATAGCTAGGACTATTGGCGTATTTTGATTTTTGTACACAGAGGGTCTTGTTATATTGCCCAGGTCGATCTGTAACTCCTGGCCTCAAACAATCTTTATACCTTGGCCTCCTGAGTTGATGAGATTACAAGTGTAAGAAACCATCCCTGGCCTATATATTTTTCTTTCTAATTTGTAGCCCTGTTGATATAGATGGAATTTTGATTTTTCTGGAGAGAACGTATATTGCTTGTTCTCATTTGGGTAATTACTTTTTACCCCAGTGGTGAGTTATTTGTTTCTTTTTAACCTAGATCATCAGTAACGTGCCAGCAGACAGCTTGATTCGTACAGAGCGCCCACCAAATAAGGAGATAGTTCGATACTTTATACGGCATAATGCATTACGAGCTGGTACTGGTGAAAATGCACCTTGGGTCGTAGAAGATGAATTGGTGAAGAAATACTCTCTGCCCAGCAAGTTCAGTGACTTTTTACTTGATCCATACAAGGTAAGGTCACTGTTAATTTTTGGACAGCAGGATAAAGCATCATTATTTCTCTGATGGCTCCAGTATATTTATATTTATAGCAGGTTTTGAACTCTAACATCAGATAATGAATTAAAAATTTTTCAGGTATATCTGTTACATACAGGTTGTTATGTGAGGTTGGTAGGGGAGAGGCCACATTTAATATCTTCCCCAGTTCAATTTATTTTTTATTATGCTAGCATAATTTTAAAAGTCTATATACATGTGCTTTTGTGCCTCAGACCCTTTTTGGAATGAGGTATGGTATAAATATAAAAAGTATTTTGTTAACCAGTTACCAAGAATGAAAACTGATTTTGCATGTCGGACAAGATGATCACATACAGTGGCAGCCTTGAAAAGAACCTGGAATGAGGAGCAGTGTGTGTGATAGATTAGTGGAAAACCTAGTATTTTCCTCTTGAAGAGTAAGTTTTTTTTGTTTTTTTTTTTTTTTTGAGTTGGAGTCTCGCTCTGTCACCCAGGCTGGAGTGCAGTAGTGCGATCTCGGCTCACTGCAACCTCCTTCTCCTTCTTCTCAGCCTCCTGAGTAGCTGGGATTACAGGCATGTGCCACCACACCTGGCTAATTTTTCTATTTTTAGTAGAGATGGGGTTTTGCCGTGTTGGCCAGGCTAGTCTTGAGCTCCTGACCTCAAGTGATCCGCCTGCCTCGGCCTCCCAAAGTGCTGGGATTACAGATGTGAGCCACCATGCCTGGCCGAGAAGGAGTAATTTTTAAAATCCTCACTTTTGATTTTCCAAATATTTTTATGAAGTTATATGGTACATATATATATTTCATTTTACAGATGGGGTATCTGAGGCCTAGTCTAATCAGAACCAACAGAAAGTGATGACAAGACTTAAGACACTGGCCTAGGATTTCTGATTTTCTTTTCCATTTCAAGCTTTACCTGTTAAAGTGGTTTTTTAATGTAGGTTTTGAAAGTACTTAATGCTTCTTTCATTGGTAAATGTAACGCAGCATACTGGCTGATAATTTTCATCTTGGTCTCTGGGCCAGCGTAGAACCAGAAAAGGGCTCTTGATCCATTAAAACTAGGTCACATTTCCAGGATTTCTTTTTTTCCCATTTCATTTAATTATGAAAATATAAAGACATCTGAAGTCATAACAACTAAATTTGTTCAATTATCTTAAGTTGATTATGGTGACAAAAGCATATTGAAAAGTAATTTTATTTCTCCAAAACATTAGTAAAGACCTCCAGTCATGGTTTTAGCACTTAGCAGATTTTCTTATTCTAGACCAGCAAGATAAGTGGTGTCTTCTGTTATGCTCTTTAAATTATTATTATTTGCTTAAAAGGAAAAATTTAGAAAGTAATTGGCTTTTTCTAGATCAGGACTAAATTTTCCATGGAACTATAATTTTTTTCTCAGATGTTTGTTTTTGTTTGTTGAGGAGAAATTTTGAGTTCACTGTCATTTTGTTGCCACAGAGTTTGGAACCATGATTCAGCTTTCTGTGGTCTTCACATGAGATTCCTATCTTCGCTATATGAGAACTCCATGAAACCATCTCTAAATGGGTTTTAGACTAATTCTTGGATTACTTGAGTCCTTAATATTTTCCTCTTTTCTAATCTTACAGCTCTGTTTTATGTATTTTAGTTTAGTGATTCAAGTATGTGAATAATGTGAAAGACTCTTTTTATGGGTAAAATATTTTTTGAGTTTCCTAAGACATAAAAGCTGATCCACACTTATTTCTTACTTTAGAGACAGGGTCTTGCTCTGTTACCCAGGCTGGAGTGCAGTGGGACAATCACAGTTCACTGCAGCCTGAAATTTCTGGGCTCAAGTGATCCTCCTCCCTGTGTCTCACTAGTAGCTGGGGACTACAGGCACGTACCACCACGCCCAGCTGATCCACAATTTTTGTAGGAGAGAGAGACTAGAACTCCAGGAACTTAAAACCTGAAAGGCAATTTCTGAAGAAATAAGCTTCTCCCAGAATTTCTAGTGGGGGCTTAACTTACTAATGTTATGAAATTTGGCTATAATTTAGGTTAAGACTAGGAAATGGAAGCTTGCTTAAAGTGCTGGAAGATGGCAGTGATTTTACTCAGAA
This sequence comes from Homo sapiens, assembly GCF_000001405.40. Classification (NCBI taxonomy): domain Eukaryota; kingdom Metazoa; phylum Chordata; class Mammalia; order Primates; family Hominidae; genus Homo; species Homo sapiens. Next base: position 73,487,075 of record NC_000007.14, on the reverse strand, counting down.
AACTTAAGACTCATGTAAAATACTGGTCTACAAAGTTAAAGGCATATACTCAGGTTTATTATTTGTTTTCCCTACCTTAAACAATAATTTCTTATTTCCTAATACTATCTGACATGTCACTGATTGTTTTCTGTATATAAGCTGTGTTTTTCCTATTTATAAAATTAGGACTTTGGCTTCTCAGCCAGGGCAAAACATAGTAACACAGATGATAAGTAGAACCTAAAACATTGCTTTGTTTTCTTTCTTTTTCTAGAAGAAATTTAAAATAATCTGTTGAGGATTAAAGTTGATCACATAGGACCCATCCATCCAAAGGCATGGGATGTTTTCTCTCTCTGTATACTCTTTGGTTTTTGTAGAATGTAATGTTCTGTCAGGCTCTGAGTACATTTACTGTAGAGTGAGACCAGGTGTAAAGAGAGTGAGTTCTGAGCAATAGTTTTAGCAGGCCAGGCGCAGTGGCTCACGCCTGTAATCCTAGCACTTTGGGAGGCCGAGTTGGGCGGATCACGAGGTCAGGAGATCGAGACCATCCTGGCTGACATGGTGAAACCCCGTCTCTACTAAAAATACAAAAAATTAGCCGGGCGTGGTGGCGGGCACCTGTAGTCCCAGCTACTCGGGAGGCTGAGGCAGGAGAATGGCATGAACCTGGGAGGCTGAGCTTGTAGTGAGCCGAGATCACGCCACTGCACTCCAGCCTGGGCAACAAAGTGAGACTCTGTCTCAAATAAATAAATAAATAAAATAGTTTTACCAAAGGACCCATAGTGAGGGCTTACGTGGGAGAGAGGAAAATTATGTAAAGATACAGGAATTTTGGATTGTTACCTGAGTACCTAATATGATGATGAGGGTGTGTTTGTGGTTTTCTAAAATCTTTGTAGAATATAAATTACTTGAGAATAAGAACTACCTTGCTTATTTTATATCTTGTAACGTTTAGCATAGTATGTTGCATATAATAGGTAACTGGCTATTCATTTCTTGAAGTTCCATTTGTTGGAGAAAAATGCCACTGACATTTGGGCTTTAGGGGCAGCGTAATTTTTTGTAGGCCCAATGACTTGGAGGAATGATTTACAAGGCAATTGGGTGATAACTGTCATCTAAGATGAAATCTCTAGCTCATTTTCCTCTTGTAATACATTGCAGCCCTATTTTGTTAGTCTCCATCATGTTTGAGCTCTTATTTTAGACTGATAAATCCTAGTAGGGAAGCCTTTGGATTAGAGATGTAAGAAGAAAATAATACTTTAAGGCATTTGGAATCCTGCATGAATTTAGCCTTGTTCTTAACACATTTTAATATTTTATTAAATAATTTTATACAGGAGAATTGACAAAACACTACCAAATTTCTGTGTACTCTTTAATTAGATTTCCTCAGATGTTAACATTTATCATATTTGTTTATCATTCTCTCTCTCTTTTTTTTTTTTTTTTTCTGAGGTAGGCCTTATGCTGTCTCCCAGGTTAGAGAGCAGTGGAATGATCATAGCTCACTGTAACCTGGAACTTCTGGCTCAAGCAGTCCTCCCACCTCATGCTTCTGACTAGCTAGGATTACCGGTGCTCACCACCATGCCCAACTGATTTTTGTGTTTTTTATTTTTTGTAAAGATGGAGTCTCACTCTTGCCCATGCTGGTCTTGAGCTCCTGGTCTCAAGTGATCCTCCTGCCTCAGCCTCCCAAAGTGTTGGGATTACAGGCGTGAGCCACTGCATCTGGCCTAATCTGCTGTCTATATACACACGAATTATTTTTTCCTGAGCCAAGTAATTTTCCAGACAGGATGCCCTTTTACAGAATACTGGAATATGAATTTCTTAAAAACATTGATATTTGCTAGCTCACACCTGTGTAATTCTACACTTTGGGAGGCTGAGGTGGGAGGATCACTTGAGTCCAGGAGTTCAGGACCTTCTTGGGCAACATGGAGAGATTCCATCTCTACAAAACAAAACAAAAAAATCAAGGATATTTTCCAACGTAACTACAGTACAGTTGTCAAAATCAGGAAGTTAACATTGAAATAACTCTATTATCTAATCTATAGTTTTTACTCACATTTTCCCAGTTCTTCAGTAATCTTTTAACCAAAAAAACAATTTTGTTTTGCTTTAATAGGATCCATTGTGCTACCATGTGTCACATGTTCACATTTACTTGTCTCTTTGGTCTCTTCTAATCTGGGACAGTCCCTCAGCTTTTCTTTGTCTTTCAAAACCTTGACGTTTTGAAATAATAGAACCCGGTTATTTTGTAGAATGCTCTTTGATTTTGGTTTATTTCTTCATGATTAGATTCAGGTTATGAATATTTGGACATTAAGAATTGATGTATTCTTAGTGCATCATTTAAGAAGGCAGTGACATAATTTTGTCCATTACTCATAGTATTACATATTTTATTTATTTTTTTATTTTTTGAGACAGGCTCTTGCTCTGCCCAGGCTGGAGGTGCAGCGGTGTGATCATAGCTCACTGCAGTCTTGACCTCTGGGCTTAAGCAATCCGCCTACCTTAGCCTCCTGAGTAGCCGAGACCACAGGTGTGCACCATGAAGCCCAGCTAATTTTTATTTTTAATTTGTTGAAGAGACAGGGTCTCGCCATGTTACCTAGACTGGTCTCAAACTCCTGGGCTCAAGCAATCCTTCCCCGCCTCGACCCCTGAAGTGTTGGGATTACAGGTGTGAGCTATCATGCCTGGCTGATCTATCTATCTATATCTGTCTGTCTGTCTGTCTGTCTGTCTATCTATCTATCTATCTATCTTCCTCCCTCCGTCCCTCCCTTCCTTCCTTTGACAGAGTCTCGCTCTGTCGCCAGGCTGGAGTGCAGTGGTGCAGTCTTTGCTCACTGTAACCTCTGCCTCCTGGGCTCCAGCGATTCTCCTGCCTCAGCCTCCCGAGTAGCTGGGACTACAGGCACCCACCACCATGCCTGGCTAATTTTTCTATTTTTGGTAGACATGGGGTTTCACCATGTTGGCCAGGATGGTCTCAATCCCTGGACCTTGTGATCCACCAGCCTCGGCCTCCCAAAGTGCTGGGATTACAGGCATGAGCCACCACACCCGGCCTGATTTTTCTTTAAAGTCTCGCTCTTAAAGTTTGTTTGTTGTGTATGGCTGGGCGTAGTGGCTCTTGCTTGTAATTTCAGCAGTTTGAGGGGCTGAGGTGGGAGGATTGCTTGAGCCCATGAGTTTGAGACCAGCCTGGGTAACATGGCGAGACCCTGTTTCTACATACACAAAAAATTAACTGGGTGTGGTGGCGTGTGCCTCTAGTCCAAGCTACTTTGGAGATGGAGGCAGGGTGATCCCTTGAGCCCAGGAGGTCAAGGTTGCAGTGAGCTGTGATCATGCCACTGCACTCCAGCCTGTGTGACAGACAGAGTGAGACCCTGTTTTGGGTGGAGGAAAAAAAAAAGTTTGTGAGTTAGGGGTTAGAACAGAAGTACTTTAAAAGGTAAATTATATTGTTGAAGGAATGGTTGCTAGAAGAAAAAAAATGAAAAGTAAGTTATATTATTTTGAGAACACTTTAAATATATTTTATAGTAACAAATTTTGCAAACTTGCTAATAAAGGCATGTGGAAATTGAGAAAAGCCCACTATTTGAGTGTTGTCCTCAGAGTTCTAACATGTTGCCCTGGGTGAATGAGAACAGTGAGATAAGAATCAATATGGATTGCCAAGGTTTGCTAATTCAGGGTTTTGCTGCCTAGATTATATTGCTTATTATTAAGTTGTGTGCAGCATCTGAATGAGCTGCTACAAGTAATTTCTTTAATTTTTATCCTTTTTTTAATCAAGAAACAGGAGTTGCAGACAGATATTTGTGGTTGTGGTGAGTTTCAAGTGACAGGAACAAATGTAAAATTGTGGACGCTCTCTTTTTCTTTCAACCTTCCATGTTGCCGAGACAGTCATAAATATTTTTTTCTGTTTAGCAATTAGGAAGGGCCTTTGGCAAAAATTATACTGCTGGTAATCCAGGTGTCCTTTCTTCTCCCTCCCCATCTGCTAGTCTGGTAGATTAACTGTGCTGAGTGGGGGATAGGGAGCACTGTTAGCACATAAGTGGTTTTATACTTTTTCAGATCCCCCTGAGTCCAGCCATGCCGGCTCCCATTTGGCTGTGACTGCCCAGCATGCCCCATGCTGAGATGATCCAGTTACTGAAGGACTGCTCACGTGGGGAGCCGGCCTATTGGGAGGGGGTTGGGTGAGTTCATTTCTTTCATTTTTAAGAAAAAAACAAACAAAAACATGGTGTGGCTTGGCACAAAAACACACCTTACGAATAAAAATGGGTTGCTAGACCCTCATGGCTAAGCCATCCCACCATTTTCTTGTATCATTTCTTCATACTACTATGCTTCTAAGTGGAAGAAGTTTAAAGAACCTCATGTAAAATGTGAGTGATTTTTCTTTTAAAATAGAACTATAATCAGTAAATAAAGAAGTGTCCCAGTTATTGTAACAGACCCTATTAAAACATACCTATTTAAAATGCTAAAAATGAAACTTAGTCTCCTTTTTAGCGATAAATTTCATTTTAGGATGACTTTAAATATATAATCTGTTGTTCTGAGCATTAGAAAAAATGTCCGCCTGTATGTGTGTACTCTGAAGATTTTCCAAGGCTGACTGAAGAAGGTTGTTAACTTTTTGGGGGCACACATTTGTTCTTATTTCCTGCCAGGGTAGTAATGGGTCTTGCTCTGCAATTTGGATGGTCTCTGCCATATTCTCTTTGGAGTACTGATAGTAATTACTGTGCATGAAGAGATTGGAGTCTTAAATAAGTTATCTTGGCTTATTCTTCCTAGCATTTTGAAATACAGTTCTGGGAAACTAGAATGAGGAAATTCTGCATCTAGGGAAAGTAATCCCGGAGTCATGGATAGGGTTTATATGTTGTAAAGCTATAAAGCCTCTTTGTCAGCCCATTCTAAGGATGGTTATTGGAGATTGGGGAACAACACATTCCAGTTTCTTTTTGTTTGTTTGTTTGTTTTTTTGAGACAGAGTCTCGCTCTTTCTCCCAGGCCAGAGTGCAGTGGCGGGATCTCGGCTCACTGCGAGCTCCGCCTCCCGGGTTCACGCCATTCTCCTGCCTCAGCTTCCCGAGTAACTGGGACTACAGGCGCCCGCCACCGCGCCAGGCTAATTTTTTTTGTATTTTTAGTAGAGATGGTGTTTCACTGTGTTAGCCAGGATGGTCTCGATCTCTTGACCTCGTGATCTGCCCGCCTCAGCCTTCCAAAGTGCTGGGATTACAGGCGTGAGCCACCCCGCCCGGCAACACATTACAGTTTTAATCAGGCAACAAAAAGGGCAGAGGAACAATAACCTGCAGTTGCCTGGAACTCTTCAAAGGCCAGTTGGCCTTTGAAGTTAGATAGCTTAGCCAAAAGAGGGATTTGTTAAGTATATCCTACTCAGTGTAGGCCATATTTTTTTCCTCTGCGTGTAGCCATGGTTCTGTGGGCTCGTTTCTCTCATTGTATCTTTAATGTTTAAATCTTTTTTTTTTTTTTTTTGAGATGGAGTCTCGCTCTGTTCCCCAGGCTGGAGTGCAGTGGCGCCATCTCGGCTCGCTGCTAGCTCCACCTCCCAGGTTCAGGCCATTCTCCTGCCTCAGCCTCCCGAGTAGCTGGGACTACAGGCGCCCGCCACCGCACCTGGCTAAAATTTTTTGTATTTTTACTAGAGATGGGGTTTCACTGTGGTCTCAATCTCCTGACCTCATGATCCGCCTGCCTCGGCCTCCCAGAGTGCTGGGATTACAGGCGTGAACCACCACGCCCAGCCCCTAATGTTTAAATCTTAATTGGGGTCTGGCTGGGTGGCTCATGCCTGTAATCCCAGCACTTTGGGAGGCGGAGGTGGGCAGATCACCTGTTTGAGTTAGAGACCAGGCTGGCCAACATAGTGAAACCCTGTCTGTACTAAAAATACAAAAGTTAGCCAGGTATGGTGGCGCACACCTGTAATCACAGATACTTGGGAGGCTGAGGCAGGAGAGTCGCTTGAGCCTGGGAGGTGGAGGTTGCAGTGAGCCAGGATTGCGCTACTGCACTCCGGACTGGGAGACAGAGCGAGACTCCATCTCAAAAATAAAAAATAAAAATTTAAATGGCTTTATAGTACAGCTTATTTAATTTTACTAAACCTATTTGCTTTTCTCCTAACAAGAGCATAGGTGTTTTACTGTGTGATCCCTGGGATTTATCTCACCTTAGCCATTTCCCTGTACCCTTTTTTAAGGGGCTCATAATTTCGTTATTCAGTAATCCTTAGCTGTTTTCTTGCCTGTAGTCTCATCTCAAACTAGCCTAACCTACTTGTCTTTAGACTTCTTCTTTACATGTTGCTCTTTTCTGGTTAGTCCCTTCTGTTGAAAAACTGGATGTTCATATCTGTGAGTGCCATTGATGTACTTAGCTGATTTTGGTAATAAAAATCAAGTATTCTAGAGTTGATCTAGTCTTTTCCCTAATCACATAAAGCAACAGTTTTCTTCTGAAATGGGCTGTATTTTGGATTACTTGACTTGGTTATTTCAATTAGTTTGCATTTTAGCTACCAGGCATTTTTCTTTGTAATTATCTTTTTTAAAGCATTCCACTCAAAGAGTTTGGTTTTTCTTTTTTTCAATACACATTTAAAAAGAGAAGCAGTGGTATCATGACAAATGGACCGGACTGTAACCTGTTAACTGATTGTATATGATGGAGATGAGGCATGGGAGGTATGAGGAGATGAGATGTGTATCAGGAGAGTGGGAACATGAGTGGACTAAAGGAACATACTGTGTTTGCTAGGTGATATGGAGGACCCGTTTGAGGTGCCTGGCAATGAATTTAAAGTGAGACCACTCACTTTTTTTTTTTTTTTTTGAGGCAGAGTCTTGCTCCATCGCCCAAGCTGGAGTGCAGTGGCGTGATCTCGGCTCACTGCAAGCTCCACCTTGCGGGTTCACGCCTCAGTCTCCCAAGTAGCTGGGACTACAGGCACCCGCCACCATGCCTGGCTAATTTTTTTGATTTTTAGTAGAGACTGGGTTTCACCGTGTTAGCCAGGATGGTCTCGATCTCCTGACCTTGTGATCAGCCCGCCTTGGCCTCCGAAAGTGCTGGGATTACAGGTGTGAGCCTCCACACCCAGCTGAGACCACCCACTTTTATTTATCTTTTATTTTAGCCGTGTTTCAGCTGAACATATGCAGGGCAGGAGTAAATAGAGTGAGTTAATCAGGGTTATGGTTTTTCCAAGTAGATACAATAGAATAAGAGAGACAAGGGAACTATAGGTTTATGTGAGATTAATTATCATGATTGACTAAAATTTAATCTGGGTAAAGCAAGACATGGGGGTTAGGATGGTGAAAATGTAATAGAATTAATGGATTTAAGGTTCTGGTGAGATTGAAGGATTGTAGAGTTGTGGGACTGGAGGGAGTGGATTTGGAACATAAGAGGGTATGTTCAAAGAGAGGATGGTGTGAAATTAGTTGTGGGAATGAGTTCTTTTTTTTTTTTTTTTTTTGAGACGGGGGTCTTGCTCTGTCCTCCAGGCTGGAGTGCAGTGGTGTGATCCTGGCTCACTGCACCCTCCTCCTCCCGGGTTCAAGCAATTTCGAGCCTCAGCCTCCCGAGTAGCTGGGGTGACAGGCATGTGCCACCATGCCTGGCTAATTTTTGCATTTTTAGTAGAGACGGGGTTTCACCATGTTGGCCAGGCTGGTCTCCAACTCCTGACCTCAAGTGATCTGCCTGCCTCGGCCTCCCAAAGTTCTGGGATTGCAGGGGTGAGCCACTGCGCCTGGCCAGAATGAGTTCTTAAAAGTGTTGGGTGAGGACAAAGGGGAGTTTGAGGCCCAGGTCAGGAGGTGTCTTTATCTATGAGCAGTGTTCATGTTGTTCTTACACTCACTGATGCTTCTATAAGAAAATGTACCTCAGAGTTAAGACAAAAGTACTTTAAACAGTATCATTTCTACTTAAAAGCATAAAATGCCCTGAATAGGAACCAACAGTGAAAGGATGAAAATTCAGTCTTGTTTCAAGAACAGTGCTTTTTAAACTTTTCAGATATTGCCATTTTGTAGATCAGATATCCTTAATCTGGGGTCCATGGATGGATTCTCTGAAATTGTATGCATAGTTTTTGTCTACTATTTCTGCTGGAGGGGTTCACAGATTTTGTTTAAATATTTAAGAATCATTAATATACATAAACAGAACTAGTTACATAGCAAAAATGTCTAGTATTAAGTCTGGATGTCAAGGGAATTTTGTGTTGACATGACAAAAACATTAGCTAACATTCATGTCTTTGTTTTTTCAGGGACAAAGTATCTATGAAGAGATATGAATATGTAGCTTTACCTGAATAGCTGGGGAAGAGGGCCTTTAAGATGCTTAAATGTTGCTTAAGTTAGTTTTAGATTTTAAAATTAATTTTGCTCCTATTCTTAAATTCTAGTATATGACTCTCAACCCTTCTACTAAGAGGAAGAATACTGGATCCCCAGACAGGAAGCCCTCAAAGAAATCCAAGACAGACAACTCTTCTCTTAGTTCACCACTAAATCCTAAGTTATGGTGTCACGTACACTTGAAGAAGTCATTGAGTGGCTCGCCACTCAAAGTGAAGAACTCAAAGAATTCCAAATCTCCTGAAGAACATCTAGAAGAAATGATGAAGATGATGTCGCCCAATAAGCTGCACACTAACTTTCACATTCCTAAAAAAGGCCCACCTGCCAAGAAACCAGGGAAGCACAGTGACAAGCCTTTGAAGGCAAAGGGCAGAAGCAAAGGCATCCTGAATGGACAGAAATCCACAGGGAATTCCAAATCTCCCAAAAAAGGACTGAAGACTCCTAAAACCAAAATGAAGCAGATGACTTTGTTGGATATGGCCAAAGGCACGCAGAAGATGACACGAGCCCCACGGAATTCTGGGGGTACACCTAGGACCTCTAGTAAACCTCATAAACATCTGCCTCCTGCAGCCCTACACCTCATTGCATACTACAAAGAAAACAAAGACAGGGAGGACAAGAGGAGCGCCCTGTCCTGTGTTATCTCCAAAACAGCTCGTCTTCTCTCTAGTGAAGATAGAGCTCGTCTCCCAGAAGAATTGCGAAGTCTTGTTCAAAAACGCTATGAACTTCTAGAGCACAAAAAGAGGTGGGCTTCTATGTCTGAAGAACAACGGAAAGAATATTTGAAAAAGAAACGGGAGGAGCTGAAAAAGAAGTTGAAGGAAAAAGCCAAAGAACGAAGAGAGAAAGAAATGCTTGAGAGATTAGAAAAACAGAAGCGGTATGAGGACCAAGAGTTAACTGGCAAAAACCTTCCAGCATTCAGATTGGTGGATACCCCTGAAGGGCTGCCCAACACGCTGTTTGGGGATGTGGCCATGGTGGTGGAATTCTTGAGCTGTTATTCTGGGCTACTTTTACCAGATGCTCAGTATCCTATTACTGCTGTGTCCCTTATGGAAGCCTTGAGTGCAGATAAGGGTGGCTTTTTATACCTTAACAGGGTGTTGGTCATCCTCTTACAGACCCTCCTACAAGATGAGATAGCAGAAGACTATGGTGAATTGGGAATGAAGCTGTCGGAAATCCCCTTGACTCTGCATTCTGTTTCAGAGCTGGTGCGGCTCTGCTTGCGCAGATCTGATGTTCAGGAGGAAAGCGAGGGCTCAGACACAGATGACAATAAAGATTCAGCTGCATTTGAGGATAATGAGGTACAAGATGAGTTCCTAGAAAAGCTGGAGACCTCTGAATTTTTTGAGCTGACGTCAGAGGAGAAGCTACAGATCTTGACAGCACTGTGCCACCGGATCCTCATGACATACTCAGTGCAAGACCACATGGAGACCAGACAGCAGATGTCTGCAGAGTTGTGGAAGGAACGGCTTGCTGTGTTGAAGGAAGAAAATGATAAGAAGAGAGCAGAGAAACAGAAACGGAAAGAAATGGAAGCCAAAAATAAAGAAAATGGAAAAGTTGAGAATGGGTTAGGCAAAACTGATAGGAAAAAAGAAATTGTGAAGTTTGAGCCCCAAGTAGATACAGAAGCTGAAGACATGATTAGTGCTGTGAAGAGCAGAAGGTTGCTTGCCATTCAAGCTAAGAAGGAACGGGAAATCCAGGAAAGAGAAATGAAAGGTAAAATTTCATGCTGAGAGAAAAGGGGAAGCTCTGTAGAAGATAGTAAAAGAAAGGAAATTACTGAGGTAATGGTAGGGTCTCTGTTTGTTTACTTATTTCTGTATGTAATAACCCAGCACCTATTGGTATGTATTTTATTTTTTATTAGTTCTGTTGATAATTTCATATTTCAGCTGGAGTGTTCAGCCTGGCATTCTGATTAGTTAATAAGTTAATGTGATGTTGGCATCTTTTCTGGGTTCAGTAAAGGACCAAATCTACAAATAGAAATAGTGGAAACAACATAGGACTTGGGAGTTGACTGACCTGGGTTCAGGTTCTAGCTCTGACTTAGCTGTACAGTGTTCCTTTGGGCAGATTACTTATCCGTGCCTCACTTTCCTCATATGCTTGATAAGATTGTTGTAAAATTGATTGACAAGGTATTTGAAGCCCCTAGCACGGTCACCAACTCAGATAGTAATCTGTCCTTTAAGATTTAAGAACTTAAAAATTTTGGGCTTTGATGGCTCCATCGAATCTGAACTTTTAAAAAGCAGCTTTATTAAGAAATAATCGACATACAGTATAATTAGTTCACTTATTGTGTATAATTTAGTGTTTTCAGTAGAGTCACAGATAATGTACAACCATTGCCAATTTTGTAACATTTTTATCATCTCAAAGAAACCTGCTACCCATGAACTGTCATTACCCCATTCGCCCATCCTCCCCAGCCCTGAGCAACCACTAGTCTACTTTGTCTCTATAGATTTGCTATTCTAGGCATTTTCTCTAAATGGAATTGTATAATAAATAGTCTGTTGTGACTTTCACTTAGCATAATGTTTTACATGCTACAACATGAATGAATCTTGAAAACATTATGCTAAGTGAAAGAAGCCAGTCACAAAATAGACCACCTCTATTTAGTTCTAAAACATTTTTTTTTTTTTTTTTTTGAGATGGAGTCTCGCTCTGTCACCCAGGCTAGAGTGCAATGGTTTGATCTTGGCTCACTGCAACCTCCGCCTTCTGGATTCAAGCGATTCTCCTGCCTCAGCCTCCCGAGTAGCTGGGATTACAGGCATGCGCCATCATGCCTGGCCAATTTTTGTGTTTTTGTAGAGATGGGGTTTCACCGTGTTGGCCAGGCTGGTTTCGAACTCCTGATCCACCCGCCTCAGTCTCCCAAAGTGCTGGGATTACAGGCGTGAGCCACTGTGCCCGGCCAGCCACCATGCCGGGCCAGCCACCATGCCTGGCCCCAAAACATTTTTAAAAGAAAACCCAAAAGTCACTCACTCTTCTCCCTTGTCCACATCCCCCAGCAACCACCAATCTGTTCTCTGCATCTATGGATTTACCTATTCTGGATATTTCATGTAAATGCAATCATATAATATGTAGCCTTTTTATGGCTGGCTTTTTTCACTTAGCATGTTCTCCAGGTTCATCCATGTTGTAGCATGTGTTAGTACTTCATTCCCTTTTATGGCTGGATAATATTCCATTGTTTGGATATACCACGTTTTGTTTCTCATTCATCACTTGATAAACATTTAGATTGTTTTCATCTTTTACCTATTATGAACAATGCTGCCATAAATATTCATGTATGAGTTTTTGAGTAGTCATATACTTAAATTTCTTTAGAGTAAATACCTCGGAATAAGATTGTTGGGTCATATGATTATGTTTAACCATCTGAGAAACTGCCAGACTGTTTTCCAAAGTGGCTGCACAATTTTACATGCCCACCAGCAGTGAATTAAAGGTTCTGACTTTTCTCCTTCCTCATCAATACTTGTTATTTTCTGACTTTTTGATGATAGTCATACTAGTGGGTGTGAAATGGTATCTCATTGTGGTTTTGATTTGCATTTCTTTGATGGCTAATGATGTTGAACCATCTTTTCATGTGTCTCCTGGCCACCTGTGTATCTTTGGCGAAGTATTCAGATCATTTGCCCATTATTAAATTGAGTTATCTGATTATTATTGAGTTGTAAGAGTTCTGTATATATTCTAGATACAATTCTCTGTCTGATACCTGGTCTACAAATATTTTCATCTATTTTGCGTGTTGTCCTTTTACTTTTTTTGGGGGAGACGGAGTTGCGCTCTTTTTTGTGCCCAGGCTAGTGCAGTGGCGTGATCTCAGCTCCCTGAAACCTCTGCCTCCTGGGTTCAAGTGATTCTCTTGCCTCAGCCTCCCGAGTAGCTGGGATTACAGGCGTGTGCCACCACACCTGGCTAATTTTATATTTTTAGTAGAGGTGGGTTTTCACCATGTTGACCAGGCAAGGTCTCGAACTCCTGACCTCAGGTGATCCGCACGCCTTGGCCTCCCAGAGTGCTGGGATTACAGCTGTGAGCCACTGCACCTGGCCTGTCCTTTCACTTTCTTAGTAGTATCATTTGAAGCACAAAAGTTTTTTAAATTTGATGAGGTTCATTTTATCTATTTATTCTTTTGTTACTTATAGATTTGGTGTTAGATTTAAGGATCTTTTGCCAAATCCAGGGTCATGAAGATTTACTCCTGTTTTCTTCCAAATGTCTTAATAGTTTTGCCTCTGAAATTTAGGTCTTTTATTTTCAGCTAATTTTTATAGTGTAAGGTAAAAGTCCAGCTTTATTTTTTTTTGCATGTGGCTCTCCAGTTGTCCTAGTGCCGTTTTTTGAAATGACAAACCTTTCCCCATTGAATGGCCTTGATACGCTTGTCAAAAATCATATGACTGTAGGATACGTTGGCTTATTTCTGGACTCTGAATTCTATTTCACTGATCTGTATGTCTGTCTTTATGTAAAAGCCACACTGTCTTGATAACTTTGCTTTGTAGTAAGTTTCGGAATAGGGAAGTGTTGATCTTCCAGCTTGTTCTTTTTCAACATTTTCTTTTTTATTTTATTTTGAGACAAGGTCTCATTCTGTCACCCAAGCTGGAGTGCAGCAGTGTGATCTCAGCTCACTGCAGCCTTGACCTCTTGGGCTCAAGTGGTCCTCCCACTTCGGCCTCCCGAGCAGCTGGGACTTACAGGCATGTGTCAGCACGCCTGGCTAATCTTTTTATTATTTGTGGAGGCTGGTATTGAACCCCTAAACTCAAGCAATCTTCCTGCTTCAGCCTCCTAAAGTGCTGGGATTACAGGCCTGAGCCACCAAACCCCGGCTTGAATAGTTCTTTCATTAGAAAATGTATATTCCTTTTAAAACAAATTTTAGTTTACACTACTTAAGGCCATTGAAATATTTTTGCATATGTATGCATACTGTGCCTGAGTATACATATGTAATGTGTACTTTCCATTTTATTTATTTTTTTGGATACAGAGCGTCGCTCTGTCGCTCAGGCTGGAGTGCAATGGTGCGATCTGGCTCACTGCAACCTCCACCTCCCAGGTTCAAGCTATTCTCGTGCCTCAGCCTCCTGAGTAGCTGGGATAACAAGGCATCTGCTACCACACTCAGCTAATTTTTGTATTTTTAGTAGAGATGGGGATTCACCATGTTGGTTAGGCTGGTCCCAAAACTCTGACCTCAAATGAACTGCCTGCCTCAACTTGCCAAATTGCTGGGATTAAAGGCATGAGCCACCGCCCCTGGCCATTGTATTAACATTTTAAAGACATATGAACAGGCCAGGCTCGGTGGCTCACAGCCTGTAATCCTACACTTCGGGAGGCTGAGGCAGGCAGATCACGAGGTCAGGAGATCAAGACCATTCTGGCCAACACGGTGAAACCCTGTCTCTACTAAAAATACAAAAATTAGCCTGGCATGGTGGCGCATGCCTGTAATCCCAGCTACTCAGGATGCTGAGGCAGGAGAATTGCTTGAACCAGGGAGTCTGAGGTTGCAGTGAGCCAAGATCGGCCACCGTACTCCAGCCTGGGGGACAGAGCGAGACTCTTGTCTTTTTTAAAAAAAAAAAAAGATCAGCTGGGTGTGGTGGTGCCTGTAATTCCAGCTACTCGGCCTATAATTCCAGCTACTCGGGAAGCTGAGACAGGATAATCGCTTGAACCAGGGAGTTGGAGGTTGCAGAGAGCCGAGATCACACCACTGCACTCCAGCCTGATGATAGAGCGAGACTCCATCTCAAAATAAATAAATAAATAAATAAATAAATAAATTAGCTGGCTGTGGTGGCACACGCCTGTAATCCCAGCTACTTGGGAGGCTGCGGCAGGAGAATCGCTTGAACCTGGGAGGCAGAGGTTGCAGTGAGCCGAGATCATGCCGTTGCACTCCAGACTGGGTGACAGGGTGAGACTCCGTCTCAAAACAAAACAATACCTATCAAGAAAGTATAACTGCGGCCGGGCGCAGTGGCTCAACACCTACAATCCCAGCACTTGGGGAGGCTGAGGTGGGCGGATCACCTGAGGTTGGGAGTTCAAGACCAGCCTGACCAACATGAAGAAACCTTGTCTCTACTAAAAATACAAAATTAGCCGGGCGTGGTGACACATGCCTGTAATCCCAGCTACTCGGTAGACTGAGGCAGGAGAATCACTTGAACCCGGCAGGCGGAGGTTGCGGTGAGGCGAGATCATACCATTGCACTCCAGCCTGGACAACACGAGAGAAACTCTGTCTCAAAAAAAAGAAAAAAAAAAAAAGTATAACTGTGTTCCAGATGAAGCAGAATGTAGGTTAAAACCTTCAGCTCTATTTTATCTGAAACGTAATAATTTCTTCTTGCATTTTTGGACTGCTCCACTGTGTTTTATATTTATCTTAAGAGAAGGAAAAGAAGATGATACTCTGTTATTTGTATGGAAACAAGAGACAGAATATTAGTGTTTTACCAAGATCAGTATTTGGATTAGAGTTCAGGTCTTTGGATAACTAGTTCAGTGCTGTAACCTCTGAGACAGAATTTGGTCTTCCTTTGGTGACTTGTCCTAAGTTGGTTTATGTTTGTTTGTAGTCTTGGGAGACTGAACTTTTCCTTGATTGTAATTGGGCCATCACTCACTCTCTCGCTTTTTTTTTTTTTTAATCATTTACCTTTGTGCTATTTTCTACTATAACCATTGTTACAAATACACAGTTTCACTTGGGCTAGAAAACTGTTTATCAAAGGTAACAAATTCCATGTTTTAAATAAATGGAATTTATCTTAAGTTTTTAAAGTAACATCTTTAGACAGATGCATTTTCCAGATTTACATCTTATTGTAGATGTTATTGTCAATAGACAATCAGGGTTAAAAATTATTGGGGCTGAGTGCAGTGGCTCACATCTCTAATCCCAGCATTTTGAGAGGCCGAGGCAGGAGGATCGCTTGAGCCCAGAAGTTTGAGACCAGCTTGGGCAAACATAGTAAGACCCTATCTCTAAAAAAATAATAAACACTTCTTAAAAATTGTGACATTGTAAATAGCATTGCCATGTACCCTATGGTGTCAAGGTTTGTGACAATTATGGAAAAACTTAACAAAATTAGCGGGCTGCTTTTGTTGAGGGAAATTTCTAACTGAATAAACCTAATTAATGAATGATCAGAAATAAAATTTTTATCATTAACAGTAACTTGCAGAATAATTAGAAAAATAGGTGTTCAATGTAAAATAATTATTATCCACAAGTGCGTCCCTGCTGTTGCTTTTCAGGTTTGTTTTCTTGTCATCAGGGCTATTAAGCCAAATTACTGTCAGATTCCTCAGGACTGAAATATGTTTTATTTTGAAATAGTTATTTTACTAGTTTGATTTATCGTGATCTTTTTGAGGATCCTGTAGGTGCACCTGTCAGAAGATGTTTCAGTTAGTCCTATTTATGGACTGTTAACTGTTTCTTCAGGATTGTTTAAAATATATTAAGAAGTGATATTTTGGCTGGGTGTGGTGGCTCACGCCTATAATCCCAGCACTTTGAGGGGCCGAGACGGGTGGATCAGTTGAGGTCAGGAGTTCGAGACCAGCCTGGACAACATGGGGAAACCCCGTCTCTACTAAAAATGTAAAAATTAGCTGGACACGGTGGTGTGTGCCTGTAGTCCAGCGACACAGGAGGCTGAGGCGGGAGAATTGCTTGAACCCAGGAGGCAGAGGTTGCAGTGAGCCGAGATCGCACCACTGCACTCCACCCTGGGTGACAGAGCAAGACTCTGCCTCAAAACAAAAACAAAAAGAAGTGATATTTTGGAGATAAAAGATTTTGCATTGAGTTGAGGGATGAGATGTCACCACAAATTCAAGGAGTGTAGGAGGACTAGATGTTGCTGCCTTACATGTAATTTCTTGTAACAGATTAGAATTAGAGAAAGCAAACTAAGATTTGATAACTACTGTATACTAGGCACTTTTTACTCCATATTTTATTTAATTTGTAAGAGTGGGATTTACTAGGAAAATATCTGATTTGAGTCTTTTTATTTTTAACAGTGAAACTGGAACGCCAAGCTGAAGAAGAACGAATACGGAAGCACAAAGCAGCTGCTGAGAAAGCTTTCCAGGAAGGGATTGCCAAGGCCAAACTAGTCATGCGCAGGACTCCTATTGGCACAGATCGAAACCATAATAGGTCAGTTCCTAAACCAAATTTTTGTTTTCTTTAGGACTATTTACATTGCTATTAGTTAGGAAAATTTTCTAAAGTACAAGAATAGACAAGCTTCTCTCTTCAGTTTTCCAATTCTTTTTGGAAACAGAATTGTTGATGATTATTGAATATTAACTGCCAAATGCTAGAGTTGCAAAGTTAAGTAAGACATATTCCTGCCCTTGCATATACCACAAGTAGGAAGCTTACATGATGGTGATAGGTGAAATGTAATCCAAGTCTTTAAAAATGGCAGTAGGTTTTAAATACATACATTTTGTGAAACCTAAAGGAGAAATATTAGTAGTTACACAAATTAGGGCTGGGCGTGGTGGTTCACACCTGTAATCCTACACTTTGGGAGGCTGAGTCGAGAGGATTGCTTGAGGCCAGGAGTTCAAGACCAGCCCGGCCAACATAGCGAGACCCCATTTCAATTTAAAAAAGAAAGAAATTATACAAATTACGAACATTAAGCTAGTCTCCAGTTTCAACATTTCTCGTATACTTTGATTTACCTTGCAATTTTTATCTGTCTAGAGTTCTGAAGAGGAAGAATTCTGTAAACTGTGGTTTTGAATGCTCAGTGATACTCTGTATTATCTTCTCCAGCAGTAAAATCATCCTGCAATCCTGATCTATTCACTGTCTTATTAATACTGGTTGTGATTTGTAGATACTGGCTCTTCTCAGATGAAGTTCCAGGATTATTCATTGAAAAAGGCTGGGTACATGACAGCATTGACTACCGATTCAACCATCACTGCAAAGACCACACAGTCTCTGGTGATGAGGATTACTGTCCTCGCAGTGAGTATATCTGTATATCTAAGAGTTATTTCACCCTGCTCAAGTGGGCTCAACATTAAGGACTGCTTTTCCTCTGTCACGTTTTCCATTTGCAGAATTTCTTTATTGTGGTCTTAGATCTATTTGAGTGAAGTAGGTAGATGTGAAATGTGTAGAAAGAAGGAGAGAAACCCACGTTTGATTACCACCTTTGTTCTAAGCATAGTGTGAGAAGATGAAGAGCTTGAATATGAGGATATTTGGGTATTAGCTTTTATAGGAGCAGTTTTCAAACTTTGTCCCTTGGAAGCCTTTGTAGGTGCCTCAAGGGCTGAAATTGAGGTATGGGGTCTAAGAAGGGCAGTGTTAGATGTCCTCTTCTTCTTCTTCTTTTTTTTTTTTTTTTTGAGACGGAATTTCACTCTTGTTGCCCAGGCTGGAGAGCAATGGCGTGATCTCGGCTCACTGCAACCTCCACCTCCTGGGTTCAAACACTTCTCCTACTTCAGTCTCCCGAGTAGCTGGGACTACAGGTGTGTGCCACCACATCTGGCTAATTTTTGTATTTTTTGTAGGGACGGGGTTTCGCCATGTTGGCCAAGCTGGTCTCAAACTCCTGACCTCAGGTGATCTGCCCACCTCGGCCTCCCAAAGTGCTGGGGATTACAAGTGTGAGCCACTGCACCTGACCCTCTTCTTCTACTTTTAAAATTAATTTATTCAGTGTTTATGCTGAATCTCTATTTGTGAAGCAGTTTGTCATACGCTAGGGGTATAGCAGCAAACAAGACAGATAAGGTTCTTAAAATTCTTGTGAGGAGAAACATGGCAAATACCTAACGAAAAATGAGTGACTGAGAGGGGATCATGTAGGGACACTGGTAATATTCTTTCTCTTGATCTGGGTGCCGGGTATATGTGTTCAGTTTGTAAAAGAAACACACACTGAATAGTTTTCTGAATATATATCCATATTCTTTCTTAAAGTGTATGTATTGAGTATATTTCAAGAAAGAAATAAAACAAATTTTAATTAAAAAAATAAGATGGTTAGGTTAGGTCAGGTTTTCTCAACCTCAGTGTTACTGACATTTTGGGCTAGATGAATCTTTTTTTTTTTCCTCCCACCATGACACTGATGAGGAAGATAGTTTTTTGTACTGGGAGCTGTCCTGTGCATTATAGGTTATTCGGGAGCTCCCCTCTACCCACTAGGTGGTAGCAGTGAAAACCAAGTATGTCTCTAAATCCTGCCAGATACATGTGGCAGGCAGCAGTGCTCCCTTTCGAGAACCACTAGGTTAAATGATCCATAAGCTTCTTTCAGCTCTGCTGTCTGTAACCTAATGAAAATTGCTTATGTGTTGGTGTCATGTGGGAGATAAAGAAATAAAAGAAGTTGCTTCCTGAGTACTAGGTTATTGTGCTTCTTCGATAAATCTTTATTTTTTAAAAAGTAATTCATTTTAGAGAAATTCCTAACTCAAGCTTGAAACTCACAAAATTGTTAAATAAGAATAATACTGATTTACAAAAATAAACATTCCTTCAAATAAAACTTCAGATTTAAGGTGTTTGCATGTTGAATTATATCGAGCATAGATTATGTCACTTTATAGAAGAATCTGGTTTCGTTAGACTTCATAAATACTCAGGTGAGGGCAGTTAGGTTTGAGAGCAGTAACTGTGGAGCCTGGATGTTTAGATTTGGAAGAGATTCCAGTGGGATGAAGGAGTGTTACTTTATAATGTGTCCCCGAGACAAGATTGGGGAGCCAGACCCTTCACTTCTAGAGCATCCTGGTGGATGTTGTTTCGTGTTTTCCAGTTCTAGAATGGCAGTTTTTATTTAAAATTACCCAACTGAGGCTGGATGCAGTGGCTGATGCCTATAATCCCAGCACTTTGGGAGGCTGAGGCAGGCGGATCACTTGAGCTCAAGAGTTAAAAGACCAGCCTGGCCAACATGGCGAAACCCCGTCTCTACAAAAAACACAAAAATTAGCCGGGTGTGGTGGCGGGCACCTGTAATCCCAGCTACTTGGCAGGCTGAGGCAAGAGAATTGTTTAAGCCCAGGAGGCAGGGGTTGCAGTGAGCCAAGATTGCGCCACTGCACTGCAGCCTGGGTGACAGAGCAACATTCTGTCTCAAAAAATTAAAAAAAATAAATAAATTACCCAATTGAAAAGACTAAACAAAGTTATGTGTTAGTATTGCAGAGATGTTTCAGGTTAAAGTGGGGAGAATGGGAAAGAGAAGATAAACAATCATAGTATGAGGTAAGGCTTCAAATATTGTGGTGACTGGCCGGGCGTGGTAGCTCACACCTGTAATCCCAGCACTTGGGAGGCCAAGGCGGGCGGATCACCTGAGGTCAGGAGTTGGAGACCAGCCTGGCCAACATGGTGAAACCCCATCTCTACTAAAAATAGAAAAATTAGCCAGGTGTGTTGGTGTGTGCCTGTAATCCCAGCCACTCGGGAGTCTGAGGCAGGGAGAATTGCATGAACCTGGGAGGCAGAGGTTTCAGTGAGCTGAGATTGTACCACTGCACTCCAGCCTGGGCGACAGAGCGAGACTCTATCTCAAAAAACAAAACGAAACAAAACAAAAAACCAAATATTGTGATGATCTAAGATAGGCTTTGATAAATTGGCTCAAGATATATCTATGTTAAAGTCACGTATCAGTATATAGGAACTGATTTACAAAAAAGTTAGTTGTATTATTTGACACTTGAAGCCTCCAAGGATAAGTCTATAGTATTTATATGTTCTCATTACCTCTGCTTCACTACAGATGCCTTTGCTCTTAACATCATGTAAAAGGAGTAAATTCTTTATTTTGCTTTGATATAAAGATATTTAGTCATTCTTCATTCTAAGTTGCAGTACCCCTAAACTTTGGAACTGTGTAACGATTCCACTTCAGAGAGCAAATATCTGAGATAACATGCTGTGTTTAAGATATTTAAGAGAAATTAGCATCTTTTATACATGAAGATATATTTGATATATTTCACAGGAAGTATCTGTGTTGTTACAAATTGTTGAGTTTGGCACTGTGTACTGCTTAGATTTGAAACTAGCAATTGGGTATTTACTAAAGTCAACCTAATGTCTCAATTTTTCTTAGGTAAGAAAGCAAACTTAGGTAAAAATGCAAGCATGAACACACAACATGGAACAGCAACAGAAGTTGCTGTAGAGACAACCACACCCAAACAAGGACAGAACCTATGGTAATGTGAGCATTCATCTGGTTGCTCTTTCTTTTTCCTTTTAATTGTTAAGGAAGAAAGTATTTAGTATAGTGATGCCAGTGAGTTAATAATTATTTGCGCAGGATACTTTGTGTGACTGATATTTTGGATATCAAAACTTCTTGCATTAGCAGACCTGATTTTTTGTTAAGAAGATACTTGTTTTTTTAAGGGTTGGAATTTTGATTTTTTCCCCCCTGTAATATAACTTTGTATATTATGTGATAGATCTTATATAGCAGTAGAAATGTAGCTTAAATTTGGTTGGGAATAGAAGTATTTAAGATTTTCCTTAAATTTTATTAATTAACAAATTGTATGCATAGCTATTCGTTTCCTTTATGCGCATTTCTGCTTTTAGGCAGCGAGCTAGGTTTTAGAGGATCCATTCTACGGCTTTAACTGTGATCACCTGTGATTTAATGACCTTTCATTTTTGAATTTTGGGTATAGGTTTACTCTCTGGAGGGAAAGGGACAAGTATGCCAATTAACTTTATAAAATTTCATATAATATTTTAATAGGAACCATATTGGCTCTGGTGTCCTAGTACAGAATTAACATTAGGCATCATGAAAATAGTAAATTACTTATTCTACTTCTAGATAGTAGATTGTGAACACATTTGGAATTCTGTTCTCCCAAGTCCCACCACCAACTCTAGATCCCTTGCTTAGTGTTTGATTTTGAATTTTTTTTTTTTTTTCAGAGTTATCAGGTCTCTTTTGCCCCTACAGGTTTTTATGTGATAGTCAAAAGGAGCTGGATGAGTTGCTAAACTGTCTTCACCCTCAGGGAATAAGAGAAAGTCAACTTAAAGAGAGACTAGAGAAGAGGTAAGAGGTTTTCATCTTACTCCTCACATCTTACTTCTCTTTAGCATTGGATATAAATATCTGAGGGTTTTTTTTCTTATCCATTTAAGTTACTAAAGTAAAATATTTTAAATGTGTAACCGTTTTGTGTTCATATTGCCTGGTATTTTCTTGGCATATTATGCTTATTGGAAAAATATACCTTTGGCCATCTATATATAGAGTAGCAGGATTATTATGCACTAAAGAACAGTTGCCAGCACCAAGCTGTGAGCCTCATGGTTGTCAGACAGCTTTGCAGATGGAGGCCCAGATGGGTGGGTGTCCAGAAGTATTCTATCAATATTCAGAAGAGCCAAAAGGTGGAAACAACGGCAATGACTATCAACTGATGGAACGGATAAATAAAAGTTAGTATATATCCAGGCCTTGTGCGGTGGCTCACACCTGTAATCCCGGCACTTTGAGAGGTAAAGGCAGGCCAGTGTCTTGCATCCAGGAGTTTTGAGACCAGCCTGGGCAACATAGGGAAACTCCGTTTCTGAAAAAAAAAAACAAAACAAAAATTATCTTGGGTGTGGTGGTTTGTGTATGTAGTCTTAGCTACTTGGGAGGCTGAGCTGAGTTGATCACTTGAGCCCAGGAGGCGGAGGTTGCATTGAGCCAAGATCATGCCCCTGCACTCTGGCCTGGGTGAGAGAGCGAGATGCTGTCTCATACAAAATGAAACAAAAAACCCCCAAAATTTAGTATATTCAAATAGTGGAATATTATTTAGCCACAAAAAGAAATGAAGTACTGTTCTGTGCTACAACATGAATGAACCTAGAAAACATGCTAAGCAAAAGAAGTCAGACATCAAAGGCCATGTGGTGTATGATTCCATTCAAATGAAACATCTTAGAATAGGCAAATCTATTTCAAACAGAAAGTGGATTAGTGGTTGCCAGAGGATAGGGGAAGGGGAGAATAGGAGTGATGATTGCTAACAGGTAAGAGATTCCTGCTTGGGGTGATGAAAATGTTTTGGAATTACATGTGTGGTTCTACAACAAAAAACTGAAGTACATGCTTCAAGTTGGTGAATTTCATGTCATATGAATTAAAAAGAATCAAAAAACCCTGTTCTGTCTACAAAGTAGCATCAAATTTGCGACTGCCATATTTGTTGTAGACATTATTTCTATCAAAGCCAGGACAAGATTTTGGCTTAATGCCTCCTCTCATTGCTGACTCTGTGCTCAATTTCACGGTTGAATTTAGGTTTGATGGAAGAGAGAAGGAAAATATGATTCAGTACATACTCTACACCATTGCCAGACTTTTGCGAAGGACAATAGGTACATTATATTGATGTTAGCCCACTGCTTAATGTGTAAATTAAGTAAAACTGTATTCAGAATTGTGTTGTCTGAATACAGATGTGTCTAGGCAAATTAAGAAAGACAGAGGAGGGCCGGCCGCGGTGGCTCACGCCTGTAATCCCAGCATTTTGGGAGGCAGAGGCAGGCGGATCACAAGGTCAGGAGTTCGAGACCAGCCTGGCCAACATGGCAAAATCCTGTCTCTACTAAAAGTACAAAAATTAGCCAGGCATGGTGGCGGGTGCCTGTAGTCCCAGCTACTAGGTAGGCTGAGGCAGGAGAATTGCTTGAACCCGGGAGGTGGAGGTTGCAGTGAGCCAAGATCGCACCACTGCACTCCAGTCTGGGCAACAGAGCGACATTCCATCTCAAAAACAACAAAAAAAAAAAGACAAAGGAAAATGTCGGTATACAGAGCCACAAAGAAATATAGTTCTATGATGTTCCTTCTCTTTGGGCAGAGCATTTGATAGCTATGTGTGTTGAATTGAAAAGACCTGTTTTGTTCACTAAATATGAAGATCGAATCCTTCCATTAAAAGCTTAGAAGTGGCTGGGTGTGGTGGTGCACACCTGTAATCCTAGCAGTTTGGGAGGCCTAGGGGAGAGGATCGCTTGAATTGAAATCAGGAGTTTGAGACCAGCCTGGGCAACATAGCAAGACCCCATCCCTACAAAAAATTAAAAATATAGCCAGGTGTGGAGGGGTATTCCTGTAGTCCCAGCTGTAGGCTCAGGTTGGAGGATTGCATGAGTCCAGAAGTTTGAAGGTGCAGTGAGCTGTGATGGCACCTTTGCACTCCAGCCTGTGTGACAGAGCAAGACCCTGTCTCGGGGGAAAAAAAAAAAAAAAAAAGAAAAAAGAAAAAACACCAGGGAGAGGTGAAAGAGATCTAAGTAAGTTTTCTAGAAATAAAACATGTTAAGTAATTGAAATTTGAAGAACATCTTCAAAAGTTTGTTTCTTTCCCCATTCTCTTGTCCCAAATCTTCTAGGTACCAGGACATTATTCACTCTATTCATCTAGCACGGAAGCCAAATTTGGGTCTAAAATCTTGTGATGGCAACCAGGAGCTTTTAAACTTCCTTCGTAGTGATCTCATTGAAGTTGCAACAAGGTTACAAAAAGGAGGACTTGGATATGTGGAAGAAACATCAGAATTTGAAGCCCGGGTAGGAATATAAGAAAATCCCCCTTAGATTACTCATGGCAACTCAATCTGAAGTTCTTCCCTGGTGCTGTTCTTGACTTCCCAACATGACCCTCCTGGAAATCAGATGTTTGGATTTGTCTTGGAAGACATGTATGGAACCAAAAATACCTTATGTATATGTATTTTTTCCTTGTTATCTTTTGCTGCTATCCAGAAAAACTTAGTAATTGGCTTACAACCTTGGTATGAAAAGAGCTTCACTACTAAGGTGAATGAAAACTGGTTGTAGAGGCTCCAGTCGTATAGCATCATTTAACATCTTTACCTTGCGATGCCTGTGCTTTCAGGTGTGAAACATGCTTGCATATCCTGCACTTGCCCATTCTTCACACTCAGTCAGCTCAGATTTCTATTTATGTTGGGCATCACTCATGTTGTCCAGTGTGCTGTCATTACAGTCCTGTCCTTTATTGCTCAGAGGGACCCTTAAGTGGTATAGGTGAAACTTTTCAAAAGATCCCATACCCCGTAACAGGTAGGTTTAGGTATCAAAGATTGGTGAATAGTATCCATCAATTACTATTATAAACCGTTTTTTACTGATTTTAAATCAATAAGTCCACATAATTCTAGACATATTAATATTTGTGGGTCTTTTCAAATTCCTCATGCACTATGATGTTTTGTCTTTTTTTTCTTTTTAAAGAAATGAAGTCCCCTCTGTTACCCAGGCTGAAGTACAGTGGCACAGTCATTGCTCACTGCAGCCTCAAATTCCTGGGCTTAAGTGATTCTCCCATCTCAGGTTTCCAGGTAGCTGGGACTGCAGGTACAAGCAACCATGCCTGGCTGATTTTTAGAATTTTTTTGTAGAGACGGGGCATGTTGGCTCACGCCTATAATCCCAGCACTTTGGGAGGCTAAGGCAGGAGGATTGCTTGAGCCCAGCAGGTCGAGACCAGCCTGGGCAACATAGCAAGACCCTGTTTGACACACAAACACATGGAAAATTTTGTAGAGACAAAATCTCACTATGTTGCCCTGGCTGATCTCAAACTCCAGGCTTCATGAGATCCTCCTACCTCAGCCTCTCAAAATGCTAGGATTATAGGCATGAGCCACCTCACCCAGCCAACATATGTGCTCTTATAGTTTTGTGATTTTTATGAACAGTTTCATTTGCATTCCCCCATGCCATTTTTCCTAATTTATAAGTACTTTTCAACTATTTTAGCTTGTTTTTCTTTGCTATTGGAATAAGCAAATAATATGTGTATCTTACATATGCACATTTTTTCTTTTTAATTAATCTTGTGATGAATTCTTGGTACATTTCCTGGGGAAAAGGATTTAAACATCTTTATGGTTCTTAATGATTTTTTTAAAAAGAATTATTGAACCCAAAGGATCTTGCAGGTTTCAGATGTTACATGTTTACTTTTTTGTGTAGCAAATGTTCATTAATTGCCTACTTTGTGCCAAATTCAGGCCTATATCTTGCTGACGTTAGGTTGTCATTTTTCTTAGTTTTCTTTGTGACTATTAAAACGTTATCTTCTAATTGGCATGTCTTGTGTGATTGACAAGATAGTATTTAAGGACATTTTTTATTTCTTTTCTTTTTATTTTTAAATTAATTGATCTTTTAAGAGATAGGTCTTGTTCATGCGGGCGCGGTGGCTTACGCCTGTAATCCCAGCACTTTAGGAGGCCAAGGTGGGCAGATCACTTGAGGTTGGGAGTTCGAGACCAGTCTGACCAGCATAGAGAAACCCCGTCTCTACTAAAAATACAAAAATTAGCTGGGTATGGTGGCACATGCCTGTAATCCCAGCTACTCGGGAGGCTGAGGCAGAAGAATCGCTTAAACCCGGGAGGCGGAGGTTGCAGTGAGCTGAGATCGCGCCATTGCACTCCAGCCTGGACGACAAGAGCAAAACTCCGTCTCAAAAAACAACAACAACAAAAAACCAAAAAAAAAAAGAGAGAGATAGGTCTTGTTATATTGCCCAGTCTGAAGTGCAGTGGCTATTCACAGATCATAGCTGACAGCAGCCTCAAACTCCTTCTGCCTCAGTCTCCCAAGTAGCTGGGACTACTGGCATGTGCCACCACACCTGGCTGGGTGCATGATTTTGATGAAGTGATTTAACTTCTGTTTCCTCATCTATCAGGTAGATGTGAAGCTTAAAAAGAGATCAGTGAAGCAGGAGGATCGCTTCAGGCCAGGAGTTTGAGACCAGCCTGCGCAACATAGTGAGACCCTGTCTCTAAAAAGAATTTAAAAAATTAGCCAGGCGTGATGCCATGTACCTGTGGTCCCAGCTAATGGGGAGGCTGAGGCAGGAGGATCACTTGAGTCTGGGAGTTCAAGGCTGCAGTGAGTTGTGATTGCTGCACTTCTGCCTGGGTGACCCAGTGAGACCTATCTCTTTAAAAATAAAAAAAAGGAGATCAAGTTTGTAAAACATACTACCTTACATATAGTTAGTTACATGCTGGAAGCAAGTTAGAAATAAGAAAAAAATTAAAAAAACATTAAGATGGAAAGTCAGTGAATTTTTATTTTACTTTCTTAGTGTGTCTTTGCGTTAAAATTGTATTTTACACATAGTAGGCACTCAGTCATTATTGAATGAATCAACTATGTAACTCCTTTATGTGGGGGGGCTTCTGCCATTTAGTGGATCCCTTAGCTGGGAAAAGGGAAGTAGTCAAGTACTTTTTTTTTTTTTTTTTTTTTTTTTTCCCTGAGACGGAGTCTCGCTGTGTCACCCAGACTGGAGTACAGTAGCACGATCTTGGCTCACTGCAACCTCCTCCTCCCGGGTTCAAGTGATTCTCCTGCTTCCCGAGTAGCTGGGATTACAGGCACGTGCCACCACGCCTGGCTAATTTTTGTATTTTTAGTAGAGATGGGGTTTTGCCATGTTGGCCAAAGTGGTCTTGAACTCCTGACCTCAGGTGATTCGCCCGCCTTGGCCCCCCAAAATGCTGGGATTACAGGCGTGAGCCACTGCACCCGGCCAGTCAAGTACTTTTAAATGCATGAGCCATGCAGTGAACTGAGGAGCACAGTTAAATTAATGGTATGTGGCTCTCGATTTTGTTTAATGAATGTTATGTGGCATTTGAGTCTAGATTTATTTGAATTTGAGGTTGGATTCCTTTCGTCTTCCTCTGGGCCTTTTCTCAGTCTGGTTTTAAAATCCTTTCCTATAGGTCATTTCATTAGAGAAATTGAAGGATTTTGGTGAGTGTGTGATTGCCCTTCAGGCCAGTGTCATAAAGAAATTTCTCCAAGGCTTCATGGCTCCCAAGCAAAAGAGAAGAAAACTCCAAAGTGAAGATTCAGCAAAAACTGAGGAAGTGGATGAAGAGAAGAAAATGGTAGAGGAAGCAAAGGTATTTTGTTGTTATAAGTTGTAGTTTATGATTCCGTAGATGAGTTGATTTGGTTTTAAAATAATCTAACCCTATGCATTTTAGCTGCTATAGGCACTGTGCCCTGAGTGAGTGTTTTTGTGTGTGTGTGTGTTTTTTTTTTTTTTAATCACTTTCTACCCCTTCTGTGGTTTTCACACTGGCCTGTGGAGTGCAGCCCTGCTTCTTGGTCATTGGGTGATGGTCACAGTGGATGTGGCCTTCCCACCTTTACCAGAGTTTACTTTCTTTTTTTTGTTTTTTTTTTTTTGAGATGGAGTCTCGCTCTGTCACCAGGCTGGAGTGCAGTGGTGCAATCTCAGCTCACTACAACCTCCGCCTCCCAGGTTCAAGCGATTCTCCTGCCTCAGCCTCCCGAGTAGCTGGGACTACAGGTGCGTGCCACCACGCCCAGCTAATTTTTGTATTTTTTAGTAGAGACGGGGTTTCACCATGTTGGCCAGAGTGGTCTCGATCTCTTGACCTTGTGATCTACCCGCTTCGGCCTCCCAATGTGCTGGGATTACAGGCGTGAGCCACCACTCCTGGTCTACCAGTTTACTTTCTTTTTTAAAAAGGTGGTGGTGACTTTTAAACACATTAACAATTTGTTTATTTAATTTTTAGATACAGGGTTTTGCTCTTGTGTAAGCTGGTATGCGGTGATTTGCTTATAACTCACTGTAACCTTGAACTTCTGGCCTCAAGCTATCCTCCCACCTTGGCCTCTCAAAGTTTGATTGTAAGCGTGAGCCACTGCGCCCAGCCATGCTTGCTCTAGATATTTTTTAAATTTTGGTAAAAATATGCATAACATACAAATTTACTTTTTTTTTTTTTTTTGGAGAAAGAGTCCCACTCTTGCCTAGGCTGGAGTGTAGTGGCATAATCTCAGCTCACTGCAACCTCTACCTCCCAGGTTCAAGCAATTCCCCTGCCTCAGCCTCCCAAGTAGCTGGAATTGCAGGTGCATGCCACCATGCCTGGCTGATTTTTGTATTTTTTGTAGAGACGGGGTTTCACCATGTTGGCTAGGTTGGTCTCGAACTCCTGACTTCAGGTCATCTGCCCACCTCAGCCTCCCAAAGTACTAGGATTACAGGTGTGAACCACCACGTCCAGCCCAAATTTACCATTTTTATGTGTTCGATTCTGTGGCATTAAGTATATTCACGTTGTTTTGCAACCATCACCACCATCAGCCTTCAAAACTTTTTCATACACTTCTGACACCAAATACATGGGTTTTTACCACACTAAGCAACTCTCTAGTTCTCTGCTGATACCAACTACTCTTAAAATTCAGTTTAATTCTGACTCTTTCTACTTGGAGTTTGTGTCAGATCCTGCAAGTTAAAGTGCTCTGTCCCACGAGACTATTCTCACTTCAGATGCCAGTCGCAAGCCCCACGTTGCCACCTGTACCATCTATACATTGAGGATTCTCATGACCCTCTCCTTAAGTATGATAATTTGCTAGAATGCCTGACAGAACCCGGGAAAGCATTTTACTTAGGTTAACCGGGTCATTTTGAAGGATACTACTCAGGAACAGCCAGATGGATGAGACGTGTGGAACAAGGAAGGTGGCGGAGCAGGGGTACGTGGGGCTTTCACGTGTTCTCTGAACACTCCTTCCTTCCAGCTTCTGAGTGTGTTACCTGAAGCTGATCAGATCTTGTTCCAGTATCTTCGTAGAGCTTAATCTCCGAAGTCTCCCCTCCTCTTGCCTTTCAGGAGCTTGTGGGTAGGGCTGAACATTCCAGTCTTCTAATCATCTGGTCTTTCTGGTGGCCAGCCCCATAACTAGAGGTCTCACCGAAAGCCTCATTAGCATAAATTTAGGTGTGATCCAAAGGGGCTCCTCTGAATAACAAAAGACACTCCTATTAAGGTTTTAGTCTGCGGAGAAGGACCAAATATATTTATTATATCATGTCTCTATGTACCACATTTTGTTGATCCACTCACTTGGGTTGCTTCCGTCTTTTGGCTATTGGGAATAATGTTGCTGTGAACATGAATGTACAAATGAGTCCCGGCCGGGCGTGGTGGCTCACGCCTGTAATTTCAGCACTTTGGGAGGCTGAGGTGGGCAGATCACCTGAGGTCAGGAGTTTGAGACCAGCCTGGCCAACATGGTGACACCTCATCTCTACTAAAAATACAAAAATTAGCCAGGCGTGGTGGCGCACACCTGTATTCTCAGCTACTAGGGAGGCTGAGGCAGGAGAATTGCTTGAACTCAGGAGGCTGATGCTACAGTGAGCAGAGATGGAGCCACTGCACTCTACCCTGGGCAACAGAGCAAAACTCCATCTCAAAAAAACAAGAAAAACAACCAAAAAAGCCAAATATTTGAGTCCCTGCTTCTAATTTTTTTTCAGTGTATACCCAGTAGTGGGATTGCTGCATCATATGGTAATTCAGTGTTTAACTTTTTGAGGAACCACTCTATGGTTTCCTATAGTGACTGTACAATTTTACATTCTCTCCAGCAACTCATGAGGGTTCTGGTTTTTCCACATTCTCGCCAATACTTTTTTTTTTTTTTTTTTTTTTTTTTTTTTTTTTTTTTTTGAGACAGAGTCTCTGTCGCCGAGGCCGGAGTACAGTGGTGTGATCTTGGCTCACTGCAAACTCCCCTGGGTTCAAGCGATTCTCCTGCCTCAGCTTCCCAAGTAGCTGAGACTATAGGCGTGCACCACCACTCCTGGCTAATTTTTTTTTGTAGTTTTAGTAGAGACGTGGTTTCACCATGTTGGCCAGACTGGTCTCAAACTCCTGACCTCAGGTGGTCCGCCGGCCATGGCCTCCCAGAGTGCTGGCATTATAGGCCTCAGCCACCACGCCCAGCCTTTGCCAATACTAATGTCCTGTTTCTTTAATAGTATCCATCCTAATGGATATGAAGTTGTATCTCATTGTGGTTTTGATTTGTTTTTCTCTAATGATTTATGATGTTGAGCATCTTTTCATGTGCTTATTGTCCATTTGTCTACCTTATTTGGAGAAATATATATTCAAGTCCTTTGCCCATTTTTCAATTGGATTTTTTGTTGTTGAGTTGTAGGAGTTCTTTATATGTCCTTGATAATAACCCTTTTTCAGATGCATGATTTGCAAATATATTCTCCAGTTCCATGGGTAGCCTTTTCATTCTGTTGATAGTGTCCTTTGCATACAAGCATTTCATTTGCATGGAGTCTAACTTAACCTATTTTTTTCCATTGTTGCCTCCACTTTTGGTGTCATGTCCAAGAAATCATTGCCAGATTCAGTGTCATGAACGTTTCTTTCTCTTGTATTTTTCTAGATATTTTATAGTTTAACTTTTACATTTAGGTCTTTGATCATTTGAGTTAATTTTTGTCAGTGGTAGAAGGTAAGGCTTCAGCTTCATTTTTTTCATATTAGATACCCAGTTTCCTCACTTTTTATTTTTAAATGTAGCATGCTTTATTATTGTAAGTAAATAAAATGAGAGGTAAGTAAAATATATAACTCCCACCCTAGTTTCACTGCCCAAGGATGTCACTTTTTTAATAGTTTGGTGTCCTTTTTATGTATATACAAAGATTTGTTGGATTTATTAAAAGTGGAAACTTATACTGTGCACAACAGTCTTCAGTTTCTCACTTACCAGTATATTCTAAACATCTGTCCCCTCCGTCCCGTTAGTCCACACAGATCTACCTGATGTCATATTTGCTCTTTTCTGATTTTATTGCGTTTCTTTAGAAACGGGTCTCTACTGTCCATGCTGGAGTGCAGTGGTGCAGTCATGGCTCGCTGCAGCCTCAAACTCCTGGGCTCAGGCAATCCTCCCACCTTAGCCTGCCCTGAGTACCTGGGATTATAGGCGAGTGTCACCATGCCCAGCTAATTTTTAAATTTTTTATAGAGACGGGGCCTTGCTGTGTTGGCCGGCTGGTCTTGAACTCCTGGGCTGAAGTGATCCACCCACCCTGGCCTCCCAAAGTGCTGAGATTACAGGCATGAGCCACCTCGCCCAGCCACATTTGGTCTTTTAATTTTGTATTACTTATTAATAAATATGAAACTTAATAGAATAACTAGCAGCTCCATTTTTGTCTGTTTTGCGTATTAGATTTCTGCTTAAGATTACTTGTGAAGAAAAGAATTTGAGAACATTACATTATGGGAGAGGTCCTAACCATTATTTAGTGCAGAATATTGTCCCTAATTTTAGATTTGCCTCTCCCTGCCTTCTTTCCTTTTTTTTCACAAAGATCTGGTAAAGCCCTGCTTGTGCCAGTCGCTAGTAAGTTTGGAGGTTTTATAGAGATGAGTAAAAAAGCCTTAAGTTCAGGACCAGGTGCGGTGGCTCACGCCTGTAATCCCAGCACTTTGGGAGGCTGAGGCTAGCGGATCTTGAGGTCAGGAGTTCGAGACCAGCCTGGCCAACATGGTGAAAACCGGTCTCTTCTAAAAAAAAAAAGAAAAAATGCACACACACACACACACACCCCGAGTGTGGTGGTGTGGTGGCGCGAGCCTGTAGTCCCAGCTACTCAGGAGGCTGAGGCATGAGAATCACTTGAGCCCGGGAGGTAGAGGTTGCAGTGAGCCGAGATCGCACCAGTGCACTCCAGCCTGGCAACAGAGCGAGACTCCGTCTCAAAAAAAAAAAGCCTTAAGTTCTTGCCTTCGGGGAACTCAATTTGAGTGTGAGAGACCGGCAGGGGACGCTTACTGTGGTGTGACCAGTAATGATGAGAAACAGCAGTACTCAGGCTCACTGTGAGGGATACCCAGGGCACACTAGAGAAAACTTACCAGAGGGAAGAGAGGATGGGTTTTGAAGAATGTGTAGGAGTGGATCAGGTCATGGGAGGGGCAGCATAGGCCTGTTCAGATTGAACTGAAATTGGGCTCTTTGTCACTGACAGCTGGTTCTTGTTTGTCCTCCCCATTTACATAGAGTGAGTCTGCTGTCCTTTCCAAAGCTTATCAAATGTTTATACATAGTTGTCATGTTCCCCCTACATTTCTTCCTGAGGCCGAGGATGATATGTGATATGGGGGAGATAATTTTGGATAAGAGGTAAGCAGGGTGGAGAAAGAAAATTCAGTTTAGATAAAGATTTAATTCATGACTTAAGCTGAGACACTTACTATGTGGTGTGTCATTATCTTGCTGGGATTTAGTTTTCACCTTCCTGTGTTTCTTTTATTTTTAAAAATGTCTTTACTTTTTGGGATGGGGTCTCACTGTGTTGCCCAGGCTCTCTGCAGCCTCAGACTCCAGGCTTGTGATCTCCCACCTCACTTTCCCGAGTAGCTGGAACTACAGGTGCCTGCTACCATTCCTGGCTAATTTTTAAATTTTTATTTATTTATTTATTTATTTATTTATTTATAGAGAAGGGGTTTCCCTACATTGCCCAGGCTGATCTTGAACTCCTGGGCTCCAGTGCTCCTCCCATCTTGGCCTCCAAAAGTGCTGGGATTATAGGCGTGAGCCACCATGCCCAGCCTATGCTTATTTTATTTTATTTGTGAATGAATGAATGAATAACAGGGTCTCACTCTGTCACTCAGGCTGGTGGGTGCAGTGGTGTGATCTTGGCTCACTACAGCCTCAAACTCTTGGGCTCAGGTGTCCTTCTACTTCAGCCTCCCAAGTAACTGGGACCACAGGCATGTGCCACCATACCCGGCTTTTTCTGTATTTTTCTGTAGAGGCAAGGTTTCACCATGTTGCTGGTCTTGAACTCCTGGGCTCAAGTGATCCACCTGCCTTGGCCTCCCAGAGTGCTAGGATTACAGGCAGGAGCCACCGCATCTGGCCCTGTGTTCCTTTTAAATGACTGTGTATAGCACCTAGGTAACCTTTTAGATGTCTAAGATATTAAACAGTTAACTAGTCTCCTTAGCTAAATCTCTTCTCATTAGGCTTAAGTTTTAGTCTTACTACTACATAGGTTTTGTTTTTAACTCAAGTTCAATACAGAAGAGTCTCTTTCTTGATGTGATCTGTCCAAGAGTCACGTCTGTCCTTTCCATTTCTTTTCCTGCAACAGTGCTTCCTTCTCATTGAGAACTCACCCATCACTGTAGGGTTCTCATTAACTTCTGAAGTACTGTGTTCCACAGTGAAGTAAACTCATTTTAGTTTGTCAGATGAGACTTGTTCTTAGCTTAGTTGGGGAGGAAAATGTGAGAAGTTTGCAGGTCCAGACACAGTACATAAATGGAAAGCATGGAAGAGTTTCTTGGAAAATCAACTAGGTTGCCTACTAAGTAGTTCAGCAGTGTTCTGCATTAAAATGGCATTATGCCTCGTGGTTCCCCACCAGAGGTCAACTCAGCCACAGCTTTGAAATTTTCCACTGCTCTTTGCTTTGAAGGTTTCCACTTAGCAAGGGCCAAAGTTTTTTCAACTGGCACTAGGCTGTTGCATGAGCTTTTATCAGTCTCTAATCTAGGATTCAGCTTCCTTATTTATAAAAATGGATTGTCTCTCAAATCTCTTTTTGTAATAGTGGTTGATTTCGGTTTTTAATGCTTATTTTGTTTTATTGAATTAAATAGAAAAGACTGATATATTGTTTGGCAAAATCCTGGGTTTTGTTTGATTGTTTACTTTGGTGGCGTTTGTCCGGACATCCTGATTACAGATGCTCCTGAATTTAGGATGGGGCTATGTCCCAATAAACCCATTGTTTGACTTACAGTATTTATAATTTATGATGGTTTTATCTGGGTTTAACCCTATCATAAGTCGAGGAGCCTGCTGAATGTGTATCACTTTTTTTTTTTTTTTTTTCTCGAGATGAAGTCTTGCTCTGTCACCCAGGCTGGAGTGCAGTGGTGCAATCTCGGCTCACTGCAGCCTCCGCCTCCCGGGTTCAAGCAATTCTCCTGCCTCAGTCTCCCGAGTAGCTGGGACTACAGGCACACATCACCACACCCGCCTAATTTTTGTATTTTTAGTAGAGACCAGGTTTCACCATATTGGCCAGGCTGGTCTCGAACTCCTGACTTTGTGATCCGCCCGCCTCGGCCTCCCAAAGTGCTGGGATTATAGGTGTGAGCCACCACGCCCGGCCGAACGTGTATCACTTTTGCACCATTGTGAAGTCATAGGTTTGACCCATCGTAAGATGGGGTGATTCTGAATAACCAAAATACGGAAGCAGCCCAGGTAACTGTCAGCTGATGAATGGATAAACAGCATGTGCAATGTCTATTCAATGAGATATTGTTCAGCAGTAAAACTGATGAAAGTACTGTTACATGCTTTGCGAATGAACCTAGAAACATGCTCAGTGAAAGAAGCCAGTTACAAGGGCTACCTATTATTGTATGATACTATTTAAAATCTGTTTTTTAAAAAAACGAGGTTAAATAAGCCTATTCCCAAAACACCTTCAAATTTAAAAAAAGTTTTAATGAGGTCAGATGAGCTATTGGATGCTCAGATTTTATAATTCATAGGAAATAGTAAAAAGCAGGACTGCCCATGACTGTTTTCTTCCATACTGTGTGCACTACATGTGAATGTCCACTAGAGGACAGCAAAGCCCATTGGTAGTCATTCCCTGCCAGTTCTCAAGCACTTTTAAAGAACCGAACCTGAAATTCTTACATTGATATTCCATTGAAAAGATTTGGGTTATCCTCTCAAGAAGAGAATCTGCAGTAGTGTCTGTCAGCTCTCTTTTTATCAGGGGAGAAGACAGCAAGGCAGCTGTGATTGTGGACCTCAGTTTACTGAGGAGCTCTGCAAAAGTAAGGAAGGAGATTGCTGTTTTTCAAAGCAGATGTTGAAATATCTACAACAGAGTCAGTCAGTTTCCAGTTGAACTTTAGCAGCTTCTTAAATGTAGATTTTTGTATGTGTGTTTATATTACTTATCCTTGTTATTCATAAATTTATACACACAAGGCTCCCTGTGATTCTCTGTTTCTATAGGAAAGAGAAAAAGCAGCCCTGTTCCCCTCATCCCTCTCCCCAGTCTGTTTAGTACCCCACTTCGGAACAGAATCAACTATCTTTGTTCCTTGGCACCTGTATTTTAAAGCCCATGACCTTCCAGGATAACTGGCTGTTTTCCTTTAGGAGATTCATTACTTCACAAGGACTTCTTTGCTTCGGGCAGGGCATTGAAATCCAGCTGTGGTATTGGATTGGTGGTGTTGTGGTAGGTTATTGATTATCTTTTAAATCGGAGTTTTATTAGCTGTCTAAAATTGTTGCATTATAGCATTTACAGCATACAGGTGATCCTATTTTTAAATTATACTGAGTTGTTAGGTGGATTTCCCTAGAAGATGCTTGTCCCCAGTCATCCACCCACTCCACTGCATCTCTGTGTGACCTTTGGCAAGTTTTTTTCCCCCTTTGGAGCCTTTTATAAGAATAAATGGTTTAGATTAGTGAAGTTCTAGGAGGCAAGTGTCCTCAGAATTCTCTCATACTGTCCCCTGTTCCTAGTTCTCTCTCAGTGTCTTTGGTCAGTGTAGTAATGCTGGCCTGGTTTGGTCTCTGTTTAGGTTGCATCTGCACTGGAGAAATGGAAGACAGCAATCCGGGAAGCTCAGACTTTCTCCAGGATGCACGTGCTGCTTGGGATGCTTGATGCCTGTATCAAGTGGGATATGTCCGCAGAAAATGCTAGGTGCAAAGTTTGTCGAAAGAAAGGTATATTTAAATCAAATTTGCTTATGTGGGTATATTAGGGAGTAGGATTTCTATTCCCAAGATCTTCATTTCTACCCAAAAGAATTTTGTGTACACAGAATATAAGTGTGGTATAGATTTTACTCTCCTGCAGGTCTGTAACATGCCAGTCTTTGAAATGTCGTGCCAGGGAATCAGAGCAGGCCCTTTGTTCCTCGGTTTAGAGCATAACATAAAAGCAATTGATCTCTTCAATCTTCTGATTTTTTACAGAAAACAAAATTAGTTAATCCTTGTAACTATTTTAGTTAGTTTAGTTTTAAATCCTTTGATTGGCTCAGAACTTTAGTCATCTGTGAAGTAAGATATGTGCTTTCAGCAGGAGGCAGTCCGGGTACAGAGGGTGGCATGCAGTCTCATATGTGCAAAAGGAACTTCATGGTTAGAAGCCCCTTGCTGATTGGCTTTTCAGTGGCTAGAGTTATTTTCTGAGTTAGGTTAGAGATGAAAAGATCTACGTAAAATCATTCAGTTGCTGTAAAGCGTTCAATCGCTCTAGAATGAAGGTTGGAAGGAGAGATTACCATATTAAGTTGACTCAGCACAACACTTTTTCAAATGTAAGAAACCACATGGTTTAAGGGAACCCATCAGGGGCCGGGCGCGGTGGCTCACGCCTGTAATCCCAGCACTTTGGGAGGCTGAAGCAGGAGAATCACTTGAACCCGGGAGGCGGAGGTTGCAGTGAGCCGAGATCGCGCCACTGCACTCCAGCCTGGGTGACAGAGCAAGACTCTGTCTCCAAAAAAAAAAAAGAGAGAGAGAGAACACTCATCAGGCATAAGTTGAGAAACGTTTGGGGAGGTCGAAAAAGCAGCAAAATTTCCTACTCTCACTTGGGTTTTTTGTGCCTCTTAGTAATTGTTAACTGTTCTGTCATAGCCATGGGTAAGTTTTGGGATATAAATTAGGAGACCTGATTCCCAAATTATCTGTAATCTAAGTTATGCTTCATTTCTTTTTAGAAAATGCCTGCATTTACAAAGCAACAACTGGGTAGCATTCTATGGAACATGTCTCCTCGTGTGCCTTGAATTGTAGGGTGATTGCCTCTTCCTTACAGCTCATTGACTGCTGCTGTGCTCCCAACAATGCTATTCACATTTATCTCTCTGCAGGTGAGGATGACAAATTGATCTTGTGTGATGAGTGTAATAAAGCCTTCCACCTGTTTTGTCTGAGGCCGGCCCTCTATGAAGTACCAGATGGTGAGTGGCAGTGCCCAGCTTGCCAGCCCGCTACTGCCAGGCGCAACTCCCGTGGCAGGTGAGAATCTTTTCTTTTAAAAATAATTGAATGAATAAATATGAATAGCTGTTATAATTAAGCTTGAGTTATTCAAACAGAATGAATCTAAGGAGCTTTAAGTTCATCTTTTGGGTACAGAGCCTGATCATTTACAGTACTTCAATAGGAGCTCAAAGGACTCTGAGCTAATTTTAGCTGAATGTTGACATTTCTAGTTTTCACTGCCAGCCACATTCTCTGTCTTCTTGATCATACCTTCTTCTCAAGTAATGAAATCTCTCTCTCTGCCTTTAGCCTCCTGTTGCCCACTTCCTGTGTCTTCATGATTACTTCTGCTATCACCCACTGCTAAAAATCTCACACTCATTACCTTCCTTACCGATACATAATGTTTTCTTCCCTATCATGAGTAGAACTTGGGTGTCAACTTGGAAATGAACATCTCTCCCTCATCCTACA
This sequence comes from Homo sapiens, assembly GCF_000001405.40. Lineage (NCBI taxonomy): Eukaryota > Metazoa > Chordata > Mammalia > Primates > Hominidae > Homo > Homo sapiens. Next base: position 73,449,100 of record NC_000007.14, on the reverse strand, counting down.
AACCCATTAATTTGCCATGATATCAATCCAATGCCCAGATGTTTGATGATCCAGTTTCTTGCTCTCCATTCTCCGTGGTCTCCGCTATCATTTGTCCCTTCTACATCTGTCACCTGGGCTCCTTTGGTGGCTTCTCAACTCCTCTTTCTTATATCACGTCTTCTCCCCTCTTATCCACCCAACTATTGCAACACCAGAATGCTGTACACAAAGCAAAGATCTGCTCACATTCCTGATCACAAACTTCTAGTCTTCCCATTGCCTCTAGAATAACATCCCAATTCCTGGCCTCACTTCTGAGACTCTTACACAATACCAGCTTGGGTTTTTATTAGCTTTAGATCCCATATTTGTGTACTTGTTACAGACCGTTTGTTGTTCATCCTTGCCTCTTGTGCCTTTCTCCCAGCTGGGAACATTCTCTGCCCAGAATTCCCAGTGGGTAAACTGCCCATGGCTTCGCTAAAATTTCACTGCGCTTTTGAAAAGTGCTTGCATCCTTAGGCTTCATGGTTTCTCCTCTGTGTTCAGCTGAACCTCCATTCTCTGAAGTAGTATTTTGGTGCATGGATCTTGTCTCTGGTTTTATACATGTCTGTCTCCCATGAGATTATGAATGCCCTGAGAGTAGAGGTGGTGCTTTGTTTTTTTACTTGAATCTCAATAAGGCCAAATACCGGGCCTTGTAAAGAGGAGACACCTTGTACTTGCCAAGATAATACTGTTGTTTTCCACACTGAAATTTGGGGTTGTAAAATGTGCAGCTTATAGGTACTCTGGCTTGGGCTTCTTTTTTGAGACGGAGTTTCGCTCTTGTTGCCCAGGCTGGAGTACGATGGCGCGATCTCGGCTCACTGTAACTTCCACCTCCCAGGTTCAAGCGATTCTGCTGCCTCAGCCTCCCGAGTAGCTAGGACTACAAGCATGCGCCACCACACCCAGCTCATTTTGTATTTTTAGTAGAGATGGGGTTTCTCCATGTTGGTCAGGCTAGTCTCGAACTCCCGACCTTAGGTGATCCGCCTGCCTCAGCCTCCCAAAGTGCTGGGATTACAGGCGTGAGCCACGGTGCCCGGCCTGGGCTTCCTTCTAAGGGGCAGAGCTGTTTGATCCTGACCCCACCTTAACAGTATTAGCAGGTTCTTTTGCACTCCATCCCAGCTGCACTTAGAGATGAGACATGTTGCTCTGAAATGGTGGGGCTTTGGACCAGCTGTTCCGAGCTGGGATTACCACTGCTTTGATATTATGGTCATCTGCAAGCTGTTTCAGCTCCTGGAAGGGGGCCATCAAGGTGAAGTCACACCTGTCTGGGCTCTGTTTATTCTTTTCAGTCTACCTCAGAGGTGGGGACAGCTTTTAGTAACTGATGTATTACATTATCTGGCTCTTTTTGTGAGACAAAAGAAACAGTGTTTTGTATTGCTTTGTGTGGGGAAGGGTAGGATTGCATTTTGGTCTTAATTTCTGTTGCCTTTGGTATCTTGTCCAAACTGTCTGTGGCCTGGCAGAAGGAGGCATGAGGCATGCTGTTGAAACTTGGTTTTTCATTTTTATGAAAAACTCTCCTGGCTTACATTCAGGTTCCCTCCCTGAATTATCATACGTTATACATATGTAGTCTGTGAAGAGAAGTTTCCTGATCCCTGTGGGATTTGAGCCCTTCTTAGGACCACTTTGGGCTAAAACTGTGTTCCCTACATTATTTTTTCTACCCACAGGAACTATACTGAAGAGTCTGCTTCTGAGGACAGTGAAGATGATGAGAGTGATGAAGAGGAGGAGGAGGAAGAAGAGGAGGAGGAGGAAGAAGATTATGAGGTGGCTGGTTTGCGATGTAAGTATTTTGTCTGCCTTTGTAGTTGATTTCACAGTCTTCTAAGCTTGGAACGCTTGGAAAGGCTGGCTTGGCAGTAGGTAGTGTGGCCGGCTTGCCCTATTCCTTTTCTCTTGTGTTGTGACTGTGGCGTAACTTAGCTGCCATGGGTTTAAATGGGTTTCCAAGATGGCGTTTAACTTCCTGCCTGGTGGGAGAGAAGGTGGCTTGATCTCAGTAACATCAACCCACTTGCTCTAAGATTTAGTAGAATTCATGGTCCCAAGTATATTTATGCCAAGGCTGCTGATTCTCAGCTCCTCGGCATATGGGGACAATGGGGAAGGAAGATCTTGGCCCATTGCCATCTCCTGACAGTTCTTTTGGCTGTTGTTTTATCGCTGCTTTCAGAGAGTGACTTTTTCTGTCTGGTTACAGTGATTTTCTCCTCCCTGCAGTGTGCAGGGTTATAGCTTTGCTGGTTTGAAAAGAGACGACTGATTATTTGAAGGCTTAGGTGGAAGGATGTTAGGAAGATTCAGATCTGTTCTCACTAGATGCCAGTAGGAAAAAAGGCATCATCTTTTGTGTTCACCGCATTGACTCTCATTCTCTCATGTTCATTTCTCATGAGTGTTGGAGAGTCTGGTGTTTGTGGCTAATGTCCTCCAGTCTAGCCTTTCTTTTAGCAGCCTCCCTCTTTCCAAAATACACTTTTTTTTTTTTTTTTTTTTTTTTGAGATGGTCTCACTGTCGCCTGGGCTGGAGTGCAGTGGTATGACCTCAGATTACCTCAGTCTCTGCCTCAGCCTCCCGAGTATACAGACACCCACCACCACACCTGGCTGATTTTTGTATTTTTAGTAGAGATGGAGTTTCACCATGTTGGCCAGGCTGGTCTCGAACTCCTGAGCTCAAGTGATCTGCCTGCCTTGGCCTCCCAAAGTGCTGGGATTACAGGCATAAGCCACTATGCCCGGCCAATACACTTTTCTTTACAGGTTCGTAGAAAACAGACCACAGATCAAAATTCTAATGAGCTTTTGAAGCAGTGGTACAGTTCCCAAGATCATAGCAGCTCTGAATGGTCATACTTGGTATAAGGAGTGAGAGAGAGGATGCCTGGCATGACTAGTCTCTTACTGTAGTGAGACTGCCAAAACCTAATGATTTGGGCTTGCCCGTCTTCTCCTGTCCTCCCACTTTCCCCCCCATACTTCAGAGGTGTGATGTGGGACACCTTAAGCTCTCACATACGTATGGGCTCTTTTTGTTTGTTCACTACGCCTGATTTTTCAGGTATCCTAGGGTAAGTGAACAAATGGCCCATCAGTCCTGCATTCAGGAATATCCTCTTCTGTTGGTCAGAGTCAGTGACTTGGGCACACCTTTGTTTGGGAACATATTTTTTTTGGCGGAGCGGGGGATGGGTATCTTTCTCTGTTGCCCAGGCTAGAGTGCACTGGTATGATCACTGCTCACTGTATCCTCGATCTCTCAGGCTTAAGCAATCCTCCTTACCTCAGCCTCCTGAGCAGCTGGGACTACAGGCACGTGCCACCATGCCCGGCTTTTTTGTAGAGATAGGGTCTTGCCATGTTTCCCAGGCTGGTCTTGAACTCTTGGGTTCAAGTGATCCTCCTGCCTTGGCCTCCCGAAGTGCTGGGATTACAAGTGTGAGCCACTGCGCCTGATCTCTCTGAGGGCAGATCCTGAATATGGTAGTATACTGATTCTGTTTATTTGTAAGCTAGTGATTGCTTTCCACTTCTACGTTGTAGCTCTCTTTCCAAGGAATTGCTTTTCTAAGTTTTTACGGCCTCGACTTGCCAAAAGGATCTGGGAAGTATTTGGTACTTCAGAGCTTTTTGTCAACTCTATCTTTCAGACCACCAAAGATGTGGTTCCCCAGTGCAGCTCAAGGTTCTAGCACCTAAGCATCAGATTCTTACCCTTTCTTACTAGCCTGGGCTTGAGCTAGAGACGCTAAAGTAGCCAAGAAAGGGTTATCGTGATCCAGAAATAGAATGGAAAGTAGTGTTTCTGGATTATTCGTGTCACTGCCTTCCTAGACCTCTGTGTCCAGTGTCATCTCCCCACTCCCCAAGGGAAGGTGGTGGAGAGCCTGGAGCTAAATCCTCATGGCATTGTTTCCCAGGGCTCACTGAGGAATGCCAGTTGGCTTGATGGTGAGCACCTGTTGTAAACCTGAGACACAAGTAGTCTCAGTGCCTTTGTGTGTGTGTGTGTGTGTGTTTTTTTTCTTTTGTGAGATGGAGTTACACCCTTGTTTCCCAGGCTGGAGTGCAGTGGCGTGATCTCGGCTCACTGCAACCTCCGCCTCCCAGGTTCAAGCGATTTTCCTGCCTCAGCCTCCTGAGTAGCTGGGATTACCAGCATGTGCCACCACGCCCTGCTAATTTTGTATTTTTAGTAGAGACGGGGTTTCACCATGTTGGTCAGGCTGGTCTTGAACTCCCGACCTCAGGTGATCCACCTGCCTCAGCCTCCTAAAGTGGTGGGATTACATGTGTGAGCCACAACGCCCGGCCTATATTCTTTATTCTCTCATTGGGGATCCTGGGCAGGGCTCTTATGGAGGGGACTAGCCCTAAATTGTATTTAATGAGGAGCCTTGTGGCCCTTCATGGAAGTACCAGCTTTTCTCTGGAAAGATTCTGATGGTAAGTGTAGAATAACTCTGGGAATTACAACATAGGGTTTGTTTTACAATCCAGTTCCATCTTACATGTAAATACATCCACTCGCTCAGGCTGAGCTTGGGCTGTGGGAAATCCAGGCTGACCTATTAGCAAATGGCTTCTCATGAGTGAGAGTTTACAGTTGATTCCTGCAGGGGCCTTATGGCTGGGAGTAACTGCAGGACGGGGCAGGACAGAAGTACTGAAGGACCTAGCCCTCTGAAGGGCTTTGGCAGTGGATGAAAGGCACCCATTCTTCATCGGCTGCCACTGCCTTTTAGTGTCCTGTTAGGTAAGGCAAGATAAAATAGCAAGAGCACCTTAAAACCAAAGGAGGCCACTGCTTTCCTTGTCCAGGAAAAGGATTCTCCCTGCATCCCTTTCCCCCATTTCGAAGATGCTCCTCCCTTCACCTTCCGTTGTTCTCTGCTGAATCCATAGTTTTTCTTTCAGTGAGACCTCGAAAGACCATCCGGGGCAAGCACAGCGTCATCCCCCCTGCAGCAAGGTCAGGCCGGCGCCCGGGTAAGAAGCCACACTCTACCAGGAGGTCTCAGCCCAAGGCACCACCTGTGGATGATGCTGAGGTGGATGAGCTGGTGAGAATTATTTATCATCCCTTCTCTAACCTTTCTGTTTCTTATTCCCTACCCCAGCAATTAGGAATTCATCAGGCAACAGGTGGGAGGGGAGCCTCCCCCCTCCTCCTTCTTACCAAACTTGGGAGGCTGGGGAGGCAGATGGGTGAGCCTGTACGCAGACAGAAGCAGCAAGGCCTCCAGGAACAGCTATGTCCGGCATTCCCCTGCTGTAGCCTGCAAACTAGTTAGCGGGCAGCCTGCAACTTATTAAGGATTTAAAAATAGTATCCATGTGTCTCCAGTGGGCTCAGAGGGGCTGGGTCTTCATTGTGGGAATGTCAGCAATGCTGGAGCCTCACTTACTGTTGAGTCGACAGTTGTTATGGGAGGGACATTACCCTCCCCTCTGCTCCTTAACCAATGTAATTTTAGTAGTTTTTAGATCTCACTTGAGCTTTAAAGAACAAAAAAGAAACTCTTGAAAAGGTGCTTGTTTTGACAGATCAAATTGGAGTTAGGGGCTTAAGGCAGGCCATTTGGGAGATCATAAGGCATTAGAAGATGCTCGGTTTGCCACAGCCTTGGGCTCTGTGGCCTCTGCTGTGAATCACAGCTTTTGTTATGGCTACCTGGAATGGAGGCCCCGCCCCTTTTCTCTTTAGCCACTTAACCCTCACATGTCTACGGTGGAAGAGCCCAGGAAGGGAATTGGACCTCTTGCTTTTCTTACCAGAGGCACCCCACCCCCACAGAATTGGCTGCTGTTGGCCCAGATAGCATGTTTTGCTTTCTGCAGTGGCTTGTTGATGCCCTTCCATGGTGTCACTGTAACCCCAGGTCCACCTGTTCTCTGAGAGCTAGTGTCCTGTTGACAGTAGCCCCCTTCAGCCGACCTCCAGCAGGACTGCTGGTAAAGGCGGCCCCCGCTGCCTGCTCTTTGCTGCTTTGATTGCCGTGGCCCCGGGGGAGGCGAGTGAGTGGACTACTGGGAAGATGCCTGCCACCTGGGCCGAGGGTGCTCCCTGACTTGAATATCAGAAGGTTTCAGCACCTCTGCGCCAAGGAAATAGTTGAACTCTCTTCCTTTTTTGAGCAGATACACTTATTTTCTGCCCTGTCCATTCTTCCTCCTGTCTTGAATCTGTAATAACATTGTTCTTTCTTTCCTGCCAGGTGCTTCAGACCAAGCGGAGCTCCCGGAGGCAAAGCCTGGAGCTGCAGAAGTGTGAAGAGATCCTCCACAAGATCGTGAAGTACCGCTTCAGCTGGCCCTTCAGGTGAGTGCTGTGTTCTCAGGTGCAGGGGAGAGGAGTGGCCTGGCTGGTTCTAAAAGCTTCCAGAGCCCCTGAGGGGCTCTCAGCCAAGCCCTTGCTTTTCAGGACGTGTCTCAGTGGCAGGGGCACTGCCGTCAAGGCTGTGCAGATTCTCCATTTGGTTCTTCTCCACAGGGAGCCTGTGACCAGAGATGAGGCCGAGGACTACTATGATGTGATCACGCACCCCATGGACTTTCAGACAGTGCAGAACAAATGTTCCTGTGGGAGCTACCGCTCTGTGCAGGAGTTTCTTACTGACATGAAGCAAGTGTTTACCAATGCTGAGGTTTACAACTGCCGTGGCAGCCATGTGCTAAGCTGCATGGTGAAGACAGAACAGTGTCTAGTGGCTCTGTTGCATAAACACCTTCCTGGCCACCCATATGTCCGCAGGAAGCGCAAGAAGTTTCCTGATAGGCTTGCTGAAGATGAAGGGGACAGTGAGCCAGAGGCCGTTGGACAGTCCAGGGGACGAAGACAGAAGAAGTAGAGAGGCAGGGCCGTGGTAAGGGAGCTGAGGTGGGGGGACAGCTAGGGAGGGTGGGAGGGAGGCGAGCGAGGAAGACCAAGAACCTGGAAGAGATCACAGGGAGTCCAGAAACGCCTGTCATCCCAAGCTTATGCTGTTTTTCTAAAAGCTCTTTATGGGGCTTGATATTGGGTTGGTGGTCTTTGTCCAGAAATATGAAGGGACAAAGAGGGCCATAACCCTCCCTTCTGAGAGTTTCCAGGAGGAGTCCGAGGGTCTAGCTTTTCTGGTGAAGCCAGTTCCTGTTCCTGCCTTCTTTCCTAAGGGCCTGCTCGCTCTGGCTTCCACCACAGTGCCAAGCCCCTCTGGTCTCCAGGGGAGGGATTGCTGTGTTACATAGCAGGATCGGGGTAATCAGGCCAACAGGGGAGATGGTGGCGATTTTTCTTTTTTAATCTGTATTTATTATACAGTCTTGTTTCTTTAAGCCCATACTCTGTCTCTTCCCCCGTCTTCCTCTCAGGTGACAGTATCAGTGAGTGCCATACAGAATTGTGTATTCACCAGCATCATGAAACAGTTGTGGTCTTTTGAGTTGATCTTGGCAGAGTAAAGGGACGTGTCCTGGAGCCATTCCTGAATCTCCCCTTCTTTGTGACAGCTCCTCCCACCCCCCCAAAAAATAAAAAAACCACAAAAAACAAAAAAACAAAACTAAGGCACTTCACTTAGAGACTGGAGTCCTGCTTATAATCATGCATATAACCTTTACTTTGATGGATCTGGCCAGAGGGGTGTTGGAGCCCAGCCCACCCACATACCAGTCAAGCTCTTAGGGGAGCAGAAGAAAAGCAGGAAGAATTTAAATGTTTAATTTTTTTTTTAAATTGACTTTTCTAGTTATTAAAAGTTGCTTGTTTCAGCAGTGATATTGTATAAAGAACATCTTGTAAGATACTCCTGACATCTTGCTTTAGCACATGTACAGTACAGTTTCTATGATAATGTGTTTGCTCTAACTTCCCTGGCTTCTCCTTCAGCCCATCCACTCTCCTCTAGAGCAGTTGGGTTGGAGGCTCATTGAGGCAAGCAGCAACATTGGAGGGGGAGCAGGGCAGTGCTGTGTCTGCTGCCTCCCATGCCCGTTCTGACCTCAGCCTTGGAACTCCTCAAGAACCTGAAGATTCCAGTGGTCAGTGTCGGTGGGGGGTGGGAGGAGAGAGCGGCAGAGAAGCTCTGAGAGCCCCTTCCCCCACAACAAATCTAGCTCTAGTTGTTATATTTAGGCAAAACTTTGTAGTCTTCTTTCCCTTTTATGATGGATTTTGATAAAAGTACAAAACAGGGTTTTTCTTTTTTATCACCTTTGAATTTGGAAATTTTGAGCACCCAAGCTCTTCTGTACCTATTTAAAGTCCACCAAGGGGACTGCAGCTCCTAGAACATGAGAATCAAGCCTCTTAATTTTAAACTGCGGAATGTGGCCTCTGCTTCCTCCGTCCTCCTGCCCAAGGACGACGAGGATTGCTCCAGGGCTGCTGGGTAGTTTACCGTCCCTTCTATAGGCATGGAGTTGGCACTGACATCACAGCTTCATAACCCCACCACCGCCAGCTTCCCCTGCCTCCTACATCCAGTCTGTTCTTGTTCATAGTGAGAATCCTGTGTTCCCACTTCAGTGACACCTGAATTGTTTGTTGTTGTTTTTTTTTTTTATTGTCTTCAAAGAGGAAGGGCCCCATTAAAGGGTGAACTTGTAATAAATTGGAATTTCAAATAAACCTCATGTACTTGTGTTTATAAAGAAGAAACCACTCTGGTGGCTGTTTGTGCTCTTTCTTGGTGGGTGGGGGTGGGTAGTGCTGTCCCGAGTGCTGCTTTCCCACTGACCCTTGGAGCCGGGTCCTCTGAAGGCTTGGCCTCCAGAGTCAGGGCCTCTCAGTGTTCTTAACCACAGAAAGAAGTACTCCCTCCAAGCCTCTCCTGGCCCTGTCTCCGTCTAAAACCCTGAAAAACTTCATTTGAAACTAGGAATTACGGTGAAAATAGGTTTTTAAGCCTTCACTATGGGGAAATTCTGCCATTTTAAAACCTTTCTCAGGGAAAAAAAATTTTGGGGAGGGGGGCGGTGGGGACAGTCTCACTCCATCACCCAGGCTGGAATGCAGTGGCGTGGTCTCAGCTCGCTGCAACCTCCATCTCCTGGGTTCAAGCAATTCTCCTGCCTCAGCCTCCCGAGTAATTGGGGTTACAGGGACATGCCACCACGCCTGGCTAAGTTTTTGTATTTGTAGTAGAGCCAGGTTTTCACCATGTTGTCCGGGCTGGTCTCGAACTCCTGACCTCAGATGATCCACCCGCCTTGGCCTCCCAAAGTGCTGGGATTACAGGTGTGAGCCACCGCGCCCAGCCTCAAGGAAAATTTCAAACACACAAACAGTGGAAAAGTATAATGAATTCCCATGCACTCGGCTTTGACGGTTCTACCACATGTCTAATCTTGTTTTATTTATGCCTTCATTTATCTTTTAAAGTCTGACTGGCTGATATGCGTAGGGTGCTGCTAGGCAGCCACCCGCCAATGGAATACAGAGATTTTGCTGAGCCACTGCTGTGGGCCCAATTACTGAGAAATTAAACTGCCAATTCCTGACCAGCTGAACGAGGTGAAGCTGGTGTAATGGGAAGAGCCTTTGAGGCCTGAGCCTTGGGCGCAGGTTCTGCTGCTGAGCAGCTTTGCGGCCTTGGTAAGCACGGGCGAGCCAGGTCCTACACAGAACACTTGGGGAATTTTTGTCCTGCCTGGAGGAAGCGGGCTTGCCCCAACAGCAGATTGAATTTTCCTGCTCATCCGCTCCAGCCTCCAGCTCTGGAGAAGAGAACCATGCTCCTTCTGGACATTTTCTGCATGGCGACAGTGACACTTGGGGCTCCCAGCCTTCCTCTATGAAGTCCTGCTCCTCCAGTAATTTCCCCAGGCACACACTAGGATACTGCCTTGGGGTGGTCACTTCTGGTCGTGTCCTGGTCTCAGCACACTCTTAGCCACTGCCTTACCAGGCTGTGACCTTGTGGGGCAGCCACTTTGATGACTGCAAATGGGGGCATGGGAACTCCATCTCTGAGGACAGGGGCCTGAGTCATGACCTGGGAGTCAGCTGAGGCCTGTCCTTGTCCTGCACACTCTTCTCAAGTTTTGTCTCTGGGGAGGTGACATGGTCAGTAGACTTGGTTAACAGGTGGCATCTGGATTCCAACAGAGCCACTCAGAGGGGGCATCTCTTCCTGCTGGCCAGGGGCTAGGGTGTCTCTGGAGGACACTGAGGAACTCACCTCCCATTAACTGCGCTCTCCTAACCCCAGCCCTGGGCCTCCTGGCTTTTCAACACCTGGGACTGCTGTGTTCAGGAGCTGCTTCCTTGAGCGGGCAACTTCCTGGGAGCAGGAGGATCTTGGGCTCACCACACACAAGCGCAAACCCACAGGGACAGGCTCAGCCTCCCAAGAGGCTTGCGGGCGTGTGGTGCCGCACTCTGAAGACCCAAATGCTGGGCACCAGGACCACTAAGGGGAAGGCCCGGGCCTGGGCACGCGATGCACATGCCAGCACGTGTGGGTTTCCGAGGTATTTTTGTTTGGCCCTGGAGGGTTCTTTAATGGGCGTGGGGAGAGGTCTGGCAGTGGTAGGGGTGTTTGTCTCCTCCCCACCCGCTTTGCCCAGCTTCTGGGGACATAAACTTGCCAAGGCATACACCCTGCCTTTCCCCACCAGGACCTAATCGGATCCCTGGTGTGGAACGCACAAAAGTTCTGGAGGCAGACTTGGGTTCAACTCCCAGCTTGGCCTCAAACTGCGTGGCTATGTGCTGTAGCGGCCAACCAATCTAAACACTTCCCGTCCGAAACGTGAGGCGAGCAGATCACATGAGAGGGCTGTGTTTCCTTTTTCCCTTTCCTCCAGGGCCTAGGACTTATTTCCATAGCATCTTCCAGGTCTGAGAAAGCTGGCAGGGCCCTGCCCTCCCTCCCAGGTCCTGGCCTCAAAGCACAGCCCCCGGGGCCTGTCCTGACCCTGCACTGCCCCTCTCTGCGCTCCCATCTGGGCTGCCCTGAAAACCAGCAGCAGGCTGGTGTCTGCTGAGCAGGACATGGTCACTGACAGCAAGGAAGAAAGAAGGGGCAGGTGGGTGCCCTTGGATGCTCATCCTCCCCCTGCCTTTCCCACACCCCGCCTGCCTTGCTCTTCCCAAGTCTGTGGAATCCTCTCCATTCGCTCCAGCTGCCCCCGCCCTGGTATAGGCCCTTCCCATCTTCCCTTCCACTGCCTGTGAGCCCAGCTCCCTGAAGCCTCTGCCCCTCCCACGCCCAGTGTGGGCACTTTACTGCCTCTAACGAGCTCATTCTGTTTCCCACTCAAAGACCCTCGCATGGCCAGGTGCAGTGGCTCAAGCCTATAATCCCAGCACTTTGGGAAGCCAAGGTGGGTGGATCACTTGAGGCCAGGAGTTCAAGACCAGCCTGGGTAACATGGTGAAACCCCGTCTCTACAAAAAAATACAAAAATGAGCCAGGCATGGTGGCGGATGCCACCCAGGCGGCTGAGGCAGGAGAATTGCTTGAACCTGGGAGGCAGAGATTGCAGTGAGCTGAGATCGTGCCACTGCACTCCAGTCTGGGCAACAGAGTGAGACTCTGCCTTAAATTAAAAACAAAAACAAACAAAAAACAAACAAAAAACCCTCGTGCAGCATTACAAGGAGGTAGGGTCACTTGGCTTTGTTGGTCAGAGGCACATGGGGACTTACTTAATGTGTGCTCTGCGCAAAGGGAAGGATTTAGATGGAGAGGGCGTTCCCCGTGCAATAAACGGCCTAAGAACAGGTGCAAGGGCTGTAAGCTTCCCTGGGGCACCACTGCGCCTTGTGGTGAGGAATACCCCTTAACCCCCTCAGCCTGCCATGGTCTTGTCTCCTGGGAGCGTGACCCAACCTGTTTGATTCTCACTGGACTTTTCTTGTCCCTGTAGGATTGGTGGTTGGGGTAGGGCACAGGGCTCCAGCCCGAGAGGCCCTAGGTTTGGGGCTCCGCCTCACCATTCATCCTCAGCACCTGAGCGTCTCCCCTCCTGGAGCCTCCCCGTGGCTCTAAAGTGAGGCTGGCAGCAGGGCTGGACCGCTGGGATCTCCTGGCACTGACACCAAATGCCGGCCGTGTATAGTAGGCACCCAGGGACACTAGTAACTAATACTCTCACCTGGCTGGAGTCACAGCAGCCAAGATGGGGCCCTGGGGTCTGACCCCAAGCCAATAGGGGTCTCCAGATGGCCACACGTGCCCAGCTACCCAGTCCGCAGAAACAGGACAGGCCCTAGCAGCCCTAAGCTACCCCAGCACACAGATGGACATGGGACCTTTCCCCATACCTGCCCCAGTGTGGAGCTCTGCACAGCCACCTGAGCTGCCTCATTCCCACCGCTGCCATTAGCAACTCAAATCTGACAAGCTTAGGAGCTAGGGGCCCAATTCCCACTCTACTCAAGGGCTTCCCAGCTCCACGTGCATGTCTGTGCTACCCAGAGGCCCACAGACCAGAACAACCTCTTCACCCCACCTGGAGACGCCAGGGAGCAGGCTGGGGCTGCCCTGGTGGGGGCTGCCCTGGTGGGGGCCCCGAGGAGCCAGGCAGACGCACCAGCAATTTTCCAAGGCCCCAGGGAGGCGGTCCTCGTGACAACATTGACACAGGCTGACACCTTTACTTTCCACGCCAATAAGGAGAGCAAGTTCCCAGAGAAGGAAAACTCATCCATAGCCTCAAACTGGACTCCCTGGGGCCAGAGGTGGCAGTGTCACCCTGGGGAATTCCCTGAACATCCGCAGGCGTCCCTGTCTCCATTTGGAAGCACAGAGACGGGCGGGAGGGGAAAACACGCACACATGGTGTCTGGGACTCCTGCAATGCACAGCTGTTCCGGGGGGACTTCCTCCTGATTGGGGGGTGCCAGCACCCACTGCCAGCTCTGCTTACAAGAAAGACTCCTGCAGGGCCCTCACCCTCCTACCTTCCCCCCTTCCCAGCCAGAGAGGACTCAGCAGTGCCACGCGGGGGTTTATTCCAGTCACAGCTTCCAGAGGAACGCAACAATAAATTACATCATTAAATAAACTCCGGCTGGACCCCTCTGCCCCGCCCCTCCACATCCTCCACTAGGACCCTGTGGGGACTCAGCCTGGTCCAGCCCCCGCATTAGGGGAGACCCCCATCTCCCCTAATGAGCCTCACGGGGTCCCGCCCTGATCCTCAGTCCCCGGTGCTCACTTGCCTGACCTTGACAGCTGGGCAGCTGCTAGTCAGCTGTCTCTAGGGGATGCAGGGGGCAGGGCGTGGAGGGCAAGGAGGGGGCAGCAGCCACCCCGCGCCAGGCCTGTGTGGCTAGAGGTGTGTGGGGTTCTCCAAAGAGGGGTCCGTCTTAGTCATGTGCAAGACCACGGTGGGAGCCTTATAGTGGCAGTGCGTGCCACGTCCGTAGCTCCCGGGGGCGCGGCAGGCCTTGGCCCGGGCCCGGCCAGCTGCTATCTTGCGGTAGCACAGGCTCTGCCAGGTCTGGAAAGTCTTGGAGCTCCACACCCAGACGCCGCTGGTGATCCCCACCACCAGTGACATGAAAATTTTGAGCATGAAGACCGCCACGGTGGGCACCGAGCCCCCTGGCAGCGAGCAGTCCCTCCGGCCTCCGGGCCCCGCGGCCGCTGCGCATGGCTGCTCTGTGGCCCGAAGGCGCCAGAAGTCCATGTTGAGGCGTTCGTAGACATAGCAAACGATGACGCAGGTGGCGGGCACCGTGTAGAGGATGGAGAAGACCCCGATCTTGACCATGAGCTTCTCCAGCTTCTCTGTGTTGGTGCCGCCCGTCTTCATGATCTTGCGGATGTGGAAGAGGGCCACGAAGCCGGTCAGGAGGAAACTACTGCCCAGCACCAGGTAGCCAGAGAGGGGCACCAGCACGAAGCCCGTGAGCGCTGCTGCATCCGTGCTGGCCACGTAGCAAAGCCCAGTCAGCTCATCACCCGCCACCTTGCGCAGGGTCAGGATGACGATGGTCTTGAGCGCGGGCAGGCCCCAGGCAGCCATGTGGAAATAGCTGCCGTGGGCCTCGATGGCCTCGTGGCCCCATTTCTTCCCGGCAGCCAGGAACCAGGTGAGCGTCAGGACCACCCACCAGAGCGAGCTGGCCATGCCGAAGTAGTAGAGCAGTAGGAAGACCAGCGTGCAGCCCGTGTTCTCCAGGCCCTCCTGGATCACGTAGAGCGCGCCCGCCTCCTGGTCACAGGCCACGCTCTGCGCTCCGGCCACCGCACGGATCAGGAAGGCCAGCGAGTAGACGTTGTAGCACATGGAGAGGAAGATGATGGGGCGCTCGGGGTACTGGAAGCGGTGGGGCTCCAGCAAGAAGGTGAGCACAGTGAAGGCGGTGGAGAAGAAGCACAGCGCCGACCACACGGCCATCCAGACCAGCGCGAAGTCCTTGTCGCGCCGGGACCAGAACACCTCGACGCCGGGCCCGCAGCGCGGTGCGCACGAGCGGCTCTTCTCCACGTACTGGAACTTCTCGGGGTTCTCGCAGGTGCCACTGCCGCCCGCGCCCGGGCCCAGGTCTCCGGGAGGGCGCGCGGGCCGCGGCGCCACGGGCAGCATGCCCAGGCCCTTGTGGGGCTCCGCGGGGCCGGCCGTGGCGTTCTCGGGCGCCTCCATGCACAGCGCGTGCGGGTCGTTGCGCGTGGGCAGCCGGGCGCAGTCGAGCGAGTCCGGCCAGCCGAAGTTGAACTGCTCCATGATGGGCGCGCAGCGCAGGCGCGCCTGCTCGCACATGGGCCGGCAGGCGGGAATGGGCGTCGAGACCTGGTCGGTGCACATGGGCGCGTAGAGCGAGCACAGGAAGAAGCGCAGGTGGCTGTGGCAGCCGTACTGCACCAGCGGCGCGAACTCCGCTAGCTCGGCAGCCGCCTCGCCCTGCGACGTGTGGCCCAGCAGGTTGGGCATGCGGGTCAGGTTGTAGCCGATGCCGCGGCACATGGGGATCTCCACCGCCTGGCACGGCGCAGCCCCGCGCCCGCGCTCCGGGTCGAAGCGGCCGATCTCCAGTGCCGCGCCGCCCGCCGCCAGCAGCTGCCACAGCAGCAGCGCCCCCCGCAGAGGCGCCACGGCCATCCCGGGAGGCCCGGGCCGAAGGCGGGAGCGCGGCCCCGGCTCACTCGGGCTCAGCGGTCCCGCGCCCCGGTGCCTGCCCGCCACGTCGCGGGGCGCGGGCCATCGCTGAGCCGCCCACGTGTGTCCGGGCGCCCTGGGCAGCGAGCGGGCAGCCGCCCGAGGGACAGGAGCCGCCGAGCCCGCCTAGCCGCCACCGCCGCTGCCACCGGAGCCGCCGCTGAGCCAGAGCCGGCGCAACCTCCCGGGGCCGAGGCTACCAGCCCCCGGGGCGGGGCTCCGGGAGGACACGCCCAGGGACACGCCTCCCACTGGGCTTTAAAGGCGCCGCGTCTCCCGGCCACGCGGAGCACGGGGTGGGGCCGGGCCTGGTGGGTGTCCGCCCGCTTGCCCTCCGCTTACACTCGGTTTCTTCCCTTCCCTTGCTGCCTGGGAGAGGCTGCGGGAAGTCCCCGTACCCACACTCTCAGACTGGGTCGCCTCATTTTACTCTAGGAGGGAGACTTTTTTTTTTTTTTTTTTTTTTTTGAGACGGAGTTTTGCTCTTGTCGCCCAGGCTGGAGTGCAGTGGCGCGATATCGGCTCACTGCAACCTCCGCCTCCCGGGTTCCAGCGATTATCCTGCCTCAGCCTCCCGAGTAGCTGGGATTACAGGCTCCTGCCACCACGCCCCTCTAATTTTTTGTATTTTTAGTAAAGACGGGGTTTCACCATTTTGGCCAGGCTGGTCTCGAACTCCTGACCTCAGGTGATTCACCTGCCTCGGCCTCCCAAAGTGCTGGGATTAGAGGCTTGAGCCACCGCGCCCAGCTGGAAGACTTTTTATTTTTATTTTTAATTGTTATTTCTTTTTAGAGACAGGGTCTCTCTGTGTCGCCCAGGCTGGAGTCCAGTGGAACGACCATAGTTCACTGCAGCCTCCATCTCCCGGGCTCAAGCGACCTTCCCGCCTCAGCCACCAGAGTAGCTGGGATTACAGGTGGGCACCACCACTCCCGGCTAATTTTAAAATGTTTTTGTAGAGACAGGGTCTCACTATGTTACCCAGGCTGGTCTTGAACTCCTGGGCTCAAGGGATGCTCCCGCTTCTGCCTCCCAAAGTGCCGGGATTACAGGCGTGCTCCACCGTGCCCGGCCAGGGGAGACCATTTCTAAGGCTTCCCACGTGTGGAAGTCTGCCTTGTACCCAGTGGCAGCTCAAATACAGCGTCTGCCTCTCCCCTCAGTGTATGTGACTTGGGGCTCCTCTCTGAGCCTCAGCTTGCTTTTCTGTAATGCAGGCAGATAATCCTACTGTTAAAATCAACAGTTCTGCCAGGCGCAGTGGCTCACCCCCACCCCCATCTTGCCCCATCAGCCTGGGCAACATAGTGAGACCTCGTCTCTAATAAAGAAAAAAAAATAGCTTTTTTTTTTTTGAGATGGAGTTTCGCTCTTGTCGCCCAGGCTCATCTCATCGCCCAGGAGTGCAATGGTGCGATCTTGGCTCACTGCAACCTCCGCCTCCCGGGTTCAAGCAATTCTCCTGCCTCAACCTTCCAAGTAGCTGGGATTACAGGCGCCCACCATCACTCCCGGGTAATTTTTGTACTTTTAGTAGAGACAGGGGTTTCACCATGTTGGCCAGGCTGGTCTCGAACTCCTGACCTCAGGTGATCCATCCACCTCGGCCTCCCAAAGTGTTGGGATTACAGGCATGAGCCACGGTGCCTGGCCTGAAAAAAAAAAAAAAGAAAAAAAAAAAAAGAAAATCAACAACACGTGTTGGGCACCTGAATCTGATCGATCACACTTCATACTTGCCCTTATTGTATCTTCTCAGCAATCCAAGAATGCTACGTTATCCTTATTTCCCAGGTGGGGAAACTGAGTCTCAGAGAGGAATGACATACCCAAGGGCATAGAGCTACTAAGTGTTCCATTTGTGATTGTCTGTTCCGGAACCCATACCCATTTCACAAGGCCACCGTGCTCCTCTGGGGAGTGTCGCCATCACCCTCTCACCTCTCTCTAGGCTGCCCCCTTGAGACTCCTGGGACCCGCTTAGAAACTGCCATGGTTCCTGGGTAGCTCTGTGGGTGAAATCCAAGTGCCACCGGCAGGCCACACAAGGGGCAAGGGGCCCTGATCTGGGACTCTTTAGAGAAGGCCATCCCCCTTTCACCCAACTGTTCCTATTCTCTTGGCCTGGAAACACCTGGAGGACTCAGAATGTTTCACATGAGCACTTAGTACTGTTTCATGTGAGCACTTAGCATCGTTTCATGTGAGCACTTAGTACTGTTTCACGTGAGCACTTAGCATCATTTCACGTGAGCACTTAGCATCGTTTCATGTGAGCACTTAGTACTGTTTCACGTGAGCACTTAGCACTGTTTCACATGAGCACTTAGTACTGTTTGACGTGAGCACTTAGTACTGTTGCACGTGAGCATTTAGCACTGTTTCATACGAGCACTTAGTACAGGGCTAGGCACCCTGGCTGAGCCCAGGGATGGTGAGTGAATGAATGAGTGAGTAACCTAGAACTTCAGGGAGGCACAGAAACTGACCGAGGACCTGTTGTGAGCCTCCTGGGCTCTGGGCCAGGGATTTTACAGTGATCATTTGTTCACCCTCATCACAGTGCTACAAGGAATCCCGTACCCATATACAGATGAGAAATTGAGGCTTAGCAAACTCAAATATTTGCCCAGGATTACGCAGCTCGTAAGGGTCAAGATTGGCATCCAGGCTCCTCCATTGCAAGAGGCTGCCTGTTAACACCACCAGAGGCAGGACACCAGCCCAGCCGGCCCAGCTCAGCCACACCTGCCTGCACTAGAGCCTGGCCTGTGGTAGGGACTTGGGAAGGAGTCAGCAGTGGTGGTGGCAATGGTGAGAAAATGGGGCCATCATTTCCCACACATCCCTGTAATTAGTACTCTGCTACCCTTAGAGCTGTGCTGGAGCAGGGAGGGGACCAGGCAGGGGACATGCCATCTCGTGCATACACTCAGCCCCTCGCTCCTCAAGAGGATCGGGAGATGGGGCACCAAGGAGACGCAGCCAGCCCTGTGTCCAGCACAGGATAGTACTCAGCCACATGTGGGCCATGAGACGTCCTGAAGTTCCCAAAGAGGTAAGGCAGGAGTATGGTACCTGTGACCCTGGGGGACCCAGGTGAGGCACCGTGGCTCAAGCCTGTAATCCTAGCACTTTGGGAGGCCAAGGTGGGAGAATCACTTGAGCCCAGGAGTTCGAGACCAGCCTGGGCAAAATAGCAAGACCCCACCATCTCTAAAACAAAAATAAACAAAAAAGTCAGGGATGGTGGTATGCGCCTGTAGTCTCAGCTACTCAAGAGGCTGAGGCTGGAGAATCCCTTGAGCCTGGGAGGCTGCAGTGAGCCATGATCACACCACTGCACTCCAGCCTGGGCAACAGAGTGAGACCCTATCTCTAGAAAAAAAATAAAAAGAAAGACAGGGAGAGGGGGAGGGGAGGCAGGGGGAGGGGGAGGGGGGAGGAGGGGAAGGGGAGGGAGGGGGAGGAGGGGAAGGGGATGGAGGGGGAGGAGGGGAAGGGGAGGGAGGGGGAGGGGTTAGAGGGAGGGAGGGGGAGGGGGAGGGGAGCGGGGGGGAAGGGAGGGCAGGGCAGGGCAGGGCACTGCAGGGAAGGGAAGGGACCCAGCTTTGATCACCTGGGCATTGATAATGGAGGGTCCCAAAACTTCAGCAGCAGCTGCCCAGAATAAAGTGCATGCTCTCAGGGATGGCAGTGGAAGTTCCTCCAAGCAGAGACCCCGCCTCACCTCTTCATTTCCTGTCACACCCGACACCCCACTCTTACTCCTCCCCAGAAACACCCTGCAAAGCCATGCTTCCAGGCCTTTGCCAGGCTTGTTTCCCCAGCTCTGAAGGTCTTCCTCCTCTTCTGTTCCATCTGGCACCCCAGATTGAAGCATCACCTCCCAGGGCCAGCCCAGCAGAGCTGGGCTGGGGCTGGAGGCTCTGCTCTGTGGATCCAGGGTCCAGGCCAGCCCATCTGTCCAGCACACTGTGGCCTCTGCATCCGTGCCCTCCCTCGGCCCCATGCCAGCCACTGTTCAAGGGCCATGGAATAACATCAAGAAATAACATATTGGCCGGGTGCAATGACTCACACCTGCAATCCTAGTACTTTGGGAGGCCAAGGTGGGAGGATTGCTTGAGCCCAGAGTTCAAGACCAGCCTGGGCAACACAGCAAGACCCCCTCTCTCCACAAAAAAACCCACAAAAAAACAACCATATTATTTCTCTGTATCTGGCCCCAAGGAGGCCTAGGTGCACAGATGATAGTGATGTGTGGCCCCAACTCCTGAGCCCCCAGCTGTCAGGGTGCCAGGAGGTGGGGCTCCCCTCCCACAGACTTGGGAGGTTCAGGCTGCTAGAAACCTCCCAGTGCTGGGGCTAGCCTAAGAGCCAGGTTTTGTGGGCCCCCGCCCCCATCTTGCCAGGGTGGAGAAGCGTCGGGGGGCCCTTCCTCTGGCAGCTTCGGTGGGCAGGGCGCCCCAGGGGCCGTGGGATGCCAGGCCTGTCACCATGGCAACGGCCGCGCCTGGGAAGCCAGAGGAGGGGAGTGGATGAGCTCCGCCCCCACGCAGATGCGGCCTGGGAGAGAAGAGGCCTCTGGCCTCCTGCCCACCCACCCGGCTTTGTCACCCGATCTCCCTCTTTACAAAGGTGGAACAATGCTCCTGGAGCTCACTGAAAGGGAGACTATGCGGAGGACCGGAGGACCGGAGGGGCCGGGAGGAGGGAGGTCACTATCAATGCCCATCTCCGGCACCCCTCCCTGGGCCGAGGGGCCCCCCTAACTCCTCCTCCCCCTGGGGAGAAGCCGTCCCTCCTGGGACCCCTGGCTGGGGCCAGTAGTTGTCCTGCATATGTGGGAAGGGACGCCCTCCTGACCTGTGTCCCTGCATCCCCAACCCTCCCCTCCCCGAACACATGTCAACCCCTAGAGGGTACACCCTCCCCTTCCTTTCCTGCCTCCTCCAGGATGACCCCCACTCAGCGCCCTGCGGACCCTCGTGCCCACCTCTGTGCCTTGCAGCCACCATGCTGCACCTGTGCCTTCATCCCCATGAGCCTGGGGAGGTCAGGGCCCTGGCTGTGCTCTGCAGCGTCTGGGAGCCTGCCCTGGAGTGGGCCCCCATAAATATCTGTTGTGTCTAAAGAATGTCAGAATGAGAAGAGGAGCAGAGATCCTTCTGGAATGGCTGAACTCTTGTGGGGCCTAAGGCTGGGGAAGGGGTATTGATTGGATTCTGGGGGAGAGAGGTGGCGGTGTGAGTAAGCAGGGACCAGAAAGGGGAATATCCTGCGCCTCCTTCAGGTGCCTGGGCTGCCCTACAGGAGAGGCTGTCTGTGGTCTCGGGGTACCCAGCAGGTCCACCCGACACACCTGCTCCCTGGGGCAGGATGGGCAGGAGCACCAGTGTGTTCCTGCGGAGGCAGGTGCCAGTTAGTGTGTGTGTGTTGGGTGGGGGGCTGTGTGTCTGTCTGTGTGTGTGTGTCTCTGTGTGTGTCTCTGTGTGTGTGTCTCTGTGTGTGTCTGTGTCTCTGTGTGTGTCTCTGTGTGTGTGTGTGTGTCTCTGTGTGTGTATGTGTGTCTCTGAGTGTGTGTGTCTGTCTCTGTGTGTGTGTGTCTGTGTGTCTCTGTATGTGTGTCTCTGTGTGTGTGTGTCTGTGTGTGGGGGTGTTCTGTGTGTGTGTCTGTGTGTGTGTCTGTGTGTATCTCTGTGTGTGTGTGTATGTCTTTGTGTGTCTCTATGTGTGTATGTGTGTGTATCTGTGTGTGTCTGTGTCTGTGTGTGCATCTGTGTGTCTGTGTGTGTGTCTCTGTGTGTATGTGTGTGTCTCTGTGTGTGTGTGCGTGTCTTTGTGTGTGTGGTTCTGTGTGTGTCTCTGTGTGTGTGTCTGTGTGTGTCTCTGTGTGTGTCTGTGTGGCTCTGTATGTGTGTCTCTGTGTGTGTGTCTCTATGTGTCTGTGTCTGTGTGTGTGTCTGTGTGTGCGCATCTGTCTGTGTGTGTGTCTGTGTGTGTGTGCGTCTGTGTGTGTGTGTGTGTCTCTGTGTGTGTAGGTTAGGTGTACACACAGGGTCCATGCAGGTGCCTGTTTACTCCTGTGTGTGCACCTGTGCCCAGGTACACAGGCTGTGCACAGGGGCGGGGCTGGAAAGACCCCGGGTGTGGCTCAGGGAATATTTTCCCTTCTGTAGCTTGAGCCCTGGTTCTAACTGAGTTTCCCTTTATGAGCTATCAAGGGCTATACTAGACTGTCTGTTCCATTTTTTCTTTTTTTTTTTTTTCGAGACCAAGTCTCACTCTGTTGCCTAGGCTGGAGTGCAGTGGCATGATCTCGGCTCACTGCAACCTCCGCCTCCTGGGTTCAAGCGATTCTCCTGCCTCAGCCTCCAGAGTAGCTGGGATGACAGGCGTGCGCCACCACACCTGGCTAGTTTTTGTATTTTTAATAGAGACGGGGTTTCACCATGTTGATCGGACTGTTCTCGAACTCCTGACTTCAGGTGATCCACCCTCCACGGCCTCCCAGAGTGCTGGGATTACAGGTGTGAGCCATTGCACCTGTCCCAATTTGATGATTTTTGACCTATGGATTATATGTATGCAGTCTTCATCAGGATTGGTCCACATAATGAACATATTCCAGTTAAAATGCAAATATCTTACTGGAAAGTAGCACATTAAAATGTTAATAACTGGCCAGTCTTGGTGGTTCACGCCTGTAATCCCAGCACTTTGGGAGGCCGATGTGGGAAGATCGTTTGAGCCTGGGGGTTTGAGAGTAGACTGGGCAACATAGCGAGACCCCATCTCTACCAAAAATTTAAAAACTAGGCAGGTGTAATGGTGTGCAACTGTGGCCCTAACTACTCGGGAGTCTGAGGCAGGAGGATTGGTTGAGCTGGGAGGTCGAGGCTGCAGTAAGCTGTGATCTTGCCACTGCACTCCAGCCTGGGCAGCAAAGTGAGACCCCATGTCTACAAAAAAAGGAAAAAATTAACCGAGTATGGTAGCACACACCTGTAGTCCCAGCTACTTGGGAGGCTGAGGCAGGAGGATCACTTGGGCCCAGGAGGTCGAGGCTGCAGTGAACTATGGTTGCAATCACCACTGCACTCCAGCCTGGGCACAGAGACCCTGTCCAAAAAAAAATTAATAACTAGTACATACTACAGTATAGTGTGAAAGGAGCTTAATCATAACTACCATTTATTAAATATTAATTTGTATGTCATTTAATCCTGACAATACCTTATGAGGTGATTATTTATTTATTTTTGTTGAGACAGAGTCTCGCTTTGTCACCCAGGCTGGAGTGCAGTGGCGTGATCTTAGTTCACTGCAACCTCTGTCTCCCAGGTTCAAGTGATTCTCCTGCCTCAGCTTCCTGAGTAGCTGGGATTACAGGAATGCGCCACTACGCCCAGCTAAATTTTTTGTATTTTTAGTAGAGACGGAGTTTCACCATGTTGGCCAGGCTGGTCTCTCCATGTTGGCCTCTCCTGACCTCAAGTGATCCACCCACCTCGGCCTCCCAAAGTGTTGGGATTACGGACATAAGTCACTGCACCTGGCTGGTGGTTATTTTTTATTCTCATTTTTAGATGAGGACATTGATATTTAGAGAGAATTGAAGCAACTTGGGCAAGTGATAATGCCAGGATTTTTTTTTTTAAGACAATGACTGGGCATGGTGGCACGTGCCTGTAGTCCCAGCTACTCCAGAGGCTGAGGCGGGAGAATTGCTTGAAGCCAGGAGGCGGAGGTTGCAGTGAGCCAAGGTCGCACCACTACACTCCAGTCTGGGCGACGGAGTGAGACTCTGCCTCAAAAAAAAAAAAAAAAAGACAGCGAGTATATTTATCACCCCAAAAGTTTTCTTGTGCCCTCCCTCCCTTCCTTGCATCTATAGTCAGGCAGCCAATCACTGCACTACATTTTGTCATGACAGATTAGTTTGCATTTGTTATATAGAATATAATGTTATGATTTTATGTCACTGTTTTTTTTTTTGAGACAGAGTCTTGCTCTGTCACCCAGGATGGAGTGCAGTAGCGCGATCTCGGCTCACTATAACCTCTGCCTGATTTTATGTCACTTTTTAATAGGGGACATTAAGTGAGCACTTACTCCATGCCAGGCAATGGCCCTTTTGTGCCTCTGCAGCACACAGCACAGACTAGACTGGGTTCGGGGGACACAAGATGAGCCAAATTTGGGACCGGGCATAGTGGCTCATGCCTGAATCCCAGTGCTTTGGGAGGCCAAGGTGGGAGGATCACTTGAGGCCAGGAGTTTGAGACTAGCCTGGGCAACATAGTGAGACCCTATCTCTCTATATATATTTTTTAAATTAGCAGGGCATGGTGGCACATGCCTGGAGTCCCAGCTACTCGGGAGGCTGAGGCGGTAGGATGGCTTGGGCCCAGGAGGTTGAGGCTACTGTGAACTATGATCGCGCCACTGCACTCCAGCCTGGGCATGGAGCAAGACCCCATCTCTCTCAAAAACAAAAAAAGATTCAGCTCCTGCCCTAGGGTGGCTCAAGATCAGCTGGAGTGACAGACAGAGCAGTGACCACTCTGGTGTCAGCTGATGCCCATGATTAGAGAGAGAAGCTGTGGGGGCTGGAGTCAGCAAAAACAATGCAGGAGCTGAATCTCAAAACCCAGTGGGAGCCAGGTAGAAGAGAGGGAAGGGTGTTGTTGACAGAGGGACCAGCCTCTGCAAAAGCACTGGCGAGAAACAGGAAGTAGCCCACTTCATGCTGCGGGTCTGGAAAGCCAGGATCTTCCCTCGGGCAATGAGGAGCCTTAGAAGGTTTTTCTTGTTTGTTTTATTTTGTTTTGTTTTTGGTTTTTTAGACGGAGTCTCGCTCTGTTGCCCAGGCTGGAGTGCAATAGCGCGATCTCGGCTCACTGCAATGGCACGATCTTAGCTCACTGCAACCTCTGCCTCCTGGGTTCAAGTGATTCTCCTGCCTCAGACTCCGGAGTAGCTGGGATTGCGCCACCATGCCCGGCTAATTTTTGTATTTTTAGTAGAGATGGAGTTTCACCATGTTGGTCAGGCTGGTCTCGAACTCCTGACCTCGTGATCCGCCGGCCTCTGTCTCCCAAAGTGCTGGGATTTCAGGCATGAGCCACCACGCCTGGCGGAGCCACAGGTTTTAAGGGAGGGAGTCCTTAATAGGGGCTGCACAGAGTGCTGTGGGGGCAAATGGCAAGCATGGGTTCTGCAGGGAGCAGGTGGGGACCAGAAGAGAGGACAGAAGAGGACACAAGCCCAGTGGCTCACAGCTGTAGTCCCAGCTACTCGGGAGGCTGAGGCGGGAGGATCGCTTGAACCGGGAGGTAGAGGCTGCAGTGAGCTGTGATTGTACCACTGCACTCCAGCCTGGGAGACAGAGCGAGACCTCATCTCTTAAAAAAAAATTTAAATTAAAAATAAAAATGAAAAAGAGAAGTGGACAAGCGCCGGAGCCCTGGAGGCCTCTGAGGCCGTGATCGCAGCGTCGGCCAAGGGCAGTCCCGCTCTCTGCGCTGCTCGGGGAGCCCCGGCCACGGGACAGGCCCGGAGGCGCCGCCGCTGCTGAAAGCCGCTTTTGTGCGGCCCAGCGAGCTCCTGTTTCGTTGACGTTGGACTCTGCTGCTTATTTATCCAACTCGGAGGGAAATTCTGCAGCGGCGAGGGGGAAAAAATAACCTCAGCTGCCGCCGGGCGACCAGGAAAGAGGCCCCAGCGTCCCCCACCCCCACCCTCCTTCCCGCCGGCCTGTCCGGCCCACAGAGGGGCCAGGGAACCTGGAAGGACCCGGGGTCCCAGCTCCCTGCAGCCTGGGCCTCAGACGGCGCAGGCGCAGAGCCCTGCCCCAGCCCCGGGCCGGGCCGGGAGCCCACCTTCTCGGAGGCTGTGCTGGTCCCAGGGGGGTCCCCAGGGAATGTCACCTGACTCCTGGGCCAGCCCCTGAGGCCAGCAAGCTGCACTGTGCCCGGCCCCTGCCTGGGGGAGGCTCTGGGAGAGATGGTCCCCAAGGTGTTCTGGGGACTTTCTTGACCCTGCTTGGCTGGCCCAGCCGCAGGCGGGCCACTGCAGCCAACGCAGGACCCTGGCTCCCGGCCCACCCGCCTCTCCAGGTATGAGGGGCAAAGCCCAGCACGGCGGGGCAGGTGGGGCTGTGACCTTCAGCCTCCGCAGACCACGTCCTCTCTCAGCCTGGGGCATGTGTGCAGGATAGGAGTGGGCCTCCCCGCCCCCCACTGGCACAGCCTCTTCCTCCCTACTGTCTCCCTTCAGTCCCCCCAGGTAGCAGTCAGTCCCTGGTCCAAGGGGCAGGTAGCACTTGGCCCAGCCCCTCACCTTGCCCCAGTGATGTGTGCCGGGGCGGGGACAAGGGTACCTGTCTCCACTACCCTTGCTCTGGCAGGACGTCTTTAGGGTGGGGGGTGCCACTCCCTGCCCCCAGCCCTACACTAAGTTTTTCCCAGCCTCCTATGAGTGCTTAGTGGCCCCACCTGGTCACAGCAGGAGCTTTATTTTGAGACAGGGTCTCACTCTGTCGCCCAGGCTGGAGTTCAGAGGCGCGATCTTGGCTCACAGCAACCTCTGTCTCCTGGACTCACAAACCATCCTCCCACCTCAGCCTCCCAAGTAGCTGGGACCACAGGCTCAAGCTACCACATCCAGCTAATTTTTGTATTAAATATTTTTTGTAGAAATGGGGTTTTGCCATGTGGCCCAAGCTGGTCTCAAACTCCTGGGCTCAAGCAATCCTCCTGCCTTGGCCTCCCAAAGTGCTGGGATTACAGATGTGAGCCCCTGTGCCCAGCCCAGCAGGAACTTTAAAAGAGCTGCACCTGGGCCAGGCGTGGTGGCTCACACCTGTAATCCCAGCACTCTGAGAGGCCGAGGCGCATGGATCACGAGGTCAGGAGTAGGAGATCAGCCTAGTGAAACCCCCATCTCTACTAAAAATACAAAAATTAGCTGGGTATGGTGGCGTGCGCCTGTAATCCCAGCTACTCAGGAGGCTGAGGCAGGAGAATCGCTTGAACCTGGGAGACAGAGGTTGCAGTTAGCCAAGATCACGCCAGTGCACTCCAGACTGAGTGACAGAGCAAGACTCCATCTCAAAAAAAAAAAAAAAAAAAAAAATCTGCAACTGGCCAGGTGCGGTGGCTCAAGTCTGTAATCTCAGCACTTTGGGAGACTGAGGTGGGTGGATCGCTTGAGGTTAGGAGTTAGAGACCAGCTTGGCCATCATGGGGGAACCCTGTCTCCACTAAAAATACAAAAATTAGCCAAGTCTGTTGGTGCACACCTGTAGTCCCAGCTACTTGGGAGGCTGAGACAGGATAATTGCTTGAACTGGGGAGGTGGAGGATGCAGTGAGCGGAGATTGCACCACTGCACTCCAGCCTGGGCGACAGAGCAAGACTCCGTCTCAAAAAAAAAAAAGAAGAAGAAGAGTTGCACCCTATCTCCAGGTCACCCGGGGACCCCTGCTTGACTTGTAAGCAGCAGCCCTTGGTCCTCCTTACACCAGCACATGGCAGATCCAGCCTCCCGGGGGTTCCCCACGGCACATCCCACACCCAGTCTTTAACTGTACTCCAGTCCCACTGACTGCGGGCAGGACCCAAAGTCTGCCGTTCACTCCTCAAGAGGCCCCTGCACCTGGTATGCCCGAGCTGTACCTAACCTAGTTCGAGCTAACTCAGTCCTAGGACTTGACTTGGTCATCACCCCCTCCAGGGCATACCCACCTAACCTGCCTTGTCATCTCCCACCCCGTTGTCCCCCAGGCTGGGTCCAATTCATTGCCGTGCCCTCAGCACTGTGCTAAGTACGTATCTGTTGAATGAAGTCCTCTAGAAATGAGAGTTGGACACCCCAAGGAGGAGACACTCACCTGGGTCCTCGATCTGCTAACTTCATGGCCATTTGGGGTTCTGTTGTCCCCCCACTGTATTATCCTGGAGCTCCGGGCCTCCTCCTCCCTCTATTCCTCTTTGTCCCTTCTCCTGCCTGCCATGTGCCATGATCTGTGGAACCAGGGCCTGGGTGTGGGCCTGGGGGTGGGGCCAGGCCTGCAAGGAGGCCCCTGACATCCCCGCAGAAACAGGTGCTTTTTTTTCTTTTTTCAGACAGGGTCTCACTCTGTTGCCCAGGCTGGAGTGCGGTGGTGCAATCATGGCTCACTGCAGTCTCGATCTCCCAGGTTCAAATGATCCTCCCACCTCAGCCTCCCAAGTAGCTGAGACTACAGAGCCCGAGCCCACCACCACGCCTGGCTAAGTGTTTTTGTTGTTTTTTTTTTTTTTTTGAGATGGAGTCTTGCTCTGTCGCCCAGGCTGGAGTGCAGTGGTGCCATCTCTTCTCACTGCAACCTCCACCTCCCGGGTTCAAGTGATTCTCGCACCTCAGCCTTCGGAGTAGCTGGGACTACAGGCGTGTGCCACGAGGCCTGGCTAATTTTTGTATTTTTTAGTAGAGATGGGGTTTCATCATGTTGGCCAGGCTGGTCTCGAAATGCTGACCTCAAGAGATCTGCCCGCCTTGGTCTCCCAAAGTGCTGGTATTACAGGCATGAACCACCGTGCCCGGCCCTGGATAATTTTTTATTTTTTGTAGAGATGGTGTCTTGAGACGTTGCCTAGGCTGGTCTCGAACTCCTGGCCTCAATGTATCCTCCTGCCTCGGCCTCCCAGAGTGCCAGGATTATATGCATGAGCTGCCACACCCAGCCCCTTTTCAGTCAATTCTTTTTTTTTTTTTGGCTGGAGTGCAGTGGCACAATCTCAGTTCACTGCAGACTCTGCCTCCCGGGTTCAAGTGATTCTCCAGCCTCAGCATCCTGAGTAGCTGCTACTATAAGCGCCCACCACCATGCCTGGCTAATTTTTAATTTTTTCTAGAGATAGTGTCTTGAGATGTTGCCTAGGCTGGTCTTGAACTTCTGGCTTCATGTGATCCTCCTGCCTCGGTCTCCCAACATGCTGGGATTACAGGCATGAGCTATAATACCCGGCCCCTTTTCAGTCAGTTCTATCACCATTTCCTTGGGCACCCATGCAAGGAAAAACCTCAGGTGCTACTTTGGGGTTCAGGCCCTGGGAAGCAATGTCACAGAAGGGCTGAGTCAGCTTGTAGAGTCAGATGCCCAGATTCAAATCATGCCCCACGATTGTGTCACGTCAGATAATTTTTTTTTTTTTTTTTTGAGACAGGATCTCACTCTGTCACCCAGGCTGGAGTGCAGTGGTGTGATCTCGGTTCACTGCAACCTCCACCTCCTGGATTCAAGCGACTCTCGTGCCTCAGCCTCCCGAGTAGCTGGGATTACAGGTGACTGCCACTACGCCTGGCTAATTTCTGTAGTTTTAGTAGAGACAGGGTTTCAACCATGTTAGCCAGGCTGGTCTCAAACTTCTGACTTCAGATAATCCACCTGCCTCAGCTTCCTAAAGTGCTGGGATTACAGGCGTGAGCCACTGCGCCCAGCATGTTAGACAATTTTTAATTCATCCTCTTTGTGCTGTTGTTTTCTCAGCTGTGAAAGGAATATTCTGGTGGGGACAAGGTTATAGAGTTGCTGAGAGGGTCTCATGACATGAAGGTACTGGCCTTGGCACAGTGCCTGGTGGGGCGGGGACTCCGCACATGCCTGTGAGGTCACAGTTACTGTCAGTTCACAGCGAACCTTCCCTCCTTTTCCTGTTGACTTTCCCACACTCCTGTAACCGTCCCTCCCTCCCTTCTTCCTCTCTGTCTCTCTCACTCACACACACGCACACAAACACACACACACACACACACGCACACACACACACACACACACTCCATTCACTGTCTCCATGACTCTGGAGTAAACTAATGTCTCGAGTTGCCATTGGAAGCCCCATCATCCTCATTTTGTTTTGTTTTGTTTGTTTGAGACGGGGTCTCACTCTGTCCCCCAGGCTGGAGTGCAGTGGTGCGATCTCAGCCCACTGCAGCCTCTGCCTCCTAGGTTCAAGCGATTCTCCTGCCTCAGCCTCCTGAGTAGCTGTGATCATAGGTGCCCGCCACCACACCCGACTAATTTTTGTGTTTTTTAGTAGAGACAGGGTTTCACTATGTTGGCCAGGCTGGTCTCGAACTCCTGACCTCAGGTGATCCGCCCACCTTGGCCTCCCAAAGTGCTGGGATTACAGGAGTGAGCCACCACGCCCAGCCTCCATTGTCCTCATTTAGACTTTCATGGGTTGTAGGCACTTTTGACTTCCTGGGGTCCTTCTTCCGTTAAAAAAAAAAAAATTAGAAAATTAGGCCACGTGCGGTGGCACATGCCTGTAATCCCAGCACTTTATGAGGCCAAAGTGGGAGGATCACCTGAGGTCGGGAGTTCAAGACCAGCCTGACCAATGTGGAGAAACCCTGTCTCTACTAAAAATAGAAAATTATTTGGGTGTGGTGGTGCATGCCTGTAATCCCAGCTACTCAGGAGGCTGAGGCAGGAGAATCTCTTGAACCCGGGAGGTGGAGGTTGCGGTCAGCCGAGATCGTGCCACTGCACTCCAGCCTAGGCAACAAGAGTGAAACTCCGTCTCAAAAAAAAAATTAAAAATTATATTCGGGCCGGGCTTGGTGGCTCAATCCTATAATACCAGCACCTTAGGAGGCCAAGGCAGGAGGATCACTTGAGGCCAGGAGTTCAAGACCGGCCTGGGCAACATAATGAGAACCCATCTTTACCAAAAAAAAAAAAATTAAATTAAAAATTAGCCAGGCACGGTGACTTCTGCCTGAGGTCACATTCAAGAAGCTGATGTGGGAGGATCGCTTGAGCCCAGGAATTGGAGGCTGCAGTGAGCTAAGATCGTACCACTGCACTTCAGCCTGGGCGTCAGAGTGAGACCCTGTTTCTAAAATAATAATAATTTTAAAAAATGATATTTATGGTTACATTGGGAAAAGATGAATCTATTAATATACATGAAGACATTTTTGGCCTAAAAGTTATATATATTTTTTCCTTCTGATTTTAAAAGAAATGGGGCCAGGCATGATAGCTCATACCTGTAATCCCAGCACTTTGGGAGGCCCAGGTAGGTGGATCACCTGAGGTCAGGAGTTCGAGACCAGCCTGGCCAACATGGTGAAACCCTGTCTCTACTAAAAAATATAAAAATTAGCCGGGCGTGGTGGTGGGCACCTGTAATCCCAGCTATTCAGAGGCTGAGGCAGGAGAATTGCTTGAACTTGGGAGGTGGAGGTTGCAGTGAGCTGAGGCCGCACCATTGCACTTCAGCCTGGGCAGCAGAGCGAGACTCTGTCTGAAAGAAAGAGAGAGAGAGAGAGGAAGAGGAAGAAGGAAGAGGAGGAGGAGGAGGAGGAGGGAGGGAAGGAGGAAGGAAGGAAGGAAGGGAAAGAAAGAGAAGAAAAGAAGGAAGGAAGAAAGAGAGAGAGAGACAGGGAGGGAGGAAGGAAGGAAGGAAAGAAAGGAAGGAAGGAAGGAAGAAGAAAGAGCAAGCCAGCCTTTGGGGGCCCCTGAGCACGTGGTGGGCTCTGGGCATGGTGTCCCCTGTGCCTGCTGGGTAGGCAGCCCTGGCTGCCTGGTGGAGCCTCATTCCCTCTGCACAGAGGTTTGCTTCCCCCAAGTGGGCGGACACACTGACTGGAGTTTCTGTCTTGTTTGGAATTCCCTTCCTTCTTCCCTGCACCTGGGTAAAGAATGCTTCCTCCTATAAAAGTGGGAGGTTTGGCCCACGAGAGCCCTGCAGTCCTTCCCACATCCTCGGCCGAGGAGAAATCTCCAGTATTCTGGGCTCAGGCTCCCCTCTCCCTCCCGGGTGGCTGAGCCAGCCGGGGGTGCCTTGGCTACAGCCCCCTCCCCTGTGTCTCAACCCCAGCCACCCAGTAGGAGAGGTCAGGTCTTTCTGATGCCCGACATCGCCTCTACCCCGCTCCAAAGCCTTCACTGGCTCTCATCTTCTTAGTGTCATACCCACACGGGTCAGCCTGGTGATCAGGGCTTGCTGGGCCTTAGTGACCTGCCATTGCTCTCCCAGCCCCACTCATAGAGCCTGGGTTCCCAACACCTGTGTCTCTCACCCAGCCCAGACACACCAGCAAGCCCAGTGCTTGGCTCACACCTTTGCCCAAGACAGTCCCTCTGCTGGCTATACCCTTCTTGACTGTGGCTTTGTGCTTACTTTTCTTAAGGACAAAGAAATATAATACATCTCACTTATAATCACCTTTTTTTTTTTTTTTTGAGACAGAGTCTTGTTCTGTCACTCAGGCTGAAGTGCAGTGGTGTGATCTCGGCTCACTGCAAACTCTGCCCCCTGAGTTCAAGCAATTCTCCTGCCTTAGCCTCCCAAGTAGCTGGAATTACAGGTGTAAGCCACCATGCCCAGCTAATTTTTGTATTTTTAGTAGAAATGTGGTTTCACTGTATTGCCCAGGCTGGTCTGGAACTCCTGGCCTCAATTGATCTGCCCGCCTCAGCCTCTCAAAGTGCTGGGATTCCAGGTGTGAGCCATTGTTCCCGGCCTATAATCACATATTTAAAAATAACAAGCATAATGTTTTGTGCAAACTTTAAATTACAGTATATATGCATTTAAACAATAAAGTCTGGGCGCGTGGCTCACACCTGTAATCCCAGCACCTTGGGAGGCCAAGGCAGGTGGATCACCTAAGGTTGGGAGTTCAAGGCCAGCCTGACCAACATGGAGAAACCCCCACTCTACTAAAAATACAAAAATTAGCCAGGCGTGGTGGCGCATGCCTGTAATCCCAGCTACTCGGGAGGCTGAGGCAGGAGAATCGCTTGAACCTGTGAGGCCGAGCTTGCGGTGAGCCAAGATCGCATCATTGCACTCCAGCCTGGGCAACAAGAGCAAAACTGTGTCTTAAAAAAAACCAAAACAACAACAACAACAAAAAACGATAAAAAGTGAGCTACCGTGCCGGGCACAGTAGCTCACCTGTAATCCCAGCACTTTGGGAGGCTGAGGCGGGTGGATCACCTGAGGTCAGGAGTTCGAGACCAGCCTGGCCAACATGGTGAAACCCCGTCTGTACTAAAAATACAAAAATTACCCGGGCGAGGTGTCACACGCCTCTAATCCCAGCTACTCAGGAGACTAAGGCAGGAGAATCGCTTGAACCCAGGAAGCGAAGGTTGCAGTGAGCCCAGATCACGTCATTGTACTCCAGCCTGGGTGACAAGAACAAAACTCTGTCTCCAAAACAATAACAACAACAAAACAAATGAATAAAACTAATTCTATTCATTTGCTTTTATTTATTTATATTTAACTTTATTATTATTATTATTATTTTGAGACAGAGTCTCATTCTGTCACCCAGGCTGGAGTGCAATGATGCGATCTCGCCTCATGCAACCTCCATCTCCCGGGTTCAAGCGATTCTCCTGTCTCAGCCTCCCAGGTAGCTGGGGTTACAGGTGTGCAGCACCACACCTGGCTAATTTTTTTATTTTGAGTGGAGATTGGGTTTCATCATGTTGGCCAGGCTGGTCTCGAACGCCTGACCTCAAGTGATCCGCCCACCTTAGCCTCCCAAAGTGTGGGGAGCCACTGTCCCGGCGTATTATTACTTTTAGAGACGAGGTCTTGCTTTGTTTTCCAGGCTGGAGTACAGTGGCTCAATCATAGCTCACTGCAGCCTCAAACTCCTGGCCTCAAGCAATCCTCCTACTTCAGCCTCCCAAAGTGCTGAGATTATAGGTGTGAGCCACTGCACCCGGCCTCTCTATTCTCTACTTCCTCTTTCTGGAATTTCTATTAGGCGGATGTTGAATCTCCTGAATTAATCTCTAATTTTCTTCCCTTCCCATTCCCTTCCCTTTCCCTTCCCCTTCCCTTCCCTTCCCCTTCTCTTCCCCTCCCCTCCCCTCTCCTCCCTTCCCCTCTCCTCCCCTCCCTTCCCTTCCCTCCTTCCTTTCTCTCTTTCTCTCTCTCGTTCTCTCTTTCTTTCCTTTTTCGTCTCATTCTGTCACCCAGGCTGGAGTGCAGTGGCACTTCTCAGCTCATGGAAACCTCTGCCTCCCGGGCTCAAGCAATTCTCATGTCTCAGCCTCCCGAGTAGCTGGGATTACGGGTGCACACCACCACACCTGGCTGATTTTTGTATTTTTTTCGTAGAGACAGGGTTTTGCCATGTTGGCCGGGCTGGTCTTGAACTCCTGACCTCGGGTGATCCACCCACCTCAGCCTCCCAAAGTGCTGGGATTACAGGTGTGAGCCACCGTGCCCAGCCTTAACTACCATATTTTAAATTTACTGGAGGACTTTTTTGTTCTCTTTTTTTCTTTTTTTAATAGCATCCCGCTCTTATTTCAGAATAAAAAAATTTTTAAGGTATGTTGAGTAAGAATCTATAGAGCAATGAAAATGCAAGAGCAATAGCTATGGGCACCAAATGGTCAATCTTCTTATCATAATGTTGAGTGGAAGAAGCCAGGTCCACCAGACACATGCTGCTCATTTATGCAAAGTTTGGACACAGGCAAAACAAAACTAGTTTGATCATGATGGGAAACATTAGAGAAATGCAAAGACATGACCATCATAATTGTCAGGAGAAGGCATTGGTTAGGATTGGGAAGCGGCAAGCAGAAGCATCTAGGGATTGGCTGGCAATATTTTACTTCTCGGCTGAGTGAGGGTTGCATCGGTGTTTATTTGATAACACGTTCTAGGGGCTGGGCAAGATGGCTCATGTTTGTAGTCCCAGTACTTTGGGAGGCCAAAGATGGGAGGATTGCTTGAGCCCGTGAGTTTGAGACCAGCCTGGGTGACATAGCGAAACCCTGTTTCTAAAAAAATTAAAAAAAAAAAAAAAAAAACTAGTTGCACGTGGTGGCACAGCCTCAAACTCCTGGGCTCAAGCGATCCTCCCTTGGCCTTCCAGCCACTCAGGAGGCTAGGGTGGGAGGATCGCTTGTACCCAGGAGTTTGAGGCTGCAGTGAGCTATGAATGAGCCACTGCACTCCAGCCTGGGCAACAGGGCAAGACCCTGTCTCAAAAAAAAAAAAATAATTTGAACACTTCTGTTTTGTGCAGTTTTCTCTGTTATATTTTACTTTTTAAAAAGAAAAAGCGGCCGGGCGCGGTGGCTCACACCTGTAATCCCAGCACTTTGGGAGGCCAAGGTGGGAGGATTGCTTGAGGCCAGGAGTTAAAGATCAGTCTGGGCACCATAGCAAGATCCCATCTCTACAAAAAATAAATTTTAGAAAATTGAAGGGCTATTTGTTCTTCCCCTCCCTAGCATTCTGTTCTTGTGCAATGGAAAAGAAAGTATTGAATACAGCCGGGCACAGTGGCTCACGCCTGTAATCCCAGCACTTTGGGGGGCCAAGGCGGGCGGATCACCTGAGATTGGGAGTTCAAGGCCAGCCTGACCAACATAGAGAAACCCTGTCTCTACTAAAAACACAAAAAATTAGCCGGGCGTGGTGGCACATGCCTGTAATCCCAGCTACTCGGGAGGCTGAGGCAGGAGAATCGCTTGAACCTAGGAGGCGGAGGTTGCAGTGAGCTGAGATCGCACCACTGCACCCCAGCCTGGGCAACAAGAGTGAAACTCCATCTCAAAAAAAAAAAAAAAGGTACATGAAACATATGAAGCAAAAAGTGAAAGTCCCCATTCTTTTCCTTTTTCCAGAGGTGATTTTTGTGGCCAATCTGGTTTCATTTCCTCCCAGACACTTTTCTAGGCATCTATGTGCCTCTATTCACATATAAACAAAATAGGAGTTTTCCTGTGCTTCCCTTAAATGGCATATGTATCATTCACTCTATTTTTTCACCTAGTGGATCTTTAATACCTTAAAAGCTCAACCTGGGCTTGGTGCGGTGGCTCATACCTGTAATCCCAGGCCTTTGGGAGGCCAAGGTGGGAGGATCACTTGAGCGCAGGAGTTCCAGACCATTCCAAAGCCAAAAAAAAAAAGGAGTTTGAGATCAGCGTGGGCAAGTTAGCAAAACACCATCTCTAAAAAAAAAAAAAAAAAAAAAAAAAAATTAGCCAGGCATGGTGGTGTAAGCCTGTAGTCCCAGCTACTTGAGAGGCTGAGGTGGGAGGATTGTTTGAACCCAGGAGGTTGAGGCTACAGTGAGCTGTGATTGTGCCACTGCACTCCAGGCTGGGTAATGCAGCGAGACTGTGTCTCAAAAAATAAATAAAATAAAAAATAAATAAAAGCTCCACCTGTCTTCCTTTTAGATGTTGCATAGCATTTCACACAGTATTGATGTATTACAGCTCAACTAAATTAATCCCAGTATCTAGCACATGGGGTGGTGGGAAGGATTAAGGGAGATAATATAAGCCAAGTGCTCAGAACAAGGGCTTGACACACCAGGCTTGCCTTGAACAATTTGTTTTTTTGTTGTTTTGTGTGTGTGTGTGTTTTTTTTTGAGACAGCATCTCATTGCATCACCGAGGTTGTAGTGCAGTGGTGCAATCATAGCTCACTACTGTCTCAGACACCTGGGATCAAGCGATCCTCCCACCTCAGCCTCCGGAGTAGCTGGGACTACACATGCATCACCACACCCCACTAATTTTTAAATTTTTTGTAGAGACAGAGTCTCATTATGTTGCCTAGGCTGGTCTCAAACTCCTGGCCTCAATTAATCCTCCTCCCTTGGCCTCCCAAAGTGCTGGGATTACAGGGATGAGCCACTGTACCTGGCAGCCTTGAGCGATTTCTCACCTCCTCATTGGCCCAGTTTCCTTATCTGTAAATGATAGTAGCTGTAAAATACGGTCAATGTTAGGACCAAATGGGTCAATTAGGGAAAAACAGTGTCTCTGCCAGCATCCGGCGCCCCCCCCCCTTTTTTTTTGAGACAGAGTCTTACTCCGCTGCCCAGGCTGGAGTGCAGTGGTGCGATCTTGGCTTACTGCAACCTCCACCTCCCAGGTTCAAGCAATGCTCCTGCCTCAGCCTCCTGAGTAGCTGGGACTACAGGTGCCTGCCACCACGCCTGGCTAATTTTTGTATTTTTAGTAGAGATGCGGTGTCACCATGTTGGCCTGGCTGGTTTTCAACACCTGAACTCAGGTGATCTGCCCGCCTCGGCCTCCCAAAGGGCTGGGATTACAGGTGTAATGGTTAAGGAGAGAAACCTTAAATAAAGGCCGGGTGCAGTGGCTCACGCCTGTAATCCCAGCTACTCAGGAGGCTGAGGCAGGAGAATTGCTTGAACCTGGGATTGCAGTGAGCCAAGATTGCGCCACTACACTTCAGCCTGGGTGACAGAATGAGACTCCGTCTTAAAAAAAAAAAAATTTAAATAAAATGCATGCAATGTGGTCTGGGCATGGTGGTGCATGCCTGTAACCCCAGCACTTTGGGAGGTAGAGGCAGGTGGATCCCTTGAGCTTAGGAGTTTGAGACCAGGCTGGGCAACATAGTGAGACCTCATCTCTAAAATTAAAAAAATAAAAGCCACCAGAAAAAAACCTAAAAACATGCCAGGTGACATCAGTCTTTGATGAAGATGGCAGCAGGAGAGTGATGCCATGGGTGGGGGTGGGAAATGCTATTTCAGCAGAGAGGGAGCTGTCATGGAAGAAACCATGTGGCCGGGCACAGTGGCTCACACCTGTAATCCCAACACGTTGGGAGGCCAAGGTGGGCAGATCACTTGAGGTCAGGAGTTCAAGACCAGCCTGGCCAACATGGCAAAACCCTATCTCTACTAAAATCCAAAAATTAGTCGGGCATGGCAGCACACGCCTGTAATCCCATATACTCGGAAGGCTAAGGCAGGAGAATCACTTGAACCTGGGAAGTGGAGGTTGCAGTGAGCCAAGATCGTGTCACTGCACTCTAGCCTAGGTGATACAGCGAGACTCAGTCTCAAAAAATAAAGGAAGAAAAAGAAACCAGGTGACTGTTGTGCCCGTCTCTTGTCCCCGATCTTTCTCCCAATCCTGAGGTCCATCAGATGGAAGGACACATCCATCCGGAGGCCTCCCCGAGTGTGGGTGGGAGAAATCCATCCCCTCTCTGACACTCCCCCCGCCTTTCCCTCCCGACACCCAGTCCCTGGGAGATCAAAATCTAGCCTGGTGTTATCTAGGCTGGGGCCTGAAGAGCCCGGTGGGACGTGGAGGATGAAGAGGAGGGGCATGGACCCAGAAAGTAGCAGGAAGTCTTCAGAGACCCTTATTTTTTAATTATTTATTTTTGTTTGTTTTGTTTTTTGTTTTTTTGTTTCCCTCTTGTTGCCCAGGCTGGAGTGCAGTGGTGTGATCTCAGCTCACTGCAACCTCTGCCTCCCAGGTTCAAGTGATTCTCCTGCCTCAGCCTCCTGAGTAGCTGGGATTACAGGCTCCCACCACCAAGTCCGGCTAATTTTTGTGTTTTTAGTAGAGACGGAGTTTCACCTTGTTGGCCAGGCTGGTCTCGAACTCCTGACCTCAGGTGATCCACCCACCTCGGTCTCCCAAAGTGCTAGGATTACAGACTTGAGCCACCACACCTGGCCCTTCAGAGACCTTTGGAGCCAGAGGTGACATATCGATCTACATTTAACCCTCTGGGAACCAAGGAATGAAGGATTAGAGGAAACGGGGCCAGAAGTGGAGAGAAGGGGAGTGTGCGTCGAACAGACAGGGAGTGTATTAAATAAACGAATGAGTGAATGAATGATCCATCCATATGGACACTAGCCTGTTAGTAAAGAAGAGTCTAGGGTCAGGGAGAGCTCAGCCCTCCTCAAGCCGCCCCCATGATGACATCAGCCCCAGTGCCAGCCTGGGCTTGGGCATGGAGGGGAGGGCTCTGACCACAGGGCTCTCCAGCCCCCAGCCTTGGGCTAGGGGCAGTCTGAGGTCAGGCCAGCTGCCTGGCAGGAGTTGAGACCCCAGAAGGGAGGCCGAGGGCGGGAACATTCTCCAGCCACAGGGTGGGATCTCAGCCCAAGGAGATGGGGTTCCCAGGCCAGGGTCTGCCTTGGGCAGGCAGATCAGTGCCAGGTGGGCCCTGGGTCAAGACCGGGGTCCAGCCCCAGCCCAGCGTCTGCCTCCCCCACTGCCCAGCCTCTGTTCATTCCCAGGTGGGACGGGGAGCCACAGCCCCCATCCCACCCCCTGCACAGAAGCCTTTTCACACGCTGGCTGGTTGGGAGTACTGGCAGCCCCTCAGCCCCACGCCTCCTTCCCGCCCGGTCCCCATGCAGACCCCCCCACCTCTGGGCTCCTGGCAGGCCCGGGTGGGGAGCCACCGCCCGAGCACAATGTAGCTCCTTGTTCCCCGGCCCGGCCTCCTGGAATTGGCCCATTTCCTGCCTGGGCTGTGGGGCTTTTTCCAAGGTAAATAAACAAATACAGAGAAGTTGGGGCCTGGGGTGGAAAGGGGGACGCTGGGCTTTTCCTCCCTGCATCCCAACCCCATAGCAATAGCTGCTGTGTGACCACAGGGGCCGGGACACCAAGGCTGAGCCCCCACACCCTGGGCTTCATTGATCCCTGGGAGAAGAGAACGGGATCCACTGGAGGGTTTGTGCCGCTCTGCCTCAGGGGCTGTGGTTCCCCATCCAGGACGCCCAGGGGCCACCGATTCCCGCAGGAATTGCCTGAGTGCAGGGCTGGGACAGCCGCTGAGAGACGGAAAGTGCTCCAGGGTGGATGACAATTCCCTAGGCTCCCGTCCTGGCTGTGCCACCTTGGAGCACTATGACATCAGGAAGGAAATGAACCTCCAGCTGCAGAATGGCTCCAGAGGTGCTGCCTGCTTAGGGGGTGCATGGCCCTCGCCTCCAGTGTCATAAATGGGCCATTGCCTTCTCCCAGGTCGGTAGTGAGAGTGACAGCAGGTGCCTAGCAGGACCCGTGAGTTTGGGAGCCGGCCTGGCCAGGGCTTCTTCGGCTTCCCAGGGGCTGGGGAGAAGCCTCTCCCTGTGACTCAGGCTTTCTTTCTTTCTTTTTTTTTTTTTGAGACAGGGTCTCACTCTGTCACCCAGGCTGGAGTGCAGTGGCATGACCCTGACTCACTGCAATCTCCACCTCCTGGATTCAAGCGATTCTTCTGCCTCAGCCTCCCGAGTAGCTGTGATTACAGGCGTGTGCCACTATGCCCAGCTAATTTTTGAATTTTTAGTAGAGACAGGGTTTCACCATGTTGGCCAGGCAGGTCTCAAACTCCTGGCCTCAAGTGATCAGCCTGCCTCAGCTTCCCAAGGTATTGAGGTTACAGGCATGAGCCACCGTGCCTGGCCAGGTTTCTTGTTTTTAAAAGGAGGAAAGAGCTGGGTGCAGTGGCTCATACCTGTAATCACAGCACTTTGGGAGGCCGAGGTGAAAGGATTTCCTGAGCCCAGGAGTTCAAGACCAGCCTGGGCAACATAGTGAGACCCTATCTCTATAAAACTAATAAAGACAAGAATAAGTTAAAATAAAGAAAGAGAGCAAGATAAAGCCCCAGCTCCAGCTCCCTCCAGGGCTGAAGTTTCAGACTGACCTCTGCCCAGACCATTCTACCCTCCAAACCCAGCCCTGCCTGCCCTGGGCTGTGGGTATGAGAGAGCTCAGGGCAGACAAAACGCCCCTCACACTTCTCCCTTTCTTTCTTCCACCTCCCTGTCCTCTATCCCTTAGAACAGTGGTCCCCAGTTTTTTTTTTTTTCTTTTTCTTTTTTAGATAGAGTCTTGCTGTCTTGCCTAGGCTGGAGTGCAGTGGCGCAGTCTCAAGTAACTGCAACCTCTGCCTCTGAGGTTCAAGTGATTCTCCTGCCTCAGCCTCCTGAGTAGCCGGAATTACAGGCATGTGCCACCACGCCCAGCTAATTTTATTATTATTATTATTATTTTTTATTTTGAGATGGAGTCTTGCTGTCTCCCAGGCTGGAGTGCAGTGGCGCGATCTCGGCTCACTGCAAGCTCCGCCTCCCGGGTTCACGCCATTCTCCTACCTCAGCCTCCCGAGTAGCTGGGACTACAGGCCCACGCCATGACGCCTGGCTAATTTTTTATATTTTCAGTAGAGACAGGGCTTCACCGTGTTAGCCAGGATGGTCTCGATCTCCTGACCTCGTGATCCACCTGCTTCGGCCTCCCAAAGTAATCACGCTGGGATTACAAGCGTGAGCCACTGCGCCCAGCCAATTTTTGTATTTTTAGTAGAGGCAGGGTTTCGCCATATTGGCCAGGCTAATCTTGAACTCCTGACCTCAAGTGATCTACCTACCTCAGCCTCCCAAAGTGCTGGGATTACAGGCATGAGCCACTGCGCCCAGCCACCCCAACCTTTTTGACACCAGGGACCAGTTTCAAAAAAGACAATTTTTCAACGAATGGGGGTGGGGTTGGGGGTAGGAGTTAGCCAGATGGTCTGGGGATGAAACTGTTCCATGTCAGATCATCAGGCATTAGATTCTCATTAGGAACATGCAACCTAGATCCCTCACGTGCGCAGTTCACAATAGAGTTCACGCTCCGGTGAGAATCTAATGCCACCGCTGATCTGACAGGAGATGGAGCTCCGGCGGTAATGCTCCCTCACCTGCCACTCACCTCCTGCTGCATAACCCGATTCCTAACAAGTCAGGGACCAGCTGGGGACCATGGACCCCTGCCTTGGAGATTCCTCCACTCCACTGTGGGAAGGGGCACCTTCTGAACCAATGTTTTGCATGTGTCTTCATCCCCTGCTTGTACTCCAGATCTTTCCTTCCTTCACTTAATCACCCGTTAGCATTTACCAAGTGCTTGCTCTGTTCTGGACGTTACACAGTGAGGTGGTCCTGGACTCTGGGGTCTTGCTGTGTGTGGGCGGGGGTGATTTCCCAGGGATGGCTCTCAAAACAGGGACGTGAAAATGCATTTGGAGAGATCTTCAAATTCCTTGAGGATTTGAATTTTTCATTTTTATTTCAACAATAACTTGTTCGGCCAGGCGCGGTGGCTCATGCCTGTAATCCCAGCACTTTGAGAGGCCGAGGCAGGTGGATCTCCTGAGGTCAGGAGTTCGAGACCAGCCTGGCTAACATGGTGAACCCCCCGCCAACCCCCCCACTGCCCACCCCGCTGCTCCTTTTTCTTTTCTTTCATTATATATATGTGTACATATGTGTATATATATATATATATTTTTTTTTTTTTTTTTTTTTTTTTTTGGAGACAGAGTCTCGCTCTGTTGCCAGGCTGGAGTGCAGTGGCGTAATCTCGGCTCATTGCAACATCTGCCTCCCAGGTTGAAGTGATTCTCCTGCCTCAGCCTCTGAGGTAGCTGGGATTACAGGTACTGGCCACCAGGCCCAGCTAATTTTTGTATTTTTAGTAGAGAGGGGGTTTCACCATGTCGGTCAGGCTGGTCTCGAATTCCTGACCTCAAGTGACCCGCCCACCTCGGCCTCCAAAAGTGCTGGGGTTACAGGCGTGAGCCACTGCGCCCGGCCTCCTTTCCTTTTTCTTTCCTCCCACTCTGTCATGTTTTATCAATGATAACTTTTAAAGATCCCATGATTGGTCACAGTGAGAACTCTCTTTTGCAGTCATCCTTTGCAATGATAATATATGCCTGTAAACTAAGGCTTTAATTTTTTTTTTTTTTTTTTTTTTTGAGATGAGGTCTCACTCTGTTGCCCAGTCTGGAGTGCAGCAGTTTAGTCATAGCTCACTGCAGCTCGAACTTCTGGGCTCAAGCGATCCTCCTTCCATGCCTGAGTAGCTGGGACTACAGGCACGCGCCATCATGCCTAGCTAATTTATCGTTATTATTTTTTGTAGAGACAGGGTCTCACTATATTGCCCAGGCTGGTCTCAGACTCTTGGCCTCAAGGGATTCTCCCTCGTCAGCCTCCCAAAGTGCTGGGATTACAAGCATGAGCCACCAAGCCAGGCCTATTTATGGTTTCTGATCATTTTTATTTCTTTAAAAGAAGTGCACGGCTGGGCACGGTGGCTCACTCCTGTAATCCCAGCACTTTGGGAGGCCAAGGCAGGTGGATCATTTGAGGTCAGGAGTTTGAGACCAGCCTGACCAACATGGTGAAACGCCATCTCTACTAAAAATACAAAAAGTTAGCCGAGCATGGTGGTGGACGCCTGTAATCCCTCCTGCTACTCGGGAGGCTGAGGCAGGAGAACCACTTGAACCTGGGTGGCAGAGGTGGCAGTGAGATGAGATTGTGCCACTGCACTCAAGCCTGGGGGACAGAGCCAGGCTCTGTCTCAAAAAAAAAAAAAAAGAAAAAGAAAAAAGAAGTGTACACTACAGCAAAGCATGTATGATGCCAATGGGCTATGTTGGGGTGGGGGTAAGGGTGATCAATTTGACCTGGGGGTTCTGGAAGTCTCAGGAAAGGCAGATGGGGGAAGGCCCGAGGCATCCACAGATTTGAGTGTCCTGGTGTCTAAGCAGGAGCCATGGAGAAGGTGGGAGGTGTGAGTTAGGATCAGCTAGAGGTCGGTGCTCTTTTGTCCAAGAGAATGAAGTTGTCTTCAGGTATGATTTGGTTTGGAAACAAGATAAAAGAGATTGGCCGGGTGCGGTGGCTCACGCCTGTAATCCCAGCACTTTGGGAGGCCAAGGCGGGAGGATCACGAGGTCAAGAGATCAAGACCATTCTGGCCAGCATGGTGAAACCCCGTCTCTACTAAAAGTACAAAAATTAGTTGGGCGTGGTGGCGCATGCCTTTAGTCCCAGCTACTCGGGAGGCTGAGGCAGGAGAATTGCTTGAACCCGGGAGGTGGAGACTGAAGTGAGCCGAGATCGTGCCACTGTACTCCAGCCTGGCGACAGAGCAAGACTCTGTCTCAAAAAAAAAAAAAGAAAAGAAAAAGGTGGCCAGGTGCGGTGGCTCACACCTGTAATCCCAGCACTTTGGGAGGCCGAGGCGGGCAGATCGCCAGAGGTCGGGAGTTCGCAACCAGCCTGACCAACATGGTGAAACCCTGTCTCTACTAAAAATACAAAATTAGTCAGGCATGGTGGCGCATGCCTGTCATCCCAGCTACTTGGGAGGCTGAAGCAGGAGAATCGCTTGAACCCGGGAGGCAGAGGTTGCGGTGACTGGAGGTCACGCCATTGCACTCCAGCCTGGGCAACAAAAGCGAAACTTCGTCTCCAAAAAAAAAAAACCAAAGAAACAAAAATTAGCTGGGCGTGGTGGTGCATGCCTGTAATCTCAGCTACTCAGGGAGGCTGAGGCAGGAGAATCGCCTGAACCCGGGAGGTGGAGGTTGCAGTGAGCCGAGATTGTGCCACTGCGCTCCAGCCTGGGCGACAGAGCGAGACTCCGTTTCAAAAACAAACAAACAAATAAACAAAAAAACCGAAATTTTAGGGACAGATGGATTTTTTCTCTGGAATATTGACTTCAACCCAGCCACATGTGGATATGCTTAGAACAGCAGGGCTCAGTCTGAAGTTGGGACCATATCTGTTCTCAAAACATGTGGATCCCTGAGGCCAGACACCAGGTGCCCACCATTGGTGTCAGGGCCCTGCTCCTCTCCCTGCAGTGCAAGGGGCCAGTCCTCAAGGCAGGGGTTCCTCCTCTCTGGACACACAGAGAAAGAGGAGGCGGGGAAACAGCAAGTGCCCAGGAAGGGTGAGGCCCCAGGGACTTGAAGCCAGCCCTCTGATAGCATCGCTGTTTCAGAGGAACACTAGCTACGAAGGGGGCTCTCTTGCCAGTCAGTGCTCAGAGAGATGAGCTTAGCTAGCAGGTCCTTCCTACAGCTGCAGCAATGATGCCTGGACTGTGTCTGCCCAGGGGTGGGCGGTGGAAGGTTCTAGGGAGAGGAGTTGGCACTTCCCTGGTGCAGCCCTTCCCTCTCCTCCCCAGCCCTGACACCACCACAGCCCCTTGGTCTTCTCTGTCCAGAACCTCTTCCCAGAGGCTCCCTAAGGAGACTGCGGAGGCTCCACCTGGGGCTCCCACAGCCCCACACCATGTCTGGCACAGCCTAGGGTGTGACCCCCTTGCCTGCCCTGTGTTTGCTTGGCTGGAGGGACAGGCCTTTCAATGACTCTGACAGTAGAGTAGGGGACCCACAATGGGGAGCAGCTAGCTCTGTCTATGAGAGTTTGGGGAGCGGGGCCTTG
Source organism: Homo sapiens (assembly GCF_000001405.40). NCBI lineage: Eukaryota > Metazoa > Chordata > Mammalia > Primates > Hominidae > Homo > Homo sapiens. The sequence continues at coordinate 73,404,873 of NC_000007.14, read as the reverse complement.
CAGAAAAGATGTCTGATGAGTTTTTTTTTTATTATTTTTGTTTTGAGACAGAGTTTCACTCTTTCGCCCAGGCTGGAGTGCAGTGGCCGGATCTCTGCTCACAGCAACCTCGGCCTTCCAGTTTCAAGCAATTCTCCTGCCTCAGCCTCCCAAGTAGCTGGGATTACAGGCGCCTGCCACCACACCTGGCTAATTTTTGTATTTTTAGTAGAGACGGGGTTTCACCATGTTGGCCAGCCTGGTCTTGAACTCCTGACCTCGTGATCCGCCTGACTCAGCCTCCCAAAGTGCTGGGATTACAGGCGTGAGCCACCGCACCCAGCCAGGTCTGATGAGTTTTTAAGGGGAAATGGGAGTTTTTCAGGCTGTTGGGAAGTGGTGTCCCCGCTGTAAGCATGCTGGCCCCACATCTGCTTTGATGCTTCTCAGCCCACGATGGTGCAGCAGCCTGCAAAGGTCTCCTCCATGGGTCCCCAGGGCAGCAGGGCCAGAGAATCCTGCCCCTCTTAAGAGAACAATTGGCTAGGCGCAGTGGCTCACGCCTGTAATTCCAGCATTTTGGGAGGCCAAGGCGGGCGGATCACTTAAGGTCAGGAGTTCGAGACCAGCCTGGTCAACATGGTGAAACCCCGTCTCTATTAAAAATACAAACATTAGCCAGGTGTGGTGGTGGGCACCTGTAGTCCCAGCTACTCGGGAGGCTGAGGCAGGAGAATCGCTTGAACATGGGAGGCGGAGGTTGCAGTGAGTTGAGATCATGCCACTGCACTCCAGCCTGGGTGACAGAGCAAAAAAACTCCGTCTAAAAAAGAAAAAAAGAACAACCGCCCCTTCTAGCAGCAGCCCAGATGGAGACACCCATAGCAGGGCGCCGGATCCAATCTCTTCCTCTCCTCCCTCGGCCTTCCTCTCCCCACAGACCCCAGGGTCTAGAAAGTAGAAGGTTCTCCCCTCTTCTCTCCTTCCTCATAATGAACTCCATGGAGCTGGCCCGAATGCAGCGGTGGTTACAGTTAATTGATCACAACCAGTTACAGATTTTTTTGTTCCTTCTCCACTCCCACTGCTTCACTGGACGAGCCGAACACAAATAAATAAATAAATAGGCAGGTCACAGTGGCTCATGCCTCTAGTCCCAGTGCTGTAGGAGGCCAAGGTGGGCGGATCACTCGAGCCCAGGAGTTCGAGACCAGCCTGGGCAATATGGTGAAATCCCATCTCTACCAAAAAAAAAAAAAAAAAAAGAAGCAAAAATTAGCCAGGCATGGAGGTACATGCCTGTAGTCCCAGCTACTTGGGAGGCTGAGGTAGGAGGATATCTTGAGCCTGGAAGGTTTTTTTTTTTTTGGTGTTTTTTTTTGTTTTTTTTGTTTGTTTGTCTGTTTTTTGTTTGTTTTTTTAAACGGAGTTTTGCTTTTGTTGCCCAGGCTGGAGTGCAATGGTGAGATCTCAGCTCACCACAACCTCCTCCTCCCGGGTTCAGGCGATTCTCCCGCTTCAGCCCCCCGAGTAGCTGGGATTACAGGCATGTGCCACCATGCCCAGCTAATTTTGTATTTTTAGTAGAGACAGGGTTTCTCCATGTTGGTCAGGCTGGTCTCGAACTCCTGACCTTAGGTGATCCTCCCTCCTTGGCCTCTCAAAGTGCTGGGATTATAGGCATGAGCCACCGCACCTGGCCTGAGCCTGGAAGGTTGAGGCTGCAGTGAGCCAAGATCATGCCACTGCACTCTAGCCTGGGTGACAAAGTGACTAAATAAACAAACAAATAAATAAATAAACTCTATGGAAAACCCTATGGTCTACTCCAGTTCATGAAGCCTGGACATGAGTCAAAGTGGGAGATACCGGCCCAGGCACAGTGGCTCATGCCTGTAAGCCTAGCACTTTGGGAGGCTGAGGCAGGAGGATCGCTTGAGGCCAGGAGTCTGAGACCAGCCTGGGCAACATAGGAGACCCTGTCTTTATGAACGAATTTAAAAAGGAAAAGAAAAAAAGTGGGAGATATTGGCATTAAGTCCATTCTTTATCAAGGAGGCGAAATTATACATTTGAATGTCAGAAATCCATGATTGTCTCTTTCTCTTTGTGTTCCCTCTGTAGCAAATCGCAGTCTTCTCCAGGCTGACAAGGCGAAGGGCATGGCTTCGAAGTGCAAAAGAGTCATCGTGAAACGTCATGAATCATGAATCATTAGGCGTCTTCCCTTCTCTCCCCACTTTTTTTTTTTTTTTTTTTTTTTTTGAGACGGAGTCTCGCTCTGTTGCCCAGGCTGGAGTACAGTGGTGCAATCTTGGCTCACTGCAACCTCTGCCTCCTGGGTTCAAGCAATTCTCCTGCCGTAGCCTCCTGAGTAGCTGGGATTACAGGTCCCCGCCACCACACCCGGCTAATTTTCTTATTTATTTATTTATTTATTTTTTTTTAGTAGAGATGGGGTTTTGCCATGTTGGCCAGGCTGGTCTTGAACTCCTGACCTCAAGTGATCCACATGCTTTGGCCTCCCAAAGTGCTGGGATAACAGGCGTAAGCCATTGCACCCAACCCACGCCCCACCTTAAAAACAAAAGTGCCCTGGCTCTTGATGGAGACATTAAGCCCTCCCTGCCCCTTCTCCCTCCCCTTTCAGAGAATCTCCAGGAATTTCTGCCATTGTGCAGGGAGCAATTGAAAAATCAGTTAGTTCAGCTGGGTGCAGTGGCTCACGTCTGTAATCCCAGCACTTTGGGAGGCCGAGGCAGGCAGATCATCTGAGGCCAGGAGTTGGAGACCAGCCTGGCCAGCACGGTGAAACCCCATCTCTACTAAAAATACAAAAAATTAGCCGGGCGTGGTGATGGGCACCTGTAATCCCAGCTACTCTGCAGGCTGAGGCAGGAGAATGGCGTGAACCCGGGAGGCGAAGCTCACAGTGAGCCGAGACTGTGGCATTGCACTCCAGCCTGCGCAACAAGAGTGAAACTGTCTCAAAAAACAAAACAAAACAAAACAAAAGAAAACACAAAAAGAAAGAAAGAAAAAAGGAAAAATCAGTTAGTTTGATTATTAGAAGACTAGATTATTGCTCAGCAGCAACCACTCCTTTCCCACAAACTCCCCTCTCTAGGAGGAACGTACCTCCCCACTCATTCCTGTTAGGCTTGGCCAGGTGAATCGCTTTGGCCAACGGGATGTAACTGACAAGGTGAGCAGAGATTTACAGTGGGCTTGTGCTTGGTGCTGGTCCTCCGGGGCTCCTGCCTTTAGCCACAGAAAGCACACACCCCAGCCCCTCCTTAGCCCTCTGGCCCTGGGGAGAATGAGAGGCACGTGGCACAGTCCTGGACCCAGCCGTGGCTGGGAGCAAGCCTGGAAGCTTGAGTGAGAGATAAATGCTTGGGTTTTTTTTGTTTGTTTTTTGTTTTTTGTTTTTTTTTGAGACTAAGTCTCGCTCTATTGCCCAGGCTGGAGTGCAGTGTGGCACAATCTCAGCTCACTGCAACCTCCACCTCCCAGGTTCAAGCAATTCTCCTGCTTCAGCCTCCCAAGTAGCTGGGACTACAGGTGCGCACCATCACAACCAGGTAATTTTTGTATTTTTAGTAGAGATGAGGTTTCACCACATTGGCCAGGCTGGTCTCAAACTGCTGACCTCAAGTGATCCACCCGGCTCGGCCTCCCAAAGTGCTGGGATTACAGGCATGAGCCAATTCGCCCAGTGATAAATGCTTGTTTTAAACTTCTGGGTTTTGGGGTGGTGTGTTAGGCAGCCTCACTGGGGCAGTGGCTGACGGGTACAATCAGATGAACCCTGAGGCCCCTGGAAGCTTCGAGTGTCTACGAGGGACCTTTCCCGGCCTTTGGTCAGCCAAGTTGGAAGACCCACTTCTCTGGACTGGATGCTGCATTGAATTGAGCAAAGGAACTGAGTGCCCCGGGAGCTCAATGGGAAGCAGCCCAGTCTTCCTTCTGGGGCAGAGCAGTGGTGGGGACCTGTTTCCAGCTGCTTGTGCCCCCACTTCACGGAGGAGGGACCAGGGATCCTCAGAGGAGAGGGTGATGTCCAACAGTAGCTGCCTGCCCTGAAAATCGCCCTTGTCTGTCCAGCCTGGGCTGAATTTCACCCACATCAACCCACATGGGATACTTTATTTATTTATTTATTTATTTATTTTGGAGCCAGGGTCTCACCTGTGGCCCAGGCTGGAGTGCCGTGGTGCTATCATAGCTCACTGCAGCCTCAAACTCCTGGGCTCAAGCTATCCTCCCACCTCAGCCTCCAGAGTAGCTGGGACTACAGGAACACACCACTGTGCCTGGCTTATTTTTCTTTTTTTTTTTTTTGGTAGAGATGGGGGTCTCGCTATGTTGCCCAGGCTGGTCTCAAACTCCTGGCCTCAAGTGATCCTCCTGCCTCAGCCTCCCAAAGTGCTGGGATTACAGGTGTACCATTATGTCCAGCTAAACCTGTTCCTTGAAGAAAGTGTGAACCTCAAATTCAAAGCCCTTCTCTTTCTCTTCCCTCATCAGAATCGGCTCCCAGACACCTGCCACTCGTGAATGCATCTGATAAACTCACTCACACTGAGGCCTTGGGGACTGAGGTGAGCTGGGCCCAGCAGTGGGGAGATATATGGGGGAAGTGTTAGTGGTGGTGAATCCGTATGGATTCACCTCAATCCTTGCCTCCTCAGAAGAAAGAATTCCACCAAGGGGCATGAGGCAGAGTGAGGGACTGAGGCAAGTTTTAGAGCAGGAGTGAATGTTTATTAAAAAGTTTTGGGGCAGGTGCTGGGCATGGTAGCTCACACCTGTAATCCCAGCACTTTGGGAGGCCGAGGCGGGTGGATCCCTTGAGGTCAGGAGTTTGAGACCAGCCTGGCCAACATGGCCAAACCCTGTCTCTACTAAAAATACAAAAATTAGCCAGGCATAGTGGCACACGCCTATAATCCCAGCTACTGGGGAGGCTGAGGTGGGAGAATTGCTTGAACCCGGGAGGTGGAGGTTGCAGTGAGCTGAGATCACACCACTGCACTCCAGCCTGGGCAACAGAGCAAGACTCCATCTCAAAACAAAAACAAAACCAACCAAACAAACAAAAGGTTTTAGGGCAGTAAGGAAAGGAGGTAAAGTACACTTGGAAGAGGGTCAAGCAGGTGACTTGAGAGTCAAGTGCACTGTTTGACCTTGGACTTGGCGTTTGATACGTTGGCATCCTTCCGGGGCTTGCGTTAACTTTCCCCGATTCTTCCCTTGGGGTGGTCTGTCCGCATGCGCAGTGGCCTGCCAGCACTCGGGAGGGGCCGCATGCGCAGTGGCCTGCCAGCGCTCGGGAGGGGCCTCATGCGCAGCGTGTTTACTGAAGTGCGCATGCTTACTTGAGGCATTCTTCCTTTACCAGTCAAATGCTCCCAGGTCATATGCCAGTTAAACTCCACCATGTTGCCTCTTAGTGCACATGCTTGAGCCCACTCGCCCAGCTCCTGAGATCTTATCGGGAAGCTGCTGATCACCAGTTCCAGGTGCTTTCTATCTATTGGGAAACTGCCTTTCCCTGGTGTTGGTTGCAACCAATTATTATTTTAGAGAGACAGTTACCAACCACCTGACTGCTGGGTGAGGTGGCTCATGCCTGTAATCCCAGCACTTTAGGAGGCTGAGGTGGGTGGATTACCTGAAGTCAGGAGTTTGAGACCAGCCTGGCTAACATGGTGAAACCCCAGCTCTACTAAAAATACTAAATAAATAAATAAATAAATAAATAAGCAAGCTGGGTGTGGTGGTGGAGGCTGTAGTCCCAGCTACTCAGGAGGCTGAGGTGGGAGGATCACTTGAGCTGGGGAGATGGAGGCTGCAGTGAGCTGAGATGGCTCCACTGCACTCCAGCCTGGGCAACAGAGCAAGACTCTGTGTCAACAAACAACAACAGGCCGGGTGCGGTGGCTCACACCTGTAATCCTAGCACTTTGGGAGGCCGAGGTGGGAAATCACCTGAGGTCAGGAGTTCGAGACCAGCCTGGCCAACATGGTGAAACCCCGTCTCTACTAAAAATACAAAAGTTAGCAGGGTATGGTGGTGGGCGCCTGTAATCCCAGCTACTCGGGAGGCTGAGGCAGGAGAATCGCTTGAACCTGGGAGGCGGAGAATGCAGTAGCCAAGATCACACCATTGTGCTCCAGCCTGGGCAACAGAGCAAGCCTCCGTCTCAAAAACAAAAAACAGGCCCGGCGTGGTGGCTCATGCCTGTAATCCCAGCACTTTGGGAGGCTGAGGCAGGCGGATCACCTGAGGTCGGGAATTTGAGACCAGCCTGACCAACATGGAGAAACCCTGTCTCCACTAAAAATACAAAATGAGCCAGGCGTGATGGCACATGCCTGTAATCCCAGCTAATTGGGAGGCTGAGGCAGGAGAACAGCTTGAACCCGGGAGGCGGAAGTTGCTGTGAGCCGAGATCGCGCCATTGTACTCCAGCCTGGGCAACAAGAGAGAAATTCCGTCTCAAAAACAAAAAAACAAAAAGCAACAACAAAAACTCAACCATCTGACCATCACCTGGTGGCTGCCTGACATTCCTGGTTGTGGGGGTCTTGCCCTGCTCCTGTGTGACTAGCTCCCTACTGTAACAGAAGGCCTTCTCAACAAGGCTGCATAGCAGGGTGAGGCAGGGAGGGAGGCCAGAGAGAGGCTGTGCAGGCCAGGACCTGAGTTCTCTGTCCAAGTGAACACGAGTGTGGGGCCAGGTGTATTTATAACACAGGCCCGAACAAATGGGACCATGCCTCACATAAATCAGGCTATTTCCTTGGCAGGGGTAAAAATAGCCACATGGCATCCTGCACATGGCTGTGCGTGGAGCAGAGATGGCCCAGCCAACCCTGCACCCGCCCCCCACCCCCAACAAGGCCCCACCCGCTGGTCAAGCCCCATTTGCCCATCTGGACCAGGTTTCTTCTCCTCTCTCCTCCTCCCCCTTCTCCTCTTCCCCCTCCCCCTCCCCTCCCCCCGCCTCCTCCTCACTCTTCCCCTCCCCTTTCCCCTACTCCTCCTCCCTCTCCCACTCCCCTTCTCCTCCTCCCTCTCCCCTCCTCCTCCCCCTTCTCCTTCTCCTCCCCCTTCTCCTTCTCCTCCCCCTTCTCCTTTTCTTCCCCCTTCTCTTCCTCCAGCACCAGGCTTACTGCCTGCCCTGCGTCTCCCAAGACGGGTGCTGCCTCCCAAACTGAGCTGCTGGAGAAGAGGGGCCCGGTAGAGACGGCTGACTTGGGCTGGCTCAGGCCAGCTGCAGAGGAGACAGGACAGATCCCTGGGCAAAGTCAAGATGGAGAAACAGTCAGAGGCGGCAGCGGTTGCGGACTGTGAGGCGGAGAGACTTCAGTTGAAAGCCCCTAAAAAGCATCCGAGTGCGCTATTCGCTCCTCTGTGATCTGACAGCAGGTGAAACTGAGGCGGAAGGGAAGGGAGGAGCTCAGGGTGACCTGGAACCAGGGTTGAGCTGGGAGGAGACCCCTCTGCCGGTGTAGCCTGGGGTCTGCAGCAGGGTCATTTGGGGAGGCTCCTTATGATAAAGGCTCCAGGGCCTGCTTTGAGCCCCCCAAGACATAGACTCTCTGGGGTTGGGGCCAGAGCTACATTTTATTTTTTTAATTGATCATTTTATATTTATTTGTATTTTTTAAGAGACAGGGTCTTGCTCTGTTGCCCAGGCTGGAGTGCAGTGGTGTGATCATGGCTCACTGCAGCCTTGACCTCCTGGGCTCAAGCGATTCACCCACCTCAGCCTCCGCGGTAGCTGGGCCCACAGGTGCACATGCTGCCATGTTTAGCTAATTTTTAATTTTTTTGTAGAGACAGAGTCTTGCTATATTGCCCAGGCTGGTCTTGAACTCCTGGCCTCAAGCAATCCTCCTGCCTCAGCCTCCTGAGTAGCTGGGATTACAGGCATGAGCCACTGCATCTGGTGCAGAGCTGCATTTTTTTTTTTTTTAGACAGAGTTTTGCTCTTGTTGCCCATGCTGGAGTGCAATGGCATGATCTTGGCTCACTGCAACCTCTGCCTCCCGGGTTCAAGCAATTCTCCTGCCTCAGCCTCCTGAGTAGCTGGGGCTACAGGCATGTGCCACCATGCCTGGCTAATTTTTTTGTATTTTTAGTAAAGACGGGGTTTCACCATGTTGGCCAGGCTGGTCTTGAACTCCCAATCTCAGGTGATCCACCCGCCTCAGCCTCCCAAAGTGCTGAGATTACAGGCATGAGCTACCGTGCCTGGCCCCAGAGCTACATTTTAAACAACTCCCCATCCCCGTGCAGCTCCAAGAGCCACTGTCCCTGCCTTAAGTATCCCAGGCCCTCCCGACCTCCACTCTGATGCAGCCCCCACCAGAAGACTGGCGCCTTGGGAGGTGGGAGGCAGGACAGGGTCAAGGTGTCCCTCTGTGCCCTCCCTGCCATCCCTTCCCCTTGGGCCAGCCAGTTTTCCAGCTGTCTCTAGGTCAACAACCGTGGGAAAAAGTGACCGGGTGGAAAAGCAACCTATTTGGGGCATGATCACACTCTGCCCTGGTCACCCAGTTCTCCCGTGTCCCAGCCTCTCTCTGAAGGATCCATTCCTGGTTGGGGGTGCAGGGATGCAACCTTCCTAGGGATCAGGCCCCGGGTCAGGTCTGGGAAGGGCCGGTAGGGAAGGACCTGCTAGGGGCCATTCATAAGCACATTCATTCAATCCACACAACACGTGTTTGCAGCAGCTATTATTATCTCTGTTTTTACACACTGGAATTTGAACTGGGGTCTCTCCAACCACAACCCAGGGTCTAGATCACAGTGGAAAACTCCAAATTCCTTTTGTGTCCAAGCTCAGGACTGTCACACAGCTGCCTCCAGCGTCTCTCTCCCATAATGTCCAGGGTGTGGGCGTCCAGCCTCGGCCCAACCAGCGGGTGGCAAGGTGCCCTCTCCACCCTCTCTGGAGTCCTGGAGTCCGGCCCTCTTCCAGGGCAGTGGCCTCTGCCTGGCAGAACATCACCATGCCCTGGGCGCTGAGGGTAGAGGCTCTCGTCCTGGCAGAGGCTGCAGGCACGTAATTCATTTAATTGGACTTCAGCGGTGGTTCTGGCCACACCACACCCCAGGAGACCTCGGAGGAGTTACTCTTCTCTGAGCTTCCTTTGTGTAACTGTCAGAGCCGTTTGAACCAGAGTGACTCCACCTTGAAGAGCAGCTGGGTAAAATGAGGCTGACACTGGCTGGGCTGCATTCCCAGGCGGTTAAGGCATTCTAAGTCACAGGATGGGATAGGAGGTCGGCAAGTCCGATATCACAAGATACAGGTCCAAAGACTTTGCTGATGAGGCAGGATGCAATAAAGAAGCTGGCCAAAACCCACCAAAACCAAGATGGCGACTAAAGTGACCTCTGGCCACCCTCACTGCTCATTAATGGTAATTAAAATATATTAGCATGGCGTATAGGCACAGTGGCTCACTCCTGTAATCCCAGCACTTTAGGAGGCTGAGGCAGGTGGATCACGAGGTCAGGAGTTCAAGACTAGCCTGGCCAATATGGTGAAACCCCATCTCTACCAAAAATACAAAAATTAGCCGGGCGTGGTGGCACGCGTCTGTAGTCACAGCTACTCGGGAGGCTGAGGCAGAAGAATCGCTTGAACCCAGGAGGTGGAGATTGTAGTGAGCCGAGATCGTGCCACTGCACTCCAGCCTGGGTGACAGAGCGAGACTCCGTCTCAAAAACAAAATATATATATACACACACACACAGATATATTAGCATACAAAAGACACTCCCAACCAGCCCCATGACAGTTTACAAATGCCATGGCAATGTCCAGAAATTACACTATATGGTCTAAAAGGGGGAGGAACCGTCATTTCTGGGAATGGCCTGCCCGTGTCCTGGAAAAGTCATGAATAATCCACACCTTGTTTAGCATATGATCAAGAAATAACCATAAAAATAGCCAGTCGGCAGCCCTGGGGTTTGCTCTGCCTATGGAATAGCCATTCTGTATTAGTCTGTTTTCACACTGCTGATAAAGACATACCCAAGACTCGGTAATTTATAAAGAAAAAGAGGTTTAATGGACTCACAGTTCCACGTGGCTGGGGAGGCCTCACAATCATGGTGGAAGGTGGAAGCCATGTCTTACATGGTGGCAGGCAAGAGAGCACTTGTGTAGAGAAACTCCCCTTTATAAAACCATCAGACTTGTAAGACTTATTCACTATCATGATAACAGCATGGGAAAGACCCACCCCCATGAGTCAATTACCTCCCACCGAGTCCCTCCCAGCACATGCGGGAATTGTGGGAGTTACAATTCAAGATGAGATATGGGTGGGGACACAGACAAACCACATCACATTTTTTTATTCCTTTACTTCTCTAATAAACTTGCTTTCATTTGCTGGACTTGCTCCAATTCTTTCTTGTGCAAGGTCCAAGAACCCTCTCTTGGGCTCTGGATCTGGACCCCTTTCTGGTAACACAAACAACACTTGATGAGCACAGAACCCACAGACAGGCCCCTCTTATCCAGTTCTAAACTGGGAATTCTCTCATTCATTCTACAGGCATTCATGGAGGACCTCTTATGGGAAAGGCGTTATTCCTGGGTTGGGGGTAGAGCAGGGGACAGGACAGGCAAGGTCCCTGTACACCTGGCACTTACATTCTAGAGAACATCAATGCTGGGCACAGTGTCTCACGCCTGTAATCCCAGCACTTTGGGAGGCCGAGGAGGATGGATCACCTGAGGTCAAGAGTTCAAGACCAGCCTGGCCAACATAGTGAAACCCCATCTCTACTAAAAATACAAAAATTAGCTGGGCGTGGTGGCGTGCACCTGTAATCCCAGCTGCTTGGGAGGCTGAGGCTGCAGAATCACTTGAACCCGGGAGGCTGAGGTTGCAGTGAGCTGAGATAGTGCCACTGCACTCCAGCCTGGGTGACAGAGTGAGACTCTGTCTCAAAAAACAAAAAACAAAAAAACCAAAAGGACCCGCCCTGACCTTCTCCCCAGATTGTTTCCTTTGGGACCACAATTGACAACCTCCCAAACGCTTATGCAACTGGAAGAAGGGCTTGGGATTCAGCAGAGAACACAGATATCTCCTTCTGCCTGACGTGGCTCAGTTTTTATATTTCTGTTTATACAATCTGTTCACAAGTAGACATTTGACAGTTGTTTACCTTCTGCTTGCTTCCCATTAGCATCATGTTGGGAACGTGACTTAGGTCTGTCGGTTCCCCAAGAAGCAAAACCCCTAGTCCAGCCCCAATGGGAAGAGAGGGATCTATAGTAGCAAGGCCCCGTGTCTGTATGCAAACAGGACAGAGCTCCTTTCAGCTCTGCGGGGGCCAGCATGCTGACTTAGAAAAGCAGGTAAGAGGTCGGGCGCAGTGGCTCATGCCTGTAATCCCAGCACTTTGGGAGGCCAAGATGAGTGGATCACAAGGTCAGGAGATCGAGACCATCCTGGCTAACATGGTGAAATCCCATCTCTACTAAAAATACAAAAAAATTAGCCGGGCGTGGTGGTGGGCGCCTGTGGTCCCAGCTACTCGGGAGGCTGAGGCAGGAGAATGGTATGAACCCGGGAGGCAGAGCTTCTAGTGAGCCAAGATCGCGCCACTGCACTCCAGCCTGGGCGACACAGCGAGACTCCATCTCAAAAAAAAAAAAAAGCACGTAAGAGTGTGGTGTCCAGTTAACAGTCCTGTCCCGATGACTGACTGTCTTCGGCAATTGGTCTGAGCTATAAGTGGATCAAAAAGTAATAAAAGAAAGGTTAGGTGTGGTGGCTCCCATCTGTAATCCCAGCACTTTGGGAGACTAAGGTGGGAGGATCACTTGAGTCCAGGAGTTTGAGACCAATTTGGGCATCATAGTGAGACCCTGTCTCTACACACACACACACACACACACACACACACACACACACACACACACACACACACAGGCCCCCACCCCCCACAAAATTAGCCAGGTGTGGTGGCGCATGCTTGTGGTCCCAGCTACTTGGGAGGCTGAGGCAGGAGGACCGCTTGAGCCCAGGAGGTTGAGGCTGCAGTGAGCTTTGAGTGCACCACTGCACTCCAGCCTGGGTAATAGAAGGAGACCCTGTCTCTTAAAAAGAAAAAGAAGAAAAAAAAATTTATAAGAGACAGCTGAAAATGCTGGAAAATCTAGTCATCTGGGCTCTTCCAGTAAAAGGGCAGATAGTATTAAATCTGAAAAACCAGAGCGAATCTTTACATTAAGAAAATCTTGGGACATATTAACAATACTAAGACTGCCTGTGTGCCAGACACTATTCTAAATGCTTTTCAGATCTTAATGCAATAACTTGTAACTGTTTTATGAAATAAACACTATTGTACTATTATTTATCCCCCAGTATCAGAGAGGATGGGCTGGAGCAGTGGTTCTCAAAGCGTGATCCCTTGACCCCCAGCATGGACTTCCCTTGGGAACTTGTTAGAAATGTGAATTCTGGCCGGGCACAGTGGCTCATGCCTGTAATTCCAGCACTTTGGGAGGCCGAGGCGGGCAGATCACTTGAGGTCACGAGTTTGAGACCAGCCTGGCCAACATGGCAAAACCCCATCTCTACTAAAAATACAAAAATTAGCTGGGCATGGTGGTGGGTGCCTGTAATCCCAGCTACTTGGGAGGCTGAGGCAGGAGACTCGCTTGAACCTGGGAGGCGGAGGTTGCAGTGAGCTGAGATCATGCCATTGAACTCCAGCCTGGGCAACAAAGCAAGACTCTGTCCCTCCCACCAACAAAGAATAAGACCAGAAATGTGAATTCTTAGACACCAACCCAGATCTGCTGAATCAAAAACTCTGGGAGTAGGGCCCAATTTTCACAAGGCTTCTCGATGTTTCTAATGAATGCTCAAGTTTGAGAAGCACTGAGCTAGATTTGCTGTCGTATCGAAAACTCTCTAAGGGGCTTAACACAGCAAAGAAATAGTTCTTCCTCACGCTTCTTGTCCACCGGGGGTGGAAAGCTCACCACAGCACTCAAACACCCTTTGGAAATGGTCCTAAAGGCATTTCAAAAGATGAATAAACATTTATTCAACAAATCTACTCAAATTTAATGAGAACAGTGAGAGTCTGTGGTATTGAAATTAAGACCCACTCCCCACCCCCTGAGCTCAAATAGATGGAAATTCCATTCCACACTAAAGGTCCCCTCCCTCCTGCTCCCAGTAGGAAAGATTTCCTCCCAGGAGGGGCAGGAAATCAGAATTTCTCACCTTGTCCCCAGCTACTGGTCGGTGAAACATTGTTCTGGGCAAGTATGCCTGTAACCGCCCAAGGGGTTCACCTTGCCCACTGCAGACAGAGCCAATTTACTGAGACAGGGGAATTGCAATGGAGAAAGAGTAATTCATGCAGAGCCAGCTGTGTGGGAGACTGGAGTTGTATTAATTACTCAAATCTGTCTCCCCAAGCATTCAGGGAGCAGAGTTTTTAAGGACAACCTGGTGGGTGGGGGGAAGCCAGTGAGCCAGGAGTGCTGATTGGTCAGGGATGAAATCGTGGAGAGTTGGAGCTGTCTTCTTGTGCTGAGTGTGTTCCTGAGTGGAGGCCACAAGATTAGATGAGCCAGTTTATCGAACTGGATGGTACCAGCTGCTCCATCAAGTGCAGGGTCTGCAGAATATCCCAAGCACTGATCTTAGAAGCAGTTTGGAGAGGGGTCAGAATCTTGTAGCCTCCAGCTGCATGACTCCTAAACCATAATTTCTCATCTTATAGCTAATGTTAGTCCTATAAAGGCAATCTAGTCCTCAGACAAGAAGGAGGTCTGCCTTGGGAAAGGGCTGTTACTGTCTTTGTTTTAAACTATAAACTATAAACTAAGTTTCTCCCAAAGTTAGTTCAGCCTATGCCCAGGAATGAACAAGGACAGCTTGGAGGTTAGAAGCAAGATGGAGTCAATTAAGTTAGATCTCTTTCACTGTCTCAGTCATAATTTTGCAAAGGCAGTTTCATGCCCAAGAGGTGAGGTCTCCCACCTTCCACGCAGCCCCTACTCTGCTGTGGGCATGGCACCACTGAGGCTACTGGGGTCCTCAGCCTCTTTGTTCTGGCTTGTAAGACAGAAGTCACTTGGCTGGGTGTGGTGGTTCACGCCTGTAATCTCATCACTTTGGGAGGCTGAGGCGGGCGGATCACCTGAGGTTGGGAGTTCGAGACCAGCCTAGTCAATGTGGTGAAACCTCGTCTGTACTAAAAATACAAAAATTAGCCAGGCGTGGTGGCGGACGCCTGTAGTCCCAGCTACTTGGGAGGCTGAGGCAGGAGAATCGCTTGAACCCAGGAAGCGGAGGTTGCAGTGAGCCAAGATCATGCCACTGCACTCCAGCCTAGGCGACAGAGCAAGACTCCGTCTCAAAAAAAAAAAAAAAAGACAGTTTCTATGGTGGGAAAAGCAAGCCAAAAAGACCTGAGGCTACTTCTCCTCCACTGAGTGCTCAGCCCCTAAAGCAGGAGTGTCATTCAGAGAGAAGCATAGATTGTCCCATCCCCCAGCTATACAGCAATGGCACAGAGATTTTGCCCAGAAAGTGAGGTGGGCTGTAGCACAGAGATTTCCAAGTCTCTTCCCAAAGGAACTGACTTCATTGGCAACTGAATGTAGAAAGGTTGAAGCCTAAGGGTGCTCTCAAAAACAGTAGAGGTTGTGGTGAAAGATAATTGGAAAGAGATTGGTAGATTCATTGGAGAGGTAGGCTAAACTTTAGGCTGGCTAGTTTTCTGGAAACAGCCAGGGAAGGAGACCACTGAGAGGTGTCCTTCTGGGGTCAGAACAAATCTCAAACACTGACCTTGGGACTTATTTCTTTAAAAATGAGCCTGAATTTTATTGGATTAGTCTGATTGGGACAATTTATGTCCCAGGGGAATGTTGAGAACAATAGAGCTCTATCAGGTATAGGTTTTATTTAAAAAAAAAAAGAGAGAGAGAGAGAGAGAGAGACAGAGAGAACAATAGAGCAATCAACTAACAATTAGTAGAGCTTAACAACTGGGTGTGGTCAGGGAAAAAGATGGTCAAATAGAGACCTTCCCAGACCACTGTCATCTCAGGGCGACTGGGGCATATCCAAGGCTGCATCCCCTAAGAAGCAACATCAGAGGCCACATGCTTAGGAGAGGAAGAGGGTGGAATAGACTATGCTAAAATAATCCATCCAGACCAGCTGTGGTTGTTCATGCCTGTAATCCCAGCACTTTGGGAGGCTGAGGAGGAGGATCTGCTTAAACTCACCTGGGCAACACAGAGAGACCCTGTCTCTATAGAAAAAAAAAAAAAAAGGAAAGAAAAAAGGTTATCCAGGTGTGGTGGTGCATGCCTATGGTTCCAGCTACTTGGGAGGCTGACTTGGGAGGATCACTTGAGCCAGGGAGGTTGAGGCTGACGTGAGCTATGATTGCACCACTGCACTCAAGCCTGGGCAACAGAGTGAGACCCTGTCTCAAAAGGAAAAAAAATCCATCCAGTCATTAAACAAATAAGCAAGTAACAAAAATAACCCCTGGAAGTGGATGATCAGTACTGTGTTGCTACACTATATTATCTAAAGTGTTTAGTTTCCAACAAAAATATATGAGACATGCAAAAAAACAGATGAGTATGACCCATACACCAGGAAAAAAGCAGGTAACAGAAACTGCCTGTGAGAGTGATCAGATGTCAGATTTAACAAAGACCTCAAAAAAGCTGTTAAAAATGTGTTAAAAGAACTGTCAGATGTGAGTTCTAAATTTCTCTTCAAAGAATCAATATGACCCATCCTGGCTAACATGGTGAAACCCCATCTCTACTAAAAATACAAAAAATTAGCAGGGTGCTGTGGCAGGCACCTGTAGTCCCAGCTACTCGGGAGGCTGAGGCAGGAGAATGGCGTGAACCTGGGAGGCGGAGCTTGCAGTGAGCAGAGATCGCGCCACTGCACTCCAGCCTGGGCGACAGACGGAGTCTCTGTCTCAAAAAAAAAAAAAAAAAAAAGAATCAATATGTCAGTATGTTCAATTCTTTGCTTTCTACTTTTAAACTTAAATTCCTTGTAAAGCAACCTTTTCCGATTACCTGCTCCACCCTGACTCATTCTGATTACCTGCTCCACCCTGAATCATTCCGATTACCTGCTCATTCTCCACCCTGACTCATTCCGATTTCCTGCTCTGCCATAACAATTTTTCCCGCCAAACCACTCACGCCGTCACTCTCTTTAAATTAGCCAATCGGAATTAGTTTAGTCTGTGTGGTCTAACCCTAGCCAATAGGGGAATGACACAGCAGCAGGGGCCACGTGCGTAAGGGGTAAGAACCCCTTCCCCTCCCTTGTCCAAGTGTGCACTTACCATTGCTCCATCTGTAAGGGTGCACCCTTCTATAGAAGTACATTGCCTTGCTAAGAATTAAAAAGAAAAGTTTATATTTGAGTGCTGTTTCTTTTGCGGCACCGAAACTTTATTTATAACAAGAACTAAAGAAAACCATGATTAAAGAATTAAGGGAACGTATGATGACAAAGTTGCATCAAGTACAGAATATCAATAATGAGATAGAAATTATAAAAAAAAAAAATGGAAATACTAGAATTGGAAATACAACAACTAAACTGAAAAATACACTAGAAGTACAGCAGTAGATTTAAACTGGCAGAAGAAACAATTAGTAAACTTGAAGATAGCTTAATAAAGATTATGCAGTCTGAAGAACAGAGATTTTTTAAAAGTGTGAAGAGAAATGAACAAAGCCTCAGAGAAATGTGGGACATCATTGAACACAATGGCAGTACCAGAAAGAGAGGAGAGGGAGGAAGGAACAAAACAAAATATTTAAAGCAAGAATGGCTGAAAACCACCAAAATCTATTGAAAAACATTAATTTACGTCTTTAGGAAGCTCAACAAACTCCAAATAGGATAAAGAGATCCACAAATAGGCATGTCGTAGTGAAAATATTGAAAGCCAAAGCCAAAGAGAAAATCTTGAAAACAGGAAGAGGAAAACAACTCATCACCTATAAGGGAACCTCAGGAATGACAGCTAGGCCAGGTATCGTGGCTCATGCCTATAATCTCAGCACTTTGGGAGGCTGAGGTGGGAGGATTGCTTGAGGCCAGAAGTTCAAAATCAGCTTGGTCAACATAGCAAGATTGTATATCTACAAAAGAAAAATAAAAAAATTGGCTGGTAGCACATGTCTGTAGTTCTAGCTACTCAAGAGGCTGAAGCAGAGGATTGCTTGAACCCAGAAGTTCTAGGCTGCAGTGAGCCATGATTATGCCACTGTACTCAGGCCTGGGTGACAGAGTGAGACTCTGTCACAAACAAACAAACAAACAAATAAACAAAAAGAATGAAGGCCAAAAGGCACTGAGATAGATAAAAAATATTCAAAATGCTCTAGGGAAAAAAAAAAAAATCTGTCAACCAAGAATCCTTTATCCAGCAAAGCTATTGTTTGAAAACGAAAGCAAAATAAAGACATTCCCAAATAAACAAAAAACTGGGATAATTAGTTGTTTGCAGGCCTTCCTTATAAGAAATACTAAAGAAAGTTCTTCAGGCTGAAAGCAAGTGACCCCAGACAGTAAATCACATAAAAAACAAACAAAAAAAATCAATAAAGACAATTATATAACTATAAAAGACAGTATAAAGTCATATTTGGCCGGGTGCAGTGGCTCATGCCTGTAATCCCAGCATTTTGGGAGGCCAAGGCAGGCAGATCACTTGAGGTCAGGAGTTCGAGATCAGCCTGGCCAACATGGTGAAACCCTGTGTCTACTAAAAATACAAAAAAATTAGCTGGGTGTGGTGGCATGTGCCTGTAATCCCAGCTATTTGGGAGGCTGAGGCAGGAGATTCGCTTGCACCTGGGAGGCAGAGGTTGCAGTAAGCCAAGACCATGCCATTGCACTCCAGCCTGGGAAACAAAACAAAAGTCCGTCTCAAAAAAAATGAAAAAAATAAAAATAAAGTCATATTCCTTCTTCTTTCTTCTCTTAACTGTTTTAAAAAGCAAAAGTATACATCTGTATAGTATGTATTATTGGGCCTATGACATATGGAAATGTAATATATTTGCCAATAACAGTGCAAAGGAGATGAGTGGGAGGAAAGCTGTATTGAGTGAAGAAAATGACTCAAGATAGTAACTTTATTATTATTATTATTATTATTATTATTTGAGACAGAGTCCCACTCTGTCGCCCAGGCTGGAGTGCAGTGGCATGATCTTAGGTCACTGCAACCTCTACCTCCCAGGTTCAAGCAATTCTCCTGCCTCAGCCTCCCAAGTAGCTGGGACTACAGGCACCCACCACCATGCCTGGCTAATTTTCGTATTTTTAGTAGAGATGGGGTTTTGCCTTGTTTGCCAGGCTGGTCTCGAATTCCTGGCCTCTAGTGATTTGCCCACCTCGGCCTCCCAAAGTGCTGGGATTACAGGTGTGAGCTACCATGCCTGGCCTTAATCTAATTTTTACCTTTGCTGTTCAGTAATAATTTAGTTAAATAAATAATTCTAAGTTCATTCTTATTTTCTCTTAGCACTTTAAAGATAATTCTTCAGGATAGTCTTTATTTTTAAAAAAGAATTTTTTTTTTTTTTTTGAGACAAGTCTTGCTCTGTTTCCCAGGCTGGAGTCCAGTGGCACAATCTTGGCTCACTGCAACCTCTGCCTCCCGGGTTCAAGCAGTTCTCTGCCTCAGCCTCCTGAGTAGCTGGAATTACAGGCACCTGCCACCACACCCGGCTAATTTTTTGTATTTTTAGTAGAGATGGGGTTTCACCATCTTGGCCAGGCTGGTCTTGAACTCTCGACCTCAGGTGATCCATCCGCCTCGGCCTCCCAAAGAGCTGGGATTACAGGCGTGAGCCACCGCGCCTGGCCAAGTTTTTTTAAAGTTTTAGAGAAGGAATGAAAGGAAGTACACTTGGAAGAGGGCCAAGTGGGTGACTTGAGAGATTCAAGTGCCCTGTCCAACCCTTGCCCTGGGTTTTGTCTTTTGAGACAGGGTCTTGCTATGTTACCCAGGCTAGACTACTGTGGCCATTTACAGGTGCAGCCACTGTGCCCTCCAGCCTCAAACTCCTGGGGCCAAGGAATCTTTTTGCCTCAGCCTCCCATGTAGCTGGGACTGTAGGTGCATGCCACTGGCTATTCATTTATTTGTAATTGACAAATAAAATTGTCTATATTTATAGTGTACAACATGATTTGAAATATACATACATTGTGGAATATCTAAATGAAGTTAATAACAAATCCTTTGCCTCGCATATCATTTTCTTGTGGTAATACTTAAAACGTACGTTCTTAGCAAGTTTCAAGTATCCAATACATTGTTATTAACTAAAGTCACAGCTGAGTGTTGTGGCTCATATCTGTAATCCTGGCACTTTGGAAGACTGAGTAGGGAGGACTGCTTGAGCCCAGGAGTTCGAGACCAGCCTGGGCAACATAGTGAGACTCTCATCTCTACAAAAAGTAAAAAAAAAAAAAAGAAAAAAGAAAATTGGGTGTGGTAGAGTGTGACTGTAGTCCCAGCTACTTGGGAGGCTGAGGCAGGAGGATTGCTTGAGCCTGGGAGGCGGAGGCTGCCATGAGCTATGATTCTGCCACTGCACTCCAGCCTGGGCAGTAGAGCGAGACTCTGTCTCAAAATAAAATAAAATAGTCATTATGTTGAACAATAGATTTATTGCACTTATTCCTTCGGTCTAGTTGAAATTTTGTATCCTTTGACCAACATCTCCCCAGTCCTTTCCCACAGCCTGTGGTAACTACCATTCTACTCTGTTTCTATGAGTTCTGCTTTTTAAAATTTCACATATAAGGGAGATCATGTGGTATTTACTTTTCTGTGCTTCGTTATTTCACTTAATATAATATCCTCCAGGTAGTCACAAATGATAGGATTTCCTTTTATTTACTTTATTTTTATTTATTTATTTTTTTGAGACGAGTCTTGCTCTTGTCACCCAGGCTGGAGTGCAATGGCCCAATCTTGGTTCACTGTAACCTCTGCCTCCTGGCTTCAAGTGATTCTCCTGACTCAGCTTTCTGAGTAGCTGGAATTACAGGCATGCACCACTACACCCAGCTAATTTTTGTATTTTTAGTAGAGACAGGGTTTCACCATATTGGCCAGACTGGTCTCGAACTCCTGACCTCAGGTGATCCACCTGCCTCGGCCTCCCAAAGTGCTGGGATTACAGGCATGAGCCACTGCACCCTGCCAGATTTCCTTATTTTTAAAGGCTGAATAGTATTCCACATTTTATTTATAAGACAGTCTTCTGACTCCTTTTTTTTTTTAAGACAGAGTTTCACTCTTGTTGCCCAGGCTGGAGTGCAATGGCGAGATCTCAGCTCACCACAACCTCTGCCTCCTGGGTTCAAGCGATTCTCCTGCCTCAGTCTCCCGAGTAGCTGGGATTCCAGGCATGCGCCACCATGCCTGGCTAATTTTGCATTTTTAGTAGAGATGGGGTTTCTCCATGTTGGTCAGGCTGGTCTCGAACTCCCGACCTCAGGTGATCTGCCCGCCTCGGCCTCTCAAAGTGCTGGGATTCCAGGCATGAGCCAACACACCTGGCCGACAGTCTTTTGACTTCTAATGTTGCTATTGATGAATCTACTGGCAGAATAACTGTCATTTCTTTGAAGGCAATCTTTCTTTTCTTTTTAAAAATAGAGACGGGGTCTTGCTATGTTGGCCAGGTTGGTCTCAAACGCCTGACCTCAAGTGATCCTTCCACCTCAGCCTCCCAAAGTGCTGGAATTACAGGCATGAGCCACTGTACCGGGCCAGTCTTTTCTTTTTCTTTTCTTTTCTTTCTTTTTTTTTTTTTTTTTTTTTTTGAGAGGGAGTCTTGCTCTGTCTCCAGGTTGGAGTGCAGTGACACGATCTTGGCTCACTGCAACCTCCACTTCCTGGGTTCAAGTGATTCTCCTGCCTCAGCCTCCTGAGTAGCTGGGATTACAGGCATGCACCACCACACCCAGCTAATTTTGTATTTTTAGTAGAGACGGGGTTTCTCCATGTTGGTCAGGCTGATCTTGAACTCCCAACCTCTGGTGATCTGCCAACCTTGGCCTCTCAAAGTGCTGTCATTACAGGTGTGAGCCACTGTGCCTAGTCTGTCTTTTCTTTCTGATTGCCTTTTAGATCTTTATGATGTTTGACAGTTTCATAGTGATGTGTCTAGGTGTGGATTTATTTATATTTATCTCACCTAGAACCAGTACTTTTTGAAACTGAGGACTGATATTTTTCACAGAAGCTGGGACTTGGTAGACATCATCTCTTTGGATATGTCCTCTCCACCATTTGCCTCTTCTCCCTTCTATAGAACTCCTTGTAGATGTATGTTGGAATTTCTCATTCTATTCATGTCTTTTATTCTCTCTGTATCAGCAAGCTTTTGCTCTGTAACAAATCATCCAACATTTACAAGCTTAAAATAACAACTGTTTATTTATCTCATGATTCTGTGGATCATTGGTTTGGGCTAGACTCAGCGGGGCGGTTCTTCTGTTCTTGGCTGGTTGGCTGGGGTCACTCATGCATACACAGGCAGTTTCCAGGTCAGCTGGGAGCTGGCTGGTCTAGGTTGGCCTCAGTTGGAATTTTCTTTGCTTCACATAGTCTCTCATCCTCCAGCGGGCTTGTCTGAACGTACTCACTAAGGGTTTCAAGAGAATGAGCAGAGTTGTGCAAAGCCTCTTGCAGCCAAGGCTCAGAAACCATCACTTCTGTTTTTTTTTTTTTTTTTTTGTTCCTTTTTTCCTTTTCTTGAGACAGGATCTCACTCTGTCACCCAGGCTGGAGTATAGTGAATTGAACACAGCTCACTGCAGTCTAAACCTCCTGGGTTCAAGAGGTCCTCCTGCCTCAGCATCCCCTGCTGCTGGGACCACAGGTGTGTGTTGCCACATCTAGCTAATCTTTTTATATAAATTAATTAATTAATTATTTTTTTAGACAAGGTCTTGCTCTATTGCTCAGGCTGGAGTGCATTGGTGTGATCACGGCTCACTGCAGCATCGAACCCCTGGGCTCAGGTGATTCTCCCACCTCAGCCTCTTGAATAGCTGGGACTACAGGCACACGCCAGCATGCCCAGCTAATTTTTGTATTTTTTGTAAAGAGAGGTTTTGCCATGTTGCCCAGGCTGGTCTCAAACTCCTGGCCTCAAGTGATCCTCCTGCCTCAGCCTCCCAAAGTGCTGGGATTACAGACGTGAGTCGTCATGCCCAGCTTTACTTCTGTCACTTTTATTGGTCAAACAAGTTGCAAGGTGGTGGAGGAGAAGACTCTATTTCTAGATGTTAGAAGCATTAAAATCACATGGTGGAAAACTGAATTTTATAAAATAAGAAAGTGACATTTATTACACCTTTGTATTGGTGGCCTATATGTGACAGTGGTTTAGATCATAAACTCTGGGATCAGGCTGGGCACGGTGGCTCAAGACTATAATCCCAGCACTTTGGGAGGCCAAGGTGGGTGGATCACCTGAGGTCAGGAGTTCGAGACCAACCTGGCCAACATGGCGAAATACCATGTCTACTAAATATACAAAAATTAGCCAGGTGTGGTGGCGGGTGCCTGTAATCCCAGCTACTCAGGAGGCTGAGGCAGGAGAATTGCTTGAACCTGAGAGTTGGAGGTTGCAGTGAGCCAAGATTGCGCCACTGCACTCCAGCCTAAGTAACAGAGCAAGACTCCATCTCAAATAAATAAATAAACAAACAAACTCTGGGATCAGAGTGGAATTTTGGCCAATTTTGCATGCTATCTACCATACTCTCTGTCATGGGTACTTTTTTTTTAAACTCTGTACTTCCTTGTAGGGAAATCATCTCATATCTGTCTTCTAGTATACTAAATCTCTCTTCAGCTATGGTCAATGTGGTGTTTAACCATGCACTCAAATGTTTAATTTCGATTACTATATTATTCATTTCTAGAAGTTCCATTTGATTTTTCTCAAATCTATTCTTTTTTCTTTTCTTTTTTTCTTCCTTGGGATGGGGTCTCACTCTATTGCCCAGGCTGGAGTGCAGTGGTGCCATCTCAGCTCACTGCAACCTCTGCCTCCCAGTTTCAAGCAATTCTCCTGCCTCAGCCACCCAAGTAGCTGAGACTACAGGCATGTGCCATTATGCCCAGCTAATTTCTGTATTTTTTGTAGAGACGGAGTTTCACCATGTTGCCCAGGTTGATGTTGAACTCCTGAACTCAAGCAATCCTCCTGCCTTGGCATCCCAAAGTGCTGACATTACAGGCATGAGCCTTCTTCTGTAAAGAAGAATCGGCCAAACCCATTCTTCTTTCCTAGTGTTAGTTCTCGCTCTTGTGTTTTTGACTTCTTTGATCAGTTCATCGTCTCTATGAGATTGTTCTTGGGTCTTTATTCTGCTGTTAGTGTACCTCCTGAGTTTTCGTCATGCCTGCTTCCTTCTGTCCACATCAACAGGGCTTTATCAGTGGGAGCCCCACACAGATATCATTAGTCCAGGATCAATATTTATGTCGATTTCTGAGTTTTAGGATGAAAAGGGTGGAGTTCATTTGAATCTGAAACATGTGAGCACTGGCCCACGGTAACAAATCTGCAGGAGAAATTTTTTTCTTTTTTAATATGGGAGAGTTTTTTTTTTTTTAGATGGTGTCTCACCCTGTCGCTCAGGCTGGAGTACAGTGGTGTGATCTCAGTTCACTGCAGCCTCCGCCTCCCGGGTTCAAACGATTCTCCTGTCTCAGCCTCTTGAGTAGCTGGGATTACAGGCTCCTACCACCATGCCTGGCTCATTTTTGTATTTTTAGTAGAGATGGGGTTTCACCATGTTGGCCAGGCTGGTCTCGAACTCCTGACCTCAAGTGATCCACCTGCCTCGGCCTCCCAAAGTGCTGGGATTACAGGCGTGAGCCACCGTGCCCAGCCTTTTATGGGAGGGATTTTTTTTAAAAACAAACTCCACCAGCTCAGGTTGAGACAGGCAAATTTCTTTCTTATCTTTCTATGCCTAAAAATCTTCTTTCTCAAGCATTTGTTTCACTGAGGGGATAGCTTGGATAGCCTCATTTTAGTTGATGTCACCATTTCAATCCCTACTTTAGTTTTTTTTGTTTGTTTTTTGTTTGTGTTTTTTTGAGACAGAGTCTCGCTCCGTTGCCCAGGCTGTAGTACAGTGGTGCGATCTTGGCTCACTGCAACCTTCGCCTCCCATATTCAAGTGATTCTCCTGCCTCAGCCTCCCAAGTAGCTGGGACTACAGGTGTGCATCACCACGCCTAGCTAATTTTTGTATTTTTAGTAGAGACAGGGTTTCACCATGTTGGCCAGGCTGGTCTCAAACGCTGACCTCTAATGATCTGCTCGCCTTGGCCTCCCAAAGTATTGGGATTATGAGCATGAGCCACCATGCCCAGCCTCTTAATTTTTTTGAGATGGAGGTCTCGTTCTATTGCCCAGGCTGGAGTGCAGTGGTTCGATCATGGCTCACTGGAGCCTGGAATTCCTGGGCTCAAGCAATCCTCCTACCTCAGCCTCCAGGAGAGCTGGGATTATAGCCCTGAGCCTCTACTCCCAGCTGCATTATTTTAAATTAAGAAATAAGTGGCACGTGCTTGTTATCTCAGCACTTTGGGAAGCTGAGGTGGGAGGACTGTTTGAAATTAGAAGTTTGAGACCGGCGGGGCACAGTGGCTCACGCTTGTGATCCCAACACTTTGGGAGGCTGAGGTGGGCGGATCACAAGGTCAGGAGATCGAGACCATCCTGGCTAACATGGTGAAACCCCGTCTCTACTAAAAATACAAAAAATTAGCCGGGTGTGGTGGTGAGCGCCTGTAGTCCCAGCTACTTGGGAGGCTGAGGCAGGAGAATGGCGTGAACCCGGGAGGCAGAGCTTGCAGTGAGCCGAGTTCGCGCCACTGCATTCCAGCCTGGGCGACAGAGCGAGACTTCGTCTCAAAAAAAAAAAAAAAAATTGAGACCAGCCTGGGTAACAGACCAAGACCCCGACTCTGGAATTAAAACAAAAAAGAGGATGTGGTTGGTGTTTTGTAACCAAGACGTTTAGAGTAGGATAGTTTTCAGGCTATCGAATTTACTACTATATTGCTCACACCAGAAGTCCAAATATACACACAAATTAAATATATTTTTTTGAGATGGAGTCTTGCTTTGTCACCCAGGATGGAGTGCAGTGGCACAATCATAGCTCACTGCCTCCTCCAATTTCTGGGCTCAAGGGATCCTCTTGCCTCAGTCTCCCGAGTAGCTGGGACTACAGGCATGTGCCACCATGGCCATGCCCAGCTATTTTTTTTTTTAAATAAGTCTTTTTTTTTTTTTTCTGAGACCAAGTCTCACTCTGTTACCCAGACTGCTGTGCCGATCTCAGCTACTGCAACCTCCTCTTCCCAGGTTCAAGCGATTCTCCTGCCTCACACTCCTGAGTAGTTGTGATTACAGGTGTGCCACCACGCCAGGCTAATTTTTGTATTTTTAGTAGAGATGGGGTTTCACCATGTTGGCCAGGCTGGTCTCAAACTCCTGACCTCAGGTGATCTGCCTGCCTCAGCCTCCCAAAGTGCTGGCATTACAGGTGTGAGCCACCGCACCCGGCAGAAGGTTACTTTTGTAGATGGGGTCTCACTATGTTGCCAGGCTGGTCTCAAACTCCTGGGCTCGAGCAGTCCTCCCACCTGGACCTCCCAAAGTGCTGGGATTACCAGCATGAGCCACTGTGCCTGGCCTAAATATATATATTTAGATAGTTAGAATCATACTTTCCAGGACCCCCAATATGAACAGAAGCTCTGCAGAAAACAGTTTGAAAACCAGGCATCCAGCAGGGAGAACCTGGGCTTCCCATCACCCGCTTTTTCATCCCCACCCTAGCTCCCTCATGCTCCACAACTTGGGGACAAGCTAGTTGTCTTCTCTGAGCCTTCTTTTTCCCTTCTGCGGGGATAATCTTACTTGACTTCCCTGACCACAAGAGACTTGCCTGGGAACATGCATGGAAAGCTCTGTGATGAGCCCTGAGATGTTTGAAGTGAGAACTCTCCAAACAGCCTCCGTGGGTATAATCTGGAAAATTCCCTCAGGTGTAACGCCCCTCTGCCCAGCAAGTGAACAAAGGGCTGACTGGTGACAGTTTCCGGACACTGTGGCAGGCTATTTAAGCCCACAAGCAAGCATCAGCACAGAGTAGGCTATAGGGCTGGGCACGGTGGCTCACACCTGTAATCCCAGCAATTTGGGAGGCCAAGGCAGGAGGATTGCTTAAGGCCAGGAGTTCAAGACCAGCCTGGGCAACATAGTGAGACCCCATCTCTAAAAAAAAAAAAAAATCAAAACATTAGCTGGGCATGGTGACACTGCCTGAAGTCCTAGTTACTTGGGAGGCTGAGGCAGGAGGATCATCTGAGCCTAGGAGGTAGAGGCTGCAGTGAGCTATGATTGTACCACTGCACTCCAGTGTGGGTGACAGACCAAGACCCTGTCTCAGAGAAAAAAATAAAAATAAAAAAGAGTAGGGTCTTTCCTAGCAGGACTGATGTCCTGTCTCCCTTCCTACCCGCTCTGGGAGGACAGCCCCAGCTGGCCACACCTGGTGACACCATTCTCTGACCAGCTCCGGGGAGCGACCCCTGGAGGAGACGCCCACCCCTCCCTGCTGACCCCAATTTCCAAAAAGCCCGTTCATTCATCCCGGGGTTGGGGATGTGGGGGTGGTCAGAGGAGGACCCCCCCATCCTGTCCTGCACCTCCAGTCCCCGGAGGGGGGCGCAGGATGGGGGACCCTCAGCGGCGGTGGCGACCCCGAGGAGGCCCGGGCACAGGAAGAAAGAAAGACATTCCTGTCTCCCTCCCTCTCCGCCTCGGGTTTCGCCCTTCCCTTCCCTTCCCGGGGACAATCCCGACCTTCACCGTCAAGGCCTTTTGCAAACACACACGCACGCACATGTATTTTTGGAAGAAGGGGAAAAATTCCAAGAGAACCTCCGCTGGGTTAAAAATGAAGTGAAGATTATATTAAGAGTGAAAGGGGAGCGGGGTGGCTGGGGCGCAGACAGAGGCCCCTTTCATGCGCCCGGCCGCGCGCCGTGGGCCGCTGCCAACACAAACGCGGGCGGAACCGAACCCGCGGAGCGCCGGCCGCGCTGCCAGGCCCCATCCAGCCCGCCCCGGCTGGCGCTGCTCCGCGTTTCCGCTCTGCTGACGCGCAGGAATCGCGGGGCGGCCGGGCGGGCGGCGGGGACCCCTGTGCGCCCCGAGCCCCCGGGTGGGGGCCGCACCACTGCCCGTCTCCCCTCCCTCTGCTCCTGCTCCGTCCGTTTTCTTCCAGGCCCTGGCGGATCACGGGTGCCCAGGGGCTCGGAGGCCGCCGCCTCCGGGAAGCCCGCCCAGGTTCCGCTGGACTCCCACAGGCAATACCCCTGGGCCTTCCTCACTGCCCCTGTTGGCCCTAATTCCCCCACCCCCTGCAAGGTCTGTGCCTCTCCTGCAGCCCCGCTAGCAACTAGGGCGAGAGGAGCTCGCCCCCTCCCAAACGTATTGGTGTGATGAAGGAAGCGCCCCTGGTTCTGCCACTGGCCCTGGACACCCAGTGCTGGTTCCCCGTAGAAGTCCCCCTGGACTGAGTGGAGGCTGGGTGCTCTAGTGATGTGCGACCTGGGGCCTCTGACTCCCATCATGTTGGGAAAGTCATTGAACCTCACCGGTGAAACGGGCACAGTGAAGTCATTTCCCCGAAGTCTCAGGACTCTGTGTAAGGCTGGGGACAGGGGCTGTGGGGGCCTAAGGGCACCTTGGGAACTGCAGGAGCCCGTCCTGCCTCCATAAGACACTCACTCCTGGCAGGGTCCCCTCTCCGGGCACAGCCCAGATCCGCCGCCATCATCCCTCTCCATCTGTGGCTCCCTGCCCCTCACAGAGGATTCATCACTCTGTTCAGAATCCGCAGGACTCCCTGGGGGAGGAGGTCACAGCCTGGCCTCCCAAGACCCTGCCTCCCCAATTCCAGGACCTCCTCACGTGGCTCCTACCTCCAGCGCAGAAGCAGCACTAAACCAGGTGGTCAATCAGGGAGCACCACCGAGCTTCTGATTGGTCCAGGGATGAGCAGTGATGAGTCAAGCTAAGCCAATCAAAGCCTTCCCTGGGATTTTCTGGGTCTCAGTACTGGGAAAGCGTGAGGCTGAGGCTGCCTGCTGTCCTGGGGGCCTCACCCTGCCACCAACAGGAAGCCACACAGAGGGAAGCAGAAATGAGACGCAGCCAGTGAGGGCAGGGGATAAAGGTGAGATCCCAGAGAGACAGATGCTGGGACATCATCCTTGGGTACTGGATCCAACAGTGCCTGCAGATGGAGCCACCCTCGGACAGTCCACAACAGCAGCCAATCCATTCTGTGCCTGTCTGAGCTACTTTAAGTCGGGTTTTTGACTGTTTGAATGAGAGTCTCATCTTGGCTAGGCACCATGGAGCAACAACTGGGGAGGTGGAGGTAGGAAGATTGCTTGAGGCCAAGAGTCCCAGAGCAACCTGGGCAACCTATCAAGACGCTGTCTTTACAAAAAGAAAAAAAACTGGCTAGGTGTGGTGGTGCGTGCCTGTGGTCCCAGCTACGGGGGAGGCTGAGGTGGGAGGATCGCTTGAGCCCAGGAGGTGGAGGCTGCAGTGAGCTATGATGGCACCACTGTACTCCAGCCTGGATGACAGAGCAAGACCCTGTCTCAAAAATAAATAAATAAATAAAAAAGAAGTCCCACCGAATACCTTCACTGCGTGAAGGTCACCCCATCTGAAAAATAAAGCCTGGGCACTTGGACTTGGTATTGGTGGCCTTTGCAAGGTGTAAGATGCGTTCCCCTCCTTGGTCCCCCCTTAAGCTTGTCCTGCACATTTCATTTACAAAGAATGAATAGAGGTGATCCCCACCACACTTCAGGTTTCGGATAAGGAAACCGAGGCTTCAGTAGGAAGTACTGTAGCCCACGTCACGCAGGCAGTGGGGGGGATATGAATGAACTTGAGCCCCTCATCTGACTCCACCCCCCGCTCTCACCTTCACTCCCCTGCTCTCCTGCCTCCCCTGAGGACTGACTGTTCCTGACCCCCCGCATTTGGGCTTCTTCACCATGCATCGTGACTCAAACGCTTCCTTCTCCTCTCTGCTGATTCAGACCAGCTCAGTGTGTGCCACCTCCCTTAGGCGCTTTCTGCAGAAGCCCCTTCTCCTGCCCTGGTCCTGCACCTGCCTCAGGTGTTGACACCTGAGCTCCCGATGCTTAGGGCTGGGTGGCTGCCAGCCATCTTGTTACCCAGTGTGCAGAATTGGGTGCTGGAGGCACCAAATAGAGTCTGCTCTATACATCTTTTTACAATTTTTAAAAATTATTATTATTATTATTATTATTATTATTTGAGACGGAGTTTTGTTCTTGTTGCCCAGGCTGGAGTGCAATGGCACGATCTCGGCTCACCGCAACCTCCGCCTCCCAGATTTAAGCGATTCTCCTGCCTCAGCCTACCGAGTAACTTGGAATACAGGCATGTGCCACCACGCCTGGCTAATTTTGTAGTTTTAGTAGAGACAGGGTTTCTCCATGTTGGTCAGGCTGCCCTTGAACTCCTGACCTCAGGTGATCTGCCCGCCTTGGCCTCCCAAAGTGCTGGGATTACAGGCGTGAGCCACTGCGCCTGGCCAATTATTCTTATTTTTTGAGACGGAGTCTCGGTCTGTTGCCCAGGCTGGAATGCAGTGGCACAATCTCGGCTCACTGCAACCTCCGCGTCCTCGGTTCAAGCGATTCTCTCTGCCTCAGCCTTCCGAGTAGCTGGGATTACAGGAACCCGCCACCACGCTCGGCTAATCTTTGTATTTTTTAGTAGAGACGGGGTTTGGCCATGTTGGCCAGGTTGGTCTTGAACTCCTGACCTCAGGTGATTTGCCCGCCTTGTCCTCCCAAAGTGCTGGAATTACAGGCGTGAGCCACCACGCCAGGCCTCTCTTTAGATCTGGTTTAAATTTTTTTTTTTTTGAGACGGGATCTCGCTCTGTCACTCAGGCTGGAGTGCAGTGGCACGATCTCGGCTCACTGCAAACTCCGCCTCCCGGGTTCAGGCCATTCTCTTGCCTCAGCCTCCTGAGTAGCTGGGACTACAGGCCCCAGCCACCACGCCTGGCTAATTTTCTTTCTTTCTTTCTTTCTTTTTTTTTGTGTGTGTGTATTTGTACTAGAGACGGGGTTTAATCGTGTTAGCCAGGATGGTTTTGATCTCCTGACCTCGTGATCCACCCGCCTCGGCCTCCCAAAGTGCTCGGATCACAGGGGTGAGCCACCTCACCTGGCCAATTTTTTTTTTTTTTTTAAACAGGATCTTGCTCTGTTGCCCAGACTGGAGTGAAGTGGCATGACTGTAGCTCACTGCAGCCTTGAACTCCGGGCTCAAGTGATCCTCCCGCTTCAGCCTCTCCAGCAGCTGAAACTACAGGCACACACCACCACGCCCAGCTAATTTTTATTTTTATTTTTTGTAGAGACGGGGTTTCACTATGTTGCCCCGGCTGGTCTAAAATTCCTGGCTTCAACCAATTCTCCTGCCTCCGCCTTCCGAAGTGCTGGGATTATAGGCTTGAGTCACCACCGTGCCCAGCATACATCTGCTTTCTGAATATTTGAAAGGCAGAAGGCACAAGGCGTGACAACTGATGGGATTTGGGATGTAAAGAGCAAGAGAGGACTCAAGCACAGTAGGCTCGAGGTTTCTAGCCCCGGCTGCTGTCACCAACCACTCTCAGGAAGGTAGGCGGAAGGTTACGCAGGAGAAACCGGAAGGGGTAGTTCTGAGGCCCCAGGGGTGTGGAGCTGAAAGTCCAGGGAGGAGCGGTGAGGCTGGAGGAAGGTGAGGCTGGAGGAGCAGGTTCAGGAGGCTCTGAGGTAAAGATGGAGGCTGGGGCCTTGGGAGTCGAGGAGTTTACCCAAGACGAAGCATCTGTGTGGAAGAAAAGATGAGGCTAGGCGCAGTGGCTCGCGCCTGTAAACCCAGTACTTTGGGAGGCCGAGGTGGGCGGATCATCTGAGGTCAAGAGTTCGAGACCAGCCTGGTCAATATGGTGAAACCCCTTCTCTACTAAAAATACAAATATTAGCCGGGTACAGTGGTGCGCACCTGTAATCCCAGCTACTCGGGAGGCTGAGGCACGAGAATCGCTTGAACCCGGGAGGCGGAGGTTACAGTGAGCCGAGATCATGCCACTGCACTCCAGCCTGGGTGACAGAGCAAGACTCCATCTCCAAAAGAAAAAGAAACTACAAACATCATTGAAAGAAACTAAAGAAGACCTAAATAAATGGAAGGAAATCATGTTCATGGATTAAAAGACTTAATATTATTAAAATTTCAATACTTCAGAAGTGATCTACAGATTGAACGCAATCCCTATCAAAATCCCAGCTGTGGCCGGGTGTGGCGGCTCATGCCTGTAATCCTGGCACTTTGAGAGCCAAGGTGGGAGGATTGTTTGAGCCAAGAAATTTGAGACCAGCCTGGCAACATGATCTCTACAAAAAATATAGAAATTAGCCAGGGGTGGTGGTGTCAGCCTGTAGTCCCAGCTACCCAGGAGGCTGAGGAAGGAGGATCGCTTGAGCCCAGGAGTTCGAGGCTGCAGTGGGCTATAATCACGTCACTGCTCTCCGGCCTGGGCAACAGTGCAAGGTCGTGTCTCAAAAAAACATCCCAGCTGCCTTTTTTTTTTTTTTTTTGAGATGGAGTCTCGCTCTGTCACCCAGGCTGGAGTGTAGTAGCGAGATCTCGGCTCACTGCAACCTCCACCTTCCAGATTCAAACGATTCTCTGGCCTCAGCCTTCCAAGTAGCTTGGGACTACAGGCGCCCACCAACGCTCCCAGCTAAATTTTGTATTTTTAGTAGAGATGGGGTTTTCACCATGTTGGCCAGGCTGGTCTCGAACTCCTGACCTCAGGTAGTCCACCCGCCTCAGCCTCCCAAAGTACTGGAATTAAAGGTGTGAACCACCACGCCCAGCCTGAAAATAAGTGTTTAAATAAAAACATACACAAATGTTCATAGGAGCTTTATAAAAGGCAAAAAGTGCAAACATGCCAAATGTTCACCAACGAATGAACAGATAAAAGATGTTGAGTAGCGCCATATAATGCAATATTATTCAGCCATACAAAAGAATGACAGGCTGGGCGTGGTGGCTCACACCTGTAATCCTAACACTTTGGGAGGCTGAGGCAAGCAGATTGCTTGAGCCCAGGAGTTCGAGACGAGCCTGGGCAACATCGGGAGAACCTGTCTCTACAAAAAATACAAAAATTAGCCAGGCGTGGTGGCACGTGGCTGTGGTCCCAGCAACTTGGGAGGCTGAGGCAGGAAGATGGCTTGAGCCGGGGAAGTCGAGGCTGGAGTCTGCTATGATTGCATCATTGCACTCCAGCCGGGGTGACACAGTGAGACCCTCTTAAAAAAGAAAAAAAAAAAAGCTGGGGGGGTGCCAGGTGCAGTGGCTTATGCCTGTAATCCCAACACTTTGGGAGGCCAAGGTGGGTGGATCACAAGGCCAGGAGTTCGAGACCAGCCTGGCCAGCATGATGAAACCCTGTCTCTAATAAAAATACAAAAAATTAGCCGGGTGTGGTGGTGGGCGCCTGTAGTCCCAGCTACTCTGGAGGCTGAGGCAAGAGAATTGCTTGAACCTGGCAGGCAGAGGTTGCAGTGAGCTGAGATCGTGCCACTGCACTCCAGTCTGGGCGACAGAATGAGACTCCATCTCAGAAAAAAAAAAAAAAGGAATGACGGAATGACATATGGACATGGATGAACCTGGACAGTATTGTGCTAAGTGAAAGAAGCCAGACACAAAAGTCTACGTATTTAATGATTCAATTTTTTTTTTTTTTTTTGAAACAGTCTGGCTCTGTCACCCAGGCTAGAGTGCAGTGGTGCAATCTTGGCTCACTGAAAGCTCTGTCCTCTGGGTTCAAGTGATTCACATGCCTCAACCCCCCGCGCCCTGCCTCAAGGTAGCTGGGATTACGGGCGCCCAACACCACACCCAGCTAATTTTTGTATTTTTAGTACAGATGAGGTCTCACCATGTCGGTCATGCTGGTCTCAAACTCCTGACCTCAGGTGATCCACCTGCTTCGGCCTTCCAAAGTGGTGGGATTACAGGCATGAGCCACTGCGTCTGGCCAAATATGATTCCATTTCTATGAACCATAGAAAAGGCAAATCTGGGCCGGGCGCGGTGGCTCATGACTGTAATCCCAACATTTTGGGAGGCAGAGGCGGGCGGATCATTTGAGGTCTGGAGTTTGAGACCACCCTGGTCAACATGATAAAAACCCCGTCTCTACTACTAATAAAAAATTAGCCGGGCGTGGTGGCGTGTGCCTGTAATCCCAGCTACTCGGGAGAGTGAGGCAGGAGAATCACTGGAACTCAGGAGGCAGAGGCTGCAGTAAGCTGAGATTGCGCCACTGCACTCCAGCCTGGGCGACAGAGGGAGACTCTGTATCAAAAAAAAAAAAAAAAAAAAAGTATATCTGGAGTCAGAGTTGGGGAGTGACTGTTGTGGGGTGAGGGTTTCTTTTTGAGGTGATGAAAATATTCTGGAATTAGATAGGGTGATAGTTGCACTGTACTTAAAAAACACACTCCCTGAATTGTATACCTTAAAAGAGTAAAATTCAGGGTATGTGAATATCTCATTTTATTTATTTATTTGAAACAGAATCTTGCTCTGTTGCCCAGGCTGGAATGCAGTGGTGCAATCATGGCTCACTGCAGCCTCGAACTCCTGGCCTCAAATGATCCTCCTGCCTTGGCCTCCCAAAGTGCCAGGATGATAGGTGTGAGCCACTGTGCCCAGCCAGTATCTCAATTTTTTTTTTTTGAGCTGGAGTCTCGCTGTCTCGCCCAGGCTGGAGTGCAGTGGCGTGATCTTGGCTCACTGCAAGCCCTGCCTCCCGGGTTCACGGCATTATCCTGCCTCAGCCTCCTGAGTAGCTGAGACTACACATGCCCGCCACCATGCCCGGCTAATTTTTTGTATTTTTAGTAGAGATGGGGTTTCGCTGTGTTAGCCAGGATGGTCTCGATCTCCTGACCTCGTGATCCGCCTGCCTCGGCCTCCCAAAGTGCTGGGATTACAGGCGTGAGCCACCGCGCCCAGCCCTCAATTTTTTTTTAAATAGGGAAGAATATATAAAGATATTGTCATGTAAAAATTGCTCACTCTCAGCTGGGTGCAGTGGCTCACGCCTGTAGTCCTGGCACTTTGGGAGGCTGAGGCAGGAGGACTGCTTGAGGCCAAAAGTTTGAGACCGGCCTGGACAACATAGCAAGACCTCATCTCTCCAAAAAGTAAAATAAAATAAATTAGCCTGGTGTGGTGGTGCACAGTTCTAGTCCCAGCTACTTGGAAGGCTGAGGTGGGAGGATCACTTGAGCCTGGGAGTTTGAGGCTGCAGTGAAGTATTATTGCGTCACTGCGCTTCGGCCTGGGCAGCAGAGCTAGACTCCATTAAAAAAATATAAATTGGGTTGGGCACAGTGGCTCACGCCTGTAATCTCAGCACTTTGGGAGGCCGAGGCAGGTGGATCACCTGAGGTCGGGAGTTCGAGACCAGCTTGACCAACATGGAGAAACCTGCTCTCTACTAAAAATACAAAAAATTAGCCGGGTGTGGTGGTGCATGCCTGTAATCCCAGCTACTCAGGAGGCCGAGGCAGGAGAATCGCTTAAACCCAGGAGGCGGAGGTTGCGGTGAGCCGAGATCACGCCATTGCACTCCAGCCCGGGCAACAAGAGTGAAACTCCGTATCCAAAAAAAAAAAAAAAAAAAAAAGTCACTCACTCTCCTTGAGGCATGACTAAGAAAATGCTAACAGTGAGAAGGGCCTAGAATGGGTGAGACACAAGGATGAGTGGGAGGGCACTTGTTGAACCTCAGTTTTGAATTGTGTGAATGGATTACATTTTCAAGACATAAATAAGTGGAATAAAATGAACGGATCTGGCTCTGGGTGAGAGGAAGAGGCAGGCTTGGAGGACTGTCACATTTGGAAGGAGGCACGGGGCTGTGCTTGCAGGTAGAGGATGGCAATGGAGCCGGTGGGGCCAGTGTCACTGGCACAGAGGAAGAGGCATGTCTGCCCCTCAAGGACCCAGAGGAGGCAGTGAGGGTGGGTGAAGATTCAGGAGTAGGAGGAGGTGTGAGGGAAGGGGTCTTTGGCCCGTGGGAGGGCTTATTTCCCACCTGGTGGCTTTTATTTTCTCTGGGCCTGGAGAGGCGTGGGGCTGCCTGGAAGGGAAGGGGGATGTGGGCATCAAGAGGGAAGCTGGGAAGGGCCTCCTTGCAGAATCAAAAAGGAGCCAGTGACGCAGGAAAGGGCTGCTGAGTAATTCTGAGGTTGGAAACGCACCTCGGTGACTTTCACGTCTATTCCATGGAGCCGGAGTGAGGCTCTCTGTACGCACCGTGGAACACTGTGCTATTGATGGCTGTGAGCTATGGACTGTGTCCACACAGGGTCGCCCATCTAGGCGCCTGCTTTATAGTCCAAATGCCAGGTGGGGTGGGGCAAGTGGACCTTCCAGTGCCCTTTGAGGAGCTGCTGCCAGGAGGCAGGGCCACGTGTGTGTGTGAAGAGGGGATGGAGGTGCCTGGCCCAGGCAGAGGTGCACAGTGTCCATGAGGGTCAGGGGTGCCCCCTGAGATGGCTCCTCCTCTAAACTGGGTTGGGGGCTGGGCGTGGTGGCTGATGCCTGTAATCCCAGCACTTTGGGAGGCCATGGCAGGTGGATCACCTGAGGTCAGAAGTTCAAGATCAGCCTGGGCAACTTGGTGAAACCGCGTCTTTACTAAAAATATAAAAATTGGCTGGGCGTGGTGGCGGACACCTGTAATCCCAGCTACTCAGGAGGCTGAGGCATGAGAATCGCTTGAACCTGGGAGGCGGAGGTTGCAGTGAGCAGAGATCCTGCCACTGCACTCCAGCCTGGGTGACAGAGCGAGGCCCTGTCTCAAAAACAAAGCAAAACAAAACAAAAACCAACCTGGGTTAGGGACCCAAATTGGTTAGAGGACGTAGAAGAGGTAGGTGACATGGCTTAGGGTTTCAATTCTTCCAGTCAACTGTGATTTTTCTTTTTTTTTTAGACAGGGTCTAGTTCTGTCACCCAGGCTGGAGTGCAATGTTGTGATCTCCGCTCACTGCAACCTCCACCTCTCAGGTTCAAGCGATTCTCCTGCCTCAGCCTCCCGAGTAGCTGGGACTACAGGTGCGCACCACCAAGCCTGGCTAATTTTTGTATTTTTAGTAGAGACGGGGTTTCACTATGTTGGCCAGGCTGGTTTTGAACTCCTGACCTCAAGTGATCCACCTGCTTTGGCCTCCCAAAGTGCTGGGATTACAGGCGCGAGCCATCGTGCCTGGCCTCAACTGTGGTTTTTCTGACAATTATTCACAACTATGTTTCAAAACCTCCCTGCATTTCTAGCCAACGGGTTGCTTTTGGAGGCCCTGGGGCTCTCCCGACACCCCCTCTGTGTGTCTGGCAATGCGCAGGTGCACCTGAGGGTGTCATCGGATCTGAGGGCCACAAACAGCATCAAAGGAGGGAGCCCCGTTGCCCCCGGTGGAGAAAAGCCACAGAGCATGACTTTGTTCACTCCATGTGCCCCCCGGCACTTCCCTGGGTTGGTGACTGTCTTCAGAACGGCAGCCTGCAGGCCTGCCTGGGGTCCCGTGGCAGGAGTGTGACCTGGCACACTCCAGGGGCCACCACCAACCTGGATGGTGGTCAAAGAAGGCTGCCCGGAGGAGGAGGTGGAGCTTCAGCTGTTTTTTTCTGTCCAGGTTTGTGTGTGTGTGTGTGTGTGTGTGTGTGTGTGTGTGTGTGTGTGTGTGTTTGAGTCAGAGTTTTGCTCTTGTTGCCCAGGCTGGAGTGCAGTGGCGCAATCTCGGCTCACTGCAACTTCCACCTCCTGGGTTCAAGTGATTCTCCTGTCTCAGCCTCCTGACTAGCTAGGATTACAGGCCCATGCCACCACGCTGGCTAATTTTTGTATTTTTAGTAGAGATGGGGTTTCATCATATTGGTCAAGCTTGTCTCGAACTTCTGACCTCAGGCGATCTGCCTGCCTCGGCCTCCCAGAGTGCTGGGATTACAGGTGTGAGCCACCGTGCCGGGCCTATGCATGTATTTTTAACTACCTTCTATGCGTGGTTTTTGTATAAGGAAATGAAAGTATTTCTTTGAAAACATGAGAAAGGAATATTTTAATACCAGGCAAAGAGGAGAGTTCCTGTAGTTTTGTTTGGACTGGGAAAGAGTTCACTCCTGTGCTGAGGGGCCCCTTTTCCATGGCTACTGGGGCAATGGTGCC
Organism: Homo sapiens; assembly: GCF_000001405.40. NCBI lineage: Eukaryota > Metazoa > Chordata > Mammalia > Primates > Hominidae > Homo > Homo sapiens. Next base: position 73,367,379 of record NC_000007.14, on the reverse strand, counting down.
TGGACTCCTGGGTCCTGCCCCCTGAGGCTTGTGAACTGTGGGGCCTCTGCTGTTTTGGAAAGAGGCGGAGAGGCAGTCCAGGAGGATCGAGCCGCTGGCGGGAAGGCACGGGGTGGGGGTGGCCGCTGTGGACATTCAGGACCCGCAGTGGTTCAGTGCGGCTGGAAGGCAGAGAGCAGCTGTTGTGGGGGGTAGCAGGTGGGCTTCTGTGCTAAATAGAGAGTTTGGTCTTGGTCTCAAAGGCTACTGAGGCGACTCAAGGACTTCCAGCTGGCGGGAGGCAGGGCTGGCAGGTGGAGAGGGGAGGCCGTGGGGACAGTTTGGCAGTAATCAATCTAGGTGAGAAGTGTTAGCATCCCATCCGGGCAGGGCAGGGAGATGGAAAGGAGGAGTGGGTACCTGAAGCCACAAAGCCCAAGGCCTCAAGTCGGATGGGGCTGTGGGGAGGAGGGGCAGCAGGACAGAGTCTGGCTCAGGGGCTGGGCAGCAGGTGGAGATAAACGACCATTTTTTTTTTGAGCCGGGGTCTCGGTCTGTCGCCCAGGCTGGAGTGCAGTGGCACAATCATAGCTCACTGCAGCCTCAACCACCTGGGCTCAAGTGACCCTCCTGTCTCAGCCTCCCGAGTACCCAGGCCACAGGCACACGCCACGACCCCTGGCTAATTAAAACAATTTTTTTTTTTATAGAGACAAGGTCTTCCTATATTGCCCAGGCTGGTCTCAAACTCCTGGGCTCAAGCGATCCTCCCGCCTTGGCCTCCCAAAGCTCTGGGATTACAGGCGTGAACCACCATGCCTGGCTGATAAGTGACTTTCCTGTACCTTGTGTGGAGGGTACTGAGGTCCACACTGTGTGTGTGGCGGTCTCTTGACCTGTGTAGGAGGCGTTTTGAAAAAAACCAACCAACCCAAGTTTGGCGAGCCTGTTCAGGAACAGACCGCGACTGCAGCCACCTCTGAGACTTCTCCATCTCATCGCCCACCTCAATGTGAGAGCCCACATGAAGGTCAGCGTCAGCGACTTCACACTCCACTGGCACTGCTTGAGCACCCACAGCGCGCCCAGCACAGAGTGACAGAAGCTCCCTTGGGACAGCCCTCATGGGCGCCACTGCAGTGATGCTGGGGCTGTCACCTGGCAGGAGAAAGTTCAGGGCTCTTTCTGGAATGCCATATGGCCCCTTTTCCAGAATCTACCTTTTCCACTGTACTTGTTTTCCAGAGACTGGCCTCCTGGTGCTGCTCCTGTCTTTGGGATTTCTCCAAAAGCAGCTACTAAACCTCCAGCACCCCCAAGCTCTTTCCCTTTTTGGGAGGTGACTGTCTGGGTCTGAATGGTTCTCCTAACTAGAGGGGCCGTTCTGCCTTGACCTGAGCAGTGGGGTAAGTTCAGCAGGAGGGAGTGGGAAGAGGGGCAGGACGGGACAATGGAGATTTGACTCAAGCCCCCCCACACCAATGCCCCTCCGCAGCACATTTATATTTTTATTAATTCCATTTTTTCCCCCAAGATGGAGTTTTGCTCTGTCACCCAGGCTGGAGTGCAGTGGTGCGATCTTGGCTCATTGCAACCTCCGCCTCCTGGGTTCAAGCAATTCCCCTGCCTCAGCCTCCTGAGTAGCTGGAATTACAGGCACCCGCCACCACACCCAGCTATTTTTTGTATTTTTAGTAGAGACGGGTTTTCACCATGTTGGCCAGGCTGGTCTCGAACTCCTGACCTCGTGATCCACCCACCTCAGCCTCCCAAAGTGCTGGGATTACAGGTGTGAGCCAATGTGCCTGGCTTTCATTTTTATTTTTAACAATATTTTCTGGCCAGGCGCCGTGGCTCGCACTTGTAATCCCAGCACTTTGGGAGCCCGAGGTGGGCGGATCACTTGAGGTCACGAATTCGAGACCAGCCAGGCCAACAAGGTGAAACCCCCATCTCTACCAAAAAACACACACACACAAATTAGCTGGGTGTGGTGGCGCATGCCTGTAGTTCCAGCTACGCGGGAGGCTGAGGTGGGAGAATTGCTTGAACCCAGGAGGTGGAGATTACAGTGAGCTGACATCGCATCACTGCACTCCAGCCTGGGCCACAGAGTGAGACCTTGTTTCAAAACAAAACAAAAAACAAAAAAAATTTTGTTATTTAAAAAAATATATAGAGGTGAGGTCTCACTCTGTGGCCCAGGCTGGTCTCAAACTCCCGGGCTCAAGCAATCCTCCCGTCTTCGCCGCCCAAAGTGCTGGGATTGCAGGCGTTAGCCACTGTGCCCAGCCTCAGCTGCACTTTCAGTTTGAATGGTTGGGAATTAAAGAATATCACATATATAAGATGAAACACTTTTTGGTTTATTACAATATTTATATTATATATATTATATATTGTTATTTATCTGCTGACATTTGACATTTCTGTCTCTTTCTAGAGTGTTTGCCTCCTGGACACACACACACACACACACACACACACACACACACACACACTGGCTTAGCGGTCGCCGTGGGTGAAGTCCCTCTGCTGAGCATTACTGCGACCTTATCACGACTGCGGTGGTCACAGCAGTCAGAGTGCTTAAGGGAAGCTTCTTCACCTGCCAGGAGAGAGCAGGTGCCAGGAAAGCAGCTCCACCTCTTCTCCGCACCAGCCCGGTTCCCGAGCCCATAAAAGAAGGGGCCTCTAGCACTGATTTTCCCCGGAGGCTCAGGGCCCCCTAGGGCTCCCCTCTGCAGACAAGAGGGGCTGGCTGCCAACATTTCCGGGCTCCTGCCACTGTGCCTGGAGGACTGCCCGTGACCGTGCCCGCCGCCTTTCCTACTCTCGGAGGGCAAGGGTGGTCTTTGTGTCAGCCCTTTCCTGGGGACTGTGCCCTTTCCTGGGGACTGTGTCTAGCATTTGGGTGGCAGAGAGAGGCCAAGTGCCCTTCTCAGCAGCGCCCTGGCACCCAGGCTCAGGCCATAGGCAGGGGGCCGAGGAGGGTGATGAAGTTCCCTGGGGCCACCAGGCTTGCCCAGAAAGCAAGGAGTGGGTTATGTCACCACCTATTGCCGGATCTGCTCAGCAAAGGTCAGCCTACCCTGAGCCCGAATCCTCTCTTCAAGAGAAGGACCCAGGTTCGGGGAGGAGAGGACTCGAGGGCCCAGTGGGAAAAGCCTGCGGCTCCAGGCTGCAACCGGGGTCTCCCTCAGCGTGCCTCTGTCCCCCGGGGCAAGTCCTTCCTGCCCAGGGTCTCATGACCTTCCCTCTGAAATGACCGTGGAGATTCCACCGCGGGGAGAGGTGGGGCGCCACAAAGCAGGCCCCCAGGGCGGACCCAGCCCACTATGCCCCGGGTGAGGCCAGAAAGGCAGCCCCCGGTGCCGGGATCTGACAAGTAGGGGGTCTCTGGGAAGCCTCTGGGCCCCTCTGAGCCAGCCTCCTCCGTCCTTGCAAAGTGCAGAGACTTCAGTGGTCTCCAGTGTTGCTGGGGGAATGAAGGGAAGCCCCGGCAGAGGCGCTGTCACTCCTGCACCATACCATCCCACAGGCCACCGGGAGGCTGGCTGGCTTCAGGACATCCACGGTGGACACGTTTTGCAAGAACACTCTCAAAGATATACACGAAGCACGTGGGCACGGCTGCCTGTGGGAGAGTGTACAGGACTAGAATAATGAGGGTGTCGTGGACGGATGCGGTGCTGTGCATGACTGTGGGGCGTCATCAACTCCATGCTCTGCATCTGAGCTTAAAAAGGGGGCACTCAACCCCGAAATCCACCTCAGGGGAAAGGTTGAGAACTGTGATGCCCTGGACAAGGTCAATGCCACCTGGGGACCTGCGTGGGGGCCTCTTCGGCAGCTGGTCTATGGACCTCCAGCGTGGAATTTGGTTTCATGTGCTTCAGGGACCACGCGTCTCCTTGGCAGACACAGGGCACACCACCATCCCACTGACCTCCTGCGCGATGGGTTAGGGGCACCCAGCTTGCCTTCCTCCTTGGTGCTCCCTGCACGTGCCTCCAGCACAAGGCTCGGGCGAGCTGCGGCAGAAGGACCCCACGGCACTCCTGCGCTCCCCAGCTCCAACCCCACAGTCCACGAGGCAGGCAAGTCACATTCCTTCTCATTTCTAAAGTGCACTAACAATACATGGATGCATCTCAAATTGTATAGAAGCACCCAGGAGAAAACACGGGACCCCTTTCCCCTCTCGGTGCTGTGCTCGCCATAATGACAGTACGTTTGAGCCTGTGTCCTCTGGTGCTGTGTACACACACGAGTCTCCATGTTTTTTTTTTTTTTTTGAGACAGGGTCTTGCTCTGTCACCCAGGCTGGAGTGCAGTGGTGCAGTCACAGCTCACACAGCCTCCAACTCTTGGGCTCAAGTGATCCTCCCACCTCAACCCCCCGAGTAGTGGGACAACAGGCACGCACCACCATGCCTGGCTTATTTTCTAAAATATTTTCTGTATAGACAGGGTGTCTTTATATTGCCCAGGCTGGTCTCAAACTCCTGGCCTCAAGGGATCCTCCTGCATCAGCCTCTTTTTTTTTTTTTTTTGAGACAGAGTCTCACTCTGTTGCCCAGGCTGGAGTGCAGTGGCGCAATCTCAGCTCACTGCAGCCTCCATTTCCCAGGCTCAAGCGATTCTCCTGCCTCAGCCTCCTGAGTAGCTGGGATTACAGATGCCAGCCACCATGCCTGGCTAACTTTTTGTATTTTTAGTAGAGATAAGTTTTCGCCATGTTGGCCAGGCTGGTCTCGAACTCCTGACCTGGTGATCCGCCCACCTCAGCCTCCCAAAGTGCTGGATTACAGCCTCTTATTATTTTTAAAATGCAACATACTAACTTTATTTAACAAAGGTAACAGAGTAACAGGTAAAGCACTTATCATGAGAGAAGAACTGACTGGAAGAAATGTTTGGAACACCATGCAGCTTCATCTCGCCAGGCACTGGGGCTGTCAAAAGCTCAGTGCAGCGCAGGGCTAGGGGGTCTGTACCTTCCTCAAGTGCTCACTGAATACCCCCCTTACATACACGTGTGTTAAATTTGAAAAAGATGTAATGGGGGCCAGGCACGGTGGCTCACACCTGTATACAATCCCAGCACTTTGGGAGGCCAAGGTGGGTGGATCACCTGAGGTCAGGAGTTTGAGACCAACCTGGCCAATGTGGCAAAACCCCGTCTCTACAAAAAATACAAAAATTAGCTGGGCGTGGTGGCGCACACCTGTAATCCCAGCTAGTTGAGAGGCCGAGATGGGAGAATTGCTTGAACCTGGGAGGTGGAGGTTGTAGTGAGCTGAGATTGTGCCACTGCACTCCAGCCTGGGCGACAGAGCGAGACTCTGTCTCACAAGAAAAAAAAAAAAAAAAAAAAGCCATAGAGTCCTCCCCAGGCCGCTGTGCTGGGGTCTCTTTCACCAGTCCCTCTGAAGGCCTCACAGCGGCCTCCAATTTTATGACCTCATCAGCAATGGTGCAATGAATGAACATCCTCTTAGTCCACAAGTGTGCATGTCTTTGAAGGCAGAGTCCTACGAGCAGAAGTGCTGCGTGCAGTGTTTTCTTCCATTTTTAATATTCTTAAGTCAGAAGAGCGACTTCCTGAAACACCCATCTCTTCACGGCACTTCTGTGCTGAAGTCCTTCCAAAAACCCTCTTCCAAGGAAAAGCCTAGAAAGGAGGCTGGACAGGGGGCAGGCAGTGATCAGTCAGCTCCCACCACTGCAGGCTGCAGGGGGCATGCCTATGCTGTGGGGCAGGAGGCTGGGCTGGGGACAGGGAGCCAGGCCACAAGAAATGAGGCAGAGGAGGTCCAGGAAGGTAACCACAGCACCATTTAGAGATGACGGGGCCGAACTTTAGAAAGACCATTCCGGGGGCCGGGTGTGGTGACTCATGCTGATAATCCCAGCACACTTTGGGAGGCCAAGGTGGGAGGATCGCTTGAGTACAGGAGTTCAAGACCAGCCTGGGCAACATGGTGAAACCACATCTCTACTAAAAATATTTTAAAAAATTAGTTGGGCACAGTGGTGTGCACCTGTATTCCAGCTACTCAGGAGGCTGAGGCAGGAGAATCACTTGGACCCGGGAGGTGGAGGTTGCAGTGAGCTGAGATTGCAGCACTGCACTCCAGCCTGGGCAACAGAATGAGACTCCATCAAAAACAAACAAAACTTTTTTTTTTTTGGTCCTTATTTACAATTGTGATGTTTTTTATGTTTTTCCTTTCCTTTTTTTTTATTATATTTTAAGTTCTAGGGTACATGTGCACTACGTGCAGGTTTGTTACACATGTATACATGTGCCATGTTGGTGTGCTGCATGCATTAACTCATCATTTACACTATATCTCCTAATGCTTTCCCTCCCCCCTCCCCCCACCCCACAACAGGCCCCAGTGTGTGGTATTCCCCTCCCTGTGTCCAAGTGTTCTCATTGTTCAATTCCCACCTATGAGTGAGAACATGCAGTGTTTGGTTTTTTGTTCTTGCAATAGTTTGCTGAGAATGATGGTTTCCAGCTTCATCTATGTCCTTACAAAGGACATGAACTCATCCTTTTTTATGGTTGCATAGTATTCCATGATGTATATGTGCCACATTTTCTTAATCCAGTCTATCACTGATGGACATTTGGGTTAGTTCCAAGTCTTTGCTATTGTGAATAGTGCTGTAATAAACATACATGTGCATGTGCCTTTATAGCAGCATGATTTATATTCCTTTGGGTATATACCCAGTAATGGGATGGCTGGGTCAAATGTTATTTCTAGTTTTCGATCCTTGAGGAATTGCCACACTGTCTTCCACAATGGTTGAACTAGTTTACAGTCCCACCAGCAGTGTAAAAGTGTTCCTATTTCTCCACATCCTCTCCAGCACCTGTTGTTTCCTGACTTTTTAATGATCGCCATTCTAACTGGTGTGAGAGGGTATCTCATTGTGGTTTTGATTTGCATTTCTCTGATGGCCAGTGATGATGAGCATTTTTTCGTGTGTCTGTTGGCTGCATAAATGTCTTCTTCTGAGAAGTGTCTGTTCATGTCCTTCGCCCACTTTTTGATGGGGTTGACAAACTTTTAAAAAGACTGTTCTGGCTGTATGGGCATGTTAGAGAAGGCTGAAAAGAGACAGCTGGGCAGGTGACAGTGCTGGTGGCTGATGCAGGGCTCAGCAGCAGGCAGAGTGTGGTGTGGGGTCTGGGCCTTCCTGAATCAGGAGGGACTAAGGGACGTCTCATGCCAGATGAAGCCAGACCGTGGTCATGAGGTCTGGAGGTGTAGATGTGGCAAACATCGCCAAGTTCCTGGTGACCTCTGAGAAAGCCACTCTTCTAGAGCCACCACTCCAGCAACGCGGGTTGAAGGGAGCACTGGGGGAGGGCAGGCACTTCCAGGGGAGGCCTCTTGATGATACCCTGGTCCCCTGGTGGCATCACCCGCCCTCCTCCTCCACAAAGAGAGGCAGTGCAGCCTGCTCCCCCAGGACTTGGTTTCTGCTCTCTAAGCCGATTCTGTCAGAAGGTGAGGCCCTGGTAGGTGGGGGCACAGGCCGGGGGCCTCCTAGGCCAGGCAGCACGCCCAGCCCTCGAGAAGGACCCATGGCCTGGATGGGTCCCTTTCCCAGCCCTTCGCCGCTGGGTTATATCTGAAATGCTCTGAAGTGTTTTTGGGGTGGCGGGAGGCAGGCAGTGAAGAGAGTACAAGCAATGGGCAGCCTTCCCAAAAGAGGAGCCAGGAAATCCCGGAGCTGGAAGCTTGGAAATTCAAGGAAGACAGTGTCTTGGGGAGGAGGAAGTTTCAGAGTAGTAAAGTCAGGTCCGATCGGGACAAAGAAATGCCTGCTGGATCCCATGGCCCGAGCAGATCAGCAGCGAGATGGGACGGCAGCGGGGCAAGGAGTCACTGGCTGAGAGTGGAGAAGCCAGTGTAGACGGCACCCTTGAGGAAGGAGGGTGACCAAGGTCAGGGAGGCTAATGAGAGGGGACACGGGGTCGAGAAAGGCTTCGGGGCAGTGTGGGCACTGTGGGGGAGACCTGGAGGCACAGCTGTGGGTACTCATGGAGGCTGAGAGGTGGGGCAGAACAGGGGAGGGGAGCCTCCTGCCTCAGCCCCATGAGGGAGCGTGGGACCCTGGGAAAGGCTCAGAGACGCCTGTGTGGGGCAGAAAGCCCGGGGTGTCGGGGTACGGGAGGGTGAGGTGGCCTCAGGGCTGTGTGGGGCAGGGAGCCCAGGGTGTTGGGGTGCAGGAGGGTGAGGTGGCATCAGGCCTGTGTGGGGCAGGGAGCCCGGGGTGTTGGGGTGCAGGAGGGTGAGATGGCCTCAGGCCTGTGTGGGGCAGGGAGCCCGGGGTGTCGGGGTGCAGGAGGGTGAGGTGGTCTCAGGGCTGTGTGGGGCAGGGGGCCCGGGGTGTCGGGGTACAGGAGGGTGAGGTGGCCTCAGGGTCGTGTGGGGCAGGGAGCCCGGGGTGTCGGGGCGCAGGAGGGTGAGGTGGCCTCAGGGCTGTGTGGGACAAGGATCCCGGGGTGTCGGGGTATGGGAGGGTGAAGTAGCTTCAACTTTCCATTAAGCTGCTGGCATCAGCTCCCCACACTGGGAGCGGGCTTAGGGAACCCCAAGCCTGGTGTGCAGCGTTTCGTTATCAGGTGAATCAGAACCGCTGGCTCCAGAGCTTGAGCCCCAGCCCCACTGGCAAATGGCCTCCCCCTGCCCACCTGGGGACTCTGGAAGCTTAGCTGAGTCCACGCAATTCACTTATACTGGATCTTGCAAGGACAAGGAAGTGTTTTATTTATTTACAACAAAAACATTTGTAACATAATTCTGTCTTCAAAACAGAGAACCCTACAAAATACACAAAGCAATCTCTATTGGTGTTGACTCAGGGACATTCGCAGCCGGAAGCAGGGCTGGGACTGGGAGGGAAGCCAAGGACTAATTCCGTCTAAAAAAACAAGAAACTGCCTTAAAAAAAGTAGCAGTGTTCTACTTGTCAGTAGCTGCGCTTTCCCCTCCCTTCTGTTACGAACACGGAAAACAGAAAACAGCACCTGTGAAAACACGTTTCAGCCGCGTCCATGAGAGATGCGGCCACAGGACATTCCAGCCCCTGCTCCTGGAAGGTGGCTGCCACGGCTGCGCTGGGAGCTCCCTTCCACTCCCCCAATGATGGAGAACCACAGCTCTCTCCCCTCGTTGGTAGGTGAAGAACCTGGGAATCAAACAGCCATTAAAAACATCTCAGGACTCAGCAGCTGCCACACGACGTCACAGTCACATGTGCTGAGGGCTAGCAGCTGAGGTCAGGGAAGGGCATGGCCGGTGACCACACAGGAGCCAAGAGACAGATGCCATCACCGTGTGGCCCTACTAGATGGGCTCTGGGAAACTTTTTTTTTTTTTTTTGAGACAGAGCCTTACTCTGTCACCCAGCTGGAGTGCAGTAGCACAGGCTCTGCTCACTGCAACCTCTGCCTCCCGGGTTCAAGTGATTCTCCTGCTTCAGCCTCCTGAGTAGCTGGGATTACAGGCACGCACCACCACGCCTGGATACTTTTTTTTGCATTTTTAGTAGAGACAGGATTTCGTCATGTTGGCCAGGCTGGTCTCGAATTCCTGACCTCAAGTGATCTGCCTGCCTCGGCCTCTCAAAGTGCTGGGATTACAGGCGTGAGCTACCCTTTCCCTTCTCTTTCCTCCCTACCCCAATACAACCAAAGGAGCCAGCACCTGAGAGAGGGAAGAGGAGGTGGGGTGTCAGGAACAGACCCCTTTCCAGTCAGACTTCCAGAACCACAGGCAACGGGACAGAAGTAAGTAAAGACTGAGGTGGTGCCAGGCGCATTGGCTCACACCTGTAATCAAAGCAGTTTGGGAGGCTGAGGCGGGCGGATCACTTGACATCAGTAGTTCGAGACCAGCCTAGCCAACATGATTAAACCCCATCTCTACTAAAAATACAAAAATTAGCCAGGCGTGGTGGCTGGTGCCTGTAATCCCAGCTACTTGGGAGACTAAGGCAAGGAGAATTGCTTATACCCGGGAGGCAGAGGTTGCAGTGAGCCAAGATCGCCTGAGTGACAGAGTGAGACTCCGTCTCAAAAAAAAAAAAAAAAAAAAAAACCAAACCAAACAAAAACAAACAAACATTTCCATAACATGATAAGAAAAAAATACAGCTCAGCCAAAGTCAGCATGGTGTTTAACGGTGGAGCGAGCAGCAGCTCCATTACGGTCATGAGGCACACCCATCGCTACTGTTCTAGAAGCATGCACCGCACCATCAGGCTCTGAATAAGACATGAGAGGAGGGCCAGGCACAGTGGCTCATGCCTGTAATCCCAGCACTTTGGGAGGCCAAGCTGGGGGGGATCACCTGAGGTCAGGAGTTCAAAATCAGCCTGGCCAACATGGTGAAACCTCGTTTCTACTAAAAATACAAAAATTAGCTGGGCGTGGTGGCAGGCACCTGTAATCCCAGCTACTCGGGAGGCTGAGGCAGGAGAATCGCTTGAACCCAGGAGGCAGAGGTTGCAGTGAGCCGAGATCACGCCACTGTACTCCAGCCTGGGTGACAAGAGTGAAACTCTGTCTTGTGAGGGGAAACAAAAAAGATACAAGAGGAGAAGACAAAATGACCATTACCGGCATATGGTATCACATACCTGATGCATGCAGTGAAACTGCTGATAGAACTCACAGAATTAATGACAGAGTTATCAAAAATAACTTAAAAACATCAGAAAGGTGTTTGGTTATAGAGAAACAATTAGGCAATTTACAGAAAGGCCACCTCAGTCTGGAAACATGTGAACAGAGACCTGGTCAGGGAACTGCTAATGCTAGTAATGAGATCCTATTTGAGATACACCAACCTGGCAAATATTAAAAAGTCTAGCAATCCAAATGATGGCAAAGCGACGGAATGGAATCTCTCAGACACTACCAAGAACAAACTGGTACAGCCACTGGAGAGGTCAGTTTAGCATGACCTAGTTCAGGCAAAGACACACCCATCACAACCAGTGATAGGACTTTGACTGTCACAGGAAAGTCAGGCGTGAGGATAGCTCCATGACCATGTTTCTGTGTGTCTATCTAATCTCTACCTACCTACCTGCCTACTAATCACTGTGAAAACCATTTCCATATCCTGACAGGATGGAATGCTATCCAGCCACTTCTTAAAAACGACGTAGTTCTCTTTGTGTTAACTTAGAAAACACTCAAAATGCAATAAAAATATATTCTAGTACAAAATGTATAATTCTTTTTGTGGACAAGTTACATATACACTCACTTTTTTTTTTTTTTTTTTTTTTTTTTTGAGACAGAGTCTTGCTCTGTCGCCCAGGCTGGAGTGCAGTGGCACGATCTCTGCTGTCTGCAAGCTCCGCCTCCCGGGTTCAAGCCACTTCCTTGCCTCAGCCTCCCGAGAAGCTGGGACCACAGGCGCCCGCTACCACACTCAGCTAATTTTTTGTATTTTTAGTAGAGACGGAGTTTCACTGTGTTAGCCAGGATGGTCTCGATCTCCTGACCTCGTGATCTGCCTGCTTCGGCCTCCCAAAGTACTGGGATTACAGGTGTGAGCCATCGCACCCGGCTGGCATGTGGCATTTTTATAATTCAAAATTAAGTACTACCAAAAAATTGGAGAGTGGGTACAGGAACAGCAGAAAGATGTTCACTGTCAAGCCTGGGTAATGATACATGGGTAGTGATCATGTTATCATTTTTTTTTTTTTACCTTTGGAGACGTTTGAAAATGTCCATAATGACAAGTTTAATAATAATCAAGTGAAAAAAGAAAGTTTTGATCTAGGGTGTGTCCCATGAAATGACTTTAGGAATAAGCCCTAAAATCAATATTCTCCAGGCATGAATGCAGATGGGGGGAGATCAACTTCAAGCTCCCTACAGACGAAGGGATCCCACGAGGTTCAGGTAGTTGAATTTTCAAATCGGAGCCAATAAAAAGTAACACTTTAGCATAAACGAGAATGCGCCAACATAGGAAAGCTCAGCTCACATTTCATTTTGAAAACCCAATACATGTATCGCACAGAGGTGCAAAGTCAGAAAAAAGCTGTATCCGTGGCTCAAGGAGAAATAAGTCCGGAGATCGACAAAGACAATGGCAGTCAGGCTGAGGCAGCGAACACAGACAAAGGTCCACAGCCGACTCCAGCTGAATCCATTCCTACGAACCAGGCTGCTTCCACGGCGGGTGGGCCCCAGGCCTCGGAAAAGGCACAGGGACTGTGAACTAGAAACCCAAGCAGCAATGCCAGTGGTGTCCACCATAATCGCACAACATAATAAGCAGTAATCAAAGAAGGGTGTGAAATGTAACAGAGAAGACAGAGGAGTGATGTAATCGCGGAGCCACGGGCTGGAGGCTGTAGAGCCCAGGATGTTTCTGTCGGAAATCGGAGGACAAAGAGCTGAGGATCAAGGCTCAGCAGGTGCCGTTCCCACGGTGGCGGTGGGTGTCGTGTGCCAGCCCTGCCTCGCAGCCCCAGCCTCAAGCACTTCCCTGTACCCTGCAACGGGGAACTAGAGTAAACTCAGCCATGAACATCATCTGGTGAGAAGACCCTGGAACCCTGCATGGGTCACTCAGCCCTTCAAAAACACTGATCAAAGTTATGGCTGCCTCTTCAAAATCCCAGCAGATGAACCAAGGCTGTACATAGTAAACGTGGAGAATGAAAGACCTTCCTGAAACCATTCAACTGGTTCCCCTTCCCAAAATGCATTACTCAGCCAATCTTAAGAACCTAATCTGGATATCTCCAAAAATATCAACTGAGGGGGAAAATTTTTTGAGGAGTCCTCACCCCTTGGGACTCTGCTGTGACACTCTGGCCAGCCCGCAAGGCGGCAGTCCTCCGGCCTGCTGGGTCCTCCACCTGCCCCTTCCACTCCTGCCAGGCGGCTTCTCAGAGCCAACCCTCATTGCAGGGACTCCCTGACCTGCTTCTCCCCACCCAACCTGTGGCCCTGGCTCTCTGGCGGCCACTCCATGCTGACTGCTGCACTTCCTGCAGCCACCCTCGTGCTCCACCAGCCCAGCTCTCTGCTCCTCCCTTGGCCACGTCCCTCTGCAGGGAGTGCGATTACTTCCCCACTGTCACAACTGGCCACCTAGTCCCATGAGAATGCGCATGGAGCTGAGTGGTCTGGAGCCCACCCTTTCCAGGCTGACATGGAATGAGAGCGCCTGCAGGTACCTCCCGGTTTTGGGGGTGGGCCAGGCCTCACAGCATGGCTCTGCTGCACTTCCTCCAACAACTGCAGCTCACCACCACCAGCTGCCACTGTGCTGTGATACATGGTCAAAGAAGGGTCAAAGTGCCATCCAAACTGCCACGCTTGTTTAAAAACAAGGTTTAGGGAGGCCAAGGCAGGAGGATCACTTTAGGCCAGGAGTCTGAGACCAGCCTGGCCTACATGGTAAAACCTCGTCTCTACTAAAAATAACAAAAATAAGCCGGGCGTGGTGGCGCACGCCTGTAATCCCAGCTACTGGGGAGGCTGAGGCAGAAGAATTGCTTGAACCTGGGAAGCAGAGGTTGCAGTGAGCTGAGGTCGTGCCACTGTGCTCCAGGCTGGGCAATAGAGCGAGACTTTGCCTCAAAAAAAAAAAAAAGAAGAAAAAAAGAAATACTGTGATAATTACCAAAATGTAAATCAGAGAAATAAATTCAGCACATGCTGTTGGAAAAATGGCACCAACGGACTTGCTTGATGTGGGGTTGTAGCAAACCTAGCATTTGTTAACAATGTAAACAGTACAGCAACCCTCAAGTGCAGTAAACAAACAGCAGAAAGATGAGGTGAGCTGTGTCCATCAGGCCCCAGCCACCAGAAGGGAGCACGAGAAAGGAAATGTTCTGAAAGACGGCTGTCAGGATGATCTCATCTGGGACGGAAAGGATTAAGCCGAGAATGCTGAGGATGCAGAGTGCTGAGTTATCTCTGCATTGGCAAGATGTGTAGTCCCTCACAGATGCTGATCTGTAACAGAGTATGAGAGATGGGAAAATGCCCCCCAAGATATCCTTGTTCCAATTCCCGGAACCCACGAATACATTACCATACATGGCAGAAGGGATTCTGTGGTTAAATGAAGGATCTTGAGCTGGGCGATTATCTTGGTCAGCCCAATGTAATCAGATCCTCGTAAAAGGGAGGCAGGAGGGTCAGAAAAAGGAGGAGACAAAATGACAGAAGCAGAGGGGAGAGAGGGGCTGAATGAGAGATTCACAGAGAGGGTGAGAGAGAGGGAGAGACAGAAAGGGAGAGAGGGAGAAATATTGGAAGATATCATGCCGCTGTCTTTGAAGAAGAGGAAGGGGCCACTAGCCAAGAAATGCAGGCAGCCTCTCTAGGCCATTTCTTGGAGAAGCAAAAGGAAGTTAGTGCAGATTTGCTCGCATTCATGGCCATGATATTCAGCTCACCAAAAAAATGAAGCTGTATGACCTCAGGATGCCAAACATCCTGGAGATGCCCCTCTGTCTGCCTCTTGCTGCCTTTTCTGTTTGGACTGATGCTGACAATGACTGCTGTGGGTGCCCTCACAGTGACGGCAGACCACATCCTTCTCACCTTGTGAATGTCTGAGTGACCTCTGAGCTAGAGAGAACTTTTGCTCATAGCTCTTCACTTATCTATTAGATTTGAAAACCCTTCTCTGGATTCTTGAACCTCTGAGGCTCACCCCAGTTCATCTCAGCTTCACCCTGGGTCGGTGGCTGCTTGGGAGCGTAGGGGAGCATCAAAAGTATGACAGTCAATAACAGCTACAACCAAAGGTCTTGAGAACAGGATCAGCACCTGCAGAATGGGGGTCAGCCAGCAAAGCTGGCGGGGACTCATGCTCTCCCTAGAAGGTACAAGGCACTGGCTTGATGTCAATTCCTTATTGCTTAGGCTCACTTCTTTCACTCACTACCTGTACACTTAATTATCCAGGTTGGTGTTTGGGATTATGTATGCTTGGAGGCAGGGCTTATGCACCTAATGAACGCAAGAAATTAAAAACAGACTAAGCCGATATCTGACGGTCTTCATGAAGCATAAACAACTCCACAGTGATCTTAAAGATGTGACTGCTCCATGGCTGGGCGCGGTGGCTCATGCCTATAATCCCAGCACTCTGGGAGGCCGAGGCAGGAGGATCGCTTGAGGCCAGGAGATCGAGATCAGCCTAGGAAATATAATGAGACCCCATCTTACAAAATAAAAAAAATCAGCAGGGCATGCTGGCACACACTTGTAGTCCCAGCTACTCAAGAAGCTGAGGCAGGAGGACTGCCTGAGCCCAGGAGGCTGCAGTGAGCTATAACTGCACCACTGCACTCTAGCCTGAGTAACATAGGAGACCTTGTTTCTCTTTTAAAATAAAAAAGTGATTCAGCTTCACCCTGCAGACAATGCAACCAAGGCCCAGAGAGGTGAAATGACTTGGCTAATGTCATAGCAAGAGATGAAACTGAGGATCCAAATGTTCTGTCTTTCAACCCCATCATGAATCATAAAGGGCACTTCCATGATTGTGGACGATCAGCAAAAGGAACCCAGTTATCTCCAGGATTGAACTTAGTAGCTGTCATTCGTACCTCATCCGCAAAGAACACAGAATCCACAACAGTAAATCTTAGCAGGAAGCAGGGTTGAGGCCTATTACGGCTGCCAAGAGAGGATGTGGAGAGGGAATGAAGGGCCAAAGCAACCCTTCCAGAGGAAATGCCTTCCCAGGAAGGGGTATGATGAAAAGGCAGCCACCGAAGTTGAGGTATTTATAGCCACACAACAAAGGGATGACTTCAGGGACACCTCCAGAGCTGGGAGAAAAGGCACTTCACAGGTACGTGGAAGATTAAGAGCCCAGGTCACACAGTTTGCCTGGAACAGGGCATGGCCTTCATCTGACAATAAGAGAATGCCTTCCTGGCCCAGATGCCCGGCAGAAGATGCAACGCCATTTAGAGGAGGGGAAAAAAAAAAGTAGAGGCATAGGGAAGGAAAGTCAGAAAAATTAATTACAAAAATTGCCAGGTGCGGTGGCTCACGCCTGTAATCCCAGCACGTTGGGAGGCTGAGGCGGATGAATCACTTGAGGTTAGGAGTTCGAGACCAGCCTGGCCAACATGGTGAAACCCCGTCTCTACCAAAACTACAAAATTTAGCTGGGAGTGGTAGCGCATGTCTGTGGCGAACGTTGCAGTGAGCTGAGATCGCGCCACTGTACTCCAGCCTGGGTGACAGAGCAAGACTCCATCTAAAAAAATTAAGGAAAAAAAAATAATTACAAAAATATATTTAAACAAGTCTTTATTCAGGACTCAGCAGTGTCTCACTGGATGCACGAAGTAACTTTGAGAGACTCACCACTAGATATTTCTTAATCTCTTTGGGAAGAAGGGGATCAAACAGATTCCCTGCCTAGATCCAGTCACATACCGAGAGAGATGATGATCTGCTCCCGGGGTTTCCTGGCAACTGAGCAGGACAGCCGGGTCACAGGAAAGCTATTTTGGAACCAGGGAACCCCTGGCCCCAGAGGCCTCCTGTGGCCTCGGCATTGGCACTGGGCTGAGGGCCCGCTGCTCCGGGGCTCACCTCAGGCCAGCTCTGAGCCAGGACCAAATCCCAGAATCTCGACCAACCAGAGAGTACTCTCCACAACCTTGCCTTTACTTCCACTTGGGCCTCCTGACTTTCCAGAAAACATTGTTTTTAGTCTGTTAAGATCCTCTTTCCCCAAGGCTGGCCAAGTAGCAGGGCTCAATACTCTACAGCCCAAAGGCTTCAGCTTCTCTTCAACGGAAAAAGCAAAGGAGGGGGGAATTTCCTCAACATCTGAGAGAAGGATAAAAGTGCATGGCCGCTTCGGGGTCACGCACCACCTGAATACAGCAGCTGAATATGTTTGAGGCTTCAGGCATCATCTGGGGCTTAACATTTCAAATCCAATGAAAACACTCAGTTGTTTATACACACAGAGGCCTCCTCAGGGAAAGGGTCCTGGTTCTCTAAGCTTTACTCCTTCCCCAATCTGAGGCAGAAACAATCATTCTTCCTCACAAGAATGTCAGGAAAGTTAAGTGGGTTTACAGACATGATAAAGCACTAAAGACAGGGGATGACACTTCCACTCTGGGCCCACATGACGATGGACTGGACTCTTTATTCATGGCTACATGGGATTCTAGTAATATGCCAGTACCTCTTAAGCTGCACATCGTTTTGCTATTAAGGGGTCTGTGGCCGGACAGCAGGGGGTGGACTGTGACATAGTCAGAAATATATATTTGGTCTCTATCCATTTCCTGACACACAGTTCCTAAAACCCCCAGAATCTCTGAAATGATGGGTGTTTCTTTGTATGCTAATGACATGACTGGTGGCTGGGGATTCTCGGACAGCCTCAGAATGGGGGCTGGTTGCCAGGGAACCAACCATGGGACAAGGGAAGGGCCGAAGCAACCTTCAACTGGCAATCACCAATGGCCAACCATTCAACCAATTGTGCCAGAAAGAACAGGGTTTGGAGAGCTTCCAGGCTGCTGAACACGTGTGGGTGCTGGCGCATCCCTTCCCTCACACCATGCCCTGTGCGCCACCCCATGTGGCTCTTCATCTTTTTTTTTTTTTTTTTTTTTTTTTGAGACGGAGTCTTGCTCTGTTGCCAGGCTGGAGTGCAGTGGTGCAATCTGACCTCACTGCAACTTCTGCCTCCTGGGTTCAAGAGATTCTCCTGCCTCAGCCTCCCAAGTAGCTGGGACTACAGATGTGCGCCACCACGCCTGTATTTTTTTTTTTTTTTTTTTTTGTATTTTAGTAGAGACGGGGTTTCACCATGTTGGCCAGGATGGTCTCGATCTTCTGACCTCGTGATCCGCCTGCCTCGGCCTCCCAAAGTGCTGGGATTACAGGCGTGAGCCACTGCACCTGGCCTTTTTATTTATTTTTTGAGATGGAGTTTCGTTCTTGTTGCCCAGGCTGGAGCGCAGTGGTGTGCAGCTTACCGCAACCTCCACCTCCTGGGTTCAAGCGATTCTCCTACCTCAGCCTCCCAAGTAGCTGGGATTACAGGCATGTGCCACCACGCCTGGCTAATTTTGCATTTTTAGTAGAGACGGGGTTTCTCCACATTGGTCAGGCTGGTCTCGAACTCCTGACCTCAGGTGATCTACCTGCCTCAGCCTCCCAAAGTGCTGGGATTACAGGCGTGAGCCACCCTACCTGGCCACCCTTTTTAAATTTTTTTTTTTGGGACAGGGTCTCACTCTGTCACCCAGACTGGAGTGCAGTGGCGTGATCTGGGTTCACTGCAGCCTTGACTTTTCAGGCTCCAGCAATCCTCCTGCCTTAGCCTCCCAAGTAGCTGGGACCACGGGCACACACCACCACATCCAGGTAATTTTGGCATTTTTGGTAGAGAAGGAGTTTCACCATGTTGCCCAGGCTGGTCTTTAACTCCTGACCTCAAGCGATCTGCCCACCTTGGCCTCCCGAAATGCTGGGATTACAGGCCTCAGCCACCATGTCTGGCCCATTTGTATCCTTTTAAAAACCTCTGTAATAAACTAGTGACTATAAGTAGGTGTTTCTGAGTTCTGAGCACCATTCCAGATGACTCAACCCAAAGGAACAGGTATGGGAACCTCTGATGTATAACCAGTTAGTAAGAAGCACAGGGACAACCTGGAATTGTCACTGGAGTCTGAAATGGGGTCAGTCTTGTGGAAATGAGCCCTTAACCTGTGGAGTATGCACTAAGTCCAGGTCAAGTGTCAGAGCTGTAATGTAGGACACTGAGCTGCTTTCAGAATTGGTTGGTGTGGGGAAAATCCCTACATGTCTGGTGTCAGAAGTGAAATGTTCTGGAAGTCCTGAGTGTTGCGAAGGAGAGTATAGAAGGAAATAGGCTTCCCTGCTATACAGGGAGGATGTGGACGGAAGCCTAGAAGGAAACCTTGGCTTTACCTTGGTAATTGTTAAAGCCAGACGTTGAGCACATCGGGGAATCTTAGTATTATTCGTTATGTAACTTTGAGATTTTTCAAAGAAGGGGGGGAAAGGTGTGGCATTATGAAAAAGACAAATCTGAGAAGAGCTCTTAGATTCAAATATTTGATTGATGAAATGAAGATGGAAGAGTTGGAAAATTAAGAACATTTCACAAGGGAGAAAAAAAAGATTTTAAGGAGACAGAATAGAAGGAGGTCCAACTTCCAGTCAATAGGTGTCCCATAACAAGATGACAGGGAATAACGAGGAAGACGTGATTTAAGAAATAGTATAGAGGAATTTCTCGGCTCTTAAAAGCTTAAGCCTCTAGAAGTAAGGGACCTATCTAAAGGACTTGAGCAACAGGGAGTACCTGGACATGCTACTGTGTAATTTTAGATGAATCAAGAATAAACAGATATGGCTGGGTGCTGTGCTCACGCTCATAATTTCAGCACTCTGGAAGGCCAAGGAGGGAGGATCACTTGAGCCCAGGAGTTCCAGACCAGCCTGGGCAACATGGTGAGACCCTGTCGCAACAAAAAATAAAAAAATTAGCTGGACGTGGTGGCACATGCCTGTGGTCCCAGCTGCTCAGGAGGCTGGGGAGGGAGAATTGCTAGAGCCTGGGAAGTTGAGGCTGCAGTGAGCTATGATCATGCCACTGCACCCCAGCCTGGGTGACAGAGCGAGACTCTGTCTCTAAAAACAAAGTGGAGCACAAGAAATACTGTCTTTAGCTGTATGAAGCCAAGAACATCAGTATTGAATTATTTTTGTTATAATAATCTAACAGAGGATCTACAAGTAGTAATGTAAGAGAAGAAAGAGTTATATTATAGCAGGAAGTCAACAGATAAATATCCAAAACATAAATCAAGAAGTGGTAATAGAAACATAGTATTGAGCCCTGTGGAAGACTCTCCAGAAGAAACTGAAATTCAGTTCGGGTTCCCTGTGTATATGCAGCGTTTGACTCTGGCTCTATCACTTAGGAGCTCTGCAACCTTGGCAATTACATAGCTTCTTCACATCTAATTCATCAACTGTAAAATGGGGATCATATCTACATTATGCAGATCTTACATTAAAAATATTAACACATGTGAAACATGTAGAAGAATACCTGGCATTTAAAATATGAATAAAAATTTTGACCAAAATTAATAAAAATACACTAAGAAAACAGTATAAATGCTAGGCAATACTAGCAAAACAACCTAGAAGAAAAATGTTATGATAAACCAAGAGCAAAAGAATGAAAGCCACGCGTAGGTAAGCTGACCGTGTGGGTGGTCACCTCGCCCTGCACCCCTGGTCCTGCCAGGTAACCCAAGACTCCCTCAAGTTCTGGCCGCCCCTCATGGAGTTTTCCCAGTCACTCCTGGTACATGGGGACCAGCCCTGGACTCCTGGTTCTGGCCTCTGCCCACCCACCTCTGTTAGCAGATGGCTGACATGTCACTAAAGCTGCCCTCCTCCACAATCAGTAACTTCGGTTAGGGCATCTTCAGCCCCTCAGGCACTATGGTCATGCTCCCTCAGGTAAGGTCTGGTTTGTCAGGAGAACTCTTCACAGAGAATACCCTCCTGTCAGTTCCAGATGGGAGGCCGCATACTCCTGCCACCCTTCCGCTCTTGCCAGTAGGTTCACGTCCAGGCTGCCATCACCTCTTACTCAGACACCTGCCACCTGATGGTCCTGCCACTTTAAATGTGTCCCCACGCTGCCCCTTTAGCCCCTCAGAGCAGCTCAGCTCTGGCCAGGTCTTCTCCTCCTCTATAATGCCCTATAGAATGCCACCCACATTCCAAGGAGGCCCCAAATGAAAGGACAATATCAGGACCTCTCACAACTCCCTCCTGGGGCCCCTTGGGCCCATGCCCCAGGCCTAGCTCAGCAAAGCCTCTTTCTGATCAGGGGTGCTCCCTCACAGCCCACTCTTGAACACTGTGATTTAATGGACTTATCTTGTTGTCCCTGTTTAGACCCCCAATCCCTGCAGGTCAGGGCTGCAGAAGTGGTACTGGAACTCTCTCTATATGCCACATAGCATCTAGAGTGCCCACCAACAGTCGGCTCCCCACAGGGATGGCAGGAGACAGTGTGAAGGCGGGCCACGCGGGGCAGGGCAGGCATGGCTTTCCCCCATTCGGAACACTTTCCTCTGGCAGCCATTCCTTGCATTTGGTATGTTTGGGAACAGCAGGCAACAAAATCTGTCTGCTCTTGAACGAGGCCCCTCCTGCTACTTCCTTTCCTCGGGTGGTGTTTTTTGATGCTAAGTATAGGATGTCATATTTCATCTCTGCTGTGTGCCTTGGGGATGGGAGCTGCTACCTCTGCCTTGAAGGTCTGCAATTACCTGATGGTAAAAACGACCAGGAAGGTGATCTAATTTCTCCCTTTAACCACCTCTCAGGCCCTCCAGCTCTGCTCGGATAGACCCTAACAGGGACTGCACCAGCTCCCGAGATGCCCCACAGCCCCGTGGAACAAAGTGGAGTGGCCCGGGAACAGATGTTTCCCCAAAAGCAGTCAAAAGTGGCCCCTTCCACTGTGTACTCCATGGTGGGAGAACTCATGGCAGGACATTTGACTGGTAAATCTCCTATCAGGTCAGATTCTGTCTTCCTATTGTGTCAGCTTACTGGTGCTGACCTTTGGAAACCACAGAACAAATTTCACCTGTTGTATGTTAACCATTTAAATGCCTGAAAATAGCTATAGAGCTCCCTTCACAGCTCCTTTCCAGACACAGTAAAATGATCACAAGGGCCTCAGATACCAGCATGTCAGGATAGGAAGGACAAAACACAAACTCCCATTCATGGGGTTCTACATACCCCCAACCAGGCCGGAGTCCTGCCCAGGATCTTTCAAACTGAAGAGTTATGTTTGGGGCAGGAAGAGGAGGGACTTTTAGGGTACAGAACTCTCACTCCATTAGGGAGGAGGTTGCAGAAAGGGATGTATGGGCACTCCCTACAGGGGGAGAAAACAAAGCCGAGGGGAGACTGAGTCCCTAAGGCCCTCAGAGCTGCCTGGTCACTGTCTGCCCAAGGACTGCCAAACTCCTCCTCAACTCTGTGAGCCACTCCCAGGACCCCTTCTGCAAATCTTTTTTTTTTTTTTTTTTTTTCTGGCTGATGCTAAAGATAGGTTTCTGTCCCTGGCAATACCAAGGGTCCAACAGCCAATCCCAGAGCCAGCCTGGAGGATGTTTTATTAGAGGCTGGTCTGTTGCTTCGGCTATTTCACACTTAGTCCAACCAACATTTCCTGAGCACCAATCGTGCACCTGGCATGGCTCCAGAAGCTAGAAAATGCAAAGATGGAAAAGGCATACTGTCTACTATAGTCAGAGGCTTAGAGCACATAACTAATACTTAAGAGAACACTCATTCCTCCAGAAGTAATCTTACAAGTCAGTGGTATCTAACATCTAAGATGAAAAGAACAAAAGTTAAAATTGTCCTAAGCCAGGTGCAGTGGCTCAGGCCTGTAATCCCAGCACTTTGGGAGGCCAAGGCGGGAGGACCACCTGAGGTCAGGAGTTTGAGACCAGCCTGACCAATATGGTGAAACCCTGTCTCTACTAAAAATACAAAAATTAGCCAGGCGTGGTGGCTCACACCTGCAGTCCCAGCTACTCGGGAGGCTGAGGCAGGAGGATCACTTGAATCTGGGAGGCAGAGGCTGCAGTGAGCCAAGATTGTGCCATTGCACTCCAGCCTGGGTGACAGAGGGAGACCCTTAAAAAAAAAAAAATTGTCCTGGTTAGTGACAACTAGGTTGTCAAGATGACTGGATTTTTAGCTTCTTTTAAATGACTAGGCCTCAAATACTACAGAAAAAAAGGGGAGCAGGGAGAGCAAAGACACAAAAGCTAAAACTTATCACAACTGTGACAGCAGTGGCAATATGACAGTGGTGGCTACTTTAGAACACAAATACAGTCATTGCTGATGGTAAGATAAATGCTGGAGTTGGAAATCTGGGGGAAAGCATCTGAAGATCAGCAGCCTCCAGTCCTACAGACTGAAAAGGCTGGGAAGCAAACATGATGGCGAGGAAAACTGCTGCCCAGCTGGGCTGCCCAAGCCCTTGTCTGGGATGGACCCTGGCAGACCTGGGTCTTCATTCATGACAGGACTTGTGGGGTCACAGTCCAAAATGTTTGGCAAACAGTCACTGCCCTTCATTTTTACTGGATACTAGAAGTGACCAAACAAGGGAAGTCCTCTGGCTCACATCTCAGTTCTGAAGACCTGCAAATATGTACTCCAAAGGCCACTGAAAGACCTGAAGGCCAGGGTTCACATGGCCAGCATCAGTGACGAAGGCAACATTTACCTGTGATGCTGGTGGGCGCATCTGAAAGTGCAGATAGCAGCAGTTTATGGACCGCTATGAAAATGTCGGGGATGAATAGGCCTTTTCACTGCCTCCTCCTCTCAAGCCCCTTTTGTAGGGAGATGGAGGAAGCAACAAAGGAGAGATTTATCACCATGAGCCCGTTCAGCAGCTGTTTTCTTGTTGTTCCTTGTTTGACTTCTCCGAGAGAGCAGAGTTATCTGTGCAGCTAAGCAGGTGTTTCAGGCAGGTGATTTTGTTTCCATTAATTTTATTAAATAGTAGACCAGACTGGAGGGTTCAGACTGGAGGGTTATCTCATGTGCTTGGGAACTCCCGCCCTGTGCCTGCAAAATTACTAGGTGTGATCTTGGGAGGAATGCTATATTCCGCTCCCTGTTGCTTTCAGCATCTTCAAATCTCTAAGTCTAATAGAAAGTAGAATTTAAGAGCCACAGCCCATCCCCACCCTGCGATCTTGTCTGCTTTAGTAATGTGTTAGAGACACAGTCAAGTTGGAGGCTTTCGAGTTCTCAGGAGAAAGAAGATGAACAGAAGCTTGACACGTCAAAGCCCAGCTCTATCAACCATCACATTCATGACTCTACTCAGTCTCATGTTCCAAGCAACTGCAAGGAGAGTTTCACATAAAACATGAAAAAAAAAGGTTTTTTAAAAAATAAATTTAGGCTGAGCGCCACGGCTCACAGCTGTAATCTCGGCTACTCAGGAGGCTGAGGCAGAAGAATCGCTTGAACCTGGGAGGCGGAGCTTGCAGTGAGCTGAGATCGCACCACTGCACTCCAGCCTGGGCAACAGAGTGAGACTCTGCCTCAAACAAACAAACAAACAAATAAATAAATAAATAGCTCAAGGCCCCCTGAACCTATACATTTAACCCACAGGTCTGGGCGAACTTTCTTCTCACGGGAAAGGTAGGCGTGCAGCACGTGCATCCTGCACTACCGTTGTGTTGTTCTTTACAGCAAGGAACTTGTCTACCCCTCGTCCACCCTCAGCTGCAGACAGCCACCATTCACTTGGGGGTGGAGGAGAGCAGCACGCTTCTCCATCCGGAAGCCTGTGTGCCACCCTGGCCCTTTGATTACCTTCAACTTTCTCCTGCTGTAGAACCATCGCCACAGGGCGCGAACATGCGGTGCCACATTTCTTTCTCTTTATCCACATAGTCCCTGTAACAGCTGGAGAGGGAAATACACACTTGTTAGAGGAGGTCTGTGTTTGGAGGAGGTGACATCTGGTGGCTGGAATTCTCCACTCACATCCAGAAACACTGAAAATTTATCAGGACTCAAACTGAGTTGGGAGGGATGGAAGTAAGCTGGAGAGGTGGGGAGGCAGGGAAGGCTCCCACAGCTGGCCAAGGAGCCAAGCCCCTGGACAAAACCCCCTAACTGGAAAGGACAGCTGCCTTGAAGGGCAGGTGCCTCTGGCCACCAGGCTCCGGGCTGAGTCTCGCCAAACGACCCCTCACCCTCAGCAGCCTCTAACCTCTCCTGATTTTCTCACTAAAGAATGACCAGATCTGACAGGATACTTTTAAATACCAGAAAGGAAATTGCTGGCAAGTCCTAAAAGGCTTGAAATGTAACCTAAGAGATACTCACATCTCAGACACTAATGCCAAGCAAGCTTTAACTAGCAATCTGGACCGAATGTTTAATATTAAGACAAGTAGAGAATTTCACCATTACAGAAGAAGATATACCTTAAAAACCATGGACCTATTACCAAGTGATGGAGTTATGGGGGACTCCTATTTATAGGTAGACATTTTCAAGGTTTTCTACAATGGACACAAAACTTCTATAATGAGAAAAAATTACATCACTAAAAGACTGGTGTGCTTAGTCACGTGGGTAACAAGGAGGTCAATCCATGGGTATGAGTCAGACCCGAAACGCCTGTTTCTGGTCACATGAGGACCTACGAGGGGCCTTTCTGCACTTGGTTAGGAGCAGTGGTTCTTGGTGGAGCACGCAGGGAAGAGCGCACCAGAAGACTCTTTTTAAGTGACACCGGGGCCAGTTGTGGTGGCTTGTGCCTGTAATCCCAGCACTTTGGAAGGACGAGGTGGGGGGATCACCTGAGGTCAGGAGTTTGAGACCAGCCTGGTCAACACGGTGAAACCCTGTCTCAACTAAAATACAAAAACAATTAGCCAGATGTGGTGGTACACGCCTGTAATCCCAGCTACCTTGGAGGCTGAGACAGGAGAATCGTCTGAACTCGGGACGCGGAGGTTGCAGTGAGCCGAGATCATGCCATTGCCCTATAGCCTAGGTGACAGAGAGGGACTCCATCTCAAAAAAAAAAAAAAAAAGTGACACCCTCCCACCTCTCTAGGGGTTGTTTATTTGCGGTAGGGGAAACAGAAAGGTGGGCGATGATGGAGATGTATAGTCTGGCAGTCTGTCTCACCTGCTTGCTGGGAACTGCTGGTGCAGCGCACGGCCGAGCACTTCAGAAACCCAGCTGTAGAGGGGGCGGCCTCCTAACACTCTGGGCAACACCGCCAGACTGTCCTTTGTTGGGGGGGGTGGGGGGACAGACCAGAGTCACAACCCCACCCATCTCTCTTCATGCTCCTGCAAACACAGCTCACCTAGCCAGTTTCTTCAGCTCATTATTGATGTCATGATTGAAGGGTTGCTCCTTCTGGGCTCGAACTAGAAAATCCCGGGCCTTTTGATACTCAGTCAGGAGAAGACAAGCCTGTCCCAAGGAGAGAACTTTAAAAGCACAGTTAGAAAAGATATCATTTGGCTGGGCACGGTGGCTCATGCCTGTAATCCCAGCACTTTGGGAGGCCAAGGCGGGCGGATCAACTGAGGTCAGGGATTCCAGACCAGCCTGGCCAACACGGCAAAACCCTATCTCTACTAAAACTACAAAAATTAGCTGGGTGTGATGGCGCATGCCTGTAATCCCAGCTACTTGAGAGGCTGAGGCAGGAAAATTGCTTGAAGCCAGGAAGCGGAGGTTGCAGCGAGCCGAATTTGCGCCACTGCACTCCATCCTGGGCAACAAGAGCAAAACTCTGTCTAAAAAAAAAAAAAAAAAAAAAAAAGACAGCATTTTTGCAGTAGCTGAGTTGAGCACTGCTACTACCTTTTCCTGGGTGTTTATTCCCAAGTCACTGGCTTCCAACTCACCTGTCCACACCTGAAGAGGGCCTTGGCATTCTTTTGGTCAATGATCAAAGCCTGCTCTCCATAGCACAGGGCTATGGTGGGTCGGTCTAGCTTCAGGTATGTAAAGGACAGGTTCAGGAGAACAGGAAGCTTGGCGGCCTCCACCAGGTGCTGCTCTTCAGGGGGTGCTGATCGCCGGCGCAGAAGCAATAGGGCCTGTGGAGAGGGAAGGCAGATGGTCAAGAGGAGTAACAGTCTTATGTACAAAACCCTAAAGAATCCACACGCAAAAACTATCAGAGCTAAAAATCGGCTGTTACAGGTTGCAAGACACAAGATCAACATAAGAAGTCAGGTATATTTCTTTTTTCTTCTTTTTTCAGACGGAGTCTTGTTCTGTCGCCAGGCTGGAGTGATCTCAGCTCACTGCAACCTCCGCCTTCTGAGTAGCTGGGACTACAGGTGTGCACCACCATGCCCGGCTAATTTTTTCATATTTTAATATGACCATTTTGGCCAGGATGGTCTCGATCTCCTGACCTCGTGATCCACCTGCCTCAGCCTCCCAAAGTGTTGGGATTACAGGCGTGAGCCACCATGCCCGGCCAAAAGTCAGGTATATTTCTATGCTCTAGCAACGAACTACCCAAAAATGAAATTAAGAAAACAACTCCATTTACAATAGCATCAAAAAGAATACAGTAAGTAGCAATAAACTTAAAACAACTGAAAGACTTGCACACTGAAAACTACAAAATGGTTGTTGAAAGAAATTAAAGATGATTCAAATAAAATGGAAAAATATCTCATGTTCATTAATTGGAAGACAATATTAAGATGGTAATATTTTCCTAACTGGTCAACATATTCATGCAACCCTACCAAAATTTCAACAGCCTTTTTTGTAGACACAGACAAGTTGATTAGATAATTCATATGGTGGCCAGGCACAGTGGCTCATGCCTGTAATCCCAGCACTTTGGGAGGCTGAGGCGGGCAGATCACCTGAGGTCGGGAGTTCGAGACCCGTCTGGCCAACATGGTGAAACCCCATCTCTACTAAAAATACGAAATCAGCTGGGTGTGGTGGCAGGTGCCTGTAATTCCAGCTACATTGGAGGCTGAGGCAGGAGAATCACTTGAACATGGGAGGCGGAGGTTGTGGTGAACCGAGACCACACCACTGCACTCCAGCCTAGGTGACAGTGCAAGACTCCACCTCAAAAAAAAAAAAAAAAAAAGAGTCACATGGAAATTCAAAGGACCCTGAATAGCCAAAATACTCTTGAGAAAGGACAAAGCTGGAGAACTCATATTTCCCATTTCAAAACTTACTAAAAGACAAAAAATAAACAAAAAACACGAAACTTCCTAAAGCTACAGTAATTACGCCAGTGTAGCACCGGCATAAGGACAGACATGTAGATCAATGAAATTGAACACAGAGTCCAGAAATAGATTTATATATCTACAGTCAACTGATTTTCAATAAGGGTGTCCAGACCATTCAATGGGAGAGAACTGTCTTTTCAACAAATAATGCTGGGACGAGAGACTATCAACATGCAAAAGAATGTTTACCTTGCACTAGATGCAAAAATTAACTAAAGTGGAGCATAGCCCTAAAAGTAGGAGTTAAAACTCTAAGACTCTGCGCTGGCTTCGGCAGCACATATACTAAAAATTGGAAAGACAGGGAGAAGATCGCATGGCCCCTGTGCAAAGATGACATGCAAATTCATAAAGCATTTCATATATTTTTTTAAAAAACTATCAGACTTTAGAAGTACAAATAGGTGTAAATTTTTGTGACCCTGGATTAGAAAATGGTTTCTTAGATATAACACCAAAAGCACAAATAAGCAAAGAATTAGACTTCATCAAAATGTAAAACTTTTGTGTTTCAATGGACACTGCAAAGAAAGTGCAGACAGCCCACAGAACAGCATAGAGCATTTGCGCATCCTGTGTTTGTTGAGGGTGTAGTATCCAGAGCACAGCAGCAACATTTACTCCTCAGTACAAAGACAGATGACCCAACTTTCAGATATGCATAGACTCCGAATAGACATTTTTCCAAAGAAGATAGACAAATAGTCATTAAATGCATGAAAATATGTCCAATGTCATCAGTCATCAGGGAAATGCAAATCAAAACCACAGTGAGATACCACTTCACATCCGCTAAGATGCCTAACTTTAAAAATATAAAATAAGTGTTGGTGAAGATGTGGAGAAATTGGAAGCTTCGCACATTACTCGTGGGAATGTAAGATGGTACAGCTGCTGTAGGAAGCAGTTTGGCAGTTCCTCAAAAATTTTGACAGTTCCCACACAATCCAGCAATTGCACTCCTAGGCACATACCCAAGAAAACTGAAAACGTGTTCACACGACAACTTGTACATAAACGCTCACTGCATCAGTCATAATAATCACGAAGTGGAAACAACCCACATGTCCAACTGATGAATGGACAAAAAGCAGCAGAGCCATCCAACGGAAAAGTAGCCTTACAAAAGAACGAGGGTCCGGGTGCGGTGGCTCATGCCTGTAATCCCAGCACTTTGGGAGGCTGAGGTGGGCGGATCATCTGAGGTCAGAAGTTCAAGACCAGCCTGGCCAACATGGTGACACCCTGTCTCTACTAAAAATACAAAAATTAGCCAGGTGTGGTGGCAGGTGCCTGTAATCCCAGCTACTTGGGAGGCTGAGGCAGGAGAATCGCTTGAACCTGGGAGGCAGAGGTTGCAGTGAGCCGAGATCGTGCCACTGCACTCCAGCCTGGGCAACAGGGACTCTGTCTCATAAAAAACAAAAAACAAAAAAAGAATGAGGTTTGTACAAGCTACAACATGGATAAACCTCAAAAACATGCTAAGTGAAATAAGACAGCCACAAAATGACACATATTTGACAATTCTAGTTACAAAATATGTCCTGAATAGGCAAATCCATAGAAACAAAGGAGAACAGAGGCTATCTGAGGCCAAAGAATTGTGAGTTTCATTTCGGGGTGAGGAAAATGTTCTGGAATTAGATAGTGGCAATGGCTGCACAACTTTGTGAATATACTAAAAACCACTGAATTGGACACTTTAAAAGCACACATTTTATGGTATGTGAATCATATCTCAACAACAAGAAAAAAAATAGTAAAACAAAAAAAAATGGATGAAGGCAGAGCCTGCACTCCCTGGAACTCCATTTGGAAGGTGCAAGTAGAATGGAAGAACTGGAAGGCCGGACACGATGGCTCACACCTGGAATCCCAGCACTTTGGGAGACCGAGGCGGGCGGATCACCTGAGGTCAGGAGTTCAAGATCAGCCTGGCCAACATGGAAACCCCACCTCTACTAAAAATACAAAAAATGAGCTGGATGTGGTAGCAGGCGCTTGTAATCTCAGCTACTTGGGAGGCTGAGGCAGGAGAATCCCTTGAACCTGGGAGGCGGAGGTTGTAGTGAGGCCGAGATGGCGCCAGTACACTCCAGCCTGGGTGATAGAGTGAGACTCTGTCTCAAAAAAAAAAAAAAAAAAAAAAGAACATGGAAGAACTGGAGAAAATGTGTCAGGAGATGGCAGCACAGGCAGAAAGTCATGAGCCTTCCTTGGTCCTCCCTTCCATCTCTAAACTCTGGGCATTCACCAGGCAAGTTCCCATCAACTGTCTCCATACCTTCTGAATGGATTCAGCTCCCATTCACATCACCAGCTGGAACCTCACGCCTGAACCCTGCTCTCATACCCAAATGAAATTGTGAAGCAAGTTGTCAGCTGGAAACAGTTTTCTACAGGCCCTGCTTACCTGCTCATTCCCATGAGTAATCAAAATTGAAAGTAACACATTTCTTTCCCAGTTATTCCTTGGTTTAAATTTTTTTCTCAGACCAGGAAGTTTCAAGTCATTCCCTTCTTCTGTTTCCTTGATCTCTTATATATACAACTTCATCATATACAACGTCATCAAGTCTAACCATCCATTTTGTGGAAGTACTTCCAGAGCTTTTTCTTCTATTTGCACAACTCACAGCTGCTTTAACACATTCCTGGACCCTGTTAACAGGTTCAGCCGCAGCACACCCAGCACGGTGCCTAACATGAAACAGAGCCTCATTAAAATGAAGTTTGTCATTTGACATGTCCTGCACACAGTGGTGTGCTGGTACATGTTTAATAGCCAGCTCTCGGGGGAGGTGGACCCCTGTTTGTAGCATTTGCCTATTCCTATGCTGTAAATATTCCTCCCAGAGCTGATTTCAAACTACCAAAGTGACATTAACGAGGGCACAAAACTCCTGAAAATTTTACAATTGAAATTTTGAGTTTTCACGAGCTCCAGCACAACTACTGCCTCTTCCCCGAATATGACTTTTATCAACACACTCTTCCTCAGTGGTTCCCTGCCATCCACTTCATCAAGTCCAAATCCATCCACACATATTTGAATGTCTTCCTGAATCTGGCCGCCTCCTATCACCTATGATTCCTTAGATGTAACCTATGTTTCTGACTAGGAATCTACCAACTGTGGCCTGAATAGGTTCTGATCACTTTGTTCATCTTTTTTCCTGCCGAGAATTTATGGTGGAAAGGACAAGACAGCTCTCAGGGACCTCTTTTATAAGGCCACTAACTCCATGTAAGAGGGTTTCATCTTCATGACCTCATCATCTCCCAGAGGCCTCACCTCTTAATATCACATGGATGATTAGGTTTCAACATACACATTTTGGGGAGACACAAACATTCAGACCATAGGTATTGGTTAGCTGTTGGAGCTGCATTTAACTCCCTAACTAGATTCAAATCCCTTGAAAGCAGGAAACCCCATACTTGTGTGACCCAGACAATGCTGAGCAAAAGGTGGAGACACAGTGGTGCTGACAATGTCAGTCCGCTGCTCCAAAGACGGAGAAACTTTCCACTAGGAAAAGACGTGCAAAACCTCTGGCTCAGCAAGGCAGGCTCCACACACATCCCTACTTTCTCCAACCCTAAGGGACTAAGACAGGTAGTACTCCAACACAAGCAAAGGACAGGAAAAGGACCAATAAACCCAAAGGTTCAGGGTGGGTGGCAGTGTGATGACTGATTTGGCAGAGTGGTGCCAATGTAAAAGGGACCGGTCTGCCCCTCAGAGCCTGGAGAGACCTAGGAACTGATGGAACCAGGAATTAGAGCTATCTGGTGGGGCTGAATAAAGGAGGTCAGGTCAAATGTTCCCCACCCCGTCCACTGCCCCTATGTGTCCAGATGGCCTCAGCAATCACGAGGTCTCCTTTCTGGGAAAATGGAACCAAAGAGGCCCTTGACTTGGGGGCAGGCTGGAGCAGACAGCAGGAAGGTGGTATACTGGTAACGCGGCTATGAAAAGGAATCTCAATACCAGACAGTGAGAACCTCTGTCCTGCTGCCCAGCTTGGCTCCCAGAATGCCGGTCCCTTGGCACACACACGGGGCAGAAAGAGGAGGACTCAATGGACCCTGAGGAAACACCTACATACTCTAATGTGTGCAGGCTGTCTTTGACCACACTGCAACCTGCCCCACCAAGCACCTGGAGCTCCCAATCAGCTTTGTGATGTCTCTTTTAAATCTTAGTGGTCAAAGATCACCAGCCATTTGAGGAAACCCTCTGTGAAAGAGGTGGCCTCCTGCCTCCCAGCAGCTGCCCTCCCTTCCTTCACAGTAATAGGACTTTTTTTTTTTTTTTTTTTGGCCAGGAACACGTACAACCAGAATTTAGATATTTGCTAGGCTTCTTTGCAGCTAGGCAAAGCCTGGAGAACAGGTTCTGGAAAACATAATTCAGTAGAAGCATCATATGACAAGGACCTTCCTTAACAGAGCTGTACATGCCTTCAGCCTTTCTTCCCTTCTGCTGCTAGAACTCAGAGACCCTCATCTTGGACTACAAGGCCAGAGTCTCACCCCAGAAATGAGAACTGGGTATCTGAAAATATCTGCAGCAGAGTCACCAACTGGCCCTAGCTTGCATGCCTCTACTCTAGCCTTTTACATGAGTGAGAAATAAACCATCTTTAGGTCATTGACAAACTTAGTGCAAAAGGACACAGTCCCCAATATGTAGAAAAACCAAACAGAAAAAGAATGAGATTAAATTATAATCGACAGTCTAAATATATAAAATAATATACACATGAAACAAGAACAGAATGCTAGGGAGGGGAAGAACAAATAGCCCTTCAATTTTCTAAAATTTATTTTTTGTAGAGATGGGATCTTGCTATGGTGCCCAGACTGATCTTTAACTCCTGGCTTCAAGCAATCCTCCCACCTTGGACTCCTGAAGTGCTGGGATTATAGGTGTGAGTCACTGTGCCTGGCCCCCCAGTTTTAAATGAAAAATTCATCAGAAGAGGTGGCAAAAAGTCAAGGAAAGCTTCCATACATGACACAAACAGGAGAAAAGATGGAAACTAGGTGGGGAGGGGGGAGGGACAGCAGCCAGAAGCTCAGTGCAGGAGGTCTGATAATAGGAGTTCCAGACAAAGAGGGCAGAGGGAACAAGAGTAAATTATCAAAGAAATAACTCAAGAAAGTTTCCCAGAGTGGAGGAAAAGTTTCCTGAATGAAAAGATACACACACGCAGAGGCACATCACCGTAAAATTTAGGAATGCCGGGGAAAAACGATCTTCGTCTCTACAGAAGAAAAAACAGGTCACGTAGAAAGGAATAAAGAACCTAAGTAGTAGTAAGATTTTTTTGTTGTTGTTGTTAGCTTTGAGCTCAGAACTAGCAAGACCTTTTTTTTTGAGATGGAGTTTCACTCTTATTCCCCTGGCTGCAGTGCAATTATGCCATCTTGGCTCACTGCAACCTCCACCTCCCGGGTTCAAGCAATTATCCTGCCTCAGCCTCCCAAGTAGCTGGGACTATGGGCACCCACCAACACGCCCAGCTAATTTTTGTATTTTTAGTAGAGACGGGGTTTCACCATGTTCGCCAGGCTGGTCTTGAACTCCTGACCTCAGGTGATCCACCCGCCTCGGCCTCCCAAAGTGCTGGGATTACAGGCATGAGCCACCGTGCCCAGCCAAAAGACTTTTTAATAACAACTCTAGACAAATATGTATTTAAAAACCAAGAATATTTTAGACATACATCAACATACTCTGTTAAAACAAAGGAGTAAGTTGAGAAAAAAACAGGAAATCCACAAACTAGCATTATAGGGCAGCCCCAGGACAAGAGCTGTGTGGCGGGCCCCAGGGAGATTCTCCCCTGGCCACGCATTGCGGGGTCACCTGGGTGGGAAGGAGGGAGGGGAGAAGAGTCTGGTGCTTGTGTTATGTTAAGAGCTTTCTGGAAGACCCTCCAGAGGTTTCCCTTTATGTCTCCTTGGCTAGACCCTTGTTACAGGGACACCCTAAGCTCATGGGAAGCTGGGAAGATGTAGTTTTTTAATTAGTACACTGATGCTTTGAGTGAAATGGGAGGTTCTGTTAGGAGAAGGGGGAATAGATATTGGGTGACAGGGTCGGCAACATTTGGCCTATATGAGTATGTTCCAGAGACAGCACACGCATGTGTGGTGTTTTGTTTTTTTTTTTTTTGGAGACAGAATCTTGCCCTGTTGCCCAGGCTGGAGTGCAGTGGTGCGATCTTGGCTCATTGCAACCTCCGCCTCCTGGGTTCAAGTGATTCTCCTGCTTCAGCCTCCCAAGTAGCTGGGATTACAGGCACCCACCACCATGCCAGCAAATTTTTGTATTTTTAGTAGAGACGGGGTTTCGCCACGTTGCCCAGGCTGGTCTCAAACTCCTGACCTCAAGCTATCCACTCGCCTCAGCCTCCCAAAGTGCTGGGATTACAGGCATGAGCCACTGCGTCCAGCCATGTTTGTTGAATGAATAAAATTAAAAAGGAAACAGAAAACAGCTCAGCATAACCTACACAAGAAGCAAAATCACAACAGGAGGCTTGATGAGGCTGCAATTGCCTCAGGCTAGAATCGCCAAATGAGCCTCCACTGTCAGAGACATGAAATGATGATGGCAAAGGGGTGGAGAAATCGGTTGGTGGAGGACCTAATAAGCACTGGGATGAGAATTTTTAAAAGTTAATAAACTGAATTGTTTTAGAGCAGTGAGATGGAAATTCTAAACACTTCTAGTTCAAGTACATATACAGAGGCAAATGTTTTTCACAACCTGAACACACCCATGTACCCAAGAACCACGTCAAAACACAGAACATTCCCAGGTGCCTCCCAATCCCGTGAGTCCTCTCTCCAGCCCTTATCCCCTCGAGAGTCCCCTCTTCAGCCCTTATCCCCCCGTTAGTCCCCTCTCCAGTACTTATCCCTTTGGCATGAGGATTTTTTTTTTTTTTGAGATGGGAGTTTTTTTGCCTTTCTTGCCCAGGCTGGAATGCAACGGCACAATCTCGGCTCACTGCAACCTCAACCTCCACCTCCTGGGTTCAAGTGATTCTCTTGCCTCAGCCTCCCAAGTAGCTGGGATTACAGGCACCCACCACCACGCCCGGCTAATTTTGTATTTTTAGTAGAGACGGGGTTTCACCATGTTGGCCAGGCTGGTCTCAAACTCCTGACCTCAGGTGATCCACCTGCCTTGGCCTGGCATGAGGATTTTTTTAAATGAGATTTTTCTTAATGGCTGCTCATAGAAAGTAGGGAGAAAGACAAAAATCTGTGTTTTTTGCCGGGCGCGGTAGCTCACACCTGTAATCCCAGCACTTTGGGAGGCCGAGGTGGGCAGATCACGAGGTCAGGACATTGAGACCATCCTGGCTAACACGGTGAAACTCTGTCTCTACTAAAAATACAAAAAAATTAGCCAGGTGAAGTGGCGGGTGCCTGTAGTCCCAGCTACTTGGAAGGCTGAGGCAGGAGAATGGCGTGAACCCAGGAGGCGGAGCTTGCAGTGAGCTGAGATTGCGCCACTGCACTCCAGCCTGGGCGACAGAGCGACACTCTTGTCTCAAAAACAAAACAAAACAAAAATCACAACAAAACAAAATCTGTGTTTTTTAAACAAGGAAGTTTTCAGGATCTAAACTTACACTTAACTTTCAAAGCATTCTCACCCTTTTATATCTCACTTTGGCATCATAGAAACGATTCTGGCGGAAAAGGTAGTTGCCAAACTCCCGTTCCGTAGCTGCCACTTTCAGGACCTTCTGAAGTGGAAATTGGTCTTGCTGCTCCTGAGGACCAGAGACAGGAATATTCAGCAAGGAAACCAAAAGCAGTAATGCCACAATGGAAGTGTTAGTACACGTGAGCCCAGGAGTTCGAGACCAGCCTGGGCAACATAGTGAGAACATGTCTCCATTTAAAAAAATAGTAATTGAAAGAAAGGAAGTGTTACTACAGCTGTGAGCTCTTCTTTTTCAGATCATGCACTTCTGTTTACAGCCTTCTGTGTTGGAGTCACCTCTGAATCTGACAGAAGCCACACCAGTGTTATAACCTGTCCCATTTTACACCCTAGAGCCAGAAGGAAGTCTACGTCTTCAGTCTTCCCCTGATGTTCTCTGAGGAAGCAGTGTCCCATGGAATCAAAAACTGACGGAACTTGCCAAGCACAGAAGTCAGTGCTCAAAACCACTATTTGGCCACCAAGCACTGAACAGGTCTTGGTTTGCTCAGGGCCCTGGCAGTCTTTATGGTCATGATGCTCTGCCCTGGCCATCTTCAGAGTCACCCATAGAGCCTCTCTGGTCCCGGCCCCACCCCCCAGATCCTAAATGAGTTCACCACAGGTGGGACGAGGCATTTGCAAGAAACTCGAATCTCAGAATGATGAAAAAGGGTGAGCTCCCTCACTTGGAGTGCTGACAGTTTAGCTGGGGAGACTCCATGTGAAGATATAAACCCTGGCATGGACCTCTAAGGCCACAGATGGAGTCAGTGTGAGACAGCATGATAAAGACAGTGCCTGTGACTGCTGACGGGGTCAGAAGCCCTGCATCTACGGGACAGGGTTAAGTGAAAGGCTACAAAGAGGAGGCAAGACTTAAGTGGTGAGGACAGTGGCCATACATCCCAGTTTGCCTGGGACTGTCTCAGTTTAAACCCGATGTCATGGGTAACCCCTCCAGTGAACAGCCCCTTTTACTCTCACCTGTGCTGGGCTGGACAATCAATTATTCAGTCACCCTAGTTATGAGCTACCAATGCCTGCCTTGCTGGAAACCAAACGATGAAAAGCAAGTGTTCACTGTCTCACAGGGAGAACTAGGCAAAGGATGACTGAAAAATCAGTTCAAACCACTAATCCTTAAACTCACAGCCTTACCTTGCCCAGCACATTTATCTACACATGAGAGCCATTACTAAGACAAACACAGACTAGGAAGCAGAGGAACTCCGCCGCCACCGCACAGGAGCCGCGGGGGTACCCTGGAGAGGACGATCAGCCTCAGGGCAGGCCATCTAGAAGAATTACCAATAACACCAACCCATTCGTCTCTCTATAAAGTGCTGACATCTGTGCTCTGGAACTTACAGCTGAGAGAGCACAAAACTTGTCTGACTCAGCACAGTCCAGGAAGTCAAGCAGCTCAATCTCAAACAGGACAGTGGTGTTTGGGGGGATCAAGGGAGGGCAGCCCAGCGTTCCATAGGCGTAGTTCGGTTTGAACAGAAACCTGGCCAGCTCTCCTCTCCGCATGCTCAGAAGGCCCAGCTCCATGCCCCACAGTGTAATATCTGTAAGAATGGACAAAGAAGGTGGGTGAAGCTTGCTCAGTATCCTGCTCAGTGCTATCAGTTTCTTCCCCCTCTAAGTCAGCAGTACTCTGGCCTCCATGTCTCCCTCACACAGTTCCCTCTTCCTGCAATGTCTTCCTCCTGAGCCTGTGCCCAGCTTCTACTGATATAAATTTTATTCAAACTTCCAGGCTCAGTTCAAATGCCCCCACTTCCAGGAAGCCTTCCCTGAACCTCCCAGCTAGAATTAATCATGCCTTCATTAAGCACACCCACAACACTGCTTTCACCTCCCAGGCACTCATCCGATTCTACCAAGTGAGCTGAGTGCAGGTCAGTCTCCTCCACTACATTGTGAGGTCCTTAAGGGTGGAGATGTTCTAATCTTCTGAGTACATCCTCTCTTTTCACCATGTATTGTGGGAAGTAAGTATTCGATTGAGTTTTACTTAATAAATGAACAAAGAAACATTCCCAGTGGTTAGTTAAGTCAGAGTGCAAAGATTATACCTTGCCCGTTAAGCCATCTCCCAAATGCCTAGGTCTCAAGGGGAGAGAACATGGCTGTGTTACCAAAACCCAGCCTCAGCAAAGCCAACTCAAAGAACCTGCGCTCTGAGCAGTCTTCCCAGCCTGAGGCATCGTGCCTCATCTAGCCCCTAAACAATTCCTTCTTCTCCAGCTCCCACTCTGAACCTACCCTCTCCAAGTTTCATTAGCCGAGGAGTTTTCCTAAAGTAATTAGAATCGAAGGGTCTGTCCATGTGTTCCAGGTATCCCGAGTATTTCACTAGGATAGAAGAAAGAATGTAAGGAAAATGGACCAAAAACACCCACGCCACCATAATATCGAGTCTCTCATGATCACACAGAAACAATGTGAACAGATGAGCTTAAGCTGCCCGACACCCCGAGGTACAGGAATAAATCTTCTCTCTGCATTTTGGGTGCCGGCCCTTTGGCTCAGAGGTTCAAGAGCTTTGCGGAAGCATCACACAAAGGGGACATAGGAGTCCCTAGCTTTCGTCTTAAAAAAACTAATTCAGGCCGGAAGCAGCGGCTCATGCTTGTAATCCCAGCTACTGGGGAGGCTGAGGTGGGAGGCTCACTTGGGTCCAGGAGTCTGAGACCAGCCTGGGCAACATAGAGTCCCCCATATCTACAAAAATATTAAAAATTAGCCGGGCATGGTGGATCGCGCCTGTAAATCCCTTATTTGGGAGGCTGAGGCAGGAGAATCACGAGCCCAGGAGGTGGAGGCTGCAGTGAGCTATGATCGCACCACTGCACTCCAGCCTGGGCAACTGAGCAAGACCCCGTTTCAAAAACAAAAAACAAAAATCCACTTCAAACAAAGCATTTCCAACCCCATTAAGTGCTTTTTGAAAATGAGGCCTCTCTCTTCCCAACAGAGTGCGATGACATGGATCCTGAGGACAAACCGCCCCAGGGCGTACCTAGCACCGAAGCATCAGGCGCCACTAGGTCTCCAGCTCCTTCTCGGATGACGTCCTTCAGCACGCCCCGGTCCCCCGAGATGTCCAGCATCCTCTGACTTAACCGCTCGTACAGGGACTGATGGAGAATGAAAGCCAGGCCTCAGAGCCGCAGACCCACCCGGCCACCCCTCAGCGTCTACGCCCCCGAAACGTCTGGGCCCTCACCTGGCCGGGGGCGTCGTCCCCTTCCAGGACTCCCTGGTTTAACGCGCTTCCCCCCATGTCCTAGCTGCCCTCCCTGTGGCGTGAGCCTTCGGCCTGGTGCGCCCCGCTGCCCTCCCTGGCTGTGACTCTGGTGGGGTTCCGAAGGCCCCTTTATGCCCGGCAGACCCCTACCGACGGCGGCATTCCATTCTGGGGCCACGAGGAGGCACTCATCGTTTCGTTCCAACCGCCGCCAACGGCCCTGGCCCTCGCGAGCTCTGGAACTACAGAGGCCACGCGGTGAGGTGCGAGGTATGATCCGTAATGGGAGCGCACGAAACATGATGGGACACGTAACGGGACCACGCAGGGCACGTTGGGTACGTGCAGGGGCGCGAGGTGGCGGCACGTAATGGGAGCGCGCAGAGCATGATGGGGCACGCGCGGTAGCGCGAGGCGGGGCATGTAACCATAGCGTGCGGGTCATGATGAGGCACGGACGTGGGGGGTTAGGTGGGGCACGTAATTGGAGCTCGCGGGGCAGGATGGGGCATCTAACTGGAGCGACAGAGAGCACGATGGGGCACTTACAGGGGCCGGAGGCTGGGTACGTAACGAGAGCGAGCGGGAAATGATGGGGCACCTAACGAGCACGCAGAGCATGATGGGGCACGGGTGCGAGGTGGGGCGCACAGTGGGAGCGCGTGGGGCATGATGAGACACATGGCGAGGCCATCAGGGCACAGGGGAAGCACTTTTGGAACACGTGAGTGACAGGGCTGCCGCCCTTGAAGGAGCCCTCGGAGTGGCTGCGTGGTGGGGCACGTGGGGCAGGTTCAGGAAAAAGGATGCAGCATGTGATTGCAGGGCAACCTGGTGAGGACACGAGAGCCACCTGCCACCAGCAGGGTTCAGGGCTCCCAGCTGTGGGTTACTTCCACCTTCTTTCACTTTCTCTCTTCCATTGTGTTCTAGAGAATTTAGGCCCAGACAAGACACTGATTGATTGATTGATTGATTGATTGACAGAGGCTCGTTCTGAGCCCAGGCTGGAGTTCAGTGATGGATCTCAGCTCACTGCAGCCGCCACTCCCTGGGCTCAAGAGATCCTCTTGCCTCAGCCTCCCGAGTAGCTGGGATTACAGAACTGCACCACCAGGCCCAGCTAATTTATTTTTTAGTTTTTAATTTGCTGGAAAGATGGTTTGTAGCTTTGTTGCTAGGCTGGTCTTGAACTCCTGGCTTCAAGTGATCCTCCAGTCTTGGCCTCCCAAAGTGCTGGGATTATAGGCGTAAGCTACAGCCAACTTTCAATACTGCCCCATTGGGGGTTAAGTTTCCAACACATGAAATTAGGAGGATACATTCAAACCACAGCAGTATATTATGACCATAATATTCATTAACTGTATAACAGGACAGGCGCGGTGGCTCACACCTGTAATCCCAGCACTTTGGGAGGCCAAAGCCGGTGGATCGCTCCAGGTCAGGAGTTTGAGACCAGCCTGCCCCACATGATGAAACCCCATCTCTACTAAAATTACAAAGAATTAGCCGGGCATGGTGGCAGGCGCCTGTAACCCCAGCTACTTGGGAGGCTGAGGCAGGAGAATCACTTGAACCCGGGAGGCGGAGGTTGCAATGAGCCAGATTGCGCCACTGCACTCCAGCCTGGGTAACAAGAGCAAAACTCTGTCTCAGAAAACAAACAAAACCTGTATAACAGAGTGTCATTGAATTTCTAAACGTTGAAAGACTTCACATTAAAAAAAAAACTCACAATTCAATATTATTGAGTGAAAGTAACCAGACACAAAAGAGTACATTCTATATGATGCTGTTTATGTGAAATTCAAAAACAGTCCACATGACAACATGGTAATAAGGACAGTGGCTGTCCTTGTTAGGAGTTATGACTGGGAGGAGGCAGGAGGGAGCTTTCTGGAATCACTCTACATCTTGTTCTTGAGAGTGGGTGTATATACATCAAGTGTTTATCAAGCTGTGTGGTTAAGATTTGCACACTTGTATATGTTATACCTTGATTTAAAAAATCTAAGTAAATAAGGATACCTTTGAATATCTTAAAAAAAAAAAAAAAAGAGGCCAGGCTTGGTGGCTCACACCTATAATCCCAGCACTTTGGGAGGCTGAGGTAGGAGGATTGCTTGAGGCCGGGAGTTCAAAACCAGCCCAGGCAACAAAGCGAGACCCCTGTCTCTACTAAAATAAATAAAACAATAAAATGAAAAAAAATAGAGAGATTGAATCATCATCTGCCAGTTTGTATTAGAAAAAAAGAGAGAGAGAGGGAAGGCTGGGTGCAGTAAGGCTCACGCCTGTAATCCCAGCACTTTGGGAGGCCAAGGTGGGAGGATTGCTTGAGCCCAGAAGTTGAAGACCAGCCTGGGCAACAAAGCAAGACCCGGTATCTAAAAAAATTTTTTAAATATTAGCTTGGCATGGTGGCATGCACCTGTAGTCCCAGCTACTCAGGCAGCTGAGGTAGGAGGATGGCTTGAGCCTAGGAGTTGGAGGCTACAGTGAGCTATGACCACGCCACTGCACTCCAGCCTGGGCAACAGAGCAACAAGCTGTCTTTC
This sequence comes from Homo sapiens, assembly GCF_000001405.40. Classification (NCBI taxonomy): domain Eukaryota; kingdom Metazoa; phylum Chordata; class Mammalia; order Primates; family Hominidae; genus Homo; species Homo sapiens. The sequence goes on along the minus strand of NC_000007.14, from coordinate 73,325,903 downwards.
CCCACCCCCCAGCCCCCCCGCCCAAAAAAAGGAGAGTAAGAGCAAGAGTTTGAGATTCAGAAAGAACTGTTTCCCAGCACCTATCTGCTCCTGTTGGGGTCATGAGGTGTGGACGGTGTACCCAGTCCCTCTGTTTCTGCCCCTCCTCCACAGTGGCCAAGGCCAGCACCTGAATGTTATCAGAGCAGGCCCAACAAAGGCTGCCTCCCCAGTCCCGTGATGTAACCCAGTTTCCACCTGATTCTGGTGACCTTGGGGACACAGGGGTGTTGCTGGGAAAGGGGAGGAGAGAAGGGGCAGAGACCAGGCAGTGGTGCAGGCGTCCAGCTGCATTTCCCACTTCTGACTCTGTGCCTGCTGTTCCCTGCTGGGAAGAAGGAAAGCCAGTGATGCTGGCTTGAGGCTGTAGTGGGAGGCCCAGCGGATTGTGAGAAGCCAGGTATTCCAATGTCGGGCTCCCCCGGGGGCTGCTGGTGCTGCTTCTGTCTCATTGACAAGCTTTCATAGGGGAGCAGGTGGGAGATCAGGGTAGAGGCCTTGTAGGTTCCAGGCTCTCTAGAATTACCTGGGAGTGTCACCTATAAGTGTAGAGTTCTGGGTCTCACTGGAGACCCCCTGAAGAAGATCCTTTGAAGGTGGGCCTCTAGAATCTCTATTACACCTATGCTTTCAACAGTTTCCCGAAAGTTTGGGAACTGATCTAGAAGGTGGGGAGCTTGCCTAGGTTTTGCTGTTCAGTTCTAGGTCCGGATGCATGCTGGGGCTGGACCTTGCATTATTAGTGTCACTGCAAATGACCCTGCAGATGGCCCCTTTCATGCTTGTCTCCAAATTTGAGTAAAAAATGTAGACACACACACACACACACACACACACACACACACACACATATCTTCAAGGGACCAGTTTTTTTCACTGCAGTCTTTTGTTTTACAGCTGCGGAAACTGGGGCCCAAGGTCATGTGGGTTAGGACTGGGATCCAGGACTCAAAGTGTTTCCTCTAAAATTCTGGTGCTCCTTAGGGTTGAGGGTGGTGGATGAGTGCTGGACAGGGGGAGGGGAGGGGACAGGACTGAGGTCGGATGCCTGTGTTTCAGCCCGGGCAGTGAGTGTGGATGGCTTGGCAGGTGAGCCTGCCAGAGCTGGAGGACCGGCTTCAGTGTCCCATCTGCCTGGAGGTCTTCAAGGAGCCCCTGATGCTGCAGTGTGGCCACTCTTACTGCAAGGGCTGCCTGGTTTCCCTGTCCTGCCACCTGGATGCCGAGCTGCGCTGCCCCGTGTGCCGGCAGGCGGTGGACGGCAGCAGCTCCCTGCCCAACGTCTCCCTGGCCAGGGTGATCGAAGCCCTGAGGCTCCCTGGGGACCCGGAGCCCAAGGTCTGCGTGCACCACCGGAACCCGCTCAGCCTTTTCTGCGAGAAGGACCAGGAGCTCATCTGTGGCCTCTGCGGTCTGCTGGGCTCCCACCAACACCACCCGGTCACGCCCGTCTCCACCGTCTACAGCCGCATGAAGGTGGGGAGTGAGGGTGCAGGGGCGGCTGGAGAGGCCCGCGGGGACCAGATCCTGTGCTCTCTGGTGCCATCACCTGGCACCAAAAGGATCCAGCTATCCTCGATTTCCCTGCAGCTGTGCCCTGGCGCATTCATTCCTTAGCGTTTGAGCTGCAGCTCAACCCAGGTGCCGGGGATTGAAGCCACACGAACAGGATGGGAGCTCCCTGGTGTCACGTGCTCACCCCTTCCTGTTTTTTTATTTGCAGTTCTGGTTTGTTCCTTTTTCTTTTCTTCCTTCTCCTTCCCTCTTCCCTCTTCCCTCTTCCTCTCCCTCTCCCTCTCTCCTTTCTTTTTTTTCTTTCTTTTTGGAGACAGCGTCTCACTCTGTTGCCCAGGCTGGAGTGCAGTGGTGTGATCATGGCTCACTGCAGCCTCCAACTCCTAGGCTGAAGCAATCCTCCCACCTCAGCCTCCCGAGCAGCTGGGGCTACAGGTGCACACCACCATGCCCAGCTCATTTTTCATATTTTGTAGAAATGGGGTCTTGTTATGTTGCCCAGGCTGGTGTTGAACTCCTTGGCCTCCAATGATCCTCCTGCCTGGGCCTCCCAAAGTGCTGGAATTATAGGCATGCACCACTGCCCTAGGCCCCTTGTTTGTGTCTGGACACTCCCCTGTTTGCACTCTATGGTGCATGAGGGTGGGGACTTCATTTTGTCCCCTGGTGTATTTCAGTGCCTGGAGCCATGCCTGGCACATTGTAAATGTCCAAAATGCTGAATCAGTGAATTCCTGCCTTTATAGGCCATCACCAAACCTAGCAGATCATTCTTTAAGACGAGTAATAATAATACCTGGCTGGCTGTTATATATATAAAACACCTGTTATAAAACACGTGACTGGGTGGCTTATGCCTATAATAACAGCACTTTGGGAGGCCGAGGTGGGTGGATCACTTGAGTCCAGGAGTTTGAGACCAGCCTGGGCAACATAGTGAGACCCTGCCTCTACAAAAGTTTCAAAATTAGCCTTGTTGGCCAGGCACAGTGGCCACTCCTGTAATCCCAGCATAAGGCTGGAGGGAACATCGGTGGGGGTGAGATAGGGCCAGCGAGGTAAGCTGCGGCTGGGGCATGGAGAGGCCAGTGTGACCCGGGAAGGGATTTGGAGTTTATTCACAGGATGAGGGAGCAAGGCGGAGGCTGGAGGGTTTTAAGCCAGTGATGAAATGCTCAGATCTCTCTGGCAGAGGGGAGCTTTGAGGGTGAGGCAAAAGGACAGTGAGAGATGAAGGTGCCAGGACCTAAGTCGATGGGAACTGGGACAAAGGCCTGGGGCAGACCAAAGACAAATTTCAAACAGAAAAAAACCCTGACAACTGTGTGTGGCAAGGAGGGTGAGGGACGGGAAGGTTGACTCCAGCTCTGTGATTCCCCCTTGCACAGAGGAAATGATCGCAGGGGAGGATCCGGCGTGGGCAGGTGGAGCCGGAGGTGCCTGGATATGTGCAGTCGGGTCGAGGGGTGTGCAGACCAGGACAGCGGTGGGGCTCAGGGCGAGAGGTGTGGAGGGTCCTTCCTCCTGGTGGTCACTGAAGTCCCCTTTGGTGGAGAAGACCAACCCAGGAGAGTCTACATAGTGATAAGGGAAGACACTGATGATGACCCCAAGGGGTACCAGGCTTAAAATCTGGATTGAGAGAGAGCCCTGAAAAAAGGGATAGAAAGAATCCTCAGAGCGGGAACACCAGCTGAGTGTGGCCTCCCGGAAATCAGAGAGACAGAGACTGAAGGAGATCACGTGTGTGAAATGTCTCTGAGGACTGAAAAGTGTTAGATGTAGCAGTAAGAACTGATTATCTTGGCAAGAGCAGGTTTAGGGGAGTATGGAAGGTGGAAGCTGACTGCAGGTGAGGAAGCCGAGTTTATGTTTTATTAGTTAATGGGAAGGAGGGAGGGAAACAGGCTGGGAGCTTATCTGTCCTTTGTGGTTAGGATCCAGCAGCCCAGCTTGGGTCCCTGTTTTAGATTTGGGCTTAATTTTGTTGTTGTTGTTGTTGAGACAGAGTCTCGCTCTGTCGCCCAGGCTGGAGCGCAGTGGTGCGATCTCGGCTCACTGCAAGCTCCGCCTCCCGGGTTCACGCCATTCTCCTGCCTCAGCCTCCCAAGTAGCTGGGACTACAGGCGCCCACCACCATGCCCGGCTAATTTTTTGTATTTTTAGTAGAGGCGGGGTTTCACCGTGTTAGCCAGGATGGTCTCGATCTCCTGACCTCGTGATCCACCCGCGTCAGCCTCCCAAAGAGTTGGGATTCCAGGTGTGAGCCACTGTACCCGGCCAGATTTGGGGTTTGATGATCCCGAGGCTCTTCTCTGTTGCAACACAGAATACAACTAAATTGCACTCCTTTATTGCCCTCTTTTAGGTGTTCCCGTTGCCTCCTGTTTATTGAGATTTTGAGATGCTCGATTGATGGGTGCATTGATTTGCATAACTTAGTTCCTCTCACGGGGAAGGAATGAGTCCCGTCTGTCTGCCTGGGGAGAGTGACATTGGAATGTCGTTCTTGGGCCGCTGTGAAATATTCTGATGCCTCGTTCTCCAGAGCAAGGACTCTGTCCGTTTATGCCAGCAAGTGCTTGATTCTTTACGCAACTCCCTTCCTGAAAGCCCCTTGCAGCTCTCTGGTGCTTGGGCACGATCCAAGCCAAAAATTCTGTATATTGCATGGGTACAAACCGACGGGGGCTCTGGTCAAATCGTGCAGTAGATGGTGGTCCAGGGGTCCCGGTTGGCACCCCCAAGGCTAGGTCAGGTTTGGGGCCCGGGCAGTCCAGGAGAAGTGCATTTATGTCAGCTTGGGGAGGTCGCAAATCCGTGCTGTGTCCAAGCCCACCAGGAATGGATTCAGGTGTTTATGGGTGTGGGGATTCACCAGGTTTAACCCAGGCCCGTGTGAGCACCACTGGCCCTAGAATTAGCCTCACCTGGCGCCGGCCTTTTTGTGATGGCTCCTGATTAAATACCCACTAATTCTGGATCTGCTGGTGACCACAGAGTTCACCTGATGGGTCCCCTACAGGCAGCATTCAATCCAGGAAGTGCCAGCATCACATGGTGACTTCTGGTAGCTGTAACGTTTAGTGACTCTCTCCATGTCATGCAGAGGGGTGACATTGAGACCCTCTTATGCCTGGGAAGTTCCTGCTGTCAATGCAGAATATTCTTTAAAAAAAAATTAGAGATGGGATCTCACTGTGTTGCCCAGGCTGGTCTCAAACTCCTATCCTCAAGTGATTCTCCCACCTTGGCCTCCTAAAATGCTGGGATTACAGGCACGAGCCATTGTGCCCAGCCTAGAATATTCCTTTTTTTTTTTTTTGAGACGGAGTTTCACTCTTGTTGCCCAGGCTGGAGTGCAATGGCGCGATCTTGGCTCACTACAACCTCTGCCTCCCAGGTTCAAGCAATTCTCCTGCCTCAGCCTCCCGAGTAGCTGGGATTACAGGCATGCACCACCACGCCTGGCTAATTTTGTATTTTTAGTAGAGACAGGGTTTCTCCATGTTGAGGCTGGTCTCGAATTCCTGACCTCAGGTGATCCACTCGCCTCGGCCTCCCAAAATGCTGGGAGTACAGGCGTGAGCCACTGCGCCCAGCCTAGAATATTCTTGAATTAATTTATCTTATTTTTTATTTTTATTTTTTTGAGACAGAGTCTCACTGTGTCACCCAGGCTGGAGTGCAGTGGCATGATCTTGGCTCACTGCAACCTCCACCTCCCAGATTCAAGCGATTCTCGTGCCTTAGCCTCCCAAGTAGCTGGGACTACAGGTGTATGCCACCACGCCTGGCTAATTTTTGTATTTTTAATAGAAATGGGGTTTCACTATGTTGGCCAGGCTAGTCTCGAACTCCTGACCTCAAGTGAAGTCCCACCTCAGTCTCCCAAAGTGCTGGAATTACAGGCGTGAGCTTCTGCGCCCAGACTATTCTCGAACAATTTAACCTGTTTTGGACTCAAGGGTACCTGGGTGGCTCTGGTTCCCGCCCTGGTTTCCCTGGGAGTGCTTGTGGCCATTGGGATACTCCCAAGAAGGTGATCCAAGGAGCTGAGAAGGGGAGGGATCAGCTGCTCATGGGGCCATGGCCTGTTGCCTCCAGGAGGAGCTCGCAGCCCTCATCTCTGAGCTGAAGCAGGAGCAGAAAAAGGTGGATGAGCTCATCGCCAAACTGGTGAACAACCGGACCCGAATCGTCGTGAGTGCCCCTTCCCTCTGCCCCTGCCTGGGACCGGCCACCTTCACTTTCCTGTAGAACTCAGTTCTCATTGGTCCTTTACAGAAAACCATGCCTTCCATATAAAGCCAGAACTCAAAGCATTCCCAGGGCGGGGTGGGGAAAGCGCAAATCCTCTCAGGGGAATTCAACCCAGTTGTCGTTAGGACTGGCTCCAAGTTGGCTTTTGCCCTCTGTGTCCTTGAGACTGAGATAACCCAGGACTTGAGTCTCAGGGGGTAAACAGCTCAAAGCATGGGCATGACTCCTCCGCCCCTGTGCCACCTGTGTCTGCTTGACCTTGCCAGCCTGTCATGGTGCCCTCCCAGTACCTGGGTGCTCAGGCGTGGAGAGGCTGGCAGCCCTGGGCCCTGGCTGATCTCCCGAAGTGAGAGGCACATGGGGCTGGGAGCCATAGTGCCCCGGCCCTGGAGGTGGCTGTGAAACAGAAACAGGAGCCGGGCAAGATCCAGGAGCACTCAGCCTCCCTCATTTACCCTCCTCACCCTTGCGCGGCAGGCGGTACCAGCCCTGCCTGGTGGAGGCGGAGCTCAGGGTTCTGCAGGGAGTTCTGGCTCCCTCACAGCAAAGCCTGCTCGCCTAGGGCCTTCCTGCTTTCCTTCAGTTGTGGAACTCTGGGATATGCACATTTAATAGCTGAAATAGGCAAAGTGGGGTGTGGTGGCGTGCATCTGTAATCCCAGCAACTCGGGAGGCTGAGGCGGGAGGATTGCTTGAGGCTGGGAGGTCAAGGCTACAGTGAGCTATGATCATGCCACTGTGCTCCAGCCTGGGCAACAGAGTGAGACCCTGTCTCTTAAAAAAAAAAATTAAAACAGGCCAAAACAGAGCCTCTCCATTTGAAACGGGAGCTGGGGTCACCCTCCCCACGGCCACCGCCAGGGCTCCCCATGCATGGGGTGAACTCCCTGCCCGGCGCCAGGCCATGCAGCCTCCCCTGAGACTCAGGTCCCAGGACCAACCCGGTCAGGAAGGCCCTGGGGACACCGAGGCCAGCCAGACAGAGCCTGGCAGCTCGGCTGTGACTCTGCAGTGACCAGCCCTCCCTGTCCCAGAATGAGTCGGATGTCTTCAGCTGGGTGATCCGCCGCGAGTTCCAGGAGCTGCACCACCTGGTGGATGAGGAGAAGGCCCGCTGCCTGGAGGGGATAGGGGGTCACACCCGTGGCCTGGTGGCCTCCCTGGACATGCAGCTGGAGCAGGCCCAGGGAACCCGGGAGCGGCTGGCCCAAGCCGAGTGTGTGCTGGAACAGTTCGGCAATGAGGACCACCACAAGTTCATCCGGGTGAGTGGACAGGGAGGCGTCCCATCCCCATACCCGCCAGGGCCTTCCCCTTCCCAACAGTGCCCTAGCTTCCCACCTTCTAGCCTTAACCTCCCTCTCTCTTGCCTTCCAGAAGTTCCACTCCATGGCCTCCAGGTAATAACCTTGGAGAGAGCTCAGCCAGGGTCTGGTGGCTGCGGGCACGGGCATCTCAGCTCCACTGGTTCCTCCATTCGGTTTAACCAGCGCCTCCCAAGCAGCTGCCCACAGCTGGCTCTATAACTGAGCCTGGGAAAAACAGAGGAAAGTCATGTCCCTGCCTTCAAGGGTCTCGTAGATGGGTGGGGAGGCAGATGGTGAACTGTGGGTACCTAGAACAGCAGAAGTTCACTCAAGCTACAGAAATACTAGAGGAGGGTAGCTCATGCCTGCAATCCCAGTACTTTGGGAAGCCAAGGCAGGAGGATTGCTTGAGGCCAGGAGTTCGAGACCAGCCTGGCCAATGTAGTAAGACCCCATCTCTACAAAAAATACAAAAATAAAAAAATTAGTTGGGCATGGTGTCATGTGCCTATAGTCCCCGCTACTCATGAGGCTGAGGCGGGAGGATTGCTTGAGCCCAGAAGTTTGATGCTGCAGTGAGTCGTGACCATGCTACTGCATGATCCAGCCTGGGTGACGGAGCGAGACCCTGTCTCAGAAAACAAAACAGAATGCTAGAGGAGGAGCAGGTGTCTGGGGGACCTGGCAGAGGGGCACAGGCCTGATGGCTGAGAAGGACCCAGGACCTGAGTTTGCCAGGCAAGCCGAGGAAACGGTCCTGTAAAAGGGGGAGTGGCATGTGGACTCTGGTTATGAGTTCAGGGTGGCTGGGTGTAAGGCAGGATATCACCAGGAGTCGGAGCTGGGAGAGGTGGGAAATGGCCAGAAGCAACATCCAGGAGCACCGGGCATCCCTTGCTTACCCTCCTCACCCTTGCGCAGCAGGCAGTATCAGCCCTGCCTGAAACTTGCTCTGCAGATTGTGGGAAGAGAGTGGATCCATGTTCTAGACCCAACAAACGAACACGTGCAGTTCCCAAGCCTTCCTCACTCCCTGTTTATGGGAGACTCCGTGTTTCTCACATTTCTTTTAGTCTTAGAGACAATTTGGTCAGAAGACATGGGTTTAAATGAAGGGACAGAGGCTGGGCATGGCGGCTTACACCTGTAATCCCAGCATTTTGGAAGGCTGAGGCAGAAGGATGCCTTCAGGTCAGGAGTTCGAGACCAGCCCAGCCAACATGGTGAAACCCCGTCTCTATGAAAAATACAAAAATTAGCTGGGTGTGGTGGCAGGCACCTGTAATCACAGCTGCTGGGGAGGCTGAGGCATGAGAATCACTTGAACCTGGGAGGTAGAGGTTTCACCGAGCTAAGATCACCCCACTGCACTCCAGCCTGGGCGACAGAGCAAGACTCCATCTCAAAAAAAAAAAAAAAAAAAAAAGTCTTGGCATGGTGGCTCATAGCTGTAATCCCAGCACTTTGGGAGGCCAAGGTGGGTGGATTGCTTGAGCTCAGGAGCTCAAGACCAGCCTGGGCAACATGGTGAAACTGTCTCTACCAAAAATAGAAAAAAATTAGCTGGGCATGGTGGCACATGCTTATAGTCCCAGCTGCTAGGTAGGCTGAGGTGGGAGGATCACTTGAGCCCAGGGGGTTGAGGCTGCACTGAGTCGAAATCATGCCACTGCACTCCAGCCTGGGTGACAGAGTGAAACTCTGACTCAAAAAAAAAAGACACATTACTTGGCCCCCATAATTGGTTTCTGATTGGCAGGTCTGGTGTGGGGTCTAAGAACCTGCATTTCTGACCATTTCCCAGGTGGACCATTGACTTTCTACTGGGAATGGGTTGGACCATTTTCCAACCAACACTGCTGGTCCCCAAACCTGCACTCTAGAAGCACCACTATAGAGCGTTTCCCCTTCTAGGAAGGAGATGGGTCCTCCCTGAAGGGGCTGTGCAGGGGAGGGGATGATGGGCATTGATGGGCATTGTGACTGCAGTCCTGCACTGTGGATCTGGCTGGGCAAACATAGATAGGATGGAGGGGTGGGGTGGGCCACGTGATACCTCACTCTCTTGTACTGTGAACTGTCACCTGCAGAGCAGAGATGCCGCAGGCCCGGCCCTTAGAAGGCGCATTCAGCCCCATCTCCTTCAAGCCAGGCCTCCACCAGGCTGACATCAAGCTGACCGTGTGGAAAAGGCTCTTCCGGAAAGTTTTGCCAGGTGAGGCCCTGACCCGTCCTCCTTCCTGAGGGCTGCCGCCCAGGGCAGGTGGCAGTTCATCGATTGTATCAGAGAGATAATAAGCTACAGAGAACTCAGATGGAGGTTTGTGGAGGGTCCTAGTGAGAGCATGGGACTGAGTTTCCGAACAGCTTGGGTTCCTGCTTACTCTTTCCTTTCCTAGCTGCTGGCTGGGCAAGTTGTGTCATTTCTGAGCCCAGGTTCCTCATCTGTAAAGTGGGGCTATTTGCACCCACCCGGCCAGGCTGCAGAGCTTGTATATAGACATACGTGTGTTGCAGCTTAGTGCTTCATAAATGGTATTAGGTTGGTGCAAAAGTAATTGCAGTTTTTGCCATTACTTTTAAAAGTAATGTACTTTTTGTCTGGGCACAGTGGCTCATGCCTGTAATCCCAGCATTTTGGGAGGCTGAGGAGGGCGGATCTTCTGAGGTCAGGAGTTCAAGTCCAGCTTGGCCAACATGGTGAAACCCCGTCTCTACTAATAATACAAGAATTAGCTGGGCGTGGTAGTGTGCGCCTGTAATCCCAGCTACTCAGGAGCCTGAAGCAGGAGAATCACTTGAACCAGGGAGGTGGAGGTTGCAGTGAGTTGATATCGTGCCATTGCACTCCAGCCTGGGCAACAAGAGCAAAACTCCGTCTCAAAAAAAAAAAAAAAAGTAATATCCTTTTAAAAATGTCCTTCCTACTCAAAGGACAAGTGGTCTTCAAAGTAATGGCAAAAACCGCAATTACTTTTGAACCAACCTATTCTTGTTCTCTGTCAAAAACAACTCAAACACATTTCATTCCTTTATTACTAGCATGCTGTCTTGTACATAAGGGAGACTGCTAACAGAGCGATTTCATCCACCAAAAGCAAAAATAGGGTTTATATAAAAGAAGGGGCTGGGCACGGCGGCTCACGCCTGCAATCCCAGCACCTTGGGAGGCCAAGGTGGGAGGACTGCTTGAGGCCAGGAGTTCAAAACCAGCCTGGGTAACATAGTGAGACGCCATCTCTACAAAAAATAATTAGTGGGGTGTGGTGTTATGTGCCTGTGGGCCCAGCTACTGAGGAGGCTGAGGCAGGAGGATTGCTTGAGCCCAGGAGTTGGGAGGCTGCAGTGAGCTATGATTGCACCACTGCACTCCAGCCTGGGTGACAGAGGAGACCTCATCAGTAAAAAAGAAAAGAATGAAAAAAAAAAAAAAGGAAAGATAAGAAGGAAAAAAATTGCAGTTTGTGAACTGTGAATCCTGTTTGTACATCTCACATTTCTTTTTTTTTTTTTGAAGGAAAATTTGTATTATTTTCATGTACAGAAAACTCAACAGTGTACGTTTTACCCAGTTTAGTGGTAGTTTCTTTAGTCTTTGCCTTTTTGAGCTTGGCAATGTGAGCCACAGACTTGGGACCCAGGACACTGCCTCCCCAGTGATGGCGGATCTCATCACATTTGTTGTTGTAATTGGTCCTGGTAGCTTCCACCAGCTTAGCCCAAGCTCCTTTGTCTTCCAAGTTAACCTGTGTGAAGGCGACAGTGGTGCAGGTCTTCCTGGGGACTAGACATCCCAGTCTTGCCTTCCCCTTGATGATGCAGTCAGGGACCCCACTTTACACACAGGCACAGGCAGGAAGACAGCCAGCTTGATGGGACCCATGTTGCGTGGAGTCACCACCAGCTGAGCCTTCCTTTTTTTTTTTTTTTTTTTGAGACAGAGTCTCTGTCACCCAGGCTGGAGTGCAGTGGTGTGATCTCAGCTCACTGCAACCTCTGGCTCCTGGGTACAAGTGATTCTTCTGCCTCAGCCTCCTGAGTAGTTGGGACTATAGGCGTGTGCCACCACGCCCGGCTAATTTTTGTATTTTAGTAGAGACGGGGTTTTTCATTATGTTGGCCAGGCTGCTTGCAAACTCCTGGCCTCAAGTGATCTGCCTGTCTCAGCCTCCCAAAGTGCTGAGATGACAGGCATGAGCCACTGTGCCTGGCCCAGCTGAGCGTTCTTGTTCTCCATCAAGGTGGTGACGGTGTTAATTCCTGCTCCAAGGACAGGTGGCCTCTTAGTGGGGACATCCCCTTTGCTGGCAGCTTTCTTCTCAGTCAGGGCCAACAGTCTCTGCTTCTTCTCTTGCTTTGCCCCTGGTCTGTACTTCTGGGCCAGCTTAAGCAGCTGAATAGCTGTTTGGCGGTCCAGGGCCTGGGTGAACTGGTTAATAGCAGGAGACAGTTTCTGCTACTTATAGAGGATGGCTGTCCGCCACTGCACCCTGACCGAGCAGGACCATTGCACAAAGTGGGCGAGGTCCGTTTTGGCCTGGAAGTCCTGTCCAGTGCCAAAAGTCTTAGGCCTTTTCTCAAACGGGATAAACCACTTTCTTGGCCTCCTGCTTCTTCACGCCAGCAGGGGCCGGAGCCACCTTCTTCCCCTTGGCCTTCTTTCCTTGCGGCAACTTGGGTGGCGGGAAGGGGTGGGAGGCGGGCAGGGGGGAGCACATCTCACATTTCTGGGGTAAACGGATCAGCTGGTAACTAGCAAAAAGCTCAGGTGGGCTAGTTCGTCCTTGAATAGGCTGACTAGGCTAGCAAATCCAACAGCTGCAGTTGTTATGGGTTCTCCAGAAATCCCTGAGGGCTGAGCTATAGGCTCACAGGACAGGTGTCTTCCGGGTCCTTCCCACAACACCTCTGTGTCAGGCAGGCAGGCCAGAACCCCGAGCCCAGTGTCCATTTCTTTCTCCAGCCACCTCAGCCCCCCACAGCCCACCAAGCTGCTCCCTTTTATATAAACACTGTTTTTGCCTTGGGTGGATGCAATCAGTCTGTGATTGATCTTCCTTATGTAAAACTTCATTCATTCATTCATTCATTCATTCATTCATTCATTCAGGGAGCAGCCCTGTACTGGCCCCTTCTAGACCCTGGGGCTAGAGAGATGAGGAAGACACAGCCCCTCTCCTTGGGGAGTTCAGGGCCTCCATCAGCTTCTGTGGGCCGGGTCTGCTGCCCTCCACGTGGCCTCACAGACCCTCTGTGATCTCCCTCCCAGCCCCGGAGCCTCTCAAGTTGGACCCTGCCACTGCCCACCCACTCCTGGAGCTCTCCAAGGGCAACACGGTGGTGCAGTGCGGGCTTCTGGCCCAGCGGCGAGCCAGCCAGCCTGAGCGCTTCGACTACAGCACCTGCGTCCTGGCCAGCCGCGGCTTCTCCTGCGGCCGCCACTACTGGGAGGTGGTGGTGGGCAGCAAGAGCGACTGGCGCCTGGGGGTCATCAAGGGCACAGCCAGCCGTAAGGGCAAGCTGAACAGGTCCCCCGAGCACGGCGTGTGGCTGATCGGCCTGAAGGAGGGCCGGGTGTACGAAGCCTTTGCCTGCCCCCGGGTACCCCTGCCCGTGGCCGGCCACCCCCACCGCATCGGGCTCTACCTGCACTATGAGCAGGGCGAACTCACCTTCTTCGATGCCGACCGCCCCGATGACCTGCGGCCGCTCTACACCTTCCAGGCCGACTTCCAGGGCAAGCTCTACCCCATCCTGGACACCTGCTGGCACGAGAGGGGCAGCAACTCGCTGCCCATGGTGCTGCCCCCGCCCAGCGGGCCTGGCCCCCTCAGCCCCGAGCAGCCCACCAAGCTGTAGGGCCGCCCGGAGTCCTGCCGGCCCACAGGCCCATCCCGGCGGGGCACCGGGGACTCGCGGGCTTCTGCTGGGTCCCGCCTGAGGTGATATCGTCACTGTTTAGGAAGGTCTTCAGGCCTGTGTGTCCCTGGAACATGTAATGATAGGGAACAGGACCCCAGTCCCTTTCCCCTCAGCCAAGGGTGTATTTGTAAACTTCGGCCCCCAGGCCTTGGCAGCCAGGGACACACTGAAATCCCCATGGTTCCTGCCACTTGCTAACCATGCTATCTGCGCAGACGCTTCCGAGGGCAGAAATAGTCCCATGTATACCTTTTCCATATTACTGTGAACTTTCAACTACTATCAAGGATAATAAATTTGACATTATTTCTTTCTCTTTAAATGATTTGCACATATTAGTTGCTATACATACTGCTTTATGCTCGAGTCTTTTTTTTTTTTTTTTTTTCCTGAGATGGAGTCTCTCTCTGTCACCTAGGCTGGAGTGCAGTGGCACGATGTAGGCTCACTGAAACCTACACCTCCCGGATTCAAGTGATTCTCCTGCCTCAGCCTCCCGAGTAGCTGGGATTATAGGCATGTGCCCCATACCCAGCTAATTTTTGTATTTTTAGTAGAGATGGGGTTTCGCTGTGTTGGCCAGGCTGGTCTTGAACTCCTGACCTCAAATTATTTACTTGTCTCAGCCTCCCAAAGTGCTGGGATTACAGGCGTGAGCCACCGTGCCCAGCCTCGAGTCTAGTTTCAGAGACAGGATCTTGCTCTGTCACCCAGGCTGGAGAGCAGTGGCACAATTGTAGCTTACTGCAGCCTTGACCTCTCAGGCTCAAGTGATCCTCCTGCCTCAGCCTCCTGAGTAGCTGAGACAACAAGTGTCTGCCACCATACCCAGCTAATATTTAAATTTTTAGTAGAGACGGGATCTTGCTATGTTACCCAGGCTGGTCTGGGCCTCAAGCAATCCTCCCACCTTGGCCTGCCAAAGCGCTGGGATTACAGGTGTGAGCCACTGTGCCTAGGCTGTCATGCCCCTTTGACTCACCATACCCACAGGCTAAGTGGGTCCTGGAAGCTCTGGGGTAGCCCTCTAACCAAGATGCTGGCTCTGGCCACTGGAAGTCAAACTGGGTGCACAGACCAATAAGAGGGCCTGAGGGAGACTAGCTGGGGCAAACAGCAACCCTCAGCCTCCCCACAATCCTGACTTTCCTCCCTCCTCTCCTCAGTCTCCTTCAAGGATTCAGCCTCTCCTCCTGGCCACTCATGGCCTGAGGACCTCCAGGCTCCTCTTCTGGCTGTCTACCCCTCCACACCCATAGCTCCAGTCATCACTTCCACAGGGATGACTCAGAAGTTCCCTCTCCGGGAGACCCGTCCCTTACATGCCACATCCAGTAGCGCTCCAGCCATTCAGCAGCTCCGCCTGGACGTCAAGGGCATGTCCAAAACCGCGCTCATGATCTTCCTACTCCCCCATCCCTGAGATTTATCCTGTGGCTGTGGTGTCCTGTGGCTACTGTAACAAATGACCACAAACTTGGTGGCTTCAAACAAATTTAATCTCTCATGGTTCTGAAGGCCAGATGTCCAAGATCACGATGACGGCAAGGCCGCGCTCCCTCTGGAGACTGTCGGGGAAAACCTGCCCCTTTCCTCTTCAGCTTCAGGTGGTGGCTGCCATGCCCTGGTGTTTCCTGGCCCTGTGGCCGCATCATTCCAATCTCTGCCTCCGTCTTCACGTGGCCTTTTCTGTATGTGCCGGTCTAATCTTCCTCTGCTTCTTATTTTTTTTTTTTTTTTTTTTTTTTTTTTTTTTTTTTTTGAGACAGAGTCTTGCTCTGTTGCCCAGGCTGGAGTGCAGTGGTATGATCCCAGCTCACTGCAACCTCCGCCTCCCAGGTTCAAGCAATTCTTTTGCCTCAGCCTCCTGAGTAGCAGGGATTACAGGCATGCACCACCACACCTGGCAAATTTTTGTATTTTTAGTAGAGATGGGGTTTCACCATGTTGGCCAGGCTGGTTGCGAACTCCTGGGCTCAAGGGATCTGCCAGCCTCGGCCTCCCAAAGTGCTGGGATTACAGGTGTGAGTCACTGCGCTTGTCCTTCCTCTGCCTCTCTCTTATAGGGATACTGGTGATGCCATGCAGGACCTGCCCAGATAATCGAGGATAACCTTCTCTCCAAATCCTTCCCCTGATCATTCCTACAGATCTCTTCCATAGAAGGTGACATTTCCAGGCTCTAGGAATTAGGACCTGCTCTCTCTGGGTGGCCGTTGTTCACTCCATCACCCCACGTTTCCCCATCCTACCAAAAGACACAGCAGCATTGTGTGAACTGCCCAAACTGAAAACCTACGAGTTATTCTCGACCTGTCCTTTTTCCTGAGCAAGTTCTGTGGATTTAACTTAGCGGTCACACTGCCAATTTCAACCTAACTCCACTGCCACCAACTCAGTCCAGGCCACCAGTTCTTGTTTAGGTGACTCCCATGACCCCCATTGGTCTCTCCCTGCCTCAACTCTGCCCCCTCCATCCTATATCCCCACACTGTAACCAGACTGATTATTTATTTTTTGGGGAAAGAATCTTGCTCTATCCCCCTGGCTGGAGTGCAGTGGCACAATCTCAGCTTACTGCAACCCCAGCCTCCCAGGTTCAAATGGTTCTCCTGCTTCAGCCTCCCAAGTAGCTGAGATTACAGGTGTCTACCACCATGCCTGGCTAATCTTTGTATTTTTAGTAGAGACGGGGTTTTGTCATGTTGGCCAGGCTGGTCTTGAACTCCTGACCTCAAGTGATCTGCCTGCATTGGCCTCCCAAAGTGCTAGGATTACAGGTGTGAGCCACCACACCTGGCCAGACTGATCTTTTAAAGAAGTATATGTTAGCACAGCACTCCATGACTTAAAAACCTTAAGAGGACTACCATTTCTTTCAAGATAAAAGAATAAAATCCTCGCTGGGCACAGTGGTTCATGCCTGTAATCACTGCTTTGGGAAGCCGAGGTGGGAAGATCACTTTAGGCCAGGAGTTCGAGACCATCCATGGGCAACATGGTGAGACCACATCTCTACAAAAGATAAAATTAGCTAGGAGTGGTGGTGCATGCCTGTAGTCCCAGCTACTTGGAGAGTGAAGTGGGAGGATCGCTTGAGCCCTGGAGTTTGAGGCTGCAGTGAGCTATGACGGTGCCACTGCACTCCAGCCTGGGTGACGGAGTGGGACCTCATCAAAAACAAAAACAAAACCGTTATTGTGGCTTTGAGGCCTGGATCATACCTACATCACTTAATTTGGCCAAACCGGCCCATTTCAGGTACCCAAATACCCCACGTGCTTTCTTGCTTGGCTCTGGGACTAATGTGGTTACTGGTGCAGGGTGAATGGCAGGTATTGTAAACCACATTGTGGACCTAGAGTTGCTAGGACCTTTTTTGCCATTACACAGAAGCCTCCCTGAGAACACAGCCATTGGATGACACATGGCAGAGGAAGATAAGACAATAAACGGAGACACAAAATTATGGCCAGCGCGGGGGCTCATGCCTGTAATCCCAGAACTTTGGGAGGCCAGGGTGGGCAGATCACCTAAGGTCAGGAGTTCAAGGCCAACCTGGCAAACATAGTGAAACCCCATCTCTACTAAAAATACAAAAATTAGCCAGGTGTGGTGGCGTGGGCCTGTAGTCCCAGCTACTCGGGAGGCTGAGGCAGGAGAATTGCTTGAACCCGGGAGGCGGAGGTTGCAGTGTGCCGCGATTGCGACACTGCGCGACAGAGTGAGACTCTGTGTCAAAAAAAAATTATATATATATATATATATATATAATGACTAATACACATGTGAAGATATTTAACCTCAGTAACTTCAGTTAAACAGCAGTAAAATCCCATTATTTGCCCATCAGATTGGCAAAAACTTAAGAACTAGAGAAGAAGTGGCGAAACGGGCTGCAGCGTCGCACTCCCTACCCCGGCAGGTGCGCGATCACACACACGCCTTGCAGGGCGACTTCGACCGGCACTTCCGGTCCCGGAAGGTCGTGCTTTTTGACCCCGGAAGTCCGGGCGGGCGCCGAGCCGGGTGCGTTTTGCCACAGAGCCGTAAAGGCGCGCGGGAACATGGGGCTGTATGCTGCAGCTGCAGGCGTGTTGGCCGGCGTGGAGAGCCGCCAGGGCTCTATCAAGGGGTTGGTGTACTCCAGCAACTTCCAGGTAGCGGACCTGGGCGCGAGTAGTAGGGGTGGGGAGTGAGGAACCCGGGGTGGGGTCGGACGGGCCCGGGTGGGGTCGGGAGGTGGGGCCCGGCGAGGAGGGCCGGGGGAGCCCCCACCCAGCTTGTCTTCCTCGGCCACACAGAACGTGAAGCAGCTGTACGCGCTGGTGTGCGAAACGCAGCGCTACTCCGCCGTGCTGGATGCTGTGATCGCCAGCGCCGGCCTCCTCCGTGCGGAGAAGAAGCTGCGGCCGCACCTGGCCAAGGTGAGGGGAGGGGAGGGACGGGGAAGTGAACCCCGACGGTCAGCGCTTTGTCATCTGGTCTCAGCTCTGCTGCCGTGCACGGCGGGACTGGAGCAAGTCGCTCATCTGAAATGAGTATGAGCCGACCTTCCCTGGGTTACGAATTAAGATGGGATGAAAATGCTTTAACTTTGAGTGTTTTGAAGGATTAAATAACCGAAGTACAAAGTGGTAGTGGCGGAGACTGTAAGGAAGTCGGGCGTGGCGGCGCGCACCTGTGGTCCCAGCTACTCGGGAGGCTGAGGGAGGAGGATCACTTGAGCCCAGGAGGTCGAAGCTGCAGTGAGCTATGATCTGGCCACTGCACTTCAGCCTGGGCGACAGAGCTAGACCCCATTCTAAAAAGAAAACCCAAACCCACGAAAGGGTAATGTTGGCAAGAAGTTGGGTGCAGAGGTGTCTACTGGTGAACATCGGTGGAGAAAGGGTCTAAGGCTGGGAAGCGAGACGCCAGGTTCCGATCCTGTTCTGTAGTTAATTTCTGGTGTGATCTTGGATAAGGTATCCCACCTGTATCTTGTCAGGTGATCTGTTTAGCCATTCCATTGCCGGGGCTCCATTAGAGTTAGTTCTAAGGCATTCATGCTTCATGCTTAGGGCATTTTTGTTTTTGTCTTTGTTCCCTCATTCCCAGGTGCTAGTGTATGAGTTGTTGTTGGGAAAGGGCTTTCGAGGGGGTGGGGGCCGATGGAAGGCTCTGTTGGGCCGGCACCAGGCGAGGCTCAAGGCTGAGTTGGCTCGGCTCAAGGTTCATCGGGGTGTGAGCCGGAATGAGGACCTGTTGGAAGTGGGATCCAGGCCTGGTCCAGGTAAGCTGGAAGGAGTTGGGGGGTGGGGGAGGCGGGGAACTTTGCTCCTGCCTACTCACTGCTCATTGCGTCCTACGTAGCCTCCCAGCTGCCTCGATTTGTGCGTGTGAACACTCTCAAGACCTGCTCCGATGATGTAGTTGATTATTTCAAGAGACAAGGTTTCTCCTATCAGGGTCGGGCTTCCAGGTGAGAGCTTAGAGCCCTGGCTGTCCTCATCTAGGGAGGTGTCTGGGGTATTGGGAAGAGAAGTGGCTGGATAGTTGTGACTTTGCTCTCTGGGCTTTCTTCCTACCTTTCCAGCAGTTTATCCATCTCCAAGGTTTGTCTTCCTGCCATCCCTTAAACATCGAACTCCTAGGAGCCTCATCCTACATTCTTCTTGATCTCTCCGTTTTTTCTCTAGCTTTAACTCCTGCCTCCCACCTGGTGATTCTCACCACCCAGTGTAGACTTCCCTCTTGCATTCTTACCTCCTCAGGTTCATATGAACGCACCACAGATGCTAACAGTCGCTGCATTTGTCATCTTTCCTCTCAGACTTTACACCTAGTACATCCCCAGTTAAATCTAACAGATGTCACCATCTTCCACCCATTTGGTCAAGCCAGAAACTGAGTCATCCTAGGTGCTTCCTTCTCCTCCCTCCAATCATTTACTCCCCTACCTTGAGCATCTTTCTCAGCTCCACTCCTTTCTCTCTTTTTTTTTTAGACTGAGTCTCACTCTGTCATCCAAGCTGGAGTGCAGTGGCATGATCTTGGCTCACTGCCTCCCGGGTTCAAGCGATGCTCCTGCCTCAGCCTCCTGAGTAGCTGGAATTAGAGGCTCCCACCACCAATGTCCAGCTAATTTTTGTATTTGCAGTAGAGATGAGGTTTCACCATGTTGGCCATGCTGGTCTGAAACTCCTGAACTCAGGTGATCTGCCCGCCTTGGTCTCCCAAAGTGCTCGGATTACAGGCGTGAGCCACCACATCTGGCCTCCACTCCTTTCTCTTCAGCCCCTCGGACACTGCCTAGGTTAAGCACTCATTTCTTATTGGGATGACCACAAGAACTTCCCAGACTGGTTTCTCTGCTTCCAGACTGTCTCACTGCATTTTCCTTGAGGTTGACTGTAGGAAGCTCTAAAGCCAGATCTGATGCTGTTACTCCTCTGCTAAGCTTTTTTTTTTTTTTTTTTTTTTTTTTTTTGAGACAAGGGTTTTGCTCTTGTTGCCCAGGCTGGAGTGCAATGGCGCAATCTCGGCTCACTGCAACCTCTGCCTCCTGGGTTCAAGCAATTCTCCTGCCTCAGCCTCCTGAGTAGCTGGGATTACAGGGATGCAGCACCACGCCCGGCTAATTTTGTATTTTTAGTAGAGACGGGGTTTCTCCATGTTGGTCAGGCTGGTCTCGAGGCTCCTGACTTCAGGTGATCTGCCCGCCTCGGCCTCCCAAAGTGCTGGGATTACAGGTGTGAGTCACCGTGCCCGGCCATGCTAAGCCCTTTCTTGGCTCCACTGTGCTGTCCCTCCTGCTTTCTCTCAGGTCCATCTGCCACGGTGCTGCGTGCACCAGTGTGCCAGCAACAGTGGCTGGTCCCTGCCCCGTGCCTCCTCCACTGGGCTCACACCTGTCTCGTTTTGTCCTTCGTTGGCTCTGAGAAGCAGCCTCTGCCCCTCTCCCTTTCTCCTACTCTTTGTAAGATCCTCTTCCTTCTGCCTCTACCATGTTGCTTGGACACCAGGGTGGAATAGCAGAGAACGGCTGCTTGCGTTTGAATTCCAGCTCTGCCACTTTGACAGATTTCTGAACTGAGAGATGTGACTCTCTAGGCCTATTTCTGCATGGGTCGGAGAGTCGGCGGGACTCCTTTACTGAGTTATAGTGAATGTAGTTTTAACCTAAGCGCCTCACATGACTAACTCCTCATCCATCAAGAATGAGCTCAGCTCTCACCTCCCTGCATCCCCTCACCCCCCTGTAAAGTAAACTTTTTCTGCTACTCGGGAGGCTGAGGCAGGAGAATGGCGTGAACCCGGGAGGTGGAGCTTGCAGTGAGCCGAGATCGCGCCACTGCACTCCAGCCTGGGCGACAGAGCGAGACTCCGTCTCAAAAAAAAAAAAAAAAAAAAGTAAACTTTTTCCAAGGTTATGCTTCAACAGGAATAGCTAACATTTATTAATTTGTGCCAAATAAGTATCTTGAATATATTGGCTCATTGAATCCCCACACCTACTATTTTACAGAGATGCCAGTGGGGCTTGAGATTGAATCATTTGCCCAGGCTCCCACTGCTGGTAAACAGTAGAGGGGGCTCCTGACCCATCAGTCTGGCTTGACAACCCATTCCCTCAACTGCGGATTCCGCCCATCTCTAGCTTATCACCCTGTTGATTTCTCCATAGCTGTGGTAACATTTGTTGCATGAATGGACCGTTGAAATGGGGCCTGGCAGGGAGAAATTCAGGAAATGAATGAATGGTTCTTCCCTGGCAGCCTCGATGACTTACGAGCCCTCAAGGGGAAGCATTTTCTCCTGGACCCCTTGATGCCGGAGCTGCTGGTGTTTCCCGCCCAGACAGATCTGCATGAACACCCACTGTACCGGGCCGGACACCTCATTCTGCAGGACAGGGTAGGCAAGAGGAATAGAAAAGGGAAGAATGTGTAGGCACGGGAAGGGCCTAGCCTGGGGTCTCTGTTTACCTGGCTCCTGTGCTCTGCCTGCCAGGCCAGCTGTCTCCCAGCCATGCTGCTGGACCCCCCGCCAGGCTCCCATGTCATCGATGCCTGTGCCGCCCCAGGCAATAAGACCAGTCACTTGGCTGCTCTTCTGAAGAACCAAGGGTGAGTGCCACAGGAGGAGGAGGAGGACATGGGGTTTGATTCTGTGCCTTTCAGTGGGTAATGAAGGCTGAAAGGATGACTTTCGCTTAAGTCTTTCTTGCTGCACCAAAGCAGTTCACGGTATTTGCCCCAAGCTAAGCTTTCCCCACTGCAGGTGTGAGATGTGGATCCCTTAGCCCTTGGGGCAGAGACCCCAGGCCAGTTACCTCTGACTGTGAGCCCTTTAAACGTAGGCCGTTTCAATATTGTGTGTCCTGGCTTAACCTGCATGTTCTGGTTGGCTGTGACAGGCCCTTAGCTGCTCCATGCGTGCTCAGCTCACCCCTGCTTTGCCCTAGGAAGATCTTTGCCTTTGACCTGGATGCCAAGCGGCTGGCATCCATGGCCACGCTGCTGGCCCGGGCTGGCGTCTCTTGCTGTGAACTGGCTGAGGAGGACTTCCTGGCGGTCTCCCCCTCGGATCCACGCTACCATGAGGTCCACTACATCCTGCTGGATCCTTCCTGCAGTGGCTCGGGTGAGATGGCGAGAAAGCGTGGCCGAGGGACTCGCAGATCCACAGCAGCTTAGACCTGGAGTCATTTGTTTTGGTCTTACTTCTGACACTAATGGGCTTGGGACCCTGGGACAAAAGTTCTCCTCTGTGAAGCGAGGATTTCAGGACTGAGGTAGCCTGTGAAGCTATGTAACAGAGACACTCTTTTCCTTAGGTATGCCGAGCAGACAGCTGGAGGAGCCCGGGGCAGGCACACCTAGCCCGGTGCGTCTGCATGCCCTGGCAGGGTTCCAGCAGCGAGCCCTGTGCCACGCACTCACTTTCCCTTCCCTGCAGCGGCTCGTCTACTCCACGTGCTCCCTCTGCCAGGAGGAGAATGAAGACGTGGTGCGAGATGCGCTGCAGCAGAACCCGGGCGCCTTCAGGTACAGGGCGGGCGCCAGGGTCGTGGGGAGTGGGGGACGGGGTGAGCTGCTCTCTTACCCAGCATTGGGGCCGTTTCTCTTGCAGGCTAGCTCCCGCCCTGCCTGCCTGGCCCCACCGAGGCCTGAGCACGTTCCCGGGTGCCGAGCACTGCCTCCGGGCCTCCCCTGAGACCACACTCAGCAGTGGCTTCTTCGTTGCTGTAATTGAACGGGTCGAGGTGCCAAGGTGAGTGAGTGGGGGCGTGCTTGGGAGGCGCAGGATGGCACCGGCACATCTAACATCTACACTTCTCTAGCTCAGCCTCACAGGCCAAAGCATCAGCACCAGAACGCACACCCAGCCCAGCCCCAAAGAGAAAGAAGAGACAGCAAAGAGCCGCAGCCGGTGCTTGCACACCGCCTTGCACATAGCAGAGGCTCCGGGCTGACTCCTTCCTGGTGGGAAAGGAAGATGCCTGTCCTCTCCGTGGAGGACCCTGGGCCCTCACCGCAGGAAGCAGTTTGGGTTTTGAAAGGTTATTGGGTCCCTTCCTTGGGCTGTGTTCTTGCTGGTGAGCAAAGTGTTGCCTGCAAAAATAAAATGCAGAACGTACTCTACGATAGATCACAGTTTTTTATTCTTAATGTCACAAGCAGGAGAAAAATCTCACATTCATACTAAAAGTTCCAACTAGACTCAACAGGAATGAAGTCTCTATTTGTAATGGAAAGTCCCAGCCTCCCGCTGCCGTCCAGTGCGTGTACTGTACACATCCACACTCACACTCACTCAGGGTTCCCGGACCGGCTGTCCTGCCTGCGGAACTGAGGTAAACTAGCTCAGGTGCTGACACTAGGAGGGTCTACCTTACATAAGGTACAGGTAGAAGCTTGATTGCTAGGCCCAGGCCCACCCAGACCCTCCAATCCTAACAGGTATTTAGGCTTGAGGTTCACTCCCTCCTCAGCTGCACACGCAGCCAGGTATTAACGAGGATCAGAGCTGTTCTGAGGGGTGGGAAGGAGCAGCCCCACCACCACTCACTCACCCTCAGTCACATCGGGGAGGGGGCACCAGTTACATTTACATCACATTATTTATAAAATAAGAATTACATTTCATATAACATGGCCAGAAGGAGCTCTAGTCCCCCAGGAAAGCTGCCGGGGACAGCATTTGAGCCTCTTCTTTGCACAGGCATAACTTAACTATACAGCTAATTCCTAGTTAATAGCATTTATACTTAACCACCTCAATGAACCAAGCTTGAAGGAATTTAAAAGGCAATTTAGCTTAAATACAAAAATAAATTTTTGTTAAAAAACGTTTAAATATTTTTTTCTTTTAATTTAGACACACGCATTCATACTTCTCCCAAAGAGGTTGGGCGTGGCAGCAAGGCGCTTGGGCCTGGGGTATGTGGTTTCAGAAGGACGGAAGGAAAGGCTGGGCTGCAGAGGGCCCTGTTTGGGAAAAATAGGATTTTAAAAATATGGTTCATTAATTTAGGTTTTCTAACATCTACTTTGGGTGATGTAGCCTCCAGTGAGGTCAGTTAAGTGGGACAGAAACGGCAGAGGGAAGAGGTCTTTGCTTCCCCTGGGCCCATTCTCCCTGGCTGCCAGCCCTTGAAGTCAGAACACCATGGGAAAATTCAGGAGTCGGCACTTGTAGCCGTCAAGTGGTGCTACTTTCCACATTCAATTAGCGAGGCCCCAGAAAACTTGAAACAGGAAGTCCGGCACTACCAACATGCCGCCACTCATACAACTCAACTCTTCCTCCAAACTCGATTCAAAGAGCAATACACAGAGCGTCAGACAAAGGAACACAGGGCAAGGCTTGAAACATACAATCCTGGAGAGGCAGACGAGGGCCCAATGGGGCCAAAGGGTAGCTGGGCGAGGAGGCAGCTGAAGCAGCGGTGGGCATCCTGCCTGCTCCAAGAGCTTCTCCCTTCACCCCTGGCTCTGCCAGGCTAACAGTCTTGAGCCACCAAGCTCTGAGGGGCCAAACTGGCAGAGGGTTGGAGATGAAACATTGATTCAGGCTTGGCAGGAAGAAAATGGCAGGAGCAGCACCCACTGGGGTCTCCAAGGCAAAGCTAGATTCAAGGGCATTTAAAAAGGAGGGAATCCTGCAAGGAACCGGTGAGGGACACAGCAGCAAGAAATGGGGAAACAGAGTCCCCAGAAGGGACCAGAGGAAGAGAACCACTTCTCACAGCTAAGCCAAGCAAGATAAAGCTTTACGGATAGCCCATTTCCCAAATCCCATCAGGTGCACACCACCGATCCAGGCGGGCTGGACCCTGCCCCCTCCAGCGACGACGGCTCTCGGGGAAAGGTGGAAGGGGCGCCTGCCTAAGGGTGCGCTAAGCGGGAGTCAGGGTAGCGGACACTATGTACAGGTGTTTCCTTAGTTCTCCAGCCTCCCCAGTGGAACTGTTCAAGTAGAGGTCCCGGGCTTTGGCCCTCCGCATCCTGCTTCCCCTTCCCTGAGGCTTGTGCTTCCTCCAGAAGGGAAAGGGCCCCAGGGCTGCCACTGCCCCCTGGCGGCTGAAGCCAGAGATCCGGGGTAGGTTTGCTTTACGCAGCTGGAAGGGTCCAAGGCTCTTTCTAGCACGTGCCAAGGTCCAGATTTAGGGAAGGGGTGGGGGGAACAGGGACAGGGGACAAAGGCTACTTTTTGCGGGTGTGCTGCCTTCGGGCCTGCAGTCGCTGTCGAGCCCCTAGGGTCTTGGATCCCGCACCAATGGAAAATGAAGGGGCCGCCGATCCTGGAAAGATTCAACAAGACCTCATCAGGGCAGCTGCTACCTGAGACTCTGGCTCTGGGTGCCCAAATCTCTGGAAGGCCAGGCCAGTAATAAAACACAGGGTGCCTCAATAGGGCTTTCCCCGCTGCATCAGAAACACTGTACGGGAGAAGCCTCCCGAAATGCAAACTCCCAGAGAGTCTCAGAGCGAGGCCCAAGAATCCATTTTTACCTGGCTTCCCATGGGAGGCAAACTTCCACCCCGGACAGCTCCTCTCTGATCTCTGCCATCCAACTCCCATCCCTGGGCTGTGCTGTACTCCTAACCCGAAATGTCTTTCCTGTGCTGAACCTGATCTTCACGGGGCCTCAGAGGGCCAGGAGCCTGCCACCCCGCCCAACCTCTCCTCAGACAGACGAGCAGGGCCACAGGGTGGCTTGCTGCTTACCGAAAGGTGCAACACCAACAAAGCCTTGGGCGGGTGCTGAGGATGCCCCAAAGGAGAGGCTGCTGCCTGATGTGCCCACTCCAGGCGCAGGGGTGTTCAGACCAAAGGTGGGGGTGGCGGTGCCTGGAATGAAGAGAACAGAGAGCTAGCCAGTGAGCAGAGGGCGGAGGCAAGCGAGGAGCCGGGCAGGAGCCTGTGCTCCACAGGGCACTTCCCACGGGACCCTCAGCCCCACTTCTGCTTCTGGGGCACTCCTCCATCAGCAGCTGAGCCAGACAACCGAGTCTTCATGCCTGGTGCCCCAGCTCAGCCTGCTTCTCCCACCCGCTAATGGCCACGCCAGGGCAGAGAAAAAGCCCCCCTGCCCCGCAGCCACCTCGTGGGCCTCCTGACCATCGCTGCAGAGGGGAGTACTCTGGGGCCCCCGCCTCCTAGCGTACCTGGGTTGGCTACCTCCTCTGTTCAGGCCTTTTTCCCCTAGCCACCGTCCCCTCCCCTCTGAAGCCTGGTTTGTCCGTCCCGCGTCTTTTGTGATGCCCCGTGGTACCCTCCCTTCCCCGGCCTTGCCCTGACTGGCTCTGGCTGCCTGCCCGAGGCCCTCTCTGGCAGCCCCTCTGCAGGGATGGCTGCTCTCAGGGCTTGGCCTCCGGCCCGGACAAGAGGAAGCTCCCTGTGCTCCCACGCTGCTTCCACACTGTTTCTCTTCCTTCCCTAAATACCGTAACTCAAGTTCAGATCACTTTAATCTGCCATGTCCTCATGTCACCTGTCAACTGCCAGGTCACTCCCTGATTCACAGAGGACCCTTGGCTCACTGGCTTCCTCCCCATCACCACTCACGGTGACTTCGCCCTGTGAGGCTGACTGATGGTCCTCTCAGCCCCTCGACCCTGCCACCCCCATGACCTCCTCTCCCCGACCCCTGCCACCACTCCTGCAGCCACACTGTCACCACAACTGCTCCGGCTCCCGAATCTCCTGTAGGCACCACCCCTCCTGCAGCTGACTTCACCCGCTCTCCACTCCTGCACCCCCTGAGCTGCATCGGGGCACTGACACGCTGCCCCTCCTGCTGTGCTTGCTGGGGTCTCCATGGCCGGGTGGCACCAGCTGTCCGCTGACCTTAGGTCTACACCCACAGTGTCGCTGGGAAACACACGCCATGCTAACTGGCCTCACTTTAACTTCACAATCACAATTTTCCAGCCCACAAACTGCCTGGAAACTGATCACACTTTTTAATATGATGTTCCTTTCCCCCACTGTCCAAAATGACTATTTCAAAAGACCCCTTTTTTTATACACTTTATCCTGACCCTCTCTCTCCCAGATTTTCTCTCCTACTTCACGAAGCAAACAGAAGCCATGGGATCTACATTCATCTTCCACATGGGAGGAACCATCACTGCATCCTTCTGCCTGATTCTGCAATGGTTTTCCTGAACACTTAAGACCCAAACACCCAACCCTGGCCACAAACAATCCTTGCCTCTTGGCCTCCTTCCACACCACTGCTTTAGCTCCTGCCCTCCTGCCATGCTTGTCTTTGTTCTGCTCTTCAACATACCAAACATGTTTCTGCCTCTGGGCCTTTGCATGCGCCATCCTGGGCCTGAAAGGCATGTCCACTTGTGCTGTGCCCACCCCCACCCCACCCCCATATTCAGCTTACGGTTTGTTTTTTGAGACAGAGTCTTGCTCTGTCACCCAGGCCGGAGTACAGTGGCATGATCTTGGCTCACTGCAACCTCCAACTCCTGGGTTCAAACCATTCTTGTGCCTCAGCCTCCTGAGTAGCTGGGATTACAGGTGGGTACCACCATGCCCGGCTAATTTTTTGGTATTTTTAGTAGAGACAGGGTTTCGCCAAGTTGTCCAGGCTAGTCTTGAACTCCTGTCCTCAAGTGATCCACCCTCCTTGGCCTCCCAAAATATTGGGATTACAAGCGTGAGCCACTGCGCCCAACCTTCAGCTTACAATTGTTAACTACTCAGAAGGCCTTTGACCAGTTAAATCCACAATGGCTCCTCCAGTCATTACTACGTTAGCAAAACATGTATCGTTCCCTGGCATCTCACTGAGTTCTATATTCAGTGCCTGTCTCTTCACTGCCACAGCATAAGCTCCCCGAGACCACAGGCTTCGCAGGCACAGCTTTTCAGTGTCCGGCCCGGTAGCCCAAGTCCACGCCCCTCCTTACCTCCAAACACAGGTTTGCTCTCAGTTGTGCTGCCCACGTTGAAGGCAAACGGTGTGCTCTGGCCGGTGGTGCCCAGGGCGTTCTGACCTAAGCCCCCTGCGAAGGGGGTGGAGGTGGCTGTGCTCCCACTCTGTCCTGCTCCAAAGCTGAAAGCTCCGGTGGTGGCGCTGGAGCCTGGGGTGGCCACGTTGATCCCAAAGCTCCCACTGCCAGCGGGGGCTGCCGAACCCCCAAACGTGAAGGGTGATGGTGTTGTGCTGCCAAACACCGAGCTGCTGCTCCCGCTGCTGGCGGTCTGGGTGGTGGCTCCAAAGCCGGAGCTGGTGGCTGCACCGAAGGAGAAGACAGCAGTGGAGCCGCCAAAGGCGGGCTGTGAGCTGGCGGGAGCGCCGAAGGCCGAAGCCGTGGCTTTCAACCCAAACGCCGAGTGCGTGGCACCGCCAAAGATAGGATGGATGGGCGTAGGCACGTGCGCAGGCACGATCTTGATCATGGACGGAGGTGCAGGTGTGGGTGCAGCAGCCGGGGCTGCAGAGTTTCCAAAAGTGAAAGAGCTGCCAAAGCTGGGGGCAAGGGCCGGCTTGGCGGCCCCCGGTGGCTGCCCCTCAGCGGCCCCAAATGTGGGCTGGGGGTTGGCTCCCAGATATGATGGGAGCGGGGACTTGGCGCTTGAGCCAAAGGGAATGTTGAACGTGGGGGTGCTCGTGTTACTGAACGTCAGAGTGGGCTGGCTGCTGGTGGCCGGGGCGGAGGTGGCGAGGGTGCTGCCAAAACCACTAAAGTCGGCAGCGCTGCTGCTGGTGGCCGTTGGCACGGCAGTGTGCAGGGACTGGCTGAAGGTGGTGACTGTGGTGGTTGTGGGCAAGGCAGGAGGTTTGCCAAACTGGAATATGGAGCCCATGGCCGGGGTGAAGCTGGCAGCAGAGGCCTGGGGCGCCCCGAAGAGGAAAGGCTGTGAGGCGGCAGTGGCGGTGCTGGTCGTGGTACTCACACTGCTGCTGCTCACACTGTTTATGCCAAAGCCAAACGCAGGCTTCGAAGCAGAGTCTGTGGATGGACTGGCAGAGGTGATGGGAGCCACAGCAGAGGTGGCGCTGGCCAGGCCAGTGAAGAGCGGGGCAGTTGTGGTGGGAGCAGTGGCGGGAGTAGTTGTCTGCTTGAAGAAGGGAGCAGGCAAGGGCACAGATGCAGGTGGCCCCATGCTGCTAAAGACAGGCTGGAAGGTCGGGGCTGTGGTGCTGGTGGTCGTGGGGAGGGAGGAGCTGGAGGGCGCTGTGGCTGAGACTGAAGGGCCAGGCGGTGTGGGGCCTTCCTTCTCACTCTTGGGTGGAGCCGTGAAAATGGGCTTGAACATGGGAGATGCTGAAGATGCAGCAGGGGCGGCAGGGCTGGAAGGTGAGGTGTTCTGTGTTCCAAACAGGAAGCTTTGCTTGGGGGCGGGGGACGGGGCAGATGTGGCTTGGGGTTTGGTAGTCGTCTCTGCCTGAAGGGTTGGAGGTGCCTTGGTGTCAGTGGCTGGTACCATGGATGGAGCAGGGATCAGCCCCAGCAAAGTGGTCGGGGGGTTGGAGTCAAAGGAGGGGCTGGGGAGCAGCCCTGGCGGCCCTGACTGTGATAAACCCAGCGGGGGTAGGAGGTTGGGTGTCTTTGGAGGTGAGAGGGCCTCAGTGGTTGCTGCTCCAGCAGATTCTGGAAGAAGAATAGAAAATGTGAAATTGGAATAAACACTTCAAAGATGATGGTATTCAGTATTTCAGTGTCCTCCCCACGCCTACCACAGAGCCTGGGATCCAAGAGTCAGTCAATAAACTCAGCTAAGTCTACACTACAGGCCTGTACAGTAAATCAAGGAAGTGT
Organism: Homo sapiens; assembly: GCF_000001405.40. NCBI lineage: Eukaryota > Metazoa > Chordata > Mammalia > Primates > Hominidae > Homo > Homo sapiens. The sequence goes on along the minus strand of NC_000007.14, from coordinate 73,296,580 downwards.
TCATTATTTCCACCTCACAGATCATCAGACAGAAGGGGATAAAATGGGGCCTAAATGGGGGCCTAATGTGTAGAGACTAAGACAGTCCAATTGTCTGAACTCTGAAGTTCACGTATGAATCTAGATATACTTTATTTGCCTACTAAGCTCACCTGCCAGGCGCTAAGAGCACACAACTATGAATGGGGAAGTCTCTGCCCTTGAGCAGGGAGGGTGCGTACGAACCCCAGGTTACCGTCTGATAAAGAGGTGTGCGCGCGCAGTGCCGTGAAGGCCTGGGCCGGGAACACCAGCAGCCCTCGAAGTGCTGGAGGGAAAGGAAGCAGTGCTGTTCTGGACCAGTGGTTCTGACAGGCAAGGATATCCTGACCACGCCACCACATTCACACTTCAGAGGTGCTGCACCGGGAAGATCATTCTCATCTGACAGATGAGGAAGGCGAGGCTCAGGGCAGCTACGAGCCAGGCTTCAGATCCTGAGCGTCGCAGCACCCCTTCTCTAACACTTCCTGATGCGGGCTCTGGCGCTGTTAAACGTGGGCCCGCTCCGGTGTGCTGAGCCAGGGTGCGTTCGGCCTGCAGAGCAATCTCCAGCGACTGACAGGCACGACGCCCTTATTCCAACCCAAGCCGGGGATGCTGCTCAGAAGGCTGGATCCACGGCCCCACTCCAGCTCACCTGGGCAGGGTGGCAGGCTCGGGGGAGTCTGCATCTTCTTCAAGCTCTCTAACAGTGGGTTGGTGCTTGGGGCCAGGAGGGAGGTGGGTGGGGAGGCAGGTGCAGCAGCAGGCAGGGTAAAGGTAAATGAAGGCTGAGTGATAGGTGGGGTCTCAGTGACAGAGTTCGAGGCAGCATCTAAGAAAGAAAGAAAGGTGAAGCAGTCCTGGCTTGTCTGGGACTTCTTTCCACATGCCTGTCGGAGAGCAGGCTCTCAGCACAGCTCATGGAGGAATGCCTGCCCTAAATTGCAGTGGTCCCTGCTGTCCAGTTCCCGTGAAGACCAACACGGATATCTCAGGTGAGAAAGACCACAAGAAAACATGGAACCCTACTTGGGATTTTCCCAGAGAAACCCATTTTTTCAAACACCAAAATAAAACCAAAGAAAACAGACACCTGAAACCTCTCCAGTGTGCAACAATCTGTGCTCCTTACCGCTCTTGTCCTCCAAGGCCTGGTTGAACCACTGTAATGAAGCCTTCTTCTCTAAGTCTAGGTCCTCGGCAGTGATCGAATAGCCAAGCTGGGGAGGTGGAGGCTACCAAAGTGAAAAAGAAGAAGTCAGGCCAATCAGAAAAAACGGGAAGGCTAGGCATGGTGGCTCACACCGGTAATCTCAGCACTTTGGGAGGCCAAGCCAGCTGGATCACTTGAGGTCAGGAGTTTGAGGCCGGCCTGGCCAACATGGTGAAACCCCATCTCTACTAAAAACACAAAAAATCAGCCAGGCGTGGTAGCAAGCACCTGTAATCCCAGCTACTTGGGAGGCTGAGGCAGGAGAATTGCTTGAACTCAGGAGGCAGAGGTTACGGTTAGCCAAAATCGAGCCACTGCACTCCAGCCTGGGTGACAGAGGGATGTTGTCTCAAAAAACAAAAACAAAAATAAATTAGAAAAAAAATCAGAAGAAACTTGTCCTTAGCGTTCCTAAGACTTAGGAGAGCTAAGCCGGGGAGGGCAGGAGTAGATGGACAAGACCATACCAAGGTCAGCTGTTCCCCTCGCCGAGAAGGCAGCAGCTGAACTTTCCGCTTACGCTGCCCAGAGCTGCCAGGTGTAGACTGAGAATTCGAGTTTTGTTTCTTCCTTGGGGTTGTATCTGCAGCTAAAGAAAGAAATCAAGACTCGTTTGCTTCCTTCCCTCTTCCAGAAATGGATGGTTGTGTCTACCCACTTCGCATTTCACACTGAGTTTTCAATGATGGTATCTCTGAAAAGATTCAATCTTCTATGGTTTGGTTGCTTGGATGGTGTTTGTAAGATTAAGGCGCGCACACAAACCGCTTACTGTGCAGTAATTACTGGGATCACCCACAGGTGACTCAAACTGAGCTTACCTCTATCCAATCGTTAGCCCCCGTCTGTAGCCTTTCTCCCTCATCAGACTATAAACTTCTGAAGGAGAGGAAATCTCTCTCTTTGTATCTAACATGCCTTAGACATAGCAATGCTCAAGACCTTTTTTCAATAGGTATTAATCTCTACATCCTCCACAAATACCTCCACCACCAACAGCAGCCCCTCCTCCTGGCTCAGCAACCTACCCTTTTCTCCCTGGGACTCCTTGTCTGCTGCCAATGGAGTTGAAGAACTGGAATGATGACACATCTCTTCTTCTCTGTTGGGAAAAAAGGAACAATTTAGTCTAGAAAGACTTCTTGGCTGAAGTATTAAATAATTTCTCACACCCTCCTAACTACCAAGTGGCCAACATCTAAAACAACCATCATTTAAGATCTCAGTATGCCAGGATAAAAAAAGTCAACAGGAAATTCCAACAGAATGAAGGGAGACTGTTCACAGAGGCCATGAAGACAGTTTTTGTCTTAAAACAAGCACAAAACAATAATCTTCAAACCTTACTTACAACCTACCAAGTCCCTGGGAGTTCTAGACACAGATGTGATCCCTGAGGGAGTGGCATTCCAGCCAACTGCAAGCACCTAGGGGATCAGCTCGAGTCAAGAACCTGAAGGTGACTGCCCGCTGACTTGACTCTCTCTGCTCTCCACTCTGCATGGCCTCTGTGCTTGCACCCGATCCCTCATGCTGGAGTGGGAGGCGACAGCCAGAGGCCACTGGAGTCAGTATCCAAGACTGTAGGGATGATAGTTGTTCAGGTGGGTGCTGCATTGTCCCTCTCAGGGACTTAGTTTCTTTGATTCTCCAAGTCACAGCAGCACAAAGCCTAAGAGCCAGGTTCGTTTCCCACCTTTCCTCACCCCCTTCTGTCCACGTAGCAAATGAAAACTGCAGGAGAATGCCGAATACCTTATTTTCTTTGCTGGCCTCTCCGGTGTCTGGGAGCGGGATGAGGCTGGGCTAGAGAAGGGTGATGAACTGGGGCCATTTCTCTTCCACAGCTAAAAATCAAGAGGGACATGACTGAGCCTGCTGATAACTTAGCATCTGACCCTCAACATGACAAAGTCTCTTTTTAAGTGACTAAAAAAATATTTTTTATGGTTAAATGGTTAGTCATGCCTGTAATCCCAGCATGCTGGGAGGCCAAGGTGGGAGGATTGCTTGAGCCCAGGAGTTTGAGACCAGCCTGGGTAACATAGCGAGACCCCCGTCTCTACAAAAAATTGAAAAATCAGTTGGGTGTGGTGGTTTGCATCTGTGGTCCCAACTACTCAGGAGGCTGCAGTGAGCTGAGATTGCCCCACTGCACTCCAGCCTGGGTGACAGAGTGAGACCCTGTCTCAAAAAAAAAAAAAAAAAAAAAAGAAAATGAAAATGGAAAAAATTTGTTTGTGAAGAAAGACCCCTGAAAAGAAAGTCAACTGCCAGTATTAATTATGAAAGCAAAAAAAGAAAAGTCTATAAAAGTAATGGAATGTGAATAAAGGTAGAAGGGATGGACACACTTTTGCATATATTAGCCTCAGTAATGAAGAGCCAGGACACATTCAAACCTGTGCCAGACTGTCTACGGAAAGGATACAAGTAAATTAAAGAAGACAACCCAGTAAACTAATTTAGTCTTGCTTCCATTAAATTTTCGATTTTTCATTTAGTAACTTCATTTTAAAAATACGCTGTCATGGCCAGGCGTGGTGGCTCACACCTGTAATCCCAGCACTTTGGGAGGCCAAGGGGGGTGGATCACGAGGTCAGGAGATGGAGACCATCTTGGCTAACACAGTGAAATCCCATCTCTACTAAAAATACAAAAAAATACAAAAAATTAGCTGGGCGTGGTGGCGGGTGCTTGTAGTCCCAGCTACTCGGGAGGCTGAGGCAGGAGAATGGCGTAAACCTGGGGGGCGGAGCTTGAAGTGAGCCAAGATCGTGCCACTGCACTCCAGCCTGGGTGACAGAGTGAGACTCTGTCTCAAAAAGAAACAAAAAACAAAAACAAAAACAAAAAAAGCACTGTCATAATATTTATGACTTTTGCAACAACGATGGCATTTATCATCATGTGATGATTATCCATACATCTGCCTCTTCCACCAGGTGAGTTCTTGACAGCAAAGATGGTGTTTTCATCTCTGCTTCCTCCACAGACCAGCAGCAAAGTAGATGGCACAGAGCGGACACTGCAAATAGTCTCGTAAGTGCTGAGCCTAATTACAAAGCCTAAACTGTCACCTCAGACCGTCTTTCCTACTTGAAAAGCTGCTAGTGATTTCTTACCCAGTACCAGCTACATCATATAAGTACAAACAGGAAGCCAACAATGCTTAATAAGAGTTCAAAAAGGGAAAAGAGGAAGCTTCAGACAAGTGGTAAGCAGCAGAACAGTTCAGTGAGGCCACCATCAGGAAGCCGGGCCCAGGAGGAGCTTGAGAAGACTGCTCACGGCAATAACAGTTGAAGTTACGCTCAAACAGCAAGAAAGGCCAGAGCACAATGGTTTAAAAAACATGGGATTACAGGCATATAAAAGAGCAGAATACAAAAATTCATCAAAGGGATCCAAGGATTGAATATATAAGCGGCATTTTCAATCACTTCAGATCCCTGACACTACCTCGCTGGTTCTCACACGACGGCTCATCAGTCACCTGTGGAACTTTTTTTTTTTTTGAGACGGAGCCTTGCTCTGTTACCAGGCTGGAGTGCAGTGGCGCGATCTCAGCTCACTGCAACCTCCGCCTCCCTGGTTCAAGCGATTCTCCTGCCTCAGCCTCCCGAGTAGCTGGGACTACAGGAACATGCCACCACACCCGGCTAATTTTTGTATCTTTAGTAGAGACAGGGTTTCACCATGTTGGCCAGGATGGTCTTGATCTCTTGACCTCGTGATCTGCCTGCCTTGGCCTCCAAAAGTGCTGGGATTACAGGCGTGAGCCACCACACCTAGCCACCTGTGGAACTTTAAAAGCACATAGATGGCCGAGTGCGGTGGCTCACACCTGTAATCCTAGCACTTTCGGAGACTGAGGCAGGAGAACTGCTTGAGCCCAGGAGTTTCGGACCAGCCTGGGCAACATAGCAAGACCTTACCTGTAGTTAAAGTAATAAAATTAAAACAATAAAAACCATAAACCTTGCATTTTTCTTCACAATGTGCTCCAGACACTGAGGGATACACATCACTGAGCAAGCAAGGGTCAGAAATGCCAAAGGGGCCGGACGAGGTGGCTCACGCCTGTAATCCTAGCACTTCAGGAGGCTGAGGCAGGAGGATCACCTGAGGTCAGGAATTCCAGACCAGCATGGCCAACATGGTGAAACCTCATCTCTTCTAGAAATACAAAAACAAGCTGGGCACGGTGGCTGATGCCTGTAATCCCACCACTTTGGGAGGCCAAGGTGGGTGGATCATGAGGTCAGGAGATTGAGACCATCCTGGCTAACATGGTGAAACCCCGTCTCTACTAAAAATACAAAAAATTAGCCGGGTGTGGTGGCAGGTGCCTGTAGTCCCAGCTACTTGGGAGTCTGAGGCAGGAGAATGGCTGGGAGACAGAGCAAGACTCTGTCTCAAAAAAAAAAAAAAAAAAAAAAAAAAAGGAATACAAAAATTAGCCAGGTGTGGTGGTGCATGCCTGTAATCCCAACACTTTGGGAGGCCAAGGTGGGAGGATCACTTGAGCCCAAGAGTTTTGAGACCAGCCTAGGTAACATAGTGAAGTCTCATCTCTACCAAGAAAAAATAAAGAAAAAAAAGAAATGCCAAAGGAGACTGTAATGATTAGCTAGGACTGGAAGACAACTGAACAACTGGTTTAACAATTAGGGGAAAAAAGTATTACTCCTCTACTTCATTGACTGTACATACACACTCATTTCAGATCTAACAAGACAAGGATGTTTATTATCATGTCTATTCAACTTAAAGTCCTAGCCAAGTGCAGCAAGACATAAACAGAATAAGATTGCAGAGGAAAGGAAAAACTCATTATCATAGACCTGAGTGTATGTACTAAAATCCTAAAGAACATACAGATTTAGCAAACTTTCTGAAAACAAAATCAGTTGTATTTCTACACACCAGCACAGTCAATCACATTTTGAAGGCACTATTTAGAATAGCATATATGAAGGCACTATTTAGAATAGCATATACCTAGGGCCAGGCGCCGTGGCTCACGCCTGTAATCTCAGCACTTTGGGAGGCAGAGGCAGGTGGATCACCTGAGGTCAGGAGTTTGAGATCAGCCTGGCCAACAAGGTGAAACCCTGTCTCTACTAAAACTACAAAAATTCGCCAGGTGTGGTGGCACGTGCCTGTAATCTCAGCTACTCGGAAGTCTGAGGCTGGAGAATCACTTGAACCCAGCAGGTGGAGGCTGCAGTGAGCCGAGATTGTAAATCTAATAAAAGAGAAGTAAAACCTCTACAGAGAAGAAATAGAGATGATGTAAATAAATGAAGGAGGCAGGACATGGTGGCTCACACCTACAATCCCAGCACCCAGGGAGGCCAAGGTGGGAAGATTGCTTGAGCTCAGGAGTTTGAGACCAGCCTAGGCAACATAGTGAGACTGTGTCTCTATTATAAGTTTTTTAAAATTAGCTAGGTGTGGTGATGCATGCCTGTGGTCCCAGCTACTCAAGAGGCTGAGGCAGGAGAATCGCTTGAGCCTGGGAGTTCAAGGCAGTAGTGAGCTATGATCATGTCACTGCACTCCAGCCTGGGCCACAGAGCAAGACCCCTTGTCTCAAAAGTTAAATAAATAAATAACGACATTCCATGTTCATAGATTAGAAGTAAACAAGGTCAATATTGTAACAATGTTAATTCCATCCAAAGTAATCAGTAGATGAAAGGCAATCCCAATCAGTATCTCAGAACTTTTTTTTTTTTGTGTGGAAATTGACAAGTTGATCTAAAAATTATATGAAAATGCAAAAGGCCAAGATACAAGACAGTCCTGAAGAGAAATGAGAAAGTGGGATGACTGACTCTATCAAGACTTAAAGTATAAGGCTAGGGGTAAAACAAAGACTGGCACAAGGTCTAGGTAGAAAAATAGACCAATGGAACAAAACAGAGTCTAGAAATGGACCCACATATATACAGACACTTAAATTAGACACAGACGGTGCTGCAGAGAAATAAGGATGGTCCTTTCAATAAATGTTGCTAAGAGAAATGGGTATTTCTACAGTAAAAAAAAACAACAACAACAACAAAAACCACCAACACCACCAAACACAAAAAAAACTAATTTTGATCCCAACCTCACACCATATACAAAAATTAATTTCAGGTGGTTTATGGATTTACATATAAAAGTAATAATAAAATAATAAAGCTTCTAGAAGGTAGCACAGAAGAAAATTATCATGACCTTAGGTTAGGTAGGCAAAGATTTCCTGAATACTACACAAAGTATGCTAACCACAAGGAAGTAGAATGGCAAGAGCAGGACACTTTTTTGTTGCAACACATACATGACAGACAGCTTGTATCTAGAATATATAAAGAGCGTATTCAAATCTCTAAGAAAAAGACAACAACTTGGGGCCAGGTGTGGTGGCTCATGCCTGTAATCCCAGCACTTCGGGAGGCCAAGGCGGACGGATCACCTGAGGTCACGAGTTCGAGACCATCCTAGCCAACATGGTGAAAACCCATCTCTACTAAAAATACAAAAATTAGCCGGGCATGGTGGTGGGTGCCTGTAATCCCAGCTACTTGGGAGGCTGAGACTGGGGAATTGCTTGAACCCAGGAGGTGGAGGTTGCAGTGAGCCAAGATCACAGCACTGCACTCCAGCCTGGGCGACAGTGCGAGACTCTGTCTCAAAAGAAAGAAAAAAAAAAAGACTGTACAGTAAAAAGTAAATTTCCTTTTTATCTCAGTAACGATTGCCAGTTTTTAATATATCCTGTAAGAATTATTTTATGCATATTAAAAGATTTTTAAAAGCCCGAATAATAGAGGATACTATACAGTTCTGAGCCTTGTTTTTATGTAATTGCTTTTTGAGATCATTCTCATGAGTACTTCTTCAGTTGCCTTATTCTTTTTCATAGTTACATAGTATATTCCAACTTACACCAATACTGTAAGTTATTCAATCAGCTCCCTGAAAAGATAACATGTACATTGTTTCCAAGCTGCTATTATTAAAAAAATGTTACATTAAATCCTTGTATCCATTTCCCAGTATGTGTGTAGGATAACTTCCTAAAGGTAAAGCTGCTTGATCAAAGGGTGCATGTATCTCTTATGTGGACAATTCCTGTCACAAAGCCCTCTAGAGAGCTGTACCAACTGACACTCCCACCTGCAACTCGTGAGGAGCCTGTTTCTTCTAACACTGCACTTCTATGGTTTCTATTTTACGTTCAAAACTTTGCTTCATTTGGAATAGGTTTCTCTACTATAGGAAAAACTCTTGAACATGAGATTTGGCTGGTAGCCCTTCAGAAAAATGGGTAAAGGATATGAACTAAGACTCACGGAAACAGAACTGAAAATAATCATTCAACATATGAACAGATGATCAAACTACTCATAAGAGACAAAAATTAGATACCTTTTTTTCTTTGAGACAGAATCTCACTCTGTCGTCCAGGCTGGAGGGCAGTGGCGTGAGCTCGGCTCACTTGACCTCTGCCTTTCAGGGTCAAGCAGTTCTCCTGCCTCAGCCTCCCAAGTAACTGGGATTACAGGCACAGACGACCACGCCTGGCTAAATTTTTTGTATTTTTAGTAGCAACGGGTTTTTGCCACGTTGGCCAGGCTGGTCTCAAACTCCTGATTTCAGGTGATCCACCTGCCTCAGCCTCCCAAAGTGCTGGGATTACAGGTGTAAGCCACCAAGCTCGGCTGGCTTTTTTTTTTTTTTGAGACAGAGTCTCACTCTGTCACCCAGGCTGGAGTGGAGTGGCGCTATCTCTGCTCACTGCAACCCCTGCCTCCCAGGTTCCTGATATTCTCCTTCCTCAGCCTCCTGAGTAGCTGGGATTACAGGCATGTGCCACCATGCCCAGCTAATTTTTATGTTTTTAGTAGAGACAGGATTTCACCATGTTGGCTAGGATGATCTCGAACTCCTGACCTCCAGTGATCTGCCTTCCTCGGCCTCTCAAAGTGCTGGGATTACAGGCATGAGCTGCCACGCCTGTCTTAGATACTATTTTTAACCTGTGAAATTGGTAAAAGCCCAGAGCTACAATAACCAAATCTGCTGGTGAGGCCATAGAGAAATGGTCCCTCTCATACAACGCTGAGGGGAATGCTGAGTGGTGCATGCTCTGTAGGGGGATTTAACAATATCCAGCAAAATTACATGCTCATTTAACCTTTGACCTGGGAATCTGACTTCTAGGAACTTTCCAGAGGCAAAATTGCCAAGGGTGAAATGACATATGAACAAATGTATTCTTTGCAGCATTATTTGTGATAGCAGAAGACTGAAACAACCCAACATTTGTCAACAGAGGACTAAAGTACCTATGCAGTTTTAAGACCAAAGATGAGTTTCTGTGTACTGCTATGGAATGACCTCAACTATCTATTATGTGAAAAAGCAAGGTTCAAATCTGTATATACTGTCTACTACCTTAAATGTTAGAAGGTGGCGGTTTTCAGATACACTGATATGCATATCGTTTAAAAAACAATAAAGGATAATCAAAAAATAAAAATGGAGAGGAAGGAAAAATGTAGAGTGGAAAGGGATGGAAACTGAATTTTTGAGTGTATCTTGTTTTAGTGTATTTTTTTTGAAACAACTTATTGTTTCAAAGATTTTACATAATTTAAAACAGAACTATTTCAAAAAGGAAAACACAGAAATCCCTGTAACTTTCAAACATACTGAACAAACGAACCTCACTGTATATAAAGTTGGTGTACCCAAAGGACAATTAACATTACTTTAAAACACGATATATTGATTACATGTCCCTAGCATTCACACAGGGATATAAAGACAAATGAATCACAATTCTTAAACTGACTTCAGCCGTCTTAATAATGACAGTGTTAACAATGACACTGATACTGCTTTTTTTAATAGCATCCCGCTCTTATTTCAGAATAAAAAAATTTTTAAGGTATGTTGAGTAAGAATCTATAGAGCAATGAAAATGCAAGAGCAATAGCTATGGGCACCAAATGGTCAATCTTCTTATCATAATGTTGAGTGGAAGAAGCCAGGTCCACCAGACACATGCTGCTCATTTATGCAAAGTTTGGACACAGGCAAAACAAAACTAGTTTGATCGTGATGGGAAACATTAGAGAAATGCAAAGACATGACCATCATAATTGTCAGGAGAAGGCATTGGTTAGGATTGGGAAGCGGCAAGCAGAAGCATTTAGGGATTGGCTGGCAATGTTTTACTTCTCGGCTGAGTGAGGGTTGCATCGGTGTTTATTTGATAACACGTTCTAGGGGCTGGGCAAGATGGCTCATGTTTGTAGTCTCAGTACTTTGGGAGGCCAAAGATGGGAGGATTGCTTGAGCCCGTGAGTTTGAGACCAGCCTGGGTGACATAGCGAGACCCTGTCTCTACAAAAAATTAAAAAAAAAAAAAACAAAAAAAACCAGCTGCGTGTGGTGGCACAGCCTCAAACTCCTGGGCTCAAGCGATCCTCCCTTGGCCTTCCAGCCACTCAGGAGGCTGGGGTGGGAGGATCGCTTGAACCCAGGAGTTTGAGGCTACAGTGAGCTATGAATGAGCCACTGCACTCCAGCCTGGGCAACAGGGCAAGACCCTGTCTCAAAAAAAAAAAAAATTTAATTTGAACACTTCTGTTTTGTGCAGTTTTCTCTGTTATATTTTACTTTTTAAAAAGAAAAAGCAGGCTGCTCACCTCCTGCTGTGCAGCCTGGTTCCTAATGGGCCACAGATGGTACTGGTCCATGGTTCAGGGGTTGGGGACCCCAATGTATAGTATTATTCTTACTTTGTAAAATAAAATGCATGTGTATTAATTTATGAAAAATAAGCATGAAGAATGAATCTGTAAAATGATATACCAAATTATTAGCAATGTCATCTGGAACCATATGATTCTCCTTTTATTTTCATTTATAAAAATATCTGGGTGGTGCATTGGTGAGACTGCAACTTTAAGAAGTGTGACTTTTCCCTCTCCCTCTCCCTCTCCCTCTCCCTCTCCCTCTCGCTCTGTCTCCCCACGGTCTCCCTCTCATGCGGAGCCGAAGCTGGACTGTACTGCTGCCATCTCGGCTCACTGCAACCTCCCTGCCTGATTCTCCTGCCTCAGCCTGCCGAGTGCCTGCGATTGCAGGCACGCGCCGCCATGCCTGACTGGTTTTGGTGGAGACGGGGTTTCGCTGTGTTGGCCGGGCCGGTCTCCAGCCCCTAACCGCGAGTGATCCCGCCAACCTCGGCCTCCCGAGGTGCCGGGATTGCAGACGGAGTCTCGTTCACTCAGTGCTCAATGGTGCCCAGGCTGGAGTGCAGTGGCGTGATCTCGGCTCACTACAACCTACACCTCCCAGCCGCCTGCCTTGGCCTCCCAAAGTGCCGAGATTGCAGCCTCTGCCCGGCCGCCACCCCGTCTGGGAAGTGAGGAGTGTCTCTGCCTGGCCGCCCATCGTCTGGGATGTGAGGAGCCCCTCTGCCTGGCTGCCCAGTCTGGAAAGTGAGGAGCATCTCCGCCCGGCCGCCATCCCATCTAGGAAGTGAGGAGCGCCTCTTCCCAGCCGCCATCACATCTAGGAAGTGAGGAGCGTCTCTGCCCGGCCGCCCATCGTCTGAGATGTGGGGAGCGCCTCTGCTCCGCCGCCCCATCTGGGATGTGAGGAGCGCCTCTGCCCGGCCGAGACCCCGTCTGGGAGGTGAGGAGCGTCTCTGCCCGGCCGCCCCATCTGAGAAGTGAGGAGACCCTCTGCCTGGCAACCACCCCGTCTGAGAAGTGAGGAGCCCCTCCGCCCGGCAGCTGCCCCGTCTGAGAAGTGAGGAGCCTCTCCGCCCGGCAGCCACACCATCTGGGAAGTGAGGAGCATCTCCGCCCGGCAGCCACCCCGTCCGGGAGGGAGGTGGGGGGGGGTCAGCCCCCCGCCCGGCCAGCCGCCCCATCCGGGAGGGAGGTGGGGGGTCAGCCCCCCCGCCCGGCCAGCCGTGCCATCCGGGAGGGAGGTGGGGGGGTCAGCCCCCCGCCTGGCCAGCCGTGCCGTCCGGGAGGGAGGTGGGGGGGTCAGCCCCCCGCCCGGCCAGCCGCCCCGTCCGGGAGGTGAGGGGCGCCTCTGCCCGGCCGCCCCTACTGGGAAGTGAGGAGCCCCTCAGCCCGGCCAGCCACCCCGTCCGGGAGGGAGGTGGGGGGGTCAGCCCCCCGCCTGGGCAGCCGCCCCGTCCGGGAGGGAGGTGGGGGGGGTCAGCCCTCCGCCCGGCCAGCCGCCCCATCTGGGAGGTGAGGGGCGCCTCTGCCCGGCCGCCCCTACTGGGAAGTGAGGAGCCCCTCTGCCCGGCCAGCCGCCCCGTCCGGGAGGGAGGTGGGGGGGTCAGCCCCCCGCCCGGCCAGCCGCCACGTCCGGGAGGGAGGTGGGGGGGGTCAGCCCCCCTGCCCGGCCATCCGCCCCGTCCGGGAGGTGAGGGGCGCCTCTGCCCGGCCGCCCCTACTGGGAAGTGAGGAGCCCCTCTGCCCGGCCACCACCCCGTCTGGGAGGTGTGCCCAACAGCTCATTGAGAACGGGCCAGGATGACAATGGAGGCTTTGTGGAATAGAAAGGCGGGAAAGGTGGGGAAAAGATTGAGAAATCGGATGGTTGCCGTGTCTGTGTAGAAAGAAGTAGACATGGGAGACTTTTCATTTTGTTCTGCACTAGGAAAGGTTCCTCTGCCTTGGGATCCTGTTGATCTGTGACCTTACCCCCAACCCTGTGCTCTCTGAAACATGTGCTGTGTCCACTCAGGGTTAAATGGATTAAGGGCGGTGCAAGATGTGCTTTGTTAAACAGATGCTTGAAGGCAGCATGCTCGTTAAGAGTCATCACCAATCCCTAATCTCAAGCAATCAGGGACACAAACACTGCGGAAGCCCGCAGGGTCCTCTGCCTAGGAAAACCAGAGACCTTTGTTCACTTGTTTATCTGCTGACCTTCCCTCCACTATTGTCCCATGACCCTGCCAAATCCCCCTCTGAGAAACACCCAAGAATTATCAATAAAAAAAAATAAATTAAAAAAATAAATAAATAAAAATAAAAATAGGAAAAAAAAAAAGAAAAAGCAGCTGGGCGCGGTGGCTCACGCCTGTAATCCCAGCACTTTGGGAGGCCAAGGTGGGCGGATCACCTGATGTCAGGAGTTCGAGACCAGCCTGACCAACATGGAGAAACCTCGTCTCTACTAAAAACACAAAAAATTAGCCGGGCGTGGTGGCGCATGCCTGTAATCCCAGCTACTCGGGAGGCTGAGGCAGGAGAATCGCTTGAACCTAGGAGGCAGAGGTTGCAGTGAGCTGAGATCGCACCACTGCACCCCAGCCTGGGCAATAAGAGTGAAACTCCATCTCAAAAAAAAAAAAAAAAAAAAAAAGGTACATGAAACATATGAAGCAAAAAGTGAAAGTCCCCATTCTTTTCCTTTTTCCAGAGGTGATTTTTGTGGCCAATCTGGTTTCATTCCCTCCCAGACACTTTTCTAGGCATCTATGTGCCTCTATTCACATATAAACAAAATAGGAGTTTTCCTGTGCTTCCCTTAAATGGCATATGTATCTTTCACTCTTTTTTTTCACCTAGTGGATCTTTAATACCTTAAAAGCTCAACCTGGGCTTGGTGCGGTGGCTCATACCTGTAATCCCAGGCCTTTGGGAGGCCAAGGTGGGAGGATCACTTGAGCTCAGGAGTTCCAGACCATTCCAAAGCAAAAACAAAAGGATTTTGAGATCAGTGTGGGCAACTTAGCAAAACACCATCTCTAAAAAAAAAAAAAAAAAAAAATTAGCCAAGCTTGGTGGTGTAAGCCTGTAGTCCCAGCTACTTGAGAGGCTGAGGTGGGAGGATTGTTTGAACCCAGGAGGTTGAGGCTACAGTGAGCTGTGATTGTGCCACTGCACTCCAGGTTGGGTAATGCAGCGAGACTGCGTCTCAAAAAATAAATAAAATAAAAAATAAATAAAAGCTCCACCTGTCTTCCTTTTAGATGTTGCATAGCATTTCACACAGTATTGATGTATTACAGCTCAACTAAATTAATCCCAGTATCTAGCACGTGGGGTGGTGGGAAGGATTAAGGGAGATAATATAAGCCAAGTGCCCAGAACAAGGGCTTGGCACACCAGGCTCGCCTTGAACAATTTGTTTTTTTGTTGTTTTGTGTGTGTGTGGTTTTTTTTTTTTGAGACAGCGTCTCATTGCATCACCGAGGTTGTAGTGCAGTGGTGCAATCGTAGCTCACTACTGTCTCAGACACCTGGGATCAAGCGATCCTCCCACCTCAGCCTCCGGAGTAGCTGGGACTACACATGCATCACCACACCCCACTAATTTTTAAATTTTTTGTAGAGACAGAGTCTCATTATGTTGCCTAGGCTGGTCTCAAACTCCTGGCCTCAATTAATCCTCCTCCCTTGGCCTCCCAAAGTGCTGGGATTACAGGGATGAGCCACTGTACCTGGCAGCCTTGAGTGATTTCTCACCTCCTCATTGGCCCAGTTTCCTTATCTGTAAATGAGAGTAGCTGTAAAATATGGTTAATGTGAGGACCAAACAGGTCAATTAGGGAAAAGCAGTGTCTCTGCCAGCACCTGACACTTCTTTTTTTTTTTGTGTGAGACAGTCTCACTCCGCTGCCCAGGCTGGAGTGTAGTGGTGCAATCTTGGCTCACTGCAACCTCCACCTCCCAGGTTCAAGCAATTCCCCTGCCTCAGCCTTCTGATTAGCTGGGACTACAGGTGCCTGCCACCACGCCTGGCTAATTTTGGAATTTTTAGTAGAGATGTGGTTTCACCATCTTGGCCTGGCTGGTCTTGAACACCTGAACTCAGGTGATCTGCCCACCTCAGCCTCCCAAAGGGCTGGGATTACAGGTGTAATGGTTAAGGAGGCAAATCTTAAATAAAGGCCGGGCACAGTGGCTCACGCCTGTAATCCCAGCTACTCGGGAGGCTGAGGCAGGAGAATTGCTTGAACCCGGGATTGCAGTGAGCCAAGATCGCACCACTACACTTCAGCCTGGGTGACAGAATGAGACTCCGTCTTAAAAAAAAAAAAAAAAAAAATTTAAATAAAATGCATGCAATGTGGTCCAGGCGTGGTGGTGCATGCCTGTAACCCCAGCACTTTGGGAGATAGAGGCAGGTGGATCCCTTGAGCTTAGGAATTTGAGACTAGGCTGGGCAACATAGTGAGACCTCATCTCTAAAATTAAAAAAATAAAAGCCACCAGAAAAAAACCTAAAAACATGCCAAGTGACATCAGTCTTTGATGAAAATGGCAGCAGAAGAGTGATGCCATGGGTGGGGGTGGGAAATGCTATTTCAGCAGAGAGGGAGCTGTCATGGAAGACACCATGTGGCTGGGCACGGTGGCTCACACCTGTAATCCCAACACGTTGGGAGGCCAAGGTGGGCAGATCACTTGAGGTCAGGAGTTCAAGACCAGCCTGGCCAACATGGCAAAACCCCATCTCTACTAAAATCCAAAAATTAGTCGGGTATGGCAGTGCACGCCTGTAATCCCAGATACTCGGAAGGCTGAGGCAGGAGAATCATTTGAACCTGGGAAGTGGAGGTTGCAGTGAGCCAAGATCGTGCACTCTAGCCTAGGTGATAAAGCGAGACTCAGTCTCAAAAAATAAAGGAAGAAAAAGAAACCAGGTGACTGTTGTGCCCGTCTCTTGTCCCCGATCTTTCTCCCAATCCTGAGGTCCATCAGCTGGAAGGACATATCCAGAGGCCGGGCGCGGTGGCTCACGCCTGTAATCCCAGCACTTTGGGAGGCTGAGGTGGGCGGATCATGAGGTCAGGAGATCGAGACCATCCTGGCTAACATGGTGAAACCCCGTCTCTACTAAAAATACACACACACACACACACACACACACACACACACACACACACACACACACACAAATTAGCCAGGCGTGGTTGCAGGCGCCTGTAGTCCCAGCTACTCAGGAGGCTGAGGCCGGAGAATGACATGAACCCGGGAGGCGGAGCTTGCAGTGAGCCGAGATTGCGCCACTGCACTCCAGCCTGGGTGACAGAGCGAGACTCCGTCTCAAAAATAAATAAATAAATAAATATTCCTTTTGCTACCTAATTTTGTATTCTTAAATCAGGCCTCCCAGGCCCCAGAAACTTGGATCTGCCCTTGTAGATAATACATCGCTTTTTGTTTCTGTTTCAGTGTAAAGAACTGGCCAAGTCCAAGGCAGAAGTGGCCTGCATCGCAGTGTACGAAACAGACGTGTTTGTCGTCGGAACCGAGAGAGGATGCGCTTTTGTTAATGCCAGGACGGATTTTCAGAAAGATTTTGCAAAATACTGTAGGCGTTTTAATTTTATCCTTTGTATTCCCAATCTCAAAAGGATCGCAGGCAAGACTTCCACAGTATTTTCTTCTAAGCTATCATAAGCATTCTCCTAGAAACGATCCTAACACATCTTCTTGGATTCAGCTTACCAAATAAACACTGCTTAACACTGCAGAGTCCAAGACAAATGGTCATTTTATTTTATACTAGGTCCTCAGCAGTACTCTGGTTTATTAGAATAAATTTCAAGGACATAGAACAAATTATCTTTAATTCCTAAAATAAACACCATTTTACAAAATACTCTTTAGTCCTTTCCAAAGGAAGGGGGAAAAACTTTTTCAGAGCTTGTTGTGTATTACTGCCTATTAATAGCCATTATACAATTACTCCTTTTTTCTTTTTTTCTTTATTTTTTTGAGACAGAGTCTCACTGTGTCACCCAGGCTGGAGTGCAGTGGTGCGATCTTGGCTCACCGCAACCTCCGCCTCCCAGGTTTAAGCGATTCTCCTGCCTCAGCCTCCCGAGTAGCTGGGATTACAGGCACCTTCCACCATGCCCAGCTAATTTTTATATTTTTGGTAGAGAAAGGGTTTCACCCTGTTGGCCAGGCTGGTCTCAAACTCCTGACCACAAGTGATCTGCCCACCTCTGCCTCCCAAAGTACTGGAATTACAGGTGTGAGCCACTGCACCTGGCCGTTTTTTCCTTTTCTTAGTATGGCAATTTCAGAGCCTTCAATATGCCACGGTGTGCTGCAAGCATCCAGTGTGAGTGAGTATATGTGGCCATATGTCAAGGAACTACTCTACAGTGTTAAAAACTACACCTTCTGCCGGGCTCGGTGGCTCACTCCTGTAATCCCAAAATTTTGGGAGGCCAAGGCAGATGGATCACTTGAGCTCAGGAGTTTGAGGCCAAGCTGGGCAACATGGCAAGACTCCATCTCTACTAAAAAATACAAAAAAAAATTAGATGGGCGTGGTGGCACTCGCCTGTTGTCTTAGCTACTCAGGAGGCTCAGGTGAGAGGATCTCTTGAGCCCGGGAGGTCAAGGCTGCAGTGAGCCGTGATCACACCACTGCACTCCAGTCTGGACCATAGAGCGAGACCCGGTCTCAAGACAAAACAAAACCAGACAAAAAACTACACCTTTTATGGTGGTAATCTCTAACACTGTAGGTTATTTACCAAGTATTGATATAGCAATTTAATATTCCTTGTAACCATGAAAGGATAAAAATCAGAAAGGTTCGTCAGAGGGTATAAGGGTGTGTGTGTGTGTGTGTGTGTGTATGTATGTACAGAGAGAGGGGTCTCTATGGATTGGCAGAAGGTATATAAAGTGTGTGTGTGTGTGTGTGTGTCTGTGTGTGTATAAGTAGATTAGATAGATAGGTAGATAGATAAATAAGAGAGGAATTATATACATATGTATATAGACAGATTAGATAAATGGATAGATGATAGATAAGAGAGAGGAATTATATATATATATGTATGTAGATAGCTTAGATGGATGGATAGATAGATAAGGGAGACAGGAATTATATATATATATATATGTATATAGATAGATTAGATGAATGGATAGAGAGAGAGAGAGAGAGATGAGAGAGGGGAGAATTGAGTGATAGATTGATTCAAATTTACTTCCGAGATCCCAAATTAAGGTCTCCACTATCAAGAAGACAGATTAAAAAATGAAGCCATCTTTAAATAATACAGTATGTAATTGATACACAAGAAGGGTATTCTCAATTCATTAATGTCAGATGCCAGTTGAATTTCTAATCACTGAAATTTACTTGTAGATTTTTTTAAGATTCATAGTTGCATGTTAATTTTGTTGTCGCAAATATTTTCTCTAGTATTCATCTTGTAATGAAACTGTTCTGAAATTGGTGTGATAATCTTTTTATATTTTCTTTTCTTTTAATAATGTCAACTTTTAGTTTAGATTCGGGGGGCACACGTGTAGATTTGTTACATGGGTATATCGTGTGATGCTGTGGTTTGGGGTACAGTAGTGAGCATAGTACCCCGTAGTTCATTTTGCAACCCTTGCCCCCACTTCCCTCTTTCCTCTAGGAGCCACCAGTGTCTATTGTTCCCATCCCCATCTTTATGTCCATGTGTACCCAAGGTTTGGCTCCCACTTACAAGTGAGAACATGTGGTATTTGGTTTTCTGTCCCTGCATTAATTTACATAGGATAATGGCCTCCAGCTGCCTCCACATTGCTGCAAAGGATATGATTTCTTTCTTTTCTATGGCTGCAGGTTTTTCGTTTTTGTTTTTGTTTTTTGAGACAGAGTTTTGCCCTTTCGGACAGGCTGGAGTGCAATGGCATGATCTTGGCTCACTGAAACCTCCACCTTCTGAGTTCAAGCCATTCTCCTGCCTCAGCCTCCCAAATAGCTGAGATTACAGGCATCTGCTACCACAGCCGGCTAATTTTTGTATTTTTTAGTAGAGACAGGGTTTCCCCATGCTGTCCAGCCTGGTCTTAGACTCCTGACCTCAGGTGATCCGCCTGCCTCTGGCTCCCAAAGTGCTGGGATTACAGGCGTGAGTCATCGTGCCCAGCTTTTTTTTTTTTTTTTTTTTTTGAGACAGGGTTTTGCTATATTACCCAGTCTGGTCATAAATTCCTGGGCTCAAGTGATCCTCCTGTCTTGGCCTCCCAAGTAGCTGAGATCTGCACCTGGCATGCATGCTAAATATTTGGTCAAGGGTTTATTTCTGGACTCCCTACTCTATTCCGTAGATCTATTTGTCTTTATGCCAGTATCATGCTGTTTTGATTACTTTATAATATGTTTTGAAATCAGGAAGTATGAGACCTCCAAATTTGCTCTTTTTCAAGATTATTTCTGTTATTCAGAGTCCCTTGGTGTTCCATATGAATTTTTTTTTTTTTTTTTTTTTTTTTTTTTTTTTTTTTTTGAGACAGAATCTCTCTCTATCGCCCAGGCTGGAGGGCAGTGGAGAGATCTCGGCTGACCACAACCTCTGCCTCCTCGGTTCAAGCCATTCTCCTGCCTCAGCATCCCGAGTAGCTGGGATTACAGGCACATGCCACCATGCCCAGCTAATTTTTTTTTTTTTTGTATTTTGAGATAGGGTTTCACCATGTTGGCCAGGATGGTCTTGAATTCCTGACCTCGTGATCCACCCTCCTCAGCCTCCCAAAAGTGCTGGGATTACAGGGTGAGCCACCGCGCCCAGCCCCATGTGAATTTTAGAGTGGATTTCTTAATTTGTACGAGAAATGCACTTGAGATTTTGATGGGGATTGCAATAATTCTGTAGATGGCTTTTGGTAGTACAGGTATCTTAGCAATATTAAGCCTGCCAATCCATGAACATGAGATGTCTTTCCATTTGTTTGTGTCTTCTTTAATTTCTTTTCTTTCTTTTTTTTTTTTTTTTTTTTGAGAGACGGAGTCTTGCTCTGTTGCCCAGGCTGGAGTGCAGTGGCTTGATCTCAGATCACTGCAACCTCTGCCTCCCAGGTTCAAGCGATTCTACTGCCTCAGCTTCCCAAGTAGCTGGGACTACAGGCATGCACCACCACACCCAGCTAATTTTTGTATTTTTAGTAGAGACAGGGCTTCGCCATGTTGCCCAGGCTGATCTTGAACACCTAACCTCAAGTGATCTGCCTGCCTTGGCCTCCCAAAGTGCTGGGATTATAGGATTATAGGCGTGAGCCACCACGCCCAGCCTGTCTTCTTTAATTTTTTTCAGCAGTGTTTTATTGTTTTAGTATACAGATTTTTCCCTTCCTTGATTAGGTCTATCCCTAAGGATTTTATTCTTTTTGATGCTATTGTAAATGGAATTGTTTTATTTCCTTTGCAGATTGTTCATTGTTACTGTATAGAAATGCAGTTGATTTGCTGTGTTGATGTAGTATCCTGCAACTTTGCTGAATATGTTGGAGTTCGAATAGATTTTTGTGTGGAATTTTTAGGATTTTCTACATACAAAATCATGTATCATCTATGAACAGAGATAATTTTACTTCTTTCTTTCAAATTTGGAGGCCTTTTTTTTTCTTACCTAATTTAATTGCTCTGGCTAGGACTTCCAAAACTGTGTTGAACAGAAGTGGGGAGAGAGGGCATCTTTCCCATTTCTTTTTTTTTTTTTTCTTTGAGATGGAGTCTTGCTCTGTTGCCCAGGCTGGAGTGCACTGGCTTGATCTCTGCTCACTGCAACCTCCGGATCCCAGGTTCAAGTGATTCTCGTGCCTCAGCCTCCTGAGTAACTGGGATTACAGGTGCGTGCCACCACACCTGGCTAATTTTTGTATTTTTTTAGTAGAGGTGGGGTTTCACCACATTGGCCAGCATGGTCTCAAACTCCTGACCTCAAGTGATCTGCCTGCCTCCGCCTCCCAAAGTGCTGGGATTACAGGGGTGAGCCACCGCACCTGGCCCATCTTTGCTATTTCTGATCTTAGCTATCAGTCTTTCATTGTTGAGTGATATTAGCCATGGACTTTTTATAAATGGCCTTTATTACATTGGTCATTTCCTACCACTTCTAGTTGGTAGAGTGCTTTTATCATGAAAGGATGTTCAATCTTGTCAAATGTTTTTCTGTGGCAATTGAGATGATCATGTGGCTTTTGTCCTTTATTCTGTCAATGTGGTATGTTACATTGATTGATGTAAATATGTTGAACCATCCTTGTATTTGAGGAATAAATTCCACTTGGGGCCAGGCACGCCTGTAATCCCAGCATTTTGGGAGGCCAAGGCGGGCAGATCACTTGAGGTTGGGAGTTCGAGACCAGCCTGGTCAACATGGGAAAACCCCGTCTCTACTAAAAATACAAAAATTAGCCAGGTGTGTGGTAGCAGGAGCCTGTAATCCCAGCTACTCGGGAGGGAGAGGCAGGAGAATCGCTCGAACCCGGGAGGCGGAGGTTGCAGTGAGCTCTCACCTGCCTGTGATGACCAACAGCATTTGGGATACCCAGTGTGGCACTCATTCCAGTGAGTTTTAGTGACACCCTCACCACACACAGCTTCCCAGTCACTTCCACTAATACTCCAGCTGGCTTCCCAGCAAGTCTTATCGAAGTCCCAGAGAATTCCAGAAGGGGCCAGGTGCAGTGGCTCACATATGTAATCCCAGCACTTTGGGTGGCTGAGGTGGGAGGATCGCTGGAGCCCAGGCGTTTGAGACCTGCCTGGGCAACATGGCAAGACCCTGTCTCTACAAAATACATATATATATATACATTTTTACATTGGCCTTTTTTCTTTTTTATTATTATTTTAAAAATATATATATCAGCTGGGTGTGGTGGCTCACACCTGTAATTCCAGCACTCTGGTAGGCTGAGGCTGGCGGATCACCTGAGGCCAGGAGGTTGAAACCAGCCTGGCCAACATGGCGAAACCCCATCTGTACTAAAAATACAAAAATTAGCTGGGCGTGGTGGCATGCACCTGTAATCCCAGCTACTCGGGAGGCTGAGGCAGGAGAATCACTTGAACCCAGGAGGTGGAGGTTGCAGTGAGCCAAGATCGTGCCATTGCACTCCAGCCTGGGTGACAGAGCAAGACAAAAAAAAAAAAAAAAGGGAAAGGAAAAAGGAAGAAAGAAAATTCCAGAAGGAGGTTTCGCAGTGAATTTCAGTGGCACCATACCCACAGGCAGTTTCCTAGGGAGTTCCACCAGTTCCCCAGAGCATGGCTTCCCAGCAAATTCTCTTGGCATCACCCTCCAGGTAGCTTCCAGAGAGTTCCACTAGCACACTAGAGGCCATCTTCCTTATAACGCCCAGAAAGTGTTGCAGGCACCCACAGGGTAACTGTCTAGTGATTTCCACCAGCACCCCCAGAAAGCAGGCCCCTGCTTGCCAGCCACCACATGGACACCCCCACAGGCTTCCCCACTATCCAGTGGGCCGTGACCAAATCCTGTTTAATGAGGTCTGGATCTCGGCCCTGGGGAGCCACCCCATTCCTGGATTTGCTCCCTCCTGGGTCCCCTGCCTTAGCCCAGCAGTCACAGATGCTCTTGCAATTTGCTGCTTATGTTCTCTTTAGAGTCCTCAGTCCCTCTAGCAGCTAATCCCATGTTACCAGTTGACGACTCTTCTAGGAAACTTCACCTGTTGGTGTAAATTAGTACAAGCTCTATGGAAAACAGTATGGAGATTTCTCAAAGAACTAAACATAAACCTCCATTCAATCCAGCAAGCCCACTACTTGGCATCTACCCAAAGGAAAATAAATCATTCTATCAAAAAGACACCTGCCTTGAACGTTTATCACAGCACTATTCACAATAGCAAAGATGTGCAAATCAAGCTAAGCATCCATCACCAGATGACGGGACAAAGAAAATGTGGTACGTACACTATGGGATACTATTCAGCCATAAAAAAGAATGAAATGGCCGGGCATGGTAGTGCACGCCTATAATCCAAGCACTTTGGGAGGCTGAGGCGATGGATCACTTGAGATCAGTAGTTCTAGACCAGCCTGGCCAACATGGCGAAACCTCGTCTCTACTAAAAATATAAAAGTTAGCCGGGGGTGGTGGTGCATGCCTGTAATCCCAGCTACTCAGGTGGCTGAGGCACAAGAATTGCTTGAACCCGGGAGGCAGAGGTTGCAGTGAGCCGAGATCATGCCATTGCACTCCAGCTTAGGCGACAGAGTAAGACTCTCTCAAAAAAAAAAAAAAAAAAAAAAAAAGAATGAAATGATGTCTTTTGCAGCAACATGGATGGGATTGGGGGCTATTGTCTTTATCATTTGACGTAAAAAGGCAAATGCGGCATGTCCTAACTTACAAGAGGGGCTAAATAATAGGTACACATGGACATAGAATGTGAGGCTAGGTGCAGTGGCTCACTCCTATAATCCCAGCACTTTGGAAGGCCGAGGTGGGCAGATCACTTGAGGCCAGGAGTTCGAGACCAGCCTGGTCAACATGGTGAAACCCTGTCTCTACTAAAAATACAAAAATGAGCCTGGTGTAGTGGCGGGTGCCTGTAATCCCAGTTACTAGGGAGGCTGAGGCACGAAAATCTCCTGAACCCAGGAGGCAGAGATTACTGTGAGCTGAGATTGCGCCACTGCACTCCAGCCTAGACGACAGAGTGAGACTCTGTCTCAAAACAAACAAACAAAAACATGGTCATAGAGTGTGAAATAACAGACACTGGAGACTCAGGGGTGGGAGGCAGGAGGTGGGTAAGGGATGATAAATTACTTCATGGGTACAATGTACATTATTTGGGTGATGAGTACACTAAAACCCCAGACTTCACCAACAACACCGTATATCCATGCAAGAAAACTATACTTGGCGGGGTGTGGTGGCTCACGCCTGTAATCCCAGCACTTTGGGAGGCCGAGGCGGGCGGATCACGAGGTCAGGAGATCGAGACCATCCTGGCTAACGTGGTGAAACCCCATCTCTACTAAAAAATACAAAAAAATTAGCCGGGCGTGGTGGCAGGCACCTGTAGTCCCAGCTACTCAGGAGGCTGAGGCAGGAGAATGGCGTGAACCCGGGAGGCAGAACTCGCAGTGAGTGGAGAACATGCCACTGCACTCCAGCCTGGGTGACACAGCGAGACTCTGTCTCAAAAAAAAAAGAAGAAAGAAATAAAACTATACTTGTGCCCCTTACATTGATACAAAAAAAAAAAACCTTTCTGTGTTCAAATTACTATGTGGTTTCTCTCTTCTGACTAGACTGATGAAAACAATCAGTTTTAAAACTTTTGGAGGAGCAATTGATTCTGGGGCTGGTCTTGAATGGGTTCAGGGGTATAGTCTTCCTATACAATTATTGCCACGTTTCAACTGTATAGCAAATCAAATTTCTGTTATAAAGATAATTTCTGGATGGGTGCAGTGCCTCACATCTGTAATCCCAACACTTTGGGAGGCTAAGATGGGAGGATCACTTGAGGCCAGGAGTTAGAGGCCAGCCTGGGCAACATAGTGAGATCCCATCTCTAAAAAAAATTTAAAAGTTAGCCAGGTGTGATGGGGCACTCCTGGAGGCTGAGGTGGGAGGACCGCTTAAGCCCAGAAATTTGAGGCTGCCGGGAACTTCGATCATCCCACTGCACTCCAGCCTGGGCAGCAGAGTGAAACCGTCTCTAAAAATAATAATTTCCTTAAACTACTACTATTTCTTTATATGTTGATTTTTTTATAGTTCATTAACCTGTTTATCATAAATACAATTTTTTCTTGTTTTTCTTTAAAAGATCTTGTTTTATATTTATCCACTTTTTTCCCCTTTTTTCTTTCAATACCAGAAACAAAGTACGGAAGTGTACAGCACAAATGCTTAGAAACTGACCTAATGCCAATCATCCATTTGCAGGCGTTGCAGAGGGACTGTGTGAGGTGAAACCTCCCTGCCCTGTGAACGGGATGCAGGTCCACTCGGGCGAAACGGAAATACTCAGGAAGGCAGTGGAGGACTATTTCTGCTTTTGTCATGGTAACGTTCACTTTAAGCATTAATTCTATTTTTTTTTTTTTTTTTTTTTTGAGATGGAGTCTTGCTCTGCCACCCAGGCTGGAGTGCAGTGGTGCGATCTCGGCTCACTGCAACCTCCGCCTCCTGGGTTCAAGCAATTCTCCTGCCTTAGCCTCCCAAGTAGCTGGGATTACAGGCGCCCACCACCACACCCAGCTAATTTTTGTATTTTTAGTAGAGATGGGGTTTCACCATGTTGGCCAGGCTGGTCTCAAACTCCTCACCTTGTGATCCGCCTGCCTTGGCCTCCCAAAATGCTGGGATTATAGGCGTGAACCACCACGCCCAGCCAAGCATGAATTCTCTAAGTGGTTCACCCAGGAGTAGGACAGTGTCACAGACAGTCTTATTGCCATGACTACTTAGAATGTTTGAACATTTCAAAACCCATATGCTTATCAAGCGAGGAGCTAGTTCTTTTTTTTTTTTTTTTCTGAGAGGAGTCTTGCTCTGACACCCAGGCTGAAGTGCATTGGCACAATCTCAGCTCACTGTAAACTCTGCCTCCTGGGTTCAAGCGATTCTCCCACCCCAGCCTCCTAAGTAGCTGGGATTACAGGTGCCCACCACCTTGCCCAGCTAATTTTTGTATGTTTAGTAGAGATGGGGTTTTGCCATGTTGGCCAGGTTGGTCTCGAAATCCTGACCTCAGGTGATCCTCCTGCCTCGGCCTCCCAAAATGCTGAGATTACAGGTGTGAGCCACCATGCCTGGCCACCAGTTCTTTTTTTTTTTTGAGGCAGAGTCTCGCTCTGTTGCCCGGGCTGGAGTGCAGTGGCTCAATCTCGGCTCACTGCAAGCTCCGCCTCTCGGGTTCCTGCCATTTTCCTGCCTCAGTCTCCTGAGTAGCTGGGACTACAGGCACCCACCACCGCGCCCGGCTAACTTTTTTTGTATTTTTTGGTAGAGACGGGGTTTCATTGTGTTAGCCAGAATGGTCTCGATCTCCTGACCTCGTGATCCACCCACCTTGGCCTCCCAAAGTGCTGGGATTACAGGCGTGAGCCACCGCGCCCGGCCCACCAGTTCTTAATTACCAGATTAAGTGTTCTTATAGAAGATGATGTGGATCTTGGATCTTCTGCTCTGTGGAAACTTCTGTATTGATCACTCTTTCTTCCTTGATCCCATTTTAGAGAGCCCCGCATCAAGGCCAGTGTATTGCTAAAGACAGTCAATGTTGGCTCAGTCACCTCCCTCACCCCTCAGTTGTCACTCCACCTACCCATGTCTTTCCATAGGCATGAAGATGGGAATTAAAAAAAAAAAAATACGCTGGGCATGGTGGCTTGAGCCTGTAATCCCAGCTACTTGGGAGGCTAAGGTGGGAGGATCATTTGAGCCCAGGAGTTTGAGACCAGACTGAGCAACATAGTAAGACCCTGTCTCTACAAAATAAAATAAAAATAATTTTCAAAAATCCTTTGCAGTGTTTTAAAAAGCTAGATAACAGGCTGGGCACGGTGACTCACACCAGCTACTTGGGAGGCTGAGGTGGGTGGATCACCTGAGATCAAGAGTTCGAGACCAGCCTGGCCAACATAGTGAAACTCCGTCTCTACTAAAAATACAAAAATTAGTCGGGCATGGTGGCAGACGGCTGTAATGCCAGCTACTCAGGAGGCAGAGGCAGGAGAATTGCTTGAACCCAGGAGGCAGAGGTTGCAGTGAGCCCAGTCGAGACCCTGTCTCTTAATTAAAAACAAAAACAAAAACAAAAAAAACTAGGCTGGGCTCAGTGGCTCGCCTGTTATCCTAGCACTTTGGCAGGCTAAGGTGGGTAGATCGCCTGAGCTCAGCCGTTCGAGACCAGTCTGGGCAACATGGTGAAACCTCATCTCTACTAAAATACAAAAGAAATTAGCTGGGCATGGTGGTGTGTGCCTGTAGTCCCAGCTACTCGGGAGGCTGAGGCAGGAGAATTGTTTGAACCCAGGAGGTGGAGGTTGCAGCGAGCCGAGATCTTGCCATTGCACTCCAGCCTGGGTGGCAGAGCGAGACTCTGTTTCTACAAAACAAAAAACAAAAAACAAACAAAAAAAAACTGGTAGAACGTTAGGTTCACACCATCCAAAGACGTTTGCATCTTCTTGTAGGTAAAGCCTTAGGGACAACAGTGATGGTGTCTGTTCCCTATGAGAAGATGCTGCGAGACCAGTCGGCTGTGGTAGTGCAGGGGCTTCCGGAAGGCGTTGCCTTTCAACACCCTGAGAATTACGACCTTGCAACCCTGAAATGGATTTTGGAGAACAAAGCAGGGATTTCATTCATCATAAATAGGTGACACACTCTGCACCCCCGCCCCTTCAGTTCATTTAAAGATGAAACCAATAGCCTAATTTTAATTCACTCGTGCATCCCGCCTGCTGCGTTTCAGAGCTGACTGTTCAGATGTGTCATGCTTTTTTCATTGGTCCGTGCTGGGTAATGGTGTTGCTTTTCTTGCAGACCCTTCCTAGGACCAGAGAGTCAGCTGGGTAAGTGACAGCTTCTCAGGTTTGGTGGCTCTTCTGAGCTGCTGAACCACTTCTTCTTCATTAAAACTTGAATTGGGGGCCGGGCGTGATGGCTCACACCTGTAATCCCAGCACTTTGGGAGGCTGAGGCAGGTGGATCACAAGGTCAGGAGATCGCGACCATCCTGGCTAACACAGTGAAGCCCAGTCTGTACTAAAAATACAAAAAAAAATTAGCCGGGCATGGTGGCGGGTGCCTATAGTCCCAGCTACTCGGGAGTCTGAGGCAGGAGAATGGCGTGAACCCGGGAGGTGGAGCTTGCAGTGAGCGGAGATCGCGCCACTGCACTCCAGCCTGGGCGACTGAGCAAGACTCCGTCTCAAAAAAAAAACAAAACTTGAATTTGGGTGAGGGGAGGGAACTTAGAGGACAGGCCAATAGGTGCAGCAAGCCATCGTGGCACACATGTGCCTAGGAAACAAACCTGCACATTCTGCAGATGTATCCCCCCCTTTTTTTTTTTTAGAAGAAATAAAGAATATTTTTTAAAAAAAGAAAAATACATTTGTAGCTATTAAAAAAAAATTGGCCGGACGCAGTGGCTCACACCTGTAATCCCAGCACTTTGGGAGGCAGAGGTGGGCAGATCACTTGAGGTCAGGAGTTCGAGACCAGTCTAGTCAACATGGTGAAACCCCATCCCTACTAAAAATACCAAAGTTAGCCAGGCATGGTGGCGGGTGCCTGTAATCCCAGTTACTCGGGAGGCTGAGGCAGGAGAATCACTTGAACCCGAGATGTAGAGTTTGCAGTGAGCCAAGATTGTGCCACTGCACTCCAGCCTGGGTGACAAAATGAGACTGTGCCTCAAAAATAAATAAATAAAGAAGAATAAAAGAAGATGTCTTGCTGAGACTGCCTAAGTGGAGTAAGGAGACGGCAGGGGTGGGGGGTGGCACAGTTCACAAGGCACCTGCTGGGTGTATGACATGCTTCAGTTCTTCTTAGCCGGGGACTAAACACAGTGGAAAGTCTGTTTCGGGAGGGTTGGTGAGTTCCTGTCATCCTCTAACTCACATTAAAGGACAAATGAGAGGGGCAGGGTGGCAGGTGGCCATGGATTGTTGTCCCAACTGACTTGTATCATCATCATAGAAAAACAATAATACAGTGGTCCCCCCTTATCCTCGGGGAATATGCTCCAAGACCCCCAGTGGATGCCTGGACCCATGGGTAGTACAGAACCCTTCATATACTATGTTTTTCCCTAGCCATACATACCTAAGAGAAAGTTTAATTTATAAATCAAGCACAGGCCAGGTGTGGTGGCTCACGCCTGTAATCCCAACACTTTGGGAGGCCGAGGCGGGTGGATCATCTGAGGTTAGGAGTTTGAGACCAGCCTGGCCAACATGGTGAAACCCTGTCTCTACTGAAAATACAAAAATTAGCCGGGCGTGGTGGTGCGTGCCTGTAGTCCCAGCTACTCGGGAGGCTGAGGCGGGAGAATTGCTTAAACCCGGGAGGCAGACGTTGCAGTGAGCCGAGATCGTGCCACTGCACTCCAGCCCAGGCAACAGAGCAAGATCCATCTCAGTAAATAAATCAATAAATCAAGCAAAGTAGGAGATTAACAGCAATAACTAAAGATAAAATAAAATGATTATAACAATATGCCTTCATTACTACTCTTGCACTTTGGGGCTATTATGAAGTCAAATAAAGGTGACTTGAGCACAAGCACCCTGGCCTTCCCAGGACTGTCAGTCTGATAACAGAGCCAGCTACTCAGTGACTAGTGGGAGAGTAGTGTAGACAGCGTGGATTGCAGGACAAAGGGATGAGTCACGTCCCAGGCGGGACGGCACGACACTTCATCACGCTGCTCAGAACAACGTGTGATTTCAAACTTCTGAATTATTTCTGGAATTTTCCGTTTACTCTTTGCAGACTTTGGTTGACCTTGGGGAGCAAACCGAGGACCGCGAAACCACAGATCAAGGGGGAGCTCGTGTCATAGCAGCTCTAACTTAGTGCTTACAACATGCAGGCACTGTTCTAGTCATTTTGCGTATATTCATGAATCCTCCCACAACCACCGTGTTCACGAGGAAGCGGAGGCAGAGGGAGGTTTAGTGAGTTGCTGGAGGCAGCCCAGCTGGTGAGCTGAGGCTCAGCCGCACGACCGTGCTCTGGCCCCAAAACACTCCTCGGTAACCCCCATCCTGCCCACACAAATGGCCCCGGAACACAGCGGCTGCTTTGAGTCAGTTTCTCTCTCGATGACTTTTCCACGTTGGCTTCGATCTGGGAGTTCCGTTTTCTGTGTATTTGCTGTCAATTTCTATGCCTTTGGATGTTAGTCATTTTCCGAGGTGCTAAAAGGGGCTGGTGTGTGTTTTTTCATTCCTCTACAGGTGGCCCTGGGATGGTAACAGATGCGGAGAGATCCATAGTATCACCAAGTGAAAGGTAAAAGATAAATCACAGCAACCAAAATCCACAACTATGCACAGTGTTCGTTTTTGGATGACAGAAAGGCCTCCTTACAGCATTTAAGTGGAGTGTAAAGGGTTAATGTGCTTCTTCCCTTCCTTATTTTCTATCCTATTCTTTGTCCAAAAGGACCTTTGGAATTAGAAGACTATTTTCGGTAGACACGTTTAATTTGGGAACAACTTATTAAGACATTAATGTTAAAATGGAGGCATTGTTGCATTTGATTGAGGGGAGGAGGGGGATTTGGTGCTGCGGAGATCCAGGGCATTTGAGCTCATCGTGTCCAGGCGGCTGTGCCTGGTCCTCACCCTGCCCATCTGACCAGGGTTCCCTTCTCCTTGCAGCTGCGGCCCCATCAATGTGAAAACTGAACCCATGGAAGATTCTGGTGGGTACCAAGATGCTTTTAGAATCAAGTATCGGCCAAGCGTGGTAGCTCACGCCTGTAATCCCAGCAATTTGGGAGGCCGAGGCAGGCGGATCACTTGAGGTCAGGAGTTCAAGACCAGCCTGGCCAACATGGTGAAACCCCGTCTCTCCTAAAAATACAAAAATTAGCCAGGCGTGGCTGTGCGTGCCTGTAATCCCAGCTACCAGGGAGGCTGAGGCAGGAGAATTGCTTGGACCTGGGAGGCTGAGGCTGCAGTGAGCTGAGATGGCGCCACTGCACTCCAGCCTGGGTGACAGAGCAAGACCCTGTCTCAAAAAAACAAACAAGGCTGCGCACGGTGGATCACGCCTGTAATCCCAGCACTTTGGGAGGCTGAGGCGGACAGATCGCCTGAGCTCAGGAGTTCAAGACCATCCTGGCCAACATAGTAAAACCCTGTCTCTACTAAAATACAAAAAATTAGCTGGGCATGGTCGTGTGCGCCTGTAGTCCCAGCTACTTGGGAGGCTGAGGCATGAGAATTGCTTGAGCCCGGGAGGTGGAGGTTGCAGTGAGCCAAGATCGCACCACAGCACTCCACCTTGGGCTACAGAGTGAGATTCTGTGTCAAACAAAAACAAAAAAAAAAAACAAACAAAAAAAAGAACCAAGTATCTAGCAGGTTATCATTTGACACCTTTCTTTTGTTTTATCAAATAAATAAATAAATAAAGACCAGGGCGTGAATTAACCTCAGTGGAGCCTCATTTGCAGAAGAACCATTATTTTACTCAAATATCTAGAAAACAAGCCTTGGCAGGGTGTGGGGGCTCATGACTGTAACTCCAACACCTTGGGAGGCCGAGGCAGGCAAATTGCTTGAACCCCGGAGTTCAAGACCAGCCTGGCAACATGGCGAGACTTCAT
This sequence comes from Homo sapiens, assembly GCF_000001405.40. Classification (NCBI taxonomy): domain Eukaryota; kingdom Metazoa; phylum Chordata; class Mammalia; order Primates; family Hominidae; genus Homo; species Homo sapiens. The sequence continues at coordinate 73,265,202 of NC_000007.14, read as the reverse complement.
CTCTGCAAAACATATAAAAAATGGTGGTGCATGCCTGTGATCCTAGCTACTCAGGAGGCTGAGGTGGGAGGATCGCTTAAGCCCAGGAGGTTGAGGCTGCAGTGAGCTGTAATGGTACCACTGCACTCCGGCCTGGGTGACAGAGAGAGACGTTGTCTCAAAAAAAAAAAAAAAAAAAAGAGAGAGAGAGAGAGAGAGGGAGCCTTCTAATTCAGTACATAAATGGGGACTAAGATGTTATTAAATACACATACTTTTGGACAGAATATTATTTTATTTATAGTTGAATGAGAACCTGAATTTGAAATGAGTAAAACATTTTGAATATAAATTTGGAATTATTACTTGACTCACAAATAGAGCAGTGTTTTCATTTTTGGACATATACTACTGCTTTTTTGGACTTTTCTGTCATTTCTAAATGTTTTACAATATAGGTACATTACTATGACAGTGTATACTGGAAAAAAAATCCCTCTTCAATGGGGTTGACCCCATTCTTGCTTCTCCTCACTCCTCAATAAAAGAAAACCAGCATTAATTAGAGGAAAAATGTTAACAGGTTAAGATTAAAAAAAAAAAAGCTTAGGCCGGGTGTAGTGGCTCACACCTGTAATCCCAGCAATTTGGGAGGCCAAGGTGGGCGGATCACTTGAGGTCAGGAGTTTGAGACCAGCCTGGCCAACATGGTGAAACACTGTCTCTACTAAAAATACAAAAAATTAGTTGGGCATCATGGCAGGCGCCTGTAATCCCAGCTACTCAGGAGGCTGAGGCACAAGAATCGCTTGAACACAGGAGGCAGAGGTTGCAGTGAGCCGAGATCACACCCCTGCATTCTAGCCTGGGTGACAGAGCAAGACTCTGTCTCAAAAAGAAACAACAACAAAAATAATTTAAAACCCAAATGTTCAATCAAGGGATGGGAAAATACTGAAAGCATTACAAGTTGAAAGGTTCACGCCTGTAATCTCAGCACTTTGGGAGGCTGAAGCAGGAGGATCGCCTGAGTCCAGGAATTTGAGACCAGCCTGGGCAACAAAGCGAGACCCTGTCTCTACAAAAAATATTTATAAATAAAAAATTAGCCAGACATCGTAGCACGCACTTATAATCCCAGCTACTTGGGAGGCTGAGGTTGGAGGATCACTTGGGCCCAGGAGATAAAGGCTGGAGTGAGCCATGATTGCACCACTGCACTCCGGCCTGGGTGACAGAGCGAGACCCTGGCTTCAAAGAATAATAATCATAATCCAAAAGAAAAACAATATTCTGTGTTAAGAAACAAAGACCTGGCTGGGTCTAGTGGCTCACGCCTGTAATCCCAGCACTTTGGGAAGCGGAGGCAGGCAGATCACCTGAGGTCAGGAGTTTGAGACCAGTCTAGCCAACATGGTGAAACCCTGTCTTTACTAAAAATACAAAAATTAGGCGCCACCACGCACGCCTGTAATCCCAGCTACTTGGGAGGCTGAGACAGGAGAATCGCTTGAACCCAGGAGGCAGAGTTTGCTGTGAGCCGAGACTGCGCCATTGCACTCCAGCCTGGGTGACAGAGTGAAACTCCGTCTCAGAAAAAAGGAAAGAAAGAAAGTTCTAGAGAAAAGAAAAATAGAGCCTTTAGCATGAGTAAAATGAAGGAAGGACAGCAGCGTCTCTAAGACAGTGAAGATGTGGTTTATGCTTCGCAGTTCCTGGGATTCCTTGGGAGGGTCCAGGGACACAGTGGATGGGTCTCCTTGGCCCGCCTCCTCCTTTGTCACACCCAAGGATCTTTTCGCCACAACTGTGGGTGCGCATGTCCCCTTCCACTCCCATGCAAACAAGTGCTTAGCAGAAGCTCCAGCTTCAGATGAGAGTCTGAACAAAAAATGGTGCTTCTCCTGTGCAGTGTGGTTCTAGGTCAAACCAAGACAAGTTGAATGGAAAGAAACGGGCGCAGTATTTCAGCTCAGCACAATTCAGCTGTGAGCACAGGTCAGCTGTGGAATCTTGGTCTCGTTTCTGACGTGACAGGCCTCAAACTCTTGCCCACTCAATATTAGCCTTGGATGTTTTCAGAGCTCAGATATCTTCTGCCTGTGTCTTACCTGGTCACAGAGAATTAAAAGAATACCCCAAGCCACAGGCTCCACATACAAACTGGGAAGATGAGGCCAGGCACGGTGGCTCACGCCCATAATCCCAGCAATTTGGGAGGCCAAGGTGGGCGGATCACCTGAAGTCAGGAGTTCGAGACCAGCCTGGCCAACATGGTGAAACCCCATGTCTACTGAAAATACAAAAATGAGCTGGGCGTGGTGGTGCATGCCTGTAATCCCAGCTACTCAGGAGGCTGAGGCAGGACAGTTGCTTGAACCCAGGAGGCGGAGGTTGCAGTGAGCCAAGATGGCACCACTGCACTCCAGCCTGGGTGACAGAGCAAGACTGTCTCAAAAAGAAAAGAAAAAAAGAAAAAAGAAAGAACCTGGGAAGATGAAGGGGGTGAGAGTGAGAAGTGATCAGTGTCCCCAGGGGCTGAGTTTCCTTCCTCACCAGCTGTTGGGCTAGATCTGTGGTTCTCACGTGCCTTTGTTGGAGATGTGGTTTCATTTGAACAAAAATATGCTTCCTTATTCACAAAACTTCCTACTGTAGACTTTATAAAGCGATATGGATTGCTACCAGCTGCCAGCAGGCTCCTGAGAGCTGGTCCTCAATTGGTCCTTATTTCTTGTGATATGTGTGTAGCATTTGCTACAAAAACAAACCATCTCCCTGGTTTTAATTTATTTTCTCTTTCTTTCTTTCTTTCTTTCTTTCTTTCTTTCTTTCTTTCTTTCTTTCCTTCTTTCTTTCTTTCCTTCTTTCTTTCTTTCTCTCCTTCCTTCCTTCCTTTCTTTCTTTCTTGTCTTGCCAGGCTGGAGTGCAGTGGCACGACCTCAGCTCACTGCAACCTCTGCCTCCCAGGTTCAAGTGATTCTCCTGTCTCAGCCTCCTGAGTAGCTGGAATCATAGGTGCACGCCGTCACACCTGGCTAATTTTTTTGTATTTTAGTAGAGACAGGGTTTCACCGTGTTGCCCAGGCTGGTCTCAAACTCCTGAACTCAGGTAATCCACCCTCCTCGGCCTCCCAAAGTGCTAGGATTACAGACATGAGCCACCGCACCAGGCCAATTTTTTTTTCTTTTCTTGAGACAGTCTCACTGTTGCCCAGACTGGAGTACAGTGGTGTGATCTCAGCTCACTGCAACTTCCGCCCCCCGGGTTCAAGTGATTCTCCTGCTTCAGCCTTCCGAGTAGCTGGGATTACAGGTGCCCACCACCACACCTGGCTGGTTTTTGTATTTTTAATAGAGACGGGGTTTCACCCTGTTGTTCAGGCTAGTCTCGAACTCCTGACCTTAAATGATCTGCCTACCTTAGCCTCCCAAAGTGCTGGGATTACAGGTCTGAGCCACTGTCCCCAGCTGAAAATCAGATTTTTAAATGTTTAGCTTCACTGTCCTTATACCAACAGAGCTGTTAAAGGTTTTCAGACGACCCCTCAGAACTTATAAATTATGTTAAACAATGAACCCCAAGCTATGCCACAGTTTTTTTGTTTTGCTATTACAAACATTCATGGTTAAATTACATGTACATTTTAGTATCAGTCATCTATTGCTGTATTTAAAAGTACCCCTGAAATGAGGCTGGGTGTGGTGGCTCACGCCTGCAATCCCAGCACTTTGGGAAGCCAAGGCAGGCGGATCACCTGAGGTCAGGAGTTGGAGACCAGCCTGGCCAACGTGGTGAAACCTTGTCTCCACTAAACATACAAAAATTAGCCAGCCGTAGTGGTGCGCATCTGTAGTCCCAGCTACTTGGGAGGCTGAGGCAGGAGAATCACTTGAACCTGGGAGGTGGAGGCTGCAGTGAGCCAAGATCATGCCATTGCACTCCAACCTGGGCTGGAAAGAGAAGGGGAAGGGCTCCAATGGAATGGAATGGAATATTTAGTCTTTCCTACATTTCTGTGTGTTGGCTGGACTGGCTCAGCAAGGGCCGGATGGCTGTGTGTCTGAGGCCCCGGCTGGGACATCAGGGTCTCTCTCCTTGTGGCCTCATACCCTTTGGAGGCACCCTAGGCTGGCTCCCATGGTGATGAAGTTCTAGAAGCAGCAGGCACAGATGATCAAGCTCTTCTCAAGCCTCTCTTTGCATCCCATCGGCTGATGTCGCATTGACCAAAGCAAGTCACACAGCCAGGGCCAGATTTAAAGGGCAGAGAATGGCCTGGCGCCGTGGTTTACAGCTGTAATCCCAACATTTTGGGAGGCCAAGGCAGGCAAATTGCTTGAGTCCAGGAGTTCGAGACCAGCCTGAGTAACATGGTGAAACCTCATGTCTACAAAAAATACAAAAATTAGGCAGGCGTGGTGATGCATGCCTATAGTCAGCTACTCAGGAGGCTGAGACAGGAGGATCACTTGAGCCCAGGAGACAGAGGTTGCAGTGAGCCATGATCATGCCACTGCACTCCACTGGGCAACAGAGCAAGACTCTGTCTCAAAAAATAATAACAAAATGGCATAGAAACAGACTTTACTTCTAGAAAAGAAGCATGGGATAGTCACATTGCAAAGGGATGTACATCCTGGGATGGGAGAGGTCTTGAGCTAATTTTTGCAGCCAACCGCACCCTTCTCTGATAAAGGCGTTAGGTTGTACTGATATAGCTTCTCCAGGTTTTGAAATCCATTCCATTATAGTGAGTAAGTTAAGATTATAAGTGCCTAGCCGGGCACGGTGGCTTATGCCTGTAATCCCAGCACTATGAGAGACCAAGGTGGGTGGGTGGATCACCGGAGGTCAGGAGTTTGAGACCAGCCCGGCCTACATGGTGAAACCCCGTCTTTACTGAAAATACAAAAATTAGCCAGGCATGGTGGCGTGGGCCACTTGGGAGGCTGAGGCAGGAGGGTCACTTGAACCTGGGAGGTGGATGTTGCAGTGAGCCGAGATCATGCCACTGCACTCCAGCCTGGGCAACAGAGTGAGACTCTGTCTCAAAAAAAAAAAAATGGTTATATATGTCAGTTCAGGCTTCATGACAGAAGAATCTTCACAGCATTTCATGTAAATGCACGTGGATATTCAGCCACCCTGAAGGGGAAAATCTCCCAAAACTAGGACTAGAATCAGAACTAAGCTCTCCCATCTTCACGATGCCTTCCTTCATCCTCTTCTCCTTCCTTCTTTTTTTTTTTTTTTTTTTTTTGAGATGGAGTCTCGCTTTGTCAACCAGCTGGAGTGCAGTGGCTCGATCTCAGCTCACTGCAACCTCCACCTCCTGGGTTCAAGCAATTCTCCTGCCTCAGCCTCCCATGTGGCTGGCTACAGGCGTCCGCCACCACTCCCAGCTAATTTTTGTAGTTTTAGTAGAGACAGGGTTTCACCATGTTAGCCAGGTTGGTCTCAAACTCCTGACCTCAAGTGATCTGCCCGCCTCAGCCTCCCAAAGTACTGGTATTGGAGGCGTGAGTCACCGTGCCCGGTCCCCTCCTTCCTTCTTTCCTTTTCTATTGATTTTACAATTGATATTATTTTTATATAAACATACATAAATACACAAATGTATGTTTTCTATATGTATATTATTTTAATTTATAGTATTTCTATTTTTGTATCAAGAGGTCAAATTTGTTCATAGTGAGTGAGCTACAAGTTCTTTTGCTGATTGTAACATTGCTGTATTAATCAACTTATATTAGCTAGTCGTATTTCTTTGTTGGCAAACTTAACCTAACATACAATTTTATCATTTCCATTACATTCCAAGGCATTTCACTGAAAGCAGAAGCTGTCTCAGTCAAGAAAGAATCAGAAGATCCTAATTACTATCAATATAATATGCAAGGTAATACTGTTTGATAATAATTTTCTTCCCCAAAAGTTATTTGGGATGGAAGATTTTAATTACTACCTGTCTGAAAAACTGGCGAGCACCCATGTGTGTTTACCTAGGATCAAGCATGCTGCCATTTAGAGTAAATAATCCTACAGTTATAAAATAGATTCTATTTAGCCTAAATCCATGTACTCTTTTGTTTGTTTTTTTACAGAGATGAGGTCTCACCTTGTTGCCCAAGCTGGTCTCTAACTCCTGGGCTTAAGTAGTCCTCCAGCCTTGGCCTCCAGAAGTGCTGAGATTATAGGCGTGAGCCACCATGCCTGGGCTAAATCCACATACTCTTTTTTTTTTTTGAGACAGAATCTCACTCTGTTGCCCAAGCTGGAGTTCAGTGGCACTATTTCCACTTACTGCAAACTCTGCCTCCTGGGTTCAAATGATTCTTGTGCCTCAGCCTCCCAAGGAGCTGGGATTACAGGCGTGTGCCACCACGCCTGGCTAATTTTTTGTATTATTAGTAGAGACGGGGTTTCGCCATGTTGGCCAGGCTGGTCTCGAACTCCTGACCTCAGGTGATCCACTCACCTTGGCCTCCCAAAATGCTGGGATTACAGGCATGAGCCGCCACACCTGACCCATAAGGCTTTTAAAAAGAAGTCATAAATTGTCACGACTGTCATGATTTTGCACCACCTAATGAAGCAGTGCATCTTGGCAATAATTGTCAGTGGTCATTAAAACCATTTTATAAAAGTCTGATGGGGACTTTATCATGGGCAGACCTGACTGACAGTTCCTGAACTGACTGGTCACTGGTCTGACGGTATCCAGTAGGAAGTACACCACACCACCTTTGTCAAGGATTCTTCCAAAAAAAAAAAAAATCAAACCTGGCCAGGTGTAGTGCCTCATACCTGTAATCCCAGCACTTTGGGAGGCCAAGGCAGGTGTATGACTTGAGCCCAGGAGTTCAAAACCAGCCTGGGCAACATGGTGAGACACCGTCTCTACAAAAAATACAAAAAGTAGCCGGGCATGGTGGCACACACCTGTAGCCCCAGCTACTTGGGAGGCTGAGGTGGGAAGATCGCTTGAGTCTGGGAGGTCAAGGCTGCAGCGAGCTGTGATCATACCACTGCACTCCAGCCTGGGTGCTGGAGTGAGACTCTCTCTCAAAACAACAACAAAACAAAACAAAACAATCAGACCTAAGTCTGATCCAGCATTTAGATCTAACCAGCAGTTTTTAGGAGATGCATGGAATACAGGCACATATGAAAACATCACCACAAGGATGTAGTCAATAAAATCCAGAATGTGAGAAACTCAGAGAAATTAATTGGTTTATGTTTTTTTTGTTTGTTTTTTTTTAGACAGAGTCTCGCTCTGTCGCCCAGGCTGGAATGCAGTGGCGTGATCATGGCTCACTGCAACCTTCACCTCCCAGGTTCAAGTGATTCTCCTGGCTCGGCCTCAAGAATAGCTGAGATTACAGGCGTGTGCCACCACACCCGGTTGATTTTTGTATTTTTTTGTAGAGAAGGGGTCTCACCATGTTGGCCAGGCTGGTCTCGAACTCCTGACCTCAGGTGATCTGCCCGCCTCCACCTCCCAGAGTGCTGAGATTACAGGCGTGAGCTACCACGCGCAGCCAGTTTTATTTCAAGGGGTAGAAGTATTTCAGGTGTATTCCTGTGTGGGTATTGACTTGTTTGCATTGTATTCAGTGATTTCTTTTTACATTTTTGTATTTCTCCTTTGTTATATATTATTTATTTTTCTTTCAGGAAGCCACCCTTCTTCCACAAGCAATGAAGTAATAGAAATGGAATTACCAATGGAAGGTTAGAAAAATGCAGCATTTTTTCTCTCTCTTTTAAGAAAAGTTTATAGAAGTTTATAGTATTTTACAAAGAACATACTTTTTTTTTCTTTTTTGAGACAGAGTCTCGCTCTGTCACCCAGGCTGGAGTGCAGTGGCGCAATCTCGGCTCACTACAACCTCTGCCTCCTGGGTTCAAGCGATTCATGTGCCTCAGCCTCCTGAGTAGCTGCGATTACAGGCGCGTGCCACCACGCCCGGCTAATTTTTGTATTTTTAGTAGAGACGGGATTTCACCATGTTGTCCAGGCTGGTCTCGAACTCCTGACCTCAAGTGATCCGTCCGCCTCTGCCTCCCATAGTGCGGGGATTACAGGCGTAAGCCACCATGCCCACCTGAAAGTTTATAGTATTTTACAGAGAACATACTCTTTTATACATGTAAGTTGGAAAATAAGGAAGGTGACTTTCTGGCATGCCTGTCTTCTCAGAAAACTATGAATAGTTGAGCTCTTGCCCTAAGATATAACATGAAGGGCTCTATCACTTCTTGTGCTTCTGATCTGTGAGTGATTCTACTTAAAGCACCCGAATATGGAAGTTAACTTTGCAGTGGTGCTGTTTCTTGCTTTGTCTTTTGGATGGCATGACATAATTCTTTTGGACAGAGTCGAATAGTATTTTAGGAAATCCTTGCATTAGAAGTAAAATTTGATAATACTTCCCTCCATTCATATATAAATCTTGAGCATCATATGAATAAAGCCTAAATTCCTACGGTGGTTTGTGTATGTCCAAGATAAAATTAATAATTTTAAAAAAGGGCCAGGCATGGTGGCTTATGCCTGTAATCTCAGCACTTTGGGAGGCTGAGGTGGGCAGATCACCTGAGGTCAGGAGTTCAAGACCAGCCCGGCCAACATGGTGATACCCTGTCTCTACTAAAAATACAAAAATTAGCCAGGCGTGGTGGCAGGCACCTGTAATCCCAGCTACTCGGGAGGCTGAGGCACGAGGATTGCTTGAAACTAGGAGGCGGAGGCTGCAGTGAGCCGAAATCGCACCATTCCACTCCAGCCTGGGTGACAGAGTGAGACTGTCTCAATAATGATAATAATAATAATAATAATAAAGATTTCCTTTCCAAACCTAGTGGCGTGGGACATCTTTGCCATTTACAGGCAATGTGATCTTACTTTTAGTTGTAATATCTGCCTTAGAGAGATAGTGACACATGGACTACCAAAATGATTCTGTTTTTTTTTTTTTTTTGAGACAGAATCTCACCCTGTCACCCAGGCTGGAGTGCAGTGTGTCGCGACCTTGGCTCACTGCAGCCTCCACCTCCCGGGCTGAAGCAATTCTCCTTCCTCAGCCTCCTGAGTAGCTGGGATTAGAGGTGTGCGCCACCACGCCTGGATAATTTTTGTATTTTTAATAGAGTTGGGGTTTCACCATGTTGCCCAGGCTGGTCTTCAACTCCTGACCTCAAGTGATGCGCCCACCTCGGCCTCCCAAAAGTGCTGGGATTACAGGTGCGAGCCACCGTGCCCGGCCCAGTTACTGTTTATTATCCTATTATTATTGCTTATAAAATTAAAATTATGTTTATATTATTTATATATGAAATATATTTAAAATGCCAGGATAAGCTACTTTTTTGGTATAGGAGCATTAATGTGTTGGAATATGAGGAGAATACTTAATAATGAATGTCATTTTAGACATTTTTTTTTCAAGATTCCACTCCGCTGGTCCCTTCAGAAGAACCAAATGAGGACCCTGAAGCCGAGGTGAAAATCGAAGGTTAGTTGCCCAAAGCCCCATTGCCAAGTATGGTTTTCATTCTTTCTAACAGGATTAATTGCAGGGAGGATGGCAGAGCTCAGTGGCTCAAGCCTGTAATCCCAGCACCTTGGGAGGCCAAGGCAGGTGTATTGCTTGAGCCCAGGAGTTTGAGACCAGCCTGGGAAACATGGCGAAACCCTGTCTCTACTAAAAATACAAAATTAGCCAGGCGTGGTGGTGCATGTCTGTATTTCCAGCTACTTGGGAGGCTGAGACAGGAGGATCGCTTGAACCTGAGAGGCGGAGGTTGCAGTGAGCTGAGATCTCACCACTGTACTCCAGCCTGGGTGACAGAGCGAGATTCCATCTAAAAAAAAAAAAAATTGTGGGGAAGAGATTGAAATCTCTGATGTAGTATAATGTGTATATATAATAGAGCAGCCATTCCCATTAGGGCCCAGTGCTTTGAGGTGTTGTAGACAACATAATTAGCTGTGCAAAAAAAAATTAGAAAGAAAAGAAAAATAATAACTAGGCATGATGGTGCATGCTTGTATTCCCAGCACTTTGTGAGGCCAAGGCAAGAAGATCATTTGAACCCTGGAGTTCTAGATCAGACTGGGCAACATAGTGAGACTATCTCTGCAAAAAGTAAACATTAAGAAAAAGTTAGGCAAGGCACAGTGGTTCACGCCTGTAATCCCAGCATTTTGGGAGGCTGAGGTGGGCAGATCACTTGATCCCAGGTGTTTGAGACCAAATTGGGCATAGTGAAACCCTGTCTCTACTAAAAATACAAAAAGTTAGCAGGGCATGGTGGCACACACCTGTAGTCCCAGCTATTTGGGAGACTGAGGTGGGCCAATCACCTGAGCCCAGGGAAGTCGAGGCTGCAGTGAGCCATAATTGTGCCACAATACTCCAGCCTGGGTGATGGGAGTGAGATCCTGCCTCGAAACAAACTAACAAAAATATCAGCCATGGATGGTGGCATGCATCTGTAGTCTCAGCTACTTGGGAGGCTGAGGTGGGAGGATCGCTTGAGCCCAGGATTTTGAGGCTGCAGTGAGCTGTGATTATGCCCCTGCATTCCAGCATGGTCAACAGAGCAAGACTCCATCTCTAAAAATAAAAATTAAAAAAAAATTTTTTTTTAAGTCTTGCACGTTAGCACTGACCCACAACTGGGCCTCAACTGTGCTGTGTTCACGTGAGGAAAGAATGAAGGGTTGAGGGTACATAAGGGGGGAGAATGGAAAGAAAAGGACGATTCACTCAGACATAGCCCCTTTGCTACTGGAGTGGACAGATAAATATCAAAGGTAACTCCGCAGGCCTGCAGCCGGTGAACTCAGTTGAAGTGCAAGTATCTAAAGGAAGTGAAGTTGAAAGTGTGATTTAAGGCTGGCGTGGTGGGTGGCTCACACCTGTAATCCCAGCACTTTGGGAGACCCAGGTGGGTGAATCCCTTGAGGCCAGGAGTTCAAGACCAGCCTGGCCAACATGGCGAAACTCTGTCTCTACTAAAAATACAAAAATTAGAGCCGGGCGTGGTGGCTCAAGCCTGTAATCCCAGCACTTTGGGAGGCCCAGGTAGGTGAATCACTTGAGGTCAGGAGTTCTCAACCAGCATGACCAACATGGTGAAACTCCGTCTCTACTAAAAAAAAAATACAATTATTAACTGGGCATGGTGGTGGGTGTCTGTAATCCCAGCTACTCAGGAGGCTGAGGCACGAGAATCACTTGAACCTGGGAGGCAAAGGTTGCAGTGAGCCGAGATCACACCACTGCACTCCAGCCTGGGTGATAGACTCAGTCTCAAAAAAAAAAAAAAAAAATTAGCCAAGCATGATGGTGCATGTCTGTGGTCCCAGCTACTCAAAAGGCTGAGGTGGGAGGATCACTTGACCATGGGAGGTCGAGGATGCAGTGAGCTAGGATCACACCACTGCACTCCAGCCTGAATGACAGAGTAAGAACCTGTCTCAAAAAAAAAAAAAGAAAAAAAAAATTCAGTCTGGGCTTCTGATCAAAGCAGCACTTAGACATATTTAAAGGAGAATTGGTCTTATTCTTGGTAAATTCTAAACTTCAACTTCTGTTTTAAGGAAACACAAATTCATCCAGTGTTACAAATTCTGCAGCAGGTGTTGAAGATCTTAACATCGTTCAAGTGACTGTTCCAGGTATGGACTAATGTTACATTTTTCCTTTTGTCTTAATTATTTTTTGACATAGGGTGGTCTCTTGGACCTGTCATTTTTCACTTAGTTCACCCTGATAGCTAAGAAATGACATTTTGGGAATATAAAATATTCTGCAAGTTGCTACACAACGAGCATCTTGCTCACATCAGACATTATTAATCGGATATTTTGCTTCTCCTGGACAAGCCCGGGCATTACCTGGAAAATGCATCTCAGAGCAGGCAGCATGGAGCACCAGCTATGGTTGAATTGGAATTGGCCACAGAGGTGAAATGTTTTGTTGCTCATCATTAACAATCTTCTGGCCGGGCACGGTGGCTTACGCCTGTAATCCCAGCACTTTGGGAGGCTAAGACGGGCAGATCACGAGGTCAGGAGATCGAGACCATCCTGGATAACACGGTGAAACCCTGTCTCTACTAAAAATACAAAAAAAATTAGCCGGGTGTGGTGGCGAGCACCTGTAGTCCCAGCTACTCGGGAGGCTGAGGCTGAAGAATGGCGTGAACCTGGGAGGCGGAGCTTGCAGTGAACGGAGATCACTCCACTGCACTCCAGCCTGGGCGACAGAGCGAGACTCTGTCTCAAAAAAATAAATAATAATAATAATAATAATCTTCTTTTCTGAATATTTGTATGTAAAATATATCTGGAAAGATACAAGAGAATCTAATTACATAGTTCCTCCAGGGAAGGAAACTGACCGCTGAGATAGGGATAGGAGAGAGACGTTTGAGATGTTTCTGTATATTACTCCTCTTGAATGTTGAGCCATGTGATTGCTTTAGTTATTCAAAAGTAAATAAAGTTTTAAAGTGTTGAAAAATATCTAAAAAATAAAAACAAAAAAAAAGGACCAGGCATGGTGGCATGTGCCTGTAATCTCAGCACTTTGGGAAGCTGAGGCAGGAGGATCACTTGAGCCCAGGAGTTTGAGACCAGCCTGCACAGCACAGTGAGACTCTGTCTCTAAAAAACAAAAAGAAAAGAAAAACAGACCGGGTGCGGTGGCTCACACCTGTAATCCCAGCACTTTGGGAGGCTGAGGCAGGTGGATCACCTGAGGTCAGGAGTTCGAGACCAGCCTGGCCAACATGGTGAAACCCCATCTTTACTAAAAATACAAAAATCAGCTGGGTGTGGTGGTGGGTGCCTGTAATCCCAGCTACTTGGGAGGCTGAGGCAGGAGAATTGCTTGAACCCAGGAGGGGTGCAGTGAATTGCTTGAACCCAGGAGTTTGCAGTGAGCCAAGATTGTACCATTGTACTCCAGCCTGGGTGACAAGAGCAAAACTCAGCCTCAAAACAAAACAAAACAAAACAAACAAAAAAAAAAAGAGAGGAAAAAAAGGAAAGAAAATAAAAATATACCTTACCTTCTAATCCTAGTACCTCTTATTCCTTTTACTTGTCATATTTCATTGGCTGAGATTTCTATTTTAAGGCCGAAAAGTGGTGGTGAAAGTAAACATCCTTGTCTTTTTTTTTTTTTTTTTTTGAGACGGAGTCTTGCTCTGTCACCCAGGCTGGAGTGCAGTGGTGCGATCTCGGCTCACTGCAAGCTCCGTCTCCTGGGTTCACACCATTCTCCTGCCTCAGCCTCCCGAGTAGCTGGGACTACAGGCGCCTGCCACCATGCCCAGCTAAATTTTTGTATTTTTAGTGGAAACGGGGTTTCACCATGTTAGCCAGGATGGTCTCCATCTCCTGACCTCGTGATCCACCTGCCTCGGCCTCCCAAAGTGCTGGGATTACAGGCGTGAGCCACCGCGCCTGGCCCTAAACATCCTTGTCTTGTATGATATTGAAAATATTCCTTAAAAGTAGTATGTAGTATGTTTATATAGGGTTATAATTTGGAAAATTCTCTATTGTCTGTAATGGCTTCCATTTCCAAATTTCCAAGATGCTTAATTATTGCTAAAAGTAGACTGAATAACAATCCAGGTAAAGCACTTTCTCGGGTGCTAACAGGCATTTCTCCCAACAGCTTTCTTGGGAGAAAATACATTAATAACCTTGGTTTGTTTATTTGTTTAATTATTTTTAGATAATGAGAAGGAAAGATTATCAAGCATTGAAAAGATTAAACAGCTAAGAGAACAAGTTAATGACCTCTTTAGCCGAAAATTTGGTAAGTTTTTATATCTTTTTATATCCAGAATTCATATACCTAAAATACTTCTTTTTAAAAGAATACTTGGCCAGGTGCATTGGCTCATACCTGTAATCCTAGCACTTTAGGAGGCTAAGGCTAGAGAATCACTTGAGCCCAGGCGTTTGAGACCAGCCTGGGCAGCAAAGTGACACCCCAGGTCTACAAAAGGAAAAAAAACAAAACTTTATCTTATAAGAATTTGATCTTGGCTGGGCGCAGTGGTTCACACTTTTAATCCCAGCACTTTGGGAGGCCAAGGTGGGTGGATCACTTGAGGCCAGGAGTTCAAGTCCAGCCTGGCCAACATGGCAAAATCCCATCTCTACTAAAAATACAAAAAATTAGCCGGGTGTGGTGGCGCACACCTGTAATCCCAGCTACTCAGGAGGCTGAGGCACGAGAATTGGTTGTAACTGGGAGGCAGAGGTTGCAGTGAGCTTAGATCGCGCTATTGCACTCCAGCCTGGGCGACAGAGCAAGACCCTGTCTCAAAAAAAAAAAAAAAAAAAAGAAATTGATCTTTTTGTGAAAGAGCTATGATAAAAATTAGTCAATATGTCTTTTTACAGAAGAGCTTTTGCATGGTATCATTGACTAATTACAATAATAATAATAATAGCTATCTTTGTTTTACTGAGTGCTTACCTTGTGTATTATTTTTTGTGCTCAACATGTGTTTGATCATTTAATCCTTACATAAAACCTTTCAGGTAGGCGCCATGATAACCCTGTGTAATGGATGGAGAAACTGAGTTTGCCTACTACCCATGCTAATTCCAAACTTTTAAAATTATATTCACACATCATAGTAGCACTGGAAAATAAAATGACTGATCATAAGTATTGTCATTTGATGCTTCTAAATCCTGACATTAAAGATAAATCCTGGTTTAGGAAATGTAAGGAACAAACTCAGCTAGTTTTATTTGTGTTGTTGTTTTTTTAATTTGTTGTTTTGTTTTGTGTTGTTTTGTTTTGAGGCAGGGTCTCGCTCTGTCTCTCAGGCTGGAGTGCAGTGGGGCGATCTCGGCTCACTGCAACTTCTGCCTCCTGGGTCCCTCCCATGTGGCTGGGATTACAGGCATGCGCCACCACGCCCAGCTAATTTTTGTATTTTTAGTAGAGACAGGGTTTCACCATGTTAGCCAGGCTGGTCTCGAACTCCTGGCCTCAAGTGATTCACCCGCCTCAGTCTCCCAGAGGGCTGGGATTACAGGTGTGAGCCACCGTGCCCAGCCAAACTCAGCTGGTTTTATGCTGCTCATCCCGTCACAGGTGAAGCAATTGGCGTGGATTTCCCTGTGAAAGTTCCCTACAGGAAGATCACATTCAACCCTGGCTGTGTGGTGATTGATGGCATGCCCCCGGGGGTGGTATTCAAGGACCCCGGCTATCTGGAAATCAGTTCCATGAGGAGGATCTTGGAGGCAGCTGAGTTTATCAAATTCACAGTCATCAGGTAAGTGAGTCAAGAGAAGGAATCTGGAGACTCTGACTTGCCCGAGGTGGGCATGTGGCTGCCCAGGAATGTCTGTCCCATGACTTGGGCTGGGGGTTTGTTCCCGCAGCTGACCGCTGGGCCATGCTGCCTCTCACACTGACTTCATCATCTTCTGCTTCCTTGAGATGTGTCCATGTCCCTGTTCCTCGGTGATCATGGGCAGCCCGTCCCAGTTTTAGCTCACCCAGCACCTAGCGTAGAGTTAACACTCTGCAAAAATTTGTCCAATAAAACTAAGTGGGGCCAGGCACGGTGGCTCACGCCTGTAATCCCAGCACTTTGGGAGGCTGAGGCGGGCCAGATCGCCTGAGGTCAGGAGTATGAGGCAAGCCTGGCCAACATGGTGAAACCCCGTTGCTACTGAAAATACAAACATTAGTCGGGTGTGGTGGCGTGCGCCTCTAATACCAGCTACTCAGGAGGCTGAGGCGTGAGAATCACTTGACCTGGGAGGTGGAGGTTGCAGTGACCTGAGATGGCACCACTGCACTCCAGCCTGGGCAGCAGAATGAGCCTCCATCTCAAAACATAAATAAATAGGCTGGGCATGGTGGCTCAGGCCTGTAATCCCAGCATTTTAGGAGGCTGAGGCAGGTGGATCATTTGAGGTCAGGAGTTTGAGACCAGCCTGGCCAACATGGTGAAACTCCATCTCTACTAAAAATAAACATTAGCTGGGTGTAGTGGTACGTGCCTGTAATCCCAGCTACTCAGGAGAATCACTTGAACCTGGAATGCGGAGGTTGCAGTGAGCCCAGATGACACCACTGCACTCCAGCCTGGGTGATGGAGTGAGACTCCGTCTCAAAAAAAACAAAAACAAAAGGCTCAACGCAGTGGCTCATGCCTGTAATCCCAGCACTTTGGGAGGCCAAGGTAGGTAGATCTCCTGATGTCAGGAGTTCAAGAGTAGCCTGGCCAACATGGTGAAACTAAAAATACAAAAAATTAGCTGGGCGTGGTGGCGGGCACCTGTAATCCCAGCTACTCAGGCGGCTGAGGCAGGAGAATGGCTTGAACCCAGGAGGCGGAGGTTGCGCTAAGCCGAGATCGCGCCACTGCACTCCAGCCTGGGTGACGCAGCGAGACTCTTGTCTCAAAAAAAACAAAAACAAAACAAACAAATAAATAAATATTCTTCTGTAAAAAAATAAATAAGTAAAAATTAAAAAAAAATAAAACTAAGTGGGCAAAAGAGGAAACGTGAGCTTGTCGCATTTATCAATGTGTCTTTCTCTTCAGGCCGCTTCCAGGGCTTGAGCTCAGTAATGGTGAGTATTCTACAGGTGAGAAGAACGTTCCGGCAATGTTGGGCCATGGGAAGTGTCTTGGTGGGCGCTCACCACGGGGTTTTTGCTTCCGTGAGCCTGGGACCCAAGTATGCAGCCTTCGATGCATGCTTTATTTTTCCTGCATGTGATAAAGTTAGATAACTCTGTTACTTGAGTTTGATTAACCAGTCTGAAGGAGAGTGATCTATATCACACCATGAGTGTGACGTGTGATGTGGCGCACTCTTTTTTTTTTTTTTTGGAGACAGAGTCTCGCTCTGTCACCCAGGCTAGAGTGCAGCACAATCTCGGCTCACCACACAACCTCCGCCTCCCAGGTTCAAGTGATTCTCCTGCCTCAGCCTCCCGAGTAGCTGGGACTATAGGCGTGTGCCACCACGCCTGGCTAATTTTTGTATTTTTAGTAGAGATGGGGTTTTGCCATGTTGGCCAGGCTGGTCTCGAACTTCTGACCTCAAGGGATCCGCCCGCCTCCACCTTTCAAAGTGCTGGGATTACGGGCATGAGCCACCACGCATGGCTGATGTGGCACACTATTCAAGTGTGCTTTGTGGTGGGGGCTCCCCTGAGGCCACCCGCACAGCTGCACTCAGGATCACAGTACCGATCTCCTCTGTGTTGGTAAATAGTGCCTGCCTGGCCATGCAGTCCCACCCTAGTACCCTCCGACCGTGGCTTGACCTCCCTACAGTGCTGAAGCAAAAGGAGTTCCACCTGGCACAGCAGAGGCCCCTAGAACCCTTCCAGTGCTGAGACTAGCATCTGTTCTTTTTTTTTTTTGAGACAGAGTCTCGCTCTCTCACCCAGGCTGGAGTGCAGTGGCAAGATCTCGGCTCACTGCAACCTCCGCCTCCCGGGTTCAAGCGATTCTCTGCCTCAGCCTTCCGATTAGCTGGGATTACAGGTGCGTGCCGCCACATCCAGCTACTTTTTGTATTTTTTAGTAGAGACAGGGTTTAGCCATGTTGGCCAGGCTGGTCTCAAACTCGTGACCTCAAGTGATCCACCCTCCTTGGTCTCCCAAACTGCTGGGATTACAGATGTAAGCCACTGCACCTGGCTCAGCATCTGTTCTGATTGAGCAATGCCCAGGCACTCTGCTTCTGAAATATTCTCTTTTTTTTCCCCTTCAACTTTTATTTTAAGTTCTAGGGTCCATGTTCAGGATGTGCAGGTTTGTTACATAGGTAAATGTGTGCCATGGTGATTTGCTGCACCTATCAACCCATCACCTAGGTGTTAAGCCCAGCATGCATTAGCTATTCTTCCTGATGCTCTCCCTCCCCCTACCCGCCCCCACCCTGTTAAATATTCTTAATGTCTTCCCCGGAGCCCTTGCAAGTGAGTCAGTATCCTGTCAAGTAGAATACGGAGAGGTGTTCTCACGAGCATGAGTCACCAGGGAACCTCCTAATGTAACATTTGAAAACCAAAGTAGGCTGGGCGCGGTGACTCACACCTGTAATCCCAGCACTTTGGGAGGCCGAGGCGGGCGGATCATGAGGTCAGGAGATGGAGACCCTTCTGTACAACGTGGTGAAACTCCGTCTCTACTAGAAATACAAAAATTAGCCGGGCATGGTGGCGCGTGCCTATAATCCCAGCTACTCGGGAGGCTGAGGCAGGAAAATCACTTGAACCAGGGAGTCGGGGGTTGCAGTGAGCCGAGATCGTGCCACTGCACTCCAGTTTGGTGACAGAGCAAGACTCTGTCTCAAAAAAAAAAAAAAAAAGAAAAGAAAAGAAAACCAAAGTATCCTATTAAAATGCTCCATTTTTATTCCCAAACGCATCTGATTGCTAAATGATTTTTTGATCTTTTATAATATCTTTATTTATTTATTGTATTATTATTGGGGTTTTTTAGAGACAAGGTCTCACTCTGTCACCCAGGCTGGAGTGCAGTGGCATGATCATAGCTCACTGCAGCCTGGAACTCCTGCCCTCAGGTGATTCTCCCACCTTCACCTCCCGAGTAGCTGGGACAGCACTGCCATGCCCAGATAATTTTTTTTTTTTTTTTGTAGAGACAGGGTCTCACTATGTTTCCCAGGCTGGCCTTGAGCTTCTGGCTTCAAGCGATCCTCCTGCCTCAGCCTCCCAAAGTGCTGGGACTATAGGCATGAGCCGCTGTACATGGCCTACATTTTCTTAAGGTGCACTTTTATGTGTGTGTACTCTGGAAATACCTTGATTACCTGCAGCGTGGCCAGGTTCTTTAAATCTAAAACACTAGCCCCTGTACACTCGAACACACTTATATGAATGAGTTTTGTGTGGATCTGTGGCCGTCACCCTTGTCATTTGAGACTCACAGTAGGTAAAAATCATATGCCTTTCTGTGCTCATTCCCATCTCTGTTATTACAAAGTTTTCTTGGGAATCAAATGAGAAAATATATTAAAATGCTCACACGTATAATCCCAGGACTTTTGGAGGCCAAGGCAAGAGGATTGCTTGAGGCCAGGAGTTTGAGACCAGCCTGGGCAACATAGCAAGACCCCATCTCTACAAAAAATTTAAAAATTAGCTGGACACAGTGGCTCACACCTGTAGCCCCAGCTACTTGGCAGGCTAAAGCAGGAGGATCACTTAAACCCAGGAGTTTGAGACAGCAGAGAACCATAATTGCAATACTACACTCCAGCCTGGGTGACAGAACAAGACCCTGTCTCTAAAAAGAAAATGCAAACATATTATCAAATAATTCCTGTTTAAACTGGACATAACAAGCACAGCTACATGCTGAACCTCATCAAAGGTGTCTTTTGTTTGGCTCATGTACTTTTGAAAATAAGGATGAGGCCTGGCACAGTGGCTCCTATAATCCCAGCACTTTGGGAGGCCAAGGCGGGTGGATCGCTTGAGCCTGGGGTTTCAGACCAGCCTAGGCAACAAGGTAAGACTCCAGCTCTACAAAAAAAGAAAAAAAAAAAAAGAAAAAGAAAAAAAGAAAAGAAAGAAAGAAAGAAAAGATAGCTCAGTGTGGTGCATGCCTGTAGTCCCAGCAACTGGGAGCTGAAGTGGGAGGATCACCTGAGCCCAGGGAGTTCCAGGCTGCAGTGAGCCATTATCACCACAAACCAGGCACTCTTTCATAAAAGTCAATCTTCAGGTTTTCTTTAGAAAACCTGAAGATCTGGCTGGGTGCAGTGGCTCATGCCTGTAATCCCAGCACTTTGGGAGGCTGAGGTGGGCGGATCACCTGAGGTCAGGAGTTCGAGACCAGCCTGGACAACATGGTGAAATCTCATCTCTACTAAAAATACAAAAATTAGCTGGGCGTGGTGGCAGGCACCTGTCATAACAGCTACTCAGGAGGCTGAGGCAGAAGAATCGCTTGAACCCAGGAGGCAGAAGTTGCAGTGAGCCGAGATTGCGCCACTGCACTGCAGCCTGGGTGACAGAGCAAAACTCCGTCTCAACAACAACGACAACAAAAATTCAGTCTTCAGGTTTTCTTTAGAAAACTTGAAGATCTGGCCACAGCTGGCGTCCTGGCAGCGGTTTGCTGGAGTTGATGGTCAGCCGTCCCTCTGCAGGGTGGGTCACCCTCCTGTTAACCACGCCCTGCCCCGCCCCGCTTCCTCCCTCTCGTGCGTCATCAAGCATTTGCTGTTGTTTTCCTCATAGTAGTGATAAGAGAAAAGTGAAATATCTTTGTCTCCCTGTCTCTGTCAAAAGTGGGAAAATGCAAGATAGACCAGGAGGGCCGTGTGTTTCAAGAAAAGTGGGAGAGAGCATTTTTCTTCGTGGAAGTACAGAATATTCCAACATGTCTCATATGCAAACAAAGCATGTCTGTGTCCAAAGAATATAACCTAAGACGCCACTATCAAACCAATCACAGCAAGCATTATGACCAGTATACGGAAAGAATGCGTGACGAGAAGCTTCACGAGCTGAAAAAAGGGCTCAGGAAGTATCTCTTAGGCTCGTCAGACACCGAGTGTCCCGAGCAAAAACAAGTGTTTGCAAACCCAAGTCCAACCCAGAAATCCCCCGTGCAGCCTGTAGAGGACCTAGCTGGGAACTTATGGGAGAAGTTACGTGAAAAAATCAGGTCTTTTGTGGCATATTCTATCGCAATCGATGAGATCACCGATATAAATAATACCACCCAGTTGGCCATATTCATCCGTGGTGTCGATGAGAATTTCGATGTGTCCGAAGAACTTCTGGATACGGTGCCCACGACGGGTACAAAATCTGGAAACGAGATCTTTTCGCGTGTTGAGAAGAGCCTGAAAAAGTTCTGTATCGACTGGTCGAAATTAGTAAGCGTGGCCTCCACTGGCACCCCAGCGATGGTGGATGCCAATAACGGGCTTGTTACAAAACTGAAGTCCAGGGTGGCGACGTTCTGCAAGGGTGCGGAACTGAAGTCCATCTGTTGTATAATTCATCCGAAATCACTCTGTGCTCAGAAGTTGAAGATGGACCACGTCATGGACGTGGTAGTGAAGTCCGTGAACTGGATATGCTCCCGGGGACTGAACCACAGCGAGTTCACAACCTTGCTCTATGAGCTGGACAGCCAGTATGGTAGCCTCCTGTACTACACGGAGATTAAGTGGCTCAGTCGCGGGCTCGTGCTAAAGAGATTTTTCGAATCCTTGGAAGAAATCGACTCCTTCATGTCATCCAGAGGGAAACCCCTGCCTCAACTGAGCTCCATAGATTGGATCCGAGACCTGGCCTTCTTGGTTGACATGACGATGCATCTGAACACTTTGAACATCTCTCTCCAAGGACACTCCCAAATCGTCACGCAGATGTATGACCTGATCCGGGTGTTCCTAGCAAAACTGTGCCTCTGGGAGACTCACTTGACGAGGAATAATCTGGCCCACTTTCCCACCCTGAAATTGGTTTCCAGAAATGAAAGCGATGGCCTGAACTACATTCCCAAAATCGCGGAACTCAAGACCGAATTCCAGAAAAGGCTGTCTGATTTCAAACTCTACGAAAGCGAACTGACTCTGTTCAGCTCCCCGTTCTCCACGAAGATCGACAGTGTGCACGAGGAGCTCCAGATGGAGGTTATCGACCTGCAATGCAACGCGGTCCTGAAGACGAAATACGACAAGGTGGGAATACCAGAATTCTACAAGTACCTCTGGGGTAGCTACCCGAAATACAAGCACCATTGCGCAAAGATTCTTTCCATGTTCGGGAGCACCTACATCTGCGAACAGCTGTTCTCCATTATGAAACTGAGCAAAACAAAATACTGCTCCCAGTTAAAGGATTCCCAGTGGGATTCTGTACTCCACATCGCAACGCGATGGAGAGAAAACTCCTGGCAGGGCCCTATGGTGGGAAAGGCTGGAGTCTTCTAGTCCCAAGGGATTGGGAGATGACAAAATGAATTTTTTTTTCTTTTTTGAGATGGAGTCTTGCTCTGTCGCCCAGGTTGGAGTGCAGTGGCGTGATCTCGGCTTACTGCAACTTCCAGCTCCTGGGTTCGAACGATTCTCCTGCCTCAGCCTCCCGAGCAGCTGGGACTACAGGCGTGCGCCACCATGCCCGGCTAATTTTTGTATTAGTAGAGATGAGGTTTCACCATGTTGGCCAGGCTGGTCTCCAACTCCTGACCTCAGGTGATCCACCTGCCTCGACCTCACAAAGTGCTGGGATTACAGGCATGAACCACTGTGCCCAGCTGACGAAATGAGTTCTTAAACTTTTTTTTTTTCAGTTTTTTTTCCACTTTGAATCAGAAATATAATCTGCAGTATCATACTTGTTTATATTACATTGTATGCCTCACTATTCATTAAAAATCAAGAAAGTTTTATTGTATTATTGGTAGTTGACTTTTCTTATGCCTGGCTTGTTTCATTCATTCACATTACCTGCCTGCCACCCTGATAGGCACTGTAGTTGGCATCTTGAAGTTTAAATCAATCAACAGAGAAATAGGGAGAGAGACGTGTATATTTGCTTTTTGGTTTTGGGGGTTCTTTTTTTGAGACGGAGTCTCACTCTGTTACCCAGGCTGGAGTACAATGGGGCGATCTGGGCTCACTGCAGCCTCTGCCTCCCGGGTTCAAGTGATTCCCCTGCCTCAGCCTCCCGAGTAGCCGGGGTTACAGGTGCCCACCACCACGCCCGGCTCATTTTTGTATTTTTAGTAAAGATAGGGTTTCACCATGTTGGCCAGGCTGGTCACAAACTCCTGACCTCAAGTGATCTGCCGGCCTTGGCCTCCCAAAGTGCTGGAATTACAGGCGTGAGCCACTGCGCCCAGCCTGAGACATGTATATTTGTGGAGGAGTATATATGAACACACATTTATCCCCCGTTCCCGTCCGCGTGGTATCCCACATGGTCTAATACGTTTCCAAGTTTCAGGAGAAATAGTTGAAAACATACTGACATACAATAATCCTATTTTATCTGTCTCTGCCTTCACCTGGAACCAGAAAGGTCAGGTTTAAAATGGAAAAACCCAGAGCCAGAAAGGTCAGGTTTAAAATGGAAAGCCCCAGAGCAAATAACGTAGACTTTGTCTATAAAAGTTAGACAAAGTAAGTTAAGGTTTAGAGGGTTTTTTTTGTTTGTTTTTTACTATGAATAGTTACCGAAAAGTTGTGGCCAAGCATGTGGCTCACACCTGTAATC
Organism: Homo sapiens; assembly: GCF_000001405.40. NCBI lineage: Eukaryota > Metazoa > Chordata > Mammalia > Primates > Hominidae > Homo > Homo sapiens. Next base: position 73,241,928 of record NC_000007.14, on the reverse strand, counting down.
CCAGCACTTTGGGAGGCCAAGGTGGGTGGATCACTTGAGGTCAGGAGTTCGAGACCAGCCTGGGTAACATGGTGAAACCCTGTCTCTACTAAAAACACAAAAATTTGCCGGGTATGGTGGCACGTGCCTGTAATCCCAGCTACTCAGGAGGCTGAGGCAGGAGAATCACTTGAACCCAGGAGACAGAGGTTGCAGTGAGCCGAGATTGTGCCATTGCACTCCAGCCTGGGTGACAGAGTGAGACTTTGTCTCAAAAAAAAAAAAAAGAAAAGTTGCAAAAATAAAAATAGTATGGAAAATACTCACATGCCCTTTAGCCAGACTCTCAATTGTTAACATTTCACCCTTGTTTCATTATTGGATCACTTTGTCTCCCTACCCCCTTCCCTCCTTCTCCCTCTCACTCATATGTGTGTATGTGTATCTATAATCAGTACCTATGGTAAGTGTGTATAAGCAAATGTCTATGAGTATCTATGATATGTGTATAAATGGATGTGCATTTTTTTCCTGGACCGTTCAAGGGAAAGTTACGTATATCATTTACCCCTAAATACTTCAGTGAGTATTTTCAGAGAACAGGGATATTCTCTTACACAATAACCTTTCCTTTACCAACTTCAGTAAATTGAACGTTGTTGCAATTATTTTATCCAGTTTACTGTTCATACTCTAGTTTTCCCTGTTGACCCAATAATATCTTTCCCTTTTTTATTTTTGGAAACAAGGAAATGGGCTCGCTCTGTCACCCAGGCTGGAGTGCAGTGGTGCGACCTTGGCTTACTGCAACCTCTGCTTCCTGGGTTTAAGTGATCCTCCCACCTCAGCCTTCCAAGTAGCTGGGACTACAGGTGCATGCTACCATGCCCAGCTAATTTTTGTGGAGTTTTTTTTTTTTTTTTTTGTAGAGACAGGGTCTCCCTTTGTTGCCCAGGCTGGTCTCAAACTTCCAGGCTCAAGCGATCTACTCGCCTCAGCTTCCCAAAGTGATATCTTTCCCTTTATAGCATTTTTCTCCTGGCAGGTTGTCATTTGAAGGTGTGTGTGTGTGTAATCTCTATTAGTCACTGGAATTAGTGACACAAAATTGTGAATACTTTCCAGATTGGGGGAATTCACGCGACCAGCGTGGAGGAAGGCTGTGGATCTCCACCTAATGACCCACTCAGGAAGCAATGGAGAAAAGGACTTTGATAAAAATGACAGGGGGTGCAGGAGGGAGAGAGCAACCCCCAGGCCAGGAGCCCAGTTGGAGCCCAGGTGCCTATCCTTAGACACAGGGAAATGACCCCACTCCAGGCAGTTCCTGTCGTTGACTTCAGGTACAGCTGGCTCTGGCAAGCTCAGCGCTCTTTTGGAGAAGGAATCCCAGATAGGCTGGTTTATAACGGGAGTTGGAGGGGAGTCCAGGTCTTGGTGGAAGTGAGCACTCGTTCACACCACATATCAGAGGTGTGGCCGAGCAGCAGGACCAGAGCAGCCCCCTTTCATAGACGGGAAGCTGAAGCTCAGAGTGGCTAAGTGGCTCGCTCCAGGTCACGCAGCCATTATAGGAGTTGTCAGGATTCAAACCAGGGTCCATGTGACTCCAAAGTCCATGTGCTTCACTTTTTGTTTTTGAGATGGAGTGTCGCTCTGTCGCCCAGGCTGGAGTGCAGTGGTGTGATCTTGGCCCAGTGCAACCTCCGCCTCTCGGGTTCTAGTGATTCTCGTGCCTCAGCCTCCCGAGTAGCTGGGACTACAGGCATGCGCCACCACAACCGAATAATTTTTGTATTTTTTAGTAGAGACGGGGTTTCACCATGTTGGCCAGGCTGATCTTGAACCCCTGACCTCAAGTGATCCACCCGCCTTGGCCTCCCAAAGTGCTGGGATCACAGGTGTGAGCCACGACACCTGACCCATGTGCTTCATTCCTAAGCAGCCACTGTGCCTGACATGGAGACCCAGCAGGTATCTGTCATGCAGCCTCTGCCCTCATCATCTGTCATGTGTGTGGCTCCCTGGTGGTCCACCAATCAGATGATAGGGAGGGGACAGTAGGGCTCAGCCTAAGCTGCCTCCTGTTGGCCGGACCATTCATGAAGCTGTTCTGCTTTGAATCAATTCCCAAGGCCCCAGGAATGTGTGTTGGGACCAGGATGGCTTGAGATATGATGGCCACTGACATGCACTGTCACTCATAGGACTGAGTTGAGACTGTGGGAATGACTGAATGGCTGGGAAAGGTTTTTCGTTTGTTTTTTTGAGACGGAGTCTTGCTCGGTTGCCCAGGCTGGAGCGCAGTGGCACGATCTCAGCTCACTGTAACCTCTGCCTCCCGAGTTCAAGCAATTCTCCTACCTCAGCCTCCCGAGCAGCTGGGATTACAGGCGCCCCCCACCACACCCAGCTAATTTTTGTATTTTTAGTAGAGACGGGGTTTCACCATGTTGGCCAGGCTGATCTGGAACTCCTGACCTCAGGTGATCCACCCAACTCAGCCTCACAAAGTGCTGGGATTACAGGCGTGAGCCACCAAGCCTGGCCAGGAGAGGTTTTTAGTAGGGCAATGGGGTGTCTGCAAACGAGAGCCCTTGAGAGTGGTGTGGTCCAGGGAGATGGGCAGGGGCCCAGCCTAGGAGTAGGGGCTAGATTTGGTGGGTCTTTGTCAATTTTCAGGGGCAGGGATTGCACTGCATCTATCCCAAGTCCCCGACTTCTCATCCCAGGATGGACAGAGGAAAGAGCCAATCTCTCCTCCAACACAGGCCCTGGGACTAGGGGTCTGCAGAGGGCCCTGGAAGCCAGACCCCCTCACACTTGGCCTGGCACGTACCTGTGTGCCGTATTCCCTCCTCTGAGCCACAGGCCTGAACCACAGATCCTGAGCTCTGCAGGGTCAGGATAAAGTACTGGATCTGGAAGGCCTTAGAATCAAAAAGAAAAGCCTGGGCCAGCCGCAGTGGCTCATGCCTGTAATCCCACCACTTTGGAAGGCCAAGGCAGGCGGATTACCTGAGGTCAGGAGTTCAAGACCAGCCTGGCCAACATGGTGAAACCTCATCTCTACTAAAAATACAAAAAATTAGCCGGGCAGGGTGGCGGGCACCTGTAATCCCAGCTACTCGGGAGGCTGAGGCAGGAGAATCACTTGAACCCAGGAGGCAGAGGTTGCAGTGAGCTGAGGTCGCTCCATTGTACTCCACCTAGGTGACAAGAGCGAAACTCCATCAAAAAAAAAAAGAAGAAGAAAAGAAAAACCCAGTTCCACCTCCCAGCACTGTTGCTTTCTTGCATTATTTCATAAGCAAACCACTTAATTAATTTTATGAGCTTTGGTTTCCTCATCCATAAAACACCTACCAGACAGTGTTGGTCTCAGAACTGGAGATGATGGAATGAGCCCAGCACTATGACTGGCCTCAAGAAAATTGTTGGCTAAACAGAGGTGCAGCCCTTAGAGCAGGCAACTTCAGTTTTTTTCTCCCTTCCCTGTGGGCGTGGCTTCCCAATCACCCACCCACCGAGAGGCCTCCTCCCCAGCACGCTGCAAGGGCCACTTTAAGGGGATCAGAAATATACAAAAACCACGGGGAAACATTTGGTCAGGACCTCAGCTTGGAAAAAAATGAAACAATCATGAAAATAAGTATTTTGTCTTCTTTTTTATATGTATGTATTTTTTTTAATTTTTATTTATTTATTTATTTATTTTTGAGACAGAGTCATGCTCTGTCGCCCAGGCTGGAGTGTGGTGGCGTGATCTCGGCTCACTGTAACCTCTGCCTCCCGGGTTCAAGTGATTCTTCCGCCTCAGCCTCCTGAGTACCTGGGATTACAGACGTGTACCACCACACCCGGCTAATTTTTTTGTTGTTGTTGTATTTTTAGCAGAGACAAGCTTTCACCATGTTGGCCAAGCTGGTCTCGAACTCCTGGCCTCAAGTCATCCGCCTGCCTCGGCCTCCCAAAGTGCTGGGATTACAGGCGTGAAACACTGTGGCTGGCCTTAATTTGTTTTTTTTTTAAGAGACAGGGTCTTGCTCTGTCACCCAGGCTGAAGTACAGTGGCACGATCACAGCTTACTGCAGCCTCAAACTCCTGGGCTCAAGCGATCCTCCCACCCAACCTGGGACTACAGGTGCACACCACCACACCTGTCTAATTTTTTAAAATGTTTGTCTAGACGGGTCTCACCGTGTGGCTCAGGCTGGTCTTGAACTCCCTGCCCCAAGCAATCCTTCCACCTTGGCCTCCCAGAGCACTCGGATTAGAGGCGTGGTATTTTATACTGTATTTAATAAAAGGGTTATAACTGCAACTGAACAAGCAGAAGGGGTGAGGTTGGTGATTCAATTTCCCACAGCTTTGTATGATAGCCTTTGGTGCTGGGCTTTTCCAGCAAACCAGGGTCGGCAAAAATGCAGAACTAGTTTAGAGCTGCAGTGGTTTTCTTTTTTTTTCTTTTTTTTTTTAGAAGGAGTCTTGCACTGTCACCCAGGCTGGAGTGCAGTGGAACAATCTCGACTCACTGCAGCCTCTGACTCCTGGGTTCAAGCCATTCTCCTGCCTCAGCCTCCCGAGTAGCTGGGATTCTAGGCTTGTGCCACCACGCCTGGCTAATTTTTATATTTTCTGTAGAGATGGGGTTTCACCATGTTGGCCAGGCTGGTCTGGAACTCCTGACCTCAAGTGATTCACCCGCGTCAGCCTCCCAAAGTGCTGGGATTACAGGCCTAAGCCACTGTGCCCAGCCGTCCAGTGGTTTTCTGAAAGCTTCTGCCAGTCCTTCGATGGTCAGCCTATTCTCTTGACAACCATCTGCTCCCCTTACGATTTTCTCTGATATCTCCCCTTATGATTGTCTCTTATCTCTAAGGGACCCGCCTCCCCCGTCCTCACATAGCCACTTCCGCAAATGTGGGACAGCTCTCCCTGCCACTCGTGGCCTTCGTGACAAGTTACATCTTTTGCAAGACTGGCAGCTTCACTTTGCACCTTCGTGTCTGCATTTTGGGGAAAGACCTGCCCTCAAAGCAAAGGCTTTCAGGCTACAGGCTGGCTTCAATGCTAGGGTGAGCGGTGAATAGTGTGCATAGTGAATACTTGCTTTCTGGTACAACCTCATAACCGGGGCACGGTCTCAGTGAATAACAGAGGACACCCTGCACCTAAGTTACTTTTTTTTTTTTTTTTTTTTGAGATGGAGTCTCGCTCTGTAGTCCAGGCTGGAGTGCAGTGGCGCCGTCTCGGCTCACTGCAACATCTGCCTCCCCGGTTCAAGCGATTCTCATGCCTCAGCCTCCCCAGTAGCTGGGATTGTGGATGCATGCCACCACGCCCAGCTAATTTTTATATTTTTGGTACAGATGGGGTTTCACCATGTTGTCCAGGCTGGAGTCCAGTGGCGCCGTCTCGGCTCACTGCAACATCTGCCTCCCCGGTTCAAGCGATTCTCATGCCTCAGCCTCCCCAGTAGCTGGGATTATGGATGCATGCCACCACGCCCAGCTAATTTTTATATTTTTGGTAGAGATGGGGTTTCACCATGTTGGCCAGGCTGGTCTCGAACTCCTGAGCTCAACGGATCCTCCCACCTCGGTCTCCCAAAGCGCTGGGTTACAGGCGTGAGCCACCGCGCCCGAACCTAAGTTATAATATATTTTTTATCCCAGCTATGAGGTCACTCCTACACCCTGGACGGCAGCCTGTCTCCTGCCATGAGACAGGGCTGCCCTGCTGCACTGTGTGCACCCATCTTCAGGACTCTTCCGCCAGAGTCCAAGCAGGTGGTTTCTGACCAAACGGTCAGCAGGAAACCGGGAGTTCCTCTTGAACTTGGCCTTGTGCAAACCTGTTCTTGGCCAAGACCAGGGCAACATGCAACCAGACCTCGGCTCTTGCAACTTCCCCCCAGCAGAACTCACAACCTCCTGTCCTCAACTTAGAAATAACCCTGGGGCGGAGCCCGGCCCTCCCTGCATTCCTGCAGAGCCTCGGTCCACTCCAAGCAACATTTATTGAGGGTGGCGGGAGCCGCGCTGGACAGGGGTCGGGGCTGCCCTCGGCGTCCAGACGCCAGGCTCTATAGAACACGTATATACAGGCACGGGGCGGCAAGGGCCGAGACGCTAGCTGGGGACTGCGCTCCAGCCTCAGACGGCAGACGCCAGCTTCCGCTTGGTGCTCTCGCTGCAGCGGTTCAGGATGAGGTCGGCGCTCGGCCGCGGGGGCACCGCCGGCTGCGGTTTAGAGCGCTGCGTCTGCCGCTCCTCCTCTGCGGGCAGAGAGCGGGGCCGAGTCAGACGCCCCGCCCCGCACACTGGCCCCGCCCACAGCGCTCTCTGGCCTCGCCCCGCCGCGGTCTCCAACTCCTGCTCCGCGCTCTGGCCTCGCCTCCCGCTTGTGCCTCTCCCTCTGACTCCGCCTCTTAGGGATCGCTCCGCCCCCTAGCGCTGGCTCCTCCTCTGCCCCCGCCTCCAGTCCCCGCCTCTCCCTCTGATTCCGCCCTCTGGTCCCGCCCCGCTACTCTGGCCCTACCTCTGGCCCCGCCTCTCCCGCTGACTCCGCCCCTAGGGCTTGCCCTTCCTGCCCTCTCCCGCTGCACTCACCGAGCGGGCTCCCGGGGCTCTGCGGTCCCGGCCGCGCCTGGCGGCGTCGCTGCTGCAGAAAACGGACGCTGTTGCGGCGATAGGCGTCCTGGCTGAGGCGCTTCCGCGACCGCTGGTGGATGCTGTGCACGTTGCGGATGGACGACCTGGCCCAGCGGGACGGGGCGTCGTCAAAGCCCGAGGGCGCCCCTGCCCCCAGGGACTCAGATGGGCACCCCTGGTCCGAGGAAGTGGGGGGCAGTAGGGGGCCGGTAGTCTGCACGACCCCGGCGGGACAAGAGGCGGCTGCCCCCGTCACGACAAGGACCCTTGCCCTGCAGCAGAGCCTGGGCGGTTTTCCACGCCCCTCACCAGCCTTCGGTCTGTCGTCCCCCTCTCCGGGGAGCCCCCCTGGACTGCCCATCCCCAAAGCCCCCGGGCATCGCCGCTTTCCTTCCGCCCCCGTGCCAGCCCCACACCGCGGCCAGGCGCGTCCAGCCCCTTTCCCCCGTGAGGGTCCTGCCTCTCCTGCCAGGCTGAGAGCCCCCGCCCCGGCACTGCCAAGCTATGGCCTAGACAGAGCGAACCCGTGGTGCGCCCCGCTCGACCCCGCCCAGCCCCGGGGACCCCCGCTTACCTGCGGGGCGGCGCCCCCCGCTTGATCTGGCGTTGGGCCTGGGACACGTCTTGCCCTGACTTTTGCAGGTACATGGACGGGAAGTAGCCTGTGACGTCGTCTTTCCTGCAACAGAGGCAGCCCTTGAGGCTGGGGCAGTCACCTGGGGGCGCCCAGAGGAGAGGGTTTCAGGGCTCTCTCTGAACAATTGGGGTTAGCACAGGCTGAGAGGTTGCAAACAACCGGACACCTGCCTCTGTGGGCCTCAGTTTCCTGGTCTGTGCAACTGAGACCCTTCCAGCAATCCTTCCACAGTCTAGGCAGGGGTGGAGGTTAGCAGATCCAGGTCACCGCAGGGGACAGGTATTTGCTATAAGACATTGGCAAGAATGGGCAGGGCACGGTCGCTCACGCCTGTAATCCCAGTACTTTGAGGGATCTAGGTGGGAGGATCGCTTGAGGCCAGGAGTTGGAGATCAGCCTGGGTAACATAGCAAGACCCCTATCTCTACCTCCCGAAAAAATTAAAGAAAAAAGAAGACACTGGCAGATTATATTTGCCAATTTTTCTTTTATGTTAACTGCCTTCTGTCTCCTACGAACCTTTGCCTACCTCCAAGCCACCAAATTCTATGCTTTCTTCCAAATGCTTTTCCCCCACCCAACCCCAAGACAGAGTTTTGCTCTTGTTGCCTAGGCTGGAGTGCAATGGCATGATGTCGACTCATTGCAACCTCTGCTTCCCAAGTTCAAGCAATTCTCCTGCCTCAGCTTCCCAAGTAGCTGGGATTACAGGCATGCACCACCACACTTGGTTAATTTTGTATTTTTTTAGTAGAGACAGGATTTCACCATGTTGGTCATGGCTGGTCTCAAACTCCTGACCTCAAGTGATCCACCTGCCTCAGCCTCCCAAAGTGCTGAGATTACAGGCGTGAGCTCCCTGTCCAGCCCCAAATGGTTTTTAGTTTCAGGTTTTACTCTGGGATAAACCTGTGATCCATCTGAAGTAAACATATGTGTACAGTGTGAGGAAGGGGTCTAGGTTTGTTTTTTGCTCTTTTTTTTTTTTTCCAGTATGGAAATCCATCTGTTCCAGCACCATTTGTTGAAAAGACTTTCTTTCTATTCTCAATATTATATTTGGGAGTGAAAAAAAAAACAAAAGAAAACTTTGCATAATACAAGGTTCACATAAAACCCAATTCTTGGCTGGTGGGAGGATCACAAGAAGATTATCAGAGACACAGGATGGGGGTTAACAGAGTGTGTGTCTAAAAGGCTGAGAAATGCTGCCTCAAAGCCCTCTGGCCCCGGGCCCGGCTGCAGGTATGCATGTTGTGGTCCCAGCTTTAAGATAAGCTTGCGGCAGGGCGCCAGGCTGGCCCTGTGACCTAGGGCTCTGAAGACGCCAGCAAAGGCCCAGCATGGAGGCTCATTCCTGTAATCCCAGTGCTTTGGGTGGCCAAGGCAGGAGGAACTCTTGAGGCCAGGAGTTTAAGACTAGTCTTGGCACCATAGTGAGACCCCACCCCTACAAAAAAATTAAAAAACATTAGCCAGATGTGGTGGTGCTCACCTGTAGTCCCAGCTACGTGGGAGCCTGAGGTGGGAGGATCGCTTGAGTGAGCGATGATTGTGCTCCAGCCTGGGAGTCAGAGCAAGATCCTGTCTCAAAAAATGAAAAAATTCGTAAAAAATGAAGACACAGGAAAGGACCTGGGAGGCCCCATGGCTCCAGGGAAATGGCTCCACAAGCCGCTAGAATTCTGTGTTCCCCAGAACCAGAAAAAAGATAATTAGTATTTCTGCATTCATTTGGAGGATAAACAGATGGGAATTGCAATGGAAGCTTTTTTTTTTTTTTTTTTTTTTTTGAGACAGGGTCTTGCTCCATCACCCAGGCTGGGGTGCAGTGGTGCAGTCATAGCTCACTGCAGCCTCCAACTCCTGGGGTCAAGTGATCCTTTCACCTCAGCCTCCTGAGTAGCTGGGGCTACAGGTGTGTGCTACCACATCCAGCTATTTTTTAATTTTTTTTGTAGAGACAGAGGTCTCCCTACATTGCCCAGGTTGGTCTTGAACTTGTAGCCTTGAGTGATCCTCCCACCTCAGCTTCCCAAAGTGTTGGGATTACAGGCATGAGACACTGCACCTGACTGCAAGAAAGCTTTAAAAGATAAAGGAATGATAAAAAGAAAGTAATCTTTTTTTTTTTTTTTTTTTTGAGACGGAGTTTCGCTCTCGTTGCCCAGGCTGGAGTGCAATGGCGCGATCTTGGCTCACTGTAACCTCCGCCTCCCGGGTTGAAGCGATTCTCTTGTCTCAGACTCCCGAGTAGCTGGGATTACAGGCTCCCACCACAACACCCGGCTCATGTTTGTGTTTTTAGTAGAGATAGGGTTTTGCCATGTTGGCCAGGGTGGTCTCGAACTCCTGACCTCACGTGATCGTCCTGCCCTGGGCTCCCAAAGTGCTGGGATTACAGGCCTGGGCCATTGCGCCTAGCTAGGAATGTAATTATTTATACAACAGTTCACCATGTTGCCAGAGAAGGAATAATAATAGATGGTTGGGAAGAGACCCTAAATCACAAAGGAGAAATGCACCCACTTGGACAAGGACATTGGATCCCCACAAGACAGGCAAGGGTGGGCTCATCCCTCCCTGCTACTGAGATGGAAACTAAGCCCAGAGAGGGGCAGTGGCTTACCCAGAGTCCCAGGGACAAGTCACCCCAGATCCCTAAACACCCCGTCCTGGCTGGGGCTGACTCAGATGGGTGCTCTGGATGGAGAGGGGCCCTCCTACCTGATGACCCACCAGCCGTCCAGGAGCTTGTGAATTACCTCAACAGCTTCACCCTCGAGCAGGGACACCTCGTCCCCCTCCACAGCAGTGTAGGCCTTGATGGCGACGTATGGCTCACCTGGTCCACGGCAGGGGCACAGAGCACAGTGTGAGGTCGGCCCAGCCTGGGGCTCGCCACCCATCCCATCTTCTCCTCTCTGCGCCTGGGCTTCCTCCAGGCACTCCAGACCCACCCAGGGCCCACAGTTCCCCCTCTTCTGGGTCTCCTCCCTCCACCCTCCTGCTCCATCCCAGATCCCTCGGCAAGCTCCTGCTGGCACCCACTCTGGGGGTACACTCTGGACTTCGGCCCTCTGCCCCCTACACCCAGGTGAGCTTGTCCACTCCCATTCATTGCCACCCACTCTGGGGACCAGAGATCCCATAACGATGAAGGTCTGTCCAGACACTTCACTATGACAAGAGATCAGCCATGAGTAGGTGGGTGGAGCATCCGTCTACCTGGCACTGGGAACTGCTCAGCTGCAGCTAACTGTCGGCCTGGGGGCTGCAGGCCTTCCCAGTGTTTAAACGATAGCCACAGGCTGGGCGAGGTGGTTCCCACCTGTAATCCTAGCACTTTGGGAGGCCAAGGCGGGCGGATCACCTGAGGTCAGGAGTTCGAGACCAGCCTGGCCAACATGGCGAAACCCCATCTCTACTAAAAATACAAAAAATTAGCCTGGCGTGGTGGTGCATGCCTGTAATCCCAGCTACTCAGGTGGCTGAGGCAGGAGAATTGCTTGAACCCAGGAGGCTAAGGTTGCAGTGAGCTGAGATTGCATTACTGCACTCCAGCCTGGGTGACAGAGCCAGACTTTGTCTCAAAAAAAAAAAAAAAAAGCTGTAAATCCACATAAAAGGGTGAAATCACTCCATTTTAAAATGTGGGTAACCAGGCCAGGGACAGTGGCTCACATCTGTAATTCCAGCACTTTGGGAGGCCAAGGCAGGCAGATCACCTGAGGTCAGAAGTTCGAGACCAGTCTGGCCAACCTGGTGAAACCCCGTCTCAACTAAAAATACAAAAATTATCCAGGCATGGTGGTGCATGCTTGTAATCCCAGCTACCTGGGGAGGCTGAGGCTGGAGAATCACTTGATCCTGGGAGGCAGAGGTTGCAGTGAGCTGAGATAGCACCACCGCACTCCAGCCTTAGCAAGGGAGTGAGACTCTATCTCAAAAAAGTAAAATAAATAAATAAATAATAAAATAAAATGGTAACCAATTCTATTATAGTTTTTTTCAAGCTCAATGCAGGCCCCATCCAGCCCTGGCACTGCCAGTTTTCCCTTTCTGGTCAGTGATGATGCCCCCACTTCCAGGCAGCCCTCCTTCCTGAGCCTAAGGTCTGCTCATCCTTCAGCTTCCCACTGAACCTGGCCACATATCCACAGACACCACTGGCCTCCCACTCTCCCGAGTCGTCTGCTCCTCCTCCTGGTTCCCTGTCCAGACCAAGGGCATCACAACCTGCCAGGGCCCCCAAGCCAGAGACGATGAGATCTTAGCCCTGACTTTTCTGCCAAGCCAGCAACCAGCCCAGACTCCAAAGCAGTCACTCAATATCCCTGAGCCCTGCCTGCCCCTTTCTCCCACACCCCTACAGCCTCGGAGGGCAGGGGGCACCTGCATAGTTGGGCTCAGGGTCTTCCGTCTCGTCAGGACTGTCCAGGGGCTCGAGGAAGGATGCTGGGATCCAGCCTCGCTTTGCTTTCATCTGACAGAACCACCAACCTGTGCCAGAGGTGCGGGAATGTGACTGAGGGGCAGGGCCCAGCGGCTCCCTGCAGCCATCAGGGATGGTGAGGACACAGGGACACAGACACACTGATGTCCAATGCTCAGATTTGGAAATGTCACCTTCACCACACTGGACAATGAGGTCACATGCATGCATGCACACATGCTCACAGAATCACAGCTCTGAGCCCACTTCATAATGAACAGACGGTCCCATACCCATCCAGACAGAACACGCAGACATGCCCCGCCCCGGCCTGCCATGCACAGATGCCCACAGCCACCACAGGGTGCACACTAAGAGAGAAGGCGACCCACAGTGTGGGGAGGACATTTAGGGCCCCTAACAGAGCCGGAGTCCTCCCAGGGGCCAGGCTGCCTGAGCCTTGGCAGGGGGCTTGTGGCTGTGGGTTCCTGAGCACCAGGGGAAGGAGCCCCGTAAGGTGGGAGGTCTGACCGCTCTCGCTCTTCTCCACGACCTCCACCACGTCCCCCGTGGACAGAGCCATCTCGGAGCCCGAGGTCTTCTCGTAGTTGGCAATGGCGCGGTACGTCTGCAGGATGATGGGGCCGGTGATGTCTGGGGCAAGAGGGAGGGCAGGGTGAGTGGGCATTGCAGGGCCCATCTGGGCCTCCAGAACAGGCGCTGGCATCTTGAGTCTCTGCTGCCCTGCATTTCCTGGGCGCATAGCGTTCTCCAGGCTTCGGCCTCACACTTCAAACATGTCTTTGTTCTCATCTGATGAAGTTAGTGAGCCTTTCCCAACTTTATTTTCTTTTTTGGAGACAGAGTCTTGCTCTGTTGCCCAGGCTAGAGTACAGTGACGTGATCACAGCTCACTACAGCCCTAGACTCCTAGGCTCAAGCAATCTCCCTGCCTCAGCCTCCCGAATAGCTGGGACCACAGACGTATGCCACCACACCCGGCTAATTTTTTGTAAAGACAAGGTCTTGGGACAATGCCCAGGCTGGTCTCGAACTCCTGGGCTCAAAGGATTCTCCCACCTCAGCCTCTTAAAGTGTTGGGATTACAGGCGTGGAGCCACTGCACCTGGCCTTTTCCCAACTTTTTTTTTTTTTTTTTTTTGAGATGGAGTCTCGCTCTGTCACTGGAGTGCAGTGGTGCAATCTTGGCTCATTGCAACCTCCACCTCCCAGGTTCAAGTAATTCACCTGCCTCAGCCTCCCAAGTAGCTGGGACTACAAGCACCTGCCACCACACCTGGCTAATTTTTGTATTTTTAGTAGAGATGGAGTTTCACGATATTGGTCAGGCTGGTCTCGAACTCCTGACCTCAGGTGATTCAACCGCCTCGGCCTCCCAAAGTGCTGGGATTACAGGCATGAGCCACAGTGCCTGACCTTTTCCTAACTTTAAGGTGCACCCGAATACCTGGGATTTTGCTAAAATGCCTATCCTGTTCAGTAGGTCCACTGTGGGACCTGAGTGTGCATTTCTGACCAGCCCTTCATCCAACCGTGGAGGTGCTGATGCTGTTTGGTATTGGCTGACATCTGCCTTCTCAAAATTCATATGTTGAAGTCCTAACCACCCAGTACCTTACAGCGTGGGTATATTAAGAGAAAGGTACTCTTAAGTACGTTTCAAGAGGTAATTAAGTTAAAATGAGGTCAGTAGAGTGGGCCCTAACCCAACAGGCCTCATGTCCTTATAAGAAGAAGAAAAAGCCGGGCACAGTGGCTCATGTCTATAATCTCAGCACTTTGGGAGGCTGAGGCAGGAGGGTTGCTTGAGGCCAAGAGCTTAAGACCAGCCTGGGCAATGTAGTGAGACCCCATCTCTATCAGAAAATTAAAAATTAGCTGGACATGGTGGCACACACCTGTAATCCCAGCTACTTGGGAGGCTGAGGTGGGAGGATCGCTTCAGCCCAGGAGGTCGAGGCTGTAGTGAGCTATGATCACACCACTTCACTCTGGCCTGGGCAACAGAGCGAGACCCTGTCACTGAAAACAACAAAAACAAAATAGTGGCTGGCACAGAGTAAGCACTCCATTAATGTTAGGTATTATTATTATTATTGTTATTAGCAGTGACTGTGCAATAAGTATTAGAAACTGCCACAGCCCTGCATCGCCTCTGAAGGCCACGCTGCCCTCCAAAACCTGTTCATTCATTCAGCCGCAAACACTCCCCCGGCTGCCAGTAGCAAGGGTCTGCGCTGGTCTCTGCACTGCCACCTGCAAAGGGCTCCTTTCAGTCTCCAGGGACCTTCCAAAGACCCAATTCTTCTTTTTTTTTTTTTTTTTTGAGATGGAGTCTGGCTCTGCTGCCCAGGCTGGAGTGCAGTGGCACGATCTCGGCTCACTGCAAACTCCGTCTTCCGGGTTCAAGCAATTCTCCTGCCTCAGCCTCCCAAGTGGCTGGGACTACAGGCACCTGTCACCACGCCTGGCTAATTTGGATTTTTAGTAGAGACAGGGTTTCTCCATGTTGGCCAGGCTGGTCTCAAACTCCTGACCTCAAGTGATCCACCTGCCTCGGCCTCCCAAACTGCTGGGATTACAGGCATGAGCAACCGCACCCGGCCCAAAGACCCAATTCTTCAGCAGGGTAGCTGTGAGCCCTCCCAGCCTGCTCCCAGCCCCTGCTCCATTCCCTGAACACTCTGGGTCTCCTCAGGGTGTCCCCCCCCGCCGGCTGCCCCCCGTCCTCTCACCTGTCGCGGTACTCTTGCCATCTTTGGGCATCAAGTATGTCTCTGGCTTTTTTGTCCTGAGGAGAGAACAGTCTGGGTGAGACCCTTGGCTTCCCATGGAGGAAGAAGAGGCACTGGGTAGACCTGCAGAAGAACTTCCCAAGAGAAGAGGGACCCGGGAAAGGGAAGGGGCACTGCGGAGAGAAGACAGCAACTGGACTGGCTGAGGAAGGGCTTCAGGAAGTGATGGGGGCGGGCGGATCTGCTCGGGCAGCCCAAGGGAGGGACATGAGGAGGACACTGCATAGCCTTCTGCAGACCCAAAGGATGCCCTAAGCCTGGAAAATGCTCTTGCGGGCTCCCAGGCCATCTTCTTTCTTCTTTTCTTTTTTTTTTCTTAGACAGAGTCTCGCTCTGTCACCCAGGCTGGAGTGCAGTGGCGCAGTCTCAGCTCACTGCAACCTCTGCCTCCCGGGTTCAAGCGATTCTCCTGCCTCGGCCTCCCAAGTAGCTGGGATTACAAGCGCACACCACCATGCCTGACTAAATTTTTATATTTTTGGTAGAGATGGGGTTTCACCATGTTGGCCAGGCTGGTCTCAAACTCCCAACTTCAGGTGATCTGCCCACCTCGACCTTCCAAAGTGCTGGGATTATAGGTGTGAGCCACTGTGCCCGGCCTCTTCCTCCTTCTGGAGCCCTGAGAGAGCAGGCAATGAGGAGCGGACCCCACTGCAGAGTCCATCCTTCCCCCGCCTCCCGGGCTGATGATAACTGCCCTTCCTTGGGCCAGGGGACACCTTCAAGCGTCAATAAGTGCTGGCCGGAGCAATGCTGCTTGTCTCTGTCTTGGCAGCCTGGGTGCCTTGACAAGGGGTAACGTCCTGTCCTCATGCTCCCCACTTCGAGCTTCAGTGACCAGAGAGGAGTGGAGAAGGGGACTTCCCCAGCCTGCCTGGAGCTCCCTCAGCCTCTCAGGTGCCTTCCACACAGGGTCCTGGGTACAGGAGACCCCAGACATGCTCAGCACTTAGCAGAGGCATCAACCCCACATCCTTCTGGGGGGCTCCGCAAGACACCCAATGCTTCATCTGATCCTCACTGCCCATTATAGAAATGGAGAACCTGCATTCAGAGAGCAGTGGTGACTGGCTCCAGGTCCCATAGCCAGGTGGCCATAATGTCAGGATGAGGACCCAGGACTTTGAACCTCCAGCCCCGAGTGCTTCCCCCAGTGCCCTGAGGTGTGAAAGATTAAGGTGGAGGCTTGGCGGGGTCACAGGGGCCGGAGGTGGAATTTGCCTCCTCTTTCTGGCTGTGTGGCTCTGGGAAGGTGGCTTTCCCTCTCTGAGCCTTGGTTTCCTCATCTGCAAAACACAGAAAGTCCCACCCCTCCTTCCCTCTCCCACCTGGCAGGGTGAAAAGTTCACTCACTGGTTGTCCGTGGGGAGCTTGAGGTCATCAGGGCGCACCTTGAAGAAGTCAAGGAGGTGGGGACAGCGGGAGATCTTGGTGGGCAGGCTCATGAGCGTGCCGCAGTACTCGGTAAGTGTGCCCTGGTGGTTCTCGGCGGCCCGCTGCCCGTCAAACCACTTGGGAGCTGGCACCAGAGAACATGAGGTCAAGCCCGAGAGGTGCTGGGAGGGCAGGTGAGCCCCCGCCAATGACCCCCTGACAGGCGGCTCAGCCCCGTGCTCACCTGGGAGGTGGGGGATGATCCTGTTCTCTGGATTGATCGCCCCTGCCTCAATAGGGAACATTTCTTTTAAGGTTTTCTAAACATTAAAAAGACAAGAAGACGTGAAGGAATATTTGTAGTTTACAACACTTGGAAAAGCACGAGATTGGAAGTGACCTAAATACCTCTCAAAACCACCTAAAAGGCCGAGCATGGTGGCTCACGCCTGTAATCCCAGCACTTTGGGAGGCTGTCGTGGGTGGATCACTTGAGGTCAGGAGTTCAAGACCAGCCTGGCCAACGTGGTGAAACCCCGTCTCTACTAAAAATACAAAAATTAGCCGGGAGTGGTGGCACATGCCTGTAATCCCAGCTACTCAGGAGGCTGAGGTGGGAGAATCGTTTAAACCTGGGAGGCGGAGGTTACAGTGAGCCGAGATGGCGCCACTGCACTCCATCCTGGGTGACAGAGTGAGACACTACCTAAATATCTCGGGCCTAGAAATTTCGGTGGCAATCTGGATTCCTTGATTAACAGAGGCACTGACCTCTCTCCCTCCCATGTGCAAGTCACCAGCAAATCCTTTTGCTTCCAATCCCCAAATCTCTTTGGGATCTGACTGCTTCCCACCAACCCCACCCTCCTGGCCCTAGCCACTACCAGGCCTGGATAACGAAAATGGCCTCCTTGTGTCCCCCGTCCACTCTTGTCTGTCCTCAATCCAGTCGCCAAAGGGATCCTCTTAAAACTCAGGTTGACCAGGTGCAGGGGCTCAAACCTGTAATCCTAGCAATTTGGGAAGCTGAGGCGGGAGGATCACTTGAGTCCAGGAGTTAGAGACCAGCCTGGGCAACATAGCGAAATCCCATCTCTACAAAAAACAAATCAGGAAAAGGAGCCAGGTGTGGTGGTGCACACCTGTGATCTCAACATGGGAGGCTGAGATGGGAGAATCGCTTCAGCCCTGGAGGTTGAGGCTGCAGTGAGCCGTGATTGCACCACTGCACCCCAGCCTGGGTGACAGAGCAAGACCCCATCTCAAAAGAAAAGCAAATATAAAAAAACTGATAACTCATTCTTAAAAAGGTACAAATGTAAAATTTAGGAAAATAACTAACATAGGGACGAGAACCACAAGGAGAATGTTCACCAGCAGGTGCATTTATTTGGGATCTAGAACTTGGCTTTGTTTTTCAAAAGCGACAAGAATGGTTCCATTCTAGGAAGGTTCTGGGAGATCCTGTCTGTTTTACTTTAAAATGAGAATCTGGTGTTTCTGTGTTTTATTGTTTTCAGTAAGACTACTTAAATGTTTCAGGGGGAAAAATGTTTTTTTCTTTTAATGCCCCCTTAGCTTTGGGAGGCCAAGGCAGGAGGATCACTTGAGGTCTGGAGTTCAAGACCAGCCTGGGCAACATAGTGAGATCCCCATCTTTATAAAAAATACAAAAATTAGCCACACATGGTGATGCGCACCTATAGTCCCAGCTACTCAGGAGGCTGAGGCAGGAGGATCGCTTGAGCCCCAGAGGTTGAGGCTGCAGTGAGCTATGATTGCGCCCCTGCACTGCAAACCTAAATACCTCTCAAAACCACCTAAAAGGCCGACCGTGGGGGCTCATGCCTGTAATCAGAGAACATGAGGTGTTCAGAGTGGTGACAGAGCAAGACCCTGGGTGACAGAGCAAGACCCTGTCACAAAAATTTATATAAATAAATAAATCCCCTTTAACTGTGGTCTGGGAGGGGATTCTGGGTTCTGCAGTTTCCCCATCACCTGGGCTAAGGTCCTTCCCAAAGGGTGGAGCTGGAACGGTGGGTCCCTGTCCCTCCTCCGTCCCCACACTCACATGGAACTCGTAGATCTCGGTGAAGCGCCGGTAGACCACCTTCTCCGACAGGTCCTGCCATTTCACCAGGAACATGTACCTGGGGGAAAGCCAGAGTCGGGGGACCCCATTCAGCCTCCAAAGAGGCTTTGCTGTGTGCACCCAGGATCCCACTACCCACTGGAGGAAGCCCAGAGGATTGGGGTGAGGACCATCTTTGCAGTTGTCCTGGATTGCAGAAAGGGCACAAACGTGGACCCAAGTGCTGCCACGCCCCAGCCTTGAGACCCAGGGCAAGAGGGTCAGCTTCTCTCAAATGGACTCATCTGTAAATTGGAGATAAAAGTAGGACCTAGGCTGGGCACGGTGGCTCACACCTGGAATCCCAGCACTTTTTAGTACCGAGGTGGGAAGATCGCTTGAGTCCAAGAGTTTGAGACCAGCCTGGGCAACATAGCGAGACCCCCATATCTACTAAAAACACAAAAATTGTCCGGGTGTGGTGCCGCACACCTGTGGCCCCAGGTGAGGCAGGAGAATTGCTTGAGACTTGGAGGTCAAGGCTTTAGTGAGCTATGATTGCACCACTGCACTCCAGCTTGGGTGGGGAGGGGAGGGGAAGGGAGGGGACAGGAGGAGAGGGGAGGGGACGGGAGGGGCAGGAAGGCTGGGCATGTTGGCTCCCGTCTGTAATCCCAGCACTTTGGGAGGCCAAGGCAGGTGGATCACCTGAGGTCAGGCGTTCAAGACCAGCCTGACCAATATGGTGAAACCCTGTCTCTACTAAAAACACAAAAATTACCCGGTAGTGGTGATGGGCACCTGTGATCCCAGCTACTTGGGAGGCTGGGACAGGAGAATTGCTTGAACCCGGGAGGCGGAGGCTGCAGTGAGCTGAGGTTGTGCCACTGCACTCCAGCCTGGGTGACAGAGCGAGACTCCCTCTCAAAAAAATTAAAAAGAAGACAGAATTGCATCTAAGATCCACTGCCCTGGATACACAAACTGAATCTAATGAAGATAAACCCAAACTAAGGGACATTCTACAAGGTAACTGGTCTGCTCTCTGCAAAACATCAAAGTTGCAAAAGACAAAGACTGATTAAGACCGATCCAGAATCCGCTGGCACGGTGGCTCACGCCTGTAATCCCAGCACTTTGGGAGGTCGAGGCGGGCAGATCACCTGACGTCAGGAGTTCGAGATCAGCCTGGCTAACATGGTGAAACCCTGTCTCTACTAAAAATACAAAAAGTAGCCGGGCATGGTGGCGCATGCCTGTAATCCCAGCTACTCGGGAGGCTGAGGCACGAGAATTGCTTGAACCTGGGAGGCGGAGGATGCAGTGAGTGGAGATTGTGCCATTGCACTCCAGTCTGGGTGACAGAGTAAGACTCCATCTCATAAAAAAAAAAAAAAAAGACTGATCCAGAATCAATGGCAAAACCCTGTCTCTACCAAAAACGAGCTGGGCGTGGTGGCGCGCACCTGTATTCCCAGCTACTCAGGAGGCTGAGGCAGGAGAATCTCTTGAACCCAGGAGGCAGAGGTTGCAATGAGCCGAGATTGCACCACTGCACTCCAGTCTGGTGACAGAGTGAGATTCCGTGTCCAAAAAAAGAAAAAGAAAAAGAAAAAAGACTGATCCAGATTAAAGAAGGTTAAAGGCTATGACATTGATCCTTGACTGGATCCTAGACCTGAAAAAAGTTTTCACTGCAGAGGACAAGCAGGATAATCGGGGAAACCTCAGTAAAGTCTGTGGGTGGATAATGGTGTTTTGTCCATGTTAATTTCCTGATTTTGACACGTGTGTTGTGATTATGTAAGAGAATGCCTTGATTTTAAGAAATGCCCAACAACTAGTATTTAGAGGTAAAGAAACACGTCTTCAACTCACTCTCAAATAATTCAGAAAATATCCCCAGAAAGAGAGGTGTGGATGAAGGTGAGTGAAAGACTATTGGAGTGACTGGTACCGTTTTGACACCCAGTAGCCTTTCTGTAAATTTGAAATTTCAAAACTGAAAGTTACAAAGAAAAGGAGAAAAGTGACTAGGCACGGTAGCTCACGCTTGTAATCCTAGCACTGTGGGAGGCTGAGACCAGAGGGTTGCTTAAGCCGAGGAGTTCAAGATTAGCCTGGACAACATAGTGAAACCTCATCTCCACAAAAATTTTAAAAACTAGCCAGGCATGGTGGTGTGCGCCTGTAGCCCCAGCTACTCAAGGGGCTGAGGCAGGAGGATCACTTGGGCCTGGGAGGTCGAGGCTGCAGTGAACTATGATCGCACCACTGCACTCCAGACCTCATTTCAAAAAAACAGGCCAGGCACGGTGGCTCATGCCTGTAATCCCAGCACTTTGGGAGGCCCAGGTGGGTGGATCACTTGAGGTCAGGAGTTTGAGACCAGTCTGGCCAACATGGTGAAACCCTGTCTCTACTAAAAATACAAAAATTAGCCAGGCGTGGTGGTGGGCACCTGTAATCCCAACTACTCTGGAGGCTGAGGCAGGAGAACCAGTTGAACCTGGAAGGCGGAGGTTGCAGTGAGCTGAGATCGTGCCACTGCACTCTGGCCTGGGCAACAGATCAAGACTCTGTCTCAAAAAACAAAAAAATAACAAAAAAGAGAAAGGTCTTGGCACATAGGACTAAATGTTCCATACAAGCTTCAATTTCCTAAATGTAGTTCCTCCCTGGCCTTCCTATGGGATTAGGGGACCCAGTGGACTTGTGTGTCTGAGCAGGCATTTGTCCAGCCTCCTTGGGGACAGATGGGAGGACTCTATTGGCCCCTGTCATGGTGTCACCCTACTGGAGAGGATAAGACTCTAACTGACACTACAGGCAGCTGGGGAGAGAGAGAGCTTTAGTTTCCAGGCCTCCCTCTTGGGAGGGCCACTCTCTGATAGCTGGGCTAGTCAGGGAAGGCTTCCTGGAGGAGTGGGCCTCGGACCTGAGAGAGCGCTGGGCTGCCTGGCCATGGCAGGGGAGCAGAAAGAGGACTCCTGGCTAAGGCTGAGGGCCTGGCTGGGGACACAGGCGGGGACAGTAAAGGGCTGGGGCCCAGGGCGGGTCCAAGGGAACTGTCTTCCCAGGGATCAGAGGGGTAGATCCAGGCTCAAAGACCAGGGACCAGGTGCCCAAGACCCTGCCCCGTTAGTCCTCACTGGAGCTGGTTGGCCCTGGGACTGCAAGGGTGGCCGTGCTGTCCCTCCCGTATTCCCCCCACGGGATGCCCTCCACCAGCTACTCACATAGTGCTGGCTGGGTACGAAGCGCTTCTCAAAGCCCAGCAGGGCGATGTGACGGATGAAGGTGTCCCCCATGACTGGGTGGCCTCCAGTGCTCCCTGGCACTTCCAGGCTGCGCCTTAAATGCACTGGAAAGAGGAAGTCGCTTTTGTCGCGGTCGGGACAGGGGGCAGGGAGGGTACAGAAAGGGCTTTGCTTCTTCTTTCAGTTTCTGGGGACTCTTCAGGCTTGCAGGGTGTAAACATGGGCAGACTCATGTTCACACACACCTGCAGGGACAAGGAAAAGGGTTTACACTTGTCCTTCCCGTCGCCTGCACGGGCCCCACGGGTTTTGGGGGTGAATCAAGCTGCTCCTGCCTCAGGGCCTTTGCATTTGCTGCGTCCCCTTGACCATCTTTCCCCCCTTGACCATATTCCTGGTCTTGACCATGTTCCCCCCATTCACCATCTTCCCTCCATAACTCTCCTCCATTTCTCTGCTCAAATGTCACCTCTTCCGAGAAGCCTTCCTTGATAACTTCACATTGCATAGCAAACCTCATACCTTTCTCAGCCTCTTCCTGCCTCCTTTTTCTGCAGAGCACTTATCACTGATGCATCGCAAATTGCATTTAATTTTTCTTTATTATTATTGCTATTGTTATTTGAGACAGGGTCTTGCTTTGTTATCCAGGCTTAAGCGCAGTGGTGGGATCACAGTTCACTGCAGCCTCCAACTCCTGGGCTCCAGCGATCCTCCTGCCTCAGCCTCTGGAGTAGCTGGGACTACGGGTGTGTGCCACCATGCCCGGTTAAATTTTTTTTAATTTTTTTGTACAGACAGGGTCCTGCTATGTTGCCCAGGATGGTCTCAAACTACTGGCCTCTAGTGATCCTCCTGCCTCTGCCTCCCACTTTTTTTTTTTTTGAGATGGAGTCTCGCTCTTGTTTCCCAGGCTGGAGTGCAATGGCGCGATCTCGGCTCACCGCAACCTCTGCCTCCTGGGTTCAAGCAATTCTCTTGCGTTAGTCTCCTGAGTAGCTGGGATTACAGGCATGTGCCACCACACCTGGCTAATTTTTTTTTTTTTTTTTAATTAGAGACTGGGTTTCTCCATGTTGGCCAGGCTGGTCTTGAACTCCTGACCTCAGGTAATTCACTCGCCTCGGCCTCCCAAAGTGCTGGGATTCAGGCATGAGCCACCGTGCCTGGCCTGACTTAATTTTTTTAGTCTCCCCTTACCACAATGTGTGTCCCAGGAAAGCTAGGGCATGACCGGGTTATCAGGGGCTCTAGCCCCAGCCCCTCCAGCTAGTGCCTGGCACACAGAGGCCATAAATATTTGGATCGTGACTGCAACATTCACTGAGTGAATGAATGAGTGAGTGAATGAATGAATGAGTCAATGAATGAGTGAATGAATGAATGAATGAGTGAATGAACGCGGGCATGGGAGTGTGCATGCAAGCGTTAGATGCTCATCCTTGGGTGTGTGTGGATGAGGGCCAGTGACAGCTGGGACGAAAATGGCACAGACTTTGAGTGAGACTTGAGTTCCAATCCTCAAGTAAGCAAATGGTTCATTGAATTGTTCCTTAGGGCTGACTCAGTTTTCTCCAGAGTGATATTAAGACTGTCAGCTTTGCCAGGAAGGGGATTTGGGACAAAGAGGTGAGGAGGGGGCAGCATGCCCAGGGACAGGCTGAGGCCTCTCTCTCCCACTCCCCCTAGAGCCTGGGAGGCCCAGAGCTTTTGGAGCTCATTCAAGGTCATGAGTTCATGAGTGGTGGGCCTCAGCCC
Source organism: Homo sapiens (assembly GCF_000001405.40). Taxonomy (NCBI): domain Eukaryota; kingdom Metazoa; phylum Chordata; class Mammalia; order Primates; family Hominidae; genus Homo; species Homo sapiens. The sequence continues at coordinate 73,218,938 of NC_000007.14, read as the reverse complement.
CAGGCAGCCTGCTGCAGCCTGTGCCTCCCAGCAGGCCAGGGCTGCACCAACTCACCCTTGCCTGAGTCCAGGGTCAGCTCGTGGTCCGGACCTGATCTCCTGGGGGTGAGGGTTGAGGTCTGGCAGATGAAAGCCAAGACATGCTGGGCGTTAATTTATTTGTTTGAAGCGAAGTTTCGCTCTTGTTGCCCAGGCTGGAGTGCAGTGGCACAATCTCGGCTCACTGCAACCTCTGCCTTCCAGGTTCAAGCGATTCTCCTGCCTCAGCTTCCCAAGTAGCTGGGATTATAGGTGTGCGCCACCACGCCTGGCTAATTTTGTATTTTTAGTAGAGAAGGGGTATCACCCTGTTGGCCAGGCTGGTCTTGAACTCCTGAGCTCAGGAGATCCACCCGCCTCAGCCTCCCAAAGTGTTGGGATTACAGGCATGAGCCACTGTGCCTGGCCCTTTTTTTTTTTTTTTTTTTTTTTTTTAAAGACAGGGTCTCTATCTGTCACCCAGGCTGGAGTGCAGTTGCCTGGTCATAACTCACTGCAGCCTCCAACTCCTGGGCTCAAGCAGTCCTCCTGCCTTGGCCTCCCCAGTAGGTTGGGACTACAGGCACATGCCACCACACCTGGCCTGTTCCTGCTTTTATTATCCAGTGCATTTATTATCCAAGAGGTGTAGGGTCCACTCCACCTGCTCTGAAAGATTTGCTTGGCAAGTGCTTCACTTCTTTTTTTCTTTTTTTTTTTTTTGAGACAGAGTCTCTTTCTGTCCCCCAGGCTGGTATGCAGTGGCATGATCTCGGCTCACTGCAACCTTCACCTTCCGGGTACAAGCAATTCTCCTGCCTCAGCCTCCCAAATAGCTGGGATTACAGGCGTGCACCACCACGTCCGGCTAATTTTTTGTATTTTTATAGTGATGGGGTTTCACCAAATTGCCCAGGCTGGTCTCGAACTCCTGACCTCAAGTGATCTGCCCGCCTCGACCTCCCAAAGCGCTGGGATTACAGGAGTGAGCCACTGCACCCGGCCTTCACTTCTCTATAGAGAAGAAAGCTCACATCACCCGCCGGCACCTGCTCCTTCTGGTCCTTACTGTCCCCCACCTCCACCCTGAGGTCCCCAGCCCTGGGTGTGAACGGCCTTGCCAGCCCTTCCTATGATGATTTCCATCTGTGTATCTTGGATCTTTCCATGAAGAGAGATAGGCATTTGCAACAGGATCTACTCAGCAATGACAAGGACCTGTCCCACAGGGCGACACAGTGGAATCTTCCAGATACATCACTGACGGAAGGAAGGCAGGCACAGAGCACATGTTCTGGAGGATGTCATTTATACGAGGCTTGAAAACTGCCCAAGCCAGGCTGTGGTGTTGGAAGCCAGGGTGACCTCTGGAATGATGGTGGGGACAGTGGTGACAGGAGAGAGCGGGAGGTGGTGGGCGATGTTTGCCTCCTCTCCAGATAGATGCTAGTTCCACAAGTGGGGCCAGGTGCGGTGGCTCATGCCTGTAATCTCAGTACTTTGGGAGGCCGAGGCAGGTGGATCACCTGAGGTCAGGGGTTCGAGACCAGCGTGGCCAACATGGTGAAACCCCGTCTCTACTAAAAATACAAAATTAGCCAGGCGTGGTGGCACATGCCTGTAATCCCAGCTACTCAGGAGGCTGAGGCAGGAGAATTCGCTTGAACCTGGGAGGCAGAAGTTGCGGCGAGCTGAGATTGCACCATTGCACTCCAGCCTGGGCAACAAGGACAAAACTCCATCTCAAAATAAAATAAAATAAAATAAAATAAAATAAAATAAATAAAATAATTAGCTGGGCATGGTGGCATGTGCCAGTAGTCCCAGCTACTTGGGAGGAGGCTGAGGCAGAAGGACTCCTTGAGCTCAGGAGTTCAAGGCTGCAGTCAGATAAGTTCAAGGTCATTGGTAGGGTGGTCCCGCAGCTCAGGCACTGGGCTCACCCGCTGAAAGTTGTGTGCTCTCCTGTAATTTTTCTATCAACACCCCTTCCCTGACACTCAATTTGTCTCTCATCTTCCCTGTCAAATGCCTCCTCGAAAGGCCCAGCATGGTAGCCAGGCATGGTGGCTCATAGCTCTAATCCCAGAACTTTGGGAGGCTACGGTGGGCGGATCACCTGAGGTCAGGAGTTCAAGACCAGCTGGCCCAACATGGTGAAACCCAGTCTCCACTAAAAATACAAAAATTAGCTGGGCATGGTGGCACACACCTGTAATCCCAGCTACTCCGGAGGGTAAGACAGGAGAATCACTTGAACCAGGGAGGTGGAGGTTGCAGTGAGCCGAGATCCTGCCACTGCACTCCAGCCTGGGAAGCAGAGTGAGATTCTGTCTCAGGAAAAAAAAAAAAAAAAAGGCTCAGCACAGAGGCCAGACCTGCAGCGGTGCTCTCCTGGGCATGTCGAGGCAGGGCAGAGGAAGGTTCTAGTGGGGCTGGTTGTAAGCAGAGAATTTTGTGGGCTCTCGGCACTTCCTTCCCTTCCTCTAGCGGTCTTTCCACACTTGCGTAACTGCCTGGCCAAGGGTACTTGTCCTGTGGACACCCTGAGCCCCTGGCTGTGATCTTTCAACTCTCCTCCTGTGGCCTCCCAAGACCCTGTTATGTTCCCTCAAAGTGCTCTGCAGACAGGAGGTATCCAGCAAGTTTGTTGGATGAGCAGAGGCAGGAAGCGCTCTGAACTTGAGTTTGACCTTGTAATGACCTCTGTAAGCAGGCTTACAGCCTTTTTTCAGGATGACATAGGATTTTTTCCACTTTTTATTTATTATTATTATTATTATTATTTTTTTTTTTGTAGAGACGGGGTCTCGAGATGCTGCTCGGCCTGGTCTCAAGCTCCAGTATCAAGTGGTCCTCCCACCTCAGCCTCCCAAAATGCTGGGATTACAGGCATAAGCCACTGTGTCTGGCCAGGATTTAATTTAATGCATGGATGAAACAAGGTACCAAATAATTTTTTTAATTAAAAAAAAAAAGATAGGTGCAGTGGCTCATGCCTGTAATTCCAGCACTTTGGGAGGCCAAGGTGGGTGGGTCATCTGAGGTCAGGAGTTCGGGACCAGCTTGGCCAACACGGTGAAACCGGGTCTCTACTAAAAATAAAAAAATTAGCCAGGCATGGCATTGCAAGCCTATAATCCCAGCTACTTGGGAGGCTGAGGCAGAAGAATCGCTTGAACCTGGGAGGCAGAGGTTGCAGTGAGCCGAGATCACACCACTGCACTCCAGGCTGGGTAACAGAGTAGACTTGGTTTCAAAAAATAAATAAATAAAATAAAATAAAATAAAGTTAAGGAAGGAAGTAATAAAGAGATAAGAGAGTTTTTTCAGGGGAAGGAAATAGAATTTCTAAAAATGTTTGTATTGTGAAATATGTAGAAAACCACATCTCTTACCTAATTATTATAAAGGAGACAGCTGGTGAACCATCACTGGGTGTTAGAACAATACCAGGGCCCCAAGAATTCCCCCACGTCCCGAGTGCTAATAGGAAGGGCCCCCCGCACCCCGCCGCCCTGCCCTACGTCAGGCACTATTCTAGGTGCTTTCTATTTATGACCGTATCTTCTCCTCACAAGGAGGCTGTCAGGGAGTGGGTACAATTTTCCCCACTTCACAGATGGGAAAACAGAGAGGAAAACAGATTGCCACAGCTGGTATATGCAGAACTGGGATTTGTTTTGTTTTTGTTTTGAGACAGAGTCTTGCTGTGTCACCCAGGCTGGAGTGCAGTGGCGCAATCCTGCCTCACTGTAACCTCCGCCTCCCTGGTTCAAGAAATTCTGTGCCAGCCTCCCGAGTAGCTGGGATTACAGGCTCGTGCCACCACGCCCGGCTAATTTTTGTATTTTTTGTAGAGATGGGGTTTCACCATGTTGCCCAAGCTGGTCTCGAACTCCTGACCTCAAGTGATCTGCCTGCCTCGGCCTCCCAAAGTGCTGGGATTACAGGCATGAGCCATCGCGCCAGGCTAGAACCGCGATTGAACTTGGGCAGTCTGGACCCAGGCCCATGATTTAACTGTTGCACTCTCATGCCTTGCCCTTGAACAATGTGAATGAATGAATGAATGAATGAGTGGGGGTAGGGGGCTCATGAGGAAGGCTCTCACCTCAAGCCAGGCTGGCAGGGAGTGGGGGCTTCCAGGTCTGAGCTGCCAGTCCTGGCCTTTTTCCAAATGTCACCTTCTCCGCCCTCAGGCCACTTGGCTTTCCCCAGATGGGCTGAGCTCGCTATTTCTTTAACCAGGAAATCCCCAAGGCCAGGCCAGTGGGTACCATATCAGGAGAAAGGCGACTTGGCATCAGGGCATGGGACCCACGCAGTGCCCTCTGGGACATTTTATCAGGAGAGGGAATCTAGCAGTTCCCAGGACTGGAGCAAATCAGCCTTTGGGTGGGACAGTTCTTTCCCAGATCTAACCTAAGCCTCTCCTGCTGCCTCTTCTTGAGCGAGTGACAGCCAGGATCCATCCCCTTGGACAGCCCTGGGTGACCGTCTCCTGGGCCAGCCCACAGGACCAGCTCTCCCTCCTGCCTAGGGCAGCAGGATGGGCCCCAAGGTACCTATGACGCTGGCTCTGTGTGACCGACCCTGTATTGGCAGGCAGGTGTCAATAGGCAGAAACGCTGGCCACTCCAGCCTTGGCCAACATGGTGAACCCCATCTCTACAAAAAATACAAAAATTAGCTGGGCATGGTGGCAGGTGCTTGTAATCCCAGCTACTCAGGAGGCCGAGGCAGGAGACTCTCTTGAACCCGGGAGGCGGAGGTTGCAGTGACCCGAGATCGTGCCACTGCATTCCAGCCTGGGAGACAGAGTGAGTGAGACTCCATCTCAAAAAAAAAAAGCAAAGAAGAAAGTGGGCCACTCGCTGCCTCCCCAGAGACCCATCTTCCTTTATCAGCCAAATCACCTGCGCTGGGCTCTGCTTGGCAGGGGTGGACCCTGAGGCCTCGGCAGAGGGGAATCAGGGACCTGCCCTTGGGAGACTGTCCCAGGACACACCTGAACCACACCCCTGGGAATTCCCTTCTCCCCTAGACCTGATCTCCAGCCCTTGGCCTAGGGACACAAGAGAATGGGCTCCAGGCCCCAGGCATTCAACTCAGGGGAGTCAGACGGAGACCCAGGCCCCGTGGGGAGACGTGCAGGCTGACGGCTGAGCTGTGCACGTGGCTGAAGCTCCCTGAGCCTCTGTCTTTTCATCTGTGAAATGGCACTGACCACTGTACCCACTTCATGGGCTGCCGTGAGGATTAAATAGGGTCAAGTACTAGGGTGGCAAACGTTGGCCATCACCAGATGCAAACTGCGCAGGGGCTGCCTCCAAGGTGCGGGGCAGGGAAATTGCCAGGTAGGAGGCAGGGAGGCTTCTTGCTGTTTAAATTGAGCTTTGAATGAAGAAAATGTCACATGAAGGACAGCAGGCACCCCAAGTTGCTGGGACCACCGGCCCGGGGCTCTGACAGTGGAGCAGTCTCATGATGTCCCTTGGAGAGCTTGTCTGGGTGTGGTGCAGCTGTGTGGGTGGCCTGGAAGCCTTCCCTGACACGGCCAGGCTGACAGTAACCAAGCCCATGGACAGGCTGGGTCTGTCCCCACTGCACTGCACTGTGGCTTCTGGCCCAGCTCCAGGCACGACATGGGCCCTCATCAAATATGCACCACAGGAATGGGGACCTTCCAAGCCAGCCCCACCCCCCGCGGGAGCCCCACTTCTGTGCTCAGGGGCCCAGTTGCCCTCTGCCACCCAGGAAGGCTATAAACTCCGCAGTGCACCACCACCCCCAGGGGCTTTGGTGAAATTTTTTTTTTTTTTTTTTTTGAGGCAAAGTCTCACTCCGTTGCCCAGGCTGCAGTGCAATGGCGCAGTCTCGGCTCACTGCAACCTCCAACCTCCTGGGTTCAAGCAATTCTCCTGCCTCAGCCTCCTGAGTAGCTGGGATTACAGGTTTCCGCTACCACACCCGGCTAATTTTTGTATTTTTAGTACAGACAGGATTTCTCCATATTGGCCAGGCTGGTCTCGAACTCCTGACCTCAGGTGATCCGCCCGCCTCGGCCTCCCAAAGTGCTGGGATTATAGGCGTGAGCCACTGCACGTGGCCGATGGTGATTTCTGTACACTTGAAACAAATTTCAGTAATGAGGAAATCACATCCTAAGCACCAGCCAGTCACTGGGTCTGGAGTGGCCGTTTCCACATCTCCCCAGCTCCAAGCAGCACAGTGAAGTCAGTGGTGGTGCGGTCCCTCTGGGACTCACTGAGGGCCAGGCCCCTGTGCCACTTCCCAGGAGAGATCTGGGACAGTCGCTAAGTCACACAGGCCTGGAGTTGGGGGCGGCACACCTGCAGACAGGTGGGACCTGTAGACGTGGCTTTCTCGGTGAGGGGTTACCCAGGCGCAGAGGCACCGCAGAGCCCCATCATGCAGGAGGACAACCTTGTCACCTCCATGGGACTGAAGCTCATCTTCCGCGGGCCAGAAAAAGAAACTTGGGGCTGTGGTGTCAACACTTGCCACAGCTTCCTGAACATGCACCCCAGGTTCCCTGTTCCGGCCTTGTCTTTTTGGAGACCTGCAGTGACTGCTGTTTATCCAGGGGTTTCCCCTGAAGGGTGTGGGCACCATACAGGAGGGGACAGTTTTAGTGTCAATCGGGACAGGAGTTCAACAGGTCCTTTGGATGCAGCTAGAGCTAGACCTTCTCAGCCTGTGGCATTTGGGGCTCTGGGAGGTGTGCCCTCTGCTCTGTCGCTGGCCCTACCTGTGTCCACCAAATCGCCCTCACACCTCTGGAGGGGTCCTCCTGGGTGGGTCCTTACTGCTTTATGTAGCCTGAGGAACGAGCAACCTTGAGCCCCCGCAGGAAGCGGATGCCACAGCAAGCCCTGCTATTGCTTCTGGGGAGGAAGTCAGGCAGGAAACACCTTCCCCAGCTGGGCTTGCCTCACAAGAGATGTCAGAGCCAGCTTTCCCAACACTTCCTCAAAATTAAGGTGCGGTGCCAGGCGCAGTGGCTCACGCACGCCTGTAATCCCAGAACTCTGGGAGGCCAAGGCAGGTGGATCACTTGAGGTCAGGAGTTCGAGACCAACCTGGCCAACATGGGGAAACCCGTCTCTACTAAAAATACAAAAATTAGCTGGGTGTGGTGGTGGACACCTGTAATCCCAGCTACTCGGGAGGCTGAGGCAGGAGAATAGCTTGAACCTGGTAGGCAGAGGTTGCAGGGGGCAGAGATTGCACCACTGCACTCCAGCCTGGGCCACAGAGCGAGACTCCATCTTGGAAAAAAAAAAAAGAGTTAAGATGGGGTAGGGGTGCAGGGGGCAGGTAAGGAGGGACCTCGAGGCGGCTGGGGGGACAAAAGCATGGGCCTCAGTCTGGGCTTGGTTTTTAGCCCAGTTCCCAGGATGAGAAGGCCCCTCTGGTGCAGCCACACCAGGTCCACCTGCCCTTTGTCACCGATGGGCCACTAGGACCCTAGGGACCTGTGATTTCTTTTTTTTGAGACGGAGTCTCGCTCTGTCACCCAGGCTAGAGTGCAGTGGTGCGATCTCGGCTCACTGCCAGCTTGGCCTCCCAGGTTCACGCCATTCTGCCTCAGCCTCCCGAGTAGCTGGGACTATAGGCGCCCAGCACCATGCCCGGCTAATTTTTTGTATTTTTAGTAGAGACGGGGTTTCACCGTGCTAGCCAGGATGGTCTCGATCTCCTGACCTCATGATCCGCCCGCCTCGGCCTCCCAAAGTGCTGGGATTACAGGCCTGAGTCACCGTTCCCGGCCAGGGACCTGTGATTTCTACAACTGGCTGAAAGCTGCATCCAGTCTGCCCTGTGAGCCAGGTGAGTGGGCAGCCGTGGGTGAAGTACAGAGAGCCAGGGCTCCCTTCCCACCGTGGATCCAGGCAGGATCTGAACTCCAGGCAGGGGAAGTGATGCTTTTGAGAGTAAAGAAAGGCCCCACAGCCCTGTTTGCGGTCATCCCCCTGGACTCGCAGGTCTAAGGACAGGGACAGCGGCCTCCAGGTCACCTCCATTCCTAAAATCCGTCCCCTTCCTCTTTCCCCATCATAGGGAAACTGAGGCACTTTGGGAGAACATCAGATCCTCAAAACACATCCAAGTCCAGAAACTGGGGCTTCCATTTAGGAAGATGAGCAGCGACCTTCCAGAAGATGGAAGTGGTTACTGGGCAGTGACTTTCCAAAAGATGCCCCTTTGGTGTGTAACAATTATCTGCCCCCGAATGGTCAAGCCCACCAGGTGCCTTGAATTTACTAAGACCAGCACTTAGAGTGTAATGTGGAAACTAGAAAGGCCTGGTCCCTCGATCTTCCTCTCTGGTGGAACTTTTGGTCTTTGGAGAAAAAACAAAAACAAAAACAAAAAAACAGAAATGGGAACCAGGAGGAGGCTCAGAAAAACCAAACTACAGCCAGGCACAGGGGCTCATGCCTGTTATCCCAGCACTTTGGGAGGCTGGGGCGGGCGGATTGCTTGAGGTCAGGAGTTCCAGACCAGCCTGACCAACATGGAGAAACCCCATCTCTACTAAAAATACAAAACTAGCCAGGTGTGGTGGCACATGCCTGTAATCCCAGCTACTCGGGAGGCTGAAGCAGGAGAATCGCTTGAACTGGGAGGTGGAGGTTGCGGTGAGCTGAGATCGTGCCATTGCACTCCAGCCTGGGCAACAAGAGCGAAACTCTGTCTCAAAAAATAGAGAGAGAGACCAACCTACTTCAAAATGGAACTGGCGGCTGGCTCTATATGAGTTTCAGGTCCTAGGGGACCACAGACCCAGGTCCAAGTTGCATCCTCAAGCTTCTGAATAAGACTGGGGCAACAACGTCCTCATCTATACAGTTCCAGAACAGTCTCCCAGACCTCACTTTACATGTCAGCTGACTTAAACCAATTAGAAGATTAAGGCATCATGTAATGTGCTAACTCTGATGTGCGCTGATGGCCTGGGAGGGACGGGGGTGGGGACAGGCAAAGGCGAAACCTTCTCACGAGCAGATGACAACTGCCAGCTCTAGCATTTGAGAGCGGATGCGTCCCTGGCCATTCCCGCAGGACCTCCCTCCAGGGACAAAGCTTTGGTTTCCTCCCCACTGAGGACCAGGGGCTTGGAATGGGAGTTGTCACTTGGCAATCAGCAGGCAGGGTTTAATTCATACAGTCCTGGGAGGGAGACATTTCCTTGCTTTTACTGTTTTTCTGATAAAAATGTCCCCTATATAATGGCTGTCCAGAAGTGGATTTGTTCTTAGTCACTCTACTGCCTTACCTGGGAAGTAATTATGTTTGTCCCTTGAATTATTATGAAATCAGGAGGCGGCCGGGTGTGGCGGCTCATGCCTGTAATCCCAACACTTTCGGAGGCCGAGGTGGGCAAATCACGAGGTCAGGAGATCGAGACCATCCAGGCTAACATGGTGAAACCCCATCTCTACTAAAAATACAAAAAATTAGCTGGGCGTGGTGGCAGGCACCTGTAGTTCCAGATACTCTGGAGGCTGAGGCAGGAGAATCGTTTGAATCCAGAAGGCAGAGGTTGCAGTGAGCCGAGATCGCACCATTGCGCTCCAGCCTGGGCGACAGAGCCAGACTCCATCTCAAAAAAAAAAAAAAAAAAAAAAATCAGGAGGTTTTTGTTTTTTTGAGACAGAGTTTCACTCTGTCACGCAGGCTGTAGTGCAGTGGTGTGATCTTGGCTCACTGCAGCCTCCGCCTCCCAGGTTCAAGCAATTCTCTCCTACCTCAGCCTCCCGAGTAGCTGGGATTACAGGTGTGCACTACCACAGTCGGCTAATTTTTGTATTTTCACTAGAGACGAGGTTTCACCATGTTGACCAGGCTGGTCTTGAGCTCCCGACCTCAAGTGATCTGCCCTCCTTGGCCTCCCAAAGTGCTGGAATTACAGGCGTGAGCCACCGCGCCCGGCCAAGGAATCAGTTGTTTCAGAAACAAGAGCTTATTAGATACACTGAAGAGACCTACTTGAACTATATTTTGCTTTTTCAATCCAGAATACCGGGCTAACGAAGATTTTACTGGACAAGTTTAACTTCCCCTTCACCCTCTGAACAATCACACTATCTGCCTTTTAGAAATGCACTGCCTGAGGCTGGGTTTGGTGGCTCACACCTGTCATCCCAGCACTTTGGGAGGCCGAGGCAGGTGGATCACTTGAGGTTGGGAGTTCGAGACCAGCTTGGCCGACATGGGGAAACCCCGTCTCTACTAAAAATACAAAAATTAGCCGGGCATGGTGGCAGGTGGCCATAATCACAGTTACTGGGGTGGCTGAGACAGGAGAATCTCGAACTCAGGAGGCGGAGGTTACAGTGAGCCAAGATTGCACCACTGCACTCCAGCCTGGGCAACAGAGTGAGACTCCGTCTTCAAAAAAAAAAAAAAAAGAACAGAAATACACTGCCTGTTCATTAATTAATGCAGGCAGCTAAGGCCTCTTCTTTTTTCTTTTAAGAGACAGGGTCTCACTGTCACCCAGTCTGGAGTGCAGTGGTGTAATCACTGCAGTGGCTCAAGTGATCCTCCCACCTCAGCCTCCCTAGTAGCTGGGACTACAGTTGTACACCACAGCACCTGGCTTAAATCCTTTATGTGTGTGTGTGTGTGTGTGTGTGTGTGTGTGTGTAAAAATATGTGTATATACCTGAGGCCAGGATTTTGAGACCAGCCTGGCCAACATGCTGAAACCCCGTCTCTACTAAAAATACAAAAATTAGTCAGGTGTGTTGGTGGGTGCCTGCAATCCCAGCTACTCGGGAGGCTGAGGCAGGAGAATTGCTTGAACCTGTGAGGTGGAGGATGCAGTGAGCTGAGACTGCACCACTGTGCTCTAGCCTGGGCAACAGAGCAAGACTGTCTCAGGAAAAAAAAAAAAAAAAGAAAGGAAAAAATGTGTTATGTACACACAGAATTGTTGTAATGGATTGAATCATGAATATCCTTGGCAAGTCTGTGACCTCACAAATGAGTGTGAAACCAGTAACTGAACGGAGATTCATGGCAGAGCTGGGCTTTTGCCAACGGCAGCCTTGCCATGGCCCTGATTCTCCAGGATGGGTGCTGGGAGGTGTGGCTGAGGGTGGCGCGGCAGGACACATTTTAAGAACATGTTAAAAGAACTGTGAGATGCTATCAGAGAAGCAGTCTCCTCCCAGGTTAGCAGGCAGGTGAATCGTGAGATCAGTTTCCCTTTCTGGCACACGCGGATAGGGCACGGCAGAGGCAGGGACCACGCTGAGAACAGAAGAGCCTCAGAGTCAGTGTGTGGGCTCAGGCAGGAGGGACTGCTGCATGAGCTCTCGATGGCAGGGGCTTTTGGCACCCAATGTCGTATGTGAGCGGCTCTCCATACACAGCTGGCATGGCCCAGATGGAAGGGTGGGGGCCCTGGCCCGCTCAGAGGAGATGGGCAGCAGCGGTCTGAGAAACACCGCAAGTGGCGCTGTCCCCGGGAGGCCCGGCGGGCTCTGCCCAGCGCCAGCCTCGGCCTTGGTCTGCGTCCCACCTACGCCGAGCCACCCCCAAGCTTCCCCAGACAGGACCATGAAAACAGCCGAGAGAGCAATGACTTAGTGTGTGAAAGGCATGGATGGATTTTATTGATTACCCTATATCTACAATTTGAGGTAAAATAGAAGCAACACATAAAAGGGCCTATTTCTGCTACCATGTCATATAATTCTCCATTGTGAATATTGTGATAAAGCTACTGAAAACTATGCCGTCACAGAGCCTAGCTTCTTGTAGAGCTGGTATTTTACAACTCGCATTGCTTGTGAAATCTCAACACATGTAAGACTCTCCTAGGAAGGCGCAGAACGTCAGAGGTTGCATCCTTAGCCCCCTGACCCCTCCTCACTCCCCGCGCTGGCACCTCAGGGTTACAAGAAGAACTAGGAAATAATGCCGGCCACGGCGACCCCTGGAGAGGGGGCCGGCTAGAACAGCGTTCCTAAGAATCCGCGCCACAGCAGGTCCCGCGATGTTGGGGCCTTAGTGTCATCGAGCTAGCCCCAATCCTCAACCCGATCTTCAACTTCTGGTACACCATGCATTTTATTTGGACGAAAAGTAAAAGTGGAAGAGGTTCTCTCTGTATTTCCTCTATAATTCACACGCTGAGATACTGACCTCTGACTGTTAGGTGATCCAGATGGTTTTGCTTTTAATTATGATAAAAAAACATAGGAACCATGAGAGATAGCTTAGGAAAAGGTTTAGTCAAATATACAGATAGGAACTGTTCACTCAGTCATTAAGGAGAGCCGTGAACAAAGGATCATTTAAATGATTTTTTTTTTTCAAATAGAAAAACTAAAGAACTGAACTATCACAGGAATTTTTCTTCACTGCAGAAGCTGAGATGTTCCAGTAGGAGAAGTAGGAGATATCTTCACTTGATTGGAAAATAAACACCGTAACTCAAGGCTCTGCTGAGTACATAAAAAATCTGGTGAGATTCATTCCTGTCATTTTCCCTGTCATTTCCCAGCATTGCTGTAAAATCCTGATAGTACATTCCCAAGTACACCAGCCATTCCAGACCCACAGTCACTCTGCTCTTTAATTCACAGAACTGCTGAAAAAGTAGACATTTCTATCTAAAAGTAGAAAAAAAGGTTTGTATAGAAGGTATTTCTGTTATACAAGTATATTACACAGCTTGGGGTAGTAACAGGTCCGAAAAGCTCTTCTCAACCACTGATACTTTAAGCTAAAATAGGAGAGAAAACAAACAAGCAAGCAAAGAGGTTAATCTAATTACAGGAATTTAACAGTCACGAATATCACAACTTAATTTGCAAATTCAGGTAACAATGACTTGGATTCAGAAGCACTCATAAAGCGGGATGAAACCTTAAGTCCATGAGCTGACAGGGTAAGGCAAATTCCAGTACAAGTCTCTGGATTAAAAAAAAAAAATCCATTGTCAAAGTTTCCTGACTTCGGGTCTCAAGCTACTGCTCCTATTATAACTTGGCCAAATTTAAGAAATCTGGACTAACAGGATCAGACTTGTTAACTCTGCAAGATGAACAAAAGATCTGCAGCTCTGTGAGACTCTGCAAAATACTATTACTATGGAAAAAAAAAAGTCAGTCTAATGATTCTGACTCATAGTGAATTCCAATGAGGAGGACAACGTTGACTCTATTTAGAAACAGAACATTCTTTTTAAGGCAAAAGTGCTTTTACATCTTTGACTGAGAGACATATATTGATCCAAGGAGAATCTCCCTGTAGAATCTTCTAGCTTAAATATCCGGGAAGGCTCCCACCTGGCTCCCACATTCCCTGAAGGCAGGGCCACCATCTTATGTGAAAGTGGGGAGATCACATTAGCTACGCGTATGCAGGGGGTTCAGATGGACGCCACACAGCATCCCTGACACAGAAGCTGATTTACCCTAGGAGGGAAGAGGTCTACCACGTGGGGTCTGGTTCTTGCTTGATCTGAGAGCTTCCATCAGTCTCTTTTATTTCTATCAACAGAAACAAAACGGTACCGATTAATTATTTTGCAGACCTGCTCAGTGATAAATCCATTCGTACCAAACTATTTACTAAGATATGGTTTAATAAGAAGGACAAGACACCAAACATCAAAAGAGCTTCAGAGAGACATCTCTTTAGCAATACATTCAAAATTTTGTTACTTATGTTTTCAAAGTAACATACATCTTCTGGCTTACATGCATTTAAAGGACACACTTAGGTTATCTAGGTTATGTAGCAGAGTCATTCACGGAGAATTTACCAAGTCATCTGGGGAAAATGGAGCAAAAGCAGCTATGCGTCATCACTCAACAGCATAACCTGCAAATCCAATTCACCCAGAAGAAAGAGAGCAAAACCACCACCCAGTTCTAGTGAAATAGTTTAAATGCACAATCCTTTGTCCTGATAAAAAAGTCTTGGCTGGGCAAGGTGGCTCGCGCCTGTAATCCGAGCACTTTGGAGGCCAAGGCTGGCAGATCACTTGAGGTCAGAAGTCTGAGACTAGCCTGGCCAACATGGTGAAACCCCGTTTCTACTAAAAATACAAAAATTAGCCAAGCATGGTGGTGCAGGCCTGTAATCCCAGCTACTCGGGAGGCTGAGGCAGGAGAACTGCTTGAGCCCGGGAGGCGGAGGTTGCAGAGATCGCGCAACCTCACTCCACCCTGGGTGACAGAGCAAGTCTCTGTCTTTAAAAAAAAAAAAAAGAAGAAGAAGAAAGAAGAAGTCTTAAGGACTTGCAGGACCACCCCACCCTTTTACCTTCTGTGGCTGGAACTTCCAACTGGCTTGGTTCAGCTGATTCTAAAGAGAAACACAGAGACTGATTTCCACATTGTTCAACAGCTGCTTTATACTATGTAAAGAACCCAGGAGGAGGAAGAGGAGAAAAGCCCTCTAGACTCTGTACAAACACAGGTGCATGATGAAACAATGCTCACGGTCTTGAGATGGAGCACACGATTATCCAAGTGTACTTTCAAATTTCTGTTTTTCAAATGTGGTCCTAAGTTCACATATACAACTGAAGTTTGAAAGAGCAGAGTCTTAACATAGCTCTACCATGAAAACAAGCTCCTTAGTTATGCTTTCTCCCTTATCCTTCTGTTTACTCCCTTTAATAAAAGCTTTTCATTACTTTTTTTGTTTTTCTTCGTATGTTTGTTTTTTTGAGACAGAATCTCCTTTCTGTTGCCCAGGCTGGAGTGCAGTGGCACGATCTTGGCTCACTGCGACCTCCGCCTCCCAGGCTCAAGCGGTTCTCCTGCCTCAGCCTCCTGAGTAGCCGGCACACGCCACCACGTCTGGCTAGTTTTTGTATTCTTAGTAGAGACGGGGTTGCACCATGTTGGCCAGGCTGGTCTCGAACTCCTGATCTCAAGTGATCTACCCTTCTCAGCCTTCCAAAGTGCTGGGATAACAGGCGTGAGCCACCGCGCCCAGTCTCATTACTTTCAATGACTCACACAGCACCAGGCCATTCCACTTGTTTTTTAAGGAATTTTTTAAGAGCACAATCTGTACATTTCTACTGAAGAACATTTTGCTCACTGACTTATGGCAGACATTAGAAATGGATGGCAGAGTCAGGTTAAAGTGACGGCCCTCTTGCTCTGCCATTTCATCCTACCCATTAATCCTGGGGTTCCTGATGTTAGGCCTGAGCTGGGATAGGGGGTGCAAATGGTCTGCAGCCCCCAGTTCTCAATCAGGACCCACAGCTTGAATTTATGTTTTGATCAGCTGTCAAACCCAGGAGTGAAAACCACAGAGAAGCATGTGTGTGCTGTGTAACTGAGTCCCCTCAGGGCAGGTGACTGAGAGCCAAAGCCACACGCAGGCACGCCATGTGTGCCACTGTGCAGGCAGGAGTAGCTCCGGGCCCTCCCCTGCCTCGCTCACCTTGTATCACGGGGCCTTTTGACTCACTCTGATCAACCAGCTCTGAAAATGAAGCAGATTGGTTTAAATAATGTAAGGATGTGTTGTTCCCTTGGAAAAGCATTTTAACATACATTTGCTGTTTCCCTCAAGATGAGAAGGAAACAAACCTCAGAGTTCTGATATGTCCCTCAGAATCACTAATTCACAGTAATTACCATAAAACTCTATACCACACTACCGCACAAGAACAGGAACAAAAGAGAACATTTTATTTATTTATTTATTGGGACAGAGTTTTGCTCTTGTTGCCCAGGCTGGAGTGCAATGGCACGATCTCAGCTCACTGCAACCTCCACCTCTAGGATTCAAGCAACTCTCCTGCCTCAGCCTCCTGAGTAGCTGGGATTACAGGCACGCGCCACCACACCCAGCTGATTTTTGTATTTTTAGTAGAGACAGGCTTTCACCATGTTGGACGGGCTGGTCTCCAACTCCCAACCTCAACTGATCCGCCTGCCTCAGCCTCCCAAACTGCTGGGATTACAGGCGTGAGCCACCACGCCTGGCCTCACTTTTATACATTTTTAATAATAAAGTTAAGAAAACAAAACACACTCGCAAAATTAAGTTTGGCTCAAAATACTATTGAAAATGACATCAACGTTAAGGAATTGAAAGGACATTTGTTCACTCGCTCAGCAATATTTGAGAGCCCCATGTGTGCCAGGCACTGTGCTGAAATACTAACAGAAGCAGGCACATTGTGACTTACTTTGTAACGAAATCCAAGCACAGTAATTATAACAGTCATAAAAGCAGTAATAAATATAGATTGTATTCGCTGAGCACATACTGTAGGCTAAACACATACTAGAGGCTAGACACTGTTCTAGGTTAGGGGGATGCAAACTCTTTTCTTGCAGAGCCAATTAGTAAATATTTTAGGTTTTGCAGGCACACACTTGCTGCTGCCATCTCTCAGTTCTGCCATAAACAAATGGACACGATGGTGGTTTCAATAAAACTTTATGCATACACGTCGGCAGGAGCTTGCTGACACCTGTTCCAGATGCTTTCCATCTACTGGAACGACTCCCCCAAAATCGGTGCTATTATTACCATTTTATGATTAAGTGCATCGAGGATAGGAAGTTAAGAAGCTTGAATAATTTTACAACTAGGAAGTGCCTGGTGTTTTTACTGAGGGCTAAAACAAGTATTTGGCCTGGTTACTGACATAGGTGAAGTAACGTGATATACGTTAAGCATGTATACACACTCACACGCACACACGTCAGACCCCAGGAAAAAACAAAAACAAAACACTTCACAAAATACTCACGGTTATTAATCACAAGTCCTGGAAATGGTCTAAAGAGAGAAACAAATTGTAAAGTATAACAATTTATTTTCACTCTGTAAGAATTTACAGGTATAACTGTTTATTCAACTCATATCTAGCCCACGTCATTTACGTACTACAATGAGAAGTATTATCCATGACCTTATAAGCTTATGGAAGAGATAGATACGTATCAATAATAAGAACACTGTTAGAAAGTGTTAAGCTACTAGTAAATGGAGGAAAAACAAAAAATAGAAACGCAGAGCAGGGAACAGAGTGATTCTAAGTTTAACATACGGAAGAACGGAAGGGGCTTTTTGCCTAACTCCTGGGAGTGATATGGAGAATGACCGTGGGTGAAGTGGAACCAAAATATGAGATTTTGAGGGAAAGAAGATTGGAAGAAGACGAGTGTATGAGAAGCCTCAAGAGGATTTATTATGAGATTTCTGAGTGCCAGTCCCAAGAGACCTGAACTAGAGACAGTGGCAATCTGATGATGAAATGATTGGGTAGGTTGAGTCGTAGCTGTTTCTGGGGGGCTGGAAGACAAAGGGGAAGATAACCTGGGGTTGGTGCTCAGGTGGGCATCTCTTACGGTGACAAGGACGTGGGAAGGAATGTGGCACTCACAATGGTGTCAGAGGTGAGTACAATCATCATGCCTGCTCTATGGGAAGGAGCTGACACTCTCAGTGGGAACAACGATCAATCTCATTTACAGACAAAGAACAGAGTGACCTGGCTAACAAATGGCTGATGCGAGGTTGAATCCGTCTGACCCGAAGCCTGTGACAAGGCGCCCTAAGACAGAGGTTGACAAAGTTCTTTTTTTCTTGTGATGGAGTCTCACTCTGTCGTCCAGGCTGGAGTGCAGTGGCATGATCTTGGCTCATTGCAACCTCCACCTCCTGGGTTCAAGCGACTATCCTGCCTCAGCCTCCCGAGTAGCTGGGATTACAGGCACCCGCCATCATGCCCAGCTAACTGTTTTATTTTTGTAGAGATGGGATTTCACCATGTTGGCCAGGCTGGTCTGGAACTCCTGACCTCAGGTGATCTGCCTGCCTTGGCCTCCCAAAATGCTGGGATTACAGGCGTTAGCCACTGTGCCTAGCTAAGGTTTTTCTACAAAGTGCTAGAGAGTAAATATTTTAGACTTTGGAGGCCATGCCTTCTCAGTCCCAGCTACTTACTCACTGTGACAGGAAAGCAGCCATGGATAATACGGGTGTAGCTGTGTTTCAGGAAGACTCTAAAAATAGGAGGCAGCCTGAATTTGGCAAACAGTCCTAGTTTGCCAACCCTTTGCCAAAGAATTAAAAGAGTCAGCTTAGTTCGTAGAAGCACATCTGACATTCTAATGATGACACAAGTTATTTTGATTTGTTGATTGCACAGCATAGGAAGCCGGATTCGATGACTACCTGTGGCTGCATTTTAGAAGAGTCAGCCTCATGAGCTCCAGATTCGCTCCTGTGACTAAGCAGGAAACTCTCACTTACCTAATGACCGTGAATTTGATAAACTCGGCAGAGTCTAAGATCCTTCTCATGGAGCTGATTTCCAGGTAGCTGGGGGCTT
This sequence comes from Homo sapiens, assembly GCF_000001405.40. NCBI lineage: Eukaryota > Metazoa > Chordata > Mammalia > Primates > Hominidae > Homo > Homo sapiens. Next base: position 73,200,553 of record NC_000007.14, on the reverse strand, counting down.
TGAAGGACACCCCCGGGGGCATGCCATCAACCACCACACAGCCAGGGTTAATTGTGATTTTCCTGTAGGGAACTTTCACAGGAAAACCCATACCAATAGCTTCACCTACAGGGACAGTGAGACAAACAGCACAACAGCACAGATTAACCCACCGCCTTAAACAGCCTGTCAAAAGCACAAGATCAACATTTATTTTAAAGACTGTCTCTGCTGTTAACTAAGGTCTTTGTACACTTCAAACAAATTTAAATATGAACCTTAAATTTTTTTTTTTTTTTGAGACAGAGTCTTGCTCTGTCACCCAGGTTGGAGTGTGGTGGCTTGATCTCAGCTCACTGCAATCTCTGCCTCCCAGGTTCAAGCAATTCTCGTGCCACAGCCTCCTGAGTAGCTGGGATTACAGGTGTGCACCACCATACCCGGCTAATTTTTTGAATTTTTTAGTAGAGACAGGGTTTCACTATGTTGGCCAGGCTGGTCTCGAACTCCTGGCCTCAACTGATCCACCTGCCTCGGGCTCCCAAAATGCTGGGATTACAAGTGTGAGCCACACTGCCAGATGGTGAACCTTAAATTCATTAACTTTCATACTGACAATCAATAGTGTAACACTAATGGTATCTTATTAAATAAATTTAGCACAAACAACTCACTTTTAAATTTTAACTCCTTTTATATAGGATTACAACCATCTAACCATCATCTGCTGAAAAGATCTTATTAAAACAAATCTCTTTGCTTATAGCAACTGTACTTTGCAAATGCAAAACTTACCAAATTTCCGACTAAAGAGGTCATTCACTTGTTCTCTTAGCTGTCTAGCTTTTTCAACTTTCGAGAGTCTTTCATTATCATCATCTGAAACAGTTCAGAGAAAACCCAAAACTTAAATACTACTTTTTTTTTTTTTATGGTAAAGAGATGGTATCTCACGATGTTGCCCAGACTGGCCTTGAACTCTTGGGCTCAAGCGATCCTCCTGCCTAAGCCTCCCAAGTAGCCGAGACTACAGGTACAAGCCGCTGCTCAATGATGCACTTTTAATCCCAATTTTTAGGAGCTCTGTGTAATGTTTTCAAGCATTTTCCATTTTTTAATGATTTAAGTATTTGAGCACTTTGAGCTAATTAAATTTGAAATTGTTTAAAATAATGCCTAACTAAAAATGCTACAAATTTATTCTTGTTATAAAGACCTTTACCTGCTGTTTTATATAGATTTTTTTTTTTTCCCAGATGGAGTATGGCTCTGTCACCAAGGCTGGAGTGCACTGGCCCCATCTCGGCTCACTGCGACCTCCACCTCCCGGGTTCAAGCACTTCTCCTGCCTCAGCCTCCCAAGTAGCTGGGATTACAGCCACACACAACCAGGCCTGGCTAATTTTTCTTGTATGTTTAGTAGAGTCAGGGTTTCACCACGTTGGCTAGGCTGGTTTTGAATTCCTGACCTCAAGCGATCCTCCTGCCTCAGCCTCCCAAAGTGCTGGGATTACAGGCGTGAGCCACCGTGCCCGGTCTCATATAGACTTTTTTTAAGGAACAGACTAGACATTTGGGTGGTTAACAGGATTTAGCTCATGCCAAGTGCCAAAACTTGCCGTTGCTGTTTGGAGAGCAACTGTATTTGGAAGGCAACTGCTGTAGGAGTCTGGGAGGAGCACCAGGCAACGTGTAATGTATCCGAGTCCCCGGATGAGCTGAGCAAACCTCTCTAGTTGGGAAAGTCCAAGAGGCCCTGAAGAGACCCCCAAAAACTCTGATGGAAGCAGAGAAATCATACCTGGAATTGTCACCTGAATGATGTTAAGGTCTTCAACACCTGATGCAGTAGTATTAACATTGGGTGATGAATTTATTTTTCCTGAAAATATACATTTAAAATCAGAATTTGTAGAAAACACGGTCAACATCTCTAATAATCATGCTGTCTGAGACTGTTTTATCTCAGTCCTGTTCAAGGTTCTTTCTTTCCATGGTAGATCATTTCAAGAAGACATGATGCCCCCTGAAGGGCTGCCTTTCACTGTTTTTCTCTTCCTGGGGGTACTTAGGAGATCATCACACACTCACAGAGCCACCCAATTATTAAATAACTAAAAATTGTGAAATAGCCTGAACTACAACTTTGAATGGGTTTTCTTTTTTCTTTTTGAGATGAGTCTTGCTCTGTTGTCCAGGCTGGAGTGCAGTGGTGCGATCTCGGCTCACTGCAACTTCCGCCTCCCGGGTTCAAGTGATTCTGCTGTCTCAGCCTCCTGAGTAGCTGGGATTATAGGCGCCTGCCACCACGCCTGGCTAATTTTTTATATTTTTAGTAGAGACAGGGTTTTGCCGTGTTGGCCAGGCTGGTCTCAAACTCCTGACCTCAGGTGATCCACCCACCTCAGCCTCCCAAAGTGCTGGGATTACAGGCGTGAACCACCATGCCTGGCCTCAATGGCTATTCTTTAAACAATGTTTGTAAACCACAGCTGCACAATGCATGCCTAAGAGCGTGTGTTCTATAGCAATGAAAATACAGAAAATACACTCACTGGGAGGGCTCTTAGAGGAGGTGCTCTCCTTAATCGCCGTCTCAAACATTTCGGGCCTATAGACAAAAGAGAAAAAAAATGTGCTGATCAAACAGTAAAACTCTAACATTAAAATTTAAACAACTCAAAGATTTACAAACCAGTAACTCTGTAAAGTCTAAATTCAATTCTTAGTCATGAAGAACAGAAATCACATGCTTATCTAAAGAACCACAGCCAAAAAGACAAACCACAATTGTAAATTTAACATCCATTGCTGCCTCTCATTGGCTGCCCTTCCCCTACACTGGTTTTATTGGCATCTTCTTTCCAAGGTTAGAATGTATCCTGAAAAGAATCAGCGCCAGAATTGAGGATGGAAAGAGAAAACGCCCCACAAACGCAGCATGGAAACACAAGATGGGCTGTGAAAACAGGAGCACTTGAGGCTCTCACTCCGGAAGCAGAAGCAGAGGGCTTAGAGGCTGCCAAACCTCTGCAGACCTGGCCAAAAGCATAAAAGGTGGCCATTGGCCGGGCGCGGTGGCTCACGCCTGTAATCCCAGCACTTTGGGAGGCCGAGGCAGGCGGATCATGAGGTCAGGGGTTTGAGACTAGCCTGACCAACATGGTGAAACCCCTTCTCTACTAAAAATACAAAAATTAGCTGGGCATGGTGGCACATGCCTGTAATCCCAGCTACTTTGGAGGCTGAGGCAGGAGAATCGCTTGAACCCAGGAGGCGGAATTTGCAGTAAGCCGATATCACACACCACTGCACTCCAGTCTTGGGTACAGAGCGAGATTCTGTCTCAAAAAAAAAAAAAAAAAAAAAAAGTGGCCAGCTTTGCTTGAGAGCATCCCTGGGTGACTCAAAATTAAGCCTGACACCAAGCAAATGAAACCTAAAATTCATTTCAATTGATTTCAAATAATTCATGTGCATTAGCATGTACTATAAAATTCCAATTATTCTTATTTCTTTTTTTAATTTTTTTTGAGACAGAGTCTTACTCTGTCATCCAGGCTGGAGTGCAATGGCACGATCTCCTCCGCCTCCTGGGTTCAAGTGATTCTCCTGTCTCAGCCTCCCTGAGTAGCTGAGATTATAGGTGCCAGCTACCACCCCTGGCTATTTTTTTTTTTTTTTTTTTGTATTTTAAGTAGAGATGGGGCTTCACCATGTTGGCCAGGCTGGTCTCGAACTCCTGACCTCAAGTGATCTGCCTGCCTTAGCCTCCCACAGTGCTGGGATTTATGGCCGCACCCGGCCCATTCCTATCTATTTCAATTATGTTAGCCTAATCCACAGATGTTCAAGCAAACAGGAGAAATTGAAAATATTCTATTAAGTTGGAGAAATAAAAGGACTTGAAAAACTAAACAGCTGCTCAGATTCCAGCAGCATCAAATAGTAACAACATAGCTGTGTAGATTTAGCAACTAAAAGTCGTTATCTCTCTAGTATGGTGGAGTCCTCCTTCCCTTCTACCAGCAGCATAAGGAAAATTTCTTCTTCTTTTTTTTTTTTTTTTGTTTTTGAGATGGAGTTTTGCTCTTGCTGCCCAGGCTGGAGTGCAGTGGCACGATCTTGGCTCATTGCAACCTCTGCCTGCTGGGTTCAAGTGATTCTCCTGCCTCAGTCTCCCAAGTAGCTGGGATTACAGGCACGTGCCACCACGCCCAGCTAATTTTTGTACTTTTAGTAGAGATGGGTTTCATCATGTTGGCCAGGTTGGTCCTGAACTTCTGACCTCAGGTAATCCACCTGCTTTGGCCTCCCAAAGTGCTGGGATTACAGGTGTGAGCCATCGCACCTGGCCAGAAGTTTTAAACATATACAAGAGTGCAGCTTAAAAAGCAGTTTTTCTGACTCCAGAGCTAATTCAGCCCTGCCACAAACACAAACCCACATACCCATCTCCCAGTGTCAAACACAATCAACTCATGCTAATCCCACTTCATCCAGTTTCCTTACTTTTTAATGATGAACTTAATTTTGGCTTTGTTTCTGAGTATCTTCTCCAGCCTCGGAATGCCAAAAGTCGATGGTCTTCGGAATGGCACACCCTCAGGTAAGCCTTCCACATAAAAGTCTTCCGGGAAAGACTCAAATAACGCGAACGGCACCTTCACAGCTTGTTTAAGGCCAAGAGCTTCCCCTGCAAAACAGCCGCGTACACGAAACAGAACATGGGCGAAATGACGCCATTCAATCCCGAAAAACCCACACGTTGCCAATGACAGGGATACTCCAACGCTCAGTATCCCACTCTGCTCCCTCCTACTCCCATGAAGGCACCCTGCGTGGCAGTAAGAAGGTTTCAAAATAGACTTACCACATTTCTCATTGAAGAGATTTTCAACTTTCTGTTTTAGGTCCGTGATTTTGGCATTCCAGGCCTCTGCATATAAAACATAAGAGAGTTAAATTGCAATACTTATCACAGTACTTATCAATACACATTCACAGGCAGGAGTGTTTCATCTTATTTGTGCATCTTATTTTTTTTTTGTTGAGACAGAGTTTCGCTCTTGTTACCCAGGCTGGAGTGCAATGGTGCGATCTCTGCTCACTGCAACCTCCACCTCCTGAGTTCAAGCAGTTCTCCTGCCTCAGCCTCCTGAGTAGCTGGGATTACAGGCATGCGCCACCATGCCTGGCTAATTTTGTATTTTTGGTAGACACGGGGTTTCTCCATGTTGGTCAGGCTGGTCTCGAACTCCCAACCTCAGGTGATCCGCCCACCTCGGCCTCCCAAAGTGTTGGGATTACAGGCGTGAGCCACTGCGCCTGGCCTTATTTGTGCATCTTTAAGAAGAAATAAAAAATGCATAATCTTTTACCATGATATGACTTGACAACTACTCCCATCCTGATACATAAGCAAACTGTTTTAGTACATTGTTTTTATGTTGACTACAAATAAGTGAACAAATGCTAAAATAAAGAAAAAACAAATGAAAACCCCCAAAATGCCCCCACAAATTATAGTCTCTACTACATGCGAGGTATGGTTCTAAGTACTTTAAATGACAGTATTTATAATCCTCACCATAACCTCATGAGAAAGAAAGTAATGTTATTACCATTTTGCACAAAGGGAAACTGAGGCAGGGTGTATTCGCCTGCCCAAGTGGCATCGGATTTGAACTCAGATCTGAACTCAGGCAGCCTGGCTCTACGGGCTATTCCTTTAACCTTTGATATATACTGACTCACCAATAGGAACAATTCACCTGGTAAAATGAAACATAATGAACGTATTCTATTTAAAACTATGAAAGAAAGAAAAATAAAACGCTTACTTACCAAAGGAAAACTCTCTCCCTCGTGGCTTGAAGGGAACGTTAGAACCGTTAGTCTGGGTCGGGGTTCGAACAGCTGAGGTTTGAGGATTGTTGTTATTAGGGCCTAAAAGACAGAAAAAATAATGATAATCAACACACATTTAATGACGTAAGTGTCTCTAGGTTACAATCTTCAAGTCCAGCCTGTGCCAGAAAACAAAGCTAGGTTCAAATTGAAATGGGTATTCTTGTCATTCCGGCGAGTTCCACAGAAACCATTTTTCTATTTCTACAGAAACCCATTTTTCTTCTCTTCTTCTTCTTCTTTTTTTTTTTTTTTTTTGAGACAAAGTTTCGCTCTTGTTGCCCAGGCTGGAGTGCAATGGCACAATCTCGGCTCACCACAACCTCTGCCTCCTGGTTTCAAGCGATTGTCTTGCCTCAGCCTCCTGAGTAGCTGGGATTACAGGCATGCGCCACCAGGCCCAGATAATTTTGTATTTTCAGTAGAGATGGGGTTTCTCCATGTTGGTCAGGCTGGTCTCGATCTCCCAACCTCAGGTGATCCGCCTGCCTCGGCCTCCCAAAGTGTTGGGATTACAGGCGTGAGCCTCCACGCCTGGCCCTAATTTTGTATTCTTAAAGCAGGCCTCCCAGGCCCCGTGAACTTGGCTCTGCCCTTTAGGAAAGGCTGGCATCTTGTATATAAGAGAGATCTTCCTCTGATCTCTTCCGGAAGGAGGAAAGTCAAGGGTTCAATATATTTTTAATTCTTGGCATTTTTGAACAGAAATAATTAATCAGGTGTAAGTTGTCCATGGATGCCTGTTGGCTATCTTATGAGAAAGCAGGCTCTCTGAAAGTGTGCCACATGACTAAATAGGGACTTCTGCGCCACTCAACACCAGTACGGCAAACTCTTATTTAAAAACTTGACACCTGGGATGTAGAGAATGATCCTAATGCAGTGATTTCCTTCTGCATTTATGAAGAGATGGAAGAAATATCCATACTTGACAGTTGGTTGGAGATTGTCTTTAGTATTGTATGCAGTATTTTAACACTGTGAGCCTGAAAAGACAAGAACCAGCTGGGCGTGGTGGCTCACTTGAGGTCAGGGGTTCGAGACCAGCCTGGCCAACGTGGTAAAACCCCATCTCTACTAAAGATATAAAAATTAGCTGGAGTTGGTGGTGGACGCCTGTAATCCCAGCTACCTGGGAGGCTGAGGCAGGAGAATCACTTGAACCCGGGAGGCGGAGGCTGCAGTGAGCCGAGATTGTGCCACTGCACTCCACCCTGGGCAAGAGAGCCAGACTCTGTCTCAAAAAAGAAAAAGAAAATACTTTTATTCAAGGCACTGCTGTTTAAACCACCCTAAACTTTCTTTCCTTAAAAGAATAGAAAAAAATGAAGAGGAAAAAAAAGATAAAACATTCCACATGACTCTGCACCCTTATTTGTTATGATAAAGGAAAAGCATTTTAGGACTTTTCTTGGGGGAAGTTTATGATGTGATCCATGTTATCTGTTTTCTATTAAGGATTTAAAAATTTTCAATTAGAAGCATTCAGAAATTTAGCTTTATCACAGGCAGCTGTTCACAGTTAAAAGCTAGTTTGGTTAACGTCATCTGTATAAACCTGTATAAACACATAGCTAGTGAACTGACATAATTAGTAAACTAGAGAATGAACAGAAACATACCGAGGACTGGCCCTTACCTTCCACGGTGACCTCAATTTCAGGAACCTTTGAATTACTCCCAGGACTTCGTGGTCTTTTGGGGGACTGCAAAGCTGTAAAATAAGCAGAGTTCCTTTTGTATATTGTAGGGAAAAAAAAATACAGAAGGAGATGCTTTATAAGAGCAGAGTATTAAAATTCATACAGTTTGGTTCTTTTCAAAGAAACCTGCAGAATTAAACTTGTAGTGTAATCCTCCACAGGGGCTCAACAAAGCTGTGAAAACATGAATGAACTGGGATTGCAAATGTGACATTTCCAATGAAATGTTTTGTTTTTTTTAAAAAAAAAAAGAAAAATAGTTCCATTAAATAAAATACCTTAGAAAGCAAAGTAAACAACTCCAAGCCCCACAGAGATATTGGCCGATTCCGTATGATTTAAGGAATGCGGATAAAGAGTGTCTTAATGCGCTCAAATAGGATACGGAGTACACGTAGTCTCTTACCTTTAGTGTTTATTTTACTAGCCATCCCAGGAGGCAAGTAGGAAATAACTAGTTCAGGTCTAGAAAGAAAACCAAGAAGTGTTACAGTAGCCAGTACAGTGGTGGCCTCACAGCTAGTAAAACGGTCGTGATGTGATCAGGGTTTTTTTTTCTAAAGGCATTCACAGAATCATCCTGTAACACAATAATTCCTAGTGTTGTGGACAAAAGACCCTGACTTTTCCTTCCCATGACTGGTAAGCCATTTTATGAAGAGTAAATAAGTGACTATTTTCATTAAAAAAGAAAAAAAAAACACTAGTGTACTTTCTTTAGCCACTAAAATTCTGCAGAAATGTAGATAAGAAAATCAATCATTAGGCCGTGCACGGTGGCTCATGCCTGTAATCCCAGCATTCTGGGAGGCTGAGGCGGGTGGATCACCTGAGGTCAGGAATTCCAGACCAGCCTAGCCAACACGGTGAAGCTCCATCTATTCTAAAAATACAAAAATTAGCCAGGCGTGGCGGTGCAAGTCTGTAATCCCAGCTACTCGGGAGGCTGAGGCACGAGAATTGCTCGAACCCAGGAGGCGGAGGTTGCAGTGAGCTCAGATTGCGCCACCGCACTCAAGCCTGGGCGACAGAGCAAGAGTCCGTCTCAAAAAAAAGAAAGAAACTCAATCATCAATATTTAGTCGCTCTCAAGATTGACCAGGAATAACAGAGCAGATAAAAACCAGCAAATTAAACTTCCATTCAAGTACTCAGGCATACTGCGAGTCACCACGGGGCCTCACGGTGACTCCGCGGAGGCGATTGTCACTATTTTCCTTGCACGGATGAAGATGATTGAGTATGGGCAGGGGCAATGGACAGTACCCGGACTGCAGCTCACAGCCAGGCTTTGCCATCAAGGACTTACAGCCACGCCTGTCACCTCTAGCTTGAAAAACATCTTAACAGAAATGTCATTTTATTGTTTTGATTCCAGAAACGACTACAGTGGCAAAAAGAACTTACTTTTTAACAACGAACTTGATTTTATTACTCCCGTGGACGATCCTTTCAAGTCGTGGAATTCCAAACCAGGTAGGGCTTCGGAAGGGAATCCCCTCTGGCAAGCCTTCCACATACAAGAACTCCGGGTTTGATTCAAACACAGGATATGGTACTTTTACTGCCTCGGTGAGTCCAAGAGCTTGAGCTGAAAGTGCAAGAGAACGTTAAGTTGCGGAGGATAACATTTGACACAGACATTCTTTCTTTGTGTCTACATTCTCGAGTACAGTATGGACAAGCTCCCTACGGTCAAGCAATATCCACTTCATATTGAAGGCATTTTGCTTAGGATATGGGGCAAATCTGAAGAACGAGCCTAAAAAATAAGTGCTTTTAGGAGGAACATTTTAACACTTTCAATCAAAAGGAGAGTTATGTTATTAGTGAAAATGACCTCTATGCTCTGGGCAGAAATGACCGAAGGCCATTCCACACAGCAGTGGACCCTGCTGGCCTTTGTGTTATCAAGAAGCAGGGTGTCTGTTCACAAACAGGCGGTGTCTACGATACAGCTAAGCAGCACTCAGTTCGAGTGGTCAGAGGCAGGGTAGTCAGGACTCCTGATCTGAGACAGGAAATGTCAACCCCAGGTATTGAGATAATGGACAGAAGTGCCCCGGGAATTTTGCTAGCACTGCCCACTCCTTACTTCCTTCTCCATGACAGACACACCCAATCAACTGAAACACTCTTTCTTGCTGAGCCTCCTCAGAATCGTTCTCAAGACAGCACTCCAGGAAACCGCTGTCAACAAATCTAAGCTGAAACAAATGATGAAACCTATTTGCCACATGGGTGTTAGCCAGACGAGAAGTACAAACAGTGGAACTGAAACTTATCCCAACACCTCCCTTCCTCTCCCATTCTGACACGTGAGAAAGTGGAATCCAAGAGAAATGAAGTCATCTGCTTGGTTTCAGTAGCAAGTGTAGTGGTAGAAAGAAACAGAAACCCAGTTTCTGGGACCTTCCTTCTTTAGGTCCTGAACTTTTTTTCCTTCTTTTTTTTTTTTTTTGAGACAGAGTCTCACTCTGTCGCCCAGGCTGGAGTGCAGTGGTGCGATTTTGGCTCACTGCAAGCTCCGCCTCTGGGGTTCAAGCCATTCCCCTGCCTCAGCCTCCCGAGTAGCTGGGACTACAGGCGCCCGCCACCACGCCCGGCTAATTTTCCTGTATTTTTAGTAGAGACGGGGTTTCATCGTGTTCGCCAGGATGGTCTCGATCTCCTGACCTCCCGATCCGCCCGCCTTGGCCTCCCAAAGTGCTGCGATTACAGGCGTGAGCCACTGCACCCGGCTGGTCCCGAACTTCTATACTTCATTCAGACATGGCCCTTTGTTGATATGTTATTAAAGACATAAATACTGGCTTTTACTTACCAAATTTCAAATTAAAAATCTCTTCCACTTGCTTCCGTAGCTTGGTAATTCTGACATTCCAATCTTCTTTGACTGGAAAACAAAAAGAAACCCAATAACCATGTTATTTATCAGTGCTGTTGCAAATCAGAATGGATTTTGCTAGAAAGTACTCTTGTTTGCAGTGATTCTTTTTTGTTTGTTTTGTTTTATTTTTTTGAGACAGAGTCTTGCTCTGTCGCCCAGGCTGGAGCGCAGTGGCGCGATCTCGGCTCACTGCAAGCTTCGCCTCCCAGGTTCACGCCATTCTCCTGCCTCAGCCTCCTGAGTAGCTGGGACTACAGGCACCCGCCACCATGCCCAGCTAATTTCTTTTTGTATTTTTAGTAGAGATGGGGTTTCACGGTGTTAGCCAGGAAGGTCTTGATCTCCTGACCTCGTGATCTGCCCGCCTCGGCCTCCCAAAGTGCTGGGATTACAGGCGTGAGCCACCATGCCCGGCCTGCAGTGATTCTCTTAATTCAGTTTTGTTAAAAGCAAACATTTGGGGTCTTTTTTTTAAATTAATTAATTTATTTATTTTTTATCATACTTTAAGTTCTAGGGTACATGTGCACAACGTGCAGGTTTGTTACATATGTATACATGTGCCATGTTGGTGTGAAAATTTGGGGTCTTAAGGAAAATAATAATTTCCAGTACTTGCCAAATATCAGAAAAACTGCAGAAAGACAGAATTAATTTATTTATTTAGAGAAAGAGTCTTGCTATGACGCCCAGGCTGGAGTGCAGTGGCGTGATCTCAGTTCACAGCAACCTCCGCCTCCTGGGTTCAAGCGATTCTCCTGCCTCAGCCTCCCGAGTAGCTGGGATTACAGGTAGCCGCCACCACGCCCGGCTAATTTTTATATTTTTAGTAGAGACAGGGTTTCACCATGTTGGCCAAGCTGGTCTTGAATGCCTGACCTCAAGTGATCTGCCCGCCTCGGCCTCCCAAAGTGTTGGGATTACAGGCGTGAGCCACCGTGCCCAGCCTAGAAAGACAGAATTTAAATTTAAGTTTACATTGTAAATAAAGTGAAATTTGTCCACATGAAAGAGTGCTCAAAATCAGTGCTTCTCACACATTCCTCCTTGGAGAAGTCCCTCAGGGAACTCGGTCAGAGCAGGGAGGCCAGCTGCATGAGGTTCAAGGGCTCCCACACCAGTTTCAACAAGAGGGACTTTGCTTTTATTTGCTTTCTCTACAGGCAATCCTCGTTTTATCTAACAGATGTGTGCCTAAAAATCTACATAAAGCAACACTTCACTAATCAAAGTGACTTTTCGCATCAGAAATCAATGATAAAGGGACGGAATTCATGTGGGGGGTTGGAGTGGACGCAGGCGTGAGTGGGTCCAGCAGATGGAAACACAGCTGCCAAGTCTGCCCTGTCCTTAGCTTCTGCAGGAGGTGTGGGGAACTCTGCCTTCTACAATGTGATGCTGCACAGAGAGCTGTCTGTCATCTTCGACCAATTCCATGGCATTCAGGACACTGTGATAGGGGAAGGAACGCACTTTCTCATCCCATGGGAAAAGAAACCAATTATTTTTGACTGCTGCTCTTGACCACATTATGCACCAATCATCACTGTGAGCAAAGATTGTCACCATCACACTGGGCGTCCTCTTCCCGCCTTGTTGCTGGCCAGGTCCTTGCATCTTCCAATTACTGGAGAAGCCAATGAAGAATGTGCTGCCATCCATCACTGCGGAGCTCCTCAAGCTGGGGGCGGCTCAGGCTGACGCTGGAGAACTGATCACGCAGGGAGAGCTGGGCTCCAGACAGGTGAGCAATTAACTTCGGAGCAAGCAGCAACCTTTGGGTTCCTCCTGGATGCTGTGACCTTGGATCTGACCTTCGGGAAGGAATTTGCAGAAGCAGTGGAACCAAAGAGGTGGCTCAGCAGGAAGAAGAGAGGGCCAGATCTGTGGTGGCAAGGGCTGAGCAGCAGAAGACGGCGGCCATCATCTCTGCCGAGGGCGACTCCAAGGCCACGGAGTTCATCGCCAGCTCAGTGGCCACCGCAGGTGACGGCCTGATCAAGCCCACAAGCTGGAACCATGGAGGACACTGTACCGGCCCTCCAGCTCTCAGAACTCATCCACCTGCCCGTGGGGACATCTGTGCTCCTCCAGCTGCCCCAGCGCAGGCCGCCCTGCCCTGCACCTCCTCCAGCCAACTGGGCCACAGCACCAATGACTTTTACTACCGCCTTCCTTCTGTCCCCACTCCAGAAATCACTGTGCAATTTCACGAATGGCTTAAAGCAATGGACATAAAAGGAAAAATCACTTCAGAAAAAAAAGAAAGCAATGGTAAAAGACCTAGAGACGTTATTCAGCTTCACTCACAGTGACAGTGGGGTGTGTTTTCCTATCCCTAAGACAACCATTGCCTTTTAAGCATCAAAATTTAAAAAACAAACAAACAAACAAACAAAAAAGCTATTATAAAGACATGTAGAATATCACTGATGTGGACAGAGTATTCAGGTGTGGACAAGGTGCGGATGAGGAGGGAGGTCAACTTGGAGACAATGCAGGATGACTGAAGTGTTTCTGGATGAGCAAAGGAGGGAAAGAGAGAAAGAGGAAACGGGTCGGGGGGTGGAGGGTTCGCCTCGGTGTGGAGGTCATCTCTGATTGCTGACAAATGCAGTGGAAAATGTTGGAGAAGGTCTGACAATATCGCTAAAGGTTGGTGGTTTCAGAAAATCTTATAACATTTCCTTTACTTTAAAAGAAAACTTAGCATCTCAAGGGTTGAATGTGAGTTGTTTTTTCCCTGTGGATTTCAGAGTAGGCCATTCAGCCACAGAAAATAACTCTGGATGAACCACATTTGAATACTACCAATAAAGACCTCGGACTCTCCTCCTCTAAGGTCGAGCGCCTCTATTAACTGCTCAGCCTCCTCTTCTGCCCCACCCCCACCCCCTCCTCCCCCACCTTGCTCCTCCCATGCAGGACTTCACAGCCTCCTCACAGAGCCAGGTGCCACCTCCCACTCCATCACATGCCTGGCTCCGCTGCCTTCTCGCGTGTGACATCTCCCTTTCACCAAGCTGAGGACACTGTGCACCCGTGGTGTGTTTAAGCAGACAATTCTGATGGCCACAAAATTCTTTTCTCTTGTGGTCTGTGACTCGAGTTGTCCTGTCCAAAGACTAACGCATGTTCCACGGGCAGGCCAAGTAAGGTGTTGTTGGAATGAGGAACCACCAAGCACCTTTAATTCCTTCCAAGATCTTTTATGAATGGGACAAAGTCAAGTGCTGTTAGTGACGACAAGAGTGGAGATTCTCCTTCTGGTGAATCTGCTGCACTCTGGTGACGATGGCAGGTCCGGCACTGCTCCAGCACCCAATCCTTGCAGTGACTTCTATGGCACTTGCACATTCTTTTTACAATAGAGGCTTCGCATTCTCAGTTTTTGCAGTCACTCACTGTCACAACTGCCCCTAACAAAAGTGGTGACTGCATTCCTCACAACCTTGAATTTGAGCTTTGTCTTGAGAAATGAAGGTTTCTACAGGTTTCATCATGTTCAGACTAATCCAAACTGAAGATCTACCTCCAGGAAGATTTTTCTTTCTCCATTACTTCCCTGAGCAAAAAATGTGTCACTTCCAATCTTCAATTCTTCACCAGTACTTTGATTGCTTGACCAAATCAAAAGCATGCTGAGGTTAACCTATGAGTTAAGCATTGACTTTTATCTTCTCCACTACAGGACTCCTGGACCAAGATAATTTTGTTACCCTGCTACAGAATTTCTCAGCCACTTTCCATGCCATAATCCACACAAAATCTATTTGGCACACTGACTGACCTTCACTCATGTCCACAAGGTGCTGTGAGAGCTGAAGGAGAAGTATTTTAGGGCACACCCAGGAACCCAACTTGAAACATTTGTTCACCTTAGTAGTCGTGAGCATGATTAACTGCACCAATCTGTATACACCTAGTACACACACAAATTTCATACTTGATTCCTAACACTTATTTCTAACAACAGAAAACTTCACACTACAGGGTATGGGCATTTACACACTACAGGGTATGGGCATTTATTGGTTCTTGGCAACAGAAGTTCCTAAGGTGGCTGATGATCTACAGAGTGTGGTCACTTCCTCTGACATTACACAACGGCAAACAAAAAGAAAGAGGTCAGGTGCAGTGGCTCATGCCTATAATCCCAACACTTTGGGAGGCCAGGGCAGGTGGATCACCTGAGGTCAGGAGTTCAAGACCAGCCAGACTGACATGGTGAAACCCCATCTCTACTAAAAATACAAAAATTAGCCCAGGTGTGGTGGCGTGCAGCTGTAGTCCCATCTACTCGGGAGGCTGAGGCGGGAGAGCTGCTTGAACCCGGGAGGCGGAGGCCCCAGTGAGCCGAGATTGCACCACTGCACTCCAGCCTGGATGACAGAGTGAGGCTCCGTCTCAAAAAAAAAAAAAAAAAAAAAAGATAGGAAAGAAATAAAGGCACACTTAGAGCTCTAATAAAGAAAATAACATCATTCATTGAACAGAGACTTCTTAGATCTTCCCTATTAGGCTGTGATATTTGTGTGCAGGTCAGAGTTACAGTCTTTGCCATTTTAGGAACACGATACATATGAATAAACATTAAGGTCTAAATGCATATAGCAGGTACTATCCCCGAGCAGTTGAAATGTTTGAAATGTGGCTACTTGGAACTGAAATATGCTGTGAGTATGAAAGACGCGCCAACTGTCAAATAAAGAACATGGGATAAAGACCGTGAAATACTTCCCTGTGTATTTCTTTATAATGATTACAGGCTGAACTAGAACGTGGACGATTACACATGTGGCTTGCATTTGTGGGGCACACTGCCTTTCTCATGGATAGCAGTGGTCTACGGTCAAAGCTTGAGTTATCTGTGCACTGCAGGTGTTCACATTGATAAATCAAGGAGTGGCTGGATTGAGCTTCTGCAAATGATTTTTTGGGGAGGCAGGGGAAGGGGGACTTCCATAATTTTAAAAGATTAACTTTTAAAAGCTTACAAAGTATTGATCTGTGCTTTTTTTTTTTTTTTTTTCTGAGAGAGTCTTGCTCTGCTGCCCAGGCTGGAGTACAATGGCGTGATCTCGGCTCACTGCAAGCTCCGCCTCCTGGGTTCATGCCATTCTCCTGCCTCAGCCTCCCGAGTAGCTGGGACTACAGGTGCCCGCCACCAGGCCCGGCTAATTTTTTTGTATTTTAGTAGACATGGGGTTTCACCATGTTAGCCAGGATGGTCTTGATCTCCTGACCTTGTGATCTGCCCGCCTCAGCCTCCTAAAGTGCTGGGATTACAGGTGTGAGCCACCGAGCCTGGCTGATCTGTGTTTTTAAAAAAGGATTTCACAACTAGTTTACCTGGTGTATTCGTTCTTGGCTGAGTAACTTCAGTGGTACTGTGAGTCAGAAGTTCTGGTCTGTAGAAACAGAGTTGATATTAGTAATAAAGCATTTAGAAGCAACTCACAGGCCTTTCTCACCAGCTGTTCATTGCCAATTAGTTATAAATATGGTTCATCCTGCCTTCATTTTATAGTGAAAAAAAAATCATTTTGGTGACGAGTTTATTTTGAAAATGGCAATTTTCAGATATTCGGGTGAGACCTTCAAAATCATCCTATATTTAAGATAAACAGGCGAAAGTCACTTTTCCCCCAAACCAGCTCAATTCTGTTTCTGAATCTTAGATGAACTGTCCCACAGCACAGCCAGAAGCAGCTCGCTGTAGCATCTTAAACGTTTCCTATCCCTTATAACTCAGTCCCAACAAACACACAGAGGCATGACCCCAATCAGTAAGGAAGGTTTACCCTTCCACATCCCGTCAATGAGTGGAGAGAGGCCTTCTGTTCCTAACCCCGCACCCAAACTAACCATTGTGTTATCCTTCAAAATCAAGCCAGAATTACCTTTCTAAAGGGCGGATCCACATTATTTTCAGAGGCATCTGCCTCGAGACCACTTCGTGACTGCCTCTGTGTTCGTAGGATCTCAGGCCTTCCTCCACTTGCCCACCCAAGTCGATCCATGCAACCCCACCACGCCCACGTGGCAGTCCTCACTCCACACACGGTGGGTGAGTTCTGTGGATACGCAGGCATATTTGCCACCTCCTCCCCCTACTCATATGATTTCCTTCACTTGAAACACCTTCCATCTCTTCTGGATGCACAAGTGACCGAGCTAGGTGTGCCATCCTTGCCTTCTCCCTTAAAAACGCTCAATAACACTTCGTTGCATTTTTCTATTTTTTTTTTTTTTAATTATTTTGAGATGGAGTCTCGCTCTGTTGCCCAGGCTGGAGTGCAGTGGCACGATCTCGGCTCACTGCAACCTCCGCCTCTAGGGTTCAAGTGATTCTCCAACCTCAGCCTCCCGAGTAGCTGGGACTACAGGCTCGCACCACCGCTTCCAGCTAATTTTTGTATTTTTACTAGAGATGGGGCTTCATCATGTTGGCCAGGCTAGTCTTGAACTCCTGACCTCAAGTGATCCACCTGCCTTGGCCTCCCAAAGTGCTGCGATTACAGGCGTGAGCTGCCGCGCCCGGCCTTCAGTGCATTTTTCTTTGTATGAAGGCCCCAAGGACAGTGTTCTTGTTAGACCCAATTTTGCACATCTGATGCTTATACTAATATTTGTTCACTAAGTGAATCTAAATATTAATGCCTTCATTGTCAATAGAAATAAGTCATAAGGTAAACAAAAGGCCCTTCTTCATCAAATTAACCTCTTCTCAGGGAAGACACTGAAACTATTTCTACAGATTATCATCTTACCTTTTAATAACAAATTTAATTCGATTGCCCACTTGAATGATTTTTTCCAGCCTTGGGATTCCATACCATGAGGGACTTCGGAAAGGAATGTTTTCTGGCAGTCCTTCCACGTACAGATCATTCGGGTGTGCCTCAAATTTTTGGTACGGTACAGCCTTGGCTTCAGTGCTCCCCAAGGCTTCCGCTGGACAAAAATCAAAGCAATTCGGGAGACTACATTTGTATTGAAATCAGATTTTAGTACAATCCAAAGAAAGGCACAGGTCAATTTTGTTTTACTTGAAAAAAACTCTTTCTAGAAACATATTTATTAACTATTGAATAGACTTAATACAGCAAAGACAAGTAGAGATGACCGATCATCAACAGCCAGATTTGGGCAGATTTAAGTGTCCTGGTCCTAAGACAATCTTAATAGCTCTGAGATCTTTAAAAGATTAAAGTTTGTTTTTCAATATCCTTAGGAAGAAAAGAGAGAAAGAAAATCATCATGGACAATAGAGGACACAACCTAAATACTATCTGGAAGCAGCCTTTTGCTACTAACTGTTCAGGACCGTAATTACCCTCCTCCATCGGCTATGGCAAACTGGTAACACATTTCCGACTACACTTTCATCTGCGTGGCAACCAGATCAATGTTCTTTACCCCTTCAACCTCACGAGCATGCCATTTTAAAGGAAATAACTTTCCACAGATAATTCATAGAATGGGGGCCGGGCGCGGTGGCTCACGCCTATAATCCCAGCACTTTAGGAGGCTGAGGCGGGTGGATCACCTGAATTCAGGAGTTTGAGACCAGCCTGGCCAACATGGCGAAACCCCATCTCTACTAAAAATACAAAAGTTAGCCAGGCGTGGTGGCGGGCACCTGTAATCCCAGCTACTTGGGACGCTGAGGCAGGAGAATTGCTTGAACCCGGGAGGAGGAGGTTGCAGTGAGCTGAGATCGTACCACTGCACTCCAGCCTGGGCAACAGAGCAAGACTCCTTCTCAAGAAAAAAAAAAAAAACCCAAAAAAAAAACAGGGAAAACTAAAGCTGAGTCCTATTCACTGTATTTACTTTCCTAAAATAAAACAACATTTAAAAAAATGTTACTCAGTAATACATTTTAGTTGAAGGGGTAATTAAAAAAAACAGACTTACCAAATTTTTTGCAGAAAAGCTGATCCACCATCTTTCTTAATTTAGTGATTCTGGCATACCATTCTTCCTTTACTGTCAAAATAACAGTAATACAAGTGTTCTCAATTTAATGGGTTTAATAACTTGATTATTAAACATTATTACTATAAAATAAGAGGTATAACTTTTCCTTTTCCTATGGCCAAAATTATTTCTAAGATTCGTGGCCAGGTGCAATGGCTCACACCTGTAATCCCAACACTTTGGGAAGCCGAGGCAGGCGGGTCACTTGAGGTCAGGAGTTTGAGACCAGCCTGGCCAACATGGTGAAACCCCATCTCTACTAAAAATACAAAAATTAGCCAGGCGTGATGGCGCACGCCTGTAGTCCCAGCTACTCATGAGGCTGAGGCAGGAGAATCGCTTGAACCCAGGAGGCAGCGGTTGCAGTGAGCTGAGATTGCGCCATTGCACTCCAGCCTGGGCAACAGAATGAGATTCCGTCTCAAAAAAAAAAAAAGACAATAATAAAATTATTCCTAAGATTCTAGAATGTATTTATTTCTAAAACAATGCTGACACTGTACAAAAAGAGGAAGAACGAAACATTCATTAGAGCTAGGAAAAAGCAAAACTCAGTGTATTCAGGAACAGCTAGCAGGTAACACTTGCTACAGGAAGATTAGGGCTATGATCTTGCTGCAGTCCTTCTATCTTAGTAAATATCAACAGGGTGATTCCATTCTGTTTTATCCTCACTCCACTCCACTCCAGAGCAAAAGCAAGCAAGAAAATCAATTATATTTCTATTTATTTTAAAACACATCTAACAGGCTGGGCGCGGTGGCTCATGCCTGTAATCCTAGCACTCTGGGAGGCCGAGGTGGGCAGATCACCTGAGGTCAGCAGTTTGAGATCAGCCTGGCCAACATAGTGAAACCCTGTCTCTACGAAAAATACAAAAATTAGCTGGGCATGGTGGCAGGCACCTGTAATCCCAGCTACAGGGAGGCTGAGGCAGGAGAATTGCTTGAACCCAGGAGGCGGGAGGTTGCAGTGAGCGGAGATCGCACCACTGCACTCCAGCCTGGGCAACAGAGCAAGACTCCCTCTCAAAAAACAAAACAAAACAAAACAAAATACATCTAACAATTAAGAGATGATATAAATGGCTCCATGCTCTAAAAGGAAACCTTCTTATGTCCTGCATATCATGGACATTCAATGAATGCTTGTTCCATTGACTCGTGTAGACTTCAATAATAAACTGTTCAATGCATTATGCCAGATAAATCTTGCATCAAAAGTAGAACAAATATTGTTCTTTTACTTCTGTCTACCCATAAATGCAATATTTATAAGTATTTACAATGGGTTAATAAAAAGAAGATGCGTTTATTCTTCTAGAAATTATTAGAATTTTGACAACATGAATTCTCCTGTAATGGCACATAATTAATAGTTAGAGACATATTATTTCATGTGGAAGGTAACATAAAGAAGAAATCAATGTTAAGCGTGAAATAATTATTGCACATAATCTTCTGATCTGCCTCGAGATTGAAGACCTACCTCCTGAAGCTGGCTTATCAAGCTGTAAATCTTCACGTGTTGAACTCAGAAGCTCATGTCTGAAAGGTGAGAATAAATACTCAATAATCACTAGGTAATATTCAGCAAACTAATAACGACTAGTACATATTTAACATTTAGTCAGTAAGGCTGGTTTTGAAAAGAAAAGATAATCTGGATGCTTGAGCACAACTAAATCTTTTTTTTTTTTTTTTTTTTTCCTGAGACGGAGTTTTGCTCTTGTTCCCAGGCTGGAGTGCAATGGCGCAGTCTCGACTCACTGCAACCTCCACCTCCCGGGTTCAAGCAATCCTCCTGCCTCAGCCTCCCAAGTAGCTGGGATTCCAGGCGCCCACCACCACACCTGGTCAATTTTTGTATTTTTAGTAGAGACAGTGTTTCACCATTGTTGGCCTGGCTTGTCTCGAACTCCTGACCTCGGGTGATCCAGCCGCCTTGGCCTCCCAAAGTGCTGGGATTACAGGTGTGAGCCACTACACCCAGCCCACAACTAAATCTTAATTTGAGGTTTCTACAGAGTAAAAAGCAAACTAATAATTGCAAGTTGTCTCATAAGGTGCTTCATGGAGCATGTATCCTCACAAGTAAAGAGGTAACTTTGCAACCCACAGGTCTTTGAAGCATATTACAAAAATCTTAAATGGGATCCTTTAATGTCATATTGCATTCAAGACTATCTTCCTCTGCACATCTATAAAAACAATCATATATTCCCACGCATGCTTTAAAAATCTCAGGCCTATGAGGGCGAGGTTGGCAGATCATCTGAGGTCAGGAGTTCAAGACCAGCCTGGCCAACATGGTGAATCACCGTCTCTACTAAAAATACAAAAATTAGCCAGGCATGGTGGCGCACGCCTGTAATCTCAGCTACTCGGGAGTCTGAGGCATGAGAATCGCTTGAACCTGGAAGGCAGAGGTTGCAGTGAGCTGAGATTGCGACACTGCACTCAAGCCTGGGTTCCAGTGTGAGACTCCATCTCGAAAATATATATATATATATATATCAGGCCTAAAAACAAGGCGTGGATTCTATGTTCTTTAGCAAAAGTAGCAGAAAATTGTGAAAGAAAATGTGAGTTGCATGCCAATCCAGTGCGGGCACTGTTCATGCTTCGAATGCCAACACTGCATGACTGATGCAATGCTGGACCCAGATAAATTAAAAAGTGCAAGATAAAAATACATAAAATAACTCAAACTTCATCACATAGAACCCTAGTGGTGAATGAATATTGGTCAACAATAAAAAAGACGTATTACTCAGAAAAGAGACAAGAGTTCAACAGGAATCCAAGAGTCTTACTTCTTAATCACAAAACGAATCCTTTCCTTTGCAAGTAATATCCTCTCCAGGCGAGGAATTCCGTAAGTAGATGGCCTTCTAAAAGGAATTCCTTCAGGAAGTCCTTCTACATAAAGATCTTCAACATGAGACTAGAAAAGAGGGTACGGGATCGTCACCGGACCTTTGGCTTTTATGGCTTGAGCTATAAGGACAAAAAGAGAAAGAGATATCATTTAAACACAATTTGTAGAAAAGAATAATAAATCATTGAATCTGTAGTGCTCTTTAACTTTTTTTTTATTTTTTTGAGATGGAGTCTTGCTGTGTCTCCCAGGCTGCAGTGCAGTGGCGTGATCTCGGTTCACTGCAAGCTCTGCCTCCCGGGCTCACGCCATTCTCCTGCCTCAGCCTCCCGAGTAGCTGGGACTACAGGTGCCCGCCACCACGCCCAGCTAATTCTTTGTATTTTTAGTAGAGACGGGGGTTTCACTGTGTTATATATATATGTATATGTGTTTATGTATATATATATATATGTATATGTGTATATGTACATATACATATATATGTATATGTGTGTATATATATACACACAGGAAGCATTTATTACATGTATGCCAGGTATTACGTGAAGCACTTTACTATCTTATCAATCTCCAGGATAGATCTTCAGTTCTCATGACCACAAAAGAGGATACTAAGACTCAGACAGGAGAAGAGACGTGGCAAGGCACTGTGTCCCCAGAGCCTATGATCTTACCACTAGGTCACAGTGCTTCCAGGTAGCACATGCTATGAAGTTTTTGCTTCATAATGAACCAATAGAAAACATGAGGCCGGGCGCAGCGGCTCACGCCTGTAATCCCAGCACTCTGGGAGGCCGAGGTGGGTGGATCACCTGAGGTTAGGAGTTCAAGACCAGCCTGGCCAACATGGTGAAACCTTGTCTCTACTAAAAATACAAAAATTAGCTGGGCATGGTGGCGGGCACCTGTAATCTTAACTACTCAGGAGGCTCAGACAGGAGAATTGCTTGAACCTGGGAGGCAGAGGTTGCAGTGAGCCGAGATCGTGCCACTCCAGACTAGGCAACAAGAGCAAAACTCTATCTCAAAAAAAAAAAAAAAAAAAAAAACAAAAAACAAAAAACCACGGGCAAAAAAGGTGTAAGCTATTAAAAACTGGGAGAAACACTAAGAGAACCTTAAGTAAACCACTAAAAATATGGAAAAGTTACTGAATTCATTAGCAAATTTACTCTAATTGTAGATTTTCATTGAGGGGTAGGTTATATTACTCATGATGAAGAAAAAATGCTCATTTTAAGTTTGTTAACACAAATACCATCAATATGGTTTATTGCATTTAAATTTTCACTTATAGCAATTCAGTTAAAACTGCATATCATACAATTTTACCGCTTGCTAGTTAATGGCAAAGTAAATAGTCATCCAAATAAAAATGATAACAGATGATAATAAATATGATAAAAATAAAATGATTTTTATTTTAAATCATTTTAAATATTTTATAAAAAATAAAAATGATAACAAATTGTGAATTTCTTTGATCATTATATAAAGGTGGCTATAGGACAGAATAGTAAAAGGACAAAGAAGGAATTGAAATCTAGCATCAACTCAGTTATACATCAAGATAAAAGCAGTGGCCGGGAAGGGTGGCTCACGCCTGTAATGCCAGCACTTTGGGAGGCCAAGGCGGGAGGATCACTTGAGGTCAGGAGTTTGAGACAAGCCTGGCCAACATGGTGAAACCCTGTCTCTACTAAAAATACAAAAATTAGCAGGGCATGGTGGCGGGCACCTGTAGTCCCAGCTGCTTGGGAGACTGAGCCAGGAGAATTGCTTGAACCCGGGAGGCGGAGGTTGCAATGAGCCGAGATCGTACTACTGCAATGCAGAGACTCCGTCTCAAAAAAAAAAAAAAGATAAAAGTAGAGACAATAGGGGGATCTCAGCAAATACTGGATTTAACAAAGTAGATTAACAGAAACTATCAGTTAAAAAAATAATTTTTAATGAAACCCCCAAGATCCAGAGCTTTGTAATAAATATGTAAATAAATTCCCAAATATCCATGCTGGAAGTTTAAAAGAAATGTTAGCTGATAACTACAGAAATACAACTTTTCCTTAGCTTTACTGTAATCTAGAAACAAAGACTGTTTCTAATATTTAGACAGACACTACTAAGGACCTTACAATGAGAGACGTGTAAGAAAGTGTGGCACGGTTCACTGGCAGCCCTGGGCTGGGCTTGTCCACATCACCCCCATGATGAACAGTAACGCCATTGTGTAAATGCTCATGAACAAAGTATTACAGGAATTTTCCTATTTAGACATACCATATTTCCTTTCAAACAATTCTTCAACTTGTTTACGTAGATCAGTGATGCGAGCATTCCATTTCTCTGAAAATTGAGCAAAAGTTAATTCTCATTAAGAAGTCCCTACCATCGGGGCAGCACTAGGGTCTTGGGATGACTGAACATACAATGACATATTTTCTACATTTTTACATCCCAACTGTCCATATCATTTTACTGCTTTCCAAGAACTTTCCCCTTTTTGGTGGTTCTTAGAATTAGTAGGTTGGTGCAAAAGTAACTGTGGCTTTTGCCATTACTTTTAATAGTCTCATGGGAGACTACACGAGAAGTTTTAACATTTAGCACCTCTTTTTAGCCTTTTAATTTCTGAAAAGCAGGAGGGCAGAAAAGATCAAGCAAATGAAACACGACAAAAGGGAGACCACGATAAAGGTCTCCAGGGGTCTTTTAGCAAACTTCCTAAAACATGTGTTAGTTGTGTGGAAATAAGACTTTACGGATATATAGTTGCAACTTAAAATGCTAAAGAACAGGCCAAGTGCAGTGGCTCATGCCTGTAATCCCAGCACTTTGGGAGGCTGAGGCATGCGGATCACCTGAGGTCAGGAGTTCGATTCCAGCCTGGCCAACATGGTGAAATCCCATCTCTACTAAAAATACAACAATTAGCTGGGCATGGTGGTGGGCGCCTGTAATCCCAGCTACTCAGGAGGCTGAGGCAGAAGAATCACTTGAACCCGGGAGGCGGAGGTTGCTGTGAGCTGAGATCGTGCCTCTGCACTCCAACCTGGGTGACAGAGCAAGACTCTGTCTCAAAAAAATAATAATAAAAATTAAAAATAAAGAACAAAAACATATTTAAAAAGTACAAAAATTCAATTCATATCCAATCATTGTGACTATGACACAGTAGAATATTAAAGTACTATTTTCAAGATGTATACAAGCTTAATATTCCATTTATTCAAAATATGAATCATCAACATAATTTGCCGCTAATATCTCATTCAGTCCCTTGCTAGGATACATCATCCATTGAGAGCTCACAGATTAGCAGCTGCAGTAACACAGAGCAAAAAAAAAAAAAAGAAAACCAAGAGGTGAAATAGTTCTGAAATAAAGATTTTAAAGCTAAGAGAAATAACTAAATTACTAAGTCTTTAGCACTAATCTTGAGCTGACTAATTAACATCAGACAAGACAATGTCCTATGCTTTGGTAAATCCAAACTATGTTTAAACAATGTCTGTAATGTAATTTTCAAAATGCTCCTGGCTTTCCAAAGATGAGATTATGATGCAGTAATAGACGCTAAAGCATTTTCCCCCTGCAGAGCATGTTGCAACATTTATCAGTCACACTGAGAATCCAGAAGATGAAGGAAAAGGTCACGTCGTTCGCTGAGAACTTACCGAAGTTGAACTCCCTCACTTTCCGCTTCCCAGCATTGGCGGGTTCCGGGACTGGTGGCTGCGGTAGCTCATTGGCCTTTGGTCTCTTAGACGGTGGAGAATAATCATCATCTTGAAAAAGAAAATGGTCATTACTGGAAGAACCATCTTACAGTTACAGTCACCTCCTGGTCAATTCCCAACATTCAAAAGGTGAGCAGGGCTTTAAAGCTATTTTGAGTATCAATAGTTATTTCTGTATTGTGAGCTTTAGCAGGCTTTTTCCTTGTTACATTTGAAATTTTCTTTGTTTGGGATGTGTTCAAGTGAATACTGCTTTTTCCTCTGTCTTTCTTCATTATTTTTTAGTTTGCTTCATTTGAATTGTCATTATAAATTTCCCCTTCTCAAATAACTTTCAAATTGCCAAGAACTATATTGTTTTAAGACTTTCAAGAAAAAACTTTTAATAAAGACAGCCACCTAAAGTTATAAAAGGGGATAGAGTACAGCTTAGATGGAAAAGATATTTAAGCTTATACAAAATTTAAGCATGCATAAGCAAGGGAAATTGGGTAAATAGTTTTTTTTTGTTTTTTTGTTTTTGTTTTTGTTTTTGTTTTTGAGACAGAGAATTGTTCTGTTGCCCAGGCTGGAGTTCAGTGATGCAATCTTGGCTCACTGCAACCTCTACCTCCTAGGCTCAAGCAATCCTCCCACCTCAGCCTCCTGAGTAGTTGGGATCACAGGCAGGTGCCCAGGCAACTCTCCCAGGCAACCATGGTTGGCAGGTCCCAATTTCTACTGAGATCACCCCACGTAGGTCACATGGCGAGGGTCCCACACCCCAGCCTCACCACTTCCAACGAGCCAAACGCTTCCCATTTCCAGCCCGACGATGGTACTAACTTCCCTGCCCCTCCTTGGAGATCCCCAACCCCAAATAACCTCTCCTGATCTCCAGGGTCTCTTGGTGACAATACCTGCCTGCCTGCCTTAGCTAAGGGGGTCAGTTGCTTCTATCAGTCTCAATGCCCCAGAAACTGAGCGAAAACCCAAGTATTCATGGCCTACTGAACGCAAAGTCTGAGTCTGACCCTGGTATTCTATTCCTTGGTTTTTAGAATGCCCCCAGACAAAGATGAGGGCTGAAGGCTCAGAAAGGCCGGGTCAGGCCAGGTGAGGTGGCTCACGTCTGAAATCACAGCACTTTTGGAGGCCGAGGCAGGAGGATCGTTTGAGGCCAGGAGTTTGAGGCCAGCCTGGGCAACAAAGTGAAACCCTGTCTCTACAAAATATTGTAAAAATTAGCCAGGTGTGGTGGCACACACCTGCGGCCCCAGCTATTCAGGAGGCTGAGGCAGGAGGATCCCTTGAGTCCAGGAGCTGCAGTGAGCTATGATTTTGCCACTGAACTCTGGCCTGGGTGACCGAGCGAGACCCTGTCTTCAAAAGAAAACAAGAAAGGTAGGGTGACCTGCCTGGGAATATGTGGTAGGAACAGCAGAGTGGAGAGAGAGCGCTTGATAAGGTGTCTTGTTGGGAGACATTCCCCACACCATGGTGCCATGGGAATCACATAAGCAGGTCAAGTGTGCCTCACTCAAGCACTCAGGAACCAAGCTTGCAGAGGGGGTCAGGGCAGGAAATGCACACGACTCCCAGCCAACCCCACACTCTGGACCTGGGGCACCTGCTAAGCACTTTCTCTGTAAGATCTCACTTCAACCTCCCGTGAACAGCCCTATAACGTGGGTGCTATCACCTTCTTCATTCTTCTACAGAAACTGACAAACGCAGTTAAACCAGGCTAATTTGGACTGACGGGCTGGGTGGGGACGTCATCAGAGAGAAGCTGCAGGAGGGAAATTGTAGACTAGAACAAAGTCTGAAGAGGGTGGAGAAAAGCACAGATTAAAAAAAAAAAAAGAAGAAAGAAAGAAATGTGGCCAGGCATAGTGGCTCACGCCTGTAATCCCAGCACTTTGGGAGGCTGAGGCAGGTTGATCACCCAAGGTCAGGAGTTTGAGACCAGCCTGGCCAACATGGCGAAACCCTGTCTCTACTAAAAACGCCAAAATTAGCTGAGTGTGGTGGTGCACACCTGTAATCCCAGCTACTCGGGAGGCTGAGGCAGGAGAATCGCTCAAACCCAGGAGTCAAGAGTTTGCAGTGAGCTGAGATTGCGCCACTGCACTCCAGCCTGGGCGGCAGGGTGAGACTCTGTCCCCGCCACCAAAAAAAAAAAAAAAAAAATGCGTTTTACTGCCTGCAAGCTCGAGTTCTCCCTCCAGCACCCTACCCACCAGGGCTCCTCAGAGGCCTGGCTTGAGGAATGGATACGGTAGCCTTGTCATCTGCAGGTGACACCAGGCCTGCAGCTTGTTCTCTGAGGTGTCACCCCCTTATTCTTTTTTTTTTTGAGACAGAGTCTCACTCTGTTGCCCAGGCTGGAGTGCAGTGGTGTGATCTCTGCTCACTGCAACCTCCGCTTCCCGGGTTCAAGCAATTCTCCTGCCTCAGCCTCCCGAGTAGCTGGGACTACAGGCATGCACCACCACACCCGGCTAATTTTGTATTTTTAGTAGAGACAGGGTTTTACCATATTAGCCAGGCTGGTCTTGAACTCCTGACTTTGTGATCCGCCTGCCTCAGCCTCCCAAAGTGCTGGGATTACAGGCGTGAGCCACCACGCCCAGCCCATACACCCCCTCATTCTTGACTGTGCTGCTCTAGTGGACGAAACAGCCCCAAAGCATTGCTCAGTTGGGAGGGGGTGGAGGGAGTCCAGCCTGGGTGTGTGCAAAGGAGTCACCCAGGAAATTCGCCGCGGGATCTGCCCTTACAGATGCACTCGCCTGGGGCCAAGCCCTCGGTGGCTGGGGCAGGTTACCCAGAGGCCCAGGGGCCAAATGCAGGAGCAAGTTCCCATCAGGAAAGGGGAAGAGTGAAGCAGAGATCCAGCTCCTGCATGCAGGGGAGTGGGCACGGGCAACCCCTTACCCCAGGGTCGTTCCCCAGCCTCACCTCTAAGGCAATGAAGGAGGGTAGAGTCTGAGGGCGCCCCTGACACCTCCACCTGTCCCCATCCCCTATCAGCGTTCCACATTCCAGTGCAGGCCCAAAATTCTAACCCCAAAGAAGAAGTGTGGTGGGGTATGCTTCTTCCCACTTTTTTTTTTTTTTCTTGAGACTGGGTCTCACTTTGTCAACCAGGCTGGAGTGCAATGGTGTGAGCATAGCTCACTGCAGCCTCCAACTCCTGGGCTCCAGTGATCCTCCTGTCTCAGCCTCCAGAGTAGCTGGGGCTACAGGTGTGCACTACCACGTCTGGCTAATTTTTAAAATTTCTTGTAGAGACGGGGTCTGGCTATGTTGCCCCAAATGGTCTTGAATTCCTGGCCTCAAGCGATCCTCTTGCCTCCACCTCCCAAAGTGCTGGGATTATAGGCGTGAGCCACCGCACCGGGCCTTGATTTCACATTTGAACTCTCCCACATTAAAAAAAAAATTATTAAAAAAAAAATAGGCCCGGCATGGTAGCTCATACTTGTAATCCCAGCACCTTAGGAGGCCAAGGTAGGAGAATTGTCTGAGCCCAGGAGTTCAAGACCAGCCTGGGGAACATGGTAAAACCCCAACAGGATGGATTTGATTCCTATACAAATTGAAGCTGCCCTGCCAAGGAGGGCCTGCCTGGAGGGGATGAGACCTTCGTCCTGAGGCCTCAGAGTCAGGGGATCAGGAGTCGGGGAGCTAGAATAGAAGCACACAGCCTGGGCACGGTGGCTCACGCCTGTAATCCCAGCACTTTGGGAGGCCGAGGCGGGTGGATCACCTGAGGTTAGGAGTTCGAGACCAGCCTGGCCAACATGGTGAAACCCTGACTCTACTGAAAATATAAAAATTAGCCAGGCATGGTGGTGTACCCCTGTAGTCCCAGGGAGGACTGAGGCAGGAGAATCACTTGAACACGGGAGGCGGAGGTTGCAGTGAGCCAAGATTGCGCCATTGCACTCCAGCAGCCGGGATGACAGAGCAAGACTCTGTCTCAAAAAAAAAGAAAAAGAGGACAAGACATGGCGGTCAGCGTGCAGAGGAGGTGCGACTGGAGAAAGACTGGGGGTCACGTGGGCAGGACCTGGGTGGGCTGGGTGGGAGGGGGGCTGGATGTGGTGCTGTGCACCAGGGAGGGGACACAGAAGCAGGGGGCAGTCTGGGAGGAAGACTTGCAAGCACCATATGGGGACACAGTAGACACCCAGAGTGTCCAGGCACCCTGCAGGCAGAGCTGGTGTGCAGGGCAGAGAAGGGTGCCCAAGACATTGCTGGGAGCAGAGAAGTCACACCTTCCTCAAGGCCGGCTGGAGGACGCAACGGCTCTTTGTGTTCCAAGAAGCAGCTCTTACCAGGGGGCTGCCTGCCTGGTCCCCAGAGTTTCTCCAGTCTCCTTACTATAGACCCCTCCCCTCCTGCCAGCCTCCCGCATCCCCACAGCTCAGCCAATCTGAAACAAATAAACAGCTTCCCTTCCTCCAATAAAAACCAGCCATCCTGCAATTGTCAGATGTGCCCTTCCAGTGCTTCCAAAGCAGAACAGACCATCCGTGCCATGGGGACAGAGGCCACCACTGCCACCTCGCTGAGGCTTGCATCAAGTAGAGGGCACCTCAAAACATCCATTGAATTTCTGTGAATAATAGGTTCACTATGTAATCAACACCTCACTAAGTCCCTAACATAAAATTCCCCATTTAATTCTCACAACCACCCAAGATGTTGATAGTGTTATCTTCAGTTATTTTTTGGTAGAGATGGGGTCTCACTATGCTGTCCAGGCTGATCTCAAACTCCTGAGCTCAGGCAATCCTCCCGCTTCGACCTGCCAAAGTGATGGGATTACAAGTGTGAGCCACCATGCCTCACCTTATCCCTATTTTAAAGATGAAACCAGGCCACGGTGTGGTGGCTTACGCCTATAATTCTACCACTTTGGAAGGTCAAGGCAGGAGAATTGTCTGAGCTCAAGAGTTTGAGACTGGCCTGGGCAACATAGTAAGACCCTGTTGCTACTAAAAATCTTTTTTAAAAATTAGCTGGGCATGACGGTGCACACCTGTAGTCCCAGCTACTTGGAAGGCTGAGGCAGGAGGATTGCTTATGCCTGGAAGGTTGAGGCTGCAGTGAGCTATGCTCATGCCACTGCACTCTAGCATAGATAACAGAGCCAGACCCTCCTTGGAGGTTCTAAGTTGCCCAAGATCACATGGCTGGTGGGTTGTGGGAATTTGGATAAAAACACATTTTCCTGTTATGTGCATATCCTGAGAAATGACCCTTGGCATAAGCTTTTCCATCTTGGGTTAACAGTGGAAAGGAGTGGAGGGCATAGGCGGCGAGGAGTTCGGAGTGGGGGGGCCAAGGCTGACCCCCAAACTGCTGTTGTCCACTGTGTGACTTGGGGGCAGACAGCTCCTTCCTGTAGAGCTGCTATGAGGGTGAATGATGGGAACTCCCAGCGGAGGCCTCATGCATAGTGGGTGTTCAAGAAGGATCTGCCATGGCCGGGAGCAGCGGCTCACGCGTATGATCTCAGCCCTTTGGGAGGCCGAGGCAGGCGAATCACCTGAGGTCAGGAGTTTGAGACCAGCCTGGCCTACATGGTGAAACCCCATCTCTACTAAAAAATACAAAAATTAGCTGGGTGTGGTGGCACATGCCTGTAGTCCCAGCTACTCGGGAGGCTGAGGCAGGAGGATCACTTGAACCCAGGTGGCAGAGGCTGTACTGAGCCGAGATTGCACTGCACTCCAGCCTGGGCAATAGAGTAAGACTCCGTCTCAAAAAAAAAAAAAATATGGGAACATCAGACACTGGGGATTCCAATAGAGGGGAGGTTGGGAAGGGGAGGAAGGTTAAAAAAATTACTTATCGGGTACAATGTTCACTATTTGGGTAATGGGCGTACTAGAGGCCCAGTCCCTACCAGTATGCCATATATCCATGTAACAAACATCCACATGTACCTCTTGAATCTAAAATAAAATAAAATCTTAAACATTAATTTTTATTTTTATTTTTTTGAGACAAGGTCTGGCTCTACTGCCTGGCTGGAGTACAGTGGCACAATCTCGGCTCACTGCAGCCTCTACCTCCCGGGGTCAAGCGATCCTTCCACCTCAGCCTCCTGAGTAGCTAAGACCACAGGTGCACGCCACTAAGCCCAGCTACATTTTGTATATTTTGTAGAGATGAGGTTTCACCATGTTGCCCAGGCTGGTCTCCGACTTGTGAGCTCAACCAATCTACTCACCTCAGCCTCCCAAAGTGCTGGGATTACAGGCATGAGCCACCACACCTGGCCTCAAATTTTATTAATTGTGGTAAAATACACACAACAAAACCTACCATCTTAACTATCTTTAAGTGTGCAATTCAATCGTGTTAAGCACATTTTCAATACGGACAGCAATTGCCACCATCCATCTCTAGAACTCTTCATCTTACCCAACAGGAACTCCATACCCACTAAACACCAACTCCCCAGCTCTTGGCAACCACCATTCTTTCTGTCTCTATGACTCCGGCTACACCAGGTATTTCATACAAGTGGGATCTCATGCAGTATTTGTTCTTTTGTGACTAGTTTATTTCACTCAGCATGATGTCTTCAAGGTTCATTCATGTTGTAGCATGTGTCAGAATTTCCTTCCTTTTCCCCCCTGAATAATATTCCTTTGTGTGAATACATCCCACTTTGTTGATCTGTTCATCCATCAGTAGACACCTGGGTCACTTCCATCTTTAGGCCTTAGTGAATAAGGTTGCTGTAAATGTGGGTGCATGGCCAGGCGCGGTGGCTCATGCCTGTTATCCCAGCACTCTGGGAGGCCGAGGCTGGTGGATCACTTGAGGTCAGGAGTTCAAGACCAGCCTGGGCAACATGATGAAACCCCGTCTCTACTAAAAATGCAAAAATTAGCCAGGCGTGGTGGCGTGCACCTGTAATCCCAGCTACTCGGGAGGCTGAGGGACCAGAATTGCTTGAACCCAGGAGATGGAAGTTGCAATGAGCCAAGATCGCACCATTGCACTCCAGCCTGGGTGACAGCAAGACCCTGTCTCCAAAAAAAAAAAAAAAAATTGGGGTGTGCAAGCAAAACCTCAGGCTTTTAAGCAGAGATGCAGAGATCTAGCTCAGAGGTTGGAGTATGTTCAATGTGTTATGGTGAGGGCAAGCCTGAGAATATGGCACCTAGACACCAGTTTTCCATTTAGGCCAGGCGCTGTAGCTCACACCTGTAATCCCAGCACTTTGGAAGGCTGAGGCAGGAGGATTACTTGGGCCCGGGAGTTCGAGACCAGCCTGGGCAACATAGCGAGACCCCATCTCTACAAAAAAAACAAAAATTATCTGGGTGTAGTGGCGAGTGCTTGCAGTCCCAGCTACTCAGTGGGGCTGAGGCAGGGAGGATTGCTGGAGCCTGAGAAATCGAGGCTGGAGTGAGCTGAGATTGCATCACTGCACTCCAGCTTGGGTGACACAGTGAGACCCTGTCTCAAGAATTTTTTTCAGGCCAGGTGCGGTGGCTCATGCCTGTAATCCTAGCACTTCGGGAAGCTGAGGCGGGTAGATCACAAGGTCAGGAGATCGAGACCATCCTGGCTCACACAGTGAAACTCTGTCTCTACTAAAAATACAAAAAAATTAGCCAGGCGTGGTGGCAGGTGCCTGTAGTCCCAGCTACTCGGGAGGCTGAGGCAGGAGAATGGCGTGAACCCGGGAGGCAGAGTTTGCAGTGAGCCAAGATCTCACCACTCCACTCCAGCCTGGGTGACAGAGCCAGACTCCATCTCAAAAAAAAAATGCTTTTCAAAAAGTTTCAATTTAGCACCGTAGATGGCCCACAGGGACCTTGGACACCCAGAATCCCACTGGCCCAGAACGGATGCAACTGGGCTGGTTTCTCATACTGCAGATCTGTTATAAGAGAAAACCTTTCCAGCCGTGTGCAGGCTCAGAAGAGAGACCAATTAAACCTTTTACAAGGTGTTTTTTTGTTTTTTTTTTTTGAGATGGAGTTTCACTCTTGTCACCCAGGCTGGAGTGTAGTGGCACGATTTCGGCTCACTGCAACCTCTGCCTTCCAGGTTCAAGCGATTCTCCTGCCTCAGCCTCCCCAGTAGCTGGGATTACAGGCGCCCACCACCACATCGGCTAATTTTTGTATTTTTGGTAGAGTCAGGGCTTCACCTTGTTGGCCGGGCTGGTCTCGAACTACTGACCTCAGGCGATGTACCCGCTTGGCCCTCCCACAGGTGCTGGGATTATAGGCGTGAGCCACTGCGCCCAGCTACAACTGACTTTTTTGATCCCTGGGAGATGAGTCAACACCAAGGGACGACCAGTCCTAAGCCCTGGACATGGACCTGGGGGTGAGGACAGAAGGGGATCAGGACCAGCCCTCTCATCCTGCACACTGAGGCATGGGTGATCCCAGGAAGCCACTCACCAGGCACCAGGGTGGCTTCCTGGAGGAGAGGATGCCGAAGCCGACCTCAAGAAGTGTCTGTGTTAGGTTTAAGGACTCACAAGACTTCTCTGGCTGGACTAAAGGTAGGGTGATCACATGGTCAGGTTTGCCTTATTGTCTGCAGGTTGTTGTTGTTATTATTGTGATGATGGCGATGGAGGAGGAGGAGGAGAGGGAGGGGGGGGAGGAGGGGGAGGAGGAGGGGGAGGAGGAGGAGACAGGGTCTCATTATGTTGTCCAGGCTGGAGTACAGTGGTGCAATCTCGGCTCACTGCAACCTCTACCTCCTAGGCTCAAGCAATCCTCCCACCTCAGCCTCCTGAGTAGTTGGGATCACAGGCAGGCGCCATCATGCCTAGCTAATTTTTCTGTATTTTTTGCAGAGTCGGGGTCCCACCATGTTGCCTCCGCTGGTCTCCAATTCCTGAGCTCAAGCGATCAGCCTGAAGTGCTGGGATTACAGGCGTGCTGGGATTACAGGCGTGAGCCACTGTGCTTGGCCAATCTAGTAATTATTTAAAGTACTTCCTGCTATTCTAAAAAAAGTTTATTCCCATCTCAATGATAAATGGCAGGGTCATTTCATTCCTTATCTGTTGCTACATAACAAATTACCCCAGATCTTAGTGGCTTGAAACAACAACAAACTTTTATTATCTCTCACAGTTCCTATGGGTTAGGAATTTAGGTGTGGCTGAACTTGGCAGTTCAAGGCATTGGCTGGGGCTGCAATCCATTGGAAGGCTTGCCTGGGGCGGAAGGATCTGTTTTCAAAGCCCCGAGCTGCCGGTTGGGGGTGGGATGCCTCAGTTCCTCTCCATATGGGCCTCTCCATGGGGCTGCTTGGGTGTCTTCAGGCCTTGGGGGTTGGTTTCCTACAGAGCAAGGGATCTGGGAGAGAGGGAGCACCACGCAGAAGCCATCCTTTCGTGCCCTAGCCTCGGAAGTCTCATGGTATTGCTTTTACCATCTCCTAGTGACTTAGAAGAAAGTAGCCAAGACAGACATTTAAAGGAGAGGGGGGTGGAGGGATCCCAGGTTTTTTTTTTTTTTTTTTTGACATGGAGTCTGGCTCTGTCGCCCAGGCTGGAATGCAGTGGCGCGATCTCGGCTTCACGCCATTCTCCTGCCTCAGCCTCCTGAGTAGCTGGGAATACAGGCGCCCGCCACCACGCCTGGCTAATTTTTCTATTTTTAGTAGAGACGGGGTTTCACCGTGTTAGCCAGGATGGTCTCGATCTCCTGACCTTACAGGCGTGAGCCACTGCGCCCAGCCAATCCTAGCTTTTAAAACCACCAGCAGCTGGGAGCAGTGGCTCATGCCTGTAATCCCAGCACTTTGGGAAACCAAGACGGGAGGATCACTTAAGGTCAGGAGTTTGAGACCGGCGTGGACAACAGAGTGAGACCCCCTCTGTACAAAAAATCTAAAAACTACCACGGTTGGCCAGGCGCAGTGCTCATGCCTGTAATCCCAGCACGTTGGGAGGCCAAGGCGCGCAGATCACTTGAGGTCAGGAGTTCAAGACCAGCCTGTCCAACCTGGGAAAACCCATCTAAATTAAAAATACAAAAAATTAGCTGAGCATGGTGGTGGTACCTGTAACCCCAGCTACTCAGGAGGCTGAGGCAGGAGCATCACTTCAACCCAGGAGGCAGAGGTTGCAGTGAGCCGAGATCGTGCCACTGCACTCCATCCTGGGCAACAGAGTGTAACTCCATCTCCAAAAACAAAAGCAAAACAAAACAAAACAAAACTACCATGGTTACCTAAAATAGGGCATGTGTTGGGAAGGGAGTAGACAGAGCCAGAGTGGATAGACAGAAGACATCTGATCAAGAAAGATTCAGGCCGGGAGTGGTGGCTCACGCCTGTAATCCCAGCACTTTGGAAGGCCAAGGTGGGTGGATCACCTGAGGTCAGGAGTTCGAGACCACCCTGGCCAACAAGGCAAAACCCCGTCTCTATTAAAATACACAAAATTAGCCAGGCATGGTGGTGCACGCCTGTAATCCCAGCTACTCAGGAGGCTGAGGCACAAGAGTCACTTGAACCCAGGAAGCAGAGGTTGCAGTGAGCTGAGATCACGCCATTGCATTCCCGCTTGGGTGACAGAGTGAGACCCTGTCTCAAAAAACAAACAAAACCAACAAGGCAGAGATGTGGCCAGGGCTTCTGAAGGAATGCATGAAGTCCACCCAGCACCCACTCCAGTTGTGTCCCTCCATCCTCCCAGACTACCCCCTGCCCCTGCACTCCCAGCCATGCCCCCTGTGTGGGCCTCTGGTCCTCTCACCCTCTACCTTTGCTGGAGAACATACAGGACTCACGTCTTTTCCTCCCATGGGACAGAAACTCCTTTCGCGCTTCCTATCAGGCCCTGCCTACCGCAGGTATACACTGCGGGGTTTCTCAGTGAACAGAGCATACCAATTTGCACCCGCCACAGGACAGTGGCTTGTTCCCTGCAGACAACTTACTCTTTCAGCCTCCAGGCGTTTGCTCCTCCAGCCCAGAGGGATGGGGCAGCAATGAGCATTTGAGCCGCCCTAGAAGCAGGAGGCAGGAGGCAGGAAGATATCTGGATAGTTCAGGAAAGAGATGAGGAAAAAGGAAAAAGGCATAGGAAAAAGATTTGGGAGCTAGGGTTGAGCCAGCCCCTTTCTCTGGGCAGCAGCAGACTATGGCTGTCCTGAGTGGGCACACGCAAGGCTCTGGGGCTCACCCCGTACCCTCTTCACCTATACCCCTCCCCTGATCCATCTGTAGCCACCCACTCCTGTTCCCTGCTTGCTCATCTTGCTTTAACCCCAGCACCTCCTGACATTTTCTCATGCCAGCCATCACCCCATTCTTGGCTCAGATGGTGCTGCCTCCTCTAGGAAGCCTTACTGGCTTGCAGCTCTGTGGTCCTAGAGCATTTTGGCTGCCCCTGCCAGAGGCCTGACACCTAAATGACAGGTGAGGTCCTTGGCTTAATTCTGCGAGAGCAGTGACAGCATCTCCACTTTCCAGAATCAGGATGCGATTATGTGTGTGTGTAGTCTTCTAAGCCTGGGCTTTTCTGGCTCTGCCCTCACAAACTGGTGCTGGCCAGTGGCCCCAGGGCCTTCCCAGTTAATGCTTAATGGCTGGGTACAGTGGCTCACACTTGTAATCCAGCACTTTTGGAGTTCCAGGTGTCTTTATTAAAAATACAAAAATTAGCCAGGCATGGTGGTAGAGACCTGTAATCCCAGCTACTTGGGAGACTAAAGCAGGAGAATCGCTTGAACCTGGGAGACAGAGGTTGCAGTGAGCTGAGATCATGCCACTGCACTCCAGCCGGGGCAACAGAGCAAGACTCTGTCTCAAAAAAAAAAAAAAAAAAAAAGCTTACTGGAGCTTCTAGTGGACCAGATACTCTTGAGAGTGCTTGACGTGGTTTATCTCATCAAGCCCTCACAACCACTTACGTTACAGGCATGATCATCATCTCTGTTTTACAGGTAAGAAACATAGCACAGAGAGGTCAAGCAACTTGCCCAAGGTCACACAGCCAGGATGAGCAGTGCTGGGATTCCAGCCCAGGTGTCCCAGGGCTCTAACTCCCTTGGGATAGCCTGTCTTTCCCTAAACTGCAATTAGACAGTGGCCTCAGCCCAATGTGTTGCGAGGAATGAGGGCTCTGCATGGACTTTTTGCAATTTTAAGCTTTTCTCTCATAAATACCTCGTAAGACGTTAGTGTTCACTGGCCGGGCATGGTGGCTCACGCCTCCCAGCACTTTGGGAGGCCCAGACGGCCAGATCACAAGGTCAGGAGTTCGAGACCAGCCTGACCAACATGGTGAAACCCCGTCTCTACTAAAAATACAAAAATTAGCTGGGTGTGGTGGCATGCGCCTGTAATCCCAGCTACTCGGAAGGCTGAGGCAGGAGAATTGCTTGAACCTGGGAGGCGAAGGTTGCAGTGAGCCGAGATTGCGCCATTGCACTCCAGGCTGGGCGACAGAGCAAGACTCTGTCTCAAAAACAAACAAACAAACAAAA
This sequence comes from Homo sapiens, assembly GCF_000001405.40. NCBI lineage: Eukaryota > Metazoa > Chordata > Mammalia > Primates > Hominidae > Homo > Homo sapiens. The sequence goes on along the minus strand of NC_000007.14, from coordinate 73,162,980 downwards.
AAAAACAAAAGACTTTAGTGTTCACCATGGCTCGTTTGCAAGATTTCCTGCATGTAGGAACACGAATGACCCAGTGCAGGCCAAAACAAACCAGAGACCTGCATTCAGCAGATCCGGCCCAGGAAGGCAGCAGGAAGTTTCCATGGGCCCATGCTTACTGCATACTTGCCTGTGTAGTTTTTGCCAATCCAATGGACTTTCTAGAATGGAATTTAAAGATAACAGCATTTCATGGGCAAAAAGGAGAGTGCTGCTTGGCTGAGCATGGTGGCTCACACCTGTAATCTCAGCACTTTGGGGAGGCCAAGGCAGGTGGAGCGTCTGAGGTCAGGAGTTCGAGACCAGCCTGGCCAACATGTTGAAACCCCATCTCTACTAAAAATACAAAAATTAGCCAGGCATGGTAGCTCACACCTGTAATCCTAGCACTTTGGGAGGCCGAGGTGAGAGGATTGCTTGAGGCCAGGAGTTCAAGACCAGTCTGGACAACACAGTGAGACCTTGTCTCTACTAAAAACAGAGTAAAATAAATTAACCAGGTGTGGTGCTGCATGCCTGGAGTCCCAGCTATTCGGGCGGCTGAGGCAGGAGGATACCTTGAGCCCAGGAATTTGAGGCTGCAGTGAGCTATGATGGTGCCACTGCACTCCAGCCTGGGCAATAGAGCTTGTCTCCAAAATAAATAAATAAAGAGATGTCTCCATAATAATATTAATAAAAAAACAGAGGGGACTCTGGGAGTAGGTTCAGGTTCCAGAGGGGTTGGGGTAAGCCAGGCAGATGGGGCACACCGGGATCCCACCTAGATCTGGGGTCACACAGCGGTCTGTGCACAGTAATCTCTCTGCCCCTCACACCTAAGTCAGCCTCCAGGCCTGTCCCAGGTAGGTCAGCTACGGGACTGAGTGCCTCAGTCCTACTGTGCACATGGCCATTGCCCACAGCTTCTGGGTCCCCCACCTCCCTGTGGCGGAGAGCATCCATCCGGATGGCAGGCCCCACCTTGAGTGGTGAATCCTGATTGGTCCATGATGGTCTCATTCCCTGTGCCTGTGATAGGCTGAGGCATGTTCATGTGACCCAGTTCTGACCAATGAGATGAGGAAGTCTGTGCTGGGATAGGGGTACCCCCAGAAAGGTTAGCTCCTTCCTTCATGGAGTTTCCTCCTGACTGCCCAGGATGCCCGGAGCCACCCCAGCCATCACAGTGGGGCTATGCTTCTGTGCCATGGGTAGCCAAGCATAAATTGATGACCTCATCAAGCCTTTAAGTTATCCAAGCCTGGGGCAGCCCAACCCATAAACTCTGATCACACAAAGTTCAAACTTCTTATTGGTTATGTCCTGGCTTTCTGTTGTTTGTAGCTCAAAGCATCCTTGCTGGCTGGGCGCAGTGGTTCACGCCCGTTATCTCAGCACTCTCGGAGGCCAAGGAGGGAGGATTACCTGAGGTCAGGAGTTCGAGACCAGCCTGAGTAACACGGCTAAACCCCGTCTCTACTAAAAATACAAAATTAGCCGGGCATGGTGGTGGGTGCCTGTAATCCTAGCTACTCCAGAGGCTGAGGCAGGAGAATTGCTTGAACCAGGGAGGCGGAGGTTGCAGTGAGCCGAGATTGTACCACTATACTCCAGCCTGGGTGACCAAGTGAGACTCCATCTCAAACAAACAAACAAAAACCACAAAGCATCCTTGTTGATAGCCCCTGGTTACATTTCTTCTTCTTTTTTTATTATTTTTCAGAGACAGGGTCTCTGTCGCTCAGGCTGGAGTGCAGTGGCACCATCATAGCTCACTGCAGCCTCAAATTCCCGGGCTCAAGTGATCCTCCCACCCAAACCTCCTGAGACAGGTGTGCACCGCCATGCCTGGCTATTTTTTAAAAAGTTATTTTAAAAAATTTTTTTTTGTGGAGATGGGGTCTTGCTTTGTTGCCCAGGCTGGTCTCAACCTCCTAGCTTCAAGGGATCCTCCAACCTCAGCCTCCCAAAATGCTGGGATTATAGGCAGGAGCCACTGGGTCTGGCCTTATCGTTTTGAGTTAAGCCCGTCCTACCAGAAGAAGAGTGAGCCCAACGTGCCCTCAGGGAAGCTGAAATGGAATCTAGAAGGATGCACGGGGAAGAAAGGGGTAAGGCAAGAAGTAATACTCTGGGCAGAAAGAACAAAGGCCTGAAGGCTGGAGGCACGCTAGGGTGTGGCTGGAAGCTTCGAGGTGAGGCTGGAGAGACAAGGTGAGGTGGGCCACAGAGGGCCCTCAGCTAGGTCACAGAGCCTCAGGGTTACCACAGAGGACAAGGGAAGCTCATCGGACAGACCTACCCAGGGTCTTGCCTTCTGGCTTTATGCTGAGAATAAGTAAGCACATTCCTCGCCTAGTCCAGCCACACCCAGATGCTCCTCCAAAGGTCCTGGGCAGAGGCCTGGTTCAGCAGACCCGGGACAGGGTCGCTGGGCTCTGCTTCTAGCAGGTGTGATCCTGCCTTCTACAACGACATATCTTCCAGCCCCAGGGCACTCCTATGAGACTCTGGCAAATACTTGGGTTGAAATCTGGGTCACTCTGATGGTCAGAAATCCATCAAACAGACGTTTACTAAGTGCCTACAAAGCAGGGTGCTACACGCAGCGGAGACGGGACCTAGTTCAAATCCCAATTCTGTTTCTTTCCAGCTGTGCGACCTTGCCATTGTACTTCTCCAAAGCTAGTGTCTTCACCGCTCTGCAAAATATGGCAAAGTCAACGGTAGCTCTCATCACCACTGGTAGGTACTGTGGTGATGTGGTGGGAAGGGGTGGATCAAATCATGCACAAAAAACTTGAAGGTTGATAATCTAGGTAAGAGAAAAAGACAAGCCAATAACATGTTGTTATCGGCAAAAGTTGAGAAATACGCAAGGTGCCCGGAAGAAAGTATCTGAGATAGGCTCTAAGGCTCTAACGAAGTAGAATGTCTAAGCAGGTCGCGGTGGCTCTCGCCTGTAATCCCAGCATTTTGGGAGGCCGAGGTGGGTGGATCACTTGAGGTCAGGAGTTCGACACCAGCCTGGCAAACATGGCGAAACCCAGTCTTTACTAAACATACAAAAATTTACCGGGCGTGGTGGCGCACGCCTGTGATCCCAGCTTCTTGGGGTGGAGGTTGCAGGGAGCTGAGAACACACCACTGCACTCCAGCCTGGGTGACAGAGCAAGACTCCGTTTCAAAAAAAAAAGGAAGTAACCGTCTAGATGGGAGTGATAAGGACCAAGTATCCCTGGGAGAAGAAAACAGCTCTGGTAGCAGATCACTCAAGCCCGGGAGGTGTAGGCTGCAGTGAGCCGTGATCACGCCACTGCACTCCGGCCTGGGTGACAGAAGAAGACCCTATCTCCAAAAAAAAAAAAAAAAAAAGAAAAGGCCCACCAAAGCCAAATAGGCAGGAATACAGAAAGGCCAGCATTTCAGTTCTGTGCTCCTAAGCCTTTCAGAACACTGTGCTGTAGACAGAAGGGCTGGACATAACCATTCAATGGGGGCATCTCTTGCAACCTACAATAGCAAAATCTCAGAGCTTGTGCCAGAAAGGTGCAGATTGGCACATTTAAATCCCGGATCTATCACTTCTTGCCTGACCTTGAGCAAGTCACTTAATCTTTGAACCCCAGCTTCCTGGTTTGCAAAGCAGGTTTAATACCTAATACACAGAACGTACCTGGGGGTCCTGGGGTCTAGATCCTCTCTTCCAACTAGTTAACTCCAAATGTGAGCCACTGGCTTTCCTACTTCAAAAGCCCTAAGGGCCAATGGCTCATGCCTGTAAGCTCATGCCTGTAACAGTTTAAATGTTATGTCCGCACGCACCTCTGACAGGCTGAGGTGGGAGGATCATGTGAGGCCAGGAGTTCAAGGCCAGCCCGGGCAACACAGTGAGACCCCCATCGCTACAAGAAATTTAAAAATTAGCTGAGTGTGGTGGTGCGCACCCGCAGTCCCAGGTGCTTGGGAGGCCGAGGTGAGAGGATTGCTTGAGCCTAGGAGTTCGAGGCTGCAGTGAGCTATGATGGTGCCACTGTACTTCAGCCTGGGCAACAGAGACCCCATCTCTTAAAAACAAACAAAAAAAAGCTCTAAGATCTAGTGCCACCTCCTACAGGTAGGCACCCGGCGTTCTAGGTACCCTGCTAGACCAGCCCTTCCCTGACTCCACCCTGCTGTAGAATGATGGCCTCTTTCTTTCTCTTCCACCAGGCTCTAGGGCTTGGCAGAGGAAGGGGCAAGGTATCTCTGCATCCCTTGGACCCAGCCACACCCCAACACAGAGTGAATGTTTCCTAATGCCATTCCCTTTCCACAACTCCACTCCACGAGAGAGAAGTGACTTAAGCCTGCTAAGGAGCGGAGGGAAAAGTTCAGGAAGGTTTCAGCATGCTATCATTAGCGCTATCATTAGCTCTTGAGGACTGAATAGGAATTTACTAGGGGTGGGTGGGGGAGAATATTCCAGGCAAATGGAAGAGAGGTAGATACAAAGGCACAGAGGTATGTAGGGAACAATAAGGGAAATTGTGTATTTGCTGGGGGAGGGCTAAAGATGAGGATTCAAGGCCAGGAGCAGTAATCCCAGGACTTTGGGAGGTCGAGGTGGGAGGATTGCTTGAGCCCAGGAGTTGGAGGCTGTATTGATCTATGATGGCGCCACTGTACTCCAGCCTGTACGACAGAGCAAGACTCTGTCTCTAAAAGAGAAAAATAAAAAATAAAAAAAATAAAGATGAGGATTCAGGATCTAGATCCCAAAGGGCCTCGAATGCCATGTCAATGATTTGATGCTATAGAGTGACTGACAAAACTGTAAACGGGCCGGGCGCGGTGGCTCACGCCTGTAATCCCAGCACTTTGGGAGGTCGAGGCCAGTGGATCACCTGAGGTCGGGAGTTCAAGACCAGCCTGACCAACATGGAGAAGCCCCGTCTCCACACCAAATTAGCCAGGTGTGGTGGCGCATGCCTGTAATCCCAGCTACTCGGGAGGCTGAGGCAGGAGAATCACTTGAACCCAGGAGGTGGAGGCTGCAGTGAGCCGAGATGGCGCCATTGCACTCCAGCCCGGACAAGAGCAAAACTCAGTCTCAAAAAAAAAAAAAAAAAAAAAAGTAAACAGGTGGCACAGGGACCCTCAGGGCATGCTGTGCTAGTCTGGGCTAAACTTAGGTTTTGGAGAGGGAGGTGACAGAGCTATGGGTCACCACCTAGGGGCAGGTATTGCAGGAACAATCTAAGGGGTTCTACCTGGATGGCTGATTATTGAAAACAGTTTAAATGCTATGTCGGCAGGCTGCAACCCATTAACACTTGCTAAAAAGCCATTTCCCACAATCGTCCCACACCATCCACACAGCAGTTCTGTGTCCATGAGGGGGCCAAATAGTGCTATCTCTATTTTACAGACGGACGAAGTGTGAGCCAGAGGAGACAGACTTCGCCTCAGCCAGGCAGGCAGGGGGCTGTGGTCACACATGACCTGAAGCCATGATCTGGGCTCAGAGTGCATGGGGTGGCAGGTCCTCAGGCATTTGACGAATGTTCCGCACCTTCTGAGGCCGGACCATGGAAACACAGCGATGGCCTTTGGCCTCTGAGTCATCTTGAAACTGGACTAGTCAGCTGGGTCACCTGGGCCTGGGACAGGACAGGCTGCTTTCTGCAGGAGGGAGGAAGGGGGACCCACTGAGGGACAGGTCTTCTTGTGTTCCCAGAGGCCAGCAGGGGGGCTTGACCCCAGAGACACGCCTATCCATGAGTACCCAAAGGGGATCCTGAGTTGGGGGCTGGAAGAAGGCCAGTCTCTCCACCAAGGGAAAGGGGCTGAGGGACCCTGCCCTTTGCTGCCTTTCTAAGAAGCCCCCAAATGCCCCCCGCTTCCAGCACCCAGGCCCTGTGCACAGCCGCAGCCTGAGTCATCATTCTCATTTGAATGGTGGCCGAGAAATCAGCCAGGGGGCTGCCCAGGGCTGAGGGCCAAGGCTAGGAAAAACAAGGCTGTTCTGTTACCTCCAAGCTTTGGAACGTCAAGCCCGGCTAGGGAGTGGGGGGCAGAGGGCAGGCAGAAGCAGGATCTGAAGGTGTCAATAGCCAGAGGGGGCTTTGTGTGAGGGGTGGGGGCGCGGTTCAGAATCCGAGCTGTTGGCTTTTGTTTTCAAATGACCTGTTTAATCATTACCCTTTGCAATCAACGGGGAGCACAGGCTCCGTGGCAGAGGCTTGGCGACTATTTCAAATCTCCATCCCCTACTGAGCAGCCGGAGACGAAAGTAAACAAGATGCCACCGGCAGGTCTGGCTCCATCTCGCAAACAATAGCCGGACTGAGCACCCGGCTCAGACACACACATCAAAGTGAGATTTCCAAGCAAGAACTTTTCACAGGCAGATAACAGGCTGGAATTATTTCCCTGTGTCCCTAGAGCTCAGTGCCAAAGGGGGCAGCCTAAGGGGGCTGTCATTTTCACGCTAACCTTGACCCGAAAAGTATTCATTCATTTTGCAGTGAGGGAGAGCCACCACCGCCCCAAACCGCGAAAAACCAACCAGTAACAACTTTATCATTCCTTTTTAACAGTCACAATGGTGGGCAAATGAGACTTAAGTTACAGCAGCTAGCTGGCACTCACACTCCCCTCGGCTCAGGCTCCTTAAACAACAACAACAAAACCCTAATGCAAGCACCCACCGGGGCTCACAATGTCAAACCCTTACCTGGCATAGGGAAAATCCAAGTGAGAGAGACAGAGAGAGAGAGAGAGAGAGAGAGAGAGAGAGAGAGAGAGAGACAGACAGAGAGAGAGAGAGAGAGAGAGAGTGTGTGTGTGTGTGTGTGTGTGTGTGTATGTGTGTGTGTGTGTGATTCCCTCTTTTACCTTCCAAGGCCTTCAACTATTTTTCCCCCTGCAGCATCCAAGCCCAGCCTCAAGGCAGATGCATAAACATGCCTGCTCCTCCCCTTCTACGGTTGGGCAAAACACCCCCCCACCCCCTTTCCAGGACCCCAAGGAGAAAGAATCACGTCCTCTGCAGCCCCTCCCTGGCCCTCGCCCACCCCCCGTTTCCCCCCCGCAATTCCAGGCCGTCCGCAGCAAGCCTCGTAGGCACCTTGAGATAAACACCCACTAATGATTTTATGATTTTCTGCTCTGGGTAACCGCGCTCAGCGGAATCCCTCCCCCCGCCGTGGCGACGGGGCCGGCCCAACCGAGGGATGGGGGGATGGGGGCGTTTGTTTTTTCCACGGCCTCGTCCCCACACCTGTTTTTCATTCATTCATTCGTTCGTTCCTTCATCCATTCACGGATCCGTCACTGCAGCCGCCCCAGCCCCCCGGATTTCGGGGAGGGGGCTGCGATGGGGGAGGGGGTGGGAGATGGGGGGACGACAGAGGTGGGGGGTGGCGCACCGGGGGGTGGAAGGTTGCGAGGGGTCCGGGAGCCAGGACCCTGCGGCTCCGGCTTTGTCAGACGCGAGCGAAGCGGCGGCGGGGGCGGGGCGGGGGCGCTCCCGGGGCCCGAAGTTGTTTTCCGAGGCGCGGCGGCGAGGACAGCGGCCCGGGGTGCGCCCCCTTTGTCTGTCCCCGGCCGGCGCCGCGTCCCCGCGCGCTTACCTGGTCTTGGAGGACAGGAAGGCAAGTTTGATCAGGCCGTAGGTGAACAGCGGGATACTCTCCTTGGCGACGCTGGCAACTTGCAGCCGGTGCTCCAGGATGTGGAGTTCCATCGTCCGCCCGCGCCCCGTCCGCGGCGGCTCATCCGCGGGGGGACGAGCCGCGGCCCCCGCCCCCTCCGCGCCCTGCCGGCACCGACAGCCGGCCCGGAGACCCGGGAGCTCGGCGCCGGGCGCGGGGGGCGGCGGCGGCCGGGCCGGGCCGGACAAAAGGGAGGAGGCCCGCCAAGTTGCAAGGGGGAGCCGCGGGGCGAGGGAGGCAGCGCCGGCAGAGCAGCAGCCGAGGGGCCGAGCGGCGGAGCAGCGGCGCGCGGCGCCCGGCGCGGGGGGAGCAGCTGGTGTTCGCTGTAACAAACAACTTGCCACTCAAACGCCGGTCCCCGCTGCGCATGCGCGGCCCGCGCGCGGCCTGCCGGGACTTGTAGTCCGCCTGGGGGGGCTCCCCCGGTGCTGCTGCTGCTGCTGCTGTTGCTGCTGTTGCTGCCGCGGGGGCTGGGCGGCCGGAGCTACCGGCAGCCCGGTGCACGGGAAATGCAGGAGCGCGGGCACCCTCAGGACTAAGGGGAAGGCCGAGGGGAGGCACGGGGCGGGTGGAGCCAGCCTGAGCCTAGGCGCGCCCTCTGGCACCCAGTCAGGCTCGGTACTAGGTGCTTGGAGTGTAAAGCGAGCAAACCAGACGACTCCGGTGCTGGAGAAGGCCCGAGTCTGGGAGCGCCAAGATGTAGGGCAATCGGTCATGAGAGTGCGGAGAAGCCAAACCGAAAAGCTTGCTGGGGACCCGGAGGGAGGGGATTGACAGGTCAAAGGGGGTGACCCGGGGGAGGGGACACTCAGGCTGGGTTTTGAAGGATGAATGGGAGTTCCTAGCAAGAGAGTGAGGGCGCGCGGATGGAGGACAGAGGCCTTCCAAGCTGCAGGAACAGCGTGTCCTAGGGCACAGAAGCGTGAAAGCCCCCACGGTGCTGTGTTTGGCTTTGTTGCAGCGGAAAATGTGAGGGAGGAGAGAAAAGAGATAAGGCAGGCATAGTCACCAGGAGTCAGGTCGGGAGGGTCATGTGTGCAGAGCTAATGAGGTGGCCATTTATCCCACTGGAGAGGGGGTGATGGGGACTGCGAAGGGTGAATTCGGGGAAAATGTAAAGTGCGTCTGAGGCACTTCCAACCCCAGGGCCCACGCGCCCGGACCACAGAGGTTCCTCCTTCATGGCTGTCTGGTTTTGAAATGTTCTGGGTTAAAGTGATTGGTGCTTCCACCTTTGGCAGAGTAATCTGGGGACGCGATGGGTGAGATCTATCTGCCAGGGCAGGCTGAGAACTCTTTTTCAGGGGAAAATTGCAGTTGTGCTCCCTCACCTTCCCTCAGCCCTCCTCTGTTAGGTAGGAACATACTAGGTTTTGTCATTTCCACAAAAGGGTGAAAAGCCTGTAATCTGTGGTAGATAGATCTTAGAGCATGCATATCCCCCTCCCACTTTATTTTCTTTTACTCTTTTTCTTTTATTTATTTATTTTTTAGAGACAGGGTCTTGCTCTGTTGGCCAGGATGGAGTGCAGGGGCGCAATCATAGCTCACTACAGCCTCGAACTCCTGGGCTTAAAAGATCCTCCCACCCCAGCTTCCCCAGCAGTTGGGACTACAGTTATGCCTGGCTAATTTTTTTTTTTTTTTAACTTTCTTTTTTCCCCCCCGAGATGGAGTCTTGCTCTGTCGCCCAGGCTAGAGTGCCATGGCGCGATCTTGGCTTACTGCAACCTCCTCCCCCTTGGTTCAGCGATTCTCGTGCCTTGGCCTCCCAGCTAGCTGGGATTACAGGTGCTGGCCACCACGGCTGGCTAATATTTGTATTTTTCGCAATGTTGCCTAGGCTGGTCTTGAACTCCTGACCTCAGGTGATCCACCCACTTCGGCCTCCCAAACTGCTGGGATTACAGGCATAAGCCACCATGCCTGGCCTTTTTTTTTTTTTTTTTTTTTTTTGAGTCGGAATCTTGCTCCATCACCCAGGCTGAAGTGCAGTGGCACGATCTCGGCTCACTGCAACCTCCCCCTCCGAGGTTCACGCCATTCTCCTGCCTCAGCCTCTCGAGTAGCTGGGACTACAGGTGCCCGCCACCACACCCGGCTAATTTTTTTGTATTTTTAATAGAGACAGGGTTTCACTGTGTTAGCCAGGATGGTCTCGATCTCCTGACCTCATGATCCGCCCGCCTCGGCCTCCCAAATTGCTGGGATTACAGGCGTGAGCCACCACACCCGGCCTTTTTTTTTACTTTTTGTAGAGAGGGGTGTCTCACTATGTTGTTCAGGCTAGTCTCGAACTCCCAGCCTCAAGTGATCCTCCAGCCTCAGCATTTTTTTTTTAAAGCTTATCTGTCTCTCCCCTACACAATCTCAACTCCACAAAGGCAGTGATTTTTGTCTGTTCTCCGCTGTGTTCCCATTGTCAGCAATAGTGACTGGCCTATGAGAGACACTCATTCAATATTTGTGGAATGCATCAATGCACCTATCTATGCCTTTAGAATCTAGAGATCCAGAAATCCCAAACAGAAATGCATTCAGGGGCCAGACAGATTACACAGATGTGTGAAGCAGTTGGCTATCAGATAGTTGGAAATGTGGCTGGGCGCGGTGACTCACGCCTGTAATCCCAGCACTTTGGGAGGCCAAGGAGGGTAGATCATTTGAGGTCAGGAGTTTGAGACCAGCCTGACAAACATGGTGAAACCTCGTCTCTACTAAAAACACAAAAAAATTAGCTGGGCATGGTGGTGCCTTCTCCTGAGGCAGGAGAATCGCTTGAACCCAGGAGGTGGAGGCTGCAGTAAGCTGAGATCGCGCCACTGCACTCCAGCCTGGGTGATAGAGTGAGCCTCCATCTCAAAAAAAAAAAAATGTTGGAAATGGTACAGGTGAAGGGAAGTCTGCCTGAAGGCATAAAATTCAGTTTCTTAAAAAAAAAAAAACAACTGGCAGGGTGCAGTGGCTCACAACTATAATCCCAGCATTTTGGGAAGCCAAAGCAGGCAGATCACAAGGACAGGAGTTCAAGACCAGCCTGGCCAGCATGGTGAAACCCCGTCTCCACTGAAAATACAAAAATTAGCCAGGCATGGTGGTGTGCATCTGTAATCCCAGCTACTTGGGAGGCTGAGGTAGGAGAATCACTTGAACCTGGGAGGCAGAGGTTGCAGTGAGCCAAGATTGCACTACTGCACTCCAGCCTGGGCGACAGAATGAGATTCTGCCTCAAAAAAAAAAAAAACACAAAAAACAAAACAACAACAATAAAAAAAAGCAGGTGAAACAAAACAAGGCTAAAGGCAAGATTTGGCTAGTTTTCTGACTTCTGCTCTGGATGGCCTAAGGTAGCATTTTTCAATCTGCAGACTGTGTATGACCCATGTAGTGGATGGTGAAATCAATTTAGCAGGGCATGGCAATTATTTAAAAAAATAATTAAACAGGCTGGGTACAGTGGCTGATGCCTGTAATCTCAGCATTTTGGGAGGCCAAGGCAAGAGGATCTCTTGAGGCCGGGAGTTTGAGACCAGCCTGGGCAACATAGCAAGACTGCTCATCTCTACAAAAATAAAAATATAAGAAACTAGCTAGATGTGGTGGCGTGCACCTGTAGTCCTAGTTACTCAGGAGGCTGAGGTGGGAGGATCCCTTGGGCCCAGGAGTTCGGAGCTGCAGTGAACTATTATTGTTTTTTTTTTTCTTTCTTTCTTTTTTTTTTTTTTTTTTTTGAGATGGAGTCTCACGCTGTTCCCCGGGCTGGAGTGCAGTGGCACAATCTCGGCTCACTGCAACCTCTGCCTCCCAGGTTCAAGCATTTCTCCTGCCTCAGCCTCCCAAGTAGGTGGGATTACAGGTGCCTGCCACCATGCCCAGCTAATTATTTTTATTTTTATTTTAGTAGAGACGGGGTTTCACTATGTTGGCCAGGCTGGTCTTGAACGCCTGACCTCTTGATCCACCTGCCTCGGCCTCCCAAAGTGCTGGGATTATAGGCGTGAACCACTGTGCCCGGCCGCTGTGAACTATTATTGTACCACTGGACTCTAGCCTGAGTAACAGAGTGACATCGTCTCTTCAACAAAATGGAAAAATTCCCGGCAAAAAAAAACACAAAAAAAATTTTAAATAGACTAGAAAATGACACAGTGTTGCATATAAAATGGGTAGGTTACTATCATCTTTTCTATACCCCAGGGCACTTTAATCTTGTCCATGTGTGTAAGGGGTGCGTGCCTGTGTGTGTCTGCCTATGTGCACTAGAACTTGATATAAAGGTATGTTTTACTGTGGGTCTTGGTAAAAAAAAAAAAATATATATATATATATATATATATATATATATATATATATATTTTTTTTTTTTTGAGACAGGGTCTTGCTCTGTCACCCAGGGTAGAGTGCAATGGCATGATCTCAGCTCACTGCAACTTCTGCCTCTTGGGTTTAAGCAATTCTCCTGCCTCAGCCTCTCGAGTAGCTGGGATTACAGGCGCGCGCCACCACCCACGGCTAATTTTTGTATTTTTTTGTTTGTTTTTGAGACAGAGTCTCACTCTGTAGCCAGACTGGAGTGCAGCATCATGATCTCAGCTCACTGCAACCTCCTCCTACCAGGGTCAAGTGATTCTTCTGCCTCAGCCTCCCGAGGAGTTGGGACTACAGGCATGTGCCACCATGCCAGCTGATTTTTGTATTTTTAGTAGAGGCAAGGTTTCACCATGTTGGCCAGGATGGTCTTGATCTCTTGACCTCGTGATCCACCCACCTTGGCCTCTCAAAGTGCTGGGATTACAGGTGTGAGCCACCACGCCCAGCCAATTTTTGTATTTTTAGTAGAGACGGGGTTTTACCATGTTGGCAAGGCTGGTCTCAAACTCCTGGCCTCAGGTGATCTGCCCGCCTCAGCCTCCCAAAATGCTGGGATTACAGGCGTGAGCCACTGTGCCTGGCCAAAACTGTTTAAAAGCATTGTGGGCTTTATATTTCATCAAGCCAGACTGCCATAAAGTTTGCAAATTTAGACCACCTTGTTTTTGACTTGCAGAATTGCTTTCGCTCAGTTGTATTTGGTGCTTAAGATTTCTGTGAAACTAACTTCCGAAATTCATGTTGGGGTGTTAAGGAAATTGACCTCTGAGTTGCCAAGTCCTGAGGATTCAGGCTGGAATTGGGGTGAAGCAAGTTGAGGCACTTTGGGCCCTGAATTTAAGGAGGTACTGGCTCCCAAGGTAACACAAGTGTTGGATGGGCACCGTCCTGGTAGAATTCCCTCCTCTTTGGGTTCCTTAGCACTGCCCTTTTCTGGTCTTTCACTGATTGACTCTAGGTCTGGCTATGTGATTTTCACGGCTTTGGCCAATGGGGTATTGGCAAATCTGCTCCCTAAGTCCTGTGCATTGGGACTTGCCCTCTCGGAAAGAATGCTGCCCTGAGACCATCACGCTGTAAAGAAGCTTGCAAGAAAGATCACATGAAGAGGTCCAGGTGTTCCAGCTGTGTCAGGCCTCTGCCAACAGCTAGCACCAACTACTAGAGCATGCTAAGATGTGAACGAGACCATCTTGGACTTTGCATCTGACTGTCTAACTGAGTGCAGCCACACACATGAGCCCAGGTGAAACCAGAACTATCCAGCCAACCAATAGAAACACGATGAATAAAAAAATAGCTGTTGGCTGGGCACAATGGCTCACGCCTGTAATCCCAGCACTTTGGGAGGCCAAGGCAGGTGAATCACAAGGTTAGGAGATTGAGACCATCCTGGCTAACATGGTGAAACCCCGTCTCTACTGAAAATACAAAAAATTAGCCGGGCATGGTGACGGGCACCTGTAGTCCCAGCTACTTGGGAGGCTGAGGCAGGAGAATGGCATGAACCCAGGAGGTGGAGCTTGCAGTGAGCTGAGATTGCGCCACTGCACTCCAGCCTGGGTGACAGAGCGAGACTCTGTCCCCCGCCCCCCCAAAAAATAGCTGTTGTCTGGGCACAGTGGCTCACACCTGTAATCCCAGCACTTTGGGAGGCCAAGGCGGGTGGAGCCCTTGAGGTCAGGACTTCAAGACCAGGCGGGGCAACATGGCAAAACCCCTTCTCTACAAAAAAATACAAAAATTACCTGGGCATGGTGACGCACGCCTGTAGTTCCAGCTACTTCGGAGGCTGACGTGGGAGGATCACTTGAGCCCAGGAGGTTGAGACTACAGTGAGCCGTGTTTGCACCATTGCATTCCAGCCTGGGTGACAGAGTGAGAACCTGCCTCTGACAAAAAAAAAAAAAAAGTTATTTTTCGTCATTAAGACTTGGAATGGTTTGTTGGGTAGCAATGGATATAGCTGACACATCCCCGCAGCCCTCACCTTCTCTCACTATGTGGGTGTACCCAGTCTCTGGCTTCTAATGTCAAGGGCCTCCAACTTGACACTTCCAGCTCAGAGTATGTTCTTAAGGCCCTCCCTCACTTATAGAACTTCCTAGTGGTTAGCTATGATGCATGGCAAACACATCTGGCAACAGTAACATCAGCATACCTTGAAAATGACCCCATGGTCTAAGAAGAGTATGTGTTGAAAGTTCTAAGCTAAGGAATCCAGGAGTGGCCAACCCGGAGATTCATTTCTTATCTATGAGGAACATCTGAACCCCTGGACCATCTAGGGGATGGTGGCCTTTGTTTGGGGTTAAATGAAGGTTGCCAGAGGGAGGGTGCTAGGGGGAGGGTGCTAAGTGGAAATGCTCTATAAACTGCATGCTTTTTTTTTTTTGTGAGATGGAGTCTTGCTCTGTCACCCAGGCTGGAGTGCAGTGGCGCCATCTCGGCTCACTGCAAGCTCCGCCTCCCAGGTTCATGCCATTCTCCTGCCTCAGCCTCCTGAGTAGCTGGGACTACAGGTGCCCGCCACCACGCCCAGCTAATTTTTTGTATTTTTAGTAGAGACGGGGTTTCACTGTGTTAGCCGGGATGATCTCGATCTCCTGACCTTGTGATCCACCCGCCTTGGCCTCCCAGAGTGCTGGGATTACAGGCATGAGCCACCGTGCTGGGCCCAACTGCATGCTTTTTATAAGCAGGTGTGGTTCTCCTGTTCCACCTGCCATGTCTGGACTACCCTGTAAGTCCCCTCAATAAACCCTATGTCTTGCTTGCTGGCCAGGCATGATGGCTCATGCCTGTAATCCCAGCACTTTGGGAGGCCAAGACAGGCAGATCACTTGAGGTCAGGAGTTTGAGACCAGCTAGGCCAACATGGTGAAAACCCCATCTCTACTAAAAATACAAAAAAAAAATTAGTTGGGTATGGTGGCATGCACCTGTAATCCCAGCTACTTGAGGGGCTGAGGCAGGAGAATCGCTTGAACCGGGGAAGCGGAGGTGGCAGTGAGCCAAGATCATGCCATTGCACTCCAGCCTGGGCAACTAGACTCTGTCTCAAAAAACAAACAAACAAACAAACAAACAAAAAACAGGCCAGGTATGGTGGCTTATGCCTGTAATCCCAGCACTTCGGGAGGCTGAGGCAGGTGGATCGCCTGATGTCAGAAATTTGAGACCAGCCTGGTCCACGTGGTGAAACCCTGCCTCTACTAAAAATACAAAAGTTAGCAGGGCATGGTGGTGAGTGACTGTAATCTCAGCTACTCGGGAGGCTGAGGCAGGAGAATCGCTTGAACCTGGGAGGCGGAGGTTACAGTGAGCTGAGATTGCACCACTGACTCCAGCCTGGGCAATAGAGTGAGATTCCATCTCAAAAAAACAAAACAAACACAGTACAAACCAAAAAACAAAACCCAGCTGGGTGCAGTGGCTCACGCCTGTCATCCCAGCATGTTGAGGGGCTTGAGTTGGGCAGATCACTTGAGGTCAAGAGTTCGAGACTAACCTGGTCAATATGGTGAGATCCCGTCTCTACTAAAATTACAAAAAAATTAGCTGGGAATGGTCGCATGTGCCTGTAATCCCAGCTACTAGGGAGGCTGAGGCAGGAGAATCACCTCAACCTGAGAGATGGCGGTTGCAGTGAGCCAAGATGGCGCCACTGCACTCCAGCCTGGGTGACAGAGTGAGTGAGACTATGTCTCAAAGAAAAAAAAAAAAAAGAAAAGAAAAATCTCCAAGTATGTTTGGAAGAGGTTGACCAACTGCCCTGATTTTCCTGGGACCAAGGAGAATTTCAAGATGTAAGACTTTCATTTTTGAAACCAGGACATTCTCCAGGAAGACAAATTGGTCACAGGACTTTGAAACAATTTACTTATGTAAATCTATGAACTCTAAATACAGATCGAGTATTGTGAATGAAAATTAAGCATCCAAACTGAGATGTGCTATCATGTGTAAAATGAACCCTGGATTGCAAAGATTATTATGAAAAAACTTCAAAGTATTTTATTAATAATTTAAAAATATTGATTATATGTTGAAACACTTTTTTTTTTTTTTCTGAGATGGAGTCTCACTCTGTCACCCAGGCTGGAGTACAGTGGTGCAATCTTGGCTCACTGCCACCTCTGCCTCCTGTGTTCAAGTGATTCTCCTGCCTCAGCCTCCTGAGTAGCTGAGATTACAGGCATGCGCTACCACGCCCAGCTAATTTTTTTTTACAGCAGAGACAGGGTTTCACTGTGTTGGCCAGGCTAGTCTGGAACCCCTGACCTCAAGTGATCTGCCCGCCTCGGCCTCCAAAGTGCTGGGATTACAGGCGTGAGCCCCCGCACCAACTTTTTTTTTTTTTTTTTTTGAGATGGAGTCTTGCTCCCTCGCCCAGGCTGGAGTGCAGCAGCACCATCTTGGCTCATTGCAACCTCTGCCTCCCGGGTTCAAGCGATTCTCCTGCCTCAGGCTCCTGAGTAGCTGGAGCTACAGGCGCGCGTCATCATGCCCAGCTAATTTTTGTATTTTTGGTAGAGACGGGGTTTCACCATGTTGACCAGGCTTGTCTCGAACTCCTGACCTCAGGTGATCTGCCTGCCTCAGCCTCACAAAGTGCTGGGATTACAGATGTGAACCACTGTGCCTGGTCAAAATGCTAATATTTTGGCAGCACTTTGGGAGGTCGAGGCAGGCGGATCACTTGAGTTCAGGAGTTTGAGACCAGCCTGGCCAACATGGTGAAACCAAACCCCATCTCCACTAAAAATACAAAAAAATTAACTTGGTGTTGTGGCGGGCGCCTATAATCCCAGCTACTCAGGAGGCTGAGCCAGGAGAATTGCTGAAACCTGGGAGGCAGAGGTTGCAGTGAGCCGAGATCATGCCACTGCACTCCAGCCTGGGCGACAGAGTGAGACTCTGTCTCAAAAAAAAAAAAAAAAAAAAATAGCAGAGTGAAGTCAGCACCCAATTCAACATGGCAGGTTCTAGAGAGGTTCAAATCATGATGGGGCTGGGTGCGATGAGGGGAGGTCTCTTCTGTTACAGGCTACCGTTAGTCCACACTTGGTCTGACCTAGTGGCCTTCTGTGCATGGCGGCCGCCCGGCATAGATTTTGATGATTTCCCATGTCACAAGCCTTGTCTTCACAAGGTGAGCTTCTGCAGCCTCCCTGTGGCTAAGATGCAGGCACATCAGAACTGTGTATGGCTCAGGTTCAGAAGTGAGCACAAGGTTCATGGATGGGATTTCAGAGAAGGCAGCAGGGATTTGTCTGGTAACAATTACTGTATACTACATAGCTCACACTTAGTGGAGAAAAATGACAAAATAGCCCGGTGCAGTGGCTTATGCCTCTAAGCACGGTGGCTCATGCCTGTAATCCCAACAACTTGGGAGGCTGAGATGGGAGGATTGCTTGAGACCAGGAGTTTGAGACTAGCAAGATCCTGTCTTAAAACATTTTTTTAAAAAAATAGCTGGGGATGGTGGCGCACGTCTGTTGTCCCAACTACTTGGGAGGCCGAGGCAGGAGAATCACTGGAACTGAGGAGTTCAAGGCTGCAGTGAGCTGTGATTGCACCACTGCACTGTTGTCTGGGCAGCCAGGCAAGACCCTGTCAAAAAGAAAGAATGAAAGAAAAGAAAGACAAAAGAAAGAAATGAAAGGCCAAAGAAAGAAAAGAAAGACGAAAGAAAGAAAAGATGAAAGAGAGAGAGAAAGAGAAAGAAAGAAAGAAAGAAAAAGAGAAAGAAAGAAAGAAAAGAAAGAAAGAAAGAAAGAGGAAAGAAAGAAAGAAAGAAGAAAGAAAAAGCAGGAAGGAAGGAAAATAGGACATGACATTATATTAACTCATTAATTCTTCTTTTTTTTTTTTTTTTTGAGACGAAGCCTCACTCCATCACCCAGGCTGGAGTGCCGTAGCACAATCTCAGTCACTGCAACCTCTGCCTCAAGCAATTCTCATGCCTCAGCCTCCCGAGTAGCTGGGATTACAGGTGCACACCACAATGCCCAGTTAATTTTTTTTTTGTATTTTTAGTAGAGACGGGGTTTCACCATGTTGGCCAGGCTGGTCTGGAAGTCCTGATCTCAGGTGATCCTCCCGCCTCGGCCTCCCAAAGTGCTGGGAGAATTCTTTTTTTTTTTTGAGACAGGGTCTCACTCTTACCCAGGCTGGAGTGCAGTGGCGTCATCACGGTTCCCTGCAGCCTCAAACGATCCTCCCACCTCAGCCTCACAAGTAGCTGGGTCTACAGGCACACACCACCACACCTGGCTAATATTTGTATTTTTTGGTAGAGATGGAGTTTCATCATGTTGCCCAGACTGGTCTCAAACTCCTGATCTCAAGTGATTCTCCCACGTCTGCCTCCCAAAGTGTTAGAATTACAGGTGTGGGCCACCATGCCTGGCCTGAACTCACAAATTCTATAGGTTGCTAATTCAGACAGGGCCTGTGAGAACAGTTTGTCTTTGCTCTGTGGTATCTGGCCTTTACTTGGAAAGACCTGAATGCTGGCGGTGATTTGGATGCCTGGGGGCTGGGGTCGCCTGGAAGCTTCTTTACTCTGTGTCTGAAGCCTGGTTGACGGGTGCCTCTCTCCATGGGGCTAGGGCTTCTCACAGCTTGGCAGCTGGATTCCCAGAGAGGATATCGCAGGGAGAGTCTGGAGAGCAAATGTGCCAAGAAAGTCAGCTGGAAGCCACATGGCCTTTTATGACCTAACCTCAGAAATCAAGCTGGGTGCGGTGGCTGCTGGACGCGGTGGCTCAAGCCTGTAATCCCACCACTTTGAGAGGCTGAGGTGGGTGGATCATTTGAGACCAGGATTTTGACACCAGCCTGGCCAACATGGTGAAACTCCGTCTCTACTAAAAATACAAAAATTAGCTGGGTGTGGTGGTGCGTGCCTATAATCCCAGCACTTTGCGAGGCTGAGGTGGGCAGATCACTTGAGGCCAGGAGTTTGACACCAGCCTGGTCAAGATGGTGAAACTCTGTCTCTACTGAAAATACAAAAATTAGCCAGGCGTGGTGGTGCATGTCTACAGTCTCAGCTACTCGGGAGCTGAAGCATGAGAATTGCTTGAACCCAGGAGGCAGAGGTTGCAGTGAGCCGAGGTTGCGCCCCTGCACTCCAGCCTGGGCAACGGAGCAAGACTCCATCTCAAAACAACACACAAAAAGAGAAATCATAGGGATGTCACCTGCATGGTATTCTCTGGGTTGAAACAGGTACAACCCCAGCTTGAGTTAGGGGAGGGGGCTGATATAGTCTGAATATTTGTCCCCTCTAAATCTCGTGTTGAAATGTGATCCCCAGTATTGGAGATGAGGCCAAGTGGGAGGTGTTTGGGTCATGGGGGCAGATGCCTCATGAATGGCTTGGTGCCCTCCCTGTGGTAATGAGTGAATTCTTGCTCTATTCACTCATTCTTTCAAAGAGCTGGATCTTTGAAAGAACCTGGCATGTCTGTTGCTCACCACGTGATCTTGTCGGCCCCCCTTCATCTTCCACTATGATAGGAAGCTTCCTGCGGTCCTCACTAGCAGCAGATGCTGGCACCATGCTTCTTGTACAGCCTGCAGAACCACGAGCCAAATACACCTCTTTTCTTTATAAATCACCCAGCCTCAGGTATTCCTTTATAGCAACAAAAACAGACTAAGACAGGGTCATAGACCCTGCTTCTTGATGGAGGAGGACAAAGTTACTTTGCAGAAGAGCATGTTGGATGAAGTTACTTTTGTAGCCATTTTGGGAAAATACAACTTGACATTTAGAAAGGTGAAGTCCTGCAGAAGGTGTGGCTGTGGAAGCTGCCACAGCTTCATTTTCTTCCTTCCTTCTTTCCTTCCTTCCTTCCTTCCTTCCTTCCTTCCTTCCTTCCTTCCTTCCTTCCTCCCTCCCTCCCTCTCTCCTTCCCTCCCTCCCTCTCTCTCTTTTTTTTTGAGACAGAGTCTTGCTCTGTTGCCCAGGCTGGAGTTCAGTGGTGTGATCTCAGCTCACTGCAATCTCCGCCTCCTAGATTCAAGTGATTTTCATGCCTTAGACTCCCAAGTAGCTGGGACTACAGGCGCCCACCACCACACCCGGCTAATTTTTGTATAGCGGAGATGGGGGTTCACCATGTTGGCTAAGCTGGTCTCGAACTCCTGACCTTAAGTGATCCACCCACCTCAGCTTCCCAAAGTGCTGGGATTACAGGCATCAGCCACTGTGCCTGGCCCACAGCTTCATTTTCTTATCAGGACAGTTCTGCCCCATGGTGCTGGGTAAGGGTCCTATAACTTTAAGCCTAGACTTTATTTCTTCAGCTTTCCAAAAGATCCTGTTCTCTGTTCAATGTTTTAAAATTAAGCTTTTTGGCCGGGTACTATATAGCTCATGTCTGTAATCTCCGCACTTTGGGAGGCCAAGGTGGGAGGATCGCTCGAGGCCAGGAGTTTGAGACAAGTTTGGCCAATACAGTGAAAGCCTGTCTCTATAAAATAAATAAATAAAATTAGGCTTGTTATCTTAAGATAATTGTAGATTCACTTGCAATTGTAAGACATTAATACCCAGAGAGCCCTCGTGCCCTTCATGCAATTTCCCCCAATGGTAACAGCTTGCAAAACTGTAGTACAATCTCACAACCAGGAAATTGCCTTTGATACCATCCACTGAACTTATCCAGGTTCTACCAGTTTTACATGTAATTGTGCGTGTGTGTTTAGTTCCATACAATTTACTCAGTACTCTAAAAATAGACTCTTCATCTTACAATGGTTTTAAATTTACAGAAAAATTGTTAAGACAGTAGGATTCGCATATATCCTGTACCATTTCCCCCTTTTATTAACATCTTGCACTGGTATAGTATATTTGTTACCGTTAATGAACTGAAATTAATACATTGTAATTAACTTAAGTCCATACTTTAGTTAGATCTCCTTAATTTTTACCAATTTCCTTTTTCTTTTCTTTTTTTTTTCTTTCTTTCTTTTTTTTTTTTGAGACGGAGTTTCACTCTTGTTGCCCAGGCTGGAGTGCAATGGCGCGATCTTGGCTCACCGCAACTTCCGTCTCCCGGGTTCAAGTGATTCTCCTGCCTCAGCCTCCCGAGCAGCTGGGATTACAGGCATGCGCCACCACCCTGGCCAATTTTGTATTTTTAGTAGAGACGGGGTTTTCTCCATGTTGGTCAGGCTGGTCTTGAACTCCCGACCTCAGGTGATCCACCCACCTCAGCCTCCCAAAGTGATGGGATTATAGGCGTGAGCCACCGCGCCTGGCCCAATTTCCTTTTTCTGTCCGAAGATCCCATCCGTGACACCATGTGACAGTTAGTAGTAATGTCTTCTTGGGCTCTTCTTGGCTGTGATAGTGTACAAAAAAAAATTAATTTTCTTTGAGACAGTCTCACTCTGTCACTCAGGCTGGAGAGTAGTGGTGTGATCATAGCTCACTGCAGCCTCAATCTCCTGGGCTCAAGTGATCCTCCCTCCTCAGCCTCCCATATTTTTAATACAGACAGGGTTTCACCATGTTGGCTAGGCTGGTCTTGAACTCCTGACCGCAGGTGATCTGACCTCAGGTGATCTGCCCGCCTCAGACTCCCAAAGTGCTGGGATTACTGGTAGGAGCCATCACACTTGGCCAGTTTACTTGATGTTTTAAAAATAAATTCCTCTGCTATGTAAACTGACCAGAATGGATTCTGTTGATTGCAACTAAGACCCATAACTGATGCAGTTGGCATTCAAGCCTCACGCCGGCTAATTTTGTCTGTGTGTGTGTGTGTGTGTGTGTGTGTGTGTGTGTGTGTGTGGTAGAAATGGAGTCTTGCTATGTTGCCCAGGCTGGTCTCAAACTCCTGGCCTCAAGTGATCCTCCTGCCTTGGCTTCCCAAAGAGCTGGGATGACGGTTGTGAGCCACCACACCTGGTCAGTTTACTTGACATATTAAAAATAAATTTCTGGCCAGGTGAGGTGGCTCACACCTGTAATCCCAGCACTTTGGGAGGCCAAGGGGGGTGGATCACTTGAGGTCAGGAGTTCGAGACCAGCCTGGCCAATATGGTGAAACCCCATCTCTACTAAAAATACAAAAATTAGCTGGATATGGTGGCACATGCCTGTAATTTCAGCTACTCGGGAGGCTGAGGCGGGAGAATGGCTTGTACCCTGGAGGCAGAGGTTGCGGTGAGCCAAGATCGTGCCACTGCACTCCAGCCTGGGCGATAGAGCAAGAATTCATCTCAATAAATAAATAAATTCATTCATTCATTTCTTTGCTATGTAGACTGACCAGAATGGATTCTGTTGCTTGCAGCTAAGACCCATAACTGATGTACTTGGCATTCAAGGCTCACTGTGGTGTGGTCTTTGCTTATATCTCTGGTCCCATCTGCCACCATTCCCAGCCTAGTACTTTACCCTCCAGTGAAAGATCTCTCTCCCTCTTCCATACTCTCTCATGGCCTCTGACCCTTGTACAGGCTGACAGATCCATATTTATTTCACCTCTGTCATCACCTCCTCCGGGAAGCTTTCTGTGATTTTTCCCAGCAGTGTGGGGTACCTGCCTCTCATCTGTATGTCCACAGTTCTTTGGGGCAGGGCCATATGCTCGTTAAGATCATGGTCTCTGGCCAGGTATGGTGGCTCATGCCTGTAATCTCAGCACTTTGGGAGGCCAAGCTGGCGGATCACTTTGAAGCCAGGAGTTCAAGACCAGACTGGCCAATATGGCAAAACCCCTCTACTAAAAATACAAAAATTAGCTGGGTGTGGTGGTGTATGCTTGTAATCCCAGCTACTTGGGAGGCTGAGGCAGGAAAATCACTTGATCACTTGAACCTAGGTGGCGGAGGTTGCAGTGAGTGGAGATTGTACCACTACACTACAGCCTGGGCGACAGAGACTGTCTCAAAAAAAAAAAAGGCCGGGCGCTGTAGCTCACGCCTGTAATCCCAGCACTTTGGGAGGCCTAGGCGAGCAGATCACAAGGTCAGGAGATCGAGACCATCCTGGCTAACACGGTGAAACCCCGTCTCTACTAAAAAATACAAAAAATTAGCTGGGCATGGTGGTGGGTGCCTGTAGTTCCAGCTACTCTGGAGGCTGAGGCAGGAGAATGGCGTGAACCCAGGAGATGGAGCTTGCAGTGAGCCGAGATCGCGCCACTGCACTCCAGCCTGGGCAACAGAGGGAGACTCCACCTCAAAAGAAAAAAAAAAACACAAAAAACAAACAAACAAACAAAAACAAAAAAAGGCCAGGGGGCGTGGTGGCTCATGCCTGTAATCTCAGCACTTTGGGAGGCTGAGGTGGACAGATCATGAGGTCAGGAGTTCGAGACCAGCCTGGCCAACATGGTGAAACCTTGTCTCTACTAAAAATACAAAAATTAGCCAGGTGTGGTGGCGGGCGCCTGTAATCCCAGCTACTTGGGAGGCTGAGGCAGGAGAATTGCTTGAACCTGGGAGGCGCAGGTTGCAGTGAGCTGAGATCGTCCCATTACACTCCAGCCTGGGTGACAAGAGCAAGACTCCATTTCAAAAAAAAAAAAAAAATCGTGGTCTCTGATGTCAGACATAGCTGAGTTCTGACACTGCCTTCTTCTAGCTGCGTGGTTTTAGGCATGTTGTTTATTTTTTATTTATATTTTTATCTTATTTTATGATTATTTTTATTATTATTTTTTGACAGAGTCTCGCTCTGTCACCCAGGCTGGAGTGCAGTGGCGTGATCTCAGCTCACTGCAACCTCTGCCTCCCAGGTTCAAGCAATTCTCCTGCCTCAGCCTCCTGAGTAGCTGGGACTACAGGCGCATGCCACCACACCCAGCTAATTTTTGTATTTATAGTAGAGACGGGGTTTCACCATGTTGGCCAGGCTGATCTTGAACTCCTGACCTCAAGTGATCTGCCTGCCTTGGCCTCCTAAAGTATTTTATTATTTATTTTTTTACAAAAGAGATGGAGGTTTTACTAAGTTGCCCAGGCTGGTCTTGAATTCCTGGACTCAAGCAATCCTCCCGCTTTGGCCTCCCAAAGTGCTGGGATTACGGTCATGGATGTGATTACCACCACACCCGGCCTGAACACACTGTTTAATCTCTGTGAATGCTCTTTTCCTCCTAGGTAAAATAGCATAATAAGAGTTCCTGACTCATAGGTTGCAACAAAAACTGAAGAAAATGCTAAAAAGCACACAGCATGGCTGGGCGCAGTGGCTCAGACCTGTAATCTCAGCACTTTGGGAGGGTGAGGTGGGTGGATCACGAGGTCAAGAGATTGAGACCATCCTGGCCAACATGGTGAAACCCCGTCTCTACTAAAAATACAAAAATTAGCTGGGCGTGGTGGTGCGCGCCTGTAATCCCAGCTACTCGGGAGGCTGAGGCAGGAGAATCGCTTGAACCTGGGAGGCGGAGGTTGCAGTGAGCTGAGATTGCACCACTGCACTCCATCCAGCCTGGTGACTTGAGTGAGACTCTGTCTCAAAAAAAAAAAAAAGCAAACAGCACACAAATTAGGCCCATGGTCAATGTTAGCTGTGGTCATTCCTATGGTCATGCCCAGAAGCCCTGACCTGTCATTCATCGCATGAAGTTGAAATGGTCCGATTCCATGGGGGCTGTCACTTCCCTTATACCAGTTGCTTAGCTCCAGGATGGCAGAGGCCACTCCTTTTTCATCTTTCTATTCTCAGAGTTGACCTAAAAATAGGTGTTTGTCAAGTGGCCTAAATGGATTACCCACCCCAGCTCCTGTAGTTCCTGCCACATGGGACACCATGAGAATCTTCTTTTCTAGCTCTGTGCCAGGAAAGCTTTTGCTGCCTCCGAAGACCTGGGAAGTTTTCTCCTTGGGGACAATTAGGCAACATGGCTCAAGGGCTGCTGCTGGTATCTGGAGTCTGTTAGCCTGGGTCCCTTCCCTTCCCCTTCCCTTCCCCTTCCCTTCCCCTCCCCTTCCCCTTCCCTTCCCCTCCCCTTCCCCTCTCCTTCCCCTCCCCTTCTCCTCTCCTTCCCCTCCCCTTCTCCTCTCCTTCCCCTCCCCTTCTCCTCTCCTTCCCCTCCCCTTCTCCTCTCCTTCCCCTCCCCTTCCCCTCTCCTTCCCCTCCCCTTTCCCTCGCCCTCCACTCCCCCTTCCCCTCTCCCTCCCCTCCCCCTTCCCCTCCCCCTCCCTTTCCCTTCCCCTCTCCCTCCCCTCCCCTCCTCTTTCTTTCTTTCTCTTTTCTTTCTTTCTCCTTTCTTTCTTTCTTTCTTTCTTTCTTTCTTTCTTTCTTTCTTTCTTTCATCTCTTCTTTCTTTCTTTCTTTCATCTCTTCTTTCTTTCTCTTTCTTTCTCTCTCTCTTTCTTTCCTTTTTTTTTTGGAGTCTCACTGTGTTGCCCAGGCTGGAGTGCAGCAGCACGATCTTGGCTTACTGCAACCTCTGCCTTCCAGGTTCAAGCGATTCTCCTGCCTCAGCCTCCCAAGTAGCTTGGAGCTTGGACTACAGGCGCCTGCCACCTCGCCCGGCTAATTTTTTGTATTTTTAGTAGAGACGGGGTTTCACCGTGTTAGCCAGGATGGTCTCAATCTCCTGACCTCGTGATCCACCCGCCTCGGCCTCCCAAAATGCTGGGATTACAGGCGTGAGACACCACACCCAGCTAATTTTTGTATTTTTAGTAGAGATGGAGTTTTACCGTGTTGGTCAGGCTGGTCTTGAACTCCTGACTTTAGATGATCCATCCACCTTGGCCTCCCAAAGTACTGGGATTACAGGCATGAGCCACTGCACCCAGTCTAACCTGGGTTTCAATCCCAGCTGTGTGGCTTGCATCCTGTGTGAACCTTGGTGGAGTTATTTCCCTCTCTGTGCCTCATTTCCTTATCTGCTAGTTTGGCCTGACACACAGGACCGGCTACATAATTTGCAGGGCCCGTTCCAAAATGAAACTTGAGGGCTCTTGTTGAAAAATTATTAAGGATTTCAAAATGGCCACCGTACAGCATGAAACCGAGTGTGTAATTGCATGGCTCATGCCCCCTGAGACCGGCTCTGCTGACACTCACCCAGAGTGCATGCTGGTTTTTTCCTATCTTGCTCAGTGCTCTGTCCACAGTCCCTAGAACAGTAGGTACAGACTGAATACATGTTTATTGAATAGGCCGGGTGCAGTGGCTCATGCCTGTAATCCCAGCACTTTGGGAGGCCGAGGTGGGAGGATCACTTGAAACCAGTAGTTCAGGACCAGCCTGGGCAACAAAGCAAGACCCCATCTCTACAAAATGTAATAATAAAAAAAGAAATCAGCTGGTTGTGATGACAGGTGCCTCAACAACTCAAGAGGCTGAGGCAGGAGGATTGCTTAAGCATAGGAATTTGAGGTTGCAGCGAGCTATGCTCCTGCCACTGCACTGGAGCGTGAGTGAAACAGCCAGACTCTATCTCTAAAAGAAAATATTAAAATTTAAAAAAAATTAGTTGGGTGTGGCAGCACACACCTGCATCCCAGCTACTCAGGAGGCTAAGGCAGGAGGATCACTTGAGGCCAGGAATTGGAGGTTGCAGTGAGCTGTGATCACACCACTGCACTCCACCCTGGGTGACAGAATGAGACCCTATCTCTAAAAAAAAAAACCAATACAACAAAAACAAACAGATGTCAAAGGAGGGGCTCAAACAAATATAAATTAAAAACAGAAAGAAAGAAAGAAAGACATAGGCCAGGCACAGTGGCTCACTCCTGTAATCCTAGCACTTTGGGAGGCCAAGACAGGTGGATCACATGAGGTCAGGAGTTCAAGACCAGCCTGGCCAACATGGTAAAACCCCATCTCTACTAAAAATACAAAAATTAGCTGGGTGTGGTGGCGCATGCCTATAATCCCAGCTACTTGGGAGGCTGAGTCAGAATTGCTTGAACCCGGGAGGTGGAGGTTGAAGTGAGCCGAGATCACGCCATTGCATTCCAGCCTGGGCAACAAGAACAAAACTCTATCTCAAAAAAAAAAAAAAAAAAAAAAAAAAGACCGGGTGCGGTGGTGGCTCATGCCTGTAATCTCAGCACTTTGGGAGGCCGAGGTGGGGGGATCACGAAGTCAGGAGATTGAGTCCATGCTTGCTAATTTGGTGAAAACCCGTCTCTACTAAAAATACAAAAAATTAGCCCGGCATGGTGGCAGGTGCCTGTAGTCCCAGCTACAAAAATTAGCCAAGCATGGCAATGCATGCCTGTAATCCTAGCTACTCGAGTGGTGGGGCACAAGAATCTCTTGAACCCAGGAAGCGGAGGTTGCAGTGAGTCAAGATTGCACCGCTGCACTCCAGTCTGGCCAACAGAGTGGGATTCTGTCTCAAAAAAAAAAAAAAGAAAAGAAAGAAAAGAGAATGCCTTTAGGAAAGGAAAGCCTCAATGCTCTTCCTGGCACACAGTAGATGCTCAGGAAGTATCTGTTGAATGAATGAATGAATGAATGAATGAATGAATGAATGCGTGGACAAAGCAATTCTTTGGCAGTCTTGCTTAAGGGCAGGCTCCCTTTGTGGCTTGTATTCTGTACTCTTTCCTGACTTATGAAGGAGGAAAGGAAGGAAACGGGTGTGTGTCCAGGGCTTCTCCTTGGTGCCCGTGGGTACATTGTTGCGTCTGATCCTCTGGAGAGGTAGGGATTCATGTGCCCTTTCTACAGATGGGGAGACTGAGGCTAGAGGAGGTTAGGAGGAAAGGTGCACGTGGACCCAGCTTTCCTTGGGTCTCCCCAGGGCTGCCCCAGGGCTGAGCAGGCAGAGGTGGTGAAGGAACACCTATGAGTCAGATCAGTGAGGGAACACTAGGCACCATGGTGAGGATGACAGCTCCAGGCTGTCCATAGGCAAGGCTGCAGCAGGACAAGAGGCCACTCAGTCTTTCCCTCCTATCTCTCTCTGCACCTGGGCTCACTTCCATCTGCCTCTTCTCCTCTCCTCCCCACTCCTCAGCTTGTGCCCTTTCAGCATTTTTTTTTTCTTTCTTTTTGGTCTTAATCCATGGCTGAGGACTTGCCTGTGCGGTTTCTGTTGCCCAGGCTGCAGTGCAGTGGCATGATCCTGGCTCCCTGCAACCTCCGCCTCCTGGGTTCAAGCAATTCTCCTGCCTCAGCCTCTCAACTAGCTGGAAATACAGGTGCATGCCACCAAGCCTGGCTAATTCTTGTATTTTTAGTAGAGACGGGGTTTCGCCATGTCAGCCAGGCTGGTCTTGAACTCCTGACCTCAAGTGAGCTGCCCGCCTCAGCCTCCCAAAATTCTGGGATTACAGGTATGAGCCATTATGCCTGTCCTGCCTGCACGGTTTCTTTCTTTCTTTCTTTCTTTCTTTCTTTTTCTTTCTTTCTTTTTTATTATACTTTAAGTTGTAGGGTACATGTGCACAATGTGAAGATTTGTTACATATGTATACATGTGCCATGCTGGTGTGCTACACCCATTAACTCATCATTTACATTGGGTATATCTCCTAATGCTATCCCTCCCCCCTCCCTCCACCGCACAACAGGCCCTGGTGTGTGATGTTCCCCACCCTGTGTCCAAGTGTTTTCATTGTTCAATTCCCACCTATGAGTGAGAACATGCGGTGTTTGGTTTTCTGTCCTTGCGATAGTTTGCTCAGAATGATGGTTTCCAGCTTCATCCATGTCCCTACAAAGGACATGAACTCATCCTTTTTTATGGCTGCATAATCCATAAATGGATTTCTTAATCCAGTCTATTATTGATGGACATTTGGGTTGGTTCCAAGTCTTTGCTATTGTGAATAGTGCCGCAATAAACATACGTGCCTGCCTGCACAGTTTCTAAGAACCAAAAGGTTGACCTGGTGGAAGATAGAGGTTGCAGGCCCTCCACACCCCTGCTACTCATACCTCCATGCTTCAACTTTTCCATCTATAAATTGGGGTTGTTATAAGGATTCTGGGTGATGTGTGTTGGTTCTGAGTACAGTTCTGGCCAATGGGAAGTGCCCAACAGAGGAAAATTGTTGTTGTTATTATTTTGCCTGTTCCTAAGCCTAACCCAACAGAAGCTCTTTAATATTCTGGAAACTGGGATGGCACAGTGGCTCATACCTATAACCCCAGCATTTTGGGAGGCCAAGGTGGGAGGCTCACTTCAGCCCAGGAGTTTGAGACCAGCCTGGGCAACCTAGCAAGACCTTCTCCCTATGAAAAAATAAAAAAGTAGCCAGGCACAGTGGTGAGCACCTGTCGTCCCCCAGTGGCTTGGGAGGCTGAAGTGGGAGGATCACCTGAGCCTGGAAGTTTGAGGCTGCTGTGAGCTATGATGGCACCACTGCACTCCAGCCTGGGTGACAGAGCAAGAAATTATTATTATTATTATTTTTAAGTGGCCAGGCATGGTGGCTCATGCTTGTAATCTCAGCACTTTGGAAGGCTGAGATGGGAGGATTGCTTGAGCCCAGCAGTTCAAGAACAGCCTGGGCAACATAGTGAGACCCCTTCTCTAAAAATAAAATTAAATGTTTAAAAATCTGGAAACTAATTCTGGAGAGGACTGGAGTCTGAGATTCTGAAGGTTTATTTTGGATACATTGTACCTCAATTTTATGATCACGAAAATGCAAGTCTCTGCATGTCTGACCCCCAGGAAGGTGTTGAGATGTTGGTCATTTGAGTCAGTGGACAGGAAAACCAGGGGTGAATCCTGTAGAATTTACACAGGGCCAAGTTTGGATGGTAAGCCCAGGGAGGGCAGGGCTGAGACGAAGCATGGCCTTCCCCAACATGATGTTCATTTAAGGTTTGTGGAGTGACTCACGATGCATAGGTGGTGACTGACCACTGGTGAGTATACTGGAGCTAGAGAATGACCCCATGTCCTAAGCAGCCCCAAAATTTCTTGGCAGGTCACAGCAGAGGGAGCTGTGCCCAGGGAATCTTTTTGGACATTGCAAAGATGATTTTTCTCTCTTGGGAACGAGTCTGATCTCTTTAACTCCTTTGTGAAGATGCCAAAAACATCTGCAGTGGACACTGCTGGAATTGCTCATGAGATGTAAGCCACGTTTCAGAGAAAAGAGCAATCTATCAGAGGATATTCCTTCCAGCAACTGAGAACCTTTCAGAGCTTGATTGCTGTGAATGCTCCAGCCTTTCCAAAGTGTTTTACGCCACTCTCAAATGAGATAACGAAGCACTTTAATTTACTGTTCAACTCCCAAACAGAGTGAGTGGGTAAGGCATCATCCGCACCCCAGGCCTAAGGAGATAGAAGGCTGGAACCAGGCTCAGGAGGCCACACTGAACCCAGCATGTTGTCAATGGTCCTCAGATCTATTTTTTTTTTTTTTTTTTTTGAGACAGGGTCTTGCCCTGTCACCCAGGCTAGAGTGCAGTGATGTGATCATAGTTCACTGCAGCCTCAAAATCCTGGATTCAAGGGATCCTGCTGCCTCAGCCTCCCGAGTAGCTGGGACTACAGGCACATACCACCATGCCTGGCTAGTTTTTTTCATTTTCTTTAGAGATGGAGTCTTGCTATGTTGCCCAGGCTAATCTTGAATTCCTGATCTTAAGCAATCCACCCACCCTGGCCTCTCAAAGTGCTGGGATTGCAGGTGTGAGCCACTGTGCCCAGCCTCTTCCTAGCTCTTGGGTCCCTCTTGCAAACTGACCCATGGGAACAACTTTGCTGGGCCTCTGAATTTGACTAAATGTCCTTAAATTCTGTGGACAGGATCAGAGTTTAGATTAAAGTGAGGACATCTCCTTCCCTTCCTTTTTTATCCTCCACTACAATCACAATCTCTGTCATTTTATGAGAGGGAAACTGAGGCTCAGAGGAGTTGAGTCACTCCCTTCGGAGTGCAGAGTTAGGTCACAAAAGACTAAAATTAGATCCAGGTCTGCCTGGCCTTCCACTACTCTAGAGGCTGCTCCAGAGGGGTTCCCTTTTGTCTCACGAAGGCCTGGAGCCACTTGGTCACCCTCTCTAGAACTTCCCTCCAAGAATATGAAAAGGCATTCTTCCTCATTCATGGCAGATGCAGATGAAAACACAAAGCGTAAGGCTAGGTGTGGTGGCTCGTGACTGTAATCCCAGCACTTTGGGAAGCTGAGGTGGGGGGATCACTTGAGGTCAGGAGTTTGAGACCAGCCTGACCAACATGATGAAACCTCGTCTCTACTAAAAATACAAAAATTAGCCAGATGTGGTGGTGCACACCTGTAGTCCCAGCTACTGGGGAGGCTGAGGCAGGAGAATCACTTGAACCTGGGAGGTGGAGGTTGCAGTGAGCCGAGATCGCACCATTGCACTCCAGCCTGGGTGACAAGAGTGAGATTCTGTCTCAAAAAGGAAAAAGAAAAATAAAAAGAAAGCACAAAGTACAGCCCTACTGTGGCAGAGTGCAGAGGCACATGGTTCACACCACCTTCCATGAAGGGTTTGTGGCCCCTCTGTGAATGCTGTCCACAGGAACTGTCTCAACTACAGGGAACTCCTTCTCCCAATATCCCATGGCCGTGGAAGGGTGGAGGTCCAACCACCTTGGCCAAGCCTGGACAAGTGTGAATGGCTGTTTCAGCTCCTGTTCTCCTGGGCTCAGTGGAAGCTTACCTTCTCACCATTTCTCCATTGCTTGCTCCTGCTTCCTTCTGGCCTCTTGCTCTCAAGAACACCTTTTTTTTTTTTTTTTTTAAAGAGACAGTGTCTTGCTCTGTCACCCAGGTTGGAGGTGCGGTGGTGCAATCATGGCTCACTGCAGCCTCTTAACTCCTGGGTTCAAGTGATCCTCCTGCCTCATCCTCCTGAGTAGCTAGGACTACAGGTATGCACCATCATGCCCAGCTTTTTTATTTTTTGTGGAGGTGGGGGTCTTGCTATGTTGCCCAGGCTGGTCTTGAATTCCAATTCCTGGGCTCAAGCAATCCTCAGCTTCCCAAAGTGCTGGGATTACAGCCATAAACCACTGTGCCTGGCCTTCAAGGGCACTGCTTAATAAATATCCTGCTTGCTCAATCCATCTCAGAGCGTTTCATGGGGAACGTCATCTGTGAGGTTGCACATACAACCTGTGCATATGTATCAAAACATCCCTAGGTACCCCATAAATATGTGCAATTCTTATTTGCAATTGAAACAAAACAGGCTGGGTGCAGTGGCTTATGCCTGTAATCCCAGCACTTTGGAAGGCTGAGGCAGGCAGATCACTTGAGGTCAGGAGTTTGAGACCAGACTGGCCAATGTAGTGAAACCTTGTCTCTACTAAAAATACAAAAATTATCCAGGTGTGGTGGCACATGCCTGTAATCCCAGCTACTCAGGAGGCTGAGGCAGAATTGCCTGAACTCAGGAGATGGAGGTTGCAATGAGCCAAGATTGTGCCACTGCATTCCACCCTGAGCAGCAGAGTGAGACTCCATCTCAAAAACTAAACTAAACTAACTAAATAAATAAAACAAACAAAATCTTGAAAAAATTAAAGAATTTTATCTATCTAAATTCCCCTTTCCTTCTCCCTAACACGAAAAGCTCTATCCTGTTAACCATGTTTTGAAACTCCATAAACCAACACATACATGGTTAGTTGATTTTTTTTTTTTTTTTAATAATAGAGATAGGGTTTCAACATGTTGCCCAGGCTGGTCTTGAACTCTTGGGCTCAAGCAATCTGCCCACCTCAGGGTCAGCTGGTTTTTACAAAATGGCAAAGACAATCAAATGGATAAATGGTAGTCATGTCAACAAATGGTGTTGCAGCTGGGCATGGCTGCTCACGCCTGTAATCCCAACACTTTGGGAGGCTGAGGCAGGAGGATGGCTTGAGGCCAGGAGTTCATGACCAGCCTGGACAACATAGCAAGACCCTGTCACTAAAAAAAAAGAAGCAGCAGCTGTGTGTGGTGCTATGTGCCTGTAGTCCCAGCTACTTGGGAGCCTGAGGTGGGAGGATTGCTTGAGTTTGAGGCTGCAGTGACCTGTGATTGTACCACTGCACTCTATTCAGCCTGGTTGACGGAGGAAGACTCTGTCTCAACAACAAACAAACAAACAACAAGTGATATTGGAATAACTAGTCGTGCATATGTTTTTTTAAAAAAGAGAGAACCTTGACCACCTCTACCTTACAACTTAACAAAAGTTATTTCAAAATGGATCATAGACCTAAATCCAACCTCAAAATTAAAATACTTCCCGAAGGAAACATAGCAGAAAATCTTTGTGAGCTTAGATTAGGAAAAAAGTTTCTTAGATATAGCTTCTATATCCATGAAGCATAAACAAAAACATATGCTAAACTAGATTTCATAAAAATTAAAAACATCTGATTTTCAAAAGACACTCTTATGAAAATGGAAAAACAAACCACAAACCGGGAAAAAATGTTTGCAAGGCACATAAATGATAAAGGACTTTTATTGAGAATGTAAAGAATCCTCAAAAGTCAGTAGTAAGAAAATAACTAAATTTAAAATGACCAAAAAGTCCAACACAGTGGCTTATGGCTGTAATCCCAGCACTTTGGGAGGCCAAAGCAGGAGGATCGCGTGAGTCCAGAAGTTCAAGACCAGCCCGGGCAACACAGTAAGACCTTGTCTCTACAAAATATATATAGCTGGGTATGGTGGTGTGTTCCTGTGGTCCCAGCTACTCAGGAGGCTGAAGTAGGAGGATCACTTGAGCCTGTGAGGTTGAGGCTGCAGCAAACTGTGATTGTGCCACTGCACTCTAGCCTCAGCAAAAAATAAATAAATAAAAATAATTTTAAATTAAAAAGAAGAAGAAAAAAATTTAAAGTGAACATACAGCCGGGCATGGTGGCCCACGCCTGTAATCCCAGCACTTTGGGTGGCTTAGGCAGGTGGATCACCTGAGGTCAGGAGTTTGAGACCAGCCTGGCCAACATGGTGAAACCCCATCTCTACTAAAAATACAAAAATTAGCCCGGCATGGTGGCTGGTGTCTGTAATCCCACCTACTTGGGAGGCTGAGGCAGAAGAATCACTTGAACCTGGGAGGCAGAAGCTATAGTGAGCCGAGAAGGTGCCACTGCACTCCAGCCTGGGCGACAGAGTGAGACTTGGTCTCAATAAATAAATAAATAAATAAATGTAACATACACTTACCACATGACCCAGCAATCCCATTTTTAGGTGTTTAACCAGGAGAAATGAAAATTTGTATTCAAACAAAAGTCGGTTCACAAATATTTATGGTCAGTTTATTTATAATTGCCCCAAAGTACAAACAAGTCAAATGCACTTCAACTACAGAATGGATAAATTGGTACATCCATACAGTAGACTACTATTCAGCAGTTAAAAAAAAAGCCGTTGAGATACTCAACAACATGAATGAATCTCAAAGGCATTATGCTAAGTGGAAGAAGACAGACTCAAAATGCTATGTGCTCCATGATTACAGGAGATGTGAGGTGGGGGTAAGACTTGACTACAATAGGGCAGTGTGCAATTTTGGGGAATGATGGAACCCTTTTATATCTTGATTGTGATGATGTCTACCTAAAGGTATGCATTCTGCCAGACTCACAAAACTGTACACAAAGACTAGTCAATTTCACTGTATGCAAATTGTAGCTCAATAAACCAGACTGGAAAAGTTGAACCATAAACATTGTATATAACTGGTATCATATTGTATGTATCCTTCTGCAACCTGCTTTTTTTGCTCACTACTAATGACTTTTGAGGTTTATCCAAGTTGATACTACGTAGACTATAATGATATATGTAGCTTTTCTTTCTTTATTTTAACTGCTACAACATATTCCATTATACATTATACTTTGTTTATCCAGTCTCCTGTTGGTGAACATTTACTTTGTTTCTGTTTTTTTCTCTTGTTTTAAACAATGTTGCAATAAACATTCCTGTAAATGTATTCTATAGCACTAGTGCTGGAATCTCTCTGCAAGATATTTACGTAGAATAGTATGTGGAATGGTTGGGATAAGAGGGTGGTGAATATCTCTGTTTTGCTCTCCAAGGGCTTATACCAACTGACACTCTACCAGCATGTGTCAGAATCTCCTTTTTCTACACACCCATCAATAATTGGGATTATCAGACTTTAGCTTTTGCTTAGCTGATAAATGTAAAATGATATATTGTTGCTGCTTTATTTTTACAATTTCTCTGATTGTCATTGTGGTTGAACATCTATTCATGTTTGTGGGTCATTTGGGTTTTCCTTCTGTGAATTGCCTGTTCATATTCTTTGCCTGTTTTTTTTTTTTTTTTTTAATTGTCTTCCCTTCCATTCCCTTCCCCTTCCCCTTCCTCTCCCCCTTCCCCTCCCCTCCCCTTCCCTTCTCTTCTCTTTTTTCCTTCTTCACAGATTGTTGCCCAGGCTGGTGAGCAGTGGCGTGATCTTGGCTCACTGCAACCTTGGCCTCCAAGGTTCAAGTGATTATCCTGCCTCAGCCTCCCAAGCAGCTGGGATTACAAGCGCACACCACCATGCCTGGCTAATTTTTTTTTTTTTTCATTTTTAGTAGAGGCAGGGTTTCATGATGTTGGTCAGGATAATCTCAAACTCCTGACCTCTGCTGATCTGCCCACATCGGCCTCCCAAAGTGCTGGGATTATAGGCATGAGCCACCACACCTGGCCTAGTAACTTTTAAGATTTCCATCCTGAGGTTGGGCGCAGTAGCTCAGGCCTGTAGTCCCAGCACTCCAGGAGGCCGAGGCAGGCTGATCACTTCACTTCGGGAGTTTGAGACCAGCCTGACCAACATGGAGAAACCCTGTCTCTACTAAAAAAATACAAAAAAAAAAAAAAAAAAAAAAAAAAAAAGCCAGGCGTGGTGGTGCATGCCTGTAATCCCAACTACTCGGGAGGCTGAGG
Source organism: Homo sapiens (assembly GCF_000001405.40). Lineage (NCBI taxonomy): Eukaryota > Metazoa > Chordata > Mammalia > Primates > Hominidae > Homo > Homo sapiens. The sequence continues at coordinate 73,127,031 of NC_000007.14, read as the reverse complement.
CAGGAGAACTACTTGAACCCGGGAGGTGGAGGTTGTAGTGAGCTGAGATGGCGCCATTGCACTCCAGCCTGGGCAACAAGAGTGAAACTCCATCTCCAAAAAAAAAAAAAAAAAAAAAAAAACCACCAACAACAATAAAGATTTCCATCCTGGGCAACATAGCAAGATCCCATCTCTAAAAAAATACAAATATTAGCTAGGCATGGTGGTGCCTGCTTGCAGGCTTGTAGTCCCAGTTACTTGGGAGAATTGCTTGAGCCCAGGAGTTTGAGGCTACAGTGAGCTATGATTGCACCACTGCACTCCAGCCTGGGTGACAGAGTGAGACCCTATCTCAAAAAAAGAAAAAAAAAGAAAAAAAATTCCTCTTTATCCTTGATGTTAAGTGGTTTAATAATGATAGAACCCTATATAGACATATTAATTTATGCTGTTTGTTCTTAGAGTATGTTTTTGATTTGAGGACTTGTATGACTCTTTAGTTCTTTTTTCTTTCTTTTCCTTTTTTTTTTTTTTTTTTTTTTTGAGATGGAGTCTTGCTCTGTCATCCAGTCTGGAGTGCAGTGGCACAATATTGGCTCACTGCAACCTCTGCCTCCCGGGTTCAAGTGATTCTCCTGCCTTAGCCTCCTGAGTAGGTGGGACTACAGGTGCACGCCACCACGCCAGGCTAATTTTTGTATTTTTAGTAGAGACGAGGTTTCACCATATTGGCCAGGCTGGTCTGGAACTCCTGACCTCAGTTGATCCACTTGCTTCAGCCTCCCAAAGTGCTGGGTTTATAGGCATGAGCCAAAACGCCCAGCCTAGTTTTTGAAAATTCTCATTGATTGTCCATCATATATTGCTTCTCTGTGATTTTCTGCTGTTTTTCTAAAACTTCCATTAGCCCTATGTTGCAGTCCCTCCATCTTTCTCCCATTTCTCATAATTGCTCTTTTGTGAATTTCATCTTTGGCTCCTAGTGCTCTTGTGTTGGTCTGGACCCTTCTAGTAACAGAACGGCCATATGAATGGAGGTCCATGCAGGGTTTCTCTCTCTCTCTTTTTAGAGACAAGGTCTTTTCTTTTTTTTCTTGCTTCATTGTCTATGCTGGAGTGCAGTGGTGCAATCTTGGCTCACTGCAACCTCTGCCTCCCAGGTTCAAGCAATTCTCCCGCCTCAGCCTCCCAAGTAGCTGGGATTACAGGTGCATGCCACCACACCCGGCTAATTTTTGTATTTTTAGTAAAGATGGAGTTTCACAATGTTGGCCAGGCTGGTCTCGAACTTCTGACCTCAGGTGATCTGTCTGCCTTAGCCTCCCAAAGTGCTGGGATTACAGGTGTGAGCCACTGCACCTGGCCTAGAGACAGGGTCTTGCTCTGTTGTCCAGGTTGGAGTGCAGTGGTGCAATCCTAGCTCACTGCAACCCCCAACTCCTGACTTCAAGAGATCATTTCTCCTCAGTCTTCAGAGTAGCTGGGACCACAGGTGTGTGCTACCATGCCTGGCTAAGGTTTCTGTCAAAAGTGACATTGAGATCTGAAGGGTGGTGAAATGTCATTTAGGAACAGGGGAAGTTAGGGCTGGGGGAGTCCTCCAGGCAATAGAAACAGGATTTATGAAGATGAGATGGTGCCTGACACAAAGGGCTTGGATGGGTGCAGATTGGAAGCCACCAGAAGGCTCTAGCCCAAGAGAAGACTGGATACATTGGCAGATTCTTCTGGCTGCCTTGTGGAGTAGAGGACAGGAGGAGGTCAAGGGCAGGGGTGGGGAATCCAGCCTGGAAGTGACTGCAGCCTAGCTGAGAGAGCCGTGGTGGCCAGGACCAGTGAGGCAGCAGCGTGGATGGAGAGAGAGGAGGGATGCAGAGATGTTTAGGACATGAGCTGGCCGGTGATGGATAGCATGGGGTAGGCTGGTGGTGGTGAGGGGGTCCAGGGTCCAGCTGCCACTAGGAGGGTGGGTAGGTTTGGGGACAACCCCTTGTCTTTCTGATCCTTGTTCAGGTGAGATCCCCCTGCACAAATTTCACCTGCTGTTTTTTTTTTCCTGAGCCATTTCAGACTGCCTCCTGGGGATGAGGTCTGCATGATTTTATTTCTTTATTTATTTATTTATTTAGACAGAGTCTTGCTCTGTTACCCAGGCTGCAGTGCAGTGGTGTGATCTCGGCTCACTGCAACCTCCGCCTCCTGGGTTCAAGCGATCCTCCTGATTCAGCCTCCTGAGTAGCTGGGATTACAGGCATGCGCCACCACATCTGGTTAATTTTTGTATTTTTAGTAGAGACAGGGTTTCACCATGTTGGCCAGGCTGGTCTTGAACTCCTGGCCTCAAGTGATCCACCTGCCTTGGCCTCCTAAAGTGCTGGGATTATAGGCATGAGCCTCTGTCTACGGAATCTTGTAGCCTACAAAATCTTCTGGCCTCTGTCTGCAGAATCTTGTCTGTACCCCGTGCTAGCCTCTCCTCTGACCCACTGGGAGTGTTAAGTCCATTCTTCTGGACTTTTGCTCCAGCTGTGATGAATACTATGCTTCTACCTCAGTCCTGAGCCTGGACCCAGCTGTGCAAGCCTGGCCAGACCCCTCTCCCAGGGCTGAACACCAATTTCAAGTCTTCAGGTCCTACTGCAATCTAAACAGGCTATCCAGAAGAGAATCCTGCACCAGTCCAAGTGTGAGCAGGCCTGGAGACTCTGCTGCTGAACTGCACCCCCTGATGGCCAGCCTGGATGTCACTTCTATCCTGCTTGAGCCAGGCTCCCCGGATCCCTGGACCACCTCCACTCCAGACCAGACAATGGGGAAGCTGCTGGTCCCACACCATTTCTGAGTTTTCTCCTCTATCCTTCTGCTTAAAGTTCCCTCCAAGGACTTAAGTGCAAGTCATCCCAGAAACCCAGGTAGGGGAGTAGAGAGGCCAGATATGGACAGGAAGGCTGCCAAGAAAGGGGTGTTAGTCAGGCACAATGGCTCAGGTCTGTAAGCCCAGAACTTTGGGAGGCTGAGGCCGGAAGATTGCTTGAACCTAGGAGGACTGCTTGAGACCAGCCTGGGCAACACGGCGAAACCCTATCTCTACAAAAAAACAAAAAAACAAAAAAACCCCACAAAAATTAGCTGGACGTGGTTGTGTGCACCTGTAGTCCCAGCAGAGGGACTCTTGAGGCAGAGGTTGTAGTAAGCCCAGATCGCACCATTGCACTCCAGCCAGAGAGAGAGAGAGAGAGAGAGAGAGAGAGAGAGAGAGAGGGAGAGAGAGAGAGAGAGAGAGAAAGGAAATGGCCAGGCGCAGTGGCTCATGCCTGTAATCCCAGCACTTTGGGAAGCTGAGGTGGGCAGATCACTTGAGGTCAGGAGTTCAAAACCAGCCTGGCCAACATGGGGAAACTCCCTCTCTACTAAAAACATAAAATTAGCCAGGTGTGGTGGCACATGCCTGTAATCCCAGGAGGGTGAGGCAGGAGAATTGCTTGAATCTGGGAGGCGGAGGTTGCAGTGAGCTGAGATCACACCACTGCACTCCAGCTTGGGCGACAAGAGCAAAACTCCATCTAAAAAAACACCAAAAGAATGAAAAAAGAAATGAGTGCTATCAAGGAAGTTACCAGTTACCAGTGTGGGCAATTGAGCTTAAACCTGGTGGGGACCTCTGGGAGGCAGTACAGAATGTGGAAACCCATGGTTGTCCCACCTGTGTGGGGTCATGTGGCTAAGCTGTTTACACACCCATTTTCATCAGTCACTGGCTAAGAGCAGCCCCTGGGGGAGGGGCCTTCATGCATTTGCTTCTGCTCTGCCCTGGCAGGCTCAGAGGCTCAGGCAAGAGCTACAGATGCTCATGACCGAATGTCTCACCTGGGCCAGGAATGGCAGCAGCAAGCACCCTCTCAGCCTAGCCCAGAAGCCAGAGTTCCTATTTCATCAGTTGCAAAGCAGAGACAATGCCATCTGCCCGATAGCAGAGCAAAAGGCAGGTGGGAGCAGGGTCCTCTGAGAGCTGGGGAGGGGCTGGAGTGGCCCTCAGTGCTGTGCACATGTGCCCTAGATACATGGGAATTGGACCTGGATCCCCCCTTTCCCCAAGCTCTGGCCACCGGCTCCTCCTGATGTGATGTTCTTGTTCTAAAAACAGATATGTCACACCTCAAGCAGATTTGCAGTCCCTTGACAGCAGCCTCATCTGGCACATAAAGGACCTCTGCCTCTCTGCATGGCTTCCCAGGGCCCCGGAGAACAGTGAGGCTGCCTTGGCCTCCACCTGCTGCTCCAGAGGGCAGCACAGCCCCGGACTCCATCTCCCCAGCCCCTGTGGGAAGGGGGACGTTCCTGGAGTGGGAGCCCATTTGGTCTTAGAGCTCTGCTAACAGACGGTTGGTACCTCCAAAGGCTGAACTGGGGAACCATTTTATTTTGCTGTCCAGCCTCTTTCTTTTTTTTTTCTTTTTCTTTTTTTTCAGATGGAGTCTCACTCTGTTGCCCGGGCTGGAGTGCAGTGGCGCTATCTCAGCTCACTGCAACCTGTGCCTCCCAGGTTCAAGCGATTCTCCTGCCTCAGCCTCCCGAGTAGCTGGGATTACAGGTGCCTGCCACCACCACACCCAGCTAATTTTTGTATTTTTAGTAGAGACGGGGTTTCACCATATTAGCCAGGATGGTCTCAATCTCTTGACCTCGTGATCTGCCTGTCTTGGCCTCCCAAAGTGTTGAGGTTACAGGCATGAGCCACTGCACTGGGCTACCACCCAGCCACTTGGTTCCTCTGGGTGACAAGATTCAACATGTCCCTGAGGCTAGGGAATTTCTGTCCAGAGCAGGGTGGCCCCATCAGAGCCTCCTACTTCAGGAATCCTGAGGCCCATGGAGCCTGGATACCCTCTCTACTCTTCTCCCAGAAGGTATTTGCCCCAGGCACTTTGCAGACCAACCAGGAAGCATGGCAGAAGGCCAGGAATGGCTGGGGGCTGGTGGGAAGGATCAGGCCCGGCCCAGGCATTGCTGCTCTAGGGTCTCAAGGGTTCCCTGTCACTTTGGCCATTCTTCTGTTGCTAGTGTTCCTGGGCCCCTGGCAGCTGGGATCATTGAGGCCTCCCCACTGGGGGTGCTGGGGCCAGTCCTAGCCAGGGCAGAGAGTGGGTCAGCCGTCTCAGCTCCTTGAGTGGTTGGTGCTGGTACTGGTCTCATGGTTTTAGACCTGGCACCCAGTGGGTATGGGGAGCCCTGGGCACCTGTGGGCCTACTTATGGAAGTCATCCTCTTCCCTTATCAGGTACCGCCAACCCTGTGGTGCAGCTGCTGCCCCAGTTTCCCCTTGTGCTCCAGGTCCCCACTGTGGCAGTTGCTCTTCTCTGAGATCCAGCCAGTGTAGCTGAGTCCCTGGTGTCTTGCTAACTTCCTGCCAGCCCCTGAACCCAGAACTCTCTCTTTCCCTTGGCCACTGGCTAGGAGCCTCTACCACTGAAAAAACTCAGTTTCCTAGCCAGGTGCAGTGGCTCACGCCTGTAACCTCAGCACTTTGGGAGGCTGAGGCAGGAGGATCGCTTGAGAACAGGAGTTTGAGACCAGCCTGGGCAACATAGTGAGACTCCACCTCTAAAAAAAAAAAAAAAAAAAAGCCAGGCATGGTGGTGCATGCCTGTAGTCCCAGCTCCTTGGGGGGATTACTTGAGCCTGGGAGGTTGAGGCTGCAGTGAGCTATGAGGCTTGCCACTGTACTCCAGCCTGGGAGACAGAGTATGACCCTGTCTCAGTAACCAAAACCAAAACCAACCAACCAAACAAAAAAGGAAAAAACCCTCATTTTCCTTCTCTGTTAATATGGGTGATAATGCCCACCCTATAGAGTTGTTGGAAGGCATACTGATAGCATTTTTACACATTTGACACTCCCTGGTAGATAGCAGGTGCTCAGTAAAAAGTGACAATGGGCTGGACACCGTGACTCATGCCTGTAATCCCAGCACTTTGGGAGGCTGAGGCGGGTGGATCACCTGAGGTCAGGAGTTCGAGACCAGCCTGGCCAACATGGTGAAACCCCATCTCTACTAAAAATACAAAAATTAGCTGGGTGTGGTTGTGGGCACCTGTAGCTACACAGGAAGCTGAGGCAGGAGAACAACTTGAACCCAGGAGGTGGAGGTTGCAGTGGGCCACTGCACTCCAGCCTGGGCAACAACAGTGAAACTCTGTCTCAAAAAAAAGTGACAATGATCATTCCTGGTGTTAATAACAGACTTCCTTTTTTTTTTTTTTTGAGACAGAATCTCCCTCTGTTGCCCAGGCTGGAGTGCAGAGACACGATCTTGGCTCACTGCAAGCTCCGCCTCCTGGGTTCACGCCATTCTCCTGCCTCAGCCTCCTGAATAGCTGGGACTACAGGTGCCTGCCACCACGTCCAGCTAATTTTTTGTATTTTTAGTAGAGACAGGGTTTCACCATGTTAGCCAGGATGGTCTCGATCTCCTGACCTTGTGATCTGCCCGCCTCGGCCTCCCAGAGTGCTGGGATTATAGGTGTGAACCACCGCACCCAGCCAATAACAGACTTATCTTTTTGCCTCTCACCTGACTCTGAGAGACTTTTGCTGCCATGATCTCTACATCTGAACTCCTCCCGAGAGCAGAGCTGCCCAGAAGGACCATCTGTGGTGATGGAAATGTTCTATGAATGCACCATCCAATATGCTGGCCACTTGAACACATGTGGTCCTGGCCCTTGTAGGCACTGGAATTGTGAGCAGCGTGACTGAGTATCTTAGTCTACTTGGGCTTCTGTTACAGAAAACCATAGGCTGGGTGGCTTAAACAACATACATTTCTCTCTCACAATTCCAAGATTGAGGAACCAGCAGATTGGTGTCTGGTGAGGGCCCACTTCCTGGTTTGTGGATGGCTGTCTTCTCCCTGTATCCTCACATGATGGGGAGTGATATAGTTTGGCTCTGTGTCCCCTGCTTAAATCTCATGCCGAGACCGGGCACAGTGGCTCACACCTGTAATCCCAGCACTTTGAGAGGCCAAGGCGGGCGGATCACCTGAGGCCAGGAGTTCGAGATTAGCCTGGACCACATGGTGAAACCCTGTCTCCACTAAAAATACAAAATTAGCTGGGTGTGGTGGTGGGCACCTGTAATCCCAGTTACTCGGGAGGCTGAAGCAGGAGAATCGTTTGAACCTGGGAGGCAGAAGTTGCAGTGAGCCCAGATGGCACCACTGCACTCCAGCCTGGGCGACAGAGTGAAACTGTGTCTCAAAAAAAAAAAAAAACAAAAAAAGAAAAAAAAAGAGGTTTCATGTCAAATTGTAATCCCCAGTGTTGGAGGTGGGGCCTGGTAGGAGGTGATTAAATCACGGGGCGGATTTCTCATGAATGGGCTGGCACCATCCCCTCCGTACTGTTTTCATGGTAGAAGGTTATCATGAGCTCTGCTTGTTTAAAAGTGAGTAGCACCTCCCCACCTCTCTCTCATCTTCTTGCTCTGACCATGTGAAATGTGCGTGCTTCCCCTTCACCTTCTGCCATGATTGTAAGTTTCCTAAGACCTCCCCAGAAGCTGAGCAGATGTCAGAATCATGCGTCCTGTACAGCCCATGGAATGTAAGCCAATTAAAACTCTTTTCTTGGCTGGGTGTGGTGGCTTGCACCTGTAATCCCAGCACTTTGGGAGGCCAAGGTGGGTGGATAACCTGAGGTCATGAGTTCGAGACCAGCCTGGGCAACATGGTGAAACCCCGTCTCTACTAAAAATACAAAAATTTGCTGGGCGTGGTGGCAGACGCCTGTAATCCAGCTACTCAGGAGGCTGAGGCAGGAGAATGGCTTGAACCCAGGAGATGGAGGTGGCAGTGAGCCAAGATCGTGCCATTGCACTCTTGCCTGGGTGATGACAGCGAAACTCCATCTCCAAAAACAAAACAAAACAAAACACCCCTCTTTTCTTTATAAATTACCCAGTCTCAGGTTTTTCTTTATAGCAGTGCCAGAATGGACCAAGACAGGGAGAGAGGAAGCAAGCTCTCTGATGACTCTTCTCAAAAGGCTGCTAATCCCATCAAGTGAATTCCACCCTTATAACCTCCTCTCAACGTGATCACCTCCCAAACTTCTCGCCTCCAAATACCAACACATTGGGAGTTAGGAGTTTGACATATGAATTTTGGAGAGTCCACAAACATTCTGCCTGTAACACTAGAAAAGAAATTTTGATTTCATTTTATCTATTTGTTTGAGACAGAGTCTTGCTCTGTTGCCCAGGCTGCAGTGCAGTGGCGTGATCTCGGCTCACTGCAACCTCCACCTCCCAGGTTCAAATGATTCTCCTGACTCAGCCTCCTGAATAGTTGGGACTATGGGCACCCACCACCATGCCTGGCTAATGTTTTTTGTATTTTTAGTAGAGACAAGGTTTCACCATGTTGGCCAGGCTGGTCTCGAACTCCTGACCTCAAGTGATCCTCCCACCTCGGCCTCCCAAAGTGCTGGGATTACAGGGTGAGCCAGCGAACTTGGCCTTCCTTTAATTTTAATCAATTTAAATGTAAAGAGCTGCATGTAGCTAGGAGCTACTGAATTGGACAGCACAGCCTTAAGGAGAGTGGAAATCAGCTGAATCCAGTTGAAACAGGAGTTAAACCAGTTGGAGCCAGCCAACATTGGATGACTTTGGCTGAAACCACCTGAAACTGGTTGAAAGGAGCCACAAACTGTTCACAACCAGCTGAAGCTGAATTAACCTGGCTGAAACTGGATGAAGTCATTTGAAACCAGCTGAAACTGGATCAAACCAGCTGGCAGTGGTTGAAACCAGATGAAATCATTTAAGTAGGGTTTGTCATATTATTTTGCTTCTTGATGAACTAGTCCTGGCTTTTTTTTTTTTTTTTTTTTTTTTGACAGAGAGTCTTGCTGTGTCGCCCAGGCTGGAGTGCAGTGGTGCGATTTCAGCTCACTGCAACCTTCTCCTCCAGGGTTAAAGTGATCTTCCTGCCTCAGCCTCCTGAGCAGCTGGGATTACAGGAGTGCACCACCACTCCCGACTAATTTTTGTATTTTCAGTACAGACAGGGGTTTCACCATGCTGGCCAGGTTGGTCTCGAACTCCTGACCTCAGGTGATCCACCTGTCTTGGCCTCCCAAAGTGCTGGTATTACAGGCATGAGCCCTGGTGCCCAGCAGCATACACATTTAGTTTTATTCTAACAAGGTAGCTTGTACATTTTAAGATATAAAACTGAACATCTTTTTTCCTCTCTGGAGAAACATAAGGAAAACCAAGGAACTTTTTACAACAAACATTTTTAAACATTTACAAAAGTAGACAGAAGAGTACAGTGAACCCCCATGGACCCACTGCCCAGCTTAAATAGCAATCAGGATTTTGCCAATGTGCTCCAAACTGTCCTCCCCTTCCCCTCTTTTTCTTGGCTGGGATGTTTTAAAGCAAATCCTAGATATGTCATAAAAAGAAAATGTAAAAATAAAACAGAACAAAAATTACAATGCAGAATACCATTTCCAAATAAGATCTGGCCAGGCATGGTGGCTCATGCCTGTAATCCCAGCACTTTGGGAGGCTAAGCAGGGGCAGATCACATGAGGTCAGGAGTTCAAGACCAGCCTGGCCAACATGGTGAAACCCTGTCTCTATTAAAAATACAAAAATTAGGCCGGGCGCAGTGGCTCACACCTGTAATCCCAGCACTTTGGGAGGCCGAGGCGGGTGGATCAAGAGGTCAGGAGATTGAGACCATCCTGGCTAACATGGTGAAACCCCGTCTCTACTAAAAATACAAAAAATTAGCCGGGCGTGGTGGCGGGCGCCTGTAGTCCCAGCTACTCGGGAGGCTGAGGCAGGAGAATGGCATGAACCCGGGAGGCGGAGCTTGCAGTGAGCTGAGATCGTGCCACTGCACTCCAGCCTGGGCGACAGAGCAAGACTCAATCTTAAAAAACAACAACAACAAAAAAAAAAACCCAAAAATTAGTCGAGAATGGTGGCATGCCCTGTACTCTCAGCTACTTGGGAGGCTGAGGCACGAGAATCACTTGAACCTGGGAGGTGGAGGTTATAGTGAGACGAGATTGCACCACTGCACTCCAGCCTGGGCAACACAGCGAGACTCTGTCTCAAAAAAAAAAAAAAAACAAATCTGTTAGGCTGAGGCTGGGTGCAGTGGCTCATGCCTGTAATTGCAGCACTTTGGGAGGCTGAAGCGGGAGGAATGCTTGAGCCCAGGAGCTTGAGATCAGCCTGGGCAACGTAGCAAGATCCCCCAACTCTACAAAAATATAGAAGCCAGGCATGGTGGTACATGCCTGTGGTCCCAGCTACTTGGAAGGCTGAAGCAGGAGGATCATGTGAGCCCAGAAGCTTGAAACCAGCCTGGGCAGTATCAGAGACCCCATCTCTACAAAAAAATTTTAAAATTTAGCCTGGCATGGTGATGTGCACCTATGGTTCCAGCTACTTGGGAGGCTGAGACTGGAGGATCATTTGAGCCCAGGAGTTTAAGGCTGCAGTGAGCTATGATGGCACCACTCAACTCCAGCCTGGCTGAGCAACAGAGGAGACTCTGTCTCTAAGAAATAAATAAATAACAAAAACTAGGTGTAGTGTGTAGTGGGTCATGCCTATAATTCCAGCACTTTGGGAGGCTGAGGTGGGAGGCTAGATTGAGCCTAGGAGTTTAAGACTAGCCTGGGCAACATGGCAAAACTCGTCCCTAAAAAAAATAACAAAATTTAGCCAGGCATGGCAGTGCACACCTATGATCCCAGCTACTTGGGAGGCTGAGGCAGGAGGATCATCTGAGCCCAGGAGTTCGAGGCTGCAGTGAGCTGTGATTGTGCCACCACACTCCAGCCTGGGTGAAAGGGCAAAACCCTGCCTCAAAACAAACAAATATACAACAACAACACAACAACACAAACCCTCAAACAAGATCCTTTACGTTCTTCAGTTTCTCCATCAAGCAGCAGGGCCCCAGGTAGCATTAGAAGTGGATTTTCTTTCTTTTTTCTTTTTTTTTTTTTGAGACAGAGTCTCGCTCTGTCGCCCAGGCTGAAGTGCAGTGGCATGACCTTGGCTCACTGCAAGCTCCGCCTCCTGGGTTCATGCCATTCTTCTGCCTCAGCCTCCCCAGTAGCGGGGACTTCAGGTGCCCACCACTATGCCTGGCTAATTTTTTTTAATTATTATTTTAGTAGAGATGGGGTTTCACCGTGTTAGCCAGGATGGTCTCGATCTGCTGATCTTGATCTCGTGATCTGCCTACCTCAGCCTCCCAGAGTGCTGGGATTACAGGCGTCAGCCACCGCACCTGACCAGGAGTGGATTTTATATCTAAAGCTACAGTTTAAACCACAAGGGCATCTGCTAAATACCACCCAAGGAGAAGCTAAGTTGTCAAAATGCCCACTCAACCCTCCCAAACATCGCAAACCCACCCTTTTCTGATCTCTACTCCAACGTCTTTTGTTTTTGTTCTGTCTTACACCAGGAGAAGAGAGAGATTCGTGTTGACAAGTCCTTGTTGTCCAGACTCACACGGATACAGCTGTGGGGAAGGAAGGAAGGCTGCAATGCTGCTGTTTCCATGAACATGCCTGGCACCCTCCAGGTGTCAGCAGGGCCAGGGGAGTGGAGAACTGGTCTCCCTCTCCGCTCCTCTACAGAACACAGTAGTGTGAGGATTCTGTACAGGTTTTGTTGGGAAAGAAAGGAGTAAAAAGGGACTTGGGACGGAAAATGTTTCCTCCTTTTCAAATAAATTGTGCATCAGGATGTAGAGAGAGTGGAAGAGGGAGTTCAGAGGCACCAGGTGACCAAACGTAAGAGAAAAGAACAGTCCAGGTGTGGTGGCTCACACCTGTAATCCCAGCACTTTAGGAGGCTGAGGCGGGTGGTTCATCTGAGGTCAGGAGTTCAAGACCAGCTTGGTCAACATGGTGAAACCCCATCTCTACAAAAATACAGAAATTAGTCATACGTGGTGGTGGGTGCCTGTAATCCCAGCTACTCGGGAGGCTGAGGTGGGGGAATCGCTTGAACCCGGGAGGCGGAGGTTGCAGTGAGCCCAGTGCACTCCAGCCTGGATGACAGAGCGAGACTCCGTCTCAAAAAAAAAAAAAAAAAAAAAATCAGATGACCCGCTGTGGAGCTGACTCTGTTCCCAAACCAGGATTTTCATCAAGCTAAAAATCTAGGCTGGGCTGGGTGGCTCCAACCTGTAACCCCAGCACTTTGGGAGGCCGAGGTGGGCAGACTGTTTGAGCTTGGGAGTTCAAGACCATCCTGGACGACAGGGTGAAACATCGTCTCTACCAAAAATACAAAAAATTAGACACCCGTGGTGGCGTGCGCCAATAGTCCCAGATACTTGGGAGGCTGAGATCAGAGAATCGCTCGAACCCGGGAGGCGGAGGTTGCAGTGAGCCGAGATCATGCCACTGTACTCTAGCCTGGGTGACAGAGTGAGACTCTGTTTCCAAAAAAAAAAAAAAAAAAATAGGGCTTAAATCGGGAGAGTGACATGATCTGATTTACACTTGCAAAAAGATCAGTGTCATGAATACTCGGTGTTGGCAGAGATTTGAAACAAAGTATTCTCTCATATGTGCTGGTGGGAATGCAAGGTGTACAAACACCAAGGAAACCCCAGCACCAGCAATGGACTCAGCCACACCCCATGACCCAGCAGCTCCGCTCCTGGTGACTGTTCTAGAGAGGTGTGTGTGCAGGAACGTTCATCACAATGTTCACAGTGGTGCTGGAAGGACCCAAGTGTCCACCAGCAGGAGAAATGAACAAATGCACTGCGGCATATTCTTTTTTTTTCTTTTTCTTTCTTTTGAGACAGAGTCTCACTCTGTCACCCAGGCTGGAGTGCGATGGCGCGATCTCGGCTCACTGCAACCTCCGCCTCCTGGATTCAAGCGATTCTCTCACCTCAGCCTCCCGAGTAGCTGAGACTACAGGTGCGTGCCACCACACCCAGCTATTTTTTTTTTTTTTTGAGACGGAGTCTCACTCTTATAGCCCAGGCTACAGTGCAAATGGTATGATCTTGGCTCACTGCAAGTGCCGCCTCCTGGGTTCACGCCATTCTCCTGCCTCAGCCTCCTGAGTAGCTGGGAATACAGGTGCCCGCAACCATGCCTGGCTACTTTTTGTATTTTTAGCAGAGATGGGGTGTTAGCCAGGATGGTCTCGATCTCCTGATCTCGTGATCCACCCTCCTTGGCCTCCCAAAGTGCTGGGATTACAGGCATGAGCCATGGCACCTGGCCCCGTCTAATTTTTTGTATTTTTAGTAGAGATGCGGTTTCACCATGTTGGCCAGGCTGCTCTTAAACTCCTGACCTCAAGCGATCCACCTGCTATGGCCTCCCAAAGCGCTGGGATTACAGGCGTGAGCCACTGTGCCTGGCCGGAACCCACAGGTTCTTTGGATGGTCTCTGAATGTCATGAAACTCTTTTATATTTAATTAAAAAAATTTTTTTGACACAAGGTCTTGCTGTGTTGCCCAGACTGGAGTGCGGTGTCACGATCACAGCTCACTGCAGCCCCTAACTCCTAGGCTCAAGCAATCCTCCTGCCACCTCAGTCTCTCAAGTTGTTGGAACACAGGTGCCAGCCACGACACCTGGCTAATTTTGTTTTGTTTTGTTTTGTTTTGTTTTAGAGATGGGCTCTTGCTATGTTGCCTATACTGGTCTTGAACTGCTGGCCTCAGGCAGTCTTCCTCCCTTGGCCACCCAAAGAGATGGGATTACAAGCATGAGCCACTGTGCACAGCTGAGATTTTTCGACTTAGTCTTTTTGTACACCCAGTATCTTATAGAATATCCATAATATAGATTCATAAATAAACCATTTCCTTCAATGGTATAAATAAATAAACCACTGCTATAAATGGTGGAATTTTCTGAGTTAAGAGCAATACATATGATACAAAACTTGATATATAGAGTTTCTTAGCCAAACTGGAGGGGCTGGCTTTAGGTGATCCGTGGACTCCCTGAAATTGGGGACACCATTGGAAATATGTGTGAACTCATGGGCAGTTTCCTATGATTTCCAGTCCTCAAAATATCTCTTGGACTCAAAGATGCCTTAGGGCAGAGGACGCGTGTACCCCCAGTACAGAATCTCGGACAGTGAATGTCAGTAGACACTCGGCAGAAAACCTCTGCCAAATTGAGTGCTCTGATGTGACTTTTTCATCAAGTCAATGTTCCTGGGATCTCTTGTACATGGTAATCTCACTCTTGTAAGGTTTCATCGTTTCTGCTTACCCTACTTTTCTTTCCCATCCTGATCCCTCTCCCACCAGACTGGACTCTGAAACGGGCATGTACAGAGAAGAGGAGACCCCAACACGCTTCAAGCTTTGAGTGGAGAGGACACAGCCTCTGCTGGGACAGGGAACAGAGGGATGCGGAGACCCTGAAGATGCTTTTGGACAGTGGTCTGAGGTTGGGACAGTGGCAGGAGATACCATTCACCCAGGATCTCCAGGACAAGAGATCAGCCTGGCAGTTACATGTGTTTTTTTTCAAACTGGTTGCCAGGTTGGCATGAGCGATGACATCAGAGATTCCGACCTTCCTGATTGGAGGGACCGGACTCTGTCGGCACCTGGGAGTTCAGTTGGACAACAGTAACTTCTCAGAGCTGTTCTCCACTCCTGACTTCTCCCAGCCTCGAGAATTGATAACACACTCTTCTGGATCCCAGCAGTGTCCAGAAGAAGACCAAGGACAGAACAGAGACTAGGTTTGGTGAGATGGGACAGATTTTGGGAAAGATCATGATGAGCCATCAACCGCAGCCCCAGGAAGAGCGGAGCCCCCAGCGGAGCACCTCAGGGTACCCCCTCCAGGAGGTGGTGGATGATGAAGTGTCGGGACCATCAGGTGAGGGGACTGGAGGAAGAAGAGGTGGCATAGGATTGACTAAGATGAAGGAAGGGGGCCAGGCGTGGTGGCTCACCCCTGTAACCCCAACACTTTGGGAGGCTGAGGCGGGCAGATCACCTGAGGTCAGGAGTTCAAGACCAGCCTGGCCAACATGGTGAAACCCCATCTCTACTAAAAGTACAAAAATTAGCCAGGTGGTAGTGGTGTGTGCCTATAATCCCAGCTACTTGGGAGGCTAAGACAGGAGAATCACTTGAGCCTGGGAGGAAGAGGTTGCAGTGAGCCGAGATCGTGCTACTGCACTCCAGTCTGGGTGACAGAGTGAGATGCTATCTCAAAAAAAAAAAAAAAAAAAAAAAAAAAAAGAAGGGTCAGAGGTCAGGAAGGAGAACCTGGGGAGGGTGTGTGGGAAGAATGGAGAAATTCAGGCTGGGTGCAGTGGCTCACACTTGTAATCCCAGCACTTTGGGAAGCCAAGGCAGGCGGATCACTTGAGGCCAGGGGTTTGAGACCAGCCTGGCCAACATGGTGAAACCCTGTCTCTATTAAAAGTACAAAATGGAGCTGGGCATTATGGCAGGCACCTGTAATCCCAGCTACCTGAGAGGCTGAGGCAGGAGAATAACTGGAATCCGGGAGATGCATGTTGCAGTGAGCTGAGATTGCACCACTACACTCCAGCCTGGGTGACAAAGCAAGATTCTGTCTCGAAACAAAAAAAAAAAAAAAAAAGAGGGACTCAGAGAGCCAGGGACCAGGGAAGGATATGAGGCAGTGTTCTGAGGACAGAGAGAGGGAAGAATGGGGAGGGGAAGGAGTGGCACATGGGGTTGAGCAGAGGAGAAAGTCAGAAAGGTGGCTTGGAGAAGCCAGCAGTCTGCGAGGCTGGGGAGGATGGAGAGTGGTTTGGGGTTTGGGGTCGGGGTCTAACGTGATCAGTTGCAGAAGCATTACACGGTGGCCTGGTTTCTTTACTCAGCCCCTGGGGTAGATCCCAGCCCCCCACGTAGGTCCCTTGGCTGGAAAAGGAAGAGAGAATGTTTGGATGAATCTGATGATGAGCCAGAGAAGGAGCTCGCCCCTGAGCCTGAGGAGACCTGGGTGGCGGAGACGCTGTGTGGCCTCAAGATGAAGGCGAAGCGACGGCGAGTGTCGCTCGTGCTCCCTGAGTACTACGAGGCCTTCAACAGGCTGCTTGGTAGGAGGACACCCCAGAGAGCACCTCCAATCCTGTTCTTTCTAAAGAGGAAACTTCCAATAACCACACTTTTCCAATGGGAAAAATATGCCCCAGTGGGTGAGCTCTCCATGCGGGAGGACTCTGAAGTGATCACTCATGAGGGACACTTAAGGAGACAACAGAGGATTAGGTAGACTTGATAAAGGTCGGTGCTTGGGATAAGAAAGCTTGGTTTTGGGCCAGGCGCTGTGGCTCCCGCCTGAGATCCCAGCACGTTGGGAGGCTGAGGCAAGAGGATTGCTTGAACTCAGGACTTTGAGGCTGCAGTGAGCTATGACTGCACCACTGCACTCCAGCCTGGGTGACAGAGCAAAACTCTGCGTCAAAAGAAAAACCAAGGCTGGGCACAGTAGCTCATCCCTGTAGTTCCAGCTACTCGGGAGGCTGAGACAGGAGAACTGCTTAAACCCAGGAGGCAGAGGTTGCAGTGAGCCAAGATCAGGCCAATGCATTCCAGCCTGGCCCACAGAGCAAGACTCTGTCTCAAAATAAATTAATAAATAAATAAAAATAAAAATCAAATAAAGAAAAACAAAATCAAAAATCAAAAAAGTGGTTTCAGCTGTGCCCTCTGAAACTTAATGTTTCTTACTGACTTTTCTAAACCTAAGTGTCTCCATCCATAGTGAGGGATCCCAAGGCCATGGTCACACCCTGATGTGTGACTGTCTCATGAGGAAATGATGGGAATTCCTTTATGACTCTGCAGTGGTCCCTCCGTGTCTGCTGGAGGGGGTCCTGGCTGATTCCCAGCTCTACATCCTGTAGATTCTCACACCCAGGGCCTCCTTCGGCCTCTTCTCAGGGGAGTCTCAGAGCAGGAGCCTCTCTCCCTTGCCCAGTGAAAGTCATTCTCCCCTCTCTCATCCACCTCACCCGCGGCCACAATCCTGAGACTTTCCCCCGGGAGGCACACTTCTCCTCGCTGCCCTGCTGCTCTCACGGAAACCCTGTCCTGCTTCTCACACTGACATCTGCTCTCTAATCACAGAGGATCCTGTCATTAAAAGACTCCTGGCCTGGGACAAAGATCTGAGGGTGTCGGACAAGGTAAGGTTGTTCTCTATGTAACTGTGTTCCTGTTCTAACGCACGGCCAGGGGGAGGGCGCAGCTTCCAAACCCACAGTTCTCCGTCCACCACCTCCCACCAGATGCTCCTACAGTTTTTTTTTGTTTTTGTTTTTGTTTTTTTTTGTGAGACACAGTCTTGCTCTGCTGCCCAGGCTGGAGGGCAGTGTCTCGATCTTGACTCACTGCAGCTGATGCCTCCTGGGTTCAAGCGATTCTCCCACCTCAGCCTCCAAGCAGCTGGGATTACAAACATGAACCACCACGCCTGGCTAATTTTTGTGTTTTTAGTAGAGACGGGGTTTTGCCATGTTGGCCAGATTGGTCCCGAACACCTGACCTCAGGTGATCCACCCGCCTTGGCCTCCCAAAGTGCTGAGATTACAGACGTCAGCACTGTGTCTGACCAGCTCCCATGGTCTTGAGTCTTGGCACCCACACATTTTTTTTTCTGAGACAGAGTCCAGCTCTGCTCCCCAGGATGGAGTACAGTGGCATGATCATAGCTCACTCTAATTCCTGGGCTCAAGCAATCCTCTTTCCTTAGCCTCCTGAGGAGCTGGGACTAGGCACATGCTACCATGCTCAACTAATTTTTGAAATCTTCTTAGAAACAGGGTCTCGCTGTGTTGCCCAGGTTGTTCTCCAACTGTTGGGCTCACATGATCCTCCTGTCTCCACCTCTCAAAAAGTACTGGGATCACAGGCTTGAGCTGCCACTCCCGGCTATTCTTTGTCTTTTTATGATTTGTCAGCATCTCCGTCAGGATTCTGCTGGTCTCTTGCAGAGTGAATGAGTGGCCCCTGCCTCTCCTATGGGTCCTTTGGGATCTGAGCCCTGGGCCACAGTCTGGCTGCAGCCCTGAAGCTCCTGGGCCCTCTACTCTCAGCTCCTTGGGACAGTTCTCTGCCTGGCACACAAAAGACCCTCCTGACACCAGCCGACCTAGACACACCCCCTCCAAAGATCCCATCGGAGCCCACCATCCTGGGAGCATCACCAAAAACCCTTCCTCCGGCTTCTCGGATTTGCATCCGACCTTCGAATACCCCTCCACCCCGCAATTTCCACATGAGCACAGTCACCCCAACACTGAGGTCCCTTCTCTGATGGGCAACCCCTCCCCAGACCCCCATTCCACTATATCCACAATCTTCCTCTCCCAAGATGTGACCTCTCCCTCTCTGTGTTCCTTTCTCTCCATCAGTATCTCCTGGCTATGGTCATAGCGTATTTCAGCCGGGCCGGCCTCCCCTCCTGGCAATACCAACGCATTCATTTCTTCCTGGCTCTGTGAGTGGTTTGCTGCCTCCTATCCATCAATATCCAATGCCCTGGGACAGCGGGGGAAGTGGGATTCCAGCCTTTCATTTATTCTTTCACCTATTTGTCCTCTTTACTCTGTGTACAAAAAAGACAGGATTATAGTCTCAAAAAAAAAAAAAAAAAAGAACAAAAAACAAAAGGAACCATGAACCGCTCCTAAGGGGAGAAGAAAAGGAGCGGAGGAGCGGACATGACACTTCCCCCAGCAAGCAGACGTTTCCGGTTGTTCTCTCTCCTTCCCACATCAACCGCAAAAGCCATCAGCCTCCTCCGGGTTCCCGTGACAGAGGTCACAGTCCAGGTCCCCCTTGCATCACTCGAATCCACTGTCAAAT
This sequence comes from Homo sapiens, assembly GCF_000001405.40. Lineage (NCBI taxonomy): Eukaryota > Metazoa > Chordata > Mammalia > Primates > Hominidae > Homo > Homo sapiens. The sequence goes on along the minus strand of NC_000007.14, from coordinate 73,108,148 downwards.
GCTCCCTGCTGGGGTTTCCTGGAGTCTCTCCCCAAGCCAGGGGGCTTCCTAGTGCAGCCTGAACATCTTTCCAAAGCACGACAACCTCACTGCCCACCTGAACAACTTCCTTAGCTGATGTCTTTCTCTATCGAGGCCAGGGTCCACAGTGCCAATTCCACCCTCTCTACAATCTCTACAACCACACTGGCTCGCCATCTTGGTGTTTCCTGGCTTGGCTTCACTGCTCCTTCCAAATGCCCTCCACTTGACTTTGCATTTGTGTTTTCTGTCTGGGTGTCCCACACACATGTGGTTCTGAAGGGAAGGACCCATTCCTTGAAGTCGGTTCACCCCACAGCCTCTGTGATGCCTTCCCTCGTCTTCCAACTTCTGCATGCCCGTAGCTCTCCAGTTACATCCTATTATAATGTGACATTGGGATTAGGTCATCTCCCCTGATTACTCCCAGTCCCATTAGACTAGATGCCTGTAGAAGGCAGGGTCCTGGCAAAATATCAGTGTATTCAATTGCTTTTTTTTTTTTTTTTGAGACAGACTTGCCCTGTCCCCTAAGCTGGAGTGCAGTGGTGAGATCATAGCTCACCGCAGCCTCCATATCCTGGGCTCAAGCGATCCTCCCACCTCAGCCTCTTGATTAGCTCCGACTACAGGGCTGTACCACCACACCTGGACAGTTATTTATTTATTTATTTATTTATCAAGACAAGAGTGTTGCTGTGTCTCTCAGGCTGGAATGGAGGGGCCCAATCTTGGCTCACTGCAACCTCCGCCTCCTGGGTTCACACAATTCTTATGCTTCAGCCTCCTGAGTAGCTAGGACTAATGGGTGTGCCACCGCACCAGGCTGATTTTTGTATTTTTAGTATAGATGGGGTTTCTCTGTGTTGACCAGGCTGGTCTCAAACTCCTGGTCTCAAGCAATCCACCTGCTTCAGCCTTCCAAAGCGCTGGGATTACAGGCATGAGCCACCACGTCTGGCGTATTTTTTATATTTTTAATAGAGACGAGGGTCTTGCTATGTTGCCCAGGCCTGTCTCAAACTCCTGGCCTCAAGTGATCCTCCTGCTTCGGCCTCCCAGTGTGCTGGGATTCCAGGCATAAGCCACCACTCTTGGTCACCAGTTGGGTTTTTGTCTCCATCCTGAAGGAGTGGGAGACGCCCTTGATCAGGTCTCTGTCCAGCAGAGCCCTCCTGAGGAAGGCGTGGCTCTCTGCAGGGTGGGTGCCAGTCCTGAGCTAGGGACGGTCCCTTACCTTCCTCTCTGAGAAGCTGACCTCAGCCGGAGGTCTCTCCTGGTGGTGCCCCTGAGCAGCAACCTGATTTCTGTCCTCAGCTATCTGGCCAATGACATGGAGGAGGACGACGAGGCCCCCAAACAAAACATCTTCTACTTCCTGTACGAGGAGACCCGCTCTCATATACCCTTGCTCAGTGAGCTTTGGTTCCAGTTATGCCGTTACATGAACCCGAGGGCCAGGAAGAACTGCTCTCAGATAGCCTTGTTCCGGAAGTATCGGTTCCACTTCTTTTGTTCCATGCGCTGCAGGGCTTGGGTTTCCCTGGAGGAGTTGGAAGAGGTGGGTGGGGCCTGGGGACGTGGAGGATGTGGGGAGGAATCGGGTGGGCTGGAGGCTGGACGAGGGGAGAGAGGGGTATCCTGGGGAGTCCCCGTCTTCTCAAAGCGCGTTTGTTTTTCCAGATCCAGGCTTATGACCCAGAGCACTGGGTGTGGGCGCGAGATCGCGCCCACCTTTCCTAGAGCTCCAGGGACCGTGGAGGCCTGAGGTCATCGGCCTGAGAGAAGGTACATCTGCATCCTCCGGGGTAAAGGCAGAATATTGGGGTCTATTTCGGAAATCCAAGGAACCCAATTGCTTGATCTGGCTTCAAGCCTGGGCAACGTGGCGAGATCCCCTCTCCACAAAAATACAAAAATTAGCCAGGCGATGTGGGAGGCATCTCTACTCCCAACTACTCAGGAGGCTGAGGCGGGAGGATCGCTGGAGCCTGGGAGGTCGGGGCTGCAGGGAGCCCTGATCCTGCCACTGCACTCCAGCCCGGGCGACAGAGTGAGACCCTGCCTCAAAAATAATCATAAATACTGAGTTCGGGGAGGTTCATTATGATTGATGCACTTGAGTTACCGATTTGGGTCGAGGGTTCAGTGAAGCTTTGGTTTACATCTTGTGCAGCTAACCATGTTGAGCACAGAGCATGAGACTTCGTCATGAGGAGGGAGGATTATGGATTAGGCTTCTGGACTCGTGGTTCGTGATGTTGTCACGTTAGAAACAGATCTAGCACGGTTACAAGTTTAGATCTGAAGTGACACAAAAGGCCCCAGCTGTGATGAAGTCCAAAGCCACATTCTCTGAGGGTGCCCTACTCCCTGGGAAGACCCACCCAAAGTCCTGGCTATGAAGCAGATCACTGGGGCTGACCTTGGGTGTATTAAGTTTTGGAGTCAGGGTCACCAAAGTGTGAGTTTCACAGTTGAACACGATGGTTCAGAAGCAGGGTATAGAATGAAAGGCAGGAGATAAAATTGCACTTCTCAATTGCTCTGAACTCTAGCTAGACTTGACATGGGACGTGAATAACCTTCCTGTCTAGAGAGCTGCCTCCTTGAAGTGTGACATTGTCTCTCTCACTTCCAGAACACCGGACCCAGGGGAGATGTGGATTTTCAGCAGGAACTTTATTCCAATGCTAATGGCAGACATCAGGAAGGAGGAGAGGAACCATTTGTGCAGATCATCTAGAAGAACCTGGACCATTCTTGACAGAGCTGAATACAGTGATCACGTTGTCCTCCAAGGAGCAGGGGTGGGGTGGGGTACTTCTAGGAGTCCTTGGAGAAAAGTAAGAAACCAGGAGTGTTTCCAGTTCCACCCTTTCCTGCGGCACCACCTCCCTTTTTATATTGCTGAATGCCAACCTCCCTGGGGCGGAACCTGGAGGTCCTGTTTCTTATGGACTTGGTTGCCACAGTCCAGGAGCATTTGAAGGCACAGTGCAGGGGCTCAGATTGGCACAGAATTCTTTGTGAAATATGAGTGCCACAGACTGTAACAGATAGCTTCATGCACACTATGCATTTTATTGGTTTGTTTGGAAAATGTTGGCCATTGAATTATTAATAGGTTTATTTCAAATAGTTTGGAAATTGTTGTACTTTTGAAAACATGCTGTTCCTGTAGAGTTTTTTGATGAGAGTTATAGTTGTTATATATACCTAAAGATAATTTTCTTTTCATTTTTAAGTGAGAATTCTTTTTATCCTAAATCTTTTATTATCTTTAAATTTTTTTCTGTATTATTATATGTGCTCCTGAAGCGAGCACTCTTTTTATCTATGATACTTCCATAATAATCTCTTCTATTTATAGCTATTGGTAGTTCCCCACCAGAAAAAAACATAATTCTGGTGATAGAAATTTTTATTTGCTGTTTAGGTTTGTGACTGACTTGTGAGAATTCAGTTGTGATTTTTAACATGTCTCAGATATATATACTAACACGTCTAATATATACTATCTATTTTATTGGTTTATTTTGAAAAACATGGGTATAGAATTATTTAAATATTTTATTTACTGAAATATTTATTAAATATATTTATTTATTTAAATATTATTATTACTTTAAATATTATTTTAAATATTTTGGAAATACTGGTATTTTTGAATAGATGCTGTTTCTATAAAGCTGTGTGATGGGTATTATAACTGTTGTATACACATACATATAATTTTGTTTTCCTTTTTAAGAGAGGATTCTTTTCATCCTAAATCTTTTACCTTTCAATCTTTGTATCTATTATTACACGTGCTGCTGAAGGGAGCATGGTTTTTATCTATGATACTTAGTTAACATATATATTACATTTATAGCTATGTGGTAGTTCCCCTAAATTCTTGTAAAAATAAATTTTTATTTGATATTTAGTGTATGTTTGAAATGTGAGAATTCAGATGGAATTTTTTATCTTGTTTTGGCATGTTTGTATGTTACTTTAAAGAGGATGTGTGTTCTAAAGGAGGACATGAGCTGTGTGTTTTCAAGAGAACAGTGCAGTGCATCTCTTGGGGAAACATAATAAAGATGAACTTTTCTCACCTTCACAGTGAGTGTGATCATATTGTGGTCTGGATTGATTATTTGCTGTCAAGTGACATTTTTCCTTAATGGGGTTGTGGTTATTTGAACATATTTGTTAGCTTTGGAAGATAATCCTGTGCTGTTTTTTATGTAGAAAAAAACATACGGCTGGGTGCAGTGCTCACACCTACAATCCCAGCAGTTTTGGAGGTCATGGCGGGAGGATCACTTGAAGCCTATTTTTAATTTTTATTTTTTAAAGAAAAACAACAGAAGAGAAGGCTGATCCCAAGCTACAGGGTTTTTTTGTTTGTTTGTTTGTTTGTTTGTTTTGGAGACAGTCTCGCTCTGTCTCCCAGGCTGGAGTGCAGTGGCACAACCTCGGCTCCCTGCAACTTTCACCTCCGCGTTCAAGCAAATTCTCCTGCCTCAGCCTCCCAAGTAGCTGGGACTACAGGCATCCGCCTGTACGTCTGACTAACTTTTGTAAAAATAGTAGAGACAAGGTTTCACCATGTTGGCCAGGCTGGTCTCAAACTCCTGACCTCAAGTGATCCACCCGCCTCAGTCTCCCAAAGTGCTGGGATTATAGGCATGAGCTACTGTGCCCAGACCCCAAGCTAGAGTTTTAAAGCAGGAAATGAGAGAAAGATATTGAGAGAGGAAAACCAGGTGGTAAGAAAACTCTAAAGGTGGCTGGGCATGGTGGCTCACGCCTGTGATCCCAGCAGGAGTTCGAGACCAGGCAGGAGAATCACTAGCAGAGAATATGTCTCCCCAACCCCTCTCAAAAAAAAAAAAAAAAGTCCAGGCGCGGTGGCTCAGGACTGTAATCCCAGCACTTTGGGAGGCTGAGGTGGGTGGATCATGAGGTCAGGAGATCAAGACCATCCTGGCTAATACGGTGAAACCCCATCTCTGCTAAAAATACAAAAAATTAGCTGGGCGCGGTGGCAGGCGCCTGTAGTCCCAGCTACTCCGGAGGCTGAGGCAGGAGAATGGTGTGAACCCAGGAGGCGGAGCCTGCAGTGAGCAGAGATCGCGCCACTGCACTCCAGCCTGGGTGAAAGCGCGAGACTCCATCACAAAAGAAAAAAAAAAAAAGAAAGTTCCTGCAACAGTTCAAGCTGTGAAAGACAGGCACTCTGCCATGCAATTCTTTGTGATTTTTCTTTTTTATTTTTGGAGTCGGGGTCTTGTGCTGTCACCCAGACTGGGGTGCAGTGGTGCGGTCATAGCTCACTGTGGGCTCAGACTCAAGCTCAAGCAATCTTCTTATCTTGCCTTTCTAATTGCTGGGATTATAAGCATGAGCCACTGCACCTGGCCTGTGTGACGTAATTCTGATGTCAACTCCCTGATGTTACATCAAATGCCACAGGTTAAGGCCACCAGCCCCCGCTAGGCTGCCCTCGCTTCAGATGCAGCTGCAAGCTTGGGTGTCCACAGACCGCATGTACTTCTCACCAACTGGCTGCAAATTTGGAGGTTCCCACCACGTCCTCAGGTTTGATAATTCACCATAACAACCCACAGAACTCTGAAAAGCATGATACTTTCTCTTTCTTTATTTGAGACAGAGTCTTGCTCTGTCACCCAGGCTGGAGTGCAGTGGCCACCATGCTTGGCTAATTTTAGTATTTGTATTAGAGACAGGGTTTCGCCATGTTGGCCAGGCTGGTCTTGAACTCCTGACCTCAGGTGATCCACCCACCTTGGCCTCCCAAAGTGCTGGGATTACAGGCATAGCCACTGTGCCTGGCTGACTTCTAGAGTTTCAATAACAGAGATGTGGTTCAAGAAGAAAAGGGAGACATGTTTTGTAGACAGCAGGAGCTTCATGAAAAGAAGCCAATGAAGGGCAGGATGTGTAGCTGTCTACCTACAGGAAACCAGCCAGGAGCCTCCCCACAGGGACTTCAGCACAGATGGCCGGGAAAATCTGCATTCACCTGAGCTCTGGACCTAAGAGAGGACAAGGCCTTGACTGTTTCTACAGACTCACAAGATGCAATCTCTGCGGTCCATGCCCGTGGTGTGATCTGGGAAACAGGGGGCCTTCTAAATGCCAACAACAAGGAAATCAAATGTGCAACAGACAGAAATATCGGCATTGACACGGGCCATGGAGAGGCCTAAACAGATGACTGCAGTCCACTGCCAAGGTCATCAAAGGGGTGACTCTGAAATAAGAAATTTCAGACGCCACGGCCCAAATAGCTGCACGAGGTGGGGAAGTCCTCCACATGCCTCTGCTTCCTTCAGTACCTCTTCATGAAATAAGCCGAGGTACTTCCCTGGGGAATTTCCTTTCTCTTTCTTTCTTTCGAGACGGAGTCTTGCTCTGTCGCCCAGGCTAGAGTGCAGTGGCGCGATCTCGGCTCACTGCAACCTCTCCCTCCCGGGTTTTGGCAATTCTTCTGTCTCAGACTTCTGAGTAGCTGAGATTACAGGTGTGTGCCACCATGCCCAGCTAATATTTGTATTTTCACTCGAGACAGGGTTTCACCATCTAGGCCAGGCTGGTCTTGAACTCCTGACCTCATGATCCACCCATCTTGGCCTCCCAAAGTCCTGGGATTACAGGCACGAGCCACCACACCCAGACTTCTTTTTTTATTTTTTGAGATGAAGTTTCGCTCTTGTTGCCCAGGCTGGAGTGCAATGGCGAGATCTCAGCTCACTGCCACCTCCTCCTCCTCCCAGGTTCAAGTGATTATCCTGCCTCAGCCTCCCGAGTAGCTGGGATTACAGGCACCCAACACCAAACCCCGCTGACTTTTTGTATTTTTAGTAGAGATGGAATGTCACCATGTTGGCCAGGATGGTCTTGAACCCCTGACCTCTAATGATCTACCCGAATTGGTCTCCCAAAATGCTGGGATTACAGGCGTGAGCCACTGTGCCCAGCCCCTCCCATACCTCTTTTGGCCAAGGCAGTACAATTCAGAGAATCTTGCCAGGGAAGACTGGTAAATGGACATCAACATGATGCCTATGGCTCCTGGTGGATTTAGATACCTCCTGGTGCTTACTGATACCTTTACCAGTTACATGGGGGCTTTTCCATGCCAGACTGAAAATGCTGGAGATCACTGATCAACCTTCAACTATTTACTAGCAGAACACTGAGGGGACTCTGCAGTCACCAATATCTCCTATTGCACTTGGATAAACACCTCCCGGGAAATAGAGATGAATAGAAAGGAAATACTTAAACAAGCAGAATGGCTACATTCCTTCAACCAGAAGGGTCCATTAGTCTGTTTTCACACTGCTATAAAGAACTACTGGAAACTGGGGAATTTATGAAGAAAAGAGGTTTAATTGACTCACAGTTTTGCAGGCTGTACAGGAAGCATGGCTGGGGAGCCCTCAAGAAACTGACAATCACGGCAGAAGGCGAAGGGGAAGCAGGCACGTTTCTGGCCATGGTGGAGCAGGAGAGACAGAGAGAGTGAAGCAGGAGGTGCTGCATGCTTCTAAACAACCAGATCCCATGAGCGCTCACTCACTATCACGAGACCAGCAAGGGGGACGTCAGCCGCCATGAGCCAATCATCTCCCACCAGGTCCCTCCCTCAACACTGGGAATTGCAATTGGACATGAGATTTGGTTGGGGATACAGAGCTGAACCATATCAAGGGTAGTTCAACCACTGAGATTGATTGATTGACTGAGATGGGGTCCTGCTCTGTTACCTAGGCTGGAGTGCAGTGGCACAATCTCGGCTCACTGCAACCTCCGCCTCCCAGGTTCAAGCAATTCTCCTGCCTCAGCCTCCCTAGTAGCTGGGACTACAGCACACGCCACCACACCTGGCTAATTTTTGTATTTTCAGTAGAGACGGGGTTTCACCATGTTTGCCCGGCTGGTCTTGAACTCCTGACCTCGTGATCACCCTGCCTCGGCTCTTCTTTTGCTGGAATTACAGGCGTGAGCCACCGCACCCGGACAACCACTGAGATTTAGAAGGCAGTCGAGTCCACTATACCACACCTCACCTGGTTTCTTCCTCTGTTGGGGCCCCTCGTGGCCACTGTTCTGTTACTTTTTGGTCCTATTTATTTAAATGGATGGTGAGCTGTTTGTCCTCCAGGATCCAACACTTCCACCTTCAGCTTGTATTACAACAATACCAGCCTTTCAAGCTACTCCGGGTGACCCCAGAACTCATCTGAACTCAGAAGCCCAAGAGTTTCATTCCTCTCACTTTAGGGGACTAAGTGCCCCTGGTCAGCATGAAGTCGATACAGAAGCATGACCTCCATCCCTAATCCCTCAAGAATGAGGAGTGGAAGGTGTTGGCAGGAGGGTGGGACGCGGTTTGTAAATCTGTAACTGCATCAGACCAAATCTAGTTCAACTTTTTTTTTTTTTGATGGAGTTTCACTCTTGTCACCCAGGCTGGAGTGCAATGGCACGATCTCAGCTCACTGCAACCTCCACGTCCTAGGTTCAAGCATTCTGCTGCCTCAGCCTCTGGGGTAGCTGGGATTACAAGGGTGCGCCACCACGCCTGGCTAATATTTATATTTTTAGTAGAGACGGGGTTTCACCATTTTGGCCAGGCTGGTCTTGAACTCCTCGACCTCAGGTGATCCACCTGCCTTGGCCTCCCAAAGTGCTGGGATTACAGGCGTGAGTCACCGCACCCGAATCAGTTCAACTTTTATGTAATGAAGTTGTCAGTTGTTTTCCAATTGCCATCGACCTGCAGGTTGAAGGTCATGTACCCTGTGCATGCCCAGGTTAACCACGCGTGCCACCGTGGAGTGGAACCTAAGAGCTCAGCCTGAAGAGCTCGGACCGATTTAAGAACCAGACACCCCCAGGCAGGAGCCAGGATCCAATCAGATTGAGTTTTGGTGTCACCCCATGGCAGGATCCAGTCAGATCACACCTCCCAGCATTACTTTATTGCAAGATCCAATCAAATCACACCTCATTACCCTATGCTTATAAAACCTGACACAGCCCCCAGCTGTGTAAGGGAGATTTGAGTACTTCCTCCTGTGTTCTTGCTGGCTGACTTACAAAAAAGCTTTAAAAAAAAAAGCCAGGCGTGGTGGCTCACGCCTGTAATCCCAGCACTTTGGGAGGCTGAGGTGGGCAGATCACTTGAGGTCAGGGGTGCAAGACCAGCCTGGCCAACATGGTGAAACCCCATCTCTACTAAAAATACAAAAATTAGCTGGGTGTGGTGACACACACCTATAATCCCAGCTACTTGGGAGGCTGAGGTAGGAGAATCACTTGAACCCAGGAGGCGGAGGTTGCAGTGAGCCAAGATCACACCACTGCACTCCAGCCTGGGCGACAGAGTGAGAAGACTCCGTCTAAAAAAAAAAGTTAAAATTAGCACCAAACGCTTTACAAGTAAAAAAAGTTTTTAGCTGCATATGTTTAAGTAACTTTTTAGATTATAAGAAATACGCATGCAAAATGGAAAGGCACAAAGAAGAGAGCAAAAAGTGCATGAGATCTCACATCCAAGGATAACCGCTGAGAACATGGAAGTGCTGACTCTTCAGTCTTTATACTATACACATTTAGGCCTGTTTTGTTTTTATAAAACTGTAATCATATAATACAGACAGTTTTATAATCTGCTTTTTAAACACAACAATTATATAACATTTAGCTGTTTCATTTGCATTCAAATTCATAAGGGTTCCAGTAACTCATTTATCAGAAAACCAAGAGAAATATTCTCATAAAAATATAAGTACATAAGGTCAGGCATGGTGGCTCACGCCTGTAATCCCAGCACTTTGAGAGGCCGAGGTGGGCGGATCACCTGAGGGCAGGAATTCAAGACCAGCCTGGCCAGCCTGGACAACATGGTGGAACCCCGTCTCCACTGAAAATACAAAAATTAGCCGGGCGTGGTGGCGCGCGCCTGTAATGGTAGCTACTCAGAAGGCTGAAGCAGGAGAATCGCTTGAACTTGGCAGGTGGAGGTTGCAGTGAACTGAGATCGCGCCACTGCACTGCAGCCAGGGCGCCAAAGTGAGACTCCATCTCAAAAAAAGATAAAAATAAAAAATAAAAAAAATGTATATATATGTATATATATTTTTCCAGACAGGGTCTTACTCTGTCTCACAGTCTGAAGTGTAGTGACGCAATCATAGCTCACTGCAGTCTCAAGTTCCTGGGCTCAGGTGATCCTCCCACTTCAGCCTCCCAAGTAGCTGGAACTACAGGTGCATGCCACCATGCCCAGTCAATTTTTTTTTTAATTTTTCATAGAGACAGAGTCTCACTATGTTTCCCAGTCCTAATAAACATTATGTGATAAAAAGAAAAAAGTAAATCATCCTGAAGTTAAGTCTTTAATGAGAAATGCAAATAAAGCATTTCTCAATAAATTATGGGAAGAGAATCAACTGAAGAATAAACATCTTTAGTAAATCTTTTGCTCACGTGCATTAACCAATACTCTTGAAAACCAGGATTAATTTACTGTACCTTCTTAATATTCCTTTGAAATTCCTTATGGCGCACAGGTAGCGTAGAAAATAACTGCTTCACGCTGACTGTGGTCCCTCTGGGGTGGGGGTAGGGGGTTTTCTGGATGATTTTCCCATCGTGATCAAACACCAGTCGAGTCCCAACCTTCGCCGATACGTGGCAGGTAGAAATGGTGACATCACTGTGAGAGAATACCAGGCATGGTGTGTTCAGTGAGAGATCCATGATGTTGGGCACTGACTACTCTTTTCTTCACTTGCTTTTCTCTCAAAATTTTCTTAAAAAGCTGATGATCCCTCTGAGATAACCGAGATCTAAACGGTTGAGGAGTCATCACAAAATCTAAGGTCTGGCATCTAAAAGACAGTGAGACAGAGAGCACTAAACATGCTTTGTTTTGATAAAAGCTTTGACTTCATTTTTCAGGTTGAATTGCAAAACCATAAATGATCTCAAGATTTATTGATTCTCAAATAGAGATTTGTTTTGTTATTACTCTTCAAACAAAATTTTTTAAAAGAATTTTTTTAAAGAATTTTTTAAAATTTTTAAAATTTTTTTTAAAGAATCCAAAAGATATTATAATTAAAATGTATATGTAGGGCAGGGTGCGGTGGCTCGTGCCTGTAATTCCAGCACTTTGGGAGGCCAAGGAGGGCAGATCACTTGAGGCCTGGAGTTCCAGACCAGCCTGGGCAACATGGCAAAACCCCATCTCTACTAAAAATACAAAAATTAGCCAGGAGTGGTGGTGCACGCTATAGTCCCAGCTCTTCAGGAGGCTGAGTCACGAAAGTCACTTGAACCTGGGAGGCAGAGACTGCAGTGAGCTGAGACTGTGCCACTGCACTCCAGCCTGGGTGAGAGAGTGCGACTCTGTCTAAAAAAAAAAATATATATATATATATACATATATATGTATATATATATGTATATATATGTATATATATGTATATATGTATATATATGTATATATGTATATATGTATATATATGTATATATGTATATATGTATATATATATGTATATATGTATATATGTATATATATGTATATATGTATATATGTGTATATATGTGTATATATGTGTATATATATGTATATATATGTATATATATGTATATATATGTATATATATGTGTGTGTGCATGTAATTATTTATAAAAATTTAGTATCTGTGCTGTAATTAAATAGTGCTTTGGTGAAATGTTTCCCTAAAAATTGATAATGAAAACCAATGGTAACTATCATTTATTATCTATATGTTATGTTCAAATTGAGAAGTTACTGTTTTAATAAGGGTAACCAATTTTTTAAACAATACTATTTGCTTCATTTCATTCATTTATTGCTCACATTTCAGAAGTACTAGGACTTAGATTGGCAGTGAGACAAAACAGAATTCAGAAGCTAGAAGCTGAGATATTGAGATAGAAAATTGTAAATAATAATGATTCCAATTAATTTTCAGAGAGGTTTTTCTAAGGGGTCAAGTGAATGGATAAAAATATTTTCTCACCTCAGTGCACAAAGTGAGCTCAGAGCTTTCCCCCGAAAGCCAAAAGTTTCAACCCGAGTTAGGTCGGCAAACTCTTGAATCTTAGATGTGTGATGTTTCAGAGCTGAAAGAGACTGTAAAGTAAGGACTAAGATATCTCAAGTGCTATAACAACAAATATACATGATATCTAGTAACTGGCTTTAAAAAACTGTTTTTGTGTTTCCCAAGACAGTGTTACTCAAAATTCTAAGACATGTGGCCCAATTATTTTGTAATAGGATTAGAAAGTTAACTTACTTAAGCCTTCGAAGTTTTCTTCTTCTACCCCACATCCATTGCCTGAAACTTCAATGAGATCCATTCCATAGTCCTTAAGCTTTAGATCTAGAAAGTTTAAAATATTTATATATTTATTAAAAATGGACCCACGCTATCAGTTTTTATATTGATATTATTTATAACGTGCAAATTTAAGTGTCGTAACTATACCTTTAGTTAAACATACTAGTGTCATTTTGTATATTTCATTTTTATAAAGTTCTTTCTGGCCATTTACTAGCCCAGATTAAATAGTTTAGCATTTTCTTTCTTTCCTCTTTTTTTTTTCCTTACACTAGTCAAGTGAAGCAGTTGGAGTGGAGAAGGAACAAAAAAATCTGTAACTGGTTGTGATCAATTAGTTGTAAAGACCGTTGCACTTTGACCAGCCTTTTCCTTTGAAAGAAATAATTTTAACATACCCAGTAAGGAGAACGGGGGCCGGGCGCAGTGGTTCATGCCTGTAATCCCAGCACTTTGGGAGACCAAAGCGAGCGGATCACCTGAGGTCAGTAGTTCGAGACCAGCCTGACCAACGTAGAGAAACTCTATCTCTACTAAAAATACAAAATTAGCCAGGCGTGGTGGTGCATGCCTGTAATCCCAGCTACTTGTGAGGCTGAGGCAGGAGAATCGCTTGAACCTGGGAGGTGGAGGTTGCAGTGAGTTGAGATCGTGCCATTGCACCGCAGCCTCGGCAACAAGAGCAAAACTCTATCTCAAAAAAAAAAAAAAGAAAAAAAAACAGAACTGGTTCTGGAATCAGACTTCCTAGATTCTATTTTATTAGCTTTATAATCTCAAAAAAAGGAAATTTACTGTCCCTTAATTTCCTCAACTGTAAAATGGAGGTAATAAGTTCTATCTCATAAAGTTATTTGGCAGATTAATAATTTTTTTTTAATTTTGTCATTTTCTTTTTTTTCTTTCCTTTTTTTTTTTTTTTTTTTAATTTTTTGAGATGGACTTTTGCTCTTGTCACCCAGGCTGGAATGCAGTGGCACAATCGATCTTGGCTCACTGCAACCTCCACCTCCCAGGTTTAAGCAATTCTCCTCCCTCAGCCTTCTGAGGAGCTGAGATTACAGCCATGCACCATCACATCTGGCTAATTTTTGTATTTTTAGTAGAGACAGGGTTTTACCACGTTGGTTAGGCTGGTCTTGAACTCCTGACCTCAAAGCATCAGCCCCCCTCAGCCTCCCAAAGTGCTGGGATTACAGATGTGAGCCACTACTCCAGGATTTATTTTATTTTATTTTATTTTATTTTTTTGAGACAGAGTCTTGCTCTGTCCCCAGGCTGGCGTGCAGTGGCACCATCTCGGTTCACTGCAACCTCCACCTCCCAAATTTAAACAATTCTCATTCCTGAGCCTCCCCAGTAGCTGGGATTACAGGCTTCTGCCACCAGGTCTGGCTAATTTTTGTATTTTTAGTAGAGACAGAGTTTCACCATTTTGGACAGGCTGGTCTCGAATTCCTGACCTCAGGTATCCACCCGCCTTGGCCTCCCAAAGTGCTGGGATTACAGGCGTGAGCCACCACACCCGGCCTGCTTTATTTTTTAATAGAGACGAGGTCTCCCCATGTTGGCCAGGTTGGTCTTGAACTCTTGGCTTCAAGCAATCCCCCCACCTCAGCCTCTCAAAGGGCTAGGATTACAGGCGTCAGACACCACGCCCAGCTATTCTGCAAATTAAATGAGATATTTCTGTGCAATTCTTAGCATAACACCTGCCTGGCACACCATAAGAACACAAGAAAAGCTGTCGTTATTATTATTACTACCTAGCTAAGTACTAGGCACATAATAGGTGCTAACTTTAACTTAAAAATAATAGTTTATTACTACATCAACACTTGATAGTCTTATTTCAATAACAAATGTTTCTTGACTACAACAACATTCACTGATCATTTCTTGTGGCTTAAAACTCTCCCAAACTTACCAATATTAGTGGCACCAGCATCCAGACTGTTTCCTACTATCTTCTTCACCGCAGTGCTTAGACTCAGTACCACCGGCCCAGAGCAAATCTGATGGACTGACTTCCGATCAATAGGTTTGATGGCCTTAGCAGGTTCTGTACTAAAGAAATCAGTTACAAGAAACAAAGCAAGTATTCAGCTATATATTTTCATCCTGATTTTAACTGTGGGAAATGACTCAACACTGCAAATAGTTTATGGGTCTAATCTATTCATTTATTATATTAACAAATACATTTATTATATCCAGAAATGGAAACATTGTTTTACAATCCTTAAACAAGTACCCAAAATACTTCTGGATAGACACTTCAAATTCAACACATCCTTACTATCTAGTATCCACATGGAGAAAACATACATTGTATCTCTCAAATTACCAAAATCTTTGGCAATAATGGTGTCTTCTTTCTTGAAAACTGAAAGCATGGCCGGTGCGGTGGCTCATGCCTGTAATCCCAGCAATTTGGGACACAGAGGCAGGTGGATCACTTGAGATCAGGAGTTTGAGACCAGCCTGGCCAACGTCGTGAAACCCTGTCTCTACCAAAAATACAAAAAATTAGCCAGGCATGGTGGTGGGCGCCTGTAATCCCAGCTACTTGGGAGGCTGAGGCAGAAGAATCACTTAAACCTGGGAGGCGGAGGTTGCAGTGAGCTGAGATTGCAGCATTGCACCCTAGGCTGGGCAATGAGCAAAAAAAAAAGTAAAAGCAACATAATTTCCCACATAATTAGAAAAACCAACAGTATGCTGGGAAATACACAATGTTTAAGTCAAAATCATCTCAGAAATTGGATACCAGTTATATAACTATTCCTTATACACAGTTGCCTTTGATACCCTACTCCAAATTGAAGCTGCCAGCTGCTGTCTTAGCAAAGACCCTCAAAGTTCTTGCTGTACTTGTTTTAAGAGGTTTTTTTTTTTTTTTTTTTTTTTTTTTTGAGACGGATTCTTGCTCTGTCGCCCTGTCGCCCAGGCTGGAGTGCAGTGGCACGATCTTAGCTCACTGCAAGCTCTGCCTCCCGGGTTCACACCATTCTCCTGCCTCAGCCTCCTGAGTGGCTGGGACTACAGGCGCCCACCACCATGCCCAGCTAATTTTTTGTATTTTTAGTAGAGACAGGGTTCCACCGTTTTAGCCAGGATGGTCTCGATCTCCTGACTTCGTGATCCGCCCGCCTCAGCCTCCCAAAGTGCTGGGATTACAGGCGTGAGCCACCATGCCCAGCCCACTTTAAGAGTTTTATAACGGTTTCATTTCCCCTTATTCCCTGCTCCAACCCATCCTCCACTCTATCACCAGAGCTATTTTTGAAATCACGAATCTGGTCAAATAATTTTTCTGCTTGAAAAATTACTAGTGCCCCACTTCCTACTATATGAAACTTAAAATCTAGTCATCACTGGGCCCCAAACTACCTTCTTTTCAGAATCTCTCTGATCCTTTCCCTTCATCAAGTCCCCTACATTATTATTATTATTATTATTATTATTATTATTATTATTATTATTATTTGAGACAGAGTCTCACCCTGTCACCTGGGCTAGAGTGCAATGGCATGATCTCGGCTCACTGCAACCTCCACCTCCCAAGTTCAAGTGATTCTCCTGTCTCAGCCTCCCAAGTTGCTGGGATTATAGGCATCCACCATTACACTCAGCTAATTTTTGTGTTTTTAGTAGAGATGGGGTTTCACCATGTTGGCCAGGCTGGTTTCTAACTCCTGACCTCAGGTGATCTGCCCGCCTTGGCCTTCCAAAGCACTAGGATTACAGGTGTGAGCCACCGCAACTGGCCGTCCCCTATATTGCAGCACAGTGAACAACTGTTTCCTGAACATCACAAGCTCTCTTAGACACTACAGTGTATAAGCAGGTCTCTGTCTAAACTGCTCTCCTCTTGCCCCTCTGCCCAACCAATGTCTGCTCATCCAAAGAATGTATCCCGTGTGTTCATTAACTTAGCAAGTTCCCAGTAAACAGTTTAATTGATCACTCGTTAAGAGAAGGCGGGAAACCTCCATGAAAAGAGAAATCAGTGGGTATTTCCTACAGCATTTAACACATCGTAGGCCTTCAATAAACCCTTGTGAAATAAACAAACCTCTTTACTCTTCATTCTATGTTGCTAAGAATCTCACCTAAGTCTGTCTACCATGTGAAACTGCAGATGACCTCACAGAAAATGGAAAGAAGTATCTCTAAAAATAAGTTTATTTGGCAACACACTACAGGCTACAGGTTCACTTCTGATTTTTTTTCTTTTTTTTTTTTTGAGATGGAGTCTTGCTGTGTTTACCCAAGACATGTTTTAGACTGTAAATTGGAGGCTGAAAAACATCATAACATCACTTTTGCCCTACTCAATGACTATCCTGTTACTAAGGTTGGGCCAAAATTAAAGGGGGGGTCATAGGCCCCCACCTCTTTTTTTATTTTCAGACAGGGTCTCCCTCCGCTGTCCAGGCTGGAGTGCAGGGGCGCAATCATAGCTCACTGCAGCCTTGACCTCCCAGGCTCAAGCAATCCTCCTGCTTCAGCCTCCCAAGTAGCTGGGACATGGGCATGCATCATCACAGCTGGCTAATTAAAAACATTTTTTTGTTGAGACGGAGTCTCGCTCTGTTGTCCAGGCTGGAGTGGAGTGGTGCGCTCTCGGCTCACTGCAACCTCTGCCTCCTGGGTTCAAGCAATTCTCCTGCCTCAGCCTCCTGAGTACCTGGGATTACAGGTGCCCAACACCACACCTGGCTAATTTTTTGTATTTTAGTAGAGACAGGATTTCACCATGTTGCCCAGGCTGGTCTCAAACTCCTCAGCTCAGGCAACCCGCCTGCCTTGGCCTCCCAAAGTGCTAGGATTACAGGCATGAGTGACCATGCCCAGCCTAAAAACTTTTTTTTAAGGGATGGGATCTTGCTAGGCTGCCCAGGCTGGTCTTGAAGTCCTGGCCTCAAGCAATCCTCCCACCTTGGCCTCCCAAAGTTCTAGGATTACAGGCGTGAGCCACCATGCCTGGCTGATCCTCACCTATTTTTTTGTTGTTGTTTGAGACAGGGTCTATCTCCATCTCCTCGGCTGGAGTGCAGTGGCTTGATCATGGCTCACTCCAGCCTCAACCTCCTGGGCTCAAGCAATGCTACCACTTCAGCCTCCCGAGTGGCTGCGACTACAGGTGTGCACCACCACACCCTGCTAATTTGTGTATTTTTTGTAGAGATGAGGTCTTGCTATGTTGCCCAGGCTAGTTTCAAACTCCTGGCCTCAGTCAATCCTCCCACCTTGGCCTCCCAAAGTGCTGGGATTATAGGTGTGAGCCACCACCTCTGGCCAGCTCCCACCTGTTGATCAAAGGAGCATCAAAGAATTTGCAGCCTCCAGAAGGAGGTCATTTCCTGCCTCTGAGTCTCAGTTTCCACATCTATGAAATAAAGTTAATGATCCTTCACTCCAGGGTTGTCGTGAAGGCTAAATTAAGTTGTATTTGGAAAAATATGTGGGGCACAGTAGGTGTGTTTCTCACACCCAGAGTCAGAGTGTTTAGCAGAGGGTTAGTAGTTGCCTCCAGGGCATGAAGGGCTCTTCCTGACCCTAAGTGTGAGGAACGCTTTGGGTTAAAAGATTGTACTTTTCTGCGTTCAGCTGAAAGGTGGAGGGCTCAGTGAGGTGGCTCACACCTGTAATTCCAATGCTTTGGGAGGCCGAGGTGGGAGGATCACTTGAGCCCAGGAGTTTGAGAGCAGCTTAAACAACACAGTAAGACCTTGTTTCTACACACACACACACACACACACACACACACACACACATTAGCCAGGCGTGGTGGCATGCGCCTGTAGTTCCAGCTACTTGGGAGGCTGAGGTGGGTGGATTGCTTGAGGCAAGGAGTTTGAGACAAGCCTGGTCAACACAGTGACACCCCATCATCCCCCAAAATCATTTTTCTTTGTTTTAAGGCAGAGCCTCACTCTATTGCCCAGGCTGGAGTGCAGTGGTGTGATCTCACCTCCTTGCAACCTCTGCCTCCCGGGTTCAAGCGATTCTTGTGTCTCAGCCTCCTGAGTAGCTAGGATTACAGGTGTGCACCACCATGCCTGGCTAATTTTTGTATTTTTAGCGGAGATGGGGTTTTGCCGTGTTGGTCAGGCTGGTCTTCAACTCCTGGCCTCAAGTGATCCGTCTGCCTTGGCCTCCCAAAGTGCTGGGATTACAGGTGTGAGCCACTGTGCCCAGCCACAATAAATCATTTTTAAAAGGTTAAATTTAACCTCATTTAAGTAATACATGTAAGTCTCATCGAATATTTGAAGCCAGTTTGTGAGGTAAAGTCTATTATTATGTGCATTTTAATTCTTAGCGTTTAATTAAAGCCTCATAAGTACAAATAAAAACAGGACTTGCTATAACAGGTTGCCACCTATTTTCTTTAAAGATGACGAGCAGCATCTTATTTGCGTTAACACAAGTCATCCACATAACAAATATAGATAAGAAAAGTGGCCAGGTGTGGTGGCTCATGCCTCTAATCCTAGTACTTTGGGAGGCCGAGGCAGACAGATCACTTGAGGTCAGGAGTTCGAGACCAGCCTGGGCAATATGGTGAAACCCCATCTCTATCAAAAATACAAATATTAGCCCGGCATGGTGGTGGGCGCCTGTAATCCCAGCTACTTGGGAGGCTGAGGCAGGAGAATTGCTTGAACCTGGAAGGCGAAGTTTGCAGTGAGCCAAGATCATGCCACTGCACTCCAGCCTGGGTGACAGAGCGAGACTCTGTCTCGAAAAAAGAAAAAAGAAAAGAAAAGAAAAGTAAGGCACTTAGAGGGTAAGTGGCTTCACTCGGTACTAAGTAGGGGAGTGTGGATTTGAGCCAAGCTGTGGGTTCAAACCACATCAACACCTGCTATGCCTGACTGCGTCTCCACGCTGCTGGGAAGGTTGACTGAATCTGCCACTACCTCCCTGGGGTGCATGTGCTTACCAAACCATTGCATTATGTAAAAGGCGGTACTGTAGGTTTTTAGTTTTTTAATTTTTATTTTTTTGAGATAGAGTCTCACTCTGTCACCCAGGCTGGAGTGTAGTGGCATGATCTTGGCTGACTGCAATCTCTGCCTTCCGGGTTCAAGCGATTCTCTTGCCTCAGCCTCCTGAGTAGCTGGGACTACAGGCCCACACCACCACGCCTGGCTAATTTTTGTATTTTTAGTAGAGACAGGGTTTCACCATGTTGGACATCATGGTCTCGGTCTCTTGGGCTCATTATCTGCCTGCCTCGGCCTCCCGAAGTGCTGGGATTACAGGTGTGAGCCACAGTGCCTGGCCTCTAGTGACCTCATTTTAACTTGATCACCTCTGTAAAGACTCTGGTTCCAATAAGGTCACCTCTAAGGTCTGGAGGGTCATGGCTTCAATACATGAATTAGGGGTGGGGGGCACACCATGCAGCCCATAATACTAGCGTATCTGGTTATGTTAAACTTGCTATAGCCACAGTCTCGCTGACTTGGATTATGGTGCCATGGGAAGGGCCCTTAAAGATCATCTTATCTGGTTGGGCTCAATGGCTCACGCGTGTAATTCCAGCACTTTGAGAGGCCAAGGCAAGAGGATCGCTTGTGACCAAGAGTTCAAGACCAGTCTGGGCAACAGAGCAAGATGCTATATCTACTACAGGCATGCACCTGTAGTCTCAGCTACTTGGGAGGCTGAGAGAAGAGGATTGCTTGAGCCCAGGAGGCAACAGAGAGCTGATTGTACCACTGCACCCCAGCCGAGGCAACAGAGAGCTGATTGTACCACTGCACCCCAGCCAAGGCAACAGAGACCTTGTCTCTAAAAAACAAAAACAGGCCGGGTGCAGTGTCTTATGCCTGTATTCCCAGCACTTTGAGAGGCAGAGGCGGGTGGATCATTTGAAGTCAGGTGTTCAAGACCAGCCTGGCAAACATGACGAAACCCTAAAATACAAAAATTAGCCGGGAGTGGTGGTGGGTGCCTGTAATCTCAGCTACTCGG
Organism: Homo sapiens; assembly: GCF_000001405.40. Taxonomy (NCBI): domain Eukaryota; kingdom Metazoa; phylum Chordata; class Mammalia; order Primates; family Hominidae; genus Homo; species Homo sapiens. The sequence continues at coordinate 73,087,731 of NC_000007.14, read as the reverse complement.
GAGGCTGAGGCAGGAGAATCGCTTGAACCTGGGAGGCAGAGGTTGCAGTGAGCCGAGATGGAGCCACTGCACTGCAGCCTGGGTGACAAGAGCGAAACTCTGTCTCAAAATATTAGGAAAAAAAAAGAGAGAGAGCCTCTTTTCCATCTCCCCGCCACAGAGTTGTCTTCAGTAATTTCATTCCCTTTTTTCCTGAGGATTCACTGGGTTTCTGGGTCCCAGAGGGGAAGTTCTCTTCAAGGTACAGAAACCACGACTCCGCAGAGAACCGCAGAGAACCGCAGAGATGGCAGCATGACCAGACCACGGACAGGTGTGTAGAAGCTGCTGGGCTGAAACTTGGGCTGAACTTCCGCTGCAGGTTGACTTATTCCCATCAGCACCAAAGCCGCTGGAGGGGGTCATCCACTAGCAAATGAAGTGGGGGCACGGATTGGAGGCTGTTTCAGAAGGTCCCACTGAGCCACGGACTCAAGGCCTGGCCACAGCCCTCCCAAGCGAGGCCCAGATCATATTTCACCACGCTCAGAAAACCTTGCCAGCTCATTTCAGTCCACAGTGACTTTGCTTTCTTTAGGATCTCTCTTGCACTGTCCAACTCAGAGAATTTCAAATCTGAATGGATTCCAATGATGGAGCTAAATCAGGCCTCACCTCAGTTTTTTAATTACAATCAATAGGGCTGGGTCCCAGCATCTGTGTCTTAATGTTCCTCCATGTGATCCTCATGCTGAAAGGCTGGTATTTGAAAATCCCTTTTTTTGGGGAGTGAAGGGTTTTTTTAGAGACAGGCCTCACTCTGATGCCCAGCCTGGAATGCAGTGGTGGATCACAGCTCACTGCAGCCTCGAACTCCTGGCCGCAAGAAATCCTCCCACCTTAGCCAACCAAAGTGTTGGGATTGCAGGAGTGACCACTGTGTCCAGCCAGGAAAGCCCTTCTGTTTCACTTGAATGATATTTCTGCCGCAGACCTACAGCCATTGTTGTATTAAACGGCATCATTGCAGGAAAAGAAAAGGTGAGAGGTGACTGTTTTGCTTTTTTCTGAACATATCAGACCAAACCTGGGCTGTCTGGCACTTTTTTTTTTTTTTTTTTTGAGTCGGAGTCTCACTCTGTCGCCCAGGCTGGAGTGTAGTGTCGTGATCTCGGCTCACTGGAACCTCCACCTTCCCGGTTCAAGTGATTCTCCTGCCTCAGCCCCACAAGTAGCTGGGATTACAGAAGTGCACTCCCACGCCCAGCTCATTGTTTCTGTATTTTTACAGAAAAACAGACAGGTTTCACCATGTTGGCCAGGCTGATCTCAACCTCCTCACCTCTGGTTATCTGTCGGCATCAGCTTCCAAAAGTGCTGGGATTACAAGTGTGAGCCGCCGCACCTGGTTTGCCCATTTTTTGACAATGTATCAACATCATCTAAGATGGGCACTGCCTCAGTGTAGTGTGTCTAGACAAGGTGGCCGGAACAGAGAGGAATATGCATACCAGGCTTAAAGACGGGTTAAATCAGAGCTTTTCATTCCACAAAAGAGCAATTTTAATGAGGTCAGAACATGGATGTTCTAATATTTGAAAGCCTGTTAACCAGGAGAGAGAGTAAAGTGATTTGTTGTAGGAGGACACACCCAGCTCTGACGGTTTAAAGCGTCATGAATGCAAATTTGAACTCCAGAAAAGCAGAGCTTCCTAACAATGGGACTTCCACAGCAATGGGATTTCCTTCCGCATTCAGTTTGTGCCTTTCCCATGAGCGAGAGACTCCTAGGAGAGCCGCAGCCCGTTAGGAAGCCATGTGGGAACTCATCCACAGGTTCTTTTTGTTTTTTTTGTTTTTTTTTTTTTTTTGAGATGTAGTTTTGCTCTTGTTGCCCAGGCTGGAGTGCAATGGTGTGACCTTGGCTCACTGCAACCTCCGCCTCCCAAGTTTAAGCCATTCTGCTGTCCCCGCCTCCTGAGTGGCTGGGATTACAGGCACCCACCACCATGCCTGACTAATTTTTTGTATTTTTAGAAGAGATGGGGTTTCACCATGTTGGCCAGGCTGCTCTTAAACTCCTGACCTCAAGCGATCCACCTGCTATGGCCTCCCAAAGCGCTGGGATTACAGGCGTGAGCCACTGTGCCTGGCCGGAACCCACAGGTTCTTTGGATGGTCTCTGAATGTCATGAAACTCTTTTATATTTAATTAAAAAAATTTTTTTGACACAAGGTCTTGCTGTGTTGCCCAGACTGGAGTGCGGTGTCACGATCACAGCTCACTGCAGCCCCTAACTCCTAGGCTCAAGCAATCCTCCTGCCACCTCAGTCTCTCAAGTTGTTGGAACACAGGTGCCAGCCACGACACCTGGCTAATTTTGTTTTGTTTTGTTTTGTTTTGTTTTAGAGATGGGCTCTTGCTATGTTGCCTATACTGGTCTTGAACTGCTGGCCTCAGGCAGTCTTCCTCCCTTGGCCACCCAAAGAGATGGGATTACAAGCATGAGCCACTGTGCACAGCTGAGATTTTTCGACTTAGTCTTTTTGTACACCCAGTATCTTATAGAATATCCATAATATAGATTCATAAATAAACCATTTCCTTCAATGGTATAAATAAATAAACCACTGCTATAAATGGTGGAATTTTCTGAGTTAAGAGCAATACATATGATACAAAACTTGATATATAGAGTTTCTTAGCCAAACTGGAGGGGCTGGCTTTAGGTGATCCGTGGACTCCCTGAAATTGGGGACACCATTGGAAATATGTGTGAACTCATGGGCAGTTTCCTATGATTTCCAGTCCTCAAAATATCTCTTGGACTCAAAGATGCCTTAGGGCAGAGGACGCGTGTACCCCCAGTACAGAATCTCGGACAGTGAATGTCAGTAGACACTCGGCAGAAAACCTCTGCCAAATTGAGTGCTCTGATGTGACTTTTTCATCAAGTCAATGTTCCTGGGATCTCTTGTACATGATAATCTCACTCTTGTAAGGTTTCATCGTTTCTGCTTACCCTACTTTTCTTTCCCATCCTGATCCCTCTCCCACCAGACTGGACTCTGAAACGGGCATGTACAGAGAAGAGGAGACCCCAACACGCTTCAAGCTTTGAGTGGAGAGGACACAGCCTCTGCTGGGACAGGGAACAGAGGGATGCGGAGACCCTGAAGATGCTTTTGGACAGTGGTCTGAGGTTGGGACAGTGGCAGGAGATACCATTCACCCAGGATCTCCAGGACAAGAGATCAGCCTGGCAGTTACATGTGTTTTTTTTCAAACTGGTTGCCAGGTTGGCATGAGCGATGACATCAGAGATTCCGACCTTCCTGATTGGAGGGACCGGACTCTGTCGGCACCTGGGAGTTCAGTTGGACAACAGTAACTTCTCAGAGCTGTTCTCCACTCCTGACTTCTCCCAGCCTCGAGAATTGATAACACACTCTTCTGGATCCCAGCAGTGTCCAGAAGAAGACCAAGGACAGAACAGAGACTAGGTTTGGTGAGATGGGACAGATTTTGGGAAAGATCATGATGAGCCATCAACCGCAGCCCCAGGAAGAGCGGAGCCCCCAGCGGAGCACCTCAGGGTACCCCCTCCAGGAGGTGGTGGATGATGAAGTGTCGGGACCATCAGGTGAGGGGACTGGAGGAAGAAGAGGTGGCATAGGATTGACTAAGATGAAGGAAGGGGGCCAGGCGTGGTGGCTCACCCCTGTAACCCCAACACTTTGGGAGGCTGAGGCGGGCAGATCACCTGAGGTCAGGAGTTCAAGACCAGCCTGGCCAACATGGTGAAACCCCATCTCTACTAAAAGTACAAAAATTAGCCAGGCGGTAGTGGTGTGTGCCTATAATCCCAGCTACTTGGGAGGCTAAGACAGGAGAATCACTTGAGCCTGGGAGGAAGAGGTTGCAGTGAGCCGAGATCGTGCTACTGCACTCCAGTCTGGGTGACAGAGTGAGATGCTATCTCAAAAAAAAAAAAAAAAAAAAAAAAAAAAAAAAAAAGAAGAAAAAAAAGAAGGGTCAGAGGTCAGGAAGGAGAACCTGGGGAGGGTGTGTGGGAAGAATGGAGAAATTCAGGCTGGGTGCAGTGGCTCACACTTGTAATCCCAGCACTTTGGGAAGCCAAGGCAGGCGGATCACTTGAGGCCAGGAGTTTGAGACCAGCCTGGCCAACATGGTGAAACCCTGTCTCTATTAAAAGTACAAAATGGAGCTGGGCATTATGGCAGGCACCTGTAATCCCAGCTACCTGAGAGGCTGAGGCAGGAGAATAACTGGAATCCGGGAGATGCATGTTGCAGTGAGCTGAGATTGCACCACTACACTCCAGCCTGGGTGACAAAGCAAGATTCTGTCTCGAAACAAAAAAAAAAAAAAAAAAAAGAGGGACTCAGAGAGCCAGGGACCAGGGAAGGATATGAGGCAGTGTTCTGAGGACAGAGAGAGGGAAGAATGGGGAGGGGAAGGAGTGGCACATGGGGTTGAGCAGAGGAGAAAGTCAGAAAGGTGGCTTGGAGAAGCCAGCAGTCTGCGAGGCTGGGGAGGATGGAGAGTGGTTTGGGGTTTGGGGTCGGGGTCTAACGTGATCAGTTGCAGAAGCATTACACGGTGGCCTGGTTTCTTTACTCAGCCCCTGGGGTAGATCCCAGCCCCCCACGTAGGTCCCTTGGCTGGAAAAGGAAGAGGGAATGTTTGGATGAATCTGATGATGAGCCAGAGAAGGAGCTCGCCCCTGAGCCTGAGGAGACCTGGGTGGCGGAGACGCTGTGTGGCCTCAAGATGAAGGCGAAGCGACGGCGAGTGTCGCTCGTGCTCCCTGAGTACTACGAGGCCTTCAACAGGCTGCTTGGTAGGAGGACACCCCAGAGAGCACCTCCAATCCTGTTCTTTCTAAAGAGGAAACTTCCAATAACCACACTTTTCCAATGGGAAAAATATGCCCCAGTGGGTGAGCTCTCCATGCGGGAGGACTCTGAAGTGATCACTCATGAGGGACACTTAAGGAGACAACAGAGGATTAGGTAGACTTGATAAAGGTCGGTGCTTGGGATAAGAAAGCTTGGTTTTGGGCCAGGCGCTGTGGCTCCCGCCTGAGATCCCAGCACGTTGGGAGGCTGAGGCAAGAGGATTGCTTGAACTCAGGACTTTGAGGCTGCAGTGAGCTATGACTGCACCACTGCACTCCAGCCTGGGTGACAGAGCAAAACTCTGCGTCAAAAGAAAAACCAAGGCTGGGCACAGTAGCTCATCCCTGTAGTTCCAGCTACTCGGGAGGCTGAGACAGGAGAACTGCTTAAACCCAGGAGGCAGAGGTTGCAGTGAGCCAAGATCAGGCCAATGCATTCCAGCCTGGCCCACAGAGCAAGACTCTGTCTCAAAATAAATTAATAAATAAATAAAAATAAAAATCAAATAAAGAAAAACAAAATCAAAAATCAAAAAAGTGGTTTCAGCTGTGCCCTCTGAAACTTAATGTTTCTTACTGACTTTGCTAAACCTAAGTGTCTCCATCCATAGTGGGGGATCCCAAGGCCATGGTCACACCCTGATGTGTGACTGTCTCATGAGGAAATGATGGGAATTCCTTTATGACTCTGCAGTGGTCCCTCCGTGTCTGCTGGAGGGGGTCCTGGCTGATTCCCAGCTCTACATCCTGTAGATTCTCACACCCAGGGCCTCCTTCGGCCTCTTCTCAGGGGAGTCTCAGAGCAGGAGCCTCTCTCCCTTGCCCAGTGAAAGTCATTCTCCCCTCTCTCATCCACCTCACCCGCGGCCACAATCCTGAGACTTTCCCCCGGGAGGCACACTTCTCCTCGCTGCCCTGCTGCTCTCACGGAAACCCTGTCCTGCTTCTCACACTGACATCTGCTCTCTAATCACAGAGGATCCTGTCATTAAAAGACTCCTGGCCTGGGACAAAGATCTGAGGGTGTCGGACAAGGTAAGGTTGTTCTCTATGTAACTGTGTTCCTGTTCTAACGCACGGCCAGGGGGAGGGCGCAGCTTCCAAACCCACAGTTCTCCGTCCACCACCTCCCACCAGATGCTCCTACAGTTTTTTTTTGTTTTTGTTTTTGTTTTTTTTTGTGAGACACAGTCTTGCTCTGCTGCCCAGGCTGGAGGGCAGTGTCTCGATCTTGACTCACTGCAGCTGATGCCTCCTGGGTTCAAGCGATTCTCCCACCTCAGCCTCCAAGCAGCTGGGATTACAAACATGAACCACCACGCCTGGCTAATTTTTGTGTTTTTAGTAGAGACGGGGTTTTGCCATGTTGGCCAGATTGGTCCCGAACACCTGACCTCAGGTGATCCACCCGCCTTGGCCTCCCAAAGTGCTGAGATTACAGACGTCAGCACTGTGTCTGACCAGCTCCCATGGTCTTGAGTCTTGGCACCCACACATTTTTTTTTCTGAGACAGAGTCCAGCTCTGCTCCCCAGGATGGAGTACAGTGGCATGATCATAGCTCACTCTAATTCCTGGGCTCAAGCAATCCTCTTTCCTTAGCCTCCTGAGGAGCTGGGACTAGGCACATGCTACCATGCTCAACTAATTTTTGAAATCTTCTTAGAAACAGGGTCTCGCTGTGTTGCCCAGGTTGTTCTCCAACTGTTGGGCTCACATGATCCTCCTGTCTCCACCTCTCAAAAAGTACTGGGATCACAGGCTTGAGCTGCCACTCCCGGCTATTCTTTGTCTTTTTATGATTTGTCAGCATCTCCGTCAGGATTCTGCTGGTCTCTTGCAGAGTGAATGAGTGGCCCCTGCCTCTCCTATGGGTCCTTTGGGATCTGAGCCCTGGGCCACAGTCTGGCTGCAGCCCTGAAGCTCCTGGGCCCTCTACTCTCAGCTCCTTGGGACAGTTCTCTGCCTGGCACACAAAAGACCCTCCTGACACCAGCCGACCTAGACACACCCCCTCCAAAGATCCCATCGGAGCCCACCATCCTGGGAGCATCACCAAAAACCCTTCCTCCGGCTTCTCGGATTTGCATCCGACCTTCGAATACCCCTCCACCCCGCAATTTCCACATGAGCACAGTCACCCCAACACTGAGGTCCCTTCTCTGATGGGCAACCCCTCCCCAGACCCCCATTCCACTATATCCACAATCTTCCTCTCCCAAGATGTGACCTCTCCCTCTCTGTGTTCCTTTCTCTCCATCAGTATCTCCTGGCTATGGTCATAGCGTATTTCAGCCGGGCCGGCCTCCCCTCCTGGCAATACCAACGCATTCATTTCTTCCTGGCTCTGTGAGTGGTTTGCTGCCTCCTATCCGTCAATATCCAATGCCCTGGGACAGCGGGGGAAGTGGGATTCCAGCCTTTCATTTATTCTTTCACCTATTTGTCCTCTTTACTCTGTGTACAAAAAAGACAGGATTATAGTCTCAAAAAAAAAAAAAAAAAAGAACAAAAAACAAAAGGAACCATGAACCGCTCCTAAGGGGAGAAGAAAAGGAGCGGAGGAGCGGACATGACACTTCCCCCAGCAAGCAGACGTTTCCGGTTGTTCTCTCTCCTTCCCACATCAACCGCAAAAGCCATCAGCCTCCTCCGGGTTCCCGTGACAGAGGTCACAGTCCAGGTCCCCCTTGCATCACTCGAATCCACTGTCAAATGCTCCCTGCTGGGGTTTCCTGGAGTCTCTCCCCAAGCCAGGGGGCTTCCTAGTGCAGCCTGAACATCTTTCCAAAGCACGACAACCTCACTGCCCACCTGAACAACTTCCTTAGCTGATGTCTTTCTCTATCGAGGCCAGGGTCCACAGTGCCAATTCCACCCTCTCTACAATCTCTACAACCACACTGGCTCGCCATCTTGGTGTTTCCTGGCTTGGCTTCACTGCTCCTTCCAAATGCCCTCCACTTGACTTTGCATTTGTGTTTTCTGTCTGGGTGTCCCGCACACATGTGGTTCTGAAGGGAAGGACCCATTCCTTGAAGTCGGTTCACCCCACAGCCTCTGTGATGCCTTCCCTCGTCTTCCAACTTCTGCATGCCCGTAGCTCTCCAGTTACATCCTATTATAATGTGACATTGGGATTAGGTCATCTCCCCTGATTACTCCCAGTCCCATTAGACTAGATGCCTGTAGAAGGCAGGGTCCTGGCAAAATATCAGTGTATTCAATTGCTTTTTTTTTTTTTTTGAGACAGACTTGCCCTGTCCCCTAAGCTGGAGTGCAGTGGTGAGATCATAGCTCACCGCAGCCTCCATATCCTGGGCTCAAGCGATCCTCCCACCTCAGCCTCTTGATTAGCTCCGACTACAGGGCTGTACCACCACACCTGGACAGTTATTTATTTATTTATTTATTTATCAAGACAAGAGTGTTGCTGTGTCTCTCAGGCTGGAATGGAGGGGCCCAATCTTGGCTCACTGCAACCTCCGCCTCCTGGGTTCACACAATTCTTATGCTTCAGCCTCCTGAGTAGCTAGGACTAATGGGTGTGCCACCGCACCAGGCTGATTTTTGTATTTTTAGTATAGATGGGGTTTCTCTGTGTTGACCAGGCTGGTCTCAAACTCCTGGTCTCAAGCAATCCACCTGCTTCAGCCTTCCAAAGCGCTGGGATTACAGGCATGAGCCACCACGTCTGGCGTATTTTTTATATTTTTAATAGAGACGAGGGTCTTGCTATGTTGCCCAGGCCTGTCTCAAACTCCTGGCCTCAAGTGATCCTCCTGCTTCGGCCTCCCAGTGTGCTGGGATTCCAGGCATAAGCCACCACTCTTGGTCACCAGTTGGGTTTTTGTCTCCATCCTGAAGGAGTGGGAGACGCCCTTGATCAGGTCTCTGTCCAGCAGAGCCCTCCTGAGGAAGGCGTGGCTCTCTGCAGGGTGGGTGCCAGTCCTGAGCTAGGGACGGTCCCTTACCTTCCTCTCTGAGAAGCTGACCTCAGCCGGAGGTCTCTCCTGGTGGTGCCCCTGAGCAGCAACCTGATTTCTGTCCTCAGCTATCTGGCCAATGACATGGAGGAGGACGACGAGGCCCCCAAACAAAACATCTTCTACTTCCTGTACGAGGAGACCCGCTCTCATATACCCTTGCTCAGTGAGCTTTGGTTCCAGTTATGCCGTTACATGAACCCGAGGGCCAGGAAGAACTGCTCTCAGATAGCCTTGTTCCGGAAGTATCGGTTCCACTTCTTTTGTTCCATGCGCTGCAGGGCTTGGGTTTCCCTGGAGGAGTTGGAAGAGGTGGGTGGGGCCTGGGGACGTGGAGGATGTGGGGAGGAATCGGGTGGGCTGGAGGCTGGACGAGGGGAGAGAGGGGTATCCTGGGGAGTCCCCGTCTTCTCAAAGCGCGTTTGTTTTTCCAGATCCAGGCTTATGACCCAGAGCACTGGGTGTGGGCGCGAGATCGCGCCCACCTTTCCTAGAGCTCCAGGGACCGTGGAGGCCTGAGGTCATCGGCCTGAGAGAAGGTACATCTGCATCCTCCGGGGTAAAGGCAGAATATTGGGGTCTATTTCGGAAATCCAAGGAACCCAATTGCTTGATCTGGCTTCAAGCCTGGGCAACGTGGCGAGATCCCCTCTCCACAAAAATACAAAAATTAGCCAGGCGATGTGGGAGGCATCTCTACTCCCAACTACTCAGGAGGCTGAGGCGGGAGGATCGCTGGAGCCTGGGAGGTCGGGGCTGCAGGGAGCCCTGATCCTGCCACTGCACTCCAGCCCGGGCGACAGAGTGAGACCCTGCCTCAAAAATAATCATAAATACTGAGTTCGGGGAGGTTCATTATGATTGATGCACTTGAGTTACCGATTTGGGTCGAGGGTTCAGTGAAGCTTTGGTTTACATCTTGTGCAGCTAACCATGTTGAGCACAGAGCATGAGACTTCGTCATGAGGAGGGAGGATTATGGATTAGGCTTCTGGACTCGTGGTTCGTGATGTTGTCACGTTAGAAACAGATCTAGCACGGTTACAAGTTTAGATCTGAAGTGACACAAAAGGCCCCAGCTGTGATGAAGTCCAAAGCCACATTCTCTGAGGGTGCCCTACTCCCTGGGAAGACCCACCCAAAGTCCTGGCTATGAAGCAGATCACTGGGGCTGACCTTGGGTGTATTAAGTTTTGGAGTCAGGGTCACCAAAGTGTGAGTTTCACAGTTGAACACGATGGTTCAGAAGCAGGGTATAGAATGAAAGGCAGGAGATAAAATTGCACTTCTCAATTGCTCTGAACTCTAGCTAGACTTGACATGGGACGTGAATAACCTTCCTGTCTAGAGAGCTGCCTCCTTGAAGTGTGACATTGTCTCTCTCACTTCCAGAACACCGGACCCAGGGGAGATGTGGATTTTCAGCAGGAACTTTATTCCAATGCTAATGGCAGACATCAGGAAGGAGGAGAGGAACCATTTGTGCAGATCATCTAGAAGAACCTGGACCATTCTTGACAGAGCTGAATACAGTGATCACGTTGTCCTCCAAGGAGCAGGGGTGGGGTGGGGTACTTCTAGGAGTCCTTGGAGAAAAGTAAGAAACCAGGAGTGTTTCCAGTTCCACCCTTTCCTGCGGCACCACCTCCCTTTTTATATTGCTGAATGCCAACCTCCCTGGGGCGGAACCTGGAGGTCCTGTTTCTTATGGACTTGGTTGTCACAGTCCAGGAGCATTTGAAGGCACAGTGCAGGGGCTCAGATTGGCACAGAATTCTTTGTGAAATATGAGTGCCACAGACTGTAACAGATAGCTTCATGCACACTATGCATTTTATTGGTTTGTTTGGAAAATGTTGGCCATTGAATTATTAATAGGTTTATTTCAAATAGTTTGGAAATTGTTGTACTTTTGAAAACATGCTGTTCCTGTAGAGTTTTTTGATGAGAGTTATAGTTGTTATATATACCTAAAGATAATTTTCTTTTCATTTTTAAGTGAGAATTCTTTTTATCCTAAATCTTTTATTATCTTTAATTTTTTTTCTGTATTATTATATGTGCTCCTGAAGCGAGCACTCTTTTTATCTATGATACTTCCATAATAATCTCTTCTATTTATAGCTATTGGTAGTTCCCCACCAGAAAAAAACATAATTCTGGTGATAGAAATTTTTATTTGCTGTTTAGGTTTGTGACTGACTTGTGAGAATTCAGTTGTGATTTTTAACATGTCTCAGATATATATACTAACACGTCTAATATATACTATCTATTTTATTGGTTTATTTTGAAAAACATGGGTATAGAATTATTTAAATATTATTTTATTTACTGAAATATTTATTAAATATATTTATTTATTTAAATATTATTATTACTTTAAATATTATTTTAAATATTTTGGAAATACTGGTATTTTTGAATAGATGCTGTTTCTATAAAGCTGTGTGATGGGTATTATAACTGTTGTATACACATACATATAATTTTGTTTTCCTTTTTAAGAGAGGATTCTTTTCATCCTAAATCTTTTACCTTTCAATCTTTGTATCTATTATTACACGTGCTGCTGAAGGGAGCATGGTTTTTATCTATGATACTTAGTTAACATATATATTACATTTATAGCTATGTGGTAGTTCCCCTAAATTCTTGTAAAAATAAATTTTTATTTGATATTTAGTGTATGTTTGAAATGTGAGAATTCAGATGGAATTTTTTATCTTGTTTTGGCATGTTTGTATGTTACTTTAAAGAGGATGTGTGTTCTAAAGGAGGACATGAGCTGTGTGTTTTCAAGAGAACAGTGCAGTGCATCTCTTGGGGAAACATAATAAAGATGAACTTTTCTCACCTTCACAGTGAGTGTGATCATATTGTGGTCTGGATTGATTATTTGCTGTCAAGTGACATTTTTCCTTAATGGGGTTGTGGTTATTTGAACATATTTATTAGCTTTGGAAGATAATCCTGTGCTGTTTTTTATGTAGAAAAAAACATACGGCTGGGTGCAGTGCTCACACCTACAATCCCAGCAGTTTTGGAGGTCATGGCGGGAGGATCACTTGAAGCCTATTTTTAATTTTTATTTTTTAAAGAAAAACAACAGAAGAGAAGGCTGATCCCAAGCTACAGGGTTTTTTTGTTTGTTTGTTTGTTTGTTTGTTTTGGAGACAGTCTCGCTCTGTCTCCCAGGCTGGAGTGCAGTGGCACAACCTCGGCTCCCTGCAACTTTCACCTCCGCGTTCAAGCAAATTCTCCTGCCTCAGCCTCCCAAGTAGCTGGGACTACAGGCATCCGCCTGTACGTCTGACTAACTTTTGTAAAAATAGTAGAGACAAGGTTTCACCATGTTGGCCAGGCTGGTCTCAAACTCCTGACCTCAAGTGATCCACCCGCCTCAGTCTCCCAAAGTGCTGGGATTATAGGCATGAGCTACTGTGCCCAGACCCCAAGCTAGAGTTTTAAAGCAGGAAATGAGAGAAAGATATTGAGAGAGGAAAACCAGGTGGTAAGAAAACTCTAAAGGTGGCTGGGCGTGGTGGCTCACGCCTGTGATCCCAGCAGGAGTTCGAGACCAGGCAGGAGAATCACTAGCAGAGAATATGTCTCCCCAACCCCTCTCAAAAAAAAAAAAAAAAGTCCAGGCGCGGTGGCTCAGGACTGTAATCCCAGCACTTTGGGAGGCTGAGGTGGGTGGATCATGAGGTCAGGAGATCAAGACCATCCTGGCTAATACGGTGAAACCCCATCTCTGCTAAAAATACAAAAAATTAGCTGGGCGCGGTGGCAGGCGCCTGTAGTCCCAGCTACTCCGGAGGCTGAGGCAGGAGAATGGTGTGAACCCAGGAGGCGGAGCCTGCAGTGAGCAGAGATCGCGCCACTGCACTCCAGCCTGGGTGAAAGCGCGAGACTCCATCACAAAAGAAAAAAAAAAAAAGAAAGTTCCTGCAACAGTTCAAGCTGTGAAAGACAGGCACTCTGCCATGCAATTCTTTGTGATTTTTCTTTTTTATTTTTGGAGTCGGGGTCTTGTGCTGTCACCCAGACTGGGGTGCAGTGGTGCGGTCATAGCTCACTGTGGGCTCAGACTCAAGCTCAAGCAATCTTCTTATCTTGCCTTTCTAATTGCTGGGATTATAAGCATGAGCCACTGCACCTGGCCTGTGTGACGTAATTCTGATGTCAACTCCCTGATGTTACATCAAATGCCACAGGTTAAGGCCACCAGCCCCCGCTAGGCTGCCCTCGCTTCAGATGCAGCTGCAAGCTTGGGTGTCCACAGACCGCATGTACTTCTCACCAACTGGCTGCAAATTTGGAGGTTCCCACCACGTCCTCAGGTTTGATAATTCACCATAACAACCCACAGAACTCTGAAAAGCATGATACTTTCTCTTTCTTTATTTGAGACAGAGTCTTGCTCTGTCACCCAGGCTGGAGTGCAGTGGCCACCATGCTTGGCTAATTTTAGTATTTGTATTAGAGACAGGGTTTCGCCATGTTGGCCAGGCTGGTCTTGAACTCCTGACCTCAGGTGATCCACCCACCTTGGCCTCCCAAAGTGCTGGGATTACAGGCATAGCCACTGTGCCTGGCTGACTTCTAGAGTTTCAATAACAGAGATGTGGTTCAAGAAGAAAAGGGAGACATGTTTTGTAGACAGCAGGAGCTTCATGAAAAGAAGCCAATGAAGGGCAGGATGTGTAGCTGTCTACCTACAGGAAACCAGCCAGGAGCCTCCCCACAGGGACTTCAGCACAGATGGCCGGGAAAATCTGCATTCACCTGAGCTCTGGACCTAAGAGAGGACAAGGCCTTGACTGTTTCTACAGACTCACAAGATGCAATCTCTGCGGTCCATGCCCGTGGTGTGATCTGGGAAACAGGGGGCCTTCTAAATGCCAACAACAAGGAAATCAAATGTGCAACAGACAGAAATATCGGCATTGACACGGGCCATGGAGAGGCCTAAACAGATGACTGCAGTCCACTGCCAAGGTCATCAAAGGGGTGACTCTGAAATAAGAAATTTCAGACGCCACGGCCCAAATAGCTGCACGAGGTGGGGAAGTCCTCCACATGCCTCTGCTTCCTTCAGTACCTCTTCATGAAATAAGCCGAGGTACTTCCCTGGGGAATTTCCTTTCTCTTTCTTTCTTTCGAGACGGAGTCTTGCTCTGTCGCCCAGGCTAGAGTGCAGTGGCGCGATCTCGGCTCACTGCAACCTCTCCCTCCCGGGTTTTGGCAATTCTTCTGTCTCAGACTTCTGAGTAGCTGAGATTACAGGTGTGTGCCACCATGCCCAGCTAATATTTGTATTTTCACTCGAGACAGGGTTTCACCATCTAGGCCAGGCTGGTCTTGAACTCCTGACCTCATGATCCACCCATCTTGGCCTCCCAAAGTCCTGGGATTACAGGCACGAGCCACCACACCCAGACTTCTTTTTTTATTTTTTGAGATGAAGTTTCGCTCTTGTTGCCCAGGCTGGAGTGCAATGGCGAGATCTCAGCTCACTGCCACCTCCTCCTCCTCCCAGGTTCAAGTGATTATCCTGCCTCAGCCTCCCGAGTAGCTGGGATTACAGGCACCCAACACCAAACCCCGCTGACTTTTTGTATTTTTAGTAGAGATGGAATGTCACCATGTTGGCCAGGATGGTCTTGAACCCCTGACCTCTAATGATCTACCCGAATTGGTCTCCCAAAATGCTGGGATTACAGGCGTGAGCCACTGTGCCCAGCCCCTCCCATACCTCTTTTGGCCAAGGCAGTACAATTCAGAGAATCTTGCCAGGGAAGACTGGTAAATGGACATCAACATGATGCCTATGGCTCCTGGTGGATTTAGATACCTCCTGGTGCTTACTGATACCTTTACCAGTTACATGGGGGCTTTTCCATGCCAGACTGAAAATGCTGGAGATCACTGATCAACCTTCAACTATTTACTAGCAGAACACTGAGGGGACTCTGCAGTCACCAATATCTCCTATTGCACTTGGATAAACACCTCCCGGGAAATAGAGATGAATAGAAAGGAAATACTTAAACAAGCAGAATGGCTACATTCCTTCAACCAGAAGGGTCCATTAGTCTGTTTTCACACTGCTATAAAGAACTACTGGAAACTGGGGAATTTATGAAGAAAAGAGGTTTAATTGACTCACAGTTTTGCAGGCTGTACAGGAAGCATGGCTGGGGAGCCCTCAAGAAACTGACAATCACGGCAGAAGGCGAAGGGGAAGCAGGCACGTTTCTGGCCATGGTGGAGCAGGAGAGACAGAGAGAGTGAAGCAGGAGGTGCTGCATGCTTCTAAACAACCAGATCCCATGAGCGCTCACTCACTATCACGAGACCAGCAAGGGGGACGTCAGCCGCCATGAGCCAATCATCTCCCACCAGGTCCCTCCCTCAACACTGGGAATTGCAATTGGACATGAGATTTGGTTGGGGATACAGAGCTGAACCATATCAAGGGTAGTTCAACCACTGAGATTGATTGATTGACTGAGATGGGGTCCTGCTCTGTTACCTAGGCTGGAGTGCAGTGGCACAATCTCGGCTCACTGCAACCTCCGCCTCCCAGGTTCAAGCAATTCTCCTGCCTCAGCCTCCCTAGTAGCTGGGACTACAGCACACGCCACCACACCTGGCTAATTTTTGTATTTTCAGTAGAGACGGGGTTTCACCATGTTTGCCCGGCTGGTCTTGAACTCCTGACCTCGTGATCACCCTGCCTCGGCTCTTCTTTTGCTGGAATTACAGGCGTGAGCCACCGCACCCGGACAACCACTGAGATTTAGAAGGCAGTCGAGTCCACTATACCACACCTCACCTGGTTTCTTCCTCTGTTGGGGCCCCTCGTGGCCACTGTTCTGTTACTTTTTGGTCCTATTTATTTAAATGGATGGTGAGCTGTTTGTCCTCCAGGATCCAACACTTCCACCTTCAGCTTGTATTACAACAATACCAGCCTTTCAAGCTACTCCGGGTGACCCCAGAACTCATCTGAACTCAGAAGCCCAAGAGTTTCATTCCTCTCACTTTAGGGGACTAAGTGCCCCTGGTCAGCATGAAGTCGATACAGAAGCATGACCTCCATCCCTAATCCCTCAAGAATGAGGAGTGGAAGGTGTTGGCAGGAGGGTGGGACGCGGTTTGTAAATCTGTAACTGCATCAGACCAAATCTAGTTCAACTTTTTTTTTTTTTGATGGAGTTTCACTCTTGTCACCCAGGCTGGAGTGCAATGGCACGATCTCAGCTCACTGCAACCTCCACGTCCTAGGTTCAAGCATTCTGCTGCCTCAGCCTCTGGGGTAGCTGGGATTACAAGGGTGCGCCACCACGCCTGGCTAATATTTATATTTTTAGTAGAGACGGGGTTTCACCATTTTGGCCAGGCTGGTCTTGAACTCCTCGACCTCAGGTGATCCACCTGCCTTGGCCTCCCAAAGTGCTGGGATTACAGGCGTGAGTCACCGCACCCGAATCAGTTCAACTTTTATGTAATGAAGTTGTCAGTTGTTTTCCAATTGCCATCGACCTGCAGGTTGAAGGTCATGTACCCTGTGCATGCCCAGGTTAACCACGCGTGCCACCGTGGAGTGGAACCTAAGAGCTCAGCCTGAAGAGCTCGGACCGATTTAAGAACCAGACACCCCCAGGCAGGAGCCAGGATCCAATCAGATTGAGTTTTGGTGTCACCCCATGGCAGGATCCAGTCAGATCACACCTCCCAGCATTACTTTATTGCAAGATCCAATCAAATCACACCTCATTACCCTATGCTTATAAAACCTGACACAGCCCCCAGCTGTGTAAGGGAGATTTGAGTACTTCCTCCTGTGTTCTTGCTGGCTGACTTACAAAAAAGCTTTAAAAAAAAAAGCCAGGCGTGGTGGCTCACGCCTGTAATCCCAGCACTTTGGGAGGCTGAGGTGGGCAGATCACTTGAGGTCAGGGGTGCAAGACCAGCCTGGCCAACATGGTGAAACCCCATCTCTACTAAAAATACAAAAATTAGCTGGGTGTGGTGACACACACCTATAATCCCAGCTACTTGGGAGGCTGAGGTAGGAGAATCACTTGAACCCAGGAGGCGGAGGTTGCAGTGAGCCAAGATCACACCACTGCACTCCAGCCTGGGCGACAGAGTGAGAAGACTCCGTCTAAAAAAAAAAGTTAAAATTAGCACCAAACGCTTTACAAGTAAAAAAAGTTTTTAGCTGCATATGTTTAAGTAACTTTTTAGATTATAAGAAATACGCATGCAAAATGGAAAGGCACAAAGAAGAGAGCAAAAAGTGCATGAGATCTCACATCCAAGGATAACCGCTGAGAACATGGAAGTGCTGACTCTTCAGTCTTTATACTATACACATTTAGGCCTGTTTTGTTTTTATAAAACTGTAATCATATAATACAGACAGTTTTATAATCTGCTTTTTAAACACAACAATTATATAACATTTAGCTGTTTCATTTGCATTCAAATTCATAAGGGTTCCAGTAACTCATTTATCAGAAAACCAAGAGAAATATTCTCATAAAAATATAAGTACATAAGGTCAGGCATGGTGGCTCACGCCTGTAATCCCAGCACTTTGAGAGGCCGAGGTGGGCGGATCACCTGAGGGCAGGAATTCAAGACCAGCCTGGCCAGCCTGGACAACATGGTGGAACCCCGTCTCCACTGAAAATACAAAAATTAGCCGGGCGTGGTGGCGCGCGCCTGTAATGGTAGCTACTCAGAAGGCTGAAGCAGGAGAATCGCTTGAACTTGGCAGGTGGAGGTTGCAGTGAACTGAGATCGCGCCACTGCACTGCAGCCAGGGCGCCAAAGTGAGACTCCATCTCAAAAAAAGATAAAAATAAAAAATAAAAAAAATGTATATATATGTATATATATTTTTCCAGACAGGGTCTTACTCTGTCTCACAGTCTGAAGTGTAGTGACGCAATCATAGCTCACTGCAGTCTCAAGTTCCTGGGCTCAGGTGATCCTCCCACTTCAGCCTCCCAAGTAGCTGGAACTACAGGTGCATGCCACCATGCCCAGTCAATTTTTTTTTTAATTTTTCATAGAGACAGAGTCTCACTATGTTTCCCAGTCCTAATAAACATTATGTGATAAAAAGAAAAAAGTAAATCATCCTGAAGTTAAGTCTTTAATGAGAAATGCAAATAAAGCATTTCTCAATAAATTATGGGAAGAGAATCAACTGAAGAATAAACATCTTTAGTAAATCTTTTGCTCACGTGCATTAACCAATACTCTTGAAAACCAGGATTAATTTACTGTACCTTCTTAATATTCCTTTGAAATTCCTTATGGCGCACAGGTAGCGTAGAAAATAACTGCTTCACGCTGACTGTGGTCCCTCTGGGGTGGGGGTAGGGGGTTTTCTGGATGATTTTCCCATCGTGATCAAACACCAGTCGAGTCCCAACCTTCGCCGATACGTGGCAGGTAGAAATGGTGACATCACTGTGAGAGAATACCAGGCATGGTGTGTTCAGTGAGAGATCCATGATGTTGGGCACTGACTACTCTTTTCTTCACTTGCTTTTCTCTCAAAATTTTCTTAAAAAGCTGATGATCCCTCTGAGATAACCGAGATCTAAACGGTTGAGGAGTCATCACAAAATCTAAGGTCTGGCATCTAAAAGACAGTGAGACAGAGAGCACTAAACATGCTTTGTTTTGATAAAAGCTTTGACTTCATTTTTCAGGTTGAATTGCAAAACCATAAATGATCTCAAGATTTATTGATTCTCAAATAGAGATTTGTTTTGTTATTACTCTTCAAACAAAATTTTTTAAAAGAATTTTTTTAAAGAATTTTTTAAAATTTTTAAAATTTTTTTTAAAGAATCCAAAAGATATTATAATTAAAATGTATATGTAGGGCAGGGTGCGGTGGCTCGTGCCTGTAATTCCAGCACTTTGGGAGGCCAAGGAGGGCAGATCACTTGAGGCCTGGAGTTCCAGACCAGCCTGGGCAACATGGCAAAACCCCATCTCTACTAAAAATACAAAAATTAGCCAGGAGTGGTGGTGCACGCTATAGTCCCAGCTCTTCAGGAGGCTGAGTCACGAAAGTCACTTGAACCTGGGAGGCAGAGACTGCAGTGAGCTGAGACTGTGCCACTGCACTCCAGCCTGGGTGACAGAGTGCGACTCTGTCTAAAAAAAAAAAAAAATATATATATATATATATGTATATATATGTATATATATATACGTATATATATATGTATATATATATGTATATATATATGTATATATATATGTATATATATGTATATATATGTATATATATGTATATATGTATATATGTGTATATATATGTATATATGTATATATGTATATATATATGTATATATGTATATATGTATATATATGTATATATATATGTATATATATATATATGTATATATGTATATATGTATATATATGTATATATGTATATATATGTATATACATGTATATATATGTATATATATGTATATATATGTATATATATGTGTGTGTGCATGTAATTATTTATAAAAATTTAGTATCTGTGCTGTAATTAAATAGTGCTTTGGTGAAATGTTTCCCTAAAAATTGATAATGAAAACCAATGGTAACTATCATTTATTATCTATATGTTATGTTCAAATTGAGAAGTTACTGTTTTAATAAGGGTAACCAATTTTTTAAACAATACTATTTGCTTCATTTCATTCATTTATTGCTCACATTTCAGAAGTACTAGGACTTAGATTGGCAGTGAGACAAAACAGAATTCAGAAGCTAGAAGCTGAGATATTGAGATAGAAAATTGTAAATAATAATGATTCCAATTAATTTTCAGAGAGGTTTTTCTAAGGGGTCAAGTGAATGGATAAAAATATTTTCTCACCTCAGTGCACAAAGTGAGCTCAGAGCTTTCCCCCGAAAGCCAAAAGTTTCAACCCGAGTTAGGTCGGCAAACTCTCGAATCTTAGATGTGTGATGTTTCAGAGCTGAAAGAGACTGTAAAGTAAGGACTAAGATATCTCAAGTGCTATAACAACAAATATACATGATATCTAGTAACTGGCTTTAAAAAACTGTTTTTGTGTTTCCCAAGACAGTGTTACTCAAAATTCTAAGACATGTGGCCCAATTATTTTGTAATAGGATTAGAAAGTTAACTTACTTAAGCCTTCGAAGTTTTCTTCTTCTACCCCACATCCATTGCCTGAAACTTCAATGAGATCCATTCCATAGTCCTTAAGCTTTAGATCTAGAAAGTTTAAAATATTTATATATTTATTAAAAATGGACCCACGCTATCAGTTTTTATATTGATATTATTTATAACGTGCAAATTTAAGTGTCGTAACTATACCTTTAGTTAAACATACTAGTGTCATTTTGTATATTTCATTTTTATAAAGTTCTTTCTGGCCATTTACTAGCCCAGATTAAATAGTTTAGCATTTTCTTTCTTTCCTCTTTTTTTTTTTTTTTTCCTTACACTAGTCAAGTGAAGCAGTTGGAGTGGAGAAGGAACAAAAAAATCTGTAACTGGTTGTGATCAATTAGTTGTAAAGACCGTTGCACTTTGACCAGCCTTTTCCTTTGAAAGAAATAATTTTAACATACCCAGTAAGGAGAACGGGGGCCGGGCGCAGTGGTTCATGCCTGTAATCCCAGCACTTTGGGAGACCAAAGCGAGCGGATCACCTGAGGTCAGTAGTTCGAGACCAGCCTGACCAACGTAGAGAAACTCTATCTCTACTAAAAATACAAAATTAGCCAGGCGTGGTGGTGCATGCCTGTAATCCCAGCTACTTGTGAGGCTGAGGCAGGAGAATCGCTTGAACCTGGGAGGTGGAGGTTGCAGTGAGTTGAGATCGTGCCATTGCACCGCAGCCTCGGCAACAAGAGCAAAACTCTATCTCAAAAAAAAAAAAAAGAAAAAAAAACAGAACTGGTTCTGGAATCAGACTTCCTAGATTCTATTTTATTAGCTTTATAATCTCAAAAAAAGGAAATTTACTGTCCCTTAATTTCCTCAACTGTAAAATGGAGGTAATAAGTTCTATCTCATAAAGTTATTTGGCAGATTAATAATTTTTTTTTAATTTTGTCATTTTCTTTTTTTTCTTTCCTTTTTTTTTTTTTTTTTTTAATTTTTTGAGATGGACTTTTGCTCTTGTCACCCAGGCTGGAATGCAGTGGCACAATCGATCTTGGCTCACTGCAACCTCCACCTCCCAGGTTTAAGCAATTCTCCTCCCTCAGCCTTCTGAGGAGCTGAGATTACAGCCATGCACCATCACATCTGGCTAATTTTTGTATTTTTAGTAGAGACAGGGTTTTACCACGTTGGTTAGGCTGGTCTTGAACTCCTGACCTCAAAGCATCAGCCCCCCTCAGCCTCCCAAAGTGCTGGGATTACAGATGTGAGCCACTACTCCAGGATTTATTTTATTTTATTTTATTTTATTTTTTTGAGACAGAGTCTTGCTCTGTCCCCAGGCTGGCGTGCAGTGGCACAATCTCGGTTCACTGCAACCTCCACCTCCCAAATTTAAACAATTCTCATTCCTGAGCCTCCCCAGTAGCTGGGATTACAGGCTTCTGCCACCAGGTCTGGCTAATTTTTGTATTTTTAGTAGAGACAGAGTTTCACCATTTTGGACAGGCTGGTCTCGAATTCCTGACCTCAGGTATCCACCCGCCTTGGCCTCCCAAAGTGCTGGGATTACAGGCGTGAGCCACCACACCCGGCCTGCTTTATTTTTTAATAGAGACGAGGTCTCCCCATGTTGGCCAGGTTGGTCTTGAACTCTTGGCTTCAAGCAATCCCCCCACCTCAGCCTCTCAAAGGGCTAGGATTACAGGCGTCAGACACCACGCCCAGCTATTCTGCAAATTAAATGAGATATTTCTGTGCAATTCTTAGCATAACACCTGCCTGGCACACCATAAGAACACAAGAAAAGCTGTCGTTATTATTATTACTACCTAGCTAAGTACTAGGCACATAATAGGTGCTAACTTTAACTTAAAAATAATAGTTTATTACTACATCAACACTTGATAGTCTTATTTCAATAACAAATGTTTCTTGACTACAACAACATTCACTGATCATTTCTTGTGGCTTAAAACTCTCCCAAACTTACCAATATTAGTGGCACCAGCATCCAGACTGTTTCCTACTATCTTCTTCACCGCAGTGCTTAGACTCAGTACCACCGGCCCAGAGCAAATCTGATGGACTGACTTCCGATCAATAGGTTTGATGGCCTTAGCAGGTTCTGTACTAAAGAAATCAGTTACAAGAAACAAAGCAGGTATTCAGCTATATATTTTCATCCTGATTTTAACTGTGGGAAATGACTCAACACTGCAAATAGTTTATGGGTCTAATCTATTCATTTATTATATTAACAAATACATTTATTATATCCAGAAATGGAAACATTGTTTTACAATCCTTAAACAAGTACCCAAAATACTTCTGGATAGACACTTCAAATTCAACACATCCTTACTATCTAGTATCCACATGGAGAAAACATACATTGTATCTCTCAAATTACCAAAATCTTTGGCAATAATGGTGTCTTCTTTCTTGAAAACTGAAAGCATGGCCGGTGCGGTGGCTCATGCCTGTAATCCCAGCAATTTGGGACACAGAGGCAGGTGGATCACTTGAGATCAGGAGTTTGAGACCAGCCTGGCCAACGTCGTGAAACCCTGTCTCTACCAAAAATACAAAAAATTAGCCAGGCATGGTGGTGGGCGCCTGTAATCCCAGCTACTTGGGAGGCTGAGGCAGAAGAATCACTTAAACCTGGGAGGCGGAGGTTGCAGTGAGCTGAGATTGCAGCATTGCACCCTAGGCTGGGCAATGAGCAAAAAAAAAAGTAAAAGCAACATAATTTCCCACATAATTAGAAAAACCAACAGTATGCTGGGAAATACACAATGTTTAAGTCAAAATCATCTCAGAAATTGGATACCAGTTATATAACTATTCCTTATACACAGTTGCCTTTGATACCCTACTCCAAATTGAAGCTGCCAGCTGCTGTCTTAGCAAAGACCCTCAAAGTTCTTGCTGTACTTGTTTTAAGAGGTTTTTTTTTTTTTTTTTTTTTTTTTTTTGAGACGGATTCTTGCTCTGTCGCCCTGTCGCCCAGGCTGGAGTGCAGTGGCACGATCTTAGCTCACTGCAAGCTCTGCCTCCCGGGTTCACACCATTCTCCTGCCTCAGCCTCCTGAGTGGCTGGGACTACAGGCGCCCACCACCATGCCCAGCTAATTTTTTGTATTTTTAGTAGAGACAGGGTTCCACCGTTTTAGCCAGGATGGTCTCGATCTCCTGACTTTGTGATCCGCCCGCCTCAGCCTCCCAAAGTGCTGGGATTACAGGCGTGAGCCACCATGCCCAGCCCACTTTAAGAGTTTTATAACGGTTTCATTTCCCCTTATTCCCTGCTCCAACCCATCCTCCACTCTATCACCAGAGCTATTTTTGAAATCACGAATCTGGTCAAATAATTTTTCTGCTTGAAAAATTACTAGTGCCCCACTTCCTACTATATGAAACTTAAAATCTAGTCATCACTGGGCCCCAAACTACCTTCTTTTCAGAATCTCTCTGATCCTTTCCCTTCATCAAGTCCCCTACATTATTATTATTATTATTATTATTATTATTATTATTATTATTATTATTATTATTTGAGACAGAGTCTCACCCTGTCACCTGGGCTAGAGTGCAATGGCATGATCTCGGCTCACTGCAACCTCCACCTCCCAAGTTCAAGTGATTCTCCTGTCTCAGCCTCCCAAGTTGCTGGGATTATAGGCATCCACCATTACACTCAGCTAATTTTTGTGTTTTTAGTAGAGATGGGGTTTCACCATGTTGGCCAGGCTGGTTTCTAACTCCTGACCTCAGGTGATCTGCCCGCCTTGGCCTTCCAAAGCACTAGGATTACAGGTGTGAGCCACCGCAACTGGCCGTCCCCTATATTGCAGCACAGTGAACAACTGTTTCCTGAACATCACAAGCTCTCTTAGACACTACAGTGTATAAGCAGGTCTCTGTCTAAACTGCTCTCCTCTTGCCCCTCTGCCCAACCAATGTCTGCTCATCCAAAGAATGTATCCCGTGTGTTCATTAACTTAGCAAGTTCCCAGTAAACAGTTTAATTGATCACTCGTTAAGAGAAGGCGGGAAACCTCCATGAAAAGAGAAATCAGTGGGTATTTCCTACAGCATTTAACACATCGTAGGCCTTCAATAAACCCTTGTGAAATAAACAAACCTCTTTACTCTTCATTCTATGTTGCTAAGAATCTCACCTAAGTCTGTCTACCATGTGAAACTGCAGATGACCTCACAGAAAATGGAAAGAAGTATCTCTAAAAATAAGTTTATTTGGCAACACACTACAGGCTACAGGTTCACTTCTGATTTTTTTTCTTTTTTTTTTTTGAGATGGAGTCTTGCTGTGTTTACCCAAGACATGTTTTAGACTGTAAATTGGAGGCTGAAAAACATCATAACATCACTTTTGCCCTACTCAATGACTATCCTGTTACTAAGGTTGGGCCAAAATTAAAGGGGGGGTCATAGGCCCCCACCTCTTTTTTTATTTTCAGACAGGGTCTCCCTCCGCTGTCCAGGCTGGAGTGCAGGGGCGCAATCATAGCTCACTGCAGCCTTGACCTCCCAGGCTCAAGCAATCCTCCTGCTTCAGCCTCCCAAGTAGCTGGGACATGGGCATGCATCATCACAGCTGGCTAATTAAAAACATTTTTTTGTTGAGACGGAGTCTCGCTCTGTTGTCCAGGCTGGAGTGGAGTGGTGCGCTCTCGGCTCACTGCAACCTCTGCCTCCTGGGTTCAAGCAATTCTCCTGCCTCAGCCTCCTGAGTACCTGGGATTACAGGTGCCCAACACCACACCTGGCTAATTTTTTGTATTTTAGTAGAGACAGGATTTCACCATGTTGCCCAGGCTGGTCTCAAACTCCTCAGCTCAGGCAACCCGCCTGCCTTGGCCTCCCAAAGTGCTAGGATTACAGGCATGAGTGACCATGCCCAGCCTAAAAACTTTTTTTTAAGGGATGGGATCTTGCTAGGCTGCCCAGGCTGGTCTTGAAGTCCTGGCCTCAAGCAATCCTCCCACCTTGGCCTCCCAAAGTTCTAGGATTACAGGCGTGAGCCACCATGCCTGGCTGATCCTCACCTATTTTTTTGTTGTTGTTTGAGACAGGGTCTATCTCCATCTCCTCGGCTGGAGTGCAGTGGCTTGATCATGGCTCACTCCAGCCTCAACCTCCTGGGCTCAAGCAATGCTACCACTTCAGCCTCCCGAGTGGCTGCGACTACAGGTGTGCACCACCACACCCTGCTAATTTGTGTATTTTTTGTAGAGATGAGGTCTTGCTATGTTGCCCAGGCTAGTTTCAAACTCCTGGCCTCAGTCAATCCTCCCACCTTGGCCTCCCAAAGTGCTGGGATTATAGGTGTGAGCCACCACCTCTGGCCAGCTCCCACCTGTTGATCAAAGGAGCATCAAAGAATTTGCAGCCTCCAGAAGGAGGTCATTTCCTGCCTCTGAGTCTCAGTTTCCACATCTATGAAATAAAGTTAATGATCCTTCACTCCAGGGTTGTCGTGAAGGCTAAATTAAGTTGTATTTGGAAAAATATGTGGGGCACAGTAGGTGTGTTTCTCACACCCAGAGTCAGAGTGTTTAGCAGAGGGTTAGTAGTTGCCTCCAGGGCATGAAGGGCTCTTCCTGACCCTAAGTGTGAGGAACGCTTTGGGTTAAAAGATTGTACTTTTCTGCGTTCAGCTGAAAGGTGGAGGGCTCAGTGAGGTGGCTCACACCTGTAATTCCAATGCTTTGGGAGGCCGAGGTGGGAGGATCACTTGAGCCCAGGAGTTTGAGAGCAGCTTAAACAACACAGTAAGACCTTGTTTCTACACACACACACACACACACACACACACACACATTAGCCAGGCGTGGTGGCATGCGCCTGTAGTTCCAGCTACTTGGGAGGCTGAGGTGGGTGGATTGCTTGAGGCAAGGAGTTTGAGACAAGCCTGGTCAACACAGTGACACCCCATCATCCCCCAAAATCATTTTTCTTTGTTTTAAGGCAGAGCCTCACTCTATTGCCCAGGCTGGAGTGCAGTGGTGTGATCTCACCTCCTTGCAACCTCTGCCTCCCGGGTTCAAGCGATTCTTGTGTCTCAGCCTCCTGAGTAGCTAGGATTACAGGTGTGCACCACCATGCCTGGCTAATTTTTGTATTTTTAGCGGAGATGGGGTTTTGCCGTGTTGGTCAGGCTGGTCTTCAACTCCTGGCCTCAAGTGATCCGTCTGCCTTGGCCTCCCAAAGTGCTGGGATTACAGGTGTGAGCCACTGTGCCCAGCCACAATAAATCATTTTTAAAAGGTTAAATTTAACCTCATTTAAGTAATACATGTAAGTCTCATCGAATATTTGAAGCCAGTTTGTGAGGTAAAGTCTATTATTATGTGCATTTTAATTCTTAGCGTTTAATTAAAGCCTCATAAGTACAAATAAAAACAGGACTTGCTATAACAGGTTGCCACCTATTTTCTTTAAAGATGACGAGCAGCATCTTATTTGCGTTAACACAAGTCATCCACATAACAAATATAGATAAGAAAAGTGGCCAGGTGTGGTGGCTCATGCCTCTAATCCTAGTACTTTGGGAGGCCGAGGCAGACAGATCACTTGAGGTCAGGAGTTCGAGACCAGCCTGGGCAATATGGTGAAACCCCATCTCTATCAAAAATACAAATATTAGCCCGGCATGGTGGTGGGCGCCTGTAATCCCAGCTACTTGGGAGGCTGAGGCAGGAGAATTGCTTGAACCTGGAAGGCGAAGTTTGCAGTGAGCCAAGATCATGCCACTGCACTCCAGCCTGGGTGACAGAGCGAGACTCTGTCTCGAAAAAAGAAAAAAGAAAAGAAAAGAAAAGTAAGGCACTTAGAGGGTAAGTGGCTTCACTCGGTACTAAGTAGGGGAGTGTGGATTTGAGCCAAGCTGTGGGTTCAAACCACATCAACACCTGCTATGCCTGACTGCGTCTCCACGCTGCTGGGAAGGTTGACTGAATCTGCCACTACCTCCCTGGGGTGCATGTGCTTACCAAACCATTGCATTATGTAAAAGGCGGTACTGTAGGTTTTTAGTTTTTTAATTTTTATTTTTTTGAGATAGAGTCTCACTCTGTCACCCAGGCTGGAGTGTAGTGGCATGATCTTGGCTGACTGCAATCTCTGCCTTCCGGGTTCAAGCGATTCTCTTGCCTCAGCCTCCTGAGTAGCTGGGACTACAGGCCCACACCACCACGCCTGGCTAATTTTTGTATTTTTAGTAGAGACAGGGTTTCACCATGTTGGACATCATGGTCTCGGTCTCTTGGGCTCATTATCTGCCTGCCTCGGCCTCCCGAAGTGCTGGGATTACAGGTGTGAGCCACAGTGCCTGGCCTCTAGTGACCTCATTTTAACTTGATCACCTCTGTAAAGACTCTGGTTCCAATAAGGTCACCTCTAAGGTCTGGAGGGTCATGGCTTCAATACATGAATTAGGGGTGGGGGGCACACCATGCAGCCCATAATACTAGCGTATCTGGTTATGTTAAACTTGCTATAGCCACAGTCTCGCTGACTTGGATTATGGTGCCATGGGAAGGGCCCTTAAAGATCATCTTATCTGGTTGGGCTCAATGGCTCACGCGTGTAATTCCAGCACTTTGAGAGGCCAAGGCAAGAGGATCGCTTGTGACCAAGAGTTCAAGACCAGTCTGGGCAACAGAGCAAGATGCTATATCTACTACAGGCATGCACCTGTAGTCTCAGCTACTTGGGAGGCTGAGAGAAGAGGATTGCTTGAGCCCAGGAGGCAACAGAGAGCTGATTGTACCACTGCACCCCAGCCGAGGCAACAGAGAGCTGATTGTACCACTGCACCCCAGCCAAGGCAACAGAGACCTTGTCTCTAAAAAACAAAAACAGGCCGGGTGCAGTGTCTTATGCCTGTATTCCCAGCACTTTGAGAGGCAGAGGCGGGTGGATCATTTGAAGTCAGGTGTTCAAGACCAGCCTGGCAAACATGACGAAACCCTAAAATACAAAAATTAGCCGG
The DNA here is from genome assembly GCF_000001405.40 of Homo sapiens. Classification (NCBI taxonomy): domain Eukaryota; kingdom Metazoa; phylum Chordata; class Mammalia; order Primates; family Hominidae; genus Homo; species Homo sapiens. The sequence goes on along the minus strand of NC_000007.14, from coordinate 73,059,640 downwards.
GAGTGGTGGTGGGTGCCTGTAATCTCAGCTACTCGGGAGGCTGAGGCAGGAGAATCGCTTGAACCTGGGAGGCAGAGGTTGCAGTGAGCCGAGATGGAGCCACTGCACTGCAGCCTGGGTGACAAGAGCGAAACTCTGTCTCAAAATATTAGGAAAAAAAAAGAGAGAGAGCCTCTTTTCCATCTCCCCGCCACAGAGTTGTCTTCAGTAATTTCATTCCCTTTTTTCCTGAGGATTCACTGGGTTTCTGGGTCCCAGAGGGGAAGTTCTCTTCAAGGTACAGAAACCACGACTCCGCAGAGAACCGCAGAGAATCGCAGAGATGGCAGCATGACCAGACCACGGACAGGTGTGTAGAAGCTGCTGGGCTGAAACTTGGGCTGAACTTCCGCTGCAGGTTGACTTATTCCCATCAGCACCAAAGCCGCTGGAGGGGGTCATCCACTAGCAAATGAAGTGGGGGCACGGATTGGAGGCTGTTTCAGAAGGTCCCACTGAGCCACGGACTCAAGGCCTGGCCACAGCCCTCCCAAGCGAGGCCCAGATCATATTTCACCACGCTCAGAAAACCTTGCCAGCTCATTTCAGTCCACAGTGACTTTGCTTTCTTTAGGATCTCTCTTGCACTGTCCAACTCAGAGAATTTCAAATCTGAATGGATTCCAATGATGGAGCTAAATCAGGCCTCACCTCAGTTTTTTAATTACAATCAATAGGGCTGGGTCCCAGCATCTGTGTCTTAATGTTCCTCCATGTGATCCTCATGCTGAAAGGCTGGTATTTGAAAATCCCTTTTTTTGGGGAGTGAAGGGTTTTTTTAGAGACAGGCCTCACTCTGATGCCCAGCCTGGAATGCAGTGGTGGATCACAGCTCACTGCAGCCTCGAACTCCTGGCCGCAAGAAATCCTCCCACCTTAGCCAACCAAAGTGTTGGGATTGCAGGAGTGACCACTGTGTCCAGCCAGGAAAGCCCTTCTGTTTCACTTGAATGATATTTCTGCCGCAGACCTACAGCCATTGTTGTATTAAACGGCATCATTGCAGGAAAAGAAAAGGTGAGAGGTGACTGTTTTGCTTTTTTCTGAACATATCAGACCAAACCTGGGCTGTCTGGCACTTTTTTTTTTTTTTTTTTTGAGTCGGAGTCTCACTCTGTCGCCCAGGCTGGAGTGTAGTGTCGTGATCTCGGCTCACTGGAACCTCCACCTTCCCGGTTCAAGTGATTCTCCTGCCTCAGCCCCACAAGTAGCTGGGATTACAGAAGTGCACTCCCACGCCCAGCTCATTGTTTCTGTATTTTTACAGAAAAACAGACAGGTTTCACCATGTTGGCCAGGCTGATCTCAACCTCCTCACCTCTGGTTATCTGTCGGCATCAGCTTCCAAAAGTGCTGGGATTACAAGTGTGAGCCGCCGCACCTGGTTTGCCCATTTTTTGACAATGTATCAACATCATCTAAGATGGGCACTGCCTCAGTGTAGTGTGTCTAGACAAGGTGGCCGGAACAGAGAGGAATATGCATACCAGGCTTAAAGACGGGTTAAATCAGAGCTTTTCATTCCACAAAAGAGCAATTTTAATGAGGTCAGAACATGGATGTTCTAATATTTGAAAGCCTGTTAACTAGGAGAGAGAGTAAAGTGATTTGTTGTAGGAGGACACACCCAGCTCTGACGGTTTAAAGCGTCATGAATGCAAATTTGAACTCCAGAAAAGCAGAGCTTCCTAACAATGGGACTTCCACAGCAATGGGATTTCCTTCCGCATTCAGTTTGTGCCTTTCCCATGAGCGAGAGACTCCTAGGAGAGCCGCAGCCCGTTAGGAAGCCATGTGGGAACTCATCCACAGGTTCTTTTTGTTTTTTTTGTTTTTTTTTTTTTTTTGAGATGTAGTTTTGCTCTTGTTGCCCAGGCTGGAGTGCAATGGTGTGACCTTGGCTCACTGCAACCTCCGCCTCCCAAGTTTAAGCCATTCTGCTGTCCCCGCCTCCTGAGTGGCTGGGATTACAGGCACCCACCACCATGCCTGACTAATTTTTTGTATTTTTAGAAGAGATGGGGTTTCACCATGTTGGCCAGGCTGCTCTTAAACTCCTGACCTCAAGCGATCCACCTGCTATGGCCTCCCAAAGCGCTGGGATTACAGGCGTGAGCCACTGTGCCTGGCCGGAACCCACAGGTTCTTTGGATGGTCTCTGAATGTCATGAAACTCTTTTATATTTAATTAAAAAAATTTTTTTGACACAAGGTCTTGCTGTGTTGCCCAGACTGGAGTGCGGTGTCACGATCACAGCTCACTGCAGCCCCTAACTCCTAGGCTCAAGCAATCCTCCTGCCACCTCAGTCTCTCAAGTTGTTGGAACACAGGTGCCAGCCACGACACCTGGCTAATTTTGTTTTGTTTTGTTTTGTTTTGTTTTAGAGATGGGCTCTTGCTATGTTGCCTATACTGGTCTTGAACTGCTGGCCTCAGGCAGTCTTCCTCCCTTGGCCACCCAAAGAGATGGGATTACAAGCATGAGCCACTGTGCACAGCTGAGATTTTTCGACTTAGTCTTTTTGTACACCCAGTATCTTATAGAATATCCATAATATAGATTCATAAATAAACCATTTCCTTCAATGGTATAAATAAATAAACCACTGCTATAAATGGTGGAATTTTCTGAGTTAAGAGCAATACATATGATACAAAACTTGATATATAGAGTTTCTTAGCCAAACTGGAGGGGCTGGCTTTAGGTGATCCGTGGACTCCCTGAAATTGGGGACACCATTGGAAATATGTGTGAACTCATGGGCAGTTTCCTATGATTTCCAGTCCTCAAAATATCTCTTGGACTCAAAGATGCCTTAGGGCAGAGGACGCGTGTACCCCCAGTACAGAATCTCGGACAGTGAATGTCAGTAGACACTCGGCAGAAAACCTCTGCCAAATTGAGTGCTCTGATGTGACTTTTTCATCAAGTCAATGTTCCTGGGATCTCTTGTACATGATAATCTCACTCTTGTAAGGTTTCATCGTTTCTGCTTACCCTACTTTTCTTTCCCATCCTGATCCCTCTCCCACCAGACTGGACTCTGAAACGGGCATGTACAGAGAAGAGGAGACCCCAACACGCTTCAAGCTTTGAGTGGAGAGGACACAGCCTCTGCTGGGACAGGGAACAGAGGGATGCGGAGACCCTGAAGATGCTTTTGGACAGTGGTCTGAGGTTGGGACAGTGGCAGGAGATACCATTCACCCAGGATCTCCAGGACAAGAGATCAGCCTGGCAGTTACATGTGTTTTTTTTCAAACTGGTTGCCAGGTTGGCATGAGCGATGACATCAGAGATTCCGACCTTCCTGATTGGAGGGACCGGACTCTGTCGGCACCTGGGAGTTCAGTTGGACAACAGTAACTTCTCAGAGCTGTTCTCCACTCCTGACTTCTCCCAGCCTCGAGAATTGATAACACACTCTTCTGGATCCCAGCAGTGTCCAGAAGAAGACCAAGGACAGAACAGAGACTAGGTTTGGTGAGATGGGACAGATTTTGGGAAAGATCATGATGAGCCATCAACCGCAGCCCCAGGAAGAGCGGAGCCCCCAGCGGAGCACCTCAGGGTACCCCCTCCAGGAGGTGGTGGATGATGAAGTGTCGGGACCATCAGGTGAGGGGACTGGAGGAAGAAGAGGTGGCATAGGATTGACTAAGATGAAGGAAGGGGGCCAGGCGTGGTGGCTCACCCCTGTAACCCCAACACTTTGGGAGGCTGAGGCGGGCAGATCACCTGAGGTCAGGAGTTCAAGACCAGCCTGGCCAACATGGTGAAACCCCATCTCTACTAAAAGTACAAAAATTAGCCAGGCGGTAGTGGTGTGTGCCTACAATCCCAGCTACTTGGGAGGCTAAGACAGGAGAATCACTTGAGCCTGGGAGGAAGAGGTTGCAGTGAGCCAAGATCGTGCTACTGCACTCCAGTCTGGGTGACAGAGTGAGATGCTATCTCAAAAAAAAAAAAAAAAAAAAAAAGAAGAAAAAAAAGAAGGGTCAGAGGTCAGGAAGGAGAACCTGGGGAGGGTGTGTGGGAAGAATGGAGAAATTCAGGCTGGGTGCAGTGGCTCACACTTGTAATCCCAGCACTTTGGGAAGCCAAGGCAGGCGGATCACTTGAGGCCAGGAGTTTGAGACCAGCCTGGCCAACATGGTGAAACCCTGTCTCTATTAAAAGTACAAAATGGAGCTGGGCATTATGGCAGGCACCTGTAATCCCAGCTACCTGAGAGGCTGAGGCAGGAGAATAACTGGAATCCGGGAGATGCATGTTGCAGTGAGCTGAGATTGCACCACTACACTCCAGCCTGGGTGACAAAGCAAGATTCTGTCTCGAAACAAAAAAAAAAAAAAAAAAAGAGGGACTCAGAGAGCCAGGGACCAGGGAAGGATATGAGGCAGTGTTCTGAGGACAGAGAGAGGGAAGAATGGGGAGGGGAAGGAGTGGCACATGGGGTTGAGCAGAGGAGAAAGTCAGAAAGGTGGCTTGGAGAAGCCAGCAGTCTGCGAGGCTGGGGAGGATGGAGAGTGGTTTGGGGTTTGGGGTCGGGGTCTAACGTGATCAGTTGCAGAAGCATTACACGGTGGCCTGGTTTCTTTACTCAGCCCCTGGGGTAGATCCCAGCCCCCCACGTAGGTCCCTTGGCTGGAAAAGGAAGAGGGAATGTTTGGATGAATCTGATGATGAGCCAGAGAAGGAGCTCGCCCCTGAGCCTGAGGAGACCTGGGTGGCGGAGACGCTGTGTGGCCTCAAGATGAAGGCGAAGCGACGGCGAGTGTCGCTCGTGCTCCCTGAGTACTACGAGGCCTTCAACAGGCTGCTTGGTAGGAGGACACCCCAGAGAGCACCTCCAATCCTGTTCTTTCTAAAGAGGAAACTTCCAATAACCACACTTTTCCAATGGGAAAAATATGCCCCAGTGGGTGAGCTCTCCATGCGGGAGGACTCTGAAGTGATCACTCATGAGGGACACTTAAGGAGACAACAGAGGATTAGGTAGACTTGATAAAGGTCGGTGCTTGGGATAAGAAAGCTTGGTTTTGGGCCAGGCGCTGTGGCTCCCGCCTGAGATCCCAGCACGTTGGGAGGCTGAGGCAAGAGGATTGCTTGAACTCAGGACTTTGAGGCTGCAGTGAGCTATGACTGCACCACTGCACTCCAGCCTGGGTGACAGAGCAAAACTCTGCGTCAAAAGAAAAACCAAGGCTGGGCACAGTAGCTCATCCCTGTAGTTCCAGCTACTCGGGAGGCTGAGACAGGAGAACTGCTTAAACCCAGGAGGCAGAGGTTGCAGTGAGCCAAGATCAGGCCAATGCATTCCAGCCTGGCCCACAGAGCAAGACTCTGTCTCAAAATAAATTAATAAATAAATAAAAATAAAAATCAAATAAAGAAAAACAAAATCAAAAATCAAAAAAGTGGTTTCAGCTGTGCCCTCTGAAACTTAATGTTTCTTACTGACTTTGCTAAACCTAAGTGTCTCCATCCATAGTGGGGGATCCCAAGGCCATGGTCACACCCTGATGTGTGACTGTCTCATGAGGAAATGATGGGAATTCCTTTATGACTCTGCAGTGGTCCCTCCGTGTCTGCTGGAGGGGGTCCTGGCTGATTCCCAGCTCTACATCCTGTAGATTCTCACACCCAGGGCCTCCTTCGGCCTCTTCTCAGGGGAGTCTCAGAGCAGGAGCCTCTCTCCCTTGCCCAGTGAAAGTCATTCTCCCCTCTCTCATCCACCTCACCCGCGGCCACAATCCTGAGACTTTCCCCCGGGAGGCACACTTCTCCTCGCTGCCCTGCTGCTCTCACGGAAACCCTGTCCTGCTTCTCACACTGACATCTGCTCTCTAATCACAGAGGATCCTGTCATTAAAAGACTCCTGGCCTGGGACAAAGATCTGAGGGTGTCGGACAAGGTAAGGTTGTTCTCTATGTAACTGTGTTCCTGTTCTAACGCACGGCCAGGGGGAGGGCGCAGCTTCCAAACCCACAGTTCTCCGTCCACCACCTCCCACCAGATGCTCCTACAGTTTTTTTTTGTTTTTGTTTTTGTTTTTTTTTGTGAGACACAGTCTTGCTCTGCTGCCCAGGCTGGAGGGCAGTGTCTCGATCTTGACTCACTGCAGCTGATGCCTCCTGGGTTCAAGCGATTCTCCCACCTCAGCCTCCAAGCAGCTGGGATTACAAACATGAACCACCACGCCTGGCTAATTTTTGTGTTTTTAGTAGAGACGGGGTTTTGCCATGTTGGCCAGATTGGTCCCGAACACCTGACCTCAGGTGATCCACCCGCCTTGGCCTCCCAAAGTGCTGAGATTACAGACGTCAGCACTGTGTCTGACCAGCTCCCATGGTCTTGAGTCTTGGCACCCACACATTTTTTTTTCTGAGACAGAGTCCAGCTCTGCTCCCCAGGATGGAGTACAGTGGCATGATCATAGCTCACTCTAATTCCTGGGCTCAAGCAATCCTCTTTCCTTAGCCTCCTGAGGAGCTGGGACTAGGCACATGCTACCATGCTCAACTAATTTTTGAAATCTTCTTAGAAACAGGGTCTCGCTGTGTTGCCCAGGTTGTTCTCCAACTGTTGGGCTCACATGATCCTCCTGTCTCCACCTCTCAAAAAGTACTGGGATCACAGGCTTGAGCTGCCACTCCCGGCTATTCTTTGTCTTTTTATGATTTGTCAGCATCTCCGTCAGGATTCTGCTGGTCTCTTGCAGAGTGAATGAGTGGCCCCTGCCTCTCCTATGGGTCCTTTGGGATCTGAGCCCTGGGCCACAGTCTGGCTGCAGCCCTGAAGCTCCTGGGCCCTCTACTCTCAGCTCCTTGGGACAGTTCTCTGCCTGGCACACAAAAGACCCTCCTGACACCAGCCGACCTAGACACACCCCCTCCAAAGATCCCATCGGAGCCCACCATCCTGGGAGCATCACCAAAAACCCTTCCTCCGGCTTCTCGGATTTGCATCCGACCTTCGAATACCCCTCCACCCCGCAATTTCCACATGAGCACAGTCACCCCAACACTGAGGTCCCTTCTCTGATGGGCAACCCCTCCCCAGACCCCCATTCCACTATATCCACAATCTTCCTCTCCCAAGATGTGACCTCTCCCTCTCTGTGTTCCTTTCTCTCCATCAGTATCTCCTGGCTATGGTCATAGCGTATTTCAGCCGGGCCGGCCTCCCCTCCTGGCAATACCAACGCATTCATTTCTTCCTGGCTCTGTGAGTGGTTTGCTGCCTCCTATCCATCAATATCCAATGCCCTGGGACAGCGGGGGAAGTGGGATTCCAGCCTTTCATTTATTCTTTCACCTATTTGTCCTCTTTACTCTGTGTACAAAAAAGACAGGATTATAGTCTCAAAAAAAAAAAAAAGAACAAAAAACAAAAGGAACCATGAACCGCTCCTAAGGGGAGAAGAAAAGGAGCGGAGGAGCGGACATGACACTTCCCCCAGCAAGCAGACGTTTCCGGTTGTTCTCTCTCCTTCCCACATCAACCGCAAAAGCCATCAGCCTCCTCCGGGTTCCCGTGACAGAGGTCACAGTCCAGGTCCCCCTTGCATCACTCGAATCCACTGTCAAATGCTCCCTGCTGGGGTTTCCTGGAGTCTCTCCCCAAGCCAGGGGGCTTCCTAGTGCAGCCTGAACATCTTTCCAAAGCACGACAACCTCACTGCCCACCTGAACAACTTCCTTAGCTGATGTCTTTCTCTATCGAGGCCAGGGTCCACAGTGCCAATTCCACCCTCTCTACAATCTCTACAACCACACTGGCTCGCCATCTTGGTGTTTCCTGGCTTGGCTTCACTGCTCCTTCCAAATGCCCTCCACTTGACTTTGCATTTGTGTTTTCTGTCTGGGTGTCCCGCACACATGTGGTTCTGAAGGGAAGGACCCATTCCTTGAAGTCGGTTCACCCCACAGCCTCTGTGATGCCTTCCCTCGTCTTCCAACTTCTGCATGCCCGTAGCTCTCCAGTTACATCCTATTATAATGTGACATTGGGATTAGGTCATCTCCCCTGATTACTCCCAGTCCCATTAGACTAGATGCCTGTAGAAGGCAGGGTCCTGGCAAAATATCAGTGTATTCAATTGCTTTTTTTTTTTTTTTGAGACAGACTTGCCCTGTCCCCTAAGCTGGAGTGCAGTGGTGAGATCATAGCTCACCGCAGCCTCCATATCCTGGGCTCAAGCGATCCTCCCACCTCAGCCTCTTGATTAGCTCCGACTACAGGGCTGTACCACCACACCTGGACAGTTATTTATTTATTTATTTATTTATCAAGACAAGAGTGTTGCTGTGTCTCTCAGGCTGGAATGGAGGGGCCCAATCTTGGCTCACTGCAACCTCCGCCTCCTGGGTTCACACAATTCTTATGCTTCAGCCTCCTGAGTAGCTAGGACTAATGGGTGTGCCACCGCACCAGGCTGATTTTTGTATTTTTAGTATAGATGGGGTTTCTCTGTGTTGACCAGGCTGGTCTCAAACTCCTGGTCTCAAGCAATCCACCTGCTTCAGCCTTCCAAAGCGCTGGGATTACAGGCATGAGCCACCACGTCTGGCGTATTTTTTATATTTTTAATAGAGACGAGGGTCTTGCTATGTTGCCCAGGCCTGTCTCAAACTCCTGGCCTCAAGTGATCCTCCTGCTTCGGCCTCCCAGTGTGCTGGGATTCCAGGCATAAGCCACCACTCTTGGTCACCAGTTGGGTTTTTGTCTCCATCCTGAAGGAGTGGGAGACGCCCTTGATCAGGTCTCTGTCCAGCAGAGCCCTCCTGAGGAAGGCGTGGCTCTCTGCAGGGTGGGTGCCAGTCCTGAGCTAGGGACGGTCCCTTACCTTCCTCTCTGAGAAGCTGACCTCAGCCGGAGGTCTCTCCTGGTGGTGCCCCTGAGCAGCAACCTGATTTCTGTCCTCAGCTATCTGGCCAATGACATGGAGGAGGACGACGAGGCCCCCAAACAAAACATCTTCTACTTCCTGTACGAGGAGACCCGCTCTCATATACCCTTGCTCAGTGAGCTTTGGTTCCAGTTATGCCGTTACATGAACCCGAGGGCCAGGAAGAACTGCTCTCAGATAGCCTTGTTCCGGAAGTATCGGTTCCACTTCTTTTGTTCCATGCGCTGCAGGGCTTGGGTTTCCCTGGAGGAGTTGGAAGAGGTGGGTGGGGCCTGGGGACGTGGAGGATGTGGGGAGGAATCGGGTGGGCTGGAGGCTGGACGAGGGGAGAGAGGGGTATCCTGGGGAGTCCCCGTCTTCTCAAAGCGCGTTTGTTTTTCCAGATCCAGGCTTATGACCCAGAGCACTGGGTGTGGGCGCGAGATCGCGCCCACCTTTCCTAGAGCTCCAGGGACCGTGGAGGCCTGAGGTCATCGGCCTGAGAGAAGGTACATCTGCATCCTCCGGGGTAAAGGCAGAATATTGGGGTCTATTTCGGAAATCCAAGGAACCCAATTGCTTGATCTGGCTTCAAGCCTGGGCAACGTGGCGAGATCCCCTCTCCACAAAAATACAAAAATTAGCCAGGCGATGTGGGAGGCATCTCTACTCCCAACTACTCAGGAGGCTGAGGCGGGAGGATCGCTGGAGCCTGGGAGGTCGGTGCTGCAGGGAGCCCTGATCCTGCCACTGCACTCCAGCCCGGGCGACAGAGTGAGACCCTGCCTCAAAAATAATCATAAATACTGAGTTCGGGGAGGTTCATTATGATTGATGCACTTGAGTTACCGATTTGGGTCGAGGGTTCAGTGAAGCTTTGGTTTACATCTTGTGCAGCTAACCATGTTGAGCACAGAGCATGAGACTTCGTCATGAGGAGGGAGGATTATGGATTAGGCTTCTGGACTCGTGGTTCGTGATGTTGTCACGTTAGAAACAGATCTAGCACGGTTACAAGTTTAGATCTGAAGTGACACAAAAGGCCCCAGCTGTGATGAAGTCCAAAGCCACATTCTCTGAGGGTGCCCTACTCCCTGGGAAGACCCACCCAAAGTCCTGGCTATGAAGCAGATCACTGGGGCTGACCTTGGGTGTATTAAGTTTTGGAGTCAGGGTCACCAAAGTGTGAGTTTCACAGTTGAACACGATGGTTCAGAAGCAGGGTATAGAATGAAAGGCAGGAGATAAAATTGCACTTCTCAATTGCTCTGAACTCTAGCTAGACTTGACATGGGACGTGAATAACCTTCCTGTCTAGAGAGCTGCCTCCTTGAAGTGTGACATTGTCTCTCTCACTTCCAGAACACCGGACCCAGGGGAGATGTGGATTTTCAGCAGGAACTTTATTCCAATGCTAATGGCAGACATCAGGAAGGAGGAGAGGAACCATTTGTGCAGATCATCTAGAAGAACCTGGACCATTCTTGACAGAGCTGAATACAGTGATCACGTTGTCCTCCAAGGAGCAGGGGTGGGGTGGGGTACTTCTAGGAGTCCTTGGAGAAAAGTAAGAAACCAGGAGTGTTTCCAGTTCCACCCTTTCCTGCGGCACCACCTCCCTTTTTATATTGCTGAATGCCAACCTCCCTGGGGCGGAACCTGGAGGTCCTGTTTCTTATGGACTTGGTTGTCACAGTCCAGGAGCATTTGAAGGCACAGTGCAGGGGCTCAGATTGGCACAGAATTCTTTGTGAAATATGAGTGCCACAGACTGTAACAGATAGCTTCATGCACACTATGCATTTTATTGGTTTGTTTGGAAAATGTTGGCCATTGAATTATTAATAGGTTTATTTCAAATAGTTTGGAAATTGTTGTACTTTTGAAAACATGCTGTTCCTGTAGAGTTTTTTGATGAGAGTTATAGTTGTTATATATACCTAAAGATAATTTTCTTTTCATTTTTAAGTGAGAATTCTTTTTATCCTAAATCTTTTATTATCTTTAATTTTTTTTCTGTATTATTATATGTGCTCCTGAAGCGAGCACTCTTTTTATCTATGATACTTCCATAATAATCTCTTCTATTTATAGCTATTGGTAGTTCCCCACCAGAAAAAAACATAATTCTGGTGATAGAAATTTTTATTTGCTGTTTAGGTTTGTGACTGACTTGTGAGAATTCAGTTGTGATTTTTAACATGTCTCAGATATATATACTAACACGTCTAATATATACTATCTATTTTATTGGTTTATTTTGAAAAACATGGGTATAGAATTATTTAAATATTATTTTATTTACTGAAATATTTATTAAATATATTTATTTATTTAAATATTATTATTACTTTAAATATTATTTTAAATATTTTGGAAATACTGGTATTTTTGAATAGATGCTGTTTCTATAAAGCTGTGTGATGGGTATTATAACTGTTGTATACACATACATATAATTTTGTTTTCCTTTTTAAGAGAGGATTCTTTTCATCCTAAATCTTTTACCTTTCAATCTTTGTATCTATTATTACACGTGCTGCTGAAGGGAGCATGGTTTTTATCTATGATACTTAGTTAACATATATATTACATTTATAGCTATGTGGTAGTTCCCCTAAATTCTTGTAAAAATAAATTTTTATTTGATATTTAGTGTATGTTTGAAATGTGAGAATTCAGATGGAATTTTTTATCTTGTTTTGGCATGTTTGTATGTTACTTTAAAGAGGATGTGTGTTCTAAAGGAGGACATGAGCTGTGTGTTTTCAAGAGAACAGTGCAGTGCATCTCTTGGGGAAACATAATAAAGATGAACTTTTCTCACCTTCACAGTGAGTGTGATCATATTGTGGTCTGGATTGATTATTTGCTGTCAAGTGACATTTTTCCTTAATGGGGTTGTGGTTATTTGAACATATTTATTAGCTTTGGAAGATAATCCTGTGCTGTTTTTTATGTAGAAAAAAACATACGGCTGGGTGCAGTGCTCACACCTACAATCCCAGCAGTTTTGGAGGTCATGGCGGGAGGATCACTTGAAGCCTATTTTTAATTTTTATTTTTTAAAGAAAAACAACAGAAGAGAAGGCTGATCCCAAGCTACAGGGTTTTTTTGTTTGTTTGTTTGTTTGTTTGTTTTGGAGACAGTCTCGCTCTGTCTCCCAGGCTGGAGTGCAGTGGCACAACCTCGGCTCCCTGCAACTTTCACCTCCGCGTTCAAGCAAATTCTCCTGCCTCAGCCTCCCAAGTAGCTGGGACTACAGGCATCCGCCTGTACGTCTGACTAACTTTTGTAAAAATAGTAGAGACAAGGTTTCACCATGTTGGCCAGGCTGGTCTCAAACTCCTGACCTCAAGTGATCCACCCGCCTCAGTCTCCCAAAGTGCTGGGATTATAGGCATGAGCTACTGTGCCCAGACCCCAAGCTAGAGTTTTAAAGCAGGAAATGAGAGAAAGATATTGAGAGAGGAAAACCAGGTGGTAAGAAAACTCTAAAGGTGGCTGGGCGTGGTGGCTCACGCCTGTGATCCCAGCAGGAGTTCGAGACCAGGCAGGAGAATCACTAGCAGAGAATATGTCTCCCCAACCCCTCTCAAAAAAAAAAAAAAAAGTCCAGGCGCGGTGGCTCAGGACTGTAATCCCAGCACTTTGGGAGGCTGAGGTGGGTGGATCATGAGGTCAGGAGATCAAGACCATCCTGGCTAATACGGTGAAACCCCATCTCTGCTAAAAATACAAAAAATTAGCTGGGCGCGGTGGCAGGCGCCTGTAGTCCCAGCTACTCCGGAGGCTGAGGCAGGAGAATGGTGTGAACCCAGGAGGCGGAGCCTGCAGTGAGCAGAGATCGCGCCACTGCACTCCAGCCTGGGTGAAAGCGCGAGACTCCATCACAAAAGAAAAAAAAAAAAAGAAAGTTCCTGCAACAGTTCAAGCTGTGAAAGACAGGCACTCTGCCATGCAATTCTTTGTGATTTTTCTTTTTTCTTTTTGGAGTCGGGGTCTTGTGCTGTCACCCAGACTGGGGTGCAGTGGTGCGGTCATAGCTCACTGTGGGCTCAGACTCAAGCTCAAGCAATCTTCTTATCTTGCCTTTCTAATTGCTGGGATTATAAGCATGAGCCACTGCACCTGGCCTGTGTGACGTAATTCTGATGTCAACTCCCTGATGTTACATCAAATGCCACAGGTTAAGGCCACCAGCCCCCGCTAGGCTGCCCTCGCTTCAGATGCAGCTGCAAGCTTGGGTGTCCACAGACCGCATGTACTTCTCACCAACTGGCTGCAAATTTGGAGGTTCCCACCACGTCCTCAGGTTTGATAATTCACCATAACAACCCACAGAACTCTGAAAAGCATGATACTTTCTCTTTCTTTATTTGAGACAGAGTCTTGCTCTGTCACCCAGGCTGGAGTGCAGTGGCCACCATGCTTGGCTAATTTTAGTATTTGTATTAGAGACAGGGTTTCGCCATGTTGGCCAGGCTGGTCTTGAACTCCTGACCTCAGGTGATCCACCCACCTTGGCCTCCCAAAGTGCTGGGATTACAGGCATAGCCACTGTGCCTGGCTGACTTCTAGAGTTTCAATAACAGAGATGTGGTTCAAGAAGAAAAGGGAGACATGTTTTGTAGACAGCAGGAGCTTCATGAAAAGAAGCCAATGAAGGGCAGGATGTGTAGCTGTCTACCTACAGGAAACCAGCCAGGAGCCTCCCCACAGGGACTTCAGCACAGATGGCCGGGAAAATCTGCATTCACCTGAGCTCTGGACCTAAGAGAGGACAAGGCCTTGACTGTTTCTACAGACTCACAAGATGCAATCTCTGCGGTCCATGCCCGTGGTGTGATCTGGGAAACAGGGGGCCTTCTAAATGCCAACAACAAGGAAATCAAATGTGCAACAGACAGAAATATCGGCATTGACACGGGCCATGGAGAGGCCTAAACAGATGACTGCAGTCCACTGCCAAGGTCATCAAAGGGGTGACTCTGAAATAAGAAATTTCAGACGCCACGGCCCAAATAGCTGCACGAGGTGGGGAAGTCCTCCACATGCCTCTGCTTCCTTCAGTACCTCTTCATGAAATAAGCCGAGGTACTTCCCTGGGGAATTTCCTTTCTCTTTCTTTCTTTCGAGACGGAGTCTTGCTCTGTCGCCCAGGCTAGAGTGCAGTGGCGCGATCTCGGCTCACTGCAACCTCTCCCTCCCGGGTTTTGGCAATTCTTCTGTCTCAGACTTCTGAGTAGCTGAGATTACAGGTGTGTGCCACCATGCCCAGCTAATATTGGTATTTTCACTCGAGACAGGGTTTCACCATCTAGGCCAGGCTGGTCTTGAACTCCTGACCTCATGATCCACCCATCTTGGCCTCCCAAAGTCCTGGGATTACAGGCACGAGCCACCACACCCAGACTTCTTTTTTTATTTTTTGAGATGAAGTTTCGCTCTTGTTGCCCAGGCTGGAGTGCAATGGCGAGATCTCAGCTCACTGCCACCTCCTCCTCCTCCCAGGTTCAAGTGATTATCCTGCCTCAGCCTCCCGAGTAGCTGGGATTACAGGCACCCAACACCAAACCCCGCTGACTTTTTGTATTTTTAGTAGAGATGGAATGTCACCATGTTGGCCAGGATGGTCTTGAACCCCTGACCTCTAATGATCTACCCGAATTGGTCTCCCAAAATGCTGGGATTACAGGCGTGAGCCACTGTGCCCAGCCCCTCCCATACCTCTTTTGGCCAAGGCAGTACAATTCAGAGAATCTTGCCAGGGAAGACTGGTAAATGGACATCAACATGATGCCTATGGCTCCTGGTGGATTTAGATACCTCCTGGTGCTTACTGATACCTTTACCAGTTACATGGGGGCTTTTCCATGCCAGACTGAAAATGCTGGAGATCACTGATCAACCTTCAACTATTTACTAGCAGAACACTGAGGGGACTCTGCAGTCACCAATATCTCCTATTGCACTTGGATAAACACCTCCCGGGAAATAGAGATGAATAGAAAGGAAATACTTAAACAAGCAGAATGGCTACATTCCTTCAACCAGAAGGGTCCATTAGTCTGTTTTCACACTGCTATAAAGAACTACTGGAAACTGGGGAATTTATGAAGAAAAGAGGTTTAATTGACTCACAGTTTTGCAGGCTGTACAGGAAGCATGGCTGGGGAGCCCTCAAGAAACTGACAATCACGGCAGAAGGCGAAGGGGAAGCAGGCACGTTTCTGGCCATGGTGGAGCAGGAGAGACAGAGAGAGTGAAGCAGGAGGTGCTGCATGCTTCTAAACAACCAGATCCCATGAGCGCTCACTCACTATCACGAGACCAGCAAGGGGGACGTCAGCCGCCATGAGCCAATCATCTCCCACCAGGTCCCTCCCTCAACACTGGGAATTGCAATTGGACATGAGATTTGGTTGGGGATACAGAGCTGAACCATATCAAGGGTAGTTCAACCACTGAGATTGATTGATTGACTGAGATGGGGTCCTGCTCTGTTACCTAGGCTGGAGTGCAGTGGCACAATCTCGGCTCACTGCAACCTCCGCCTCCCAGGTTCAAGCAATTCTCCTGCCTCAGCCTCCCTAGTAGCTGGGACTACAGCACACGCCACCACACCTGGCTAATTTTTGTATTTTCAGTAGAGACGGGGTTTCACCATGTTTGCCCGGCTGGTCTTGAACTCCTGACCTCGTGATCACCCTGCCTCGGCTCTTCTTTTGCTGGAATTACAGGCGTGAGCCACCGCACCCGGACAACCACTGAGATTTAGAAGGCAGTCGAGTCCACTATACCACACCTCACCTGGTTTCTTCCTCTGTTGGGGCCCCTCGTGGCCACTGTTCTGTTACTTTTTGGTCCTATTTATTTAAATGGATGGTGAGCTGTTTGTCCTCCAGGATCCAACACTTCCACCTTCAGCTTGTATTACAACAATACCAGCCTTTCAAGCTACTCCGGGTGACCCCAGAACTCATCTGAACTCAGAAGCCCAAGAGTTTCATTCCTCTCACTTTAGGGGACTAAGTGCCCCTGGTCAGCATGAAGTCGATACAGAAGCATGACCTCCATCCCTAATCCCTCAAGAATGAGGAGTGGAAGGTGTTGGCAGGAGGGTGGGACGCGGTTTGTAAATCTGTAACTGCATCAGACCAAATCTAGTTCAACTTTTTTTTTTTTTGATGGAGTTTCACTCTTGTCACCCAGGCTGGAGTGCAATGGCACGATCTCAGCTCACTGCAACCTCCACGTCCTAGGTTCAAGCATTCTGCTGCCTCAGCCTCTGGGGTAGCTGGGATTACAAGGGTGCGCCACCACGCCTGGCTAATATTTATATTTTTAGTAGAGACGGGGTTTCACCATTTTGGCCAGGCTGGTCTTGAACTCCTCGACCTCAGGTGATCCACCTGCCTTGGCCTCCCAAAGTGCTGGGATTACAGGCGTGAGTCACCGCACCCGAATCAGTTCAACTTTTATGTAATGAAGTTGTCAGTTGTTTTCCAATTGCCATCGACCTGCAGGTTGAAGGTCATGTACCCTGTGCATGCCCAGGTTAACCACGCGTGCCACCGTGGAGTGGAACCTAAGAGCTCAGCCTGAAGAGCTCGGACCGATTTAAGAACCAGACACCCCCAGGCAGGAGCCAGGATCCAATCAGATTGAGTTTTGGTGTCACCCCATGGCAGGATCCAGTCAGATCACACCTCCCAGCATTACTTTATTGCAAGATCCAATCAAATCACACCTCATTACCCTATGCTTATAAAACCTGACACAGCCCCCAGCTGTGTAAGGGAGATTTGAGTACTTCCTCCTGTGTTCTTGCTGGCTGACTTACAAAAAAGCTTTAAAAAAAAAAGCCAGGCGTGGTGGCTCACGCCTGTAATCCCAGCACTTTGGGAGGCTGAGGTGGGCAGATCACTTGAGGTCAGGGGTGCAAGACCAGCCTGGCCAACATGGTGAAACCCCATCTCTACTAAAAATACAAAAATTAGCTGGGTGTGGTGACACACACCTATAATCCCAGCTACTTGGGAGGCTGAGGTAGGAGAATCACTTGAACCCAGGAGGCGGAGGTTGCAGTGAGCCAAGATCACACCACTGCACTCCAGCCTGGGCGACAGAGTGAGAAGACTCCGTCTAAAAAAAAAAGTTAAAATTAGCACCAAACGCTTTACAAGTAAAAAAAGTTTTTAGCTGCATATGTTTAAGTAACTTTTTAGATTATAAGAAATACGCATGCAAAATGGAAAGGCACAAAGAAGAGAGCAAAAAGTGCATGAGATCTCACATCCAAGGATAACCGCTGAGAACATGGAAGTGCTGACTCTTCAGTCTTTATACTATACACATTTAGGCCTGTTTTGTTTTTATAAAACTGTAATCATATAATACAGACAGTTTTATAATCTGCTTTTTAAACACAACAATTATATAACATTTAGCTGTTTCATTTGCATTCAAATTCATAAGGGTTCCAGTAACTCATTTATCAGAAAACCAAGAGAAATATTCTCATAAAAATATAAGTACATAAGGTCAGGCATGGTGGCTCACGCCTGTAATCCCAGCACTTTGAGAGGCCGAGGTGGGCGGATCACCTGAGGGCAGGAATTCAAGACCAGCCTGGCCAGCCTGGACAACATGGTGGAACCCCGTCTCCACTGAAAATACAAAAATTAGCCGGGCGTGGTGGCGCGCGCCTGTAATGGTAGCTACTCAGAAGGCTGAAGCAGGAGAATCGCTTGAACTTGGCAGGTGGAGGTTGCAGTGAACTGAGATCGCGCCACTGCACTGCAGCCAGGGCGCCAAAGTGAGACTCCATCTCAAAAAAAGATAAAAATAAAAAATAAAAAAAATGTATATATATGTATATATATTTTTCCAGACAGGGTCTTACTCTGTCTCACAGTCTGAAGTGTAGTGACGCAATCATAGCTCACTGCAGTCTCAAGTTCCTGGGCTCAGGTGATCCTCCCACTTCAGCCTCCCAAGTAGCTGGAACTACAGGTGCATGCCACCATGCCCAGTCAATTTTTTTTTTAATTTTTCATAGAGACAGAGTCTCACTATGTTTCCCAGTCCTAATAAACATTATGTGATAAAAAGAAAAAAGTAAATCATCCTGAAGTTAAGTCTTTAATGAGAAATGCAAATAAAGCATTTCTCAATAAATTATGGGAAGAGAATCAACTGAAGAATAAACATCTTTAGTAAATCTTTTGCTCACGTGCATTAACCAATACTCTTGAAAACCAGGATTAATTTACTGTACCTTCTTAATATTCCTTTGAAATTCCTTATGGCGCACAGGTAGCGTAGAAAATAACTGCTTCACGCTGACTGTGGTCCCTCTGGGGTGGGGGTAGGGGGTTTTCTGGATGATTTTCCCATCGTGATCAAACACCAGTCGAGTCCCAACCTTCGCCGATACGTGGCAGGTAGAAATGGTGACATCACTGTGAGAGAATACCAGGCATGGTGTGTTCAGTGAGAGATCCATGATGTTGGGCACTGACTACTCTTTTCTTCACTTGCTTTTCTCTCAAAATTTTCTTAAAAAGCTGATGATCCCTCTGAGATAACCGAGATCTAAACGGTTGAGGAGTCATCACAAAATCTAAGGTCTGGCATCTAAAAGACAGTGAGACAGAGAGCACTAAACATGCTTTGTTTTGATAAAAGCTTTGACTTCATTTTTCAGGTTGAATTGCAAAACCATAAATGATCTCAAGATTTATTGATTCTCAAATAGAGATTTGTTTTGTTATTACTCTTCAAACAAAATTTTTTAAAAGAATTTTTTTAAAGAATTTTTTAAAATTTTTAAAATTTTTTTTAAAGAATCCAAAAGATATTATAATTAAAATGTATATGTAGGGCAGGGTGCGGTGGCTCGTGCCTGTAATTCCAGCACTTTGGGAGGCCAAGGAGGGCAGATCACTTGAGGCCTGGAGTTCCAGACCAGCCTGGGCAACATGGCAAAACCCCATCTCTACTAAAAATACAAAAATTAGCCAGGAGTGGTGGTGCACGCTATAGTCCCAGCTCTTCAGGAGGCTGAGTCACGAAAGTCACTTGAACCTGGGAGGCAGAGACTGCAGTGAGCTGAGACTGTGCCACTGCACTCCAGCCTGGGTGACAGAGTGCGACTCTGTCTAAAAAAAAAAAAAAATATATATATATATATATATATATATATGTATATATATGTATATATATATACGTATATATATATGTATATATATATGTATATATATGTATATATATATGTATATATATGTATATATATGTATATATGTATATATGTGTATATATATGTATATATGTATATATGTATATATATATGTATATATGTATATATGTATATATATGTATATATATATGTATATATGTATATATGTATATATATGTATATATATATGTGTATATATATATATGTATATATGTATATATGTATATATATGTATATATGTATATATATGTATATACATGTATATATATGTATATATATGTATATATATGTATATATATGTGTGTGTGCATGTAATTATTTATAAAAATTTAGTATCTGTGCTGTAATTAAATAGTGCTTTGGTGAAATGTTTCCCTAAAAATTGATAATGAAAACCAATGGTAACTATCATTTATTATCTATATGTTATGTTCAAATTGAGAAGTTACTGTTTTAATAAGGGTAACCAATTTTTTAAACAATACTATTTGCTTCATTTCATTCATTTATTGCTCACATTTCAGAAGTACTAGGACTTAGATTGGCAGTGAGACAAAACAGAATTCAGAAGCTAGAAGCTGAGATATTGAGATAGAAAATTGTAAATAATAATGATTCCAATTAATTTTCAGAGAGGTTTTTCTAAGGGGTCAAGTGAATGGATAAAAATATTTTCTCACCTCAGTGCACAAAGTGAGCTCAGAGCTTTCCCCCGAAAGCCAAAAGTTTCAACCCGAGTTAGGTCGGCAAACTCTCGAATCTTAGATGTGTGATGTTTCAGAGCTGAAAGAGACTGTAAAGTAAGGACTAAGATATCTCAAGTGCTATAACAACAAATATACATGATATCTAGTAACTGGCTTTAAAAAACTGTTTTTGTGTTTCCCAAGACAGTGTTACTCAAAATTCTAAGACATGTGGCCCAATTATTTTGTAATAGGATTAGAAAGTTAACTTACTTAAGCCTTCGAAGTTTTCTTCTTCTACCCCACATCCATTGCCTGAAACTTCAATGAGATCCATTCCATAGTCCTTAAGCTTTAGATCTAGAAAGTTTAAAATATTTATATATTTATTAAAAATGGACCCACGCTATCAGTTTTTATATTGATATTATTTATAACGTGCAAATTTAAGTGTCGTAACTATACCTTTAGTTAAACATACTAGTGTCATTTTGTATATTTCATTTTTATAAAGTTCTTTCTGGCCATTTACTAGCCCAGATTAAATAGTTTAGCATTTTCTTTCTTTCCTCTTTTTTTTTTTTTTTTCCTTACACTAGTCAAGTGAAGCAGTTGGAGTGGAGAAGGAACAAAAAAATCTGTAACTGGTTGTGATCAATTAGTTGTAAAGACCGTTGCACTTTGACCAGCCTTTTCCTTTGAAAGAAATAATTTTAACATACCCAGTAAGGAGAACGGGGGCCGGGCGCAGTGGTTCATGCCTGTAATCCCAGCACTTTGGGAGACCAAAGCGAGCGGATCACCTGAGGTCAGTAGTTCGAGACCAGCCTGACCAACGTAGAGAAACTCTATCTCTACTAAAAATACAAAATTAGCCAGGCGTGGTGGTGCATGCCTGTAATCCCAGCTACTTGTGAGGCTGAGGCAGGAGAATCGCTTGAACCTGGGAGGTGGAGGTTGCAGTGAGTTGAGATCGTGCCATTGCACCGCAGCCTCGGCAACAAGAGCAAAACTCTATCTCAAAAAAAAAAAAAAGAAAAAAAAACAGAACTGGTTCTGGAATCAGACTTCCTAGATTCTATTTTATTAGCTTTATAATCTCAAAAAAAGGAAATTTACTGTCCCTTAATTTCCTCAACTGTAAAATGGAGGTAATAAGTTCTATCTCATAAAGTTATTTGGCAGATTAATAATTTTTTTTTAATTTTGTCATTTTCTTTTTTTTCTTTCCTTTTTTTTTTTTTTTTTTAATTTTTTGAGATGGACTTTTGCTCTTGTCACCCAGGCTGGAATGCAGTGGCACAATCGATCTTGGCTCACTGCAACCTCCACCTCCCAGGTTTAAGCAATTCTCCTCCCTCAGCCTTCTGAGGAGCTGAGATTACAGCCATGCACCATCACATCTGGCTAATTTTTGTATTTTTAGTAGAGACAGGGTTTTACCACGTTGGTTAGGCTGGTCTTGAACTCCTGACCTCAAAGCATCAGCCCCCCTCAGCCTCCCAAAGTGCTGGGATTACAGATGTGAGCCACTACTCCAGGATTTATTTTATTTTATTTTATTTTATTTTTTTGAGACAGAGTCTTGCTCTGTCCCCAGGCTGGCGTGCAGTGGCACAATCTCGGTTCACTGCAACCTCCACCTCCCAAATTTAAACAATTCTCATTCCTGAGCCTCCCCAGTAGCTGGGATTACAGGCTTCTGCCACCAGGTCTGGCTAATTTTTGTATTTTTAGTAGAGACAGAGTTTCACCATTTTGGACAGGCTGGTCTCGAATTCCTGACCTCAGGTATCCACCCGCCTTGGCCTCCCAAAGTGCTGGGATTACAGGCGTGAGCCACCACACCCGGCCTGCTTTATTTTTTAATAGAGACGAGGTCTCCCCATGTTGGCCAGGTTGGTCTTGAACTCTTGGCTTCAAGCAATCCCCCCACCTCAGCCTCTCAAAGGGCTAGGATTACAGGCGTCAGACACCACGCCCAGCTATTCTGCAAATTAAATGAGATATTTCTGTGCAATTCTTAGCATAACACCTGCCTGGCACACCATAAGAACACAAGAAAAGCTGTCGTTATTATTATTACTACCTAGCTAAGTACTAGGCACATAATAGGTGCTAACTTTAACTTAAAAATAATAGTTTATTACTACATCAACACTTGATAGTCTTATTTCAATAACAAATGTTTCTTGACTACAACAACATTCACTGATCATTTCTTGTGGCTTAAAACTCTCCCAAACTTACCAATATTAGTGGCACCAGCATCCAGACTGTTTCCTACTATCTTCTTCACCGCAGTGCTTAGACTCAGTACCACCGGCCCAGAGCAAATCTGATGGACTGACTTCCGATCAATAGGTTTGATGGCCTTAGCAGGTTCTGTACTAAAGAAATCAGTTACAAGAAACAAAGCAGGTATTCAGCTATATATTTTCATCCTGATTTTAACTGTGGGAAATGACTCAACACTGCAAATAGTTTATGGGTCTAATCTATTCATTTATTATATTAACAAATACATTTATTATATCCAGAAATGGAAACATTGTTTTACAATCCTTAAACAAGTACCCAAAATACTTCTGGATAGACACTTCAAATTCAACACATCCTTACTATCTAGTATCCACATGGAGAAAACATACATTGTATCTCTCAAATTACCAAAATCTTTGGCAATAATGGTGTCTTCTTTCTTGAAAACTGAAAGCATGGCCGGTGCGGTGGCTCATGCCTGTAATCCCAGCAATTTGGGACACAGAGGCAGGTGGATCACTTGAGATCAGGAGTTTGAGACCAGCCTGGCCAACGTCGTGAAACCCTGTCTCTACCAAAAATACAAAAAATTAGCCAGGCATGGTGGTGGGCGCCTGTAATCCCAGCTACTTGGGAGGCTGAGGCAGAAGAATCACTTAAACCTGGGAGGCGGAGGTTGCAGTGAGCTGAGATTGCAGCATTGCACCCTAGGCTGGGCAATGAGCAAAAAAAAAAGTAAAAGCAACATAATTTCCCACATAATTAGAAAAACCAACAGTATGCTGGGAAATACACAATGTTTAAGTCAAAATCATCTCAGAAATTGGATACCAGTTATATAACTATTCCTTATACACAGTTGCCTTTGATACCCTACTCCAAATTGAAGCTGCCAGCTGCTGTCTTAGCAAAGACCCTCAAAGTTCTTGCTGTACTTGTTTTAAGAGGTTTTTTTTTTTTTTTTTTTTTTTTTTTTGAGACGGATTCTTGCTCTGTCGCCCTGTCGCCCAGGCTGGAGTGCAGTGGCACGATCTTAGCTCACTGCAAGCTCTGCCTCCCGGGTTCACACCATTCTCCTGCCTCAGCCTCCTGAGTGGCTGGGACTACAGGCGCCCACCACCATGCCCAGCTAATTTTTTGTATTTTTAGTAGAGACAGGGTTCCACCGTTTTAGCCAGGATGGTCTCGATCTCCTGACTTTGTGATCCGCCCGCCTCAGCCTCCCAAAGTGCTGGGATTACAGGCGTGAGCCACCATGCCCAGCCCACTTTAAGAGTTTTATAACGGTTTCATTTCCCCTTATTCCCTGCTCCAACCCATCCTCCACTCTATCACCAGAGCTATTTTTGAAATCACGAATCTGGTCAAATAATTTTTCTGCTTGAAAAATTACTAGTGCCCCACTTCCTACTATATGAAACTTAAAATCTAGTCATCACTGGGCCCCAAACTACCTTCTTTTCAGAATCTCTCTGATCCTTTCCCTTCATCAAGTCCCCTACATTATTATTATTATTATTATTATTATTATTATTATTATTATTATTATTATTATTTGAGACAGAGTCTCACCCTGTCACCTGGGCTAGAGTGCAATGGCATGATCTCGGCTCACTGCAACCTCCACCTCCCAAGTTCAAGTGATTCTCCTGTCTCAGCCTCCCAAGTTGCTGGGATTATAGGCATCCACCATTACACTCAGCTAATTTTTGTGTTTTTAGTAGAGATGGGGTTTCACCATGTTGGCCAGGCTGGTTTCTAACTCCTGACCTCAGGTGATCTGCCCGCCTTGGCCTTCCAAAGCACTAGGATTACAGGTGTGAGCCACCGCAACTGGCCGTCCCCTATATTGCAGCACAGTGAACAACTGTTTCCTGAACATCACAAGCTCTCTTAGACACTACAGTGTATAAGCAGGTCTCTGTCTAAACTGCTCTCCTCTTGCCCCTCTGCCCAACCAATGTCTGCTCATCCAAAGAATGTATCCCGTGTGTTCATTAACTTAGCAAGTTCCCAGTAAACAGTTTAATTGATCACTCGTTAAGAGAAGGCGGGAAACCTCCATGAAAAGAGAAATCAGTGGGTATTTCCTACAGCATTTAACACATCGTAGGCCTTCAATAAACCCTTGTGAAATAAACAAACCTCTTTACTCTTCATTCTATGTTGCTAAGAATCTCACCTAAGTCTGTCTACCATGTGAAACTGCAGATGACCTCACAGAAAATGGAAAGAAGTATCTCTAAAAATAAGTTTATTTGGCAACACACTACAGGCTACAGGTTCACTTCTGATTTTTTTTCTTTTTTTTTTTTGAGATGGAGTCTTGCTGTGTTTACCCAAGACATGTTTTAGACTGTAAATTGGAGGCTGAAAAACATCATAACATCACTTTTGCCCTACTCAATGACTATCCTGTTACTAAGGTTGGGCCAAAATTAAAGGGGGGGTCATAGGCCCCCACCTCTTTTTTTATTTTCAGACAGGGTCTCCCTCCGCTGTCCAGGCTGGAGTGCAGGGGCGCAATCATAGCTCACTGCAGCCTTGACCTCCCAGGCTCAAGCAATCCTCCTGCTTCAGCCTCCCAAGTAGCTGGGACATGGGCATGCATCATCACAGCTGGCTAATTAAAAACATTTTTTTGTTGAGACGGAGTCTCGCTCTGTTGTCCAGGCTGGAGTGGAGTGGTGCGCTCTCGGCTCACTGCAACCTCTGCCTCCTGGGTTCAAGCAATTCTCCTGCCTCAGCCTCCTGAGTACCTGGGATTACAGGTGCCCAACACCACACCTGGCTAATTTTTTGTATTTTAGTAGAGACAGGATTTCACCATGTTGCCCAGGCTGGTCTCAAACTCCTCAGCTCAGGCAACCCGCCTGCCTTGGCCTCCCAAAGTGCTAGGATTACAGGCATGAGTGACCATGCCCAGCCTAAAAACTTTTTTTTAAGGGATGGGATCTTGCTAGGCTGCCCAGGCTGGTCTTGAAGTCCTGGCCTCAAGCAATCCTCCCACCTTGGCCTCCCAAAGTTCTAGGATTACAGGCGTGAGCCACCATGCCTGGCTGATCCTCACCTATTTTTTTGTTGTTGTTTGAGACAGGGTCTATCTCCATCTCCTCGGCTGGAGTGCAGTGGCTTGATCATGGCTCACTCCAGCCTCAACCTCCTGGGCTCAAGCAATGCTACCACTTCAGCCTCCCGAGTGGCTGCGACTACAGGTGTGCACCACCACACCCTGCTAATTTGTGTATTTTTTGTAGAGATGAGGTCTTGCTATGTTGCCCAGGCTAGTTTCAAACTCCTGGCCTCAGTCAATCCTCCCACCTTGGCCTCCCAAAGTGCTGGGATTATAGGTGTGAGCCACCACCTCTGGCCAGCTCCCACCTGTTGATCAAAGGAGCATCAAAGAATTTGCAGCCTCCAGAAGGAGGTCATTTCCTGCCTCTGAGTCTCAGTTTCCACATCTATGAAATAAAGTTAATGATCCTTCACTCCAGGGTTGTCGTGAAGGCTAAATTAAGTTGTATTTGGAAAAATATGTGGGGCACAGTAGGTGTGTTTCTCACACCCAGAGTCAGAGTGTTTAGCAGAGGGTTAGTAGTTGCCTCCAGGGCATGAAGGGCTCTTCCTGACCCTAAGTGTGAGGAACGCTTTGGGTTAAAAGATTGTACTTTTCTGCGTTCAGCTGAAAGGTGGAGGGCTCAGTGAGGTGGCTCACACCTGTAATTCCAATGCTTTGGGAGGCCGAGGTGGGAGGATCACTTGAGCCCAGGAGTTTGAGAGCAGCTTAAACAACACAGTAAGACCTTGTTTCTACACACACACACACACACACACACACACACACATTAGCCAGGCGTGGTGGCATGCGCCTGTAGTTCCAGCTACTTGGGAGGCTGAGGTGGGTGGATTGCTTGAGGCAAGGAGTTTGAGACAAGCCTGGTCAACACAGTGACACCCCATCATCCCCCAAAATCATTTTTCTTTGTTTTAAGGCAGAGCCTCACTCTATTGCCCAGGCTGGAGTGCAGTGGTGTGATCTCACCTCCTTGCAACCTCTGCCTCCCGGGTTCAAGCGATTCTTGTGTCTCAGCCTCCTGAGTAGCTAGGATTACAGGTGTGCACCACCATGCCTGGCTAATTTTTGTATTTTTAGCGGAGATGGGGTTTTGCCGTGTTGGTCAGGCTGGTCTTCAACTCCTGGCCTCAAGTGATCCGTCTGCCTTGGCCTCCCAAAGTGCTGGGATTACAGGTGTGAGCCACTGTGCCCAGCCACAATAAATCATTTTTAAAAGGTTAAATTTAACCTCATTTAAGTAATACATGTAAGTCTCATCGAATATTTGAAGCCAGTTTGTGAGGTAAAGTCTATTATTATGTGCATTTTAATTCTTAGCGTTTAATTAAAGCCTCATAAGTACAAATAAAAACAGGACTTGCTATAACAGGTTGCCACCTATTTTCTTTAAAGATGACGAGCAGCATCTTATTTGCGTTAACACAAGTCATCCACATAACAAATATAGATAAGAAAAGTGGCCAGGTGTGGTGGCTCATGCCTCTAATCCTAGTACTTTGGGAGGCCGAGGCAGACAGATCACTTGAGGTCAGGAGTTCGAGACCAGCCTGGGCAATATGGTGAAACCCCATCTCTATCAAAAATACAAATATTAGCCCGGCATGGTGGTGGGCGCCTGTAATCCCAGCTACTTGGGAGGCTGAGGCAGGAGAATTGCTTGAACCTGGAAGGCGAAGTTTGCAGTGAGCCAAGATCATGCCACTGCACTCCAGCCTGGGTGACAGAGCGAGACTCTGTCTCGAAAAAAGAAAAAAGAAAAGAAAAGAAAAGTAAGGCACTTAGAGGGTAAGTGGCTTCACTCGGTACTAAGTAGGGGAGTGTGGATTTGAGCCAAGCTGTGGGTTCAAACCACATCAACACCTGCTATGCCTGACTGCGTCTCCACGCTGCTGGGAAGGTTGACTGAATCTGCCACTACCTCCCTGGGGTGCATGTGCTTACCAAACCATTGCATTATGTAAAAGGCGGTACTGTAGGTTTTTAGTTTTTTAATTTTTATTTTTTTGAGATAGAGTCTCACTCTGTCACCCAGGCTGGAGTGTAGTGGCATGATCTTGGCTGACTGCAATCTCTGCCTTCCGGGTTCAAGCGATTCTCTTGCCTCAGCCTCCTGAGTAGCTGGGACTACAGGCCCACACCACCACGCCTGGCTAATTTTTGTATTTTTAGTAGAGACAGGGTTTCACCATGTTGGACATCATGGTCTCGGTCTCTTGGGCTCATTATCTGCCTGCCTCGGCCTCCCGAAGTGCTGGGATTACAGGTGTGAGCCACAGTGCCTGGCCTCTAGTGACCTCATTTTAACTTGATCACCTCTGTAAAGACTCTGGTTCCAATAAGGTCACCTCTAAGGTCTGGAGGGTCATGGCTTCAATACATGAATTAGGGGTGGGGGGCACACCATGCAGCCCATAATACTAGCGTATCTGGTTATGTTAAACTTGCTATAGCCACAGTCTCGCTGACTTGGATTATGGTGCCATGGGAAGGGCCCTTAAAGATCATCTTATCTGGTTGGGCTCAATGGCTCACGCGTGTAATTCCAGCACTTTGAGAGGCCAAGGCAAGAGGATCGCTTGTGACCAAGAGTTCAAGACCAGTCTGGGCAACAGAGCAAGATGCTATATCTACTACAGGCATGCACCTGTAGTCTCAGCTACTTGGGAGGCTGAGAGAAGAGGATTGCTTGAGCCCAGGAGGCAACAGAGAGCTGATTGTACCACTGCACCCCAGCCGAGGCAACAGAGAGCTGATTGTACCACTGCACCCCAGCCAAGGCAACAGAGACCTTGTCTCTAAAAAACAAAAACAGGCCGGGTGCAGTGTCTTATGCCTGTATTCCCAGCACTTTGAGAGGCAGAGGCGGGTGGATCATTTGAAGTCAGGTGTTCAAGACCAGCCTGGCAAACATGACGAAACCCTAAAATACAAAAATTAGCCGGGAGTGGTGGTGGGTGCCTGTAATCTCAGCTACTCGGGAGGCTGAGGCAGGAGAATCGCTTGAACCTGGGAGGCAGAGGTTGCAGTGAGCCGAGATGGAGCCACTGCACTGCAGCCTGGGTGACAAGAGCGAAACTCTGTCTCAAAATATTAGGAAAAAAAAAGAGAGAGAGCCTCTTTTCCATCTCCCCGCCACAGAGTTGTCTTCAGTAATTTCATTCCCTTTTTTCCTGAGGATTCACTGGGTTTCTGGGTCCCAGAGGGGAAGTTCTCTTCAAGGTACAGAAACCACGACTCCGCAGAGAACCGCAGAGAATCGCAGAGATGGCAGCATGACCAGACCACGGACAGGTGTGTAGAAGCTGCTGGGCTGAAACTTGGGCTGAACTTCCGCTGCAGGTTGACTTATTCCCATCAGCACCAAAGCCGCTGGAGGGGGTCATCCACTAGCAAATGAAGTGGGGGCACGGATTGGAGGCTGTTTCAGAAGGTCCCACTGAGCCACGGACTCAAGGCCTGGCCACAGCCCTCCCAAGCGAGGCCCAGATCATATTTCACCACGCTCAGAAAACCTTGCCAGCTCATTTCAGTCCACAGTGACTTTGCTTTCTTTAGGATCTCTCTTGCACTGTCCAACTCAGAGAATTTCAAATCTGAATGGATTCCAATGATGGAGCTAAATCAGGCCTCACCTCAGTTTTTTAATTACAATCAATAGGGCTGGGTCCCAGCATCTGTGTCTTAATGTTCCTCCATGTGATCCTCATGCTGAAAGGCTGGTATTTGAAAATCCCTTTTTTTGGGGAGTGAAGGGTTTTTTTAGAGACAGGCCTCACTCTGATGCCCAGCCTGGAATGCAGTGGTGGATCACAGCTCACTGCAGCCTCGAACTCCTGGCCGCAAGAAATCCTCCCACCTTAGCCAACCAAAGTGTTGGGATTGCAGGAGTGACCACTGTGTCCAGCCAGGAAAGCCCTTCTGTTTCACTTGAATGATATTTCTGCCGCAGACCTACAGCCATTGTTGTATTAAACGGCATCATTGCAGGAAAAGAAAAGGTGAGAGGTGACTGTTTTGCTTTTTTCTGAACATATCAGACCAAACCTGGGCTGTCTGGCACTTTTTTTTTTTTTTTTTTTGAGTCGGAGTCTCACTCTGTCGCCCAGGCTGGAGTGTAGTGTCGTGATCTCGGCTCACTGGAACCTCCACCTTCCCGGTTCAAGTGATTCTCCTGCCTCAGCCCCACAAGTAGCTGGGATTACAGAAGTGCACTCCCACGCCCAGCTCATTGTTTCTGTATTTTTACAGAAAAACAGACAGGTTTCACCATGTTGGCCAGGCTGATCTCAACCTCCTCACCTCTGGTTATCTGTCGGCATCAGCTTCCAAAAGTGCTGGGATTACAAGTGTGAGCCGCCGCACCTGGTTTGCCCATTTTTTGACAATGTATCAACATCATCTAAGATGGGCACTGCCTCAGTGTAGTGTGTCTAGACAAGGTGGCCGGAACAGAGAGGAATATGCATACCAGGCTTAAAGACGGGTTAAATCAGAGCTTTTCATTCCACAAAAGAGCAATTTTAATGAGGTCAGAACATGGATGTTCTAATATTTGAAAGCCTGTTAACTAGGAGAGAGAGTAAAGTGATTTGTTGTAGGAGGACACACCCAGCTCTGACGGTTTAAAGCGTCATGAATGCAAATTTGAACTCCAGAAAAGCAGAGCTTCCTAACAATGGGACTTCCACAGCAATGGGATTTCCTTCCGCATTCAGTTTGTGCCTTTCCCATGAGCGAGAGACTCCTAGGAGAGCCGCAGCCCGTTAGGAAGCCATGTGGGAACTCATCCACAGGTTCTTTTTGTTTTTTTTGTTTTTTTTTTTTTTTTGAGATGTAGTTTTGCTCTTGTTGCCCAGGCTGGAGTGCAATGGTGTGACCTTGGCTCACTGCAACCTCCGCCTCCCAAGTTTAAGCCATTCTGCTGTCCCCGCCTCCTGAGTGGCTGGGATTACAGGCACCCACCACCATGCCTGACTAATTTTTTGTATTTTTAGAAGAGATGGGGTTTCACCATGTTGGCCAGGCTGCTCTTAAACTCCTGACCTCAAGCGATCCACCTGCTATGGCCTCCCAAAGCGCTGGGATTACAGGCGTGAGCCACTGTGCCTGGCCGGAACCCACAGGTTCTTTGGATGGTCTCTGAATGTCATGAAACTCTTTTATATTTAATTAAAAAAATTTTTTTGACACAAGGTCTTGCTGTGTTGCCCAGACTGGAGTGCGGTGTCACGATCACAGCTCACTGCAGCCCCTAACTCCTAGGCTCAAGCAATCCTCCTGCCACCTCAGTCTCTCAAGTTGTTGGAACACAGGTGCCAGCCACGACACCTGGCTAATTTTGTTTTGTTTTGTTTTGTTTTGTTTTAGAGATGGGCTCTTGCTATGTTGCCTATACTGGTCTTGAACTGCTGGCCTCAGGCAGTCTTCCTCCCTTGGCCACCCAAAGAGATGGGATTACAAGCATGAGCCACTGTGCACAGCTGAGATTTTTCGACTTAGTCTTTTTGTACACCCAGTATCTTATAGAATATCCATAATATAGATTCATAAATAAACCATTTCCTTCAATGGTATAAATAAATAAACCACTGCTATAAATGGTGGAATTTTCTGAGTTAAGAGCAATACATATGATACAAAACTTGATATATAGAGTTTCTTAGCCAAACTGGAGGGGCTGGCTTTAGGTGATCCGTGGACTCCCTGAAATTGGGGACACCATTGGAAATATGTGTGAACTCATGGGCAGTTTCCTATGATTTCCAGTCCTCAAAATATCTCTTGGACTCAAAGATGCCTTAGGGCAGAGGACGCGTGTACCCCCAGTACAGAATCTCGGACAGTGAATGTCAGTAGACACTCGGCAGAAAACCTCTGCCAAATTGAGTGCTCTGATGTGACTTTTTCATCAAGTCAATGTTCCTGGGATCTCTTGTACATGATAATCTCACTCTTGTAAGGTTTCATCGTTTCTGCTTACCCTACTTTTCTTTCCCATCCTGATCCCTCTCCCACCAGACTGGACTCTGAAACGGGCATGTACAGAGAAGAGGAGACCCCAACACGCTTCAAGCTTTGAGTGGAGAGGACACAGCCTCTGCTGGGACAGGGAACAGAGGGATGCGGAGACCCTGAAGATGCTTTTGGACAGTGGTCTGAGGTTGGGACAGTGGCAGGAGATACCATTCACCCAGGATCTCCAGGACAAGAGATCAGCCTGGCAGTTACATGTGTTTTTTTTCAAACTGGTTGCCAGGTTGGCATGAGCGATGACATCAGAGATTCCGACCTTCCTGATTGGAGGGACCGGACTCTGTCGGCACCTGGGAGTTCAGTTGGACAACAGTAACTTCTCAGAGCTGTTCTCCACTCCTGACTTCTCCCAGCCTCGAGAATTGATAACACACTCTTCTGGATCCCAGCAGTGTCCAGAAGAAGACCAAGGACAGAACAGAGACTAGGTTTGGTGAGATGGGACAGATTTTGGGAAAGATCATGATGAGCCATCAACCGCAGCCCCAGGAAGAGCGGAGCCCCCAGCGGAGCACCTCAGGGTACCCCCTCCAGGAGGTGGTGGATGATGAAGTGTCGGGACCATCAGGTGAGGGGACTGGAGGAAGAAGAGGTGGCATAGGATTGACTAAGATGAAGGAAGGGGGCCAGGCGTGGTGGCTCACCCCTGTAACCCCAACACTTTGGGAGGCTGAGGCGGGCAGATCACCTGAGGTCAGGAGTTCAAGACCAGCCTGGCCAACATGGTGAAACCCCATCTCTACTAAAAGTACAAAAATTAGCCAGGCGGTAGTGGTGTGTGCCTACAATCCCAGCTACTTGGGAGGCTAAGACAGGAGAATCACTTGAGCCTGGGAGGAAGAGGTTGCAGTGAGCCGAGATCGTGCTACTGCACTCCAGTCTGGGTGACAGAGTGAGATGCTATCTCAAAAAAAAAAAAAAAAAAAAAAAAAAAAAGAAGGGTCAGAGGTCAGGAAGGAGAACCTGGGGAGGGTGTGTGGGAAGAATGGAGAAATTCAGGCTGGGTGCAGTGGCTCACACTTGTAATCCCAGCACTTTGGGAAGCCAAGGCAGGCGGATCACTTGAGGCCAGGGGTTTGAGACCAGCCTGGCCAACATGGTGAAACCCTGTCTCTATTAAAAGTACAAAATGGAGCTGGGCATTATGGCAGGCACCTGTAATCCCAGCTACCTGAGAGGCTGAGGCAGGAGAATAACTGGAATCCGGGAGATGCATGTTGCAGTGAGCTGAGATTGCACCACTACACTCCAGCCTGGGTGACAAAGCAAGATTCTGTCTCGAAACAAAAAAAAAAAAAAAAAAAGAGGGACTCAGAGAGCCAGGGACCAGGGAAGGATATGAGGCAGTGTTCTGAGGACAGAGAGAGGGAAGAATGGGGAGGGGAAGGAGTGGCACATGGGGTTGAGCAGAGGAGAAAGTCAGAAAGGTGGCTTGGAGAAGCCAGCAGTCTGCGAGGCTGGGGAGGATGGAGAGTGGTTTGGGGTTTGGGGTCGGGGTCTAACGTGATCAGTTGCAGAAGCATTACACGGTGGCCTGGTTTCTTTACTCAGCCCCTGGGGTAGATCCCAGCCCCCCACGTAGGTCCCTTGGCTGGAAAAGGAAGAGGGAATGTTTGGATGAATCTGATGATGAGCCAGAGAAGGAGCTCGCCCCTGAGCCTGAGGAGACCTGGGTGGCGGAGACGCTGTGTGGCCTCAAGATGAAGGCGAAGCGACGGCGAGTGTCGCTCGTGCTCCCTGAGTACTACGAGGCCTTCAACAGGCTGCTTGGTAGGAGGACACCCCAGAGAGCACCTCCAATCCTGTTCTTTCTAAAGAGGAAACTTCCAATAACCACACTTTTCCAATGGGAAAAATATGCCCCAGTGGGTGAGCTCTCCATGCGGGAGGACTCTGAAGTGATCACTCATGAGGGACACTTAAGGAGACAACAGAGGATTAGGTAGACTTGATAAAGGTCGGTGCTTGGGATAAGAAAGCTTGGTTTTGGGCCAGGCGCTGTGGCTCCCGCCTGAGATCCCAGCACGTTGGGAGGCTGAGGCAAGAGGATTGCTTGAACTCAGGACTTTGAGGCTGCAGTGAGCTATGACTGCACCACTGCACTCCAGCCTGGGTGACAGAGCAAAACTCTGCGTCAAAAGAAAAACCAAGGCTGGGCACAGTAGCTCATCCCTGTAGT
Organism: Homo sapiens; assembly: GCF_000001405.40. Taxonomy (NCBI): domain Eukaryota; kingdom Metazoa; phylum Chordata; class Mammalia; order Primates; family Hominidae; genus Homo; species Homo sapiens. The sequence goes on along the minus strand of NC_000007.14, from coordinate 73,026,225 downwards.
TCCAGCTACTCGGGAGGCTGAGACAGGAGAACTGCTTAAACCCAGGAGGCAGAGGTTGCAGTGAGCCAAGATCAGGCCAATGCATTCCAGCCTGGCCCACAGAGCAAGACTCTGTCTCAAAATAAATTAATAAATAAATAAAAATAAAAATCAAATAAAGAAAAACAAAATCAAAAATCAAAAAAGTGGTTTCAGCTGTGCCCTCTGAAACTTAATGTTTCTTACTGACTTTGCTAAACCTAAGTGTCTCCATCCATAGTGGGGGATCCCAAGGCCATGGTCACACCCTGATGTGTGACTGTCTCATGAGGAAATGATGGGAATTCCTTTATGACTCTGCAGTGGTCCCTCCGTGTCTGCTGGAGGGGGTCCTGGCTGATTCCCAGCTCTACATCCTGTAGATTCTCACACCCAGGGCCTCCTTCGGCCTCTTCTCAGGGGAGTCTCAGAGCAGGAGCCTCTCTCCCTTGCCCAGTGAAAGTCATTCTCCCCTCTCTCATCCACCTCACCCGCGGCCACAATCCTGAGACTTTCCCCCGGGAGGCACACTTCTCCTCGCTGCCCTGCTGCTCTCACGGAAACCCTGTCCTGCTTCTCACACTGACATCTGCTCTCTAATCACAGAGGATCCTGTCATTAAAAGACTCCTGGCCTGGGACAAAGATCTGAGGGTGTCGGACAAGGTAAGGTTGTTCTCTATGTAACTGTGTTCCTGTTCTAACGCACGGCCAGGGGGAGGGCGCAGCTTCCAAACCCACAGTTCTCCGTCCACCACCTCCCACCAGATGCTCCTACAGTTTTTTTTTGTTTTTGTTTTTGTTTTTTTTTGTGAGACACAGTCTTGCTCTGCTGCCCAGGCTGGAGGGCAGTGTCTCGATCTTGACTCACTGCAGCTGATGCCTCCTGGGTTCAAGCGATTCTCCCACCTCAGCCTCCAAGCAGCTGGGATTACAAACATGAACCACCACGCCTGGCTAATTTTTGTGTTTTTAGTAGAGACGGGGTTTTGCCATGTTGGCCAGATTGGTCCCGAACACCTGACCTCAGGTGATCCACCCGCCTTGGCCTCCCAAAGTGCTGAGATTACAGACGTCAGCACTGTGTCTGACCAGCTCCCATGGTCTTGAGTCTTGGCACCCACACATTTTTTTTTCTGAGACAGAGTCCAGCTCTGCTCCCCAGGATGGAGTACAGTGGCATGATCATAGCTCACTCTAATTCCTGGGCTCAAGCAATCCTCTTTCCTTAGCCTCCTGAGGAGCTGGGACTAGGCACATGCTACCATGCTCAACTAATTTTTGAAATCTTCTTAGAAACAGGGTCTCGCTGTGTTGCCCAGGTTGTTCTCCAACTGTTGGGCTCACATGATCCTCCTGTCTCCACCTCTCAAAAAGTACTGGGATCACAGGCTTGAGCTGCCACTCCCGGCTATTCTTTGTCTTTTTATGATTTGTCAGCATCTCCGTCAGGATTCTGCTGGTCTCTTGCAGAGTGAATGAGTGGCCCCTGCCTCTCCTATGGGTCCTTTGGGATCTGAGCCCTGGGCCACAGTCTGGCTGCAGCCCTGAAGCTCCTGGGCCCTCTACTCTCAGCTCCTTGGGACAGTTCTCTGCCTGGCACACAAAAGACCCTCCTGACACCAGCCGACCTAGACACACCCCCTCCAAAGATCCCATCGGAGCCCACCATCCTGGGAGCATCACCAAAAACCCTTCCTCCGGCTTCTCGGATTTGCATCCGACCTTCGAATACCCCTCCACCCCGCAATTTCCACATGAGCACAGTCACCCCAACACTGAGGTCCCTTCTCTGATGGGCAACCCCTCCCCAGACCCCCATTCCACTATATCCACAATCTTCCTCTCCCAAGATGTGACCTCTCCCTCTCTGTGTTCCTTTCTCTCCATCAGTATCTCCTGGCTATGGTCATAGCGTATTTCAGCCGGGCCGGCCTCCCCTCCTGGCAATACCAACGCATTCATTTCTTCCTGGCTCTGTGAGTGGTTTGCTGCCTCCTATCCATCAATATCCAATGCCCTGGGACAGCGGGGGAAGTGGGATTCCAGCCTTTCATTTATTCTTTCACCTATTTGTCCTCTTTACTCTGTGTACAAAAAAGACAGGATTATAGTCTCAAAAAAAAAAAAAAAAAAGAACAAAAAACAAAAGGAACCATGAACCGCTCCTAAGGGGAGAAGAAAAGGAGCGGAGGAGCGGACATGACACTTCCCCCAGCAAGCAGACGTTTCCGGTTGTTCTCTCTCCTTCCCACATCAACCGCAAAAGCCATCAGCCTCCTCCGGGTTCCCGTGACAGAGGTCACAGTCCAGGTCCCCCTTGCATCACTCGAATCCACTGTCAAATGCTCCCTGCTGGGGTTTCCTGGAGTCTCTCCCCAAGCCAGGGGGCTTCCTAGTGCAGCCTGAACATCTTTCCAAAGCACGACAACCTCACTGCCCACCTGAACAACTTCCTTAGCTGATGTCTTTCTCTATCGAGGCCAGGGTCCACAGTGCCAATTCCACCCTCTCTACAATCTCTACAACCACACTGGCTCGCCATCTTGGTGTTTCCTGGCTTGGCTTCACTGCTCCTTCCAAATGCCCTCCACTTGACTTTGCATTTGTGTTTTCTGTCTGGGTGTCCCGCACACATGTGGTTCTGAAGGGAAGGACCCATTCCTTGAAGTCGGTTCACCCCACAGCCTCTGTGATGCCTTCCCTCGTCTTCCAACTTCTGCATGCCCGTAGCTCTCCAGTTACATCCTATTATAATGTGACATTGGGATTAGGTCATCTCCCCTGATTACTCCCAGTCCCATTAGACTAGATGCCTGTAGAAGGCAGGGTCCTGGCAAAATATCAGTGTATTCAATTGCTTTTTTTTTTTTTTTGAGACAGACTTGCCCTGTCCCCTAAGCTGGAGTGCAGTGGTGAGATCATAGCTCACCGCAGCCTCCATATCCTGGGCTCAAGCGATCCTCCCACCTCAGCCTCTTGATTAGCTCCGACTACAGGGCTGTACCACCACACCTGGACAGTTATTTATTTATTTATTTATTTATCAAGACAAGAGTGTTGCTGTGTCTCTCAGGCTGGAATGGAGGGGCCCAATCTTGGCTCACTGCAACCTCCGCCTCCTGGGTTCACACAATTCTTATGCTTCAGCCTCCTGAGTAGCTAGGACTAATGGGTGTGCCACCGCACCAGGCTGATTTTTGTATTTTTAGTATAGATGGGGTTTCTCTGTGTTGACCAGGCTGGTCTCAAACTCCTGGTCTCAAGCAATCCACCTGCTTCAGCCTTCCAAAGCGCTGGGATTACAGGCATGAGCCACCACGTCTGGCGTATTTTTTATATTTTTAATAGAGACGAGGGTCTTGCTATGTTGCCCAGGCCTGTCTCAAACTCCTGGCCTCAAGTGATCCTCCTGCTTCGGCCTCCCAGTGTGCTGGGATTCCAGGCATAAGCCACCACTCTTGGTCACCAGTTGGGTTTTTGTCTCCATCCTGAAGGAGTGGGAGACGCCCTTGATCAGGTCTCTGTCCAGCAGAGCCCTCCTGAGGAAGGCGTGGCTCTCTGCAGGGTGGGTGCCAGTCCTGAGCTAGGGACGGTCCCTTACCTTCCTCTCTGAGAAGCTGACCTCAGCCGGAGGTCTCTCCTGGTGGTGCCCCTGAGCAGCAACCTGATTTCTGTCCTCAGCTATCTGGCCAATGACATGGAGGAGGACGACGAGGCCCCCAAACAAAACATCTTCTACTTCCTGTACGAGGAGACCCGCTCTCATATACCCTTGCTCAGTGAGCTTTGGTTCCAGTTATGCCGTTACATGAACCCGAGGGCCAGGAAGAACTGCTCTCAGATAGCCTTGTTCCGGAAGTATCGGTTCCACTTCTTTTGTTCCATGCGCTGCAGGGCTTGGGTTTCCCTGGAGGAGTTGGAAGAGGTGGGTGGGGCCTGGGGACGTGGAGGATGTGGGGAGGAATCGGGTGGGCTGGAGGCTGGACGAGGGGAGAGAGGGGTATCCTGGGGAGTCCCCGTCTTCTCAAAGCGCGTTTGTTTTTCCAGATCCAGGCTTATGACCCAGAGCACTGGGTGTGGGCGCGAGATCGCGCCCACCTTTCCTAGAGCTCCAGGGACCGTGGAGGCCTGAGGTCATCGGCCTGAGAGAAGGTACATCTGCATCCTCCGGGGTAAAGGCAGAATATTGGGGTCTATTTCGGAAATCCAAGGAACCCAATTGCTTGATCTGGCTTCAAGCCTGGGCAACGTGGCGAGATCCCCTCTCCACAAAAATACAAAAATTAGCCAGGCGATGTGGGAGGCATCTCTACTCCCAACTACTCAGGAGGCTGAGGCGGGAGGATCGCTGGAGCCTGGGAGGTCGGGGCTGCAGGGAGCCCTGATCCTGCCACTGCACTCCAGCCCGGGCGACAGAGTGAGACCCTGCCTCAAAAATAATCATAAATACTGAGTTCGGGGAGGTTCATTATGATTGATGCACTTGAGTTACCGATTTGGGTCGAGGGTTCAGTGAAGCTTTGGTTTACATCTTGTGCAGCTAACCATGTTGAGCACAGAGCATGAGACTTCGTCATGAGGAGGGAGGATTATGGATTAGGCTTCTGGACTCGTGGTTCGTGATGTTGTCACGTTAGAAACAGATCTAGCACGGTTACAAGTTTAGATCTGAAGTGACACAAAAGGCCCCAGCTGTGATGAAGTCCAAAGCCACATTCTCTGAGGGTGCCCTACTCCCTGGGAAGACCCACCCAAAGTCCTGGCTATGAAGCAGATCACTGGGGCTGACCTTGGGTGTATTAAGTTTTGGAGTCAGGGTCACCAAAGTGTGAGTTTCACAGTTGAACACGATGGTTCAGAAGCAGGGTATAGAATGAAAGGCAGGAGATAAAATTGCACTTCTCAATTGCTCTGAACTCTAGCTAGACTTGACATGGGACGTGAATAACCTTCCTGTCTAGAGAGCTGCCTCCTTGAAGTGTGACATTGTCTCTCTCACTTCCAGAACACCGGACCCAGGGGAGATGTGGATTTTCAGCAGGAACTTTATTCCAATGCTAATGGCAGACATCAGGAAGGAGGAGAGGAACCATTTGTGCAGATCATCTAGAAGAACCTGGACCATTCTTGACAGAGCTGAATACAGTGATCACGTTGTCCTCCAAGGAGCAGGGGTGGGGTGGGGTACTTCTAGGAGTCCTTGGAGAAAAGTAAGAAACCAGGAGTGTTTCCAGTTCCACCCTTTCCTGCGGCACCACCTCCCTTTTTATATTGCTGAATGCCAACCTCCCTGGGGCGGAACCTGGAGGTCCTGTTTCTTATGGACTTGGTTGTCACAGTCCAGGAGCATTTGAAGGCACAGTGCAGGGGCTCAGATTGGCACAGAATTCTTTGTGAAATATGAGTGCCACAGACTGTAACAGATAGCTTCATGCACACTATGCATTTTATTGGTTTGTTTGGAAAATGTTGGCCATTGAATTATTAATAGGTTTATTTCAAATAGTTTGGAAATTGTTGTACTTTTGAAAACATGCTGTTCCTGTAGAGTTTTTTGATGAGAGTTATAGTTGTTATATATACCTAAAGATAATTTTCTTTTCATTTTTAAGTGAGAATTCTTTTTATCCTAAATCTTTTATTATCTTTAATTTTTTTTCTGTATTATTATATGTGCTCCTGAAGCGAGCACTCTTTTTATCTATGATACTTCCATAATAATCTCTTCTATTTATAGCTATTGGTAGTTCCCCACCAGAAAAAAACATAATTCTGGTGATAGAAATTTTTATTTGCTGTTTAGGTTTGTGACTGACTTGTGAGAATTCAGTTGTGATTTTTAACATGTCTCAGATATATATACTAACACGTCTAATATATACTATCTATTTTATTGGTTTATTTTGAAAAACATGGGTATAGAATTATTTAAATATTATTTTATTTACTGAAATATTTATTAAATATATTTATTTATTTAAATATTATTATTACTTTAAATATTATTTTAAATATTTTGGAAATACTGGTATTTTTGAATAGATGCTGTTTCTATAAAGCTGTGTGATGGGTATTATAACTGTTGTATACACATACATATAATTTTGTTTTCCTTTTTAAGAGAGGATTCTTTTCATCCTAAATCTTTTACCTTTCAATCTTTGTATCTATTATTACACGTGCTGCTGAAGGGAGCATGGTTTTTATCTATGATACTTAGTTAACATATATATTACATTTATAGCTATGTGGTAGTTCCCCTAAATTCTTGTAAAAATAAATTTTTATTTGATATTTAGTGTATGTTTGAAATGTGAGAATTCAGATGGAATTTTTTATCTTGTTTTGGCATGTTTGTATGTTACTTTAAAGAGGATGTGTGTTCTAAAGGAGGACATGAGCTGTGTGTTTTCAAGAGAACAGTGCAGTGCATCTCTTGGGGAAACATAATAAAGATGAACTTTTCTCACCTTCACAGTGAGTGTGATCATATTGTGGTCTGGATTGATTATTTGCTGTCAAGTGACATTTTTCCTTAATGGGGTTGTGGTTATTTGAACATATTTATTAGCTTTGGAAGATAATCCTGTGCTGTTTTTTATGTAGAAAAAAACATACGGCTGGGTGCAGTGCTCACACCTACAATCCCAGCAGTTTTGGAGGTCATGGCGGGAGGATCACTTGAAGCCTATTTTTAATTTTTATTTTTTAAAGAAAAACAACAGAAGAGAAGGCTGATCCCAAGCTACAGGGTTTTTTTGTTTGTTTGTTTGTTTGTTTGTTTTGGAGACAGTCTCGCTCTGTCTCCCAGGCTGGAGTGCAGTGGCACAACCTCGGCTCCCTGCAACTTTCACCTCCGCGTTCAAGCAAATTCTCCTGCCTCAGCCTCCCAAGTAGCTGGGACTACAGGCATCCGCCTGTACGTCTGACTAACTTTTGTAAAAATAGTAGAGACAAGGTTTCACCATGTTGGCCAGGCTGGTCTCAAACTCCTGACCTCAAGTGATCCACCCGCCTCAGTCTCCCAAAGTGCTGGGATTATAGGCATGAGCTACTGTGCCCAGACCCCAAGCTAGAGTTTTAAAGCAGGAAATGAGAGAAAGATATTGAGAGAGGAAAACCAGGTGGTAAGAAAACTCTAAAGGTGGCTGGGCGTGGTGGCTCACGCCTGTGATCCCAGCAGGAGTTCGAGACCAGGCAGGAGAATCACTAGCAGAGAATATGTCTCCCCAACCCCTCTCAAAAAAAAAAAAAAAAGTCCAGGCGCGGTGGCTCAGGACTGTAATCCCAGCACTTTGGGAGGCTGAGGTGGGTGGATCATGAGGTCAGGAGATCAAGACCATCCTGGCTAATACGGTGAAACCCCATCTCTGCTAAAAATACAAAAAATTAGCTGGGCGCGGTGGCAGGCGCCTGTAGTCCCAGCTACTCCGGAGGCTGAGGCAGGAGAATGGTGTGAACCCAGGAGGCGGAGCCTGCAGTGAGCAGAGATCGCGCCACTGCACTCCAGCCTGGGTGAAAGCGCGAGACTCCATCACAAAAGAAAAAAAAAAAAAGAAAGTTCCTGCAACAGTTCAAGCTGTGAAAGACAGGCACTCTGCCATGCAATTCTTTGTGATTTTTCTTTTTTATTTTTGGAGTCGGGGTCTTGTGCTGTCACCCAGACTGGGGTGCAGTGGTGCGGTCATAGCTCACTGTGGGCTCAGACTCAAGCTCAAGCAATCTTCTTATCTTGCCTTTCTAATTGCTGGGATTATAAGCATGAGCCACTGCACCTGGCCTGTGTGACGTAATTCTGATGTCAACTCCCTGATGTTACATCAAATGCCACAGGTTAAGGCCACCAGCCCCCGCTAGGCTGCCCTCGCTTCAGATGCAGCTGCAAGCTTGGGTGTCCACAGACCGCATGTACTTCTCACCAACTGGCTGCAAATTTGGAGGTTCCCACCACGTCCTCAGGTTTGATAATTCACCATAACAACCCACAGAACTCTGAAAAGCATGATACTTTCTCTTTCTTTATTTGAGACAGAGTCTTGCTCTGTCACCCAGGCTGGAGTGCAGTGGCCACCATGCTTGGCTAATTTTAGTATTTGTATTAGAGACAGGGTTTCGCCATGTTGGCCAGGCTGGTCTTGAACTCCTGACCTCAGGTGATCCACCCACCTTGGCCTCCCAAAGTGCTGGGATTACAGGCATAGCCACTGTGCCTGGCTGACTTCTAGAGTTTCAATAACAGAGATGTGGTTCAAGAAGAAAAGGGAGACATGTTTTGTAGACAGCAGGAGCTTCATGAAAAGAAGCCAATGAAGGGCAGGATGTGTAGCTGTCTACCTACAGGAAACCAGCCAGGAGCCTCCCCACAGGGACTTCAGCACAGATGGCCGGGAAAATCTGCATTCACCTGAGCTCTGGACCTAAGAGAGGACAAGGCCTTGACTGTTTCTACAGACTCACAAGATGCAATCTCTGCGGTCCATGCCCGTGGTGTGATCTGGGAAACAGGGGGCCTTCTAAATGCCAACAACAAGGAAATCAAATGTGCAACAGACAGAAATATCGGCATTGACACGGGCCATGGAGAGGCCTAAACAGATGACTGCAGTCCACTGCCAAGGTCATCAAAGGGGTGACTCTGAAATAAGAAATTTCAGACGCCACGGCCCAAATAGCTGCACGAGGTGGGGAAGTCCTCCACATGCCTCTGCTTCCTTCAGTACCTCTTCATGAAATAAGCCGAGGTACTTCCCTGGGGAATTTCCTTTCTCTTTCTTTCTTTCGAGACGGAGTCTTGCTCTGTCGCCCAGGCTAGAGTGCAGTGGCGCGATCTCGGCTCACTGCAACCTCTCCCTCCCGGGTTTTGGCAATTCTTCTGTCTCAGACTTCTGAGTAGCTGAGATTACAGGTGTGTGCCACCATGCCCAGCTAATATTTGTATTTTCACTCGAGACAGGGTTTCACCATCTAGGCCAGGCTGGTCTTGAACTCCTGACCTCATGATCCACCCATCTTGGCCTCCCAAAGTCCTGGGATTACAGGCACGAGCCACCACACCCAGACTTCTTTTTTTATTTTTTGAGATGAAGTTTCGCTCTTGTTGCCCAGGCTGGAGTGCAATGGCGAGATCTCAGCTCACTGCCACCTCCTCCTCCTCCCAGGTTCAAGTGATTATCCTGCCTCAGCCTCCCGAGTAGCTGGGATTACAGGCACCCAACACCAAACCCCGCTGACTTTTTGTATTTTTAGTAGAGATGGAATGTCACCATGTTGGCCAGGATGGTCTTGAACCCCTGACCTCTAATGATCTACCCGAATTGGTCTCCCAAAATGCTGGGATTACAGGCGTGAGCCACTGTGCCCAGCCCCTCCCATACCTCTTTTGGCCAAGGCAGTACAATTCAGAGAATCTTGCCAGGGAAGACTGGTAAATGGACATCAACATGATGCCTATGGCTCCTGGTGGATTTAGATACCTCCTGGTGCTTACTGATACCTTTACCAGTTACATGGGGGCTTTTCCATGCCAGACTGAAAATGCTGGAGATCACTGATCAACCTTCAACTATTTACTAGCAGAACACTGAGGGGACTCTGCAGTCACCAATATCTCCTATTGCACTTGGATAAACACCTCCCGGGAAATAGAGATGAATAGAAAGGAAATACTTAAACAAGCAGAATGGCTACATTCCTTCAACCAGAAGGGTCCATTAGTCTGTTTTCACACTGCTATAAAGAACTACTGGAAACTGGGGAATTTATGAAGAAAAGAGGTTTAGTTGACTCACAGTTTTGCAGGCTGTACAGGAAGCATGGCTGGGGAGCCCTCAAGAAACTGACAATCACGGCAGAAGGCGAAGGGGAAGCAGGCACGTTTCTGGCCATGGTGGAGCAGGAGAGACAGAGAGAGTGAAGCAGGAGGTGCTGCATGCTTCTAAACAACCAGATCCCATGAGCGCTCACTCACTATCACGAGACCAGCAAGGGGGACGTCAGCCGCCATGAGCCAATCATCTCCCACCAGGTCCCTCCCTCAACACTGGGAATTGCAATTGGACATGAGATTTGGTTGGGGATACAGAGCTGAACCATATCAAGGGTAGTTCAACCACTGAGATTGATTGATTGACTGAGATGGGGTCCTGCTCTGTTACCTAGGCTGGAGTGCAGTGGCACAATCTCGGCTCACTGCAACCTCCGCCTCCCAGGTTCAAGCAATTCTCCTGCCTCAGCCTCCCTAGTAGCTGGGACTACAGCACACGCCACCACACCTGGCTAATTTTTGTATTTTCAGTAGAGACGGGGTTTCACCATGTTTGCCCGGCTGGTCTTGAACTCCTGACCTCGTGATCACCCTGCCTCGGCTCTTCTTTTGCTGGAATTACAGGCGTGAGCCACCGCACCCGGACAACCACTGAGATTTAGAAGGCAGTCGAGTCCACTATACCACACCTCACCTGGTTTCTTCCTCTGTTGGGGCCCCTCGTGGCCACTGTTCTGTTACTTTTTGGTCCTATTTATTTAAATGGATGGTGAGCTGTTTGTCCTCCAGGATCCAACACTTCCACCTTCAGCTTGTATTACAACAATACCAGCCTTTCAAGCTACTCCGGGTGACCCCAGAACTCATCTGAACTCAGAAGCCCAAGAGTTTCATTCCTCTCACTTTAGGGGACTAAGTGCCCCTGGTCAGCATGAAGTCGATACAGAAGCATGACCTCCATCCCTAATCCCTCAAGAATGAGGAGTGGAAGGTGTTGGCAGGAGGGTGGGACGCGGTTTGTAAATCTGTAACTGCATCAGACCAAATCTAGTTCAACTTTTTTTTTTTTTGATGGAGTTTCACTCTTGTCACCCAGGCTGGAGTGCAATGGCACGATCTCAGCTCACTGCAACCTCCACGTCCTAGGTTCAAGCATTCTGCTGCCTCAGCCTCTGGGGTAGCTGGGATTACAAGGGTGCGCCACCACGCCTGGCTAATATTTATATTTTTAGTAGAGACGGGGTTTCACCATTTTGGCCAGGCTGGTCTTGAACTCCTCGACCTCAGGTGATCCACCTGCCTTGGCCTCCCAAAGTGCTGGGATTACAGGCGTGAGTCACCGCACCCGAATCAGTTCAACTTTTATGTAATGAAGTTGTCAGTTGTTTTCCAATTGCCATCGACCTGCAGGTTGAAGGTCATGTACCCTGTGCATGCCCAGGTTAACCACGCGTGCCACCGTGGAGTGGAACCTAAGAGCTCAGCCTGAAGAGCCCGGACCGATTTAAGAACCAGACACCCCCAGGCAGGAGCCAGGATCCAATCAGATTGAGTTTTGGTGTCACCCCATGGCAGGATCCAGTCAGATCACACCTCCCAGCATTACTTTATTGCAAGATCCAATCAAATCACACCTCATTACCCTATGCTTATAAAACCTGACACAGCCCCCAGCTGTGTAAGGGAGATTTGAGTACTTCCTCCTGTGTTCTTGCTGGCTGACTTACAAAAAAGCTTTAAAAAAAAAAAGCCAGGCGTGGTGGCTCACGCCTGTAATCCCAGCACTTTGGGAGGCTGAGGTGGGCAGATCACTTGAGGTCAGGGGTGCAAGACCAGCCTGGCCAACATGGTGAAACCCCATCTCTACTAAAAATACAAAAATTAGCTGGGTGTGGTGACACACACCTATAATCCCAGCTACTTGGGAGGCTGAGGTAGGAGAATCACTTGAACCCAGGAGGCGGAGGTTGCAGTGAGCCAAGATCACACCACTGCACTCCAGCCTGGGCGACAGAGTGAGAAGACTCCGTCTAAAAAAAAAAGTTAAAATTAGCACCAAACGCTTTACAAGTAAAAAAAGTTTTTAGCTGCATATGTTTAAGTAACTTTTTAGATTATAAGAAATACGCATGCAAAATGGAAAGGCACAAAGAAGAGAGCAAAAAGTGCATGAGATCTCACATCCAAGGATAACCGCTGAGAACATGGAAGTGCTGACTCTTCAGTCTTTATACTATACACATTTAGGCCTGTTTTGTTTTTATAAAACTGTAATCATATAATACAGACAGTTTTATAATCTGCTTTTTAAACACAACAATTATATAACATTTAGCTGTTTCATTTGCATTCAAATTCATAAGGGTTCCAGTAACTCATTTATCAGAAAACCAAGAGAAATATTCTCATAAAAATATAAGTACATAAGGTCAGGCATGGTGGCTCACGCCTGTAATCCCAGCACTTTGAGAGGCCGAGGTGGGCGGATCACCTGAGGGCAGGAATTCAAGACCAGCCTGGCCAGCCTGGACAACATGGTGGAACCCCGTCTCCACTGAAAATACAAAAATTAGCCGGGCGTGGTGGCGCGCGCCTGTAATGGTAGCTACTCAGAAGGCTGAAGCAGGAGAATCGCTTGAACTTGGCAGGTGGAGGTTGCAGTGAACTGAGATCGCGCCACTGCACTGCAGCCAGGGTGCCAAAGTGAGACTCCATCTCAAAAAAAGATAAAAATAAAAAATAAAAAAAATGTATATATATGTATATATATTTTTCCAGACAGGGTCTTACTCTGTCTCACAGTCTGAAGTGTAGTGACGCAATCATAGCTCACTGCAGTCTCAAGTTCCTGGGCTCAGGTGATCCTCCCACTTCAGCCTCCCAAGTAGCTGGAACTACAGGTGCATGCCACCATGCCCAGTCAATTTTTTTTTTAATTTTTCATAGAGACAGAGTCTCACTATGTTTCCCAGTCCTAATAAACATTATGTGATAAAAAGAAAAAAGTAAATCATCCTGAAGTTAAGTCTTTAATGAGAAATGCAAATAAAGCATTTCTCAATAAATTATGGGAAGAGAATCAACTGAAGAATAAACATCTTTAGTAAATCTTTTGCTCATGTGCATTAACCAATACTCTTGAAAACCAGGATTAATTTACTGTACCTTCTTAATATTCCTTTGAAATTCCTTATGGCGCACAGGTAGCGTAGAAAATAACTGCTTCACGCTGACTGTGGTCCCTCTGGGGTGGGGGTAGGGGGTTTTCTGGATGATTTTCCCATCGTGATCAAAAACACCAGTCGAGTCCCAACCTTCGCCGATACGTGGCAGGTAGAAATGGTGACATCACTGTGAGAGAATACCAGGCATGGTGTGTTCAGTGAGAGATCCATGATGTTGGGCACTGACTACTCTTTTCTTCACTTGCTTTTCTCTCAAAATTTTCTTAAAAAGCTGATGATCCCTCTGAGATAACCGAGATCTAAACGGTTGAGGAGTCATCACAAAATCTAAGGTCTGGCATCTAAAAGACAGTGAGACAGAGAGCACTAAACATGCTTTGTTTTGATAAAAGCTTTGACTTCATTTTTCAGGTTGAATTGCAAAACCATAAATGATCTCAAGATTTATTGATTCTCAAATAGAGATTTGTTTTGTTATTACTCTTCAAACAAAATTTTTTAAAAGAATTTTTTTAAAGAATTTTTTAAAATTTTTAAAATTTTTTTTAAAGAATCCAAAAGATATTATAATTAAAATGTATATGTAGGGCAGGGTACGGTGGCTCGTGCCTGTAATTCCAGCACTTTGGGAGGCCAAGGAGGGCAGATCACTTGAGGCCTGGAGTTCCAGACCAGCCTGGGCAACATGGCAAAACCCCATCTCTACTAAAAATATAAAAATTAGCCAGGAGTGGTGGTGCACGCTATAGTCCCAGCTCTTCAGGAGGCTGAGTCACGAAAGTCACTTGAACCTGGGAGGCAGAGACTGCAGTGAGCTGAGACTGTGCCACTGCACTCCAGCCTGGGTGACAGAGTGCGACTCTGTCTAAAAAAAAAAAAAAAAAATATATATATATATATATATGTATATATATGTATATATATATGTATATATATGTATATATGTATATATGTATATATATGTATATATTTATGTATATATGTATATATATGTATATATATATGTATATATGTATATATATGTATATATATGTATATATATGTGTGTGTGCATGTAATTATTTATAAAAATTTAGTATCTGTGCTGTAATTAAATAGTGCTTTGGTGAAATGTTTCCCTAAAAATTGATAATGAAAACCAATGGTAACTATCATTTATTATCTATATGTTATGTTCAAATTGAGAAGTTACTGTTTTAATAAGGGTAACCAATTTTTTAAACAATACTATTTGCTTCATTTCATTCATTTATTGCTCACATTTCAGAAGTACTAGGACTTAGATTGGCAGTGAGACAAAACAGAATTCAGAAGCTAGAAGCTGAGATATTGAGATAGAAAATTGTAAATAATAATGATTCCAATTAATTTTCAGAGAGGTTTTTCTAAGGGGTCAAGTGAATGGATAAAAATATTTTCTCACCTCAGTGCACAAAGTGAGCTCAGAGCTTTCCCCCGAAAGCCAAAAGTTTCAACCCGAGTTAGGTCGGCAAACTCTTGAATCTTAGATGTGTGATGTTTCAGAGCTGAAAGAGACTGTAAAGTAAGGACTAAGATATCTCAAGTGCTATAACAACAAATATACATGATATCTAGTAACTGGCTTTAAAAAACTGTTTTTGTGTTTCCCAAGACAGTGTTACTCAAAATTCTAAGACATGTGGCCCAATTATTTTGTAATAGGATTAGAAAGTTAACTTACTTAAGCCTTCGAAGTTTTCTTCTTCTACCCCACATCCATTGCCTGAAACTTCAATGAGATCCATTCCATAGTCCTTAAGCTTTAGATCTAGAAAGTTTAAAATATTTATATATTTATTAAAAATGGACCCACGCTATCAGCTTTTATATTGATATTATTTATAACGTGCAAATTTAAGTGTCGTAACTATACCTTTAGTTAAACATACTAGTGTCATTTTGTATATTTCATTTTTATAAAGTTCTTTCTGGCCATTTACTAGCCCAGATTAAATAGTTTAGCATTTTCTTTCTTTCCTCTTTTTTTTTTCCTTACACTAGTCAAGTGAAGCAGTTGGAGTGGAGAAGGAACAAAAAAATCTGTAACTGGTTGTGATCAATTAGTTGTAAAGACCGTTGCACTTTGACCAGCCTTTTCCTTTGAAAGAAATAATTTTAACATACCCAGTAAGGAGAACGGGGGCCGGGCGCAGTGGTTCATGCCTGTAATCCCAGCACTTTGGGAGACCAAAGCGAGCGGATCACCTGAGGTCAGTAGTTCGAGACCAGCCTGACCAACGTAGAGAAACTCTATCTCTACTAAAAATACAAAATTAGCCAGGCGTGGTGGTGCATGCCTGTAATCCCAGCTACTTGTGAGGCTGAGGCAGGAGAATCGCTTGAACCTGGGAGGTGGAGGTTGCAGTGAGTTGAGATCGTGCCATTGCACCGCAGCCTCGGCAACAAGAGCAAAACTCTATCTCAAAAAAAAAAAAAAGAAAAAAAAACAGAACTGGTTCTGGAATCAGACTTCCTAGATTCTATTTTATTAGCTTTATAATCTCAAAAAAAGGAAATTTACTGTCCCTTAATTTCCTCAACTGTAAAATGGAGGTAATAAGTTCTATCTCATAAAGTTATTTGGCAGATTAATAATTTTTTTTTAATTTTGTCATTTTCTTTTTTTTCTTTCCTTTTTTTTTTTTTTTTTTTAATTTTTTGAGATGGACTTTTGCTCTTGTCACCCAGGCTGGAATGCAGTGGCACAATCGATCTTGGCTCACTGCAACCTCCACCTCCCAGGTTTAAGCAATTCTCCTCCCTCAGCCTTCTGAGGAGCTGAGATTACAGCCATGCACCATCACATCTGGCTAATTTTTGTATTTTTAGTAGAGACAGGGTTTTACCACGTTGGTTAGGCTGGTCTTGAACTCCTGACCTCAAAGCATCAGCCCCCCTCAGCCTCCCAAAGTGCTGGGATTACAGATGTGAGCCACTACTCCAGGATTTATTTTATTTTATTTTATTTTATTTTTTTGAGACAGAGTCTTGCTCTGTCCCCAGGCTGGCGTGCAGTGGCACCATCTCGGTTCACTGCAACCTCCACCTCCCAAATTTAAACAATTCTCATTCCTGAGCCTCCCCAGTAGCTGGGATTACAGGCTTCTGCCACCAGGTCTGGCTAATTTTTGTATTTTTAGTAGAGACAGAGTTTCACCATTTTGGACAGGCTGGTCTCGAATTCCTGACCTCAGGTATCCACCCGCCTTGGCCTCCCAAAGTGCTGGGATTACAGGCGTGAGCCACCACACCCGGCCTGCTTTATTTTTTAATAGAGACGAGGTCTCCCCATGTTGGCCAGGTTGGTCTTGAACTCTTGGCTTCAAGCAATCCCCCCACCTCAGCCTCTCAAAGGGCTAGGATTACAGGCGTCAGACACCACGCCCAGCTATTCTGCAAATTAAATGAGATATTTCTGTGCAATTCTTAGCATAACACCTGCCTGGCACACCATAAGAACACAAGAAAAGCTGTCGTTATTATTATTACTACCTAGCTAAGTACTAGGCACATAATAGGTGCTAACTTTAACTTAAAAATAATAGTTTATTACTACATCAACACTTGATAGTCTTATTTCAATAACAAATGTTTCTTGACTACAACAACATTCACTGATCATTTCTTGTGGCTTAAAACTCTCCCAAACTTACCAATATTAGTGGCACCAGCATCCAGACTGTTTCCTACTATCTTCTTCACCGCAGTGCTTAGACTCAGTACCACCGGCCCAGAGCAAATCTGATGGACTGACTTCCGATCAATAGGTTTGATGGCCTTAGCAGGTTCTGTACTAAAGAAATCAGTTACAAGAAACAAAGCAAGTATTCAGCTATATATTTTCATCCTGATTTTAACTGTGGGAAATGACTCAACACTGCAAATAGTTTATGGGTCTAATCTATTCATTTATTATATTAACAAATACATTTATTATATCCAGAAATGGAAACATTGTTTTACAATCCTTAAACAAGTACCCAAAATACTTCTGGATAGACACTTCAAATTCAACACATCCTTACTATCTAGTATCCACATGGAGAAAACATACATTGTATCTCTCAAATTACCAAAATCTTTGGCAATAATGGTGTCTTCTTTCTTGAAAACTGAAAGCATGGCCGGTGCGGTGGCTCATGCCTGTAATCCCAGCAATTTGGGACACAGAGGCAGGTGGATCACTTGAGATCAGGAGTTTGAGACCAGCCTGGCCAACGTCGTGAAACCCTGTCTCTACCAAAAATACAAAAAATTAGCCAGGCATGGTGGTGGGCGCCTGTAATCCCAGCTACTTGGGAGGCTGAGGCAGAAGAATCACTTAAACCTGGGAGGCGGAGGTTGCAGTGAGCTGAGATTGCAGCATTGCACCCTAGGCTGGGCAATGAGCAAAAAAAAAAGTAAAAGCAACATAATTTCCCACATAATTAGAAAAACCAACAGTATGCTGGGAAATACACAATGTTTAAGTCAAAATCATCTCAGAAATTGGATACCAGTTATATAACTATTCCTTATACACAGTTGCCTTTGATACCCTACTCCAAATTGAAGCTGCCAGCTGCTGTCTTAGCAAAGACCCTCAAAGTTCTTGCTGTACTTGTTTTAAGAGGTTTTTTTTTTTTTTTTTTTTTTTTTTGAGACGGATTCTTGCTCTGTCGCCCTGTCGCCCAGGCTGGAGTGCAGTGGCACGATCTTAGCTCACTGCAAGCTCTGCCTCCCGGGTTCACACCATTCTCCTGCCTCAGCCTCCTGAGTGGCTGGGACTACAGGCGCCCACCACCATGCCCAGCTAATTTTTTGTATTTTTAGTAGAGACAGGGTTCCACCGTTTTAGCCAGGATGGTCTCGATCTCTTGACTTCGTGATCCGCCCGCCTCAGCCTCCCAAAGTGCTGGGATTACAGGCGTGAGCCACCATGCCCAGCCCACTTTAAGAGTTTTATAACAGTTTCATTTCCCCTTATTCCCTGCTCCAACCCATCCTCCACTCTATCACCAGAGCTATTTTTGAAATCACGAATCTGGTCAAATAATTTTTCTGCTTGAAAAATTACTAGTGCCCCACTTCCTACTATATGAAACTTAAAATCTAGTCATCACTGGGCCCCAAACTACCTTCTTTTCAGAATCTCTCTGATCCTTTCCCTTCATCAAGTCCCCTACATTATTATTATTATTATTATTATTATTATTATTATTATTATTATTATTTGAGACAGAGTCTCACCCTGTCACCTGGGCTAGAGTGCAATGGCATGATCTCGGCTCACTGCAACCTCCACCTCCCAAGTTCAAGTGATTCTCCTGTCTCAGCCTCCCAAGTTGCTGGGATTATAGGCATCCACCATTACACTCAGCTAATTTTTGTGTTTTTAGTAGAGATGGGGTTTCACCATGTTGGCCAGGCTGGTTTCTAACTCCTGACCTCAGGTGATCTGCCCGCCTTGGCCTTCCAAAGCACTAGGATTACAGGTGTGAGCCACCGCAACTGGCCGTCCCCTATATTGCAGCACAGTGAACAACTGTTTCCTGAACATCACAAGCTCTCTTAGACACTACAGTGTATAAGCAGGTCTCTGTCTAAACTGCTCTCCTCTTGCCCCTCTGCCCAATGTCTGCTCATCCAAAGAATGTATCCCGTGTGTTCATTAACTTAGCAAGTTCCCAGTAAACAGTTTAATTGATCACTCGTTAAGAGAAGGCGGGAAACCTCCATGAAAAGAGAAATCAGTGGGTATTTCCTACAGCATTTAACACATCGTAGGCCTTCAATAAACCCTTGTGAAATAAACAAACCTCTTTACTGTTCATTCTATGTTGCTAAGAATCTCACCTAAGTCTGTCTACCATGTGAAACTGCAGATGACCTCACAGAAAATGGAAAGAAGTATCTCTAAAAATAAGTTTATTTGGCAACACACTACAGGCTACAGGTTCACTTCTGATTTTTTTTCTTTTTTTTTTTGAGATGGAGTCTTGCTGTGTCACCCAGGCTAGACTGCAGTGGTGCAATCTCAGCTCACTGCAACCTCTGTCTCCTGGGTTCCAGCGATTCTCCTGCCTCAGCCTCCCAAGTAGCTAGGATTACAGGCGCCTGCCACCACGCCCAGCTAATTTTTGTATTTTTAGTAGAAATGGGATTTCACCATGTTGGCCAGGCTGGTCGTGAACTCCTGACCTCATGATCCACTTGCCTTGGCCTCCCAAAGTGATGGGATTATAGGTGTGAGCCACCGCACCTGGTCCACTTCAGATATTTAGATACAGACGGCAAGTGTATTTAAATGTCTCAATACATTTAAATGTAGTTACCTAAATATATCTAATATATTTAAATGCAGAGAGCAAATTTGCGTTTACAAATCTGACATGGAATTCAACTGTGCTAGCCAAGATTCGGTGTAGCTTACCAGCCAGAAATCACATACCCTAAGAGGTAAAAATGCATTGCATTTTTTAAAACTGAGCAGCTACGCAAATTAGGATGTGTCTGGACGCTCTACTGTCCCCAAAATAACCTCAATTTTTTTTTAAAAGGCCAGGCACAGTGCATTACGCCTGTAATTCCAGAGCTTTGGGGGGCCAAGGCGGGCGGACTGCTTGAGCTCCGGAGTTCCAGACCAGCTTGGGCAACATAGCGAAATCCCCGTCTCTACAAAAAAATAAAATAAAAATTAAAAATAAAATAATATAAAAATAAAAATAAAAGGGGAGAGAGAACAGGTAGAAAGGAAATGCATTCAGTCTATGGGGATTTCACGTTCCGGCTTCAAGTCCACGGCCCTGTGATGGGATGTGGGCAGGGCCTGAGACAGGCCGAACCCAACTCTTCACAGGGCCGAATTCTTTGCCCGCAGCCCAGCACCCCGAAGGAGCTTGCCTCGGCTTCAAGGCGCACCTAATGGGCACCGGATCGCTGGGGCGCTGAGGATGCCGCTCCGGGGCCTCCACGAGGCGGCCTCCCACGCGCCTCGGCCATGTTCCCCCCATTTCCAGGGAGGTCGGAAGCCGTGGTTCTCAAAGAGGGCGAGCGAGAGGGGCGACCGCGAGCCCAGCTCACCTCGAGCTCTCAGCTCTCTCCAAGGATGCAACACCGGATCCGCCTCGGGGACTGGGAAAGTGCCCTCAACGGCTCCCACAGGCGCCCCGCCTCCTGGGCTCCCATTGGCTGCTTTCGACGTTGTGCTCCACCCTTTCCGGGCGGGGCGGAAAAAATACTTCCCGTCTCTCCTTTTCGCCTAGTGGCTCTGTCAAAGGTCGAGTCCGTGACGTCAAAGAGCCTGGACCAATCAGAGCACACCGGACTGCGTTTTTTTTCCGAACGCCCGCAGCAGGGTCAGAAGGGAGGTGGTCGCCCTCCGTCGTGGTCTGGCGTGTATTCCGAGCCTTGGTGTCTGGCGGTTTCCGAGCGTTGGTGTCTGGCGGTTTCCGAGCGTTGGTGTCTTGGCGGTTTCCGACCGTTGGTGTCTGGCGGTTTCCGACCGTTGGTGTCTGGCACGCGCCACCCTCTCTTGCTTTGGTTGCGCCATGCCGATGTACCAGGTAAAGCCCTATCACCGGGTCTGCGCCCCTCTCCGTGTGGAGCCCACCTGCATGTACTGGCTCCCCAACATGCACGGCAGGAGCGGCGGCCCAGCACTTGGCACTGGCCACTTGCAGGTAGGAGCGCGGGGCACCCCGCCCACTGCGCACGCGCGGCGGCCGGGTGCTGGCCCGGGTGCCCCTAGGCCGGATAGAGTGCGTCCCAACCGATTCGCGGCCCCACCCCGGCATCTGTGCCGGCCGGCCAGGGGCTCACCCAGATTTTTATGTTTTAAAAGATTTATTCAGGCCGGGCGCCGTGGCTCACGCCTGTAATCCCGGCACTTTGGGAGGCCGAGGCGGGCGGATCACCTGAGATCAGGAGTTCGAGACCAGTCTGGCCAACATGGTGAAACCCCGTGTCTACTAAAAATGCAAAAATTAGCCGGGCGTGTGTCGGGCGCCTGTAATCGCAGCTACTCGGGAGGCTGAGGCAGGAGAATGGTTTGAACCCTGGAGGCGGAGCTTGCAGTGAGCTGAGATCGAGCCATTGCACTCGAGCCTGGGCAGCAAGAGTGAAACTCCGTCTCAAAAAAAAAAATTATTATATACATATATATCTTTATATATATTAAATATACCTTTATTATGCGTATTATACATATTGTATATTATGTGTAATATATGACATAATATATTATAAAATATATTGTATATTATATATATATATATTTTTTTCCTGGTCGAGCGCGGTGGTTCACGCCTGGAATCTCAGCGCTTTGGGAGACCGAAGCGGGAGGATTGCTTGAGCCCGGAGAGTTTGAGACCACCCTGAGCAACATAGCAAGACCCTTGTCTCTATGTTTTTTTTTTTTTTTTGAGTTGGAGTCTTGCTCTGTCGCCCAGGCTGGAATGCAGTGGCCTGATCTCGACTCACTGCAAGCTCCACCTCCCGGGTTCACGCCATTCTCCTGCCTCAGCCTCCCCAGTAGCTGGGACTACAGGCGCCCGCCACCACGCCTGGCTAACTTTATTTTGTATTTTTAGTAGAGACTTGGTTTCACCGTGTTAGCCAGGATGGTCTCGATCTCTTGACCTCGTGATTCGCCTGCCTCGGCCTCCCAAATTGCTGGGATTACAGGCGTGAGCCACCACGCCCAGCTGCCTTGTCTCTATTTTTTAAATGTTTTAATTAAAATAAAAATCTATCCATATTTTTTCTTTTTTTGCGTATGGCTGCTTAAACATTTTAGTTCAGAATTCTATCCTCTGAAAAGTGAATAGCACATAAATGCTCATTTTGAGGAATTACAAAGCGAACCCCAGGGTCACCACCTCCCAGGTTGACACACATTGTCACCGCTCCATTCTTTCCACTTAAACCTTCCCCACCAGCACCCCAGGGCCTGATTTTTATGGTAATTATGTCATGCTTGTCTCTATTATTTTGTCAGCTAAGTATCCCTAAACAATATGGTCTGGTTTTTTGTTTGTTTGTTTGTTTTGTTTTTTTCAGACGGAGTTTCACTCTGTCACCCAGGCTGGAGTGCAGTGGCATGATCTCAGCTCACTGCCACCTTGGCCTCCTGGGTTCAAGCAATTCTCAGGCCTCAGCCTCATGAGTAGCTGAGATTACAGGCACTGTCCACTGCACCTGGCTAATTTTTGTATTTTTAGTAGAGACGGGGTTTTGCCATGTTGACCAGGCTGGTCTTGAACTCCTGACCTCAGGCGATCCGCCCGCCTTGAACTCCCAAAGTGCTGGATTACAGGTGTGAGCCACTGTGCCCGGCACCTAAACAACATAGTTTTGATATAGGTAAGCATACAGCATATATTTTGATGTATTTCAGGTAATTTAGTCTAAGAACAGGAAAGGACAGAAAATGAACACAATTTGTAGTTCTTTGTTCTTAACAAACTAAGAATACTTTGCTTAAATAAGTAGCAATGAGAATGTAACTCAGTAATTCATACAAATAGACAAGAAGACAAGAAAATGATTTGAGGACAGCTTCAATCGCGGTGTGAAGAAGAAAGCAGCAAAACGACCACTGAAAACAACGCCGGTGAGTCAGCCAGTTTTCTTTTGTTTTTGAATCTTGTGGGGGAAGCAGCCCAGCTATTCGGGAGGCTGAGGCAGGAGAATGGCACGAACCCCGGGGGCAGAGCTGGCAGTGAGCCGAGATCACGCCACTGCACGCCAGCCTGGGCGACAGAGCGAGACTCCGTCTCAAAAAAAAGAGAAAACCTAAGAGGTTCAGGTGATATGGTTCAAAAAAGGACAAGATTTACAAAGTATTAAGGGACGGAAATAGGAAGAAGAGAAATTTCGAAAAGAAAAGAAAAGGATGTTTGGTTATAGAGATACGGGAAGGAGACTCAAGGAATTTTTTTTTTAAAGGGAAAAAAGTTAATAAACTTCATAATATAAAAATCAATTATTTCAGGACTGAGTCTAACTCAGACTGCTGTGGAATTGGCAGCGTAAGCCTACTTGTGTGATAATGATGAAACCAAGTGTTAATGTCACTGTTACCTTTTTTTCATATTTCTGATCTTTTTATGTGTATCAGGTGGCAAAATATCCAAAGAAAGGGTCCCAAGCGGTACATCGTCATAGCCGGAAACAGTCAGAGCCACCAGCCAATGATCTTTTCAATGCTGCGAAAGCTGCCAAAAGTGACATGCAGGTAAAAGCAGTGTCTTACCTCTGTTGATACCATCTCACTTTTTGTAAGGTGGTAAGGACAAGTGTCTACAAACTTGATTTGATGTGAACATTTTAGTGAGTGTAACATATCAAGAAAGATAAGATTATGGGGTGAATCCTTGGAGTGATAGAAGGGTAACCTTGAATAAGAGAGCATGTTCTTTTTTTTTTTTTTTTTTTTTTTGAGACAGTCTCTTTCTGTTGCCCAGGCTGGAGTGCAGTGGCACAGTCTCAGCTCACTGCAGCCTCTGCCTCCTGGGTTCAAGCGATTCTCATGGTCTTGGGAGGCTGAGGCCTCCCAAGTAGCTGGGCTTACAGGCATGTGCCACCATGCCTAGCTAATTTTTGTATTTTTAGTAGAGATGGGGTTTCGCCATGTCGGCCAGGCTGGTCTCCAACTCCTGACCTCAGGTGATCCGCCTGCCTCGGCCTCCCAAAGTGCTGGGATTACAGGTGTGAGCCACCGCACCCGGCTTCGAGAGAGCGTTTCTTTTCTTAAAGCGTGTTCTTTTCTTAAAGGTATCACAGGAGTGATTATGCCTTTATTGATTGATGGAGCAGATGAGGAGAGGCATTGCATGACATGGGAAGGAAGCTTAGATGTGGGTGGCACCTTGTTCACCCGTGTTATTTTTTAGCTCCATCTTGACAATTATACTTAATTATTTTTTCCCTGTTTCTTTTTTTATAATTTTATTGAAGTTCTAATATCTGAAAGTGTACAAAGCGTATATGTAGTTTAAAAAATAAAAATGAGATATCACCCAGATCTCTAGCCCCAGCTCAAGAAATGAAACATTAATAGTGCTGTAGAGATCCTTTGTGTACCTTCTTTCTACCCTACCTCACAGTCCCCTTATTACCCATAGGTAAACACTAGGGTGAACTTTGCGTTAATCTTTCTCATCTTTCATTATAGTGTTACCACTATGAATGTGTTCTTTAATTATGTAAATGAATCCATTATTCAGGCTTCTGTGATTTAATTATTTCAGTTAAGATTGTTTGAGATTTATCCACATTAACATGTAGTTTTATAGTTTCTGGGAAAATATTTAAAATTTTCAAACATACAGAATTTTGCTAGTTATATTTTCGTTATTTGATTTCTAACTTTATTGTGTTGTAGTCAGGGAATGTGGTGTTTGAAATTTATGTGGGGGCTGGGCACAGTGGCTCACATCTGTGATCCCAGCACTTGGGGAGGCTGAGGCAGGCAGATCACTTGAGGCCAGGAGTTCGAGACCAGCCTGGCCAACATGGCGAAACCCCATCTCTACTAAAAATACACAAATTAGCTGCATGTGGTGGCATTTGTCTGTAATCCCAGCCACTTGGGAGGCTGAGGCATGAGAATTGCTTGAACCCAGGAGGTGGAGGTTGCAGTGAGCTGAGATTGTGCCACGGCACTCCAGCCTGGGTGACAGAGTGATACTCTGTCTCAAAAAAAAAAAAAAAAAAAAAAAAATTTATGGAGACTTAGCCTTATGGCCTAGTATTGAGTTGGCACAATCATTTTATCTTTTCTGTTTCTTTTTCCCCCTTTGCTTGCTTTCCTCTGGATTTCTTATCTTCTACAAGGACCTGAGCACATTTTAATTCCAGTTGTCTTTTCCACCTTACATGCAGTTGTACAGTGTGTTAGTTTTTTATTTGAAACGGAGTCTTGCTCTGTCACCAGGCTGGAGTGCAGTGACGCGATCTTGGCTCACTGCACCTCCGCCTCCCGGGTTCAGGCGATTCTCCTGCCTCAGCCTGCCAAGTAGCTGGGACTACAGGCACCCGCCACCATGCTTGGCTAATTTTTGGCCACCATGCCCAGCCTGAATGAACTTTCAAAATTGGTTTTTAAAAGAGGTATGGAGGCCGGGTGCAGTGGCTCACACCTGTAACTCCAGCACTTTGGGAGGCCAAGACGGGCAGATCACTTGAGGTCAGAAGTTCGAGACCAGCCTGGCCAACATGGTGAAACCCCATCTCTACTAAAAATACAAAAAGGTAGCTGGGCGTGGTGGTGCACCTGTAATCCCAGCTACTCAGGAGGCTGAAGCAGGAGAATCACTTGAACCCGAGAGGTAGAGGTTGCAGTGAGCTGAGATTGTGCCGCTGCACTCCAGCCTGGGCAACAGGTGGAGTGGAGAATTAGGCTGTACAAGGCTGGTGTTTAACTATTTTATGGTTTGGTAACAGAAAGAAAATATTTACTAACTGGGTATGGCACATTTTTGTAGTCCTAGCTACTTGAGAGGCCAAAGTGGGAAGATGACTTGAACCCAGGAGTTCAAGGCCAGCTTGGGCAACACAGCAAGAGACCCCATCCCTTAAAAAAAAGAGAAAAAATATTTACATGTATTTTACTATATATATAGTATTTACATCGGGAGGAAGAAATGAAAGGCATGGGGTACATGGCATTTCAAGAAAATAAATTCTTCCATGAGAGGGAGTTAACTGGTAGGATGGAAAGTGAGTTTGGAGAGAGGGTGGCTCTAAGAGTCAACTTATCTGTCTGTGTCTAGGGATGTCCTTCCTGAGATCCGTGCTATCTGCATTGAGGAAATTGGGTGTTGGATGCAAAGCTACAGCACGTCTTTCCTCACCGACAGCTATTTAAAATATATTGGTTGGACTCTGCATGATAAGGTGGGATTCGAGTCAGTTTCCCTTTCCGTTTCCTTCATCTTTTTCCTGTCCTAGGACACTTCACCTTTTCCTGGGCCTGCCACTGAGATATTTTACCTAGTGACCAATGATTAACCCATCAAGGCGCTGAACCTTGAAACTCCGCTAGCACTGGGGAGGGTAGGATAAGGTAGAGAGAGACATACCCAGGAGATGAAATGACTCAAAACATGAGGTACGGGGAGAGAGACTTTACAATGGAAGACAGTTATTGATGGATGGTAATGCAGGTGCTAAGGGGCAGCCAAAGGATCCTTCTCATCATGAGTACTGCTGTGATCCTTTTTTTTTTTTAAGTATGAAGACAGCTGTTCATTGTTTCTGACATCTTAGAGTCCTCAGTAGAGGGGACACCCAAGCTAGAATGAGGGATCGGAGAGGGGAGTCTGGACGCTCAGTAGGGGCGAGTAGAGTGTGGTTGGTCTTATTTCCATTCTCTTGGTTTTCCCTCCTCACCAGCACCGAGAAGTCCGCGTGAAGTGCGTGAAGGCTCTGAAAGGGCTGTACGGTAACCGGGACCTGACCGCACGCCTGGAGCTCTTCACTGGCCGCTTCAAGGTGAGACGGGTGGTGCTCCTTGGCTTGGCTCTTTGTCGTGGTTCCCGTTTCCCCACCTTGTATCTTTCTACCCTTCATGCTCTAAGATGTCTTGGCTATCCCAGCATCTGCCTCTACGTAGGCACTCTCTTTAGGAGGCTCTGATTCTAAGAGAACAGAATATTTGGAATGGGCGTAATGAGATATTGAGTGACTTTCTCCTTTCTGCAGGACTGGATGGTTTCCATGATCATGGACAGAGAGTACAGTGTGGCAGTGGAGGCCGTCAGATTACTGATACTTATCCTTAAGTGAGTCCTGGGAAGAGGGGAGGCCAGTGTCTCAGACCTTTGCCCTTCCAGGGTCATCTCCCTCCACCTGTCACAGCTGACTCTTCCATCTGTGCAGGTTGACTGAGGTCATTCCTGAGTTGCAGTATGTTGAGAGGGTAATATTTCTGTCTTCTCTAACTCCCCATACTCCCTTGTCTTCCACTCTCCATTTAGGAGTTTTTTGTGAGTTATGTCCTTGTTGCTTTTGCCTCTTTTTCTTTCTAGCCTTGATTGTGCCAGAAGACAATGTCCCTATTCACACACTCTTTCTGCTTTTCTGTGGGCAGGAACATGGAAGGGGTGCTGATGGACGTGGACTGTGAGAGCGTCTACCCCATTGTGTAGGCCTCTAATTGAGGCCTGGCCTCTGCTGTGGGTGAATTTCTGTACTGGAAGTGAGTGGGGCTCCTTTTACGTTTCTTTAACACCACCCTCTCGGTTTCTCTCCCACATGTGCTGCTGCCCTACTTAAGGCCTCCCCATCTCCGTGGAAGTCTCTCTGCTGTCTCTTTTCCTCTCTCAGCTCCTTGGGGCTTTCCTTAGCTCTGCACCTCCTTTTCCTTTATCATCTCCTTGGGCCATCTCCTCCCTCTGTGGTCATCATTACACCTCCTTGTTTCCTCCTGTGCTGAGCCCTTTCCTTGTGTCCATTCCACCAGACTTTTCTACCCTGAGTGCGAGATAAGAACGATGGGTGGAAGAGAGCAACGCCAGAGCCCAGGTGCCCAGAGGACTTTCTTCCAGCTTCTGCTGTCCTTCTTTGTGGAGAGCAAGGTGACATACACAGAGATAACTCTGGCTGTTGTGCATAGGACCTACAAGTGGGCTGGGGTTGGTGGTTCACGCCTGTAAGCCCAACACTTTGGGAGGCTGAGGTGGGAGGATCCTTTGAGCCCAGGAGTTTGAGACCAGCTTGGGCAACATAGTGAGACCCTGTCTCTACCAAAAAAAAAAAAAAAAAAAAAAGACAGATGGAGAAGGATGGGGGTGTACACTGTAGGAAGGAGAGCGATATTTAATCAGTAACCACTTCCTAGGGTATTTTAACATGCCATCACTAAATCCCCATGCACCTCCTTCCCCAGCTCCACGACCACGCTGCTTACTTAGTAGACAACCTGTGGGACTGTGCAGGGACTCAGCTGAAGGACTGGGAGGGTCTGACAAGCCTGCTGCTGGAGAAGGACCAGAGCACGTGCCACATGGAGCCAGGGCCAGGGACCTTCCACCTCCTAGGGTGAAACCAGGAGAGATTGCTTGCTTCACTTGTACAAGGCAGGAACGGTGGCATGGGGTGGGGGAAACTTGGAGTTGGAAGGTGGCTAATCTTTGATTCTATGTTTTTGATCCTCCTGGCACTCCAGACCTGGGTGATGTGCAGGAGAGCACACTGATAGAAATCCTTGTGTCCAGTGCCCAGCAACTCCTGCCTCAGCCTCCCGAGCAGCTGGGACTACAGGCGCCCGCCACCACGCCTGGCTAACTTTTTTGTATTTTTAGTAGAGACGGGTTTTCACCGTGTTAGCCAGGATGGTCTTGATCTCTTGACCTTGTGATCCACCTGCCTCATCATCCCAAAGTGCTGGGATTACAGGCGTGAGCCACTGCGCCCAGCATGTTAGACAATTTTTAATTCATCCTCTCTGTGCTGTTGTTTTCTCAGCTGTGAAAGGAATATTCTGGTGGGGACAAGGTTACAGAGTTGCTGAGAGGGTCTCATGACATGAAGGTACTGGCCTTGGCACAGTGCCTGGGGGGGCGGGGACTCCGCACATGCCTGTGATGTCACAGTTACTGTCAGTTCACAGCGAACCTTCCCTCCTTTTCCTGTTGACTTTCCCACACTCCTGTAACCCTCCCTCCCTCCCTTCTTCCTCTCTCTCTCTCTCACTCACGCACACGCACACACACACACACACACACACACACACACACTCCATTCTCTGTCTCCATGACTCTGGAGTAAACTAACGTCTCGAGTTGCCATTGGAAGCCCCATTGTCCTCATTTTGTTTTGTTTTGTTTGTTTGAGACGGGGTCTCGCTCTGTCCCCCAGGCTGGAGTGCAGTGGTGCGATCTCAGCCCACTGCAGCCTCCGCCTCCTAGGTTCAAGCGATTCTCCTGCCTCACCCTCCTGAGTAGCTGTGATCATAGGTGCCCGCCACCACACCCGACTAATTTTTGTGTTTTTTAGTAGAGACAGGGTTTCACTATGTTGGCCAGGCTGGTCTCAAACTCCTGACCTCAGGTGATCCGCCCACCTTGGCCTCCCAAAGTGCTGGGATTACAGGAGTGAGCCACCATGCCCAGCCTCCGTTGTCCTCATTTAGACTTTCATGGGTTATAGGCACTTTTGACTTCCTGGGGTCCTTCTTCAGTTAAAAAAAAAAATTAGAAAATTAGGCCGGGCGTGGTGGCACATGCCTGTAATCCCAGCACTTTATGAGGCCGAGGTGGGAGGATCACCTGAGGTCGGGAGTTCAAGACCAGCCTGACCAATGTGGAGAAACCCCGTCCCTACTAAAAATAGAAAATTATTTGGGTGTGGTGGTGCATGCCTGTAATCCCAGCTACTCAGGAGGCTGAGGCAGGAGAATCGCTTGAACCCGGGAGGTGGAGGTTGCGGTCAGCCGAGATCATGCCACTGCACTCCAGCCTAGGCAACAAGAGTGAAACTCTGTCTTAAAAAAAAAATTAAAAATTATATTCGGGCCGGGCTTGGTGGCTCAATCCTATAATACCAGCACCTTAGGAGGCC
Source organism: Homo sapiens (assembly GCF_000001405.40). Classification (NCBI taxonomy): domain Eukaryota; kingdom Metazoa; phylum Chordata; class Mammalia; order Primates; family Hominidae; genus Homo; species Homo sapiens. Next base: position 72,996,691 of record NC_000007.14, on the reverse strand, counting down.
AAGGCAGGAGGATCACTTGAGGCCAGGAGTTCAAGACTGGCCTGGGCAACATAATGAGAACCCATCTTTACCAAAAAAATAAAATTACATTAAAAATTAGCCAGGCACGGTGACTTCTGCCTGAGGTCACATTCAAGAAGCTGATGTGGGAGGATCGCTTGAGCCCAGGAATTGGAGGCTGCAGTGAGCTAAGATCATACCACTGCACTTCAGCCTGGGCGTCAGAGTGAGACCCTGTTTCTAAAATAATAATAATTTTAAAAAATGATATTTATGGTTGCATTGGGAAAAGATCAATCTATTAATATACGTGAAGACATTTTTGGCCTAAAAGTTATATATATTTTTTCCTTCTGATTTTAAAAGAAATGGGGCCAGGCATGATAGCTCATACCTGTAATCCCAGCACTTTGGGAGGCCCAGGTTGGTGGATCACCTGAGGTCAGGAGTTCGAGACCAGCCTGGCCAACATGGTGAAACCCCATCTCTACTAAAAATACAAAAATTACCCGGGCGTGGTGTCACACGCCTCTAATCCCAGCTACTCAGGAGACTAAGGCAGGAGAATCGCTTGAACCCAGGAAGCGAAGGTTGCAGTGAGACCAGATCGCATCATTGTACTCCAGCCTGGGCGACAAGAACAAAACTCTGTCTCCAAAACAATAACAACAGCAAAACAAATGAATAAAACTCATTATATTCATTTGCTTTTATTTATTTATATTTAACTTTATTATTATTATTATTATTATTATTTTGAGACAGAGTCTCATTCTATCACCCAGGCTGGAGTGCAATGAGGCAATCTCGCCTCATGCAACCTCCATCTCCCGGGTTCAAGCAATTCTCCTGTCTCCTCCAGGTAGCTGGGGTTACAGGTGTGCAGCACCACACCTGGCTAATTTTTTTATTTTTAGTGGAGATTGGGTTTCATCATGTTGGCCAGGCTGATCTCGAAAGCCTGACCTCAAGTGATCCGCCCACCTTAGGCTCCCAAAGTGTGGGGAGCCACCGTCCCGGCGTATTATTACTTTTAGAGACGAGGTCTTGCTTTGTTTTCCAGGCTGGAGTACAGTGGCTCAATCATAGCTCACTGCAGCCTCAAACTCCTGGCCTTAAGCAATCCTCCTACTTCAGCCTCCCAAAGTGCTGAGATTATAGGTGTGAGCCACTGCACCTGGCCTCTCTATTCTCTACTTCCTCTTTCTAGAATTTCTATTAGGCGGATGTTGAATCTCCTGAATTAATCTCTAATTTTCTTCCCTTCCCTTTCCCTTCTCCTTCCCTTCCCTTCCCCTTCTCTCCCCTCCCCTCCCCTCCCTTCCCCTCTCCTCCCCTCCCTTCCCTTCTCTCCTTCCTTTCTCTCTCTCTTTCTCTCTTTCTTTCTTTTATAGTCTCATTCTGTCACCCAGGCTGGAGTGCAGTGGCAGTTCTCAGCTCACCGAAACCTCTGCCTCCCGGGCTCAAGCAATTCTCATGTCTCAGCCTCCCAAGTAGCTGGGATTACGGGTGCACACCACCACACCTGGCTGATTTATGTATTTTTTTCGTAGAGACAGGGTTTTGCCATGTTGGCCGGGCTGGTCTCGAACTCCTGACCTCGGGTGATCCACCCACCTCAGCCTCCCAAAGTGCTGGGATTACAGGTGTGAGCCACCGTGCCCGGCCTTGACTACCATATTTTAAATTTACTGGAGGACTTTTTTGTTCTCTTCTTTTTTCTTTTTTTAATAGCATCCCGCTCTTATTTCAGAATAAAAAAAATTTTAAGGTATGTTGAGTAAGAATCTATAGAGCAATGAAAATGCAAGAGCAATAGCTATGGGCACCAAATGGTCAATCTTCTTATCATAATGTTGAGTGGAAGAAGCCAGGTCCACCAGACACATGCTGCTCATTTATGCAAAGTTTGGACACAGGCAAAACAAAACTAGTTTGATCGTGATGGGAAACATTAGAGAAATGCAAAGACATGACCATCATAATTGTCAGGAGAAGGCATTGGTTAGGATTGGGAAGCGGCAAGCAGAAGCATTTAGGGATTGGCTGGCAATGTTTTACTTCTCGGCTGAGTGAGGGTTGCATCGGTGTTTATTTGATAACACGTTCTAGGGGCTGGGCAAGATGGCTCATGTTTGTAGTCTCAGTACTTTGGGAGGCCAAAGATGGGAGGATTGCTTGAGCCCGTGAGTTTGAGACCAGCGTGGGTGACATAGCGAGACCCTGTCTCTACAAAAAATTAAAAAAAAAAAAAAAAACCCAGCTGCGTGTGGTGGCACAGCCTCAAACTCCTGGGCTCAAGCGATCCTCCCTTCGCCTTCCAGCCACTCAGGAGGCTGGGGTGGGAGGATCGCTTGAACCCAGGAGTTTGAGGCTGCAGTGAGCTATGAATGAGCCACTGCACTCCAGCCTGGGCAACAGGGCAAGACCCTGTCTCAAAAAAAAAAAATTTAATTTGAACACTTCTGTTTTGTGCAGTTTTCTCTGTTATATTTTACTTTTTAAAAAGAAAAAGCGGCTGGGCGCGGTGGCTCACGCCTGTAATCCCAGCACTTTGGGAGGCCAAGGTGGGCGGATCACCTGATGTCAGGAGTTCGAGACCAGCCTGACCAACATGGAGAAACCTCGTCTCTACTAAAAACACAAAAAATTAGCCGGGCGTGGTGGCGCATGCCTGTAATCCCAGCTACTCGGGAGGCTGAGGCAGGAGAATCGCTTGAACCTAGGAGGCAGAGGTTGCAGTGAGCTGAGATTGCACCACTGCACCCCAGCCTGGGCAATAAGAGTGAAACTCCATCTCAAAAAAAAAAAAAAAAAAAGGTGCATGAAACATATGAAGCAAAAAGTGAAAGTCCCCATTCTTTTCCTTTTTCCAGAGGTGATTTTTGTGGCCAATCTGGTTTCATTCCCTCCCAGACACTTTTCTAGGCATCTATGCGCCTCTATTCACATATAAACAAAATAGGAGTTTTCCTGTGCTTCCCTTAAATGGCATATGTATCTTTCACTCTTTTTTTTCACCTAGTGGATCTTTAATACCTTAAAAGCTCAACCTGGGCTTGGTGCGGTGGCTCATACGTGTAATCCCAGGCCTTTGGGAGGCCAAGGTGGGAGGATCACTTGAGCTCAGGAGTTCCAGACCATTCCAAAGCAAAAACAAAAGGATTTTGAGATCAGTGTGGGCAACTTAGCAAAACACCATCTCTTAAAAAAAAAAAAAAATTAGCCAAGCTTGGTGGTGTAAGCCTGTAGTCCCAGCTACTTGAGAGGCTGAGGTGGGAGGATTGTTTGAACCCAGGAGGTTGAGGCTACAGTGAGCTGTGATTGTGCCACTGCACTCCAGGTTGGGTAATGCAGCGAGACTGTGTCTCAAAAAATAAATAAAATAAAAAATAAATAAAAGCTCCACCTGTCTTCCTTTTAGATGTTGCATAGCATTTCACACAGTATTGATGTATTACAGCTCAACTAAATTAATCCCAGTATCTAGCACTTGGGGTGGTGGGAAGGATTAAGGGAGATAATATAAGCCAAGTGCCCAGAACAAGGGCTTGGCACACCAGGCTCGCCTTGAACAATTTGTTTTTTTGTTGTTTTGTGTGTGTGTGTGTTTTTTTTTTGAGACAGCATCTCATTGCATCACCGAGGTTGTAGTGCAGTGGTGCAGTCGTAGCTCACTACTGTCTCAGACACCTGGGATCAAGCGATCCTCCCACCTCAGCCTCCGGAGTAGCTGGGACTACACATGCATCACCACACCCCACTAATTTTTAAATTTTTTGTAGAGACAGAGTCTCATTATGTTGCCTAGGCTGGTCTCAAACTCCTGGCCTCAATTAATCCTCCTCCCTTGGCCTCCCAAAGTGCTGGGATTACAGGGATGAGCCACTGTACCTGGCAGCCTTGAGCGATTTCTCACCTCCTCATTGGCCCAGTTTCCTTATCTGTAAATGAGAGTAGCTGTAAAATATGGTTAATGTGAGGACCAAACGGGTCAATTAGGGAAAAGCAGTGTCTCTGCCAGCACCTGACACTTCTTTTTTTTTTTTTTTGTGAGACAGTCTCACTCTGCTGCCCAGGCTGGAGTGCAGTGGTGCAATCTTGGCTCACTGCAACCTCCACCTCCCAGGTTCAAGCAATTCCCCTGCCTCAGCCTTCTGATTAGCTGGGACTACAGGTGCCTGCCACCACGCCTGGCTAATTTTGGAATTTTTAGTAGAGATGTGGTTTCACCATCTTGGCCTGGCTGGTCTTGAACACCTGAACTCAGGTGATCTGCCCACCTCAGCCTCCCAAAGGGCTGGGATTACAGGTGTAATGGTTAAGGAGGCAAATCTTAAATAAAGGCCGGGCACAGTGGCTCACGCCTGTAATCCCAGCTACTCGGGAGGCTGAGGCAGGAGAATTGCTTGAACCCGGGATTGCAGTGAGCCAAGATCGCACCACTACACTTCAGCCTGGGTGACAGAATGAGACTCCGTCTTAAAAAAAAAAAAAAAAAAATTTAAATAAAATGCATGCAATGTGGTCCAGGCGTGGTGGTGCATGCCTGTAACCCCAGCACTTTGGGAGATAGAGGCAGGTGGATCCCTTGAGCTTAGGAATTTGAGACTAGGCTGGGCAACATAGTGAGACCTCATCTCTAAAATTAAAAAAATAAAAGCCACCAGAAAAAAACCTAAAAACATGCCAAGTGACATCAGTCTTTGATGAAAATGGCAGCAGAAGAGTGATGCCATGGGTGGGGGTGGGAAATGCTATTTCAGCAGAGAGGGAGCTGTCATGGAAGACACCATGTGGCTGGGCACGGTGGCTCACACCTGTAATCCCAACACGTTGGGAGGCCAAGGTGGGCAGATCACTTGAGGTCAGGAGTTCAAGACCAGCCTGGCCAACATGGCAAAACCCCATCTCTACTAAAATCCAAAAATTAGTCGGGTATGGCAGTGCACGCCTGTAATCCCAGATACTCGGAAGGCTGAGGCAGGAGAATCATTTGAACCTGGGAAGTGGAGGTTGCAGTGAGCCAAGATCGTGTCACTGCACTCTAGCCTAGGTGATAAAGCGAGACTCAGTCTCAAAAAATAAAGGAAGAAAAAGAAACCAGGTGACTGTTGTGCCCGTCTCTTGTCCCCGATCTTTCTCCCAATCCTGAGGTCCATCAGCTGGAAGGACATATCCATCCGGAGGCCTCCCCAAGTGTGGTGGGAGAAATCCATCCCCTCTCTGACACTCCCCCCGCCTTTCCCTCCCGACACCCAGTCCCCGGGAGATCAAAATTTAACCTGGTGTTATCTAGGCTGGAGCCTGAAGAGCCCGGTGGGAAGTGGAGGACGGAGAGGAGGGGCATGGACCCAGAAAGTAGCAGGAAGTCTTCAGAGACCCTTATTTTTAAATTATTTATTTTTGTTTGTTTTGTTTTTTGTTTTTTTGTTTCCCTCTTGTTGCCCAGGCTGGAGTGCAGTGGTGTGATCTTGGCTCACTGCAACCTCTGCCTCCCAGGTTCAAGTGATTCTCCTGCCTCAGCCTCCTGAGTAGCTGGGATTACAGGCGCCCACCACCAAGTCCGGCTAATTTTTGTGTTTTTAGTAGAGATGGGGTTTCACCTTGTTGGCCAGGCTGGTCTCGAACTCCTTACCTCAGGTGATCCACCCACCTCGGCCTCCCAAAGTGCTAGGATTATAGGCTTGAGCCACCGCACCTGGCCCTTCAGAGACCTTTGGAGCCAGAGGTGACATATCGATCTACATTTAACCCTCTGGGAACCAAGGAATGAAGGATTAGAGGAAACGGGGCCAGAAGTGGAGAGAAGGGGAGTGTGCATCGAACAGACAGGGAGTGTATTAAATAAATGAATGAGTGAATGAATGATCCATCCATATGGACACTAGCCTGTCAGTAAAGAAGAGTCTAGGGTCAGGGAGAGCTCAGCCCTCCTCAGGCCGCCCCCATGATGACATAGCCTTGGGCTAGGGGAAATCTGAGGTCAGGCCAGCTGCCTGGCAGGAGTTGAGACCCCAGAAGGAAGGTGGAGGGCAGGAACATTCCCCAGCCCCAGGGTGGGATCTCAGCCCAAGGAGATGGGGTTCCCAGGCCAGGGTCTGCCTTGGGCAGGCAGATGGGTGCCAGGTGGGCCCTGGGTCACCACTGGGGGCCAGCCCCAGCCCAGCGTCTGCCTCCCCCACTGCCCAGCCTCTGTTCATTCCCAGGTGGGACAGGGAGCCACAGCCCCCATCCCACCCCCAGCACAGAAGCCTTTTGACAGGCCGGCCGGCTGGCTGGGAGCACTGGCAGCCCCTCAGCCCCACGCCTCCTTCCCGCCCGGTCCCCATGCAGACCCCCCCACCTTCTGGGCTCCCAGTAGGCCCGGGTGGGGAGCCACCGCCCGAGCACAATGTAGCTCCTTGTTCCCCGCCTTGGCCTCCTGGAATTGGCCCATTTCCTGCCTGGGCCGTGGGGCCTTTTCCAAGGTAAATAAACAAATACAGAGAAGTTGGGGCCTGGGGTGGAAAGGGGGATGCTGGGCTTTTCCTCCCTGCATCCCAACCCCATAGCAATAGCTGCTGTGTGACCACAGGGACCGGGACACCAAGGCTGAGCTCCCACACCCTGGGCTTCATTGATCCCTGGGAGAAGAGAACAGGATCCACTGGAGGGTTTGTGCCGCTCTGCCTCAGGGGCTGTGGTTCCCCATCCAGGACGCCCAGGGGCCACCGATTCCTGCAGGAATTGCCTGAGTGCAGGGCTGGGACAGCCGCTGAGAGACAGAAAGGGCTCCAGGGTGGATGACAATTCCCTAGGCTCCCGTCCTGGCTGTGCCACCTTGGAGCACTATGACATCAGGAAGGAAATGAACCTCCAGCTGCAGAATGGCTCCAGAGGTGCTGCCTGCTTAGGGGGTGCATGGCCCTCGCCTCCAGTGTCATAAATGGGCCATTGCCTTCTCCCAGGTCGGTAGTGAGAGTGACAGCAGGTGCCTAGCAGGACCCCTGAGTTTGGGAGCCGGCCTGGCCAGGGCTTCTTCGGCTTCCCAGGGGCTGGGGAGAAGCCTCTCCCTGTGACTCAGGCTTTCTTTCTTTCTTTCTTTCTTTTTTTTTTTTTTTGAGACAGGGTCTCACTCTGTCACCCAGGCTGGAGTGCAGTGGCATGACCCTGACTCACTGCAATCTCCACCTCCTGGATTCAAGCGATTCTTCTGCCTCAGCCTCCTGAGTAGCTGTGATTACAGGCATGTGCCACTATGCCCAGCTAATTTTTGAATTTTTAGTAGAGACAGGGTTTCACCATGTTGGCCAGGCTGGTCTCGAACTCCTGGCCTCAAGTGATCAGCCTGCCTCAGCTTCCCAAGGTATTGAGATTATAGGCATGAGCCACCGTGCCTGGCCAGGTTTCTTGTTTTTAAAAGGAGGAAAGAGCTGGGTGCAGTGGCTCATACCTGTAATCACAGCACTTTGTGAGGCTGAGGTGAAAGGATTTCCTGAGCCCAGGAGTTCAAGACCAGCCTGGGCAACATAGTGAGACCCTATCTCTATAAAACTAATAAAGACAAGATTAAGTTAAAATAAGGAAAGAGAGCAAGATAAAGCCCCAGCTCCAGCTCCCTCCAGGGCTGAAGTTTCGGACTGACCTCTGCCCAGACCATTCCACCCTCCAAGCCCAGCCCTGCCTGCCCTGGGCTGTGGGTATGAGAGAGCTCAGGGCAGACAAAATGCCCCTCACACTTCTCCCTTTCTTTCTTCCACCTCCCTGTCCTCTATCCCGTAGAACAGTGGTCCCCATTTTTTTTTTCTTTTTTTTTTTTTTTAGATGGAGTCTTGCTGTCTTGCCTAGGCTGGAGTGCAGTGGCGCAGTCTCAACTAACTGCAGCCTCTGCCTCTGAGGTTCAAGTGATTCTCCTGCCTCAGCCTCCTGAGTAGCCGGAATTACAGGCATGTGCCACCACGCCCAGCTAATTTTATTATTATTATTATTTTTTTTTTTTATTTTGAGATGGAGTCTTACTGTCTCCCAGGCTGGAGTGCAGTGGCGAGATCTCGGCTCACTGCAAGCTCCGCCTCCCAGGTTCACGCCATTCTCCTGCCTCAGCCTCCCGAGTAGCTGGGACTACAGGCACCCGCTGCCACGCCTGGCTAATTTTTTGTATTTTTAGTAGAGACAGGGCTTCACCGTGTTAGCCAGGATGGTCTCGATCTCCTGACCTCGTGATCCGCCTGCCTCGGCCTCCCAAAGTGCTGGGATTACAAGCGTGAGCCACCATGCCCGGCCAATTTTTGTATTTTTAGTAGAGACAGGGTTTTGCCATATTTGCCAGGCTAATCTTGAACTCCTGACCTCAAGTGATCTACCCACCTCAGCCTCCCAAAGTGCTGGGATTACAGGTGTGAGCCACTGTGCCCAGCACCCCCAACCTTTTTGACACCAGGGATCAGTTTCAAAAAAGACAATTTTTCAACGAATGGGGGTGGGGTTGGGGGTAGGAGTTAGCCAGATGGTCTGGGGATGAAACTGTTCCATGTCAGATCATCAGGCATTAGATTCTCATTAGGAACATGCAACCTAGATCCCTTACGTGCGCAGTTCACAATAGAGTTCACGCTCCCATGAGAATCTGATGCCACCGCTGATCTGACAAGAGACGGAGCTCCGGCGGTAATGCTCCCTCACCTGCCACTCACCTCCTGCTGCACAACCTGATTCCTAACAAGTCACGGACCAGCTGGGGACCATGGACCCCTGCCTTGGAGATTCCTCCACTCCACTGTGGGAAGGGGCACCTTCTGAACCAACGTTTTGCATGTGTCTTCATCCCCTGCTTGCACTCCAGATCTTTCCTTCCTTCACTTAATCACCTGTTAGCATTTACCAAGTGCTTGCTCTGTCCTGGACGTTATACAATGAGGTGGCCCTGGACCCTGGGGTCTTGCTGTGTGTGGGCGGGGGTGATTTCCCAGGGATGGCTCTCAAAACAGGGACGTGAAAATGCATTTGGAGAGATCTTCAAATTCCTTGAGGATTTGAAATTTTCATTTTTATTTCAACAATAACTTGTTCAGCCAGGCGCGGTGGCTCATGCCTGTAATCCCAGCACTTTGAGAGGCCGAGGCAGGTGGATCTCCTGAGGTCAGGAGTTCGAGACCAGCCTGGCTAACATGGTGAACCCCCCGCCAACCCCCCCACTGCCTACCCCGCTGCTCCTTTTTCTTTTCTTTCATTATATATATATATGTATATATGTGTATATATATACATATGTGTGTGTATATGTGTGTGTATATATATATATATATTTTTTTTTTTTTTTTTTTTTTTTTTTGATACAGAGTCTCGCTCTGTCGCCAGGCTGGAGTGCAGTGGCATAATCTCGGCTCACTGCAACATCTGCCTCCCAGGTTCAAGTGATTCTTCTGCCTCAGCCTCCGAGGTAGCTGGGATTACAGGTACCAGCCACCACGCCCAGCTAATTTTTGTATTTTTAGTAGAGAGGGGGTTTCACCATGTTGGTCAGGCTGGTCTCCAATTCCTGACCTCAAGTGATCCGCCCACCTCGGCCTCCAAAAGTGCTGGGGTTACAGGCGTGAGCCACTGCGCCCAGCCTCCTTTCCTTTTTCTTTCCTCCCACTCTGTCATCTTTTATCAATGACAACTTTTAAAGATCCCATGACTGGTCACAGTGAGAACTCTCTTTTGCAGTCATCCTTTGCAATGATAATATATGCCTGTAAACTAAGGCTTTAATTTTTTTTTTTTTTGAGATGAGGTCTCACTCTGTTGCCCAGTCTAGAGTGCAGCAGTTTAGTCATAGCTCACTGCAGCCCGAACTTCTGGGCTCAAGCGATCCTCCTTCCATGCCTGAGTAGCTGGGACTACAGGCATGTGCCATCATGCCTAGCTAGTTTATCGTTATTATTTTTTGTAGAGACAGGGTCTCACTATGTTGCCCAGGCTGGTCTCAGACTCTTGGCCTCAAGGGATTCTCCCTCGTCAGCCTCCCAAAGTGCTGGGATTACAAGCATGAGCCACCAAGCCAGGCCTATTTATGGTTTCTGATCATTTTTATTTCTTTAAAAGAAGTGTATAGCTGGGCACAGTGGCTCACTCCTGTAATCCCAGCACTTTGGGAGGCCAAGGCAGGTGGATCATTTGAGGTCAGGAGTTTGAGACCAGCCTGACCAACATGGTGAAACCCCATCTCTACTAAAAATACAAAAAGTTAGCCGAGCGTGGTGGTGGACGCCTGTAATCCCTCCTGCTACTCGGGAGGCTGAGGCAGGAGAACCACTTGAACCTGGGTGGCAGAGGTGGCAGTGAGATGAGATTGTGCCACTGCACTCAAGCCTGGGGGACAGAGCCAGGCTCTGTCTCAAAAAAAAAAAAAAGAAAAAGAAAAAAGAAGTGTACACTACAGCAAAGCATGTCTGATGCCAGTGGGCTATGTTGGGGTGGGGGTAAGGGTGTCAATTTGACCTGGGGGTTCTGAAAGTCTCAGGAAAGGCAGATGGGGGAGGGCCCGAGGCATCCACAGCTTTGAGTGTCCTGGTGTCTAAGCAGGAGCCATGGAGAAGGTGGGAGGTGTGAGTTAGGATCAGCTGGAGATCGGTGCTCTTTTGTCCAAGAGAATGAAGTTGTCTTCAGGTATGATTTGGTTTGGAAACAAGATAAAAGAGATTGGCCGGGCACGGTGGCTCAGGCCCGTAATCTGAGTACTTTGGGAGACCAAGGTGGGTGGATCACGAGGTCAAGAGATCAAGACCATTCTGGCCAACATGGTGAAACCCCGTCTCTACTAAAAGTACAAAAATTAGCTGAGCATGGTGGCGCATGCCTTTAGTCCCAGCTACTTGGGAGGCTGAGGCAGGAGAATTGCTTGAACCTGGGAGGTGGAGGTTGCAGTGAGCCGAGATCGTGCCACTGTACTCCAGCCTGGTGACAGAGCAAGACTCTGTCTCAAAAAAAAAAAAAAAGAAAAGGAAAAAGGTGGCCAGGTGCAGTGGCTCACACCTGTAATCCCAGCACGTTGGGAGGCCGAGGCGGGCAGATCGCCAGAGGTTGGGAGTTCGCAACCAGCCTGACCAACATGGTGAAACCCTGTCTCTACTAAAAATACAAAATTAGTCAGGCATGGTGGCGCATACCTGTCATCCCAGCTACTTGGGAGGCTGAAGCAGGAGAATTGCTTGAACCCGGGAGGCAGAGGTTGCGGTGACTGGAGATTGCGCCATTGCACTCCAGCCTGGGCAACAAAAGTGAAACTTCGTCTCCAAAAAAAAAAAACACCAAAAAACAAAAATTAGCTGGGCGTGGTGGTGCATGCCTGTAATCTCAGCTACTCAGGGAGGCTGAGGCAGGAGAATCGCCTGAACCCGGGAGGTGGAGGTTGCAGTGAGCCGAGATCGTGCCACTGCGCTCCAGCCTGGGCAACAGAGCAAGACTCCATTTCAAAAACAAACAAACAAACAAACCAACAAACAAACCGAAATTTTAGGGACAGATGGATTTTTTCTCTGGAATATTGACTTCAACCCAGCCACATATGGATATGCTTAGAACAGCAGGGCTCAGTCTGAAGTTGGGACCATATCTGTTCTCAAAACATGTGGATCCCTGAGGCCAGACACCAGGTGCCCGCCATTGGTGTCAGGGCCCTACTCCTCTCCCTGCAGTGCAAGGGGCCAGTCCTCAAGGCAGGGGTTCCTCCTCTCTGGACACACAGAGAAAGAGGAGGCGGGGAAACAGCAAGTGCCCAGGAAGGGTGAGGCCCCAGGGACTTGAAGCCAGCCCTCTGATAGCATCGCTGTTTCAGAGGAACACTAGCTACGAACGGGGCTCCCTTGCCAGTCAGTGCTCAGAGAGATAAGCTTACCTAGCAGGTCCTTCCTACAGCTGCAGCAATGATGCCTGGACTGTGTCTGCCCAGGGGTGGGCGGTGGAAGGTTCTAGGGAGAGGAGTTGGCACTTCCCTGGTGCAGCCCTTCCCTCTCCTCCCCAGCCCTGACACCACCACAGCCCCTTCGTCTTCTCTGTCCAGAACCTCTTCCCAGAGGCTCCCTAAGGAGACCGCGGAGTCTCCGCCTGGGGCTCTCACAGCCCCACACCATGTGGCACAGCCTAGGGTGTGACCCCCTTGCCTGCCCTGCGTTTGCTTGGCTGGAGGGACAGGCCTTTCAATGACTCTGACAGTGGAGTAGGGGACCCACAATGGGGAGCAGCTAGCTCTGTCTATGAGAGTTTGGGGAGCGGGGCCTTGCAGAAAAGATGTCTGAAGAGTTTTTTTTTATTATTTTTGTTTTGAGACAGAGTTTCACTCTTTCGCCCAGGCTGGAGTGCAGTGGCTGGATCTCTGCTCACAGCAACCTCGGCCTTCCAGTTTCAAGCAATTCTCCTGCCTCAGCCTCCCAAGTAGCTGGGATTACAGGCGCCTGCCACCACACCTGGCTAATTTTTGTATTTTTAGTAGAAACGGGGTTTCACCATGTTGGCCAGGCTGGTCTTGAACTCCTGACCTCGTGATCCGCCTGACTCAGCCTCCCAAAGTGCTGGGATTACAGGCGTGAGCCACCACACCCAGCCAGGTCTGATGAGTTTTTAAGGTGAAATGGGAGTTTTTCAGGCTGTTGGGAAGTGGTGTCCCCGCTGTAAGCATGCTGGCCCCACATCTGCTTTGATGCTTCTCAGCCCAGGATGGTGCAGCAGCCTGCAAGGGTCTCCTCCATGGGTCCCCAGGGCAGCAGGGCCAGAGAATCCTGCCCCTCTTAAGAGAACAACTGGCTAGGCGCAGTGGCTCACGCCTGTAATTCCAGCATTTTGGGAGGCCAAGGCGGGCGGATCACTTAAGGTCAGGAGTTCGAGACCAGCCTGGTCAACATGGTGAAACCCCATCTCTATTAAAAATACAAACATTAGCTGGGCTTGGTGGTGGGCACCTGTAGTCCCAGCTACTCAGGAGGCTGAGGCAGGAGAATCGCTTGAACCTGGGAGGCGGAGGTTGCAGTGAGTTGAGATCATGCCACTGCACTCCAGCCTGGGTGACAGAGCAAAAAAACTCCGTCTAAAAAAGAAAAAAAAGAGAACAACTGCCCCTTCTAGCAGCAGCCCAGATGGAGACACCCATAGCAGGGCGCCGGATCCAATCTCTTCCTCTCCTCCCTCGGCCTTCCTCTCCCCACAAACCCCAGGGTCTAGAAAGTAGAAGGTTCTCCCCTCTTCTCTCCTTCCTCATAATGAACTCGATGGAGCTGGCCCGAGTGCAGTGGTGGTTACAGTTAATTGATCACAACGACTTACAGATTTTTTTGTTCCTTCTCCACTCCCACTGCTTCACTGGACGAGCCAAACACAAATTAAATAAATAGGCAGGTCACAGTGGCTCATGCCTCTAGTCCCAGTGCTGTAGGAGGCCAAGGTGGGCGGATCACTCGAGCCCAGGAGTTCGAGACCAGCCTGGGCAATGTGGTGAAATCCCATCTCTACCAAAAAAAAAAAAAAAAAGAAGCAAAAATTAGCCAGGCATGGAGGTACAACCTGTAGTCCCAGCTACTTGGGAGGCTGAGGTAGGAGGATCTCTTGAGCCTGGAAGGTTTTTTTTTTTTTGGTGTTTTTTTGTTTGTCTGTTTTTTTAAACGGAGTTTTGCTCTTGTTGCCCAGGCTGGAGTGCAATGGTGAGATCTCAGCTCACCACAACCTCCTCCTCCCGGGTTCAGGCGATTCTCCCGCTTCAGCCCCCCGAGTAGCTGGGATTACAGGCATGTGCCACCATGCCCAGCTAATTTTGTATTTTTAGTAGAGACAGGGTTTCTCCATGTTGGTCAGGCTGGTCTCGATCTCCTGACCTCAGGTGATCCTGCCACCTTGGCCTCTCAAAGTGCTGGGATTACAGGCATAAGCCACCGCGCCTGGCCTGAGCCTGGAAGGTTGAGGCTGCAGTGAGCCAAGATCACGCCACTGCACTCTAGCCTGGGTGACAAACTGACTAAATAAACAAATAAATAAATAAATAAATAAACTCTGGAAAACCCTATGGTCTACTCCAGTTCATGAAGCCTGGACCTGAGTCAAAGTGTGAGATACTGGCCCAGGCACAGTGGCTCATGCCTGTAAGCCTAGCACTTTGGGAGGCTGAGGCAGGAGGATCGCTTGAGGCCAGGAGTCTGAGACCAGCCTGGGCAACATAGCGAGACCCTGTCTTTATGAAAGAATTTAAAAAGGAAAAGAAAGAAAGTGGGAGGTATTGGTGTTAAGTCCATTCTTTATCAAGGAGGCGAAATTGTACATTTGAATGTCAGAAATCCACAATTGTCTCTTTTTCTTTGTGTTCCCTCTGTAGCAAATCGCAGTCTTCTCCAGGCTGACAAGGCGAAGGGCATGGCTTCGAAGTGCAAAAGAGTCATCATGAAACATCATGAATCATGAATCATTAGGCGTCTTCCCTTCGCTCCCCACTTTTTTTTTTTTTTTTTTGAGACTGAGTCTCGCTCTGTTGCCCAGGCTGGAGTACAGTGGTGCGATCTTGGCTCACTGCAACCTCTGCCTCCTGGGTTCAAGCGATTCTCCTGCCGTAGCCTCCTGAGTAGCTGGGATTACAGGTCCCCGCCACCACACCTGGCTAATTTTCTTATTTATTTATTTATTTTTAGTAGAGATGGGGTTTTGCCATGTTGGCCAGGCTGGTCTCGAACTCCTGACCTCAAGTGATCCACCTGCTTTGGCCTCCCAAAGTGCTGGGATTACAGGCGTAAGCCATTGCACCCAACTCACTCCCCACCTTAAAACCAAAAGCGCTCTGGCTCTCAATGGAGACATCAAGCCCTCCCTGCCCCTTCTCCCTCCCCTTTCAGAGAATCTCCAGGAATTTCTGCCATTGTGCAGGGAGCAATTGAAAAATCAGTTAGTTCAGCTGGGTGCAGTGGCTCATGTCTGTAATCCCAGCACTTTGGGAGGCTGAGGCGGGCAGATCACCTGAGGCCAGGAGTTGGAGACCAGCCTGGCCAGCACAGTGAAACCCCGTCTCTACTAAAAATACAAAAAATTAGCCGGGCGTGGTGATGGGCACCTGTAATCCCAGCTACTCTGGAGGCTGAGGCAGGAGAATGGCGTGAACCTGGGAGGTGGAGCTTGCAGTGAGCCGAGACTGCAGCATTGCACTCCAGCCTGCGCAACAAGAGTGAAACTGTCTCAAAAAACAAAACAAAACAAAACACAAAAAGAAAGAAAAAAGGAAAAATCAGTTAGTTCGATTATTAGAAGACTAGATTATTGCTCAGCAGTAACCACTCCTTTCCCACAAACTCCCCTCTCTAGGAGGAATGTACCTCCCCACCCATTCCTGTTAGGCTTGGCCAGGTGAATCGCTTTGGCCAATAGAATGTAACTGACAAGGTGAGCAGAGATTTGCAGTGGGCTTGTGCTTGGTGCTGGTCCTCCGGGGCTCCTGCCTTTAGCCAGGGGAAGCACACTCCCCAGCCCCTCCTTAGCCCTCTGGCCCTGGGGAGAATGAGAGGCATGTGGCACAGTCCTGGACCCAGCCGTGGCTGGGAGCAAGCCTGGAAGCTTGAGCGAGAGATAAATGCTTGGTCTTTTTGTTTGAGACTAAGTCTCGCTCTATCGCCCAGGCTGGAGTGCAGTGTGGCACAATCTCAGCTCATTGCAACCTCCACCTCCCAGGTTCAAGCTATTCTCCTGCTTCAGCCTCCCAAGTAGCTGGGACTACAGGTGCGAACCACCACGACCAGGTAATTTTTGTATTTTTAGTAGAGATGAGGTTTCACCACGTTGGCCAGGCTGGTCTCAAACTGCTGACCTCAAGTGATCCACCCGGCTCGGCCTCCCAAAGTACAGGCATGAGCCAATTCGCCCAGTGATAAATGCTTGTTTTAAGCTTCTGGGTTTTGGGGTGGTGTGTTAGGCAGCCTCACTGGGGCAGTGGCTGACGGGTACAATCAGATGAACCCTGAGGCCCCTGGAAGCTTCGAGTGTCTATGAGGGACCTTTCCCGGCCTTTCAGCCAAATTGGAAGACCCACTTCTCTGGACTGGATGCTGCATTGAATTGAGCAAAGGAACTGAGTGCCCGGGGAGCTCAAAGGGAAGCAGCCCAGCCTTCCTTCCGGGGCAGAGCAGTGGTGGGGACCTGTTTCCAGCTGCTTGTGCCCCCCACTTCATGGAGGAGGGACCAGGGATCCTCAGAGGAGAGGGTGATGTTTGACAGTGGCTGCCTGCCCTGAAAATCGCCCTTGTCTGTCCAGCCTGGCCTGAATTTCACCCACATCAACCCACATGGGATACTTTATTTATTTATTTATCTATTTATTTATTTATTTATTTATTTTAGAGCCAGGGTCTCACCCTGTGGCCCAGGCTGGAGTGCCGTGGTGCTATCATAGCTCACTGCAGCCTCAAACTCCTGGGCTCAAGTGATCCTCCCGCCTCAGCCTCCAGAGTAGCTGGGACTACAGGAACACACCACTGTGCCTGGCTTATTTTTCTTTTTTTTTTTGGTAGAGATGGGGGTCTCTCTATGTTGCCCAGGCTGGTCTCAAACTCCTGGCCTCAAGTGATCCTCCTGCCTCGGCCTCCCAAAGTACTGGGATTACAGGTATACCATTATGTCCAGCTAAACCTGTTCCTTGAAGAAAGTGTGAACCTCAAATTCAAAGCCCCTCTCTTTCTCTTCCCTCATCAGAATCGGCTCCCAGACACCTGCCACTCGTGAATGCATCTGATAAACTCACTCACACTGAGGCCTTGGGGACTGAGGTGAGCAGGGCCCAGCAGTGGGGAGATATATGGGGGAAGTGTTAGTGGTGGTGAATCCATATGGATTCACCTCAGTCCTTGCCTCCTCAGAAGAAAGAATTCCACCAAGGGGCATGAGGCAGAGTGAGGGACCGAGGCAAGTTTTAGAGCAGGAGTGAAAGTTTATTAAAATGTTTTGGGGCAGGTGCTGGGCACGGTAGCTCACGCCTGTAATCCCAGCACTTTGGGAGGCCGAGGTGGTTGGATCAGTTGAGGTCAGGAGTTTGAGACCAGCCTGGCCAACATGGCCAAACCCTGTCTCTACTAAAAATACAAAAATTAGCCAGACATAGTGGCACATGCCTATAATCCCAGCTACTGGGGAGGCTGAGGTGGGAGAATTGCTTGAACCCGGGAGGTGGAGGTTGCAGTCAGCCGAGATCACAACACTGCACTCCAACCTGGGCAACAGAGCAAGACTCCATCTCAAAACAAAAACAAAACCAACCAAACAAAGAAAAAGTTTTAGGGCAGTAAGGAAAGGAGGTAAAGTACACTTGGAAGAGGGTCAAGCAGGTGACTTGAGAGAGTCAAGTGCACTGTTTGATCTTGGACTTGGGGTTTGATAGGTTGGCATCCTTCCGGGGCTTGCGTTAACTTTCCCCTGGTTCTTCCCTTGGGGTGGTCTGTCCGCATGCGCAGTGGCCTGCCAGCGCTCCGGAGGGGCCTCATGCGCAGCGTGTTTACTGAAGTGCGCATGCTCACTTGAGGCATTCTTCCTTTACCAGTCAAATGCTCCCAGGTCATATGCCAGTTAAACTCCACCATGTTGCCTCTTAGTGCACATGCTTGAGCCCACTCGCCCAGCTCCTGAGATCTTATCGGGAAGCTGCTGATCACCAGTTCCAGGTGCTTTCTATCTATTGGGAAACGGCCTTTCCCTGGTGTTGGTTGCAACCAATTATTATTTTAAGAGAGACAGTTACCAACCACCTGACTGCTGGGTGAGGTGGCTCATGCCTGTAATCCCAGCACTTTAGGAGCCTGAGGTGGGTGGATTACCTGAAGTCAGGAGTTTGAGACCAGCCTGGCTAACATGGTGAAACCCCATCTCTACTAAAAATACTAAATAAATAAATAAATAAATAAATAAATAAATAAGCTGGGTGTGGTGGTGGAGGCTGTAGTCCCAGCTACTCAGGAGGCTGAGGTGGGAGGATCACGAGCTGGGGAGACGGAGGCTGCAGTGAGCTGAGATGGCTCCACTGCACTCCAGCCTGGGCAACAGAGCAAGACTCTGTGTCAACAAACAATAACAGGCCGGGTGCGGTGGCTCACGCCTGTAATCCTAGCACTTTGGGAGGCGGAGGTGGGCGATCACCTGAGGTCAGGAGTTCGAGACCAGCCTGGCCAACATGGTGAAACCCCATCTCTACTAAAAATACAAAAATTAGCCGGGCGTGGTGGCAGGCGCCTGTAATCCCAGCTACTCGGGAGGCTGAGGCAGGAGAATGGCGTGAACCCGGGAGGCAGAGCTTGCAGTGAGCCGAGTTCGCGCCACTGCATTCCAGCCTGGGCGACAGAGCGAGACTTCGTCTCAAAAAAAAAAAAAAAAGGTTGGAGACCAGCCTGGGTAACAGACCAAGACCCCGACTCTGGAATTAAAACAAAAAACAGGATGTGGTTGGTGTTTTGTAACCAAGACGTTTAGAGTAGGATGGTTTTCAGGCTATCAAATTTACTACTATATTGCTCACACCAGAAGTCCAAATATACACACAAATTAGATATATTTTTTTGAGATGGAGTCTTGCTTTGTCACCCAGGATGGAGTGCAGTGGCACAATCATAGCTCACTGCCTCCTCCAATTTCTGGGCTCAAGGGATCCTCTTGCCTCAGTCTCCCGAGTAGCTGGGACTACAAGCATGTGCCACCATGGCCATGCCCAGCTATTTTTTTTTTTTTTAATAAGTCTTTTTTTTTTTTTTTTCTGAGACCAAGTCTCACTCTGTTACCCAGACTGCTGTGCCGATCTCAGCTACTGCAACCTCCTCTTCCCAGGTTCAAGCGATTCTCCTGCCTCACACTCCTGAGTAGTTGTGATTACAGGTGTGCCACCACGCCAGGCTAATTTTTGTATTTTTAGTAGAGATGGGGTTTCACCATGTTGGCCAGGCTGGTCTCAAACTCCTGACCTCAGGTGATCTGGCTGCCTGAGTCTCCCAAAGTGCTGGCATTACAGGTGTGAGCCACTGCACTCGGCAGAAGGTTACTTTTGTAGATGGGGTCTCACTATGTTGCCAGGCTGGTCTCAAACTCCTGGGCTCGAGCAGTCCTCCCACCTGGACCTCCCAAAGTGCTGGGATTACCAGCATGAGCCACTGTGTCTGGCCTAAATATATATATTTAAATAATTAGAATCATACATTTCCAAGACCCCCAATATGAACAGAAGCTCTGCAGAAAACAGTTTGAAAACCAGGCATCCAGCAGGGAGAACCTGGGCTTCCCATCACCCGCTTTTTCATTCCCACCCTAGCTCCCTCATGCTCCACAACTTGGGGACAAGTTAGTTGTTTTCTCTGAGCCTTCTTTTTCCCTTCTGCGGGGATAATCTTACTTGACTTCCCTGACCACAAGAGACTTGCCTGGGAACATGCATGGAAAGCTCTGTGATGAGCCCTGAGATGTTTGAAGTGAGAACTCTCCAAACAGCCACTGTGGGCATAATCTGGAAAATTCCCTCAGGTGTAACGCTCCTCTGCCCAGCAAGTGAACAAAGGGCTGACTGGTGACAGTTTCTGGACACTGTCGCAGGCTATTTAAGCCTGCAAGCAAGCATCAACACAGAGTAGGGTCTAGGGCTGGGCACAGTGGCTCATGCCTGTAATCCCAGCAATTTGGGAGGCCAAGGCAGGAGGATTGCTTAAGGCTGGGAGTTCAAGACCAGCCTGGGCAACATAGTGAGACCCCATCTCTAAAAAAAAAAAAAAAAAAAAAAAATTAGCTGGGCATGGTGGCACTGCCTGGAGTCCTAGTTACTTGGGAGGCTGAGGCAGGAGGATCATCTGAGCCTAGGAGGTAGAGGCTGCAGTGAGCTATGATTGCACCACTGCACTCCAGCGTGGGTGACAGACCAAGACCCTGTCTCAGAGAAAAAAAATAAAAATAAAAAAGAGTAGGGTCTTTCCTAGCAGGACTGATGTCCTGTCTCCCTTCCTACCCGCTCTGGGAGGACAGCCCCCGCTGGCCACACCTGGTGACACCATTCTCTGACCAGCTCCGGGGAGGGACCCCTGGAGGAGGCGCCCACCCCTCCCTGCTGACCCCAATTTCCAAAAAGCCCATTCATTCATCCCGGGGTTGGGGGTGTGGGGGTGGTCGGAGGAGGACCCCCCCATCCTGTCCTGCACCCCCAGTCCCCGGGGGGGCGCAGGATGGGGGACCCTTAGCAGCGGTGGCGACCCCGAGGAGGCCTGGGCACAGGAAGAAAGAAAGATATTTCTGTCTCCCTCCCCGCCTCAGGTTTCGCCCTTCCCTTCCCTTCCCGGGGACAATCCCGACCTTCACCGTCAAGGCCTTTTGCAAACACACACGCACGCACATGTATTTTTGGAAGAAGGGGAAAAATTCCAAGAGAACCTCCGCTGGGTTAAAAATGAAGATTATATTAAGAGTGAAAGGCAAGCGGGGCGGCTGGGGCGCAGACAGAGGCCCCTTTCATGCGCCCGGCCGCGAGCCGCGGGCCGCTGCCAACACAAACGCGGGCGGAACCGAACCCGCGGAGCGCCGGCCGCGCTGCCAGGCCCCATCCAGCCCGCCCCGGCTGGCGCTGCTCCGCGTTTCCGCTCTGCTGACGTGCAGGAATCGCGGGGCGGCCGGGTGGGCGGCGGGGACCCCTGTGCGCCCCGAGCCCCCGGGTGGGGGCCGCACCACTGCCCGTCTCCCCTCCCTCTGCTCCTGCTCCGTCCGTTTTCTTCCAGGCCCTGGCGGATCACGGGTGCCCAGGGGCTCGGAGGCCGCCTCCTCTGGGAAGCCTGCCCAGGTTCCGCTGGACTCCCACAGGCAATACCCCTGGGCCTTCCTCGCGGCCCCTGTTGGCCCCAATTCCCCCACCCCCTGCAAGGTCTGTGCCTCTCCTGCAGCCCCGCCACCAACTAGGGCGAGAGGAGCTCGCCCCCACCCAAACGTATTGGTTCGATGAAGGAAGGGCCCATGGTTCTGCCACTGGCCCTGGACACCCAGTGCTGGTTTCCCGTGGAAGTCCCCCTGGACTGAGTGGCGGCTGGGTGCTCTAGTGATTTGCGACCTGGGGCCTCTGACTCCCATCATGTTGGGAAAGTCGTTGAACCTCACCGGTGAAACGGGCACAGTGAAGTCATTTCCCCGAAGTCTCAGGACTCTGTGTAAGGCTGGGGACAGGGGCTTGTTGGGGCCTAAGGGCACCTTGGGAACTGCAGGAGCCCGTTCTGCCTCCATAAGACACTCACTCCTGGCAGGGTCCCCTCTCCGGGCACAGCCCAGATCCACCCCCATCATCCCTCTCCATCTGTGGCTCCCTGCCCCTCACAGAGGATTCATCACTCTGTTCAGAATCCCCAGGACTCCCTAGGGAAGGAGGTCCCAGCCTGGCCTCCCAAGACCGTGCTTGCCCAATTCCAGGACTTCCTCACATGGCTCCTACCTCCAGCACAGAAGCGGCACTAAACCAGGTGGTCAATCAGGGAGCACCACCGAGGTTCTGAATGGTCCAGGGATGAGCAGTGATGCCTCAAGCTAAGCCAATCAAAGCCTTCCCTGGGATTGTCTCAAGGAGTCCGCAGTGAGATTCTGGGTCTCAGTACTGGGAAAGGGTGAGGCTGAGGCTGCCTGCTGTCCTGGGGGCCTCACCCTGCCACCAACAGGAAGCCACACAGAGGGAAGCAGAAATGAGACGCAGCCAGTGAGGGCAGGGTACAAAGGTGAGATCCCGGAGAGACAGATGCTGGGACATCATCCTTGGGTACTGGTTCCAACAGTGCCTGCAGATGGAGCCACCCTCGGAGAGTCCACAACAGCAGCCAATCCATTCTATGCGTGTCTGAGCTACTTTAAGTCGGGTTTTTGACTGTTTGAATGAGAGTCTCATCTTGGCTAGGCACCATGGCGCAACAACTGGGGAGGTGGAGGTAGGAAGATTGCTTGAGGCCAAGAGTCCCAGAGCAGCCTGGGCAACCTATCAAGACGCTGTCTTTACGAAAAGAAAAAAAACTAGCTAGGTGTGGTGGTGCGTGCCTGTGGTCCCAGCTACTGGGGAGGCTGAGGTGGGAGGATTGCTTGAGCCCAGGAAGTGGAGGCTGCAGTGACCTATGATGGCACCACTGTACTCCAGCCTGGGTGACAGAGCAAGACCCTGTCTAAAAAAAAAAAAAAAAAAAAGAAGTCCCACCGAATACCTTCATGCAGTGAAGGTCACCCCATCTGAAAAATAAAGCCTGGGCACTTGGGCTTGGTATTGGTGGCCTTTGCAAGGTGTAAGATGCGTTCCCCTCCTTGGGCCCCCCTTAAGCTTGTCCTGTACATTTCATTTACAAAGGACTTTCACAAGCATGAATGGAGGTGACCCCACCACACCCCAGGTTTCGGATAAGGAAACCGAGGCTTCAGTAGGAAGTACTGTACCCCACGTCACGCAGGCAGTGGGGGATGAGAATGAACTTGAGCCCCTCATCTGACTCCACCCCCCACTCTCACCTTCACTCCCCTGCTCTCCCTCTTCCCCCGAGGACTGACTGTTCCTGACCTCTGCACTTGGGCATCTTCACCGTGCAGTGTGACTCAAATGCTTCCTTCTCTCCTCTGCTGATTCAGACCAGCTCAGTGTGTGCCACCTCCCCTAGGCGCTTTCTGTAGAAGCCCCTTCTCCTGCCCTGGTCCTGCACCTGCCTCAGGTGTTGACACCTGAGCTCCCGATGCTTAGGGCTGGGTGGCTGCCACCCATCTTGTTACCCAGTGTGCAGAATTGGGTGCTGGAGGCACGAGCCTGCTCTATACCTATTTTTAAAATTTTTAAATTATTATTATTATTTGAGACGGAGTTTTGTTCTTGTTGCTCAGGCTGGAGTGCAATGGCACAATCTCGGCTCACCGCAACCTCTGCCTCCCAGGTTCAAGCGATTGTCCTGCCTCAGCCTCCCGAGTAACTTGGATTACAGGCATGTGCCACCACGCCTGGCTAATTTTGTATTTTTAATAGAGACGGGGTTTCTCCATGTTGGTCAGGCTGCTCTCCAACTCCTGACCTCAGGTGATCTGCCCGCCTTGGCCTCCCAAAGTGCTGGGATTACAGGCATGAGCCACTGCGCCTGGCCAATTATTATTATTTTTTGAGACGGAGTCTCAAATCTGTTGCCCAGGCTGGAATGCAGTGGCACGATCTTGGCTCACTGCAACCTCTGCCTCCTGGGTTCAAGCGATTCTCCCTGCCTCAGCCTCCCGAGTAGCTGGGGTTACAGGAATCCACCACCACGCCTGGCTAATTTTTGTATTTTTTAGTAGAGATGGGGTTTCACCATGTTGGCCAGGTTGGTCTTGAACTCCTGACCTCAGGTGATTTGCCCGCCTTGTCCTCCCAAAGTGCTGGAATTACAGGCGTGAGCCACCACGCCAGGCCCCTCTTTAGATCTGCTTTTTTTTTTTTTTTAAACAGGATCTTGCTCTGTTGCCCAGACTGGAGTGAAGTGGCACGACTATAGCCCACTGCAGCCTTGAACTCCGGGCTCAAGTGATCCTCCCGCTTCAGCCTCTCCAGTAGCTGAAACTACAGGCACACGCCACCACGCCCAGCTAATTTTTATTTTTATTTTGTAGAGATGGGGTTTCACTATGTTGCCCCGGCTGGTCTAAAATTCCTGGCCTCAAGCGATCCTCCTGCCTCCGCCTTCCGAAGTGCTGGGATTATAGGCTTGAGTCACCACCGTGCCCAGCATACATCTGCTTTCTGAATATTTGAGAGGCGGAAGGCACAAGGCGTGACAATTGATGGGATTTGGGATGTAAAGAGCAAGAGAGGACTCAAGCACAGTCGCCTCGAGGTTTCTAGCCCCGGCTGCTGTCACCAACCACTCTCAGGAAGGTAGGCAGAAGGTTACGCAGGAGAAACCGTAGGGGTAGTTCTGAGGCCCTGGAAGGGGTAGTTCTGAGGCCCCCGGGGGTGCGGAGCTGCAGGTCCAGGGAGGAGTGGTGAGGCTGGAGGAAGGTGAGGCTGGAGGAGGAGGTTCAGGAGGCTCTGAGGTAAAGATGGAGGCTGGGGCCTTGGGAGTCGAGGAGTTTACCCAAGACGAAGCATCTGTGTGGAAGAAAAGATAAGGCTGGGCGCAGTGGCTCACGCCTGTAAACCAAGCGCTTTGGGAGGCCGAGGTGGGCGGATCATCTGTGGTCAGGAGTTCGAGACCAGCCTGGTCAATATGGTGAAACCCCTTCTCTACTAAAAATACAAATATTAGCCGGGTACAGTGCACCTGTAATCCCAGCTACTCGGGAGGCTGAGGCACAAGGATCACTTGAACCCGAGAGGCAGAGGTTACAGTGAGCCGAGATCATGCCACTGCACTCCAGCCTGGGTGACAGAGCAAGACTCCATCTCCAAAAGAAAAAGAAACTATAAACATCATTGAAAGAAACTAAAGAAGACCTAAATAAATGGAAGGAAATCATGTTCATGGATTAAAAGACTTAATATTATTAAAATTTCATTACTTCAGAAGTGATCTACAGATTCAACACAATCCCTATCAAAATCCCAGCTGTGGCTGGGTGTGGCGGCTCACTTCTGTAATCCTGGCACTTCAAGAGCCAAGGTGGGAGGATTGCTTGAGCCGAGAAATTTGAGACCAGCCTGGCAACATGATCTCTACAAAAAATATAGAAATTAGCCAGGCGTTGTGGTGCCAGCCTGTAGTCCCAGCTACCCAGGAGGCTGAGGAAGGAGGATCGCTTGAGCCCAGGAGTTTGAGGCTGCAGTGGGCTATGATCACATCACTGCTCTCCGGCCTGGGCAACAGTGCAAGGTCATGTCTCAAAAAAAAAATCCCAGCTGGCTTTTTTTTTTTTTTTGAGATGGAGTCTTGCTCTGTTGCCCATGCTGGAGTGCAGTGGCGGACGATCAGCCTCAGGGCAGGCCATCTAGAAGAATTACCAAAAACACCAACCCATTTGTCTCTCTATAAAGTGCTGACATTTGTGCTCTGCAACGTACAGCTGAGAGAGCACAAAACTTGTCTGACTCAGCACAGTCTAGGAAGTCAAGCAGCTCAATCTTGAACAGGACAGTGGTGTTTGGGGGGATCAAGGGAGGGGAGCCCAGCGTTCCATAGGCGTAGTTCGGTTTGAACAGAAACCTGGCCAGCTCTCCTCTCTGCATGCTCAGAAGGCCCAGCTCCATGCCCCACAATGTAATATCTGTAAGAAGGGACAAAGAAGGTGGGTGAAGCTTGCTCAGTATCCTGCTTAATGCTATCAGTTTCTTCCCCCTCTAAGTCAGCAGTACTCTGGCCTCCATGTCTCCCTCACACAGTTCCCTCTTCCTGCAATGTCTTCCTCCTGAGCCTGTGCCCAGCTTCTAGTGATAGAAATTTTATTCAAACTTCTGGGCTCAGTTCAAATGCCCCCTCTTCCAGGAAGCCTTCCCTGAACTTCCCAGCTAGAATTAATCATGCCTTCATTAAGCACACCCACAACACTGCTTTCACCTCCCAGGCACTCATCCGATTCTACCAAGTGAGCTGAGTGCAGGTCAGTCTCCTCTACTACATTGTGAGGTCCTTAAGGGTGGAGATGTTCTAATCTTCTGAGTACAACCTCTCTTTTCACCATGTATTGTGGGAAGTAAGCATTCGTCGATTTTTACTTAATAAATGAACAAAGAAACATTCCCAGTGGTGAGTTAAGTCAGAGTGCAAAGATTATACCTTGCCCATTAAGCCATCTCCCAAATGCCTAGGTCTCAAGGGGAGAGAACATGGCTGTTTTACCAAAACCCAGCCTCAGCAAAGTCAATTCAAAGAACCTGCGCTCTGAGCAGTCTTCCCAGCCTGAGGCATGGTGCCTCATCTCGCTCCTAAACAATCCCTTCTTCTCCAGCTCCTACTCTGAATTTACCCTCTCCAAGTTTCATTAGCCGAGGAGTTTTCCTAAAGTAATTAGAATCGAAGGGTCTGTCCAAGTGTTCCAGGTATCCATACTATTTCACTAGAATAGAGGAAAGAATGTAAGGAAAATGGACCCAAAACACCCACGCCTCCATAATATCGAGTCTCTCATGATCACACAGAAACAATGCGATCAGATGAGCTTAAGCTGCCCGACACCACGAGGTACAGGAATAAATCTCTCTGCATTTTAGGAGCCTGCCCTTCGGCTCAGAGGTTCAAGAGCTTCATGGAAGCATCACGCAAAGGGGACATAGGGGTCCTTAGCTTTCCTCTTAAAAAAACTAATTCATGGCAGAAGCAGCGGCTCACGCTTGTAATCCCAGCTACTGGGGAGGCTGAGGTGGGAGGATCACTTGGGACCAGGAGTCTGAGACCAGCCTGGGCAACATAGAAAGTGCCCCATCTCTACAAAAATATTAAAAATTAGCCGGGCATGGTGGATTGCGCCTGTAAATCTCTTATTTGGGAGGCTGAGGCTGGAGAATCACTTGAGCCCAGGAAGCAGAGGCTGCAGTGAGCTATGTTCGCACCACTGCACTCCAGCCTGGGGAACTGAGCGAGACCCCGTTTCAAAAACAAAAATCCACTTCAAACAAAGCATTTCCAACCCCATTAAATGCTTTTTGAAAATGAGGCCTCTCTCTTCCCAACAGAGTGCGATGACATGGATCCTGCGGACAAACCGCCCCAGGGCGTACCTAGCACCGAAGCATCAGGCGCCACTAGGTCTCCAGCTCCTTCTCGGATGACGTCCTTCAGCACGCCCCGGTCCCCCGAGATGTCCAGCATCCTCTGACTTAACCGCTCGTACAGGGACTGATGGAGAATGAAAGCCAGGCCTCAGAGCCGCAGACCCACCCGGCCACCCCTCAGCGTCTACGCCCCCACGTCTGGGCCCTCACCTGGCCGGGGGCGTCGTCCCCTTCCAGGACTCCCTGGTTTAACGCGCTTCCCCCCATGTCCTAGCTGCCCTCCCTGTGGCGTGAGCCTTCGGCCTGGTGCGCCCCGCTGCCCTTCCTGGCTGTGACTCTGGTGGGGTTCCGAAGGCCCCTTTATGCCCGGCAGACCCCTACCGACGGCGGCATTCCATTCTGGGGCCACGAGGAGGCACTCATCGTTTCGTTCCAACCGCCGCCAACGGCCCTGGCCCTCGCGAGCTCTGGAACTACAGAGGTCGCACGGTGAGTTGCCAGGTGTGGCCCGTAATCGGAGCGCACAAAACATGATGGGACACGTAACGGGACCACACAGGGCACATTGGGCACTTGCAGGGGCGCGAGGTGGCGGCACGTAATGGGAGCGCGCTGAGCATGATGGGGCATGTGCGGGAGCGCCAGGCGGGGCATGTAACCAGAGCGTGCGGGGCATGATGGGGCACGGACATGGGGGGTTAGGTGGGGCACGTAATTGGAGCTCGCGGGGCAGGATGGGGCATCTAACTGGAGCGACAGAGAGCACGATGGGGCACTTACAGGGGCCGGAGGCTGGGTACGTAATGAGAGCGAGCGGGAAATGATGGGGCACCTAACGAGCACGCAGAGCATGATGGGGCACGGGTGCGAGGTGGGGCGCACAGTGGGAGCGCGTGGGGCATGATGGGACACATGGCGAGGCCGTCAGGGCACAGGGGAAGCACTTTTGGAACACGTGAGTGACAGGGCTGCCGCCCTTGAAGGAGCCCTCGGAGTGGCTGCGTGGTGGGGCACGTGGGGCAGGTTCAGGAAAAAGGATGCAGCATGTGATTGCAGGGCAACCTGGTGAGGACACGAGAGCCACCTGCCACCAGCAGGGTTCAGGGCTCCCAGCTGTGGGTTACTTCCACCTTCTTTCACTTTCCCTCTTCCATTGTATTCTAGAGAATTTAGGCCCAGACAAGACACTGATTGATTGATTGATTGATCGATTGACAGAGGCTCGCTCTGAGCCCAGGCTGGAGTTCAGTGATGGATCTCAGCTCACTGCAGCCGCCACCTCCTGGGCTCAAGAGATCCTCCTGCCTCGGCCTCCCAAGTAGCTGGGATTACAGACGTGCACCACCAGGCCCAGCTAATTTATTTTTTAGTTTTTAATTTGCTGGTAAGATGGTTTGTAGCTTTGTTGCCTAGGCTGGTCTTGAACTCCTGGCTTCAAGCGATCCTCCAGTCTTGACCTCCCAAAGTGCTGGGATTATAGGCGTAGGCTACAGCCAACTTTCAATACTGCCCCATTGGGGGTTACGTTTCCAACACATGAAATTAGGAGGATACATTCAAACCACAGCAGTATATTATGACCATAATATTCATTAACTGTGTAACAGGCTGGGCGCGGTGGCTCACACCTGTAATCCCAGCACTTTGGGAGACCAGAGTGGGTAGATCACTCGAGGTCAGGAGTTTGAGACCAGCCTGGCCCACATGATGAAACCGCCTCTCTACTAAAAATACAAAAAATTAGCCGGTGTGGTGGCAGGCGCCTGTAACCTCAGCTACTTGGGAGGCTGAGGCAGGAGAATCACTTGAATCCGGGAGGTGGAGGTGGCAGTGAGCCTGATTGCACCACTGCACTCCAGCCTGGGCAACAAGAGCAAAACTCTGTCTCAATAAACAAACAAACAAACAAAACCTGTATAACAGAGTGTCATTGAATTTCTAAACGTTGAAAGACTTCACATTAAAAAAAAACTCACAATTTAATATTATTGAGTGAAAGAAACCAGACACAAAAGGGTACATTCTATATGATGCTGTTTATGTGACATTCAAAAACAGGCCACATGACAACATGGTAATAAGGACAGTGGCTGTCCTTGTTAGGAGTTATGACTGGAAGGAGGCAGGAGGGAGCTTTCTGGAAACACTGTACATCTTGCTCTTGAGAGTGCACGTATATACATCAAGTGTTTATCAAGCTGTGTGGTTAAGATTTGCACACTTGTATATGTTATACCTCGATTTAAAAAATCTAAATAAGTAAATAAAGATACCTTCAAATCTTTAAAAAAAAAAAAAAAAAGAGGCCAGGTTCGGCGGCTCACACCTGTAATCCCAGCACTTTGGGAGGCTGAGGTAGGAGGATTGCTTGAGGCCAGGAGTTCAAAACCAGCCCAGGCAACAAAGTGAGACCCCTGTCTCTACTAAAGTAAATAAAACAATAAAATAAAAAAAAAAATTCGAGAGATCGAACCATCATCTGCCAGTTTGTATTAGAAAAAAAGAGAGAGAGAAGGAAGACTGCGTGCAATAAGGCTCATGCCTGTAATCCCAGCACTTTGGGAGGCCAAGGTGGGAGGATTGCTTGAGCCCAGAAGTTGAAGACCAGCCTGGGCAACAAAGCAAGACCCGGTATCTACAAAAAAAATTTTAAAAATTAGCTTGGCATGGTGGCACGTGCCTGTAGTCCCAGCTACTCAGGCAGCTAAGGTAGGAGGATGGCTTGAGCCTAGGAGTTGGAGGCTGCAGTGAGCTGTGACCACGCCACTGCACTCCAGCCTGGGCAACAGAGCAAGACACTGTCTTCCCCTGCCCCCCAGCCCCCCACCCCCCCCAAAAAAGGATATAAGAGCAAGAGATTGAGATTCAGAAAGAACTGTTTCCCAGCACCTGTCTGCTCCTGTCGGGGTCGTGAGGTGTGGACAGTGTGCCTAGTCCCTCTGTTTCTGCCCCTCCTCCACAGTGGCCAAGGCCAGCACTTGAATGTTATCAGAGCAGGCCCAACAAAGGCTGCCTCCCCAGTCCTGTGATGTAACCCAGTTTCCACCTGATTCTGGTGACCTTGGGGACACAGGGGTGTTGCTGGGGAAGGGGAGGAGAGAAGGGGCAGAGACCAGGCAGTGGTGCAGGCGTCCAGCTGCACTTCCCACTTCTGACTCTGTGCCTGCTGTTCCCTGCTGGGAAGAAGAAAAGCCAGTGATGCTGGCTTGAGGCCATAGTGGGAGGCCCAGTGGATCCTGAGAAGCTAGGTATTCCAATGTCGGGCTCTCGCTGGGGGCTTCTGGTGCTTCTTCTGTCTCACTGACAAGCTTTCATAGGGGAGCAGGTGGGAGATCAGGGTAGAGGCCTTGTAGGTTCCAGGCTCTCTAGAATTACCTGGGAGTGTCACCTATAAGTGTAGAGTTCTGGGTCTCACTGGAGACCCCCTGAAGCAGATCCTTTGAAGGTGGGCCTCTAGAATCTCTATTACACCTATGCTTTCAACAGTTTCCTGAAAGTTTGGGAACTGATCTAGAAGGTGGGGAGCTTGCCTAGGTTTTGCTGTTCAGTTCTAGGTCCGGATGCATGCTGGGGCTGGACCTTGCATTATTAGTGTCACTGCAAATGACCCTGCAGATGGCCCCTTTCATGCTTGTCTCCAAATTTGAGTAAAAAATGTAGACACACACACACACACACACACACACACACACACACGTATCTTCAAGGGACCAGTTTTTTCACTGCAGTCTTTTGTTTTACAGCTGTGGAAACTGAGGCCCAAGGTCATGTGGGTTAGGACTGGGATCCAGGACTCAAAGTGTTTCTTATAAAATTCTGGTGCTCCTTAGGGTTGAGGGTGGTGGGTGAGTGCTGGACAGGGGGAGGGGAGTGGACAGGACTGAGGTCGGATGCCTGTGTTTCAGCCCGGGCAGTGAGTGTGGATGGCTTGGCAGGTGAGCCTGCTGGAGCTGGAGGACTGGCTTCAGTGTCCCATCTGCCTGGAGGTCTTCAAGGAGTCCCTAATGCTACAGTGCGGCCACTCCTACTGCAAGGGCTGCCTGGTTTCCCTGTCCTACCACCTGGACACCAAGGTGCGCTGCCCCATGTGCTGGCAGGTGGTGGACGGCAGCAGCTCCTTGCCCAACGTCTCCCTGGCCTGGGTGATCGAAGCCCTGAGGCTCCCTGGGGACCCGGAGCCCAAGGTCTGCGTGCACCACCGGAACCCGCTCAGCCTTTTCTGCGAGAAGGACCAGGAGCTCATCTGTGGCCTCTGCGGTCTGCTGGGCTCCCACCAACACCACCCGGTCACGCCCGTCTCCACCGTCTGCAGCCGCATGAAGGTGGGGAGTGAGGGTGCAGGCGGGGCGGCGGGGCCCGCGGGGACTGGATCCTGTGCTCTCTGGCGCTATCAACTGGCACCAAAACGGATCCAGCTATCCTCGATTTCCCTGCAGCCCTGCCCTGGCGCATTCATTCCTTAGTGTTTGAGCGGCAGCTAAACCCAGGTGCTGGGGATTGAAGCTACACGCACAGGATGGGAGCTCCCTGGTGTCACGTGCTCACCCCTTCCTGTTTTTTGTTTGCAGTTCTGGTTTGTTTCTTTTTCTTTTTTTCTTTCTCTCTCTCCCGCCCCCTTCCCTTCCTCTCTCTCTCTCTCCCCCTCCCTCGCCCGCCCCCCCTTTCTTTTTCTTCTTTCTTTTTGGAGACAGCGTCTCACTCTGTTGCCCAGGCTGGAGTGCAGTGGTGTGATCATGGCTCACTGCAGCCTCCAACTCCTAGGCTCAAGCAATCCACCCACCTCAGCCTCCCGAGCAGCTGGGACTACAGGTGCACACCACCATGCCCAGCTCATTTTTTATATTTTGTAGAAATGGGGTCTGGTTATGTTGCCCAGGCTGGTGTTGAATTCCTTGGCCTCCAACGATCTTCCTGCCTGGGCCTCCCAAAGTGCTGGAATTATAGGCATGCACCACTGCCCTACGCCCCTTGTTTGTGTCTGGACACTCCCCTGTTTGCACTCTCTGGTGCATGAGAGTGGGGACTTCATTTTGTCCCCTGGTGTATTTCAGTGCCTGGAGCCATGCCTGGCACATTGTAAATGTCCAAAATGCTGAATCAGTGAATTCCTGCCTTTATAGGCCATCACCAAACCTAGCAGATCATTCTTTAAGATGAGTAATAATAATACCTGACTGGGTGTTATATATATAAAACACCTGTTATAAAACACGTGACTGGGTGGCTTATGCCTATAATAACAGCACTTTGGGAGGCCGAGGTGGGTGGATCACTTGAGTCCAGGAGTTTGAGACCAGCCTGGGCAACATAGTGAGACCCTGCCTCTACAAAAGTTTCAAAATTAGCCTGGTTGGCCAGGCGCAGTGGCCACTCCTGTAATCCCAGCATAAAGCTGGAGGGAGCATGGGTGGGGGCGAGATAGGGCCAGCGAGGTAAGCTGCGGCTGGGGCATGGAGAGGCCAGTGTGACCCGGGAATGGATTTGGAGTTTATTCACAGGATGAGGGAGAAAGGCGGGGGCTGGAGTGTTTTAAGCCAGTGATGACATGCTCAGATCTCTCTGGCAGAGGGGAGCTTTGAGGGTGAGGCAAAAGGACAGTGAGAGATGAAGGTGCCAGGACCTAAGTTGGTGGGAACTGGGACAAAGGCCTGGGGCAGACCAAAGACAAATTTCAAACAGAAAAAAACCCTGACAACTGTGTGTGGCAAGGAGGGTGAGGGATGGGGAGGTTGACTCCAGCTCTGTAATTCCCCCTTGCACAGAGGAAGTGATCGCAGGGGAGGATCCGGCGTGGGCAGGTGGAGCGGGAGGTGCCTGGGGATGTGCAGTCGGGTTGAGGGGTGTGCAGACCAGGACAGCGGTGGGGCTCAGGGCAAGAGGTGTGGAGGGTCCTTCCTCTTGGTGGTCACTGAAGTCCCCTTTGGTGGAGAAGACCAACCCAGGAGAGTCTACATAGTGATAAGGGAAGACACTGATGATGACCCCAAGGGGTACCAGGCTTAAAATCTGGATTGAGAGAGAGAGAGCCCTGAAAAAGGAATAGAAAGAATCCTCAGAGCAGGAACACCGGCTGAGTGTGGCCTCCCGGAAATCAGAGAGACAGACTGAAGGAGGAGATCACGTGTGTGAAATGTCTCTGAGGACTGAAAAGTGTTAAATGTAGCAGTAAGAACTGATTATCTTGGCAAGAGCAGGTTTAGGGGAGTATGGAAGGTGGAAGCCAACTGCAGGTGAGGAAGCCGAGTTTATGTTTTATTAGTTGATGGGAAGGAGGGAGGGAACAGGCTGGGAGATTGTCTGTCCTTTGTAGTTAGGATCCAGCAGCTCAGCTTGGGTCCCTGTTTTAGATTTGGGCTTAATTTTTTTTTTTTTGGTAGAGACAGGGTCTCACTATTTTGTCCAGGCTGGACTCAAACTCCTGGCCTCAAGTGATCCTCCCGTCTCGGCCTCCCAAAGTGCTGGGATTCCAGGCATGAGCCACTGTTCCCGGCCAGATTTGGGTTTTGATGATCCCGAGGCTCTTCTCTGTTGCAACACAGAATACAACTAAATTGCACTCCTTTATTGCCCTCTTTAAGGTGTTCCCGTTGCCTCCTGTTTATTGAGATCTTGAGATGCTCGATTGATGGGTGCATTGATTTGCATAACTTAGTTCTTCTCACGGGGAAGGAATGAGTCCCGTCTGTCTGCCTGGGGAGGGTGACATTGGAATGCTGTTCTTAGGCCTCTGTGAGATGTTCTGATGCCTCATTCTCCAGAGCAAGGACTCTGTCCGTTTATGCCAGCAAGTGCTTGATTCTTTACCCAACTCCCTTCCTGAAAGCCCCTTGCAGCTCTCTGGTGCTTGGGCACGATCCAAGCCAAAAATTCTGTACATTGCATGGGTATAAACCGACGGGGGCTCTGGTCAAGTCATGGAGTAGATGGTGGTCCAGGAGTCCTGGTTGGCACCCCCAAGGCTAGGTCAGATTTGGGGCCCGGGCAGTCCAGGAGAAGTGCATTTATGTCAGCTTGGGGAGGTCGCAAATCCGTGCTGTGTCCAAGCCCACCAGGAATGGATTCAGGTGTTTATAGGTGTGGGGATTCACCAGGTTAAACCCAGGCCCGTGTGAGCACCACTGGCCCTAGAATTAGCCTCACCTGGCGCCGGCCTTTTTGTGATGGCTCCTGATTAAATACCCACTAATTCTGGATCTGCTGGTGACCACAGAGTTCACCTGATGGGTCCCCTACAGGCAGCATTCAATCCAGGAAGTGCCAGCATCACATGGTGACTTCTGGTAGCTGTAACATTTAGTGACTGTCTCCATGTCATGCACAGGGGTGACATCGAGACCCTCTTATGCCTGGGAAGTTCCTGCTGTCAATGCAGAATATTCTCTTTTTTTTTTTTTTTTTTTGAGACGGAGTCTCGCTCTGTCGCCCAGGCTGGAGTGCAGTGGGCGATCTCGGCTCACTGCAAGCTCCGCCTCCCAGGTTCACGCCATTCTCCTGCCTCAGCCTCCCGAGTAGCTGGGACTACAGGCGCCCGCTACCACGCCCGGCTAATTTTTTGTATTTTTAGTAGAGACAGGGTTTCACTGTGTTAGCCAGGATGGTTTCGATCTCCTGACCTCGTGATCCGCCCGCCTCAGCCTCCCAGAGTGTTGGGATTACAGGCGTGAGCCACCGCGCCCGGCCCAGAATATTCTTTGAAGAAAAAAAAAACATTAGAGATGGGATTTCACTGTGTTGCCCAGTCTGGTCTCAAATTCCTAGCCTCAAGTGATCCTCCCATCTTGGCCTCCTAAAGTGCTGGGATTACAGGCATGAGCCACTGTGCCCAGCCTAGAATATTCTTTTTTTTTTTTCTTGAGATGGAGTCTTGCTCTGTTGCCCAGGCTGGAGTGCTGTGGCGCAATCTCGGCTCACTGCAACCTCCTCCTCCCAAGTTCATGCCATTCTCCTGACTCAGCCTCCGGAGTAGCTGGGACTACAGGTGCCCGCCACCATGCCCGGCTAATTTTTTTTGTATTTTTAGTAGAGACAGGGTTTCACTGTGTTAGCCAGGATGGTCTCGATCTCCTGACCTCGTGATCAGCCAGCCTCGGCCTCCCAAAGTGCTGGGATTACAGGCGTGAGCCACCGCGCCCGGCCCTTAGAATATTCTTGAATTATCTTATTTTTTATTTTTATTTTTTGAGACAGAGTCTCACTGTGACACCCAGGCTGGAGTGCAATGGCATGATCTCAGCTCACTGCAACATCAATCTCCCAGGTTCAAGCGATTCTCGTGCCTCAGCCTCCCAAGTAGCTGGGACTACAGGTGTGTGCCACCACACCTGGCTAATTTTTGTATTTTCAATAGAAATGGGGTTTCACCATGTTGGCCAGGCTAGTCTCAAACTCCTGACCTCAAGTGAAGTCCCACCTCAGTCTCCCAAAGTGCTGGAATTACAGGCGTGAGCTACTGCGCCCAGACTATTCTTGAACAATTTAACCTGTTTTGGACTCAAGGGTACCTGGGTGGCTCTGGTTCCCGCCCTGGTTTCCCTGGGAGTGCTTGTGGCCATTGGGATACTCCCAAGAAGGTGATCCAAGGAGCTGAGAAGGGGAGGGATCAGCTGCTCATGGGGCCATGGCCTGTTGCCTCCAGGAGGAGCTCGCAGCCCTCTTCTCTGAGCTGAAGCAGGAGCAGAAGAAGGTGGATGAGCTCATCGCCAAACTGGTGAAAAACCGGACCCGAATCGTCGTGAGTGCCCCTTCCCTCTGCCCCTGCCTGGGACCGGCCACCTTCACTTTCCTGTAGAGCTCAGTTCTCATTGGTCCTTTACAGAAAACCATGCCTTCCATATAAAGCCAGAACTCAAAGCATTCCGGGGCGGGGTGGGGAAAGCGCAAATCCTCTCAGGGGAATTCAACCCAGTTGTCGTTAGGACTGGCTCCAAGTTGGCTTTTGCCCTCTGTGTCCTTGAGACTGAGATAACCCAGGACTTGAGTCTCGGGGGTAAACAGCTGAAAGCATGGGCGTGACTCCTCCGCCCCTGTGCCACCTGTGTCTGCTTGACCTTGCCAGCCTGTCATGGTGCCCTCCCAGTACCTGGGTGCGCAGGCGTGGAGAGGCTGGCAGCCCTGGGCCCTGGCTGATCTCCTGAACTGAGAGGCACATGGGGCTGGGACGCATAGTGCCCCGGCCCTGGAGGTGGCTGTGAAACAGAAACAGGAGCCGAGCAAGATCCAGAAGCACTTGGCCTCCCTCATTTACCCTCCTCACCCTTGCGCGGCAGGCGGTATCAGCCCTGCCTGGTGGAGGCGGAGCTCAGGGTTCTGCAGGGAGTTCTGGCTCCCTCACAGCAAAGCCCGCTCGCCCAGGGCCTTCCTGCTTTCCTTCAGTTGTGGAACTCTGGGATATGCACATTTAATAGCTGAAATAGGCAAAGTGGGGTGTGGTGGCGTGCATCTGTAATCCCAGCAACTCGGGAGGCTGAGGCGGGAGGATTGCTTGAGGCTGGGAGGTCAAGGCTACAGTGAGCTATGATCGTGCCACTGCGCTCCAGCCTGGGCAACAGAGTGAGACCCTGTCTGTTAAAAAAAAAATTAAAAATTAAAACAGGCCAAAGCAGAGCCTCTCCATTTGAAATGGGAGCTGGGGCCACCCTCCCCACGGCCACCGCCAGGGCTCCCCATGCATGGGGTGAACTCCCTGCCCGGCGCCAGGCCATGCAGCCTCCCCTGAGACTCAGGTCCCAGGACCAACCCGGTCAGGAAGGCCCTGGGGACACCGAGGCCAGCCAGACAGAGCCTGGCAGCTCGGCTGTGACTCTGCAGTGAGCAGCCCTCCCTGTCCCAGAATGAGTCGGATGTCTTCAGCTGGGTGATCCGCCGCGAGTTCCAGGAGCTGCGCCACCCGGTGGACGAGGAGAAGGCCCGCTGCCTGGAGGGGATAGGGGGTCACACCCGTGGCCTGGTGGCCTCCCTGGACATGCAGCTGGAGCAGGCCCAGGGAACCCGGGAGCGGCTGGCCCAAGCCGAGTGTGTGCTGGAACAGTTCGGAAATGAGGACCACCATGAGTTCATCTGGGTGAGTGGACAGGGAGGCGTCCCATCCCCATACCCGCCAGGGCCTTCCCCTTCCCAACAGTGCCCTGGCTTCCCACCTTCTAGCCTTAACCTCCCTCTCTCTTGCCTTCCAGAAGTTCCACTCCATGGCCTCCAGGTAATAACCTTGGAGAGAGCTCAGCCAGGGTCTGGTGGCTGCGGGCACGGGCATCTCAGCTCCACTGGTTCCTCCATTCAGCTTAACCAGCGCCTCCCAAGCAGCTGCCTATAGCTGGCTCTATAACTGAGCCTGGGGAAGATAGAGGAAAGTCACGTCCCTGCCTTCAAGGGTCTCGCAGACAGGTGGGGAGGCAGATGGTGAACTGTGGGTACCTAGAACAGCAGAAGTTCACTCAAGCTACAGAAATACTAGAGGAGGGTAGCTCATGCCTGCAATCCCAGTACTTTGGGAGGCCAAGGCAGGAGTATTGCTGGAGGCCGGGAGTTCGAGACCAGCCTGGCCAATGTAGTAACACCCCCGTCTCTACAAAAAATACAAAAATAAAAAAATTAGTTGGGCATGGTGGCATGCGCCTATAGTCCCTGCTACTCATAAGGCTGAGGTGGGAGGATTGCTTGAGCCCAAAGTTTGATGCTGCAGTGAGTCATGATCATGCTACTGCATGATCCAGCCTGGGTGACAGAGCGAGACCCTGTCTCAGAAAACAAAACACTAGAGGAGGAGCAGGTGTCTGGGAGGCCTGGCAGAGGGGCACACGCCTGATGGCTGAGAAGGGCCCAGGACCCGAGTTTGCCAGGCAAGCCGAGGGAACAGTCCTGTAAAAGGGGGAGTGGCGTGCGGACTCTGGTTATGAGAAGTTCAGGGTGGCTGGATGTAAGGCAGGATATCAGGAGGAGTGGGAGCTGGGAGAGGTGGGAAATGGCCAGAAGCAACATCCAGGAGCACCAGGCATCCCTTGCTTACCGTCCTCACCCTTGCGCAGCAGGCAGTATCAGCCCTGCCTGAAACTTGCTCTGCAGATTGTGGGAAGAGAGCGGATCCATGTTCTAGACCCAACAAACGAACACGTGCAGTTCCCAAGCCTTCCTCACTCCCTGTTTATGGGAGACTCCTTGTTTCTCACATTTCTTTTAGTCTTAGAGACAATTTGGTCAGGAGACATGGGTTTAAATGAAGGCACAGAGCCTGGGCACAGCAGCTTACACCTGTAATCCCAGCACTTTGGAAGGCCAAGGCAGAAGGATGACTTGAGGTCAGGAGATCAAGACCAGCCTGGCCAACATGGTGAAACCCTGTCTCTATGAAAAATACAAAAATTAGCTGGGTGTGGTGGCACATACCTGTAATCCCAGCTACTCGGGAGGCTGAGGCACAAGAATCTCTTGAACCTGGGAGGTGGAGGTTGCAGTGAGCTGAGATTGCTCCACTGCACTCCAGCCTGGGTGACAGAGCAAGACTCCATCTCAAAAAAAAAAGAAAAGAAAACAAGAAAAAAAAAAGTCCGGGCATGGTGGCTCATGCCTATAATCCCAGCACTTTATGCTCAAGTCTGCTTTTTTTTTTTTTTTTTTTGAGATGGAGTCTCGCTCTGTCACCCAGGCTGGAGTGCAGTGGCACGATCTCAGCTCACTGCAACCTACACCTCTCAGGTTCAAGTGATCTCCTGCCTCAGCCTCCCGAGTAGCTGGGATTACAGGTGTGCACCCCATGCTCAGCTAATTTTTTTATTTTTAATATAGATGGGGTTTTGCCATGTTGACCATGCTGGTCTCGAACTCCTGACCTCAAATGATTCGCCTGCCTCGGCCTCCCAAAGTGCTGGGATTACAGGCGTGAGCCACCGTGCCCAGCCTTGAGTCTTTATTTTTAGAGACAGGATCTTGCTCTGTCACCCAGGCTGGAGCGCAGTGGTGCAACTGTAGCTCACTGCAGCCTTGACCTCCCAGGCTCAAGTGATCCTCCTGCCTCAGCCTCCTGAGTAGCTGGGACGACAAGTGTCTGCTACCATACCCAGCTAATATTTAAATTTTTAGTAGAGATGGGATCTTGCTATGTTACCCAGGCTGGTCTGGGCCTCAAGCAATCCTCCCACCTTGGCCTCCCAAAGTGTTGGGATTATAGGTGTGAGCCACTGTGCTTAGCCTCCCATAACCCTTTGATTCACGATACTCATAGGCTAAGTGGGTCCTGGAAGCTCCGGGGTAGCCTTCTAACCAAGATGCTGGCTCGGGCCACTGGAAGTCAAACTGGGTGCACAGACCAGTGAGAGGGCATGAGGGAGCCTAGCAGGGGTGAACAGCAACCCTCAGCCTCCCCACAGCCCTGCCTCTCCTCCTGCCTCTCCTCGGTCTCCTTTGAGGATTCAGCCTCTCGTCCTCACCACTTATGGTCTGAGGGCCTCCAGGCTCCTCTTCTGGCTGTCTACCCCTCCACACCCATAGCTCCAGTCATCACTTCCACAGGGATGACTCAGAAGTTCCCTCTCCGGGAGACCCGTCCCTTACAGGCCACATCCAGTAGCGCTCCAGCCATTCAGCAGCTCCGCCTGGACGTCAAGGGCATGTCCAAAACCGCGCTCATGATCTTCCTACTCCCCCATCCCTGAGATTTATCCTGTGGCTGTGGTGTCCTGTGGCTACTGTAACAAATGACCACAAACTTGGTGGCTTCAAACAAATTTAATCTCTCATGGTTCTGAAGGCCAGATGTCCAAGATCACGATGATGGCAAGGCCGCGCTCCCTCTGGAGACTGTCGGGGAAAACCTGCCCCTTTCCTCTTCAGCTTCAGGTGGTGGCTGCCATGCCCTGGTGTTTCCTGGCCTGTGACCGCATCATTCCAATCTCTGCCTCCATCTTCACGTGGCCTTTTCTGTATGTGCCGGTCTAATCTTCCTCTGCTTCTCTCTTATTTTTTGTTTTTTGAGACAGAGTCTCACTCTGTTGCCCAGGCTGGAGTGCAGTGGTGTGATCTCGGCTCACTGCAACCGCCACTTCCCAGGTTCAAGCAATTCCCTTAACTTAGCCCCCTGAGTAGCTGGGATTACAGGCGTGCACTCAGCAAATTTTTGTATTTTTAGTAGAGACGTGGTTTCACCATGTTGGCTAGGCTGGTTGTGAACTCCTGGGCTCAAGGGATCCACCAGCCTCAGTCTCCCAAAGTGCTGGGATTACAGGTGTGACCCACTGCGCTTCTCCCTATAAGAGAGGCCTTCCTCTGCCTCTCTCTTATAGGGATACTTGTGATGCCATGCAGGACCTGCCCAGATAATCCAGGATAACCTTCTCTCCAAATCCTTCCCCTGATCACTCCTACAGATCTCTTCCATAGAAGGTGACATTTCCAGGCTCTAGGAATTAGGACCTGCTCTCTCTGGGTGGCCGTTGTTCACTCCACCACCCCAGGTTTCCCCATCCTACCAAAAGACACAGCAGCATTGTGTCAACTGCCCAAACTGAAAACCTATGAGTTATTCTCGACCTGTCCTTTTTCCTGAGCAAGTTCTGTGGATTTAACTTAGCGGTCACACTGCCAACTTCAACCGAACTCCACTGCCACCAACTCAGTCCAGGCCACCAGTTCTTGTTTAGGTGACTGCCATGACCCCCATTGGTCTCTCCCTGCCTCAACTCTGTCCCCTCCATCCTATATCCCCACACTGTAACCAGACTGATTATTTATTTATTTATTTATTTTTTGGGGAAAGAAGCTTGCTCTATCCCCCAGGCTGGAGTGCGGTGGCACAATCTCAGCTTACTGCAACCTCCGCCTCCCAGGTTCAAACGATTCTGCCTCAGCCTCCCAAGTAGCTGAGATTACAGGTGTCTGCCACAATGCCTGGCTAATCTTTGTATTTTTAGTAGAGACGGGTTTTGTCATGTTGGCCAGGCTGGTCTCAAACTCCTGACCTCAAGTGATCCACCTGCCTTGGCCTCCCAAAGTGCTAGGATTACAGGTGTGAGCCACCGCACCTGGCCAGACTGATCTTTAAAGAAGTATACATGAACACAGCACTCCATGACTTAAAACCCTTAAGAGGACTACCATTTATCTCAAGATGAAAGAACAAAATCCTCGCTGGGCACAGTGGTTCATGCCTGTAATCACTGCTTTGGGAAGCCGAGGTGGGAAGATCACTTTAGGCCAGGAGTTCGAGACCATCCATGGGCAACATGGTGAGACCGCATTTCTACAAAAGATAAAATTAGCTGGGTGTGGTGGTGCACGTCTGTAGTCCCAGCTACTTGGAGGGTGAAGTGGGAGGATCACTTGAGCCCTGGAGTTCGAGGCTGCAGTGAGCTATGACGGTGCCACTGCACTCCAGCCTGGGTGACGGAGTGGGACCTCATCAAAAGCAAAAACAAAACCGTTATTGTGGCTTTGAGGCCTGGATCATAACTACATCATTTAATTTGGCCAAACCGGCCCATTTCAGGTACCCAAATACCCCGTGTGCTTTCTTGCTTGGCTCTGGGACTAATGTGGTTACTGGTGCAGGGTGAGTGGCAGGTATCATGAACCACATTGTGGACCTGGAGTTGCTAGGACCTTTTCTGCCATTACACAGAAAAATCCTCCCTGAGAACACAGCCATTGGAGGACACATGGCAGAGGAAGATAAGACAATAAACAGAGACACATAATTATGGCCAGCGTGGGGGCTCACGCCTGTAATCCCAAAACTTTGGGAGGCCGAGGTGGGCAGATCACCTAAGGTCAGGAGTTCGAGGCCAGCCTGGCCAACATGGTGAAACCCCGTCTCTACTAAAAATACAAAAATTAGCCGGGCGTGGTGGCACGGGCCTGTAGTCCTAGCTACTCCAGAGGGTGAGGCAGGAGAATTGCTTGAACCTGGGAGGCGGAGGTTGCAGTGAGCCAAGATCGCGACACTGCGCGACAGAGTGAGTCTTTTTGTCTGAAAAAAAAAAAAATATATATATATATATATATATATACACACATACACACATAATACACACACACATATATATATGAAATGACCAATACACATGTGAACATATTCAACGCAATAACTGCGGTTAAACAGCAGTAAAATCCCATTATTTATCCATCAGATTGACAAAGACTGAAGAACTGGAGAAGAAGTGGCGAAACGGGCTCGCAGCGTCGCATTCCCTACCCCAGCAGGTGCGCCCGCAGCGTCGCACTCCCTAGCCCGGCAGGTGCGCGATCACACACACACCCTGCAGGGGGACTTCGACCGGCACTTCCGGTCCCGGAAGGGCATGCCCTTGGACCCCGGAAGTCCGGGCGGGGGCAGAGCCGGGTGCGCTTTGCGACAGAGCCGTAAAGGCGCGCGGGAACATGGGGCTGTACGCTGCGGTGGCAGGCGTGCTGGCCGGCGTGGAGAGCCGCCAGGGCTCTATCAAGGGGCTGGTGTACTCCAGCAACTTCCAGGTAGCGGGCCCGCGCGCCACAAGTAGGGGTGGGGGGTGAGGAACCCGGGGTGGGGTGGGACGGGCCCGGATGGGGTCGGGAGGTGGGGCCCGGCGAGGAGGGCCGGGGGAGCCCCCGACCCAGCTTGTCTCCCTCGGCCACACAGAACGTGAAGCAGCTGTACGCGCTGGTGTGCGAAACGCAGCGCTACTCCGCCGTGCTGGATGCCGTGATCTCCAGCGCCGGCCTCCTCAGTGCGAAGAAGCTGCAGCCGCACCTGGCCAAGGGTAGGGGCGGGGCGGGGAAGTGAACCCCGACGGTCAGCGCTTTGTCATCTGGTTTCAGCCCCGCTGCCGTGCACGGCGGGACTGGAGCAAGTCGCTCACCTGAAATGAGTATGAGCAGACCTTCCCTGGGTTACGAATTGAGATGGGATGAAAATGCTTTAACTTCGAGTGTTTTGAAGGATTAAATAACCGAAGTACAAAGTAGTAGTAGCGGAGACAGTAAGGAAGTCGGGCGTGGCGGCGCGCACCTGTGGTCCCAGCTACTCGGAAGGCTG
The DNA here is from genome assembly GCF_000001405.40 of Homo sapiens. NCBI lineage: Eukaryota > Metazoa > Chordata > Mammalia > Primates > Hominidae > Homo > Homo sapiens. The sequence goes on along the minus strand of NC_000007.14, from coordinate 72,954,083 downwards.
AGGGGGGAGGATCACTTGAGCCCAGGAGTTCGAAGCTGCAGTGAGCTGTGATGTGGCCACTGCACTTCAGCCTGGGCGACAGATCTAGACCCCATTCTAAAAAAAAACAAAAACCCCAAACCCACACCCACGAAAGGGTAATGTTGGCAAGAAGTTGGGTGCAGAGGTCTACTGGTGAACATCTGTGGGGAAAGGGTCTAAGGCTGGGAAGCGAGACGCCAGGTTCCGATCCTGTTGTGTAGTTAATTTCTGGTGTGGTCTTGAGTAAGGTACCCCACCTTTATCTGTAACCATCTAGTCAGGTGATCTCTTTAGCCATTCCAGTGCCCGGGCTCTATTAGAGTTAGTTCTAAGGCATTCATACTTCTTGCTTAGGGCGTTTCTGTCTTTGATCCCTCATCCCCAGGTGCTAGTGTATGAGTTGTTGGGAAAGGGCTTTCGAGGGGGTGGGGGCCAATGGAAGGCTCTGTTGGGACGGCACCAGGCGAGGTGTTGAGTTGGCTCGGCTCAAGGTTCTTCGGGGTGTGAGCTGGCATGAGGACCTGTTGGAAGTGGGATCCAGGCCTGGTCCAGGTGAGCTGGAAGGAGTTGAGGGGCGGGGGAGGTGGGGAACTTTGCTCCTGCCTACTCACTGCTCATTGCGTCCTACCTAGCCTCCCAGCTGCCTCGATTTGTGCGTGTGAACACTCTCAAGACCTGCTCCGTTTATGTAGTTATTTCAAGAGACAAGGTTTCTCCTATCAGGGTCGGGCTTCCAGGTGAGAGCTTAGAGCCCTGGCTGTCCTCATCTAGGGAGGTGTCTGGGGTACTGGGAAGAGAAGTGGTTGGATAGTTGTGACTTTGCTCTCTGGGCTTTGTTCCTACCTTTCCAGCAGTTTCTCCATCTCCAAGGTTTGTTTTCCTCGCATCCCTTAAACATCGAACTCCTAGGAGCCCCATCCTACATTCTTCCGGAGCTCTCCGTTTTTTCTCTAACTTTAGCTCCTGCCTCCCACCTGGTGATTCTCACCGCCCAGTGTAGACTTCCCTTTTGCATTCTTCCCTCCTTAGGTTCACATGAATGCACCACAGATGCCACAGTCGCTGCATTCATCTTTCCTCTCAGACTTTACACTTAGTACATCCCCAGTTTAATCTAACAGATGTCACCGTTTTCCACCCATTTGGTCAAGCCAGAAACCGAGTCATCCTAGGTGCTTCCTTCCCCTCCCTCCAATCATTTACTCCTCCACCTTGAGCATCTTTCTCAGCTCCACTCCTTTTTTTTTTTTTTTTTTTAGGACTGAGTCTCGCTCTGTCACTCTCACCGAGGCTGGAGTGCAGTGGCATGATCTTGGTTCACTACCTCCAAGGTTCATGCAATGCTCCTTCCTCAGCCTCCTGCGTAGCTGGGATTAGAGGCTCCCACCACCATGTCCAGCTAATTATTGTATTTTTAGTAGAGATGAGGTTTCACCATGTTGACCAGGCTGGTCTCAAACTCCTGACGTCAGGTGATCTGCCCATCTTGGCCTCCCACAGTGCTGGGATTACAGGCGTGAGCCACAGTGCCCGGCCTCCACTCCTTTCTCTTAATTCCCCCGGACACTGCCTAGGTTAAGCACTCATTTCTTATTGGGATGACCACAAGAACTTCCCAGACTGGTCTCTCTGCTTCCAGACTGTCTCACTGCATTTTCCTTGAGGTTGACTGTAGGAAGCTCTAAAGGCAGATCTGATGCATTACTCCTCTGCTAAGCCTTTTTTTTTTTTTTTTTTTTTTGAGAGAGTTTTGCTCTTGTTTCCCAGGCTGGATGGAGTGCCCTGGCGCGATCTCGGCTCACCGCAACCTCTGCCTCCTGGGTTCAAGCGATTCTCCTGCTTCAGCCTTCTGAGCAGCTGGGATTATGAAGGGGTGGCCTGCCCCTCCACATCTGTGGGATATCTCATCAGGTGGGACAAGAGACTGAGAAAAGAAATAAGACACAGAGACAAAGTATAGAGAAACAACAGTGGGCCCAGGAGACTGGCACTTAGCATACCAAGGACCTGCACCAGCACTGGTCTCCGAGTTCCCTCAGTTTTTATTGATTATTATTTTCATTATCTCAGCACAAGGAATGCGGTAGGAGAGCAGGGTGATAATAAGGAGAAGGTCAGCAAAAAAACCTGTGAGCAAAGGAATCTGTGTCATAATTAAGTTCAAAGGGAGGTACTATGCCTGGATGTGCACGTAGGCCAGATTTATGTTTCCCTCCGCCCAAACATCTGTGGAGTAAAGCATAACAAGGCAGCATTGCTGCCAACATGTCTCGCCTCCCGCCATAGGGTGGTTTTTCTCCTATCTCAGAATTGAACAAATGTACAATCGGGTTTTATACCGAGACATTCAGTTCCCAGGGGCAGGCAGGAGACAGTGCCCTTCCTCTATCTCAACTGCAAGGCTTTCCTCTTTTACTAATCCACCTCAGCACAGACCCTTTACGGGTGTCGGGCTGGGGCACAGCCTCTCATCCCATGAGGCTATATTTCAGACTATCACATGGGGAGAACCTTGGACAATACCTGGCTTTCCAGGGCAGAGGTCCCTGCAGCTTTTCACAGTACATTGTGCCTCTGGTTTATTGAGACTAGAGAACGGCGAAGACTTTTACCAAGCATACTGCTTGTAAACGTTTTATTAACAAGGCATGTCCTGCACAGCCCTAGATCCTTTAAACCTTGATTCCATACAACACATGTTTTTGTGAGCTCAAATTTGGGGCAAAGTCACAAATTAACAGCATCTCAGCCAACCAATTGTTCAAGGTACAGGTCAAAATGGAATTTCTTATGTCTTCCCTTTCTACACAGACACAGTAACAGTCTGATCTCTCTTTCTTTTCCCTACAGGATTGCAGGCATGCAGCACCATGCCTGGCTAATTTTGTATTTTTAGTAGAGACGGGATTTCTCCATGTTGGCCAGGCTGGTCTCAAACTCCTGACCTCAGGTGATCTGCCCACCTTGGCCTCCCAAAATGCTGGGATTACAGGCATGAACCACCGCGCCCGGCCATGCTAAGTCCTTTCTTGGCTCCATTGTGCTGTCCCTCCTGCTTCCTCTCCAGGTCCATCTGCCACAGTGCTACGTGCACCAGCGTGCCAGCAACAGTGGCTGGTCTCTGCCCCGTGCCTCCTCCACTGGGCTCACACCTGTCTTATTTTGTCCTTTGGTGGCTCTGAGAAGCAGCCTCTGCCCCTCTCCCTTTCCCTTACTCTTTGTAAGATCCTCTTCCTTCTGCCCTACCATGTTGCTTGGACACCAGGGTGGAATAGCAGAGAACGGCTGCTTGTGTTTGAATTCCAGCTCTGCCACTTCGATAGATTTCTGAACTGAGACATGTGACTCCCTAGGCCTATTTCTGCATGGGTCGGAGAGTGGGCGGGACTGCTTTACTGAGTTATAGTGAATGTAGTTTTAACCTAAGCGCCTCACATGACTAACTCCTCATCCATCAAGAATGAGCTCAGCTCTCACTTCCCCACTCCTCACCCCCCTGTAAAGTAACCTTTCTCCAAGGTTATGCTTCAACAGGAATAGCTAACATTTATTAAATTGTGGCACGTAAGTATCTTGGATATATTGGCTCATTGAATCCTCACACCTACTATTTTACAGAGATGCCAGTGGGGCTTGAGATTGAATCACTTGCCCAGGCTCCCACTGCTGGTAAACAGTAGAGGGGGCTCCTGACCCATAAGTCTGGCTTGACAACCCATTCCCTCAACTGCGGATCCCGGATTCCCTTATCACCCTGTTGATTTCTCCATAGCTGTGGTAACATTTGTTGCATGAATGGACCGTTGAAATAGGGCCTGGCAGGGAGAAATTCAGGAAATGATGAATGAATGGTTCTTCCCTGGCAGCCTCGATGACTTACGAGCCCTCAAGGGGAAGCATTTTCTCCTGGACCCCTTGATGCCGGAGCTGCTGGTGTTTCCCGCCCAGACAGATCTGCATGAACACCCACTGTACCGGGCCGGACACCTCATTCTGCAGGACAGGGTAGGCAAGAGGAATAGAAAAGGGAAGAATGTGTAGGCACGGGAAGGGCCTAGCCTGGGGTCTCTGTTTACCCGGCCCCTGTGTTCTGCCTGCCAGGCCAGCTGTCTCCCAGCCATGCTGCTGGACCCCCGCCAGGCTCCCATGTCATGGATGCCTGTGCCACCCCAGGCAATAAAGACCAGTCACTTGGCTGCTCTTCTGAAGAACCAAGGGTGAGTGCCACAGGAGGAGGAGGAGGACATGGGGTTTGATTTTGTGCCTTTCAGTGGGTAATGAAGGCTGAAAGGATGACTTTCGCTTAACTCTTTCCTGCTGCACCAAAGTAGTTCACGGTATTTGCCCCAAGCTAAGCTTTCCCCACTGCAGGTGTGAGATGTGGATCCCTTAGCCCTTGGGGCAGAGACCCCAGGCCAGTTACCTCTGACCCTGGGCCCTTTAAATATAGGCTGTTTCAATATTGTGTGTCCTGGCTTAACCTGCATGTTCTGGTTGTCTGTGTCAGCTGTGACAGGCCCTTAGCTGCTCCATGCATGCTCAGCTCACCCCTGCTCTGCCCTCTGCCCTAGGAAGATCTTTGCCTTTGACCTGGATGCCAGGCGGCTGGCATCCATGGCCACGCTGCTGGCCTGGGCTGGCGTCTCCTGCTGTGAGCTGGCTGAGGAGGACTTCCTGGCGGTCTCCCCCTTAGATCCGCGCTATCGTGAGGTCCACTATGTCCTGCTGGATCCTTCCTGCAGTGGCTCGGGTGAGATGGTGAGAAGGCGTGGCTGAGGGACTCAGAGGTCCACAGCAGCTTAGACCTGGAGTCATCTGTTTTGGTCTTAGTTCTGACACTTTAATGGGCTTGGGACCCTGGAGCAAAAGTTCTCCTCTGTGAAGCGAGGATTTCAGGAGCGAGGATTTCAGGACTGAGGCAGCCTGTGAAGCTGTGTAACCGAGACACGCTTTTCCTTAGGTATGCCGAGCAGACAGCTGGAGGAGCCCGGGGCAGGGACACCTAGCCCGGTGCGTCTGCATGCCCTGGCAGGGTTCCAGCAGCGAGCCCTGTGCCACGCGCTCACTTTCCCTTCCCTGCAGCGGCTCGTCTACTCCATGTGCTCCCTCTGCCAGGAGGAGAATGAAGACATGGTACAAGATGCGCTGCAGCAGAACCCGGGCGCCTTCAGGTACAGGGCGTGCGCCAGGGTCGTGGAGGGGGGGATGGGGTGAACTGCTCTCTTACCCAGCATTGGGGCTGTTTCTCTTGCAGGCTAGCTCCCGCCCTGCCTGCCCGGCCCCACCGAGGCCTGAGCACGTTCCCGGGTGCCGAGCACTGCCTCCGGGCTTCCCCCAAGACCACGCTTAGCGGTGGCTTCTTCGTTGCTGTAATTGAACGGGTCGAGATGCCGACGTGAGTGAGTGGGGGCATGCTTGGGAGGCGCAGGATGGTACTGGCACATCTAACATCTACATTTCTCTAGCTCAGCCTCACAGGCCAAAGCATCAGCACCAGAACGCACACCCAGCCCAGCCCCAAAGAGAAAGAAGAGAGCAAAAAGCTGCAGCCGGTGCTTGCACACCGCCTTGCACATAGCAGAGGCTCCGGGCTCACTCCTTCCTGGTGGGAAAGGAAGATGCCTGTCCTCTCCGTGGAAGACCCTGGGCCCTCACCGCAGGCAGCAGTTTGCGTTTTGAAAGGTTATTGGGTCCCTTCCTCGGGCTGTGTTCTTGCTGGTGAGCAAAAGTGTTGCCTGCAGAAATAAAATGCAGAACGTACTCTACGATAGATCACAGTTTTTTATTCTTAATGTCACAAGCAGGAGAAAAATCTCACATTCATACTAAAAATTCCAACTAGACTCAACAGGAATGAAGTCTCTATTTGTAATGGAAAGTCCCAGCCTCCCGCTGCCGTCCAGTGCGTGTACTGTACACATCCACACTCATTCTCACTCAGGGTTCCCGGACCGGCTGTCCTGCCTGCGGAACTGAGGTAAACTAGCTCAGGTACTGACACTAGGAGGGTCTACCTTACATAAGGTACAGGTAGAAGCTTGATTGCTAGGCCCAGGCCCACCCAGACCCTCCAATCCTAACAGGTATTTAGGCTTGAGGTTCACTCCCTCCTCAGCTGCACACGCAGCCAGGTATTAACGAGGATCAGAGCTGTTCTGAGGGGTGGGAAGGAGCAGCCCCGCCACCACTCACTCACCCTCAGTCACATCGGGGAGGGGGCACCAGTTACATTTACATCACATTATTTATAAAATAAGAATTACATTTCATATAACATGGCCAGAAGGAGCTCTAGTCCCCCAGGAAAGCTGCCGGGGACAGCATTTGAGCCTCTTCTTTGCACAGGCATAACTTAACTATACAGCTAATTCCTAGTTAATAGCATTTATACTTAACCACCTCAATGAACCAAGCTTGAAGGAATTTAAAAGGCAATTTAGCTTAAATACAAAAATAAATTTTTGTTAAAAAACGTTTAAATATTTTTTTCTTTTAATTTAGACACACGCATTCATACTTCTCCCAAAGAGGTTGGGCGTGGCAGCAAGGCGCTTGGGCCTGGGGTATGTGGTTTCAGAAGGACGGAAGGAAAGGATGGGCTGCAGAGGGCCCTGTTTGGGAAAAATAGGATTTTAAAAATATGGTTCATTAATTTAGGTTTTCTAACATCTACTTTGGGTGATGTAGCCTCCAGTGAGGTCAGTTAAGTGGGACAGAAACGGCAGAGGGAAGAGGTCTTTGCTTCCCCTGGGCCCATTCTCCCTGGCTGCCAGCCCTTGAAGTCAGAACACCATGGGAAAATTCAGGAGTCGGCACTTGTAGCCGTCAAGTGGTGCTACTTTCCACATTCAATTAGCGAGGCCCCAGAAAACTTGAAACAGGAAGTCCGGCACTACCAACATGCCGCCACTCATACAACTCAACTCTTCCTCCAAACTCGATTCAAAGAGCAATACACAGAGCATCAGACAAAGGAACACAGGACAAGGCTTGAAACATACAATCCTGGAGAGGCAGACGAGGGCCCAATGGGGCCAAAGGGTAGCTGGGCGAGGAGGCAGCTGAAGCAGCGGTGGGCATCCTGCCTGCTCCAAGAGCTTCTCCCTTCACCCCTGGCTCTGCCAGGCTAACAGTCTTGAGCCACCAAGCTCTGAGGGGCCAAACTGGCAGAGGGTTGGAGATGAAACATTGATTCAGGCTTGGCAGGAAGAAAACGGCAGGAGCAGCACCCACTGGGGTCTCCAAGGCAAAGCTAGATTCAAGGGCATTTAAAAACGAAGGAATCCTGCAAGGAACTGGTGAGGGACACAGCAGCAAGAAATGGGGAAACAGAGTCCCCAGAAGGGACCAGAGGAAGAGAACCACTTCTCACAGCTAAGCCAAGCAAGATAAAGCTTTACGGATAGCCCATTTCCCAAATCCCATCAGGTGCACACCACCGATCCAGGCGGGCTGGACCCTGCCCCCTCCAGCGACGACGGTCTCGGGGAAAGGTGGAAGGGGCGCCTGCCTAAGGGTGTGCTAAGCGGGAGTCAGGGCAGCGGACACTATGTACAGGTGTTTCCTTAGTTCTCCAGCCTCCCCAGTAGAACTGTTCAAGTAGAGGTCCCGGGCTTTGGCCCTCCGCATCCTGCTTCCCCTTCCCTGAGGCTTGTGCTTCCTCCAGAAGGGAAAGGGCCCCAGGGCTGCCACTGCCCCCTGGCGGCTGAAGCCAGAGATCCGGGGTAGGTTTGCTTTACGCAACTGGAAGGGTCCAAGGCTCTTCCTAGCAGGTGCCAAGGTCCAGATTTAGGGAAGGGGTGGGGGGAACAGGGACAGGGGACAAAGGCTACTTTTTGCGGGTGTGCTGCCTTCGGGCCTGCAGTCGCTGTCGAGCCCCTGGGGTCTTGGATCCCGCACCAATGGAAAATGAAAGGGCCGCCGATCCTGGAAAGATTCAACAAGACCTCATCAGGGCAGCTGCTACCTGAGACTCTGACTCTGGGTGCCCAAATCTCTGGAAGGCCAGGCCAGTAATAAAACACAGGGTGCCTCAATAGGGCTTTCCCCGCTGCATCAGAAACACTGTACGGGAGAAGCCTCCTGAAATGCAAACTCCCAGAGAGTCTCAGAGCGAGGCCCAAGAATCCATTTTTACCTGGCTTCCCATGGGAGGCAAACTTCCACCCCGGACAGCTCCTCTCTGATCTCTGCCATCCAACTCCCATCCCTGGGTTGTGCTGGACTCCTAACCCGAAATGTCTTTCCTGTGCTGAACCTGATCTTCACCGGGCCTCAGAGGACCAGGAACCTGCCACCCCGCCCAACCCCTCCTCAGACAGATGAGCAGGGCCACAGGGTGGCTTGCTGCTTACCGAAAGGTGCAACACCAACAAAGCCTTGGGCGGGTGCTGAGGATGCCCCAAAGGAGAGGCTGCTGCCTGATGTGCCCACTCCAGGCGCAGGGGTGTTCAGACCAAAGGTGGGGGTGGCGGTGCCTGGAATGAAGAGAACAGAGAGCTGGCCAGTGAGCAGAGGGCAGAGGCAAGCGAGGAGCCGGGCAGGAGCCTGTGCTCCGCAGGGCACTTCCCACGGGACCCTCAGCCCCACTTCTGCTTCTGGGGCACTCCTCCATCAGCAGCTGAGCCAGACAACCGAGTCTTCATGCCTGGTGCCCCAGCTCAGCCTGCTTCTCCCACCCGCTAATGGCCACGCCAGGGCAGAGAAAAAGCCCCCCTGCCCCGCAGCCACCTCGTGGGCCTCCTGACCATCGCTGCAGAGGGGAGTACTCTGGGGCCCCCGCCTCCTAGCGTACCTGGGTTGGCTACCTCCTCTGTTCAGGCCTTTTCCCCCAGCCACCGTCCCCTCCCCTCTGAAGCCTGGTTTGTCCGTCCCGCGTCTTTTGTGATGCCCCGTGGTCCCCTCCCTTCCCCGGCCTTGCCCTGACTGGCTCTGGCTGCCTGCCCGAGGCCCTCTCTGGCAGCCCCTCTGCAGGGATGGCTGCTCTCAGGGCTTGGCCTCCGGCCCGGACAAGAGGAAGCTCCCTGTGCTCCCACGCTGCTTCCACACTGTTTCTCTTCCTTCCCTAAATACCGTAACTCAAGTTCAGATCACTTTAATCTGCCATGTCCTCATGTCACCTGTCAACTGCCAGGTCACTCCCTGATTCACAGAGGACCCTTGGCTCACTGGCTTCCTTCCCATCACCACTCACGGTGACTTCGCCCTGTGAGGCTGACTGATGGTCCTCTCAGCCCCTCAACCCTGCCACCCCCATGACCTCCTCTCCCCGACCCCTGCCACCACTCCTGCAGCCACACTGTCACCACAACTGCTCCGGCTCCCGAATCTCCTGTAGGCACCACCCCTCCTGCAGCTGACTTCACCCGCTCTCCACTCCTGCACCCCCTGAGCTGCATCGGGGCACTGACCCGCTGCCCCTCCTGCTGTGCTTGCTGGGGTCTCCATGGCCGGGTGGCACCAGCTGTCCGCTGACCTTAGGTCTACACCCACAGTGTCGCTGGGAAACACATGCCATGCTAACTGGCCTCACTTTAACTTCACAATCACAATTTTCCAGCCCACAAACTGCCTGGAAACTGATCACACTTTTTAATATGATGTTCCTTTCCCCCACTGTCCAAAATGACTATTTCAAAAGACCCCTTTTTTTATACACTTTATCCTGACCCTCTCTCTCCCAGATTTTCTCTACTTCACGAAGCAAACAGAAGCCATGGGATCTACATTCATCTTCCACATGGGAGGAACCATCACTGCATCCTTCTGCCTGATTCTGCAATGGTTTTCCTGAACACTTAAGACCCAAACACCCAACCCTGGCCACAAACAATCCTTGCCTCTTGGCCTCCTTCCACACCACTGCTTTAGCTCCTGCCCTCCTGCCATGCTTGTCTTTGTTCTGCTCTTCAACATACCAAACATGTTTCTGCCTCTGGGCCTTTGCATGCGCCATCCTGGGCCTGAAAGGCATGTCCACTTGTGCTGTGCCCACCCCCATATTCAGCTTACGGTTTGTTTTTTGAGACAGAGTCTTGCTCTGTCACCCAGGCCGGAGTACAGTGGCATGATCTTGGCTCACTGCAACCTCCAACTCCTGGGTTCAAACCATTCTTGTGCCTCAGCCTCCTGAGTAGCTGGGATTACAGGTGGGTACCACCACGCCCGGCTAATTTTTTGGTATTTTTAGTAGAGACAGGGTTTCGCCAAGTTGTCCAGGCTAGTCTTGAACTCCTGGCCTCAAGTGATGCACCCTCCTTGGCCTCCCAAAATATTGGGATTACAAGCGTGAGCCACTGCGCCCAACCTTCAGCTTACAATTGTTAACTACTCAGAAGGCCTTTGACCAGTTAAATCCACAATGGCTCCTCCAGTCATTACTACGTTAGCAAAACATGTATCGTTCCCTGGCATCTCACTGAGTTCTATATTCAGTGCCTGTCTCTTCACTGCCACAGCATAAGCTCCCCGAGACCACAGGCTTCGCAGGCACAGCTTTTCAGTGTCCGGCCCGGTAGCCCAAGTCCACGCCCCTCCTTACCTCCAAACACAGGTTTGCTCTCAGTTGTGCTGCTCACGTTGAAGGCAAACGGTGTGCTCTGGCCGGTGGTGCCCAGGGCGTTCTGACCTAAGCCCCCTGCGAAGGGGGTGGAGGTGGCTGTGCTCCCACTCTGTCCTGCTCCAAAGCTGAAAGCTCCGGTGGTGGTGCTGGAGCCTGGGGTGGCCACATTGATCCCAAAGCTCCCACTGCCAGCGGGGGCTGCCGAACCCCCAAACGTGAAGGGTGATGGTGTTGTGCTGCCAAACACCGAGCTGCTGCTCCCGCTGCTGGCGGTCTGGGTGGTGGCTCCAAAGCCGGAGCTGGTGGCTGCACCGAAGAAGACAGCAGTGGAGCCGCCAAAGGCGGGCTGTGAGCTGGCGGGAGCGCCGAAGGCCGAAGCCGTGGCTTTCAACCCAAACGCCGAGTGCGTGGCACCGCCAAAGATAGGATGGATGGGCGTAGGCACGTACGCAGGCACGACCTTGATCATGGACGGAGGTGCAGGTGTGGGTGCAGCAGCCGGGGCTGCAGAGTTTCCAAAAGTGAAAGAGCTGCCAAAGCTGGGGGCAAGGGCCGGCTTGGCGGCCCCCGGTGGCTGCCCCTCAGCGGCCCCAAATGCGGGCTGGGGGTTGGCTCCCGGATATGATGGGAGCGGGGACTTGGCGCTTGAGCCAAAGGGAATGTTGAACGTGGGGGTGCTCGTGTTACTGAACGTCAGAGTGGGCTGGCTGCTGGTGGCCGGGGCGGAGGTGGCGAGGGTGCTGCCAAAACCACTAAAGTCGGCAGCGCTGCTGCTGGTGGCCGTTGGCACGGCAGTGTGCAGGGACTGGCTGAAGGTGGTGACTGTGGTGGTTGTGGGCAAGGCAGGAGGTTTGCCAAACTGGAATATGGAGCCCATGGCCGGGGTGAAGCTGGCAGCAGAGGCCTGGGGCGCCCCGAAGAGGAAAGGCTGTGAGGCGGCAGTGGCGGTGCTGGTCGTGGTACTCACACTGCTGCTGCTCACACTGTTTATGCCAAAGCCAAACGCAGGCTTCGAAGCAGAGTCTGTGGATGGACTGGCAGAGGTGATGGGAGCCACAGCAGAGGTGGCGCTGGCCAGGCCAGTGAAGAGCGGGGCAGTTGTGGTGGGAGCAGTGGCGGGAGTAGTTGTCTGCTTGAAGAAGGGAGCAGGCAAGGGCACAGATGCAGGTGGCCCCATGCTGCTAAAGACAGGCTGGAAGGTCGGGGCTGTGGTGCTGGTGGTCGTGGGGAGGGAGGAGCTGGAGGGCGCTGTGGCTGTGACTGAAGGGCCAGGCGGTGTGGGGCCTTCCTTCTCACTCTTGGGTGGAGCCGTGAAAATGGGCTTGAACATGGGAGGTGCTGAAGATGCAGCAGGGGCGGCAGGGCTGGAAGGTGAGGTGTTCTGTGTTCCAAACAGGAAGCTTTGCTTGGGGGCGGGGGACGGGGCAGATGTGGCTTGGGGTTTGGTAGCCGTCTCTGCCTGAAGGGTTGGAGGTGCCTTGGTGTCAGTGGCTGGTACCATGGATGGAGCAGGGATCAGCCCCAGCAAAGTGGTCGGGGGTTTGGAGTCAAAGGAGGGGCTGGGGAGCAGCCCTGGCGGCCCTGACTGTGATAAACCCAGCGGGGGTAGGAGGCTGGGTGTCTTTGGAGGTGAGAGGGCCTCAGTGGTTGCTGCTCCAGCAGATTCTGGAAGAAGAATAGAAAATGTGAAATTGGAATAAACACTTCAAAGATGATGGTATTCAGTATTTCAGTGTCCTCCCCACGCCTACCACAGAGCCTGGGATCCAAGAGTCAGTCAATAAACTCAGCTAAGTCTACACTACAGGCCTGTACAGTAAATCAAGGAAGTGTTATTTCTACCTCACAGATCATCAGACAGAAGGGGATAAAATGGGGCCTAAATGGGGGCCTAATGTGTAGAGACTAAGACAGTCCAATTGTCTGAACTCTGAAGTTCACGTATGAATCTAGATATACTTTATTTGCCTACTAAGCTCACCTGCCAGGCGCTAAGAGCACACAACTATGAATGGGGAAGTCTCTGCCCTTGAGCAGGGAGGGTGCGTACGAACCCCAGGTTACCGTCTGATAAAGAGGTGTGCGCGCGCAGTGCCGTGAAGGCCTGGGCCGGGAACACCAGCAGCCCTCGAAGTGCTGGAGGGAAAGGAAGCAGTGCTGTTCTGGACCAGTGGTTCTGACAGGCAAGGATATCCTGACCACGCCACCACATTCACACTTCAGAGGTGCCGCACAGGGAAGATCATTCTCATCTGACAGATGAGGAAGGCGAGGCTCAGGGCAGCTACGAGCCAGGCTTCAGATCCTGAGCGTCGCAGCACCCCTTCTCTAACACTTCCTGATGCGGGCTCTGGCGCTGTTAAACGTGGGCCCGCTCCGGTGTGCTGAGCCAGGGTGCGTTCGGCCTGCAGAGCAATCTCCAGCGACTGACAGGCACGACGCCCTTATTCCAACTCAAGCCGGGGATGCTGCTCAGAAGGCTGGATCCACGGCCCCACTCCAGCTCACCTGGGCAGGGTGGCAGGCTCGGGGGAGTCTGCATCTTCTTCAAGCTCTCTAACAGTGGGTTGGTGCTTGGGGCCAGGAGGGAGGTGGGTGGGGAGGCAGGTGCAGCAGCAGGCAGGGTAAAGGTAAATGAAGGCTGAGTGATAGGTGGGGTCTCAGTGACAGAGTTCGAGGCAGCATCTAAGAAAGAAAGAAAGGTGAAGCAGTCCTGGCTTGTCTGGGACTTCTTTCCACATGCCTGTCGGAGAGCAGGCTCTCAGCACAGCTCATGGAGGAATGCCTGCCCTCAATTGCAGTGGTCCCTGCTGTCCAGTTCCCGTGAAGACCAACACGGATATCTCAGGTGAGAAAGACCACAAGAAAACATGGAACCCTACTTGGGATTTTCCCAGAGAAACCCATTTTTTCAAACACCAAAATAAAACCAAAGAAAACAGACACCTGAAACCTCTCCAGTGTGCAACAATCTGTGCTCCTTACCGCTCTTGTCCTCCAAGGCCTGGTTGAACCACTGTAATGAAGCCTTCTTCTCTAAGTCTAGGTCCTCGGCAGTGATCGAATAGCCAAGCTGGGGAGGTGGAGGCTACCAAAGTGAAAAAGAAGAAGTCAGGCCAATCAGAAAAAACGGGAAGGCTAGGCATGGTGGCTCACACCGGTAATCTCAGCACTTTGGGAGGCCAAGCCAGCTGGATCACTTGAGGTCAGGAGTTTGAGGCCGGCCTGGCCAACATGGTGAAACCCCATCTCTACTAAAAACACAAAAAATCAACCAGGCGTGGTAGCAAGCACCTGTAATCCCAGCTACTTGGGAGGCTGAGGCAGGAGAATTGCTTGAACTCAGGAGGCAGAGGTTACGGTTAGCCAAAATCGAGCCACTGCACTCCAGCCTGGGTGACAGAGGGATGTTGTCTCAAAAAACAAAAACAAAAATAAATTAGAAAAAAAATCAGAAGAAACTTGTCCTTAGCGTTCCTAATACTTAGGAGAGCTAAGCCGGGGAGGGCAGGAGTAGATGGACAAGACCATACCAAGGTCAGCTGTTCCCCTCGCCGAGAAGGCAGCAGCTGAACTTTCCGCTTACGCTGCCCAGAGCTGCCAGGTGTAGACTGAGAATTCGAGTTTTGTTTCTTCCTTGGGGTTGTATCTGCAGCTAAAGAAAGAAATCAAGACTCGTTTGCTTCCTTCCCTCTTCCAGAAATGGATGGTTGTGTCTACCCACTTCGCATTTCACATTGAGTTTTCAATGGGTATCTCTGAAAAGATTCAATCTTCTATGGTTTGGTTGCTTGGATGGTGTTTGCAAGATTAAGGCGCGCACACAAACCGCTTACTGTGCAGTAATTACTGGGATCACCCACAGGTGACTCAAACTGAGCTTACCTCTATCCAATCGTTAGTCCCTGTCTGTAGCCTTTCTCCCTCATCAGACTATAAACTTCTGAAGGAGAGGAAATCTCTCTCTTTGTATCTAACATGCCTTAGACATAGCAATGCTCAAGACCTTTTTTCAATAGGTATTAATCTCTACATCCTCCACAAACACCTCCACCACCAACAGCAGCCCCTCCTCCTGGCTCAGCAACCTACCCTTTTCTCCCTGGGACTCCCTGTCTGCTGCCAATGGAGTTGAAGAACTGGAATGATGACACAGCTCCTCTTCTCTGTCAGGAAAAAAGGAACAATTTAGTCTAGAAAGGCTTCTTGGCTGAAGTATTAAATAATTTCTCACACCCTCCTAACTACCAAGTGGCCAATGTCTAAAACAACCATCATTTAAGATCTCAGTATGCCAGGATAAAAAAAGTCAACAGGAAATTCCAACAGAATGAAGGGAGGCTGTTCACAGAGGCCATGAAGACAGCTTTTGTCTTAAAACAAGCACAAAACAATAATCTTCAAACCTTACTTACAACCTATCAAGTCCCTGGGAGTTCTAGACACAGATGTGATCCCTGAGGGAGTGGCATTCCAGCCAACTGCAAGCACCTAGGGGGTCAGCTCGAGTCAAGAACCTGAAGGCGACTGCCCGCTGACTTGACTCTCTCTGCTCTCCACTCTGCATGGCCTCTGTGCTTGCACCCGATCCCTCATGCTGGAGTGGGAGGCGACAGCCAGAGGCCACTGGAGTCAGTATCCAAGACTGTAGGGATGACAGCACTTCGGGTGGGTACTGCATTGTACCTCTCAGGGACTTAAGTTTCTTTGATTCTCCAAGTCACAGCAGCACAAAGCCTAAGAGCCAGGTTCGTTTCCCACCTTTCCTCACCCCCGCCTGTCCACGCAGCAAATGAAAACTGCAGGAGAATGCCAAGTACCTTATTTTCTTTGCTGGCCTCTCCGGTGTCTGGGAGCGGGAGGAGGCTGGGCTAGAGAAGGGTGATGAACTGGGGCCATTTCTCTTCCAGAGCTAAAAATCAAGAGGGACATGACTGAGCCTGCTGATAACTTAGCATCTGACCCTCAACACGACAAAGTCTCTTTTCAAGTGACTAAAAAAACATTCTTTATGGTTAAATGGTTAGTCATGCCTGTAATCCCAGCATGCTGGGAGGCCAAGGTGGGAGGATCGCTTGAGCCCAGGAATTTGAGCCCAGCCTGGGTAACATAGCGAGACCCCTGTCTCTACAAAAAAACTGAAAAATCAGTTGGGTGTGGTGGTTTGCATCTGTGGTCCCAACTACTCAGGATGCTGCAGTGAGCTGAGATTGCCCCACTGCACTCCAGCCTGGGTGACAGAGTGAGACCCTGTCTCAAAAAAAAAAAAAGAAAAGAAAATGAAAAAAATTTGTTTGTGAAGAAAGACCCCTGAAAAGAAAGTCAACTGCCAGTATTAATTATGAAAGCAAAAGAAGAAAAGTCTATAAAAGTAATGGAATGCGAATAAAGGTAGAAGGGATGGACACACTTTTGCATATATTAGGTGGAACGTTAGCCTCAGTAATGAAGAGCCAGGACACATTCAAACCTGTGCCAGACTGTCTACGGAGAGGATAGAAGTAAATTAAAGAAGATAACCCAGTAAACTAATTTAGTCTTGCTTCTATTAAATTTTCTATTTTAATTTACTAACTTCATTTTAAAAATATGCTGTCGTAACGTTTATGACTTTTGCAACAACGATGGCATTTATCATCATGTGATGATTATCCATACATCTGCCTCTTCCACCAGGTGAGTTCTTGACAGCAAAGACGGTGTTTTCATCTCTGCTTCCTCCACAGACCAGCAGCAAAGTAGATGGCACAGAGCGGACACTGCAAATAGTCTCGTAAGTGCTGAGCCTAATTACAAAGCCACTAAACTGTCACCTCAGACCGTCTTTCCTACTTGAAAAGCTGCTAGTGATTTCTTACCCAGTACCAGCTACATCATATAAGTACAAACAGGAAGCCAGCAATGCTTAATAAGAGTTCAAAAAGGGAAAAGAGGAAGCTTCAGACAAGTGGTAAGCAGCAGAACAGTTCAGTGAGGCCACCATCAGGAAGCCGGGCCCAGGAGGAGCTTGAGAAGACTGCTCACGGCAATAACAGTTGAAGTTACGCTCAAACAGCAAGAAAGGCCAGAGCACAATGGTTTAAAAAACATGGGATTACAGGCATATAAAAGAGCAGAATACAAAAATTCATCAAAGGGATCCAAGGATTGAATATATAAGCGGCATTTTCAATCACTTCAGATCCCTGACACTACCTCACTGGTTCTCAAAGGACGGCTCAGTCACCTGTGGAACTTTTTTTTTTTTTGAGACGGAGCCTTGCTCTGTTACCAGGCTGGAGTGCAGTGGCGCGATCTCAGCTCACTGCAACCTCCGCCTCCCTGGTTCAAGCGATTCTCCTGCCTCAGCCTCCCGAGTAGCTGGGACTACAGGAACATGCCACCACACCCAGCTAATTTTTGTATCTTTAGTAGAGACAGGGTTTCACCATGTTGGCCAGGATGGTCTTGATCTCTTGACCTCGTGATCTGCCTGCCTTGGCCTCCAAAAGTGCTGGGATTACAGGCGTGAGCCACCACACCTAGCCACCTGTGGAACTTTAAAAGCACATAGATGGCCGAGTGCGGTGGCTCACACCTGTAATCCTAGCACTTTCAGAACTGAGGCAGGAGAACTGCTTGAGCCCAGGAGTTTCGGACCAGCCTGGGCAACATAGCAAGACCTTACCTGTAGTTAAAGTAATAAAATTAAAACAATAAAAACCATAAACCTTGCATTTTTCTTCACAATGTGCTCCAGACACTGAGGGATACACATCACTGAGCAAGCAAGGGTCAGAAATGCCAAAGGGGCCAGACGAGGTGGCTCACACCTGTAATCCTAGCACTTCAGGAGGCTGAGGCAGGAGGATCACCTGAGGTCAGGAATTCCAGACCAGCATGGCCAACATGGTGAAACCTCATCTCTTCTAGAAATACAAAAACAAGCTGGGCACGGTGGCTGACGCCTGTAATCCCACCACTTTGGGAGGCCAAGGTGGGCGGATCACGAGGTCAGGAGATTGAGACCATCCTGGCTAACATGGTGAAACCCCGTCTCTACTAAAAATACAAAAAATTAGCCGGGTGTGGTGGCAGGTGCCTGTAGTCCCAGCTACTTGGGAGTCTGAGGCAGGAGAATGGCTGGGAGACAGAGCAAGACTCCGTCTCAAAAAAAAAAAGGAATACAAAAATTAGCCAGGTGTGGTGGTGCATGCCTGTAATCCCAACACTTTGGGAGGCCAAGGTGGGAGGATCACTTGAGCCCAAGAGTTTTGAGACCAGCCTAGGTAACATAGTGAAGTCTCATCTCTACCAAGAAAAAATAAAGAAAAAACAGAAATGCCAAAGGAGACTGTAATGATTAGCTAGGACTGGAAGACAACTGAACAACTGGTTTAACAATTAGGGGAAAAAAGTATTACTCCTCTACTTCATTGACTGTACATACACACTCATTTCAGATCTAACAAGACAAGGATGTTTATTATCATGTCTATTCAACTTAAAGTCCTAGCCAAGTGCAGCAAGACATAAACAGAATAAGATTGCAGAGGAAAGGAAAAACTCATTATCATAGACCTGAGTGTATGTACTAAAATCCTAAAGAACATACAGATTTAGCAAACTTTCTGAATACAAAATCAGTTGTATTTCTACACACCAGCACAGCCAATCACATTTTGAAGGCACTATTTAGAATAGCATATATGAAGGCACTATTTAGAATAGCATATACCTAGGGCCAGGCGCCGTGGCTCACGCCTGTAATCTCAGCACTTTGGGAGGCAGAGGCAGGTGGATCACCTGAGGTCAGGAGTTTGAGATCAGCCTGGCCAACAAGGTGAAACCCTGTCTCTACTAAAACTACAAAAATTCGCCAGGTGTGGTGGCACGTGCCTGTAATCTCAGCTACTCGGAAGTCTGAGGCTGGAGAATCACTTGAACCCAGCAGGTGGAGGCTGCAGTGAGCCGAGATTGTAAATCTAATAAAAAAGAAGTAAAACCTCTACAGAGAAGAAATAGAGATGATGTAAATAAATGAAGGAGGCAGGACATGGTGGCTCACGCCTACAATCCCAGCACTCAGGGAGGCCAAGGTGGGAAGATTGCTTGAGCTCAGGAGTTTGAGACCAGCCTAGGCAACATAGTGAGACTGTGTCTCTATTATAAGTTTTTAAAAATTAGCTAGGTGTGGTGATGCATGCCTGTGGTCCCAGCTACTCAAGAGGCTGAGGCAGGAGAATCGCTTGAGCCTGGGAGTTCAAGGCAGTAGTGAGCTATGATCATGTCACTGCACTCCAGCCTGGGCCACAGAGCAAGACCCCTTGTCTCAAAAGTTAAATAAATAAATAACGACATTCCATGTTCATAGATTAGAAGTAAACAAGGTCAATATTGTAACAATGTTAATTCCATCCAAAGTAATCAGTAGATGAAAGGCAATCCCAATCAGTATCTCAGAACTTTTTTTTTTTTTTGTGGAAATTGACAAGTTGATCTAAAAATTATATGAAAATGCAAAAGGCCAAGATACAAGACAGTCCTGAAGAGAAATGAGAAAGTGGGATGACTGACTCTATCAAGACTTAAAGTATAAGGCTAGGGGTAAAACAAAGACTGGCACAAGGGTAGGTAGAAAAATAGACCAATGGAACAAAACAGAGTCTAGAAATGGACCCACATATATACAGACACTTAAATTAGACAAAGACGGTGCTGCAGAGAAATAAGGATGGTCCTTTCAATAAATGTTGCTAAGAGAAATGGGTATTTCTACAGTAAAAAACAACAACAACAACAACAAAAACCACCAACACCACCAAACACAAAAAAAACTAATTTTGATTCCAACCTCACACCATATACAAAAATTAATTTCAGGTGGTTTATGGATTTACATATAAAAGTAATAATAAAATAATAAAGCTTCTAGAAGGTAGCACAGAAGAAAATTATCATGACCTTAGGTTAGGTAGGCAAAGATTTCCTGAATACTACACAAAGTATGCTAACCACAAGGAAGTAGAATGGCAAGAGCAGGACACTTTTTTGTTGCAACACATACATGACAGACAGCTTGTATCTAGAACATATAAAGAGCGTATTCAAATCTCTAAGAAAAAGACAACAACTTGGGGCCAGGTGTGGTGGCTCACGCCTGTAATCCCAGCACTTCGGGAGGCCAAGGCGGACGGATCACCTGAGGTCACGAGTTCGAGACCATCCTAGCCAACATGGTGAAAACCCATCTCTACTAAAAATACAAAAATTAGCCGGGCATGGTGGTGGGTGCCTGTAATCCCAGCTACTTGGGAGGCTGAGACTGGGGAATTGCTTGAACCCAGGAGGTGGAGGTTGCAGTGAGCCAAGGTCACAGCACTGCACTCCAGCCCGGGCGACAGTGCGAGACTCTGTCTCAAAAGAAAGAAAAAAAAAAAGACTGTACAGTAAAAAGTAAATTTCCTTTTTATCTCAGTAATGATTGCCAGTTTTTAATATATCCTGTAAGAATTATTTTATGCATATTAAAAGATTTTTAAAAGCCCGAATAATAGAGGATACTATACAGTTCTGAGCCTTGTTTTTATGTAATTGCTTTTTGAGATCATTCTCATGAGTACTTCTTCAGTTGCCTTATTCTTTTTCATAGTTACATAGTATATTCCAACTTACACCAATACTGTAAGTTATTCAGTCAGCTCCCTGAAAAGATAACATGTACATTGTTTCCAAGCTGCTATTATTAAAACAATGTTACATTAAATCCTTGTATCCATTTCCCAGTATGTGTGTAGGATAACTTCCTAAAGGTAAAGCTGCTTGATCAAAGGGTGCATGTATCTCTTATGTGGACAATTCCTGTCACAAAGCCCTCTAGAGAGCTGTACCAACTGACACTCCCACCAGCAACGCGTGAGGAGCCTGTTTCTTCTAACACTGCACTTCTATGGTTTCTATTTTACGTTCAAAACTTTGCTTCATTTGGAATAGGTTTCTCTACTATAGGAAAAACTCTTGAACATGAGATTTGGCTGGTAGCCCTTCAGAAAAATGGGTAAAGGATATGAACTAAGACTCATGGAAACAGAACTGAAAATAATCATTCAACATATGAACAGATGATCAAACTACTCATAAGAGACAAAAATTAGATACCTTTTTTTCTTTGAGACAGAATCTCACTCTGTCGTCCAGGCTGGAGGGCAGTGGCGTGAGCTCGGCTCACTTGACCTCTGCCTTTCAGGGTCAAGCAGTTCTCCTGCCTCAGCCTCCCAAGTAACTGGGATTACAGGCACACACGACCACGCCTGGCTAAATTTTTTGTATTTTTAGTAGCAACCGGTTTTTGCCACGTTGGCCAGGCTGGTCTCAAACTCCGGATTTCAGGTGATCCACCTGCCTCAGCCTCCCAAAGTGCTGGGATTACAGGTGTAAGCCACCAAGCTCGGCTGGCTTTTTTTTTTTTTTTGAGACAGAGTCTCACTCTGTCGCCCAGGCTGGAGTGGAGTGGCGCTATCTCTGCTCACTGCAACCCCTGCCTCCCAGGTTCCTGATATTCTCCTTCCTCAGCCTCCTGAGTAGCTGGGATTACAGGCATGTGCCACCATGCCCAGCTAATTTTTATGTTTTTAGTAGAGACAGGATTTCACCATGTTGGCTAGGATGATCTCGAACTCCTGACCTCCAGTGATCTGCCTTCCTCGGCCTCTCAAAGTGCTGGGATTACAGGCATGAGCTGCCACGCCTGTCTTAGATACTATTTTTAACCTGTGAAATTGGTAAAAGCCCAGAGCTACAATAACCAAATCTGCTGGTGAGGCCATGGAGAAATGGTCCCTCTCATACAACGCTGAGGGGAATGCTGAGTGGTGCATGCTCTGTAGGGGGATTTAACAATATCCAGCAAAATTACATGCGCATTTAACCTTTGACCTGGGAATCTGACTTCTAGGAACTTTCCAGAGGCAAAATTGCCAAGGATGAAATGACATATGAACAAATGTATTCTTTGCAGCATTATTTGTGATAGCAGAAGACTGAAACAACCCAACATTTGTCAACAGAGGACTAAAGTACCTATGCAGTTTTAAGACCAAAGATGAGTTTCTGTGTACTGCTATGGAATGACCTCAACTATCTATTATGTGAAAAAGCAAGGTTCAAATCTGTATATACTGTCTACTACCTTAAATGTTAGAAGGTGGCGGTTTTCAGATACACTGATATGCATACCGTTTAAAAAACAATAAAGGATAATCAAAAAATAAAAATGGAGAGGAAGGAAAAATGTAGAGTGGAAAGGGATGGAAACTGAATTTTTGAGTGTATCTTGTTTTAGTGTATTTTTTTTGAAACAACTTATTGTTTCAAAGATTTTACATAATTTAAAACAGAACTATTTCAAAAAGGAAAACACAGAAATCCCTGTAACTTTCAAACATACTGAACAAACGAACCTCACTGTATATAAAGTTGGTGTACCCAAAGGACAATTAACATTACTTTAAAACACGATATATTGATTACATGTCCGTAGCATTCACACAGGGATATAAAGACAAATGAATCACAATTCTTAAACTGACTTCAGCCGTCTTAATAATGACAGTGTTAACAATGACACTGATACCGCTATTTTGAAATTGCATGGGCCAGGCGTGGTGGCTCATGCCTGTAATCCCAGCACTTTGGGAGGCCAAGGTGGGTGGATCACCTGAGGTCACGAGTTCGATGCCAGCCTGGCCAACATGGTGAAATCTCGTCTCTACTAAAAATACAAAAATTAGCTGGGCATGGTGGCGGGCACCTATAGTCTCAACTACTTGGGAGGCTGAGGCAGGAGAATCGCTTGAACTCAGGAAGCGGAGATTGCAGTGAGTCAAGGTCGCACCACTGTGCTCCAGCCTGGGCGACAAGAGTAAGACTCCGGCAAAAAAAAAAAAAAAGAAATTGCGTGTTACTAGGATCAAAGTAATTATAAACCGACATTTTTGGTGTAATACATAAAAATATAAAATCAAATAAATTACATAAAAAATCCTACTATCATAAATTTGAATTTGGAATATTATGAATTATTTATATTCCCCTTTCTAGAGGATCTGTCTATCTTATCTCTCCTAAAACTTAGACTGTAGTCTCTACAGTTCTAACTGGAAGAAACCAAAGCTTTCTGAAGAAACACCCAACTTCGGTATAGGCTAAAAATGGACTTTGGGAAGGTGGGCAAAAAGCAATGAAGCTATCTGTCGAAGACTGCTGGGATCAAAATAAAGGATACAGGAGCCAGTTTGGAACCCATAGTCCAAAGCTGGAAAAGTTTGCATATCAAAAATAATAACTAGATATTAAATAATATTAATTATCCCTCTTAAATTATTAAGAGGGATAATGATATTACGGTCATTAATGTTCATTTATATGACTGTCAGAGCCTTCTGGGCTGATGAACTCGTCTCAAAATCTTCCTCCTCTCAAAAACATTTCTCCATACATGCTTTACATCTTTTTGTCTGGCTGCTGTATACTGGGTACCCACTTACTGACAGCCACTGTAATAGGTGCTTTTTAAATATTACCCTCAATCACTGCAACAGCACTTCAGAGATAAGAAAAAGAGATGTTATGTGATTGTCTGCCCAAGACCTTATAGCTACTAGATGTCAGAGCCAAGCATTTTTTTCCTTTTCTTTGAGACACAGTCTTGCTCTGTTGCACAGGCTAGTCTTGAACTCCTGGACTCAAGAGGTTCTCCCACCTTGACCTCCCAAAGTGATGGGATTACAGGCATGAGCCATCCCGCCCAGCCTCAGAGCCAAGATTTGAATCTAAGTCTGTCCAGCAGCAAAGCCTGCCCTGTTCCCTATACTATGCGATAATCCCTTTTCCAAAAAATCATGACCACTTGTTTAAAAACCCCGCTTTCAATTCTAAACGCCTATAAGATAAATCTCTTTTACGACCCAATACAAGCTGGACTCAGTCTACCTTTCGAATCACCCTCTGTCCGTTTATCTACAACACAGCTCTGTCTCGAATCAGCTCGCACACATGCACTGCTGTACATTCTGGGCTTTCTACTCCATTCCGCTGGCCTATATTGATCACTCAATGATCTGTATTTTCTATTAGCTTAAAGACAATTCTAATGTCTGACAGATAGAAGGTGATCAGTAAACCTTTGCTAATCAATTACTTTATTTAAAAAATTTTCTTTAAAAATTCTTTTGTACAGACAAGGTTTCACTATATTGCCCAGGCTGGTTTTGAACTCCTGGGCTCAAGCAATCCTCCCGCTTTGGCCTTCCAAAGTGCTGGGATTACATGGCTAAGCTACCATGTCTGGCCCTAGTCAATGAATGAACGCTGGGAATTCATGTCCCCCACATTAAAAGAGCTGTACTTGTACCTGTGAGATGCCTCGAGTGGAGCTGTAGGAACTGGTAATGGCATTGCGGCTGGAGCTAGGGATGCCACTTGCGTAAGCGCCTGTCAAGGAGCTCATGGAAGAGCTTCGGGATCTCTTATTCAAGTGGTCATCTGAGCTCTGAGAATTGAGGCCTCTCTTCAGAGACCCAGGCCTAATAAAAGAGAAGACAGTTAGATGCTTTATTGAAGGCAAAATTCTTTTACGATTTCATCCACGGTCATGACATCTTTCTTAATAACATGAAGGGAAGAGAATAATGCTTTTAATTTTTACTGCTAACAATCTGGCCAAATCTATCTGACAAAGTCAGTAAGAAAAGCCAAATATTTAAAACTTAAATGTATGATTTCCATTTATAGAATATTCTGGAAAATGCATACCTATCTACAGTGACAGAAGACAGATCAGTGGATGCCTGGGAACAGGGGTGGAAGTAAAGAGAGGGATTACAGGCATGTGGGAACTTTTGGAGGTGAAGGATGTTCATTATCTTAGTGGTGGGATGGTTCCACAGGTGTATGTGTGTCAAAATGTCACATGCTTTAAACAAGTACGGTCTATTTTATGTCAATTATATCTCAACAAAGCTATTAAAAAAAAATCAGAGTTAAGAGGAACCCATCATTTTACTAAACCTCCAATGGAAACAGAAATCTCCTACGCATCTTTTCTGTAGGACAGTCATCCAACCTGTTACAATATAGACAACTCTCTCCTAGAGTGACCCACGTCAACCATGAACCAGTTTATTCTTACAGTGGATTACAGTGTATTTCCTCTTTCACCCACGGATCCTATTTGAAGTCAAACAGAGCAAGTTATTTTGCTTCTTTCAAGGGACAGTCCTTTGGTTTTTTGGAGACCATTGTCCTTCCCTCACTTATTTCTTTATTCCCCCTGAGACTTTTCTCCTCTGGGCTAATACTTCCATACCTCCAAAACCCCAACATCCACCACCACCCCTTTGGGCTGTTGCAAATCTCCTTAACATCTTCATTGCTTCACTGGGAATGAATTTCCGTTTGTGTACATCCTCCCTCGCAGTGCAGTACACTGATCTGACCACAGTGCTCCACGGACAGTGAGCAGAACTACGGAAGGCAGGAATACCATCCACCTGCCTCATTCTAGTCTTTCTTCTAACAGCACAGACCAGGAGCACTTTAGCTTTCCTGGCGGCCACATCACACTGCTGACTCAGATGAGGTACCTAAGGTATCCTAAGTCTTTCCACACATACTTTTGAGCCACTTTCCTTTCCACCCAATTCTTCCTCCAATTTGTTTTTAAACTGACATGTAGAAATTTAACATTTAGGTTTCATACTGTTTTATCCACTGCACAAACTTTGCAATCCTTCTGTGTATGTGCTTGGTTATTAAATATATTTATAAAACCTCTTAAGTCTCAGCATATTTCATCCATATTAATGCAAGAACATTAAAAGGAATTAGACAGAAGGCAGTTAACTGTGGCAAGTTACTCAAAACGTTCCTAATTTCAAAGACGTGAACCTGAACCAATTAAGCAATGCAAAAAACAAAGAGGAAAATCTATAGGGCAACAGCTCTGATCAGGCCTTTTTCCAAACAGTTGGTATTTCATCCGGATGGACTCCCACTTACTTAGGCACAAAAGAAGCGGGGACTCCATTGGCCACCAGGGGCTCAAATGCTGAATGTCCACTGCCACTGCTATCATGGCGCCTGCGACAAATCAAAAAAGTCTCAATGAAATGACATGACTTTTTTTGTCCCTTTAAAGTGTATTCTCATATTTCTGGGACCTTATACTATCTCTATGGAGCACAGATTCCATGATAGACCAGAAAATGGTTGTTTAAAATCCCTAAGCTTCTGAAAGGTAAATTTTTTTTTTTTCAGACAGAGTTTCGCTCTTGTTGCCCAGGCTGGAGTGCAATAGCACGATCTTGGCTCACTGCAACAAACCTCTGCCTCCTGGGTTCAAGCGATTCTCCTGCCTCAGCCTCCAGAGTAGCTGGGACTACAGGTATGCACCACCACACCTGGCTAATTTCTTAATTTTTTGTAGAGGCGAGGTCTCACTATGTTGCCCAGGCTGGTCTTGAGCAACTGGGCTCCAGCGATCCTCCCATCTTGGCCTGTCAAAGTGTTAGGAGTACAAGCGTGCAGCACCACACCCAGCCTTATAAAATGGTGTTTCCCTCAAGAGTCCCATGAGAGCAGGGATTTTGTCTTGTCCACCGCTCTATCCATAGCACTTGGAGTAGGGTCCCATACACAGTGGGTGCTCAATAAATGCTCAGCCACTTCAACTTCCTTTCTTTCTATACTTAGAAAACTATTTATTTATTCCATTTTCATTAGCTTATTCTATAAACCACATAAGGATTTTTTTTTTTTGGAGACAGTCTCGCTTTGTCACCCAGGCTGGAGTATGGTGGCAGTCTCAGCTCACTGCAACCTCCGCCTCCTGGGTTCAAGCAATTCTCCTGTCTCAGCCTTCCGAGTAGCTGGGATCACAGGCGCCCACCACCACATCCAGCTAATTTTTGAATTTTTAGTAGAGATGGGGTTTCACCATGTTGGCCAGGCTGGTCTCGAACTCCTGACCTCAGGTGATCCACCCGTGTCGGCCTCTCAAAGTGCTGAGATTACAGGCCTGAGCCACCTTGCCCTGCCAGGAAATTGGTTTTAACCTCATTACTGATAAATCTACCAAACTCTAGTTTTCATTTTTCTTTCACAAGCATTTCCTTCAGCACAATTAAGACACTGGAACATGGAACTGGTGGTTACCCAAGTAACTGAACACCACAAAATTCCGACGGGAAGACTTAGAGCCTTCTTTCTTGAAAATAAACTTTAACACATTTCTACAAAAGTATGAGGGTAGCGTGGCTAATAGCAGTCAGCTTATCTCTACTACTCACGGAAAAGGTAAATTACAACATCGATCTAACCTGTGCCTTGAAAAGAGCAGCATTAAAACCCTTGTTATTAGATTCCTCCATGTAAGCCAAAGAAGGGGGCCTACGAAGGCTCATAAACTGGAGATGGCCTCTGTATCTATATGGGAATGTCTACATCTCATCCCATAGGAGTCCAAGCGCGAAACCGGCTTAGTACTCTCCTGAGCCTGTTACCTTCTTTTATTTTCCTGGCCATCAAGGAATATTTGGTCTTCTTCCTCCACTGTCCTTTTCTTCTCCTTCTCTTTGAGGGCACTCAGTACTGTCTCCTTTGCACATGGGTCTGGGGCGTTACTTGATGGTGAGGACAGTGTTGAGCTGATTATCTGCTCTGGTCTACAATGAAAGACAAGATTCTAGCTGTAAGATATTTTAATTCCCATGCCATATAGCACAGACTTCAGAAACAAGAAATCAGAAGCTAACCAACAGGCCAAAGTATAATTTATACACTCACAGCAGTTCCCGTTAGCAAGTAAAGCTACTTTTTCGTTAAGAGCAAAAAGTGAAAAACAAAAGGGTTTACTAGAATTTGGTATTTCTCATCAAATAAGCAGCTTCGTCCTTTCTTTTCTGCGTTGTAGTCATGTCATAGGAACAACTGGAGAAGAATAAAGTGGACACGAAAAGGGAGAGTATTCTTCCAACGATAATACTCACATCGCAGAACGCGAAAATCTTCTGTCAGGAGGGGCGATCCTCACAGTCACTGGGCTACACACCATCCTGGAGTTGCGAGGGGACAGCACAGCCTTCTTGTGATAACCATTCCAGCACACGGTGGGAAGTACCCCCAGACAGGAATACTGGGCCTGATGGATCGGATAGCGTCTTCTAGGTGTTATTACAAACCGATTTGGTAAAGTCCCACAATCCCTGCAGAGAATGCGAGACAAATCACGGAACCAAAGCAAAAAAGAATGTCAAATTTTTAAACGGTTAAAAACCCACCAGTTCAGACATTTTCCAAAGAACTTAAGTCTCTTTCTAAGCAACACAGAACACGGTGTTTTTATGGCAACTTTCCCTTATTCCATCTAAGGCCAGAGAGTGACAGCTGCTTAACAGCTGTCTCAACAATGGATTTCAACAGTTTGAGAGGGAAAATCTAAATCTAGACTACATCTAGGCTGCACTAAAATTCGAGGAGTTTTTAGAACTGGAAAGAAGAGAATCGTTTTGGCAACACAACATCTCATTCCAAGAGTCAGAGGCCAGGAGACAGCTGGCACACACCAAGGTGTTAAGGAGGGCAAAACCACACACAATCCCCTTGGGACTTGATGAAAAAGCAAATCGGATTTAAAAGTCAAGTCCTCGATTTCAAGCCAGCCGAGCCAGAGGATGATCTGACAAAATCAGCGCATCTTACCGTGGGGAAGGCCTCCTGGAGGGTCGGAGAAGAGGAGTGGGCAGAGAGGGGTAAACGTGGTGAGCGCGATGGGTCGGCGGGGAGGGCGGGGGGGAGCGCGGCGGTGGGGAGCGCGGCGGTGGGGAGCGCGGCGCCGGGCGGGCAGGTGGGCGGCGGCCAGGCCTATCCCGCAGGTCCTGGCCCTCCGGAGCGGCGGCGGGCTGCGGCGGCCCGGGCTTGCCCAGGTAACTGCCCATGAGTAGCAGTTCCGCAGGGTCAGGTCCTTCGAGCAGGGTCCGCGGCTCTAGGAGGTTTCCGTTGGCTGTCGACTTGGCCAGAGGCGAAGCGAACAGTGTTCGCCGATGACGCGCCTTCCGAACGAAGGAGGACAAGGGGCGCCGATGACGCGCCTTCCGAACGAAGGAGGACAAGGGGCGCGAACCTCGGGGCTCGCGGCTCAGTCCCCACCAGGCCGCGGTAGCCCCCACGGTCAGCCAGGCCAGTGCAGCCGCAGCCGGCACGAGGTACAGTAAGAGGCCAACCAGCGACAGGCCCAGGAGCACCGCCCTGGCCGGCCCGCCGCAGCCCCGGCCCCGGCCGTCCCTGACACTCGCTATGGGCCGCCGCCGCTCGCCTGCTCCAGCCGCCGCAGCCGCCGGAGACATCGCGGCTCCGCGCCGCGGAGGAGACTTAAATATCCCAGCGTGCACCGCGCCGCGCGTCGCGTCATCGCGCGCCCTCTACGTCATGCGCGCGCGACTCCGGGAGACGCTACCGCCCGGCAGCGCCCGAGACCCAACTGGTTTGGAAAATGCCGCCTGCCTTTAACGCCTGTTTCTGACTCTTGAGGTTTTCCGCGTGGCTCCCAGCGCCACATCCATCCGGAGGCGATCCCGTGGAAGGATCGCGTCCAAGATAAAAGGGCCCGAGACCTATGCTTACGTAATTCCTAATCCGTGATCTTTTATGGGGGCTGAATTCCCCTCCAGCACAGCCTGTTACCAGGTACTTTTCACAAACGCTACTAGCGGTTGTGAGTCCCTCCCCCCTCCATTTCTATGTTACAAATTGAAAACGTGGGACGATTACCTACCAAATTTCACATCATGGCCCAGATATCGGGTGGATTTTGTGGCTCTGTGATCGACTTATACCTATGCTAAAGTTAACGGTCTGAGAAGGTAGATTAGTGGTTGCCTAGGGCTAGGGAGTGGGTTTGGGGGTGGGGAATAGAAAGTGACTGGTCATGGTTATAGGCTTTTTTGTAGCACCATAAAGATAGTTTAAAATTAGATTGTGGTGGTGATTGCACCACCCTATGATTTGCATGGTATGTGAATTATATCTTAATAAAGCTGTTTAAAAAGTCTGGTAGTCTGCCAATACACTTTGGTGTAGTTCAGTTTCCTCAGCCATTCATTCATTGATTTATTCATTCCATTGTTTATGTACATTAAAGAGATTAAGGGGGAAAATATAGGATCTCTGATCTTTAGAAACTGTTTAGTTAGGAAGATGTGTAAGTAGAAGATTGCAATTCAGGCCGGGCGCGGTGGCTCACGCCTGTAATCCCAGCACTTTGGGAGGCCGGGGTGGGCGGATCACAAGGTCAGGAGATCGAGACCATCCTGGCTAACATGGTGAAACCCCGTCTCTAATAAAAATACCAAAAAAAAAAAACTTAGCCGGGCGTGCCGCCTGTAGTCCCAGCAACTTGGGAGGCTGAGGCAGGAGAATGGCGTGAACTCGGGAGGCGGAGGTTGCAGTGAGCCGAGATTGCGCCACTGCACTCCAACCTGGGCGACAGACCGAGACTCCGTCTCAAAAAAAGAAAAAAAAATTGCAATTCAGTGTTATCAGTGTGATAACAGGAAAAAAAAATAAGAAGGCCAGGCGCGGTGGCTCGTGCCTGAATTCCAGCACTTTGGAAGGCCGAGGTGGGCGGATCATCTGAGGTCAGGAGTTTGAGACCAGCCTGACCAATATGGTGAAACTCCGTCTCTACTAAAAATACAAAAAATTAGCCGGGCGTAGTGGCGGGCGCCTGTAGTCCCAGCTACTTGGGAGGCTGAGGCAGGAGAATGGCGTGAACCCGGGAGGCGGAGCTTGCAGTGAGCCGAGATCCCGCCACTGCACTCCAGCCTGGGCGACAGAGCGAGACTCCGTCTCAAAAAAAAAAAAAAAAAAAAAAAAAAAATTAGCCGGGCGTGGTGGCGCCTGCCTGTAGTCCCAGCTACTCGGGAGGCTGAGGCAGGAGAATTGCTTGAACCTGGGAGGTGGAGGTTGCAGTGAGCCGAGATCGTGCCACTGCACACTCCAGCCTGGGCTGTCGACAGAGCAAGACTCCGTCTCAAAAAAAAAAGTTATGATAAAGGGGAAGGTAGACAGGGAAGTGCTCCTGGAGCTGAGAGGTCTGGCAGGTTCAAGGCAGATGAAGGAGCACTGTGCAGAAGTCCAGAGATGGAATTGTTCAGTATCGCTGGAGATTAGGGTGTTTAGGGGGATAGAAAAGTTGGAAAGGTATAGATGCCTCTGGGGCAACACAGAGAGATGAGAAGAAAGTGCAGTTTGGGTTCCAGATCCTCCCCAACCCAGTCCCAAAGCAATTCTGCTTCTATTTAATATACTGCGATTTCACATAAGACTTAACTTGAAAAAAAAAGGGGGGGGGGGTTGGGGGGGAGCTGTGTTGCTTAAGAAAAAAATCTCAGTATCAGTAGACTAGTGGGACAAAAGCCAGGCTGCCCTGGGTTGAACAGTGACTGGAAGGTGAAGAAATGGAGGCAGTGACTGCAGACTCCCTACTCAAGAAACCTGGGTAACAGGGGAAGAAGAAACATAGTGTCTAGGTCAGTAGGGGCTCTTTAAACTATTGTGTGTGGCTGGAGTTAAGTGGAGGAGCTACACATAAAAGCCGTCAGGGTACAGATGTCCTGAAACCAAGCAAGATGACTGAGAATTAATGTAAATAGAGAGGTCCATAGCCTGAGCCCTCGGGGCACTCCTGTGTTTAGAGTTCAAGAGATGAACACACAAAGGGCACAAATCATTTAGGAAAATATAGATAAATATGACTACATTAAAAGTTAGCACTTCTGGGCCGGGCATGGTGGCTTACACATAATCTAGCACATTTGGAGGCCAAGGTGGGCGGATCGCTTTGAGCTCAGGAGTTCGAGACCAGCCTAGGCAACATGATAGAACCCAGTCTCTGATAAAAAAAAAAAAAACACAAAAATTTGCCTGGTGCCACGTGCCTGTAGTACCAACTACTCAGGAGGCTGAGGCTGGAGAATCGCTTGAACCCAGAAGGCAGAGGTTGCAGTGAGCCGAGATCGCACCACTGCACTCCAGCCTGGGCAACAGAGTGAGACTCCATCCCCCCAAAAAAAGTTAATACTTCTATATGGGAAAAGACAAGATATGCATCTAAAAGACAAGCCAAGACTGGGAAAAACAACTCTAATACATATAACCAAAAGGGGATTAGTAAGTAGAATTTAAAAAGAACTCCAAAGAATCAATAACAAAAAGATAACCCAATTTTTAAAAAGGACAATTGATACAAAAAAGCTATTGAATGGGAAACACAAATACCTAATAATATACACATATGTGCATATATATACATACACATATACATTTAACCTCACTAGTAATCTAGTAAAGACTAAAGTAACAGGATTTTGCACTCATTTACACACTAGAAAAATTAATTTAACAAGATCAAGTCTTGGTATGGATGTGGAACAAACAGAACTCATGCCGTTGTGGATATATGAAACAGCACAATTTGGAAAGCAATTTGGCAATATCTAGTAAAAAATAAGGGTGAAGAAGTATGTATCCTATAAACCCACAATCCCATTCTGGGTAGATAGTCACTGAAGCATTATTTGTATCACAGACAATTCGAACACACTTCATGGGTAATGTTTATCAACACAAGGATGGGCAAACTGGTATAATTCATATAATAAAATACTATAAAGCAGCTGAAAATTAATCTTTCCAGCTATAGGTTAGTCCTCCTACCATAAACAACTGTAGACATGGACAAAATGTATTGATTAATAAAGCTGTTAAAAAAATCTGGCAGTCTGCTGATCCAGACTTTGGTTTAACGCATGCTGTTGTGGATATATAAAACAGTACAACTTGGCAACTACTTTCAGGCAGAGGACAACAGGAAGCAAAAGACTGATCCCTAAGTGTAAGGAAACTTGTGAGATGAGCCCCAAAGTCACCTAGTTCCTCTACCTGGGGATAATTTCCCAACTGCAGTGCAGAGAGCTGGAGTCTGAGCACAGTAGGGAGATCCCACCGGGCTGAGGAGGCAGAGATCAGGCTGAGATGGCTGAAATGGCAGAGAAATGGGGCAGAAAAAAGAAAGGAGGGCACTATGCAAAGAGGGAGTTCTAGAAATCTATATATGAAACAAACCCACGGCTGAAGGCTGGAGTGATGGGTAATTTCAAGTGTCAACTTGAAGGGACCATGGGGTGCACAGATACTTGGTTGAACATTTATTTATGGGTGTGTCTATAAAGGCATTTCTGGATGAGGTAGTCTTTTCTTTATTTATTTACTGATTTTTATTTTTTGAGATGGCCTGTTGCTCGTTGCCCAGGTTGGAGTGCAGTGGCGCGATCTCGGCTCACTGCAACCTCCGCCTCCCAGGTTCAAGCGATTCTCCTGCCTGAGCCTCAGCAGAGTAGCTGGTATTACAGGCACCCGCCACCACACTCGGCTACTTTTTTGTATTTTTAGTAGAGACTGGGTTTCACCATGTTGGCCAGGCTGGTCTCAAACTGCTGACCTCAGGTGATCTGCCCACCTCGGCCTCTCAAAGACCTGCTAGGATTACAGGCATGAGCCACTGTGCCCAGCCTCTTTAATTTTTGTAGAGATGGGGGCCACCACAAGTCAGACTGGAAAAACTCACAATTTATAGGGCTCTGTGTGGAGTACTCAAGCACCGCAGGAATGGGAAAGAATCAGTCTTAGATTGAGCACTGCTCTGGACCCACCTAATGAATCATAAAAACAAGACCTGAAAGGATCCAACTTTCCAATGATCTTAAATACATCCCAAAACAAAGCTCAAGAAAATGTATATAGGAATAAAAAATTGGCTGGGCACGGTGGCTCACGCCTGTAATCCCAGCACTTTGGGAGGCCAAGGCGGGCGGATCATGAGGTCAGGAGATCAAGACCATCCTGGCTAACATGGTGAAACCCCGTCTCTACTAAAAATACAAAAAATCAGCTGGGCGTGGTGATGGTGACTGGTGCCTGTAGTCCCAGCTACTCGGGAGGCTGAGGCAGGAGAATGGCGTGAACCCAGGAGGTGGAGCTTGCAGTGAGCCGAGATTGCGCCACTCCACTCCAGCCTGGGTGACAGAGCCAGACTCCAACTAAAAAAAAAAAAAAAAAAAAAAGACCATTACTCAAACAAGGTAAAATTTCCAATGTGTGGCATCCTGACATCGTATTACTAGGCATATAAATAAGCAAGAAAACACAGCCCATAATAAGAACAACCAATCAATCCTTATTTTGATCCAAACTAACCCCAAACTGACACATATTAAAATAAGCAGAGAAAGACATTAACATTAATTTTAACTATATCCCACATGTTTACAAAGCTGAGACATAGAAAAATATTAGAAGAAATAATGGCCAAACATTTTCCAAACATAATGAAAAATATAAACCCACAGACCCAAAGCTCAACATCAAGTACAAGAAATACAAAGAAAACTGTAACAAGTCACATAATCAAATTGCTCAAAACCAATGATATAGATCAAATCCTGAAGGCAGCTGGGAAAACAGTACATGTTATTTACACAGGAACAAAGATAAGAATGATACCAAATTTCTTGTCAGAAATAGTGCAAGTGAGAAGACAGCAGTGCAACTTGATCTTTAAAGTGCTGAAGGCAAAAACTGCAAACCTAGAATTTTATGTGTGATGAAAATATATTTTAGCGAAGTGAAATAAAGATATTTTCAGACACATAAAAGCTGGAAGACACTTTAAGGCTGAGGTGGGCAGATCGCTTGAGCCTCAGAGTTCGAGACCAGCCCGGGCAACATAGTAAGAACCTGTCTCTAAAAAAAATACAAAAATAGCCAAGCATAGTGGCACACGCCTGGAGTCTCAGTTACTTGGGAGGCTGAGCCTGGGAGGTTTGCTTGAGCCTGGAAGGTCAAGGCTCCAGTGAGCCATAATTGTGTCATTGCACTCCAGCCTGGGTGACAGAGCAAGACTCTCAAACAATAAATAAAAAGCTGAAAGAATTCATCACCAACAAACACTATAAGAAATGTTAAGGGATGTCTTTCAGGCAGAAGAAAAATACCAGATGGAAATCTGGATCTACACAAAGGAATGAAAGGAATGACAGGCATTGAAAATGGTAACTACCTGAGTAAATATATATGCCTGTTTTTCCTTTTTAAATCTCTTTAAAATATAATTGAGGAATGATATCAGCAAAAGGGCAGAGTAAGACAGCTCCAAGCTCCCATCACCCAACAGAAACATATTAAAAAAAAAAAAAAAAAAAAAAGGCTGGGCATGGTGGCTTACGCCTGTAATCCCAGCACTTTGGGAGGCTAAGGCGGGTGAATCACCTGAGGTCAGGAGTTCTAGATCAGACTGACCAACATGGTGAAACCCCACCTCTACTAAAAATAAAAAATTAGCCTAGCACTTTGGGAGGCCGAGGCAGGCAGATCACAAGGTCAGGAGATCGAGACCATCCTGGTTAACACGGTGAAACCCTGTCTCTACCAAAAAAATACAAAAAATTAGCCGGGTGTGGTGGCGGGTGCCTGTCATCCCAGCTACTAGGGAGGCTGAGGCAGGAGAATCGCTTGAACCCGGAAGGTGGAGGTTGCAGTGAGCCGAGATCGCGCCACTGCACTCCAGCCTGGAGACAGAGTGACAACTCCATCTCAAAAAAACACGGAAGAAACAAGCAGAAATGCCAGAGACGTGCAGAGAAAAGGTCACATGAGGACACAGCAAGAAGGCAGCTATCTGCAAGCCAACGAGAGAAGACCCTGAAGAAGTCAGCCCTGCTGGTGTGGGCAGTAAGCCATCCAGGTGCCGAGGCAAGAGACCGAGGGCACGAGCTGTTCCAGTATAATAAAATATATAAAACAACAAGAGTTATACTAGATCTTGAGCACAGACATGATTATATATGAATATCATTAATCATTAGTTTGTAGCAATTACTCTTTATTCCAATATTATAATAATCCTCGCTCTACAATCATAACCTAGGAAAAACCAGGCCATACAGAGATAGGAGCTGAGGAGACACAGTGAGAAGTGACCAGAAGACAAGAGTGTGAGCCTTCTGTTATGCCCAGACACGGCCACCAGAAGGGCTCCTTGGTCTAGCAGTGACGCCAGCATCTGGGAAGACGCCTGTTGCCAGGCAGACCGTGGTCTAGCGGTACCGAAAAGTGTCAAGGAAAAACACCGGCTACTTAGCAGACCGGGAAAGGGAGTCTCCCTTTCCCCGGGGGAGTTTAGAGAAGACTCTGCTCCTCCACCTCTTGTGGAGGGCCTGACATCAGTCAGGCTTGCCCGCAGTTATCTGGAGGCCTAATTGTCTCCGTGATGCTGTACTTCAGTGGTCACACTCCTAGTCCACCTTCATGTTCCATCTTGTACACCTGGCTCTGCCTTCTAGATAGCAGTAGTAAATTAGTGAAAGTACTAAAAGTCTCTGATATGCAGAAATAATGGCGTAAGCTATCTTTCTCTTTGTCTCCTCTCTCTCTCTCTCTGACTCGGCTGCCAGGCAGGGAAGGGCCCCCTGTCCAGTGGACATGTGACCCACGTGACCTTACCTATCATTGGAGATGACTCACTCTTTACCCTGCCCCTTTTGCTTTGTATCCAATAAATAACAGCGCAGCCAGACATTCAGGGCCACTACCGGTCTCTGCGCATTGGTGGTAGTGGTCCCCCGGGCCCAGCTGTCTTTTCTTTTATCTCTTTGTCTTGTGTCTTTCTTTCTACACTCTCTCATCGCTGCACACAGGGAGAAGCCCACCGACCCTGTGGGGCTGGTCCCTGCAGCTGGCACCTTGATCTTTGACTTCTGGCCTCTAGAACTGTGAGAAAATAACTTCCAGCTGTTGAAACCACATGGTCTGTGGCATTTCGTGATGGTAGCCCTAGCAAACTAATACAGACTTCCTAAATCCGAGAAGGAAAGCTGGGGAGAATTCCTCTGGGAAAGCAGAAAAGCTGGGGAGAATTCCTCTGGGAAAGCAGAAAAGCTGGGGAGAATTCCTCTGGGAAAGCAGGGCAGTCACAAGCACTCAGGTGTTACACGGGCTTTGTCCAGGGCAGGATGCTCGCTCAGAAAGACCTAAGCTTTCACCTTGGCCTGATTACGAGGGTCAGTGCAGGCCCAGCTAAGTGCTGAAGAAAAGCTGTGGTGCAAAGGCAAACTTCAAAGACTGGGAGAGGTGTTTTCTTCCATTTTTAGCTCCTAGTATTCAAGGAAATCTCTATCAAAATGTGAGCTGAACACAAGCTAAAAGAATCAGAGACTTCAGTGACCACACATGAAAATGATAAATCTTTGCAAAAATAGTTTGGAAGTCACTAAATGTATGTACTACTACAGCCTTCAATGATTAAAAACACACTCACTCACAGACACATAGCAAACAATGAGAAGTATCATCTAAATGCCAGAGTTACTACCTTGCAATATTCAAATGTCCATGTTTCAATGACAGTCACAAATCATGCCAAGACAAAGGAACGTATCCAAAATAACAAAATAAATTGATGGAAATCAGCCCTTAGGAAGCCCAGACGTTGGACTTAGCAGACAAAAACTTTTTAAAAACTCTCATAAATCATGAAGTACCTCTTCAAGGAGAACTACAAACCACTGCTCAAGGAAATAAGAGAGTACACAAACAAATGGAAACACATTCCATGCTCATAGATAGGAAGAATCAATATTGTGAAAATGGCTATACTACCCAAAATAATTTACAGAGTCAATGCTATTTCCAACAAGCTACCACTGACTTTCTTCACAGAACTAGAAAAACTACTTTAAATTTCATATGGAACCAAAAACGAGCCTGTATAGCCAAGACAATACTAAGCAAAAAGAACAAAGCTGTAGGCATCACGCTACCTGACTTCAAACTATACTACAAGGCTACAGTAACCAAAACAGCATGGTACTGGTACCAAAACAGATACATAGACCAATGGAACAGAATAGAGACCTCAGAAATAACACCACACATCTACAACCATCTGATCTTCGACAAACCTGACAAAAACAAGCAATGGGGTAAGGATTCTCTATTTAATGGTGCTGGGAAGACTGGCTAGCCATATACAGAAAGCTGAAACTGGACCCTGTCCTTACACCTTATAAAAAACTAACTCAAGATGGATTAAAGACTTAAATGTAAAATCCAAAACCATAAAAATCCTAGAAGAAAACCTAGGCAATACCATTCAGGACATAGGCATGGGCAAAGACTTCATGACTAAAACACCAAAAGCAATTGCAACAAAAGCCAAAATTGACAAATGGGATCTAACTAAACTAAAGAGCTTCTGTATAGCAAAAGAAACTAGCATCAGAGTGAACAGGCAACCTACAGAACGGGAGAAAATTTTTGCAACCTACCCATCTGACAAAGGTCAGGTCCAGATCTTGTAGATTCTTGTAGATCCAGAAACTACAAGGAACTTAAACAAATTTACAAGGAAAAAACAAACAACCCCATCAAAAAGTGGGCAAAGGGCCAGGCACGGTGGCTCACGCCTGTAATCCCAACACTTTGGGAGGCCAAGGTGGGTGGATCACCTGAGCTCAGGAGTTCAAGACTAAAAATACAAAAATTACTAAATTACTCTACTAAAAACACAAAAATTAGCCTGGCATGGTGGTGGGCGCCTATAATCTCAGCTACTTGGGAGGCTGAGGCAGGAGAATCTCTTGAACCCAGGAGGCGGAGGTTGCAGTGAGCCTGGATCACGCCACTGCACTCCAGCCTGGGCAACACAGTGAGACTCTGTCTCAAAACACAAACAAAAAGCTTGGGCGCAGTGGCTCATACTTGTAATCCCAGTGCTTTGGGAGGCCAAAGCAAGTGGATCACCTGAGGTCAGGAGTTCAAGACCAGCCTGGCCAACATGGGGAAACCCTGTCTCTATTAAAAATACAAAAAATTTAGCCGGGTGTAGTAGTGCACACCTGTAATCCCAGCTACTAGGGAGGATGAGGCAGAAGAATTGCTTGAACCTGGGAGGTGCGAGGCGGAGGAGGAGCCGAGATCGTGCCACTGTACTCCAGCCTAGGTGAGTGAGACTCGTCTCAAAAACAAACAAAAAGCAGTGCATGTTGGCTAGTTTGTTAATCAATATTAGTTAGTTATTAGCTCTGAATAGATGCCAGGTAATATGCTAGGCACTGATGACATACTCATGACGCAGAGCTGGTCCCAATGCTAGAATGATCTTTGTTCCTGAGATCCAGGTTGCTGCTGCCACTAGAGGGCAGCCGAAGCTCATCTGTAATGGCACAGTAATGGTTAACCCCAACAATCTAACATTACCAGGGAAGAACTGTCCTGAAGGGCAAAGTACCAAGCTACCTAAAGTTTGTATTGATTCTCTCAAGATTGTTGCTAACAAAATTGTAAAACTGGTCAAGTTTGTGTTTGGAGCCCCTAAGCCTCTCATTTCTTCACCCTCTTCCCTGCAGAGGTGGAGGGAATAATACAGGTACCACCTGTAAGTAAAAAATGTGGCAGAAAGTCAGTTGCATCTCACCAACAGGTGGGTCAGGGTGGGGAGGGAGAGGAGATTCCTGGAGAGGAACGGATCAAGCTGGGAAGCACAGAACTGCAGGCCAGAGACAACTCTGGAAGCAGAAACAGGTGTGTGCTTCCAGGCACACAGACACCAACTGTGTGACACCCACACGAAAAGGAGAAACACACACCTTCTACTCACAAACTCACTATTGACAGTGCACCTACCACCACCTGCTTTGTGCAACACAGGAAACACCAATAAACACTGGAGACAGTGTCAGGCCAGGCATGGTGGCTCACGCCTGTGCTCCCAGCACTTTGGGAGGCTGAGGTAGGAGGATCGCTTGAGGCCAGAAGTTCAAGACCATCCTCAGCAATACGGCGAGACCCTATCTCTACAGCGAGACCCTATCTCTACAGCGAGACCCTATCTCTACAAAAAGTTAAAAAAAAAAAAAAAAAGACACAGTCTCATTCCTTAATGAGTATAAAGAAGTGAAGTCTGTTTCAGTTACTAATTGCACCAGAAACCAATCCAAAACATAGTGGCAAAAAACAATCATTATCATCCGGGATTCTGTGATTCCAACAGGCCTGGCTTGTCTCTGGTCCACGACATGTGGGGCCTCAGCTGGGAAGACATGGAGTCTTAAGTGTGATCAGTGGGAGGGGGCTGGAATCATTTAGAGGCATCTTCATTCACAAAACCAGGAGCTGATACTGGCTGTCAGCCAGGACTTCAACTGACCTATGTAGAACCTGTCCATGTGGCCCCTCCTTGCAGTCTCCCCATTTGGGCTGGTTTGGGCTTCATCACAGTCCGGCAGCTTACTTCTAAGGGCAAGCATTCCACGACAACACAGCAGAAGGGCATGGCATTTTTACAGTGAAGTTTGGCAATCTCATAGCGTCGCTTCTGTCCTACTTTATTTATTGGTCAGGGCAATCACAAAGATGTGCATAGGCTCAAAGAAAAGAGACATAACCCCGACCACGCGATGGAAGAAGTGACACGGTCATGTTATGAGAGGAGTGTGTGGGATGGGAGATAGGGCTGTGGCCACCTGCAGAAAACAGCATCTGCTACAGGCTGTCATGGAAGCGCAGGATGGGGATTTAGCCTACCTGAGGGGTCAGTCAGCAAAGGCCTCTGGGAGGAAGTGAGATCTTCGGCTGAGGATGTGAAGGGCTAAAAGGAGAATGAGGAAGAGTTTCAGGGAGAGGAATCAATGAAACGAGTCCAGAGACGCTGGTGAGTTGGATGGTTTGCTTCAGTATGATGACAATACAGAGGGGCAAGGAGACTGGTGCAGGAGAAGAGAGAAGGTGCCATGTGCTCTGGGTCGTGTCTTCTATGCCAGACTCCCTTAGAAGAGGAGCAGCCTCCAGTCAGCGGTGTCCCAGGAACACGGAGGCTAGACAGGACAATGGCAGCCAATCCCTGCTCCCAAACTGGTGACAGTGGGGAAAAGCTGCATGGTCTAGATCCACCCTGCTCCCTGGCCCCAGTATAGAAGATCAAATTCAATCTGCCCAATCTTATCCAGATAAAGTAAAGGAAGACTGGAAAAAAGAACTAATCCACGGCTCCATCTGCCCATGACTTTCTCTGCTGATGCCGGAGGCAGCTATGGATAAAGAGACGGCACACGGCATGTCCCGACGCAGTGGAGGTGGGGAGACCCCGCAAGTCCACAGGAAAAGAGTTAAGTTGCTGCCACCTGGGCATCCGCTATTCTCTGCTCTTCTGCCTCATCCTCAATTCAGACCATGATGGAGCTGATTTTCTCCCATTTTATACCTTGGATTGAATGGTCTCGAGCTGCTGGTCTTGTCTCCAGAGTCACATCCAAGAGGTTTATCTTTCAAATAAATGCTGTGTATCAATGTACAGTATATATAATTAATGCATGATATCAGACTAAATAATAGATAAGACAAGAGATGAAATTAGAGTTAAGTAGGGACCTGATGATGAAGAGCCTTGTAAATCAGGGAGAGTCTGCGTCATGTGCTTCTCCAGACACAATTTCGACATGGCTGTAGGCATGTACCACTGATGACGCGGACACTGAATTACCCGCCGTGCTGGTCTGTGGCTCTCAAGTTTTGCTCATTCTGCTTCTGCGGGAAATGCCCTGACTCAACTTGGGAAAACCCACTTAGATCTTGTTTTGAAACGGAGTCTTGCTCTGTTGCCAGGCTGGAGTACAGTGGCGCGATCTCGGCTCACTGCAACCTCTGCCTCCCGGGTTCAAGCGATTCCCCTGCCTCAGCCTCCCAAGTAGCTGGGACCACAGGCATGCACCACCATGCCTGGCTAATTTTGTGTGCGCGTTTTAGTAGATACGGGGTTTCACCATGTTGGCCAGGATGGTCTCGATCTCCTGACTTCATGATCCACCTGCTTCGGCCTCCCAAAGTGCTAGGATTACAGGTGTGAGCCACCACGCCCGGCCAGAAAACCCACTTATCTTTTAAGATTCAGCCCAACTGTCACCACCTCTGGGAACCTGTCCTCAGTCCCAAACATATGGCCACCCTCCCTTTGGGGTCCCCTCTCTCCCGTGTCTCTTTTCATTACATTCCTATCAGTTTACTGCACTGTGCTGCGTGTCTTATTTCTCCCACTCTGGCCTGTGGGCTCTTTGAAGACATGGGCTGTATCTCGCCTATCTTTTGATCCCTCACATAGGATATGGTGCGTGGCGAGCACTCACTAAAGGTGTGCAGAGTACTGCATGAGGAAAAACTTCATCCAGGCCAGGCGCAGTGGCTCATGCCTGTACTCCCAGCACTTTGGGAGGCCAAAGAGGGAGGACTGCTTGAGCCCAAGAGTTCAAGACTAGCCTGGGCAACATAGCAGAGATCTCATCTGTACCAAAACAACAACAACTAGCTGGGCATGGTAGCGTGAACCTGTAGTCCCAGCTACTCAGGAGGCTGAGGCAGGAGGATCCCTTGAACCCAGGAAGTCAACGCTGCAGTGAGGTATGATCGCTCCACTGCACTCCAGCCTGGGTGACAGAGTGCAACCCTGCTCTTAAAAAAATAGAAAGTTCATTTATAAACAGAAGTGAACAGGAATCTGACTCTTGTACTTTGGTGGGAGTTTGGGTTATCTTTTACTTGAGGCTGAGGTTATGTCAAAACTAGGGATATAACAACAAGCACCATGTACCGAGTGCTGCTTCTGTGCCACAGGCTCTCCTACATGCTTGCCACGCATTCGTCTATTTCATCCTCCCAATAGTCCTACTCCATGTCCAGCAAGGAGTGAAAAGGCTGAGGCGAGTCACAGGGAGAAGAGGGCCCCAGTGAACAGACGAAATGAGGAAGAAGATCTGGAGAGGTCGCACGAGCCAGAGCGCAAAGGCACAGTGACTGCGGTGCAGGCTCTTTAGCAAGGTGCTTTGGGCTGGAGATGGGGTTTTACTGCCTGTTGCGAGATGGGACATGAGACACAATCAACATGCAAATGGGTAGGATGTTTCATCACACGGAAGCAAAATGTATTGCCGCTAAAATGAGAAGTAACACCCTGAAGGTTATCAAGACAACAATTTTCAATGCCAAATGTTGTTTCCAGTTCCATAGGAGATGGAATAAGCACACCCATTACATTTCTCTTCTAATTACAACTAAAACCCCTGTTCAAAATACATGAAGCAGCTGGGCACGGTGGCTCATGCCTGTAATCCCAGCACTCTGGGAGGCCGAGGCAGGCAGATCACCTGAGGTCAGGAGTTTGAGACCAGCCTGGCCAAAATGGTGAAACTCCATCTCTACTAATAATACAAACATGAGCTGGGCGTGGTGGCGAGCGCCAGTAATCCCAGCTACTAGGGAGGCTGAGGCAGAACTGCTTCAACCCAGGAGGTGGAGAATGCAGTGAGCTAAGATTGCGCTATTGTACTCCAACCTGGCGGACATAGCCAGACTATCTCAATTAAAAACAAATAAATAAATACATGAAGCAACGATCCAATCAATCAAACCAACAAATTCTGGAAAGGTAGAGAAGAGAAGGGCTGACCCAGTGGTGAGTTCCTGGGGTGGTTTGATGGTTTGTTCTTTGGCCTCCTATATACCCTGTCTTATCTGTTAGAGCAGAGTCTACAACCAGGAAATCCCAGTGCCCCCTTCATCCCCTAACCCCCGCAAAAGGAGCCTCATCTTTCGAGCCAAATGACAGCGAAGAGGGCGGCCCTGCGGGACAGTGCCCTTTTGACTACACACACCCTACTCTAGGAAAACAGCCTGAAAAAAGCTGCACCTTCCCCTGCCCCAGATACTGTAGACACTGTGGAACAAAGACCTGTTGACCCTCCCCACCTTGGGCCAACACAAGCAGAGGTGGCATCTCTCCCCTCTCCACCAAGCACTGGAAAGACTGTGTGGAAGGGCCCTGCTGACCATCCACAACCTGCACAAGACTGAACCACAGTAACAAGGTGGCACCCCATCCTCTCTCAAAGACAGTGAGGAGCTAGAAGCAAGGATTCTCCAACCCATTTCCCGTTCCCCGTCCCACCCACCGCAGAATATTCCTCTCTAATCCTAATATAACGTCGTGTACATTTCTGTTACATTCGGATTAAAGACAAGTTCTGTTTAATAATAACTCCAAGAACAGTTGATATATATTTTTTTCTTTTAGAACAGGAGTGAAAGTATATTAAAAAGCTTTAAAGCAGTAAAGAAAGGAAGGAAGGGAAGGAAAGTACACTTGGAAGAAGGCCAAACCCAGTTTTCATATTTTATTTTCGCATTGAAAATCAGTCAGATTTACT
Organism: Homo sapiens; assembly: GCF_000001405.40. Lineage (NCBI taxonomy): Eukaryota > Metazoa > Chordata > Mammalia > Primates > Hominidae > Homo > Homo sapiens. Next base: position 72,910,160 of record NC_000007.14, on the reverse strand, counting down.
TCAGTCTCAAAAGTGTGTTTATGCAAAATTAAATGAACGCTAGCAGCAAGCTGCACTTTTTTTTTCCTAAATGGGAAATGGGTTAAATATGTGTAGAAGTCCTGGCCATGCCCTCGAAGTGCCCATGTGTGAAAACAACCAGGATCAACACAGCAAAAGCTTTGAGAGCTCAACGGCAATGTGGAATACTCTGAGGTTTCAAACTGGCCTCCAGGGCTGGGTGCAGTGGCTCATGCCTGTAATCCCAACACTGTGGGAGGCCGAGATGGGAGGAACACTTGAGCCCAGGAGTTCAAGATCAGCCTGGGCAACAGAGTGAGACCTTGTCTCTACTAAATATAAAAAATTAGCTGGGCATGGTAGTGTGTACCGCTGGTCCCAGCTACTCAGGAGGTTGAGAAGAAGGAGTGACTGAGTCTGGGAGGTTACAGCTGCAGTGAGCTATGACTGGGCCATTGCACTCCAGCCAGGGCAACAGAGCAAGACACTGTCTCCAAACAACAACAAAAAAACAAATTGGCCTCTGGGTTGCACACAGGTGTGGGAGGCCAGAAGAGCTCTGCAAAAACTTAGAAAACTAAATTGATCTTAGAACCAGAGCCCTGCTGGCCACAGAAAGTGCAACCCGAATCTAAACAGGTTGAGTGCCTGCTAATATAGAATATTTATACAGGAACTACATACAGCCTCATAACATAACACTCAAAGTGTCCAGGATAAAGTTAAAACTTATTCCTCATACTAAGAACCAGAAAAATCTGAACCCAGAAAAATTACTCCTCATACTAAAAACCAGAAAAAATCTGAATGAGGAAAGACAATCAACAGATGGTAACACTAAGATGACAAAGATGTTGGAATTATTGCATAGGGATTTTAGATGAGCTATCTTATAAATGGCCCAAGAAGTAATTATGAACACTCTCGAAACACACTGAAAAATATAAAGTCTCACTGTGTTGCAGGAAGTCAGGGACCCCGAACAGAGGGAACAGCTAAAGCCATGGCAGAAGAACATAAATTGTGAAGATTTCATAGACATTTATTAGTTCCCTAAATTAATACTTTTATAATTTCTTACACCTGTCTTTACTGCAATCTCTGAACATAAATTGTGAAGATTTCATGGACATTTATCACTTCCCCAATCAATATTTTTGTGATTTTCTATGCCTGTCTTTAATCTCTTAATCCCATCATCTTCGTAAACTGAGGATGTATGTCGCCTCAGGACCCTGTGATGATTACGTTAACTGCACAAATTGTTTAAACAATATGAAATCTGGGCACCTTGAAAAAAGAACAGGATAACAGTAATGTTCAGGGAACAAGGGAGATAACCATTAGGTCTGGCTGCCTGAGAGCTGGGTGGAACAGAGCCATATTTCTCTTCTTTCAAAAGCAAATAGGAGAAATAACGCTGAATTCTTTTTCTCAGCAAGGAACAGCCCTGAGAAAGAGAATGCGTTCCTAGGGGGAGGGCTCTAAAATGGCCGCTCTGGGAACGTCTGTCTTTTACGGTTGCAGATAAGGGAGGAAATAAGTTCCCGTTTCCCATAGCACTCCCAGGCATATTAGGACGAGGAAATTCCCGCCTAATAAATTTTGGTCAAACCGGTTGTCTGCTCTCAAACCTGTCTCCTGATGTTATCAATGACAATGCATGCCCAAAACTTCATTAGCAATTTTAATTTTGCCCTGGTCCTGTGATCTCGCCCTGCCTCCATTTGCCTTGTAATATTTTATTACCTTGTGAAGCATGTGATTTCTGTGACCCACACCCTAGTCATAGACTCCCTCCCCTTTTGAAAATTACTAATAAAAACTTGCTGGTTTTGCAGCTTTGGGGGCATCACGGAACCTGCCGACATGTGATGTCTCCCCCGGACACCCAGCTTTAAAAATTTCTCTCTTTGTACTCTTTCCCTTTATTTCTCAGACTGGCTGACACTTAGGGAAAATAGAAAAGGACTCACGTTGAATTATCAGGGGCGGGTTCCCCCGACATCATTGAAGATATGTAGAAGAACTACGTTGTAATTTCAGAACTAGAAATTACAATAACTAAGTAAAAAACTCAATGGGTGAACTCAATAGCAGAATGGAGATACAACAGAGAAAAAAATTGGTGACCTTGATGATAGAGCAGCAGAAATGATCCAATCTGTATCATAACAATCTTGCCATAAGAAAAAAAATTACATAGAAATAATCCCATTTGACCAACAGAGAGAAAACAAACACACACACAAAAAAAGAACAATGGGACAACAGCAAACGCTCTCACATTCATGTCACTGAATTCCCAGAAGGAGAGGAAAGAGTGCAGTGCCCAAAAAACATCTGAAGAGGCTGGGCGCGGTGGCTCACGCCTGTAATATCAGCACTTTGGGAGGCTAAGGCAGGAGGATCACTTGAGGTCAGGAGCTCAAGACCAGCCTGGCCAACATGGTGAAACCCCATCTCTACTAAAAATATAAAAATTAGCCAGGCGTGGCGGTGCATGCCTGCAATCCCAGCTACTCAACAGGCTGAAGCAGGAGAATCACTTGAACCAGGGAGGTGGAGGTTGCAGTGAGCTGAGATCACACCAGTGCACTCCAGCCTGGGCGACAGAGTGAGACTCTGTCTCAAAAAAAAAAAGCAATGAAGAAAAATCCAGAAAGATTTTTTTTCAGAAGAAAAAGTATACAAATTAAATTTTAAAAAAGAAATTTAAAAAAGCAATAAGACGGTAAATATCTGGGTGAATATAATTTCTTGAGTTTAAAAATTATATTTGATGGGCGAAAGCAAAATCATAACATTATCTCACGTGGTTCTCAACATATGTAGAGGTGATATTCAAGACAACAATACCATAAAAAAGGGCAAAGGGGCCTAGAAAGAAGTAGAGTTTCTACATTCCACTTGAACTGGTAAAAGGTTGATACTAGCCAACAATCATAAGTATGTATAATATAATCTCTACAGCCACCTATAAAATCCTATACAAAAATATATACTAAATGGCATACTGAATTGATTTAGCACGGCATATGAAGTTAAATGGCATACTAAGAAATGTCTAAATACCCCATAAAAAGGCAAGAAAAGGCAAACAGGTATAAAAAAACCCAGAGGGAACAACTTAGAAAAGAGATAATAAAAACCCATCTAAAATTAAGTATAAATCTTCTAAACACAGCAATCAAAAAGGTTGTTGGAATCTGTTTTTTTAAAAATGACTCATGGCCAAGTGTGGTAGCTTATGCCTGTAATCCCAGTACATTAGGGGGCCGAGGCGGGGGGAATCACTTGAGCTCAGGAGTTTGAGACCAGCCTGGGCATGATAGTGAGACCCCATCTCTACAAAAAGAAAAAAAAAAAGATTAGCCAGGCATGGGGGCACATACCTATAGTCCCAGCTACTCGGGAGGCTGAGGTGAGAGAACCACTCAAGCCCAGGAGGTCAAGGCTGCAGTAAGCCGTGACTGCACCACTGCACTCCAGCCAACAGAGTAAGACTCTGTCTCAATAAATAAATAAATAAATATCAATAGTCACATAAGATGGCAGAGTAGGAAGCTGTAGTGTAGAGATCAGTCCCTTCACTGAAGCAACCACTGAGCTAGAAAGAGTGATTGGAATCAGCTCTTTTGGAACTCTGAAACATGACCAGAAACTCCTAACAACCAGAGACATACTTAAACAATGAAGGGAGAGGCTGCTGATCTTCACCAGTGAGTGGCATGTGCCAACCAGCCAACACTCCCCAATTCCTGAGCCTGAGTTCCCGAAGCAGCTGGCTGATGCCAGGGCGAGCAGCGGAACTCTGTCCTCCAAAACCGTGGGTTCTGCACCTTGGTGGGTCCGATGGGTCTCTGAGGACCAGCCCGGATGCTTGCCTTGGTTTATTTGGCCCTCTCAGCAACAGTGGCTTCCCCAGGGACATCCTTCAGAAGATTTTATTAAAGAGACAAAATCCTCCTCTGCCTCACCCCATTTAAAGCCCCCTATTTAAGGAAATCGATGTTAGGTGGCTGGCTGACTGCAGAGATAATGACACAGAAATTTCAGTGACCACACAAACACAAGGAAGAAACGCTTTGCAAAAATAGTTTGGAAAAGTAACAAACCGAGAGCTCCAGACCTCAACAAGCAAAACCCAGCAATCCCAGGTGACTGAGAGAATCACATTTTGAGGGTCATTACATTGTAACACTTAAAATGCAACGTTCTCAACAAAAAACTATAAAATATACAAAGAAACAGGATATACGGAAGCTTAGACCATTACAGGAAAAAAACAGCAAAGAAAATCAGCAAACAATACAGTAACTGAACACCATCATCGACCAATGGAACCTAACTGACATTTACAGGAGACTTCACACAGCAATAGCAGGGTACACATTCTTCGCCCATAGAAGATTCAGCAAGATTTACCAGAACCTGGGTCATAAAATAAATCTTTTTTTTGAGATGGAATCTCGCTCTGTCGCCCAGGCTGGAGTGCAGAGGTGCAATCTTGGCTTACTGCAACCTCCGCCTCCTGGGTTCAAGAAATTTTCCTGCCTCAGCTTCCTGAGTAGCTGGGATTACAGGCATGCACCACCATGCCTGGTGAATTTTTTTGTTTTTGAGACGGGGTTTTGCCATGTTGGCCAGGCTGGTCTCAAACTCCTGACCTCAGGTGATCTGCCCACCTCAGCCTCCCAAAGTGATGGGATTACAGGTGTGAGCCACCATGCCCAGCCAAAACAAATCTTAAGAAATGTAAAATAACTGAAATCATACAAAATATGTTCTGTGACCGTAAAAGAATTAAACTAAATCAATTTAAAAAAGAAACCAGAAAATCTCTAAACACATGGAAATTAAATACACTTTTAAATAATTCATGGGTCAAAGAGTAAGTCGCAAGGGAAACTGGAAAACATATTGAATTATTTAAAAGTGAAAATATAACGTGTTGACTGATATCAGCAAAAATGGCAGAGTAGGTATCTCCAAGTCCCCATCCCCCCACAGAAACATTGATAAACCAAGCAAAACTGCCTGAATCAACTTCATGAGAACTGTAGAAAAATAATCAAAGGTTTACAATAACCAAATCATCTGATGTGGCTCTTTGTCCCCACACACATCTCATCCTGAATTGTAATCCCCAGGGGTCAAGGAGGGACCTGGTGGAAGGTGATTGGATCACGGGCGCGGTTCACCCCATGGTGTTCTCGTGATAGCGAGGGAGTTCTCACGAGATCTGATGGTTTTTAAGTGGCAGTTTCCCCTGCACTCTCTCCTCTCTCCTGCCAGCCAGTGAAGAGGGTACTTGCTTCTTGTTAGCTTTCCACCATGATTGTAAGTGTCCTGAGACCTCCCCAGCCAAGTGGAACTGTGAATCAATTAAACCTCCTTTCTTTATAAATTACCCAGGCTCAGGCAATTCTTTCCAGCAGTGTGAAAACTGACTAATACTCCAAATGAACACTGAATCAAGAAAAAAGCAACTTCAAAATGGTAGGAAAACTGGGTTTTTTTACTTGCCCTTGCCCCACAACCTTCCATAGTTCAGTGGGAGCCTTGAAGATGGCAGCCCACATTCCCAGCGTGGTTTCTGGTATTGAAGGCAACAGAGCAGACCTTATTCTCAAAGCATTGTGTTTTCCTGTTCTCAGCTGCCCGAGGGCTGCCAAAAGGACTGATCTGCCTTTGTTTCACCTAACCCAGAACTCACGTAGGGCAGAAAAGTGGCCACACAGAGGGTATTCCTTGAAAACACTGTAAATCAAATGCATACCCCACTGATGCCTAGGCAAAAGATTACAGTTGAGGCAAACTAGAGGCGTGCTAACAGCATGGGAGAAGTTGTGGAGAGTTTCTATGGGAAATTCGGGTACTGAAATTCAGACCTGCCCATGTGTACTATGGAATTTCAGTAGCCATGCACATGCTGAGTGCAGAGCACATTCTCAGAATAGACCTGAGAAAGGATGCTGAGCTTTCATCTGTGGCTCCTCTCCATCCTCCCTGCAGGCAGGGAGTAAAGCCTAGGGCAAAGCTGTACACAGACTGGGCCGGGTGCAGTGGCTCATGCCTGTAATCCTAGCACTTTGGGAAGCCGAGGCGGGCAGATCACTTGAGGCCAGGAGTTCGAGACCAGCCTGGCCAACATGGTGAAACCCCCGTCTCTACTAAAAAATACAAAAATTAGCCAGGTGTGGTGGAAAATTAGCCAGGTGTGGCGGCACAAGCCTGTAATCCCTGCTACTCAGGATGCTCAGGCAGAGAATCACTTGAACCTGGGAGGCAGAGGCTGCAGTGAGCCGAGATCGTGCCACTGCACTCAAGCCTAGGTGACAGGGCAAGACTCTATCTTAAAAAATAAATAAATAAAAAGTTGTACACAGACTGGCTAAGCCCTGAAGGACTGCTCCAGTGCCCCAGCACAGTGGCAATCCACAAAGAGGGAAAGAGCTGGGTTTTTCTTTTTTTTTCTCGTTTTTGGCTCCTGGCATTCAAGGAAATCTCTGTTAAAACACTAGTTGAACACAAGCTAATGGCAGAGAGACTTTCAGAGATTGCACATGTAAAAGAAGACAAACTTTGCAAAAATGGTTTAGAAAGTCACTGAACAAACAGCTACAGCCCACAGCAAAAGCAAACCCAGGGATGGTGGGGAGGATAAAATAATTTCCAGTTACCCCATTATAATACTCAAAATATCTGATTTTCTTTTTTGAGACGGAGTCTTCGCTCTGTCGTCCAGACTGGAGTGCAGTGGTGTGATCTCCACTCATTGCAACCTCTACCTCCCTGGTTCAAGCAGTTCCTCTTCCTTAACCTCCCAAATAGCTGGGATTATAGGCGCATACCACCATGTCCGGCTAAGTTTTGGGATTTTTAGTAGAGATGGGGTTTCACCATGTTGGCCAGACTGGTCTTGAACTCCAGACCTCAGGCAATCTGCCCACCTTGGCCTCCCAAAGTGCTGAGATTACAGGCGTGAGGCACTATGCCTGGCCTCTTTTTTTCTTTTTAATTTTACTTTTTTCTTTTTGGGGGGAAAAGGTATTATAGATGTGAATCACTGTGCCTGACTCCAATTTTCAAAAAAAAATTACAAACCATGCAGTGACATAAGAGAGTACAGCCCATTCACAAAAGAAACAAATTGTCTTTAAGGAAGCACAGACATTGAAAGTACTAGACAAAGACTTTAAATCAGCTGTCTGAAATCTGCTCAAAAAGCTAAAAGAAACGATGAATAAAGAGTTAAAGGATACAAGGAGAACAATGTCTCAACAAAATGCAGAACATCGATACAGAAATAGAAAATATCATAGACAGGTGAGGGGCAGTGGCTCATGCCTGTAATTCCAGCACTTTGGGAGGTTGAGGCAGGCAGATCACCTGAGGCCAGGATTTCAAGACCAGCCTCAGCAACATGGTGAAACCCCCTCTCTACAAAAAATACAAACAATTAGCCAAGTGTGGTAGAATGCGCCTGTAGTCCCAGCTACTTGGGAGGCTGAGGTGGGAGAATTGCCTGAGTGTGAGAAGTCAAGCCTGCAGTGAGCCAAGATTGCACCACTGCACTCCAGCCTGGGTGACAGAGTGAGACCCTGTCTCAAAAAAAAGAAAAGAATGTATTATAGACAAACTAAAGCTTATAGAAAAAAATAAAAAAGGAAAAAAATAGAAATTATTGAAAGGAATCAAAGTCTGAAGCTGAAAAGTATACAAAAATTAGCCAGGCATGGTGGTGGGTGCCTATAATCCCAGCTACTCAGGAGGCTGAGACAGGAGTATTGCTTGAACCCAGGAGGCAGAGGTTGCAGTGAGCCAAGATCGCACCATTGCACTCCAGCCTGGGTGACAAGACAAGAACGAAACTCCATCTCAAAAAAAAAAAAAAAAAAAGAAAGAAAAAGAAAAGTATAAAAATGGAAATGAAAAATTCACCAGACTATTTTGAATTCATTTGAGCAGATGGAAACCACTGAACACATGAAGACAGGTAGATGAAACTATCCTGTCCACAGTTTTTTGTTTTTTGTTTTTTTTTTCATGAGTTTCACTCTTGTTGCCTAAGCTTGAGTGCAATGGCGCGATCTCGGCTCACTGAAACCTCTGCCTACTGGGTTCAAGTGATTCTCCTGCCTCAGACTCTCAAGTAGCTGGGATTACAGGCATGCGCCACCATGCCCGGCTAATTTTGTATTTTTAGTAGAGATGGGGTTTCACCATGTTGGCCAGGCTGGTCTTGAACTCCTGACCTCAGGTGATCTGCTCGCCTCGGCCTCCCAAAGTGCTGGGATTATAGATGTGAGCCACCGTGCCCAGCCTGAATTGTATGCTTTAAAATGGTATATGGACTGGGTGTGGTGGCTCATGCCTGTAATCCCAGCACCTTGGAAGGCTGAGGTAGGAGGATCGCTTGAGACCAGGAGTTCAAGACCAGCCTGGCAACACAGTGAGATCCCATCTCTACAAAAACTAAAAATAAAAAATTAGCCTGAGTCGGGCCAGGCACAGTGGCTCATGCCTGTAATCCCAGCACTTTGGGAGGCCGAGGCAGGTGGATCATGAGGTCAGGAGTTCGAAACCAGCCTAGCCAAAATGGTGAAACTCCGTCTCTACTGAAAAGACAAAAATTAGCCAGGCACGGTGGCGGGCGCCTGTAATCCCAGCTACTCTGGAGGCTGAGGCAGGAGAATCGCTTGAACCCAGGAGGTGGAGGTTGCAGTGAGCCGAGATCACACCACTGCACTCCAGCCTGGGCCACAGAGCAAGACTCTGTCTCAAAAAAAAAAAAAATTAGCCTGAGTCCTAGCTACTCAGGATAAGGTGGGAGGATTGCTTCAGCCCAGGAATTAAAGGCTGCAGAGAGCTATAATCACACCACTGCACTCCAGCACAGGCAACAGAGTGAGACCCTGTCTCAAAAAAAAAAAAAAGAAAAAAAGAAAAAAAGGTGCGTGACTTTCACCTCAATTAAAAAAAATAAAACATATAAAAACCTGTCAGCAGGGCATGGTGGCGCATACCTGTAGTCCCAAGTATTTGAGAGACTGTGGTGGGAGGATTCCTGGAGCTCAGGAGTTTGAGGCTTCAATGAGCTATGATTACACCACTGCAGTCTGACCTGGGCAATAAAGGGAGATGCCATCTCTTAAAAAAAAAAACGCCAAATTCTGTGAGATGCAGCCAAAGTAAACTTTAGGTAAATTCATAGCCCTAAATGCTTACAGAAGAAGCAATAATAAAAAAAAAAAAACTTAAGAATCTGAGCTTCCATTTTAAGAAACTAGAAAAAGAGCAAAATAACCACAAAACAAACAGAAAGAAGGAAATAGAATTAATATAAGAGCAGGCTGGGAGGGGTGGCTCACACCTCTAGTCCCAACACTTTGGGAGGCTGAGGCAGGCAGATCTCTTAAGGCCAGGAGTTCAACACCAGCCTGGCCAACATGGTAAAACTCCATCTCTACTAAAAATACAAAAATTAGCCAGGCGTGATTGCATGTGCCTGTAATCCTAGCTACTCCCAAGCTGAGGTAAGAGAATCGCTTGAACCCAGGAGGTGGAGGTTGCAGTGAGCCAAGATTGCGCCACTGCACTCCAGCCTGGGTGACAGAGCAAGACTCCATCTCAAAAAATAAAAATTAAAATAAAAATGTAAGAGTAGAAATCAGTGAAGTTAAAATAGAAACATTTAAAAAATCAATTAAACCAAATGTTGGCTCTTCGAAAAGATCAATTAAAAATAAGAAATCCCTAGCCAGACTAATCAAAGAAAAAAAAAAAAGCAAAAAGAGAGGATGCAAATGACCAGCATCAGGAATAAAAGGGAGGCTATTAGCACAGACCCTGCATGCATCAAAATGAGATTAAATATTACAAACAAATCTAGGCACCCAGCTCCCACCCTCATTTTTTATAAGTGGGAAAAAGACCCAGAGATCAAATGACTCACTCAAAATGACAGTCAATGACAGAGCAGGGCCTGGGGCCTTAGGACTGATTATCCAAATGCCATCAGAAAACGAGCTAAATCAGAAGCACCTAGTGAGCTTTTAAAAAATAATTCTACAGGGCACAACCCCTGAGATTCTGATTCAGTAGGTTTTGGAGTGATGCCTAATATTCTGAAAATGCCAAAAGCTCAAAAGATGGTTCTCTTGCTTGGCCAGGTTTAGAAAATGCTGTGTCCCACATTACCACCTTCACTCATATGACGACTGTAGAGAAAATCATAAAAATCTGGTGCTCAAGTACGTTTAAATTTAATATAAAGCACCAGGCGTGGTGGCTCACGCCTGTAATCCCAGCACTTTGGGAGGCCGAGGTGGGTGGATCACGAGTTCAGGAGATTGAGACCATCCTGGCTAACACAGTGAAACCCCATCTCTACTAAAAATAGAAAAAAATTAGCCGGGCGTGGTGGCACATGCCTGTAGTCCCAGCTACTTGGGAGGCTGAGGCAGGAGAATGGTGTGAACCCTGGAGGCGGAGCTTGCAGTGAGCCGAGAGTGCGCCACTGCACTCCAGCCTGGGCGACAGAGCGAGATTCTGTCTCAAAAAAAAAAAAAAAAAAAAATGTAATATCAAGCAGGCAGAATAAATCCTGTGATGGTGACCGGGTGAATGCTCTTGAGAGAAATCATGATCTGGAACACCCGTCTCCGACATTTCCCATGGCAGTTAACATTTTTCCACTTTATTCAAATACACATTTATTTGTCAAATATTTGCTGGGTACCACTCTGTGCTAGGTATTGGGGATACAGTCATTTGCATCACAAAGTCCCTGCTCAGTGTAATAAGCACTCATTGAGCACCTACCTATGTGTGAGGAAATGTGCTGCGGGTATCAGAAACACACAAAATAGGCCGGGCACTGTGGCTCACGCCTGTACTCCCAGCACTTTGGAAGGCCAAGGTGGGCAGAACACCTGCGGTCAGGAGTTTGAGACCAGCCTGACCAACATGATGAAACCCCATCTCTACTAAAAATACAAAAAAATTAGCCAGGTGTAGTGGTCAGTGCCTATAATCCCCAGCTACTCAGGGGCTGAGGCCAGAGAATTGCTTGAACTGAGGAGGCAGAAGTTGCAGTGAGCTGAGATGGCACAACTCCACCCCAACCTGGGCAACAGAGACTCTGTCTAAAAAAAAAAAAAAAAAAAAAAAAAAGAAAAGAAAAGAAAAAGAAACACAGAAACACAAAATAAAACAGAGCCTCTCCTCTCAAAGAACTCACCCTCGCCAGTCGGAGACAAACTATACAACGCCTTCCCAGGTATCTCATCCCGTTTCTTAAGTCCAAATTCTGTTGCCACATTGAAGACTCCAGCATTTTTTTTTTTTTTTTTTTTTTGAGACAGTCTCACTCTGTCACCCAGGCTGGAGTGCAGTGGTGCAATCTCGGCTCACTGCAACCTCTACCTCCCAGGTTCAAGTGATTCTCCTGCCTCAGCCTACCGAGTACCTGGGATTACAGGCGCCCACCACCACACCTGGCTAATTTTTTGTATTTTTAGTAGAGACAGGATTTCGCCATGTTGGCCAGGCTGGGCTCACACTCCCGACCGCAGGTGATCCACCCACCTTGGCCTCCCAAAGTGTTGGGATTACAGGCGTGAGCCAACACGCCTGACTGACTCCAGCATTTTTATCTTCATCTCAATCTCATCCCTAAACTCAAAACCAACATATGCAACTGCCTACTTGATGTTTCCATTTGGATATCTAACTAACACCTCAAACTAAACATGTGCAAAGCCAGGTGCAGTGGGTCATGCCTATAATCCCAACACTTTGGGAGGTCAAGACGGGAGGATCGCTTGAGCCCAGGAGTTTGAGACCAGCCTGGGCAACTTAGTGAGACTCCATCTGTCTATTTATTTTCAAAACATTAAAAATTGTTTTTAAAGAAAAAAATAAACCTGACACGTGCAAGACCAAATTCCCAATTTCGCACTCTCCCACCAAACTGGTTTCTCCCACAGTCTTTGCCAACTCAATAAATAACAACTCCATTCTTAAAGTTCACCTAACAAAAATCCTGGAGTCATCCTTGACTCCTCTCTTTCTCTTACACACTGCATGCAAAGCATCTGCAAATCTTTTGGGTCTACTTTCTTTCTTTTTTTCCTAGACAGGGTCTTGCTCTGTTGCCCAGGCTGGAGTGCAGTGGCGTGATCACAGCTCACTGCAGCCATGACTTCCCAGGCTAAAGCGATTCTCTCACCTCAGCCTCCCAAGTCCCTGGGACTACAGGCACGCACCACCAAACCCAGCTAATTTTTTATTTTTTTAGAGACAGAGTCTTGCTATGTTTCCCAGGCTAGCCTTGAACTCCTGGGCTCAAGTGATCCTCCTGCCTTGGCCTCCCAAAGTGCTGGAATTACAGGCCTGAGCCACCACACCTGGCCAGGTCTGCTTTCAAAATACATCCTGCATGTGACCACTTCTATCTGCAGCTGCCTCTCTCATCCATACCTCTGGCTTGTTTTGCCTGGAGTGCTGCCTTATAACCAGGACCCCTGTTTTGACCAGAGTTCTCCTATGAACTGTTCTCAACAGAGAGGCCAGAGAGATCTTTTTAAAAACACTAAGTTGAATCTCATTAGTCCTCTGTTCAACCTGCAAAGATTCCCATTTTATTCAGAGTAAAAGACAATCCTTATGATCCTCACCAGGGCGTGACATGACTCCCTGCTCCCTCTTGGATCTCAACTCTCTCCACCTTTGCCTTTGCTGAACTTCACTCCAGCCTCATTGGCTTTTTCTGCTGTTCTAAACATGCCATGCATATTCCTCTCTGGAATGCTGTTCCTTTGGAGGTAAGCATGGCTCTCTCTCCACCTCCTTCAGCTCTCTAAGTATCTTATCAGTGAGGCCTTTCTCAACCACCTTATAAAAAGTAATCACTTCTCACTCCCAAGGAACTTTTTTCCCGTCACAGTAATTGTCACCATTTGACACATATATTTTATTTTGTTTATTATTATTATTTTTTGAGACAGAGTCTTGCTCTGTTGCCCAGGCTGGAGTACAGTGGCACGATCTCGGCTCACTGCAACCTTAGACTCCCAGGTTCAAGCGATTTCTGGCTAATTTTTGTATTTTTAGTAGAGATGGGGTTTCGCCATGTTACCCAGGCTGGTCTCGAACTCCTGACCTCGGCCTCCCAAAGTGCTAGGGTTACAGGCATGAGCCACCACGCCCGGCCTTGACACATATATTTTAGTGTCCATCTTTTCCTGCAATAAAGTGTATAATTATTAGGGTAACGTGTTCAGTTCACTGTCTTATTCCCAGTGCTTAACAGTGGCAGGCAAATAGTTAATGATCAGTACATATTTTGTGAATGAATGTGACATGTTCTAATAGAAGTAGGAAATGAACACTTCGTGGGATGGGTAAACAGTGGGAGTCATGGCCAAAAATAGTTTAGAATGGATCATTTACTGCAATGGTTTTCAAGCACTTTTCTTTCTTTCTTTTTTTACAGAATCAGGGTATCACTCTTGCCCAGGCTGGAGTGCAGTGGTACAATCACAGCTCACTGCAACCTGAGAACTCTGAGCTCAAGCAATCCTCTTTTACCTCAACATTCCCAAGTAGCTGGGACTACAGGTGCGTGCCACCATGCCCAGCTAATTTAACTTTTTTTCTTTTTTTTGAGAAAGGGTCTCACCCTGTCACCCAGGCTGGAGTGCAGTGGCACTATCACAGCCCACTGCAGCCTTGACCTCCTGGGCTCAAGCAATCCTCCCACCTCAGCCTCCTGAATAGCTGGGACTACAAGTGCATGCCACCACTTCTGGCTAATTTTTAAATTTTTTTGTAGAAATGAGGTCTCCTTATGTTGCCCAGGCTGACCTCGAACCCCTGGGCTCAAGTGATCTGCCCACCTTGACCACCGAAAGTGCTGGGATTACAGGCATAAGCCACCATGCCCAGTCCAGCATATATATATATTTTTAAACTGGAACTCATTTTTTTAAATGGAAGCACAATCTGAAAAAGGAATAAAACCCAAAGATTGACAACGGGCTAGAAAACCAGAAATCCCCAATTCAGCTTCTTCCCCTTACTCTCCCCTTTGAACTCATGATGCGTCTCAAAGCCCAGCTTGAAAGCCACAGATCTAGAGCTTGGATGGCATTCTAATGAGCTAAGCATCTAAACCGACCACAGTTGGGAGCCACTGAAAGTTTTTGAGCAGGTAAATGATAGATTTGATTGATTTATTCATTTTGAGACAGTCTTGCTCTGTCACCCAGGCTGGAGTATAGTGGCGCGATCTCAGCTCACTGCAGCCTCTGCCTCCTGGGTTCAAGTGATTCTCCTGCCTCAGCCTCTGGAGTAGCTGGGATTACAGGCGTGCACCACCACGCCTGGCTAATTTTTCTATATTTAGTAGAGACGGGTTGGCCAGGGTGGTCTCGAACTCCTGACCTCAGGTAATCCACCTGCCTCCACCTCCCACAGTGCTGGGATTACAGGTGTGAGCCACTGCGCCCGGCCTAAATGATATATTTAGATCCATGCTTTAGGAAGATTAGTCTCAAGAGAATGGGTAGACTGAACGATGACAGAAGGAGATGGCAATCAGGAATATCAAAGAGAAGACTGCTGCAATAGTCAAGCTAATACTTAAAGTACAGAAGGAGGGGCCAGGGAAGAGCAGTGAGAATGCAAAGAACAGAAAAATGGAGACAGCTGTCTAGGACCTGGCATCTCCCAGAAGGAAAAGGACGTTCAGAGTAAAATCTGTCAGTTTCATGCCTTAGTGACTGGTGAATTTAGTGAACGCACAGGAGGTGAAAGGCTGGGAGAGGAAGCAAATACCACCACTTCAGATTTAGACAGGGTCTGAGGTATGAAAAAGGTACATACAACTGTCCTACAAACAGATGAAATGCAGTCCTCACATGATATGCCCTGTTGGGAGCCTTTAGGAGCCATCTGGACAACCCTGGTCATTGAGATGGTGTGGAAGAGCAAGAAGTGCTCCAAGTGTGTCCAGAACAGACAGGCCGGGTGCTGTGGCTCATGCCTGTCATCCCAACACTTTGGAAGGTGGAGGTGGGAGGACGGCTTGAGGTCTGGAGTTGGAGACCAGCCTGAGCAACACAGCAAGACTCCACTTCTATAGAAAATTTTTAAAAATTAGCTGGGCGTGGTGGGCAGGCCTGTAGTCCCAGCTATGTGGAAGCTGAGGTGGGAGGGTTGCTCGAGCCCAGGAGTTCAAAGCTGCCATGAGCTATGATCACACCACAGCACTCCAGCCTGGGCAACATAGGGACACCCCATTTTTACCTAAAACTTTTAAAATTAGCCAGGCATGGTCAGCTGTGCGCACCTGTAGTGCCAGCTACTTGGAAGGTGGGGTGGAGGATCTCTTGAGTCCAGGAGTTGGAGGCTGCAGTAAGCCATGATAGCACCTCCGCACTCCCAGCCTGGGCGACAGGGACGGAGATCTCTCTCTCTCTCTCTCTCTCTCTCTCTCTCTCTCTCTCTCTCTCTCTCTCTCTCCTCTCTCTCTCATCTCTCTCTCTCTCTAGAAAGAGTTTTTTTTTTTTTTTAATGAAGTTTCACTCTTGTTGCCCAGGCTGGAGTGCAATGGCACGATCTCAGCTCACTGCAACCTCCGCCTCCCAGGTTCAAGCGATTCTCCTGCCTCAGCCTCCTGACTAGCTGGGATTACAGGCGCCTGCCACCACGCCCAGCTAATTTTTGTATATTTAGTAGAGACGGGGTTTCACCATGTTGACCAGGCTGGTCTTGAACTTCTGACCTCAGGTGATCCACCCACCTTGGTCTCCCAAAGTGCTGGGATTACAGGCGTGAGCCACCATGCCTGGCCTAGAGTCTTTATTTATTTATTTCTTTAAGACAGAGTCTCGCTCTGTCGCCCAGGCTCTGCACCAGAGTGCAGTGGTGCGTTCTCTCCTCACCACAACTGCTGCCTCCCGGGTTCAAGCAATTCTTGTGCCTCAGCCTCCAAATATCTGGGACTACAGGCGCGTGTCACCACGCCCAGGTAATTTTTGTATTTTTCGTAGTCTCATTCTGTTGGCCAGGTTGGTCTGGAACTCCTGACCTCCAGTGATCCACCCGCCTCAGCCTCCCCAAGTGCTGGGATTACAGGTGTGAGCCATCATGCCCGGCCGAGACCTTGTCTCTTAAAAAAGAGAAAACGGGGGCAGGGGGAGGGGGCAGCACAGAACAGAAACAGAACTTTGGGGAACAGAGACACGGCGCCGAGTTGAGCAGAAACCAGGGCAGAAGCACCAGGCAGAGATGGAAGACTGAGTTTCATCGAAGGAGTGGGATCCTGGGACCCAAGGGAGCGGAAGCACAGTAAGTAGGGATGAAGATGGCGAAAGCACCACCTGCCAGAGCGCTTGCTGACGAGCCACACTCCACACCTACTACGTGCTGTCACGTGCTTGACAAAACCCGGCACACAACGCACAATGCTAAAGTTTATTGCTCAACAATGCAAATACAGTTAACATTACCGTACACTTAAAAATGGTTAAGACGGTAAATCGTATGTTACGTTTTTGTTTTTTGAGATGGAGTCTGGCTCTGTCGCCCAGGCTGGAGTGCAGCGGTGTGATCTCCGCTCACTGCAAGCTCTGCCTCCCGGGTTCAGGCCATTCTCTTGCCTCAGCCTCCCAAGTAGCTGGGACTGCAGGCGCCCGCCACCACGCCCGGCTAATTTTTTTGTATTTTTAGTAGAGACGGGGTTTCACCGTGTTTGCCAGGATGGTCTCGATCTCCTGACCTCGTGATCCGCCCGCCTCGGCCTCCCAAAGTGCTGGGATTACAGGCATGAGCCACCGTGCCTGGCCATGTTACGTGGTTTTTAACCACAATTTAAAATTAAATGAAGGGGGCTGGGTGCAGTGGCTCACGCCTGTAATCCCAGCACTTTGGAAAGCTGAGGTGGGCAGATCACAAGGCCAAGAGTTCAACAGAGAACTCCTGGCCAACAGACTGAAACCCCGTCTCTACTAAAAATACAAAAATAGGCCGGGCGTGATGGTGCACGCCTGTAATCTCAGCTACTCGGGAGGCTGAGCACAAGAATCACTTGAACCTGGGAGGCAGAGGTTATCGTGAGCCAAGATTGTGCCACTGCACTCCAGCCTCAGTGACAGAGTGAGACTCTGTCTCAATAAATAAGTAGGCTGGGCACAGTGGCTCAGGCCTGTAATCCTAGCACTTTGAGAGGCCGAGGCAGGTGGATCACAAGGTCAGGAGTTAGAGACCAGCCTGACCAATATGGTGAAACCCCGTCTCTACTAAAAATATAAAAATTAGCCAGGCATGGTGGTGTGCACCTGTAATCCCAGCTACTTTGGGAGGCTGAGGCAGGAGAATCGCTTGAACCTGGGAGGGGGAGGCTGCAGTGAGCCGAGATCATGCCATTGCACTCCAGCCTGGGCGACAAGAGCGAGACACTATCTCAAAATGGAAGGAAGGAAGGAAGGGAGGGAGGGAGGAAGGGAGGGAGGGAAGAGAGGAAGAAAGGAAGGGAAAATATGTATTATCTCGGCAAGTGAAATGCAGATGAAGGAAAAGGACAATGATCATTTGAATGGAAGATGGATCCACTGTAATCCAGGTATGGGAGAATACTGAACACTAATGTCAAAAGAAACAGAATGTGCTGACGATCTGCAAGGCATTTCACAGAAGACAAAGAACACAAACCATGGAGAGAAGACTAGCACAATCAAATACTGGGAGGTGAGGAAGGTAGACAGAATTCATGATTTTGGAACATGCACAGTTTATCATCAGACATTCTGAGAAAGAAGGAAGTGAACTATCTCACTGGTACTGCTATATTGTCAAGTAAAATATTCAACTAGGTTAAAAGTGTCAGACATATCAATTTGGAGGCAAGCTGCAAAAATACACAAGAAAAAAGGTCTTAGAAGTTGAGATTAGATAAACTCTTTTACGGGATACAAAGAAAACCAAAAAAGTGGAAAATGGGTTCTAAGAGGACACTCCTGAAAAGGCAAGAAAAGGAACCGACATTCACTTATGAAATTCACACTTCCTGAATGTCTACTATGGACAGAGCATGATTCCAGTTATGGGGAAGGGGAAATGAACACACAGACAGGTCATAAATGAGCATTGGGGAAAGAGGGGAAAGCTGAGGGAGCGCTACATCATCACATCAACTGAGCATGGACTTGGGGAAATAACGTACACCACAAGCTGTGACTCAATTCACAAGCACAGGTGGAGGACAAGGTTTTGGTATCTGAATGCCTAAAGAAATAAATAAAATCGAGGGCAGAAAATAAGTCCAAGGTATTTTTAAAGCAAGGAAGGAAAGAAACTGGAAGATAAAAAGAATGAACATAAAAGTCTCAAGTTAATTTTTATGTCAGACTTCTGAATGCCCCAGAATGAAACAATTCTGTAAGGCTGGGAGCAGTGGCTCAGGACTGTAATCTCAGCACTTGGGGAAGCTGAGGTGGGCGGATCACTTGAGACCAGGAGTTCAAGACCAGCATGGCCAACATGGTGAAACCCTGTCTCTACTAAAAATACAAAAATTAGCCAGGCTTGGTGGCATGTGCCTGAAATCCCAGCTACTCAGGAGGCTGAGGAAGGAGAATCGCTTGAACCTGGGAGGTGATGGTTGCAGTGAGCTGAGATCATACCAGTGCACACCAGCCTGGGTGACAGAACAAGACTCCGTCTCCAAAAACCAAACAAAAAAACAAACAAACAGCCCACAACAATTCTCTAATGGTGAGGGAGTAAATAAGTGACCGATAATGCTGGAGGAAGAGGAAGTGAATGGGTCCCCAGTATAGGTTAGAATGAAAAAATCCCTACCAATGTAAATCAAATATAAAATAAACAAAAGAGTTCATGTATGTGTGCAGGAAGGAAAGTGATATTTGGGGGTTGGGAGGTGTTACTGAGGGTACCGAATACATATAAACAACTCTTTAGTCACTCCCAAAGGTCTGGGATGAGCATTTTTTAACATTTGATACTCTACTAACTTACCTGGACTATGTTGACATGGAAATTCACCTCCCGTTATCCACAGCTCCTCTCCCTGCTCCAACTTAATGATGACGTTTGGCTTGGTGATATCATATCTTGTTAATGGGAAAAGAAGAAGGACTTGGGCAAGTTGCTCGGCTTCAGATCTCCGAAGTACAAGATGTTGCCACCTCATAAGCTGCATAACAGAAATGCTCCATTTTTTACCTTATCAAAGTTAGAACCTTTCAATGAAGAATAATATAAACACTGCAGCTAGTGCCCACAAGGAATTAAATGGTGTTGTCACTTATTTCTTCAAACTCAAGCATAAAACCCCATTCAACTGAGAGCATTCAGAAAGCAAGCTATCCTCACCCAGGGAAACTAGATGGCTGTAGTTCTCCAACATCACATCCCCGTATGTTATCTTCTCATCAGGGTCCAGTTGCCACCACTCCTCCTGGGTGAAATCCACAGCCACATCTTTGAATGACACTGGCCCCTGTAATGGCAACATGATCAGAATTGGGAGATATGGAAAAGGGATAGGGGGATAACATTTTACAAAGCTCACTGGTGAAGTTAACCATGAACATTGTATACCTTATTTTATGTTACAGATTATGGAAGGGAAATCATATTGGAAACACATATCCTTTGGGGTCCTTTATATATATACAAAAATAAAAACCCAAAACACAACTGAGCTCCTATTTTGCAACTGAACTGTGTTTTGGGGATATGAGATGAGTGAAACACCATGCCTGCTCTCAGAAAGCAGACAACCTAATAAGGAGATAAACATGTAAACAAACACAAGCATTTTACTCCTTGTCACTTCTTTTAGTCTTCTTTGCTGCCAGGCGCTCCCCTTCTCCGGGACCTCCTCATGTTGGAGTGCCCACCACTCAGTTCCTGGTCTTCTTCTTCCTAACTCACTGCTCTGGGGCTCTCACCTAGTTTCAGCTCCTTGTTCTTTTGGCTCTTTTATTCTCATAGCCAGTGGCCTCTGGCTATCTGCATGACTGATTTTATCTCAAACATCTCAATCTCACAGCAATAAATATTCGTTAAATGAATGAATGCCCAAAGCTGTTATTAGAGTAATGCAGACAAGGTGCAGAATGATTTAACAAAAGAGGATCAAATTAGTTTAACTTTATGCCATCAGATTAGGCTTCACAGACTCAGTTAACTTGAAGTCCTTAAAGATGAATTGTGTATTCTATGGGATGAAGGGGAGGAAGAATATGATGAGGTGTAAAAGTACCAATGGCAAACATGAAGCAGCTTCAATTTTTAAGAGGTTGGGGCTGGGCATGGTGGCTCATGCCTATAATCCTAGCACTTTGGGAGGCCGAGATGGGAAGATCGTTTGAGCTCAGGAGTTCGAGACCAGGTTGGGCAACATAGTAAGAACCTTATCTCTGCTAAAAATAAAAATTTTTTTAAAAATTGGCTGGGCATCATGGCACATGCCTGTAGTTCCAGCTACTTGGGAAGCTAAGGCAGGAGGATGGCTTGAGCCTGGGAGGTCAAGGCTACAGTGAGCTGTGAATGCAACACTGCACTCCAGCCTAGGCAACAGAGCGAGACCTTGTCTCAAAAAAAAAAAAAAGAAAAATGCAAAGCTCCTGGGCTCCAGCAATCCACCTGCCTTGGCCTCCCAAAGTATTGGGATTACAGGCTTGAGCCAGCATGCCCCGCCCAAACTTGTAGTTTAGAAAAAGGAAGTGCCCAATAAGCATGTTGCATTATCCTGTTATTTATAAAGAACATATCAACAAGGGGTTCAAACCCAGTGATACAGCTAGGACCATGTAGATCCCAAGAGATAGCAGAGGCAGAGCCGCTAGGCTGGTGGGCTGAGAAACTAAAGCAGAACATCCAAGCTTATCCACAGGCAGGCCAAAGGAGCTGATAAAATCACCAAGAGAGAGTAATAACTTTCTGGGTTAAGTTAGTCCAGAAAGCAAGGAGGTGGTAGGGGTTAGAAGACTGATGGACCAATAAATAACATAAAATTACATGTCAATACCACTTACATCAATACAAATACCCAAAATGAAACATAACCAAACAAAATCCAGTACCAGATTAAAAACATAATATACAACAGACAAATAGGACTTATTCCAATAATATAGACTAGTTTAATACTTGGAAATCTATTAATATGATAAGCCACTATAACACAGCAAAGAAGAAAAATCTTGTATCCATGAAGATACTTGAAAAAGCTTGACAGAAAAAGCTGATTTAAAAAAACAAACTAAAGAAAATAGAAACTGATGGATACTTCATTAACATCAATATTATTATATACACAAATATAAATATTACACCCTAATATGCCATAGTACGTATGATATGTGACATATGTATTTCAATTACACACAAGCACATATATACAGTTTGTGTGTATACACACACACACACACACACACACACACTCTTATGCCTCAGTCTTCTCGGTCCGAAAGTCAGGATTTTACTTAACAGGGAAAAACTACATATCTTCCCACTAAGATCAAGAACAAGGTATTAATAAAATGCTCATTATCTACAATTAGAGAAGAGAAAACAATTAGAGGAATATAACTAAGAAAAAGTAAAAGTGCTTGGGCACAGTGGCTCACGCCTGTAATCCCAACACTTTGGAAGGCCAAGGTGGGCAGATCACCTGAGGTCAGGAGTTCAAGACCAGCCTGGTCAACATGGTGAAACCCCATCTCTACTAAAAATCCAAAAACAACGACAAAATTAGTTGTATTATTAAGGTCAACTTAATAATACAGAGATACCAGTTTCCCTAAATTACTTTATAAATATGCAATCCCAATAAAAATACCAAAAAGCTTTTTCCTGGAACTAGATAAGCTGACACTACAGTTCATATGAGGTGGAAGAAAATCAAAAACAGCTCAGGGAAAAAAAAATTTGGACATGGATAAAACTGGATCCAGGCCAGGTGTGGTGGCTCATGCCTGTAATCCCAGCACTCTGGAAAGCTGAGGCAGAAGGATTGCTTGAGGCCAGGAGCTTGAGACCAGCCTTGGCAACATAGCAAGACCCTGTCTCTACAAAGAAAAAAATATATATATTAGAAAAAACATATAGACAGAGACATGAGGACTTCTGCCCTCAGGTGTGATAAATTAACAAGTACTGGATATACCCTCCAACCTGAAACAGCACACACCAAAGAAAAACAAAATCAAAAACAGAAAGAAAAATAAAACAAGAACATATACGAAGCAATGATTTGTTTTTTTGTTTTTGTTTTTGTTTTTTGTTTTTTGAGATGAAGTCTCGCTCTTGTCTTCCAGGCTGGAGTGCAATGGCACAATCTCGGCTCACTGCAACCTCTGTCTCCCGGGATCCAGCAATTCTTCTGCCTCAGCCTCCCGAGTAGCTGGGATTACAGGCGTGCACCAGCATGCCCAGCTAATTTTTATATTTTTAGTAGAGATGGGGTTTCACCATGTTGGCCAGGCTGGTCTTGAACTCCTGACCTCGTGATCTGCCCGCCTTAGCCTTGTTGTTGTTGTTGCTGTGATTACAGGTATAAGCCACCATGCCTGGGCTGAAGCAGTGGTTTCCAAGGCACTGATTATCAGGCAGTAGAGTTATCTATGAGTGATGGGAAATAAACAAGGTGAACCAATCAACTTCTGCCTTGAGCGTTTCCAGGCCATGGAGCAGAGAAGAAGAACCGAGGCAGATGTGAGGAGAAAGAGTTGTGGGATGGGAAAATGGGCAGGAAATTACAACCCATAAGGAAGAAAAGAATCAGTCCATCAAAACTGGCCCAGAATTGACACAGAGTTCACAACCGGCACAGAGCACTGAGAGAGTTCATCGTTCTATTCCAAATGTTCAAAAAAATCAAGACAGGCAAGATGTAAAAAAGACCCACGCTAACCTTCTACAGATAGTACAATATCTGAGATGAAAATTATACTGGAAAAGATGAACAGTATCGTGGAAAAAAGAGATTAGTGAATATAAAGACAGCAACAGAAGTTACATAAAATGAAACAGAGAAAAAAGAATTAAAAGCAAATAAAGAGCAACAGTGTGTTGTGGGAAAATTTCAAGTGGCCTAATATACAGGCAACAAGAATCAATGGAGGGGAGGTGGCGGGTACTTGAAGAGATAATGATAAAAATGTTCCCCCAAGTGATGACACCATAAACCCAAGATCCAAGAAGTTCAATGATCCCCAAAACAGAAACATGAAAAAAATGATACCATGACATATTGCAATCAAATTGTCCAAAACTAGTGATAAAAAGTTTAAAACAATAAGGGGGGAAGAAAAAAAGACATGTTATATATAGGGGAACAAACATGAGTATGAGATCAGATTTCTCTTAGAAAAAAATGTAAGCAGGAAGACAACAGAGAAACATATTTAAAGCACTGTGGAGAAAAATCCAGCAAAAACACCTTTAAAAGCAAAGACACAATGAAGACATTTGCAGACATATAATAATTCATCATCAACTAGAAGAAATGTTAAAGAAACTCCTTCAGGCAGAAGTAAAATGACAGCAAATAAAAATTTAGATTTACACAAAGGAATGAGGAGTACCAGAAATGGTAACTGTGTATTTTCTCTCATTACTTAAATCTCTTTAAAAGATACCTGGGCCAAGTGTGTTGGCTCACACTTGTAATCCCAGCACTTTGGGCGGCTGAGGCAGATGGGTGACCTGAGGTCAGGAGTTCGAGACCAGCCTGGCCAACATGGCGAAACCTCGTCTCTACTAAAAATACAAAAATTAGCCGGGCGTGATGGTGGGTGTCTGTAATCCCAGCTACCCAGGAGGCTGAGGCAGGAGAATCACTTGAACCAGGGAGGCAGAGGTTGCAGTGGGCCAAGATAGCACCCCTGCACTCCAGCCTGGGGGACAGAGTGAGACTCTGTCTCAAAATAAATAAATAAATAAATAAATAAATAAATAAATACTGTTTAATTAACAACAACGTAATAGATAGTGTGTGGCACTGATACCACCTGTAAAAATAAAATGAACAACGGTGTAAAGACCAAGAGGAGAGAAATGGAAGTGTCCTATTGTAAGCTTCTCTTATTCTAAGAAAAATGGATATTACTTAAGAATAAACTATGACAATTAAAGTTGCATACTATAAATTCTAACTCACTAAAATAACAAAACAGTGTGATAGCTAAAAACTCAACAAAAGATATAAAGTAGAATCATAAAAAATTCTCAACTAATCAAAAGGAAGGAAGACAAACAGAGACATTTTAAAAAGAAACAAAGAAGATGAGACTAAAAGAAAGCAAAGACAACGGACTATAACCTAACTCGTTTTATCAATAATCACATTACATGTAAACGGTTTATACATCCCCAATTATGAGACAGAAATAGACTGATGAAAACAAGCAAGATCCAAATTTTGCTGCCTGTAAGAAATAATACTTTAGATATAAAGATGCAAATAGGTTAAAAGTAAAAGGATGGAATAAGATATACCATGCATGTATTACTCAAAAGAATGCTACATAAATAACAAAGTACATTTCACAGCCTGGAATATTAGCAGGGATAAGGAAGGCCATTTTACAAAGTGGTTAATTAATCAACAGGACGTAATAACCTTGAACATTTATGTATCTAACATAACACATAAAGCAAAAAGTGGTAAAATTGCAAAGAGAAACAGAACCACAACTGCAGCAGATTTCAATCCCCTCTCCCCCACAATTGATACAAGTGGGCACACAATCAACAAGGATATAGTACACCTGAACAACACAACCAACCAACTTGATCTCATTAACATTTATCAAACACTCCACCCAACCAGAGCAGAACAAGCCATCTTCTCAGGCATGCACAGAATTTTCCCAAGACAGATCCTGTTCTGAGCCATAAATTTAAGAGGTTCCATGTAGCATTCCAGACAAAAATTCACAGTCTAAATCTAATCATGAAGAAAGATCAGGGAAACCTAAATTTAAAGACTTCTATAAAATCATTGGCCTGTATTCTTCAAATGTTATAATGGCACTGCGGAACAAATCCGTATTAAACAGACTTAAAAAGCATGAAAACTAAAGGCAATTAACAGTCCTAGACTGAATCTTCTACCAAAAATTAAAAATTGCTATAAAGGAAATTATTGGAAAATTGGCAAAACTGGAAAATGAACTATAGTTTAGATAAAAGTATTAAATCAATGATAAATTTCCTGAATTCAATTACTGTGCTATGGATATTTAATAGAATATTCTTGATTTTATGAGCTACAATCTAAAACTTTATAGGGTAAAGAGGCATGACACGTTATACCCACTCTCAAATAGTTCAGAAAAAAAATATATATATATAAATATATATATACACACACGTATATAGGCATATAAATGATTAATGTGGGAAAATGTTAAGAATGAAGTATCTGAACAAAAGGAAGTATCTGGGATTTCTTTGTAAAATCCTTGCAATTTTTCTGAAAATCTGAAATGATTTCAAAATAAAATGCTAAATAGAAAATAATGCTATCAAATATATGTATATATTTGCTATCAAATATATATTATATGTATATATTTGCTATCAAATATATATTATATGTATATATTTGCTATCAAATATATATTATATGTATATATTTGCTATCATATATATCAAATATATTTCAAAAGGACTCAGAAACCAACTTAAAGGGATTCCGTCTGGCCAAAGATGGAACCACTTAATTTTCAAAAAGAATCACAACTTCTATGTACTGAAACATTTACTATCTGTTTAAACCCATGAGCTCATGATGGTAACAAAACAAAATACCCTCCTGCTTAAAAGCCTACTCAATATTTTAGAAACTGTCTTTCCTGCATGAATTACATAAACAAATAGAGAATAGAAATTTATCTTTAGAAAAGTATTCTAGGCCAGCCGTGGTGGCTCATGCCTATAATCCCAACACTGGGAGGTCAAAGAAGAGGATCACTTGAGCCCAGTTCAAGACCAGCCTGGGCAACATAGAGAAACCTGTCTCTAATAAAAATTAAAAAATCCGCTGGGCATTGTGGCATATGACTATACTCCCAGCTACTTGGGAGGCTGAAGTGGGAGGATCACTTGAGCACAGGAGTTTGAGGCTGCAGTGAGCCATAAATGTGCCAGCCTGGGTGACAGAGTGAGACTCTGTCTCCAAAAAAAGAAAAGAAAAGTATGTTGGCTAGTAAATAAAGAAGAAATGGTAGAATTAGCAGATCACCATTTTGCCTCCCCTAATGAAGGCAAATCACAGCAATAGTAAATCACAGCAATAATCAACAGTCAATAGTTCTTAACTTCACAAAAACAAAGAAGGTAACACGTGCCTCCAGAAGTAGACAAATGCCACGTATGGTATAGTTGTGTGAAAAGAACTGAACATAAACCTGATTAGACTTCCAGATCAAACTACCAATTTTACCAAGGCATACAAGATATTTTTAAAAAATGTGCTAAAGGTGAAACAAGGGTAACACAATCCAAACTGAGGATAACCAACCCAGTTTCTTCAAAACAATGAGCACGCAGGAGACATACTATGGGAACTATTAAAAGATTTAACCCAACTGCCACATGTATTAAGAAAGAGAGTATTATGGGTTATTCCTAGCCCCTTTTAAAAAGATTCCTTATTGGCCAGGTGTGGTGGCTTACACCTGTAATCCTACCACTTTGGGAGGCCAAAGTGAAAGGACTGCTTGAGGCCAGGAGTTTGAGACCAGCCTGAGCAATACAGTGAGAATACATTTCTAGGCCGGGAGCAGTGGCTCACGCCTGTAATCCTAGCACTTTGGGACGCCGAGGCGGGCAGACTGCCTGAGCTCAGGAGTTCGACATGCATGACACGGTGAAAGCCAGTCTCTACTAAAATACAAAAAAAATTAGCGAGGTGTGGCAGCATGCACCTGTAGTCCCAGCTACGCAGGAGGCTGAGGCAAGAGGATCGTGTGGGCCCAGGAGATTGAGGTTGCAGTGAGTTGTGATCACGTCTCTACATTCCAGCCTGGGTGACAGAGCAAGACCCTATCTCAAAAAAAGAAAAAAAGAAACAAAACAAAACAGACTTCACCATTTAAAGACAAACAAATACTTACAGATGAATCTTTTTAAAAGCCAAGAAAAGAGAGACTCCATGGAGAAAATATCAGTTTGGAAGTAACGGATGTCAAAGGCAGACAAAGGGTCCTGTGAGGAAGGGGCTAGGAAATGCCCGCTGGATTTGACTGCAATTAAATCACTGGTCACCTTTACTGACTGACTTAGCAAAGTGAAAAGGACAAAACGAAAACACTGAGAAGTGAAATGAGAAACAGAAATGAGGAAATCTTCACAAGAGAGTAACTGTTTGTATTGTTTGCTGTGCAACCCGAACAAAAAGACGAACAAATATTTGACGGATGATCACGTCATTCATTCCCCCCATGATCTAGGACTCAACAGTAAAAACAGAATTGTTTACTTGGATCACGATATTTCCGTCCCTGGAAAAATTATATGCACCAAGTTCTCCTTGGGCAGCAGGCCCTCTGCTTACATAAGCACCAAGAATAAGCCATAAGTCAGCAATTTAATGGTTGTTGTTAGGAAAGCTATCCACAATTATACCAACTTGAATGAAGAAATTTTTCAAAGTCCTAGAAAATCTTTTAAATCCACAAGTAACAAAACTGGTTTCTCCTTATAATCAATGCAAACGATGTCATGGATGGTGATATGGTTTCGGTGTGTGTCGCCTCCCAAATCTCATGTCCAATTGTAATCCCCAATGTTCCCTCTTCCTTCTGCTCTGGTGATGGAAGATGCACCCACTTTCCCTTCACCTTTCACCTGACTGTAAGTTTCCTGAGGCCCCCTCAGCCATGCTTCCTATGATAGAGCCTGCAGACGTGAGCCAATTAAACCTCTTTTCTTTATAAATTACCCAGTCTTGGTTATTTCTCTATAGCAGTGTGAGAATGGACTAATACAGATGGCATTTTCCTTTTGTGATGACTGCCAAGAATATCAGTCCTTGGTGCGGCTCAATTTCAACAGCCTTAAAATATACTACCCATACATACAAGCTTCACAAATCATTTTTGGTGCTGATCTGCCACACTAACTGTATTTTACAGGATAATGTCTATTTCCACTTTCCCATTTTAAAGTATGAATCCTGGCTGGGCTCGGTGGCTCATGCCTGTAATCCCAGCACTTTGGGAGGCTGAGGCAGGAGGATCACCTGAGGTCAGGAGTTTGAGACCAGCCTGGCCAACATAGTGAAACCCCATCTCTTCTAAAAATACAAAAAATTAGCTGGGCATGGTGGCGCACGCCTGTAATCCCTGCTACTCAGGAGGCTGAGGCAGGACAATCACTTGAACCCAGGAGGTGAAGGCTGCAGTGAAGCGAGATCATGCCACTGCACTGCAGCCTCGGCAACAGAGCAAGACTCCATCTCAAAAAAAAGAAAAAAAAAGTATGAATCCTTACAAACCTCTTAAAATGCATCATAAAATAAAATTGAGGAACATATACACAAGCAGGAAAACTCACCTGCAATGTGTTCATTTTCTGCTGCTCTTGGAAACTTGCAGAGACTGTGGCTGATAGACCTAGAGGGGCAGAAGCAGGTCACTGAAGTCATGAGGGCTCCGGCCTGCAAAGGCAGAAATCACCTGCATAAGAACCGCAAAAGAAAGCTCAATAGGCTAACACCCTGTGAACACTCAACCTGCAAACACTCAGAAGGGTCTAAAAGAGTGATACAGGGTTTCGCCATGTTGGCCAGGCTGGTCTCAAATTCTGGCCTCAAGTGATCCGCCTGCCTGGGCCAACATGGCAAAACCCCGTCTCTACTTAAAAATAACAAAAAAATTAGCCAGGCATAGTGTCACATGCCTGTAGTCCCAGCTACTCAGGAGGCTGAGGCACAAGAATCCTTTGAACCTGGGAGGTGGAAGTTGCAGTGAGCCGAGACCACGCTGTTGCATTCCAGACTGGGTGAGAGACACTGTCTCAAAAAAAAAAAAAAAAAAAAAAGAGTGATAGGGGAAGCATGCGCCTGTAACTCTAAGATAATCAGGTAGTAATTAGATGAGTTAGACTCTCATGGGTAGCACGACTCCTTTTACAAATAGTCTGCCATCATCATCAAATACAAGGTGCAAAAAGAAAAAAAAATTCCCATTATACGGCTCATGTTTTTTGTGGTTTGTTGGTTGAGACAGGGTCTCAATCTGCCACCCAGGCTGGAGTGCAGTGGTGCATTCACGGCTCTCTGCAGCCTCGACCTCCTGGGCTCCATCCATCCTCCCACTTCAGCCTCCTGAGTAGCTGGGACCACAGATGCATCCCAGCATGCCTGGCGACTTTTGTATTTTTTGTAGTCAGGGTCTCCCCATGTTGTCTAGGCTGGTCTCTAACTCCTGGTCTCAAGAGATACTCTTGCCCTAGCCCCGCAAAGTGCTCGGATTACAGGTGTGAGCCACTGCATCCCGCCCGCATTTTCTTATTGTCTCTTTAAACTGCTTAAAATAAAATAAGCCATAGGAATTGAGTATGTGAGCTCTCAGAAATGAAATGAATGTGTATAAAATATGGTTTTGTTTCTAAATTATCTAACTGAAGTTGGTTATTGCTGCACCTAATAATCTTCTATTAAGAAAACTAGGATACGGGAGAAAGAACACTGGCCTGGAAGATAAGTCTCCTGGGTTCTACTATGAGCAGCTCTACCCACAAAGCCGGTGACCTGGTCAAGTCACCCACCTGCTAAGGCCCAGTCTCTTCCCCTAGCAACTGAGGCAGCAGCAGAGAATCCCTGCAGACTGTTCCTGCATTACTACGATTCTCCCAGGGCAGATATAAGGGGGTGATCAGCAGACACTTAAGTGAGAGAATAGAAGTGCTGACGGACGTTTAGAGGCGGTCGAAATCTGGAGCACAGAGAGGAGGAGGAAGGACTGTTAGGGGTTAGCGGGGAGTGGAGATGACGTCCGCAGCTGAGGGTGGTGACACCCTCCACGCTTCCGTAAGCCTTGTCCTCCCAGATCTTCCCATGCAGCGCCTGTTCGGTGCAGCCGGACCTTGCCCTCAAACCCAACACATGTCTCTCCGGCAAGCAATCGGGACGCTCCCTCTGCCCCACACTCTAAGGTCCCCAACACACGGTGACTTCACTCAGGCCCTTCTCGCTCCGGGCCCGAAAACCCAAGACTTACCCTCCTGGGGCTCTGCAGCCTCTGCCCCACGGCTCCCGAGAGGCCGGGGCGGGCTGCTGTCGCTGGCGCGCGCGTCTGCTCGCGAAGTCCCCTCCCGTCCACCTCACCAAGGCTGTTCTGCTCCCGAGGGGCCCGGGCCGGGCCTACGGGGCAAATCCAGGCGGGTGTCCTTCTCGGGGCCCAGATCCGCCTCCCTGGGGCTCACCGTACAGCGACGGCCGGCGCCAGGCCGCCGAGGACACACACGGGCCAGGCCCAGGTCCCGTCGCCCCTTCGCCTCCGCCACCACCTCCCGCCTGGCCCCTCTGGCCCCAGCGCCGCTGGCTCCGGGGTTCACGCTCGGGGGTCCCGGCTCGAGCCTCTACCCGGCCCGCGCGAACCCTGGGCCGCACAGCTCCCGCCCGCCTAGGTGCTGGCCCGGGCGGTCAGCGTCCAGCCCCGCAGACTCGGTGATTCTCATCCACTAGAGGCCAAAGCCTGGGAACTAGAGCAAGCGGTGACCTGAAGAGGCGCAGGAAGCGAGGGCAGTGCGGAGGTGGCGCGCATGTGCGAGCACGCACGCGCGAACACGCACGCAGGGAGAGGTGCACACGCGCAGGAGTGCACCGGAAGTCCGCCTCCTGGGACACCCACCGCCGTTCCCAGGACAAGTAACGGACTCTATTTCCTATGAGCCTACGCGCTCCCCAAGTTTAGGGGCCGTCTTAAATGTCTCTACCCCGCCTAAAGGTTAAGAAGCTCCAGGCTATGAGCTTTGGCAGCCCTGAACCCCAGACTGAACTTCACCTTTGTCTTTACTCCCTTTTAGGGTCAAGTCCAGGGCTGCGTTACTGGGTCCTGGAGCCCAAGTCCTCTGGGTTAGAACCAAGTTTCCCATAAGGAGAAGGAAAGGAAAGGGTGTATCATGGTCACTGCTCTGAAATGCTGAGAAGTTTCACTCAAATACTGGGACAGGATAAATGCCCAGCGATGCTTTCCAAGGAACAAAAAGAAAATAGAATTTGTAGCTGGGTGTGGTGGCTCAAGCCTGTAATCCCAGCACTTTGGGAGGCCGAGGCGGGCAGATCGCGAGGTCAAGAGATAGAGATCATCCTGGCCAACATGATGAAACCCTGTCTCTACTAAAAATACAAAAATTAGCTGGGCGTGGTGGCGTGTGCCTGTAATCCCAGCTACTCGGGAGGCTAAGGCAGGAGAATCACTTGAACCTGGGAGGTGGAGGTTGCAGTGAGCCGAGATCACACCACTGCATTCCATCCTGGCGACAAAGCGAGACTCCATAGCTTTTCTAGATCACACAGCGAATGCCTAAAAACTGTAGAGAAATAAGGACATACACACACAAACTGAACGAAGAAGAGATACCTGTGATCTTACCTTCCCCAGGAGGATTATGTTTAGGGTTAGGTTATGTTGACCAAAAAGAGTCAAAGTCTGTAAAGAGTTTTATTCTGGGCCTCCTATTTGAGTGACCATGGCTGGTGACACAGCCTCAGGGGGTCCTCAGAACGTGAGCCCAAAGTGATTGGGTTACAGCTTGGTTTTATGCATCTTAGGGAGACAGTAGTTACAGGCAAAGACATAAATCAATACACGGGAAGTATATGTTGGGTCAGCCAGGAAAGGCTTTCAGGTCACTAGTAGATTGAAAGATTGGCAGTTGGTTCAGAGTTAAGTGTTGGCTGAACAGCTGGAAGACTACATAAAGAAATGGGCTATTGCGGTGGCTCATGCCTATAATCCCAGCATTTTGGGAGGGTGAGCTGGGAGGATCCCTTGAGGCCAGGAGTTCAAGGACAGCCTGGGCAACACAGTGAGACCCCCCACTTCTACAAAAAAAAATAATTAACCAGGTGTGGTGGTGCATGCCTGTAGACTCAGCTACTCAGAAGGCTGAGGTGGGAGGATCGCTTGAGCCTGGGAAGTTGAGGCTACAGTGAGCCATGATGGCACCACTGCATTCCAGCTTGGGCAACAGAGAAGAAAGAGAGAGAGAGAAAAAGAGAGAGAGGAAGGAAGGAAGGAAAAGAAAGAGGGAGGGAAAAAAAAGAAAGAAAAGTTTGAGTTAAGATAAGGGGGATTGTGGAAACCAAGGTTCTTGTTATGTAGGTGAAGCCTCAGAACAGGCTTCAGAGAGAATAGATGATAAATATCTCTTATTGGATCTTAAAAGGTGTCAGACTCTCCAGAAAAGACCTGGAGTCTTTTCTGTAAGGGAAAGAGATTCTCTACAGAATGCAAATTTCCCCCAAAGAGATGGCTTTGCAGGACTATTTTAAAATTTGTCAAAGAAAATATGTTATGGGGTAAAATACTGTGATTTACTTCAGGGACTGCTATCTGTCATGTGATGCTATGTCAGAGTCTGGTTGGAGATGGGTATCTTACTGATAAAAAGAGCCTGTTTTGTCAGTCCTATGATCTCTATTCTAATAGAGATCATAATGTTGGTCAGCTGTGCCTAAACTCTGACGGGAGGAGAATTATGACAAGGCATGTCCAACCCCCTCCTTCCCATCATGACCTAAATTAGTTTTCCATGTTTATTTTGGATCCTGTTGGCCAACAGGGGAGTCCACTGAGTCAGTTGTGGGGGCTTAGAATTTTATTTTTGGTTTACAATTAAAATGTCAGTTTTCAAAAATGGGATCATAAAGACAATGATTCATCACAATTTTTTGGTGAAATCTAACAGTGTTCTTGCCCAGTTGTTTCATAAAAACTGGTAAGGAAAAGACTAAAAATAAATACTTCTGAGGCCAGGTGCAGTGGCTCACGCCTGTAATCCCAGCACTTTGGGAGGCCGAGGCCGGCGGATCATGAGGTCAGGAAATCAAGACTATCCTGGCCAACATGGTGAAACCCCGTCTCTACTAAAACACAAAAAATTAGCTGGGTGCGGTGGTGCGTGCCTGTAGTCCCAGATACTTGGGAGGCTGAGGCAGGGGAATCACTTGAACCTGGGAGGCAGAGATTGCAGTGAGCCGAGATCAGGCCACTGCACTCCAGCCTGGGAGACAGAGCAAGACTCCATCTCAAGATAAATAAGTAAATAAATAGATTATTCTGTTAACCTAGAATATTCTCTCCACAAATTCAGAAAATAAAGAAAACAATTTTATTATTGAATAAGCATTAAACCAGACTGTGATGCCCATCACAGGTGATCCATTAATGAGATGCAAAGAGAAATAAACCCTCCTTTTTTTTTTTTTTTTTTTTTTGAGACAAAATCTTGCTCTATCGCCCAGGCTGGAGTGCAGTGGTGCGATCTCGGCTCACTGCAACCTCTGCCTCCCCAGTTTAAGCGATTCTCCTGCCTCAGCCTCTCAAGTAACTGAGACTACAGGTGCGTGCCACCACACCTGGCTAATTTTTTGTATTTTTAGTAGAGATGGGGTTTCGTTATGTTAGCTAGGATGGTCTCGAAATCCTGACCTCATAATTCGCCCACCTAGGCCTCCCAAAGTGCTGGGATTATAGGCGTGAGCTATTGCACCCGGCCAAAGTGTCCTTTTTATATAGCCTGGCAGATACAATCCATTGCATACATGCTCTCAAGATAAATAGTAACTCATCCTCATGCAAAAGGACTTGCTATGCAGTTTTTTTTGTTTTGTTTTTTTTGAGACAGGGTCTCATTCTGTCATCCAGGCTGGAGTGTAGTGGTGTGATCTTCTTGGCTCACTGTAACCTCCATCTCCTGGGTTCAAGTGATTCTCGTGCCTAAGCCTCCCAAGTAGCTGGAATTACAGACATGTGCCATCATGCCCAGCTAATATTTGTATTTTAGTATAGACAGAGTTTCGCCATACTGGCCAGGCTGGACTCAAACTCCTTCTTTCGATTTCTGTGTGGCTTCAAGTGATCCGCCCGTCTCAGCCTCCCCCAGAGTGCTGGGATTACAGGTGTGAGCCACCGTGCCTGGCCTGCTATGCATTCTTAAACACTCATCCTAAATTCACCTGGAAATCAACGTGGCCATCCATGCTAGTTAATTACCTATATCCAATGAAAAAATAAAACTTCTCACATCTCCTTGACAAGCAGGTAGTAACAGCTCAAGTTGCCTAGGCTAAACTCCCTAGGCAACAGGAAGATAGGGACACTATTTTCCTCCAGGTTTACATTTCAAAGACAAGACTCTTAGGCTCTTAAGAAAAAAATTCCTGGATTGTGACCAGGCACGGTGGCTCACGCCCATAATCCCAGCACATTGGGAGGCCGAGGCTGGTGGATCACCTGAGGTCAGGAGTTCAAGACCAGCCAGACCAACAAGGTGAAACCCTGTCTCTACTAAAAATACAAAAATTAGCCAGGCGTGGTGGCAGACGCCTGTAGTCTCAGCTACTCAGGAGGTTGAGATGGGAGAATTGCTTGAACCCGGGAAGTGGAGGTTGCAGTGAGCCGAGATTATACCCCTGCACTCCAGCCTGGGTGACAGCGAGATTCTGTCTCCAAAAAAAAAAAAAAAAAAAAAAAAAAAATTCCTGGGTTGTAATGTTGGCAAGAAGTTCATTTACCTTTTTAAAAGATTTAGGTACATATCAAAGGCACAAAAGAAGTTATTTATATTACAAGGTTTATCAAGGAAATACTCTTTAAAAAGGAGAGGAGATAAGGTTAATTTCCCTTTTGGCAAGTAAGACAAATGTAATCTTTTTTTTTTTTTTTTTAGAAAATCCATACAGTGAGGGCTGGGCATGGTGGCCCACATCTGTAGTCCCAGCACTTTGGGAGGCCAAGGCAGGTGGATTACTTGAGGCCAGGAGTTCGAGACCAGCCTGGGCAACATGGCGAAACCCCATCTCTACTACAAATACAAAAATTAGCTGGGTGTGGTGGTGTGTGCCTATTGTCCCAGCTACTCTGGAGGCGGAGGCACGAGAAGTGCTTGAACATGGGAGGCAGAGGTTGCAGTGAGCCGAGATTGAGCCATTACAATCCAGTCTGGGCAACAAGAGTGAAGCTCTGTCTCAAAAAATAAAAAAATAAAAAATAAAAAACAAAAACAAAGAGCCTCTTTTCCCTCTCCCTGCCACAGAGTTGTCTTCAGTAATTTCATTCCCTTTTTTCCTGAGGGTTCACTGGGTTTCTGGGTCCCAGAAGGGGAAGTTCTCTTCAAGGTACAGAAACCACAACTCCACAGAGAACCGCAGAGACGGCAGCATGACCAGACCCTGGCCAGGTTTGGGGAGGCTGCTGGGCTGAGACTTGGGCTGAACTTCCGCTGCAGGTCGACTTATTCCCATCAGCACCAAAGCTGCTGGAGGGGGTCATCCAAAAGCAAAGGAAGCAGGGGCGCAGCTTGGAGGCTGTTTCAGAAGGTCCCACTGAGCCAAGGACTCAAGGCCTGGCCACAGCCCTCCCAAGCGAGGCCCAGATCATATTTCACCATGCTCAGAAAACCTTGTCTGCTCATTTCAGTCCACAGTGATTTTGCTTTCTTTAGGATCTCTCTTGAACTGTCCAACCCAGAGAGTTTCAAATCGGAATGGATTCCAATGATGGAGCTAAATCAGGCCCCACCTTAGTTTTTGAATTACAATCAATAGGGCTGGGTCGCAGCATCTGTATCTTAATGTTCCTCCATGTGATCCTCATGCTGAAAGGCTGGTATTTGCAAATCCCTTTTTTTGGGGAGTGGTTTTTTTTTTAGAGAGAGGCCTCACTCTGATGCCCAGCCTGGAATGCAGTGGTGGATCACAGCTCACTGCAGCCTTGAACCCCTGGCCGCAAGAAATCCTCCCACCTTAGCCAACCAAAGTGTTGGGATTGCAGGAGTGACCACTGTGTCTGGCCAGGAAAGCCCTTCTGTTTCACTTGAATGATATTTCTGCAGCATACCTACAGCCATTGTTGTATTCAACTGCATCACTGTGGGAAAAGAAAAGGTGAGAGGTGACTGTTTTGCTTTTTTCTGAACATATCAGACCAAACCTGGGCTATTTAGCCATTTTTTTTTTTTTTTTTTTTTTTTTTTTTTTTTTTTTTTTTTTTTTGCGATGGTGTCTCGCTCTGTCACCCAGGCTGGAGTGCAGTGATGCAATCTCGGCTCACTGCAACCTCTGCCTTCCAGGTTCAAGCGATTCTCCTGCCTCGGCCTCCCAAGTAGCTGGGATTACAGATGTGCACCCCCACGCCCAGCTCATTTTTTCTGTATTTTTAGTAGAGACGGATTTAAACATGTTGGACAGGCTGGTCTCGAACTTCTGACCTCTGGTGATCTGTCTGCCTCTGCTTCTTAAAGTGGTAGGATTACAGGCACGAGCCACCGCGCCTGGTTTGCCAATTTTTTGACAACATATCAACATCATTTACGATGGGCATGGCCTCAGTGTAGTGTGTCTAGACAAGGTGGCCGGAAGAGAGAGGAATATGCAAACCAGGCTTGAAGATGGGTTAAATCAGAGCTTTTCATTCCACAAAAGAGAAATTTTAATGGGGTCAGAACATTGATCTTCTAATATTTGAAAGCCTGTTAACTAGGAGAGAGAGAGCGAACGATTTTGTTGTAGGAGGACCCACCCAGCTCTGACGGTTTAAAGCGTCATGAATGCGAATTTGAACTCCAGAAAAGCAGAGCTTCCTAACAATGGGACTTCCACAGCAATGGGATCTGCTTCCTCTTTCAGTGTGTGCCTTTTCTGTGAGCGAGAGACTCCTAGGAAAGCAGCAGCCCATTAGGAAAACGTGTGGGAACTCATTCGCAGGTTCTTTATTTTTTTTGAGATGGAGTTTTGCTCTTGTTGCCCAGGCTGGAGCACAATGGTGCGATCTTGGCTCCCTGCAACCTGCGCACCATGAGTTCAAGTGATTCTCCAGTGCCCTCTCCTGAGTAGCTGCGATTACAGGCATCCACCACCATGCCTGGCTAATTTTTTGTATTTTTAGTAGAGATGGGGTTTCACCATGTTGTCCAGGCTGGTCTCAAACTCCTGACCTCAAGTGATCCACCCACTTTGGCCTCCCAAAGTGCTGGGATTACAGGCATGAGCCACTGAGCCAAGCTGGGAACCCACAGGTTTTTTGGATGGTCTCTGAATGTCATGTAACTCTTTTATTTTTTATCAAAAAAAATTTTTTTGACACAATATCTTGCTGTGTTGCCCAGACTGGAGTGCAGTGGCAAGATCATGGCTCACTGCAGCTTCTAACTCCTGGGCTCAAGTGATCTTCCTGTCACATGAGTCTCCCAAGTAGTTGGAACACAGGTGCCAGCCACCACACCTGGCTAATTTGGTTTGGTTTTGTTTTTTTAGAGATGGGCTCTTGCTATGTTGCCTATACTGGTCTTGAACTGCTGGCCTCAGGCAATCTTCCTCCCTTGGCCACCCAAAGTGCTGGGATTACAAGCATGAGCCACTGTGCACAGCTGAAATTTTTCGACTTAGTCTTTTTGTACATGTGATATTTTATTCATAGAATCCATAAATGGAAGGGAAATTTCTGAGTTCAGAGCAATACATATGATACAAAACTTGATATATAGACTAGAGTTTCTTAGCCGAACTGGAGAGGCTGGCTTAGGTAATCCATGGATTCCCTGAAATTGGGGACACCATTGGAAATATGTGTGAGCTCAGGGGCAGTTTCCTATGATTTTTAGGCCTCAAAATGTCTCTTGGACTCAAAATTGCCTTAGGGCAGAGGACGTGTGTACCCCCAGTATAGAATCTCAGAGAGTGAATGTGAGTAAACATTCGGCAGAAAAGCTCTGCCAAACTGAGTGCTCTGATGTGACTTTTTCATCAAGTCAGTATTCTTGGGATCTCTTGTACATGATAATCTCACTCTTGTACATGATAATCTCACTCTTATAAGGTTTCATCGTTTCTGCTTACCCTAGTTTTCTTTCCCACTCTGTTCCCTCTCCCACCAGACTGGACACTGAAATGGGCATGTACAGAGACGAAGAGACCCCAATATGCTTCAGGCTTTGAGTGGAGAGGACACAGCCTCTGCTGGGACAGGGAACAGAGGGATGTGGAGTCCCTGAAGATGCTTTTGGACAATGGTCTGAGGTTGGGACAGTGGCAGGAGATACCATTCACCCAGGATCTCCAGTACAAGAGATCAGCCTGGCAGTTACACGTGTTTTTTTTTCAAACTGGTTGCCAGGTTGGCATGAACGATGACATCAGAGATTCCGACCTTCCTGATTGGAGGGACCGGACTCCGTGGTGCCTGGAGATCAGTTGGACAATAGTATCTTCTCAGAGCTGTTCTCCACTCCTGACTGCTCCTAGGCTTGAGAATTGATAACATACTCTTCTGGATCCTAGCAGTGTCCAGAAGAAGGCCATGGACAGAACGGAGACTAGGTTCCGTAAGAGGGGACAGATTACGGGAAAGATCACGACCAGCCGTCAACCGCACCCCCAGAATGAGCAGAGTCCCCAGCGGAGCACCTCGGGGTACCCCCTCCAGGAGGTGGTGGATGATGAAGTGTTGGGACCATCAGATGAGGGGACTGGTGGAAGAAGAGGTGGGATAGGATTGACTAAGACGAAGGAAGGGGGCCGGGTGTGGTGGCTCACGCCTGTAACCCCAGCACTTTGGGAGGCCGAGGCGGGCGGATCACCTGAGGTCAGGAGTTCAAGGCCAGCCTGGCCAATATGGTGAAACCCCATCTCTACTAAAAGTATAAAAATTAGCCAAGTGGTAGTGGTGCACACCTATAATCCCAGCTACTCAGGAGGCTGAGACAGGAGAATCACTTGAGACTGGGAGGAAGAGGTTGCAGTGAGCTGAGATCACGCTACTGCACTCCAAAAAAAAAAAAAAAAAGAAAAAAGAAAAGAAGGGTCAGCGGTCAGGAAGGAGAACCTGAGGAGGGTGTGTGGGAAGAATGGAGAAATTCAGGCTGGGTGCAGTGGCTCACACCTGTAATCCCAGAACTTTGGGAGGCCAAGGCAGGCGGATCACTTGAGGCCAGGAGTTTGAGACCAGCCTGGCCAACATGGTGAAACCCTGTCTCTACTAAAAGTACAAAATTGAGCTGGGCATTATGGCAGGCACCTGTAATCCCAGCTACCTGAGAGGCTGAGGCAGAAGAATAAATGGAATCCAGGAGATGGATGTTGCAGTGAGCTGAGATTGCACCACTACACTCCAGCCTGGGTGACAAAGCAAGATTCTGTGTCAAAACAAAACAAAACAAAAAAGGAGGGACTCAGAGAGCCAGGGACCAGGGAAGGACATGAAGCAGTGTTCCGAGAACAGAGAGAGAGAAGAATGGGGAGGGGAAGGAGTGGCACATGGGGTTGAGCAGAGGAGAAAGTCAGAAAGATGGCTTGGAGAAGCCAGCAGTCTGCGAGTCTGGGGAGGATGGAGAGTGGTTTGGGGTTTTGGGTCGGGGTCTAAGGTGATCAGATGCAGAAGCATTACACGGTGGCCTGGTTTCTTTACTCAGCCCCTGGGGTAGATCCCAGCCCCCCATGTAGGAGCTCGCCCCTGAGCCTGAGGAGACCTGGGTAGTGGAGACGCTGTGTGGGCTCAAGATGAAGCTGAAGCAACAGCGAGTGTCACCCATCCTCCCTGAGCACCACAAGGACTTCAACAGTCAGCTTGGTAGGAGGACACCCCAGAGAGCACCTCCAATCCTGTTCTTTCTAAAAAGAGGAAACTTCCAATAACCACACTTTTCCAATGGGAAAGATACGCCCCCAGTGGGTGAGCTCTCCATGCAGGAGGACTCAGAAGTGATCACTCATGAGGGACACTTAGGAGACGATAGAGGACTAGGCTAGACTTGATAAAGGTTGGCGCTTGGCATGAGAAAGCTTGGTTTCGGGCCAGGTGCAGTGGCTCATGCCTGAGATCCTAGCACGTTGGGAGGCTGAGGCAAGAGGATTGCTTGAACTCAGGACTTTGAGGCTGCAGTGAGCTATGACTGCACCACTGCACTCCAGCCTGGGTGACAGAGCAAAACCCTGAGTCAAAAGAAAAACGAAGGCCGGGTGTGGTAGCTCATGCCTGTAATCCCATTACTTTGGGAGGCTGAGATGGGTGGATCACTTGAGGTCAGTTGTTCAAGACCAACCAGACCAATATAGCGAAACCTCATTTATATTAACAATACAAAAATTAGCCAGGCATGCCTGTTATCCCAGCTACTCGGGAGGCTGAGACAGGATAATCGCTTGAACCCAGGTGGAAGAGGTTGCTTTGAGCCAAGATAGCGCCACTGCATTCCATTCTGGGTAAGAGAGTGAGACGCTGTCTCAAAAAAAAAAAAAAAAAAAAAAAAGAAGGAAGGAAGGGCCCAGAAGTCAGGAAGGAGCACGTGAGGAGGGTGTGTGGGAAGAATGGAGGTACTGAGGCAGGGTGCACTGGCTCACACCTGTAATCCCAGCACTTTGGGAGGCCAGGCAGGCAGATCACTTGAGGCCAGGAGTTGGAGACCAGCCTGGCCAACATGGTGAAACCCTGTCTCTTCTTGAAGGACAAAAATGAGCTGGGTGTTCTGGTGGGCACCTGTAATCCCAGCTACTTGGGAGGCTTAGGCAGGAGAATCACTGGAACCCAGGAGGCGGAGGTTGCAGTGAGCCGAGATCGCACCACTACACTCCAGCCTAGGCCACAAAGCAAGACTGTTTCTCAACAACAACAACAACAACAAAAAAAAAAAGAAGGGACTCAGAAAGCCAGGGACCAGGGAAGGATATGAGGAAGTGTTCTGAGGACAGAGAAACGGGAGAATGGGGAGGAGAAGGAGCGGCACATGGAGCTCAGCAGAGGAGACAGACAGAAGGAAAGATGGCTTGGAGAAGCCAGCAGTCTGGGAGGCTGGGGAGGATGGAGAGTGATTTGGGGTTTTGGGTCGGGCTCTAGTGTGATCAACTGCAGAAGCATTACACCGTGGCCTGGTTTCTTTACTCAGCCCCTGGGGTAGATCCCAGCCCCCCGCATAGGTCCTTTTGCTGGAAAAGGAAGATGGAGTGGTGGGACAAATCTGAGGAGTCGTTGGAGGAGGAGCCACGGAAGGTGCTCGCCCCTGAGCCTGAGGAGATCTGGGTGGCGGAGATGCTGTGTGGCCTCAAGATGAAGCTGAAGCGACGGCGAGTGTCGCTCGTGCTCCCTGAGCACCACGAGGCCTTCAACAGGCTGCTTGGTAGGAGGACACCCCAGAGAGCACCTCCAATCCTGTTCTTTCTAAAAAGAGGAAACTTCCAATAACCACACTTTTCCAATGGGAAAAATATGCCCCAGTGGGTGAGCTCTCCATGTGGGAGGACTGTGAAGTGATCACTCATGAGGGACACTTAGGAGATGATAAAGGATTGGGTCGACTTGATAAAGTTCGGCGCTTGGGATAAGAAAGCTTAGTTTCGGGCCAGGCGCGGTGGCTCCCGCCTGAGATCCCAGCACGTTGGGAGGCTGAGGCAAGAGGATTGCTTGAACTCAGGACTTTGAGGCTGCAGTGAGCTATGACTACATCACTGCACTCCAGCCCGGGTGACAGAGCAAAACCCTATCTCAAAAGAAAAACCAAGGCTGGGCACAGTAGCTCATGCATGTAATCCCAGCTACTCGGGAGGCTGAGACAGGAGAATTGCTTAAACCCGGGGGGCAGAGGTTGCAGTGAGCCAATATCAGGCCACTGCATTCCAGCCTGGCCCACAGAGCAAGACTCTGTCTCAAAATAAATTAATAAATAAATAAAAATAAAAATCAAATAAAGAAAAACAAAATCAAAAATCAAAAAAGTGGTTTCAGCTGTGCCCTCTGAAACTTAATGTTTCTTACTGACTTTTCTAAACCTAAGTGTTTCCATCCATAGTGGGGGATACCAAGGCCATGGTCACACCCTGATGTGACTGTCTCATGAGGAAATGATGGGAATTCCTTTATGACTCTGCAGTGGTCCCTCCGTGTCTGCTGGAGGGGGTCCTGGCTGATTCCCAGCTCTACATCCTGTAGATTCTCACACCCAGGGCCTCCTTCGGCCTCTTCTCAGGGGAGTCTCAGAGCAGGAGCCTCTCTCCCTTGCCCAGTGAAAGTCATTCTCCCCTCTCCCATCCACCTCACCCGCGGCCACAATCCTGAGACTTCCCCCCGGGAGGCACACTTCTCCTTTCTGCCCTGCTGCTCCCATGGAAACCCTGTCCTGCTTCTCACACTGACATCTGATCTCTAATCACAGAGGATCCTGTCATTAAAAGATTCCTGGCCTGGGACAAAGGTCTGAGGGTGTCGGACAAGGTAAGGTTGTTCTCCATG
This sequence comes from Homo sapiens, assembly GCF_000001405.40. Classification (NCBI taxonomy): domain Eukaryota; kingdom Metazoa; phylum Chordata; class Mammalia; order Primates; family Hominidae; genus Homo; species Homo sapiens. The sequence continues at coordinate 72,867,660 of NC_000007.14, read as the reverse complement.
TAACTGTTCCTGTTCCAACGCATGGCTGGGGGGAGGGCGCAGCTTCCAAACCCACAGTTCTCCCTCCACTACCTCCCACCAGATGCTCCTACAGTCTTTTTTTTTTTTTTTTTTTTTTTTTGAGACAGAGTCTTGCTCTGTTGCCCAGGCTGGAGGGCAGTGTCTCGATCTTGACTCACTGCAGCCGATGCCTCCCGGGTTCAAGTGATTCTCCTGCCTCAGCCTCCAAGCAGCTGGGATTACAGACATGAACAACCACGCCTGGCTAATTTTTGTGTTTTTAGTAGAAACAGGGTTTTGCCATGCTGGCCAGGTTGGTCCTGAGCACCTGACCTCAGACGATCCACCCGCCTTGGCATCCCAGAATGCTGAGATTATAGACGTCAGCCACTGTGCCCGACCAGCTCCCATGGTCTTGAGTCTTGGCACCCACAAATTTTTTTTTCTGAGACAGAGTCTAGCTCTTTTCCCCAGGATGGACTGCAGTGGCATGATCATAGCTCATTGCACCCTCTAATTCCTGGGCTCAAGCAATCTTCTTTCCTCAGCCTCCTGAGGAGCTGGGACTAGGCACATGCCACCATGCTCAACTAATTTTTGAAATCTTCGTAGAAACAGGGTCTCACTAGTTGCCCAGGTTGTTCTCAAACTGTTGGGCTCACGTGATCCTCCTGTCTCCACCTCTCAAAGTAATGGGATCACAGGCTTGGGCCGCCACTCCGAGCTATTCTTGGTCTTTTTATGATTTGTCAGCATCTCCCTCAGGATTCTGCTGGTCTCTTGCAGAGTGAATGAGTGGCCCCTGCCTCTCCTATGGGTCCTTTGGGATCTGAGCTCTGGGCCACAGTCTGGCCACAGCCCTGAAGCTTCTGGCCCCTCTACTCTCAGCTCTTCGGACAGTTCTCTGCCTGGCACACAAAAGACCCTCCTGACACCAGCCGACCTAGACACACCCCCTCCAAAGATCCCATCGGAGCCCACCATCCTGGGAGCATCACCCAAAACCCTTCCTCTGGCTTCTCGGATTTGCATCCGACCTTCGAATACCCCTCCATCCCGCAATTTCCAAATGAGTACAGTCACCCCAACACTGAGGTCCCTTCTCTGATGGGCAGCCCCTCCCCAGACCCTCATTCCCCCTCTCCACAATCTTCCTCTTCCAAGATGTGACCTCTCCCTCTCTGTGTTCCTTTCTCTCCATCAGTATCTCCTGGCTATGGTCATAGTGTATTTCAGCCGGGCCGGCCTCCCCTCCTGGCAATACCAATGCATTCATTTCTTCCTGGCTCTGTGAGTGGTTTGCTGCCTCCTATCCATCGATATCCAATGCCCTGGGACAGCGGGGGAAGTGGGATTCCAGCCTTTCATTTATTCTTTTACCTATTTGTCCTCTTTACTCTGTGTACAAAAAAGAGAGGATTATACTATCATAGACTGTTGTTTCTAAAAAGAAACTCAGGCTGGGCACAGTGGCATACGCCTGTAATCCCAGCACTTTGGGAGGCCGAGGCAGGCGGATCACCTGAGGTCAGCAGTTCGAGACCAGCCTGGCCAACATGGTCAAACCCCGTCTCTACTAAAACTAGAAAAATTAGCTGGGCGTTGTGGTGTGCACCTGTAATCCCAGCTACTCGGGAGGCTGAGGCAAGAGAACCCTTTGAACCCAGGAGGTGGAGGTTGCAGTAAGCTAAGGTCGAGCCACTGCACTCCAGCCTGGGTGACAGAGTAAGACTTTTTCTCAAAAAAAAAAAAAAAAGCCAAAAAAACAAACTCCAATGCCAGTGTACAAATAAAAGAATAAAACAAAAGGAACCATAAACCGCTCCTAAGGGGAAAAGAAAAGGAGTGGAGGAGCGGACATGCCGCTTCCTCCAGCAAGCAGACGTTTCTGGTTCTTCTCTCTCTCTCCTTCCCACATCAACCACAAACGCCATCGACCTCCTCTGGGTTCCCATGACAGAGGCCACAGTTCAGGTCCCCCTCGCATCACTCGAATCCACTGTCAAATGCTCCCTGCTGGGGTTTCCTGGAGTCTCTCCCCAAGCCAGGGGGCTTCCTAGTGCAGCCTGAACATCTTTCCAAAGCACGACAACCTCACTGCCCACCTGAACAACTTCCTTAGCTGATGCCTTTCTCTATCGAGGCCAGGGTCCACAGTGCCAATTCTACCCTCTCTACAATCTCTACAACCACACTGGCTCGCCATCTTGGTATTTCCTGGCTTGGCTTCACTGCTCCTTCCAAATGCCCTCCACTCGACTTTGTGTTTGTGTTTTTGTCTGGGTGTCCCGCACACATGTGGCTCTGAAGGGAAGGACCCATTCCTTGAAGTCAGTTCACCCCACAGCCTCTGTGATGCCTTCCCTCATCTTCCAACTTCTGCATGCCCGTAGCTCTCTAGTTACATCCTGGACACTGGGATTAGGTCATCTGCCTTGATTACTCCCAGTCCCATTAGACTAGATGCCTGTAGAAGGCAGGGTCCTGGCAAAATATCAATGTATTCAATTTCTTTTATTTTTTTGAGACAGACTTGCCCTGTCCCCCAAGCTGGAGTGCAGTGGTGAGATCATAGCTCACCGCAGCCTCCATATCCTGGGCTCAAGCGATCCTCCCACCTCAGCTTCTTTATTAGCTCCGACTACAGGGCTGTGCCACCACACCTGGACAGTTTGTTTGTTTGTTTGTTTGTTTATTGAGACAGAGTCTTGCTCTGCCTCTCAGGCTGGAATGGAGTGGCCCAATCTCGACTCACTGCAACCTCCGCCTCCTGGGTTCACACAATTCTTATGCTTCAGCCTCTTGAGTAGCTAGGACTAATGGGTGTGCCACCGCACCAGGCTGATTTTTGTATTTTTAGTAGAGATGGGGTTTCTCCGTGTTGACCAGGCTGGTCTCCAACTCCTGGTCTCAAGCAATCCACCTGCTTCAGTCTTCTAAAGTGCTGGGATTACAGGCATGAGCCACCGCGTCTGGCATATTTCTTATATTTTTAATAGAGATGAGGGTCTTGCTATGTTGCCCAGGCCCGTCTCAAACTCCTGGCCTCAAGTGATCCTCCTGCTTTGGCCTCCCAATGTGCTGGGATTCCAGGCGTAAGCCACCACTCTCGGCCACCAGTTGGGTTTTTGTCTCCATCCTGAAGGAGTGGGAGACACCCTTGATCAGGTCTCTGTCCAGCAGAGCCCTCCTGAGGAAGGCGTGGCTCTCTGCAGGGTGGGTGCCAGTCCTGAGCTAGGGACGGTCCCTTACCTTCCTCTCTGGGAAGCTGACCTCAGCCGGAGGCCTCTCTTGGTGGTGCCCCTGAGCAGCAACCTGATTTCTGTCCTCAGCTACCTGGCCAATGACATGGAGGAGGACGACGAGGACCCCAAACAAAACATCTTCTACTTCCTGTATGGGAAGACCCGCTCTCGCATACCCTTGCTCCGTAAGCGTCGGTTCCAGTTATGCCGTTGCATGAACCCGAGGGCCAGGAAGAACCGCTCTCAGATAGTCCTGTTCCAGAAACTTCGGTTCCAGTTCTTCTGTTCCATGAGCTGCAGGGCTTGGGTTTCCCCGGAGGAGTTGGAGGAGGTGAGTGGGGCCTGGGGAGGTGGAGGATGTGGGGAGGAATCGGGTGGGCTGGAGGCTGGATGAGGGGAGAGAGGGGTATCCTGGCGAGTCCCCATCTTCTCAAAGGGCGTTTGTTTTTCCAGATCCAGGCTTATGACCCAGAGCACTGGGTGTGGGCGCGAGATCGCGCTCGCCTTTCCTAGAGCTCCAGGGACCGTGGAGGCCTGAGGTCATCGGCCTGAGAGAAGGTACCTCTGCATCCTCCGGGGTAAAGGCAGAATATTGGGGTCTATTTTGGAAATCCGAGGAACCCAATTGCTTGATCTGGCTTCAAGCCTGGGCAACGTGGCGAGATCCCCTCTCCACAAAAATACAAAAATTAGCCAGGTGATGTGGGACGCATCTCTACTCCCAACTACTCAGGAGGCTGAGGCGGGAGGATCACTGGAGCCTGGAAGGTCGGGGCTGCACGGAGCCCTGATCCTGCCACTGCACTCCAGTCTGGGCGACAGAGTGAGACCCTGCCTCAAAAATAATCATAAATACTGAGTTTGGGGAGGTTCATTATGATTGACGCACTTGAGTTACCGATTTGGGTCGAGGGTTCAGTGAAGCTTTGGTTTACATCTTGTGCAGCTAACCACGGTGAGCACAGAGCATGAGACTTCATCATGAGGAGGTAGGATTAAGGATCAGGCTTCTGGACTCGTGGTTCGTGATGTTGTCACATTAAAAACACATCTAGCATGGTTACAAGTTTAGATCTTAAGTGACACAAAAGGCCCCAGCTGTGATGAAGTCCAAAGCCACATTCTCTGAGGGTGCCCTACTCCCTAGGCAAACCCACCCAAAGTCCTTGCTATGAAGCACATCACTGGGGCTGACCTTGGGTGTATTAAGTGAGTTTTGGAGTCATGGTCACCAAAGTGTGAGTTTCACAGTTGAACACGATGGTTCAGAAGCAGGGTATAGAATGAAAGGCAGGAGATACAATTGCATTTCTCAATTGCTCTGAACTCTAGACTTCACATGGGACGTGAATAACCTTCCTGTCTAGAGAGCTGCCTCCTTGAAGTGTGACATCGTCTCTCTCACTTCCAGAACACCGGACCCAGGGGAGATGTGGATTTTCAGCAGGAACTTTATTCCAATGCTAATGGCAGACACCAGGAAGAAGGAGAGGAACCATTTGTGCAGATCATCTAGAAGAACCTGGACCATTCTTGATGGAGCTGAATACAGTGATCATGTTGTCCTACCTAGGAGCAGGGGGAGGGGGGTGGGGTCCTTCTAGGAGTCCTTGGAGAAAAGTAAGAAACCAGGAGTGTTTCCAGTTCCACCCTTTCCTGCGGCACCACCACCCTTTTTATATTGCTGAATTCCAACCTCCCTGGGGCGGAACCTGGAGGTCCTATTTCTTACGGACTTGGTTGCCACAGTCCAGGAGCATTTGAAGGCACAATGCAGGGGCTCAGATTGGCACAGAATTCTTTTGTGAAATATCAGTGCCACAGATTGTAACAGATAGCTTCATGCACACTCTGCATTTTATTGGTTTGTTTGGAAAATGTTGGCCATTGAATTATTCATAGATTTATTTCAAATAGTTTGGAAATTGTTGTACCTTTGAAAACATGCTGTTCCTGTAGTTTTTTGATGAGAGTTATAGTTGTTATATATACATAAAGATAATTTTCTTTTCATTTTTAAGAGACAATTCTTTTTATCCTAAATATTTTATTATCTTTAAATTTGTTCCTGTATTATTATATGTGCTCCTGAAGCGAGCACTCTTTTTATCTATGATACTTCCATAATAATCTCTTCTATTTATAGCTATTGGTAGTTCCCTACCAGAAAAAAACATAATTCTGGTGATTGAAATTTTTATTTGCTATTTAGGTTTGTGACTGAATTGTGAGAATTCAGTTGTGATTTTTAACATGTCTCAGATATATATACTAACATGTCTAATATATACTATCTATTTTATTGGTTTATTTTGAAAAACATGGGTATAGAATTATTTAAATATTATTTTATTTATTTATTTATTAAATATATTTATTTATTTAAATATTATTACTACTTTAAATATTATTTTAAATATTTTGGAAATACTGGTATTTTTGAATAGATGCTGTTTCTATAAAGCTGTGTGATGGGTGTTATAACTGTTATATACACATACATATAATTTTGTTTTCCTTTTTAAGAGAGGATTCTTTTCATCCTAAATCTTTTACCTTTCAATCTTTGTATCTATTATTACACATGCTGCTGAAGGGAGCATGGTTTTTATCTATGATACTTAGTTAACATATATATTACATTTATAGCTATGTAGTAGTTCCCTTAAATTCTTGTAAAAATAAATTTTTATTTGATATTTCATATATGTCTGAAATGTGAGAATACAGATGTAATTTTTTACCTTGTTTTGGCATGTTTGTATGTTACTTTAAAGAGGATGTGTGTGCTAAAGGAGGACATGAGCTGTGTGTTTTCAAGAGAACAATAGAGTGCGTCTCTTGGGGAAACATAATAAAAATGAACTTTTCTCACCTTCACAGCAATTGTGATCATATTGGTCTGGATTGATTATTTGCTGCCCAGTGATATTTTTCCTTAATCGGGTTGTGGTTATTTGAACATATTTATTAGCTCTGGAAGATAATCCTGTGCTGTTTTTTATGTAGAAAAAAACATAAGGCTGGGTGCAGTGCTCACACCTACAATCCCTGCAGTTTTGGAGGTCATGGCAGGAGGATCACCTGAGGCCAGGAGTTTGAGGCCAGCCTCAGCAACATAGCATCTACATCTATTTTTAATTTTTATTTTTTAAAGAAAAACAATAGAAGAGAAGGCTGATCCCAAGCTACAGGGTTTTTTTGTTTGTTTGTTTGTTTTGGAGACAGAGTCTTGCTCTGTCTCCCAGGCTGGAGTGCAGTGGCACAACCTCGGCTCCCTGCAACTTTCACCTCGGGGTTCAAACAAATTCTCCTGCCTCAGCCTCCCAAGTAGCTGGGACTACCGGCACCAGTCTGTATGTCCGACTAACTTGTAAAAATAGTAGAGACAAGGTTTCACCATGTTGGCCAGGCTGGTCTCGAACTCCTGACTTCGAGTGATCCACCCACCTCGGCCTCCCAAAGTGCTGGGATTACAGGCACGAGCTACTGCGCCCAGATGCCAAGCTAGAGTTTTAAGGCAGGAAATGAGAGAAAGATATTGAGAGAGGAAAACCAGGTGGTAAGAAAACTCTAAAGGTGGCCGGGCGTGGTGGCTCACGCCCATGATCCCAGCAGGAGTTTGAGACCAGCCTGGCCAACGTGGTGAAACCCTGTCTCTACTAAAAATACAAAAATTAGGCAGGTGTGGTGGTGCAAGCCTATAATCCCAGCTATTTGGGAGGCTGAGGCAGGAGAATCACTAGCAGAGATTGTGTCTCCTCACCCCCTCTCAAAAAAAAAAAAGAAAGTTCCTGCAGCAGTTAAAGCTGTGAAAGACAGGCACTCTGCCATGCAATTCTTTGTGATTTTTCTTTTTTATTTTTGGAGTTGGGGTCTTGTGCTGTCACCCAGACTGGGGTGCAGTGGTGTGGTCATAGCTCACTGCGGCCTCAGACTCAAGCTCAAGCGATCCTCTTACCTTGCCTTTCAAATTGCTGGGATTATAAGCATGAGCCACTGCATCTGGCCTGTGTGACACAATTCTGTTTTTTTGTCTTTTTTTTTTTTTGGGATGGAGTCTCGCTCTGTCACCCAGGCTGGAGTGTGGTGGTGCGATCTTGGCTCACTGCAAGCTCCGCCTCCTGGGTTCACGCCATTCTCCTGCCTCAGACTCCTGAGTAGCTGGGACTACAGGCGCCCGTCACCATGCCCAGCTAATTTTTTGTATTTTTAGTAGAGACGGGGTTTCACTGTGTTAGCCAGGATGGTCTCAATCTCCTGACCTCGTGATCTGCCCGCCTCGGCCTCCCAAAGTGCTAGGATTACAGGCGTGAGCCACCGCGCCCAGCCTGTGTGATGCAATTCTGATGTCAACTCCCTGATGTTACCTCAAATGCCACAGGTTAAGGCCACCAGCCCCCACTAGGCTGCCCTCGCTTTAGACACAGCTGCAGGCTTGGGTGTCCTCAGACCACATGTACTTCTCACCAACCGGCTGCAAATTTGGAGGTTCCCACCATGCCCTCAAGTTCGATAACTCACTAAAACAATTCACAGAATGCAGAAAAGCATGATACTTTCTTTCTTTCTTTCTTTCTTTTTTTTTTCTGAGACGGAGTCTTGCTCTGTTGCCCAGGCTGGAGTACAGTGGCCACCATGCTTGGCTAATTTTTGTATTTGTATAAGAGACGGGGTTTCGCCATGTTGGCCAGGCTGGTCTAGAACTCCTGACCTCAGGTGATCCGCCTGCCTTGGCATCCCAAAGTGCTGGGATTATAGGCATAGCCACCATGCCCAGTCGACTTCTAGAGTTTCAATAACAGAGATGTGATTCAAGAAGAAAAGGGAGACATGTTTTGTAGACGGCAGGAGCTTCATGAAAAGACGCCAATGAAGGGCAAGGATGTGTAGCTGTCTACCTACGGGAAACCAGCCAGGAGCCTCCCTGCAGGGACTTCAGCACAGAAGGCCGGGAAAATCTGCATTAACCTGAGCTCTGGACCTAAGACAGGACAAGGACTTGACCGTTTCTACAGACTCCCAAGATGCAATCTCTGCAGTCCATGCCCGTGGTGTGATCTGGGAAACAGGGGGCCTTCTAAATGCCAACAGCAAGGAAATCAAATGTGCAACAGACAGAAATACCGGCATTGACGTGGGCCATGGAAAGGCCTAAACAGATGACTGCAGTCCACTGCCAAGGTCATCAAAGAGGTGACTCTGAAATAATAAATTTCAGATGCCATGGCCCAAATAGCTGCACGAGGTGGGGAAGTCCTCTACATGCCTCTGCTTCCTTCAGTACCTCTTCATGAAATAAGCCGAGGTACTTCCCTGGGGAATTTACTTTCTCTTTCTTTCTTTCGAGACGGAGTCTTGCTCTGTCACCCAGGCTAGAGTGCAGTGGCGTGATCTCACCTCACTGCAACCTCTCCCTCCCGGGTTTTAGCAATTCTCCTGCATCAGACTTCTGAGTAGCTGAGATTACAGGTGTGTGCCACCATGCCCAGCTAATATTTGTATTTTTAGTAGAGACAGGGTTTCACCATCTAGGCCAGGCTGGTCTTGAACTCCTGACCTCATGATCCACCCGTCTTGGCCTCCCAAAGTGCTGGGATTACAGGTGTGAGCCATCACGCCCGGACTTCTTTATTTTTCGAGATGATGTTTCGCTCTTGTTGCCCACGCTGGAGTGCAATGGCACGATCTCAGCTCACTGCCACCTCCTCCTCCCAGGTTCAAACGATTATCGTGCCTCAGCCTCTCGAGTAGCTGAGATTATAGGTGCATACCACTATGCCTGGCTAATTTTTTGTATTTTTAGTGGAGACAGGGTTTCACCATGTTGGCCAGGATGGTCTCGATCTCCCGACCTCTTGATCTGCCTGCCTTGGCCTCCCAAAGTGGTGGGATTACAGGTGTTACAGGCATGAGCCACCACGCCTGGCCTTTTTTTTTTTTTTTAATAGAGAAAGGGTGTCACTCTGTCACCCAGGCTGGAGTGCAGTGGCGCGATCATAGCTCACTGAAGCCTCCAATTCCTGGGCTCAAGCAATCCTCCCACCTCAGCCTCCTGAGTAACTGGGACTGCAGGTGAACACCACCACGCCCAGCTAACTTTTGTAGGCTTTTGTAGAGATGGGGGCCTTGTTATGTTGCCCAGGCTGGTCTTGGCCTCCCAAAAGAGCTGAGATTCCAGGCATGAGCCACTGCACCTGGCCCATATTTCTAGTATTACCATAGAACATGGTATTGTGGTTTACTGCTGTAAATATTTGCTTCCCTTCCCCAACCCAGATGTGAGTCCCTGAGTCAGGGACGGTGTCATCACCACTTTTTTTTTTCTTTCAGTGCCAGATTTGTCACTCAGGCCCTCTGCAAAGCCATCATAACTATCTGCCCAAGAACAAATGTAGGAATTATTTCCTTTGGCAAACTCCCAAAATAACAGATTTCTAACTACCCTAATTATCCTCCATTCCCTCCTATTCAGCCAGTTCTCAGAGCTCTAATATCTCATGAATACTTTGTAATGGGCTCATTTATAAAATCATTTGCTTTTTTAATAAGTCAGAGGTAACTTGCCATGTCTCTCACTAATGGTCTCTTTCAAAATGCCTTGGCACCTCCTTTGGTTTTGAAAGGCCCTAAATGGTTTTCTGAGTTTGAGCAGGATTGATTTATCCTTTTAAGGTATACTAATCTGCCACGAGAACATTTTGGAATGAGTCATAATATCTATATCACAGCTTTCTTCCAGCGGATTCAAATTATTTTTGTATCTTTGATATTTTTGTCTGTGATGTGATGTCAGCAGACCAGGGCCCCCCTTTCAGATGTCTAAGGCTCCCCGGGATCTGCAGTAGTGTAGCTTATTTTTATTTTTATTTTTATTTTTTTGAGACAGGGTCTCACTCTGTCACCCAGGCCGGAGTGCAGTGGTGTGATCTCACCTCATTGCAACCTCCGCCTCCTGATTCAAGTGATTTTCTTGCCTCAGCCTCCTGAGTGGCTGGGATTACAGGGGTGCACCACCATACCTGGCTATTTATTTATTTATTTTTTGAGATGGAGTCTCACTCTGTTGCCCAAGCTGGAGTGGAGTGGTGCAATCTTGGCTCATTGCAGCCTTTGGCTCCCAGGTTGCAGCAATTCTCCTGCCTCAGCCTCCCAGGTAGCTGGGTTTATAGGCACTCACCACCACACCCAGCTAATTTTTGTATTTGTAGTAGAGACGAGGTTTTGCCATGTTGGCCAGGCTGGTCTCGAACTCCTGACCTCAGGTGAGCCTCCTGCCTCGGCCTCCCAAAGGGCTGGGATTACAGGTGTGAGCCACTGTGCCCGGCCTGCAGTAGTGTAGTTTAGATAATTTGTCCCAAATATTCACTGCCCCTCTCTGGACTAATCACTTGTGCCATCCCTGCTGCCTCCCCTAGAATGTGGTGTACTTTCTTCTCATCCCATTGGTATAAGGGATGGCTTTTTGACTTGCCAATGGCCAATGGCACGTGAGGCGACATGACAGACATCATAACCCAGCAAAAGTTATTTTTTAAAATTTTTTTTTTTTGAGATGGAGTCTCACTCTGTCGCCCAGGCTGGAGTGCAGTGGTGCAATCTCGGATCACTGCAAGCTCTGGCCTTCCGGGTTCACGCTATTCTCCTGCCTCAGCCTCCTGAGTAGCTGGGACTACAGGCGCCCACCACCACGCCCGGCTAATTTTTTGTATTTTTAGTAGAGATGGGGTTTCACTGTGTTAGCCAGGATGGTCTCGATCTCCTGACCTGGTGATCCACCCGCCTCGGCCTCCCAAAGTGCTGGGACTACAGGCGTGAGCCACTGTGCCCATCTATTTTTAAAATTTTTTAAAGACAAGGTCTCACTCTGTCACCCAGGCTGGAGTGCCATGGCACAATCATGGTTAACTGCAACCTCCAACTCCTGGGCTCAAGCAATCCTCCTGCCTCCAGCCTTCCAAGAAGCTGGGACTACAGGTGCACGCCACTACCTCTGGCTAATTTATGTTTTATTTTATATATTTTTTGTAGACATGGGGTCTTGTTTTGTTAACCCAGGCTGGCCTTGAACTCCTGGCCTCAAATGATCCTCCCACCTGGGCCTCCCAAAGTGTTGGGATTACAGGAATCAGCCACGGCACCTGGCCAGCCCCCAGCATTCTGATGAATCACGTGTGCTCTGAGGTTGTTAAATTAAAACCAGTGCAAACAGTCCACGTCTCTGCCAGGGGCTGGCATCTCTCATTCTTCCCTTCTTACATGGAAGTCTTGGTTTTGGTTATTGTTTTTGTTTCACTAAAGAGATATACCTGGATATTTTAAAAGAGAAGATTCAGGCCAGGTGTGATGGCTCGCGTCTGTAATCCCAGCGCTTTGGGAGTCCGAGGCAGGTGGATCACCTGAGGTCGGGAGTTTGAGACCAGCCTGGCCAACATGGTGAAACCCCGTCTCTACTAAAAATACAAAAATTAGCTGGGCGTGGTGGTGGGCACCTGTAATCCCAGCTACTCAGGAGGCTGAGGCAGGAGAGTCGCTTGAACCCAGGAGGTGCAGGTTGCTGTGAGCCGAGATCGTGTCACTGCACTTCAGCCTGGGCAACAGAGTGAGACTTCCTCTCAAAAACAAATAAATAAGAAAGAAGTTTCAATCCTGGGCTGTGGAAATCAACGGCCTTATAACTTTCCATGCTTGCACCTGATTCTGATGGTTGAAGTGACTTGTGCCTGTGCCATTGCACACATACCCTATTCTTGCAAGCTTGGCTTTGAGGCACCACAGGAGGGACTCCGTGACATGGGCCTGCAGCTGGGGAGAGAAGCCAGAAGCAGACCCAAGGCTGGCCCCCAGGAGTCTGCAGGCATGGCAGTGCCAGAGCTTGGCCACTCCCCAGCATCTGAGCAGGCCCCACGAGGCAGGGGGCACACACAGCTGAGGACGGAAGCCTCAGAGGACAGAGGCCTGGATGTTGTGCACTGAGGGTCATGCATTTTCAGCCAGACTCTCACCAGCAGCTGGAGCAGGAGGAGAGGGTTGGAAAACAAATCCCAAAGAAAGTGGGTGCCTGGGCCAGGCGCGGTGGCTTACGCCTGTATTCCCAGCACTTTGGGAGGCTGAGGCAGGCAGATCATCTGAGGTCAGGAGTTTGAGACCAGCTTGGCCAACACGGTGAAACCCCATCTCTACTAAGAATACAAAAATTAGCTGGGGGTGATGGCAGGTGCCTGTAATCCCAACTACTTGGGAGGCTGAGGCAGGAATAATTGCTTGAACCTGGGAGGCGGAGGTTGCAGTGAGCCAAGATCGCACAACTGCACTCCAGCCTGGGAAACAGAGGGAGACTCTGCCTCAAAAAAAAAAAAAAGAAATAAAGAAAGAAAGAAAAGGGGAAATGGGTGCCAGGAGGTAGGCAGGGGAGGTCCCATTCTAGCAGGCAGGGCTGAACTTCCATCGCACCTGCCTGGAGTACTCTTCTGCAAGGCAGAATTCTCAGCCTGGTGCAGTGGCTCACATCTGTAATCTCAGTGGAAGGCCAAGGAGGAAGGATTACTTGAGCTCAGGAATTTGAGACCATACTGGGCAACATAGTGAGACCCCATCTCCTAAAAGAAAGAAATAATAAGCCAAGCATGGTGGCACTTTCTTGTGGTCCAAGCTACTAGGGAGGATGCAGTGGGAGGGTCACTTGTGTTTGGGAGGTTGAGGCTTCAGTGAGCCATGATCGTGCTGCTGCACTCCAGCCTGGGTGACAGAGCAAGATTCCATCTCAAAAAGAAACAAAAAACAAACAAACAAAAAACCTTCAAAACACATACAAGTCAAACTTGCATGGCAGATTTGCACTGAACTGTCATGCTAGGCAATGCTGACGGGAGAGTCCTTTGACTGAGCTTTAGGGGGCACCCGAGAAGCCCACGCACAGAGGTGTTGGTACAACATGCCTATTCCAGCCTCGCCGGTGGCCAGCCAGCTCGCTGCCCCAGCTGTCATGAGGTCCTTGTGGACCGTGGGAGGAGAAGCCCCCAGCCTAGGAGGGCCCTTCCACGGCCACCCTTAGATTTGGGCAGCCACTCACTTCTCTCTCTGATTCTGGAAACTTCCTCTGATGGTTTCACTCTCTCAGGCTGATAAAATGTTCCATGTTTGTTCAGGTACAAATGGAAATTAGATGGAATAACATGCCCTAGAATTAGTTCATGTTTTTCTGATTTGAGTCCCGACAGCCTCTGAATCTCATCGTCTCATCATTGCCACAGAACAAAATGTGAAAACATTAATGAGGGATTTGGTCTCTTTCCTTTCTGCACAGAAACCGAAGCACATCCTTGAGAGAGAGTCTCCTCTATTTTGTCATAAATAGATGGATTCTATAAATTAATTGAAAGGCATTGAGTTATTTCTAAAGGAAAACCAAGAGAATTGTGTTCCTTTTTATGATCAACTTTGCTTTTCTTTTTTTTTTTGGAGACAGTCTCGCTCTGTCATCCAAGTTGGAGTGCAGTGACTCCATCTGGGCTCACTGCAACCTCCACCTCCTGGGTTCAATCGGTTCTCCTGCCTCAGCCTCCTGAGTAGCTGGGATTATAGGCATGTGCCACCACGCCCGGCTAATTTTTGTATTTTTAGTAGAGATGGGGTTTTGCAATGTTGGCCAGGGTGATCTTGAACTCCTGACCTCAAGTGATCCTCCTCCTGCCTCTGCCTCCCAAAGTGCTGGGATTACAGGCGTGAGCCACCATGCCCGGCCTATCATCAATTTCAATCCATTTCCTCTTGTCTGTTTCTCCGGGGGAAGGTGTCATTCAAGATTCATAGCAATCATGGAGGTTTGACCATCCTGAGATGTGCAGGATGCTTTTCTTATCAATCTGAGTGAATATTCCTATCTGTCTTCTATGTAGAACAGGGGCCTGGGTTGGGTATCGGATGGTGGTTTGCTTAGTTTCTCATGATAAACTTGGAAAGAGTGTCCTGCTGTACTTTCACCTGGGGTAGGGGTAGCAACTTCTGTCGTAGGCTCAGCAGGCGCCTGGGCCTGGTTGAGGGGCAGCTACATCTTTTCCAAAACAACTTCCCATGTTTCTAATGGAAGGCAGTGCAGTGAGGGTTGATAATATCTGAATTTTCTGAAATGGTTTGGAGTGAGGTATTCAGCACATTGAGTAGGGTCATGCATCACTTAACAACTGGATTATGTTCTGAGAAATGGGTCGTTAGGTGATTTCATCATTGTGCAAACATCACAGGGTGTACTTACACAAACATAGATCATATGTATGGCACACTACACACCCAGGCTGCTTGGTACAGCCTCCTGCTCCTAGGCTACAAACCTGTACAGCATGTTACTGTACTGAACACTGGAAGCAATTGTACACAATGGTAAATATTTGTGTATTTAAACATATCTAAACATAGAAAATGTTGTCCAGGCATGGTGGCTCACGCCTGTAATCCCAACACTTTGGGAGGCAAGGTGGGTGGATCACTTGAGGTCAGGAATTTGAGACCAGCCTGACCAACATGGTGAAACCCCGTGTCTACTAAAAATACAAAATTAGCCGGGTGTGGTGGTGCACGCCTCTAGTCTCAGCTACTCAGGAGGCTGAGGCAGGAGAATCACTTGGACTGGGGAGGCGGAGGTTGCAGTGAGCTGAGATCACACCATTGCATACCAGCCTGGGCAATAAGAGCAAAACTGTCTCAAAAAACAAAAACCAAACCAAACCAAACCAAACCAAACCAAACCAAACCAAACCAAACCAAACCAAAACAAACAAAACAAAAAACAAAACGTAGAAAATGTCCAGTAAAAATTTGGTATAAAAGATTAAAATGGGCCAGGCATGGTGGCTCATGCTTGTAATCCCAGCACTTTGAGATACCCAGGAGTTTGAGACCAGCCTAGGCAACACAGTGAGACCTTGTTTCTACAAAAAAAATTTAAAAAAATTAGCTGGGCGTGTTTGTGCATACCTGTAGTCCCAGCTACTGAGGAGGCCGAGGTGGGAGGGTCACTTGAACCTGGGAGGCTGAGGCTGCAGTGAGCCATGATTATGCCACTGTACTCAGCCTGGGTGACAGAGTGAGACCTGCTCTCAAAAAAGAAAGAAAGAAAAAAAGATTAAAATGGTACACCTGTCTAGGGCACTTGCCATGAATGGAGCTTGCAGGACTGGAAGTTTCTCTGGTGAATCAGTGATTGTCTCCCAAAGGCCCACTATCATATTAGGGAATAGGTTTACAAGATACATTCCTTCCGTCCTAATAGCCCCAAAAGTCTTATAGGTTGATGCAAAAATAATTGCAGATTTTGCTATTATTTTCAATGGCAAAAACCTCAATTACTTTTGCACCAACCTAATAACTCATTCTAGCATCAACTCAAATGTCTGAAGTCTAAAATCTCATCTCTCCTCTAAATCAGATATGGGGCCGGGTGCAGTGGCTCATGCCTGTAATCCCAGCACTCTGGGAGGCCGAGGCAAGTGGATCACCTAAGGTTAGGGGATCGAGACCAGCCGGGCCAACATGGTAAAACCCCGTCTCTACTAAAAATACAAAAATTAGCCAGGTGTGGTGGTGCACACCTGTAATCCCAGCTACTCAGGAGGCTGAGGCAGGAGAATCACTTGAACCCGGAAGGCAGAGGTTGCAGTGAGCTGAGATCGTACCACTGCACTCCAGCCTGGGTGACAGAGCAAGACTCCATCTCAAAAAAAAAAAAAAATCTGATATGGATGAGGCTCAAGGGAGGATTAATTCAGAGGCAAATTCTCCTTCCTCCATGTGAGTAGCCACACGCACACAAACGTGTAGAGGTTTTAAGTAGAAAAGTAAAGACTTCAATGGCTTGAAAAGATTTTCAAAATCCCAGAAACACCCAACCAGTGTTTCAATTATTTCTAAAGAATCCTAACCGGATGGTTGTCCAGTTCATAACTGAATACTTCTAGTGATGAGGACCTTACCACACTCAGGGGAGCACACCTTTACAGAGATGAAATCACTGAAGATTTGAAATAAATCTTTTCCAGTAGTTTCCATCGTTGCTAGGCAATGAATGGGCTTGTTTCCTGATGTGCAGAGTGGCCAATACCATGGGACAAGCTTTTGAGGAAAGAAAAGCAAGTCGACTGGTAAGGGCATAGGAAGAAATGTTCAGATCTGTCTCCCTGAGCTGAGAGCTGGGATAGGTTTTATAAGCGTAGGGTAGTGAGGTGTGATCAGATTGGATCTTGAAATGAGGTGATAAGGTGATACCGGGAGGTGTGCTCTGACTGGATCCTGCCATGGGGTGATGCCAAGGATTCATCTGATTGGATCCTGACATGTGATGTCCATTTCTTAATTCAGTCCTCATTCCTTGGGCCAGACACTTAGGTTCTGCTCATGGTTGCACAGTTGGTTCGTCTGGGCATGCTCAGATTATGTGACCTTTAACCCGGAGGTACATGGCAACGGAAAACTCTCCATTTTATTACACAAAGTTGAATTGAATTGGGCTGTTTTGGTGGTTATGGCATGTCCTGGTCCTGGTATGGGGAGCATAGAGTCAGTTAAAACTGCTTACTGAGCTTCTGTTCCCTCTTCTCCAAACCCATATACCAGTTGTTTCCATCATTATCTGTGTGACAAAGGCTCAAATCCCTTGGATTTCTGGCACATTCTGCTTATCAGGTCTAAGGCAAAACCAGGAGCCTAGGTTTTCTGAGCAGGTCTGTCACTCCCTCCACTTTGAGAACATGATGGGCAGCCTATTTGGAAGCCACAGAACTCTGCACCAATCAAGCAACAACTTCTCTCATGTCTCAATGCAGAAAGAAGCCACTTGCTAATAGCCAAGTGGCTTGCTGAGTACTTCAGACTCCAGGAGAGGACCCCAGACTTTGGACTGAGAACTTTGTTGTTGTTACCAATGAATTTATTGAGATATAACTGGCCTATAATCAATTGCACATATTTAAAATGCAAAGTGATACATCTGACATATGTATACACTGGTGAAACTATCACCCTAATCAAGATAGTGGACAGGTGCATCACCCCCACCAGTGAAATTTCTTTGTGTTCCTTTATAATTCCTCCTTTCATTCCCCCTCCCCTGCCCTATCCAGTGATCTGCTTTCTTTCACTAAAGATTAGTTTGCATTTTCTGGAGTTTTACATAAATGGAATCAATCATACAGTATGTACTCTTGTTTTTTTTGTTTGTTTGTTTTGCCAGGGGGTAGGGGGCCTGGCTTCTTCAACAAATGATGCTGGAACAATTGGATATTTATATGCAGAGGTGGTGAGGGAAAGAGAGAACGAGAAAGGAAAGTGGAGTTTGATCCATACCTAGCCCTATATGTAAAAATTAATTCAAAATGGATCAGAGACCTAAATATAAAACCCCAAACTATAAAACCTCTAAGAGAAAACAAGGAGAAAAACCTCTGTGTCCTTGAGTTAGACAAAGATTTCTTAAATACAATACTAGAGGCAAAATACTACAGGTATTTTGTAGATACTCTTGGTCAGGTTGAGGAAGTTTCCTTCTAGGCCTAATTTGCTGTGACTTTTTATCAAGAATAGACGTTAGAATTGTTCACATGCTTTTCTGCATCTGTTGGGATAATGGTATGTTTTCTCTTTTTTAGTCTGTAAATATGGTAATTTCCACTGATTGGCTTTCAAATGCTAAACCAGCCCTGCATTCCTGGGCTAAACTTCACTTGGTCATGATATATCCTTTTTATATCACACAATTTTCTAAACTTTGTTAAAAATTTTTGCATCTATATTCATGAGAAATACTGAGCTGTGTTTTATTTTCTTTTAGTGTCTTCATCTAATTTTGGTATTAAAGTAATGCTGAATTCATAGAATGAGTTGACAATTATTCCCTCTTGTTAAATTTTCTGGTTGAGATTGAGTAGAATTGATTTTATTTCTTCATTAAATTTCTGTAGAATTCAACAGAAAAGCCACCTGGGCCTAGCAGTTTCTTTGTGTAAAGTTTTTGAACTACAAATTTAATTTTTTTGATATAAACAGTTTAGGTTCTCAATTTTTCCTGAGTGAGCTTTTTGATTTTCAAGGAATTTGTCCGTTTGATCTAGGTGATTGCATTTATAAGCATGAAGTTGTTAATATTTCTTTATTACCTTTGTAATATCTGTTGAATATGTAGTAATATAACCTCACTTATTTCTGATACCTTCTCCTCATGACTTCAGTCCCTCTAATTTATTGTGATGGGTTTTTATGGCCCATAATATGGTCTATCTCGACAAATGTTCTCTGTGCCCCTGAAAATAATATGCAGTCTGCTATTGTTGGATGATGTGGTCTACAAATGCCAATCAGATTAAATTAATATTGTTCAACTCTACTATGTCTTTGTTGATTTTCTGTCTACTTATTCTATCAGTTACTAAGAGAAAGGGCATGGAATTTTCTGACTGTAATTGTGGATTTGCTGATTTCTCTTTGTGATCTGTCAGTTTTTGCTCATGTATTTTAAAGCTCTATGATTAGGTATATTCTCATTTAAGAATTGCTGTGTTGACCGGGTGCAGTGGCTCACACCTGTAATTGTAGCATTTTGGGAGGCTGAGGCAGGTGGATCACAAGGTCAGGAGTTTGAGACCAGCCTGGCCAATGTGGTGAAACCCCGTCTCTACTAAAAATACAAAAATAAGCTGGGCATGGTAACATGCGCCTGTAGTCTCAGCTACTTGGGAGGCTGAGGCAGAAGAATCGCTTGAACCCAGGAGGTGGAGGTTGCAGTGAGCCGAGATTGCGCCACTGCACTCCAGAGTGAGACTCTGTCTCAAAAAAAAAAAAAAAAAAAAAAAAAAAGAATTGCTATGTCCTCTTGCTTAATTGATCTTTTTATCATAATGAGACCTTCTTGGTAATCTTCGCTCTGAAATCTACTTTGCCAATATTAATAGAGCCATTTTAGATTTTTTTTTTGCTACTGTTATATGATACAACATTTTCAAATTGCTTATTATAAAAAGTATATCTCTTCATTTATTCATATTTAAGTACAATTTAATAGCAGCATATCATTAGGTCTTGTTTTTTTTTGTTTTTTTTTTTTTAGGTTTTGATTTCTTTTTAACCAGTCTAACTACTTCTGCCTTTTGAGATATTTAGAGCAATTTACTTTTTTTTTTTTTTTTTTTTTTTGAGATGTAGTCTTGCTCTGTGGCTCAGGCTAGAGTACAGTGGTGCAATCTTGGCTCACTGCAAACTTTGCCTTCCTGGTTCAAGCTATTCTCCCACCTCAGCCACCTGAGTAGCTGGGATTACAGGCGTGCACAACCACACCCAGCTAATTTTTGTATTTTTAGTAAAGACAGGATTTCACCATGTTTCCCAGGCTGGTCCTGGACTCCTGACCTCAAGTGATCTGCCCGCCTTGGCCTCCCAAAATGCTGGAATTACAGGCCTGAGCCAGCAAACCTGGCTTAGAGCAATTTACATTTAATGTGATAATTTAGTTAGGTTTATATCTATACTATTGCTATGTGTTGTCTATCTGTCTTATCCACTCTTTGTTCCTTTATTTTTTTTTTTCATTTTTTCTGCCTTCTTTTGGCCTAATGAGTATTTTTGAATAATCCTATTTCAGCCTCCTTCATTGACTCATTAGCTCTAAAACTTTAAAAAAGTTCTAGTGGTTGCTTCAGGGTTTATTGAATACATCAAGTGACATTATACAACTTCACATAGAGGATAAGAACCTTTCAATAGTGTACTTTCATTTCTCCTCCCTCAACTTTGATGTGATTGCTGCCCTATATTTTACTTTTACATATGCTATAAACTTCACAATACATTGTTTTCAGGTGTTTTTTTGTTTTTGGTTTTGTTTTTTTGAGACAGTTTCACTCTGTCGCCCAGGCTGGAGTGCAGTGATAAGATCTCGGTTCATAGCAAGCTCTGCCTCCTGGGTTCAAGCAATTCTGCTGCCTCAGCCTCCCAAGTAGCTGGGACTACAGGCGCCTGCCACCATGCCTGGCTAATTTTTTTGTATTTTTAGTAGAGATGGGGTTTCACCGTGTTAGCCAGGATGGTCTCAATCTCCTGACCTCGTGATCTGCCCGCCTCGGCCTCCCAAAGTGCTGGGATTACAGGCGTGAGCCACCGCGCCTGGCCTCGTGTTTGTTTTTTTGAGATGGAGTTTCGCTCTGTCACCCAGGCTGGAGTGCAATGGTGCAATCTCGGCTCACTGCAACCTCTGCCTCCCGGGTTCGAGCAATTCTCCTGCCTCAGCCTCCCAGGTAGCTGGGATTACAGGCACACACCACCACACCCGGCTAATTTTTGTACTTTTAGTAGAGATGGGGTTTCACCATGTTTGCCAGGTTGATCTCAATCTCCTGACCTCAGGTGATCCACCTGCCTTGGCCACCCAAACTACTGGGATTACAAGCATGAGCCACCATGCCCGGCCTCTTAGCTTTTTAAAATTCTTTTTTTTAATCTGTGTGTTTTATTTTGGATAATTTCTCTTGCTAAATCTTCAAGTATATGTATTGCTCTTTTCTTCTGCCGTGTTTAATCTGCCATTAATCTCATCCATTGTATTTTTCATCTTAAACATTGTAGTTTTTATCTCTAGAGTCTTAACAAAATATCTCCCATGTCTCTACTTAACATTTTGAACTTAAAGAATATAGGCCGGGCATGGTGGCTCATGTCTGTAATCCCAGCACTTTGGGAGGCTCAGGCAGGTGGATCACTTGAGGCCAGGAGTTCAAGACCAGCCTGGGTAACGGGGCAAGACTGCGTGTCTACAAAATAATACAAAAAATAACCAGGCATGGTGGCATGTACCTGTAGTCCCACTGTAGTCCCTTATGGGGGTGAGGTGGGAGGATTGCTTGAGCCCAGGGAGGTGGAGGTTGCAGTGAGCCACGATCACGCCACTGCACTCCAGCCTGGGTAACAGAGTGAGACCCTGTCTCAAAAAAAGGAAAAAAGGAAAAAATGCCAGGCGTGGTGGCTCTTGTCTGTAATCTCAGCACTTTGGGAGACCGAAGTAGGTGGATCACTTGGGACCAGGAGTTTGAGACCAGCCTGGCCAACATGGCAAAACCCCTTCTCTTCTGAAAATAGAAAAAATTAACTGGGTGTGGTGGGGTGCCTGTAGTCCCAGCTATTTAGGAGGCTGAGGCAGGAGAATTGCTTGAATCTGAGAAGTGGAGGCTGCAGGGAGCTGAGATCGTGCCACTGCACTCCAGCCTGGGAGACAGAGCAAGAGTCTGTCTCAGAAACAGCAACAACAACAACAACAACAACAACAACAATAAAAAGAATATAATTATAATAAATATTTTAAAGTCCCCATCTGCTAATTTGAATATATTTGTCAGTTCTGGGTCATTTTCAATTGACTGGCTTTTCTTCTCATGATGGGTTCTGTTTTCCTGCTTCTTTGCAAGCTTTCTATTCTTTGATTGGCTGCAAGACATTGTACATTTTATCTTATTGAATGCCGGGTTTGTTTTTTTTGAGACGGTGTCTTGCTCTGTTGCCCAGGCTGGAGTGCAGTGGCACGATCTCGGCTCACTGTAAGCTCCGCCTCCCAGGTTCACGCCATTCTCCTGCCTCAGCCTCCCGAGTAGCTGGGACTACAGGCCCCCGCCACCACGCCCGGCTAATTTTTTGTATTTTTAGTAGAGACGGGGTTTCACCGTGTTAGCCAGGATGGTCTCGATCTCCTGACCTCATGATCCACCCGCCTGGGCCTCCCAAAGTGCTGGGATTACAAGCGTGAGCCACCGTGCCCGGCCTAAATGCCGGATTTTTTGTAATCCTATATTCATGACATTTCTTGTGGAATACAGCTAAGTAACTTGGAAACATTTTGATCCTTGCTTTTATGATTTGTTAGGTGGGGCTGGACACAGTGGCTCACACCTGTAATCCTAGTACTTTGGGAGGCCAAGGTGGGTGGATTGCTTGAGGTCAGGAGTTTGAGACCAGCCTGGGAAACATGGCAAAACCCCATCTCTACTAAAAATACTAAAATTAGGCCAGACGCAGTGGCTCATGCCTGTAATCCCAGCACTTTGGAAGGCTAAGGCAGGCGGGTCACCTGAAGTCAGGAGTTTGAGACCAACCAGGCCAACATGGTGAAACCCTGTCTCTACTAAAAATACAAAAATTAGCCAGGCGTGGTGACGGGCCCCTGTAGTCCCAGCTACTCAGGAAGCTGAGGCAGGAGAATTGCTTGAACCGGGTAGGTGGAGATTGCAGTGAGCCGAGATCACGCCATTGCACCCCAGCCTGGGCGACAGAGCAAGACTCTGTCTCTAAATAAATTAAAATAATAATAACAAATAAGAAAAAGAATACAGGTGGGCAGCCAAAGTTAGTTGTAGGCTCTCAGGATATCTCACTGAATCCAGGGGCTGATTTGCTACGAGACAGAGGAAGGTGCTGAACCTGGCTCAGGAGAGAGCTGGAAACTCAGGTAACAGACCCCAGAGTCCTCTTTTTCTCCACGTGCAGAATGTGTTCTTTCTCTTGGCATCTGTATCCTTGTAGAGAAGCATGGCTGCCCCACAACTCCTGGAGTCACAGAAGACAGGTTCAGCCATCTGCGAAAATCCATGATTATTGTTCTGTCCATATTCTAAACTCCTTAGACAATTGTATCTTCTTAGCAAAGGTTATTCGTTTTATGTGGTTGCATAAGTGTCTGTCTGTCTGTCTCTCTCTTTCTTCCCCCTTGTGTTGAGAGACAGAGATTCTAGAGAAGAAATGGAAGAATCGTGGGCTGGGCAGATACCCTAAAATGTGCCTGCTGCATACCAACTTTACACAACTAGTAAGGTTTAAATTCCTGTCTTTCCAACTCTGTTACAAATAGACTCTGGACTGGTCAGCCGCAGTGGCTCACACCTGCAATCGTAGCACTTTGGGAGGCTGAGGCGGGCAGATCACTTGAGGTCAGGAGTTCGAGACCAGCCTGTGCAACAGGGCGAAACACGGTCTCTACTAAACACACAAAAATTAGCCGGGCGTGGTGGCAGGCACCTGTAATCCCAGCTACTCAGGAGGCTAAGGCGGGAGAATCACTTGAACCCGGGAGGCAGAGGTTGCAGTGAGCAGAGCAGGTTGCAGTGAGCAGAGCAGGTTCCCGAGTAGCTGGAATTACAGGCATGCGCCACCATGCCCAGCTAATTTTGTATTTTTGGTAGAGACAGGGTTTCTCCATGTTGGTCAGGCTGGTCTCGAACTCCTGACCTCAGGTGATCCGCCCGCCTTGGCCTCCCAACTTGCTGGGATTACAGGCCTGAGCCACCGCCTGGCCTCAAAGCTTCTTTTGTTAAAAGGTTTGGGCTAATTTTTAGTAACTTTTACGGTCTCATTTAATTTTTTCCCGCTTCTTTTCTTTTTTTAAAAATAATTATTTTTAAATTTTTTTTTTTTAATTGAGACCGAGTCTTGCTTTGTTACCGAGGCTGGAGTGCAGTGATAAAATCTTGGCTCACTCCAACCTCCACCTCTCAGGTTCAAGCGATTCTCTTGCCTCAGCCTCCCAAGTAGCTGGGATTACAGGCGCCTGCCAGCACGCCTGGCTAATTTTTGTATTTTTAGTAGAGACGACATTTCACCATGTTGGCAAGGCTGGTCTCGAACTCCTGACCTCAAGTGATATGCCTGCCTCAGCCTCCCAAGTGCTGAGATCACAGGCATGAGCCACCGCACCCAGCGCTTTCCTTTTCTCTTTATGTGACTTGCTAAACCACTTGACAAAGAAGCTGAGGTTATTAGGTTTTTCTTTTCACAAATAAGGTGAATGAATCATAAGCCCATGTCTGCTGCTTTATTTACTGAATTAGTGTTCTAAAAATAAAACAGCACTCTTTAAGTCCAACATTTATACCTAAATTCTGGGCCCTGAAATGTAATTGTGCACCTGGGCCCGTATTTAACTTCAAATTCTCCATCTGTGTAAGATGCATAATACCAGGTCTACTATGCAGACAGTTACGGTAAGTCAGATGATGTCTGAAAAACACTTGAGACACACAGTTGCCATGTTCTGTGTACTGACGGAAAGTATGAAATTAGCAAAACATGCAGGGAATATTCAGCTGTATTCATTACTGTGTTTGGGCAAAATACGGTAAAGAAATTGCTCAGCATAGTTTCTCTGAAGATGTTTGGGTATACTTAGCATGCTTTGCAAACCTTGGAATTGAATTTAATTTTTACTTAGAGAATTAAGCATCTAATTATTGCCACAAAAAATAGTAGATTAAGGCCGTGCACAGTGGCTCACGCCTGTAATCCTAGCACTTTGGGAGGCTGAGGGGGGTGGATCAC
Organism: Homo sapiens; assembly: GCF_000001405.40. Lineage (NCBI taxonomy): Eukaryota > Metazoa > Chordata > Mammalia > Primates > Hominidae > Homo > Homo sapiens. Next base: position 72,843,079 of record NC_000007.14, on the reverse strand, counting down.
CTGGGTTCAAGGGTTCGAGACCAGCGTGGCCACTGTGGTGAAACCCCGTCTCTACTAAAAAAAAAAAAAAAAAAATTAGCCGGGCATGGCAGGGGGCGCCTGTAATCTCAGCTACTTGGGAGGCTGAGGCAGGAGAATCGCTTGAACCCAGGAGGCGGAGATTGCAGTGAGGAGAGATCGTCCCACTGCACTCCAGCCTGGGCAACAGAGCGAGACTCTGTCTCAAACAAACAAACAAAATAGTAGATTAAGTTTGGGCAACATAGCAAGACCCTGTCCCTATAAAAAATTAAAATAATTAGCTAGGCGTGGTGGCACAAGCCTGTAGTTCCAGCAACTCTGGAGGCTGAGGCAGGAGGATTGATTGAACCTAAGAGTTCTAGGCTGCAGAGAGCTATGATTGCGCCACTGCACTCTGTTACAGATGTATACATGTACTGAGTCATGATGGAAAATGGATTGATTTAGAAATGTTTGGGGATGATGGCTTGCTCATTTGCCCTTCTATGGTTCACTATAGCCTAGGCTATTTGGAGAAAAGCAAAACATTTGAAAGCTGAAACATTCAAAACATTCAAAGATTCAAAGCTGAAATCTGCGATCCATGCCATGAAACTCAAGGACAAAAAAAAATGCGGCAGTTATTTTAGTGGCACGAAGTCCTGGGGCTGCTGGATCCCAGCCTAGGAGGAGAGGGACATGAAGAAAAGTAAGGGCCAGCACATTTTGACTGTTCTGGGGAAAAGGAACTGCAGCAAGAAGTAACTGCTCTGCTCAAAACATTCCTATTCTCTCTCTCTCGTCTCACTCTGTCGCTCAGGCTGGAGTGCAGTGGTGCGATCTCGGCTCACTGCAACCTGTGCCTCCTGGGTTCATGTGATTCTCCTGCCTCAGTCTCCCTAGTAGCTGGGATTACAGGTACCTACCACCACTCCCAGCTAATTTTTTGTATTTTTAGTAGAGAAGGGATTTCACCGTTTTGGCCAGGCTGGCCTCGAACTCCTGACCTTGGGTGATCCGCCTGCCTCAGCCTTCGAAAATGCTGGGATTATAGGCATGAGCCACCATGCCCGGCCAGCCTCTCTTTATTGGGAGCTTTCCATCCACTCTCCATCTCTTCTGCCTTTTCTTTTTAAATCTCCTCATCACTTCTTGCGAACTCTCCATGGCTCCTAGTGCCTGAGGTGTAGGTATAAGACAGCTTGAAACCAGTAATCTGCAATTCTTTCCTGGGCTTTCCGTTCTCACAACAGAGTCTGTGTCACCTGCTAAGGTACTGAAACTGACTCAGTTCTTTCACAGAGCAGATGTTTATGGTTTCTTTTGAATAAACATAGAAATTGATCCTTCTAGCCTGGTGTGGTGGAGTGTGCCTGTATTCCCAGCTACTTGGGAGGCTGAGGTGGGAGGATCCCTTGAGCCCAGGAGTTCTGGGCTGTAGTGTGCTATGCCAGTCAGGTGTCTGCACTAAATTTAGCATCCACTTCCTGGGAGTGGGGGACCACCAGGTTGCTTAAGGAGGGGTTAACCAGCTCAGGTCAGAGACTGAGCAGGTCAAAACTCCCATGCTGATGAGTAGTGGCATCACGCCTGTGAACAGCCACTGCACTTCAGCCTGGGCAACATAGTGAGACCCTGTCTCAAAACAAAACAAAAGCAAAAGCAAAAGCGAAAAGAGAAACAAATTGACCTTTCCAGTCTTGAAATTTGAGAAAGTGACATTTGCCTTATCTGAGTTCCTTTCTCAGGAAATCAACCATCAGGCCTCCCAGATGGTATCAAGGAACTGAAACTTACCAGATCACTGCATTTGGACAAGGAGATGCGGGACCCCTCATCTGTCATAATGGCCTAACAGACCACCTGCTGCCTGTTGATCAACTCCTCTTCCTTACCCCTCCCTAATTCCTGTCTTACTGCATGTAGTTACATTTCTTCCTTCCTGTATAAACCTCTAATTTTAGTTGGTCAGGGAGACGAATTTGAAACTGATCTCCCATCTCCTTGGCTGGAGCACCCAATTAAAGCCTTCTTCCCTGGCACTACTGATTGGCTTTCTGTGCAGCAAGCGGCAGGACCTACACCAAATCCCCGGCATTTTGGCAACAGCACTGGTCATGCTAGGGAAAAAGTTCAAGATTTCAACTTCCAAGACCCAGGGAAGCCTCTCACAATTTCTAAAGGGCAGGGCAGAAGAGATCTTTGAAAGTGAATCTGAATGAGTATAAAAATGCAGTTTCACTTTAAATTTTCCAAAAAGCTTATTAAATTAGTATTTTCATGTGCTTTTGAAAACTTTATTTATTTATTTATTTATTTATTTATTTAGAGACAGAGTCTCACTCTGTCACCCAGGTTGGAGTGCAGTGGCGTGCTCTCGACTCACTGCAACCTCTGCCTTTCAGGCTCAAGCGATTCTCCTGCCTCAGCCTCCTGAGTAGCTGGGATTACAGGTGGCACCACCACCATGCCCAGCTAATTTTTGTATTTTTTTTTTTTTTGAGACAGATTTCGCTAGTTTTGCTCTTGTTGCCCAGGCTGGAGTGCGATGGCGCAATCTTGGCTCACTGCAACCTCCACCTCCCTGGTTCAAGTGATTCTCCTGCCTCAGCCTCCCAAGTACCTGGGATTACAGGTGCCCGCCACCACATCCAGCTGATTTTTTGTGTTTTAGTGGATATGGGGTTTCATCATGTTGGCCAGGCTGGTCTTGAACTCCTGTCCTCAAGTGATCCACCAGCCTTGGCATCCCAGAAGGATGGGATTATAGGCATGAGGCACTGCGCCTGGCCTAATTTTTATATTTTCAGTAGAGATGGGGTTTCACCACATTGGCCAGGCTGGTCTCGAACTCCTGACCTCAGGTAATCTGCCTACCTCTGCCTCCCAAAGTGCTGGGATTGCAGGTGTGAGCCTCCGTGACTGGCTGAAAACTTTATTTCAAAACTAATCATGCTGGTTGTAATATGCTTGTGTAGGTTACATGTGTATTTTTCCACAGAATTTCTATGCTCTTTCAACCGTATATAAACCTGTACACACATATTTAGGGTTTTTCCTCCAAAAAAGTGACAAAAATGGGATCACACCATAATACATTCCTCCGTAGTTTTATTCCCTCTTCCGTCTCTACCCCTCCTCCACTTATTACCATGGACATCGCTATAGGACATACGGGAAGATGTCTCATTTGTTAAAATATACTTAATATTCCACAATAGGCTGGGTGCAGTTGCCCACACCTGTAATCCCAGCACTTTTGGGAGGCTGAGACAGGTGGATCACCTGAGGTCAGGAGTTCAAAACTAGCCTGGCCCAAATAGGGAAACCCTGTCTTTACTAAAAATACAAAAATTAGCCAGGCATGGTGGTGCGCACCTGTAGTCCCTACTATTCAGGAGGCTGAGGCACGAAAATCGCTTGAATTCGGGAGTTGGAGGTTGCAGTGAGCTAAGATTGCACCACTGCACTCCAACCTGGGCAACAGGGCGAGACTCCATCTCAAAAAAAAGAAAAATCCACAATAAGGAGATGTTACAATTCATTTAACTACAGGTTGAGTATCCTTAATCCGAAAAACCCCCAAATTAGAAACATAATGCTCAAAGGAAATGGTCCCTGAGCATTTTGATTTTTGAATTTTTTTTTTTTTGAGACGGAGTCTCGCTCTGTCACCCAGGCTGGAGTGCAGTGGCATGATCTCATCTCACTGCAGCCTCCACTTTGCAGGTTCAAATGATTCTACTGCCTCAGCCTCCTGAGTAGCTGGGATTACAGGCGCGTGCCACCATGCTCAGATAATTTTTTTTTTTTTTTATATTTTTAGTAAAGACAGGGTTTTACCATGTTGCCCAGGCTGGTATTGAACTCCTGACTTAAAGTGATCCACCAGCTTTGGCCTCCCAAAGTGCTGGGATTACAGGCGTGAGCCACTGTGTCTGGCCCACATGTTTATTATTTCAGACATTTACTCCACATCTACTAGGTCCAAAGCATGGTGGGATATACACACACATTGCTAACTCCCTTGCCCTTAAGGAGCTCACAGTCTAGCCTGAAGGCAGATAATTAAGCAGCTCTAATACAAGTTTGAATAAATCTAGACCCATGAAGGAATTTAAGTAGAGTACTGGGTTCCAGCAACTGGAGCAAATACTTCTGTATGGGGTACAAGGGAAGCTTCAGAGAAAAGAACTGTGGTAAAAGAAGAGGCCTAAGTCTGAAATGTCATTGTGACCAAATGCACACACCATCAGCTTGCACTGAAAAAGTCCAATCAATCAATCGTTAAAATAATCCATTATGGCTGTGGTACTGGGAAGATGATCATGAACCAAAAATGTTAAGTTCTTTGATAATGAAATTAGTATAAAATTAAAAAAATAAGTTTAGATGATGACTCAGATGTGATCTACATTTGACATTTCTTGAAGTTCCAGCTTTTTAGAAAAAAATGAATATTCAGAATCAGAAAATCTTTGTTTTGAGATGGGGTCTGGCTCTGTTGCCCAGGTTGGAGTGCAGTGGGGTGATTTTAGCTCACTGCAACCTCCGCCTCCCGGGCTCAAGTGGTCCTCCTGCCTCAGCCTCCCAAGTAGTTGGGACCATAGGTGCACACTACCGTGCCTAATTTTTTGTATTTTTGGTAGAGATGGGGTTTCACTGTGTTGCCCAGGCTGGTCTTGAACTCCTGAGCTCAAGTGATTCACCCGCCTTGGCCTCCCAAATTGCTGGGATTACCGGTGTGAGCCACTGCGCCTGGCCCCAGAAAATCTTAAGGAAATGTTTCATTAAATGTTTATATTTTCTTACTAAGAAAGATAGAGCTATTGATATATTGAACAAGTAGCTGTATCAAAACAGCAGCCTAGCTTTAGCATTAACAGAAAAAGAGTTCATTCCCATGTTATCAAACAAGAATATATTTTGTTAACACTGTAAGAAAAAATTTTGACTTTATAATCTCAATTATTTTGAACTAAAGGGACATTTCTGAGAGCTTGTATTAGCAGGGAGTTCTGTGTGCTTATAAACCAATCAGTACCTTTTCAAGTCAAGAAGCCTGTTTTCAGTTAAAATAAAAACTGCTGTCCAGAAATACATCTGTATATTTATTTTGAGTGAATTTGATTTATATTCTAGAATGTATCTCTTTTGAAATAGATTTTTTTTTTTTTTTTTGGAGCCAAATTTCACTCTTGTCACCCAGGCTGGAGTGCAGCGGCACGTTCTCAGCTCATTGCAACCTCTGCCTCCTGGGTTCAAGCGATTCTCCTGCTTCAGCCTCCCGAGTAGCTGGGACTACAGGCATGCACCACTATGCCTGGCTAATTTTTGTATTTTTAGTAGAGACGGGGTTTCACTGTGTTGCCTAGGCTGGTCTCGAACTCCTGACCTCAGGTGATCCGCCTGCCTCAGCCTCCCAAAGTGCTGGGATTACAGGTGTGAGTCACCTCCCTGGCCTTGAAGTAGATTTTTAAAAGCTTGCACCTTGTCCATTTACGTGTTTAAATACTAAAATAATACTTCAGTTACATCCCAAGTGTTAGCAAAAATTTTTCAGGCGTTTACAAGTACAGGCCCTGTTCTAAGCACTCTTCATATGGACTTATTTAGTTCTCCTAACAACTCCCTAACCCTACCACAGACACAGGCAGAGAAAAGAAAGGGAGTTAGGAAGTTGTCTAGAAACACAAGCCATAGTTTAATAAACATAAGAGTGGTTTTATTGATTACATACAATTTTAGCTATATTAATATATATTATAAACTTTAAGAATTAGAAATAAGTGACTTTTATTTTTTAACCAAGAATAATCTAAGTTATGGCAGCATGTTCAACGAAAATTATTTAAGTCCGACACAATTTTTCTATATCTGTTTCTCAGATAATCAGGAACATCATCCAAGCTTTATATTACGATACCATAATGACCCTCAGAACACAAGTTCCATTAAGTAGAAATGAAGCATCATGTTTTCTTTTTTAGGAAAGACCCCCCTTTTGTCGTATAGACATACCCCTAATAATCTTACTCTACTGTACAAAAAACTTTTCACCCACAAGAGCTGCCTCAAGTAACTTTCATTTTGGAAAGCTATCAAGGCATGAGACAGAGTAGCAAAATGCCACTCTGGATTTTGCATCCTGGAGTTTCAATTTTGCTTTAGGATTTAGACCCCAGTTTATAATTAAAACCAAATCATTCCCACATTATTATACTTATGTAGGAAAGCCTTGCTGTGTCCACTGTTAACACAAAGATAGAAAATGTCAAATAGTTTGAGCAAGTATTTGGCAGACCACAGACATGAAACAGTGCTGTTGGAAACGAAAACACTTTAGTGTTTTAGAGGTGAAGAGACTGATGGGTGTCATTCAAATTTCTCATCTCCTTCTTCAAATCTTTCAGATTGAGTACTTCCAAAGAACCTTTGCCTTTGGTTTCCTTTTTTATTAGCTCATCAATTTCTCGGAAGCAGCCCAGGTCAATCAGACATACCTGAAACATTTAACGTAGCAGTTTACCAAATGAGGATGAGCAAGACACAGAATAAACTCAGCTTTAACTTTGAGGCAAGCACAATGCTGTCCAGATCTCTAATACCACAGTTCTATGGTGCAATAGATAAGACAATGGGTAGGGCGGCACACTGGGTTCCAGTTCAGCCTCTGCCCTCAAGTATCCATGTAGCCCCCTGTGACAAGGCATTAATCCCTATGTTTAAACACTTATTCTGATTCTTCCGCTGTAAATGGAAGGGACAAACTAGAAAACTCTGATTCTTCTCATACTAAAATTTAGCATTACATTTTATAGCTCAGTAAAGTCACCTCCACGTATGAAGGAGAAAAAGCAATGTGAAGACTTACGTAGACACCATGTGTATGTTTTTGTTTTATTTTTTTTTTGAGATAGAGTGCAGTGGTGTGATCTTGGCTCACTGCAGCCTCCACCTCCCAGGTTCAAGTGATTCTCCTGCCTCGGCCTCCCAAGACACTGGGATTACAGACGCCCACCACCACACCTGGCTTATTTTTTGTATTTTTAGTAGAGACAGGGTTTCACCGTGTTATCTGCTCGCCTCGGCCTCCCAAAGTGCTGGGATTACAGGTATGAGCCACTGTGCCTGGCCCACGTGTACAGTTTTGCAAAGATTTTAGAACTTCAAGTAGTGTCAGATGGGTTAGTTCACATCTACAGTGGATACTCACATACTCAACACTTCTCTACAGGTCATTTACTTTTAAAAAGAAGCTGCAGACAGGGCGCAGTGGCTCACGCCTGTAATCCCAGCACTTTGGGAGGCCGAGGCTGGTGGATCACCTGAGGTCAGGAGTTCGAGACCAGCCTGACCAACATGGAGAAACCCTGTCTCTACCAAAAATACAAAATTAGCTGGGCGAGGTGGCACATGCCTGTAATCCCAGCTACTCGGGAGGCTGAGGCAGGAGAATCGCTTGAACCCGGGAGGCAGAGGTTGCAGTGAGCTGAGATCACACCATTGCACTCTAGCCTGGGCAACGAGAGTGAAACTCTGTCTCAAAAATAAATGAATAAATAAATAAATAAGCTGCAAAGCCTTGAAAACATGAATTTGTAGACAGCTGAATTTACACTGTGTTTGAAGCTGTGGGGTGAGGTCATAAGGACATAATGGTTTCGCTGCTTCTTTAAAATGTTCTGTGTTTAGTGTCACCAGGTTCACACACTAATATCCTCTGGAAACACCCTCACAGACATACCCCAAATAATCCTTTATCAGGCTTCTAGGGATTCCTTTCCAGTCAAGTTGACACCTAAAATTACATCCACAATTCCACCCCTTATCAACTTGGCACCCAGACTCATCTCTTTAAACCATTTTTAATTTTCAAATGAAGACAATAACAAGGTCCTAGCTTTTCCTCACATGATGCAATTAACCAGACGCGACTATCCTGCATACAACTCAAAGAGTGCTAATCCTTTTGCCAGAATTCAGCTTTCAGAATTTCATCATTCAGGATTCAATCTTTTTTTTTTTTTTTTGAGATGGAGTTTCGCTCTTGTTGCCCAGGCTGGAGTACAATGGTGCAATCTTGGCTCACCACAACCTCTGCCTCCCATGTTCAAATGATTCTTCTGACTCAGCCTCCCAAGTAGCTGGGATTACAGGGATGTGCCACCACGCCTGACTATTTTGTATTTTTAGTAGAGACAGGGTTTCTCCATGTTGGTCAGGCTGGTCTCGAATTCCCGACCTCAGGTGATCCGCCTGCCTCAGCCTCCCAAAGTGTTGGGATTACAGGCGTGAGCCACTGCGCCGAGCCAGGATTCAATCTTTTGGAACTGTGATTTTCAAGATATTAGAAGTTCAGGCTTTGGACTTTAGAGATTTTGATTTTTTTATGATTTCAACATTGGGATTGTGGTATTTGGGATTGTCTTTTAGGATTATGATCAGCACTGGAGTAAAGCACGCAATTGAGCTATCTCTGAAAACTCAATATAAATTCCCATAGTGTGCTTTGTACTAATTTTTGCAAAATTTTTCAGGTAATTGGAATTATCAATCTTCCACTAAAATAGCAATTTTTAAGTGGCTTATTTTAAATAGTTGCTAAATTTGCTAAAATCATGTATCTAAAACACTATGCATAATATATGACAAAAATAAATGCTGGGAAAAAAATAAAAGGATTTGTGGTAAACAAGGCTGACCAACCTTTAGTCTTAAGAAAATATCTGGCTGGGCACAGTGGCTCACGCCCGTAATCCCTGCACTTTGGGAGGCCGAGGCGGGTGGATCATGAGGTCAGGAGATCAAGACCATCCTGGCTAACACGGTGAAACCCCATCTCTACTAAAAAGTACGAAAAATTAGCCAGGCGTGGTGGCGGGCGCCTGTAGTCCCAGCTACACGGGAGGCTGAGGCAGGAGAATGGCATGAACCCGGGAAGCGAAGCTTGCAGTGAGCTGAGATTGCGCCACTGCACTCCAGCCTGGGCAACAGAGCGAGACTCCATCTCAAAAAAAAAAAAAAAAAGAAAAAAAAAAAGAAAAGAAAATATCTGACTGTTTACAATGTCTGAATGTTTGCTACAAATTTATTACTAGAGAATACAATATTTAGGTAACATGAAGCAAAGAAAATATTTGACTCTTACGATTTCTAACTGTTGGCCATAATCTTTACTTTCTATGACCTTGATCAGTGGCTTGAGCTTTTCTTTCAGCTTCTTGCCTTCATTCACTGGAAGGATGAACTGAAGCCTCATGTGAGCACGTTCTATCTTCATTTTCTCTTTTAACTGCTTTATCACTTCCAAAGCCTACCAAGACAAAATCGAGAATGCAATTTCTTCTACTATATTATTTCATAAGGTTTTCAAAAACAAAGTAGTTTCCATGTAGTTGGATTAGGTAATGGTTTCTTAGGTATAACATTAAGAACATAAGTGACCGTTAAAAAAAAATAGAAAAATTGGACTTATCAAGAAGAAAAGCTTTTGTGTTTCAAAAAATTATGAAGAAAGTGAAGGCCAGGTGTGGTGGCTCACGCCTCTAATCCCAGCACTTTGGGAGGCCGAGGCGGGTGCATCACAAGGTCAGAAATTCGAGACCAGCCTGGCCAACATGGTGAAACCCCGTCTCTACTAAAAATACAAAAAAAGAAAAATTAGCCGGGTGTGGTAGCACACGCCTGTAGTACCAGCTACTCAAGAGGCTGAGGCAGGAGAATTGCTTGAATCCGGGAGGCAGAGTTTGCAATGAGCCGAGATCGCGCCACTGCACTCTAGTCTGGGTGACAGAGCGAGAATAAAAAGGGGGCAAAGAACCTGAACAGAGATTTCTCAAAAGCAGACAGACGAGGCACCAATAAGCACATGGAAATATGCTCAAATCATTATTAAGGAAATGCAAATCAAAACGACGACAAGATACCACCAGGATGGCCATCATCAAAAAGACAGACAATGACAAGTATTACTGAGGATGTGGAGAAACTGAACTCTTAAACGCTGTTGGTGGTAATGTAAAATGGTGCAGCTGTTTTAGAAATAGGTTTGGTAGTCCCCAGGTATACAGAAATGAAAATATATGTCTACACAAAAACATACAAGAAATTTTATAGCAGCATTGCTCATCATAGCTCAAAAGTGAAAGCAACCCAATGTCTATCAACTGATAAATGAATGAACAAAATATGTTTTTTTCTGTACAGCGGGCTATTATTCCGGCATAAAAAAGAAATGACATGCTGATGCAGGTTACAACATGTATGAACCCTGAAAAGGCCATATATTGTATGATTCCATTTATATGAAATGTCCAGAATTGACAAGTCCATAACGACAGGAGATTAGTGGTTGGGAAGGGCCTGTGGGGGGAAAATGGGGGATAGCTACTAATGGATACTGACTTTCTTTTTGTGGTGATGAAAATGTTCTCAAACCAGGTAGCAGGGAAGGTTCCCAAACTTTGTTAATATACCACTTAAAGTGTACACACTTTATGAGTGTGAAATTTATTGTATGTGAATTATATGTAAATTGAAAAATTCAAAAAGAGGTGTTAAAATGACCCTTTAAAAACTCAAGTTTTGTTTTTAAAAGTTTGATTTGGATAGGAAGAAGAAAGTCCTATATACATATTTGTGTTTACTTGAAAAAAAAACTACCTATCTTTACAACCCCGTCCTTTTCCTCCATCTCTTCCACAAAACTTCTACCCACTTGCTTCCATGCAAACCCATTTTTTTAAATTTAATTTTTTATATTAAAAAAATTAGAGGTAGGGTACGGTAGCTGATGCCTGTAATCCCAGCACTTTGGGAGGCCAAGGCGGACGGATCACCTGAGGTCAGGAGTTCAAGACCAGCCTGGCCAACATGGTAAAACCTCAACTCTACTAAAAATAACAAAATTAGCTGGGTGTGGTGGCGCGTGCCTATAATCCCAGCTACTTGGGAGGCTGAGGCAGGAGACTTGCTTGAACGCGGGAGGTGGAGATTGTAAGTGAGCCGAGATCGTGCCACTGCACTCCAGCCTGGGCAACACAGTGCGACTCTGTCTCAAACAAAAAAACAACAATAAACAAAAAAATTTAGAGATGGGGCGTCCCTATGTTTCCCAGGCTGTTTCCAGGCCTCAAGCAATCCTCCCATCTTGGCTCCCAAAGTGCTAGGATTACGGGTATGAACCATTGTGCCTGGCCCCAGACCCATTATTTTAATGATTTCTTCAGAGAAAACTGATTTCCATGGCTATATTTTGATGACATGAGAGACCACTCACCTGCTGTTTTGTACTCCTGTTGGTTTTCACCAAATAGTGGATGTCCTTCATGGCTCTCTCAATAAGGATCACGGTGTATGGTCTCTTTGTTTCAGGAGTCACACATTTGTCTGCCACAATAATTGCAATGTCCCTAAACATCTGCTCCAGTTGTGTGTGTCTTTATCTGATACTTGAACTTCTCCTTTAGTCAAAATCTAAAAAAATGCCAACACAGTTAAGAAATCACTATCTTTCTCTATCACACACTATTTATTAACTAACGACAAAAAATGAGTAACTGGGGAGAAAATTAAATTTCATCCTCTCCAGCTATTAATATGTAAGTAATGGTTTGAGCTTTGCCCAAAAGATGCAAGAATCTTTTGGCTGGGCGCAGTGGCTCACATCTGTAATCCCAGCACTTTGGGTGGCTGAGGTGGGCATATCACCCAAGGTCAGGAGTTTGAGACCAACCCGGCCAACATAGTGAAACCCCATCTCTACTAAAAATCCAAAAATTAGCCGGGCAGGGTGGTGGGCACCTGTAATCCCAGCTACCCTGGAAGCTGAGGCAAGAGAATCGCTTGAACCCAGGAGGCAGAGGTTGCAGTGAGCTGAGTGCAGTGAAGTGCACTGCACTCCAGCCAAGGGCAACAGAGCAAGACTCTGTCCCCTGCCAAAAAAATAAAAGGGTCTGAAAGATGAAATACTTGAAAACAAATTCAGTTTTCAGGTATACCACATTCTATAAATGAGGTAATTTATAGAAAAATGAGGTAATTTAGTAGAAAATCTGATTTCAGGAGGTTTTGGCAAAAAAAAAAAACACAAAAAAACAAAACCACCAAGTTCTTTATTATTAGAAGTGATATTGTGCAGTTCACATTATTGCTTGGTTAGTCTTTCCTCCAGAAAAACAGCCTTTAATGTTTAATATATCTACAAATACGTTATAAATGGTTATTAGGGTTAGCTATGCTGCAGCTGTTACCCGCCTGCTTACAGATTTCAGTTTGGTCATCTGTTCCAAACGCACTGATGAGATCTTCCTTCTTGGCAACCTGACCTTAGGAAACATTTACAAACACTGAGTGGGTCTGCAGAACTTCATCAAGGTCTTTTTCCCTTGTGAGGGCAGGAGAGAAAGTCCTATGTGAATATACTTGAAACTTGGACATGCATTTACATTTAAATACGAGATGGCAACAACATGAACGGCAAGACACAACAAATCCCCCTGATGACCTTTAGTGTAGAGGGCAGTTTTCTTCCCCCCCCGCCCTTAGATGGAATTTCACTGTTTTTGCCCAGGCTGGAGTGCAATGGCGCGATCTCGGCTCACTGCAACGTCCGCCTCCCGGGTTCAAGTGATTCTCCTGCCTCAGCCTCCTGAGTAGCTGGGATTACAGGCATGCGCCACCACACCCGGCTAATTTTGTATTTTTAGTAGAGATGGTGTTTCATGTTGGCCAGGCTGGCCTCGAACTCCTGGCCTCAAGTGATCTGCCCGCATCGGCCTGAGGGAACATTTTCAAAACTCAGAACTGTATTTGCCCTACCATTTGCTCACTGGAGAAAAATGTCATGGGAGGACGTAAGAAACACAAGGGTGGGGTGCAGACAGCTGCTGCCACGGAATGCCAGTCCCTAGATGGCAGCAGTGAAGACACTACGCACTTTAAACTGCTAGGGCTACTGAGATCTATGACAGTATTCGGAACACTAGGTTCTCAGCCATCATTATTCTAGGAAAAGGACCACAATTATGAGATTTCTTGGCTGCAGCTTTTATGACACCAACAAAACAAAACCCCAAACCAACAACCCAATCGGAACCAACCAAATAAAGAAACCCTTGGCTTAGGCGCCAAGCTCGGACAGCGACGTCTCATGCTCACAGCAGGAATGTTCCATTTCCTCCCGGGCCAACAAACACCCCAGCCTGGCCCATTCACTCGACTTGGGCAGAGACAGGCCGCCTCGGAGGTGACGGCTCAGGCCCAGGCCCAGGCCCGAGGGAGGGGGCTACTCACAAGCCGCTCCGCCAGCCGACGACCTTGTTTTTGTAGCAGGCGATTTCGAAGCGCTTCCTGGCGCGCTTCATCCGTACCACGGCCACATTGGTTAGGCGGATCTGGTTGGTGGGGGTGAAGATCGACATCGCGGCTGTTCAAAGACCCAGAAGCCGGCAAACCAGGGCTGACCCGCGCCGTCCAGCCTGAAGGCCACCAGCGCCTCGCGGTAACGACCGAGCGGCGCGCGGCACTGACCCAACCACAAGTGCGCGGCGCCGCGACTCACTAGCTTCAGGCAGCCGCCACAGCGTGTCTGGCAGGCTTACTTACTGCGCAGGCGTCAGGTGGAGCAGAAGCCGGGAGGGGAGAAGTGAGCGATGACGCCTGCGCATTGTGGCTTTTACCGCCATCTTTCCACGCCCAAAAAGGGAGGTGCTTTTCCTTGGCGTTTTACTTTCGCCAATGAGCTGAGAGCTCTGACAGGATGCTCGCGGATGTTTAGTGACCGGGTTGAAACACAGCGTTGGCACCACCTCGTTCCGCGGAATTCAAGGGCCAGACCCACTTTATAATAGAAATTTTTTTATAATGGAATTATTTTATGATAAATATTTTTATTTACTCACCCTTTTATAATAGAAATATTTTAACATAAAATGTAGACAAAAAAGTGTAATGAACCTTCCATGTACCCATCACCGCGCTATCAACATTTTGCCATCCTTGTTTTATTCTTTTTTCATTTTTTTTGTTGCTTTTTTATTTACTTTTTTTTTTTAAAGTCAGTCTCACTCTGTCACCCAGGCTGGAGTGCAGTGGCAGGGTCATGGCCCCACTGCAGCTTCGACCTCCTGGGTTCGAGCGATCTTCCAGCGTTAGCTTCCCAAGTAGCTGGGACTACAGGTGTGAGCGGCCACGCCAAGCTAATTTAATTAAATAAATAATTAAAAAAATTTTTTGTACAGACGAGGTCTCACTATGTTGCTCAGGCTGGTCTCGAACTCCTGGGCTCAAGCGATCCTCCCGCTTCGGCTTCCCAAAGTGCTGGGATTACAGGTTTGAGTCACAGCGCCCGGCCGGTTGGGGGTATTTTAAAGAAAGCATCATATGGTTTCAGCATTAAATACTTCAGCCTATAGCCCTTAACAGATACACGCGACGAGATTAACTACAATTCCTTAATATCATCTATTAGATGATATTAAGTCATCCTCGGGGTTTACCCTCGGGGTTTCCCAAAAATAATGCCTTTCTACAGTCGGTTTATTTCAATTAAGATCCAAACAGGCCCACATAGCATTTCCCCCGCTCCCCACTCCTTTCCTCTTTTAATTTTCCCATGCCAATCATTTCTCTCTGGACCCGCCTTTTCCCAGTCTGAGCCAATCCAAACGGAGGCGGAAGCGCTCCGCCCTCATCGCCCGGAACTCCGGGCGGTGCTTATTTCTGGACACGCCCCCTTTCCCCTCTGAGCCAATCGGAGCAGGGCCGAGAGCGCACCGGGCACTGGCTTCCTTTCCCGGAGCTCCGGGCTTTCCTCTGGGCCCACCTCTTCGTCCTCTGAACCAATCAGGACGGGCCTGGCAGCGTCGTAGCTGCCCACAGTTCTGCAGCCACTCGGTACGGCGCTAACGCCGCGAGGTAGCTCGGTGCGTCTCGCAGTACCAGTGCGAACCTTTGGGCTCTCCAGGTCCGAGATCCTAGTCTCCTGTCGGCTCTGAGGAGGATGGGTAAGGGCACTCGGCGGGCAAGGACCCTGGGGCGGCAGGGGAGGTAAACGTTTTACTGAGACCCTCTCCGGGCGGAGTGGCGTCCTCGGTCCCCTTCCTTCGGAGACTGTTGCACTTGACAGCACCGGCTAGCCGCCGCTGAGAGCAAGGAGGACCGATCCCTACTTTTGACCTGGCTTTTGCCTTTTGAGGCTAGGGGGTTAGACAGAAAACTACCCCTCCCACTTTACCCACGTGTATTAGGACTTTTGCACCTGTAAAGCCTAAATTTCAGGCTTCGACTTTTGAAATTGCTGCCAGGTTGAACGTTTGAAGCCAGGTCCTTCCATATCTCTCTTAAAAAAAAAAATGAGACGTAAGGTCAGTTACTTGAGAATCTTTTACAAGTTTAACCGTGAGCCTTTGAAAGTACAGTTAGTAAAAAGAATACTTTTACTACTTAAGCTTTTTTTATGGAGCAAGCACAACAAAACAATTAACTTAATTTCACATGAAGTATTTTTACTTTATGTTCCTTCTCTTGCTTCTAAATGCTCATTTCGAAGTGAAGATACAGTTTTATATTCTGTTTTTTCTTTGAGTTAGTGTTAACAGTATGATAATTTTATTACGTTACTACATAGTGTGTTATTTTTATTACAGTTGATTCCCCCGCCCCCCCCACGAGATGGAGCCTTGCTCTGTCGCCCAGGCTGGAGTGCGGTGGCGCAATCTTGGCTCACTGCAACCTCTGCCTCCCAGGTGCAAGCAGTTCTCCTGCCTCAGCCTCCCGAGTAGCTGGGATTACAGGCGCGCGCCACCATGCCCGGCTAATTTTTGTATTTTTAGTAGAGGCGGGGTTTCACCATGTTGGCCAGGCTGGTCTCGAACTCCTGACCTCAGGTGATCTGCCCGCCTCAGCCACCCAAAGTGCTGGGATTACAGGCATGAGCCACTGTGCCCGGCCAACAGTTGATTTTTAAATTAGATTTCTTAGCTGGGTTGTTGAATGTAAGGTTGGTTTTATTTTCTTCTTAAAATCGGGAAGGATATCTTTGTATATGTAGCTTTAAATGAAATTATCTGTGTGTGTCATTTTAAATTTAGATCCTTCTGCGGATACATGGGACCTCTCCTCACCTTTAATATCATTATGGATAAACAGGTTTTACATTTATCTGGGCTTTGCTGTTAGCATTAGCCTTTGGATTTGTGTCCAGATTGTCATCGAGATGCAGGTAAGTGGAGTTATTTTTTTTAATAGAGTATTTAGGCATCAGATTTTATAGAGGATTTAAACACTAAAAGGAACCTTTAATTACTTTTGTGTTTGGTCTTTAGACATTTTAATGAAATGCCTAAAATAAATTTCTTCTCTAAGTTTTTGGAGACTAAGTTATCTTGGATTAAGTTACTTACTTTTTCTTTGATAGGTGTGTCTCATTTTTAAGATACAGGAAGATTTTTGTAATGAAAAGTGAACCTTTTATATGAAAAACAAATTTGTTTTATACCTTTAAGGGTCAGTAGTCCTCTCTTTCCATTAATTAAGGATCAGAAAATAAGTTCCTACTATTATTCTACTAAAATACCTTATAGGATAAAAGTATGTAAAGTTTTTTCTTGGAGGGAATGGAAATCATGAGCCTTAAAAATGTGGGTCCTGCCTATTAAAGGACCTTATTATACCAAGGGGCTAATATTTGAGGAATACAACCAGAAAGATTTAAGAGAAAAATACAGGTGTGTCAGATTAAGAGAAAAATAAAGTGTGTCAGTATCTGTGCTACCTTTCATCCCTGCTGAAGTTGGGAAACGATTTAGGCTTGATGGATTTTGTGTAATTATTTGTCTTCAAGGGCAGGAACTTACAGGAAAAATCTGTTCCAAAAGCAGCTCAGGATTTGATGACAAATGGTTATGTCTCCCTTCGAGAGAAAGACATCTTTGTGTCTGGAGTGAAGATTTTTTATGGTTCTCAGACTGGAACAGCAAAGTTAAGAAGTTTATATGATGCTTTTCCTTTGGTTTCCTGACATTTTAAGAAAATCCCTTTAGCAGTGAACTTTAGCAGTGAACTGTCCTTTAGCAGTGAACTGAATTGGTCATCTAACCTTCTTTATTCTTTCTCCCAGCCTTTTCCCCTCAAATATTTTTCCTTTCTGCGATGGTAGGCGGGTTTCATCTCCTGTGCCCAGTTAGAGCTGACTGGTGGTGTCTGATGGTCACTGTCTTGAGGGGGCCTTTGTTCTGAAGCTTGCTTCTGCCTCAGCAGGCTAGAGAAAGTTGTGAGTCCATTATCGATGCCCATGGGTATGGAAGTAGGGAATAGGGAAAAAAGGATGGCACCAATAGTTCCAATATGGGCCTGACTTTCACATCACACATCTATGTTTATTTTTTATTTTGTTTTTTGAGACAGAGTCTCACTCTGTCACCCAGGCTGGAGTGCAGTGGCACGATCTCGGCTCACTGCAACCTCCACCTCCACCTCAAGCAATTCTCCTGCCTCAGCCTCCCGAGTAGCTGGGATTATAGGTGCCTGCTACCACGCTCTGGCTAATCTTTGTATTTTTAGTAGAGATGGGGTTTTGCCACGTTGGCTGGGCTGCTCTCAAACTCCTGGGCTCAGGTGATGCGCCTGCCTCGGCCTCCCAAAGTGCTGGGATTACAGGCGTGAGCCACTGCACCTGGCCTCACGTCACACATCTATGTAATGAAACTTGTTTTGATTTCTAATAGTGCTAAAAGTGTTAAAGGTAGACACTAAAGTAAATACAGCTGATATCTAGTTGAAAGATGCTTCCCATTCTCTCTTTTTTGGGGGGGAACAGTGTCTGGCTGTAGTGCCATCTAAGCTTCAGTTGCTTATCTGTGAAATGGTAAATTGCAGATGGTAATAGTGTGGTTATCTCAGGGTCACTGTGAGGATTTAGTGAGATTATCTGGTATGTACTTTGATTTCTCCTTTTTGCTTTTTTTTTTTTTTTTGGAGACAGGGTCTCTCTGTTGCCCAGGCTGGAGTGCAGTTGTGCCATCTTCACTCACTGCAACCTCTGCCTCTCGGGCTCAAGGCATCCTCCCACCTCAGCCTCCTGAGTATCTGGGACTATAGGTGCATGCCACCATACCCAGCTAATTTTTGTATTTTTTGTAGAGATGGGGTTTTGCCATGTTGCCCAGGCTGGTCTTAAACTCTTGGGCTCAAGCAATCTGCCCACCTGGCCTCCTAAAGTGTTGGGATTACAGTCGTGAGCCACCGTGCCCAGTCCCATTCTCTAATTATATCTAGATGCTACCTGTTTCTGTGTTACAAGGTCACAGCTATTTAAAAAAAATTTATTTTATTTTTGAGATGGTATCTCACTCTGTCCCCCAGCCTGGAGTGCAGTGGTGTGATCTCGGCTCACCACAACCTCCGCCTCCTGGGTTCGAGCAATTCTCCTGCCTCAGCCTCCCTAGTAGCTGGGATTACAGGTGCCTGCCATCACATCTGGTTAATTTTTGTATTTTTAGTAGAGACGAGGTTTCACCATATTGGCCAGGCTGCTCTCGAACTCCTGACCTCAGATGAGTCACCCGCCTCAGCCTCCTAAAGTGCTGGGATTACAGGCGTGAGGCACCGCTCCCAGCCAAAAAATTTATTTAATTTTTTTGTAGAGACAAGATCTTGCAATCTTGTCCAGGCTGGTCTTGAATTCCTGGCTTCAAGATATTCACCCACCTTGGCCCTCAAAGTGCTGAGATGATAGGCATGAGCCACCAGGCCTAGCCAGGTCACAGGTAGTTAGTGCTTTCTAGGAAAAGATTTTAAGGAAGGCTAGCATGAAAATAAATTAGAGGAAAAATCAAGGTCTGTTATTTTTGTGGACTACTTCAGAGGGTTCTACTGCCCTCTTGTGGAAGTTGCGCAGAATAGTACTTCTTAGGTTTTCACTACTTGAGTGCAGATACTTTGCTTCATTTTACAGTCGAAGGTCAGTTGTTAAGTTAAACCTTAAGCAGTGGAGGTGGGAAACCTGAAAAAAAGCAAAAAGGTGTCTGAGCAGCCAAAGCAAAGTCCTTTTAATGTTACTTATAAAAAACCTTTTTCAGAGCCTCTTTATGCATGTTTTTACCTTTTTAAAAAAAAATGATCAAAAAGATCAAACGAATACTTGCAGATGGTAACAAATCCAGGTGTACAGAAAGTTAATAATGAAATGTACTCTCCAGAAACCTTGTAACTATTTCTATTTTTAGTTCCTCTGATGCTTATGCTGTGTTTCTAGATTTATCAACATTACATAAAAGTTATTGACTATATTAATTAGTTTATACAAACAGCCCTCAAGTCTCAGTGGCTTAATGTTGCTGTCCATATCATAGTTGATTTTGGGGTAGATAGCCATCTTCCATCTTAAAGCTGCGCCATCTGAATTTATTTTTATTTATTTTATTTTATTTCATTTATTTTTTATTTATTTATTTTTTTGAGATGGAGTCTCCCTGTGTCGCCAGGCTGGAGTGCAGTGGCGCGATCTCGGCTCACTGCAACCTCTGCTTCCCGGGTTCAAGCGATTCTTCTGCCTCAGCCTCCTGAGTAGCTGGGACTATAGGCGCCCACCACTACGCCCAGCTAGTTTTTGTATTTTTAGAAGAGATGGGGTTTCACCATGGTGGTCTGACTGGTCTCGAACTCCTGACCTCGTGATCTGCCCGCCTTGGCCTCCCAAAGTGTTGGGATTACAGGCGTGAGCCACCGTGCCCGGCCTTTATTTTTATTTTTTAAGAGACAAGGTCTTGGCCCGGCGTGGTGGCTCACGCCTGTAATCTCAGCACTTTGGGAGGCCGAGGTGGGCAGACCACTTGAGGCCAGGAGTTCAAGACCAGCCTCGGCAACAAAGCAAAACCCCATTTCTACTAAAAATACAAAAAATTAGCTGGGCGTGGTGGTGCACGCCTGTAATTCCAGCTACTTGGGAGGCTGAGGCAGGAGAATTGCTTGCATCTGGGAGGTGGAGGTTGCAGTGAGCCTAGATTGCACCACTGCACTCCAGCCTGGGTGGCAGAGTGAGAACCTGTCTCAAACAAAAAAAAAAAAGGAAAGAAGAAAAAAAGAGATAGGGTCTTGCTCTGTCACCCAAGCTGGAGTGCAGTGGCATGATTTTAGTTCACTGCAGCCTCGACCTCTTGGGCTTCAGCAATTCTCCTGACCCACCCTCCTGGGTAGATGAGAATATGGGCTTGTGCCACCATGCTGGGCTAATTAAAAAAATTTTTTTTGTAGAGATGGGGTCTCCTTATGTTGCCCAGGCTGGTCTTGACTCCTGGCCTCAAGCGATCCTTCTGTCTAGGGTTAGAGGCATGAATCACCATGCCCAGCCCATCTCAATATTGGGCTAGGATTACAGGATAGGATTACAGGTGTGAGCCACTGTGCCCAGCCCATCTCAATATTTCTTCATTCTGCTGTTGGATTTGATTGATTCGGATTTGGTCATGTATAGAAGACTATTAAAAACTTTTGCCTCAGAAGGCGTAGCTTCATTGTCTTCCAGCATGTTAGTATTGCTAATGAGAAGGCAAATTTGTAGATGACTTGATTATTTTGTTTCTGGAAGATTTTCGGATCATTTCTTTGTCCTTGATTTCTGGAAATTTTATGGGAAGGTGACTATTTGGATCTTTTTCAGCTATTGTTCTGTATACTTGAATTTTTTTGTTTTGACGATTTGTATGCATTTTGACGATTTGTGTGCATTAGTTCTGTTAATATTTCTTGGATGAATTTTTTTTCCCTTTTCATTTCTTTTTTTCTGGGATTCCTGTGGGATGTTCTACCTTTTGGATCGTCTTCTGTGTCTCAGATCTTTTCTCTTATATTTTTGTAACTTTTTCTTTTTATTCTTCTTTTTTCTTCTTCTTCTTTTTTTTTTTTTTTTTTTTTTGAGACAGGGTCTTACTCTGTCACCCAGGCTGGAGTGCAGTGGCATTGGCCTCCCAAAGTGCTGGGATTTTTGTATTTTTAGGGGAGATGGGGTTTCTGCATGTTGGCCAGTCTGGTCTCAAACTCCTAGCCTCAAGTGATTCACCCGCCTCGGCTACTGAAAGTGTTAGGATTACAGGCTTGAGCCACGTGCCTGGCCCTAAATTTCTGTTTCTAATCTTAACTGTTTCTCTCAACTCCAGACTTTCATATCGAGTTACCTTTCTTAGAGCATCATATGAATGTCTAGTAAGCATCTTAACATCAGTTTGCTCAAAACTGAACTCCCAATTTTCTGCCCAAGCCTGCTCTACTTGTAATCCTTACAATTTCAGTAAATGACAACTTTATCCTTCCAGTTGCTTGGTCCAAAACACCTTTTGACTTCTTTTTATACAACCCATGTCCAGTTTGTCAGCAGATTCTGTTTGTTCTACTTTAAGAATAGATTCAGTTTCCAATCACTTCTTACCACCTTCACTGCTACTCCCCTGGTCCATGCCATTGTCAACCTAAATACCATAGAGAGGCTCTCCAAAAGAAAAGATGTTTGTTTGGGAATAGCACGTACATTGCAATGGGGATACAATTGCCATAGTAAACTGCATGTATTCAGGGAAGTAAAGGAAGGCAAAGATTTTTAAGGGAAAAAATGAGGATTACAGAATTGTTTTGAAATAATTATTCTTGCCTACAAAGGTTAATAACAAAGGTGACACAATCCAAGGTTGGACATGAAGTTGCTGGGCAGATGTCCTTGCAGTAGTATTTTTTGTGTAAGGTTGCAGTGGTTTTTGTGCAAGGTTGTATTTTTTGTAGAATCTTTCTCATTATCAGGAATTTGAGTGTGAGGACAGGTGTGATGGCTCATGCCTGTAATCCCAGCAGTTTAGGAGGCTGAGGCAGGTGGGTCACTTGAGGTCAGGAGTTTGAGATTAGCCTGGCCAACATGGCAAAACCCCATTTGTACTAAAAAATACAAAAATTAGCCTGGTGTGGTGGCACATGCCTGTAATCCCAGCTACATGGGAGGCTAAGGCACGAGAATCACTTGAACCCGGGAGGCAGAGGTTGCAGTGAGCCAAGATGGCGCCACTGCACTCCAGCCTGGGGGACAGAGTGAAACCTTGTCTCAACAACAACAACAAAAAAAATCTAAGTGTGCGAATTCTTTGTCTTCCGTAGCTCTTACTGTCAGGGATATTTTCGCATAAGTAACTCCATGTTGTTGATTCTCACAGCTTTGACACCGCCATGATATTTTGTCTGGATTTGGACAGTCATCTCACCATTGACTTCTGCTATAATTTGTTGTTTGTTCCCCCAAAACTGATGTTGAAATTTGATCCCTCACATTGGTGATGGGCCTAATGGGAGGTGTTTGGGTCCTGGGGGCAGATCCCTCCTGAATAGATGAATCCCTGGGGGAGGGGTGAGTGAGTTCTTGCTGTCTTAGTTCCCAAGAGAGCTTGTTGGTAAGAAGAGCCTGGAACCTCTCCTGCACTCTTGTTTCCTCTCTTGCTATGTGATCTTTGTGCTCGCCAGCTCCCTTTCACTTCTACTCTGCCAGGAGTAGAAGCAGCCTGGAGCCCTCACCAGATGTAGATGTCCAATCTTGAACTTTTTCAGATATCAGAATTGTGAACCAAATAAACCTTTTTATGGTGGCCCATAACAGTTTTTCCTTTACATAGTTAGCACTTCCTTAAGGACCTCTTGTAAGGCAGGTCTGGTTGTAATAAATTCCCTTAGCATTTGTTTGCCTGAAAGGATCTTGTTTCTCCTTCGCTTATGAAGCTTAATTTGGCTGGATATGAAATTCTTGGTTGAAATTTCTTGTTTTCTTTTTTGAGACAGAGTCTTTCTCTGTCATCCAGGCTGGAGTGCAGTGGTGCGATCTCAGCTCACTGCAACCTTCGCCTCCTGGGTTCAAGTGATTCTCTTGCCTCAGCCTCCCGAGTAGCTGGGACTACAGGTGTGCGCCACCACACCTGGCTAATTTTTGCATTTTTAGTAGAGATGGGGTTTCACCATGTTGGTCAGGCTGGTCGCAAACTCCTGACCTCAGGTAATCCACCCATCTTGGCCTCCCGAAGTGCTGGGATTACAGATGTGAGCCACCATGCCCTGCTTGAAATTTCTTTTCTTTAAGAATGCTCAATATAGGCCCCAATCTCTTCTGGATTGTAGGGTTTCTGCTGACAGGTCCACTGTTACCCTGATGGGATTCCCTATGTAGCTGACCTGCCCCTTCTCTCTAGTTGCCTTTAACATTTTTTCTTTCATTTCGACTTTGGAGAATCTGATGATTTTGTGTCTTGGGGATGGCCATCTTATGTAATATCTCACTGGGGTTCTCTGCATTAAATAAACCTTTTTAAAACATAGATTGGGCTAGGCACAGTGGCTCACGCCTATAATCCCAGCACTTTGGGAGGCCAAGGCAGGTGGATCACTTGAGCCCAGGAGTTCGAGACCAACCTGTGCAACACGGCAAAACTCTATCTCTACAAAAAATTCAAAAATTAGTCAGGCATGGTGGCGTGTGCCTGTAGTCCTAGCTACTCGGGTGGCTGAGGTGGGAGGATTGCTTGAGCCCAGGAGGTCAAGGCTGCAGTAAGCCGTGACTGTGCCACTGCACTTCAGCCTGGGCGACAGAGTGAGACCTTCTCTCAAAAAAATAAAAGACATAGATTACCCAGTCTCAGGTACTCCTTTATAGCAAAATGGACTAAGACAGTCTTTCTGATTCAGTACCACTCGGCCCTCTTCTGACTCCAGTATACTCTCAACTCAGCAACCTCAGTGACTGTTTGAAAAGTTAGGTGAAATCATGTCATCCCTCTGCTTAAAACCCTGCGCTGACCCCTTCATTCAAGAGTCAATGCTTGAGTCCTCACAGTGGCCCAGAGATCCTACACGTGTGGCTCTTTGTTAACTCTCTTACCCCATCTCCTTGGTTCCCTTTTTTTCAGTCTTAATAACCTCCACTGGGCCTTTGCAGTTCACTGTTCCTGCCGCCTGGGATAACCTCATGGTTTTCCCAGTTCCTTCAGCTTTGGCTCAAATCTCACTTTATCCTTGTGTTAGTCTCTTTTGCATTGCCATAAAGGAATACCTGCAGCTGGGTAATTGATATGGTTTGGATCTGTGTCCCCACCAAATCTGATGTCGAATCGTAGTCCCCAGTGTTGGAGGTGGGGCTTGGCGGGAGGTGCTTAGATCTTGAGGGCAGATTTCGCATGAGTGGTTTAGCACCATCTCCCTTGTACCGTCCTCGTGACAGTGAGTGAGTTCTCATGAGATCTGGCTGTTTAAAAGTGTGTGGCACCTCCTCCTTCTCTCTCTTGTTCCTGCCATGTCATGTGCCTGCTCCTCCTTTGCCTTCCACCAAGATTGGAAGCTCCCTGAGGCCTCTTCAGAAGCAGATGTCGTTACACTTCCTGTACAGTCTGCAGAACTGTGAGCCAATTAAACGTCTTTTTTTTAATAAATTGCCCAGTCTCAAGTATTTCTTTTTTCCTTTTTTTTTTTTTTTTTTTTTTTGAGATGGAGTCTCGCTTAGTTGCCCAGGCTGGAGTACAGTGGTGTGGTCTCGGCTCACTGCAGCCTCTGCCTCCCAGGCTCAAGCGATCCTTCCACCTCAGCCTCCCAAGTAGCTGGACCACAGGTATATGCCACCACACCCAGCTAATTTTTTGTATTTTTGGTAGAGATGGGGTTTCACCATGCCCAGGCTGGTCTCGAACTCCTGACCTCAAGTGATCCACCCGCCTCAGCCTCCCAAAGTGCTGGGATTACAGGCATGAGCCACCATGCCCGGCCGGGTATTTTTTAATAGCAATGCAAGAATGGACTAATACTGTGATTTATAAAGAAAAGAGGTTTATTTGGTTCATGGTTCTGCAGACTGTACAAGCATGGTGCCAACATCCACTTGGCTTCTGGCAAAGCTTCAGGAAGCTTCCACCCATGGAGGAATAGGTACCACATGGTGAGAGAGGGAGCAAAGGAGTAGGGAGAGATGTGAGGCTTTTTTTTTTTTTTTAACAGCCAGCTATGAACTGATAGGGCAAGAACTCAACACCAAGGGGAGGGCGGCAAGCTGAGGTAGGAAAGTAGAGTCTGGAGACAGAGCCTAAGGCCAACCTGTGGCTGACTTCCTTGAATTAAACTGAAAGGAAAGCTTTAGCCTCTGATTGGCTGTGGGCTAATTCTTTATTTGCAGAGGGTGTAACTCCACTGCAGCCTCTGATTGGCCATGAGCCAATTCTTCATTTGCATAGGGTGTAACCAATTGGAAGCCTCCAAAGGGTACCTGGGGGTGTTACCAAATTCTTCTAGCTTAATAAAAACCCAAGGAACATTACAACTGGAGCTCTTGAGCCACTTGCTCAAGCCTGCCTCCTCTCTGTAGAGTGTACCTTCCCATCAATAAATCTGTGTTTTTGTTGCTTCACTTGTGCATTTTTTTCAATTCTTTGTTCAACATGTGAAGAACCTGGACAACTCCTAGTCAAGACCCTCCACTGGTAACAAAGCCACTCATGAGGGACCCACCCCCATGACCCAAACACCTCCTATTCGAGCTCACTTCCAACATTGGAGATTACGTGTTAATGATATTTGGAGGGGACGAATATCCAAACCATATCAGTCCTTGAGGCCTGCTGCAGTACTGTTTTCTGACCCCCAAATACCTTTTTTCTTTTTTTTTGAAATGGAGTCTCGCTCTGTTGTCTAGGCTGGAGTGCAGTGGTACGATCTCGGCTCACTGCAACCTCCGCCTCCTGGGTTCGAGCAGTTCTCCTCCCTCAGCCTCCCAGGTAGGTAGCTGGGATTACAGGTGCCCACCACCACTCCCGGCTAATTTTTGTATTTTTAGTAGAGATGGGGTTTCACCATGTTGGTCAGGCCGGTCTCGAACTCCTGACCTCAGGTGATCTGTCTGCCTTGGCTTCCCAAAGTGTTGGGATTACAGGTGTGAGCCACCACGCCCGGCCAACCTGTCCTTTTTCTATACCAGTTCTCATGCTTACTATTGGGAGTTATCATTAGCCCACAAGACTGCCCCCACTTCAGACACCAGTCACAAGTCCCAGCTTTAAATTTAGGGTTCCACACCACTGCCTCCTCAGGTTCTATAGGATGACTCACAGACCTCAGGAAGTTGCTTGACTTATGTTTACTGGTTTATTATAAAGGATGCAACTCAGGAACGGCCGAATGGAAGAGCTGCACAGGGCCAGCTATGGAGGGGTGGGGGTTGAGCAGGGCTTCCAGGCCGTTTCTGGCCGTGTCTTCTCCCCAGCACGTTGGTATGTTCACCAAGTCAACAGTCTCCATTGTTCAGGGGTTTTTCTTGGAGGCTCCATTACATAGGCACTATTGATTAAATCATTGGCCTTGGTGATTAAGCTCAATCTCCAGCCCCTCTTCTTTCCTTAGTGTTCTCTGTTGGGGCTGGGGTAGGAGGTGCTGAGTTTAACCTCTCATCAGTTTCTCTGGCAATGAGCCTCTGTCCTGAAGCTACCTGAGGCCTCACCCCAGTAAGTCATCTCATTAGCGTACAAAAGATATTCATTCCATCTTTTGTTGTAGTGGCTGCTCCCAACCCAGAGCTTCTCTGGGGTTCTGACAGCCCTGTGAACTCTTCCCTAGGGCTTTTTCCTGTCTGTCAACCGTCTTCTTTTCATGTTTCCCATTCTTTTCACTCTTCACTCTTTCTTTTATTTTATTTATTTATTTATTTTGGAGATGGAGTTTTGTTGCCCAGGCTGGAGTGCAATGGTGCAATCTTGGCTCACTGCAACCTCTGCCTCCTGGATTCAAGTGATTCTCCTGCCTCAGCCTCCCGAGTAGCTGGGATTATAGGTGTGTGCCACCACGCTTGGCTAATTTTGTATTTTTAGTAGAGACGGGGTTTTACCATGTTGGTCAGGCTGGTCTCGAATTCCTGACTTCAAGTGATCCAGCCGCATCGGCCTCCCAAGGTACTGGGATTACAGTTGTGAGCCACTGTGCCCAGCCCATTCTTCACTATTTCTTTTTGCACTTCTCTGTGTTTATTGTTTTTTAATATGTTATTTTCTTTATGAGACAGGATCTCAGTCTGTGGCCCAGGCTAGAGTGCATTGGTGTGATCATAGCTCACTGTATCCTCTAACCCCTGGGCTCAGGGGATCCTTCCTTCTCAGCCTCTTGAGTAGCTGGGACTACAGGTGTGTACCATCACACCTGGCTAATTTTTAAATTTTTTTTATAAAGATGAGGTCTCACTTTGTTGCCCAGGCTTGGCCTCAAGTGGTCCTCCCACTTCAGCCTCCCAAAGTGCTGGGATTACAGGCATGAGCCATCTTGCCTGGCTGATATGTTTATTCTAGTAGGGCAAGGCAGATTGATCATCCAAAGCCAAATTAGATTCAGTCCTACGTAAACCCTGATCGGGTGAGAACAACACAATTGAATGATCTCGGTAATGGTGCCCAAGAAAATGGTAAGAGTGCGGATAGAATTTGGGTTCATATCAGTCACTGAAAACATTTTTCATGAGGAATGCCACATTCTTGTGCCAACAGGGGTAAATGAGGGCTATATTTGGCTCATTGAAGACTTTATTTGAAGTTTTTTTTTGTCCTATTAGGGATTTGCAACAGTTCTTGCTGAAGCAGTTACGTCCCTGGATCTGCCTGTGGCCATTATTAATCTAAAAGAATATGATCCAGATGATCATCTGATAGAAGAGGTTGGTAATTGTCTTTTTCTTCAATCAAAACTCTCAAATTTAACTGATCTGCAATCTTCACAGTAAATTTAATTAGATAACTAGAATCTTCAGAATAAATTTAATTTTCGTGCTAAGGGATTTCAGTTAGTTGAATTCCAGTGTGAATCAGAGAACTGAATGTGGGGTGAGGTTCACTGATTCTCACGTGGTGTGGGGCTTGTTCTTCAGGTGTGTTAAATTCTCCTGGGGCAGGACTAGAGGTGAGAAAGCTTGGGTGGTTGGAAGTTCACTCCTTCCCACAATTTTCTTTTTTTTTTTTTTTTTTTTTTGAGATGGAGTCTCACTGTGTCACCCAGGCTGGAGTGTAGTCGTGCAATCTCAGTTCAGTGCAGTGTCCGTCTCCAGGTTCAAGTGATTCTCCTGCCTCAGCCTCCCAAGTAGCTGGGATTTACAGGCATGTGTCACCATGCCCAGCTAATTTTTTTTTTTTTTTTTGCTAGAGTTGAGGTTTCACCATGTTGGCCAGGCTGGTCTCAAATTCCTGGCCTCAAGTGATCCACCTGCCTTGGCCTCCCAAAGTGCTGGGATTATAGGCGTGAGCGACTGTGCCTGACCCCTACTATTTTTATTTTTTTTGAATTTATTTTATTGAGACAGGCTCTCATTCTCTCACCCAGGCTCTGGAGTGCAGTGGTGCAATTTCAACCTCCCGGGCTCAAGTGATCCTCTTTCCTCAGCCTCCTAAAGTAGCTGAGACTATAGGCATGTGCTGCCATGCCCTGCTAATTTTAAAAGTTTTTTTTGTTTTTTTTTTGAGACGGAGTCTCGCTCTGTCACCCAGGCTGGAGTGCAGTGGCGCGATCTCGGCTCACTGCAAGCTCCGCCTCCCGGGTTCACACCATTCTCCTGCCTCAGTCTCCTGAGTAGCTGGGACTACAGGCACACGCCACCACGCCCGGCTAATTTTTTGTAGTTTTAGTAGAGATGGGGTTTCACCGTGTTAGCCAGGATGGTCTCGATCTCCTGACCTCGTGATCCGCCCGCCTCGGCCTCCCAAAGTGCTAGGATTATAGGCATGAGCCACCGTGCCCGGCCAAAAGATTTTTTATAGAGATACGGTCTCACTGTGTTGCCCAGGCGGGTCTGGAACTCCTGGCCTCAGTCTCCCAAAGTACTAGGATTACAGATATGCCCAGCCTTCCCCCGTATTTCGAATCTCTTAATCAAGGAAGGGTTGTTATTGATGGCAGTGTGCTATGCTGGTAGGCCATGGGCGATCCAACCAAAAGGTCAAGAGCAGAGAGTATGGGTTTCGGAATCAGAGAAATCTCTTATTAGCTGTGTGACCTCAATGCATTGGTTAATATCTTTTTTTTTTTTTTTTAATGGAGTTTTGCTCTTGTTGCCCAGGCTGGAGTGCAATGGTGTGATCTTGGCTCACTGCAACCTCCAGCTCCAGGGTTTAAGTGATTCTCCTGCCTCAGCCTCCTGAGTAGCTGGGATTACAGGTGCCCACCACCACACCTGGCTAATTTTTGTATTTTTAACAGACATGGGGTTTCATTATATTGGCCATGCTTGTGTCGAACTCCTGACATCAGGTGATTTATTTGCCTCGGCCTCCCATAGTGCTGGGATTACAGGCATGAGCCACTGTGCCTGGGCGCATTACTTAATATCTATGAAGATTTAATTTCTTCATCTGAAAAATATTCCTCCCCTTTTTTCTCCAGTCATGCCCAGTTAGGGGATTTCACCCTACAGCAGTGGTTCTCAAAGTGTGGCCCCTGAGCCAGCAGCATCAGCATCTCCTGTGAACTTGCTAGAAATGCAGAATCTCAGGTCTTAGCCTGGCTGCACTGTAGAGCTTAAACAATGCTCCTGGTGATGCTGACGCAGGTAGAGTTAGAGAAGCAGTTAGAGGCTGGGCGTGGTGGCCCACGCCTGTAATCCCAACACTTTGGGAGTCCGAGGTAGGTGGATCACCTGTGGTCAGGAGTTCGAGACCAGCCTGGCCAACATGGTGAAACCACGTCTTTACTAAAAATACAAAAATTAGCTGGGCTTGGTGGTGGGTGCCTGTAATCCCAACTACTCGGGAGGCTGAGGCAGGAGAATTGCTTGAACCTGGGAGGTGGAGGTCGCAGTGAGCCGAGATTGCGCCATTGCCCTCTAGCCTGGGCGACAAAAGCAAATCTCTGTCTCAAAAAAAAAAAAAAAAAAAAAGAAGAAGTATGTAGAGCTGGGGTTGACAAACTTTCACGTAAAGGGCCAGGTAGTATCTTCACCTTTGTGGGCTGGGCAGCTACTCAGTTTTGCCACTGAGGCACAAAACAGCCATAGATAATATGTAAATGAATGAATATGGCTGTGTTCCACTAAAACTTTCTTTAAAAAAAACAGAGGCCAGGTGGGGTGGCTCTTGCCTATATAATCCCAGCAAGTTGAGAGGTCAAGGCTGGTGGATCGCTTGAGCTCAGGCATATGAGAGCAGCCTGGGCAATGTGGTGAAACCCTGTCTCTATTAAAAATAGAAAAATTAGCCATGGTGGTGCACGCCTGTAGTCCCAGCTACTTGGGAGGCTGAGGCATGAGAATTGCTTAAACTCGGGAGGTGGAGGTTGCAGTGAGCTGAGATCATGCCACTGCACTCCAGCCTGGGTGAGTGAGACTCTGTCTCAAAAAAAAAAAAAAAACCCCAAAAGGCAGCAAGCAAGATGTGGCTCGTGGATTGTAGTTTACCGGCCCTGTCTTAGTGGTTAAATATCTAGCTTTAACTCTGTCCATTTCTTTGTCCCCCAAGAAAATGTATTGGTGTGCACATGAGTGAGCTTGAATGTGCTCTAAATTATTTGTGAAAAATTATTAGCAAACTTTGATACTTGTAACTAAGAGATTACTTGTAACTTACCTCATGACTTGGAACTCTTAAGATGAATTCAAACACCAGGCTATCAAGACTAAGGATACACAGGTTGAGAATCCCTGAACCGCAAATTGGAAATGCTTTAAAATCTACACTTCTGGAGCGCTGACAGGAGGCCACAAGTGGAAAATTTCGCACCTGACCTCCTGTGATGGGTCAAGGTCAAAACGCAGTCGAAACTTTGTTTCATATATGAAATTGTCAAAAATATTGTATAAAGTTATCTACAGGCTATGTGTGTAAGGTGTATATGAAACAAAGGAATTTTGTGTTTAGACTTGATACATCCCCAAGGTACATCATTATGTATATGCAGATTTAAAAAAAAAAAACACCTCTAAAATCCAAAACACTTCCCATCCCAAACATTCTGGATAATGGATACCCAGCCTGTATTTTGTTTCCCTGGGATTTGCAACAGTTCTGTTTAGATAATGGTGCCAAGTGTTAAATTACTTAATGTTTAAAAATTTTTATTGCTTTAATTTATTAGATAATTTTTTAGAGATCTCTCTGTATTTTTTCTTTTCTTTTCCTTTTTTTTTTTTTTTTGAGATGGAGTCTTCGCTTCGTTGCCCAGGCTGGAGTGCAGTGTGCAGGGGTGTGATTGTGGCCCACTGCAGCCTCTGCCTCCTGGGCTAAAGCAGTTTTCCTGCCTCAGCCTCCCGAGTAGCTGGAACTACAGGCACCCACTACCACGCCTGCCTAGTTTTTGTATTTTTAGTAGAGACGGGGTTTCACTCTGTTGCTTAGGCTGGTCTTGAACTCCTGACCTCAAGTGATCCACCCGCCTCAGCCTCCCAAAGTCCTGGGATTACAGGTATGAGCCACTGGGCCCAGCCAACATCCACTGCCTTGATATGGATATTCACAGCTTCCTGCCTGAGGAGATGGTAATGAACCGAGAACATGGTTCCCCTATTCTTTGGAGATTTCAGAGATTTAAAACAATCTCAAACACCAAATACAACTCTTATTGGATAAGCAAGGTCACCACATTCCTCGTCTTTCTGACACCACAGAGCAGCTTCCACTCTAAGGAAGCAGTAACGTGAGCTGTTGTTTTCTCTTCAGGTTTGAAACTCAGGTGCCTTATTTTCCCCAGGTGTGTTCTTCCATTAGTAGCCACCGTGCCTGGCCATCTCTCTGCATTTTTTCTTTTCTTTTTTCTTTTTTCTTTCTTTCTTTTTTTTTTTTTTTTGAGATGGAGTCTTGCTCTGTCGCCCAGGCTGGAGTGCAGTGGCGCGATCTCGGCTCACTACAAGCTCTGCCTCCTGGGTTCACGCCATTCTCTTGGCTTAGCCTCCTGAGTAGCTGGGACTACAGGCGCCCACCACCACGCCTGTCTAATTTTTTGTATTTTTAGTAAAGACCGGGTTTCACCGTGTTAGCCAGGATGGTCTCGATCTCCTGACCTTGTGATCCGCCCGCCTCAGCCTCCCAAAGTGCTGGGATTACAGGCTTGAGCCACCGCACCCGGCCTGTATTTTTTCTTGATTGATTTGGATTTTGTTTCCACTGTGGCAAATCAGCAATGATGAGAATGTATAGTCTGGATAATGGAATGGCGTATATGATGAAATATACCAGGAGGTATATTGGCAGGAGCAAGGGACTGGGTTTTCTCCCCCGTGCAAGCTGTTCTTGCTGTGTTTCTTAGTCAGGCCCTTCACTTTCGAAAATGAGCCATGTTTATGAAGGTACCCTTTGTTCTTTGAGATGAGTATGCTTTTTTTCAAAGGATTTTCTTCGTTGAGATAATTTATGCCTTGTATGTTCCACTGAAACAATTACTTTCTTGGTTAGGTGACTAGTAAAAATGTCTGTGTCTTCCTGGTTGCGACATACACTGACGGCCTACCAACCGAAAGTGCAGAGTGGTTCTGCAAATGGTTAGAGGAAGCATCCATTGATTTTCGATTTGGCAAAACTTACCTGAAGGGTATGAGAGATGCGGTATTTGGCCTGGGAAATTCTGCCTATGCTAGCCACTTCAACAAGGTAGGTCTATATTGAATTATAGGAATAAATTCTCCCCATAAACACACACACACACGCACACACACGTACACACACACAAACACACGTGCACACACGTACACACACATAAACACACATGTATGTGAAATAATCCACAAACTTTGGTAGCTAGTAATAAATACATTTCTTCTATTATTTTATTTATTGATTGATTGAGATAGAGTTTTGCTCTGTCACCCAGGCTGGAGTGCAGTGGCACCATCTCAGCTCACTGCAACTTCTAGCTCCCGGGTTCAAGTGATTCTCCTGCCTCAACCTCCCGAGTAGCTGGGATTACAGGCATGTGCCACCACGCTTGGCCAATTTTTGTATTTTTACTAGAGACGGGGTTTCACCATGCCAGCCAGGCTAGTTGTGAACTCCTGGCCTCATGTGATCTGCCCAAAGTGAGCCACTGTGCCCAGCCTCTTCTGTGTTTTTTTTTTTTTTTTTGGAAACAGAGTCTTGCTCTATCCCCCAGCTGGAGTGCAGTGGCGTGATCTCAGCTGACTGCAACCTCCGCCTCCTGCGTTCAAGTGATTCTCATTTATCAGCCTCCCGAGTAGCTGGGATTACAGGCACCCACCACCATGCCTGGCTAATTTTTTTGTATTTTTAGTAGAGACAGGGTTTCACCATGTTGGCCAAGCTGTTTGAACTCCTGACCTCAGGTGATCCACCCACCTCGGCCTCCCAGAGTGCTGGGATTACAGGTGTGAGCCATCATGCCCAGCCTGCCCAAGCTCTTTATGCAGGTGAACTCTTAAAAAAAATTTTTTTTTAATTATGTTTATTTTTTTCAGAACAGGGTCTTGCTTTGTCATCCAGGCTGGAATGCAGTGACCTGATCAGCATTCTCTGAACCTTGAAGTCCTAGGCTGAAGGGATCCTCCCAAGTCAGCCTCCCTAGTAGCTGGAACTATAGGCGTGCACCACTACCCCTGGCTAATCTTTCAATTTTTTTAGAGATGAGGGTCTCACTGTGTTGCCCAGGCTTGGTTCAAACTCCTGGCCTCAAGCAGTCCTACCCACCTCAGCCTCCCAAATTTCTGGGATTACAGGCATGAATGTGTCCAGCCTGAGCTCAGTTTTAAAAAATGAATTTTTCGGCTGGGCCTGGTGGCTCAAACGCCTGTAATCCCAGCACTTTGGGAGGCCGAGGCAGGCGGATCACGAGGTCAGGAGATCGAGATCATCGTGGCTAACATGGTGAAACCCTGTCTCTACTAAAAATACAAAAAAATTAGCTAGGTGTGGTGACGGGCGCCTGTAGTCCCAGCTACTCGGGAGGCTGAGGCAGGAGAATGGCGTGAACTTGGGAGGCGGAGATTGCAGTGAGCCGAGATCTCACCACTGCACTCTAGCCTGGGCGACAGAGTGAGACTCCATCTCAAAAAAAAAAAAAAAAAAATCATGAATTTTTCAAGGGAAATGGAGGAAAAAATTAACTTGGCTCCTTTTTCATCCTGTTCTCTACACTTGAAAAAATGAAACGATGGAGCCTCTCAGTTTCTTGGTCATTTGCATTGTGTACCTCTTCCTAGGGATGGGCCCTGCCTAGCTGTCTGTCTCTGGTGGAGTGTGAGTGACGGTGGAGGTGGGGAATTTTCTTTAAAAGCTGTTTACGGCCGGGTGCAGTGGCACAAGCCTGTAATGCCAGCACTTTGGGAGGCAGAGGCGGGCGGATCACCTGAGGTCGGGAGTTCGACCCCAGCCTGACCAACATGGAGAAACCCTGTCTGTACTAAAAATACAAAATTAGCCGGGCATGGTGGCGCATGCCTGTAGTCCCAACTACTTGGGAGGCTGAGGCAGGAGAATCACTTGAACCCGGGAGGTAGAGGTTGCAGTGAGCCGAGGTCGTGCCATTGCACTCCAGCCTGGGTAACAAGAGTGAAACTCCGTCTCAAAAAAAAAAAAAAAGTAAAATAAAATAAAAGCTGTTTTCATTCTATTGTTGTGTAGATTTTGCTCCATATTTTCATTAAAAACATTTTTGATTATGTGTTTTTTGAGACAGGGTCTCACCGTGTTGCCTAGGTTGGAGTTCAGTGGCTTGCTGCAGCCTCGACCTCCCTGGGCTCAGGTGATCCTCCCACCTTAGCCTACTGAGTAGCTGGGACCACAGGCGCCCACCACACATCCAGCTAGTTTTTGTATTTTTTGTAGAGATGGGGTTTTACTTTGGTGCCCAGGCTGGTGTTGAACTTGGGCTTGAGCATTCTTCTCACTCCGGTCTCCCAAGGTGCTGGAATTATAGGCGTGAGCCACTGCATCTGGCCTCTCCCCATATTTTCAAATAAATTAGACTATGAATGGGAAAATTCAGATATGTAAATTTTTTTTTTTTTTTTTTGAGACAGAGTCACTCTCTTGCCCAGGCTGGAGTGCAATGGCACAATCTCGGCTCATTGCAACTTCTGCCTCCAGGGTTCAAGGAATTCTCTTGAACTCCTGGCCTCAAACAATCTGCCTGCCTCAGCCTCCCAAAGTGCTGGGATTACAGACGTGAGACACTTCGCCTGGCGTAGATATGTAAATATTTTGTTTAATGCCTTGCCACTCAGGAAGCTTATTAAGTTTTTGAACTCTTAACTATGCCTCTGATAACCCCTGTTCCTCAGCTTAATTGCTTCATATCACAGTGAAATAAATTACTGAGTTTAGGAAATTACGAATCTTGCCAAATTGATTATATTTTCATTTTATAACGGAATAGGCTTAGGCCCCATAGGCTTTGTTACATTTTTGGAACTCATTTATTTTGTTAACTCCTGTTTTGTTCTTATCATGATATAGAATGGTAGGTTTCAAATTTTTTTTTAGTCATTAACCCTTCATTTGATAAAGGGGGTTTGTTTGTCCTTTTGTTTAAAACAATAAATCTAAGGCAGAAAAGTAGAATACATAAAATGACCCTCTTCTGGGTCAAGGCTGGAGCTTGAAGGCTTGAAGGTCATTTTGCCAGCAATTTCCTCTTTCTTAGTGGTAGCCCATGACCAGGGGCCCCAGAAGGACTTTGGGCTTTTGCAGAGCAGTCTGGAAAACCCTGATTTAGAGAACCGTGCTTTTAGCCTATCTATCTTTTCCTCGCAGGTTGGCAAAAATGTTGACAAGTGGCTCTGGATGCTTGGCGTGCATCGTGTGATGAGTCGAGGGGAGGGCGACTGCGACGTGGTTAAAAGCAAGCACGGCAGCATTGAGGCCAACTTCAGAGCATGGAAGACCAAGTTCATCTCCCAGCTGCAGGCACTTCAGAAAGGGGAGAGAAAGAAGTCCTGTGGCGGCCACTGCAAGAAAGGCAAATGTGAATCTCACCAACATGGCTCAGAGGAGAGGGAGGAAGGATCTCAAGAGCAGGACGAATTGCATCACAGAGACACCAAGGTATACCGCCTGTGTGTTCATCTCTTGATGCTTTCCCCCTCTGCTTGGAGATCTCGAGCTTGAGCTCTTCCTCAATAAACCATCTCGTTGGCTTCTGGTTAGAAGGAAGATCTGGCTGAGTGCAGTGGCTCGCACTTGTAATCCCCACACTTTGGGAGGCCAAGGTGGGGGTATTGCTTGAGTCCAGGAGTTCAAGACCAGCCTGGGCAACATAGCAATACCCTATCTTTACCACAATAATTTTAAATTTAGCAAGGCATGGTGGTGCATGCCTGTTGTCTCAGCTACGTAGGAGGTGGAGTTGGGAGGATTGCTTGAGCCCAGGAATTTGAGACTGCAGTGAGCTGTGATCATGCCACTGCCCTCCAGCCTGGGCAGCAGAGTGAGACCCTGCCCCAAAAACAAAGACAGAAAAAATAACAAAAAAAGAAGGAAGATGTGAAACTCATGTGGTGGTGTTTCAGAGAGAGAGAGAGGCCTTAGGAATTAAGCCATATCGTGCTAGATGCTTTCCAGAATCTCTTCTTTAGGCCGGGCACGGTGGCTCACGCTTGTAATCCCAGCACTTTTGGGAGGCCAAGGTGGGTGGATCACTTGAAGTCAAGAGTTCGAGACCATGCTGGCCAACATGGCGAAACCCCACCTCTACTAAAAATACAAAGATTAGCCAGGTGTGGTGGCGGGCACCTGTAATCCCAGCTACTCGGGAGGCTGAGGCATGAGAATCGCTTGAACCCGGGAGGTGGAGGTCACAGTGATCTGAGATCACGCGACTGCACTCCAGCCTGGGTGACAGAGTGAGACTCAGTCTCAAAAAAAAAAAAAAAACCCACACACACACAACCAAAACGTCTTCTTTAATCCTTGCATTGTTAGAGTCAAGTAGATTTTTACCACATTTTGCAAGTTGCGAAACGGAGCCACAGAGAAGTTAAATTTGTCCCAGCCTGAGCTCACGTCTCATTATCCTGAGATCACACATACCTCCTGACTTCAATGACTCCATTAGTCACTCAAACTGAAGGCTGCAAGTCATCCTAGATTCCGCTTTTTCCCTCACATTCTGAGCATTTCTCTTGCTTCCTTCTTTAAATACCCCAATTCCTTTGAAGCTCCTGTCTTCAGGCTGTAACACTCCTGTCATCTTCACAGCTGTTATCTTTTGGCCACCTGGTCAGTTGCATAATTCAGCAGCAACTTTACATTCTGACTCATTGTTTCTCTCTCCATCCCTGTTCCTATCATTATTCTTTGGGGCTGTGGCATCCTTGCGGATGATCTGTCTAGCACCCTGGCCTGCAGTTTCTTGGCCTTCACACCTCCAGCAACCATTTCTCCACTGACCTTGGTCTCTCCCTTACATAGGCACATCTGAAATTCAAGTTCCTCTCATGCTTACTATGACCTCATTCTGTGGCCTCTACTTTAACAACACTCCTTTTTTTTTTTTTTGAGAAAGGGTCTCATTCTGTCACCCCCAGTCAGAGTACAACGGTATGATCATGGCTCACTGCAGCCTCAACCTCCCCAGGCAGTGGTGATCCTCCCACTTCAGCCTCCCAAGTAGCTGGGATTATAGGCATGTGCCACCATGCCTAGCTAATTTGTCTATTTTTTGCAGAGATGGAGTTTCACCATGTTGCCCAGGCTGGTTTTGAACACTTGGGCTCAAGTGATCCACTGGCCCGGCCTCCCAAAATGCTGGGATCATAGGCATGAGCAACTGTGCCTGGCCTTTAAAATTCTTTTGATCTGGCCGGGCGTGGTGGCTCACGCCTGTAATCCCAGCACTTTGGGAGGCTGAGGCGGGTAGATCATTCAGGCAGCCACCCGTGGATTTGGAGCCCACTGCATGGCTCCTTTTCGTATTCCTAAACCCTTTCATTAAAGCATTGCCCCTTTTGATGTAGTATCTGTGTGTCTCTTACTGGATTGGCATCTTTGTGAGGACCAGAGGAATGTGTCGAATTAATTTTCAAGCAGTACTGGCTACCATGAGTATATGCAGTGTTCAAGATAACTTTTGAAGTTTCCCAAGGTCGCAGAACCAAGTTAGCAGTTTTGATTTGATTTGATGTGAAGACGAAATAGGTTCCTTTTGGAAAAAGTAAATTCTCAACATGAGTCTTTCCATTAGAAACTTGAGTCTAAGGAGAAGTTATCAAGGAGAGTCTAGGACAGGGATCAGCAAACAGGCTCACTGGCCAGATCCAGCTTATTGCCTGTTTTTTTTGAGACGGGCTAGTCTGTCCCCCAGGCTGGAGTGCAGTAGTGCATAGCTCACTGCAGCCTCTAACTCCTGGGCTCAAGTGATCCTCCTATCTCAGCCTCCTGAGTAGCTGGGCCTACAGGCATGCACCATCAT
This sequence comes from Homo sapiens, assembly GCF_000001405.40. Classification (NCBI taxonomy): domain Eukaryota; kingdom Metazoa; phylum Chordata; class Mammalia; order Primates; family Hominidae; genus Homo; species Homo sapiens. Next base: position 72,804,700 of record NC_000007.14, on the reverse strand, counting down.
GCCCAGCTAAGTTTTTTAAATTTTTTGTAGAGATGAGGTCCCACTGTGTTGCCCAGGCTGATCTCAAACTCCTGAGCTCAAGTGATCCTCCTGCCTTGGCCTCCCAAAGTGTTGGGATTATAAGTGTGAGCCACTGCACCCAGCTTGTTTTTTAATTTTTTAAAATAAAAGTTTTGGGAGCATGGCCATGCTCATTCATTTATGTATTGTCATAGCTGTCCGTGATAATCCTATCATCTGGCGCAGGACAGGCATGACCTCGCCTAAGAGGGGCTGTTTTATTTTGTATTGAACACTTGATCAGCAGCATCTGATTATATGACATCTCTCTGCTATACTGTGGGGCATATTGGCCAGCATATGGTTATTGACACTTTGTTTGTTTTAATTTAATTTTTTTCTTTTTTTTTTTTTTTGAGATGGAGTCTTGCTCTGTTGCCAAGGCTGGAGTGCAGGGTCACGATCTCAGCTCACTGCAACCTCCACCTCCTGGGTTCAAGCAATTCTCCTGTCTCAGCCTTTGGAGTAGCTGGGACTACAGGCGCACGCCACCACGCCCGGTTAATTTTTGTATTTTTAGTAGAGACAGAGTTTCACCATGTTGATCAGGCTGGTCTCAAACTCTTGACCTCAGGTGATCCATCTGCCTCGGCCTCCCAAAGTGCTGGGATTACAGGAGTGAGCCACTGTGTCCAGCCTGTTTCTTTTAAAGTGACCCTTGAGTTACTGAGAAAGTACCTGCTGTTGAAAACAAACAACTACTTCACCTCTTAAAAATCTCTTTATCAGCTGGGCACGGTGGCTCACATTTGTAACCCCAGCAATTTGGGAGGCTGAGGCGGGCGGATCACCTGAGGTCAGGAGTCTGAGACCAGCCTGGCTGACATGGTGAAACCCTCTCTCTACTAAAAATACAAAAATTAGCCGGGTGTGATGGTGCATGCCTGTAGTCCCAGCTACTCTGGAGGCTGAGGCATGAGAATTGCTTGAACCAAGGAGGTGGAGGTTGCAGTGAGCCAAGATCACGCCACTGCACTCCAGCCTGGGTGACAGAACGAGACTCAACAACAACAAAGAACAAACAAAAAAATCTCTCTAACGTTTGATTCTGCCTTATCCTTCATTGGAGAAAGGGATGAAGGCTGCCACGTATTAGCCGTGATTTCTTAACTTCTCTACCTTTAATTTCCTCATCTATGAGATGATGTTGAACCTGTCTACATCATAAGTAGTTAAGGATGAAATGAATGGGTATATGAACATTGTGTTGGGGTACGTAGTAGATACTCAGCAAATGTGTCTTCCCAGTGATGTCACATTTCCTCTACTTCTGCTTGGCATGTGTCTCGTTCCCCTGAGCCCAGCTCATGTCACTGTGACGTGAGAGGGCAGGTGAAGTGTTAGTTGTTCCCACTCCGTCATGCCCTTTCACAGTTGTTAGTCTGATGCTAAAGACTTAAGATTTATTTCTTCATTGTTGTTGTTGTTTTTGTAGAGATGAGGGTTTCACTATGTTGCCCAGGCTGGTCTTGAACTCCTGGCTTCAAGTGACACTCCTGCGTCAGCCTCCTAAGTAGTTGGGATTATAGGCATGTGCTACCACATCTGGCTAATTGTATACATTTTTTGTAGCAATGTGGTCTTGCTATGTTCCCCAGGCTGGTTTCAAACTCCTGAGGTTTCAAAGTCCTCCCATCTTGGCTTCACAAAGTGCTGGGATTATGGGTGTGAGCCACCATGCCCAGCCTAGATTTTATTTTTAAAGTAAGAATTTATAGACAGCCGAGCGCTGTTGTTGACGCCTGTAATCTCAGCACTTTGGGAGGCTGAGGTGGGTGGATTACCTGAGGTCAGGGGTTCGAGACCAGCCTGGCCAACATGGTGAAACCCTGTCTCTACTAAAACTACAAAAATTAGCCAGGCGTGGTGGTAGGCGCCTGTGATCCTAGCTACTTGGGAGGCTGAGGCAGGAGAATCGCTTGAACCTGAGAGGTGGAGGTTGCAGTGAGCCGAGATGACGCCACTGCGCTCCAGCCTGGGCGACAGAGCGAGACCCTGTCTCAAAGAAAAAAAAAAAAGAATTTAGAGACATAGTGAATTCTCAGTGTGGGAGGGAGGGTGAGAGAACTTTGCCTTTGCCCCTTTGAACAATGTATTTCTGAAGCATTTCTCTTCCAGGAGGAAGAACCCTTCGAGAGCTCCAGTGAAGAAGAGTTTGGTGGTGAGGACCATCAGAGCCTAAATTCCATTGTTGATGTTGAAGATTTGGGCAAAATTATGGATCACGTGAAGAAAGAAAAGGTACCATTACTTTGGGAAATGTTGCACTTGGCTCCCGCAGTTGGTTAACATTTAGTATTTCTTTATTACTGTGTAGTCCATCTGAGCTCACAGAGGAGTTTCATTTCTCTAGCTTCTGTCTTGAGAGTTTTATAATTTTTTTGCCATTTTTCATGAGCGTGGTGAGCATCTCCCCTCTCAGGCCTGTGAAAGTCAGCTCATCAGAGGATAAGCAGGAGATTTGAGAACAAGGACTGAGGACATTGTAGATCGGGGGTGTCCAATCTTTTGGCTTTCGTGGGCCACATTGGTAGAAAAAATGTCTTGGGCCGCACATAAAATACACTAATGATAGCTGATGAGCTAAAAAAAAAAAAAATCGCAAAATACATCTCATAATGTTTTAAGAAAGCTTATAAATTTGTGTTGGGCCAGTGGGCTGTGGGTTGGACAAGCTTGTTGTAGATGGTTAGAAAGATTTTATTCAGGGCTATTTGAAGATGAACAGCATGATAGGATTTATTATGGTTGAGATTCCAAGTGAAACTCCAGTGTAAATTTGCTTCTCTGCTGTATAGACTAAGTGGTGTTGGGGCTTAAGGATGGCAGCCTGGTCTGTGGGTGTGGAGATCAGCATGAGTGGGGCCCCTAGGAATCCAGGAAATACCAATCTGGGATGTGACTGTTTCAGTGACTAGATGAATGTGAGAATGTACGATGCAGTAGGATTTCATGCAGATTCCAGTGATCTAAAATTGAAGTAATATTGTACATACTATACTATAAAAATAACAGCCTCAATTTAACTGTGAGTTTTGGAAAATGAGACTCCCCTAAATTAAAATTATATGTAGTCCATAAGCCTTAAAAAAAAAAAGCTACTAGAAAATCCAAGAAAATCAATGCTAAAACCTATACAAATTCAAATGAACTCAGTAAGGTTAGCAGGATATCACAATGTAGAAAGTCAATAGACTTTATATTTCCAAACAATAACCAGTTAGAAGCTATAGTAAAAGAGAACACCTCATTTAGACTAGCTACATAAAGGATCAATAATTACCTACCGATTAATTTATTTTTTATTTTTTTGAAATGGAGTCTCATTCTGTCACCCAGGCTGGAGCGCAGTGGTGGGATCTCGGCTCACTGCAACCTCTGCCTCCTGGGTTCAAGTGATTCTCCTGCCTCAGCCTCCCGAGTAGCCGGGACTACAGGTGCACACCACCACGCTGAGCTAATTTTTGTATTTTTAGTAGAGACGGGATTTCACCATGTTGGCCAGGCTGGTCTCGAACTCCTGACCTCAGGTGATCTGCCCGCCTTGGCCTCCTGTGGTGCTGGGATTACACACATGAGTTACCACACCTGGCCTACCTACAGATTAATTTAAAAAGAAATGTCTTAAACCTACGTTGGAAAACTTTAAAACATTCCTGAATGATATCAAAGTGGACTCGAACAAATGGAAAGACATTCCTTGTTTTAGGTAGAGTGACTCAATGGTAAACATATCAGTTCTCTTAATATATAAGTTTGATGGAATCCCAATAAAAATTCTAGTAGGTCCTCTAGCCTCCTAGATCTAGATTGATCTAGTCATGTGGAAAAAATAAACATGGAATAATAGTTATGAAAACCCTGGTGAAAGTAGTGATGAGAAGGATGAGCCGCCACACCCAGCCAGGTCTGCCTTTTTTTTTTTTTTTTTTTGACTTTTCGAGTCTTGCTCTGTCAAGACTCCCACATATTGAAACATACCACAAGGTATCTCTAATTAAAACTGTAGTACTGGCTCATGATGAGACAAAGACCCTTGCAACAGAATAAAATTCTAAGAATATGTAGGAATTTCATATATATTAAAAGTGGACTCTGAAGACCTGGAGTTTAAAAGGGACTCTAAAAATAAATTATGTTGGCTGAGTGCGGTGGCTCACCCTGTAATCCCAGCACTTTGGGAGGCTGACGTGATGGGAGGATTTCTTGAGGCCAGAAGTTTGGGACCAGGCTCAGCAACATAGTGAAACCCCATCTCTACAAGAAATAAAAAAATTTAGCTAGATGTAGTGGCATGTGCCCGTAGTCACAACTGCTTGGGAGGCTGAGGTGGAAGGATTGCTTGGACCTGGGAGTTTGAGGCTGCAGTGAGCTGTGATCATGTCACGGCACCCCGGCCTGCATGACATTGGGAGACCTTGTTTCAAAAAAAAAAAAAAAGATGTGAAACATCTGTTAGCTTGTATATATGTCAGAATAATTTCCAAATGGATGAGCGAGCTAAATGCTGAATGTTGAAAAAATTATATAGATAGTAGAATCAGATGGATTATTGTATAACCTGGAGAAAGCTTTTCTATATGATTCAAAATCTAGAAGCAATAAAAAATATTAAATTTATGAATGATTTTAAAGTGTTTTACATGGCCATAGTAGAATCAGATGGATTATTGTATAACCTGGAGAAAGCTTTTCTGTATGATTCAAAATCTAGAAGCAATGAAAAAATATTAAATTTATGAATGACTTTAAAGTGTTTTATATGGCCATAAGGAAAATCAAAAGGCAAAACAGGAGGAACTATTTGCCCCTTATATCTCAGACAAGGTGTTAATCTTTTTACTATACAATGAACTCTTTTAAAAAAAAGGCAGACCTGCAGGTGCGGTGGCTCATGCCTGTAATCCCAGCACTTTGGGAGGTCGAGGCAGGCAGATCACGAGGTCAGGTGATCGAGATCATCCTGGCTAACACGGTGAAACCCCGTCTCTACTAAAAATACAAAAAATTAGCCAGGTGTGGTGGTGGGCGTCTGTAGTCCCAGCTACTTGGGAGGCTGAGGCAAGAGAATGGCGTGAACCTGGGAGGCAGAGCTTGTAGTGAGCCGAGATCGCGCCACTGCACTCCAGCCTGGGTGACAGAGCGAGACTCCGTCTCAAAAGAAAAAAAGGCAGACCTGACTGGATGTGGTGACTCATGCTTGTAATCCCAGCACTTTGGGAGGCCGAGGTGGGTGCATCGCTTGAGGTCAGGAGCTCGAGACCAGCCTGGCCAACATGGTGAAACCCCATCTCTACTAAAAAATACAAAAAAAATTAGCCGGGCATAGTGGCGCAAACCTGTAGTCCCAGCTACTTGGGAGGCTGAGGCACGAGAATCTTTTGAACCCTGGCGGCAGAGGTTGCAGTCAGCCGAGATCATGCCGCTGCATTCAAGCCTGGGCAACAGAGCAAGACTCTGTCTCAAAAAAAAAAAAAAAAAAAAAAAAAGGCAGACCCGGTCAGTTGCCGTGGCTCATGCCTGTAATCCCAACCCTTTGAGAGGCCAAGGCAGGTGGATCACTTGAGGTCAGGAGTTCGAGACCAGCCTGACCAACATGGTGAAACCCCATCTTTTCTGAAAATGCAAAATTAGCTGGGTGTGGTGGTGCATGCCTGTAATTCCAGCTGACCAAAAACCTAGTAGAAAAAGTTGGCAAAACACATGAATAAGAATTTCTCACAAATGGCTCTACAGAGAGATTTAAACATGAAAAGATGCTTAACTTTACTCATAATAAGAGAAATACAAATGAAAACTACACTGATAAACATTTCTCACCTTTCAGAATATAATAACAAAACTCCAAAGCTGGATGACATACTCAGTTAGGCGAGGCTCTGAGTAAACAGGCACTCATACCTTGCAGGTGGGAGTCCAGGATGGTCTAGCCTGTATGGAAGGGCTTTTGACAGTTTTTACCAAAATCACATATGCATTTATCCATGATCCAGCAGGCCCAGTTGTATGAATTTGCCTTAAAGATACAGCTTCATTAATGCAAAACAGCATTTCCACAGGCTTATGCATTGCAGCATACATAGCAAACAACTCTGTCGAATACTGGTTGAAAAAAGCATGGTATATCCACACAATGGAATATTGTTGTGTGGCTCTGAATAATACTATGGTGGATTGATATGCATTAATGTGATTTCCAAGTGGTGTTGGATTTTATTTGGAGGCTGATATCGACTTATTTTTTTTTTTTGAGACGGAGTCTTGCTCTGTCGCCCAGGCTGGAGTGCAGTGGCGCGATCTCGGCTCACTGCAAGCTCTGCCTCCTGGGTTCACGCCGTTCTCCTGCCTCAGCCTCCCGAGTAGCTGGGACTACAGGCGCCTGCCACTGCACCCAGCTAATTTTTTGTATTTTTGGTAGAGACGGGGTTTCACCGTGGTCTCGATCTCCTGACCTCGTGATCTGCCCGCCTCGGCCTCCCAAAGTACTGGGATTACAGGCATGAGCCACCGCGCCCGGCCGGCTGAGACGGACTTAAGATTTAAAAAAATGTGCGTTTATATTTGCAAACTTAGTTTAAATATGCATGTATATATGTGTGTGCGTGTGTGTGTGTGTGTGTGTGTGTGTGTATATATATAAATAGTATTTTCTAGCTGGGTTCACTGAAAGACTTTGCATGTTCTGACATCGATCTGTGGCACCAAATGGGTATCCTGTAGTTCAATTCAATTCTGATATGTCCTACCCAGAGTTAGTGTCTGACTGGACATGTTTAGGGCAGAGTCCTATAGAAGACTGCCCTGACTTCAGATACCTGCTGGAAGTCTCACGGCTACCTACTTTTCTGCCGGAATGACTCACAGAACTCCCTGAAAGCACTATAGTTAAGATTGCAGGTTTGTTTTTTGTTTTTTGATGTTTTTGAGACAGGGTCTCACTCCTTCATCCAGACTGAAGTGCAGTGGTGTGATCACAGCTCACTGCAACCTTGAACTCCTGGGCTCAAGGGATCCTCCCATCTTGGCCTCCTGAGTAGCTGGGACTATGGACATACACCACCATGCAAAGGTCATTTTAAATTTCTTTCTAGAGACAAGGTCTCACCATGTTGCCCAGGCTGATCTAGGTTGCAGTTTTATTATAAAGGCCACAGATCAGAAACGGTCAAATGGAAGAGATACTCTGGGGAGTGGGCATGAGGGAGAGACACAGAGCTTCTGTGTCCTGTCCTCTTGGAATCCAGGCACATCAGTGTGTTCCTCAACCAGGAAGCCCCACTGAGCTTCAGTGTCCAGGGTTTTTATTGGTATCCCATCATGCAAGCACTATTGGGTTAAATCATTGGGCAGTTGATTAAGCTCAATCTCCAGTATACTTCTTTTCCTCAAAGGTCAGGCTGGCCCTAAATTCTAATCCTCTAATCACATGGTTTCTTTCTGGTGATCAGCTTTCATCCTGAATCTATTACTTAGGAAATGCCAAGGTTTTTTGAAGCTGTGTACCAAGAACCAGGGTCAAAGACCAGATATATATGGCTGGGTGTGGTGGCTCATGCCTGTAATCCCAGCACTTTGGGAGGCTGAGGCAGGCGGATCACCTGAAGTCAGGAGTTCGAGACCAGCCTAACCAACACGATGAAACCCCATCTCTATTAAAAAAAATACAAAAATTAGCTGGGCATAGTGGTACGTGCCTGTAATCCCAGCTACTCAGGAGGCTGAGGCGGGAGAATCGCTTGACCCAGGAGGTGGAGGTTGCAGTGAGCCGAGATTGCACCATTGTACCATGACTGGCCCAGATATATTCTTTATTGTGCCGCAGACCCAGAAATAATCAATGTACTAAGCACTCAGATCTTGTTTTTCTGAATAGCATTCCTTATGATAAAGGGCTGGTTTCAGGACTGGTGAAAGAAGGGTAACAGATGAGCCCTGGGACATCTTACTGAACAAGTGGGGCCTCAGAGACTTATGGACACCTGCCAAAAAGACGTAGGAACCAACTCGAAGGGTTTCTTACAGGCCAAACTTGGAACAATTTGAGCTTCAAAAAGATTAATGAACGTAATAGATTATATTACATCAAATTAAAAAAAAAATTAGTTGGCCTGGCGCGGTGGCTCATGCCTGTAATCCCAGCACTTTGGGAGACCGAGGTGGGTGGATCACCTGAGGTCAGGAGTTCAAGACCAACCTGGCCAACATGGTGAAACCCTGTCTCGACTAAAAATTAGCTGGGCGTGGTGGCGCATACCTGTAATCCCAGCTACTCGGGAGGCTGAGGCAGGAGAATCACTTGAACCCGGGAGGCGGAGCTTGCAGTGAGCTGAGATTGCGCCATTGCACTCCAGCCTAGGCGACAGAGCGAGACTCCATCTCAAAAAAAAAAAAAAAAATCAGTCTGTGTGCGGCTCAAACAGGAGGCGTGTTGTGTAGGAGAAGGCTTCTAGATACTAACTATGTAAGGCATGAGAGAATTAGAAAATCAGCTGTTTGCAATTCCTAGTGTAATAATTGATTTAAGCAAGGATTCAGCCGGGTATGGTGGCTCACGCCTGTAATCCCAGTACTTTGGGAGGCCGAGGTGGGCGGATCACCTGTGGTCGGGAGTTCGAGACCAGTCTGGCCAACATAGTGAAACCCCGTCTCTACTAAAAATACAAAAATTAGCCAGGCGTGTTGGCACACACCTGTAGTCCCAGCTACTGGGGAGGCTGAGGCAGGAGAGTCACTTGAACCTGGAAGGCGGAGGTTGCAGTGAGCTGAGATTGCACCATTGCACTCCACCCTGGGCAACAGAGCAAGATTCCTTCTCAAAAACAAAACAAAACAAAACAAATTGGTTTAAGCAAGGATTGTGTGAAATGTCTTTGGGGAATAGATACTCAGTGTCTCAAAATATCATCCCACAAACTAAACCAACTAGAAATGAGGAATGAGTGGGGAAAACCCCCCACATATTAGTTTCTAATTACAGAGGGAACAATGTGCCTTTACAAATGGAGAGATCAGGTGATTCCCACCTACACCAACCAACCAAATTTAGCATCATCATTTCTACTAAAATGTGACCCATGTTCCTGCTGATAAGATGTATAGCAAGACACATACACATCATCTCTGTAGTTTCGCGTCAAAAAATGTTTAGCTTGAATCTCATCATGGGGAAACAATGAGACAAATCCAGTATTTGCCACAAGCCTTTTAGACTTTGTAAATGTCAATATCATAAACAATAACAACAAAAAAACATGGTGAGGCGATAACCATTCTAGGATTAAAAGAGACGATGAGAAAATCCAAAAGCATTTTGTAAATTTTAGTCTTGGATCAAAGAGAAAAGACCATTGTCTGGACATTTTGGGAAATTTGCAGTGGATTTTTTTGTTTTATTTTTATTTTATTTTTTTTGGAGACAGGGTCTCACTCTGTCACCCAGCCTATTTGTTAGCTGCTGTTTTGGATCTCCGTAGGGTTTGGGAGCAGCTGGGGGGAGGCAGGACAGATAAACAGAAGTAGGAGGCCGGGCATGCTGAATTGCACATGTAATCCCAGCACTTTGGGAGGCCGAGATGGATGGATCACTTAAACTCAGGGGTTTGAGACCAGCCTGGGCAACATGGCAAAACCCTGTCTCTACCAAAAATACAAAAACAAAAATTAGCCAGGTGTGATGGCGCCTGTAATCCCAGCTACTGGGAGGCTGAGGTAGGAGAATCGCTTGAGCCTGGGATTCAGAGGTTGCAGTGAGCCGAGATCGTGTCACTGCACTCTAGTCTGGGCGACGGGAGTTAGACCCTGTCTCAAAAAAAAAAAAAAAGAAAAGTGGGGAAGTTGTTACTTGATCACTGCTGTCATAGAGGTCTTTGTGCTCACTCTCCTAGTCATGTGTTTTGAGTTGACTCTCTTTCCAGGGAATGTTTTCATGGCTTCTTTGGAGATATCTTCCATGACCATCTCCCTGGCAAGTCCCTTGCGCTGAGCAAAATGTACTCTGAGAAGCTGAGAAGTGTACTTTGTCTTTCTTTTTCCTTCTTTTTTGAGCCCATTTTCCGGCAGCAGAGAAGTATACCTTTTTTTTTTTTGAGACAGAATCTCGCTGTCTCATCCAGGCTGGGGTGCAGTGGCACAATCTCAGCTCACTGCAACCTCTGCCTCCCAGGTTCAAGCGATTCTCCTGTGTAAGCCTCCTGAGTAGCTGCGATTACAGGTGCGTACCACCACGCCCGGCTAATTTTTGTAATTTTAGTAGAGATGGGGTTTCACCATGTTGGCCAGGCTGGTCTTGAACTCCTTACCTCAGGCGATCCTCCTGCCTGAGCCTCCCAAAGTGTTGGGATTCCAGGCGTGAGCCACTGCACCTGGCCAAGAAGTATACTGATGGCTGCTTAGTTCCTCCTCTGTGCCCTGTCCCTCTGGCTTCTCTTTTGAAGTCTGTCACCTGCTCTCTGCTCTACTTGACCAATGGGTCAAGATCTGAGATCTCCCTTGCCCCCATCCTGCTGTCAGGGGAACACGCCTGAGTTCTTTATTTGGAGGGGACAGGCCAATTCCTACCTAGCAGCAGTGCTCACTTGCTAATGCAAGTAGCTGATCCGTTTGCTTCTGAATTTCCTAGGCAGCAGCCGTACGTCAATCTGTAATCCTCTGAGGGCGGGGGATACAGCGCAACTTCTTTGAGAGGCTGGATTGGCAGTTTTCTTGTGGGGCTAGAGGTAAGAGGCTGACAGCTCCCTCTAGCCTCTCTCTTTTTGAGGGAGTGGAGAGAACTTAAAGTACCTTACCAACATTCTCTAGAGAAGTCTTCAAAAACCCTCTCTCATTACCTCCATGCTCTCTACTCTTTCATCTCTGTGATCTGCGGGAGCATTTTTTTTTTTTTTTTTGAGACGGAGTCTCGTTCTGTCGCCAAGGCTGGAGTGCAGTGGTGTGATCTTGGCTCAATACGACCTCCGTCTCTGGGATTCAAGCAATTCTCTGCCTCAGCCTCCCGAGTAGCTGGGATTACAGGCGCCTGCAACCATGCCTGGCTAATTTTTGTATGTTTAGTAGAGATTTAGTAGAGACGGGGTTTCACCATCTTGGCCAGGCTGGTCTTGAACTCCTGACCTTGTGATCTGCCCACCTCGGCCTCCCAAAGTGCTGGGATTACAGGCGTGAGCCACCGTTCCCGGCCAGGGGAGCCATTTTTAATGTTGTAAAACTGTTTCTCAGATATTTCTTCGAAAATTTTTAACTTGATCTGATCCTCTCTTTGTAGTTTCATTTAATTAATTAATTTATTTTTATTTTTTATTTTTTTTTGAGATGGAGTCTTGCTCTGTTGCCCAGGCTGGAGTGCAGTGATGCGATCTCAGCTCACTGCAACCTCCTCCTTCTGGGTTCAAGCAATTCTCCTGCCTCAGCCTCCCGAGTAGCTGGGATTACAGATGTGTGCCACCACACCTGGCTATTGTATTTTTTTAGTATAGACGGGGTTTTGCCATGTTGGCTGGGCTGATGTCAAATTCCTGGCCTCAAGATATCCACCTGCCTTGGCCTCCCAAAGTGCTGGGATTACAGTTGAGAGCCACCGTGCCTGGCCTCCTTTAATTTAAAACCCTGTTGACATGTGTTTTAAAATTTCACAGACAGCAGTCCTCTGTTCCTGTTTTTCCTGGATCCGCTTTTCATAGTAACCACAGTTTTCAGTTTGACAATATTCTTGCAGGTATTTTATTGCCTTTTATAAACACATTTGTTTTGGTATAATTTTGTTTTTTGGCTACACAAATGGGATCATTTTGTACTCCTGGTCTACAGACTGCTTTTCTTTCGCTTTAACATGACAACTTTCTGGTCCTGTCATATTAGATGAATTCAATGTAAGGTTCATTTTAAGGTAGTTCATAATGATGTCCCACAATTTATTTGGCTCTTGTTCATTAACATTCAGGTGTTTTCTCATTTTGGTAATGGATACTCTTGCTCATATTTTTTGTGGCTGATATAAACTTATCTGAAGAATAAATTCCTAAAATTGAAATTCCGGCATCTAAGGGAGTTTGTAGTTTTGATATTTCCAAATCGCCTTGTAAAAGTTGCAAAAAGTTTCCCTTCTGTTTCCATTGTAGAAGAGAAATGAGAGTACTTGTTCTCTACATCTGAGATGTTACCAATCTTTCAAATCTTGTCAATCTGAAAAACAGTAGCTTTGTGTTAATTTGCATTTTTAAAATTTTGAGTGAGATTGGATGCATTTTGTGTTTATTGTTCATTTGCATTTTTTCTTTCTTTTTTCTTTTCCTGTGAAACATTTCTTTCTTTTTTTTTTTGAGATGGAGTCTTGCTCTGTTGCCCAGGCTGGAGTGTAGTAGTGTGATCTCGGCCCACTGCAACTTCCGCCTCCCAGTTTCAAGTGATTCTCCTGCCTCATCCTCCCGAGTAGCTGGGATTACAGGTGCATGCCACCATGCGCAACTAGTTTGTATTTTTTGTAGAGATGGGGTTTCACCATGTTGGCCAGGTTGATCTCAAACTCCTGGCCTCAAATGATCACCCGCCTCGGTCTCCCAAAGTGTTGGGATTACAAGCGTGAGCCACTGCGCCTGGCCTGAATCATTTCTTTCTGTCTGCCTGAAATTAGACAAACTGCAAGGTTTGAGACCACAGTCTCCAAGACTGCTCCCATTTTTGACACCAGCTACAGATTTGTTGCGGTCCTTAGACCATCCTCAGGTTGATAATTTGCTAGAAAAACGCACAGAGCTCCCTGAAAGCTTTTATACTCAAGGGTATAGAGGAAAGGATACAGAAAATCAGCTAAGGGAAGACATGCACAAGGCAATGCCTGGGAAGTTCCATTGTTCTTTTTGTTTGTTTGTTTAAGACGGAGTCTTTCTCTGTTGCCCAGGCCAGAGTGCAGTGGCGCCATCTCGCTCACTGCAACCTCCACCTTCCAGGTTCAAGCGATTCTCCTGCTTTAGCCTCCCGAGTAGCTGGGACTACAGGTGCATGCCACCATGCCCAGCTAATTTTTTGTGTTTTTAGTAGAGACGAGGTTTCACCATGTTAGCCAGGATGGTCCCGATTTCCTGATCTTATGATCCGCCCACCTTGGCCTCCCAAAGTGCTGGGATTACAGGCGTGAGCCACTGTGCCCGTCCTGTTCTATTGTTCTTAAGTCCAAGGCTCCCATTGTCCTCAGGTCAGAATAGTTTTGATATTTCCTTTTTTTTTTTTTTTTTTGAGGTTTAGCATCAGTCTTTAATGCTGTCGCGCTGCATTGACAACTCACACACTTTGGTGTCATGTTGGCAGTGGCAACTTATAATGAGTCTAAAGGTCTGAGCGCCAGACTGGGCTCCAGGGAATAGACATTTGTTCCAACTCCCCCTCCCTCCCCAAGGTTTCTTCGGAATCCTATTATGGCCCTATACAGAGAAGAGCGGCTGCTGGGGACTGGTATTATGTGAGTGCATACCAATTATACATGGGATTATAAAAACATGTTTACAGACGTTCCATAGCGCTCCTCTAATCAGAAGCAAAGACCCTTTTATCAAAAGAGATTATATCTAGGGCTGTGCAAAATTCAAAAGGATCAGATCCCTTTGAAACAGTCCATAGTCCATGAAACAAAAATCACCTGGGCCACTGGTAAGCCCCAGGTATGCCAAGATTCTTTACAGAAATGGAAAGAGTGTGACCCATAAAGTGAGGACATTCAGCTTCACTAGAGCCAGAGGTCAGGAGGGCCCCTTGCTGGGGCCGGGCTCCCAGACCCTCAAGGGAGAGGTGACCGCACTTGCTGGAGTCACTCACTGGAGGCTGGCTCCCTTGGTCGTGCTGGAACAAGAGGTATTGCTTGTGGGTGCCAGCCAGGCAGTTCTGCAGGAATAGTTTAGGATTTCAATTTGAGATGGCCAAAGAGAAGACAGGATTCTTCAGGGGAAAAGGAAGACATGAGAGACAAATAGAGAATAAACCATGAACTGGTCACACAACAGAAGTTGAGTTGTGTACAGGGTCTGGCAGCCAAGGCAGCAGGTTGACATCATTTACCAGCCAGAAGCAAAGAGACTACAGAGGGATCAAGTGCAGCTGCTGGGCAGGGACTGGAGGAGGAGGGTGTGGGCCCATCCTGGGAGGGCTGCCAGACCCAGTGGGGCAGACCAGCAGCTGGTGACAGACGTCAGCCACTGTGCCTGGCCCAGTTTTTATTGAGCTATCATTAGCTAGGCATGATTGATTAATTGATTGCCTCTGTGGTAGGGCTCAGTCTTGAGCACCCCCTCTTCCTCCTGAATTTTGGGCTGATACCACATTGCCCTATGGGTCCGCCATGAGACACCTAATTAGCATAAAACATCAGATGTAGTCTGAAGGGCTCACCATGAGTAACAAAGATACTCCTGGCCGGGCACAGTGGCTCACACCTGTCATCCCAGCATTTTGGGAGGCCGAGGCAGGTGGATCACCTGAGGTCAGGAGACCAGCCTGACCACCATGGTGAAACCCCGTTTCTACTAAATAAAAAAAAAAAAATTAGCCAGGCGTGGTGGTGCATGCCTGTAATCCCAGCTACTTGGGAGACTAAGGCAGGAGAATCCCTTGAACCCAGAAGGTGGAGGTTGCAGTGAGCCAAGATTGCACCATTGCACTCCAGCCTGGGCAACAAGAGTGAAACTCTGTCTCAAAAAAAAAAAAAAAAAAAAAAAAAGATAATCCTATCACTTGAGAATGTTCAAGGATTTAGAGGTTAATTTTCCAGGAGCTGGGGACAAAGGCTAGACATCTTATTCTTTATTGTACACTGTGTTTCATCTATTTTTATATTGGATTATTTGGTTTCTTTTGTAAAGCTTATCATAAAAAAAAATTCCAGGCTGGGTGTGGTGGCTCTGCCTGTAATCCCAGCACTTTGGGAGCCTGAGGTGGGAGGACTGCTTGAGCCCGGGAATTTGAGACCAGCCTCGGCAACATAGCAACACTCTGTCTCTATTAATAAAAAAAATTAAAAAAATACTGTGATGAATATAATACTCTAACTATAACATTATAGTTATTTTCTAAATTTAAAATTAGCATCTTTCTCTTGTTTTAGCATTTTGTTACTTACTTCCTAATACATGTCATGTGTCCTTAATCCAAAAGTCTGAAATCCAAAATGCTTCAAAATATGAAACTTTTTGAGTCCTGATATGACATTCAAAGGAAATACTCGGGCCGGGCTTGGTGGCTCATGCCTATCATCCCAGTAGTTTGGGAGGCCGAGGCGGGCAGATCACCTGAGGTCAGGAGTTCGAGACCAGCCTGGCTAACATGGTGAAACCCTGTCTCTACTAAAAAAATATAAAAATTAGCCTGGCGTGGTGGCACATGCATGTAGTCCCAACTACTCAGGAGGCTGAGACAGGAGAATCGCTTGAACTCGGGAGGCGGAGGTTGCAGTGAGCCTAGATTACGCCACTGCACTCCAGCCTGGGTGACAGAGTGAGACTGTCTCAAAATAAATTCACGTCTGCACCAGGCCGGGCTTGGTGGCTCATTCCTGTAATCTCAGCACTTTGGGAGGCTGAGGTGGGTGGATCTCTTGACCCCTGGAGTTTGAGACCAGCCTGGGCAACATAGTGAGACCCTTGTCTCTACAAAACATAAAAAGTTAGCTGGGCGTGGTAGCTGGTACCTGTGGTCCCAGCTACTTGGGAGGCTGAGGTGGGAGGATTGTTTGAGCCTGGGAGGTCAAGGCTGCAGTGAGCTATGATCACAGCACTGCACTCCAGCCTGGACAACAGAGTAAAACCTTGTCTCAAAAATACAAACATGTGGCCGGGCATGATGGCTCACACCTGTAATCCCAGCACTTTGGGAGGCTGAGGCAGGCAGATCACCTGAGGTCAGGAGTTTGAAACCAACCTGGCCAACATGGCGAAACCCCGTCTCTACTAAAAATACAAAAATTAGCCGGGTATGGTGGCGCATGCCTGTAGTCCCAGCCACTTGGGAGGTTGAGACAGGAGAATCGCTTGAACCCCGGAAGCGGAGGTTGCAGTGAGCCAAGATTGTGCCACTGCACTCCAGCCTGGGCAACACAGCAAGACTCCCATCTCAAAAACAAAACAAAACAAACAAAACAAAGGAAATACTCATTGGAGCAGTTCAGATTTTGGCTTCGAAGATTTGGGATGCTCAACTGGTAAGCATAATGCAAGTATTTGAAAATCTAAAAAAAATTCTGAAATCTGAAAAACTTCTGATCCCCTAAGCATTTCAGCTAAAGCTACTCAACTTGTACTTCCATGTGGCCATGTGGTCTTTGTCATTTTTAGTAGCTTTTGTATTTTGAAGCCCGGGAAGAGGAGCTATTAAGAATGACAAGGAGGCCGGGTGCAGTGGCTCACTCCTGTAATCCCAATCCTTTGGGAGGCTGAGATGGGCAGATCATGAGGTCAGGAGATCGAGACCATCCTGGCTAACACAATGAAACCCCATCTCTACTAAAAAATACAAAAATATTAGCCAGGTGTGGTGGCAGGCGCCTATAGTCCCAGCTACTCGGGAGCCTGAGGCAGAAGAATGGCGTGAACCCAGGAGGTGGAGCTTGCAGTGAGCCGAGATCGTGCCACTGCACTCCAGCCTGGGCGACAGTGTGAGACTCCATCTCAAAAAGAAAAAAAGAATGACAAGTAGATGGAATATGGGTACAAGGTCTGGTCCAGCGAGATTATAACTTGGTGATCTAAATGTACAGTTTAACCTTCCCTAGCTTTAATCTCCTTTCCTGAGGAACATAGAGTTGTTGTATATGAAAGTGCTTTATAATCTTGAAAAGCCGGACAGACATTGAAATGAGCATTTTATTATTTTTTAATTACTTTTTCTTTTTTTTGGAGATGGAGTCTCACTCTGTCATCAGGCTGGGGTGCAGTGGCACGATCTTGGCTCACTGCAGCCTCTACCTCCCTCTTTCAAGTGATTGTTCTGCCTCAGCCTCCCGAGTAGCTGGGACTGCAGGTACGCGCCACCACGACCAGCTAAGTTTTGTATTTTTAGTATAGACAGGGTTTCACCGTGTTGGCCAGGATGGTCTTGATCCATTGACCTTGTGATCCACTGACCTTGTGATCCACCTGCCTTGGCCTCCCAAAGTCCTGGGATTACAAACGTGAGCCACCATGCCTCGCCTATTTTTTTTTTGAGATGGAGTCTCACTGTGTCGCCCAGGCTGGAGTGCAGTGGTGCAATCTTGGCTCACTGCAACCTCTGCCTCCTGGGTTCAAGCAGTTCTCCCATCCCAGCCTCCCGAGTAGCTAGGATTACAGGCATGTGCTACCATGCCTGCCTAATTTTTGTATTTTTTGTAGAGACGGGGTTTTTACCATGTTGGCCAGGGTGATTTTGAACTCCTGATCTCAAGTGATCCACCCACCTTGGCCTCCCAAAGTGCTAGGATAGCCACCGGGCCTGGTCTTGCTTAGACATTTTAAATTTGCTTATACATTTTCTTAGAGTTGGTCATTTGATGTGCTTTCAAGTTTTCTGCTCTTATAATTAACACTGGTCTGAGACCTTTCTTACTTTTGAAAAATGTATGAATGTTTTCCTACATTTACACATTCCCCATATTGATATACTGGGTCAACGTGAATGTGTAATGTTATGACTCTTAATTAAAAATCTGAGTAATTTTCATTGGTGAAATTGTCTGAAAATGATGCATGTGATAGCTGATTGAGAGATTTTTGTATTTTCTACCAGGTTAAGCTTTATTTAAAAGCTTTGTTTAGCAGGGCGCAGTGGCTCATGCCTGTAATCCCAGCACTTTGGGAAGCCTAGGCAGGTGGATCGCTTGAGCTCAGGAGTTCGAGACCAGCCTGGGCAATATGACGAAACCCTGTCTCTACAAAAAATACAAAAATTAGCTTGGCGTGATGGTGCGTGCCTATAATCCCAGCTGCTAGGAGGCTAAGGTGGGAGGATTGCTTGACCCCGGGAGACGGAGGTTGTAGTGAGCCGAGATCACGCCACTGCACTCCAGCCTGGGTGACAGAGCGAGACCCTATCTCAAAAAAAAAAAAAAAAAAAAGAAAAAAGAATTTAAAAACTTTGTTTATAGTGGGTGAAGAGTTTGGGATAATTTGTGGGTATGTATTTTTCTTTGCTTTTTCATCTTATGGCCATTAGAGGGCACTGGAGAAAACACTAATGAAGATTTCAGACATCCATGTACATTATTTTTTTGAAATGAAATGATTTTGGGCTTTATGAGCTTTAAGCAGCTGGTTTATGATATTTCAGCTTTCTCATAAAAATCTCTCATAAAATCATCAGATCTTTGGGAAAGATACCTATTTTTTCCCAATTTTAGTATGACACAAAAATAAGCTACCAGTTTTCGTTTTTCATGATTGTTAGGTTACAGCAGAGTGTTCAAATAGATCTTGTTTTCAATTTCTAGGGGATATGGGATACTAAACTTGGCAATGAAGGTTTTTACTGTTTGGCTTTTCTTTTTCTTTTTCTGGCATTTTGTTTTTTCTTCTCTTTTTTTTTTAGACAGTCTTGCTGTGTCGCCCAGGCTGGAGTGCAGTGGCACAATATCATCTCATGGCAGCCCCCGCCTCCCGGGTTCATGCAATTCTGCCTCAGCCTCCCGAGTAGGTGGGATTATAGCGCCCGCCACCACGCCCGGCTAATTTTTGTATTTTTAGTAGAGACAGCGCCTCGCCATGTTGGCCAGGCTGGTCTTGAACTCCTGACCTCAGGTGATCCACCTGCCTCAGCCTCCCGAAGTGCTGGGATTACAGGTGCGAGCCACTAAGCCTGGCTTTTTCTGGCATTTTCTTTGGGGCTGGCTCACACATTCCCTGAGTGCTTTCCGCATGATCATCCATGACACACCACATGAAATTGCCTTAGTTGTTACTGTCGAGGGAAGTAGTATGTGCCAGTGCTTAAGAGTTGGGCCGAAGCACTGTCATTGTAAGACTGGTTTTTGAGTAATATTCACTAACTTTCATGGAGTCATACATCTCAGCTTGTGTATCTGGACAAATTATTTTACCCCTCTGTGCTTCTGTTTTCTCATTTGGAATGTGAGAGATAACGGTATCTGCCTTATAAAGTTCTTATGTAGATTAAAGAAGTTAATCCAGCCACACTGTATTTTCTTGTATAGTAGTTAATATATTTTTTATAAAATAATAGTATATTCTAATTCTAATTATATTAGAATTAATTATATAATTATATTAGAATTATATAATTAGAATTAGAATATAACTTTAATTTAATATAATTATATATTAATATATATAATTAGAATTAGAATATATATTAACTATTCCAATATAATTAGAATTAGAATATATTAACTATAATAATTAATAATTAACTTATATAAGAATATGTCTTCAAATAGGATAGATTTGGTCCTACCAAAACACCACCTTGGTATTCTACCTCCCTCTCTCTGTAGTACTATCTAAGACTTCTTCTAGGACTGAAGATAATTTGAAGTATGAGAGTGGTTTCTAAGAACTAGAGCACTAAAGTTTGAAACACTGGAATGTTAGGGAGACAGATGGAGATATGGGGGGAGTGGGGTGTTAGGGGTGGCATGTTTGGGGAACCCTAAACAGTTTGGTGTGCCTAGAGTTGACTGGGGGGTAGGGATATTTGGAGCTGTGACATAGAGAAGGAAGATGGGGTAGGATCCTAGAGGCTTCTCAAGTCCTGCAGTGGAGGGGGCTGAGCTTTCTCCTGAAGGCAGTGGGAGGCAATGTGATTTGATTGAATTGGAGAATGGGTTAGGGGGTGTGGGGAGAGAGGAGAGTTCCAGTGTAGGTTTAAAATATTAGGAGGCCGGGCGCAGTGGCTTATGCCTGTAATCCCAGTGCTTTGGGAGGCTGAGGCTGGTGGATCACCTGAGGTCTGGAGTTCAAGATCAGCCTGGCAAACATGGTGAAACCTTATTTCTACTAAAAATACAAAAGTTAGCGGGATGTGGTGGCACATGCCTGTAATCCCAGCTACTCGGGAGACTGAGGCAGGAGAATCGCTTGAGCCTGAGAGATGGAGGTTTCAGTGAGCCGAGATTGCGCCTCTGTACTCCAGCCTAGGCAACAGCCTGAGACAACCCTGTCTCAAAGAATAAAGGAAAAAAGGAGAAATCAAAATACATAACTAGATTATCTCACTCAATCCTCACAGTGACCTTGAGATGATCAAACTATTATCATCTGCAATTTACCATTTAACAGATAGCAACTGAGGCTTAGTTTAAGCAATTTGTCCATCATCAGATGGCTGGTAAGTTGACAGCCTCAAGCCTGGACTCCATCTGTCTGTGTCACTCCTCTTGGCTGCTTCCCCAGGGAGGAGTGGTTCTCAGAAGCTGTAGTGTTTAGAGAACCATGAGTCAGGAGGAGCCTGATAATTTTTATATTGTTTATTTTCTCTTTCTCTTATGTTGTGATTTGTAAATGTAAAGCCTATTGCTACTTTTTTTTTTTTCTGCAGTAAATAAATGTTGCTAAATACTCCCCACAGCAATGTTCTGGCTAAGCAGACAAAGACTAACATCAGCATCATTAATTTTGGAAATAAATGGCAAATGCTTGACAGTTACTCACTGGAGAAACATTTCCATTTGCCAGCTATTTAAATTGCAGAAGGATCTCAGTATGTCCAGTTCTGATTATAAAGTTCTGTTGGTATTGCAGTGGAATAACAGGAAGCTAGTTTCAGAATTATTTTTAAGGCTTTGGAGTGTTTACTTCACCTAGAAACAAGAGGTGATATCCTTTCAACCCCAATACGCTGCCCTTAAACCATCTTGACTCACCATGGTCTCTGTAGCTAGGAGCACTTAACAATGAGTCCCCATGTTGTCTTCTTAAGGTAGGTTATCCAAAATAGAATTACTGTGTCAGAGTAAAGCTCTTGACGTGCTTGGGCACGCTGCTTTTCCACCAGTTCAAAAGGCATTTTTAGAACTCAGTATATACAAAAGCTTTGAGTAATGGTGAAAATTGGTCATTTTAAAACTGAACGGTGACCAGTGAGTGATATCTTAGAGATTCATTTATTAAAGAAATAGGAATCTAAATGTGGGGTTAAATTGCAGCAAAAGTTATTAAATATTAATAATTTACTTAATTTTTTTACCGTGACTCCTTTTCAGTGATATGATTTTTATTAGTTTAGATTAATATTAAAATTCTACTTCATGTATAATTAAACATGAATAAAAGTTTCTTTTTTTTTTTTTTTTTGAGATGAAGTCTTGCTTTGTTGCCCAGGTGTGATCTTGGCTCATTGCAACCTCCGCCTGCTAGGTTCAAGTGATTCTTCTGCCTCAGCCTCCTGAATAGCTGGGACCACAAGCGCATGCCACCACGCCCGGCTAATTTTTGTATTTTCAGAAGAGATGGGTTTCATCATGTTGGCCAGGCTGTTCTCGAACTCCTGACCTCAAGTGATCTGCCCGCCTCAGCCTCCCAAAGTGCTGGGATTACAGGCGTGAGCCACCACGTCCGACCTGAGTTTTTAATATTGAAAGTTACCAGGTTTAGAATTAGTTACTGAAAGAAATGTGGTCTAAATGTCTGGGTCTAGAAATAGCTGTCTGATAGTTTTGAGGCATTTCTTCATTTATTCAGCCAACATTTACCGAATGCCCATCCTGTGCTGGCATGGCTCCAGGTCTAGCCAGGTTAACTGTCTAGAAAAATGACCTCTGGAGAATTTGGGCATTCTATAGCCAATCTTTTCTTTTTCTTTTCTTTGAGACAGAGTCTGTTGCCCAGGCTGGAGTGCAGTGGCACCATGTCGGCTCACTGCAACCTCTGCCTCCTGGATTCAAGTGATTCTTGTGCCTCAGCCTCCCCAGTAGCTGAAATTATAGGCCTTTGCCACCATGCCTGGCTAATTTTTGTATTTTTAGTAGAAATGGGGTTTTGCCATGTTGGCCAGACTGGTCTCAAACTCCTGACCTCAGGTGATCCACCCACCTCCACCTCCCAAAGTGCTAGGATTACAGACGTGAGCCACCACAACTGGCCTAGTCAACCTTTTCTATAGGAATTGATAAGAAAAGGAATCACCTGATGGTAAAAAAGGATCAAACAATCAGAAAGACTCTTTCCCAGGAGAAATGTATGTTTTGGTAAGAAAAAGCTTGTTTGTTGTAAAACTCCTGTTTATCAGTTTCCGACTGTATAGCATTTTACCTTAAAGTCTTCAGCAAATCAGTTTTCGGCCTTGTTTTTATCCTAGGCAAAATTGGATGGTACTGTGGTTTCTGGGATGATGGTATCAAAATGAATTAAGTGGTATTGTATGATTTTTTTTAAATTTTTTTATTTTTAGAGACAGGGTCTTGCTTTGTAACCCAGGCTAGAGTGCAGTGGTGTGATCATAGCTCACCACAGCCTTGAACTCCTGGGCTCAAGTGATTCTGCCACCTCAGCCTCCCAAGTGGCTCGGATGACAGGCACGTGCCACCACACCTGGCTAATTAAAAAAAATTTTTTTTTGTAGAGCTGGGATCTCACTATGTTGCCCAGGCTGGTTTCCAACTCCTCGGCTCAACCAGTCTTCCTGCCTTGGCCTCCCAAAGTCCTGGGTTTACAGGCATGAGCCACTGCACCCAACCAGTATTATATGATATTTAAAACAAAAACAAATAAAAAACATTAGTAACACTGCTTTATACCTGTTATTCTATAAGATTCATGTAGTCCTGTCAGTTTATAAAGAATGTTTTGTGTATTCATTGCCATTTTCATAAGTGCTTAGGAAGTTAGCTCATAATTGACTTTCCTGTTTGCATGTCAGACCACTGCAGCTTGGCGAGGATATGAGTTTTCTTTCAACGCAAGTGTGATGGGTATGGGAGATGGGAGGAGTGGAAGTAGAGGTTGGAGACAGGGAGGCCATTTAGTTTGGCTTTTGCCGTCGTCCCTTAGGAGAAAGCAAGACCGTGGACAAGAACGGTGGCATTGTAGGTGGAGAGAACAGTTATGTTGGGAAATGAAACCCTAGAACTGTTTTACTGGGCAGTGGGCTCACTGCTGGATGTATATAGAAGCCAATACTGTGGCACTGGCTTTTGAAAAAAGAAAGGCTTTACTGGGAGTCGACTGGCAAGGAGATAGGAAGAAACACTCAAATCTGTCTCCCTGAGCTGGAGGCTGGGGCAGGTTTTATAGGCAGAGGGATTACCATGAGGCAATATAATTAGTGAAGTGTGATCTGATTGGATCTTGCAACGAAGTGACGCCAGGAGGTGTGATTTGATTGGAGCATGCCGTGGGGTGATGCCAAGACATGATCTGATTGGCTCATGCCCTGAGGTGATGCCGAGGCTTGCTTCTTAATTCTTTCTTTTCCCTGATCAGAGCCCTTTGGTTCTGCTTGTGGTTGACTTTTTAGTTCTGATTGCCTCTGGTATCACGCGTTGGGCACACTGGGTTCATCTGTGCTCGAGTTACCTGACCTACAACCTGGGGGTTCATGGCAACTGAAATACAACTTACTAGTTTACTGCACATAATTGAACCAGATTGGGCTAGTTATGTGGTTACAGAACTTGGCCACTCATCTTTAAATGGGATGGTACAGGAGAGGAAGAAATCAAGGTTGGCTGATTCTGGGATCTTATTTATTTCTGTTTAGGCCATGTAACAGCTATAAATGAATAAATACACAAAAATATATGGATCTTACATGGTTGTTATATTGTTACATTCTGGGCAGAGAGTAAACAATGTCTACACCTAGCAGATTAGAGTTAGAATTTGAATGGTGCATTAAACTCCCTTGCGGAGTGTTATAAACCATTACATTTCTTTTCAGAAACGAAATTACTACTGCATATGGAGGTTAGGAGTGAGCTGCCTTAGAGGGAAGGAGTGATGAATTTTGTTTGTCCTGAGTGCTCAAGACCTTTAATCATAGCCCTTATGACTGACTCTGGGGTTGCAACACTCACATTTTATAATAGATACTTTCTCTAGTGAAGGGACAGAGACAGTATTCCATGGCCGTCCTTTGGAGTCTGTTCATTTTGTAGGGGCCAGAAGTCTCTGTTTAAAACCCCAAGAGGGTGTCTGTGGAGCTTTGGGCATAGTGGTCAGAGGCCAGTGTCATGGACCTCGGTCCAGTTTTGGATTTATCTGGCCTTTGGGTTAAGCAAATAAGCTTGTGATGTTTTGTGGTGACAAGGCTTTTGAGGGCAAATACTGCCATGTCTTTTCAATTTTTTACATGATTTGTAGAGGAATTATAGAGACTCGCTATATAGAATTGCTTCAGAGAATTCAAATGCTTTCAAGGTTGAGATTTGTTCATTTTGCTTCACCACAAGACTTCTTTATCAAGCTCACACCTTTGCTTTTAGATTAAAAAAAACAAAGCAAACTACTTGGGTAGCTGAGGCGGGAGGATCGCTTGAGCCCAGGAGTTTGAGACCAGCCTGGGCGACATAGCGAGACCTCATCTCAGAAAACAAAAGGCAAAGGATTCCTTCTATTTTAAACTATCTTAACAAAATAATAACTGGAGCCTTTTTATTTGTATAAAAGGCCTAGCATTAAGCTAATTACATTTATTATAAGAACAAATGATTGATGTTTGTTTATGAATTTTTTCAGCTCCATCCAGTAATGTGTAATTAAGAACCCTATTACTGGAAGCAAAAATGTTCATTTGCCTTGCATTTTGATTATATTTAGTAATTTGGAATGCTGACTTTTAGGACAGATAGGACTTAATGCGGCTTTTTTTTTTTTTTTCTCATTTGGTACATTTGATTCTCTAAAGTACTTTTTTCACTGATGTCCTATTTCAGAGCAAGTCCCTGAAGTAACAGAGAATGTAGAGATATTGACTCCAAATTTCACTTACTTTCTGTGAGTGTTAATTTTTTTTTTTTTTTTTTTTTGAGGCAGAGTCTCTGTCGCCCAGGCTGGAGTGCAGTGGCACAGTCTTGGCTCACCGTAACCTCCGCCTCCCGGGTTCAAGCGATTTTCCTGCCTCAGCCTCCCTGGTAGCTGGGATTATAGGTGCCTGCCACCATGCCTGACTAATTTTTGTATTTTTAGTAGAGACAGGGTTTCACCATGTTAGCCAGGCTGGTCTCAAACTCCTGACCTCAGGTGATCCAGTTGCCTCAGCCTCCCATAGTGCTCGGATTACAGGCGTGAGCCAACGTGCCCGGCCACGTGTTAAAATTTTTAATCTGTTTTATATATGGGAGACATCGAATGTTCTCAAAAGTACACAGAGTGATATAGTGAATTCTTATTACCTATTGCCTGGCCTCATCAACCAGCAACTTATGGGCCATCCTCCCCTAGGTACCCTTTGTATACCCCTTTCTGTTTTAGTTTGAAGCAAATGTCAGACCTCATCTGTGAGATATTCTCATGTTAAAGTAGAAATGGTGTTACAGTGAGTCCATTCACTTATTCACCTGGGGGCTGGATGGCTGGACATTTAAAATAGACAGGGACCAAGGGTGGGCTGGGGCTTGGTGGTAGGGCCACTGCCTGGATGAGTTATTGTGAATTTCTGCAGCTGTCAGTAAGATTTGATGAGTATCTCCCCTAAAGTGTAACACAGATCTCGTGTGTTGTCTCTGAAATTATTACTCAGCACTCTGCCATTCCCAAAAAGATAGGGAGATATCCTTAAAAATATACACAAATAAACTTTTAAAAAGAGAAGAAGAAATCAGTGGACAGAGTGAATGAGGGTCATCTTGTCATATCAAGCCAGTTACAATGAATAGAAGACCAGCATGCTGCAAGGTTTTGTAACAGTAATTAAAGGTGTGCTGGTGAAATTTCCTGGTGGCCAAAGTCAACAGGAAACACAATTATTTTTATATTATCCTTTGGATTTCTTAAGTGTTTCTTTTTCTATCACTGAAGAAAAATATCCTGCATAGGATCTTCTAGAAGTAGACATTGGCCAGGAGTTTCAGACCAGCCTGGCCAACATGGGGAAACCCTGTCTCTACTAAAAATACAAAAAAATTAGCCAGGCATGGTGGTGCACGCCTGTAGTCCCAGCTACTTGGGAGGCTGAGGCATGAGAATTGCTTGAACCTGGGAGGTGGTGTTTGCAGTGAGCCAAGATCGTGCCACTGCACTCTGGCCTGGGCGACAAAGCGAGACTCTGTTTCAAAAAATAAAATAAGGGAGAGGGAACCATTGGAATGGCTGTTGGTGGTAGTGGGGTAACTTGGTCTCTGAGCTGATGGCTCTCAGGGTGGCTTAGATTACTTTTTTTATTTGTTTTTGGGGTTTAGAGATGTAATACCAGCAGCAGCTATAATTTGTTGAACGCCTATTGTACATCAGGTGTTGTGTTGTGATTTTATTTCATTTAACCTTCAACATATTTCTTCTCTGTTGCTATTATTATTTTTCCCCCTTTTCAGGTGAGGAAATTGAAATTCAGAGAAAATAAACAACTTGCTAAAGTTAGGCAGCTATCTGTACTCAGATTGCTGAAAATGTTTGACACTTAGTTAAGTGAATTGTAGATTTATGGTTTTTGGATGTGTATGTTTGAATATATAGTTACTTAACAAAAGAGCATCCTGGCATGTCTTTAGATTGTTGTCTCATTGGGATTGTGTTCACTTTGCAGAGGATGGGTTTTGTGGGCCATGGTTCATAACAGCCCTTTTTTAAAACAATTTTTAAAAATTATTTATAATTATTTATTTTTTGAGACAGAGTCTTTCTCTGTTGCCCAGGCTGGAGTATGGTGGTGTGATCTTGGCTCACTGCAACTTTCGCCTTCCGGGTTCAAGCGATTCTCCTGCCTCAGCCTCCTGAGTAGCTGGGATTACAGGTGTGAGCCACCATCCCCGGCTAATTTTTGTATTTTTAGTAGAGATGAGGTTTCGCCATGTTGGCCGGGCTGGTCTCGATCTCCTGACCTCAGGTGATCCGCCTACCCTGGCCTTCTAAAATGCTGGGATTACAGGCGTGAGCCACTATGCCCAGCCTCATAATGGACCTTTTTATTGATGCTAGGTGTTCATGATTGTGCTGTTATTTACATTGCACATTGCCAATTCTGGATTTCATTCTTTTATTTTAATGCAGAGAGAAAAGGAACAGCAGGAAGAGAAGTCTGGTTTGTTCAGGAACATGGGGAGGAATGAAGATGGTGAAAGAAGAGCTATGATAACTCCTGCTCTCCGAGAAGCCCTTACTAAACAAGGTGAAAATCTTCAAGAATTGTTGTTATATGACTATAGTCTTAGGCATTCTCATTTGATACCTAGAATGAAGTCTCTCTCTAATTAGCTCAGCAGCTGTTCATAGTGGCAGATATAACAGTCTAAAGATTTACCTTCTTACTTCTGTGGATCGCTTCTGTTGGCTGCCTGCACCAGTGAGTTACCTTTTTTCTTGGTTTATTGGGATATTACTATCAGTGTGGGTCAAGTTCACAGATCAAAAGTGCTGTCATTGGGAAAGCTATTAAAAATGCATAGAAAAGCTTATATGATATGAGACTGGGTTAATTAGAAGTGTTTATGTAGAGGTATCGTATCTGGATTTTTGTGGTCTTACCTTATTAAGGAGGTTATAGTTGCATGAATGATTAATAATATTAGTTTCCTGTGGAGGAAAGAGTAGTAAAATGGGAATCAGTAGACCGACCTCCTTTCCTTCTTCCCCCTCCCCACTTCCCCTCTATATTTATGAGAGGCCTTTTACGTGACAGTTCTGGCAATGCAGAGAAACACAGGAAACTATATCTGCTTCAAGAAACTGTCGGTCTGGTACACTAGAGAAATATATATATATATTTGTATTTTAATATCTATGTCTATATTTTAATTAGGGTAGATTATATTAATGTGATTTCATTATAGATTTAAATTTATCTTGCTATTTTCTATTTCATCTGCTTTTTTATTTCCCTTTTCCTGTTTTTCTGTGTTCTTTCAAATTAATTCATTTTTAAAAAGTGGCTCTATTTTATATTTTGTTTGCTTACTAGCAATAACATTTTTGTTAATAGTTGCCCAAGGTTTTACACTATACCTCTTTTTTTTTTTTTTTTTTTTTTTGAGACAGAGTCTCTCTCACCCAGTCTGGAGTGCGGTGGCATAATCTTGGCTCACTGTAACCTCTGCCTCCTGGGTTCAAGTGATTCTCCTGCCTCAGCCTCCTGAGCAGCTGGGACTAGAGACATATGTCACCATGCTCAGCTAATTTTTTCGCCATGTTGGCCATGCTGGTCTTGAACTCCTGGCCTCAAGTGATCTGCCACCTCAGCCTCCCAAAGTGCTGGGATTACAGGTGTGAGCCACTGCACCTGGCCTACACCATACTACTTTATCATTTCATAGTATATCTTTGAGTGATGTTATCTCACTTAATGTGTAGAAGAACCGTACAGTACTATACTTCCATTATTTCTTTCTTAACCTGTATGTAATTTTTATCACACATTTTACTTTTACTTTTGTTTTTTGGTTGAGTCGGGTCTTGCTCTTTTGCCTAGGCTGGAGTGCAGTGGTATGATCATGGCTCGCTGTAGCCTTGAACTCCTGGGCTCAAGGAATCCTCCTGCCTCAGCCCCCTGAATAGCTGAGACTACAGGTGTAAGCCACCACACTGAGTGTTTTACGTATGCTCTAAAGCCTACACTTTATTATTATTTTTTCTTCAACAAAAATATCTATTTTTATATCTAACTCAATCAAAACATCTATTTAATTATGTACTAAAGATTTATATACTTAGAATCTTAGAATCTCACATATTTACTTTATGTAGTTACCATTTTCAGTACTCATGTAGTTACCATGTTCTATTCATGTAGGTCTGTGTTCCGTCTGGTATCCTTTTCCATCTGCCTGAAGGACTACTTGTTTTTTGTTTTTTTTTTTTCTAATTTAAACTTACCTGTGGCGACTCCAAGGACTTTTTGAAGATCTCTCATAGTGCAGGTTTGTTGGTGATGAATTCTTTCAGCTTTCGTATATCTGAAAATGGCTTTACTTTGCCTTCATTTTCTATCACTGTGTCTTCAAGTTCAGTAATTTTTTGCTGGATATAGAATTGTAGGTTGACAGCTGTTTTTTCTTTCAGTACTTTACAGATGTTACTGCACTGTCCTCTTGCTCACATTGCTTCTGATTAGAGTTCAGCAGTCATCCTTTTGTTTGTTCCTTTAAATAGGATCCTCCTTCTCCCAACCTCCTGCTACTTGGAAGATTTTCTCTTAATGCTGATTTTGAGCAATTTAATTATAATGTGCCTCAGTTTAGTTTTCTTCATGTTTCTTTTATTTGGGTTTTGTCGAGTGTCTTGGTTTTGTGGATTTATGGTCTTCATGAAATTCGGACAAATTTTGGCCATTATTTCTTCAAATATTCTCCTCCCCACCCACCCACTTGCTTCCTAGAAGACTACAGTTATATATGTAATAATCTGCTTGAATTTGACCCACAACTCACTCATGTTCTATTCATTTAAAAAAAGTTCTTTCTTCTGTCTCACTTTTCATTTTGGATAGTTTCTATTGCTATGTTTTCAAGTTCAGTTATCTTTTCTTCTGTAATGTCTCATCTTCCATTAATCCTATATAATAGGTTTTTCAACTTAGACATTGTAGTTTTCATTTCTAGAAGTTCAGTTTGGGTCTTTTTATATTTTCCACATCTGTTACCTTTTTGAGCCTATAGAATACAGTTATAACTGTTTTAATGTCCTAATCTGCTAATGTCTTTGTCATTTTTGGATCAGCTTGGATCAATGGATTTTTTTCCCTCATTCATCATGTTTTCCTGTCTGTTTGCATGCTTCATATCTTTGATTGGATGTCAGACCTAATTTTACCTTATTAGGTACTGGGTATTTTTATTTTTATTATTTATTTATTTATTTTGAGACGGAGTCTCACTCTGTTGCCCAGGCCGGAGCGCAGTGGCGTGATCTTGGCTCACTGCAACCTCTGCCTCCCAGGTTCAAGCGATTCTCCTGCCTCAAGTAATTCACCTGCCTCAGCCTCCTGAGTAACTGGCTGCCACTACCACGCCTGGCTAATTTTTTGTATTTTTAGTAGAGACGGGGTTTTACCGTGTTAGCCAGGATGGTCTCTATCTCCTGACCTCCTGATCTGCCCACCTTGGCCTCCCAAAGTGCTGGGATTACAGACTTGAGCCACGGTGCCTGGCCTGGATATTTTTATATAAACACTCTTATAAACAGTTTTAAGCTTTTTTTTTTTTTTTTTTCCCCTGGGACAAGGTTAAGTTACTTTGAAATAATATGAGCTTTTATATCTCACTTTTATGGCTTCTTAGGTGAGACAAGAGCCGGCTCAGTATAGGGCTAATTATTCTTCACTGTTGAGGCAAAACACTTCTATGTAGTCTACCTAATGCCTTGTGCATCTTTAGATTTCTAGTCTGACTGGCAGAAACAGGTACAATTCTCAGCCTGCTGTAAGCATCAGGCATTACCCCCAGTCCTTCCCTTCCTCAGTCCTTCCCTTCCTCTCTCCCTCTTTTCATTTGGGATAGTTTCTTTGTTTCTTTTTTTTTTTTTTTTTTTGAGATGGAGTTTCACTCTTGTTGCCCAGTCTGGGGTGCAGTGGTGTGGTCTTGGCTCACCACCTCCTCCTCCTGAGTTCAAGTGATTCTCCTGCCTCAGCCTCCCGAGTAGCTGGGATTACACGCATGCGCCACCACACCTGGCTAATTTTTGTATTTTTAGTAGAGACAGGGTTTCACCATGTTGGTCAGACTGTTCTCGAACTCCTGACCTCAGGTGATCCACCCGCCTTGGCCTCCCAAAGTGCTGGGATTTACAGGTGTGAGCCACCATGCCCATCCCATTTGGGATAGTTTCTATCACTGTGTCTTCAAGTTCAGTAATTGTTTCTTCTCTAAATGTCTAGTCTTCCAAAAATGGTTCTTTCCCATCCTTGGGTAGTGTTTCTCTTGTGAATGTGCTGAACAGTACTTGGGCAAATACTTGAGAGAAATCCGCTGTAGACTCTTGGAGTCTCTTTGTAGGTTTCATCTCTCTAGCTTTCAATCCTGCAAACTGTAGCCACCTTTGTCTCCCCAGGCTCTGTTGCATTTTCCAAACTCAAGAGTCCACTGGGCTTCGCTTGGGTCGTCTCTCTTTGCTACATGGCCTGGAAGGTTTCAAGACAGTAAGCTGAGGTAATGGGAGGGCTCACCTTAAGTGTTTCCTATCTCTATGGGATCACCATCTTTTGTTGCCTGATGTCTCATGTTCTGAAATCTGTTGTTTCATATATTTTGTCCATTTTTTGGTATTTCAAGTAGGATTGTAAATCCTCTCTGTTACTCCATCTTGGCTAGAAGCAGAATTCCACACTATGATTTTCAGCAACTGTACACTGTTGGCTTATATTTGTGCTGTGGTCAACTACAGATCTCTCCATTCTGTAATGTACAGTTTTTTTCTTTACCTAAATGCAAAATTTATAGAAACCTATGTATCTTGGGAGAGAAAAATATAAAGAGTTAATAGAGGATGATTTCTATGATAGTATGAACAGTATAATATGGAATTCCACGAGAGGAACTAGAATTTCTTCTGGGGATCTTTTAAATGCATATTTGGTATCAGAGATGAGTTATTCAGTTGGACTCAGTTCCACCTTCGAATATATAAGCAGTCCTTTGTTTATTTATATGCAAGATGTTTACATAAATACAGAAGAGGTTACAAGACAAAGCCCTGTAAATGTTACCTCTGGAGACTTGTAATCCAAATTGACATTGCTCCAATAATCATCACAGTGTGAATATGGATGTTTAACCAGCCACTGATCCACTTATGCTGTCATCCAGACTGTATTTCTCCATTTGCCTTATTTGCCTGCAAGAGTCTTTTTGTGAGAGTGACTCATGATAATTGTGGCTTATTACCTGAAGCCTCATGAGAAACGGTATTGAATGCTTTCTGAAATCAGAATGTACTACTTGTTTGTACTACTAGTTTGTTTAAAAAGGAAATGAGATTACTTTGGCCTGGCTTTTTCCATGCTTTTCATGTCCTATGTAGCTCAAAAATTTGAAATGACAGGTTATAGTGCTACTGAGAATTCACGTTTAAGATGTAGTTCCTAGAATTGGATTTTTCTCTCTTTGGGTCAACATTACTTTGTTTTAATCTCCCACTGACATCTGGTTCTTCATCTTCTTTCAAAGATTACTGATGATAGCTCCCCATTCATTCATTTGAAATATATCATTACTTTTGTTTTATGGCCCAGCATACCGTTCATTTTTATAAATGTTTCACTGGTCCATGAAAAGAATGTAAATTCTGTAGTTGATGAGTGCAGGGCTCTGTGTGTTTTTGGTCAAGTTTATGTGTTGTGTTGCTTACATCTTTTAGAGCTTTACCGAGTTTTTACCTATGAGATCTGTTAGAGACAGAGAGGTTAAAATCTCCTCGTATAATTTTTGGATTAATTTATTGTTTCATGATTGGGTGTGGTGGCTCACGCTTGTAATGCCAGCACTTTGGGAGGCGGAGGTAGATGGATCACTTGAGGACAGGAGTTCGAGACCAGCCTGGCCAACATGGTGAAACCCCATTCCTACTGAAAATACAAAAAAATCAGCCTGGCAGGGTGAAGCACAACTGTAGTCCCAATTACGTGGGAGTCTGAGGCATGAGAATCGTTTAAACCCGGGAGGCAGAGGTTGCAGTGAGCTGAGATCAAGACACTGCACTCCAGCCTGGGTGACAGAGCGGGACTGTCTTTAAAAAAAAAAAAAAAATCATTTCTTTATGTATTTTGAGTCTATATTATTAGATACATATAGATTTTAAATTGTTTTCTCATCTTGCTGAATTAAATCTTTAATGTTTCCAGCCATGGGTTGGTTGACTGCAATAATTTAGCAAAAAAAAAAAATTTTGCTAAATTTTAATGTCACTTTTTGATATGACGCTTTGGATCAGTCCAACTTTGTGTTCCCTGCTTTTCCACTCAGGTTATCAGTTGATTGGGAGCCACTCAGGGGTGAAGCTTTGCAGGTTTTTTTTGTTTGTTTTTATTCAGTATGTCTATTACATGCAACTTTTAAATAGCTATTATTATACACTGTCAATAAATTTACTATTTAGAGGTATAATTTACATTTAATATGCACAGATTTTTAAATGATTCTTTAAAATGAGTTCAGCAAATTTTGATAGATGTAGAACCTATATTCACCAACTCCAATTAAGATATAAGTTATTATCCCCACCCCAATGAATTTATTGTGCCCATTTCTAGTCAATAACTCCTTTTCCCTAGGGAATTCTTGTTCTAATTGCTATTACTGTTACTTAGTTTTGCCTTTTTAGAATTTTATATGAGTGGCTAGATGCAGTGGCTCACGCCTGTAATCCTAGCACTTTGGGAGGCCAGGTGGGCGGATCATTTGAGGTCGGGAGTTCGAGACCAGCCTGGCCAAAATGGTGAAACCCCGTTTCTACTAAAAATATCAAAATTAGCCAGGTGTCCTGGTGGGCGTCTGTAATCCCAGCTATTCGAGAGGCTGAGGCAGGAGAATCACTTGAACCCAGGAGGCAGAGGTTTCAGTGAGCCCAGATCGTGCCACTGCACTCCAGCCTGGGTGATAAGAGTGAGACTCCATCTCAAAAAAAAAAAAAAAAAAAAAAAAAAGGAAATTCATATGAGTGGAATCATGTAATGTGCAGTCTTTTGCAACTGGCTTCTTAAACTCAACCTATTTTTGAGATGCATCCGTGTCATATCATGTAACATGCATCAGTAGTTCATTCACTTTTATTGCTCAGTAGTATGCCATTGTATGAATATACCAGTTTTTAAAGAGCTGTAAATAGACATTTGGTCTGCTTTTAATTTTTGGCTATTATGAAAAAAAGTACTATGTGCATTCTTCACAAGACTTTGTGAATGTACATTTCAGTTTTCCTTGGGTAAATGCCTAGAAGTGCAATTGTTAAGTCATAGAGTAGGTATATATTTAACTTTAGAAGAAACTCCCAAACTGTTGTCAGTGTGGTTGTACTACTTTATACTTGCTCAGCAATTTATGAAAGTTTCATTTGTTACACATTCTCACCATCATGTGGTATTGTCTTTTAGGCATTTTTATGGTTGTGAAATGGTTGTGAAGTGGTACCTCATTGTGTTTTTTCTTTTTTCTTTTTTTTTTTTTTTTTTTGAGACGGAGTCTCACTCTGTTGCCAGCCTGGAGTACAGTGGCATGATCTTGGCTCACTGCAACCTCTGCCTCCTGGGTTCAAGTGATTCTCCTGCCTCAGCCTCCCGAGTAGCTGGGCCTACAGGCGCGCACCACCACACCCAGCTAATTTTTCTATTTTTAGTAGAGATGGGGTTTCACCATGTTAGCCAGGATGGTCTTGATCTCTTGACCTCGTGATCTGCCCACCTAGGCCTCCCAAAGTGCTGGGATTACAGGTTTGAGCCACCGTGCCTGGCCCTCATTGTGGTTTTAATTTACATTTTGCTGGTGATGGTTGATGATTGGGAACATTTTTTTTGTTTTTTTTTTTTTCGAGACAGAGTCTCGCTGTCTCACCCAGGCTGGAGTGCAGTGGTGCAATCTTGTATCACTGCACCTCTCGGGTTCAAGTGATTATCATGTCTCAGTCTCCTGAGTAAGTGGGATTACAAGCGTGTGCCAACACGCCCAGCTAAGTTTTGAATTAGTGTATTTTTAGTAGAGACAGGGTTTCACTATGTTGGCCAGGCTGGTCTCAAACTCCTGACCTCAAGTGATCCACATGCCTCAGCCTCCCAAAGTGCTGGGATTATAGGCGTGAGCCACCATGCCCAGCCAAGAACATCTTGTGTTGTGCGTATTGGCTGTTTATACTTGTGAAATGTCTGTTCACATCTTTGTTCAGACTGAGTTGTTTGACTCTATATTATTGATTTCTAGAAGTTCTTTATATGTTGTGGATGTGAATCTTTTGTTGAATGTGCACTGTGAATATTTCTCTAGACTGTGGCTTTTCTATTTCCATAAAGGTATCTTTTGAAAATTTTAATTTGGATACAGTTCACTATATCATATTTTTCTTTTATGGTTAGTGTTTTTTGTATTTCTGTGGTGCAGGACAGGAATTCTGCCAACCACAAGGTCACAAAGATATTCTAGATTTTCTTCTAGAAGCTTTGTATGTAGTTTTAATTTTTTAAAGCAGTTTTCTATAGTTTTAATTAATCAGTCTCTTACTCTTTTAGATGTGTTAAATATACATTTTCACATGTCAGCTTATAGTCTACAGTGCTGCGTGGTTCTCTGTTTAATGGAAACTAATCTCTGTGGGAAAACTCATTTTAAGGAAGACACATACATATGCACAATGCATGCAAACAGATAACAGGGAATAGTAAATATCACTTCTGTTATATTTTTCAGTATCTTCTCAGTCAATAAAATGGCATGGTAACACAGTTCCAATGCAGCACACATGAATGGCAACACAGAGATGAAAGCATCCTCGCTTACCATGCCAAACTGCTGCATGCCCATCCCACAGACTAGCCTCCGTGTTCCTTGCACCATCCCATAAATTATGAGAGTAGGCTTCTTTTAATACGTTCTTTCTCTTATAAATGTGTAGGAAAATAATAGTAAGGTAGAGAAGAAAGATAGTAAAGTAAGGAAGTATTAGAAGTGTTAATGGTGTAAAAACCCACAAGAGGTGGTTTGCAAAATTCAAATAGTCTTCCAACTGCTCCACAGTAAACCATTCTTAGAGTTTGTGAATCAGAGAAGTCATATAGGGCACAGGATCCTGTCCTGCACCACAGGTTCGATTTTTTTTTTTTTTTTGAGATGGAGTCTCGCTCTGTTGCCCAGGCTGGAATGCAGTGGCGCAATCTCGGCTCACTGCAATCTCCGCCTCCCGGGTTCATGCCATTCTTCTGCCTCAGCCTCCCAAGTAGCTGGGACTACAGGCGCCCGCCACCATGCCTGGCTAATTTTTTGTATTTTTAGTAGAGACGGGGTTTCACCATATTAGCCAGGATGGTCTCGATCTCCTGACCTCGTGATCCGCCCGCCTCGGCCTCCCAAAGTGCTGGGATTACAGGCGTGAGCCACCGCGCCTGGCCTACAGGTTTGATTTTTGTCTGTCGTTTTTCTTTAGGTGAAAATGACAAATTCAGTTTCTTTTTTCACTGCCATAGCAGGTCTTTAGTTTTGATACAGAAATTAGATAAACATATTGTCCCCAAACTTCAATGTCTGTATTCCTAGAGCGGTGGCAGGAGCTCTTCGGGGGGTCAGTGGCCGAGGGGGCGGACAGAGTTGTTTGGGCGGATTCCTCCTAAGCAACCTGTATGGAAGAAGCCATTTTTTAAAATTTTTTTTTTTTTTGAGGTAGGGTCTTGCCCTGTCATCCAGGCTATAGTGTAGTGGTGCAATTTCGGCTCACTGCAGCCTCTCACCTCCTGGGCTGAAGCGATCCTCTCTCCTCAGCCTCCCAAGTAGTGTGCCACCATGCCTGGCAAAAGTTTTTTTTGTATTTTTTGTAGAGACAGGGTTTCATCATGTTGCCCATGCTGGTTTTGAACTCTTGGACTCAAGTGATCTGCCTGCCTTGGCCTCTGAAAGTGCTGGGATTATAGGCATGAGCCACTGTGCCTGGCCCCATATGTAGTTTTAACTTTTATGTTTGGGCCTGTGATTCGTCTTGAATTAATTTTTATGAATGGTGTGAGGTAAAGGTTAAGATTTATCCCACCTCTGCCAATATGGATATCCAGTTGTTTTGGCACCATTTGTTGAAGACTTTTGTCAACCTGAATAACAAACAGAGAGGGGCTCTCTAGAAGAAAATGATGGTTATTTTGGAATAGAGCACTGCAATGTGAATATGCAAGCCACAGTAAACTGTGTTTTTGGGGAGGTACAGGAAGACAAAGTTTACTTTTTAATTTTTTATGAGTTACTATAAGTCAATGAAGACAAAGTTTTTTTTATTTTTTTATTTTTTTATTATTTTTTTGAGACGGGGTCTTGCTCTGTCACCCAGGCTGGAGTGCAGTGGTGTGATCTCAGCTTACTGCAGGCTCCGCCTCCCAGGTTCACACCATTCTCCTGCCTCAGCCTCCTGAGTAGCTGGGACTACAGGCGCCCGCCACCACACCCGGCTAATTTTTTTTTTTGTATTTTTAGTAGAGATGGGTTTCACCATGTTAGCCAGGATGGTCTCGATCTCCTGACCTCGTGATCCACCTATCTTGGTCTCCCAAAGTGCTGGTATTACAGATGTGAGCCACCGTGCCTGGCCAAAGACAAAGATTTTTAAAGGAAAAATTGAGGAGGATTATGTAATTGTTTTGAAATAATTATCCTTGGCTGCAAAGATCAATAACAGGGGTGACGGCAGTCCGAGGGTAGGCTGGCAGTTGCTGGGCAGATGACGTTGGCAGAGAAGCATTTTTTTGTGTAAGGTTGTGGTAGCCTTTGTGCAAGGTTGTGGTTTTTGTAGAGTCTTTTTCATTTTGTAGAGTCTTCAGGCACACAAGATAACTCTCCTCATGGTCTTCCCTGCTTCTGTTTTTCTTAACATTAGTGACTCCATTTTGATTTTGACAACTTTTACATTTCTTCCTTTTGATCAAGATCTTTTTCAGAAAGCATGACTGATCATTTATCCTGTAGTTATTTTTATTTATTTATTTTTTTGAGACAAAGTCTTGTTCTGTCACCCAGGCTGGAGTGCAGCGGTGTGATCTCAGCTCTCTGCAACCTCCGCCTCCTGGGTTCAAGGAATTCTCCTGCCTCAGCCTCCTGAGTAGCTGGGATTACAGGTATGCACCACCATGCCTGGGTAATTTTTGTATTTTTAGTAGAGACAGGGTTTCACCTTGTTGGCCAGGCTGGTCTTGAACTCTTGATCTCAAGTGATCCACCTGCCTTGACCTCCCAAAGTTCTGGGATTACAGGTGTGAGCCACTGCGCCTGGCCCTGTAGTTATGTTTTTTTTTTTTTTTTTTTTGAGACTGAATCTCACTCTGTTGCCCAGGCTGGTGTACAGTGGCGTGATCTTGGCTCACGGCAACCTCTGCCTTCTGGGTTCAAGTGATTCTCCTGCCTAAGCCTCCGGAGTAGCTGGGATTACAGGCAAGTGCCACCACTCCCAACTAATTTTTATATTTTCAGTAGAGACAGGGTTTTGCCACGTTGGCCAGGCTGGTCTC
This sequence comes from Homo sapiens, assembly GCF_000001405.40. NCBI lineage: Eukaryota > Metazoa > Chordata > Mammalia > Primates > Hominidae > Homo > Homo sapiens. The sequence goes on along the minus strand of NC_000007.14, from coordinate 72,766,411 downwards.
GAACTCCTGACCTCAAGTGATCCACCCGCCTTGGCCTCCCAAAGGTGGGATTATAGGCGTGAGCCACCGCGCCTGGCCCAGATTCAAAGTTTAAAAAGGGAAAATAAAAGGTAAACTTAATATGACAATGTCAGTTTGCATAATGGCTTTGAGTCGTGAATCTAGGCTTAAAGAAAACCAATTGAATAAGTTAAATCACCACAGGGAATTAGGTAAGACCTGCTGTAACGTTATGAGCTGTTTTGTTTTGTGTATATGGGTTTCAGCTTTCCCAGAGGAATTTATCCAGGTGTACAGCTTGTAATATTAGAAATAACGCAGACATTTTCTTATTTAATGAATCGATACAAAAGTATTTCTTAAGTTAGGTTTTGTTAAGTTACCAGCAGAGGCTGTTGATTGTAAAATTTCAATTACAAGTCTGCCAAGTGAGAAAAGTAGCATTAAGAGGAGTAAAAGTCTCATTATGATATGAAGTCTTATTCCAACCTCTTGGAGAAAGTTGTTTACAGTGTGAAAATAGCAACTTTTTCTTCCGGTTTGTAGTTTGAATATCTTTGGTCATGACATTGGGCAGTTGGGTGAACCTTTTTTGTGGTTCATAAATCAGACATGAGGCTTGTTTCTTAAAATTTATCCAGTTTCAGCCAGGTACCAGTTGGTCACACCTGAAATCCCAGCACTTTCAGAGGCCAAGGCTGGCAGATCACTTGAGGTCAGGAGTTCAAGACTAGCCTGGCCAACATTGTGAAACCCCATCTCTACTAAAAATACAAAAGTTAGATGGGTGTGGTGGTGTGTGCCTGTAGTCTCAGCTACTCGAGAGGCTGAGGCACGAGAATCATTTGAACCTAGGAGGTAGAGGTTGCAGTGAATCATGATCGCACCACTGCACTCCAGCCTGGTCGACAGAGTGAGACTCCATCTCAAAAAAAATTATCTAGTTTCAGCTAATAAAGCTTTTTAAGCCAGCTGGAGAACTGTGACCAAGTATTGGAGGAAATTAGAAGAATTCAGAATCTAGTCCAGTCTACACGTAGATAACAAGAACTTTAAAACAGTGCATGGGGCTACAATCTGTAATAAGAATAGGTATATTATAGTTTTTCTATAGAGACATAACTTTTTCTTCCCACATTGATCACACAGGAATCTCAGATTTAAAAACCTCCTGAGCTAGGAAGCCAAACCAGGGCAGATTTTAGATCTCACGTACAATCTTAAGGATCGTGAGCCTTCCAGGAAGTGACCATTTTTACTGACTCACTGGAAGTCTGGGAACTCTGGAAGCCAGGCATTCAATGCACATTTTCAAATAAGACATTTCAGCCAAAGCCTTGGTGGTATATAACCGATGTTTATATTTCCAATTGTATCCTACTTGAGAGCAGATTTTTATTGAATTTATATAAATAAAAATAAGAATAGTAACGTTTGTGAATTTTGGGAGGAATCCAATAGGAAGGAAAAGCAAATGGTTCCATCTTTGTTCACAAAAGTATACTTTACCAAATTGTTGTATACTATAGATAGCTTATGTGAGAAAAATGTCTTAAATCTGTAAGACAAAATATTTAAGTAAAGAACCAAAAATGAAAAGTCACAAACACATCATCATCATCAATTACTTAATTTGAAGTCATTAAATTTTAGTTTTGCTTGATCTTGATTAGCAGTTTTATGGAGTCAGACGCAGTACCGTTGTACTGTGAGGTTGGCCATTAACAGTTTTATGCACCAATCAGTTTTTTTAATATATTAGAGTTCTGGAAGTTGTCATTTAGTCCATTGATCTTAAAATTATCAGAAATGTGTTCAAGAGTACTTGTTGGGCTGGGTGCGGTGGCTCACCCCTGTAATTCCAGCACTTCGGGAGGCCGAGGTGGGCGGATGACGAGGTTAGGAGTTTGAGACCAGCCCGGCCAATATGGTGAAACCCTGTCTGTACTAAAAATACAAAAATTAGCTGGGCGTGGTGGCGGGCGCCTGTAGTCCCAGCTACTCGGGAGGCTGAGGCAGAAGAATCGCTCAAACCCGGGAGGCGGAGGTTGCAGTGAGCCGAGATCGCCCCACTGCACTCCAGTCTGGGCGACAGAGAGTCTGTCTTAAAAGAAAAAAAAGGACTTGTTGAAGTCATTTTCATAAAAAGCAGTTTTGGAATGTAGCTGATTGCAGTTGTTTTCAGAGAATAATTCAGAACAGTAACAGTGGTTCACAACAACAACTTAGGAAAGCCATGGTTAAGATCCGATGAAATTTCCCAGTTGACAAGGAATTTAGTTATTTCTTACATGCAGTATTTTAAGATAACAACCAGGATCATAGGGCCATCAGACTTCTATAAATTTCATATAATCTTTTGAATATTCACATTAATAACATATCCCCATACAAATATAACTTTAAAAAAGAATCAATTATGACTGATAACATATTTTAATGAATTTATATACTTTTTAGAATATTTATATCAATAACATACCCACAGAAATAACTGAAAGAAGATCTAATATCACTTACCATTTGTCAATGCATTCCATATAATTTTCCAAGTAAGACAAATAATTTAATATCTCTGTAAGATGTGACATACATTCTTTGAAGCTTTTCAGGGGCCTAACTGGACAATGCCAAAGTTAATTTTAGGTCAGAAACAATTTTGGATTTTGATTCTGTGGAAACCTGCCAGAGATGCCAAAAGGTTCAAAACACTTGATCAAAACAGAATCATAGGTCACTCATAAATAGTAGTTACTCATTTAATCAGAGTGATAATTAAAATACTTCAAAAGCAATATGGAAATTCACATAGATAGAAAAACCTTAATCTGGCAGGGTGTGGTGGCTTACGCCTGTAATCCCAGTGCTTTGGGAGGCCGAGGCGGGTGGATCACAAGGTCAGGAGTTTGAGACCAGCCTGGCCAACATGGTGAAACCTCATCTCTACTAAAAGTACAAAAAATTAGCCGAGTGTGGTGGTGGGCGCCTGTAATCCCAGCTACTCAGGAGGCTGAGGCAGGAGAATCGCTTGAACCCAGGAGGCGGAGGTTGCAGTGAGCCGAGACTACGCCACTGCACTCCAGCCTAGGTGACAAGAGCAAGACTCCATCTCAAAAAAAAAAAAAAAAAGAAAAGAAAAGAAAAAACAAAACCTTAACCCTCTAAAGCTCAGTTTTCCCAAGTAATCAAAAATCTAATAAAGATAGCATAGGAAATTATCTTGATAAAACATAAAATCTTTTGGTTTTTTTTTTAAAGGCCAGTTACCAAAAATGCAAAGAAAACTTTTTGTGGTGTGATTGCCTCTCTTTATGGGAAACCCATTTAGGTAACCTGGAAGACAAACCTGATTAAAAGTGTACTTGAATTTAATCAGAAACAGAAAGAGTATATCGAGGGTCATGAGTGTATACTATATTATAGAGAAATGTAAAAGAAAACTAGTACCTTGTGGCTGGGTGTGGTGGCTCACGCCTGTAATCGCAGCACTTTGGGAGGCCATGGCAGATGGATCACTTGAGGTCAAGAGTTCAAGACCAGCCTGGCCGACATGGTGAAATGCCATCTCTACTAAAAATACAAAAATTAGCCGGGCATGGTGGGGTGCGCCTGTAGTCCCAGCTACTCAGGAGGCTGAGGCAGGAGAATTGCTTGAACCAGGGAGGCGGAGGTTGCAGTGAGCCAAGATCATGCCACTGCACTCCAGCCTGGGTGACAGAGTGGGACACTGTCTAAAAAGAAAAACAAAACAAAAAACACCCTAGTACCTTGAGTAGAGGAATACATGACTCTTAGTAACAGCATGGGAAGTTTCCTCATTACAGGGAACAATTCAGACATATCAAGAAAAGCCAAGAGTACAGAATCAAATTATACTGAAGGAAAACATTGCTTTCTAGGCTTTTAAGATAAACATGTTAGTTTCAGGCCCTAACAGCAGAGTTAGAACTAGGAAAAACAAAAGTTACAGGAGTTGACAAAAAGGTTGAAGGAGAGAGTTATCACCCCAGCCAAGCAAAAAGGTATATACCTTTTTAAGAGGAGAAAGAACAGAAGGCAATGATGTGTGACCTGCAAATCATTTGCAGTGAGGTACAGCAAAGGTTGAACTTCTGATATAAATTTGAGAAATTTCAAAAAGAAAGAACTTTTCCTCACAAAGTGAAATGAAAAACACTACATCTCCAACCTGAGAGTAGGAAAATTAATTACATCTCAGGAAGAAATAGAAATAGTTTAGAAGATGAGTGTTAAAGAAACAGATTTCAGAATTAAAAATCAAAACCTCTTGCAATTTTATTAAAAGCAAATACTTTAGGTAAACCATGTTGTTTTAATATAGGTAACCAAATTTTAAAATTTTTGTATTAGTGTATTTTTAGCATAATAGATCAGTTTTTAGAAAGACTAAATATAAACAATCTCTTTTAATTATAGCCAACTTAATCACGTGCAGAATTCCTTTTATGAATTGTGTTTTCATGAACCTTATCATGACTTTTCTCAGATCATTGTTGATGTGCTGGGACTTTCTGCTTTATCCTACACTTCCTTAACTTAAATAAGCAGTCATTTTAGTTTAGAACAAAAATGTGTCATACGAGATTCTTTCTCATACAAAGTTATTCTTTTCTTTGTAACCTTTCTTAAAAAATATATCTTCATATCCATAACTTTTTTCACATCTCTCTCTCTCCCTTTCGGTATTCTATTTCTTTCCATATCCATATTTTGAAATAGCCTTTAAATAACCTCTACGTTAGACAAAATTATTCTTTAAAAAATTTTTAAATTAAAAAAAACTTTAATTTTTTTTTTTTTGAGACAGGGTCTCACTCTGTCAGCCAGACTGGAGTGCAGTGGCACAATCATAGCTCACTGCAGCCTCAAACTCCTGGCCTCAAGTGATCCTTCTACCTCAGCCTCCCTCGTATGAGCCACTATGTCTGACTCAAAATCATTCTTTTCTCAATAAGGAACACATTTTTATGCCCATCTTATACTTTTTTCCTATTAAAAACATACCTTATATATTTTAGGCACATTTTATATATAGAATTATACATATTCATTAGAATTTTTAACTGTTCGTAACCTTTACTTTTAGTGAAAACCTAGAAAGCAAGATCTTGAATTGTTTTTCACTTATAACTGTTTTATAGATGAGAACCATTTTATAATTTTTAGAAGTTTCTTTCCCTGTAACATAATTTTAAAAATCTTAGTTGGAAATAACCCAGACATTTAATGAGTATTTATTATTTAATTGAACATAACTTTAGGATTTCAAATTACTTGAAAAATTCATTTATAAGCATTTATCCCATTTACATTGGTGTAATTTATTTATTAACAATTTACCTAGATTTCTTATGAGAATTGAGATATTAGACAAAGCTAGTTGTCATTTCAAGTTATTTCTCTATTAATCATTTTTATAGCCTGTGAATATCCGGTGTCCAATAATTCAGGATATACACCTGTTTTTATTTTTTCAACCAACAGTGATAACTTAGTCCTATGTATCAAAACATTACACAAACGAAGATCATTCTGTTGTAGGCTGGGTTTATAGTTTTATAACCTTGTTGTGAAACCCTGATGTCTTAAAATGTCTAGTAGAGACAAATATAAACTGTCTGAGCAGTAAACCTAGGCAAAGATGCCTGCTGACAAATTTGAAGATATTTTAATTTTTATTTTACCAATAACTTTAAAACCAGCTTATTGATTAAAGATTTACATAAGTCATGTGAACTGAAAGGCATTTGGGTTAATTAGTATATATTTTATGTGAGCACTCCTTTCTCTTTAAGGGACTTCTTGCCAACTAACTATGCCAAGTTATACAATGTAGACACAACATACAATACATGTGCATACGTATAAACACATAAATATGCACACAAATAAAGATCTTATAGTTTTCATTTTTGAATTTTCATCATGAGATTATAATACAAACTCACTGGTTTATAAGACGGTTGGATCCAAATTATATTTCTGGCAAAACTGGAACCTGTTCATATGGCTAAACTTTATTTGCCTCAATAGCTAATCTAATGAAGGCCATGGGCCAAAATTTTGGGTACAGCAGTTTTCATGCACTTTGATTTTTAAAACATCTTTTATACCATCCCCCAACCCCTGCCACTTTTTTGTAGTTTCAGATGAATTTAGGCTTAAATTTTCAACATTTACATAATAGCTAGGACTGGTTGAATTGTATAAGTAAAATAAAATCTCCAGGTAGCCTTGGATTAGTAACAGATCTATCTTTTGTTTGCCTGTCTGGTTTGCTTAATTAGCAAATATAGGCAGGGAAGAACTTTAGCAGGGTTTTTTTGTTTTGGCTTTTTCTTTTTGCCTCTGTGTGCCGGAAAAAGCAAGATTTTTTTTGTGTGTATATGCTGGACAGACATACTTTTTATTATTGCTCTGAGCTCAAGATTTTGACCTGTTTGACTTGAGTGTCTAGCATTATAAACATCTATCTAGTTCTTTTTCTTTTAGAGATTAATTTTTCAATTAAGTGTTTCATCACCATACACAGTTGCTAGTTAGGCAAACCTAAATTTATATTTCTAAAAGGTGTCAAAGTTGTTGGTTACCATGGAGCTGTTGTAATTCGTAAAGGCATTAATTTGAAAGCCCTTTAAAAGACTTCTCTCTCTCTTTTTAAGAATATCTTGGCTGGAATGCCATAAGCAGTGAGTTTCATCTCAACACCAATAGAAAAGTCAGCAGATTTAAAATAGGCAGAAAAACAAATAGAGAGATAGTGAGTTAGAAGACTCAACATGTTAACTCCATAGTTGCAGGTCTTTTTGAATAATGATCCTTAGTGCTCTGAATTTTCCTTGTAATTTGCCCATCAATTGAAAAATGTGCAGAAGAATGGGCCATAATATATAGCCTTCTATAGTCCTGGGAAACCTGGCATGCCTAAATGTTTGAGAATCTTATTCCATTTCTTATTAATCTCTCGAGAGCAAAGAAAATTCTGTAAATTCCATGAGGAATTCAGACTGTTGTTTCAGATGGTGGCAACCACCCTAGTAGCTTTTTTAAAATTTTGAGATGGAGTCTCATTCTGTCACCCAGGCTGGATTACGGTGGTGCAATCTCACCTCACTGCAGCCTCCACCTCCCGGGCTCAAGCGATCTTCACACCTGAGCCTCCCGAGTAGTTGGGACTACAGGTGTGCGTGCCACCACGCCTGGCTAATTGTTTGTATTTTTTGGTAGATACGAGGTTTCGCCATGTTGCTCAGGCTGGTCTCGAACTCCTGAGCTCAAGTCATCTGCCTGCCTCGGCCTCGCACGGTGCTGGGATTACAGGCATAAGCTACCGCACCTGGCCACCTAGTGGCTTTTAATTAGCCATTCTGTGCCCATTATCCAGAACATTTATTTTGGTCTCAGAAAGTTTTCCGAAAGAAGCATGGGAAAAGAGTCAAACCAAATGAAAATAACCCAAGATAAGAGTGTTCAAAAACATTTTAACCTAGGCATGCAGATCAAATGAGATATTAAATGAGGCACACAAACCAGAGAAGTCATGCCTCCCAGACAGAATGTCGATTTTGTAGAAACCAAGAGTACTTAATCCAGAAAGACACTTTTCTTTATACTAGAAAATACTTTCCAGAAAAGGTAAAAAGTCTATCATCCCAAGAGGGATGTGTGATTCATTATTAAGGTGGCCTTATCCAAACCACATTCCAAATAAAGTAAAAAAGCCTCTACTAAAAGGAAGGAGGCTCAGACTGAGAGAAGACATACCAGGGCAGAAAAGGCGAATCATGGTGGTGGAGAGCTCAAGGGCTCAAGTGAGTACTGCAGTGGTGCCAAGAATCAGCAATTCTTAGTGCTCTCTTTCAGGTCCCATTTCTGACACCAATTATGTGAACCAGATAACAAACAGAGAGAGAAAAATTTTTTTCTAAGAGAAAAAAATGTTTTTTCTAAGAGAAAAAAATGTTTATTTAGGAATAGAACATAGCAATGGGAACATAATAAATTAGGTCCACTTTCAGGAAGACAATGGGTTTTGTTTGTTTGTTTGTTTTTTAAGAGACAGGTCTTGTTATGCTGCACTTGAACTCCTGAGTTCAAGTGATCCTCCTGCCTTGTCCCCTCAAATAGCTGGAACTATTGTACCTACTACACCCAGCTTTTTTGTTGTTGTTGTTAGAGAGTCTTCCTTTGTCACCCAGGCTGGAGTACAGTGGCACAATCTCGGCTCACTGCAACCTCTGCCTCCCGGGTTTAAGGGATTCTCCTGCCTCGGCCTCCCTAGTAACTGGGATTACAGGCGCACGCCACCACGACTGGCTAATTTTTTTGTATTTTTAGTAGAGATGTGGTTTCGCCACGTTGGCCAGGCTGGTCTTGAACTCCTGACCTCAACTGATCTGCCCACCTCGGCTGCCCAAAGTGCTGGCATGAGCCACCACGCCCGGCCTACACCCAGCTATAAAGGAAAAAATGAGGAGTGTTACAGAATTGTTTTGAAGTCATTATTCTTAGCTACAAAGATCAATAACAAGGGTGATGCTGTTGAAGGTTGGACAGGCAGTTGCTGGGCTGATGTCCTTACAGAAGTATTTCTGTGTAAGGTTGTGATGGCCTTTGTTCAAGGTTGTGGCTTTTGTAGAATCTTTTTTTGTTATCAGGCATACAAGCATGATAGCCCTCTCTTCATGCCCTTCCCCAGCTCTGTTTGTCAGGGCTTTCTTAACATCAGTAACTCCATATTGATTCTGATAACTTCATACTTTCCTTTCTCCATCGAATTGCTTTCTAGGCCATTGTAGACAGTCAGTCCATCATATGGGCAGGCCTATTTCTGGTCTCTCCAAATTCTGTGCCACTGATGTATTTGTCTATCCTGTGCCAATACCACATTGTCTTGATTATGTGAGCTTTTGTAGTCAGTCTGAAATTATGTAGTATAAGTTCTCCATTGTTTTTTTTTATAGCCAAGATTACTTCCACTCTTCTTAATTCTTTGCATTTCTGGTTTTTTTTTTTTTTTTCCATAGACGGAGTCTCGCTCTGTCACCCAGGCTGTAGTGCAGTGGTGCGATCTTGGCTCACTGCAACCTCCGCCTCCCAGGTTCAAGCGATTCTCCTGCCTCAGCCTCCTGAGTAGCTGGGATTACAGGCGCGCGCTACCACGCCTGGCTAATTTTTGTATTTTTAGTAGAGACAGGGTTTCACCATGTTGGTCAGGCTGGTCTCGAACTCCTGACCTCAGGCGATCTGCCCACCTGAACCTCCCAAAGTGCTAGGATTACAGGCATGAGCCACCATGCCTGGCCGACATTGTTATATGTACATATTTTCGCATGGAGATACGTTTTTATTCATTTCCTACCTGTGTGTATGAGGGTTCCGATTTCTCCTCCGCCTTGTCAGCATTTGTTATTGTTCATTTTTTTGATTATTGCCATCCTAGGGCGTATCAGGTGGTATCTCTTAGAGGTTTGCATCTTCCTAACAACCAGTGATGTTGAGCATCTTTTCACTTGCAAATTGGATGTTTGTATATCTTCCTTAGAGAAACGTCTCTTCAAATCCTTGGCCCATTTTTACATTGGATTATGTGTCTGTTGTTGGATTGTAAAAGTTCTTTATATATTCTGGCTAAGGGCTCTTTATCAGGTACCTGATTTGCATCTCTTGTCACTGTTTGTGGCTGTATCTCCAGGAGCTGAGCGACCGCAGGCTACCAGTAACTCAGTTCCTGGTGACGAAGCACCTCCAGTCCTGTCTGCCAGACCTTTTCTCAGCCTGTTCTGCCCTAGCAAGATTCCCCATACAAAACTCAGTCTCTTTACTGATATTGGTTAGCTCAAATCTGACGGTACTAGGCCGGGTGTCGTGGCTCACACCTGTAATTCCAGCACTTTGGGAGGCCGAGGCAGGCAGATCACCTGAGGTCAGGAGTTCGAGACCAGCCTCACCAATGTGGTGAAATCCCGTCTCTACTAAAAAAAAAAAAATTAACTGGGCATGGTGGCGCATGCCTGTAATCCCAGCTACTTGGGAGGCTGAGGCGGGAGAATCGCTTGAACCCGGGAGGCGGAGGTTGCAGTGAGCTGAGATCATGCCACCGCATTCCAGACTGGGCGACAGAGCCAGGCTCCTTCTCAAAAAATAAAATAAAATAAAATAAAATAAAATAAAATAAAATAAAATAAAAAAATAATAAACTGGCAGTTCTAATTAAACCAACTTCTCCAACCATGCTTGACTTTTTACATTCTTTATTACTGTTCTTAAACATTTCTATCCTGGGTTCATACTTATGTTCCCTTCTGCTGACTATGTTTCACTCTCCATTTCTACATGCTCCTTCTAGTGTGAGCCCTGTCTCTCCCTGTGCCAGCCTTTTCCATTGTGCCCTCTTGGGCTTTGCAGGAAACATCCCTTTGTCTTTATTTTTCTCTTGGACTGCCCCTGCCCGTTTTCACAATCCACACCTGATCTTTGCTTGATACTTCATTTACCTTGGTGGTCCTTCCTAATAAAGAACCCGATTCTTGGCCTCTGCCATTGTCAAAATAACATTCTCCAGATTTCTCTGTTGAATCTTTTTAGTACAATCTGCTCCACAGGCCTGTTGCTATTATTTGTGGATATTTGAGAAACTCTTCTTCCTGTTTTTCACTCCTTTTCCTCTGGCTTTATCCTATGGGGCAGGAATATTCTGACAGATGACGCTTCCCTTCTTTTTCAGTTTGAGACAGGCTCACTCTGTCGCCCAGGCCGGAGTGCAGTGGCACGATCTCGGCTCACTGCAGCCTCAGCCTCCCAGGCTTAAGTGATCCACCTGGAGTAGCTGCGATTATAGGCATGCACCACCACGCCTGGCTAACATTTGTATTTTTTATAGAGATGGGGTTTCACCATGTCTCCCAGGCTGGTCTTGAACTCCTGGACTCTCATGATCTGCCCACCTTTGCCTCCCAAAGTGCTGGGATTACAGGCATGAGCCATCACGCCCGGCCAGGCTGGAGTGCAGTAATGCAGTCATGGCTCACTGCAGCCTTGACTTCCCTGGCTCAAGTGATCCTCCCAACTCAGCCTCCTGAGTAGCTGGGACTATAGGTGCGCACCACGATGTTTGGCTAATTTTTAAATTTTTCTGTAGAGACAGGGTCTCCTTATGTTGCTCAGGCTGGTCTTGAACTCCTGCACTCAAGTGATCCACCTGCCTTGGCCTCTCTAAATGCTGAGATTACAGGTGTGAGCCACTGTGCCCCGCCAGATGACACTTCTGTTATTCCATCTACTCTTGATAGCAGTGTGCTAAACCCTGTCACTTTATTTTATTTATTTTTAATACTTTGCATATCCCAAGTTTCTTCTTTCCAATATAGTGATTTTCAGTAATATCAGACTCAGTGCCTTTTGTTTATACCATACTCTATACTATTGTTAAAGTAAATTTACGGATAATATAATATCACATACATAATTTTACAAAATTTGTGTTTTGCCCAAACTATAAGATAATGAGAGAAAAAGGGAAGTCCTTTATATTAAATATTATGTATTTCTGTACAAACATAGTCTGGCATTACTACATTAGAAGGTGTCAGGAAGCAGTTAGCTATTTGCACCATCTTATAATGGGTAAGTTTAGCTTTAACAGAGGTAAAGTGGCTGGCTGCAGTGGCTCACACCTGTAGTCCCAGCACTTGGGGAGGCCGAGGCAAGTGGATTACATGAGGTCAGGAGTTGGAGACCAGCCTGGCAAACATGATGAAACCCCATCTCTTCAAAAAACATAAAAATTAGCCAGACATGGTGGCATGTGCTTGTAGTCTTGGCTACTTGTTGGGGCTGAGGCATGAGAATTGCTTGAACCTGGGAGACAGAGGTAGCAGTGAGCTAAGATTGCATCACTGCATTCCAGCCTGGGCGACAGAGCAAGATTCTGTCTCAAACAAAAAAAACAGGCCTAGTGCAGTGGCTCGTGCCTGTAATCCCAGCACTGTGGGAGGCCGAGGTGGGCAGATCCCGAAGTCAGGAGTTCGAGACCAGCCTGGCCAATATGGTAAAACCCCGTCTCTATTAAAAATAGAAGAATTAGCCAGACGTGGTGGCAGCGGGCACCTGTAGTCCCAGCCACTCAGGAGGCTGAGGCAGAAGAATTGCTTGAACCCGGGAGGTGGAGGTTGCAGTGAGCCGAGATCGTGCCACCACACTCCAGCCTGGGCAACAGAGCGAGACTCCATCTCAAAACCAAAACAAAAAACAAACAACAGAAGTAGAGGGACTAGCGGTTATTGTTATTATTTTTTTACAAGAATATCAAGACAGGCTTGTTTATATGTGATAAGAGAGGGAAATAACCCTTGTTGAAGTAGGGCTAGCATGCCAACAAATGACAGGCGTACCTTGGAGATATTTCAGGTTTCGTTCCAGACCACTGCAACGAAGCAAATATCACAGTAAAGTGAGCCACACAAATGTTTTGGTTTCCCATTGCCTATAAAAGTCATGTTTGCACTATACCATAGTCTGTTAAGTATGCAATAGCATTATGTCTAAAAAAAAAGTAATTTAAAAAACATAATTAATTAAAATATACTTTATTTCTAAAATTGCTAATGATTGGGCCGGACGCAGTGGCTCACGCCTGTAATCTCAGCACTTTGGGAGGCTGAGATGGGTGGATCACGAGATCAGGAGTTCAAGACCAGCCTGGCCAAGGTGCTGAAACCCCGTCTCTACTAAAAATACAAAAATTAGCCAGGCGTGGTGGCACACACCTGTAATCCCAGCTACTCTGGAGGCTGAAGCAGGAGAATCACTTGAACCCGGGTGGCAGAGGTTGCAGTGAGCCAAGATTGTGCCACTGCACTCCAGGCTGGGCAACAGAGCAAGATTCTGTCTCAAAAAAAAAAAAAAAAAATTGCTAATGATCATCTGAGCCTTCAGCGAGTCATAGTCTTTTTGCTGGTCAGCCCACCATTTGCGATGCTAATATTGACAGTTGAAACATGGTAATGATACTCTACTGCTTCCTTTGTTCAGTTATGCTTTCTTCTATGTCTTTAGAACTTTATTATGGAATTATTATAACATCTAGTTTTCTGTCAACCATTAAGCGAATGTTTGTCTTAAAAAAAAATCCCACCAGTTGATAATACTAATACTTCCCTGAAATAATATCTAATTAGAGTTTGTAAAATCATATTTTTAATTCTGTCATTTATTCTGCATTTACTAGCTAGCATTATTCTGTAAAGGCGAGCTCTTCTTTCTTTTTTTTTTTAATCAACCAAGAATATTTAGTTACTCTGAAATACAGTTCATATTGATATGGCATGATAAATGCCTGATTTGTTTTCTCTTAAATTACCAATTTTCAAAGTAGGAGTTGTTTTACTTGAAGCTTCAAATGGTGACTTTTTCCCCTTGTTTTTGAATGTAATGATGCATTTTCATCAACTCCATCCATTACAGTTATTTTCTGTTTTGATCATCAAATTTTCACACTTTGGCTGGTGGGACATTTTTCAGCGGATTCCTGTGTCTTATTTTTAAATTTTAAAATGTTTTCAGTTTTATTGCTGTATAATTGACATATGAGAAATTGAACATATTTAAAGTGTACAAGTTGATGAGGTTTTTTTGTTTGTTTGTTTGTTTGTTTGTTTTTGAGACGGAGTCTCATTCTGTCGCCCAGGCTGGAGTGCGGTGGTGCAATCTTGGCTCACTGCTACCTTTGTCTCCTAGGTTCAAGAGATTCTCCTGCCTCAGCCTCCCGAGTAGCTGGGATTACACGCTCCTGCCACCATGCCCGGCTAATTTTTTTATTTTTATTAGAGACAGGGTTTCACCATGTTGGCCAGAGTGGTCTCGAACTCTTCACCTCAAGTGATCCACCTGCCTCGGGCTCCCAAAGTGTTGGGATTACAGGCTTGAGCCACCCTGCTCTGCCTGATAAGTTTTTATACATGTATATGCCTGTGAAACTATCACCATAGTTAAGATAATATTTCCTTAATACAGAATGTTTTGTATTTCCAAAATACAAAAATTTCCTTGTTCTTAGTTTATAATCCAAATTTTCTCTTTCCTTCCTGGAAACCACTGATTTGCTTTCTGTCACTGTATATTAATTAGAGAGACACGATCCTTCTCCCCAGCCTGCAGCCCCCTCAAGTGGCCTGGCCTGTGAAATGCTGTCGATCCCTGCTGGGCCTGAGACTCTCTTCCCCACCAAGAGTTATGATGTTGGCTGGGTGGCACTAGCAAGAGGGGCCCCACCACCACAAGTGGCCCAGCTGGGGGACCCTCTTTGTCCTTGTGGGTCTGAGACTTCCCTCTCTACCCAGAGATACTGGGGCTGCCAGAGGGCATAAGCCAGACAAGCTGCCACAAAAGCAGCCTGGCCTTGGAAGTCAGCTGGCCTGACATTCTCCTTCTCCACTGAGAGACTCCCAGTGGGCCAGTCTGGAGGAGCCCCTCCCTCCCCCTCAGATAGCTCCAGCAGGGACCAGTGGGAGTCTAAGAAAAATTACACTGCAAAGGTTCTGAAAATTAAACTGCCATTGGAACCATAGCACATAGAAGTAGGCCAGGACCTGCATGCTAAATTGAAATAATGTACTGAAATAAAAGAATGAATGAACCAGGGTCTAGAATTTCCAACATAATAGACAGAATGTCTAGGACACAAGAAAACATCTCTTGCCATACCAAGGAACAAGAAAATCATACCTTGAATAAGAATAATCAACTGACAGCAACACCAGATAAATCAAATGATGGAATTAACTGACAAGGATTTTAAAGTAGCTGTCATAAAAATGCTTCAGCCATCAGTTACAAATTGTCTTGAAACAAATGAAAAAGAAATCTCAGCAAAGACAAGTTATAAAAGAAACAAGAGGGAATTTTAAAATTGAGACGTACAGTAAGAGAAATAAAGATATCTCTGATTGATTGGCTCAGTAGTCAAGTGGAGATGACAAGATAGAATCAGTGACCTTAACAGATCAATAGTACGATTGGTGAACAGGACAGAACAAGAGAATTTACCCAATCTGTGCCGAGTGTGATGGCTCACGCATGTAGTCCTAGCACTTTAGGAGGCCGAGGCGGGTGGATCACCTGAGGTCAGGAGTTCAAGACGAGCCTGGCCAACATGGTGAAACCCCATCTCCACTAAAAATACAAAAATCAGCTGGGTGTGCTGACGCACACCTGTGATCCCAGCTACTTGGGAGGCTGAGGTAGGAGAATTGCTTGAACCCAGGAGGTGGAGGTTGCAGTGAGCCAAGATCATACCACCGCACTTCAGCCTGGGTGACAGAGCTAGACTCTGTTTCAAAAAAAAAAAAAAGGGAATTTACCCAATCTGAACAACATAGACAAAAGTAGACTGGAAAAGAACATTAAGTACAGCCTTAGAGATTGCGTGGCAGTTTAGGCTGAGTATCCCTAATTTAAACATCTGAAGTCAGAAATGCTTCAAAATTAAAAATGTTTTGAGCACTGACATGATGATCAAAGGAAATACTCATTGGAATGTTTTGGATGTCGGATTTTTGGATTAAAGATGCACAACCAGTAAGTATATTGCAAATATTCGAATATCTGAAAAAATTTGAAATCTGAAACACTACTGGTCCCAAGCATTTTGGATAAGGGATGCTTAATTTGTGGTAAGAGATCCAATATTTATGTCATCAGAGTTGCAGAAGGAGAGTGAAATTTCATGAGTGGTGCTGAAAGAGTATTTGAAGAAATAATTGGTTGAAAGTAGCCCAAATTTGATGAAAGACATCAACCTACAGCTTCATGAATTTGAGGGAACCCCAAACAGGATAAAACCAAAAGAATCCATACCAATACTTTATATAACTAATCATCTAAAAACTGAAAAAGGAAAAAATATGTAAAGCACCTTGAGAGAAACAATCTATTACCTATAAGGTAGCACCAATTTGAATGACAGCACGTTTCTCATCTGAAACCATGGAAGCAAGAAGGGAGTAGCACAATAGGATTTCAAGTGTTGAAAGAAAAGAACGACGAACTTTGAGTTTCATATGCAGCAAAATATTGTTTAAGGATGAAGGATGAATAATGGCATTATCAGATGAAGGAAAATGGAAAGAATTTGTTGCTAGCAGACATGCCCTTAAATATTGGCTAAAGAAAGTTCTTCAAGCTGAATTCAGGGCTGGGTGCAGTGGCTCACGCCTGTAATCCCAGCACTTTGGGAGGCTGAGGTGGGCCAATTACTTGAGGTCAGGAGTTTGAGACCAGCCTGGGCAATATAGCAAGACCCCATCTCAAAAAAAAATTATACACATACCCACCCCCCCACCAGGTGTTCAGACACGTGTCTTGTAGTCCCAGCTACTTGGGAGGCTGTGAGGGAGGATCATTTGAGTCCAGGAGTTTGAGGCTACAGTGAGCTATGATGGGTGACAAAGTGAGACCTTGTCTCAAAAAAAAAAAAAAAACAAAAAAAACCAACATAGAATTAATGAAAATGAGAATTAAACGTATCTGTAGGATGCAGCTCAAGCAGTTCTCAGAAGAAAATTTACAACATTAAATTCTTACATTAGAAATGAGGAAAGGTCTCAAATCAGCAATCTAGTTCCTACCTCAAGAAACAGAAAAGAAGAGCCAAGTAAAAAAAAAAAAAGAAAATGGAAGGAAGTGAAGAATAGAAATCAATGAAACTGAAAATAGTGTAATAAAAAATCACTATAAAACAAAAAGCTAGTTCTTTGAAAATATCAATAAAATTGATAAATCTTTAGTTAAGACTTGAAAGAGGCTGGGTGCGGCGGCTCACGCCTGTAATCCCAGCACTTTGGGAGGCCGGGGTGGGCAGATCACGAGGTTGGGAGATAGAGACCATCCTGGCTAATACAGTGAACCCCGTCTCTACTAAAAATACAAAAAATTAGCCGGGCTTGGTGGTGGGTGCCTGTAGTCCCAGCTACTCAGGAGGCTGAGGCAGGAGAATGGCGTGAACCCAAGAGGCAGAGCTTGCAGTGAGCCGAGATCGTGCCACTGCACTCCAGCCTGGGTGACAGAGCGAGACACCATCTCAAAAAAAAGAAAACTCAAGTCATCAATATCAGGAATGAAACAATATTATTACAGGTCCTGCAGCCATTGAAAAGATGATAAGGGAGTGCTGCAAACAATTTTATGTTGATAAATTTGGCAACTTAGGTGAAATACATCTATTCCTCAAAAACTATAACTTATTAAAACTCAACCAAAATATATAATCGGAATAATCCTGTAATCATTGAAGAAACTGATTTTGTAATTAAAAGCCTCCCCAAAGTGAAATCTTAGTTTTCAATGGTTTTCCTGAAGAATTCTACCAAATATTTAATGAAGAATTAATGCCAGTTTTACTTAATATCTTCCCCAAAATACAAGAGGTGGGGAACATTTCTGAACTCATTTTATGAGGCCAATATTAACCTGATAAAACCTGACAAAGATAATGCACTAAAAGAGGACTAAAGACTAATCTCTCAGGAATTTAGATGTAGAAATCCTCAACAAGATATGAGCAAATAGAATTCAGCCAAGTATAGAAAGAATTATATGCCATAACCAAGTGGAATTTTTCCCAGGTATGCAAGGCAGGTTCAACATTTAAAAACCAAAGCAATCCACCATATCAAACATGCTAAGAAGAAAAAAATCAGTCAGTCATATCAATTGATTCTGAAAAAGCATTTGGCAGAGTCTAACCCTTCATCATTAAAAACTCTTAGCAAGTTAGAAATAGAGGAATATTAACCTCTACAAAATTCTTACAGCTAACATCATACCTAATATGAGAGAGTAAATGCTTTTCCCATTAGATTGGGAACAAGACAAGTATGTCTGCGTTCACCACTCCTGTTTTACATAGTATTGTAAATTCTAGCCACTGGAATTAGTCAAGAAAAAGAAAATGCATACAGGTTGCAAAGGCAGAAATAAAGCTGTCTTGTTTTGCAGGTGACATGATTGTTATGTAGAAAATCTCAAGGAAATGACAAATAAATTTCCTAGAACCTGAGTTCAGCAAGGTCACAGGATACAATAGCAAAGCACAAAAATCAATTGTATTCTGTATTTTTTTTTTTGAGGCGGAGTCTCGCTCTGTCACCCAGGCTGGAGTGCAGTGGCGCCATCTCGGCTCACTGCAAGCTCTGCCTTCCAGGTTCCCGCCATTCTCCTGCCTGAGCCTCCCTAGTAGCTGGGACTACAGGCGCCCGCCACCAAGCCCGGCTAATTTTTGTATTTTTAGTAGAGACGGGGTTTCACCATGTTAGCCAGGACGGTCTCGATCTCCTGACCTTGTGATCCACCCGCCTTGGCCTCCCAAAGTGCTGGGATTACAGGCGTGAGCCACTGTGCCCGGCTGTATTCTACATATTAACAATGAACATGTGAAAACCAAAATTAAAAATTTCATTTACAGTCACTCCAACGAAAGTAATATGCTTCGATTTACATTTAACAAAACATACACAGGACTGGATGCTGAAAATTTTAAAAATGCTGATAAAAAAATAAATGAAAATCTAAACAAATAGACATAGCATGTTCATGGATTAGAAAACTCAGTATAATAAACTGTCATTTCTCCCCAAATTGATTCTGTAGGTTGAATGCAGTTCTTACAAAAATACCAATAAGACTTTTGTAGAAATAGGCAAACTTACTCAAGACTTGAAAGACACAGGCCCTAGAATAGCTTAAACAATGTTGACAAAGAAGAAAGAACTGGGAGGAATAGTTCACTCTGATCTTGTAGCTTACTGTGCTGTCACAGTTTTCAAGACAGTGTGGTACTACTGGTAGAGAGATAGACATAAATCAAGGGAGAGACTAGAGATCCCAGAAATAGACTCACAAAATATGTTTAACTGTTTTTTTTACAAAAATGCAAAAGCAATTCTGTATTAGTCCGTTTTCATGCTGCTGATAAAGACATACCCAAGACTGGGAAGAAAAAGAGGTTCAGTTGGACTTACAGTTTCACATGGCTGGGGAGGCCTCAGAATCATGGCAGGAGGCAAAAGGTACTTTTTACATGGTGGTGGCAAGAGAAAATGAAGAAGCAAAAGTGGAAACCCCTGATAAACCCATCGGATCTTTTGAGACTTATTCACTATCACAAGAATAGTACAGGAAAGACCGGCACCTGTGATTCAGTTCCTCCCCAGGTCTCTCCCACAACACGTGGGAATTCTGGGAGCTACAATTCAAGTTGAGATTTGAGTGGGGACACAGCCAAACCATATCAAGTTCCATGTTGAAATTTTCAACAAATGCTGGTGGAGCAATTAGATATCCATAGGCCAAAACCAACAGAAAAAAATAAAAGACCCAAATACTGCTCCTCCCAACAAATTACAAAAAAGAGTGTCTTAAACCTCACACCTTATATAAAAATTAATTCAAAATGGATCACAGACTTAAACATTTGGAGACATCATTTTTTAAAACGAAAAACATTCCATCCTCTTCTCACATGCTTCTTTGCCTGTGTCTTAGAGAGTCCTTTTGAAAAATCCTTTTAGTCCTTCAGTATTGGATTTGGACCGCACACCTCTGGGAAGCTCTCACTGGTCCTTTCGCGAAGCTACCTTGGTTGCTCTTCCATCTTATGGGCTCTAGTTCTTACATGATCTGTCCTCTGTGCACGTGCAGAGAGATCTCTGGTCTCTCTTCCTGTTCTTATAAGGACAGTAGTTCTGTTAGATTCGGGTCCCACTCACCTGACCTCACTTAACCTTAAATACCTCATTAAAGAGCCTATATCCACATGCCATTGCATTGCATTGAGGTTTAGGACTTCAACCTGAATGGGACAGGGGAGCATAGGGCAGTTCAGAACAAAGCGTATTAACTTCTTAATCAATAGTGATTGAAGTGTACATTTCTTCAACTTTGTTTCTCTAGTGGCATGAGATTTTGTGGAAATTACTCTGTGACTAGCATTTGTTGGACATTTCGGTTTTCAGTGCTATTTACAAGATTTGAATGTTTTGTTTGCTGCCTTGTACATTTTATTAGGAACTTGGAAGAGGTTTGTAGGCACAGGTTTTCCCTTCACTCCTTTTTTTCAAATGCAGTACTAAGATGGACAGGGAAACTTTTTTTTTTAAATTAGAACAAAAAATAGTTAAAAGGCATCATGGTCAACTGACAGTAAATAAGCTAGTAGACTTTTATGTAATGTTCTTTCACTGTGGATAGGCTTATATTAATAACAGTACCTTGGGAGGTCGAGGCGGGCAGATCACTTGAGGTCAGGAGTTCAAGACCAGCCTGACCAATATGGCAAAACCCTGTATCTACAAAAAATACAAATACTAGCCGGACGTGGTGCCATATGCCTATAATCCCAGCTACTTGGTAGACTGAGGCAGGAGAATCACTTGAACTGTGAGGCAGAGGGTGCAGTGAGTCAAGATCACACTACTGCACTCCAGCCTAGGTGACAGAGTGAGACTACACACACACACACACACACACACACACACACACACACCCCTATACACGTGTAAAGGCTACTCATTCGTGTCTCTGCTTTCCTTCTGCTTGTTCGTTGTTGGTATTGTTAATTCCATATTATTTCAGTCACTTGGCCTCAAAATCAGTTATTTTGGATGACTTCCTCTGTTTTGCCCCTCAGTGGGGAATGACATTGATTTCACTTCTTTAGTAACCTACCCATTCCACTGACCTTAGGAGAAAGTCATCATTACCTGTCTGACATAACCTCCTCCCAGGCTTCACTGCTTTCACTTGTACTGAAATCAAGCTCATCTTACCCAGAGCTCTGGACAGATCTGATTTTACCTTTTAAAGCTTGATATTATCTTGATTCCATCCCTAGTTGATCTAGATATTTCTTTAGATTACCTACTTACTACATGTACCAACTTATATGACTCGTGATATTTGTTTTTATCCCTTGCATCATCAAATAGTGATCTTTTTGGAAATGGGAATAATGTATTTCTTGTATACCTGCTGCTTGCTTCCACAGTGTCTCAAATATGTATGCTCCAGGGCTGGGCACAGTGGTTTGCTCACAACTGTAATCTTAGCATTTGGAGAGGCTGAGGTGGGAGGATCGCTTGAGACCAGGAGTTCAAGACCAGCCTGGGCAACATAGTGAGACCTCATCTCTACAAAAAATTAAAAAATAACCAGGCATGGTGGCTCACACCCATAGTCCCAGCTACTTGAGAGTCTGAGGCAGGAGGATTGCTTGAACCCAGGAGTTGGAGGTTGCAGTGAGCTATGATTGCACCACTGCACTGCAGCCTGAGGAACAGAGCAAGACCCTGTCTCAAAACAAAACAAACAAAAGAACGACACTCCAGGATGCATTCCCTTACCCATCCTTCTTTACTCAGAGCAGGGATATGCTTGCATAGGCAGACAGCCCCCATTTTTTAGGAGTCTGTTTTATCTGTTTCCTAGCATTATATACTATTGTACTAATATTATTTGAAGGAGTCTGATGGATTTGAAAATGAAAGCATTAGTGGTTCTCCCTGTAGAGTTTTCAGAGTTAATGAATCATAGGTTTATTTCATTGGGCTTTAGTAAAAACCCAAAGCACTGCCAAAACACTAAAATGCTCTGATGCGAATTTCCTGCGTCATGCAGATACTAGTAGGAGTATTCATGGTTACGAAACACATGGTTTCTCTTAAAAATGATGCCTTGGTGGTTTGTTTCTGTGCTTTGACGATTTTATTCAAATTGTGATTTGTTTACTTGTCATAGTCGATGCTCCGAGGGAGAGGAGCTTGTTACAAACACACATTCTATGGAATGAGAGCCATCGCTGCATGGAAACCACCCCGAGCTTGGCGTGTGCTAATAAATGTGTCTTCTGTTGGTGGTAAGTAAAAATGAAAGGTCATGGTGATCGAATATGTAATGAGCTGTGGTAATCAATCTGCCCAGCTCACACTCAGACTTACCCAAGAGCTCTGCTGTCTTGGTGATTAATCTTTTTCACTGTGAATGTTAGTGTATAAAAATTTTGTAGACAAATATTTTTGTTTCTCTTGGACAAACACTGTGAGGAATTGCTGGATTTGTAAACATCCATTTGGACAGTTTGTCTTTTTTAACTGGTGAGTTTAGTTTGTCTTATTTATAGTGATTATCGATAAATAGTGATACATTAGTGATAAAAATTTATTTTTATTCTATCCTTTTGTGCTTTCTGTTTATCTTGCTCTCCTACATTGTTTTCTTTTTTTTCTATCTACGACTAGTTTTATGCTAAGGTATCAGCTTGGGTGTCTTGTTATTGGAGGCTTTTCAGTTTATCTTGCTGGAAATACAAGCAGTGAATGTTGTGTTTCAGCTGGTTACAGCCCATTGTATGCAGAATTGAGTCTTTACAGCAATTGGGAATAGTTTAAGTGAAAGAAAATGGCTAAATTGCACAATTCTGCCTCTCTCTTTTTGGGGGTGGTGGTGCTTGCTACTAACCCATTTCTTTTTCTTTTCTTTCTTTTTTTTTTTTTTTGAGATGGAGTTTCGCTCTTGTTGCCCAGGGTGGAGGGCAGTGGCGTCATCTCGGCTCACTGCAACCTCTGCCTCCCAGGTTCAAGTGATTCTCCTGCCTCAGCCTCCCAAGTAGCTGGGACTACAGGTGTGCATCACCACGCCCAGCTAATTTTTGTATTTTTAGTAGAGATGGGGTTTCACCATGTTGGCCAGGCCGGTTTTGAACTCCTGACCTCAGGTGATCCGCCCACCTCGGCCTCCCAAAGTGCTGGGATTACAGGTGTGAGCCACTGCACCCAGCCTACTAACCCATTTCTTTCCTTCACTTACAACTGCTTACTCTTCAACTCCTAGTTCTCTATGCCAACTCATGTCTTCATAGCAGCTCATTTTGTTGTGGTCACTAATGACTTCCTTACTATCAGATCTAATAGAAGCTACTTAATTCTTATCTTAGTTGAACTCCAGTGAGGCATGCTAGGAAAGAAGGGGGACGCCACTCCTTCTGTTGGATTCAGAGATACCAGTCTCTTCTAGTATCCCACCCACCTTTGTCAGTTTCTTTTCAGTTTCCCCTGTTAGCTCTTCTTTCTGCTTCTGTCCTTCAGCCGTCTTTTATGACTCTGTGTTATGATGGTAGGAGAAGTAAACCATTTCCGTGGCTTCATTTACCTGTAGTTTGACACCTTTAAATACTTTATCTCCAGTCTCAGTCTCTTTTCTGAATTTTCCTTCTCCATTTCCAATTTCCTGTTGCATATCTTCTCTTGGATCATCCACAGTCATTTCAAGCTTAATGTATTTATCATGGAATTTATTAGGCTTGTGTTAACTTGTTCTGTTTTGGGTAATGGCACTATTAGCCATCTAATGGCCCAGACTAGACATTTCTTCTCTTTTTCTCAAACCCACTATATCCATTTGCTTATCTAATTCTATTGATTATGTTTCAGATTCTCATTATTTCTCCCTTTAGCAACCAAAATGATTTAATACTTTCTAGTCAATGTCATCTCTTAATTTATCTCCATATTGGCACAAGAGTTATAATTCTTTTTTTTTCCAGTTATTAAAAATATTGTTTTGATTATTATAAATGCTTATAATAACTTGATTTGGGGGTTATTTTGTTATGATTATTGGGGATTACAAATAAATTTTAGCAAGTAGACAATGTTACAAATATGAAATCAGTTATTAATGGGATTGACTATTTTGAATTAGTAACACTATTTTGAATTGATATTATTTGACTCAATAATAGTCAAAAACTTTGCCCATAAACAGCTCTGTCCCGCCTCCTTTATGTCATTGTCACAAATTACAACTTTATATACTGTATGCCCATTAACATAGATTTATAATTGCTGTTTTATACATTTGTCTTTTACGTCATCAAGAGAAAAAATAGAGGAGTTACAATCCAAAAATACTGGCCGGGTGCAGTGGCTTATGCCTGTAACACTAGCACCTTGGGACGCCAGGGTGGGTGGAGCACTTGAGCCCAGGGGTTCAAGATCTGTCTGGGTAACATGATGAAACCTTGTCTCTACGAAACATGCAAAAATTAGCTGGGCATGGTGGTGCATGTCTGAGGTCCCAGCTACTCCAGAAGGCTGAGGTGGGGGTGATCATAAGCCTGGGAGGTGGAGGTTGCAATGAGCCTTGATTGTGCCACTGCACTCCAGCCTGGGTGGCAGAGCAAGACCCTGTCTCAAAACAAACAAATGAAAAACAAACACAAACAAATAAAAATCCAAAAATACAACAGTGGTGACTTTTGTATTTACCTATGTATTTTACCTTTATGTTGTTCTTTGTATATTTGTATGATATGGGTCTGTTTAGTGTCCTTTCATTTTTGTCTGAAGGACTCCCTTTAGCATTTATCGTAGGGCAGGTCTGTTAGCAGTGAACTCCCTCAGCCTTTATTTGTCAGTGTCTTAATGTCTCCTTCAGTTTTGAAGAATTGTTTTGCTAGATATAGAAATCTAGACTGACAGTTTTTTTCTTGTAACATTTTAAATGTACTCTCCCACTGCCTTCTGGCCTCCATGGTTTCTGCTGAGAAATTGGCTTTTAATTTTACTAAGGATCCCTTATACGTGATGAGTGCCTTCTCTCTCGCTTCTTTCAAGTTACTTTCTTTGTCTTATTCTTCCAGCAGTTTGATTATAACATATCTTGGTATGGATCTCTTTGTGTTTGTACTACTTAGAGTTTGTTGAGCTTCTTAGTTCTGTGAATTCAAGTCTTCTACCAAATTTGGGAATTTTTCAATAATTATTTCTTCACATGTTCTTTCTGTTCCTTCTTATCTCCTTCTGGAACTTTTATTATGCATATGTTGGTATGCTTGATGGTGTCCCCCAGCTCTTTTCAATCTGATGGTGTGCTAAGACTCTGTTCAATTTTCTTCACACTTTTTTTTTCTACTTAGGCAAGATAATTCCAAATTGATTTGTCTTCCACTTCACTGAGGTTTTTCTTTTGCCTGTTCAAATCTTCTGTTGAAACCCTCTAGTGAAGTCTTCATTTCAGTTATTATTCTTTCACATCTTCTGTTTGGTTCCTTCTTATCATTTGTATCTCTTCATTGATATTCTGGATTTGTTTAGACATTGTTTTCTTGGTTTCCTTCATCTCTTTGTACATGGTTTCCATTAGCTCTTTGAGCATGTTTAAGATAGTTGGCTTAAAGTATTTTTTTAGTTGGTCTAATGTCTATGCTTCCTCAGGGAGAGTTTTTGCTAATACATGCTGGGAATGGGCCACACTTGTTTCTTTGCATGGTTTGTATGCAAAGAAATGTTTTGTTGAAAACTGCATATTTTGGCCTGGCATGGTGGTTCATGCCTGTAATTCCAGCACTTTGGGAGGCCGAGGTGGGCAGCTCACGAGATCAGGAGATTGAGACCATCCTGGCTAACACAGTGAAACCCTGTCTCTACTAAAAATACAAAAAATTAGCCAGGCGTGGTGGTGGGCACCTGTAGTCCCAGCTACTTGGGAGGCTGAGGCAGGAGAATGGCGTGAGCTCGGGAGGTGGAGCTTGCAGTGAGCCGAGATCACGCCACTGCACTCCAGCCTGGGCAACACAGCAAGACTCCGTCTCAAAAAAAAAAAAAAAGAAAACTGCATATTTTGATTATTAGAATGTGTTAACTCTGGAAGTCAGATTTTTCTCACTCTTCAGGGTTTGTTTTTTATTGCTTGCTCTGGGTTTTGTTTGTTTAGTGAGTTTTCTAAACTATGCTTGTAAAGATTTTATTCTTTGTTTTATATTACCTCTGAAGTCTGTGTCTTAAGCTCAGGGGTCAGCTAATGATTTGACAGAGATTTCCTTGAGCTCATGGAGCCAAAGGAAAAAAATTGGAGAAAAAAAAAAAAAAAAAAGCTTCTCCCAGTCTTTGCAGATTGACTCTGTCTTGGAACATTTCTTTCGCTTTTTTTTTTTTCCTTTTGAGACAGGGTCTTGCTCTGTCACCCAGGCTGTAGTACAGTGGTGGAATCTTGGCCCACTGCAACCTCCACTTCCTGGGTTCAAGCAATTCTCATGCCTCAGCCTCCTGAGTAGCTAGGATTACAGGTGTGTGCTACTACACCTGGCTAATTTTTTTTTCTTTTTTTTGAGACAGAGTCTCACTCTGTCGCCCAGGCTGGAGTGCAGTGGTGCAATCTCGGCTCACTGCAAGCTCCACCTCCCAGGTTCATGCCATTCTCCTGCCTCAGCCTCCTGAGTAGCTGGGATTGCAGGCGCCCGCCACCACACCCGGCTAATTTTTTGTGTTTTTAGTAGAGATGGGGTTTCACGGTGTTAGCCAGACTGGTCTCGAACTCCTGGCCTCAAGTGATCCACCCGCCTTGGCCTTCCAAAGTGCCGGGATTACAGACTTGAGCCACCATACCCGGCCTGGAACACTCTTTTAATGTTTAGCCAGGCCATTTACAACTCTGCCTTAGCCTTTGCTTCCTGCTTGTGCTGAGCCTAAAGATCGGGCAGAGGTGAAAGTTTAGACTCTTCCTAGGCCGCTTCTTAGCATGTCTCCTGTCCAGTGTGCCTTTCTAAATCCCAGGCGCATGCAGGTGCTTTTCAGTGCTCCAGTTCACCACATTAGCCTTGGTGCCTAGCTCTTCTTCCCAGGCATTCAGCTGTGTATTGTTTACCTCAACTATAATTTTTTTCTTAACAGCAAGTTGTTCATGTACCTACTGAGACCTTTGTTAACCCCTCTACCCACTTTTTTTTTTTTTTTTGGAGACGGAGTCTCACTCTGTCACCCAGGCTGGAGTGCAATGGCATGATCTTGGCTCACTGCAACCTCCGCCTCCCGGGTTCACGCCATTCTCCTGCCTCAGCCTCCTGAATAGCTGGGATTACAGGTGCGTGCCACCATGCCCTGCTAATTTTTTGTATCTTTTACCAGAGACAGGGTTTCACCATGTTGGCCAGGCTGGTCTTGAACTCCTCACCTCGTGATCTGCCCTCCTTGGCCTCCCAAAGTGCTGAGATTACAGGAGTGAGCCACTGCGCCTGACCCCTCTCTACCCACTTTAAAAAAATTCTTATTATAGAGTTTTTTTAACGTAAGCAGAGAGAGAATAGTATATTAAACCTCGGTGAACGTTTATCATCATATGGATAATCATATTCCATTTACCTATTTTAATACAAATCCTTGCCATCATATTGTTTTATCTGTACATACTTCAATTGACAGATCATGTAAAATGTAAATAATAAGATCTGTTAAAAAATAATATAGCCACAATACTATCATCCCATATTAAGCCCTGTCACCTAGGCTAGAGTACAGTGGTGCAATCATAGCTCACTGGTACCTTGAACCCATGGGCTCACGTGATCCTCCTGCCTCAGCCACTTGAGTAACTCCAGCTACAGGCTTGTGCCACAATGCCTATCCAGTTTATTATTATTATTTTTTTTTTTTTTTGATAGAGACAGGGTCTCGCTATGTTTCTCAAGCTGGTCTCGAACTCTTGGCCTGAAGCAATCCTCCCCTCTTAGCCTCCCAAAGTGCTGAGATTATAGGCGTGGGCTACTATACCATATTCTTTTACATGTATTTCCTCTTTTAGTTATCTAGAGATGTGGTAAAAACAAACAAAAAACAAAACACTAAAAGTATCTCTTAGGTCATCCTGTT
This sequence comes from Homo sapiens, assembly GCF_000001405.40. Taxonomy (NCBI): domain Eukaryota; kingdom Metazoa; phylum Chordata; class Mammalia; order Primates; family Hominidae; genus Homo; species Homo sapiens. The sequence continues at coordinate 72,738,695 of NC_000007.14, read as the reverse complement.
AAATCGGTGGTTCTCAGCTGGGGGCAAAATTGCTATTTCTTGTCCCACACAGAGATTTGGAACATTTGACAATGTCTCGAGATATTTTTTATTGTTAGAACCAAGGAGAGTGCTGCTGGTATCTGGTGGGTAGAGGCTGGGGATGTTGCTAAGCATTCCCTAATGCATAGGACAGTGCTCCGCAACAAAGGATTATCTAGTCCAAAATGGCAATTGTGCTGAGGTTGAAATAACCTGTGTGCCATGGTCTACAGTCACTATTTCAGTGAAGGGTATTGCTGAAACATGGCAGCATTGAAACAGAATGTGACCAGGCCGGGCGCAGTGGCTCATGCCTGTAATCCCAGCACTTTGGGAGGCTGAGGCAGGCGGATCACGAGGTCAGGAGTTCAAGACCAGCCTGGCCAACAGAGGGAAACCCCGTCTCTACTTAAAAAAATACAAAAAATTAGCTGGGCTTAGTGGCAGGCGCCTGTAATCCCAGCTACTTGGGAGGCTGAGGCAGAAGAACTGCTTGAACCCAGGAGGTGGAGGTTGCAGTGAGCTGAGATCACGCCACTGCACTCCAGGCTGGGTGACTGTGCGAGACTCCTCAAAAAAAAAAAAAGAAAGAAAGAAATATGGCCAGGCGCGGTGGCTCACGCCTGTAATCCCAGCACTTTGGGAGGCTGAGGCGGGCAGATCACAAGGTCAGGAGATCGAGACCATCCTGGCTAACACGGTGAAACTCCGTCTCCACTAAAAATAGAAAAAATTAGCCGGGCTTGGTGGCGGGCACCTGTAGTCCCAGCTACTCAGGAGGCTGAGGCAGGAGAATGGTGTGAACCCAGGAGGTGGAGCTTGCAGTGAGCCGAGATCACGCCACTGCACTCCAACCTGGGCTACTCCATCTCAAAAAAAAAAAAAAAGAAGTAAAATGTGACCAAAAAACCACTTTTTAGGAATAGAGTATGTGCTTACAGAGTTTGAGATATTATAAGGTGAGCGCTTGCAAGACAAAAGTATGTTAGCCATATGATTATGTAGACTGAAGTATTGGGATCACATCATACTGAGGTTGTAGGACAAATAATCAAGTATTTTGTGTTCTAGTTTTTCTTGTTTCACAGTTTACACTAAGTATAAATCCTAATCTCTTCTTAAGATTGTTGGCATAAGTAGTTGGTTTTTTTACAGGTCAAAATTCAAAAGAAATAACAGGATCTAATGGGTAGTGCTCCTCAATCTTAATTTCCTGTTCATAGCCAACAATGCAGTCTTTCAGTTTCTTGAGCAGTACATTTACCCAGAGTTTTGGAAAGCAAACAGTATGATTAACACATTCCTTAATGAGATTTTTAGAAAGGTCTAATTAAATGGAGATATTTCATTTACCATGGCTTCTGGTAAAGAAGGACTAATATGTGAGCTTTTAAAATTAGAATTTGCCATCTGTTTCCATTAAATATATAACAAGAATGTCAGAAAAGGTTCATTGAAAATTGATTTAAATGTTACATAAATGCTTTTGTTATTGTCCTTTTCTTGCAGTGGATTCTTAAAATAGCCTCTGAGCCTCAGTTTCTCAGCTGTAGAATAAAACAACATACCTTCCTTACAGGGTTGCTGTAAGGCTTAATTGCTTGAGTGAGGTTCTGTATATGACAGTGGGGTTTTTTTTATTCTTTTGAGACGGAGTCTCGCTCTGTCACCCAGGCTGGAGCGCAGTGGTGTGATCTTGGCTCACTGTAACCTCTGTCTCCTGGGTTCAAGCGATTCTTGTGCCTCAAAAAGATATTCATAATATCCAAAAAGTAGATATACTCCAGATGTCCATTAACTGATGAACAGAGAAACAACATGTGGTGTATCCATTCCAAGGAATGTCATCTGTCAATAAAAAGAAATTAAGTACTGATACATGCTACAGCATGGATTAATGTTGAAAATATTATACTAAGTGAAAGAAGCCGATCACAACAGGCTGCATCTATAGTAAGATTGCATTTCTGTGCATTGCCTAGAATAGACAAATCTGTAGAGACAGAAAGTAGATTAGTGGTTGCCTAGGGCCGGAGGGAATATGGGAGTTGAGGAGCAATACCCGAGGGGATAGCGTTTCTTTTTGGGAATGACAAAACGTTTAAAATGGATTTTGGTCATGGATGCATGTAAAAAGTGAAGTAGAGGCTCCTCTTCAAAGAGATTTTCCTCCCCATCTAATTAAGAATAAATAGTAACTTCTCTTAGAAGCAAAATTTATTCAAAGACCTGTGCTAACATTCTTAGATATCTGCTAGCCGTAATAAAGAAATCAATGTACTTTGTATTCTTAGCTCCCACAATTTGGCCTAAATATTTGCCCTGGCATGCTTATACTGGTCCCAGCAAGCATTAGGTCGTAGCCTATTCCTCTTCCTTTTTTGGAGGTGTTTTTACCTTTCTGAGCATTCCACAAGTTACTTCCTCCTTCCTTTGTTCTCTGCCTTTGCCTCTTTTGAAAAGTTCTAAGTTGCTAGCCAATTGGGACAAATACAGAATGTGAGGTCCTGTTCCAGCCAATGGAAACTGGTAACAGCAGTAGGGTGAATGTGTCAGGTTATAAATGTCCCTGTCTCCTTTGTTCAGTGTATTCTCGTGGCAGAAGTGCTGGCGAGTGTACCCTTTCTGCAGAAAGTAAAAAAATGGCCTTGCTGAGAAAATTAAATTTTTGTTCAGTTGCTATTTCTTTGTAGCACTGGGGAGCAAGCATTTCTAACAATGTGCAACTCTGTGAGTATAGCAAAAGCCAATGATTTATAAACCTTAAATAGGATAATGTTACGGTATGTGAATTTTTTTTTTTTTTTTAGACAGTCTCGCTCTTTTGCCCAGGCTGGAGTGCAGTGGCCTGATCTCAGCTCACTGCAATCTCTGCCTCCCAGGTTCAAGCGATTCTTGTCCCTCAGCCTCCCAAGTAGCTGGGATTACAGGCACACGCCACCAAGCCCGGATAATTTTTGTATTTTTAGTAGAGGTGGAGTTTTGCCAAGTTGGCCAGACTGATCTTGAACTCCTGACCTCAGGTGATCTGCCTCCCTTGGCCTTCCAAAGTCCTGGGATTACAGGCTTGAGCCACTGCACTCGGCCTTTTTTTTTTTTTTTTTTAAGGCAGAGTCTTGCTGTTGCCCAGGCTGGAGTGCAGTGACACAATCTTGGCCCACTGCAACCTCCACCTCCCAGGTTCAAGTGATTCTCTTGCCTCAGCCTCCTGAATAAGTGGGATTACAGGCTCGTGCCACCACGCCTGGCTTAATTTTTTATATTTTTAGTAGAGACGGGATTTCACCAAGTTGGCCAGGCTGGCTTCAAACTCCTGACCTCAAGTGATCCACTGGCCTCAGCCTCCCAAAGTGCTGGGATTACAGGCGTGACCCACTATGCCCAGCCTCATTCTTTTTTATAGGGCTAAATAATATTCCATTGTGAATATATATCACATTTCCTTTATCCATTTATCTGCTGACGGACACTTAGGTTGGTTCTGTATCTTGGCGATTGTGAATAGTGCTGCAATAAGCATGAGAATGCAGCTGTCTCTTCAACATACTGATTTCCTTTCCTTTGGATGTATATTCAGTAGTGGGGTTGCTGGATCATATGGTAGTTCTAGCTTTAGTTTTTTGAGGAATCTCCATATTGTTTTCCCTAATGACTGTGGTAGTTTACATTGCCAGCAACAGTGTATAAGAGTTCCCTTTCTCCACATCCTTGTCAGCATTTGTTATTATTTGATAATAGTCATTTTAACTTGGGTGAGATGGAATTTCATTGCGGTTTTGATTTGCATTTCTCTGATGATTAGTGATGTTGAGCATTTAAAAATGTATTTGTTTGCTACTTGTATATGTTCTTTTGAGAAATGTCTATTTACATCATTCGACCTTTTAAAAATCAGATTATTTGTGGGTTTTTTTGCTGTTGGGTTGTTTGAATTTTTTGTATATTCTGGATATTAATCCCTTGTTTGATGAATGGTTTGGAAATATCTTCTGTCATTCTGCAGGTTGTCTCTTCACCCTGTTGATTGTTTCCTTTGCAGTGCAGCAGCTTTTTAGTTTGATATCATCCTATTTATTTGTTTTTACTTTTGTTGCCTGTAATTTTGAAGTTTTATTCATAAAATCATTGCCCAGACCAATGTCCTAAAGTGTTTCCTCTGTGTTTTCACAGTAGGTAATTTCACAGTTTCAGGTTTTACGTGTATGTTGTTAATCTGTTTTGAGTTGATTTTTGTATATTGTCTTTCCCCACTGCATGACCTTGGCACCTTTGTCGAAAATTGGTTTCCTGTAAATATTTGGATTTATTTCTGGGTTCTCTATTTTGTTCTGTGAGTCGATGTGTCTGTTCTTATATCAATACCATGCTGCTTTGGTTTCAATAGGTTTATAGTTTTTTTGTTGTGTTTTTTTTTTTTGAGATGGAGTTTTAAACTGTTGCCTGCGCTGGAGCGCAATGATGTGATCTCAGCTCACTGCAACCTCCACCTGCCTGGTTCAAGGGATTCTCCTGCCTCAGCCTCCCAAGTAGCAGGGATTACAGGTGCCTGCCACCACTCCTGGCCAATTTTTTGTATTTTTATTAGAGATGGGGTTTCACTATGTTGGCCAGGCTGGTCTTGAACTCCTGACTTTGTGATCTGCCTGCCTCGGCCTCCCAAAGTGCTGGGATTACAGGTGTGAGCCACCGCATCTGGCTATAGTATATTTTGAAGTCATGTACTGTGATGCCTTGAGCTGTGTTCATTCTGCATAGGATTTCTTTGGCTATTTGGGGATTTTAGTGGTTCCATGTGATTTTTAGAATTGTTTTCTATTTCTGTGAAAAATGTCTTTGGTGGTTTGATAGGGATTGCATCAAATCTGTAAATTGCTTTGGGTGGTATGATAACTTTAACTATATTTATTCTTCCAACCCATGGACATGGGATGTCTTTCCATTTTTGTGTGTGTGCTCTCTTCAATTTCTTTCCTCAGTGATATGCAATTTTCTTTTTTTTCTTTCTTATTTCTTTGAGACGGAGTCTCGCTCTGTCCCCCAGGCTGGAGTGCAATGGCACAATCTCAGTTCACTGCAACCTCCACCTCCTGGGTTCAAGCGATTCCCCTGCCTCAGCCTTCTGAGTAGCTGGGATTACAGGTGCCTGCCACCATGCCCGGCTAATTTTTTGTATTTTTTTAGTAGAGACAGGGTTTCACCGTATTAGCCAGGATGGTCTTGATCTCCTGAATTCATGATCCGCCCGCCTTGGCCTCCGAAAGTGCTGGGATTACAGGCGTGAGCCACCGCGCCCGGCCAAGGATTTTTATACCTTTGTTCATCGGGGATATTGGCATGCTATTTTCCTTTTCTTTTTTGTTGTGTTTTTGTCCTGTTTTGTTTTCAGGGTAATACTGGCCTCGTATAATACTGAGTTTCTAAGAATTTCTTCCCCCTTAATTTTTTGAAATAGTTTGAAAAGTATTAGTGTGAGAGGTGTGTGTGTGTGTGTGTGTGTGTGTGTGTGTGTGTGTGTTTTAGGTTTGGTGGAATTTACCAGGGAAGCCATCTGGCCGTGTACTTTTCTTTGTTGGAAGACTTTATAATTGATTTAATCTTGTTAATGATCTGTTCAGGTTTTCTCTTTCTTCCTGGTTTATTCTTGGTAGGTTGTGTGTGTACAGGAATTTCTACGTTTCCTCTAGGTTTTCCAATTTGTTGGTGTACAGTTGGTTATAACAGTCTTTAATGATTCTTTGTATTTCTGTGGTATCAGTAGTAATGTCTCTTTTTTTGTTTCTGATATATTTATTTGGATCTTTTTTTTTCTTGGTTAGTTTAATGGTTTGTCGATGTTTATCTTTTTAAAAAATGAACTTTCTGTTTTGTTGATTTTTGTGTTCTTTTAGTCTCAACTTCATTTATTTTTGCTCTGATTATTATTTTTTTCTGTTCTAGTAATTTTGGGTTTGGTTTGTTTTTGCTTTTCTAGTTCCCTGAAGTGCATTGTTAGATTGATATTTGAAATCATTCTACATTTTTGATATAGTTGTTTATTATTATAAACTTCCCTGTTAGTACTGCTTTTGCTCTGTCCCTTAAGTTTTGACATTTGCTTCTACTTTCATTTGTTTCAGTACATATTTAAATTTTCTTCTTGCTTTCTTCATTGACTCATTGGCTGTTCAAGAGTGTGCTATTTGGTTTCCATTACTTTGTATAGGTTCCAAAGTTCCTTTTATGACTGATTTCTTGTTTTATTCCATTGTCCAAAAACATACTTGATAGGATTTTGATTTTTTAACATTTTTTGAGACTAAAATATGGTCTGCCCTGGAGAATATTTTATGTATGGATAAGAAGATTGTGTATTCTGCAGGTGTAGTATGAAATATTTTGTCAGTGTCTGTTAGGTCAGTTTGTCCTATGGTTTAAATCTGGTGTTTCTTTACTGATTTTCTGTCTAGGTGATCTGTCCAATTCTGAGAGAGTGTGATGTTGATGCCCCCGACTATTATGGTAGTAGAGTCTATCTTTCCCATTAGATCTCATAATGTTTGCTTTATATCTCAGTGCTCCAGTGTTAGGTACATAAATATTTACAGTTGTTAGATCTTGCTGCAGTGATTCCTTTATCGTTACACAATGACCTTTTCCTTGGTGTTGTTTTACAGTTTCTGACTTAAAGTCTATTTTATCTTATACAAGGATAGCTACTCTTGCTTGCTTTTTTTAAATTTTTTAATTTTTTTATTTGAGATGGAGTCCTGCTCTGTTGCCCAGGCTGGAGTGCAGTGGCACAATCTCGGTTCACTGCAACTTCCGCCTCAGGTTCAAGCAATTCTCCTGCCTCATCCTCCTAAGTAGCTGGGATTACAGGTGCCCACCACCACGCCTGGCTAATTTTTGTATTTTTAGTAGAGACGTGGTTTCACCGTGTTGGCCAGGCTGGTCTCGAACTCCTGACCTCGTGATCCCCCTGCCTCAGCCTCCCAAAGTGCTGGGATTACAGGTGTGAGCCACCACACCCAGCTGCTTTTGGTTTTGGTTTGTGTGGTATGTATTTTTCCATCCCATTCACTTTCAGTCTGTGTATATCTTTACAGGTGAAGTGAGTTTCTTGTAGGCAACAAATAGTTGGGTGTTTTTTTTTAAATTCATTCAGCCAGTTTATATCTTTTAACAAGGGACTTTAATCCATTTACATTCAAGGTTATTCATGGTAGATGATAACTTACTCATGTTGTTTTGTATATTGTTTTTGCTTTCTTACTCTCTTGTTTTTTTTTTTTTTTTTTTTTTGCAGTTTGGTAGTCTTCCATAGTGGTAACATTTGAATACTTTTTTTAATCTCATTTGTATATCTGCCCTACCAGTGAGTTTATACTTTTGCATATTTTCATGATGGTAATAATCACTTCCTGATGTAGGATTCCTTAAGCTTTTCTGGTAAGGCCAGTCTAGTATGATGAATTCTCTCAATTTTTACTTGTCTGCGACAGGCTTTATTTCTCCTTCATTTCCAGAGGATAGTTTTGCTTGGTGGTCTTTTTTTTTTTTTTTTTTTTTTCCAGCCCTTAGAATATATCATCCCATTCTCTCCTGGCCTGTGAGGTTTCTGCTGAGAAATCTGCTGTTATTCTTATGGAGGTTTCCTTACATGTGACGTGATGCTTTTCAATTGCTGTTTTTAGAATTTGCTTTGTCATTGTCTTTTGACAGTTTGACTATAATGTGTCTCAAGGAGGCTTTTTTTTTTTTTTTTGGCATTTAATCCATTTTAGGAATTTTTAGCTTGCTTGATCTGAATGTCCATATCTCTCCCAAAATGTGGGAAGTTTTCAGCTTTTATTTCATTAAAACCTGTTTACTTTTCCATGTCTTTTCCCACCTGTTCTCCTTCTGGAATTCCTAAATGCAAACATTTGTTCATGTAATGGTGTCCCATCATTCCTGTAGGCTTTTTTTCCTACGCCTCCTGCTGCTGCTCCTCCTCCTGCTCTTCCTCCTCCTCTCTCCTCTATCCTTTCTTCCTTCTCCCTTCTCCCTTCTTCTTCTTTTCTTCTTTCTTTTTCTCCTCTTCTTCTCCTCTTCCTCCTCCTTCTTCTTTTCCTTTTCTTTTTCTTTTCTCCTTTTCTTCTTTTTCTTCCTTCCTTTTTTTTTTGGTCTGACTGGGTCATTTCAAAAGTCCTGTCTTCAAATTCAGACATTGTTTGTTCTCCTTGATCTAGTATGTTGTTGAAACTCTCAGTTGTATTTATTTCATTCATCGAATTCTTCACCTTCAAGTTTTCTGTTTGGCTCTTTTTTGTGATATCTATCTCTGTTGAATTTCTCATTTAGATCATGAATTCTTTTCCTGATTTCATTGAATTGTCTATGTGTATTCTCTTGTATCTCTCTTGAGTTTCCTTAAGATCATTATTTTAAATTCTGTTACAGGCCTTGATTTTCCTTTCTTTCAGGTCTGTTACTGGAGAACTAATCATGTTTCTTTGGGAGTGTCATGTTTTCTTGCTAGTTCATGTTTTTGTTTTTTACTACATTGGTATCTGCACATCTGGTATAACAGTCACCCTTTCCATTTTTATGGAGTAGTTTTCATAGGGAAAGACTTTCCTGGAGAAGTATTTTATAGTGTTGGTTGAATGGGGTGCTTTGACTTGTCCTCTAGACGGGTACAGTAGTGTAGTAGTATAGTAGTGTACATGTGATTTCTTTGGCCATAATCGGTGCCTGTGGTTCCTGTGAGTGCCTCACTGGCCTGGACTGTGGGTGTTTGTGGAGGCAGTGGCATGGCTTTGCTAGGGTCGGTGTTGCTGGGCTTGCTGGTTCTTAGACCCTAGGGGAGCTTGTGCTATTTCTGGTAGCTCTGCTGCTTATGGGGGTAGTGTCTTCAGTGGTGCTGGTTTCTGGGCAGAATGGTCCTTGGGCCTTGAGGGGCCTGTAGGGCACACGGTAGTTCTGCCTGTCGGGAGGGTGAGATGGTTGGCAGTGGTGGACACTGGGGAGCTGGTCCTTGGGCTCTGGCATTGTGTCTGTCTTGGGGGTGGTCTCCTTGCTGTACTGTGCTGCCTGTTTTTTTTGGACTACAAGGTTCTGCATGGGCTCAGGTGCTTGGATATGGTTGTACTGCTAGTTATAGCTTGGGTTATGGCATTGTAATCTTTTATATGGCCATGGAGTGATGGCAGTGGAACCTCAGGAATATGGAGATACAGGGGCTTTGGCTCCCAGGGCAGGATACACTCTAGCAGTGGTTTTGGTCTCAAAATGACATTGTGTTGTAGCTGCTTGGGTCCCAGGTGGAGGTTCTTGTCCTTTCCCCAGGCCTGCATCAGGAGAAACTCATTCTCAGGCCCTGTCAGTGTGATTTCCAAGCAAGTGTTCCAGCTGTCCTCACTCACTTTATGAAGTGTCGACGTAGATGACAGTAACATGATGGTGACAGTTTGCCTTGTTTGTGTACATTCATAGTTAACATGGTTAAAGCAGCAGAGAGTGTTCTGTCAACCTGTAACTGGAATTGAGTGAATTAGGTGCCCAACATCTCTGGGAAGAGTTGAATGATTTCTCTATTCACCCCTCTCTGTTGGGTGTCACGATTTAAAATAAGTTGGAAAATACCACTATACGTGGTTGAACTCTGAGGAGGAAACCAGTCCTGATTTTGTGATTTTTTAAAAATGGACGACTTCATCATAAATGACTAGCCCAGATCTTATTACAGAAGGGTCTTTTAGAACTTTGCGTCTTGTTCCTAGGCACCACAACAACCCTGTGGGCACTGAATGGTTGTGGAAGATGGACCAGCCTGAAATGATCTTGAAGGAAGCCATTGAAAACCATCAGAACATGATTAAGCAGTTTAAAGGTATTTATCTTCCCTCTACAGAGGAATGCTAATACTTGTTAATAGTCTGAATCAGATTGGCAGAAGAATTGCCTCTTTGGTAGGATTTTGTCCCCACTGGCAAATTTTCCTCTAAGGAAGTGAAAACTTCGTAGGAATATTATATATATTTTGCCTTTTTAGCTTTTACTTCCCATATGATGGAAGAACTAAAAATTTAAAATGTAGCAACTTGGCCAGGTGTGATGGCTCACGCCTGTCTAATCCCAGCACTTTGGGAGGCCGAGGCGGGCGGATCACCTGAGGTCAGGAGTTCGAGATGAGCCTGGCTAACATGGTGAAACCCCGTCTCTACTAAATATGCAAAAATTAACTGGGCATGATGGTGGTTGCCTGTAATCCCAGCTACTTGGGAGGCTGAGGCAGGAGAATTGCTTGAACCTGGGAGGCAGAGGTTGCAGTGAGCCGAGATCTCTCCACTCCACTCCAACCTGGGCAAAAAGAGCGAAACTCCATCTCAGAAATAAATAAATAAATAAAAAGTTTAGCAACTTATAATATGCTGCATTCAACTTGAAAGATTTACCTGGGAATGTACCATCAATCTTCCTAGAAACCTTTGCTATTGTTCTGTCTCGTTGAGCTGAGCAGCCTTTTGAATGGATTGGAAATTTTAGGTTAGTGGAAAGTCTTAAATAATGTTAGTTAGTGATGGAAAAACGGTTTTGAATGAATTCCTTATTTAAAAAAAAGGAGGGATAATATAAATAACAGTTTCTTCCATCTAATGCACAGTAATGTGGTAAAAATTCAGCCACTCCATTTTTTTGAATTTCCTGATTTAATTCTGTCTCATATTAACAAATATTGACTTCACTGGAGGTTACGGGTTCTCAAACTTTATCATGCATCGGAATCATCTGGAGAGCTTGTTAAAACACAGATTGTTGGTTTCCTTTCCCAGAGATTGGGTCAGTAAGCGCAAGAGTATGCTTTTTTGTCTTTCTTCTTTTTTTTTTTTTTTTTTTTTTGGACCGGATCTCACTCTGTCACCCAGGCTGGAGTATGTGGTGCTATCTTGGCTCACTGCAACCTTCACTTCCCAGGCTCAGATGATCCTCCCACCTCAGCCTTACCTCCTGAGTAGCTGGGGCTACAGGCGCTGGCCACCACGCCTGGCTAATTTTTTGTGAAGATGGGGTCTAGCCATGTTGCCCAGGCTGGTCTCAAACTCTTAGACTCAAGCCATCCGCCTGCTTTGGCCTCCCAAAGTGCTGGGATTACAGGTGTGAGCCACCTGAGAATGTGCATTTCTAACAGGTTTCTGGTTGGTGTTGATGTTATTCAACTGGGGACCACGCTTTGAGAACCACTACTGTACATGTGATGGCTTCATAAAGCAACAGCTGTAGGTGATGAATTGGAATTTGTTAGGTTCCCTGTTGAATCTGTATGCTCTGGTCTCTACCTACCACTGGTGACTCCTTCTCTCCTGTATTCTTCTTTTCCGTCATATGCAACCATTAAAAAATAGTCCCAGCCAAGACTGTTTTAATATAGACACTCTTAAGGTATTAATAGCACATATGGGAGTCTTTAGAAACCTCAGTAATTAGCATTCTGAAGATCAGGTGATTCTTTCACGTAAGGAAATTTGTTCTGTTCTGGCCACTCATTCGTAATATTATAATACTCCTTACCACTTGATATGGTTAGGCTTTGTCCCCCTCACCCAAATCTCATCTTGAATTGTAATCTCCGTAATCCCCATAATCCCTATGCGTCGAGAGAGACCGGTGGAGGTAATTGAAACGTGGGGGCCATTTCCCCCATGGTGTTCTCGTGATAGTGAGTGAGTTCTCACGAGATCTGATGGTTTTATGAGGGGCTCTTCCCCCTTTGCTCTGCACTTCTCCTTCCTGCTGCCTTGTGAAGGAGGTGCCTTGCTTCCCCTTTGCCTTCCGCTGTGATAGTAAATTTCCTGTGGCCTCCCCAGCCATGCTGAACTGCGAGTCAATCAAACCTCTTTTCCTTTATAAATTACCCCGTCTCCGGCAGTTCTTTATAGCAGTATGAAAATGGGCTCATACTTATTTCTCATTCTTATGAGAAATGGAGAAAAGTCATGCAAATAATGGTTCAAGATCAGTAGTAATTTATAAAAGATAATTATTCAGTAGGCTCGGCACGGTGCCTCACGCTTGTAATCCCAGGACTTTGAGAGGCTGAGGTAGGCGGGTCACCTGAGGTCAGGAGTTTGAGACCAGCCTGGCCAACATGGTGAAACCCCATCTCTACTAAAAATACAAAAATTAGCCAGGCATGGTGGTGTGGGCCTTTTAATCCCAGCTACTCGGGGGGCTGAGGCAGGAGAATCGCTTGAACCCGGGAGGCAGAGGTTGCAGTGAGCTGAGTTCACATGCCACTGGACTCCAGCCTGGGTGACAAAGTGAGACTCCATCTCAAAAAAAACAAAAAAAATTAGTCAATAATTATACTTTTATTCTTTATGAATTTTCTAGGGAAAGTTGACCTGTACATATTTGTGTATATCTGTAGGTAGGCTGACTTTTTTTTGTACATTTACAAAGATGCTAATGATTATTTTAATTTCTCATCTTGATTTTTAGTTTCAAGCATTTTTCGATGGTGGGAGGTAGGGGTACAAATTACATTCTTATACTTGGATAAAGCAGTGTCTCTTACCAGTGTTTTGGAAAATTAAATGAAACTGTTGGTAAAGAACTAGTAAGCTCCACATCTGGAATTTGACTGGCTTTTCCTAGACTCATTGTTGGTTTAGTTAATAATTGATTGTTGATCTTCAAGTAAGCTATGTGTCTTTTTAATTTCAAGGCAAAGTCGTATTTTCCTTTGGAGAGTGTGTTAGGCTTCTCCAGAAAAACAGAACCAATGGGTGTGTGTGTATGTACGTGTATGTGTATGTGTGTGCGTGTGTGAGGGGAGAGAGAGAGACAGAGAGACTGAGATTGAGATTCATTTGTTCATTTTTAGGAGTTGGCTAATGTATTTGTGGAGGCTTGGTGAGTTCAACATCTCTTGAGTTGACTGGCAGGTTGGAGACTCAGGGAAGAGTGGGAGTTCAAGTTCAAAGGCATTCTCCTGGCAGAATTCCTTCTTGCTTGGAACAGGTCAATCTTTTTATATTAAAGCCTTCAGATGATTGGATGAGGCCCATCCACATTATGACGGGCAATCTACTTTACTGAAAGCCCAGCAATTTAAATGTTAATCTCATCCAAAACACCTCCACAGAAACATCCAGAATAATGGCTGAACAAATATCTGGACGCCGTGACCCAGACAGGTTGACACATAAAATTAACCATCACAGATAGTAATATCAGAAGCAGGAAATGCCAGTACTTTTATTTTTATGTGAAGTTGATTTTTGAGTTAGTGCTTAAGGAGCTAATGGGACGATGACTGAGGATGTGTGTTTCCTGGACATCCTGGAGTCTCCCTGAATGAACTGTGTCTCGGGCAGTTTGTGTGAGGAGGAATCAGCTCTGCCCTGAAGAATAGACACCTTCATTTCTTTCTGCTGGGATGTCCTTCCTACAGAATGACGATCTGAGTTTGGATAGTAATTTTTCTGACAGGAGCGTTTTTGCAAATGCACTTTAAATGGAAATATGTAATGAATAAACCATGAGGTAGACTTTGTTGATGTTAATAAAATGTGTTAGGTGAGTTCCGTGAGCACGTGTTTTTCATTGTCTGCTGGGCCTGTTGAGGGTCTTGTCCTGTGCAGAAAGGGGTGTCCAGTAGTGACCTTAGGCTTAAACGTTAATCAGCAGGCATCTCAAATGGTTTGTCTATGGGTTCTTACGATGTGAGGAAAACAAAAGAGTTTTAAAATTTAGATTCTCTTGAGGGATGATAGGATGCAGGATAGCAGAGAGAAAGAATAGAGCACGTCTATGGATGCATGAATCCTGAGTAGGCATTAGAATGCATAAGACGGAAGGAATGATCCCCAGAAATTCAACAACTGCCACCAATTTCATTCTTAAAAATGGTATTTATACAATATCTATTTTACCCTGGTAATTCCTACAATGGATTTTTTTTTCATATCTGAATGGATTGACTTGATAACATGTTACCATGTCAGGAAAACATCAGTGTATTTAATCAGCAGCAAATTTGCTGGAAGGGTTTTCAGAGTGGAACTGGTTGATATTTGTGCATTGATGCTCTTCAGGTTAGCAAAGCAGTTTTTCTTGAAGCTAGTAGAAAACAGGTGCATGTTTGAAGGTGTGGAGGGTGTAGACGGGTCAGCACGTAGGCATAAGAGAGCCTCATTTGTTTTATTTTTATTTTATTTTACTTTATTTATTTACTTGGAGACAGGGTCTCACTCTGTTGCCCAGGCTGGAGTGCAGTGGCACGATCTTGGCTCACTGCAACCTCTGCCTCCTGGGCTCAAGTGATCCTCCCACCTCAGCCTTCCAAGTAGCCGGAACTACAGATGCATGCTACCGCGCTTCAGCTAATTTAAAAATTTTTAATAGAGATGGGTTCTCCCTATATTGCCCAGGCTGGTCTTGAACTCCTGGGCTCAAATGATCCTTCTGCCTGGGCCTCTCAAAGTACTGGGATTACAGGCATGAGCCACTGTGCCTGGCTCTCATTTGTTTTACATTTTCACAATGAATGAGAGATCCCTTAATTTGTAATTTTGGAGCCCTGGTGACTATTTGTTTAATGCTTTTTTCTGTGTTCTAAGTTAGGTTAAACAAGCCATTATTTTTGAAAATCCATCTTATTGCTATAATAGTCATAGTAAATCTTGCTGTAAAATTATGATAATAGAAAAGAAAAAAAAACCCTAATTAGTAAAGGGTAAAGTGCATAATTTGTAAGAATCCAGAGCCCTTCTAGAAAACTGGTGGTAGTCTGTAACACTTCAAAGAAAAAAATGTTATGTGATTTCTTTTAAAATGATAACTTTGACAGCATTATAGAATTTTAGTACTTCAGAATATTGATTATATTTTCTGTTCTCTTGGCAGCAAGTAATTTCAACTGAAAAAGACCATAAAGGGATAGGGTCTTGTTCTGTTGCCCAGGCTGGAATGCAATGGCATGATCATAGCTCACTGCAGCCTCAACCTCCTGGGCTCAAGCAGTCCTCCTGTCTCAGCCTTTCAAATATCTGGGATTACAGGCACATGCTACCAAACTCAGCTAATATTTTAAAAAACATTTTTGTAGATATGGGGGGTCTCACTACGTTGCCCAGTCTGATCTCGAACTCCTGGGCTCAAGCAATCCTTCAGCCTCAGTCTCCCAAAGTGTTGGGATTATAGGTGTGAACCACTGCACCTGGCCTTAATTTTCATTTTAATAATATTGTATCTATGGGAATACAAATTTCAGGCTTAAACAGAAATGCTTACGAACAGATTTCTTGTATAAATGGCAATTATAGTCAATTTCAAAGGCTTGAAGGCATTTCCTTCGTAGTTTGTGATATTCCTGGTATCTCCACTTTGGCCTCTTTTTGGAGGTCCACTCTTAGCTCATTAATTATTATTATTTTTTAAATCCTTTTATTACTCTTTTTTTAACAAATAACCCCAGGGACAGGGGACCAGGGGAAAGGGAAGGAGGGGAAGTGAGGCCCCAGCCCCACAACCCCTCCCTCGCCACCCCTTTCCCCCTTATATATTTATAATCTATATACAAGCCCTGGGGGTAGGGGGCAAGAGGAACTCCCTCAGTGGGGTGGGGGCAAACCAGGCTCCTTGTCCCCTTGGGACCCAGGCTCCTCTGCCTTTTGGGAGGGCCCTTTTCGAGGTGGCGGCCGTGTCCATTCCCAAGGCTTAGGTATCCAGTGCAGGGCATCTGGTGGGGAGGCCTGCTGGTAAAGGTCGAAGCGCTGGGTGTGGAAGACTCCACTGCAGGTGGAAGGTGTGGCCTTGAGACAGGAATGCTCATTAATTATTTACCTCACTCTGGCTTGGAGAGTCCTTTGCTTTCTAGTGTGAGTTCCCACCCCATGACAAAGAACGCCTGCCGTCTGTCCTGGGTCTGGTTCAGTTGTGTGAAAGGTGGAACTGGCTGTGGGGATTGTTGCTTATTGTCTGAGTTCCCCAACTGGAGCTAAGTGGCCAGTCCTGAGCAGCTTTGGAAGATAATTCCTGATGTTTTCAATGCTTGTCTTTTGTGTTCTTAATTCTGAGGGCAATCATTGTCTTTTCAGTTATTTCACTGAGTTATAAAAATATCTTTCTTTTCCTGACCTTTATTAGCGTTCCTTTTATATACATACAAAATTAACTTTGCATTGATTAAAAGTGGGTCAGAATTTCAGTGCCACTCAGTGTCTATTCAAAATGCTGCCTGCCCCCTTCTAAGTACTACCATGGCAGGGAGAAATAGTTCCCAGAAAATGGGGCTGAGGTTTCTTTAGCTCAGTTTTCCACTCGTTCAGCAAACATCAAGTGATTGCACTGTCTTTGTCAGGAACGTCCTCAGTACTAAAGCTGCAAAGATGAAAAAGACCTCATTTATTGCTAGGTGTTTTTATCTATACTTTAGGCTAGAAGCAAAGTACTGCAAGAAATAAAAGATCTCCAACAGATGGTTTTCACAAGCTAGGTATGCTAACATACACATCATAAAGAAAATGTGAAGGTGGGGAAGAGAACACCACCTGTTAATTGTTTTCAGAAACTAATTTATGAAAAACCTCAAGTGGAGTATCTGTATCAAACAGGTATTATTTATGACTTTTAGTCAGGACAGGTTGTTGGGAAGATTTTTGGCCCGGAACTGCATTGTTATGAGAAGAAAGAAGAGAATGTTTTATTTCTGATCGGCCCAAACTTTAGAAATAGGAATATACTGAGCATTACATCATGTTTATTTGTGTGTTATTTGGTTTATCGCTATGACATTAGAATGAAAATTTTAGGATCTTAAGTTCTGGCTTTGTCATCTTTCAATGAGATGAAGTCCGCTTGTTAGTTACTCTGCTGACTGTAATTGTGATTATCCAAGATCAGAAAGATGTTCAGAATAAGAAAAATGTCAGAAAACTTGCTTAACCAAAAAACCCAAAGAACTAGAATAACAAAGCAGAGTTTAGTTGTGAAAGGGTTAAGATTTGGGCACCATGAAGAGAACAGATCGTGTGTGTGCATGTGCGTGTATGTGTGCCTGTGTGTGTGTGCGTGTGTGTGTGTGCATGTGTGTGTGTGTGTGAGTGTGAGATAATGGGAAACAGCACTATCGATTTGCTGTTGAAATGTCCTGTGTCTCATGTGGACTCTTTCTTTCTTCTCCAGGAATCCTTTCCATTAGAAATTTAGAGGCTATTACCAGAGAAATGCAAATCAAAACCACAATAAGATACCATCTCACACCAGTTGGAATGGTGATCATTAAAAAGTCAGGAAACAACAGGTGCTGGAGAGGATGTGGAGAAATAGGAACACTTTTACACCGTTGATGGGACTGTAAACTAGTTCAACCATTGTGGAAGACAGTGTAGTGATTCCTCAAGGATCTAGAACTAGAAATACCATTTGACCCAGCCATCCCATTACTGGGTGTATACCCAAAGGATTATAAATCATGCTGTTATAAAGACACATGTACACGTATGTTTGTTGCAGCACTATTCACAATAGCAAAGACTTGGCCAACCCAAATGTCCATCAATGATAGACTGGATTAAGAAAATGTGGCACATATACACCATGGAATACTATGCAGCCACAAAAAAGGATGAATTCATGTTTTTTTAAGGGACATGGATGAAGCTGGAAACCATCATTCTGAGCAAACTATCGCAAGGACAGAAAACCAAACACCGCATGTTCTCACTCATAGGTGGGAATTGAACAATGAGAACACTTAGACATAGGAAGGGGAACATCACACATCGGGGCCTGTCATGGGTTGGGGGGAGGGGGGAGGGATAGCATTAGGAGATACACCTAATGTAAATGACGAGTTAACGGGTGCAGCACGCCAACATGGCACATGTTTACATATGTAACAAACCTGCACATTGCTCACATGTACCCTAGAACTTAAGGTATAATAATAATAATAAAGAAATTTAGAGGCTGTTTCAATTTCTGTCATATTTCCTTGAGGCCAGTGCAAGAAGACATGAAGTGGAGTCCTTGAGGCTTTGTTTTTGGGAGGACCAGTGTAACAGCCTCTGGCAGAGAGCAAGAAATAGAAACATGCTCTTAGGAAGGAGAGAACCAAGGTTTTACATAAGCTTCTCAATATCTTACTTGTGAAAGAATCAGGATAACTTTAAAATCTAAGAATCCATTACTTTAAAAAGTTGATCATCAAGAATTTTTTTTGTCTTGTATTTTGTTTGTTTTTGTGATTGTCTAAATGGGGGAATATGATTATGATATTTTTATTTGTAGCTTTCTGGAAAGGATGGCTTTGGTGTCTTTGCTTCTAGGTTTCCTCCTGTCCTCCCTGGCTGCTCTGTGGTAGTACCCTTTGTTGATCCCTCTTCCTCTCCCCAGAACTGTGAGTGTTGTAGGACTCAGTCCGTGGTCCTCCTCCCTGTCCTGTTAGCTCCAATGCTTGCTTTGTCTGAGTTGATGGCAGCCATGTTGCTGGAGCCAAACACTTTGTAGAAATCATTGAGCCCTCTCACTCTCTCATACCCTACATCCAATCCATTTGAAAATCCCTCTTGATGATACCTTGAAAGTAGAGCCAGCTGATTGACTTTGCCACCTCCACTATCGTGCCACCTCCAGTGTCACCACCTTGGTCCAAGCCACCATTTCCTTTTTGTATTATATTATAGTCTGTCGGCAGATTATCCTCTCTCCTTGCCCCTCTGTTCTCAACGGAGAACCCGATGTGATCTACTTAAAACAAAAATTAGTTTATGCCACCCTCTTCTCAAAATCCTGCATTGGCTACCCATGTGACTCAGGTTCCCTAGACATAATCAGGCAGGCTCCCACCTTGGGGTCTTTCCTCCGACTGGAATGCTCTTCCGTCTTTGCCCTCTTGGCCTACTCCCTCACCTCCTCCAGCTACACTCCCCTTTTCAGCAAGACTTATCCTGACCAGCCTGATTGACAGGTCAGCCTGCCTCTTTTTCCTCTTGGCACCCCACATCTTCATTGCCCTGCTCTTTCTTTTCTTCTCCACGTGCCTATCACCTTCTTTTTTTTTTTTTTTTTTTTTTGGAGACGGAATCTCACCCTGCTGCCAAGGCTGGAGTGCAGTGGTGAGATCTCGGTTCACTGCAACCTCCGCCTCCTGGGTTCAAGCAATTCTCCTGGCTCAGCCTCCCGAATAGCTAGGATTACAGGCACCTGCCACCATGCCCGGCTAATGTTTTTATATTTTTGGTAGAGATGGGGTTTCACCATGTTGGTCAGGCTGGTCTCGAACCCCTAACCTCATGATCCACCCGCCTCAGCCTCCCAAAGTGCTGAGATTACAGGCGTGAGCCACCACGCCCGGCCCAAAACTTCGTCTTTACCAAAAATTTAAAAAAAATTAGCCAAGTGTGGTGGCATATGCTTGTGGTCCTAGCACCTGAGGAGGCAGAGGCGGGAGGGTCACCTGAGCCCAGGAGATTGAGGCTGCAGTCAGCTTGATCACATCACTGCACTCCAGCCTGGGTGACAGAGGCAGACCTTGTCTAAAAAAAAAAAAATAATAATAATTGAATTTATTTTTCAGTTCACAAAATAAAAATATTTGCAGCTAGCATGTTTTGCATGTGTATGTGCTGGGCCTGGCACCCCATTAAGTATTTCATGTAGCTTATTTCATTTAATTGTTATAATAGCTGTATGTGTGTGTGTAAAATCTCCATTTTAAAGATCAGGGAATGGGCTTGGAGAGGGTGGGAGAGGCTTGACCAAGGATATAAAACTACCTTCGCGGTGGAGCTAGAGTGTGAACCCGGTGCATCTGAATCCCAGAGGCCAGGGCCTAGCCGATGCTCCTTCCACTTTCTGAGTTTTAGGTTGGTTTTGGAGTTCAGGTTCAACCTGCCTTTCTACTCAGCTGCTCATGGTGGGGATTATAGTTAATGATATGCTTTTTGAAAAGCAAATGTTATGCTTAATGCTGAGTTGTCTTGGCAACATAGAATGAGCTTAAGGATCAAATTTTATTTAAAAACCTTGTTTTACTTGAGTTAAGATCTTAGATTTCAATAACCTAAAAAATTATTCATCCATCCAAAAATACTGACACGAAATACATTCTTACAATTGCAGTTACATAGTCATAAAAGAAGACATCACCTGTCATGCTTAGATTGTTCTCATTTTGGTCTGTACTCTGTTGCTTTGATCTCTTGGGGATTTACTTGCACTTTGTGTTTCATTTTATTTATTATTTTGTATTGGGGTACATGTGCATGTTATTTACATCGGTGTATTGTGTACTGCAGGAATTAGGCTTCTTGCATACCCATTACTCAAATAGTGAACATTGTACCTGATAGGCAATTTTTCAACTGTCGCCCCGTCCCATCCTCTTTTGGAGTCTCTAGTCTCTATTATTTCCATCTTTAGGTCCGTGTGTACCCATTGGTTAGTTCCCACTTAAAAGTGAGAACGTGTGATATTTGATGTTCTGTTTTTTAGTTCACCTAGGATGATGGCCTCCAGCTTCATCCATGTTCCTGTAAAGGACATGATTTTGTTCGTTTTTATGGCTGCATAGTATTCCATGGTGTATATGTACCATATTTTCTTTATCCAGTCAACCATTGATGGACACTTAGGTCATGGTTTCATGACTTTTAGCTATTGTGAATAGTGCTGCGATGAACATACGAGTGGGTACAGGTTTTTTTTAATATAATGATTTCTTTTCCTTTGGTTAGATACCCAGTAATGGGATTGCTAGGTTGGATGGTAGTTCTATTTTTAGTTCTTTGAGAAATCTCTCTATAGAGGTTGAACTAATTTACATCCCCACCAATAGTGTGTAATCCACGCCAATTCTGTTGTTTTGCTCTAATAATAGCCATTCTGACTAGTATGAGATGATATCCCATTGTAAGTTTAATTTGCATTTCTCTGCAAATGATTATTAGTAATGCTGAGTGTTTTTTTCACGTAACTTACACTTTCGTATTTCTAAGGTGTAGGAGGAAGAGAGAGAGAGAATTAGAGTGTGTGTGTGTGTGTGTGTGTGTGTGTGTGTGTCAAGCACAGCTGACACCAATACCTTAACTTAAACATACCCGGAGAATGACTGTATGTTCTAAGAAGAATGTGTGTTCTGAGCTCTGAACTAGGAGATCCAGGAGTGGCCAACCCGGGGATTCATTCTCTTTGTTTTTTTCTGTGAAGGCTTTATTTTGGACAGATCATTCTCTATCTATGAGGAACATCTGAATCCCTAGCGCTTCCTGTGGAATGCAGGTTGTACAGGGGATCAAGGCCTGTTGTTTTGGGTTAAATAAAGTGGTGCCTGGTGGAGATTGCTGGTGGGGGAGGTACTAAGTGAAAATGCTGTATAAACTGCATGATTTTTTTTTTTTTTTTTCCAGACAGGGTCTTGCCCTGTTGCCCAGGCTAGAGGGCAGTGGCGCAGTCTCAGCTCACTGCAACCTCCACCTCCAGGGTTCAAGTGATTCTTCTGCCTCAGCCTCCTGAGTAGCTGGGCCTACGAGCATGCACCACCACGCCTGGCTAATTTTTGTATTTTTAGTAGAGATGAGGTTTTGCCATGTTGGCCGAGCTGGTCTTGAACTCCTGACTTCAACTGATGCACCCATCTCGGCATCACTAAGTGCTGGGATTACAGGCATGAGCTGCCGTGCCCAGCCAAACTGCATGCTTTTTACAAGCAACTGTGGTTCTCCTGCCCAGCCCACTGCCACTGGACTGCCCTGTTTGTGAGTTTGTGAGTCCCTTCAATGAACCCTATGTCTTGGCTGGGCATGGTGGCTCACGCCTGTAATCCCAGCACTTTGGGAGGCTGAGGCGGGCCAACATAGTGAAACCCCATCTCTACTAAAAATACAAAAAAAAAAAAAAAATTAGCCAGACGTGGTGGTGTGTGCCTGTAGTCCCAGATACTGAGGAGGCTGAGGCAGGAGAATTGCTTGAACCCGGGAGGCGGAGGTTGCAGTGAGCTGAGATCATGCCATTGCACTCCTGCCTGGGCAACAGGGCGAGACTCTGTCTCAAAAACAACAACAACAACAACAACAGCCACAGCCCCTATGTCTCGTTCACTGGCTCTGCATCTCTTTGCCAGCCCCTCACACATGGTGCTATCCCTACTGAAGTCAATCAGGGTCTGGCGGAACAGTGTGTCTAAAATAAAATCACTTTCTGAAAACTGAGGCACAACTGAGCAGTGAAATTTAACTTTATTTCGCCCACGTTCTTTGTTACTGTTGTTAAGGTGACAGTGACTGGGATCGAATCAGTTTCATAAACTAGGATAAAGGTGGTAATAGCAAATTGTTAATGAACGTTTCTTGTGTGCCAGACACTCCGCTAAGGCCTTTACATGCATTATCTCATTTAATCCCAACAAAAATTCTTCAAGGTACTTACCATTCACAGCTAAGAAAGTTATGTTTCAAAGATGGCCAATAATGGCTGGGCATGGTGGCTCACGCCTGTAATCCCAGCACTTTGGGAGGCCGAGGCGGGCAGATCACGAGGTCAGGAGATCGAGACCATCCTGGCCAACATGGTGAAACCCCATCTCTACTAAAAATACAAAAAATTAGCCGGGCATGGTGGTGGGCACCAGCCCGGTGTAGTCCCAGCTACTCGGGAGGCTGAGGCAGGAGAATGGCTTGAACCGAGGAGGTGGAGCTTGCAGTGAGCTGAGATTGTGCCACTGCAATCCAGCCTGGGTGATGGAGCGCAACTCCATCTCAAAAACAAACAAACAAACAAACAAAACAAAGATGTCCAATAGGAGTCGGAGAAGACACATGAACACGCTTCTCCCCTAGGCCCAAGCTCCATGAGGAACCCCTATCCTGCAGAGAGAATATGTTCTTCAAAAGGAACCTAGAAATCATTGATTTAGAACTATCAGGAGTCAAGGTGATATATATTTTTTCTTTGTTTTTTTTTTTAACTCTTAAGTTCAGGGGTACAAGTGCAGGTTTGTTACATAGGTAAACTTGTGTCATGGGGGTTTGTTGTACAGATTATTTCATCACCCAGGTATTAAGCCCAGTACCCATTAGTTGTTTTTCCTGATCCTCTCCCTTCTCCCACCCTCCACCCTCTGATAGGCCCCAGTGTGTGTCATTCCCCTCTATGTGTTCATGTGTTCTTAGGATACATAATTTTGCCTATTTACACTCTTTCCGAGTCTTTCACATTCTCTGTTAGACTGAAGGACTTTTAGGACAGCATATCTCTTAATGCCTTCTACATTGAGTCAAGAGCAGTACCTGACAAACCAAGCTGCATGCTGGAATCACACGGAGAGCCCTTTAGAAATCCTGATGCACGAGGCCCCTCCCCAGAGACCGTGATTTAATATGTTTGGGATATGGCCTGGACATTGGGATTCTTAAATGTTTTTTGGGTAATCCCAGTGTCCAGCTAGGATTCAGAACGAGTGGTGTGTGCTAGTGGCTACTAAACTTGTCTACACATTGGAATCACCTGGGGGGCTTCAGAAACTGCGAATTGCCTGCACCCCTCCGCCAGAGATTGGCGTTTAGTTGATCTGAGCTGTGGCCTGGATTGTGGGAATTTTAAGATTCCAAGGTGATTCCAATGTGCAGACAGGTTGGGCCCCTCTGGTTTCATGCAGTGGCTTTTAGCCTTGGCTATACATAACAACCATCTGAGAAGCTTTAACAAAACTTATTGCCCAGCCTTGCACCCACTCTGATGAAACAGACTCTTTAGAGGTGGACCTAGGTGGCAGTATTTTTGGTTTTTTTTGGAGACGGAGTCTCACTCTGTTGCCCAGGCTGGAGTGCGGTGACACCGTCTCCTCTCACTGCAATCTGTGCCTCCTGGGTTCAAGCGATTCTCCTGCCTCAGCCTCCCGAGTAGCTGGGATTACTGGCATCCGCCACTACGCCCAGCTAATTTTGGCATTTTTAGTAGAGACAGGGTTTCACCATGTTGCCAGGCTGGTGTTGAACTCCTGACCTCAAGTGATCTGCCCACCTTGGCCTCCCAAAGTGCTGGGATTACAGGTGTGAGCCACTGCGCCCAGCCTATTTTTGTTTTTTGAGACAGGCCTTGCTCTGTCATCCAGGCTGGAGTGCAGTGGCATGATAGTGGTTCACTGCAGCCTCAATCTCCCAGACTCAAGTGATCTTCCCACCTCAGCTTCCCAAGTAGTTGGGACCACAGACATGTGCCACCATGCCCAGCTATTTTTTTTTTTTTAATTTTTAGTAGAGGCAAGGTCTCACTATATTGCCCAGGCTAGTTTTGAACTCCTTGGCTGAAGCAATCCTCCTGCCTTGGCCTCCCAAAGTGCTGGGAATACAGGTGTGAGCTACTGCGCCTGGCCTGTAGAAGTATTTTTTGAAGCTCCTCAGGTGATTCCAGTATGAAGTATGAATTATGAAGTATTCCAGTATGAAGCCAAAGATAAGAACGATTAGGTCTCTTCTTTTTCTCTCCTGTACAGCTTTGGACCAACTACATTTACTTTCCCAGTTCAGGATACTTGAGGAATGATTGGTCTAGAAGAAGCTTGTTCTTATGCAGATATACTGAGTTCATTTTCTTAGATCAACATGAAAGAATGCAAAGCTAAGCAAATTATGCAAAGGGACTTATTCTGCATTCCAAATAATTAGCTAACAAAGCTAGTTTTGCCTGCTTGTATTGATGTAGTTTAACTGGTACCAAAACTAAGAATGAGGTTACTGACTGATTTTTCTGATTTAATAATTCTAGTCCTGCCCTGCCCTTTAGCCTTTGTTTTGTATTCTTTGGTATCAAAAATGAATTTGCTCTATAAAATCAAAGCATCATTAAGAAAAACGTGACATCCTCTATCTGTGCCTTATGTAGCTGGGTCCTTCTCACTGTATTCTCCAGGAGTACCGGGCGTCAAAGCAGAACGCTTTGAAGAAGGAATGACGGTAAAGCACTGTGCATTGTCCCTCGTGGGAGAACCAATAATGTACCCAGAGATCAACAGGTTTTTGAAGCTACTCCACCAGTGTAAAATCTCCAGCTTCCTGGTCACAAATGCACAATTTCCTGCGGAAATCAGGTGAGTTCTCCAGCCTATGGAGAGATGCTGCTTGAATCTATGTTTCACTGCAAAGTAAAACTAATAGGCATTAATGCAATCAAATAGGATTTATTGATTACTTACTACATACAAATGTTGGGCTTTGGGAGGTGAAGATGGTCCTGCTCTTCAAAATCTGTTCTATTAGGCACAACAACATTAGTAAAAAGACTAGAGGCACAGATATGTCGCTAGGGGAATTGAAAAGAGAATGAATTTTTTTTTTCCAAATGGGAGAGGCAGGGTAAAACTTACCAGAGAAGCTGTCATTTGATTTTTTTTTTTTTTTTTTTTTTTTTGAGTTGGAGTCTCACTCTGTCTCCCCGGCTTGAGTGCAGTGGCGTGATCATGGCTCACTGCTACCTCCGCCTCCTAGGTTCAAGTGATTCTCCTGTCTCAGCCTCCTGAGTAGCTGGGTCTACAGGTGCCTGGCACCATGCCCAGCTAATTTTTTTTTTTTTTTAATAGAGATGGGCTTTCACCATGTTGGCCAAACTGGTCTTGAACTCCTGACCTCAAGTGATCCTCCCGCCTCAGCCTCTGAAAGTGCTGGCATTACAGGTGTGAGCCACTGCGCCTGGTCTAATTTTTATCTTTATGTCTGGGATTGGTACTTGAGAAGGTTGAAAACTATATTGTTGTTAATAAGGAACTTCCTGAGAAAGACGTGGAGTTGGGGTATTTGTGATAACCATTATGTAAGTGTAGTTTATTTAGACCACAGAATGTGTGAAAGAGAGTGGCAGGTGGAAGTCAAGTTAGAAAGGTTGGGATTAGATGGTCTAGGACTTCAAATGCGGTCCCTTGGAAAGATCTTGCTTCCTGCAGAGCAGTCTGCTGGCATGGTATGCAATTGGGGAGACAAGAAGCAGCAGGAGCCTAGATAGGAGATGATGATGTTTGCTTAGGTCAGAGTTATAAGGGTGGAAGCAAGTCAATGTGAATGAGGGAGTCTTAAAAAAGATGCTGTTAAGCCAGGCGCGGTGGCTCATGCCTGTCATCCCAGCACTTTTGGAGACTGAGGCCGGTGGATCACCTGAGGTTGAGAGTTCCAGACCAGCCTGACCAACATGGGGAAACCCCATCTCTACTAAAAATACAAAATTAGCTGGGCATGATGGTGCATGCCTGTAATCCCAGCTACTCGGGAGGCTGAGGCAGGAGAATCGCTTGAACCCGGGAGGCGGAGGTTTCGGTGAGCCGAGATCGCACCATTGCACTCCAGCCTGGGCAACAAGAGTGAAACTCTGACTCAAAAAAAAAGATGCTATTGGAGGATTGCTAGGTATGATTGGCAAACTGCTTGTATGGCTCTGAGAGGCTAGCGGAGAAGAGGACTAGGTAATTACACCGAGGGTTCCAGCCATGTTGATTGCTAGGATTATGGGGCCCCATAACAGCAGAGGGCTCTTGTAAGGAAGGGTCAGGTTTAGGTGGTAGGATGATGAGGTTGGGTTGGATGACTTAAGGGAGGGCTCTCCTTATAGGGATGATCAAAGGCATCTCCTGGGGCCTCTGGGGAAATGATCTGTTTTTGTGTCATACTGGGACTAGGCACATGCTGTAACACCAAAACTATTATTACATTTACTCATCTGTTATGTATTGGTGTTTTCCCCGATTAGACTGCAAGTTCCTTGAGGTCAAGACCTCTGCTTATTTATCTCAGTGCATTTTTTGCCTGGTGCCCTAAAGGTGCTCAGTACATGGGTAGTGAAATATTGGGGAAATAGGAAAAAAAAAAGATCTTTTTGAATTCAAGTTTGTTTCGTAAACACTGGCCAATAAAGTATAAGATTGTAAGAATTAAAGGGGCAGGGCGCAGTGACTCACGCCTGTAATCCCAGCACTTTGGGAGGCTGAGACGGGCGGATCACCAGGTCAGGAGATTGAGACCATCCTGGCTAACATGGTGAAACCCCGTCTCTACTAAAAATACAAATACAAATAATAATAATAATAATAAGCCAGGCATGGTGGCAGTTGTCTGTAGTCCCAGCTAGTCGGGAGGCTGAGGCAGGAGAATGGTGAGAACCTGGGAGGCGGAGCTTGGAGTGAGCCAAGATCACGCCACTGCACCCCAGCCTGGGCTACAGAGCAAAAAAAAAAAAAAAAAAAAAAAAAAAGAATTAAAGAGGAGAGAAACACGAAGGGCTGCTTAACAGTTAACAGGTTTATTCTGAACCTGGGAGGGACTTCTGACTGAGTTAGGTCAGAAGCCACACTCTGTTACAGACTAAGAGTTTTCAAGGATTCAGGGCGGGAGAGTTTATCAGAAGCCTGGACTGCTTCTGTGTCTCTTTGTGGTGCTTATGCTTATCTGGGAGGGAGAGGTGTGTGTCTGTTCCCATATATCTTTCTGCGCGGCAGGCATAGCCCCGAGTCTGCTTTTAGCCTCCCTATCTTAGTGCACCTGAATGGAAAGGAATGTGCTTATTAAGGCCCACTGTTTTACTGGGGCCCAGTGTATGAGGGTGAAGTTTGGCAGTTACCCAAGAGACTTTTCCCTCACCTCCCTCTGTGCCCCAGGGGTCTTATCTGTGTTTTACTGTCTGCTGTTTCTGGCTGCTTGTAGTTGGAAGTGATTTCCTTGAAATGCATGAAGCTAGAAAGGGAGGTGGAACTTAAAAGTGGCGGGGTTTGTCCGAGGTGACGGTGCTCCTGCTCTGTCAAAGATGTGAAAAAAGGTGAAAGTATTTGCAAAAAATTAAGACCACGGTTATTTCTAGAAAGATTGATCACATACATTCGCACACACAGAGTCAGCTTGAAATATTTGTTTATTTATTTTTGAGACAAAGTCTAGCTTTGTCTCCCAGGCTGGAGTGCAGTGGCACAATCTTGGCTCACTGCAACCTCTGCTTCCCAGGTTCAAGCGATTCTCCTGCCTCAGTCTCCCCAGTAGCTGGGACTACAGGCGCACGCCACCATACCAGCTAAAAGACAGGGTTTCACCATGTTGGTTAGGCTGGTTTCAAACTCCTGACCTCAAGTGATACACCCGCCTCGGCCTCCCAAAGTGCTGGGATTACAGGCGTGAGCCACCGAGCCCAGGCTGAAATTTAATGTCATAGGAAATCGAAGAGTTGATTAAAATTATTAGCTACCAGGCAATAATATGAAAATCAGTGTATTGTCATAAAGATAACTAAGCTATTACTTTTTGAAGTTGTATAAAAAGGTGAAGTTAAAATGTTTTTTAAAAGTCAATGTGTCTATTTTACATAGGGTTGCCATTTCTGTTTTTAAACTTTAGTTGGGTTTTAAATTCCTGAATTTTCACATGGCTGATGTGCGGGACATTGGGATAGAGTGGTGTTTGGGGTATATGCATAAAGAAAGGGAGTCTGTCTTAAATTAAAGGCATATATCCCCAAAAAGAATGGAATCTGTTAGTAGTAGGATATAGTAATTTTTTGCAAAATGATAACCAGAGAAGATGATTCATTGTTTGATCATGAATGGAATTGTCTGGGAATGCCATCATGGATTGAGGAAAATTATAGAGTATGATATAAGATATTTACCCGAAAACGTCCAGCAAAATGCCGGGCACATTTGTTAGATGTTATCGAGTCTCTCTTTCCCTCTCTTGCTGGTGAGTCTTCTCAGGCCTGCAGAGGGATCGTGGAATACGACAAGATGTTCGTACTAGCCTTGATTGCCATCTTCAACAAACAAATGAGATAGGATGGCATATGATTCCAAAGAAATAATTCTTCATTTACTAAACCTGACTGGGAAATGAGGAGGGAGACAAAAAGGAAGAAGTAAGGTGGCAGGATTGGGCTAATAGGAAGATTAGCAAATTTCTCCGATCCTGAAAATGAGAGTTTAAAAAGTGGATGGGTTTACTCTATCAGGAATCATCAAGAAAGAAGGAATGCTTAGGAAATAGAGGTTACGCTTTTGGAATTTTTTTTTTTGTTTTTGAGACGGAGTCTCGCTCTGTCACCCAGGCTAGAGTGCAATGGCGCCATCTCGGCTCACTACAAGCTCCGCCTCCAGGGTTCAAGTGATTCTCCTGCCTCAGCCTCCCGAGTAGCTGGGACTACAGGCACCCACCACCACCCCCAGCTAATTTTTTGTATTTTTAGTAGAGACAGGGGTTTCACCGTGTTAGCAGGATGGTCTCGATCTCCTGACCTTGTGATCCGCCCGCCTTGGCCTCCCAAAGTGCTGGGATTACAGGCGTGAGCCACCACGCTCGGCCACGCTTTTGGATTTTTAAAGCATCCTTGAAGCTCCTAATATGAAGGGTGCTGTGCTTCAGGGAGTAAGCAGGCAAATTGTGTTGCATTTTTTAGGGTATGTCCTTCCCTGGAACAAGACAGAATATGTAGAAAGTAGCCATTCTAGATTTAGATCTCAAAAAGTGGGCACGTCTTTGTTATCCATTGAAATACCTATCTAGAAAGAGAAGAACAAAAGCAAGTCTGAGATCTGCAGATTACTGCTAGGATATGGGAAGAATTTCTGATAATGGAAGTCTGGTAGACATGGGTTGAGGACATAGTCTTTCATCTTACCTTTTTCTGAAACAGAGCAGTCCTCCTGGCTTGGGAATAATGTGTGTCCAAATGTTAGGAAGTCCTAAGTATAAGACAACCCTCCTAGCCCCACATTTTTCCAATGAAAGATGTGAATTATCTAGAAAAAATTTCAAAAACAAAATGATTAGGATTGCCATGCTAGATATTATGACGTGTCATAAAACCACAAGTTTCAAACACTCTGGGCTATAGAGTAGTGCAACAAGATAGTCTTCAGAAAGCCTTTACTTTTAAACTAATTCTTTCAGGACTTGAGGCCTCTCCGAATTAAACTAAGGATGCTCCCTGCCAACCCCGATATCCCAAGAGAAAACAGAAAGAAAAAGTTTTCTAAGAGGAGATAATCTTACTTATTTCTGTGGATAGGAGGAATCAAAATACCAGCTGTCTCTGGTATCTCAGTTTCTTTCAGAAAAATAAGGCTGTAGATTAACTAATAGGACACAGAGGCCATGTATTTTGGAAGTTTCCTTTAATGTTGATAATGCTAATTCTATACAGCAAGTCAGCTCATACAGCAAGTCAGCAAGTTCAGCTATTTGCTGAGCCTCTTGCAGCCATTTCATCTTTGAGCACACTGTAAGAATTAAAGAAGAGAGAAACAAGAAGGGCAGCTTGACAGTCAATAGGTTTATTTTAAACCTGGGAGGGGCTTTTGACCTTACACATACACTAGGAAGTAATAATGTTCTCTTGTGGTTGGGTGGCTTATGTATTTTTTAGTTTTTTAATTAGAATTTTTTTTTCTAAGTAACTGCAATACCACCTGTACTCTGGTATCTTTTCAGGGGAATCTAGACTTTGTCAATAGTCTGTATTATATTCAGGCTAGTGGCTTTTTCAGGGTACTAAACCTTTCCCTAAAAGGGTTTCAGTCTTCCCTCCAGCTCCAAAGCATGTAACTGTGTATTAGTCTGTTCTCGCATTGCCATAAGGAACTAACTGAGACTGGGTAATTTGTGAAGAAAAGAGGTTTAATTGGGTCAGAGTTCTGCAGGTTGTAGAGGAAGCACGGCAGGGGAGGCCTCAGGAAACTTACAATCATGGCGGAAGGCAAAGGGGAAAGCAGGCACATCTTCACACAGCAGGAGGAAGAGAATGAAGGGGGAAGGGAAATGTTGCACACTTTTAAACAACCACATCTCGTGAGAACTTACTCATTATCACGAGAACAGCAAGGGGGAAGTCCCCATCACCCAGCCATCTCCCACCAGGCCCCTCCTCCAACATTGAGCATTACGAATTCAACATGAGATTTGGGTGGGGACAGAGCCAAATTATATCAGACTCTTTACTGACAGTTCTGCCCCTTAGAGGAGTTTTCACAGTGAGTGGTCCACCAGGACTTTTGGGAGAGCCAGGTATTTGTTGTGGATGCTGTGTAGAAGCAAACACCTTAGGCAAATGAGAAAGCTTTTGCTCTCTGAGTAGCTTTATGCTTTTGTTTGTCAAAACAGAGGTTAATAAAAGTGACAAGAATGTGTAACACACTTCATGTTAATAGGCCTGGTGGTGATTAGACAAGAAAAAAGCCATTTCTTGATAGGAAGGTACTGATATATTTTAATATGTGTCAGTTCTCTTTTGCTGCAACCACCCATCTCAAACTAACTAACAATCATTTATTTAGCTCATAATTCTTCAGATCAGCCTGGAAGTCTTTTGGTCTTGGGTGACTTTGCTGGTTGATGATGGGCTGGGCTGGGGCCCAGGGGCCTCTATTCACATGACCTCTCATCCCCCAGCAGCTATGCTGCACTTTATCACAGGGTGGCAGGGTTTCAAAGAGCAGCGATGGGGGCAAGCCCCAATGCGCGAGCATCTTTCAAGCCTTTGCTTGTATCACCTTTGCTCACTTCCCATGGACCAAAGCAAGTCACACAGCGGAGCTTCAAGTCAATGAGAAGGCACTCAGATCTACAGGGCAGGGGCACTTGGGTACTGGGACAGGAGGAGTCGATGGCCACATTTGCAGTCTACATACAGCACAACAGACCACACTTGTCAAGGAGTATAACCTTGAACCTACTGGGGCTCAGTATTCTTCAGAAACTCAGTTGATGATTATAATTATGTGAATAGCCCAGATGATATGCAATCCATTTTCTCCTTAAGCCCAGAGGTCTCAAACCCTCAGTTGGTAAGAAGTAGGTTTTGCTTTTCCTACAGCCTGTTTATCACTTTTTTTTGGAGCCAACATTGAAAAACCAAGAGGTTTTACATAAAATCTGGACTTTTGACTTTGAAAAGATGATCTGGCAAAAGTTGTCAAGATCCAAGGAGTAGTTATTTTTTCCAGGAAGCCCTGTGGTTTTCAGTTTCCCACACTCCTCTTGTCTTGCTGTTTCTTCAGCCCTGAGGCTGAGTGTCATCTGCCATTTGTCAGAGGAATTGCACGGTTGATTTTCTTATAAGAGAAATTCCTGTCACCATTTCTAAAAAAGTGAAATAAAGGTAGACTGAGAGGCCACATAGTCCCAGAACAATGGAAGAAAGCATATCACTTTGAGTAAGGAGAGAATATTCTTGTGTGTTTCATATGCAGTCTCCATTTTGGTACACAAAGAACTTTTGAGAGAGGAGAGAATATTCTTTTTTTTTTTTTTTTTTTTTTTGGAGATGGAGGAGTTTCGCTCTTGTTGCCCAGGCTGGAGTACACTGGTGCGATCTCGGCTCACCACAACCTCCACTTCCCGGGTTCAAGTGATTCTCCTGCCTCAGCCTCCCAGGTAGCTGGGATTACAGGCATTTGCCACCACACCCGGCTAATTTTGTATTTTTAGTAGAGACGGGTTTCTCCATGTTGGTCAGTCTGGTATCAAACTCCTGACCTCAGGTGATCTCCCCACCTCGGCCTCCCAAAGTGCTGGGATTACAGGTGTGAGCCACTGTGCCTGGCCGGAGAGAATATTCATGTGTGTTTCATATGCAATCCGCATTTTGATACACAAAGAATTCTTTTCCCTCTTAAAAGTGGCTTACTTGACTCACATTATTTCCTGGTCCCTGTAGACATGTGAGTTTAGAACTTTGTTCCAGAACACTGTACCATCTGTGCATTCAGCTTTGCAGTCCTAGAGAGGTGCATCATAGCTGATGTTATTGCTGCGATGGAAGATTCCATGGAGTCATTTCTTATACATAGCTCCACGCTGTAATGCTGACGACACCTTGTAAAAGCAGATCTCTGTATGGCATCGTGTTGTAAGGCAAGGAAGTTGTTGAGGAGGATGTTTCCCAACACTGAATAGCTTCTTCCCTCTGAGGAACCTCAGAGAACTGGTTTGTTCTTATCTTGTGGACATTTGAATCCTGTAACAGCATCTCCCACT
This sequence comes from Homo sapiens, assembly GCF_000001405.40. NCBI lineage: Eukaryota > Metazoa > Chordata > Mammalia > Primates > Hominidae > Homo > Homo sapiens. The sequence goes on along the minus strand of NC_000007.14, from coordinate 72,705,714 downwards.
TCATGAGTGTGCCAGAGTTCAGAGTCAAATTTGTAGTCATTTGTAGACTCACAAACTCTTATCTTCATATTTAGTCCACGTTAACTGTTATGTATCATAATCATCTATTTTACATTATTTTAAAATTTACATTTAGAATCTCATAGCTCTTTTTTGGTGAGTACTGTAAATCTAAAGCTTTTTAGCTGCTAGCAGGTTTATCATAAGAAGACAGAGCTGTGTTCAGCATTTAACTATGACATGATTAACTTCTCAGACTCACCTCCTGCTCCCAAATTTCATCCCTGTGTACATTTACTTTCGAACACCTTTTCATTGAAACTATGTAGGAACTTTATTCTCTTTCCTCTGCTGCTTCTGTATTTCTGTTTTGTTTGCTTTGTGTTTTTTCTCTAGTTTTTGCTGAGACATTCACCCCATCTTTTAGAGAACCTCTATAAACTGGATGTCTCTTTATGTATTAGGTGCATAGTATATGTTTGAAGAGATGAGTGAAGTTTAATAAACATGCAGTTTTCTTGTATGAGTTAGCTCAGAATGGTTCCAGAAAACAGCTACAATGAAACGAAGATTGAATACTGCCTGATTCTTTCAATAGAAGTTTCTTTCAATAGAGGTAAATACTGCCTGAGTCTTTCAATAGAAGTTTCTTTCAATAGAAGTAAATACGGCCTGATTCTTTCAATAGAAGTTCCCCGCCCCCCAGCCTATCTTGTTTGCACTAAACATATGAAGTTTAAAATCTAATTTTCTCTCCTGTCTTTGAATTCATGGAATATTTCTCTGAAACATGCATGTCTGGATGGGCTAAAGAGAGAGAGAGAAAGTGCAGAGAGGTGGCAAAAAGCTTGGGCTCTGGGCTAGAAAAGATCTAGGTTTCAATCTTGACTGGATCTCCTGGTGTCTTTCTGACGTTGGAGGATAACTTTTCAGTGCCCACTTTCCTCATTTGTAAAATGATAATAATAATAATAATGACTACCTTATGGTGGCATTGCGAGTATGTGAGATAAGACATGAAACACGGAAGTTTCACCTTTGGCAAGGCAGGCTAAGTAATGTTGGTCAAAATATACTTTAAGGCAAAACCCATTACTTGAGATAAGATTGACTTTTTTTTTTTTTTTCTTCAGAGACAGGGTCCCATTATATTGGCCAGGCTGGTCTTGAACTCCTGTGCTCAAGTGATCCTCCCACCCTGGCCTCCCAAAGTGCTGGGATTACAGGTGGGAGCCACCATGCCTGGCCAAGATGGACTTTTTTTTTTTTTTTTTTTTTTTTAAGATAGAATCTCATTCTGTCTCCTATGCTGGAGTGCAGTGGTGCGATCTGGGCTCACTACAACCTCCACCTCCCAGGTTCAAGCAATTCTCGTGCCTCAGCCTCCCGAGTATCTGGGATTACAGGCATGCACCACCATGCCCAGCTAATTTTTGTCTTTATAGTAGAGACAGGGTTTCACCATGTTAGCCAGGCTGGTCTCAAATGCCTGACTTCAAGTGATTTGCCTGCCTTGGCCTCCCAGAGTGCTGGGATTACAGGAATGAGCTACTGCGCCCAGACAAGATGGACATTTCTTAATAATAAAACGTTAAGCCCACCAGAAACATAAAATCATATAACAACTCAAAATTTTTAACACTGAATAATATAGTCTCAAGAATGACAGACTACAAAGCGGGAGGAACAGTAGTAGATTTTTAATTGATTTCTCTCAAACTGATAAAATTAGTAGAGTATTGAAGATTTGAACAATGGAGTTAACAAATTTAACCTATATCACAGAAATAGAGCATTCCAACCAGAAACTTTGGAATACAGATTTTTTCTTTTTTCTTTTTCTTTTCTTTTTTTTTTTTTGAGACAGGGTCTCACCCTGTCACCCAGCCTGGAGTGCAGTGGTGAGATCTTGGCTCACTGCAGCCTCTGCCTTTCGAATTCAAGTGATTCTCCCACCTCACCATCCCCAGTAGCTAGGACTACCGGCGCGCGCCACCACACCAGCTAATTTTTTTATTTTCTGAGAGAAACATGGTTTCACCATGTTGGCTAGGCTGGTCTCGAACTCCTGACCTCAGCTGATATGCCCGCCTTGGCCTCCCAAAGTGCTGGGATTACAGGCATGAGCCACCGCGTCTGGTCTGAATACAAATTCTTTTCAAGAGCACAGAACTTGTTCACAGAAAAATTACCAAATGGCCATTTGCTGAACATTATAGACATTTCAAAACAGGGTCGAAATTGTATAGAGCATGATATCTGAACACAATGGAATTAAACTAGAAACCAATACCAAGAGATAATTAGAATATTCTGGAATTTAAGCAACACACGTCTTATTTACTTGTGGGTCAAAAAGAAGTTACAGTGGAAATAGAAAATATACTGATAAGCTGGGTGCGGTGGCTCACGCCTGTAATCCCAGCACTTTGGGAGGCCGAGGCGGGCAGATCATGAGGTCAGGAGATCGAGACTATCCTGGCTAACACGGTGATACCCTGTCTCTACTAAAAATACAAAAAATTAGCCATGCGCAGTGGTGGGCGCCTGTAGTCCCAGCTACTCGGGAGGCTGAGGCAGGAGTATGGCGGGAACCCGGGAGGCAGAGCTTGCAGTGAGCCGAGATAGTGCCACTGCACTCTGGCCTGGGAGAAAGAGCGAGACTCCATCTCAAAAAAAAAAAAAAAATATATATATATATATATATATATATATATATATATATATAGATAGATAGATAGATGAATGATGATAGATAAGAAAACAAAATATGTGGGTTGGATGTCAGCAGAAATAGCAGAGCACAGACCTTAAAAATCTTGTTTCTCTGTGAAAACAATGAGAATACTGGCAAAAATGATCACAAGCGACTTTTTTTTACCTGTGGAAATTAACCAAAGGCATGCAACAATGTGAGGAGCATATATTCACGAAAAAATGGTTGCATCTCAGCAAGAAAAAAGAGCTTTGTGATGTTAACTTGTTATATTCCATTCTCACTTTCCCTAGCCTTGAAAACCAGTATCTCGGCTGGGAGCAGTGGCTCATGCCTGTAATCCCAGCTCTTTGGGAGGCTGAGGTGGGCGGATCATTTGAGGTCAGGAGTTCAAGACCAGCTTGACCTACATAGTGAAACCCCATCTCAACTGAAATATAAAAATTAGCCGGGTGTGGTGGCGGGCACCTGTAATCCCAGCTACTGAGGAGGCTGAGGCAAGAGAATCGCTTGAACCCAGGAGGCAGAGGTTGCAGTGAGCTGAAATCACACCATTCCACCCCAGCCTGGGGGATAGAGCAAGACTCCCTTTCAAAAGAAAATAAAAAAGAAAACCAGTAACTCACAACCACGGTAAAAACCAGCAGCCCGGCAGCTGTGGGAGGGGGCAAAACAGAGTGGGAACTCCTTCAAAGTCTCATTCCTGGGAAATTGTCATTATATATGACTTGTATGGCAAACCTGGAAACTTTCTCTCACAGGGGTTGTCTTTATTTGAAGTGACTCAAGTTTGTCTGGTGCAAAAAGCCTTTGGATGTTTCTCCTAAACAATTATAGACAATTGTTTAGCTTCACAAAGCTGCCTCAAGTGGCATTAACAGCTAGGGCAAACAAGAAGCTCACCAATAAATGGAAAAGGAAAAGCTGGGCCATGAGATGTCATAGGGGACTTTGAAAAGCTCCATCGTATTCCTGGGAATCTCCAACCCCACTCACACGATCAGGGCTGTGGGCATGCCAGAGAAGACTTGAGAAGGCCCTGTGCTCTTGGTTCTTACCGAGTAAGCAGGCAGCGAAAACCAAGGCAGAGTTGCAAACTGCCTGCCTGGGTGATGAGAACATTCCCTAACAAAAACACAGAGCCCCTTGACAAAGGCTGGGAGGCTTACCAGTTGGAAGCATTTAAGGATATCTCTGTCCATTAATGAGCTGACCACTAAGCTAACCAAACAGAGACTTCAGTGGCCAAACACAACAATGAATATCGGATTTACAAAATTATTTCAGCAAAAATAAACACAACAAACAGCAAAAAAGAAAACCAAGAAATGAATGAAACAATATGCCCAAAACCAAAGTAACCAACCAAACCAAACAAACCTGGGTTGAGAGGTATCTGATTTCCGGAGTTGCCACTAATGATATTTAAAACAATAGCCAGGCGTGGTGGCTCATGTCTATCATCCCAGCACTTCGGGAGGCTGGGACGGGAGGGTTGTTTGAGGCCAGGAGTTTGAGACTGGCCTGGGCAACATAGTGAGACCCTGTCTCTACAAAAAATTAAAACATTAGCCAAGTGTTTTGGTGCATGCCTGTAGTCCCAGCTACTGAGGATGCTGAGTCAGGAGGGTTGCTTGAGCTCAGGAGTTCAAGATTGCAGTGAGCCATGATCATGCGACTGCACTCCAGCCTGGGGGACAGAGTGAGACCTTGTCGCAAAAAATAAATAAAAAGAAAATGTCTAGTGTTTAAAGAAACTGACAAGATATACAAAGAAACAAGAATGTGTCCTATACAGTTGAAAGGAAACAGAATAGAATCCATCTACAAGGAAGCCTAGATGTTGGACTTACTAGACAAAGATTTGACATTGGCTATTTTAAATGTGTTCAAAGAACTACAGGAAAGCATTTTCTTTTCTTTTTTTTTTTTTCTGAGATGGAATCTTGCTCTGTCACCCAGGCTAGAGTGCAGTGGCACAATCTCAGCTCACTGCAACCTCCGCCTCCCCGATTCAAGCAATTCTCCTGCCTCAGCCTCCTGAGCAGCTGGGATTAGAGGCATGTGGCACTCCTGGCTAATTTTTGTATTTTTAGAAAAGACAGGATTTCATCTTGTTGGCCAGGATGGTCTTGAACTCCTGACCTCAAGTGATCTGCCCCCCTCGCCCTCCCAAAGTGGTGGGATTACAGGCATGAGCCACCACACCTGGCCAGAAAAACATTTTCAAAGAAACAAAAGTATGAAAATGATGACTCATCAAATAGACTATCACTGAAGTCTCTCAGAGACCCATGGGGCACCTTCAGGCATGCCAACATATTTATAAAGGGAATTCCAGAAGGACAGGAGAGAGAGAAATGAGAAGAAAGAATATTTGAACAAATACTGACCAAGAACTTCACAAACTAGAATTTGGGAAATTCACAAATATGTGGAAATTAAACAACACACTGTTAAATAACCAGGATATCAAAGAGAAATCACAAAGTGCATTCTTTGTAGTTGTTAGAAAATCAAAGAAAGGTCCAGGCGTGGTGGCTTACACCCGTAATCCCAGCACTTTGGGAGGCTGAGGCAGGTGGATCACCTGCAGTCAATTCAAGAACAGCCTGGCCAATGTGGCGAAACGCTGTCTTTACTAAAAATACAAAAAATTAGCTGGGCGTGGTGGTGGGTGCCTATAATCCCAGCTACTCCGGAGGCTGAGGCAGGAGAATCGGTTGAACCTGGGAGGCAGAGGTTGCAGTGGGCCAAGATTGTGCCATTGCACTCCAGCCTGGGTGACAGAGCGAGACTCTGTCTCACAAAAAAAAAAAAAAAAAAAAAAAAAAAAAAAAAAAGTGTAAAAGCTCTTTATGTATTGATATGGAATGATTTCTACAAGTTCACAATCTCTTATCCCATGTGCCCAAAAGTGTTTCAGAATTTTAGAAAGACAATACAGTTTATCCACTGTATTTTATGGAATATCTCCACCACCCTAGAGCCACACACATGTAATTAGTTCTACAATAAAGTATGCTTAGTCACAGAAATGGAAAAATTTGGCCAGGCACAGTGGCTCACGCCTGTAATCCCAGTACTTTGGGAGGCCGAGGCAGGCAGATCACCTGAGGCCAAGAGTTTAAGACCAGCCTGGCCAACATGGCGAAACCCCATCTCCACTAAAAATACAAAAATTAGGCAGGTGTGGTGGTGCGTGCCTGTAGAACCAGCTACTTGGGAGGCTGAGGTAGGAGAATTGCTTGAACCCGGGAGGTGGAGGTTGTGGTGAGCCGAGATCACGCCCCTGCACTCCAGCCTGGGTGACAGAGCAAGACTCTGTCTTTAAAAAAAAAAAAGAAAAGAAAAATTAAGAATACAAACAGCTTTGTAAGTCAGATTCTACTTTGAGGTAAGTATGTCTCCCAACTTAGAAAAGCAACCTTTCGGTTATTAGAGCTTTTTGGATTTTTAAATTGTGGTTAAGAGGTTGTTGGATTGGTGATAAGTGGGAGGCACAGGGGAGCCAGATGCAGAACGGTGCACTGTGCTGGCTTTTTAATCCGTCCATCACACTGGAGCCACGTGACTTTCATCAGCACTGATCTGACTGTGTCACTGGCTACATAAAACTTCAGTAAGCCAAACCTAACCCTGGCAGGACATGAGACCTGGCTGCAGGCATCCCCCAATTCCATTTGCCATGTTAGAGCCATGGGGGGATAGTTTGTGATTCCTTTATCCTGCTGCATCTCACAGCTGCGGGCCTTTGCATTTCTTCTTTGGACATCCCTGGAAATGATCTCATTCTCTTCCTGATGAACTCTGTGTCCTTCAGAGATCAGCTTTGACTTTGACCTTGTTACGTCTTTTGTATGATTTTGCCAAGCAAAATCAACTCACTCCTCCATTTATACCCATTACATTTTCCCCACCTTAGTCATGGCGCTGCGTGGTGGGACTCTCATCCATCTTCTGTTCCCTCCAGAATGTAAATATTAAGGGCTGAGCCTCTTGGCCTCAGTGTCCAGTTCGTAGTAATCCCTGAATAAATGTTGAATGAAGTGCATAAGCCCCTGAAGAGAATTAAGTTCAGAATTTCTTCCTGAGGACTTGTTGTTTTGGCTTCTCTTAGGACTTTGCAGTCAGAATCTGCATTTCACAGATCATCCGTATTCTCTTGGATTTTTCATTTATGGAATACTGTTTGTTACATGTAACCGCTGTGACTTGAACACTGAGCCACACTGTGGATTTTGCCATCATGGTGCAGGGTTAGGAGAAAGGCTCTGGGTTCATCTCTGGACTTGAATCTCCTTGATGCTTACTGTTTTTCTTTTCTTTCTTTCTTTCTTTTTTTTTTTTTTTGAGATGGAGTCTTGCTCTGTTGCCCAGGCTGGAGTACAGTGGCGTGATCTCGGCTCACTGCAGCCTCCGCCTCCTGGGTTTAAGTGATTTTTGTGCCTCAGCCTCCTGAGTAGCTGGGATTACAGGCATGCGCCACCATGCCTGGCTAATTTTTGTATTTTTTAGTAGAGATGGGGTTTCACCATGTTGGCCAGGCTGGTCTCGAACTCCTGACCTCAGGTGATCCTCCTGCCTCAGCCTCCCAAAGTGTTGGGATTACAGGCATGAGCCACTGTGCCCGGCCTGATGCTTATTCTTTATAGATCCTTGCACATGTTACTTAACCTTTTGAACCTCAGCTTCATCGTCTCTAAAATGGGCATAAGTAGCAACTACATGGTCATTTTATTGTGAGGATTCAGTGAACTGATCAAGAAGGGTAAAGCACACGGCAGAGTGTGCCAGCTCGGTGAGTGGTAAATAATTCTCTCCTTCTCTTTCACCCTCCTCCTCTCTTCCTCCTGAGCTATTTGGCTTGTTCTGACAGCCCCAGATTGTCTTAGAGATTTAGGTTTTAATATCATTGCTTGTTTGGGTCACTCTGCTTATTTTTTTTTATCCCAAGGAGGAGCTTCAAAGTCACTGTTTACTTGAATTTCTTACAAACATAAATCTCTCTCCTTTTTTTTCCTGCAGATATGTCAGGCCTCATTCTACCTTCTGAGCCTTGGAAGGTAGAAAGAGGCCTGATAATCTCTACAGAAAGGCAACATGGGAGAGGGATTTTTATGTTCATCAGCACATTTTTATATATGATAATTCTTCACTCAGAGATTTAAAATTAAGATGAAGGGTCCTTACAGTACTCACATCAAGAATCCTGGGGCATTTGTACAGAGGATTGGGCTTAAGGTTGTCTATCTTAAATATTGTCTTTTTTTGGGAGAGCAGAGGATATCCTTTTTAATTACTCCCAGCAGTGCTGTGAGATTCTCAGATACAGGAATTATTATGGTGATTTTGATGATGTAAGACTTTTTTGCTTTTTGGGAACATTTGTTATCCTGTATAGAATAGAGACAGATAAGTGACTCTACTGGGAGCCTCATTATCTCTTCTGGGTGAATAGAGACCAGTGTGAGGCAGAAATAAGATCCCTAAAGCTCAGAAAACATCTCCAAAAGTCTCTTTGCTAATTTTGAGCCCCTTAGAAATGAGCTCTGTAATTCCTGGGGACCTTTTCCTCTTCTCCATTCTTCCTCTGCTCCTTGACGAGAGATCTGTAGACTTCCTTGAGTGCAGCATCTCAGACATCTGGTATTGACTAGAATTCCTTATTGGACTTCCTTGGGTGTAGCATCTCAGACATCTAGTATAGGCTAGAATTCCTTAGTAGTAGTATCAGTGTCCAGGCCTTCCTATTTTGTAAATGATAGAGGTTTGTAAAAGGAGTATGGCCTTTGGAATGTACTGTTCATAATCTTAAGTAGTTATGGAAGCATAGTGAAAAGGTCAGGGCAGTTCTCATTTTGCATCAGGAAGCTTTTGACAAAGTCCTGTTAGTTATCAGATGATGATAGCCAGCAGTAACCATTAAGACAGTCCTTTTTTTTTTTTTTTTTTTTTTTTTTTTTTAAGTAGAAATCCAGTTAAGGAAGCATAGCTTGTCTTTTATTAAAGAGGCACTCAGCAAAGGGGTGATGAGACAGAATGCTGTTATTACTGATGCTTTTGTTTTACATTTTCAGTAATTAACGTGCTTTGCTCAGTAGTGACACATTACCTGAACTTCAAAGGATCCCCTTAGTACATCGGTATTGCAGAGGCATTAAAGCAATGAGAGCCTGCCAGGATCTTAATCACCTCTGTCCTACATTTGGTCAGAGCCTCTCCACTTTTAACAGAAGTGAACAGAAGTCTAGACACTTGTGATTTTTCTATATATCACTAAGCCACATCATTGCAAGCATCTGTTTGGCCTATATTCCCTTAAAAATTCTGTCTGCTGAAATCAACAATATCTCCTAAAAAGTAGCTTTAATATCTGCCTGTGTGGCTGGATAAAAAGAAAAACAGGATTCTTGCTCTTCAAGATCTTACACTCAAAGATTGATAAGGCTGCTACTGATACGTATATAAAGCACATAAACCATTTTAAAGTGGTGAATTGTATGGAATGTGAATGATATTTTCATTTTTTAAAAATGCATGGACTTTGAAACAAAAAATGCATAAAACTTCTAGGTGGAAATGTGGAATAAATTGTGGAATCCTTATAGAAAAAGAATATTGGGAGAATTTGATCAGAAGATGATTAAGGGGGAATTTGTTTTTTCTAGTTCTAAATTTACTGAAGAGATTGAATTATGAGACCTATTTGAAGAGAGAAGGGGAGAGGCTTTAGAAAAAGTACAGTCTAGGCCAGGCACAGTGGCTCACGCCTGTAATCCCAGCACTTTGGGAGGCCAAGGTGCGTGGATCACCTGAGGTCAGGAGTTCAAGACCAGCCTGATCAACATAGTGAAACCCCTTCTCTACTAAAAATACAAAAATTAGCCGGATGTGGCAGGGTACACCTGTAATCCCAGCTACTTAGGAGACTGAGGCAGGAGAGTCACTTGAGCCTGGAGGCAGAGGTTGCAGTGAGCTGAGATTGCACCACTGTACTCTAGCCTGGATGGCAGAGGGAGACTCCATCTCAAAAAAAAAAAAAAAAAGAAAAGAAAAAGTATAGTCTAGGTTTAATGTATAACTTGCAAGAAATCTAGTAGGGTCGGGTGCAGTGGCTCACGCCTCTAATTCTAACAGTTTGGGAGGCTGAGGTGGGTGGATCGCTTGAGCCCAGGAGTTCCAGACCAGCCTAGGTAACGTAGTGGGACCCCTGTCTCTACAAAAAAATTTTAAAAATTAGCCGGGCGTGGTGGCACATGCATGTGGTCCCAGCTACTTGAGACACTGAGATAAGAGGGTCACTTGAACCTGGGAGGTTGAGACTGCGGTGAGCTGTGATTGTGCCACTGCACTCCAGCCTGGATGAGAATGAGATCCTGTCTGGGGACTGGGCCGGGGGAAAAGACCTAGTAGGAGAAGGACCTACTAGAAATCTAGTAGGTAGGAATGAAATTATGAAATGAGGCAGTGAATTTGAGAGAAGCGGAGAATGAGTGGTATTCATGGAAACTGATTGTAAAGGCAAGGAAAATAAGAATTCATTTTTTTCTTCTGGGCTGTGCTCCTGTGTAAGTATGAGGTTTCTACTGTTTTAGGTCTGCACTACATAAAGTTCCCCAGATGGATCATTGTTTGCCCACCCAAGGCTTGACATGAAACCCAGTCCTGCTTATGGAAGCATAGGTGTGACTCAGCGTCCTTTGAATAAGGCCTGAGCTTTTGGGATTGTTTCTTGTTCCTTAGAAGACTTCCGTCAGTGATTGATGGAGGGAGGTGGCCCAGCAGCACAGACCCCATGTGGTCGGCAGAGTGTGTGGGTGGGAAAGTTAGATCAGAGAGCCCCTCTAATTGTGCTGGGCTGATGCTGTCATACCTGAAGTTAGATCACATTTTGTTTATTTTCCATTCAAACTTAGTATTTGAAGAAGGGCCAATTTTAAGTAATTCAATATTTTCAATGTATTAGGGATGGTTTCCAGTCATTTAAAAAACAACCAGAGGCCGTCCCATTTTGTCACATGATTAAAATCATTAGTTCAGTCTTTTGGGGGAAGTGGAAGTCTCTAGACCCTGTGAAGTGTTTAATACCCATGTCTATTACAGGTTTTATATCATGGAAAGCCTGATAGAGGAATAATTTTTCTTTCTTCCTTTAAAAAAAAAAATTACTAAGGAACCTCGAGCCAGTTACTCAGCTGTATGTCAGTGTGGATGCCAGTACCAAAGACAGCCTGAAGAAAATCGACCGCCCACTCTTCAAGGATTTCTGGCAGCAATTCCTTGACAGTTTAAAAGCCTTGGCAGTCAAGGTAAGAATTATGACATCTTAAAAATAAATAAACAACCCTCAGGTGTGTACTGAAGTTAAGAAGAAAGAAAGATGGAAGAAAAGAACAGAGGTACTTTTTCCTCTTTTCTCTTTAAAATAAAAAAAGATGAAATATAGCGTTCAACTTTTTAGAGACTTCTTCAAGGAATTTTGAACATTTACTATTTGTTAAATAATTATTGAGTTCTTCTTAAGTTTGTAGCACAATGCTTTGTATGTATCATTTGCCTTTCATTCATTTAAGGAGAGGGGTATATATACTCCCAAAGTTAATTAATAACAATTGGTCCTAGAACCAATTCCCCATAGATACCCAACCCGGAATCTATGGAAGATTGGTTGTAGGACTCCCCATGGGTACCAAAATCCACAGATGCTCAAGTTTATATAAAATGGCATAGGCCAAGCATGGTGGTTCACGCCTGCCTGCAAACCCAGGACTTTGGGAGGGTGAGGCAGGCGGATCACTTGAGGTCAGGAGTTCAAGACCAGCCTGGCCAACATGGTCAGACCCCATCTCTACTAGAAATACCAAAAAATTAGCCAGTTGTGATGGCATGCACCTGTTATCCCAGCTGTTTGGGAGGCTGAGGCAGGAGAATCACTTGAACCTGGGAGGTGGAGGCCGCAGTGAGCCAAGATCATGCCACTGCACTGCAGCCTGGGTGACAGAGTGAGACTCTGTCTCAAAAAAAATAAATAAATAATAAAAATAAAATGGCATAGTATTTGCACATAATCTACACTTATCTTCCTGTATACTTTAAATCATCTCTACATTACTTATAATATGTAGTACAATGTAAATGCCATGTAAGTGGTTGTTATACTGCATTTTAAATATTTGTGTGATTTTTAATTGTTTTATTTTTTCCAAATATTTTTCATCCATGGTTGGTTGAATGTGTGGAAATGGAGCCCACAGATATGAAGGACCGACTGTACGTAACCACCTTAAAAGAGGCGTCTGCAGGCCAGGTGTGGTAGCTCACACCTGTAATCCCAGCACTTTGAGAGGCCAAGGTGGGCAGATCGCTTGAGGTCAGGAGTTCAAGACCAGCCTGGGCAACATGGCAAAACCCCGTCTCTACCAAAAAACAAAATACAAAAATTACCTGTGGTCCTAGCTACTCAGGAGGCTAAGGTGGGAGAATCACTTGAGCCTGGGAGGCAGAGGTTGTAGTGAGCCGAGATTGCGCCACTGCACTCCAGTGTGGGTGACAGTGAGACCCCTATCTAAAAAAAAAAAAAAAAAAAGATGTCTGCAAATAGTATACGTTTAAATATAAAGTTAATTTTCCTGAATTTCTAGAACCAAATTTCCTAAGCCATCAATAGCCTCAGAATGTTCACATTGAATGTCATTTTCTGCAAACATTTGGCCTTTCTTGTGTGTTTTCATATGGCATACTTAGCTTCCTTTTCTTTTTCACCTAAAGTAATCATCTGGTTCTGCTTTTCCATTAATCCTCCTTCTTTCCTTCCTTGCTTCCTTTCTGTCACTTTTCTAAGCGTTCTTTGTGCCTTCTTGACATCTGACTGATAATGAGAATCACCCCAGGAGCTTAAAAAAATGACAGTTTCCTGGTCCTCATGGCATCTGAGATCTGCTTGTTAGACATCCCAGGCGTCATTTGGTATGCAGCCAGATATGGGAGTCACTGTCCCAGAAAACTTGCCTTTCTCTCCTGTGCCCAGCGCTTACTTTGACATTCCTAACCCATCACTGTCTGGCCTCGATGTACATTTCCTGGCTCATTTTTCACCTTATTCCCCAGGAGGGCCATGCTTCCCTGCTTACGTTGCCATTTCTGCACACGTGCCCACCATCTTCTCCCTTCTGAGTCTTCGGTTACTGTCTCCCCAGATTTTGGAAGGAATGTTCTTTCTTTCCATTCTTTGACTTGTAGAAATTCTGTGCACCTCCTGGACCCAGTTTTGTGATTACCACTACTGCAAAGTCTTTTCTGATTACAATTAGCTGCCCCTTTTTCCCTTCCTAAGTTTTATATCTATTAAAAAACACTGTTTTTCTTCTGTTTTGTCTTAGCTGCTCTCTCCTGAGCTGGATTCCTTCCTTATGTCTGAATTCTGCACAATGTCTAGCATAGTACACTTTAAGGTATTTGATAAATGCTTCCATTTTTTTCTTGGAGACTGGGTCTTGCTCTGTCACCAAAGCTAGAACACAGTGGCACCATCATAGCTCACTGGAGCCTCCAACTCCTGGGCCCAAATGATCCTCCTGCCTCAGCCTCCCAAGTACTGGGACCACAGGCACATGCTGCCATGCCTAGTTAATTTTTTGATTTTTTTTTTGTAGAGACAGTCTCAAACTCCTGGCCTCAGGCAATCTTCCTGCCTTGGAAGTGTTGGGATTATAGGCATGAGCCACTGCTCCAGTCCTGATAAATGTTTCTTTTTTTATTTCTTTCTTCTTTTTTTTTTTTTTTTTTTTTTTGAGATGGAGTCTCTTTCTGTTGCCTAGGCTGGTGTGTGGTGGCGTGATCTTGGCTCACTGCAACATCTACCTCCCGGGTTCAAGTGATTCTCATGCCTCAGACTCCCCAGTAGCTAGGATTACAGGTGCGTACCACCATGCCCGGCTAGTTTTTGTATTTTTAGTAGAGATGGGGTTTCACCATGTTGGCCAGGCTGGTCTCAAACTCCTGACCTCAAGTGATCCGCCTGCCTCAACCTCCCAAAGTGCTGGGATTACAGGTGTGAGCCACTGCACCCAGCCTGTTTCTTAAAAGAATGAATGGGTGGAAACTCAACAGAGATTTGTAAAGTACTATATGTGTTTTACCAGTTGTCCAGCCGATTAAGTCTTTGTGGGTTTCTTTTGCTGTTTTATGCCCGGGAAGTTAAATCCATGCCTTCTTTGGTTATTAATACTGATGTTATTTAAGAAATGCAAAAAGGCCTCTTTAGTTTCTAAGCGGTCTTGGATTTACATAGCATAAAAATTAGAATGGATTTAAATGGGAGTAAACAGCAGGAGCTTGCAAAGTCAGGCCCATCTGACATTGTTATCTAGGCTGTGTTCTTTGAGTATGGAAAATGACAAGGAAACATTAACACAATAGCTTAATAGTTTACTTCCTGTCTTTGGTCAAAATGTTCCAAAAACTGAATTCTTACCTTGAAGTCACTGGCCTTTGGGTGATGAATTCAATTGTAATCACTCTGGGTTTGCTCATGACAGTAATGCAGTAACTTAAAGTTAGAAAATAATTTCAACCCAGGAGCATCTTAAATAGAAGTCATTATTGTCTCTATGTAATTCTTGTTGGAATGTTTCTTTGGGCAATTTAAACTGCCCACACATTAGGGCAGTGACTTTCTGAGCATTTTGTAGCAATTAGAGTTGTTGTTTCTCGTTCTTGGCATTGTTTTTGTTGCCTTGTGAGAGAAGATGTGTGGCAGGATGCTGCTCTTAAAACTTTTCCTTTAAATTGACTCAAGCTGTTACTTCCTTCTGAATGTCTGATCTTATAAGACATAGTAGATGCTATTAAGAAAGATTTGTTTTACTGTTGTTTAGCACTTAAAACATATATTTTGTAGTTATATGGGTTAGCTAGGGTCAAACATATAAAAACTCAAATGCTGGCTGGGCGCAGTGGCTCACGCCGGTATTCCCAGCACTTTGGGAGGCTGAGGCGGGCAGATCACTTGAGGTCAGGAGTTGAAGACCAGCCCGGCCAATATGGTGAAACCCCGTCTCTACTACAGATACAAAAAAACAATTAGCCAGGAGTGGTGGCAGGTACCTGTAATCCCAGCTACTCGGGAGGCTGAGGCAGGAGAATTGCTTCAACCCGGGAGGCGGAGGTTGTAGCGAGCCGAGATCACACCATTGAACTCCAGTCTGGTCAACAAGAGCGAGACTGTCTCAAAATAAATATATTACAATAAAAAATAAAAACTCAAATGATACCAGATTACTATAAATAAGAGTGTTATTTCAGATATTTTAATTAGAACATCCATACTGTTATCTTCTGTTATTTGATTAGACTTTTACTATGCCTGAGCAAGGAAAGGCATTTGAAGAGAATTTCTTAAACTTTATAAACAAAAAATTTTGATTTGTCCCAAGATTTTCAGCCTATTTCTGATCTAGTACTACCCAAAGAAGAAGGTAGCATATTTTGTTTTTAACTCTTGGCAAGTACAGTGTTTACATTTCCAGATCTTTATCCTTTGTCAAAATGTTCCTTTTCAATATGAGGAGAGAAATATATTGGTACTTGAGTATGTGGGCTAAAAACCACTTCCATCAAGATACCAGAGTAAAAAATGTGTTAGCTTCAATTTCCGTCCACGATAGCTACTTGTCAAACAGTCCTTTTTTTAAAAAAAGAGAAATATATCTTATACAAGAAAACACTGCCAGCTTTTAGCAGTAAACTTTTATCAGCAATGTGACCAGATGTGTTTCTGCTGAACTATGATTATGCCAAGGTCAAGATCCAGTAGTAAACTGAACTATTTAATTCTTTTCTCTGTTTAAGTAATAGCATTAACATTCTTGAAACCTCATATTTAAAAAAGAAAAATGACCAACATAATTTCTTGCATTGCACCTTAACAATGACCATTGGCCCTCTCTCTACAGATGTTAGGATACTCTGACCTGACATCATTATTTGAATAATGGTTGTTCCATTGTTACGAAGGGCTTATTGTACATTAATGAGATAGCCCTCTATCTAATATTTAAATAAACCAATTTATGTGTGTGGCCCACAATTTGCAAATTAAAAAACAAACATTTCACATTTGACCTTATATCAGATTATAAAAATATTATGTGCTGCTTATGGAAATTTGGGGGAAGTAAAGAGAAATACAAAGAAGCAAGGAAAGAAATACCTATAATTCCAGGACCTTAACACAGTAATTAACATTTGAAGTACTTCTACTTAATCCACTGGGGGAGGGCATGCTTTTTTGCAAATTTAATTCCATCTTATATGTTACTTTTGTTTTTGTTTAACATCGTGTCATAAGTATTTTTCCTTGTCATTACACTTCTCTATGACTGTCATGTTAAAGACAGTGTAGTCATTCATCCTGCTCAGTTTCCTGCTTGTTGGCCAGTAGTAGGGAGCAGCAGGAGTGTGTGATGTCCCAGCATCCTTCCCATCCTAGAGGCCTGACAGTCACATTTTCTGTCCTTAGCACACTGAGGACAAAGTCTCAGCTACTCCCAAGTTGCAGCATGCACATTTTGTCACTTTTGAACATTTTGAAAATTGAATGCAGCCAGAAATGACATGTTGCATTTAATTGGTGGCATTGAGACTTTCACAAAGGAGAAAAATAAGATAATGATACATTAAATCATGGCATGGCCTTTATCCTAGAGTTTCTTGTAGTCGATGAAATATATCTTCTTCTTTCCTTTCCTTTAGGATGAGCTCGTCTCCGTTTCATGGTTCTGACAAGTTTCCCTTCTTATTGACCTATTTGGTTTATTTCCACCTCTCATCATCGGTGCCAAAGTCTATTCTTGAGCCTTAACCCATCTGGCTAATCTGGATATCTGTTTCCTACCACTTTTTTGAAGGCTTTAACTTTCATGTAAACCGTGGGACCCCTATCCACAGGCATAGATCCCCCAGGGCTGATTCCATTCAGCTTGGATTTAATGCCATTTTACCCTGCTCTGCTTAGCTAAAATGTTATCCTGCTTTCAGCCACTTCTGAAATCAGACAAGACTGCTGTGCTTGATTTGTGCAAATGTGTTGTCTAAAGCCAGTGTCTGCAAGCTGGCTAACTCCTTAGTAAACTGGTTCCCTCCAGACCTTTTACCTAATATCGTTTTAGAGAAATGTAAGTGTATTGCATCTTAAGTTCGTGTTGAGGCATCAGGTAATGTCTAGTGGATAATAGCTTCTATGGGTTTGGAGACTCAGGAGAACATTGGGGAAGGAATACCGGGGTAGATCGGAAAGTCATCTCTTTAGCAACGGATTGTAGTTAAAGGCAAGTAAGCAGATGGGATGACCCAAGAAGTGCCTAAAGAAGGCAAAGAGGGAGCCTGCGGGAACAAAAGTGTTGAAGCTTTCAACGTGAAGCACATAGAGAGTGAGTCTGGGAAGAATTTGATAAAGATATTGGTTCAATTCCATGCAACTCAAGGAAACAGTGAGTTTCCAGAAAGATTACCAAGTAAAGGTACGACAAAAAAGAAAACAGCTTTACCAGTTGGTCTTTAATTACTATGTCAAAAAGAAAGTATGGTGCAGTGTTTTGTGTGGAAGCCATTGTATGGAGGGATGAATGGGAAAGATGGAAATGGGGAGAGCAAATAATAGATCTGAATGTAATGAATACTGACCTTTTGAACCAAGAGTATCAATAATAAAGAAGTCAAAGGCATTTCCTTTCATCAGCTTAAAGAATTGCATAGCATATCTGCTAAAAACTTTACATTTAGAAAATAAATATTGAAGAAAATGACTCATACTTTACCAGAATTCAAAGGTAAACAGTTACTATATTGTATTACATCTTCTACAGTTTTTATGCATGTTCATACATATGTGTCTATATTTCACTTATAAAATTGAAATCATGTTGTACATATTTTTGCAACTATATATATGTTATTAATTATTATTATTTTTGTGGAGATGGTGATTTCATTTTGTTGCCCAAGCTGGTCTTGAACTCCTGGACTCAAGCAATCCTCCTGCCTCAGCCTCCCTAGTAATTGGGATAGAGATGTGCTCCACCACACCTGGCTAAAAAATTTTTTTTTGAGAGATGGGTTCTTGTTTGTTGCCCAGGCTGGTCTTGAATTCCTGGTTTCAAGTGATCCTCCTACCTTGGCCTCCCAAAATGCTGGGATTACAGGCATGAGCCACTGTGCCTGGCCTTCAACTATATTTTTATATAGTTTATATATTATGAACAATTATGCCAACTTTTATCATCGTAGATTAATTTTGCCTATTATTGAACTTTTGAATTTATTTTTGTTTTGCTTGTTTTTGAACTTTATATAAATGAAACGATTGTTTATGCCTTTGTGTCTGATTTCTCAACATTATAATATAATAACTCAATTATAATATTATAATAACATTCAACATAGTGTTCAGAGATTCCTCCATGATTTTGCAAGTAATAGTGGTTCTGAATACAAGTCCAGATACAGGTACTGAATATATCTTCTCCCAGTCTGTCTTTACCAGTTTATTTATTTTATTTTTTTGAGGTGGAGTTTCACTCTTGTTGCCCAGGCTGGAGTGCAATGGTGTGATCTTTGCTCACTGCACCCTCCGCCTCCTGGCTTCAAGTGATTATCCTGTCTCAGCTCCCAAGTAGCTGGAATTACAGGCATGCACCACCATGCCCAGCTAATTTTGTATTTTTAGTAGAGATGGGGTTTCACCAGTTTGGTCAGGCTGATCTCGAACTCCTGATTTCAAGTAATCCACCCATCTTACCCTCCCAAAGTTCTGGGATTACAGGCGTGAGCCACTGTGCCTGGCCTGTCTTTGCCAGTTTAAACTCTTAATATTGCTTGATAAACAGAGCTCCTCATTTTAACAAAGTCTAGTTTATCACTTTTAAAAAAGCATATGTTTAGTGCTTTTCCTGTCCTATTTGTGAAATCTTTGCCCACCCCAAGGTCATGAAGATAGTTTCTTATGTTTTCCTCTTTCAGAAATGTTGTTATTATTATTTTTCAATTTGGTCTGTGAATCATCTGAGATTAATTTGGGGTATTGCATAAGGTAGGGGGTCTGGATTTTTTTTTAATGGACTTTATATTTTAGAGCAGTTTTAGACTCAAAACAAAATTGAGCAGAGGGTTCAGAGATTTTCCATATCCCCCCTATTCCATGCATGCATACATTACCTCCTTATCAACATCACCCACAAGAGTGGCACATTTATTATAACTGATGAACCTACACGGATCCATCATTATCAGCCACAGTCTGTATTTTACATTAGGGTTCATTGTTGTGGTTGTACATTCTGTGGGTGTGGACAAATGTATAGTGACATGTATCCACCATTACAGTGTCATATGGGGTAGTTTCACTGCCCTAAGAATCTCCTGTACTCTGCCTGTTTATCTCTCCCTCCCTCATCCCTGGCAACCATGGATGGATCTTTTACTGTCTGCGTAGCTTTGCCTTTTCCAGAATGTCATATAGTTGGAATCATACCGTATGTAGCCTTTTCAGATTTGCTTCTTTCACTTAGCAATATGCATTTAAGGTTCCTTCCATGTGTTTTCACATGGATAGTTCATCTCTTTTTAGAGCTAAACAATATTCCATTGTCTGGATGTACCACAGTTTATTCACCTACTGAAGGACATCCTGGTTTCTTCCAAGTTTTGGCAATTTTTGAACACAGCTGTTATAAACATCTGTGTGCAAGTTTGTGTTTGAATATAAATTTTCAGCTCCTTGGAGTAAACACCAAAGAATGTAGTTGCTGGGTAGTTTCATAAGAGTATTGTTTAGTTTTTTAAGAAACTGCCAAACTGTCTTCCAAAGTGGCTGTACCATTTTGTATTCCCATGAGCAATGGATGAGAGTTTCTGTCACTGTTGTTTCATTTTGCATTCCCCTGATGACAGGTGATGTGGAACATTTTTTCATATGCTTATTTGCCATTCATATATCTTTGAAGAGATGTCTGTTATGGTCTTTGGCCCATTTTTAATTGGGTTGTTCATTTTCTTATTGTTGAGATTTAAGAGTTCTTTGTATATTTTGGAGTCCTTTATGAGATACGTCTTTTGCAAATATTTTCTCCCAGTCTGTAGCTTGTCTTTTCATCTCTTGGCAGTGTCTTCTGCAGAGCAAAAATGTTTAATACTTACTAAATTTTTCTCTCATGGGTCATGCCTTTGGTTTGCTATCTAAAAAGTTATTTCCAAATCCAGGGTCATCTAGACTTTCTCCTGTGTTATCGTCTAGAACTCTTACAGTTTTGCCTTTTACATTTAATTTTGTAATCCAGTTAGAGTTAATTTTTGGGAGAGATATAAGGTGTTCGTTTAGATTCTTTTTTTTTGCATGTGGATTTCTAGTTCCAGCACTATTTGTTGAAAAAAATTATCTTCTCCCCATTGTATTACTTTTTTCTCTTTTGCTAAAGATCAGTTGACTACATTTGTGTGACTCTTTTCCTGGGCTGTATTCTGTTCCTTTGGTCTATTTGTCTGTTCTTGCAACAATATCACATACATTTCAGGGGATCTGATATAGTTGGATTAACATCTACTGTATTTGTTAATGTTTTCTATTTGTTGGTCTTGTTCTTTGTTTCTATTTTTGTATTCCACATTTTTTCTTTTGTGGTTTTGAGTATGTTAAATATGATTCCATTTTCTCTCCTTTCTTAGCATATTAATCATACTTCACTTGTTTTTTTTTAGTGTTTTCCCTAGAGTTTGTAATATAGGTCTACTAGTAATTGAAGTCCATTTTCAAAGAACACTATATTTCTTCCTGAGTAGGACAAGTACTTTATGATAACAAAATAATCTTTTTTCTTTTTTTTTTTTTTTCGAGATTGAGTCTCACTCTGTCATCCAGGCTGGAGTTCAGTGGCCTGATCTTGGCGCACTGCAACCTCCGCCTCCCAGGTTCAAGCAATTTGCCTATCTCAGCCTCCCAAGTAGCAGGGATTACAGGCACTCGCCATTACACTTGGCTAATTTTTTAAATTTTTATTAGAGACAGGGTTTTACCATGTTGGCCAGGCTGGTATTGAACTCCTGACCTCAAGTGATCCGCCTTCCTCGGCCTCCCAAAGTGCTGGGATTATAGGCTTGACCCACTGTGCCCAGCCTCCTTACAATAACAAAATAATCCTGATTCTTCCCTCCTGTCCTTGTATCATTGCCATCACTCATTTTACTTATACATAGGCATGCATAATCAATATATTGTTGCTATCTTATTATTTTGGCCAAATTGCTATCTGTTAGATGAATTAAGAATAAGAAAAATAAACATTTTTATTTTACTCCTTCTCTGATGTTCTTCCTTTCTTTTCTTAGATCTGAGTTTCTGACCTATATCATTTTCCTTTTCTCTGAAGAGCTTCTTTTAACATTTCTTTCAAGGAAGATCTACTGGCAACAAATTCCCCCAGTTTCCGGTTGTCTGAAAAAGTATTTCTCTCTCAGTGTTGAAGGACATTTTCATAGGGTGCAGATTCTAGGTGGTGATTTTTTCTTTCAGTACTTAAATATTTCACCCTGCCGTCTCCTTGCTTGCATGGTTTCTGGGTAGAAGTTGAAATCATTCTTTCCTTTTCTATAGATAAGGCTTTTTTCCCTCTGTCTTCTTTCTGGATTTTGTTAAATATTTGATTTTCTGTGGTTTGAAACTTACATGCTTATCTATAGTTTTTCTGGCATTTATCCTACTTGGTGTTGTGGGAGCCTCCTGACAAACTGTGGTTTGGGGCCTGACATTAACATGGGGAAATCCTGAGTCATTATTTGTTCAAATACTACTTTTGTTCTTTTCTCTCTTTGTTTTCCTCTTGGTATTCCTGTTACACATACATTACACCCTTTGTAGTTATCCCACAGCTCCTGAATATTCCATTCTGGTTTATTTCAGTCTTTTTTCATTTTGCTTTTCAGTTTTAGAGGTTTCTGTTGAGAATCCTTAAACTCAGAGATTTCGTCCTCAGCCATGTCTAGTCTCAAGGCCATTCTTCATTTCCAAAGTTAGAGTGTTTTAGAGCTCCAGCATTTCGGTTTTGTTCTTTCTTAGGATTTTGATCTCTGTTTACATTGTCCATCTGTTCTTGTGTGCTGTGTACTTTATCCACTGGAGCCCTTTGCATCTGGTCGGGTTATCCCAACATCCCTGCCGTGTCAGAGCCTGGTTTGGATGCTTGTGCTATCTCTTTAAACTTTGCTTTTTGCCTTTTAGTGTGCCTTGTAACTTCTTGTTACTGAATGTGATATCCTGGGTAAAAGGAACTGCTCTCACTAGACCTTTAATAATGTGATGGTATGGTATATGGGGAAGGGAAGCATTCTGTAGTCTTATGATTAGGTCTCAGTGTTTTGTTTTGTTTTGTTTTGTTTTGAGTCGGAGTCTTGCTCTGTCACTCAGGCTGGAGTGCAGTGGCACGATCTCGGCTCACTGCAACTTCTGCCTCCCAGGTTCAAGCAATTCTCCTGCCTCAGCCTTCCAAGTAGCTAGGATTATAGGCACCTGCCACCATGCTCCACTAATTTTTGTATTTTTACTAGAGACGGGGTTTTACCATGTTGGGCAGGCTAGTCTTGAACTCCTAACCTCAAATGATCCACTTGCCTTGGCCTCCCAAAGTGCTGGGATTACAGGTGTGAGCCACTGCGCCCAGTCTAGGTCTCAGTCTTTTAGTGAGGCTGTACCCCTGGACTGTGAACTTCACAAATACTTCTCAGTTTTTTCTTCCCCGTTGGGACAGGTTGGCTAGAGTGTGCTGCAGTTGGCTATTTCCCTTTTCTTACATGGAAGGCCGGCGCTGGCTGGAGTTGGGTATTTCTCTTCCACTTGGTTAGTTAGGCTCTGATAAAACCAAGCAAGTTAGGTTCTGGTTAAATCGGTTCTCCTGAGAGCAGACCTTGTTATCAACACAATGCTCTGACACATGTCAAATGGTTCCTGTTTCCCTCCCCTTACCAGAAGCACAAGGGATTTCCCCCTGTATATTCACTGTGAGAATCTGGCAGAGCTCCAGTAGGTAAAACTCACAAAAGTGTAGGGCCCCTAATGACTGGATCTGTCTGGAATTTTTATGTGTCAGACTTGTCCACACTGAGCCTCCAGCACTTCGTCAATTACAGTTCAGTTTCCCTGTGTTGGCGCTGGTCTCTGTGGAGGTTTCTGCTCCTGTTAAGTTGTGATTCTCTGTGCCTGCCTGTTTTTCCCTCCAATTATGGGGACAGCAGGTTTGCCCTGTGACCTCACTTCTCTGATGGATCTAAGAACAGTTGTTGATTTTTCAATTTGTTCAGCTTTTTACTTGTTAAGACACAGTGATGACTTCCAAGCAACTTTCTTGCTGCATTGGAAACTAGAAGGCTCGTAGGGGTTAATTTTAAGTTGTAAAATCTGATAGTATAAGGCTCACAGCTTTTTTCTTTAAGACCTAGTAATTTTTGTCTTTGTGAATTCTCCTTTTAGTGTCATGCTTAGACCCTTAGGATATAAAAATTCTTATGTATATTTTCTGGTTCTTTCCTAGCCCAGTTGTTTAAATCTCAACTCTTTAATCCAGTTGGGATATAACTTAGCATTCATTTTTATGTCATTCCCAAGTACCATTTATTGATGAACCATCTTTAAAGTACAGATTTGATAAGCTATCATTACTACGTATTGAAACTTGATATATGTGCTGTTCCATTCCCAGAAGATGCCCTGTGTGTTGATTTCTACTTTTTTTTTTTTGTTAACAGAGTGTCATATCTTTCTATATAAGTAATTATAGGCTATGTGTGGTGGCTCATGCCTTTAATTCCAGCACTTTGGGAGGCTGAGGTGGGTGGATCACCTGAGGTCAGGAGTTTGAGACCAGCCTGGCCAACACAGTGAAACCCCATCTCTACTACAAATACAAAAATCAGGTGGGTGTGGTGGTGGGTACCTGTAATCCCAGCTACTCGGGAGGCTGAGGCAGGAGAATCACCTGAACCCGGGAGGCGGAGGTTGCAGTGAGCCGAGATTGCGTCACTGCACTTCAGCTTGGGAGACAGAGAGAGACTCCATCTAAAAAAACAGACGGCCGGGTGCGGTGGCTCACTTCTGGAATCCCGGCACTTTGGGAGACTGAGGTGGGTGGATCACGAGTTCAGGAGGTCGAGACCATCCTGGCTAACACGGTGAAACCCCGTCTCTACTAAAAATACAAAAAATTAGCTGAGCATAGTGGTGGGTCCCAGCTACTCGGGAGGCTGAGGCAGGAGAATGATGTGAACCTGGGAGGTGGAGCTTGCAGTGAGTGGGGATCGTGCCCCTGCACTCCAGCCTGGGCGACAGAGCGAGACTCTAACTCAAAAAAAAAAAAAAAAAAAAAGAAGTAAATATAACACTCCAACACTCTTCTTACTGTCTGGATAATATTTTTTTAATATGGATTTAACAAATAGCCTCACAAGTCTTATCTTTGGCAGCCTTCCCTAACTCCTTCCCTCCCCTCCCACAGTCTGCATTGGGCACTTCTGGGTGAAGGGTACTTGTGCTTTCTTTTACCACCCAGGACAGCAGGGGTTGGTGTGACTGCTTATTTAATCGTCCTTGCTCTGAATTGTAAGGTCCCCTAGGGAAGGCAAGATGTGTGTTATGCCTTTTTGTTCACTGTGGTATTCAAAGCCCTTAACACGGTGACTGACACATGATTGCCACATAAGTATTTGGTGAACGAGCAAATTGCATTTATCCGATCTCCTCTTGGTGTATATTCTGTTATTTCCCAACAACCTGCTTGGTTTAGTAATTGAAAGCTTGGGTCTCTGAAACAAGGCTACCAAGGTTTGGATACTGGCTCTGCCACCTATTGTGTGTGTAATTTTGGGCAAGGGACTCACTTTTCTCACCTGTGAAATGGGGTAAATAACAGTGCCTACCTTATAGGGTCTAGACAAAAACACCTAGAAACATTACAGTAGGTAATTTTGTTTGAATTTTACAAAATGATGCCCTCTACTATCATTTTTGTGTATATGATTAAATATTTTATACATATGAAAAGATACAGTGAATAAGATAGTAAGTACCACTGTAACTATAGTCTAGCTTAAGAAATAAATATTACAAATTCATTTGCAGTCTCTGTGGACCTCATTTCTATCATACTTCTTTTTCCTTCTCTTTCTTTCAGAGGGAATCAGTATCCTGTAATTGGTGTTTATCGTTCCATATCGTCTTCAGTATTTCATGTTTGGTGTTTATCATTCCATATTGTATTAATGAGGGTTCTCTAGAGGGACAGAACTAATAGGGTAGATGTACATATGAAGGGGAGTTTATTGGAGAATTGACTCGCACTATCACAAGGTGAAGTCCCACAATAGGTCGTCTGCAAGCTGAGGTGCCAGGAAGCCGTTCCAAGTCCCAAAACCTCAGAAGTAGGGAAGCTGACATTGCAGCCTTCAGTCTGTGGCCAAAAGGCCTGAGAGCCCCTGGCAAACCACTGGTGTAAGTCCAAGAGTCCAAAAGCTGAAGATCTTGGAGTTTGATGTTCGAGGGCAGGAAGCATCCAGCACGGGAGAAAGATGAAGGCCAGAAGACTCAGCCAGTCTAGTTTTTCCATGTTCTTCTGCCTGCTTTTATTCCGGCTGCACTGGCAGCTGATTAGATGGTGCCCACCCAGACTGAGGGGTAGATTAGATGGTGCCCACCCAGATTGAGGGGTGGATCTGCCTTTCCCAGTCCACTGACTCAAATGTTAATCTCCTTTGGCAACACCCTCACAGACACACCCAGGAGCAATACTTTGCATCCTTTAATACAATCAAGTTGACACTCAGTGTTAACCATCACACAGGGTCTTGCTCTGTTGCCCAGGCTGGAGTGCCACAGTATGATCATGGCTCACCACAGCCTTGAACTCCTGGACTCAAGCAGTCCTCCCACTTCAGCCTCCCAAGTAGCTAGAGACAATAGGTGTCCGCCACTGCGCCCGGCTAATTTTTGCATTTTGTAGAGATACGGTCTCACTGTGTTGCTCAGGTTGGTCTCGAACTCCTGGCGTCAAGTGATCCTCTCGCTTTGGCCTCCCAAAGTGCTGGGATTACAGAGGTGATCTACTGCTCCTGGCCTATCATTCCATATTTATACTTCACTCTTATGTATAACTCCGTAAGTAACAGAGCATAGTGTTTTCCATATTTTAAAACTTTATATAATAATGTAACCCTATATGTATCCTTATGCAACTTGATTTAATTTTTGACCATTTTTTTAAAAATAAAAAATTACGTTTTTACCATGTTAAAGTATTCAGTTCAGTGGTATCATGTACATTCATATTATATGCAACTATTACCACCATCCATCTCCAGAGCTGTTTCATCTCCCCATTGTTTCCCCCAAACTATGAAACTTCATACCCATTAAATAGTAGCCTCCCTCATTTCTTCCTCCCTGCAACCTGTTTTTCTTTTGTTTGATATTATGCTCGTGACGTATTCACATTGTTATATTTAGCCTTTGAGACTTTGTAACTGCTATGTAGCCTTCTATCCTGTAAATATTCCCTGATGTAGGAGAAATTCATCCTCCTACAGATGGGCATTTGGATTGTTTCACAGTTTCTAACTCTGCAGTGAACATTATTGAGAGTGTCTCTTTGTGCACATGTGCAATAATTTCTTTCGGAACTAACCTGTGGTTGGAAGTTGCTGGATCATAGGATATGTACATCTTAAACTTGAACTTGATTAGATTTTTGTCGCCGTAGCCTGTCCTACATGATTATACTTATGAGACTACTGCATTAAATTTCTATTTTCTATCCTCACGAATACTTGGTCTTGTTAGTTGTTGATTCTATTTTATTTGTTTTTTGAGACAGGATCTTGCTCTATTGGCAGACTGGATGCAGTGGTGCCATCACGGCTCACTGCAGTCTCAACCTCCTGGGCTCAAGTAATCTTCCCACCTCAGTCCCCCAAGAAGCTCAGACTACAGCCATGCACCACCATGCCTGGCTAATTTTTTTGATTCTTTAACTTGTACAGATGGAGTCTCACTATGTTGCCCAGCTTGTCTTAAACTCCTGGCCTCAAGTGATCCTCCTACCTTGGCTTTCAAGAGTGCTGGGATTGTCCGGGCACGTTGGCTTATACCTGTAATCCCCAGCACTTTGGGAGGCTGAGGCAGGCGGATCATGAAGTCAAGAGATCGAGACCATCCTGACCAACATGGTGAAACCCCGTCTCTACTAAAAATACAAAAATTAGCTGGGCGTGATGATGCGCGCCTGTTGTCCCAGCTACTTGGCGGCTGAGCGAGTTTCCATCTCAAAAAAAAAAAAAAAAAAAAAAAGTGCTGGAATTACAGGTGTGAGCCACCATGCCTGGCCATTGTCAGGGTTTTAGGTTTTGCCAGTCTGATTTGAGGTTTTATTTTATAATCCTCCCAGGAGTGGGTGAGCATTTTGTTGTGTTTGGCCATGTCTTTAATAGCCTTTCCATACCTTGCCCATTTCTCCATTGGCTGTTTGCCTTTGTCTAGACTCTTAGAATTCATTCTTTCTGCCTGTAATGGGCTTCTCTATGTTGATATGGTTTGTTTTCTCATTTCCTTCAGGACTCCACTCAAATATCACCTTATCAGAGAGTTAGCCCCTCCTCATCCTGTGGAAAATAATATCCCTCCTCAGCAGCACTGCCCATCCCTCTTTGATTGTTTTTTTCCATAGCAGCATCAGCACCAGACTTGCATGTTATTGGTTTTTATTTCCTTTCAACTGTGAAAGCAGAGACATTTTCTTATTCCCTGCAGTATCCTCAGTGCCCCGGATAGTGCTTTGCCTGTAGTATGCATTTAATAAAAATAGAATTAATATAATAATTCATGCATCCTAGTATTCAGGTTCCCAGAAATGATTACCTTCACCTTGGGCTAGGTGGAGTAAACAAGTGCTAATAGATAAATAAAAGGTGCTGGGTGCGGTGGCTCACGCCTGTAATCTCAGCGCTTTTGGAGACTGAGGTGGGTGGATCACTCGAGGTCAGGAGTTCAAGACCAGCCTGGACAACATGGTGAAACCCTGTCAGTACTAAAAATACAAAAATTAGCCGGGCATGGTGGCAGGCACCTGTAATTCCAGCTACTCAGGAGGCTGAGGCAGGAGAATCACTTGAACCCGGGAGATGGAGGTTGCAGTGAGCCAAGATCACGCTACTGCACTCCAGCCTGGTGATAGAGCAAGACTTCATCTCAAAAAAAAAGATAAATAAAAGGATACCATATATCCACACAACTCTGTGAACCTTAGCAGGGTGCATGTCGGAGAACCCAGGGAAAAGCAGAAAAAGTTTCTGCTAGGCCAGGAAGCGGAAGCTGTCAAAGATACAGGTAGCCATTTTTCATTCCGCCAAGGGCTCCCAACCTCCCTCAACTGTATAAAAACTCAGAATCCTGGAAATCAGGAGACAAATGTTCCATGCCCATGTGTTTTTTTATAATTGAGGTATAATTTACATATCATAAAGTTCAGGATGTGGTGGCTCACGCCTGTAATCCCAGTACTTTGGGAGGCCAAGGTGGGAGGATTGCTTCAGCCCAGGAGTTTGAGACCAGCCTGAGCAACATAGCAAGACCCTTTCTCTACCAAAAAAAAAAAAATCAACCAGGTGTGCTAAGGCATTCTTGTAGTCCCACCTACTCAGGAGGCTGAGGTGGAGGATCAGTTGAGCTCAAGAGGCCGAGGCTGCAGTGAGCTATGATTGTGTCACTGCCCTCCAGCCTAGGTGACAGAGTGACACCCTGTCTCGAATGAATGAATGAATCAATGAATACATGCATACATACATACAGAGAGAGAGAAAGAAGAAGTTCACCCTTCTAAAGTATGATTTTTAGTATATTCACAAGCTTGTGAAATCATCACTACCTAACTCGAGAACATTGTCATCACCCCAACCAAGTTTCTTTTTGAATATGATGTTAAAACAGTTTTTTGGTTTGTTTGGTTTTTTTTTTGAGACAGTCTCTCGCTCTGTCACCCAGGCTGGAGTACAGTGGCGTGATCTTAGCACACTGCAACCTCCGCCTCCTGGGTTCAAGCGATCCTCCCACCTCAGCTTCCCAAGTATCTGAGATTACAGGCACATGCCACCACACTGGCTATTTTTTTGTATTTTAGTAGAGATGGGGTTTCCCCATATTGGCCAGGCTGGTCTTGAACTCCTGGCCTCAAGCAATCCACCGCCTCGGCCTCCCAAAGTGCTGAGATTATAGGCATGAGCCACCACGTCCAGCCAAAAGTTTTTTTTTTTAAAGCCTTTATGGTTTATGCTGAAGCATCCAACTAACTGGGTTTCTCTGTAAATAAAGCATGTGCTCACTCCCAGGGCTGCTGCTCTTCCAGCACCTGGCCAGCAAATCCACCCTGCCCAGGTATGGCAGCCCCACCAGTTCCTGGTGTCTGCCCTGGGAAGCCAGTCACTGTACCACTCAGGGTTTGCTGTTGAGACTCTGCTGTGTTTCATTATTGAACTAAATATAGTGTACAGCAGACATTGGGTCCTGCAGAGAACATTCTTATCATAAGTTCTTTTATTTAATAATCATAGCTCTAATAGCTAACATCTGTTAAACAACCTCTTACTAAATTCTGGTACTGCTAATCCTGAGTACGTATCATCTTATCTTCATACCTTTTATATGAGTCGTAGATATTGTTCACCTTGTTTTACAGACGAGGAAATTGAAGGTCACAGAGCTGTTTGGCTTCATGGTATATTTTTATTATCTTTTAGCACTTGTTTATTTGACATAGCCCAAAGTGGAGGTGATCGTTTCTGGGAACCTGAATACCAGCCACTAAAATCAAACTGGTATTTGAACCCCTGTTTAGCCCCAAAGAGCTTCAGTTTGTTAACCATAACCGTTTCCAGAACACAGAAGTTAGTCCTGCTACCTAAAGTTATCATTTTTCCTTCTCTTATTTATTCTTTGAACCAGAACAGCATAGTATGTTTCCATGTTATGTAGTGTGATGTTAAGATTTTCATGGGTTAGCGTATGAAACTATTACAGTTATGAAATATTATGTAATAGTTATGAAACTATTACATTATTCTGTAATGATCTGTTGCCAAGGTATTATTAGTACTAGAGGAAGATTTCATCTGATCTGAATAATCTATTATAAATTGGCTTTTTTTCACATGAGAAGAAAATTGTTTTGTATTTAATCATTGTAATTAATAATGTGACATTTAAAGTGTTAGCTGATGAACTATGATGACTGTGGAGTAGTGTTTGTAATTTGATGAAGCGTAGATCCACATACCATATATTAGTATGTGTGTGTGTATATACAGTGCATGTGTGTGTGTGTATATATATATATGTGTGTGTGTATATATATATGTGTGTATATATATATATATATACTGACATCACTGTATTAGGGCAACATAAAAATACTAAAACTATTGACTGTCAAAACTAATAATGTGTAGTTGTCCTTTTCCAGTTGACTTAGTGATTGGAAAAAATTGCAAGTTTTCCTGTTTTCTTTTTTTAATTTTTTTGAGACAGAATTTCACTCTGTTGCCCAGACTGGAGTACAGTGGCACAGTCTCGGCTCACTGCAACCTCCACCTCCTGGGTTCAAGCAATTCTCCTGCCTCAGCCTCCTGAGTAGCTGGGATTACAGGTGCCTGCCACCACACCCGGCTAATTTTTGTGTTTTTAGTAGAGACGGGGTTTCACCATGTTGGCCAGGCTGGTCTCAAACTCCTGATCTCAGGTGATCCACCCACCCCGGCCTCCCAAAGTTCTGGGATTACAGGTGTGAGCCACCGCACCTGGCCTTTGTTTTGTCATTTTCCTACAGGTTTTTCATTGGGAATCGGTTGTTTCAAGCAAACTCCTTCCTCCAGCACTTTCTAGAAAGAAAGATGCTAGAACTAAAAGTTATTCTAAGCAGGTCCTTGGAATTCCCACTTATTTGCAAGTCATCCCTTATTTTTTGGTACTCTTTTTATTCTAAGGCTAGAAATCCGTTTCTAAGGACAAGTATAGAAAATTTTAAGCCAGCCATGGTGGCTCACACCTGTAATCTCAGCACTTTGGGAGGCCGAGGTGGAAGGAACTCTTGAGCCCAGGAGTTTGAGACTAGCCTGGGCAACATGGCAAGACCCCATCTCTTTAAAAAAAAAAAAAAAAAAGAGAGAAAAGGAAAATTTGAAACTGTGCTTTTTAAAAGATTATATTTGATAGCCTACCTAACAGGAAACAATTCCGTGGGGTAAAATGCTTTTAAGCACAGGAATCAACCTTAGTTGGAGTGGAATGATTCAACACTATGTGGCCAGTTTAAACAAGGCTCTGGGAGGCGTGGTTGGGTGACTTGGTCTGCGTGGCTGAGCATTACAGCTTCTCTATATGGAAAGATTGGTGTGTATGGAGGTGTGGATTAAGACCTAATTAAAAAAAAAATCTTTGAGTTGGAATGAAACCTATAGGAGGAATCCATGAAGACACCCTGCATCAGACATCCTGTCTGAAGGGCCTGGTTTTCTCATCTCTGTGGTGCTTAGTAAGTGTTTCTCTAAGGAGACATCACAGCCACTGCCGAAAACAACCTCATCTTAGCAGCAGAGAGAGGCCCACAATGTCACACCATGCACTTCTTCCTCTTGATCCTAGGGTACCGAAAAAGACTTTTGGACTAAGAAACCTGGGAGGTTGCTGCCAATCTGGACTAGGCCTTGTGCTCTTGTTAATGCTTAAAGTGACTTTCTGAGAATGGGCTGGCCAGCTACCTCCTTGTGGCTAAGGGCTTGCTTTGCTGACACTCCACACTTCACGGAGAGGAGTGGGGTTGTACCATCCCCTATGAAGCCTAGGCAGTGTCCTAGCAAGCCATCTGTATGATGCCCACAGGGAATGGTGGGTATTGAACTGGTAGTCCTCCTGGTTTCTCTGCTTCAGGTGTTTATTCTCTAGACCAGAAATTACCTTTTTAAAAAAATAATAACTCTATGAAGGAGGAGGGTTCTAAAAAGAGTTTTGTTTTTAAATTTAAGTTTTGTGGGTACATAGTAGGTGTATATATTTATAAGGTACCTGAGATACTTTGATACAGGCATATAATATGTAATAATTACGTGATAGAAAATGTGGTATCTATCCTCTCCAGCATTTATCCTTTGTGTTACAAACAATCCGATTATACTCCTTTAGTCACTTTTAAATGTACAATTAAATTAAGTTTGACTATATAGTCAACCTGTTGTGCTATCAAAGACTAGGTCTTATTCATTTTTTCTATTTTTTGTACCCATTAACCATCCCACCTTCCTCCCAACACCCCCACTACCCTTCCCAGCCTCTGGTAACCATCCTTCTACTGTCTGTCTCCATGAGTTGAATTGTTTTGATTTTTCGATCCCACAATTAAGTGAGAACACGTGATGTTTGCCTTTCTGTGCCTGGCTAATATCACTTAGCATAATGACCTGCAGTTCCATCCATGTTGCAGATGACAGGACCTCATTCTTTTTTTATGGGTGAATAGTACTCCATTGTATATAAATACCACATTTTCTTTATCCATTCATCTGCCATTGGATACTTAGGTTGCTTCCAAATCTTGGCCATTGTGACTAGTGTTGCAATAAACATGGGAGTGCAGATGTCTCTTCCGTGTTCGATATACTGATCTGAAAAGAGTTTTGATACAAATATATGTAGTATATAAACTTCTCTAATGCCTTACTTCAAAACCTGTAGTTATTTGTGGATCTTTTTATTTTATTGAGACGGAGTCTTGCTCTGTCGCCCAGGCTGGAGTGCAGTGGCCGATCTCGGCTCACTGCAGCCTCCACCTCCTGGGTTCAAGCAATTCTCCTGCCTCAGCCTCCAAGTAACTGGGACTACAGGTGCACGCCGCGACACCCGGCTAATTTTTGTATTTTTAGTAGAGATGGGGTTTCACTATGTTGACCAGGCTGGTCTCCAACTCCTGACCTCAAGTGATCCACCCGCCTTGGCCTCCCAAAGTGCTGGGATTACAGGCATGAGCCACCATGCCCGGCCTATTTATGGATCTTTTGAAATCTTGAGTTTCTAAAATAGAGCAAGTATTTGTAATCTTTGAAACAAAATGTACACACATGTGTATGCACACATACATATGCATGCACACATATGTGTATATATGTACATATATACTGTTGTCTCTCAGTATCTGCAGAGGATTGGTTCCAGGACCCCCATGGATACCAAAATCTACAGTTACTGTCCTGCAGTTCACCCTGCAGAACCCACAGATATGAAAAGTTGGCCTTCTCTATTCGAGGTTCCTACATCCCTCGAGTACTGCCCTTTCTATTTGCAGTTGGTTGAATCTGCAGATGCTGAAGGAACCCAGAAATATAGAAGGCTAACTGCATATTACATACCTGTGTATACAGGTGTGTGTGTGTGTGTGTGTGTGTGTGTGTGTGTGTTTGTGTGTGTATGCCCAAATAAATTCAGGTCCTCAAACTGTAATGATCACCATATTTAAAAAAGATTTCCCTCTTAAAATTATCTTTTTTTGTGAATCATCATTTTGCTTCATGCTCTGTTAATGTAAGAGGAACAGAATCCCTTGGGTATTAGTCCATTTTCATGCTGCTGATAAAGACACACCCGAGACTGAGCAATTCACAAAACAAAGAGGTTTAATGGGACTTACAGTTCCACATGGCTGGAGAAGCCTCCCAATCATGATGGAAGGCAAGGAGGAGCAAGTCACGTCTTATTACGTGGATGGTGGCAGGCAAAAAAATGAGAGAACTTGTGCAGGGGAACCCCACTTTTTCAAACCATCAGCTCTCATGAGACTTATTCACTATCACGAGAACAGCATGGGAAACACTTGCCCCATGATTCAGTTACCTCCTACCAGGTCCCCCCACAACGTGGGAATTCAAGATGAGATTTGGGTGGGGACCCAGCCAAACCATATCACCTTGTTCTTTGCCTTTAGACTTTATAAAATATTTATCCAGCCTCCTATTCTTTCCTTGAATTTTTCTCACTTACATAATGGTGTGTTTTGAGATTGAATAGTTCTGAAAAAAAAAAAAAAGACTTTTTAAATACAATTTTAAAAGAAATTAAAGTTAATAAAGTGAATAAAGTTGGTACACTTTTAAAAAAAGTTTAAAGTTGGTACTAAAATGTCCTAAACATACTGAAAATACTACTGCCAATCATTAAATAAAGACCTATAAGCCAATAGAAAATAAGAAAATAGAAAAATAAGGAAAAGAAATCCTTTAATGAAATCCACACAGCCCTTAAATATAGATAAAAATATTAGTGAAGAAGTAAGTACTCTCATACACCTGGTGAGACTATAAATTGCTTCAGCTTCATCTTTGAAGGTCACTTTTATGGTAGCTGTTAAAATAAAAATGTGCACTTTGAGTCAACAGTTCATATCTAGTAATTTACCCTGAGACATACATTCATGTGAAGAAAAATATATACAAGATTATTCATTGTGACATTATTTTTAATAGCAGAAGATTAGAAGCAAACTATCCATCAGTCAGGAGCCAGTTAAAATAAGTTATGGTTCAACCACACATTGAATTGGTTTTGACCCAAGTGTCTGGGGGTGGAGGGAGACCTTTGGCTGTATTCTTCCTTGTACCTTTTCTGAGTGTTACTTATTTTTAAAAAGGACAACTGTCAGAAGCCACCCCTAAGAAGATCATTTTTCTAAGGAATAATAACCTAGAAAGCTAGTATTTTCTATTTTGTAGGTTATTTTTCTGGGGAAAAATAGCCTATAAGTGTTTATTCATTTATTTTATGTCTCTCTGACCAGAGAACAGGGCCCTTGTTGGCCTTAGTCACTGGTCCCCAGAAACTAGAAGAACTTTTACCAGATATTAAACGTTCAATAAATATTTGCTGAGTGAATCAATACAGTTTGTGCAGTTTAGTTCTTTTTAACATTTATTTACAGACTGGAATATTAAGCTTTATGCAAACCTAAGAGGCCATCATAAAAATAAAAATACATCGTGTATATTTATTTTCCCTAAATATTCTAACCAACACGCAAAATAATTTTCCAAGTCTTAGACTAGTAATGGCTCAACTTGAATATGTTGTTTGAGCACCATTTGGTACAGTGGCTACTGAAAAGCACTGAGTGTTTCCTTTCATACTCCATTTATTCCCCCGCCTTTTGGAAGTGTTCAGACATTTTTAGAGTTCGTGTTTGTCTAGCCAAAATATTTCACTGGAAGCCCATGGGGGTCTTTCTACTCCTCAGAAAGCGAGCAGAATGCGAGTGTTTGACTCCCAGGGCACCATGCTATAATAGCTATGCAACCTTGGCCAAACCACCGAACCTCTGTGAAGTCTTTACTTCCTCACTGTAAAGTGGGGTTAAGAGTACTTCCTAATTGGAATTAAATGATAACACATGAGGCCAGACGTGGTGGCTCACACCTGTAATCCTGGCACTTTGGGAGGCCAAGGCGGGTGGATCACTTGAGTTCAAGAGTTAGAGACCAGCCTGACCAACATGGGGAAACCCCCTCTCTACTAAAAATACAGAATTAGTTGGGCGTGGTGGTAGGCGCCTGTAATCCCAGCTACTCGGGAGGCTGAGGCAGGAGAATCGCTTGAACCTTGGAGGCGGAGGTTGCAGTGAGCCAAGATCATGCCATTGCATTCCAGCCTGGGCAACAAGAGTGGAACTCAGTCTCAAAAAAAGATAACACATGAAAACTCTGAATACATTGCTTGGCACCTGGGCTCAATAATGTCAGTGCTATTACTATTTAGAGACAGGGATTCATTCTGTCACCCAGGCTGGAGTGCAGTGGCACAATCATGGTTCGCAGCAGCCTTGAACCCCTGGGCTCAAACAATCCTCCCACCTCAGCTGCCGGAGCAGCTGAGACTACAGGCATGTGCCACCACAGCCAGCTAATCTTTATTTATTTATTTATTTATTTATTTATTTATTTATTTATTTATTTTGTAGAAATGGGGTCTCACTGTGTTGCATAGGCTGGTCTTCAGCTCCTGGCCTCAAGTGGTTTTCCTACCTTGGCCTCCCAAGGCACTGGGATTATAGATGTGAATCACCACATCCAGCCAGTGCTGTTATTATTGTTATTTATTTATTATTATTTTTTTTCCGAGACAGAGCCTCGCTTTATCACCCAGTCTGGAGTGCAGTGGCGTGATCTCAGCTCACTGAAGTCTCTGCCTCCCGGGTTCAAGAAATTCTCCTGCCTCAGCTTCCCAAGTAGCTGGGACTACAGGCACAAGCCACCATGCCACCATGCCTGGCTGATTTTTTTTTTTAAGAGGCAGGGTTTCGCCATGTTGGCCAGGCTAGTCTTGAACAACTGGCCTCAAATGATCTGCCCACCTAGGCCTCCCAAAGTGCTGGGATTATAGGCATGAGCCACTGCGCCTGGCCAGCCAGTGCTATTATTAATAAAATTAGTTCAGAATTAGGCCAGGTGCAGTGGCTTATGCCTGTAATCCCAACATTTTTGGGAGGCTGAGGTGGGTGGATCACCTGAGGTCAGGAATTCAAGAGCAGCCTGGCCAACATGGTGAAACCCCATCTCTACTAAAAACACAAAAAATTAGCCGGGCGTGGTGGCAGGCGCCTGTGATCTGAGCTACTTGGGAGGCTGAGGCAGGAGAATCTCTTGAACCCAGGAGGCGGAAGTTGGAATGAGCCGAGATAGCGCCATTGCATTCCAGCCTGGAACAACAGGAGCAAAACTCCATCTCAAAAAAAAAAAAAAAAAAAAAAAAAAGTTTAAAATTAAATAGTGGTTGTTTGCCTCTTAGAATAATTTTTGTGTATAAATGACTGTCAATATTTTGGAGACTTTGTTTATACTATAATAATTTCCACCAACTCTTGCTTTGTGTGTAGTATATTTCAAGTTCTGTGCTAGGCAGGGGGATATAGTTACAACTGGGATGTGGTCTTTGCCTTAGAGGAATTGTTTGTGTGGGAGACAGATAGTTTCAGGACTTGGTGACAAGTGCTAGGCTACAAGGAGCATGAGGAGAGATGCTGACATTGACATCAGAAAAGGCATTCTGCAAGAAGTGATAGCGGAACTGAGACTTAAAACCTAGCGTTATTTAATGCATACTTTATTCATCTGGCATAAACTTAAAATGTCACAGACTGATAGGGAGTTAGAAGTAAGCTTTCCCTCCACTCTGACCTCCAGCTGCTCTGTGTTCCTTAAGAGCCACCACTGATTACTAAAGAGCCTTCCTGTTTGTGGAAGCAGGCAGAGTTTGGCGATTTGGGAAAGCACGTGTGGCTTGTGGAGCAGTTCAGTTCCACCAGAGTCCAAGAGCATGGGGTCGGATGGGGAGTGGAATGACAGTGGATAAGCTGGGGTGTTGAGAAGGAGTTTTCTCGGCCTTCATGTTAAAAAACAAATCTACACTACTCCAAAAATGGGAAATGGTCTTAACGATCTAGCTGTCCACAAGCTGATAGTGCCTAGCACACTGAGAGAGCTTTTAAAAGGCTGTTTAAATAATTCTGTGATTCTAAAAACATTCAAGTAATCATTTGACAGAAGCTGAGAAAGCATTTTTTGATATATATGCTAATTAGCTACTTTTTTGACTTAAAAACGGTTGAACAAAAACATCTATAATAGTGTATAAGTATTGAGTCATGGATGACATTTTCTCCTGTTTTCCAGTTTCCACTGAAAACAAACAAAATCTATGATAACATTACAGAAAAACAATTTGTATTTTATCTTTAAAAGTTTAATGAAATTTTATGTAGGTCATTAATGTAGCAGTGGATCATTAATTCAGTAGACATTTCTAGGACTCCGAGGCCTAGATGACCAAATACATGGGTAGTGTGTGTCATGGGAGGGTGACTTAAAGACTTTTTTCATTTGAGAAAGTATCTTTTATGTGACACTAGCTGTGTTAAGGTCAACCTTGAGTAAATTATGGCTTGAATAGTAGTGACACACAACTACCTAAAAAATAAGAAAAATGGTTTTAAAGATCTGGCTAGCCACAAGGGAATAGAATTTTCTCTACCCTTTGACTTTTGATTCATATATCATCAGATTGCCTGAAGAGTATAGGAACAGACATCTCTTCCAAATACAGGCATACCCTACAGGTCACCTCTTTGTGTTGCTGGTTTTCCACTACAACATCTCTTTGTTTTGTTTTGTTTTTTTGAGCTGGAGTCTTGCTCTGCCACCCAGGCTGGAGTGCAGTGGCATGATCTCAGCTCACTGCAGCCTCCACCTCCCGGCTCAAGCGATCCTCCTGTCTCAGCCTTCCGAGTAGCTGGGACTACAGGCCTGTGTCACCACACCTGGCTAATTTTTGTATTTTTTATAGAGACAGGGTTTTGCCGTGTTGCCCAGCCTCTTCTAGAACTCTGAGCTGAAGCTATCTGCCCGGGTTGGCCTCCCAAAGTGCTGAGATTGCAGGCGTGAGCCACCGCGCCTGGCCTCCTCTTTGTTTTTAATATCCAAACTTCCTACAGCACAGCAGTCTTTCAATACAACGTTTTAAATTGATACTTACAAAGGCAACATTTATATTTATTTCCAAAAACTAATACAGCATTTTAAACAAAAACATGTGCAGGAAAAATCCAGAATGCCAGCTCCAAATATAATCAGTCAATGATGAGAGTCAGATGTGGGTGATTTGAAAGGCCTACTAATTTGCTTCTTGCTGGTGCTGGCACTGAGAGAGGCCACTTTCCCATCCTGAGCAGTTGATGTGAATCTTGTTTTTTTGTTTTCAGTTGTTAGCAGTCTTCTACATATTTTACAGACCAATACAATGGTTATTGTACATATGGGCATTTTACCCTGTTTTAGTTTCTTTTTTTTTTTTTTTTTTTTGAGACGGAGTCTCGCTCTCTCTCCCAGTCTGGAGTGCAGTGGCGCGATCTCGGCTCACTGCAAGCTCCGCCTCCCAGGTTCATGCCATTCTCCTGCCTCAGCCTCCTGAGTAGCTGGGACTACAGGCGCCTGCCACCACGCCTGGCTAATTTTTTTGTATTTTTAGTAGAGATGGGGTTTCACTGTGTTAGCCAGGATGGTCTTGATCTCCTGACCTCGTGATCCACCCGCCTCGGTCTCCCAAAGTGCTGGGGTTACAGGTGTGAGCCACCGCGCCCGACTGGTTTCATTTTTAAAAACTGGAGATTTTGAGTTGATGTGTAACACATTTTAATTTTTCCCAATTAAAATAGTGTGAAATATGCTTCATTTAGCATTTTCAGGAACAGGTTGGTGCTCTCAACTAGGAGATTCCTGTGTTACTATTGTTTCATCATCTTAGATCAGCCAGTGATATGGTGGTTCTTTAAATGTATTGGGTATATATTTCCTATGGTCATTTTTTTCTGAATGCCTTCCTGCTGCCCACTGTATTTCAAGTAGCATTTTTCAAATTTATAGTATTTAGCTTATCATTTTTATGTTTTGTTTCTTTGGGTTTTTTTTGAGACAGGGTTTTGCTCTGTTGCCCAGGCTGGAGCATAGTTGCACAATCACAGCTCACTGCAGCCTCCGCCTCCTGGGCTTAAGCAATCTTCCCACCTCAGCCTCCCAAATAGTTGGGACTACAGGTGCGTGCCACCATGCTCAGCTAAATTTTTATTTTATTTATTTATTTTTTTTAGAGACAGAGTTTTGCCATGTTGCCCAGGCTGGTCTTGAACTCCTGGGCTCAAGCAATCTGCCCACCTGGACCTCCCAAAGTACTGGGATTATAGGCGTGAGCCACCATGCCTGGCCTTTGTTCTTTTTTATTATTTTTATGGTACTTATTTAGATGTAAGTTTAAGTTTGGGGTTCATAGTTATAATCATACTATGTGCATAACTTTATCTCCTTTGTAACATAAGTAGTTTTCCATCCTGTGATAGAATCTTGCTCTATTTCTTCATAGTGATAGATTGCCTTCCTCCAGTACTTACCCATTTTCCCTTGTATTTTTATTTTTATGATGCCTTCTTATGTTTGCATAACATTTAATATACTAGACCATAAACAAATGTTAAAAAGATCTGAACTGTCCAAACTGTATTCATTCACTCAACAAATATTTATTGAGTGCTTAATATCTGGTAAAGATTCTTCTAGCTTCTGAGGACAAGCAAATAGGCAGATAAGGCCCCTGTTTTCTGATAGGAGAGACAAAAAATAAACAAAAATATAACATAGGCTACTGCCACTGAACACAATGGAGCAAGACCAACAAAAGTGTAAACAAAGCGCAACCACTTGGTAATTCAGAAGAATCACTTTTAATTTTCATTAAGTGAAAGGGAATTCAAAACTACAATTACAGGTACTTGTAAGATAGTGAAAATAAGAATATTATATAACAATATTCAGAATTGGACCAAACATGAATTATATCACTTGGGATTCAGATCAGCTGCATATAACATCCCCAGATGGTGGGTTAATCAAATTAGAAATATCTTTTCTCCTAATGTCACAGAAGCCTGATTGTAGGTGAACCAGAGGTTGATACAGTGGCTTCTCAGTGTCATCAGAGACTCAGATTCCTGTCTTCTTTGACATTGAACAGACGACTTTCATTCTGCAGTTTACTTCATGGTTCATAATGGTTGCTAGAGCTCCAGCCATCATGTTGGCATTCCAGCCTTCATTTTGAGTAGACAGTACAAAGATGTGTACAAGAAGGGCACATCTTCTTTCTTTTAAAATTATTTGCATAACTCTTCCATTTACATCTTGTTAGACAGAACTAGGTGTCTTAGCCACCCCTTGCTAGAGGGAGACTGGGAAATAGGTTCTTTTAGCAGAGCAGAGTCGGCCCTCTGTATCCACAGGCTGTGTCCTTGCAGATTCAACCAACCACACATTGAAAATATTCAGAAAAAAATAACAATACAACAATAAAAAAATACAGTGTAAAGACTACCTAGCGTTTACATTGTATTAGCTATTGTAAGTAATCTAGAGATTATTTAAAGTATATTGGAGAATGTGCATAGATTAAATGCAAATATGACATCATTTTATATAAGAAACTGGAGCATCCATGGATTTTGCCGTCCATGAGGTTCCTGGAACCAATCCCCCATAGATCATATATTGCTGTGACCAAGTAGCTCAAGCATGCTCTGTATTTTTTTTTTAAACTCTTAAGTTCAAAGGTATATATGCACATTGGTTACATAGATAAACTTGTGTCGTGGGAATTCGTTGTACAGATTATCTCATCATCCAGGTATTAAGCCTGCTACCCATTTGTTTTTTTCCTGATCCTCTCCTTCCTCCCATTCTCCACTCTGTGATAGGCCCCAGTGTGTGTTGTTCCTCTCTATGTGTCCATGTGTTCTCATCATTTAGCTCCCACTTATAAGTGAGAGCATGTGGTATTTGGTTTTCCATTCCTGTGTTAGTTTGCTAAGGATAATGGCCCTGCAGAGGACATGATCTTGTTCTTTTTTATGTCTGCAAGGTACTTTGCTTATAAGGACAAAGGGGAGAATAGGGATTGGTGGGCAACTAGTTATCTACTAGTTACCTCAGTAAGCTAAGCATTAAATCTAAGAAACAGCAAAATAAGCCTATGGAAATTAGGAAGAAGGAAAGAATCAAGGTAAAAGAAAAAATAAATTAATTTGGAAAAAAAAAAGAAACCCAAATATTTGACAAATCGGAGATTATTGATGCCTGTTACCAAAGTAATCTCAATGGTTTGGTGGAGATGGACGGCAGATTGTCATAATGTTTGGCAAGAAAGAGAATAGATGGTCATCTTGGGAGGAAGGGTCACAGAAGGCTTTGGGGTTTGTGGGGGTGCTTTGAGGGGAGGGTTGTTGGTCTGTTGGTTTGAAGTGGGGAGACTTGAACATGGACACGTAGGTAGAAAAGAAGATGTAAGAGAGTTGATGTTTATATATCTCAGTAGAGATACATTTTATTTCTAATATCTAGAATAATGGTTTCACCTGTTTCTCAGGATTCTTGAGTTATTGTGATATATGTGTAAATGGTTTGTACTCGTTCAACAGAGTGTCGTAAGATTAAAAAAAAAATTAACATGAGTCCGAGACTCCAAGTTGGAACTAAGGTCACTTAACAAGGTTTACTTGAAAGTGATTTTTTTTTTTTTTTTTTTTTTTTGAGATGGAGTCTTGCTGTCTCCCAGGCTGGAGTGCAGTGGCGTGATCTCGGCTCACTGCAAGCTCCGCCCCCCGGGTTCACGCCATTCTCCTGCCTCAGCCTCCCTAGTAGCTGGGACTACAGGCGCCTGCCACCACGCCCGGCTAATTTTTTATATATATATATTTAGTAAAGACGGGGTTTCACTGTGTTAGCCAGGATGGTCTCGATCTCCTGACCTCGTGATCTGCCCGCTTCGGCCTCCCAAAGTGCTGGGATTACAGGTGGGAGCCACCGTGCCCGGCTTTTGAAAGTGATTTTTATTTGTTTTAGGTCACATAGATCATGGATTTTCACCTAGCAGAGAACTGGGGGAGGGGGCACTCCAAGAGCACCCGGGTGGTTTGAACTGACATTTTAAAAAATAACCATTGCTTTCAATTTGTTTTTAATGATATTTACTTTGAAATTTCAAATAGCATTGAAGGAACATTTTCATGTTTATCAAAAGTGGTTTGGGATTTAAAATGATGGTGACCCATTGCCACAAACAGATAACAAAGAAGTCATCGTGCCGCCAACCCCCCCACAACCCCCCGCCTTGACTAAGAGACCAGTGGCATTTTACCCCATTACCAAGTAGATTTCATCCTCCTTAATTTCTTCTACATGGAATCATTCACGGCCATTCATCTCACCACTTGTTTAAAAATTTTTAGCCTGGCTATTGCCATTTTGGAGATTAGAGTTGAACCTTTTTATGAGAATCATCATGTTTGATTTATGAAAAAAAGAATTTACAGGAAAGGGAAATAAAAAAGAATGATCAGAAGCTAATTTCTTTTGCTCATTGAAACTAGAAAGAAGGAAGCACTTTCTCAAGTTGACATTTGAAAACCTTTATTAGTGCATTTGGGAAATGAAGATAATAGAAACTATATGGGTTCTATTTGATTTATGGCAGTGTGAAGATGGCTTGCTCTTCTGATGTGGGTCCATAAGAAACTCATGTACATGGCAAAAACTCATTTGCCACTTTCATAGGAATAAAAAAAATTATGCCATTAGTTCCTTCATAGTCTGAGATATTGGATTGAAATAAATACCATTTATATTCAGCCATTTGCACCTTCCCTTCCACACACTGGGGGGAAAAATGTGTTTTGCCTGTTAGAAATGTTAAAAATCATGTAAATAAAATTTGAGCAGCTCTTAGAGTTTGTTAGCTTTTTCTCTACCAGTTTTAGAATCTTTCTGATGTGATATTTTTCTAGCTTTGGAGCTTGTGAAAAAAGGAAAAAAATTTATCTATCTATCTATCTATCTATCTATCTATCTATCTATCTATCTATCTATATATATATATTAAAAACCTGAAGGGATATATCATCATTCATTTCTCCTCCTAACACGTGAACCACATCACGAGATGTGGGGAGACCCCGACCTGGTCCAGTGGCTGAAGGAACACTTCATTTTATTTTTGTTCACTGTTATCTGTTGACTCCATTGACTTTCAAAGCTAACTATTTAAAGATTTATATCACCAGAAAGCACATTTCCCTTCTTTTCTTCTCCTGGCTTATGAAAGCAAATTACCATCTTTTGCCTTTATGTTCTTTGAAAATATCTGGTAGACCCTGAAAAACACTGGAGAATTCCCAGGTTGTAGGTCCATTTGTCTGTTTATAACCCATTATGACATGACCATGTCTTCACCATTCCTCCTAGCGTAAAGGCAGTGATTCTTTTTGGACTCTGGTTGCCATTTTTTGGGTTTGGTAGGACTGAGGACAGGGATTAGAGGAAAGCTAGAGACTGCCTAGTTTTCTAGAACTTCCTCATAATCTCTGAAAGGGAAATAGGGAAGTAGAGAAGCAGAGTCCA
Source organism: Homo sapiens (assembly GCF_000001405.40). Lineage (NCBI taxonomy): Eukaryota > Metazoa > Chordata > Mammalia > Primates > Hominidae > Homo > Homo sapiens. Next base: position 72,661,895 of record NC_000007.14, on the reverse strand, counting down.
CAACAAACACAAACCTACCACCTTTGGTGTCATTCTCAGATCAGGAAAACAAAACAAAACCCAAAACAAAAAAACTACCACCTGCCCATCTCTTAGTGGAGGTGCAGTTTGAATACAGTCATTTCATTATCAAACACAAAGATTATATCCTACAACATCTGTGTGATAGGGGAAGTCAAGTTTGAAGAATTAAGCTCTTTAAAGCAAAATTTAAATCAAAGTTGGGAATTGTAGCAATCAGTGAAAACCCTTCTAAATATTATGTTCATTTAGCAAAAGGACCAAGGAAATAATGTTGAATAGAGAATATTAGTAACATTTTATACACCTTTAATTAGTAATGAGTACTATTCAATGAATTTCTACTTTTCTGTTTCTTTCTTGCAACTAAAATTTCAGATTCTCCTACAGCATCCACGTGATAATTATAAATTTGTTTTGTCCTGTGTTTGTGCATAGTAAATACAGGCCTTGTCTTTTTTTTCCCCCCTGTCTGACCCATGACTGAGCTGTTGACTTTCAGGGTCCACTGGGCTCAAGAAACCCAGAGAATTTCGTGCTTGAAATTAAAAACCTGTGGGTAAATTTTATTTAATCCATTTAATGTATCCTATTTCAAACTTAGTTTCTAACACATTAGTTACCTATAGTGCCCCCCCGCCCCCCACCAGACCTCCCTAGAATTCAGCAGAGCTGCTCCAATTATTCAGCTGATTCTTTTCCTCCCATTATATTCTTCTTCTTCTTCTTTTTTTTTTTTGGAGACAGAGTCTTACTCTGATGTCCAGACTGAAGTGTAGTGGCGAGATCTTGGCTCACTGCAACCTCCGCCTCCTGGGTTCAAGCGATTCTCCTGCCTCAGCCTCCCGAATAGCTGGGATTAAAGGTGCGTGCCACCACGCCTAGCTAATCTTTTGTATTTTTAGTAGAGATGAGGTTTCATGTTGGCCAGGCTGGTCTTGAACTCCTGACCTCAGGTGATCCACCCGCCTCAGCCTCCCAAAGTGTTGGGATTACAGGCATGAGCCACTGTGCCTGGCTCACCATTAGAACCTAATTCTAAAGTGCATTTTTAAGGCCTGGGTTTGTTTTGTCTTTTAATTCTTACTTGTGACTGTAATCCAGAACCTTCTACTGCTCTGCCTTTTATTTTATATCCCTTTCTCTCTTACCAATACCTAGGTCTTTCTCTTTCCTAATGTCTCCTTTAGGAGTGATTCAGAATTCTTATATATTTTCATTTAAATCTTCACAGTTAAGGAAAATACATAGAGGAATATATCTATAAGCAGTAGCAGGATTTTGCAAACGGGAAACTGGTGTTCAAACAAGAATCATTGTGTCGGATGGCAGAATCTGAAAGTAGTTCTTTCTCAACAGAAATGGTAGAGACTGGTGTGAGGGGTTGGGAAACTGCAGCTCAGGGCCCAAATCTGGCGTGACTTGTTTTTATAAATAAAGTTTTATTGGAACAGCCATGCTGCTGCTCCTTTTTTTGTTTGTTTGTTTGTTTGTTTGTTTGGAGACAGGGACTTGCTCTTTTGACCAGGCTGGAGTGCAATGGCCCAATCACAGCTCACTGCAGCCTCGATCTCCTGGGCTCAAGCGATCCTCCCACCTCAGCCTCCCCAGTAGCTGGGACCACAGGCATGCACCATCACACCTGGCTAATTTTTAAAATTTAATTTTAGTAGAGATGAGGTCTTGCTATGTTGTGCAGGTAGGTCTCGAACTCCTGGCTCATGTGATCTTCTCACCTTGGCCTCTTAAAGTGCTGGGATTGTAGGTGTGAGCTGCCACACCTGGTCGCCATGATTCTTGTTTACATATTGTCTGTGGTGCTTTCCTGCCACACTGGCAGAGTGGGGTAGCTGCCACAGAGACCATTTGGTTCTCAAAGCCTAAAATATTTACTATGTTCACATGTTATTTATAGAAAAAGTTAACTGACCCCTGGATTAGACTCACCATTAGGATACTCGGAAACTGCTCTGCTAAGGCTTTACTCATGAATTGCCATATCTATAACGGCTTCCTCGTTCATCCTCCTGAATGCAGTGCTGTTTCACCTTGCTCACCATCAGTTGCCTCTTGAAACTCTCTCCTTTGGGGGTTTTAGAAGATTTTGCTCTCATTGTTTTTTTCTTCTTTGCTGGCATCTTCCCCTCGTCTTTTGACAATCTTGCTTGAGCATATCATTGTATCCTCCCTCACCCCACCACCCGGTTTGCACACCTAGGTTCTGTTTCCGTATTTTGACCTCAACTTGCCTCTTACACATATTCACCAGTTTTTTGTTTTTTTCTTTTCTTTTCTTTGAGACAGAGTCTCCTTCGGTCACCGAGGCTAGAGTGCAGTGGCATGATCTCGGCTCACTGTACCCTCAGCCTCCCGGGTTCAAGTGATTCTCCTGCCTCAGCCTCCCTAGTAGCTGGGACTACAGGTGTGGGCCACCACGCCTGGCTCATTTTTGTATTTTTAGTAGAGACAGGTTTCACCATGTTAGCCAGTTTGGTCTTGAACTCCTGACCTCTGGTGATCCACCTGCCTGGGCCTCCCAGAGTGCTGGGATTGCAGGCGTGAGCCACCACGCCCTGCCATATTCATCAGTTTTTTGCTGGCACCTTGGAATCTAAAGGAACACAACTGAGCTTATTGTCTCTGTTCTGAAGCCTGCCTTCCTCCTTGCTAGCTCCAGCTGTGTAGTTCTCCAGTCACACCACACCGGGGGTGGGAGGTCATTTTTCTGTTCTTGTCACATTTAGCCCCAGCCTTCACAGTTGCTAGATGATGTTTATATTAGGTTTCTTGGGCTTTCTTCCTAATGATTAAGGTAATACATGCTGAATGCATGCTTTTTAAATCTTATGTTTATGGGTGGGTGTGGTGGCTCATGCCTGTAATCCCGGCACTTTGGGAGGCCAAGGTGGGCAGATCACTTGAGGTCAGGAGTTCAAGACCAGCCTGGCCAACATTGCAAAGCCCCATCTCTACTAAAAATACAAAAATTAGCTGGGTGTTGTGGTGCACGTCTATAATCCAAGCTGCTTGGGAGGCCGAGACAGGAGAATCGCTTGAACACGGGAGGTGGAGGTTGCAGTGAGCCGAGATTGTGCCACTGCACTCCAGCCTGGGTGACAAAGCAAGACACAGTCTCAAAAAACAAAACAATACAAAATAGTCTTATGTTTATATATGTAGATGTATATTTGTACATACATATCCATATTGTTTTAATGTATCATGCTATATGTATAATGTAGTTTCTTTTTAAGGAAAATAATTACTTTATCAAATTTGCTCTCATAAAATATACAGAAATATAAAAATGAAAACCACCCTGGTTGGACCCCCATTTCCTTCCCGCTTAAGTTTCATTCCCTAGAAGGAGTATCTATTTATAATTTAGAAACCATCTTTATTGACGTGTTTAGTTTATACTAACTATACTTGAATTTTTAAAGTACAAATTGGATCGTGCTTTGCATACTGCCTACAAGTTGCTTTTTTTGTTTGTGTAACAATATTTTTAATGTGTTTTACCTCTTTGTATACAAGCAGTTTTACCTCAGTGTTAAATTAGTTGCATTTTATTCCATGGATATGTCATTCATTTTAATGACTTTCTTTTTTTTTTTTTTTATTGAGACGGAGTCTCGCTCTGTCACCCAGGCTGGAGCGCAGTGGCGCGATCTCAGCTTACTGCAAGTTCCACCTCGTGGGTTCACACCATTCTCAGCCTCCCAAGTAGCTGGGACTACAGGCGCCCGCCACCACACCTGGCTAATTTTTTTGTATTTTTTTAGTAGAGACGGGGTTTCACTGTGTTAGCCAGGATGGTCTTGATCTCCTGACCTCATGATCCACCTGCCTTGGCCTCCCAAAGTGCTGGGATTACAGGTGCGAGCCACCGCTCCTGGCCCATTTAACGACTTTGTGATAGTTACTTCCATTTGTCTGTGATTATAAACAGTTGAGCATACTTTTATTTTTCAATAAACTTGTATTTTGGAACAGTTTTATGATGGTAGATATTCTTTCACTTCCAGATATAGGACTCCCTTAAACATTTCTTGTACAGTCAGTCTAGTGGTGAAGAATTATCTGTTTTTACTAGTCTGGGAAAGACTTTATTTCTCCTTCATTTCTGAAGGATAGTTTTGCTGGATGTAGTATTTTTGATAAGCAGTTTTTTTCTTTCAGTACTTTGATTGTATCATCCCATTCTCTCCTGTTCTATAAGGGTTCTGCTAAGAAATTTGCTCTTAGTCTAATGGAGATTCCCTTATATATGACTTGACACTTGTTGTTTTTAGAATTCTCTTTCACTTTTGACAGCTTGACTATAGTGTGCCTTAGAGAAGACCTTCTTGGATTGAATATATGTGGGGATCTTTGAGCCTACTGTATCTGGTTATCTATATCTCTCTCTCAAGACTTGGAGAAATTTTAAACTATTATTTTATTAAATAGGTTTTTTATACCTTTGTCCATTTCTTCTCTTTCTGGAACTCCTGAAATTCAAATATATGTTTGCTTTATGGTGTCCTGCATGTCACATAGGCTTTCTATATACTTTTAAATTATCTTTTTTAAAAAAATCTGAGTTGTTTCAAAAGCCTTGTCTTCAAGTTCAGAAGTTCTTTCTTCCACTCTAATCTCGTGTTGAAGCTCTTGATTTTATTTTTTATTTCATTCATTAAATTCTTCTGTTCCAAGATTTCTGATTTGGTTCTATTTTAGGATATCTGTATCTTTGTATTGTTGATCTGTGTTATAATCCACTGAGTTTCCCCAAGATCATTATTTTGAATTCTTTTCAGGCATTTCATAAATTTCCTTTTCTTTGAGATCTTTTACTGGAGAATTACGATTTTCCTTTGGAGGAGATATTGTTTGGTTGTTTGTCCCCTCCAAATCTCATGTTGAAATGTGATCCCCAATGTTGGAGGTGGGGCCTGGTGGAAGGTGTTTAGGTCATGGAGACAGATCCCTCAGGAATGAGTTGGTGCTGTCCTTGTGATAGCGAGTGAGTTCTTGCAAGACCTGGTTGTGTAAAAGTGTGTGGCACCTTTCTCCTCCTTTGCTCTTGCTCCCACTCTCACCATGTGATGCACCTGCTCCCCCTTCACCTTCCACCATGAGTGTATGCCTCCTGAGGCCTCACCAGAAGCAGGTCGCAGCACCATGCTTCCTGTACACCCTGCAAAACTGTGAGCTAATTAAACCTCTTTTCTTCATAAATTACCCAGCTTTAGGTATTCTCTTTTTTCTTTTTTTTTTTGAGACAGAGTTGCTCTGTCACCCAGGCTGGAGTGCAGTGGCGCGATCTCGATCTCAGCTCACTGCAAACTCCACCTCCCAGGTTGAAGCGACTCTCATGCCTCAGCTTCCCAAAGTGCTGGGATTATAGGCATGAGCCACTGAGCCCGGCTAAGTATTCTTTTATAGTGGTGCAAATGGACTAACACAAGAGGTATCATGCTTTCTTGCTTCCTCATCATTCTTGTGTCCTTATCATTGATATCTTACACCTGGTTTAATGATCCCTTCTTCCAATTTTATGGATTAGCTTTCAGAGGCAAAGACTTTTTCCTGTAGATGTATTTATACTGTTGGTTGGGTAGTAGTTCTGGGTGGGTGCAGCAGTGTAGTCTTTTTATGACTTTTTGGATTGTAATCAATGTCAGTGGTGTGTGAGAGTTCCTCTCAGTGGCATAGGCTGTGGTTGTTAGTGGAGGCTGTGGTAGGGCTTTGCTGGGAAGGGGATATCAGCCCAATCATTTGTAAGGCGCCAGTCAGTGGTGGTGGCAGCATGGCCCTGGATGGCAGACAAAGATGCCAGTAGTGGCTGTGGGGTCCTGGTCGGGCCAGTCTTTGGGCCTCCAGGTGGCATGCTCATGCAATAGTGGTGGCAGTCATGGGCTGGGCCTGTGGGTTCTTAGGCCCCAGGCAGTGTGCCATGGCGCTGGCTCTAGCAGTAGTGGCAGTGGACCAATCCTCAGGCCCCTGGGAGACATGCAGTTGGTGACAGTGGGCGGTGACAGGTGGAGTGGGTTGATCCCCAGGCTCCTGGACAGTGTGTGCAGATGGGCAGACACATCTTCATGCCCAGAGAAACCACGTTTTCAGGGCACCTGAAGGTGTATGCAGGTACATTGGCGGCCCTGCCAGGGGTTGCTACCGGTGACTATGGCCCTAGGCAGGTAGCTCCCAGGCTTTGGAGAACACATGTTTTGGCTCTTTTTGTCCTGGGAGTAGTCATCTTGGTGTGTTGGCCATCTGTTTCCCAAGGTATAGGACATGGGGTGGACTAGAGTGCTGGGGACCTGGCCACATCACTGGGTCTGGCTGGCGTTGTGCTGCTACAGCCTTCTGGAAGAACATGGGGGATGCCAGCAGGGCTCCAGGGATGTGGAGATGCAGGGGCTATTGGGCTCCAGGGCAGGATGCAGTCTGGTGGGGGTTGAGCTCAATACGGTGCTGTGATGTAGTTGCTTGGGGCTCCTGGTGTGAGTGGGACCCAGTGTGAATTCTCTCTCTGGAACGGTTAGTCATGTGGATTCCAGAAAGCCTCCTGTACCAGGCTTAGGGCTTGTGAGAGCTGAGGGACTCTTCTGGGGGTAGGGTTGCAGGTGTCAGTGGTGGGGATGTGGGCCACTGGGGACCTCTCACTTACCTTTCCCCTCTCCTTCTGTGTCTTAGACATTCCCAATCACTTCCCTGCCAAAAATCCCATATTGTCTCTTAGATGCTCTTTTCGAGGTGTGGTTATCTACTTGCTATTCTGGTCCTTCTTTGTGGAGGAGGTGAGTACCAAGCGCCTCTAGTCAACCATCTTGATGACATCTCCTATGACAGTTTTAGATTTACAGAAAAATTACAAAGATAGTACAGAATTCCCATGCACACCCCCTTTCCCAGCACACACCGTTTCTGTTATTGTTAACGTCTTACATTACTACGGTTCATTTGTTACAATTTATGAACCAATATTTTTTGTTGTTTATTTTTTGAGATGGAGTCTCTCTCTGTCACCCAGGCTGGAGTGCAATGGCACAATCTCGGCTCACTGCAACCTCTGCCTCCTGGGTTCAAGCAATTCTCCTGCCTCAGCCTCCCAAGTAGCTGGGATTGCAGGTGTCAACCACCACGCCTGGCTAATGTTTGTATTTTCAGTAGAGATGGGGTTCCACTGTATTGGCCAGGCTGGTCTTGAACTCCTGACCTCAGGTGATCCACTCGCCTCAACCTCCCAAAGTACTGGGATTACAGGCGTGAGCCACCGTGCCCGGCCTATAACCAGTATTAATACATAAAATTCATACTTTTATTTAGATTTCTTTAGGTTTGGCTGAAGGGATGCCCCTTTTATATTCCAGGATCCCATTCAGGATAGCACCTTACATTTAATGGACTTACTTCCTTAGGCTTCTCTAGGCTGGACAGTTTCTCAGACTTCCCTTGTCTTTGATACCTTGACAGTTTTGAGCAGGACTGGTCAGGTATTTTGTAGAATGTCCCTTGATTAGGATTTTTCTGATACTTTTCTTATGATTAAATTGTGCTTATGTGTTTTGGGGAGAAGACCAGAGAGCTGTAATAGAATTTGTATATATTAAGGCTCATTCTTTGTGCTATAAAGTTCTGTGATTTTGATTAGTAAAGACTTATGTTTTAGGGGGAAAGTATGCAGTTTCTTACTGTTAAGTTTGCTATTAGCTGTAGGTTTTCTGTAGATATTCTTTATTATGTTGGGGAAGTTCCCCTTAATTCCTTGTTTGCTGAGGATTTTTTTTTTTTTTTTTTCTTTTTTGTGATGGAGCCTTGCTCTGTCGCCCAGGCTGGAGTGCAGTGGCATGCTCTTAGCTCACTGCAGCCTCCGCCTCCTGGGTTCATGTGATTCTCCTGCCTCCGCCTCCTGAGTAGCTGAGATTGCAGGTGTGCGCCACCACATGTGGCTAATTTTTGTATTTTTAATAGAGACAGGGTTCAGCTATGTTGGTTGGGCTGGTCTCAAACTCCTGACCTTGTGATCCACCCGCTTCGGCCTCCCAAAGTGCTGGGATCACAGGCGTGAGCCACCACGCCTGGCCTGCTAAGGATTTTATCATGAATAGACGTTGGCTTTTGTCAAATGCTTTTCATTGTCAATTGATATGATCATATTATTTTTCTGTACTAGCCTGCCAATGTGTGATGTTGAATGAATTTTGAATGTTGAACCAGCCTTGCATACCTGGAATAAATCCCAGCTGGTTAGCAGGTATATTATTATTATTATTTTTTGAGACGGAGTCTCGCTCTGTCGCCCAGGCTGGAGTGCAGTGGCATGATCTTGGCTCACTGCAAGCTCCGCCTCCCAGGTTCACGCCATTCTCCTGCCTCAGCCTCCCATGTAGCTGGGACTACAGGTGCTCGCCACCACGCCTGGCTAATTTTTTGTATTTTTAGAAGAGACGGGGGTTTCACTGTGTTAGCCAGGATGGTCTCGATCTCCTGACCTCGTGATCCGCCCGCCTCGGCCTCCCAAAGTGCTGGGATTACAGGCGTGAGCCACTGCGCCCGCCCTCTTTTCATTTTTGATATTGGTAATTTGTGTCTTCTCTCCATTTTTCTTGATTAGCCCGGCTAGAAGTTTGTTAATGTAATTTTATTTTTCCAGAGCCAAATTTTTGTTTTGTTGATTATTCTCTTTTGGTTTTCTCTTACCTATTTTATTGATTTCTGCTCTGACTTTTATAATTTCTTTTCCTCTGCTCGCTTTAGCTTAAATTGCTCTTGTTTTTCTACTTTCCTAAAATGAAGGATTCGATTACTGATTTTTTTCACTTAGTAATATATCATGATCCTTTGTCTAAGTATTATATTACCTCAAGTTTAAATTGCTGCATATTCATTAGTTGGGTTTGTCATGATTTTCTTAACCCATCTACTATTAAATAGCACTGCAAAAATTTATGTACACCTTTGCACATATTTCGGATCATTTACTTAAATTCTGGAAGGCAAATTCCAGGGATAGGAGGCTACAGTTGTAAAGTTTAACAGATATTTCCGAATTTGCCCTTTAGTAAGGTTACATCTCATGGTCTTGTCATTTTTGCACATTCTTACATGATGAAGTACAACTCCACATGTTAATATTTCATCATTATCAGCTTTATAAACAATAACATATATAAGTCTGATTTTTAATGTTAATGTTTTACAGTATACTATATCACTAAGGTGTATAAAAAGTGTACAGCTGACTTTCTGTAAGTTCAACTCACCAGTATAACTAGCACTCCAAAGGCATTTTTCCTGTTTCTTCCCTGTCATCCCCCACCTCCAAAGGTAGCCACTATTCCCAATCATTCAATATAGTCTTTTATTTTGACTAGCTTCTTTAGTAGCATTATGTCTATCATTTAGCCATGTTGTATGTAGTAATAGTTAATTTTTTTCATTGCTTTGAAGAATTCCATTGTAACAATGTCACAAAAATTTTTTTTTTTTTTTTTTTTTTTTTTTTTCAGACAGAGTCTTGCTCTGTCGCCCAGGCTGGAGTGCAGTGGTGCAATCTCGGCTCACTGCAAGCTGTGCCTCCCGGGTTCATGCCATTCTCCTGCCTCAGCCTCCCAAGTAGCTGGGACTTCAGGCGCCTGCCACCACACCCAGCTAATGTTTTTTATTTTTTTAGTAGAGGCGGGGTTTCACTGTGTTAGCCAGATGGTCTCGATCTCCTGACCTCGTGATCCGCCTGCCTCAGCCTCCCAAAGTGCTGGGATTACAGGCATGAGCCACCACGCCCGGCCCCAAACATTTTTAAGTTGCGCCAGAGGTGGTGGCTGCTGCCTGTAGTCTTACCGGGAGGCTGAGGTGGGCGAATCTCTTGAGCCCAGGAGGTTGAGGCTGCAGTGAGCTGTGATTGCACCACTGCACTCCAACCTGAGCCACAGAGCAAGACCCTATCTCTTAATTAATTAGTTAAAATTGTTTCCAATTTGTGTCTATTATGAACATTGCAACTCTGAATATTTTTATTACATGTGTCTATTGTAATATGTGTTTAATCATTTGTGATATTGAAATAATTTATATTTTTGTTAACAATTTCTGTTCTTTTTGAAGTATCTGTTTTGGTTCCTTGCCAGTTTTTTCTTTTGAGATGTTTGTGATTTTTTATGACTTGCAAACGTGTTTTATTAAGGACTTAAGGACTTAAGGTATGTATATACATATACATATACATGTAGACACATTTATCTATGTATTTTTAAATTTTTTAACTTTTTTGAGTTGGAGTCTCACTCTGTTGGCCAGGCTGGAGTGCAGTGATGCGATTTCGGCTCACTGCCACCTCTGCCTCCCGGGTTCAAGCAATTCTCCTGCCTCAGTCTCCTGTGTAGCTGGGATTATAGGTGCCCGCCATGCCCAGCTAATTTTTGTACTTTTAGTAGAGATGGGGTTTCACCATGTTGGCCAGGCTGATTTCGAACTCCTGACCTCAAGTGATCTGCCCACCTCGGCCTCCCAGAGTGCTGGGATTACAGGCGTGATCCACTGTGCCCGGCCTCTCTATTTCTTTTTTAAGGTATGATAAGACACAGGGATATTTCACCCTCCCCAAGTGGATAAATGATTGAACCAGCATCATTTGTTGGATAATTCATTCTGTACTTCCATGATTTGTAATGGTTGCCTCTCATAATTAAGTTTCCGTATATGCATGAATCTATTTCTGAGCTTTCTACTGTGTTATATCGGTTAGTTTTTCTCTCTTGTCACATTACCTCACTAAGTTAGCATAGCTTTATAGTAAGCCTTGTTTTCTAGCATAAAAGACATGCTATGTTCTTCAAAATTGTTTTTTTCCAAAATGGTCTTGCCTGTGCTTAGCCTTTAATTACATTTTCATATTTATTTTAGAATCAGTTTTTTGTTTTCACACACATACGACTTTGAGATATTGATTAGAATGCATTGAATTTGTAGGTTAATATGGAAAAGTTGCCATCTTTATGAAGCCATGTCTTCCATTTATTTTAAAATTGCCTGTCCTGTCACTTTAATTTTCTTCCACTAAAGCCTATGTTCTAATTGTAGATTAGGTTGGCTCTCTTTCTGAAATGTTAGATTACCACGTATCTTTTGGAATTTTGGTTTACAGGCTCATCTTGAGTAGGTGTTATTTTTGCATGCATGTGTGCTCTAACAGGCAGCTAGGTCCAATTCCTGGCCAGGAGCTTGTTTCATTGTATGTTTTAACCAGCTTTATTTGATTTTCATTTTATCTGTGTTGCAGTGGGGATGTCTCAGGAGATGAATTTATAGCACTTATTTGACCATGTGTCCATTATATATATATTATTTAGTAAATAATGCACATTAGATAAAGAAGGATTTTGCATGGAAGGCTTAATTTTTGGCATCCTAATGTTAGTGTAAGTGTGGTCTACTCTTCTTTCTGGGCTCATCTTCCTATCATTCCAGATTCACTTTCTTATGTGTCAGACATAAAGTAGAGTGCTGTACCCCCAGGCACATCTTGTCACTAATAAGCTTTCCAGGGAGGAAACTTTATGGGCTTACTTCACAGACTGAGTCACCTTCTAATGAGTCTGGTTTTTGTTTTTGTTGTTTTGCAAGACCAAGCTTCGGCACAGGGAGGTTAATTGATGGGTTAAAAACATTCTGGACTAGGCGCGGTGGCTCACTCCTGTAATCCCAGCACTTTGGGAGGCCAAGGTGGGTGGATCACGAGTTCAGGAGATCGAGACCATCCTGGCTAACACGGTGAAACCCCGTCTTTATTAAAAATACCAAAAAAAAAAAAAAAAACCAACAAAAAAAATTGGCCAGGCATGGTGGCGGGTGCCTGTAGTCCCAGCTACTCATGAGGCTGAGGCAGGAGAATGGCATGAACCTGGCAGGCAGAGCTTGCACTGAGCCAAGATTGCACCGCTGCACTCCAGTCTGGGCGACAGAGCAAGACTCTGTCTCAAAAAATAAAAATTCTGAACATCCCTGGACTGTAGAGTTTTTGCATTTGAATGATTAATTTTCCAGGGAGGGAGTATTTGCTGTAATATTTGGGACTTTGGGAACTTGTAGATTGGTACAAGTAATATTTCTGGAGAAATAGACCTGCTCTAGGGCTTATTGATTTTAGAGATGTATAGTTTGGGCTGCCCTATATTCCTTTAAAATTTACTTTGTCTCAGTCGTTTTGTGAAGCATAATTTGGCTGTCTTAAATATCCTTCTCATACCCTGTCTTCTGCACACATGGAGTCCAATTATTTCTATTCATTTGTATTTGATGCAGGAGTGATGGATAGATTTTGTGTGCAGGAACATTACCAGAGATTTTACTTTTGTCAGTATCCTCGGACATCCAAGTCAGTACGTTGCTTGAAGTCATGGGAGTCTGAGATGACATCCTGGTTTAGGCAATAACATGATCTTCTGCTGATTGATTTTTATGACATTGTTTCTCTTATTTCTGTTTAGTATTCTGTAGATAGGGCACCTCTCTTGTTCATCTTGTGGTGGTGGTTTTAGATTTTTCAGAAAGCTCTTCTCTCAGATGGAAAGTATATAGAGTAGCCCTTAGGATTTTATAGTTGCATCTTTCTTTCTCTAGAAACCTTACCACTTATTTATTCTCTTTCAGCTATTTTGTCTTCAGCTCTTTACATTTTGTATTCCTTACTAGTCATTCGTTCTTTGAGTATTCTCATTTCTTTGTCCTTTTCCATACAATTCCCATGTTGTAAATTTCTGCGTTCTGCTTCTCAGGGCACATGTCATTTTCATACTATGGACTGTCTTGTTCAAAATGTCAGTAAGCACCCTCACCTAATTTCTCCCAACCTCCAAAGGATGAGGAAACATTGCTCCATACTACTCATTTGATTTTCCCAAAGTGTAAATACCACAGTAGTATTTACACTAAAATTCCAGTGGGAATTTTATTTCTGCCATTACATGGTTACTTTGCTTACAGTACCTCTTTTTCACATTCTGCTGCCAGTGCTCTGAGCCTCTTCTGTGTGCATCTTGCGCCTCTCAGCTTTCTTGCACTCATCTCTTCTTGTGGTTTCACCCTCCGCTTACTCCTTCACACAGGTGATATCTTCCTGCACACTAACCAAGTTGCCGGGTGGATGTCAAGCTCTGTTTTTCTCTTTCCTGTTGTAAGTAACCTGTAGAGTACATGACTCTTCAAACTCTGGCCACACTGTCCTACGATTCAGTTGATGTGCATGATCTTCTTAGGTTCTACTGAACTCAAGGCATGTCTTTTCTACTCTCTACCAAATTTCTGATCTTTAAGCAGGAGAATTTTTTTTTTTTTTTTTTTTCTGAGACAGAGTCTTGCTCTGTCGCTCAGGCTGGAGTACAGTGGTGTGATCTCAGCTCTCTGCAACCTCCGCCTCCTGGGTTCAAGTGATTCTCATGCCTCAGCCTTCCGAGTAGCTGAGTTTACAGGCATGCGCTACCAAGTCCAGCTAATTTTTGTATTTTTAGTAGAGATGGGGTTTCACCATGTTGGCCAGGCTGGTCTCAAACTCCTGACCTCAGATGATCTGCCCACCTTAGTCCCCCAAAGTGCTGGGATTACAAGCGTAAACCACCACGCCTGGCAGAGCAGGGGAGTTTTAAGTATCTACTGTAATGGATAGCGGAGATCAGGCATATCAAGAGACTGTTAAACCCAATCAATCTCATCTTAAGTATCAATACTATTAAAAAGTGTATATGTATACATGTTTTCTGATCCCAAAACTTTTGTTGTATTTCTTTCTAAACCTTAATTTTTTTGGTGTAGATATATTTATATTATTAATGCCATGCTGCATGTATAAGTTTGTTTTCAGCTTTTAAAAAATTCATCATTGTAACATAAAAATTACTCCTTGCAGCCAGGTGTTGTAGCTAAGGCCTGTAATCCCAGCATTTTGGGAGGCCGAGGTGGGTGGATCACTTGAGGTCAGGAGTTCGAGACAAGCCTGGGCAACATAGCGAAACATCTCTACTAAAAAATACAAAAAAAATTGGCTGGATGTGATGGCATGTGCCTGTAGTTCCAGCTACTCGGGAGGCTGAGGTGGGAGGATGGTTTGAGCCTGGGAAGTCGAGGCTGCAGTGAGCTATGATGGCACCATTACATTCCAGCCTGGGCGACAGAGCAAAACTGTCTCAAAAAAAAAAAAAGTTACCCCTTGTCAACAAATACTCCTCTAAAACAGTTATTCTCAATGGGAACGAGGTACAAAAACATAAGTCTCCCTCTTTCTGAGAGTCACATCTAGATTGACCCTGCTATTGTTAGGAGGATGTTCCTCAGATATGTTGGGTTTCGTGACCATTGTTCTGAAATAACATCTTTAGTGTTAGCTAAAGGGTGATATCATAAATCATCTAGCCATTCCTTGGGATTGAACATCTTGTCATCATCTTGAGTTTGTAATGTCTCATTATTATAAAGCTAGAATAAACATGCTTATTCATCAGTCTTTGTTCATAATTTTCATCATGTCCATAGGCTACATTTTTAGAAATGCAATTACTAGGTCAACAGATTTGAATATTTTTCAGATTCTTTAATCATCTTGCCATGTTACTTTTCTAAACGTTGGTACTGAATTACACTCCCACCGTCAACGAACAAATATGCCTGTCGTGCTAAACTCTAGGCAGCACTGAATATTGCTGTTTAAAAAAAATCTTTGCCAATTTGATAAGCCCAAATAGTACCTCATTACTGCTTCAATTTGCATTTCTTTGATTACCAGTAAGTCAGTACCATATTTTAGGAGACCATTTTATCTTGTTTTGACACAGCCTCAACTACAGTATGTCTTGAATTGCAACTGTCAAGATAAATCATTGAAATTAAAAGCTGTAGTCCTGGGTTATAATAACCTCATCCAGTCTATGTAGCACTGAAAGCTGCCTAATTAGAAGCAACAGAACTCTAACTCATGACTATATATTTTTAAACTTTTTATTGTGGATTTTTATAATACTCAAGAGGAGAGAGAATAATATAACCAATTCCTTGTAGCCATCATCTTAGCTTTGACAACCATCAGCATTCTACAGTTCTGATTTTGTCTATCTTCCCAGTTTTGGCAGTAGGGAAGGCATTGGAATATTTAAAATCTAATAACAGACATAATATCATTTTATCCGTGAATACTTCCGTATACAACATATAAAGACTTTTTAGGGCCAGGCGTGGTGGCTCACACCTGTAATCCCAGCACTCTGGGAGGCCGAGGCAGGCAGATCGCTTGAGCTCAGGTATTTGAGACCAGCCTGGGCAACATAGCAAAACCTCGTCTCTACAGAAAAATTACAAAAATTAGCCAGGTGCGGTGGCACACACCTGTAGTCCCAGCTGCTTGGGGGGCTGAGGCAGGAGGATCACTTGAGCCAGGGAGGTGAAGGCTGCAGTGAGCCAAGATCGTGCCACTGCACTCCAGCCTGCACAACAGAATGAGACCCTGTCTCAAAAATAAAATAAAATAAAGACTTTTTAGGCCAGGCACAGTGGCTTATGCCTGTAATCCCAACACTTTGGGAGGCCAAGGTGTGCGGATCACTTGAGGCCAGGAGTTTGAGACCAGCCTGGCAATATAGCGACACCCCATCTCTACAAAAAAATTAAAAATAAAAAAATAAGCTGGACATGGTGGTGTGCACCTGTAGTCCCAGCTACTCAGGAGGCTGAGGTAGGAGAATCTTTTGAGGAGCCCAGGAGTTTGAATTCCAGGTACAGTGAGCTATGATTGTGCCACTGCTCTCCAGCCTGTGTGACAGAGCGTGAACCTCTCAACAAAAAACAAACGAAAAGACTTTTAAAATTTGGATGCCTCCTCCCAGTACTTTATATATATAATATATATAACATATAACATATGTAATATATATAATATATAATTATATATAATACATATATACATGATTTTTAATAAGTTTTTTAATTGGAGTATACCATACACACAGAAAAGGGCACAGGTCTTACATGAGCTGCTGGATGAATTATTACAAAATGAGCACAGCCAGCAAATAGCTCAAGAAATAGAATGTTAATAGCACCTTCAGAGTTCTTTCCTGGTCATCAGCCCCTCCCCTCTCTAAAAATAATTGCTATTTTGATTGCTAACACCGTAAGGTAGATTTGCCTGGTTTTGAACGTTGTGGAATCCTAACAATTTAAATTCTTTTGTGAATATATGTGTTTTTTCTTTATGTATGTTAGATTCATCCATGATGTGTGCAGCTGTAATTCACCCATTTTCATTGCTATATGTCAATGTATGAGTATGCCACGATTTATTCCTTCCACTATTGAGGGATATTCACATTGCATCCTGGTTGGGGCTATGATGAATAATTGCACTAATAACCTTTCTGTACATGTTTTTTGATATACACATGGACTAACTGATGTTCACTGTGTATTTGGAAGTGGAATTGCTGCCTCATTGGGTGTTCTGCGTTCAGTCATCATTAGTAGATAGTGCCAGACAATCGCAAGGCCATATAAGAACATTCAAGGCTTTGGTCAATGTTTCTTTTGCATTGTCTTTTTCTTATTGGTTTATAGGATTTTTAAATGTATTCTAGATAGGAGTAAATGTCCCTTTCTGCTCTATATCTTCTCTCTCCATTGCCTCATGACTTTTGATAAGAAGTAGCCAATTTCAATGTAGTCAGTTTATCAGGTGTCTTTATCTGGTGAGTGCATTTTATCCTGTTTAAGAAAGTCATGGCTGGGCGCGGCGGCTCACGCCTGTAATCCCAGCTCTTTGGGAGGCCGAGGTGGGTGGATCATGAGTTCAGGAGATCAAGACCATCCTGGCTAACACGGTGAAACCGCATCTCTACTAAAAATACAAAAAATTAGCCGGGCCTGGTGGCACACGCCTGTAGTCCCAGCTACTTGGGAGGCTGAGGCAGGAGAATCGCTTGAACCCGGGAGGCAGAGGTTGCAGTGAGCCGAGATCGCGGCACTGCACTCCAGCCTGGGTAACAGAGAGACTCTGTCTCAAAAAAAAAAAAAAAAAAAAAGGAAAGTCATGAAGAGAGTTTCTTATGTAATTTTCTAGACATTGTGTTGTTTTTCCTTCCTTTCACATTTTGAAGTCTGTAATTTTTTTAAAGTCATTAAAGTGGGGATTTTTTTCCCCACTGCAATGGGTATCCATTTGATTCAATGCTGTTTATTTTTTTAAAAAAGAATCCTTTCCTGCCCTGTTCTGCAGTGTCAGTTTTGTCATAAATTAAGCATCCTTACATGTTTGGGTCTGTTTTTATTTGTTTTTATTTATTTATATTTATTGATTGATTGAGACGGAGTCTCACTCTGTCGCCCGGGCTGGAGTGCAGTAGCACGATCTCATTTTACTGCAACCTCTGCCTCCTGAGTTCAAGCGATTCTTCTGCCTCAGCCTCCCAAGTAGCTGGGATTATAGGTACCCACCACCACGCCCAGCTCATTTTTGTATTTTTAGTAGAGACAGGGCTTCACCATCTTGGCCAGGCTGGTCTCGAACTCCTGACCTTGTGATCCGCCCACGTCAACCTCCCAAAGTGTTGGGATTATAGGTGTGAGCCCCAGCCCCCTACCTACTGTTGATTTTTTATAAATACTCCACCATACTGAAGAAATTTCCTTTTATTCCTAGCTTTATGTGACTATCTATTATCAATGGCTATTGGGTTTTTATCATATCATTTTTTTGCGTCTATTGAGATTATATGATTTCCTTTATTCTGCTAATATGGTGAATTGCGTTGATTTTCAAATAACAAACCAAATTCTATTCATGCAGTAAACTCATCTTGGTTACTATGTATTATCTTTTTTGTGTATCTTGGGATTCTTTTGTATACTATTATTTAAAAGATGTTTCCATTTCTGTTCATGAGAGATGCTGAACTGTCATTTTCTTTCTTTTAATGACTTTAAGTTTCAATATCAGTATTATGGTGACCTCATAAAATGAGTAAGGAGAATAGGGCCTCTTTTTCTGTTCTCTGGAAGAGTTTAGTATTTCAAATCAAACACCATAAATAATTGTAGGACCATTTAGATTTTCTGTTTATCAATTTTATTAAGTTGTGTTTTCTTTAAGACTTTGTACATTTCATTTAAATTTTCAAAATGACTTTGTGTAACTGCCCCTAATATTCAAATGCCAAATATCAAATATCAAATGCCAATTTGATAAGCCCAAATAGTACCTCATTCCTAATAATAGTATGCATATTTTTATTTCTTATTCTTTTTTTTTTCTTTTTTTCTTTTAAGATGGAGTCTGGCTCTGTTGCCCAGGCTGGAGTGCAGTGTTGCGATCTTGGCTGACTGCCACCTCCGCCTCCCAGGTTCAAGCGGTTCTCCTGCCTCAGCCTCCCGAGTAGCTGGGACTACAGGCATGCAACACCATGCCTGGCTAATTTTTGAATTTTTAGTAAAGACGAGGTTTCACAGTGTTGATCAGGCTGGTCTCGAACTCCTGACCTTAGGTGATCCGCCCACATCGGCCTCCCAAACTGCTGGGATTACAGCCGTGAGCACTGTGGCCGGCCTGTTTCTTATTCTTTCCATTAATTTGTAACTCTTGTTAAATTTTTTTACAAGTAATTTTTGGAATACTTGCCATCCTTATTTTATGGCATTTCTTCTATTAATTTCTGTTCTTTTGTTTCCTTTTTTCTTATATTTATATTATTGCTTACTTTTTAACATCTTGTACATAGTAAATTATAGATGCTCATCCTTTCCATTTTAAAATTAAGAAATAATTTACTTTGCATAAAAATGACTTTTTAAAGTATATAATTTAGTGGCTTTTAGTTTATTTACAAAACAGTGTGATCATGTGGATTATTTAATTTCAGAACTTCCAATAGTGTCTGTCTTCTTACAGTTAGTATAATGTTTTCCAAGTTAGCGCGTGTTATAGCATGAATCAGAACTTCATCTTTTTTTTTGAGACGGAGTCTCGCTCTATTCCCCAGGCTGGAGTGCAGTGGTGTGATCTTGGCTCACTGCAACTTCTGTCTCCCGGGTTCAAATGATTCTCCTGCCTCAGCCTCCTGAGTAGCTGGGACTACAGGCACCCTCCACCACACCGAGCTAATTTTTGTATTTTTAGTAGAGATGGAGTTTCACCATATTGGCCAGGCTGGTCTCGAACTGCTGACCTTGTGATCCACCTGCCTTGGCCTCCCAAAGTGCTGGGATTACAGGCGTGAGCCACTGCGCCCAGCCTAGAACTTCAGCTTTTTTGCTGAATACTATTCTCTTGGATGGATATGTACTATATTTTCTTTGTCCGTTCTTCAGCTGATGGACGTTGGCATTGTTTCCAGCTTTTGGCTGTTATGAGTAATACTGCTGGGAATATTCATGCACAGGTTTTAGTGTGAATATATGTTTCAGTTCACACTTACGAGTAAAATTACTGGGTCATATAGTAATTCTATATTTAACTTTTTCAGGAGCTGCCAACTTGAAGCACAAAAAGTTTTAACTTTGAAAAGTCCATTGTATCTTTTTTTCCTCCTTCTGTTGCTTATGTTTTTGGTGTCATATCTAATTGCCTAATGCAAGGTGACAGAGATTTACCTTATGTTTTCATCCAAGAGTTTTATTGTTTTAGCTCTTTGAGCAGTTTTGAGTTAATTTTGGTGGACAATGTGAGAGGTTCATTTGCCTGTGAATAACTAGTTGTCTCAGTACCATGTGTTGAAAAGACTATTTTTTCCCCATTGAATTGTCTTTGTACCCTTGTCAAAATCAATTGGCCGCTAAGTGTATGGGTTTTATTTGTGGACTGTCCAGTTCTGTTCCTTTGATCTTCACTTTTATCCTTATGGTGGTACCACATAATCTTGATTAACATAGCTTTGAGTACGTTTTGAAATCACAGTGTTTGAATCTTCTTTCTTCTTTTTCAAATTATTTTGGGTCTTTGGGTTCCTATGCATTTCCATATGCATTTTGGGATCAGCTTTTAAAGCCTGCAAAACAGGCAGCTGGAACTTTAACAGGGATTTAAAATTTTTTATTGAGGTAGCATTCACGTAACATAAAATGAACTGTTTTAACATGAACAACGAAGTGGCATTTCATACATTTACAGTCTTGTGTAATTATCACCTTTATCTAGTTCCTAAACATTTTTATTACTCCAACATAAATCCTGTACCCATTAAGCAGTTACTCCCCATACCTCGTAAACCAGTCCCTTATAACCACCAATCTGTTTTCTGTTACTATGGATATAGCTGTTCTGGAAATTTCATATAAATGGATTCATGTATTATGTGACTTGCTTTCATTCCTGGAATAAATCCCACTTGGTAATAATGTAAAATATTTTAATATGATGTTGTATTTGGTTTGGTAGTATTCTGCTGAGAATTTCTACATCATAAGGGATTGGATTATAGTTTTCTTTTCTGGTGATGTCTTTTTCTGGTTTGTTATGAAGATAATGCTGGCCTCGGAGAAGGAGGTGTGAAGTGTTTCCTCTTCTATTTTTTTTGGAAGAGTTTGAGAATATTCTTCTTAAAATGTTTGGCAATGAAGCCATCTGCTCTTAAGCTTTTATTTGTTGGGAGTTTTTTGATTGTTCAATCTCTTGACTTGTAGGTCTGTTCCGATTGTCCATTTCTCCTTGAGTCATTTTTGGTAATTTACATATTTCTAAGAATTTGTCCATTTAATTTAGGTTATCCACTTTTTTTGGTATATAGTTGTTCATAGTATTTTCTTATAATTCCTTTTATTTGTGTGAGGTTAGTAGTATTATCTCCACTTTCATTTCTGATTTTAGTTATCTGTGTCTTCTTTTTCTTAGTCTAGCTAAGGGTCCATTTAGTTGATCTTTTCATAGAACAGACTTTTGGTTTCTTTGTTCTCCCCAGTTGTTTTTCTGTTCTCTATTTCTTTTACCTCTGTTCTAGTCTTTGTTTCTCTTTCCTAACCCTGTTGGTTTAATTTACTCTTCTTTTGCTAGGTCTTGGAGGAGAGTTAAGTTAATCATGTCGTTCATATGTTCTGTGCTTTTACTCCTTTGTCTTTAATTGTTAGTTACGGAGAAAGTTCTTTTGTCTTATGTTATTGGTTACTGAGAGAGATGTGTACAAATGTTCCATTGTGACTATGGCTATGTTAATTTCTCATTTTAGTTATGTCAATTGTTACTTCATATTGATGCTATATTGTTAGGTACTAGTATATTGTTTATACTAGTTAAGAATTGTTACATATTTTTGGTGAATCGGCCTTTTTATAATGCCCTTCTCACCTTCTCATCTTAAAGTCTGTCTAATACTAGTAAAGCAACACTAGTTTTTTTTTTTAGGTCAGTGCTTGCATAGTACAACTTTTTTCTTTTTGTTTTTATTTTCAGCCTTTTTTGTATCTTTATATTTAAGTTATATCTCCACAAGACATTACCATTTTTGTGTCATGCAGTCAGTATTCATGATTTACCCAAAAATTTTCTCTTTAGTCTTTCGTGTGTCTCTGCTTCCATCTGAAGGACTTTTTAATAACATGTAATTGGGTTTGTTTTCTTAAACATTTGGAAAATTTTCATCTTTTTGAGTGTTTATCTGTTTGCATGAAATACGATAATTGATATAGTTGAATTTAAATTTAGCATCTAATTATTTGCATTATTTTCCTCCCCTTTTCAGCTGTCTTTTTCTCTATTTTTTTGCTTTCTTTTGTTTTTAACTAAGGAATTTTATTATAAGTTTTCCATTCTGTTGGTTTTTAATATTTATTTTTTTATTATTGTTCTTTTAGTTGTTGCCCTCGTGATTGACGCAGGCATGCTTGACTTATTAAAGTCAATGTAAATTAACGTTTATATCATTTTATAAGCAATAGCACTTAGAATACTTAACTCCATTAACTCCATCCCAACTTTTATGCTGTTTTTGTTGTACATTTTACTTTTGCATATTGTTTGAACCTCACATGACCTTACCATTCTTTTTTTTTTTTTTTTGAGATGGAGTCTCACTCTGTTGCCCAGGCTGGAGTACAGCGGCCCAATCTCAGCTCACTGCAGCCTCTGCCTCCTGAGTTCAAGTGATTCTCCTGCCTGAGCCTCCCGAGTAGCTGGGATTACAGGTGCGTGCCACCACGCCTGGCTATTTTTTTTGTATTTTTAGTAGAAACTGCATTTCACCATGTTGGCCAGGCTGGTCTTGAACTCCTGACCTCAGGGGATCTGCTCACCTCGGCCTCCCAGAGTGCTGGGGTTATAGGCATGAGCCACTGTGCCCAGCTAAGACCTTACCATTCTTGTTTCATACAGTCGGTATTCATGATTTAACCACAAATTTTCTCTTCAGTCTTTCCTATGTCTCTTCTTCCAGCTGAAGGACTTTTTAAAAAACAAACAAGCTGGATGTGGTGGCTCACACCTGTAATCCCAGCACTTTGGGAGTTCAAGGTAGGAGGATCACTTGAGTCCAGGGGTTCAAGACCAGCCTGGGCAACATAATGAGACCCTGTCTCTACAAAAAGTAAAAAAATTAACTGGGTATGGTGATGCACCAGTGCACTCCAGCCTGAGTGACAGAGTGAAACCCTGTCTCAAAAAAACAAAAAATTTAAAAAAAATTTAAAAAAATAAACACAATACCATTATCACTCCTAATACAATTAACAATGCATTTTAATGCATTTCCTGAAAATTCAAATGTATCTCATTTTCTCTGATAGTTTCCAAAAGAATGTGTTTTTATAACTTTTTTTCTCAGAGTAATATCTAAACAAGATTCTCACATTGTACTTTGTTTATACTTCTTGTAATGTGATTGCTCCAATCCTGTTTCCCTTTCTTGTGTGCTACTTATTTGTGGAAGAAGGTGGGTCATTTGTCGTTAGAATTTGCAACATCCCAAATTTGGCTGATTGAGTCCTTTTGGTATCTTTTAATATAGTCTGTGTTTCTTTGTAATTCCTGTAAAATGGTAGTTACAACTAAAGGCTCGATTGACGATATATTCAGTTTTTGGCAAGAATACTTAATAATTGTTGCTGTACTGTTCCCTAGTGCATCAATCAAGTGGCACACAACATCTGGTTGTTAAGATTGATTAGTGGATTTTCTACATAGATAATCATGCTATCTCTAAACAAAGACCGTTTTATTTCTTTCTTCCAAATCTGTTTTCTTTGTATTCCCCTGTCTTGTCTTACTGCATTGATTAGGACTTCCAGTACCATGTTGAAAAGCAGTGGTGAGAGAAGACATCCTTGCTTTGCTCCTGATATTAATGGGAAAGCTTCCAGGTTCTTGCCATTAAGTATGATGTTAGCTGTAGGTTTTTTGTAGATATCCTTATTAAGTTGAGAAAATTTTCCTAGTTTGCTGAGAGTTTTTATTATGAATGGGTGGTGAATGGTGTCATATGCTTTTTGGCATCTATTGATATAATCACGTGATTTTCCTTCTTTATCTTGTTGATGTGATGGATTACATTAACTGATTTTCAAATGTTGAATCAGCCTTACCTACAGGTGGGTTGCAGACAAACAACCCATTTTGTTTGCTTACATACAAATGGCAAATGGTTTTCCTGGGAGTATTTTAGTGGAGAACTGTGAGAAGCTCTATTGCACAGTGCTGGTCTTTTGTTTGATAACCAAGATGTCTGTAGTTAGACTGTTTGGGACATTTGTCACATTAGGACCCCCTTCCCCTATGCTCTTGGGATATTCTGAATTTACCATTATGCTGCTTATCAGATTAACATTTCTGCATGTGTTTTTTTCCCCCATTACAAAAGTTTTACTCATTTACTGTAGAAATTTGGGGCAATACAGGAAAACATAAACCCAAACAGGATAAATAAAAACATTTTATGAAATTTTTAAAAGCAGGCAGAGATAAAGAGAGATTACTTTCAAAAGAGCAACAATAGGCCAGTACTTGATTGCACAACAGAAATGAGAGCACAAACCATGGAGCCTCAAAGGGCTGAAATTTGCCAAGAGCTGCCAATCTAGAAGTCTGTTCCCAATGAAAATATTTTTCAAGAGTGAAGGAGAAAAAAAAAGTTTTGAAGAAGACAAAATGCCTACTTAGTAAAGGAAATAGGTTAAAAATCAATAAGCTAAATGCATATATTAAGAAGTTAATTGGTACCCACAATGTTTTTTTTTTTTTTTAAAAAGAAAAGAGCAGTAGATTAAACATAGAGTAAGTACTTGGAAGGAAACAAAAAGAGCAGAAATTAAGGAAATAAAAAATATCCATAAAATAGGATTATAAAAAAGCGAAAGTTGGTTATTCAAAAAATCTTACAAAACTGATGATTACCTGGCAAGTTTAATCAATAAAATGAGAGATGGTACAAATAAGTAATGTTAGAAATGAAAATGAAACATCACTATAGATCCTATAGACATTAAAAAGATAGGATATTTTGAATTACTTTATGCCAATTAATTTGGGAATTTAGATGAAATACACAAATTCCTAGAAAATGAAGCTTAAGAAAATTAATACTAGATGAAATGATCTACATGGACTTATAATTGTTAAATAAATTGCTTTTTTAAATTTAAAACCTCGTCCAAAGGAAACTCCAGGCCCAGATGATTTCATCGTTGAATTATACCAATTCTTGATGATACCAGTCATCAGGAGAACTAACACCAACCCTACACAACTATTCCAGAGAGGAATAGTAGCACTTTCCATCTCACTTCATTAGTTCAGAATAATTTTTTTTTGAGATGGAGTTTTGCTCTTATTGCCCAGGCTGGAGTGCGATGGCGTGATCTCAGCTCACTGCAACCTCCACCTCCTGGGCTCAATCACGCCCAGCTAATTTTGTATTTTTAGTAGAGATGGGGTTTCTCCATGTTGGTGAGGCTGGTCTCAAACTCCCAACCTCAGGTGATCCACCTGCCTCAGCCTCCGAAAGTGCTGGGATTACAGGCATAAGCCACTGCGTCCAGCCAGTTCAGAATATTTATACCAAATTCTAAGAAGAATAAGACAAAAGCGATTTTTACTCATAAGCATAGAAGCAACTATTTTAAAGAAAAGGTCAGCAAACTAAATACAGCAGTCTATAAAACCATGAAAAACTGGCTTTATTCTAAGAATGCGAGTTTTGTTTAACGTGTAAAAATCAACCTATTTATGATGTCATAATAAAAAAGAAAGCTGGTAGGATAAGGTTAATAGATGCATAAAAAGAATTTGACAGAAATCAATATTTATTTATGATTAAAATCTTGTAGCCAATTAGGATTAGAAGGAAACTTCCTAATCTGATAAAGATATTTACCCATAAAAGTCATACTTCTTGAGTAAATGTTTAAAATCTTACTGTGCAGAATAAGACAAGCATACCCACTATATTTGTCACCACTTCCATTTAACATGGAATCAAAGTTCTGGCTGGTGCTAAAAGACAAGAAAAAGGGGAAAAAGTTATGATTGGAAAGGAAGATGTCATTTTTAGTAAATAAATGTGTACATAAACAATCCTTTCCAAAATTTGTAATTATTCGCTTTAATAAATGTATTTTACAAGACTGCTATATAGATACACAGTCAGCTTACAAAAATCAGTTATATTTCTGTATACCAGCTATTAAAATATCAGTTAAATATTAGTTAAAAGAGGAAAAATAGAAAAGATAGTACCATAACAAAGCATCAAAAGTATATTACCTAGGAATAAATCTATGGAAATATGTTTTTGACCTTTATATTGAAAACTATAAAATATCATTGAGAGAAATTTTAAAGGATCTAAATAAAGGTAATTATTTTGGCAGATTCAGGGTTGTAAAAGTATCATTTCTCCATACACTGATTATATTTAATTATGGTAGCCACTAGCTACATGTGACCATTGAGTACTTGAAACATGGCTACCCTGAATTGAGCCGTGCTGCGCATTGGAATTCAAAGACTACACTTGATCTTAGCCAAAAGGCCAAGAAGAGATGGAATTCAAAGACTTAGTCTGGTAAAAAGAATGTCAGGTATCCCAATATTTAAATATTGATTTCTTCTTGAGTTGATAATTTTGAGGATATGTTAAGTTAAAATACATTTTTAAAAATTTCACCTGTGAACTTATATTTCTATTGAGCAACACTGGCTTATAGATTCAATGCCATATCAGGCAGAATCATAAAGGGTTGTATACGTTTATGGAAATTAGTAAGCTGATTCTAAAATGTACATGGATATGCAAAGGGCCAAGAATGGCCACCATACTCTTTCAGAAGGACGACATAAGAGAACTTGCTCCACTGTAGGATTTTTCAACGTTGGCACCATCGACATTTTAGACTGGATAGTTCTTTTCAGGAAAAGGGTTGGGGAGACTGTCCCGTGCATTGTAGGATATTCAGCAGCAGCCCTGGCCTTTACCCACTAGATGTCAGTAGCAGCCCCCATTTGTGAAAACCAAAAAATTTTCTCAAGATGTTGCTAATTGTCCCCTGCGGTGCAGAATCGCTCCTGGTTGAGAACCGTCTCTATTGGATATCAAGTCTTAGTGTAAAGCAACAGTAATTAAAAGTGTGATATTGAGACAATGAGAAACAATTAGATCAGTGGAACAGAATAGAAAAAACCAGAAGGAGACCCTCACATGCATAGACAATGATTCTATCATATTTATTACAGTGGACTATCCATATGTTAAATAAGTTTAACTTCTCAACACCACACGCAAAAGTCAGTTTTGGTGGATTTTTGACACAAATGTGAGTGGCAATATGATAAAACTTTAGAAAAAAATGTAAGAGCTTATCTTCATGCTCTTGATAGCATGGAATGATCCTTTAAAGAGACATAAGAAACACTAATATGAAAGAAACGCTAATAAGGAAAGAAAGTGGAAATGTATGAAAGTTAGGAATTCTTATTGATCAGAAGACATTGTGAAAAAAAGGAAGCCATAAAGTGGATGAAATTATTTCTAATACGTTTATAACAGAGCTTTTCTTTCCAGCAAATGCAAATAATTTATTGAAAATCAGTTGGAAAAAAGACAAATATTCCAACAGAGACATATTCAAGACATTTGAACCAGTACTTCACAAAAACAGAGATACAGATAGCCAGAAAACATATGAACTCAGCTTGCTTACATCTGCAGGCAGATGCAAAACCAAAACAATGCAAAAGTGGTGAAAACTAGCAACACTAAGTGTTGTTGAAGATAACAACCAACCAAAACTCTGATACAACGTGGGTGAAAGTGTGGCAAAATGTCTTTGGCAATCAGATTGCCAATATCTGCTAAGGTCGAATGTATACATATCCCCCATGACCCAGCATGTCCATATTTAGGTAGATCCTAGAAAATGTGTGTTCTTGTGCATCAAGAGACAAGTACAGCTGGGCACGTTGGCTCATGCCTGTAATCCTAGCACTTTGGGAGGCCAAGGCAAGAGGATTGCTTGAGCCCAAGAGTTCGAGACCAGCCTGGGCAACAAAGTGAGAGCCTGTCTCTACAGAAAAAAAAAAAGAAAAAAAAAAAAAGCTAGGAGTGGCAGCATGTGCCTGTAGTCCCAGCTACTCAGGAGGCTGAGACAGGAGGATCCCTTGAGACTGGGAGGTTGAGGCTGTAGTGGGCCGTGCTTATGCCACTGCACTCCAGCCTGAGTGGTGGAGCCAGACCCTATCTCAAGCCAGAAAAAAAAAAGGAGGTGGGGAGAGGGAGAGAGAGATGAGTACAGTAGCACTCATGGCAGCAGCATTTTCTAAGAAACCCAAAGTAGGGGGTTAAAATCGTTCGCTAGTAGTGTGTTCATACAATGTGGCCATAAAGATGTATTTATGGTGACACATAAGTACCATGCACTCTACTGGGCCACTGGAGCTCCAGTTACATCAACAGCATGAATGAATCTTGCAAACATCGAATTCACTGAAAGAAGCCAGACACAAAAGAATGTATGTCCCAGTAGCATTTTATAAAATTTCCTTAAACAGGCAAAACTAAACTCTGGTGTTCAAAGAGATAACCACATTGTTTTATAATAGCTAAAACCTGGACATAATCCAAATGTTTAGGGAATGGTTGAATAACTTGTTGTATATTCATGCAACCCAATACTAGATAATGAAAATGAACAAACCTAAACATGGAGCAACATAGGTGAATTTTATAAACACAGTGTTGAGTGATAGACACCAAACACAAAATAATGTATGATTCCACTGACGTAAATTCCAAACACAGGCAAAAACTAGACTATTATGTTAAAGTCAGGATATTAGATATTAGTCAGGTGAAGGGAGTGGATATTCACTGGGAGGAGCAGAAGGGTGTCTGGGTGATGGGCATTTTGTGATAATCCCTGGAGTTATACATTCATGTTTTGTGTACATTTCTCTTTGTGTTTCATCTCACAGTTTCAGAAGATTTAGCAAAGTGAGAGAGAGCCTATTCTGGTTCCTACTGTTGCATGACAGGTGAGCCCCAAAACTGGGGCTTAGCTTGGGAGGGTTTTTGGCTTTGTCCAGTAAAGAATTCAAGGGCAAGCCAGTGGTGTTAGACGGGAATCTTTTATTGAAGGGTACAGCTCCTTGCAGAGCAGGGCTAACTCATAGGCAGCGCACCCAGAATGGGCATTGTATGGGCTCCTGGCAACTGTATTTATGCACATATTTACATGCAAATTAAGGGGCAGGCCAATGCAAATAAAGGGGTGTGTTATTTAGAACTTTCTAGGAAAGGGGCAGTAACTTCTGGGTTGTTGCATGGCATTTGTAAACTGTCATGGCCCTGGTGGGAGTGTCTTATGCTAATGCACAAGAAGGCTATCTTGGGATCACCTTAGTGACCATCTGCTGGTTCCTGCTGGTTTCTTCACTTCATCCTGTCTGGACCTGTTTTGGTCAGCAGGGTTGTGACCAGAAAACAAGTCCTGCCAGTCTCCCACCTCACTACTGCTTGGGTTCACACCCCAGCTTTGCTGCCCTCCAGCTGTGTAACTTCAGGCAATTTACTTAACAGCTGTCAGCCTCACCTTCATATCTGTAAAGTGAAGGTAATAATCCAATCTATTTTGTGAGATTTGTTGTAAAGATTAGACAGACATTGGAATCTTTGCCAAGCTACAAAGCACTTTATAACAACAGCTGCCACATAGTAAGGGCTGAGTAATTGCAAACTCCTGCTATTATTTTTATGGTTACTGTTGCCAGTTTATTTGTTCAGATGAATTGTAAACTCTCATTGGAATTACATTATATTTATAAATCCATCATGGCTCTCCATGTAGATTGGTTTTTGTTTAGGTCTCTTAGAAAAGTTTATTTTACTCACTGTCCTGCATGCTATTTCATAATTTAATCATTAGGAATATATATAATATATATGTATATATGTGTATATATATATTTTATATATATATGTATATATATATTTTATATATATACGTATATATATATTTTATATATATATGTATATATATATTATATATATATACGTATATATATAATATATATGCGTATATATATAATATATATAATATATATACGTGTATATATATATAATATATATAATATATATACACGTATATATATATATACACGTATATATATATATATATTTTTTGGAGACAGGGTCTTGCTCTGTCACCCAGGCTGGAGTGCGTTGGTACGATCATGGCTCACTGCAGCCTCCACCTCCCAAGTTCAAGCAATCCTCCTGCTTCAGCCATGCCCGGCTATTGTATTTTTTGTAGTGATGGGGTCTCTTTATGTTGCCCAGGCTGGTCTCGAATTCTTGGCCTCAAGTAATCCTCCCATCTTGGCCTTCCAATGTGCTGAGATTACAGGCGTGAGCCAGTGCACCCAGCTGAAACACTAGGCATTTCATAATTATAAGTAGAATATGCTTTCTCTTGAATTTTGTAATTGCTGATTGCTGGCATATAATAGCTAATACTTGGTATGATACGCTGCTGCCAGGCTTGGTTCTAGATTCCACATGCTAAATGCTACATTCAGGTAGAAACTAAGAACAGAGAGGTAATGATACCTAGTACATGGGTTGGGATTCATTCTGGCCCCTGTGTGCACATTTAACTCACTACTGTATCCTTGGAAAGCTGTTTGTTTATATATATATATATTTTTTGGTAACTGGCCTAATCTCATTTTTAGTTGATTCTCTTAGGTTTCCAAGAAACCAGTCATATTATTTACAATTAATTATTTTTCATATATTCTCCAGTAATTCTTATCCTGGCCTTGTTGCTTTGATTATAACTTGTAGAAAAGTGTTTTTTAAGAAAGAGTAGAAATTCTTCTGTTAGTCCAACTAAATAGAAATGCATTTATTTATTTATTTATTTATTTGAGACAGAGTCTCACTCTGTTGCCCAGGCTGGAGTGCAGTGGTGCAATCTTGGCTCATTGCAACCTCTGCTTCCCAGGTTGAAGCAATTCTCTTGCCTCAGCTTCCCAAGTAGCTTGGATTACAGGTGCCTGCCACCATGCCTGGCTAATTTTTGTATTTTTTAGTGGAGACGGGGTTTCACCA
This sequence comes from Homo sapiens, assembly GCF_000001405.40. Classification (NCBI taxonomy): domain Eukaryota; kingdom Metazoa; phylum Chordata; class Mammalia; order Primates; family Hominidae; genus Homo; species Homo sapiens. The sequence continues at coordinate 72,631,329 of NC_000007.14, read as the reverse complement.
CGTTGACCAGGCTGGCCTCGAACTCCTGACCTCAAGTGAGCGACCCACTTCGGCCTCCCAAAGTGCTGGGATTACAGGCGTGAGCCACCACGTCCGGCCCCTCTATTTTTTTAGCCAGTAAGAATAGTGTTGACTATTGACTGGAGAATGTTGTGGATTTTTTTTTTTTTAATGTTAAGGATGTGTTTAATTAACTGAATTTACCAAATGGCGTTTGATTTGCTCATTCTGTTTTGTTTTAAAAGCAGGGATGGCTTTTAAACTATATCAGATACCTTTGGGTATCTATGAAGATGATCATGTGGTTTTTCTGTGTTGAACTACTAGTATAATGAATTATATTACTGTATAGCCTAATATTGAATTGTTTTTGCAATCCCGGGATTTTTAACAAAATGCTGAATTTTACTTGCTAAAATTTCTATAAGATTTTTACATATATAAGTATGAGTGAGATAGGTCTGCAGTTTTCTACTATTTTTGTTAGCTTTTGGCATTGGAAGGATTATAAGTATGTAAAGGGAATCTGGAAGATTTCTGAATTATAAGTATATAAAGGGAATCTGGAAGATTTCTGTCTTTCCTTGCATGATATACTGCATTTTAGAAGGAACTTTTGAGTACACATGAGTAAATATGCTTGGAAAACATTAATTTCTGGTGTGGCTGCCTAATATTCCTTATTAACGACCTCTTAGTTTCCTTCAATGAAGATTTCAAGTGTTTCTTCTTTTTTATTAATGTTGGAAGTCTTCAAACATAGACTAAAGTAATAAGATTGGTATCATTTTGTGCATCCCTTTCACTTTACTGTTTTTTTTTTTCTTGAGTATTTTGAGCATTGCTACTTAAGGTGTGGTTTGAGGGTTGGCAGCCTGAGTGTTACCTGGGCATTTGCTACAGATGCATGTAATCATGTACCTAGAACCACATACATCCCATCACCTTTGCCATAGTCTGTTGGTTATAGGCAAGTCACAGGTCCTGCACCTACTCAAGGGGTGGGTCTCACTTTAGATTTTAAGCCATTCTTCTTATTATTTTTATTTATTTATTTATTTTGAGACAGTCTTGCTCTGTCTCAGTGCAGTGGCATGATCTCAGCTCACTGCAACCTTCACCTCCCAGGTTCAAACGAGTCTCCTGCCTCAGCCTCCCAAGTAGCTGGGATTACAGGTGCACGCCGCCACGCCTGGCTCATTTTTGTATTTTTAGTAGAGGTGGGGTTTCACCATGTTGGCCAGGCTGGTCTCAAACTCCTTACCTCAGGTGATCCCCCTGCCTCGGCCTCCCAAAGTGCTGGGATTACAGGCATGAGCCACCACACCTGGCCTTAAGCCATTATTAATAATGTTGTCCTGAGATTTTTTAGTGTTTTTGAATGTTTAATCATTTGTTTTGGGTTCTAAAAGGGAGCTACAAAGTCAGAGTGTAAGCTTTTTAAAGGCTTTAATGCCTATTGTCTAATTACATTTTCAGAAATCTAGCTTGGCTCGGTGTGCGCCTATAATCCCAGCCCTTCGGAAGCCTCAGGCATGAGGGTCACTTAAGGCCGAGAGTTCGAGACCAGCCTGAATAACACAGCAAGGACCCCATCTCTAAAAAAATTTTTAAACTTAGCCGGGCATGATGATATGTGCCTGTAGTCCCAGCTACTTGGGAAGCTGAGGCAGGAGGATCACTTGAGTCCAGGAGATAGAGGCTGTGGTGAGTTATGATTGCACCACTGCACTCCAGCCTGGACAACAGAGCGAGACTCTGTCTCTAAAAAAATAAAGAAGAAAAGAAAGAAAGCCAGTCCCTCTTGTGGTTATGTGGCACACAAATGGCAACATTGATAATCCATCCATGTACCTTTTCTGCCAGCAAGAAATGCCAAGAGATCATTAAATAATGAGGGAGTAGGAAAGAAGACAGGACTTGCTAACAATTCTTGTCACTAACAACTTGGGTGATTATTACCTGAAAGCCTAGAGGGCATTTCAATTAATTTTTTATGGCCTAACACTGTTTGGTCAGTTTATCATTCCTTACTAAATGTAATTCAGTGTGTCTGTGTCAAGAAACCTCTGGGTGCCTGGCATAATGTTAAATGTTGTGGGGCAGAGAAAAGAAATATGTCAGTATCTCATGTGCCTTCCATAAGGCATGTTAGAATCATAGTGTTTATTTTTGTTTCATCTTTCCTCAAAATATAGCTTCAGTTTACAAAAGTTCATGATGAGTTTTGCCTGCCCTGGGTTCTCTGGGTTGAAAAAGCTTGAGAAACCCTCTAGGTTAAGAGGTGACATCCACCAAGATAACAACGAAGTTGGCTTTTCCTTTGTTTTAGCAACAACGAACTGTCTACAGACTGATGCTCGTGAAAGCATGGAACGTGGACGAGCTCCAGGCCTACGCGCAGCTCGTGTCCCTGGGGAATCCTGACTTCATCGAAGTGAAGGTAAGCCCCTGCTGACTCTGGTGGCCGTGGTGGAGTGACAAAGAATCGTGGTGCTTCGTTGGCCATCGTGGAGTTAAAACCTTGTAAAACTCTAGAGGTCCCAGGAATTTTATTGATGTATTCATTTCGTGATCGATATTCATCAAGAACCTGGAATTGTTCTAGGCCTTGGGGATAATAGCAGTCAAGAAGACCAAGCTCTTGCTCTTATAAAGCTAGTATTTTAGTGGGAGGATGGACAGTCCACACAAAGTGAGTCATTAAAAACCATGTAGTGACATGAATATGCTGAGAAATAAAATAGTGTGGTGGTGAGTAATTGGTTGACTTTTACATAAACCTTTATTTCAGACATAGACGGAAATAGAGAGATTGGTCTAATGAACTCCCATCCACCCATCACTCACCTTCAAAAATGATCAACTCATGACCCAGAGTTGTTTCAATTATACCTTTACCCATTTTCTCTGCTCTTAGCCCAGATTATTTTAAAGCAAACCACCAAAATTATATCATTTACCCAGAATTATTTCAGCATATATTCCTAAAAGATTTCTACTCTTATTTTATTTACTTTATTTCATATTTTATTTTATTTTATTTTGAGACAAGGACTCGCTTTGTCACCCAGGTTGGAGTGCAGTGCTGTGATCGTAGCTTACTGCAGCCTCCAACTCTTGGGCTCCAGCAGTCCTCCTGCCTCAGCCTCCTGAGTAGCTGGGACTAGAGGTGCACGCCACTATGCCTGGCTATTTTTTGTAGAGAGAAGGTCTCACTGTTTTGCCCAGGCTGGTCTCAAACTCCTGGCCTCAAGCGACCCTCCTGCCTCGGCCTCTCAGAGTGCTGGGATTATAGGTGTGAGCCACTGTGCCCGGCTGATGTGTATTCTTTCGAAACAGTTATTCAGAGTACTGGGCTCATACCTAAAAATTTTCAACTAAAAATTTTAATTTCGTCTTCCATGTGTTTTGTTTTTCCTCTTAGAAATCACTTTGCTGTAGAAAATGGATCATGCATCTTGGCTGATGCCCTATGTTTATATTTTAGATTTTGTTGATTGCATGTTTCTGTGCGTCCTGTGGATTGGTGCCTATAGTTAGATCAAGAGAAGATTGATTAAATTCAGGGGTGCATGTGTGTGTGGGTTTGTTTGTATTTCAGGAATATTTCACTGGTGGTCCTGTATACTCCAATCAGGAGTCACATAATGTCTGCTTGCCTCTCACATTTTTGCAAATGTTTCTTTGGGATAGATTCCGATGAGTGTATTGCTGGGTCAAAGGGTAAATGCATATATTATTTTACTAGATATGGTGGTTGACTATTTTAGGGAAGCTTTTCTGAGATGACATTTTATTTTATTTTATTTTATTTATGTTATGTTATGTTATGTTATGTTATGTTATGTTATGTTATGTTATGTTATGTTACTGTTTTTTGAGATGAAGTCTCACTCTGTCACCCAGGCTGGAGTACAGTGGCGTGATCTCGGCTCACTGAAACCTCCGCCTCCCGGGTTCAAGCGATTCTCCTCCCTCAGCCTCCCAAGTAGCTGGTGCTACAGCTGCCCACTACCGCACCTGGCTAATTTTTCTATTTTTAGTAGAGACGGGGTTTCACCATGTTGGCCAGGCTGCTCTCGAACTCCTGACCTTGAGTGATCCACCCACCTCAGCCTCCCAAAGTGCTGAGATTACAGGGTTAGAACTACCGCGCCGGGCCTGAGATGACATTTTAAAAACTGATACGTAAATGGTAAGCAGAAACCTGGGGTAAGGGCATTCCAGGCAGGTGGTGCTAGTGCATGGAGGTCCTGTGCTATCCTAGTGGAGTGGCTGAGGTTGGCAGTGGCGTAGGATGAATCAGAGCAGTGGGCTGGGGCAGCTTTTATGAGGCCTTTCAAGCAAAGATAAGGGGATTGGATTTTAAACTAAGTTTGATGGTAAGCTTTGTAAATATAGGTGCACTAGGAAAGGGCGTGAAGCTGGGGAGAGATGCAGTCTGATTTGTGATTTTAAAAGATCACCCCACTGCTGCAGCATGGCTTGGTTATAGAGGGCAGTAGAGTAGGCACAACAGTCACAAAGTGAGTGGTTAGTCCAAGCAAGAGATGGTTTGGGGAAGGTCAGTGGGACTAGGGCTGGAGAGCAGTGGGTGCATTTAGGATTCCTTTTGGAAGTAGAACCAATAAAACGTTTTGCTAGGTTATAGGTACGGGCTGAACGAAAAAAGAATCAAGAATAGCACCTGGGTTTTTGGCTTAAGCCATTGCGTGGATGGCGAAACTGTTTGCTGAGATACAGGAAACCAGGAGGGAAAAGGGGACATATTTGGGGAGAAATGTTGAGCTCCCTGTTGGCAACATTAAATTTGAGATATCTTTTAAATATCCAAGTAGAAGTTTAAATAGATCATAGGTTTTATAAGCTCGAAGTTTCAGGGATAAGATAGGGCTAGAAATAATGATTGGAAGTAATGGCTTTTTTGGGCAACTAAGAGTCCACAAGACAAGAGAAGTGATGAGAAAATGTACCCTGTCTGGGAAAGCCAACTCTGCTCATTTCCGTTTATGGCTTTGAAACTGAACCCTGTCTGTGTCATATCAGAGGTTTTACAGCTGTCTTTTGGTGAGTTTAGCTTTTGGTGTTACTCTAGAGGGGTGGGGAGGTGGGAACAGATGAAATACTGCTGTCTGAGTACGTAACATTTTATCTCTGGTCAGGCTGAAGACACTCTTGAAATTGCACTTAATTTCAAAAGGCTACTCTTGGCAGGAGCTCTAATGATGCAAAGATACAAACTGCAGCTGAAAATATATGTATCAGCTTAAGCAAACCTTGCCAACATCAGAGATTAGTGGTGTTTTAATTTATGATTTAGCTATTAAAGAATGCTGCCTCAAATTATGTTGCAGTAAAACCTCTATTATAATAAAGCAGCTTGGCTGGATCTCCCCTTTTTTCATTTCCTTCCTTTCTTCCCCCCCCCCCGCCCCACCTCTCCCCCCTCCTTTCTTACTTTCGCAGTCATGTTTTTCTATAAAGAACAGGTATTTTAAATCTGAAAAAAATCAGTCAACATTTTTTAAAGAAAGACAGCTACTTGGTAAACAGTATAATTCTCTGATGGGTATTATTTGGTTCACCAAACTATGAACATCACTAGGAAATAGATAAAGCCTTCTGTCTATAGCTGAGATGTTTTGTTTTGTTTTGTTTTGTTTTTCTGAGACAGTCTTGCTCGGTTGCCCAGACTGGAGTGCAGTGGTGCAATCATGGCTCACAGCAGCCTCCAGCTCCTGGGCTCAAGTGATCCTCCCACCTCAGCCTCCCGCTCCTGGGCTCAAGTGATCCTCCCACCTCAGCCTCCCAAGTAGCTTGATGACAGACGCACACCACCACACCTGGCTAATTTAAAACATTTTTGTATTTATAGAAATGGGGTCTCACTATGTTGCCCAGGCTGGTCTTGAACTCCTGGCCTCAAGCAGTCCTTCTACGTTAGCCTCCCAAAGTGCTGGGATTACAGACGTGAGCCACTGCACCTGGCCTAGCTAAGATGCTATTAACAACAGAGTTTTCTTTCCAAATTTCCATTTTACTATTTTGTCCTTGCATTCAACAATATTTTTGAGCTCTCTCCATGTGATAGGCCTTGTTAAAGCTCTGGAGATGAAAAATTTTATGTGAATGTGCTATTTGGGAAATGAATGTTTTATTGAAAATAGGCAAAAATCTATAAAAGTAAAATGACCTACTCTGAGAGATTTTATAATTGAAAACTCTTGGAGAAATGTATAACCACAATTAAATTTTTTTTTTTTTTTTTGAGACAGGTTCTTACTCTGTCTCCCAGGCTGGAGCGCACTGGCACAATCTCGGTTCACTGCAACCTCCGCCTCCTGGGTTCAAGCAATTCTCATGCCTCCGCCACCCAAATAGCTGGGATTACAGGTGTACACCACCACGCTTGGCCAATTTTTGTACTTTTTTGTAGAGACAGGGTCTTGCCATGTTGCCCAGGCTGGTCTTGAACTCCTGAGCTCAGGTGATCCACCCGCCTTGGCCTCCCAAAGTGTTGGGATTACAGGCGTGAGCCACCACGCCTGGCTTAAAATAAATATTTTGATGATAAAATATAATGTAATAAATAACAGTTCATGTTACTTCAGAGGGAGGCACATTCAGTCATGTCATATCTTTGATAAAAGACCCCAGGGAGAAATGTCCTGCAATGAATGTCAAATGCCTGGTCACTGGAGGTCAGTCTCATGCTTTGTGAACTTACCTGTCATTTGTCCAGCAAGTTAATGAGATTCTTCCTTGGATGCTGTAGTCGCAAAAGGGATATTTACAGAATAGAGCATACTGCTACTAAGAAGCAAAACAAATTCTAGAATAATATTTATTATGCAGTTCCATTTTTTAAATTTTAGTTTGCATTTTACATCCTTGATTACATTTTCAATGTTGTATGTTCAGATGTATTTATGTAAGAAAAGTATGGAAGGATATCTGTCAGATTGTTTACAGTGACCTATTTGGGAGAAGGGGAGGGAAATGTTTATTAATTTTACTTTTTGTAATTATGTAGTGTGTGGATTATTACAACGAGCATGCATTGGTTTGTAATTCAAAAGACAAATGAAATCAGTAAATGGAGAAGGCATGCTTTTCCTGTTCAATAGGATTAAACTACAGAATGTCTGAAAATACATCTTTTTGTCATTGTTGTCTTATTAATTAAAGTTAAAAATTTCTCAAATAGAGGAGTTTTTAAAATCATTGGCTGGGCCTGGTGGCTCATGCCTGTAATCCCAGCACTTTGGGAGGCCGAGTCAGGCAGATCACTTGAGGTCAGGAGTTCGAGACCAGCCTGGCCACATGGTGAAACCCTGTCTCTACTAAAAATACAAAAATTAGCTGGGTGTGGTGGCAGGTGCCTATAATCCCAGCTACTCAGGAGGCTGAGGCATGAGAATCACTTGAATCCAGGAGGCAGAGGCTGCAGTGAGCTGAGATCGTGCCACTGTACTCCAGCCTGGTCAAAAGAGCAAGACTCTATCTCAAAAAAAAATTAATAAATAACAACAGCAATAATAATAATAAGACCTCTCCATAAAACATTTGATAAGAACTAGCAATATGGCAGGCTATAACCTCAAACCTCTCTAAGGATTAACACTTAGAAGTGAATCTGTTATGAAAACCATACGTTTGGGAAGGTGCATATCTGTCAGGGCTGTAAGGGAGACACTCTTGGAGCTGGAAGAAAAGAGACCATTCTGGAAGTACTCCATGGTCCTAGTAGACAGGACTAGGGTTTAAAGGACAGAAGACTAGGCCCTTTCACCTTCAATGAAAGGATGGATTAGGGAAAAACTTACCCACGGACACAGTAACACTTGGAAGGCTTGTTCTGTACCCGTGCGCTTGGTAAAAAGGAAAAGTCTCTCCAGGGCCTTACCCTCAAATGGCCTTGGAATTCAAATTTAGTATTATGGTACCTCAAGGTCATATAAATGCCCCCAAGATGTGAAATCAATAATACAAATTGGCCCTAGATTCACAGATATGCCTGGAGCTCCCTGCAGATGCAGACACAATGCTGTTCATACCCTTTGTATTTCAATTGAGTTGCTTATCTTTTTGTTATTAAGTTCTTTGATTTTAAAATGGAAACACACACGTATGTGTATGTGTGTGCATTCAGAGTACTGTACTGAATTGTTGACAAATTTCTAAATCCAGTTTGAGGAAGGTTTCTAACATGTATGTATCACCCAATTCAACTTCTTTTTCTCATTTTGCTTGTAGCACTAACCTAATTGGATTTAGGAAACTCTTCCTTCCTTTTTCTATCTACCCTGTGTGCAGTTTCTCTTTTGTGAGTCAAAGGAAAAATCATCTTAACTTTGGTCATAGAAGTGGTAGCATGAACAACCCTTGGGTCAGGAAGGGCGACTGTAAATGCGGGAGTGGCGTCATGGCCAGGCATGCCCTCGGCATCTTTTCTCCCTGACATGTGTGAGTGCGTGGTGTGTTTGTGTGGTGTGTTTGTGTAGTGTGTGTGCATGTGTGTTGTGTGTGTTATGCATGTGTGTTTTGTGTGCGTGCATGTGTGTGGTGTGTGCACTTGTGTGTGTTGTATGTGTGCATGTATGTGTGTTGTGTGTGTGCATGTGTGTGTTGTGTGCATGTGTATGTGTTATGTGTATGTGCATGTGTGTGTGGTATGTGTCTGTATGTGTGTGTGTTTGTGTTTGTGTGTGTCCGTGTGTGCGTGTCAGATCTGGGGTCTCCCATAGTCTGCACTTACTAGAGTCTCATGTGGGGTGAGAGGCAGTGCCCAGTTTTGATACCTACGTAAAATGTGCCAATGTAGCCTAGGACAGGTTATTCATCCTCCTTGAGCCTAAATTCTGTCAATATTAAAATTAGCATAAGAATATCTCTTTAATAAGTTTGTTTTGAGAATTCAATGGGGTAATGTATGCCCAGATTCAGTAAGTTTTTAGATCACTTTCCATTAAGCACATTTATTTAAACGAAATCAATAGAGGCTACTGCTTTATCATATCGGTTTCCTCTTTTCTTTCCTTACCAGTCTTGTAAAATATTTTTCTGCTATATTCCTTGTAAATTAGCATGTATCTTAGCTTCATTAGGCTTAAAGAGGCCTTTATTTGCTAGCCTGAGAATCTTCCTTGTCATTATTTGCTTGCTTGCTTGTGAAAAGGTTTCATGTTACAACCATCTGTCTTGCTGAAAACTTTTGTAACACAATCCATTTGTAAATGAAATACTGTCTGTGTGTTCTCTGCCTAGCATTACACCTTGAGAATAGGACGTGCTCAGTAATTATTTGTTGTCAAATGATTTAAAACTACTTACTGTTGGCACCCTAGCTGTGTGTAGTGCTCAATCCTTGCAGAATGCACCCTGCAAAATGATTGTCTTAGCATAGCCTCACTCTCTCCCACAAAGGTGAGGAATACTGTCAGTTTTTCTTATACGTAGCAGTCCCTAACCAGCGTTTATCAGCTGGTTCATACCTGTTACAGAGTAGAAAACTCCTGAGTCATGTGAATGAAATTTTGTATTGGATTAGAAAAGAGTTGTGGAGTTTAATGTCGTAGGAGAATGTCTGACTTGATTTTTTGATCATTTAGCATAGATTGATTTGGGGTGCCAAGAAGAGCAAGGCACAGCCCCTGCCCTCAAAGGGCTCAGAGTTTTGACGCTTCTTTATACCAGTTACCTGGTAACAGATAACTACACAGGATATGATAAGATCAGGGTCAGATAGCGTAGAGGTTCCTGAATGGAGGTTAAAGAAATGATGGGTCGGTTTAGCCAGGTGCAGACAGGATGCTGAGTGGGCAGTCCAGCTCTAGAGTTACTTGTGCATATGGCCAAAGACAGGGGCTTGAATGGCTGATGGTCCATTGTTAGCGCAAGCTACGGAGGCAGGTGAGGAAGGCCTCGTGCCGTGGTGAGAAGCTCAGGCTGGTTTAAAGGGGAGTTATTGAAGCATTTTTAGGATAAAGGAATGAAGTATTTGGGGTTTATTGTGGGGAAAAAAAAATCATTTATGAAGAAAGGAGGTTTGTTTGGCTCATGGCTCTGCAGGCTCTACAAGAAGCATGGTGCCAACAGCTGCTTGTGGTGAGGGCCACAGGCTGCTTTCAGTCATGGCAGAAGACAGAGAAAGAGAGACAGACAGACGGACAGAGAGACAGACAGATGGACATTGTCCTTGTGACCCAAACACCTCCCATTGGGCTCCACCCCCAACACTGGGGATCACATTTCAGCATGAGGTTTGAACGCTCAGATAGCCACAGTATGGCAGCCCCCATCTCCTAGGGCAGTGGGGGTGGGTCCAAAAGCTACCAGGCTATAAAAGTGTGGGTTATGCTTTTCACTGCAAACTCAAGGATGCATAAATGATCCTGTTCTTCACGAACATTCTTGGGGTCTGCTTGTTACTCCTCAGCCTGCAGATTCTGATGTGAGTGACTTGGCTTTTCCATCACCACGCTGTACCCATCTATTTTCTTCAGACTGTTCTTTATTCAGAGTTTTGGGTGAAGAACTTGCTGCTTCTGATAAATGGAGTTGGGGGTGAGGGTGAGGGTGAGGGTGAGAGTGGGTGAGAAGGTGGCAGACAGCTGTGATATGAAGGGAAAGTTTTTTAGATAATTCTGTGCTCAGGAATAAAGTCAGGGCAAGCCATCAGTAGACTAGAGGGTAGGATGAAGTGGGGCAGTCGCAGCAGAGAGAAAACCAGACAGAGCCATTGGGCTCTGAGTGAGAGCTCGGGGTCCCTGAGGTGACCCCCAGTCTAAGTCACCAAGAACATTTTCTGCCCAGAGCATTTCTGTCACGGTGCAGCCTCTGGCTTTGCGGTTGACTCAGGAAGTTACCCAGGACTGCTTCCCTCAGAGGGTTTTGTTGTTGTTGTTTGGTTTTTGTTTTGTTTTGTTTTGAGACAGAGTCTTGCTCTGTTGCCCAGGCTGGAGTGGAGAGGCACTATCTCAGCTTGCTGCAATCTCCGCCTACTGGGTTCGAGCGATTCTCCTGCCTCAGCCTCCCAAGTAGCTGGGATTACAGGCGGGCACCACCACGCCCAGCCAATTTTTGTATTTTTAATAGAGACAGGGTTTCACCATGTCGGCAAGGCTGGTCTCGAATTCCTGACCTCAAGTGATCTGCCCGCCTCAGCCTCCCAAAGAGCTGGGATTACAGGCATGAGTCACCGTGCCTAGCCTCCTCAAAGGGTTTTATCTGGCAAAAATGAGAACTTTTATGTGAAAATACCATAAAGCATCATAGAGTTGTAAGGAATGGGTGGAGTCATGATAATGAACCGCAGCAGGCATTCTCTCATTCCATTCCCAAACTAAATCTCCCCTCAGTGTTTCATGGCTATTTTTGCTGAGTAATAAAATATTAAAATATTTTCAAAAGCTGTTCTCACGAAGACAAGATCTTATCTAACAACTCTGATTCAGTGAACTAACTTTTTAAATATTAAAAAGAAAGTCCTTTGAAGTAGCTACTGCATACATGGTTGTTTGTGTAATCCACACATAAGCAGTATTTAAATTGAGATAGAGTACACTTTTATGACTAATGCTTATCAATAAATAATTTTCATGTTTTTTATGCACTTGGTAAGGCTAGCAGTTTTTCAGCCATGCTTTCGTAATGATTTCTTTTTTTTTTTTTTTTTTTGAGACGGAGTCTTGCTCTGTCGCCCAGGCCAGACTGCGGACTGCAGTGGCGCAATCTCGGCTCACTGCAAGCTCCGCTTCCCGGGTTCACGCCATTCTCCTGCCTCAGCCTCCCGAGTAGCTGGGACTACAGGCGCCCGCCACCGTGCCCGGCTAATTTTTTGTATTTTTAGTAGAGACGGGGTTTCACCTTGTTAGCCAGGATGGTCTCGATCTCCTGACCTCATGATCCACCCGCCTCGGCCTCCCAAAGTGCTGGGATTACAGGCGTGAGCCACCGCGCCCGGCCCGTAATGATTTCTTGAACCATATCATTATTTTCCTTTTTTATTCACCTTAAGCTCTGTTACTGAGCAAAAGGGGCTCACTGCCTGATGCTCTGGAAGCCAATACTAATTGACATAGGGTTTTTGAGGGGGGAAAAGAAAGCTTTTTTATTGCAAGTCGACTAATAAAGAGACACTAAGTCCAGCTCAAATTTGTCTTCCTGTGCAGGTTTTAAGGCAGTGATTTTATTAGGGGATGGATTCTCAGATTAGTAAGTGATTGGTGGAAGGAAAGGGGAGATCTGGAAAGTCCTCGGACATGCGCAGTTGTCTGTTTGATCATCCTTGCTCGTGGTTTGCATATGCAAATTTAGGGGGAGTTAGTATGAAATGTGGTGGAAATTCGGGCTGTGACGTCAGCAAGCTCTTTCTACTCAGACTCCATTGGCCATGTTGGTTCCAACCAATTTCATCCATTTTTTTTAAATCTCACAAGCAGAGGGAGTTTCAGCAGTTTTAGCAAGTTGTTTATTTTCTTACACTGCCATCCTGCAAACACAAGGATTTCTGTTAGTCGTTGGTTTCTTTAACTCTGTGGGGCACAGTTTCAGCTCCAACTCCGTTTAATGAATTCTCTAAATCACTGGGCAAACTGAGAAGATTCTCTTGTTTATTGTAATTAAGCTGGGTGGCTGTGGTTTATATTCCACAAAGGCCATCACAGTTTAGTGCACCAGTCATCTTTTTGAACAGCTGTCTTGAGTCGAGTGTTTGGCAAAGCTCATGTGAGTCTTCGTCCAAGTCCCAGCTCTGTCATCAGGGTCAGGGTCACTCTGCTCATTTGTTGGTTTTTAAAAATTAAGTGTTGGCCAGGCGTGTTGGCTCACACCTGTAATCCCAGCACATGGGAGGCCGAGATGGGCAGATCATTTGAGGTCAGGAGTTCAAGACCAGCCTGGCCAACATGGCGAAACTCCATCTCTACTAAAAATACAAAAATTAGCTGGGCATGGTGGCACATGCCTGTATTCCCAGCTACTTGGGAGGCTAAGGCAGGAGAATCGCTTCAACCCAGGAGGCGGAGGCTGCAGTGAGCCGAGATCAGGCCACTGCACTCCAGCCTGGGCAACAAAAAAAAAAAAAAAAAAAAAAAAATTCAGTGTCATTCTGCATTCTCCAATTTGTCTGTGGTGTGTGTGTGTCCTGTCTTTATATGTATTTGTGTGTGTTTGTGTGTGTGTCTGTGAGTGAATGTGTATGAGAGGTGCACATGCCTTTCTCCCCACTCCCTCCCAGTTATTCCCCACTTAGCGGAATCATTTCTGGGATTTTCTCAACAAGTTGTTGAGAAAAGTTTGATTTGTGGGTATTTGAAGAGCCCACAGAGGTAAGATTTATTTCAAGAAATAAGATAAATCTTTTAGTATTAGAAAATTAATCATTTTACCATTATGTAATTTACCAAATAAAGAACTTAGTTATGAAATTCTGGGGTCTTGTGTGCCTTGGCTATTAGGTAGAGTCCAAAAGAGTTAGATAATTTAACTTTCTGCAGTTGTACTTAAGAATTTCTGTGTTGGTGAAATACATGTGTATATGTAGTTGTGTGTAAAGGTATGTAGGTACATGCACAAATATATTTCCCTTTTGGCATGATTGTTTATGTAACCACATTCAAAGTGCATTACAAAATGAACTCCTTAAAGAATAATTTTAGGCCAGGTGTAGTGGCTCACACCTGTGATCCCAGCACTTTGGGAGGCCGGGGCAGGTAGATTGCTTGAGGCCAGGAATTCAAGACCAGCCTGGTCAACATGGCGAAACCCCATCTCTACTAAAAATACAAAAATTAGCCAGGCGTGGTGGCAGGCGCCTGTAATCCCAGCTACTCGGAAGGCTGAGGCACGAGACTCTCTTGAACCAGGAAGTGGAGGTTGTGGTGAGCCGCGATTGTGCCACTGCACTCCAGCTTAGGTGACAGAGCAAGACTCTGTCTCAAAAATAATGATAATAGTAATAATTTTAAAGGGATCCTTATCTGTCACTTTAAGGAAAAAGTTTGCCAGTTTCAATCTCAATTATACTAGAAAATGGAAGCTCAGCTTATTTTCCCAGTGAATCAATTACTTGGTCAGTGAATTTTTATGAGTGTCCACTATGCCCCCATTATTGTCCTAAGGGGTGATAACCCCTTCATAATTCCTCAATTATAGTGCACAGATGAATCTGAATCAAAAGACATGCTATTGATTCAAATACATTATTGTGACCAGACAGCCTAGATTGTGACAACGGTAGAAAGCGCAGGTACTTAAGCCCCAGCAATGTCATAGAGTAGCAAGAGCATCAGCCTGCTGTCTTTGTCAGTAGCTACTTGTATGGTCTCCTAGGCAGATTTTATCATCTCTATATTCACTTCCTTCACTGTAAAATACGGACTGGATTGCATTGGTTGACCTCAAGAAGGCTTTCCGGCTCTGAAAGTCTTCTATGACATGCAGGTAGGTCTGTAGTCATCTCTGATGGTTATACTGTTTCCACAGGGCGTTACCTACTGCAGAGAAAGTTCAGCAAGCAGTCTTACCATGGCCCATGTGCCCTGGCATGAGGAAGTGGTACAGTTTGTCCGCGAGCTGGTGGATCTGATCCCCGAATATGAAATTGCATGTGAACACGAACACTCTAATTGCCTCCTGATAGCACACAGAAAGGTAAGAATAACTCAAACATGGAATCTTCTGTTCCCTGACCCTGCTGTTCTTTCCTTCTCTTCTCTCTTTATTTTCCTCTTACGTTGTTATAGGGATGATCTGCGTGCTTGCTACCTTTCCCAAAACAAAAATAAGAAAGCACTAAATTCTGTCTGCTGGGCTCATAAACTCTTTTCCATGTGAAATTGCTTCTTGTTTAGCCCTCCTCTGGACACCTTGAAGTACTTTCTGGTTTGCAATTTTAGAAGGTGCATGCTAACAAAACAAAAGCAAAATGCCCTTGTAATAACCTCTAGTCCTTTCCTGGAATGACAGGGAAAAGCTAAAATAGTAAATAGTCCCCATATGGGTTTCTAGCTGTCAGAAGCAATATTGAGGTATCTATCAAATTTTAGATTGCTTGAATCTTGGCATCTGGAGAATTTTGTTTGGGATTTTAGTTTATAACACTATTTCCATTTTTCCCCCTTTAGTCCTTTTATTAGATAGAACAAGTATATGAATCTAGTATCTTTCTTAAGTAAATAACTCCTAGCAAAGGAAAAATCCAGTTCTTGATAGAGGTGGGCCACTAAAATAATTTGCTAATTTTCTAGAGAAGTTCTGGAAAATTTCTTAGTCTTTATTTCTTTAAATACTTATTCTTTCTCATTATATGTTCTCCTCTAGGACTCCAATTAAACATATGTTAGACGTCATTATATTTATTTTTTTATATCTCTTGCCTTCTCATTTGTATTTTTTGTGCTTTTGTCTCTCCATCTCTCCATATTTCATTTTGGGTAGTTTCTATTGATTCATCTTCCAGTTCACTAAGTCTTGCTTCAGCTGTGTCTCCTGTGCTATTAAATTCAACCATTAATTTCTTAATTTTGTATTTTATGTTTTTTTAATTGTATAATTTCTGCTTGGTTTATTTCAAAAATGCTATTTTGTATAATTTCTATTTCCCTGCCGAAGTTTTCAAGCTTGGGTTTTATCTTCTTGAGTACTGGAAGTGAGTTGTTTTATGGTTTGTATCTGATAATTCCAATGACTAAAGTTCCTGTGGGCGTGTGTTTGTTGTCTGTCATTTCTGCAGGTTCTCATTCATGTTGCCTTGTCTTCTCCAGTGCCTTGTTGTTACCTGTGATTGCATTCTGTACATTGTATTTAGAAGATTATTTCTAGAAATCAAGTCAAGCCTAGGATCAGAAGATCTCTTCTGAGGTGTTTTAGATATGTGATTTAACCCTCTCACTTTTTCCGTATGGAATCTGAGGTCTGAACGGTGAAGAAACTGGCTTAAATGGCTGTGTCAAACTGGAATCACAGCCTTCTCTCCCTCTAGTCCATTGATCTTTTTTATACTACAAGGCATCTTTCAAAACCATTGGCAGTATTCAAAGGAACATTTAAAACAGGACAATTTAATTTTAGTCTAATCCTTTACTTCAGTCTGTAAGATTTCTTCTCTTTTCCCATGAGGATAGAGGAAATAGATAGCAAACCATCTCATTCAAGCCAATTCAGTTCTTCAAGTGTTTATTGAATGCCTGCTGAGTTCTGGACACCAGGCTGTGCAGCAAGGGACACAGTGCTCAGACATGAAGAATGGAAAGCCACAGGGTTAATTGAAAAGTAGACTTGGCACAAATCTTACACTGCCACTTGTTGACTAGGTGACTTTGTGCAAGTCCTTTCATCTTTCTGTAGTGTAATGAATGAGAAGAGATTATGAGTGGAGTCAGATTGATTAGAGGGCTTTAATCTTGGCCCCTGTCTAGCTTTTCATCTGGAAAATGGGTATATTGCTAGCCGAGGCCATTGTTATGAAACACTTTGTTAACATAGCTTTGTTAATACATTGTTAACACAGCACCTGGCTCATAGCATGATTCAGTTATTGCTGCTTCAGTTATTTTTATTTTTATAAAACCACCTAATTTGGTGAATGCTTAGTATGTGACAGACACTGCCAAGTGTATTTTTAAATCCTCACAGCATCCCTACAAGGTAGGTACTATCAAGACCTCTGTGTTTCTTTTTTTTTTTTTTTTAAGATGGAGTCTTGCTCTGTTGCACAGGCTGGAGTGTGGTGACGCAACCTCGGCTCACTGCAACCTCTGCCTCCTCCCTTCAAGCGATTCTCCTGCCTTAGCCTCCTGAGTAGCTGGGACTACAGGCGTGAGCCACCACACCCATTTAATTTTTGTGTTTTTAGTAGAGACAGGGTTTCACCATGTTAGCCAGGCTGGTTTCGACCTCCTGACCCCAAGTGATACGCCTGTCTCAGTCTCCCAAAGTGCTGGGATTACAGGCATGGGCCACCATGCCCAGTCTGACCTCTGTCTTATGGATGAGAAATTGACACATCAAGGGGTTCAGTAACTTGTTCAAGATGAAACAGCCAGTAAGGAGTAGAAATGGGATTTAAGCCCTGGCATCTGACTCCAGAGCCTGTATTCCCTTCTTTCCTTCCTTCTTTCTTTTTCTTTTGTTTTAAATTTGGAAATTATTTCAAATTTACAAAAAAGTGCAATGATAAAAATAGAACAAAGGACACAGATTTGCAAAATCACCTGTTACCATTTTTCTGCCATTTGCTTGTTCTCTTGCTCTCTCTCTTTTGCTCCCGTTCTCTCTCGTTCTCTCTCCCTCCCTTCCCCACCCCTGCCCCCCACCCCCCCAGCATACATGTGCACACATCGTCTTTTCTGAACCATTTGAGGAAATGTTGCATTGGTCATGGTCCTTTGCCCTAAATGTTTCAGTGTGAATTTCTTAAAACTAGGAATATTTTCTCTTACAACCACGATACAGTTATCAACTTCAAAATTGTAAACTGATACATGACTTTAATCTACCATCCATATTCAAATTTTGTCAGATCAGCTTGTAATGTCCTTTATAGCATTTCCCCCTCCAGTTCAGGATCTACTCTATAGGAGTCAGCCAGCTTTGTTTATAAAGAAAATATGGGCCCGGCGCAGTGGCTCATGCCTGTAATCCCAGCACTTTGGGAGGAAGGCTGAGGTGGGCAGATCACTTGAGGTCAGGAGTTCGAGACCAACCTGGCCAACATAGTGAAACTCCATCTCTAATAAAAATACTAAAATTAGCTGGGTGTGGTGGCGGGGGCCTGTAATCTCAGGTACTCAGGAAGCTGAGGCAGGAGAATCTCTTGAACCCGGGAGGTGGAGGTTGCAGTGAGTCAAGCCTGGACGACTGCACTCCAGCCTGGGCGAAAGGGTGAGACTCCATCTCAAAAAAAAAAAAAAAAAAAAAAAAGAAGATATAAAGTAAATATTTTAATTTTTATATAAAGTAAATATTTGAGGTTTGCAAGGCACATACAGCCTCTGTCAGATATTCTTCTTTGCTTGTTTACTCATTTTACAACCTTTTAAAAATGCAAAGACTGTCCTTAAAACAGGTTTGTGAGCTAAATGTGGCCAGATTGGGCCTACCAGCCACAGTTACCCAACCCCTAATCTAGGCAGATACTATATTTTCTTCTCAAGTCTCTGTAGTCACCTTCAATTTGGAACATTTCCACAGTCTTCCTTTGTCTTTTATGATGTTGCTATTTCAAAAGAATACAGTTCCCCCCTTCCCTTTCTTTTAATAGAAATGTTTCTTGGTGAGGTGCAGTGGCTTACACCTGTAATCCTAGAACTTTGGGAGACCGAGGCAGGTGGATCCCTTGACCCCAGGAGTTCAAGACCACTCTGGGCAACATAGTGAGACTCCATCACTATTTAAAAATAGAAAAATTTCCTGGGTGTGATGGCACGAACCTGTAGTCCCAGCTACTTAGGGGGCTAAGGTGGAAGGATCATCTGAGCCCAGGAGGTCAAGGCTGCAGTGACCCGTGATTATGCCATTGCACTTTATTCTGGGCAACAGAGTGAGACCATCTCAAAAAAAAAAATAAATAAATAAAAGAAATGGTTTTTGTTTTATATTTGCCTGATTTTTCCTTGTGGCTAGATTGAGGTTGTACGTCCTCAGATGGAATACTGTGTTGGCGACGTGTCCTTTTCAGAGTCTCACACTTGGTACCTGGTGTCCACATCTCCCTCGTTAGTGGTGATGATTTTGTTCAGCCAACTACTTTGACCCAGTTCTTCTGTTTCTCTCCTTTGCACCTGATAAGCTATCTATGAAAAGGTACCTTAAGACAATGCAGTATCTCGCTTCTTACCAAAGTTTCCCCATTGACTTAGCACTTATTGATGGTTCCTGCCTGATAAAATGTTTTATTGATTGTAAAATAGTGATTTTTGTAAGTGTACCACTCCTTCCACATTTGCCTTCAGCATTCTATTGTAAACAAAAGCCCTCCCTTTCCTCCCATTTATATATTTATTTATCAGTATGGACTCAGGAATTCTACTTTTTGTCCCAGTGGGTCATTATTCATTACTGTACTGATTTTAAACCACTCTTCTAGACTCCCTGTTCCTCTCTCTCTGTCTCTTCGTTCTCTCTAATTAAATCCCTCCTATCCTTATTCAAAATTGATACTAATAGTATTGCTTTCAAGGCCATTATCAAGATTAAAAGTAACATATTTAAAGTACCTAGAAGGATTCCAGCCTGGGCGACAGAGCGAGAACCCATCGAGAAAGAAAGAGAGAGAGAGAAAAAGAGAAGAAGAGAAGAGAGGGAGGGAGGATGGAAGGAAAGAAGGAAGGAAAAAGAAGAAAGAAAGAACTTAGAAGGGAACATGAAGTGAAGTAGGCAGTTAATAAATAGTTGTTACTGCTGCTTTTATTGGTCTTTCCCCACCCACAAGGAGCTCGTGGTTTAGTGGGGAAAACGACTGAAAATCAGTGTGATCAGTGCAAAAGCAGACATGGCACCAAGTGTGCGCCAGGACAAAGGAGAGAATCTGAGATAGACCCTCATTATTCTCTATAATGTTTGTTGAATACCCATGTGTGTCAGGCACATGGGTATTCTGAGAATACAGAGGGCTGGGTACTCTGAGAATACAAAGATGAGTAAACAATGGTCCCTGTATTTGTCCGTTTTCACGCTGCTGATAAAGACATACCCGAGACTGGGTAATTTATAAAGGAAAAGAGGTTTAATGGACTCACAGTTCCACATGGCTGGGGAGGCCTCACAATAATGGTAGAAGGCACGTCTTACATGGTGGCAGACGAGAGAAAAGAGGGCCAAGCGAAAGAGGAAACTCCTTATAAAACCATCGGATCTCATGAGCCTTATTCACTATCACAAGAACAGCATGGGGGAAACCACCCCATGATTCAGTTATCTCCCACCAGGTCCTTCCCACAATACGTGGGAATTATGGGAACTGCCATTCAAGGTGAGATTTGGGTGGGGACACAGTCAAACCATATCAGTTCCTGCCTTCAAGAATGGGCTAACAGAAAAAGACAAATATCTCAACAAAAAAAGTGCTGAGAAGTGTAATCAGAGCTATGATGGAAGAATGGAATGGAGCTCAATGGGTGCATTCTGAGGACTACTTGGTCCCATCAGGAGAGGCTTCACAGAGGAGGCGCCATTTAACTGGATCTTAAATGATGGCTGAAGTAGGAAAAACATTTAAGCAGAAACAGAACAAGCAGAGGTCCAAAGGAGAAGCACGGAGACATGGCACATTGAGAACCACAAGTAGTTTGGGATGGCTGAAGGTCAAGAGAAGGGTTGCAGGGAAAGGAGATTATTAGGCAGGGTTAAGATCACAGATAGCATTGAATGGCATCCTAAATGTCATTTTCCCTATTTCCCTAAAGGGCATGGGGAGGCACTGAAGAGCTTTAGGTAGGGGAGTGCCACAGTGAAGATTTGTGTTTCAGAAAAAGTTGTCTGGCAGCATTACAGGGGATGGATTGAAAAGCTGCAAGACAGAGAAACCAGTTAAAACACTGTTGCGATAGCCAGCTGTGGTGTTGTGTGCCTGTAGTCTTGGCTACTCGGGAGGCTGAGGCGGGAGACTCACTTGAGTCCAGGAATTCTAGCTCAGCCTGGACAACAGAGTGAGACCCTCCTCCATTTCTAAAACAACAACAACAACAACAACAACAAACCTGTTATAACCCTCAGGTCCAGCAACTGTTTCACCCTCAGGTCTAGCAATCTGAGGGTGAAATGGGGGTCTGAGACAAAGGCTGTGATGAATGAGAGTGGTGAGTGGTAGACCTGGCAAAGTATTAAATGAGGACCATTAACGAGTGTGCAGGTTCAGGCATGACTCCCTGGCCTCTAACCTGGGAAATGAGTGATTGTGATGGTGTCGTCCATGGAGATGATGTTACTTGCATATTTATTTTTCATGTAGGTAGAGAGTGAATGGGTTGACTCGGTGACGTCAGGAAGAAATTCCAGCAAAGATATAGATATCGAATTATGGAGTCCAGATTATAAGTTGTCCTTAGAATGCCCAGAGTGAGACAGATGGTCAAGCATCCAAAATGCTTGAAATTAATTACTTAAACACCAGATATACCCTAACGTGGAGGTTTCCAACTTGCACATTCATAGTGCTCTAGTGCCTCAATAGCTTTTTCACAAGACCTGTAGGTCAAGAGATACCTAGCAGTTCTATTTGTTATGACATCATTGAAAGAAGTGTGACACAGCCTAACGTTGAAACTGGGAACTATCTCAAGCTAGCAGTTGTTGAAATGCCCAACAGATGTCCAGTGTCACTGCGCTCCTCTTTAAAATTCAAGATACCCTTCAGTGTCCCAGTGAGTACTCTGTTCCCACTGCTTGGGAACCACAGCCATGAGGAAATAATACAGAAACCCATCCAAAAAGTAAAACAAGGCTCATTTAGATTCCTTCCAATTATGTGTTTTCTGGCACGTCTTTTCCTTTTCGTTGTTGATCTCGGAGTATGCAGATCTTGTCATTTTCCAGTCATGGCCTCTCTATTCTTATACTAGTGTCTAGTGAAAGAAATGAAAATATGGTACCATTTCTTAGGAAGTAGTCACTTCTCAGGCCTGGTCCATTGGCCCTTTCTTCAAGCTCCTGAGCTGGGTCAGGTGACCTGAAACCAGAGAGGTCCAAATCATCAAATACCTGTTTATCATTCTCAGCTTTCTCAGGAGATTGCTCAATTTATTTATTTTTTTTTATTTTGGAGACAGGGTCTCATCTCACTCTGTCACCCAGGCTGGAGTGCAGTGGTGTGAACATGGCTCATTGCAACCTCTACCTCCCAGGCTCAAGCAGTCCTCCTGCTTAAGCCTCTTGAGTAGCTGGGACTATAGGCATGAGCCACCATGCCCAGCTAATTTTTAAATTTGTTATTGAGATCGGGTCCCACTGTGTTGGCCAGGCTGCTGTCAAACTCCTGGGCTCAAGCAGCCCTCCCACCTCGGCCTCCCAAAGTGCTGGGATTACAGACATGAGCCACCGTGCCCAGCCTCAATTTCTACTAATAATCCTGGGACTTCTGAAAGAGAGTGCAAGCTGCTGCAGTCATGTTGAATGAAGGACTACTTTCCTATTGTTATACCAAGACAGCCACAAAAGAAAACTGAATACCAAGTCTTTACTTTAAAACAATTATAGATTCACAGGAAGCTGCAAAATGGTACAGAAAGGTCTCAGGTACCCTTCATGTAGTTTCCCCCAGTGATAACGTCTTACGTGATCATAGTACGTTATCAAAATCAGGAAATAGACGTTGGTACAACCCATAGACCTTATTCAGATTTCACCAATTTTAAATGCACTCACATGTGTGTGTTTAGTTCTGTGCCGTTTTGTGTGTAGATTTATGTAGCCATCACCACGACCCAGATAGAAAACTGTTCTATCACCACAAAGATCTTTCTCATGCTATTCCTTTGTAGTCCGATACCAACTATCCCTAGCCTCTGGCAACCGCTAATCTCCTCTATCTCTGTAATTTTCTCATTGCAAGAAGGATATATAAACAGAAGTTTACTCTATCTGACAATAATAGAGCCACTTCGACTTTCTTTTGATCAGTGTTTGCATGGTATATGTTTTTCTGTCCTTTGCCCTTCAACCTGCGTGTATCATTATATTCGAAGTGAGTTTCTTATAGGCAACATACAGTTGTCATACTTTTTTAGTCTACTCTGCCAATCTATTTTAGAATTCCATTTTTATTTCTCTGCACTGTTGTTGAGTGCATCTCTTCGTATAGACTTTTTAGTGGTTGATTTACATATTACATTATGCATATATAATATATCACAGTCTACTGGTGTCAACATGTTAGCAGTTTGAGTGAAATGTGGAAACTTTACCCCTCTTAAATCTCTTTTCCCTCCCTTGCTTAGAATGTCTTAGGTGTTTCCTGCACCCACAGTGAAAATCACATGGCATCATATTACAATTTTTGCTTCAACTATCAAAGGTAACTTAGAAAACTCAAGAGAAGAAGAGTTTATTGTATTTACTCATATTCTTACTCCTTCTGTTGTTCTTTCTTTCTTCCAGATGGTCCAAGTTTCCTTTGGAATCTTCCCCATCTGTTTGAAGAACTTCCTTTAGCAATTCTCTTAGAGCCAGTGTGATAGCAACCAGTCCTCTTAGTTTTCCTTCATCTGCCACTGTCTTGGTTTCCTCTCCATTCCTGAAGGATATTTTTGGTAGGTAAAGTATTCTGGATTGACAGCTCTTTTCTTTCTTTCTGACTTCTCTGGTATCTGATGAAAAATCCTTTGTCATTTGATTGTTTTTCTCCTTTAGGTAAGACATTTCTCTCTCCCTGCTTTCAAGATTTTTAAAAATATTCAGGTCTTGAGTTTTCAGAAGTTTGATTACAGGTTGCCTTGGCCTGGATTTCTTTGGGTCTGTTGTTTTGGAGGCATGCTCAGCTTCCTGAATCTGCAGGTATATGCCCTTTACAAATTGGGGAAATTTCTAGTTGTTCTCCAGATACTTTTTTCAGCCTCATCTTATTTCTCTTCTCTTTTTAGATCTCTGATGACACAAATGTTAGATTTTTTTTTTGTTATGGTCCCACAGGTATCTGAGGCTTTGTTTGTTTCTCTTTTAGTCTCTGTTTTTTAGACTCTTGTCCTAACTTTAGATTGATTCATTCTGTCTTTTTACTCTTCCATTCTGTTGAACCATTTATTATTTTAGTTATTGTATTTTTCAGTTCTAAAATTTCCATTTGATTATTTTCCTATTTCTATTTAACTATTTCTCCTTCCTTCCTTCCTTCCTCCCTCTCTCCTTCTCTTCCTTCTTCTCTTTTCTTTCTTCTTGTTCTTGTTCTTCTTCCTCCTCTTTCTTCTTTCTTCTTCTTTTCTTTTTTTTTTTTTTTTGAGAGACAGAATCTCACTCTGTCATCCAGGCTGGAATCCAGTGGCACAATCTTGGCTCACTGCAACCTCCATCTCTGAGTTCAAGTGATTCTCCTGCCTCAGCCTCCTGAGTAGCTGGGATTACAGGCGTGTACCACCACACCCAGCTAATTTTTTTATTTTTATTAGAGATGGGGTTTCTCCATGTTGGCCAGGCTGGTCTTGAACTCTTGGCTTCCAGTGATCCACCCATCTCCACCTCCCTGGGATTACAGGCATGAGCCACCACACCCAGCCAACTTTCTATTTATTGTGTCCGTTTTTAATAGCCCATTGAAGCACATTTGTGATGGCTGCTTTAAAATCTTAATCAGATAATTCCAACACACATACCACGTTGGCATCTTTTGATTGTCTTTTCTAATTCAAGTTGAGATTTTCCTGTTTCTAGGTGTGATAAGTGATTTTCAGTTGTTTCTCAGACATTTTAGGTGTTATGTTAGGAGACTCTGGATCTTATTTATTAATAAATCTTCTGTCTTAGCCGGCCTCCTTTGACACTGCACTGTGGGGATGGCATGAGAGGGTGTTACCTCCTTACTTCCAGGGAGAGGTAAAAGTCCAGTTCCCCTCTCAGCTTCTATTGACCTACTGTAGGAAGGGTGCCTTGTTACTGCCAAGTAGAGGCAGAAATTCTGGCTCCCGTCAGCCTCCTGTTATACCATTCTGATGAAGAAGGGAGAGCCATCTTGTGACTGTTCCCCCCTTAGACTCCACTGACATTATAGGATGGAGGCGGGGGGGGGGCCTTATTGCTGCTGGGTGGTGGCAGAAGTCCTGGTTCTCCACTAAGCTTCTTCTGACACCACTCGAGTGTATGGGGGAGAGGTGCCTTGTTACTGCTAGGTGGAGTGAAAGTCCAGGCTTTCTGTGTAGTCTGTATGACATTACAGCTGGAGGGGAGGAGGAGGGCAGGATTCCCCACTCACCTTCTCTGATACCGCCCTGGTAGTAGGAGTCAAGAGGGGTGCCTCGTTATAACCAGGTGAAGGTGGGAGTCTAGGTTCCCCACTCAGTGTTTGCTGACCGGATGGGAATGAGGCCCGTTTTTCTCATGGCCTAGGTTGGTTATTGTCTAAAAGTTTTCTGTCTTCCTAGGCTGCCCTGTTCCTGCTGTCCTAAGAGAGCAGCCTTTACTTGGGACTCTTTTTTTTTTTATCCAATAGTTGTCTGCAGCCATTGGTGTTTCTGGCTTGCAGCCGAGTCCAGGATATCTGAGCCAAAAATAAAACTCAAGAAACTCACCACCATGTTGTTCCTCAGATCCCAAGGCCCCTAGCCAGTGTGCCTTCTTATCTCTACCTTTGAGAATCTTTTTGCTTGCCTTATATGTAATATCCTCTGTTTTTAGCTGTACTTAGCAGGCAGAATAGGGAGAGGCACGTCTACTCCATCTTGTCCAGAACCAGACATTATACCACTGTAGAGTTGGGGTTCGCATCTCCTAGTGAACAGTAATGCCAATCCAGATGGGACTATTTGATATTGGTAGATTATTTCCAGGTGAACTCATTTTCTTTATTTAATTGAAAGGTGTTGTCCAGTTAAGGTTGTATGGCTGCTGTTGCAGTGTTACTGGAAAGAATTTCCTGACACTTACATGAAAACATCTTTTCCTAATCCTAATCAGATCTCATCAGATCCCATTTAATAAATGGCTAGCAATTTACTCTAAGGGTACTAGTGTTGAAAAGCAGAGATGTGGCCAGGCACGGTGGCTCACACCTGTAATCCCAGCACTTTGGGAGGCCGAAGTGGGCGGATCATGAGGTCAGAAGTTCGAGACCAGCCTGGCCAATATGGTGAAACCCCATCTCTACTATAAATACAAAAATTAGCCAGGCGTGGTGGCACGTGCCTGTAGTCCCAGCTATTCAGGAGGCTGAGGCAGGAGAATCGCTTCAACCAGGGAGGCGGAGATTGCAGTGAGCCGAGATTGCGCCACTGCACTCTAGCCGGGGCAACAGAGTGAGACGCTGTCTCAAAAAAAAAAAACAAAACAAACAAAAAAAAAACCACAACATTCCAGAGGGATTCCAGACATCAGTTGAATATTTACATTTACATGACCTTTAAAGATCCTGCATTAAATTTGTAAGATTTTCACAACATGATATAGCCTCTGGAGAGTGTCTTATGATCTGTATCACCCTATTCATACCTGGAATACTTCGTGGTCGTTTGCAGTGCAGTGATATTGTCATTGTCATATTCTATGCCACATGCAAATCATTTCTTAATTGTAGTGAAATATTTTTGAAAATGGATGATTTATTTAAATATCCTTCTGAGTTTTGTCATGTAGATATAATGTCAGAGTCTAGAGAGTGGAGCTTCTGCATTTGATAAGAGGCAGGCTACTTAGCGGCTAGGATAGTAAGTATGACTCAATGGCAAAGACCACAATTACTTTTGCACCAACGTAATAGAAGGGTGCAGAAAGCTCAATGACCTTGGCTTTGAGCAGCGGAAAGACAAATCCCACTCACGTTCAGGTAAATGAGCCTGCATGTTTTAGTTTCAGGGTTAAGCTAGAGGGACAAGGAGATGACCACAGTTGCCTACAGGGGAGGGTGGGCCTCTGTGCTTTGGAGGGGGTGGCTGGCACAAGGTGGTACAGTCAGCTGTTTGTGGGCTTTCAGCCTAGCAGCTTAAATGTAACCTTGGTCCTATCAGTCTAGAAATTAATTAGACCATGAGAATCCAACAAGCTTTGATAATTTTAGTGCAGAAACACTGAAATTCCCTCCACATATTGGCAATATCCTAGTACAGCGGGTCACAGCCAGTGGAAGCTGAGTGATAAGTGATATATATGGCTTGCGGAATCCACATAGCAGTGTTTCAAAACTTCATTCTTCCTGTAAAATTTTTAAAAATTTTTTTATTTTTTGAGACAGAGTCTCACTCTGTCGCCCAGATTGGAGTGCAGTGGCGTGATCTCAGCTCGCTGCAACCTCCATCTCCCGGGTTCAAGCAATTCTCCTGCCTCAGCTTCCTGAGTAGCTGGGATTACAAGCGCACGCCACCACGCCCGGCTACTTTTGTATTTTTAATAGAGACAGGGTTTCACCATGTTGGCTAGTCTGGCCTTGAACTCCTGACCTCAAGTGATCCACCCACCTTGGCCTCTCAAATTGCTGGGATCACAGGCATGAGCACTGCACCTGGCCAATTATTATTATTTTTTTCAATAGACTTTATGTTTTACAGAAGTTTTTGACTTACAGAAAAATTGAGACTGTATTATAGAGAGTTCCCATATACCCTAGATTTGTCCTATTAGCATCTTATGTTGGTGTGGTACGTGTGTTACAATTCGTGAGCCAGTGTTGATTTATGATTGTTAACTGAAGTCCACAGTTTATTTAGATTTCCTTAGGTTTTACCTAATGTCCTTTTTCTGTTCTAGGATCCCATTACATTTAGTTGTCAGTTCTCTTTAGGCTCCTCTTGGTGTGGCAGTTCTCAGACTTTCCTTATTTTTGATGACCTTGATAGCTTTGAGGGGTACTCGAGGGATTTTGTGGAATGCCCTATTATTGAAATTTGTCTGATGTTTTTCTCATGAGACTTGGGTTATGAATTTTTAGGAGGAAGATCACTGAGGTGAAGTGCCGTTTTCATCACATCATGTCAAGGACACGCACCTACTGCCAGCATGGCTTATGACTAACAATGCTGACCTCGATCCACCAACTGAGGCAGTATTTGTCAGGTTTCTCCACTGTCAAATTACTGCCTCTGCTCCTGCTTTTCATACTGTGCTCTTTGGGAGGAAATCACCGTGTGTGGTCCATATCCAGGGGGCGCAGTGTTAGGCTCCCCGTCCTTGAGGGCAGAGTATCTATGTAAGTTATTTGGAATTCTTCCATACCGAAGGCTTGTCCCTTCTCCCTCATTTATTAATGTATTCAGTTATATATCTGTATCACCATCTCTGTCTTTCCATCCTTCTGTGCATCCATCCATCCATCATCTGTCTATCCGTCCATTCGTCCATCCATCCATCCATCCATCCATCCATCCATCATCTATCTGTCCATCCATCAATCATCTGTCATCTGTTTGTCTGTCGTCTGTCTGTCCATCCATCCATCCATCCATCCGTCCGTCCATCATCTGTCTGTGTCTATCTGTCCAGCTAATCTCTGTCTGTCTGTTCATCCATCTATCCATCCATCCATCTTCTATCATCTATCCATCTGTCCATCCATCTATCCATCCATCCATCCATCCATCCATCCATCCATCCATCCATCATCTGTCTGTCTGTCTTTCTGTGTCTGCCTGCTTGCCTGTCTGTCTATGTGTCTATATCAGTGTGAATGCATGAATATTTATTTTTTACCTAGGGTTATAATCCAGTACTACCTTATTTCTTTTGTTGCTCAAATTGTCCCAGCTTTGGCCATTCGGATCTCTTTCAGTTGGCTCCTGTGTTACTTTGCCATAACCCCATCAACATTGTGTGTGTGTGTGTGTGTGTGTGTGTGTGTGTGTGTGTGTGTGTGTGTGTGTTTTGAGCACTTTCTTTCTGGCACTACAAGATTCTCCAGGATTATCTCACACACAGATGGTCCCAACTTACAGTGGTTCAACTTACAGTCTTTTGACTTTATGATAGTGTGAAAGCGATACAAATTCAGTGGAAACTGTATGTATGCTGCCATGCTGGGCACTGGCAGTAAGCTGCAGCTGTCAGTCAGCCACGTGTTTTTGAATTATTATGGGTTTATCAGAACATAACCCCATTGTAAGTTGAGGAGCATCTGTATTTTCTGCCTCAGCCATGGTTTATTGGAGAATGGTGTTAGAAATCAAGCTCTGGGGAAGGTATGCTCATTGTTGGGCTGTCTTTTTAGGCCCTCTCAGCTGACAAAGCAGAGAAATACATGTGTGTATCCACATTTCTATATTTCTGTCTATACCTATATTCAAGTGAACACACCGATGTCTCTAATCCATCCCCCGATGGATCATTCTAGCCTCCTCCCCTTGCTCATCTGTAAATTCCCAACCCAACAGTGAGAGACCTGGCTCCCACCCTCAGCCATCCATTTACTTCACTATTCGACTGCAGTGTATATAGCGGCGCTGGAGTTGTTAACCCTGGAGCACAGCGCTATGTGCAGTTCCTTTTGCCTCTAGTCTTGCAGACTCCACCCGTTTCCAAAATGACTTAGGTCAGTGTCTTTCCCCCTCTATGCCCTTCAGCAAGATTATTTCATACATTTGTAATAGAATTCCATTATCTTATCAGTCTTCACTCCTTCCTGGGATCTCCTAACTTCTGCATTTAAAAAAATTTGCATACATTAAGATTCAGCATTTCAGCTATAAAATGCTATAGATTTTGACAAGTGCATAATGTCATACATTTATCATGACAGTATCACTTAGAATAATTTTCTGCCCTAAAAATGCCCCTGCACTTCCTCTTTTCGTCCCTCCTGCCAAACTTGGAACTACTGGCAGCCACTGATTATGGTTCTATATTTATAGTTGTGCCTTTTCCAAAGGTCATATAATGGGAAGTATATACTATGTAGTTTTATCAAACTGGCTTCTTTCTTTTTTTTTTTTTAACCTTTTTTTTTTTTCACTTAGCAATATGCATTTAAGATTCTTTCGTGCATTTTCCTGGCTTGATAGCTCATTTTTTTTTTTTATTGGCAAATAAAACTCCCATTGTGTGGATGTACCACAGTTGGTTTATTCATTCACCTATTGAAGGACATCTTGGTTGCTTCCAGTTTGGGACAATTATGAACAAAGCTGCTCTAAACATTAATGCACAGGTTTTTGTGTGAATATGTTTTCAAATTAGTTGGGTAAATATCTAAGTGCAATTGCTGGATCATATGGTAGGATTATGTTAAGTGTTGTAAAAAACTGTCTTCCAAAGTAGCTGTGCCATTTTGCATTCCCACCATTGATGAATGGCTGTTCCTGTTGCTATACATCCTTGCCAGAATTTGGTGTATATCAGGTTTTTTTTGTTTTTTTTTTTGAGGTTTAGCTATTCTAATAGATTTGTAGTGGCATATCGCTGTTGCTTTAATTTGAAATTTCCTGATGACAAATAATGATGAGCATCTTTTCATATGCTTATTTGCCATCTGTGTATTTTGTGTTATGATGTGTCTGCTCAGATCTTGTGCCCATTTTTTAATTAGGTTGGTTTATTTTTATTTTTTTTTTTTATATTTTGAGACAGAGTTTCGCTCTTGTTGCCCAAGCTGGAGTGCAATGGCGAGATCTCAGCTCACTGGGTTCAAACGATTCTTCTGCCTCAGCCTCCCAAGTAGCTGGGATTACAGGTGCCTGCCACCACACCCAGCTAATTTTTTGTATTTTTAGTAGAAACAGGGCTTCGCCATGTTAGCCAGGCTGGTCTCGAACTCCTGACCTCAGGTGATTCGCCCTCCTCAGCCTCCAAAGTGCTGGGATTACAGTTGTGAGCCACCACGCCCGGCCCTTTTTTTTTTAAGAGACAAGGTCTCTCTCTGTCGCCCAGGCTGGAGTGCCATGACACAGTCATGGCTCACTGCAGCCTCTAATTCCTGGGCTCAGGGGATCCTCCCACCTCAGTCTCCTAAGTAGCTGGGACTACAGGTTCATGCCACTGTGCCTGGCTTATTTTTAGTTGAGACAGGGTTTCATTTTGTTGCCTAGGCTGGTAGTTGGTTATTTTCTTATGGCCGAGTTTAAGAGTTCTTTATATATTTTGGATGCAAATTGTTTAGCAGATATGTATTTTGAAAATATTTTCTCTTAGTCTG
Source organism: Homo sapiens (assembly GCF_000001405.40). NCBI lineage: Eukaryota > Metazoa > Chordata > Mammalia > Primates > Hominidae > Homo > Homo sapiens. The sequence continues at coordinate 72,600,569 of NC_000007.14, read as the reverse complement.
TGGTTTGACTCTTCATTCTCTTAATTATGCCCTTCTCAGAGCAAATGTTTTCAATTTTAATAAAGTCCAACTGACTAATTTTTTTTCATGGATCCCACTTTTGATGGTGTATCTAAAAATTCATTGCCACATTCAAGGTCACCTAGATTTCCTCCCGTGCTATTTTCTAGAAGTTTTATGTTTTATGGTTAAGTCTGTGATCCATTTTGAAAGAGATAAGTTAGATCTGTATCTAGATTTATCTTTCTTGCATGAGGACATCCAATTGTTAAAGTACCATTTGTTGAAAAGGTTATCATTTCTTCATTAAATTACCTTTGCTCCTTTGTCAAAGATGAGTTGACTGTATTTGTGTGAATCTATTTCTGGCCTTTCTATTCCACTGCATTGATCTATGTGTCTGTTCTTTCCCCAATACCATGCAGTCTTGATTTCTGTAACTTTATAGTAAGTTTTGAAGCTGAGTAGTGTCACTCTTCTAACTTGTTCTTCTTCACTATTATGTTGGCTATTCTACATCCTTTCCCTTTCCATATAAACCTCAGAATCAGTTTGTCAATGTCTACAAAATCACTCTCTAGGATTTTGATTGGGATTGCCCTGAATCTACAAACACAGTTGGGAAAAACTGACAACTGTATTGAGTCTTCTAATCCATGAACATGGAATATCCTGCCATTTACTGAAATATGCCTGATTTTTTTTTAATCAGACTTTGTTTTCTACATATATATATCGTGTATCTGTTTTGTTAGATTTATATTTCAATTTTTTGATGCTAATGTAAACATGATTGTTTTGAATTTCAAATTCCAGTTGTTCCTTGCTAGTATATAGGAAAGCAATTAATTTTATATATATATTAACTTTGTGTCTTACAACCTTGCTATAATCACCTGTTAGTTCCTAGGGGGTTTTGTTTTTCATTGATTCTTTGGGATCTTCTACATGTATAATCACGTCACCTGTACACAGAGAGTTTTATTTCCTCCTTCCTAATCTGTATATCTTTTATTTCCTTTTCTTATTGTATTAGCTAGGACTTCCAGTATAATCTTGAATAGGAATGGTGAGAGGGGACATCCTTGCCTTATTAAGATCTTAATGGGGGAATATCTAGCTTCTCACCATTAAGTATGATCTTAGCGGAAGGCTTTTTGGTATATATTGTTTATTAGGTTGAGAAAGTTCCCTTCTGTTTCTAGTTTGCTGAGGGTTTTTAATCATAAATCAGTTACAATTTTGTCAAATTGATTTTCTTCAACTATTGATAAGATCATGTGATTTTTTTTTTCTTTAGCCTATTGATATGATGGATTACATTAATTGATTTTTGAATGTTGAACCAGTCTTCCATACCTGGAATAAGTCCCACTTGGTCATGGCATATAATTCTTTTGATACATTGTTGGATTTGATTTGCTAACATTTTATTGATTTTACATCTGTGTTTATGGCAATTATTGTTCTGTGGTTTTCCTTTCTTGTAGTATCTTTATCTCATTTTGGTATCAGGGTAATGCCAGTCTCATAGAATGGGTTAGGAAGTGTTTCCTCTGCTTCTGTTTTCATGAAGATACTGCAGAGAATGGATGTTATTCCTTTCTTAAATGTTTGGTAGGATTCACCAGTGAACCCACCTAGGACAAGGAACTAGGAAACTATCAGGCCACTCCTCACCTCCACCTGTCTGTCTGTCTTCCTCCACCTGTTTATCCCTTCCTCCTTCCTCTCTGGGCTCTTTTTGCATTTTAATTTTTCAAATCACCTGCTGTAGCCCCAGATTAGCTCAAGCACCCACCCCCACTTGACGCAGTCACAAGTCCCAAATTCTCAACACAAAATTAACCTAGTTTAACTCTTAACAGCCCATTCCCTTTGATCCAGTTGAGTAGCCCACTCTTACTTGTAATAACTCCTCAGGCTATTAAACTTACTAAAGCCATTACTGGACAAAATGAATTTTTCTTCATGTTTCTTCCAGTTCATTTACTTTTTAAAACTTCTTCTACATAAACCTGCTTTTCAGCCTCATTGAGAGCTCTGGCCTCAAGACACCTCCACTCTTCCTGTCATCTCTCCCTTTTCTGTACAACTTTTCCTGCATATTTTGGATTTTGTTGTGTAATATTTTACTTGGTATGTGTATTAGTCAGGGTTCTGTTAGAGGGATAGAACTAATAGGGGAGTTTATTAAGTACTAACTTACACGATCACAAGGTCCCACAATAAGCTGTCTGCAAGCTGAGGAGCAAGGAGAGCCAGTATGAGTCCCAAACCTGAAGAACTTGGAGTCCGATGTTCGAGGGCAGGAAGCATCCAGCATGGGAGAGAGATGTAGGGTGGGAGGCTAGGCCCGTCTCACCTTTTCATGTTTTTCTGCCTGCTTTATATTCACTGGAAACTGATTAAATTGTGCCCACCATATTAAGGGTGGGTCTGCCTTCCCCAGCCCACTGACTCAAATGTTAATCTCTTTTGGCAACACCCATACAGAAACACCCAGGATTAATACTTTGTGTCCTTCAATACAATCAAAGTTGACACTCAATATTAACCATCATGTGCGAATCTGTCCTCATGAGATTAATCTGTTCTTTTTCCTTTCTGTACTGTCCTTATCTACCTTGGACTTAAGGTAATATTCAGCTCATAATAGGAGATAGGGAGTGTTTTCTTTCTTTTCCCTGAAGTTGCTTGTTCTTTGAAGTCATCTAGGGCTGCTGCCTTCTATAGATAATTTTTTTCTTTAATGGATATAATATGATGCAAGTTTTTCTCCTTGAATCATTTTTTGTAATGTGTATTTTTCTAGAATATTGTGCATTTCATCTAAGTTCTCAAAATTTTGGCAAAAGTTACTTATGATTTTCTCTATGATAAAAAATTTCAAATCTGTAATCCTATCATTGTCACTATTGGTCTCATCTCATCTTTTCTTAATTGTCTTGCCCAGAGGTGTGTCTAGTTCAGCCGAGATCGGGTGCGTTCAGGGTGGTACCGCCATAGACGAGGTGTGTCTATTTCAGTGTGTTTACAAAGAACCAGCATTTGGAATTTTTGCTTATTTCTCTTGTTTGCTATTTCACTAGAATGCTTTTTATTTTTATTGTTTCTTTCCTTCCTACTTTCTTTGAAATGACTCTGTTATTTTTCTATCTTGAGTTGATTACGTTGCTCATAATATTTTACTCTACCTCTTTTTTTCTAAGCTAACATGGACATTTGGGGCCATAACTTTCCCTTTAGGTACTACTTTAGCTGCATCCCACAAATTTTGCCCCTATAGAACTTTTCTTGTCATTGAGATCTAAGTTTGTTACAATTTCCATCATGATTTCTTATTCAATCTATGAATTATTTAGTAGTATCTTTTAATCTGTCATATGAATATTTTTCATTATTTTGATTTGAATTTTATTGCATTTTATTCATATGTAGTGGTCTGCCTTATATTTATCTGGAGTATTTTTTGAGACTGGTTATGTGGCTTGGTGTGCAGATAATTTTATCAATACTCTGAGTTCTTATTGTAGTTTTGACTTATATTTGCCTAATAAGTGATGCTGAGCACTTTTTTTCTGTGCTTATTGTCCATTTCTATATCTTCTTTGGAAAAGAATTGGGATTTTGTTGTTGTTGTTGTTGTTGAGTTTTAGGCATTCTCTATATATTTTGGGTAGTATCCCTTACCAGATACATCATTTGCAATTTTTTTCCCCATTTTCTGAGTTGCCTTTTTACTCTGTTGATACTGCCTTTTGATGCATGCCTTTTAAAATTTTTCATAAGGTCCAGTTTGTCTACTCTTTCTTTTCTTGCCTATTCTCCATACCCACGAAATCACTGCTATGTTCAATGTCATGAAGCTTTGCCATATGTTTCCTTCTAAGAGTCTTATAATTTTAAGTCTTATGTTTAGGTCTTTGATCCATTTTGAGTTAATTTTTGCATATGGTGTTAGATAAGGGTCCAGCTTCATTGCTTTGCATGTAGTGTTTTTCCAACACCATTTGTTAAGGACGCTGCCCTTTCCCCATTGAGTAGTCTTGGCACCCTTGTCAAAGATAATTTGACTATATTTGTTAGGGTTTATTTCTGGGCTCTCTATTCCATTGTTCTACATATCTGTCTTTATGCCAGTATCACACTGTTTTGATTATTATAGCTTTGTTGTAAGTTTTGAAATCAGGGAGTGTGAGTCCTCCAGTTTTGTGTTCTTTCTCAAGATTGTTTTGGCTATTAAGGGTCCCATGAGAATCCATATGAATTTTAGGATAGATTTCTATTTCTACAAAAAATGTTTTTGTTATTTTGATAGATACTGTATTGAATATGTAGGTAACTTTGGGTAGTGTTGATGTCTTTTTTTTTTTTTTTTTTTTTTTTTGAGACAGAGTTTTTCCACTCTTGTTGCCCAGGATGGAGTGCAATGATGTGATCTTGGCTCACTGCAACCTCTGCCTCCCGGGTTCAAGTGATTCTCCTTCCTCAGCCTCCCAAGTAGCTGGGATTACAGGCACCTGCCACCATGCCCATCTAATTTTTGTGTTTTTAGTAGAGATGGGATTTCACCATGTTGGCCAGGCTGGTCTCGAACTCCTGACCTTAGGTGATCTCCCTGCCTTGGCCTCCCAAAATGCTGGGATTACAGGTGTGAGCCACCGTGCCCGGCCAGTGTTGACATCTTAATATTAAGTCTTTCAATCCATGAACATGGGATGTATTTCTATTTATTTATGTGTTCTTTACTTTCAGTAATGTTTTATACTTTTCATTGTACAAGTCTTCCATCTCTTTGGTTAAATTTAATTTGAAGTATTTTATTATTTTTGATGCTATCTTATTTTTAATTTTGTTTTATTTATATTTATTTATTTATTTTTTGAGATGGAGTCTCGCCCTGTTGCTCAGGCTCTAGTGCAGTGGCACGGTCTCAACTTGGTGCTACTTCCACCTCTGAGACTCAAGAGATCCTCCCACCTCAGCCTCCTGAGTAGCTGGGACTACAAGTGCATGCCATCACACCTGGCTAATTTTTGTATTTTTTTAGAGACAGGGTTTTACCATGTTGACCAGACTTGCCTCAAACTCCTGAGCTCAAGCAATCTGCCCACCTCAGCCTTCCAAAGTGTTGGGATTACAGGCATGAGCCACCACTCACTATGGTGGCTATTGTTGATGAACCTGTTTTTGTTTTTGTTTTTTCTTTTCAGATTGTTCATTATTAGTATGTGGAAATGCAGCTCATTTTTGCATGTTAACTTTGTATCCTGCCACTTTGCTGAATTCCTTTATTAGTTTAAACAGTTTTTTGGTTGAATCTTTATAATTTTCTACATATAACATCATATCATTTAAAAACAAAAATTATTTTACTTTTTCCTCTCCAATTTGGATACCTTGTATTTCTTCTTCTTACCTAATTGCTGTGGTGAGAACTTCCATTATTATTTTGAAGGAAAGTAGTGAAGATGGTCATCCTTGCCTTGCTCTATTTTAGAGGAAAAGCTTTCAATGTTTTACTATTGAGTATGATACTCACCGTAGGTTTTTTCATATGTGGCTTTTATTACGTTAAGATAGTTTCCAGCTGTTCCTTCTTTGTTGAGTGTTTTTATCATGAAAAACACGAAAGGGTGTTGTTTTGTCAGATGCCTTTCCTGCATTAATTGAGATGATCATGTGGTTTTTGTCCTTCATTCTATTAATGTGGTATATTACATGGATCCATCCTTGCATTCCAGGGATAAATCCCACTTGTCCAGGGCATATAATTCTTTTAATATGCTGCTGAATTTGGCTTGCTGGTGTTTTGAGGATTTTTGTGTCAGTATTCAAAAGTGATATTCATATACAGTTTTCTTCCAGTACGATCTTTGTCTGGCTTTGGTATCAGGATAATGCTGACCTCACTGAATGAGTTGAAAGTATTCCCTCCTCTTCAGTGTTTTGGAAAAGTTTGAGAAAGATTGGTGTTAGTTCTCTTTTAAATGTTTTGTAGAATTCACAAGTGAAGCCATCAGGTCCAGGGCTTTTCTTCGTAGGGAGATCTTAAATTACTGATTTAATCTCCGTAATAGTTATGAGTCTAATCAGATTTTCTGTTTCTTTGTGACTTAGTCTTGGTAGATTTCATGTTTCTAGGAATTTGTCTATTTCATCTAGGTTATCCATTTGTTGGCGTACCATTGTTTATAGTACACTCTTACAGTTTTTTTTTTTTTTAATGCAGAATTGGTAGCAAAATCATTTCTGATTTTGGTAATTCAAGTCTTATTTCTCTCTTTTTAAAAATTCATCCAGCTAAAGGTTTGTCAATTTTGTTGATCTTTTAAAAGAACCAGCTTTGGGTTTTGTGGGTTTTGTTTTGTTTTTTTCTATTCTCTATTTTGTTAATCTCTGCTCTAATCTTTATTATTTCCTTCTGCTAGCTTTTGGTTCAGTTTGTCCTGTTTTTAGTTCCTGAAGTTTTGAAGTTAGGTTGTTGATTTGAGGTCTTCTTTTTTAAAAATCAGTGTTTATAGCTATAAGTTTTTACCTTAGCATTGCTTTCACTGTGTCCCATACGTTTTGATATGTGGTGGTTTCATTTTCATTAGTCTGTAAGCATTTTCTAATTTCCCTTGTGATTTCTTCTGTGATCCATTGGTAATATTTAGGGGTGTGTTGCTTAATCTCTACAAATTTGTGAATTTTTTAGTTTCATTCATCTATTGATTTTTTTTTTTTTTTTTTTTTTTTTTTTTAGATGGAGTCTGGCTCTGTCACCCAGGCTGGAGTGCAGTGGCGTGATCTCAGCTCACTGCAAGCTCCGCCTCCCGGGTTCACGCCATTCTCCTGCCTCAGCCTCCCGAGTAGCTGGGACTACAGGCGCCCGCCACCATGCCCTGCTAATTTTTTGTATTTTTAGTAAAGACGGGGTTTCACTGTGTTAGCCAGGATGGTCTCGATCTCCTGACCTTGTGATCCGCCCGCCTTGGCTTCCCAAAGTGCTGGGATTACAGGCCTGAGCAACCACGCCTGGCCTCGTTTATTGATTTTTAACTTCATCCCATTGTTCTTGGAGAATATGCTTTGTATGATATCTATGTTTTTGAATCTAGGCCTAATTGGTAGCCTAACTTACCGCCTTTCCTGGAAAATGTCCCATGTGTACTTGGGAAGGATGTGTATTCTGTTGTTGTTAGGTACAGTGTTCTGTGTGCCTGTTAAATCAAGTTGGCTTATTGTGCCCTTCAAGTGCTTTATTTTCTTTCTTTCTTTTTCTTTTTTTGAGATGGAGTTTTGCTCTTGTTGCCCAGGCTGGAGTGCAGTGGCGTGATCTCGGCTCGCCACAACCTCCACCTCCCAGGTTCAAGCAATTTCTCCTGCCTCAGCCCCCCGAGTAGCTGGGATTACAGGCATGTGCCACCATGCCCAGCTAATTTTGTATTTTTAGTAGAGATGGGGTTGGTCAGGCTGGTCTTGAACTCGGGACCTCAGGTGATCCACCTGCCTTGGCCTCCCAAAGTGCTGGGATTACAGGTGTGAGCCACCGTGCCCATCCAAGTGCTTTATTTTCTTGCTTATCTTTCTCTGGTTGTTGTATCTATGAAAAAGAATGAGGTATTGAAGTCTCTGAGTATTGTTGTAGAATTGTCATTTCTCCTTTCAATTATATCAGTATCTGCTTTGTATATGTTGATTATCTGTTATGAGGTGCCTAAATGTTTATAATAGTTATATGTTCTTGCTCTGTTGAACCTTTTATCAATATGTAATATTTTTCTTTGTTTCATAACCTTTTTAATTCAAAGTCGTATTTTCTTTGATATTAGTAGAGCCGCTCCTGCTGTCTTTGGGTTACTGTTTGCATGGAATACCTTTTTCCATCCTTTCCCTTTCAATCCACTTGTATCTTTGGGTTCAAAGCGAATCTATTGTAGATAGCATAGAATGGGATCATATCTTTTTGTTTATTCTACCAATCTCTGTCTTTGGATGGGAGGGTTTAATTAATAGGCATCGAAAGTAATGACTGATATGGAGGGATTTACTTCTGTCATTTTGTTATTTCTCATATGCCTTACAGCTTTTTTGTCTCATTTTCTGAATATTGTCTTCTTTGTGTTGAGTTGATTCTTTGCAGTGAAACATTTAAATTACCTTTTCATTTCCTTTTGTGTAGATGCTGTAGCTATTCTCCTTGTGCTTACAATGGACATTGCATTTAACATTCTAAAGTTTTAATACTCTAATTTTAATTTATACCAGCTTAACTTCAACAGCATACAAAACTATATTCCTTTACAGCTCTGTCCCCACTCATTTCAGTTGTTGATGTCACAGAATAACACCTTTTTGATACATTGTGTGCCCCAAAACATAAACTAATACTTGTCTTTTTTTTTTTTTTTTTTTTTTTTTAACACATTAGTGTGTTAACATAGAAAACAAAACATAGAGGCTGGGTGTGGTGGCTGACGCCTGTAATCCCAGCACTTTGGGAGGCCGAGGTGGGCAGATCATCTGAGGTCAGGAGTTCGAGACCAGCCTGGCTAAATGGCAAAACCCCATCTCTACTAAAAATACAAAAATTGTCCAGGCATTGTGGCGGGCGCCTGTATTCCCAGCTACTCGGGAGGCTGAGGCACGAGAATTCCTTGAACCTGGGAGATGGAAGTTGCAGTGAGCTGAGATCACACCACTACACACACTCTAGTCTGGGCAACAGAGCGAGACTCCATCTCAAAAAAATAAAAATAAAAGAAAAAATATATAGAGTTACAAAACAAAGCTATAACAATCAATTTTATATTTGCCCATATATTTACCTTTACTATGATCTTTACTTCTTCATGCAGCTTCAAATTACTGTCTAGTGCCCTTTCATTTCAACCTGTAGGACTCCATTTAGCATTTCTTACAGGGAAGATCTAGTAGAGTGATGAACTACCTCAGCTTTTGTTTATTTGGAAATGTCTTATTTCCTTCCTCGTGTTTTGCCAGTATAGGATTCCTGGTTGACATTTTTTTTCTTTCAGCACTTTAAACATTATTAGCCTTCTGAGCTCCAAAATGTCTGATTAGAAATCTTCTATGACCATATTAAGTATCCCCTGTATGTGTGACAAGTCACTGCTCTCTTGCTGCTTTCAAGATTCTCTGTCTTTGACTTTTGACAGTTTGATTATAATGTGTCTTGGTGTGTGTCTTTTTTAGTTCATTATCCTTGGAGTTCCTTGAACTTCTTCAATGTTTATATTTATGTCTTTCATTAAATTTAGGGAAAATTTTGACCATTATTTCTTCAAGCATTCTCTCTGTCGTCTTCTGTCTCTCTCCTTCTGAGATTGCCACGTGCAAATGTCAGTTCACTTGATGGTGTTCATGGTCCCTTAATCTCTGTTCACTTTTTTTCTTTTCTTTCTTTTTTTTTTGCTATTCGGATGTGATCATTTCCATTGTCCTGTTTTCAGGTTCACTAATCCTTCTGCCTGTAGAAATATGCCTTTGAATTCTTCTAATGAATTTTTCATTTCAGTTATTATACTTTTTAGTTCCAGAATTTCTTTTTGGTTTCTTTTTAGGTTTTCTATGCCTATTGATATTTCTGTTTTGTTCATATATCCTTTTCTTGACTTTTCCCACATATTCCTGTAGTTTTTAGAGCATCTTTAAGATGGCTGTTTTAAAGTCTGTTTCTAGTGGATCTGCCATCTACCCTTTCTCAGGGTCAGTTTCTGTTGGATTTGTAGTTTTCTTTTGGATGGACCATACTTCACTGTTTCTTTGTGTGCCTTGTGATTTTCTTGTTGAAAACTGGACATTTGTATCCTATCATGTGGCCACCGTGGGAATCAGATTCTTTGCCTCTCAGTGTTTTCTGGAGTTTTGTTTTGCTTTGTTTTGTTTTGTTTGATTATTGAAGGCTGTCTCTGTGCCAAGGATCAGCCCGAGGTATGAACTTAGTCTTTTCAGTTCTCTTTGAAGACTGTACCTTTCCCTGGGCATCCATGGTAACTATAATTTCCCTATAAATATGTTTATTTTTTAATGTCTTAGTCTTTAATGTACACCTCCCAAAGGTGGGAAAGAGAAAAGTGAAAGAGTAGGGATGGGGGAAGCACTGGCCCTTGAAGTCCCCAGGGAGTCACTTAAGCTAGATGGGGAGGGGCTTGGCACCCTGACTGGCTGCCTCTATTCCGCCCTTCCATGACAAGAACACAGATCCTTAATATTTTGAAGACAGTGTTCTTATTGCCTATCCTGGCTCTTAGAAGCTACATGCAAGCTGCTCCCATAACATGTACACAGCTGCCTGCCATGGGGCTGAGTCGTCAGGGACTGGTAGTGGCTTTGGAGCTAAGAGCGGAGATTGACTGAAAATAACTGCAATTTACTGTCAAGCCTTCCCCTGAATGTTACAAGCCTTCAATAGACTCCAGAGTTCCAAAATAGTTACATCAGACAAATTCTGCCAGTGTAATTTTTGTCTGGGTGGGGTAAAGTATTCCTCGTGCTTTCTACTCCAGCATCTTCCCAGAATCCTCTACCTGGATATTTTTAAAATTTATACTTAGTTGAATTCTGAAGTAAATTAACTTTGCTATTCTCCTTCAGCACAACACAAGGACTTTCCTGTGCTTTTTCCTACAAGTTTCCTTTTAAACAAGTTGATACTTGTTTGTTTGTTTGTTTGTTTATTTTTGAGACAGAGTTTCGCTCTGGTTGCCCAGGCTGGAGTGCAATGGCACGATCTCAGCTCACTGCAACCTCCGCCTCCCGGGTTCAAGTGATTCTCCTGCCTCAGCCTCCCAAGTAGCCGAGATTACAGGTGTACACCACCACAACTGACTGATTTTGCATTTTTAGTAGAGATGGGGTTTCACCATGTTGGTCAGGCCGGTCTTGAACTCCTGACCTCAAGTGATCCACCTGCCTTGGCCTCCCAACATGCTGGGATTACAGGCGTGAGCCACCATGCCCGGCCGATACTTGTTTAGATGTGTCCTCATACATACCACTTTCTCAGTTCACCTTTGTTTCTGGCACTCCCAGCTGTTCCTGCTGGCACAGTTTACTTCTTACTGAACTCAGTGGTAAACTTAGCCTTCTTTTTTCTCCCCAAAACATCTTTATTTCACTTTCTTGAATAATAGATCATCAGAGTAGAAACTCTAAATCGAGGTATTTCCTATTAGCACTTTGAGGATATTCCTCTATTGCCTTCCCACAAAATTATTTCATTATCTTCTAGTGTCTTTCATCACCACGAAGAAAATGTCTGGTGTCATTCCTTAGTTTTGGAGTCTGCTGATAAATTCAGCAACCAGTAACATTTATTAAGGTTACCGTGGTAAGCACTACACATGCCATAACTCATTTAATCCTTACAGAAGTCTATTGGATCATAGATACTATTTTTTCTCATATTCCAAAGGAGGAAACTGAGGCTTAAACGAGTACAAGTCTAGCTGGGTGCAGTGGCTCATGCCTGTAATCCCAGCACTTTGGGAGGCTGAGGCGGGTGGATCACCTGAGGTCAGGGGTTCAAGACCAGCCTGGCCAACATGGCAAAACCCCATCTTTACTGAAAATATAAAAATTAGGTGGGCATGGTGGCACTTGCCTGTAATCCTAGCTACTTGGGAGGCTGAGGCAGGAAAATCACTTGAACCCAGGAGGCAGAGGTTGCAGTGAGCCAAGATTGCACCACTGTACTCCAGCCTGGATGACAGAGCAAGACTCTGTCTCAAAAAAAAAAAAAAGTGCAAGTCTTGTCCAAGGGCAAATAGGACACAACTAGAATTCAATCCCAAGTGTTTCCAAATACAAAGTCTACTTTGAACAAGTACATTGTACAGACAAGGTAGGGAAGGTGAAATGTCCTTTGGAAACAGGAGACAGAGTCCCTGTCCCAGCACAGCCAACAGCAGTCTCCTTGATCTCCATGATCATTAGCTCTGAGAGTCTGGCCATAATTAAGACCCTGTAGATAATTAGGCACTGATCACAGGGACCTCCTCCTTGGAGATAATAAAACTTGTAGTCTGTGAAGGGAGGGGAAGAAGAGCTATCACCACCCCCACACCCTCCCATCTTGGAATAAGAAGGGACTTGTGTATCTCCATTTAGGTTTTGCACAGTATTCTCTTAGCAAAACCTAGTGACTGTGGTACATGTGGAACTCACCCTCATCAGAGGCCTGATTGCTCCCAGCAGCAGTTGCTTTTAGAGAAGTATCAGAGGAAATTGGCATTTTGGTAACGCTGATCAGAGGATTTAGCTCCACTCCAACAAAATTGGAGATTAAAGTTGAAACTTCAGAAAATGAGTTTCCAGATAAACTTTTAGAATTGCACTTGGCTATGTCAAGAATGTAATCTTATGGTTATAGTTTTGTCTGTGAAAATGGTTCCACGGGCAACTGTTACCATGTGAATCCTACTTATTACCAGTAAACTCAGAAGAAGGTGGCAACAGCTCTCAGCATTCCACTATTGCAGGCAATCACAAGTCTGCCCTTGTGATCTCTGCCTCTTCTTACCCAAAGAAGAAACTATACAGTTGTAGCTACAACCGGCAAGAACAAATTTTGGTAAATCTGGGAAGTTCAAAAGATACCACTGTAATGAAACCACCATTGCAAAATTATGACTGAGACAAAGAAAGAGATCTCACCTAACTGACTGCATCTTGCTTCTAACCCCCAAGCTGTCCTTCTTCATTCTTGGGTGTAGACTGAACTAACTTTGGGAGGAATTTAGTTTATAGTTTATAATTTAAAACAAAGATGATAATAGCCCTTCCCTAAAACAAACCTCCTTCTTGCTAGGGACCCGATGGCGTTTGTAGGACTAAGAAATTAGCCAAACGATTAGAAATTAGTGTTTAGGAGTCATGCAGCTGGAGGCTACAAGATTCTGACCCTCCCTAAACTGCCCCTAGGATGAGTGCTTGAGAAATTTTGCAGACCTTGCACTTGATGGATCAGCTGGCACCACCCAGCTTGATAAACTGGCTCATCTGATCTTGTGGCCACCACCCAGGAACTGACTCAGCTCAAGAGGACATCTTCAGTTCCCAATGATGTCATCTCTGACCAATCAGCACTCCTGGCTCACTGGCTTCCCCCCACCCACCAAGTTGTCCTTAAAAACTCTGCTCCCTGAATGCTCAGGGACACCGATTTGAGTAATCATAAAACTCCGGTCTCCCGCACAGCTGGCTCTGTGTGAATTACTCTTTCTCCATTGCAGTTCCCCTGTCTTGATTAATTGGCTCTGTCTAGGCAGTGGGCAAGGTGAACCCACTGGGTGGTTTCAGTAACACTCTTTTTTGTAGTCTAAAAATCACCCCTCAGTATTCCAAAATCACTTCTCCCTCAGACGACCCCTGGACTTCCTCTACTCCCACGCAGTTAACATTAATTTTGAGTTGTGAGAAGGTCCGGTAGCCTCTCTTCTTTCATCAGTACTCCCCCTGCTCTGTGGCTTGTAAGTATGATTGTATGTTTGGAAGACCCATTTAGAAAATAATAATTGACACTAAGATTACATAAAAGCCCTTGAGTGTAGAAATGAAAATAATATGAATGATTCGTTTTGCATTAGTGTTCTTTTTTATTTTTGTTTTATTCCGTTTTGTCTATTATATATGGCCTTTGAAATGCTGATTGTGCAGATAGATGAATTTTACCCAAACAAAGGGCTGACCTTTGCCCTCAGCTTCTAGGAGGTGACCTCTAAGCCCTTGGAATGTCCTGCCTGATAGAGTACCTTTCTTTATTTGTAGGCCTTAGGCCACACCAGCTATTCTATTATTATTATTATTATTATTATTATTTTGAGATGGGCGTCTCACTCTGTCACCCATGCTGGAATGCAGTGGCACGATCTCTGCTCACAGCAACCTCCGCCTCCCAGGTTCAAGTGATTCTCCTGCCTCAGCCTCCTACGTAGCTGGGATTACGGGCATGCACCACCACACCTGGCTAATTTTTGTATTTTTAGTAGAGACGGGGTTTCACCATGTTGGCCAGGCTGGTCTCAAACTCCTGACCTCAGGTGATCCTCCCACCTCAGCTGCCCAAAGTGCTGGGATTACAGGCGTGAGCCACCAAACCCAGCCCCCACACCAGATATTCTCTGCCAACCAAATGATTTCATATGGTTGGGGCTTTGGGCCATGCAGTTATTGGCTCAACCTCTGGAGGGGCTGGAAATTAAGGTCAGACATGTAGCAGTCAACTGTGTCTAGGTGACTGAGCTGCAGTAAAATCTTTGGACACCAAGACTCAGGTGCATTTCCAAGGTTGGCAGCACTCTGTGCATATCATCACACATCCCTGCTGGGAGAAGTTAGCTCTGTCTATAACCCCTCTGCGATAGGACAACTGGAAGCTCCAAGCATGGAATTCTCCTAGACTCGGTCCCACATGCCTGTTCCCTCGGTTAGCGTTAATGTGTGTCCTCCTGCTATAATAAAACATACATGAATATAACAGCTTTCAGAGAGTTCTGTGGGTCCTTCTAGTGAACTGTTAAATCTGGAGGTGGTCTTGGGGGCCCCTGAACTTTGCGCTGGTGAATGTGTTTTCCAATCCTCGTTTCACAATTTCTCATTCTTAACTGCAATATGGGAGTAGCTCTGTTTTCTGGGGTGATTGTGATGGCTAAATGAAGTGAAGTATAAAAAGCATCTAGAATTGTGCCTTGCCTATAGTAGTGTGTTAGTCTTTTCTCATGCTGCTGATAAAGACATACCTGAGATTGGGTAATTTATAAGAAAAAAGAGGTTTAATGGACTCACAGTTCACGTGGCTGGGGTGGCATCACAATCATGGCAGAAGGTGAAAGGCATGTCTCACATGGAGGCAGACAAGAGAAGAGAACTTGTGCAGGGAAACCCCCCTTCGTAAAACCATCAGATCTTGTGAGATTTATTCACTGTCTCCAGAATAGCACAGGAAAGGCCCTCCTCCATGATTCAATTACCTCCCACCTGGTCCCTCCCACAACACATGGGAATTGTGGGAACTATAATTCAAGATGAGATTTGGGTGGAGACACAGCCAAACTGTATCAAGCAGTTTCTTAATAAAGGCTTTTTCCTAAAGGTTCTGACCATTTGCTTTTTAAATAAAGAATGGTATAGTGTTACGTGGAGGAATAGTCATACAAACCACCTCCAATGTTGATGCTAATAAATAGCTTGTGGGATACTCTTTTTTCAGCTCATATATAAGATTTCCTTCTTATTTCAACTCTTGAATGTGTAGAACTATGAGACCTTTGTATGATTAGAACTTTTTTCAGTGACTCTGCAGTATTTGTAACAAAAGCTGGAACAACTTTTAGCAGAACCTGGTTTGAGACAGTGGCTGGGGGCCAGCTGAATGATACAAGTTTTTTCTTTGTGACATTTTGAGTTTGAGGTGACTGGATCTCCCATATAGATGACTCTACGGAGAAGTTACAAGGGAAACCGATGGGAAGTCAGTTCTTCATCTGCAACCTCTTGCCTGTAACTGTTAGGAACTAGTTCATGTAATGGGAGGAGAATATACTTCACTGTGGCAGTTTTATTTTTTTGGTTATTATTTTCTGAGAAGGGATGGAAGCTTGTAAATAAAATCAAACAAATCAAAGGCAGAGCACACTGACTTTAGAGGTCTGCATAAAAAGCTTTCGGCTCCCCTCGTTTGCCTAAGGCCTCTTGTGCTGTACTTGAGTAGAGAAATAATTAACAGACAGTAGGCTTTTTAGTGCACTCATTGTTTAGACTGAATGCCAACAGAAGTTGAAGTACCTTAAGAATTTGGAATATAGGCCGGGTGCGGTGGCTCATGCCTGTAATCCTAGCACTTCAGGAGGCTGAGGCAGGCAGATCACCTGAGGTCAGGAGTTCGAGACCAGCCAGGCCAACGTGGCGAAACCCCATCTCTACTAAAAATGCAAGAATTAGCTGGGCATGGTTGGGCATGCCTGTAATCCCAGCTACTCGGGAGGCTGAGACAGGAGAATCTCTTGAACCTGGGAGGCAGAGGTTTCAGTGAGCCAAGATTGTGCCACTGCACTCTAGCCTGGGCAAGAGTGAGACTCCATCTCAAAAAAAAAAAAAAATTGGAATATACACTGTTTTCTGTAAGTTTTAGATAAGTTAAACAAAGGGAGTTAACTTAGGGATATTGCACACAAATAAGGGGTAAAACAAACAAACAAACAAAAAACAATGCTCTGGCCAGGTGAGGTGGCTCACACCCATATTGCCAGCATTTTAAGAGGCTGAAATGGGAGAATTGCATGAGCCCTGGAATTCAAGACCATCCTGGGCTGCATAGCAAGACTGTCTCTCTACAAAACATTAAAACATTGGCTGGATATGGTGGCATGCACTGTAGTCCCAGCTCTTCCAGAGACTGAGGAGGGAGGATCCTTGAGCCAAAGAAGTTGAGGCTGCAGTGAGCTATGATTGCACAACTGCACTCCAGTCTGGGCGACAGAGGAAGACCCTGTCTCTAAAACAAAACAAAACAAAAAGCCTCTCTTTGCCGTTTCCTTGAGAAATATTTGAAAGACATGACTATTAGTTCTGTCATTTTCCAGTTTGAAAGCTACCAGTAACATGGGATCATGTAATGGCCACGGTCTCTTTAACACCCTCCAATTTGAATCTTGGCCCTTCTACTTCCTGAGGATATGGCCTAAGCACATCTATCACTTAGCTTTTTTTGGACTTTTGCTCTCATTCTAAAGATAGGAATGTGACTACAACATGTTTATTATGTGGATTACACAAGATAGAGAACCAAACATAGCACCTAGTACCCAGTAGGACACTTCACAAGGATTTGTCACTACTGTTTGCCTGCCAGTCCTCTCCTTTCCTCTGCCCTACATTTTTTGGCTGAGGTTGTTGATGTGCTTTTTCCTTTCTTGGATGGATACAGTCACCACTATTTTAAACCTTATTTTTAGTTTTGTCAAAATTCTACATGGACAGTTAAAAAGTCCAAGTTTATTAAAAAACAAAACAAAAACAAAAAACAGCATTTCCTTGTACCCTCCTCAAACACAAACACACCTCCATTTCCCCCTCTCAAACAACAACCACTTTCAGATTTTCTAGGTGATTCATTTGGTATTTATCTCCGTATCTCTAAATAGCATACTTATATTGCTGCTCGCCCCTGCACCCCCAACCCGCCATTTTGCTAATTATCTTTCTTTTTTTGAGGCGGAGTCTTGCTCTGTCCCCCAGGCTGGAGTGCAGTGGCACGATCTCGGCTCACTGCAACCTCCACCTCCCGGGTTCAACCAGTTCTCATGCTTCAGCCTCCCGAGTAGCTGGGACTGCAGGAGGCTGCCAGTTTTTGTATTTTTAGTAGAGATGGGGTTTCACCTTGTTGGCCAGGCTGGTCTTGAACTCCTGACCTCAAATGATCCACCCACCTTGGCCTCCCAAAGTGCTGGGATTACAGGTGTGAGCCACCATGCCTGGCCGCTTATTATCTCTTTATTGTGTACCATGGAAGATGAGGCTCGAGCTTGCTTCTACCTTCTCCTGGAATATCCTTTCCCATTCCCCCACCCTCCTAACATACACATACCAGATTTTTGTTTAGATGATTTTTTTTGCATTATTATAACCACGTGAACACTGTTCACAGTCAAGCCATGCCATCTCCTGCAATTGCTATTTGTTTCCAGTGCCACCTTTGGTTAACTTTTATTATTTTCTTCATCTAGATTTCTGTGTTCTTTTGTTAACAACTCTCAAACTCTCTGCCATCTCAAATATATTGCCTCTCAGACTTTCAGATGCGTTGGATTTGCTATCAGGTTCATCTTTTTGAAGAAGTCTCTGCAGGACACTTACTTACCCACCTACCTTGGACAGTTCACTCTCTACCACCTAGTTCACAGCTGTTATCCTGAGATCACCAGCTCTGTCTTGAGTGAAATGTCTCTGGGATCCCGTGTTTCCTAAAATTACTCTTTCATTCACAGGAAACGCAACTTCTAGGAGATTCCTAAGAAACTGGCATGTAAAAAGTACAACTTTTTGAGACCTTTAATGTCCAAACGTGTTTTCATTCTCCCTATGCATTTGATTTGGATATAGAATTCTTGGCTGGAAACTATTCCCCCTTTGAGGTTGGACCTACTGTCTTTCAGCTTTCCTTGCAGTAATTGAGAACTCAAAAGGCATTCAGATTCCTAATCCTCTGTGTATGACCATGTTTTTCTCATTCGATTTTCTCTTTGTCTCCATTGTTTTGAAATTTCGCTATAATGTGCCTCAGACGGTGTGTCTGGTTTTATCCATTGTAGACACCTTTAATGTGGAAACTCATGTCCTTCACTTCTTAACATTTCCAGAATTATTTCAACGAATATATCCTCTCTTCTATTTTTTTTTTCTCCTTTCTGTCTAGAACTACTAAAAAGAAAAGTTTTAAATTGGGTCTTATGGACTAGTTCTTTAATATTAAAAAAAAAAAAAAATCTTTTTTGCCAGGTGCAGTGGCTCACACGTGTTATCCCAGCACTTTGGGAGGCCTAGGCAGGTGAATCACCTGAGGTCAGGAGTTCAAGACCAGCCTGGCTAACATGGTGAAACCCCATCTCTACTAAAAATACAAAAAATTAGCCGGGCGTGGTGGCGTGTGCCTGTAGTCCCAGCTACCCTGGAGGCTGAGGCAGGAGAATCTCTTGTACCTGGGATGTAGAGGTTGCAGTGAGCTGAGATCATGCCATTGCACTCCAGCCTGGGTGACAGAGTGTCTGCGCCTGGCCACTGCCCCCAGCCTCTTTTTATTTTTATCCCTCTATCATGTTAGAAGTTTTTCTGAGGTGGCTGATGGTCATTGGTTATATGCTTGTATTTGAGAGTGGGAGACTAAAGACCAGCCTGGCCAACATGGTGCAACTCCATCTCTTCAAAAAATACAAAAATTAGCTGGGTATGGTGGTGCACACCTGTAATCCCAGCTACTCAGGAGGCTGAGGCAGGAGAATCACGTGAACCCGAGAGGTGGAGGTTGCAGTGAAGCCGAGATTGCGCCACTGCACTCCAGCCTGGGCAACAGAGCATGACTCCGTCTCAAAAATAAATAAATAAAAATGATAATAAAAAATAAAGAGCACCCTTATGGTATGGGGCTGACTCTATCTTGGAGTGATCTGCTGGATCATTTCCTTAGGGAATCCCAACCTCAGTATCTTGTCATCTGTCTTCTTGGGCTGGTCAGTAGGGTCTTCTCATTTTCTGCAGCTTGCAATGGTCCCTGGTGGTCCAGAAACAGGAAAGGAAATAGTTTTATTATGGCAGCCCTGCTCTCAGCTATACCTGCTGTCCCACAGACCACAGATCCTTTCTGAATTGTCTTCTGAGAAGAAACCTCTAAGCATCTGTCGGGGCATGGAGTGGGCAGGTGCTCAGCTGTGAATATATGCAGGGGGCTCAGGAACTTGAGATTCTAATCGTGTCTTAAACAGAATATAAACCTGCCTTTGGGTTTTTGGTGGGGAGTGGGTTTGGTACCTCCTCAATCCATGCTTCCTGTCGGGGGAACTAGTGCAGCCAGTTTCTGAGCCTTTGAGGAATTCTAAAGCATAATTTGGGCTGAATCTTGGATTTCTCTATTTGCTGGCTTAGGATTCAGCTCTCTTGGGTCTGCTAAACCAGTTTGCTCACCCATCATCTGTTCAGCTTCTGAAAGTCCAATACTGTTTTCTCCTCTCCTGGTAGCTTTATTTTTATGTTATATATCTTTTTTAAATGTTCTTACTGTCATTTTAGTGGGGTTTCAAGAGGAAGTAATAGTAAATGCATGCGTTTAATCTACCATCTTTAATGGAATCTTTTTAAACATTTACACTAACAGAGAACCTATGCCATTATTATTGTTTAGTGAAATTCTCCCTGTGTGAAAGAGGAGAACATAAGGAGAACAAGGCCCCTTTGTACAGCAGTTTGATTCTTGCAGAGAGTGGGAGCCTGCATTGCCTCATCTAGCCAGCAAGGCCACAGACCCTTAGCAGCCTGGCTTTATTAAGTCAGGCTGTATCTTATTGCGCTTGTGTGTTTTTAAGATCATTTATGACCTTTTGAGTTTATTTGTAATTCTGCATAGATTCCGTTCTTCCCTTACTGTTGGATTCGAGGGATTCTTTTAGCAGGGTGACCTCGTGTCTCAGGATACTTAACCTCAGATTTTACGATTTGGGGTTTCATGCCTCTGTTTATGCAGCTGTCTCTCAGCGCTGTTTGTGTGTCAGTCATACCAAGTTTTGCTCTTTCAGCTTCTGCCTTTTACATGGAACACTTTGATTTTTTCTGAGCTGTGATTATTCAGTATGATTCGTCTCCGATTGCCCTGAGAGGTGGCACATGTGGTTCAGTTTTGTCTTTTGGGTCTAGTGGCTCTGTTCATTTCAGAATAACTTACTCTTAAGGACTGAATGTTTGTGGCCCCCCTCCCCTCCCAAGTTCATAGGTTGAGGTCCTAATTCCCAGTGTGGCTATATTTGGAGATGGGGTTTCAAAGGAAGCAACTGGGATTAAATGAGGTTATAGGGGTAAGCCCTGATCTAATAGGATCAGTGTTTTTGTAAGAAGAGACATCAGGGCTGGGTGCGGTGGCTCATGCCTATGATCCTAGCATTTTGGGAGATCAAGGTGGGAGGATCACTTGAGGCCAGGAGTTCAAGAGCAGCCTGGGCAAAATAGCTAGACCCTTTCTCTACAGAAAATTTAAAAATTAGTTGGGCATGGTGACATGTACCTGTAGTCTCAGCTACGCAGGAGGCTGAGGTGGGAGGATGGCTTGAGCCCACAAGATTGAGGCTGCAATGTGCAATAGTTGCACCACTGCACTCCAGCCTGGGTGACAGAGTGAGAACCTATCTCTTAAAAAAAAGGAAGAAGAAGAGACATGAGAGGGCCCAAGTCACTTGCTCACTCACTTTCCGTGTACATGTACCAAGAAAAGGCCATGTGGGACAAAGCAAGAAGGCAGCCACCTGCAAGACAGGAAGAGAGCCCTCACCAGAAACTGAGCCAGAACCTTGGAATTCCAGCCTCCAGAACTGTGAGAAAAGAATTTTCTGTTGTTTCAGTTCCCCACACTATGGCATTTTGTTACGGCAGCCTGAGCTAATACTCCTACTTTGTCCTGCATTTACTTGGTCTTCCAGTTAGTTTTTTTAGACTTTGGGAATCAGAGCAGTCAGTTATCAGATTTTAGCTTACAGTTGTCCTACCTGTGCAACAGAAATTTCTTCCATTTTAAAGCAGAGCAGAGTTTTAGAGTCAAAAGAAACCAGATCTTTTAGTGCAGAAGTTTTCAAACTGCATTAGAAGTGAGGAAGTTGGTTTTGTGAGTTGCAGCCAGCAGTTCTCTTATGAAGTGCATTGCCTGCAGTTTTGTGAAAGTTGTATTCCCAGCTTGTGTGTGTATATTTGCGTGTACTAGATTGAGATATAAAGTATATTTTTGACTGTAAGTATGGTTAAAAAAAAAAAAATTAAGTCCATTGTATTGCTCAAACCAATCCTTTACTCTCTCTTAGAACACCCATGGCAAATAATTATGTTAGAGTTTGAGGGTGAAGGAGCATCAGGATTATGAACCAGAGGGGTCAGACTTCAGACCTAGAAATCGAAACACCAAAGGGACACAAATAGGGAAGAAGAGAGAATGGTCATCTCTGTCTTTCAGCAAGCAACACTGGGATCCCGAAAAAGACTCCTCTACGGGGCCAAGCTTCTGTGATTTATCACACCTGTCCCTGTACTCCCCAAGTGCCTTGTACATAACCTCACCCACTATACACGCTATGTTGTATTATAATTATTTTCTAAATGTATGTAACTGGGCCAAGTCCATAGTTGGCCCAGTTGGCCCATGTTGATGGATGGATCATGATTTTTGGCCTCATTTGACTGTCATGCATGTTAAATTACATGTTAATGTCATGTCAGTCACCCCAGGCTCAGTCAAGGGTGAGTGTCATGCCTCTGTCATGAATACACAGTGAAGCAGTCCCTTCTATTCTATGGAGCCAGTAGCAGCAAAATCCCATCATGTCTCAAGATGTCAGTAGACCAGGTGGAATTTTGATTCTTTGTATGGTCTTCTAGCTTTGTTAAGAGGTGAGGAAGGGCTGGGTGCAGTGGCTCATGCCTGTTATCCCAGCACTTTGGGAGGCCAAGACAGGCGGATCACGAGGTCAGGAGATCGAGACCATCCTGGCTAACACGGTGAAACCCCGTCTCTATTAAAAATACAAAAAAAATTAGCCAGGCGTGGTGGTGGTCGCCTGTAGTCCCAGCTACTCGGGAGGCTGAGGCAGGAGAATGGCAAGAACCCGGGAGGCAGAGCTTGCAGTGAGCCGAGATTGCGCCACTGCACTCCAGCCTGGGTGACAGAGCGAGACTCCGTCTCAAAAAAAAAAAAAAAAATGGTGAGGAAGAGAGGCTGGGCCCTCGCATGTCCTGGGTGACGGCATACGTTGTTAAGGTCATATATTCACAGAGCCAGCAGGCTTGGTGGGGTGGAATGCAGGAGGAAACTGCAGGGGCCATTATAGTGTCTGTGGAAGTTCAGGACAGTGAGGTCCTGTGGCCAGAAAACTGACAGAAACTGTCTAACATGGGAACTCTCTCACTGCAACCGAACTAACAGGATTTAGGAAGACTCCCCAGAGCAGAGGATGAAGGACATGTGAGTTAGACAGAGGGAACAGCTTGGGCGTCACGTGAGAGGACCACAGCTCACCAAGAGATGCAGATTTGATACTCAGACTTTACATTCAGGATCGTAGGAATCAATTCTGCTGTCGGCACAGTCTCAGGCCGTCTGTGTGAAGTTGAGAGAAGCCACAGCTGGAATCAGAAGGTCAATTGGCTGGAAGACAGTGGCTGCGGCCCAGAGGAAGGGCCTGCGTGACCAAGTCACGCCACCGGCGGCAGAAGTGCTGCCCAGGGAGAATCGATGGAGGTGTGAAGGGCCAGGGAAAAGGAGGTCACCTTTGACTCTGCAGTTTCGAGGCTCAGTGCCTGGGAATGACAGTGATTGCTTCCACAACAGTAGACAACACTTCAGGGACAGTCTGTCTTGGGAGAGAGAATGATGGTGAGATATAAATTTTACATCTTGGGTTGTAGAGTTCACAGGGCCCTTGAGGCACCATTTCCAAGAATGGTCTTATTACAAGAAAATTTCCTCTAATTCATAGAGTAATTAAACTTTTCCGCATATTCAGCATTTTCCCCCTAGAAAGCTCTTAGCTAGTGGGTAAAAAATCAGATGTCATTTAAATTCAACATATTTTAATATTCTAAATTCAGGAACCTATGTATTTTCTTTTCTTTTTTTTTTTTGTGGCTAGAACAGGAAATTTTTCCTTAGTTCATTTAGTTAGTCGGAGTTTTCTTATTTTTATTTTTGAGACAGAGTTTCACTCTCATCACTGAGGCTAGAGTGCAGTGGCATGGTCTTGGCTCACTGCAACCTCCACCTCCCAGGTTCAAGTGATTCTCCTGCCTCAGCCTCCCAAGTAGCTGGGATTACATGCACACACCACCACGCCTGGCTAATTTTTGTATTTTTAGTAGCGATGGGGTTTTACCATGTTGGCCAGGCTAGTCTTGAACTCCCGACCTCAGGTGATCCACCTGCCTCGGCCTTTGAAAGTGCTGGGATGACAGGCATGAGCCACCATGCCCGGCCATTAGTCGAAGTTTTTTAAAAGATAGTGGCATGGGCCGGGTGTGGTGGCTCACGCCTGTAATCCCAGCACTTTGGGAGGCCGAGGCCGGCGGATCACGAGGTTAGGAGATCGAGACCATCCTGGCTAACACGGTGAAACCCCGTCTTTACTAAAAATACAAAAAATTAGCCAGGTGTGCTAGCGGGAGCCAAGAGTCCCAGCTACTCAGGAGGCTGAGGCAGGAGAATGGCGTGAACGCAGGAGGCGGAGCTTGCAGTGAGCCGAGATCAGGCCACTACACTCCAGCCTGGGCTACAGAGCGAGACTCCGTCTCAAAAAAAAAAAAAAAAAAAAAGACAGTGGCATGACAAGTACTTGTCTGTTTATGAGTCAGGTATCAGCGTATTAGTTAATACATTTACACAAATGAATGCCAAACAAATGCTTTGAATTAAAAGCCTTCACAGTTCAATTAGTATTTCCTTCTGAGCCTCTTCAACTTTCTTTCTGTTTTCTTCATTCCAGGTCATTATTCTACCGTGACTTTTGAGAAGCAATTTTCTTAAGAGAGTACAAATTGGATTATCCCCTCTTACTGAATTGAAATTGTTCAGGCTTTCCACTAATGAGATATTGTATCCACGTTAGGCCAGAAAAGCTAGTTTGAGTCATTTAGTTAGCATGTTTGAATTAGAAGTTATTGATGAAACCTTCACTAATAACTCAAGCCAAGTTGAGTCTAAAAAGGATTCCACGAGATGCTGTTAACACAGCCTTGAAAATTTGTAACCGATCAAAAGCGGCAACAGCAGGAATTAGAATGAGTTTGAATTAGTCACATGGTAACACGGAAACATTTAACCCTGTGTCAGCGGGACTGCTTGAGATAAACTTGACTTGTCTTCCGGGCCCAGCAAAACTGCAGGCCCAAGGGAAAGGAAGCTCTCCTGTGATTGTAGCGCATCTTGCTTTGATAGGAAGTCATGTCTGGAACATGGAAGAGGTTTTTTTGTGTTTGTTTTTGTTTTTGTTTTCTTGGCGTGATAGGGAGAAAAGATCAGACTTGTTCATGATTTTTAAAAACATTCATTTTTTTTTTCTAGGGATGTTTTTACTTCTGACTTGACACATTTTTTTCT
The DNA here is from genome assembly GCF_000001405.40 of Homo sapiens. NCBI lineage: Eukaryota > Metazoa > Chordata > Mammalia > Primates > Hominidae > Homo > Homo sapiens. The sequence goes on along the minus strand of NC_000007.14, from coordinate 72,575,725 downwards.
TTCCAGTTTAAAATTGGTGGTGAATGGTGGACATGGATCGATTATAACCGCTTCCAGGAGCTCATCCAGGAATATGAAGATAGTGGTGGATCAAAAACGTTCAGCGCAAAGGATTATATGGCCAGAACTCCTCACTGGGCATTATTTGGTGCCAATGAAAGAAGCTTTGATCCCAAGGACACAAGACATCAGAGAAAGAACAAATCAAAGGCTATTTCTGGATGTTGAGATTATCTGATTTCAAGGTACTGAAGGACAAAAACTTGGATGGCCTCAAAAGGTTCTTGAACACCACTCTGATTCTCCAAGGACGAATTACGTAAATTATACTTTCATACAAAGGAGACGATAAGGCAGTAAACATGGAGACACGGGGGACAGCGTCCACACTCAGAGGGCCTGGGCCACAGCCCCGATGTTTCTTTTCAGAACTCAGCCCCTTTCCTGATTTTACTTCTAAGAGGAAAATTATTTTGGGGAGGAACTACACAGTCGTGATTAGAATTTAACTGATGGTTTTGTATTATAACTTCTAAGACCTGCCAGAATGCTAGTCCTGAGAGTGTCAGACAAGGAAGAAATCCCTGGGCCTCTTCCCCTCACCTGGCCCTTGGATTTCATGGAGCAGCCACTTAGCATTGAATTGCACTACCCTGAGCTAAACGTGTCTGTGCTTTCTAAGATAAGAGCTTGATCCCTTTCTTCTGTCTTAAGACAGCACCTCCTGAAAAGAATCGAAGTTGTCACAACTCTCAATTATTTTTTAAATACTGCATAGATTGAGTTTTGGTTTATTACTAACCCTTCCCAAAATTGCATCGGATCTAAAACTACTAGATCTCATCCCATTCCCATGTAAATTACCACAGACCGCAGTACCGGGGCTGGAGCGGAGTGAAGCTGTCTGCTGTAAGAGGAGTGGCCATGTGAGGGCATGGAGTCATTAGTCTCACAAACACACTTTGGACTGAAGAGGATCATTTCTTTTTGTTCGTGAGGTCACTGTCCGGGCCTCTCATATCACGACCAGACGGCGGGTCTCCATCTTCTTTGACTCCTGTGGCCCTCGCTGCTTTACACAATCTGTTCTATAAGGTTCAGGTGTTTTCAAGTTGGAAAGATCATAAATACTCAAAATTGTTTTCAAGTTAGCAAATTCTTTTAACAGTCTTTTATGCAAAAATTGAATTAATAAAATAATATTTTGTAAAGACTTGCAGCATGAGTTTTTTTAAATTTTTATTCTAATTATTGTGGGTCCATATTAGGTATATATATGGGGTACATGGGATGTTTTCATACAAGCATGCAATGCGTAATAATCACATCATGGAGAATGGGGTCTCCATCCCCACAAGCATTTATCCTTTGTGCTAAAACCAATCCAATTATACTCTTTTAGTTATTTTTTATTTTTATTTATTTATTTATTTTGAGACAGAGTCTCACTGTCACCCAGGCTGGAGTGCAGTGGTGTAATCTTGGCTCACTGTCACCTCTGCCTCCCGGGTTCAACTGATTCTCCTGCCTCAGCCTCCCGAATAGCTGGGATTACAGGCATGCACCACCAGGCCTGGCTAATTTTTGCATTTTTAGTAGAGATGGGATTTCACCATGTTGGCCAGGCTGGTCTCGAACTCCTGACCTCAGGTGATCCTCCTGCCTCAACTTCCCAAAGTGCTAGGATTACAGGCATGAGCCACCACTCCTGCAGTCCTAAACCCTGTTAGACCCACCTTTTGTAACTCTATCCTCTATTCTGTGCTGAAATAAAATTCATAGATATATAATCTACCTACCCAGTTGAAAACTGGACACCTTTTTTTTTTCTTTTTTTTTTTTGGCAACAGGGTCTCGCTGTGTTGCTGAAGCCGGAGTGCAGTAGCACAATCACGGCTCACTGCAGCCTCAATCTCCTGGGCCCAAGCAGTCCTCCCACCTCAGCCTCCTGCATAGCTGGGACTGCAGGCATACACCACCAAGCTCAGCTAAATTTTTTTGATGTTTTTCGTAGACACAGGGTCTCACTATGTTGCCCAGGCTGGTCTTGAGCTCCGGAACTTGGGAGATCCTCCCGCCTCAACCTCCGATAGTGGCTAGGATTACAGGCATGAGACACTACACCTGGCCACCGTACTTATTTCTCTTTTTTTTTTTTTTTTTGAGATGGAGTCTTGCTCTGTCACCCAGGCTGGAGTGCAGTGGCGTGATCGCGGCTCACTGCAACCTCCACCTCCTAGGTTCAAGCGATTCTCCTGCCTCAGCCTCCCGAGTAGCTGGGACTACAGGCACCCGCCACCACGCCTGGCTAATTTTTGTATTTTTAGTAGAGACTGGGTTTCACCATATTGGCCAGGCTGGTCTCAAACTCCTGACCTTGTGATTCACCCGCCTCGGCCTCCCAAAGTGCTGGGATTACAGCCGGGAGCCACTGCACCCACCCCACCATACTTATTTCTAAATGGTAGAATCAAAATACTTTTCTGTATTGTTACATGGATCATTGAATACAGGAAAGACCAGTCGTTTTTCCCTCTGTACTCACACCACTCAATCCTTCACTTCTGACACCAAATTTGTGGGGCTTTTTGCTATACCAATCAATTCTCTGACACCAGCCGGGCATCCTACTGTTCAGTTCAATTCTGATGCTAATGAATTAACAAAGACTCCCTGAGTTAAGAGCTCAGTCCCAACGCCGGGCACCCTGGCTCACGCCTGTAATCCCAGCACTTTGGGAGGCTGAGGCAGGCGGATTACCTGAGGTCAGGAGTTCAAGACCAGCCTGACCAACATGGTGAAACTCCGTCTCTACTAAAATTACCAAAATTAGCCGGACATGGTGTTGTGCGCCTGTAATCCCAGCTACTCAGGAGGCTGAGGCAGGAGAATGGCTTGAACCCAAGAGGCGGAGGTTGCAGTGAACTGAGATCGCACCGCTGCACTCCAGCCTGGGTGACAAAGCAAGACTCCGTCTCAAAAAAAAAAAAAAAAAAAAAAAAAATGCCCAGTCCCACAAGACTGCCCCTCACTTCAGACACTAGTTGCAGGTAGGAGGTCCCCAGGTTACCCACAGCTTGTTTGACATGGCCATAAATCAGAGGTTCTTTGTCTGTAAATCAGAGGAACCCCATTCTTAGGTTCAATAATTTGCTAGAGTAGCCCACAGAACCCAAGAAAACAATTCACTTACTATTGCTGATTTATTAGGATTTTTTTTTTTTTTTTTGAAACAGTCTTGCTCCATTGCCCATGTAGGAGTGCAGTGGTACAATCTCAGCTCAGTACAACCTCTGCCTCCTGGGTTCAAGGGATTCTTGTGCCTCAGCCTCCCAAGTAGCTGGGATTACAGGCAGGAACCACCACGCCTGGCTAATTTTGGTATTTTTAGTACAGACAGGAGTTCACCATGTTGGTCAGGCTGGTCTTGAACTCCTGACCTCAAGTGATCCGCCTGCCTCAGCCTTCCAAAGTGCTGGGATTACAGGCTTGAGCCACCGCGCCCAATTTATTAGGATATTTCAAAGGGTACAAATGAACAGGCAGATGAAAGGATACAGAGGGCAAGGTCTGGGAAGATCCTGGGCAGAGAAGCTTCTGTCCCTGGGGAGTTGAGCTGTGCCACCCTCCCAGCAAGTTGATGTATTTACCAGTCTGGAAGCTCCCTATGTGCCATAGTTAGTGGTGGTTACGGAAGCTTCATCATGTAGGCACCCCAGCAGATTGGGGGTGGGGCTGAAAGTTCCAATCTTCTAATCATGTCGGTCCTTCTGGTGGCCAGCCTCCATCCAGGAGCCCACCAAAAAACAAGCCCACTTCATTAGAACAAAAGATGCTCCTGTAACCCAGGACATTCCAAGAGATTTGGAGCTCAATGGCAGGAGCTGGGTCAAAAAGCAAATATGAGGATAAAAGCTGCACCCGTGCTGGGTGCACTCAGGAGATTACAAGGGTTTCAAGAGCTCTGTGCCAGGTACCAAGGACAGAGACTAAATATCAAATATATAAAATTATGTCACAGATGGGATAGTGACAAAGTAGCACAGAAGTGTTATCTTTCTTGAAGTCACTGGGTCTTTTTTTTGAGATGGAGTTTCATTCACTCTGTTGCCCAGGCTGGAGTGTAGTGGTGAGATCTTGGCTCACTGCAACCTCTGCCTTCAGGTTCAAGTGATTCTCCTGCCTCAGCCTCCTGAGTAGCTGGGACTATAGGCATGTGCCACGAACACCTGGCTAATTTTTGTATTTTTAGTAGAGATGGGGTTTCACCATGTTGGCCAGGCTGGCCTCGAACTCCTGACCTCAAGTGATCCACCCACCTCGACCTCCCAGAGTGCTGGGATTACAGGTGTGAGCCACTGCGATTGGCCCAAGTCACCAGGTCTTTAAGAACATTTTTTGTTTTTAAATTTAATTTAAATTTAACAGATGGGGTCTCACTCTGTCACCCAGGCTGGAGTGCAGCAGTGCAATCACTGCTCACCACAGCCTCAAACTCCTGGGCTCAAACAATCCTCCCACCTCAGTCTCTTGAGTAGCTGGGACCACCAGCACATGCCACCACGCCTGTCTAATTTTCAATTTTTTGTAGAGATGGGGTCTTGCTGTGTTACCCAATCTGGTCTTGAACTCCTGGCCTCAAACAATTCTACCATCTTAGACTCCCAAAGCACTGGGACTATAGGTGTGAACCACCATGCCTGGTCCCTGCCACATCTTTCAGCTTCTGTTCAGTCCCCTGTTCTGCTGATTTAATGCAACAGACAGGGCCAGGTGGTCCAAGTCAGTGAAGCAGGGTCTCACTGAGACACAGATGTGTTAGTGGTCATTGAAGAGAGATGGAAAAAGTCTTTCAAGTAGGATGAAATGTTAGAAAGTAAGAGCTTATGCTAAGGAGCCCACAGATGGGCTCTTATACAGGAGAGTTAACAAAGCATCCAGTTGTTGGAAAGCACCTCGGAGGCTGCCCTAAGGAGCGAGGAAGGAGGCAGAGCATGCAGGACTTTGTGCTACTCCTCAACCTCTTTTCAACCACACAGGTCTGCTTTTCTTTTTTATGAATTGGTGTGCTGCTTAAGATTTTTTTTTTTGAGACAGTCTTGCTCTGCCACCCAGGCTGGAGTGCAGTGGTGTGATCTCAGCTCACTGCAACCTCTGCATCCCGGGTTCAAGTGATTCTCTGCCTCAGCCTCCTGATAGCTGGGATTTCAGGCACAAGTCACCATGCCTGGTGAATTTTTGTATTTTTAGTAGAGATGGGGGGAGGGGGGTATCACCATGTTGGCCAGGCTAGTCTCGAATTCCTGACCTCAAGTGATCCGCCCAACTCAGCCTCCCAAAGTGCTATGATTACAAGTGTGAGCCACCATGCGTGGCCTCAAGATTTAAATTGAACAAAGATATTTTATTGTTTCAAAGAAAAAAAAAAGCAAACCTCTTACCTACAGAATGAACCCTCCTGATTCCATTAACTTTTTTTTTTTGAGACAGAGTCTCGCTGTGTCACCCAGGCTGGAGTGCAGTGGCACGATCTCAGCTCACTGCAAGCTCTGCCTCCCAGGTTCACGCCATTGTCCTGCCTCAGCCTCCCCAGTAGCTGGGACCACAGGCGCCCGCCACCACGCCTGGCTAATTTTTTGTATTTTTAGTAGAGACGGAGTTTCACCGTGTTAGCCAGGATGGTCTCAATCTCCTGACCTCATGATCTCAATCTCCTGACACTCATCAATAGATGAGTGTTTTTCTTTCATCCCAGAAAATATTGATGTATTGATTCATATTTAAAATAACAACACTTTAAGCCCAGTTCACAGTCACAACAGAACATTTGAAATGTCTAAGGAAAATACAGTGCAATCTACATGAAAACATTCATTAAGTTTGCTGAACAGTATAAAAGTGGGAGAGAATGGGAAACCTGAATGTTCTAAGAAGGTGATCTGTTTGCAAAATAACATCCCAAGTTCTATCAGAATTTCTTTTTGGAGCTTAAGAAAATGATTCTAACTGAAAAATTAGCCAAACAGACAATAGTTAAGAAATTTTAGAAAAAATAACTATTAAGTGAAAGTTGGTTTATAAGATGTTAAAATATGCTACCTAAATAATTAAAATGAAATGAGATCAGTTCCAAAATGGCAGAGTGGGGGCCTCAGTGAACTCTGTCTCCCTCTAAAACAATGAAAATATGCGCAATACAACTAAAATAAACCAATTTTAGAATTCTGATAATAAACCGGAATTTCACCACAAACTGAAAATCATCTATCGAATGAACTTCAGTAAAATTAGCAGTTGACTTCTCAGCAGAAAACATGGAGGCCAGAAGATAGGATGAAATAGATGGTTAGCCAAAAATGTTCTATCTAGTTAAACCCTTTTTCAGAATTAATGGAGAAATGAAGACATTGCCAGATAAACAAAGAAAGAATTTGTCATTAGCAGACCTTCCCAAACAAGTACTAAAGGGAGTTTTTTCAGGCTTTAATGAAAGGACACCAGATTTTTTTTTTTTTTTTTTTGAGACAGAGTCTCGCTCTGTCACCCAGGCTGGAGTGCAGTGGTGCGACCTCGGCTCACTGCAACCTCTGCCTACCGGGTTCAAGCGATTCTCCTGCCTCAACCTCCCGAGTAGCTGGGATTACAGGCACACACCACCACGCCTGGCTAATTTTTGTATTTTTAGTACAGACAGGGTTTCAGCATGTTGGCCAGGCTGGTCTCAAACTGCTGACCTCAGGTGACCCACCTGACTCGGCTTCCCCAAGTGCTGGGATTACAGGCATAAGCCACTGCGCCCGACCAGAACACCAGACATTAACTTGCATCCAGATGAAGAAATAAAGAGCAGAGGTAAGGGTAACTATGTAGGTATGGTGAAAGACAATATAAACAGTTTTGTTTGTAACTTTTCTGTTTTAAAGGACAGCTGCCTAAAGCAATAATTATAAAACTGTGTTGATGGGCTTATAATATATGGAGATGTAATTTGTATGATAATAATAGCACAAGGGAGTGAGGAGAGAATAAAGGTATATTGGAGTGACTCTTGACTGCCACTATTGAAATTAAGTGGATATGAATCCAAAAGAGATTGTTTTAAGATGTTAAGTGTAATCCCCAGGCTAACCACTAAGAGAATACATTTAAAATACATATGGTAAAGGAAATAACAAAGGAATTTTAAAAGATACAATGGAAAATATCTTTTGAATACAAAAGATGACAGTAATGGAGGAATAGAACAGCATAATCATAAGACATTAAAAAAAGAAGTAGCAAAAATTACAGAGATTACTTCTACCTTATAGGTAACTGTACTATGTGGATGGATTAAACACCCCAATCAAAAGACAGAGATGGAAGAATGGATTAACTATGTTCATTGCAGCACTATTTGCCATAGCAAACCACATGGAATTAGCCTAGATGCCCATCAACAGTGGATTGGATAAAGAAAATGTGGTGGCCACGCATGGTAGCTCATGTCTGTAATCCCAGCACTTTGGGAGGCTGAGGCAGGTGGATCACCTGAGGTCAGGAGTTCAAGACCACCTGGCCAACATGGTAAAACCGCATCTCTACTAAAAATACAAAAATTCACCAGGCGTGGTGGTAGGCACCTGTAATCCCAGCTACTCAGGAAGCTAAGGCGGAAAATCGCTTGAACCCGGGAGTGGGAGATTGCAGTGGGCTGAGATCATGCCACTGCACTGCAGCCTGGCTGACAAGAGCAAAAGTCAGTCTCAAAAAAAAAAAAAAAAGAAAAAGAAAATGTGGCACATATATACCATGGAATACCCCATAGCCATAAAAAAAGAATGGAATCATGTCCCTTGCAGCAACATGAATGAAGCTGGAGGCCATTACTCAGTGAAATGATGCAGAGACAGAAAACCAATAACTGCATTGTTTTCACCGGTACAAATGGACATAAATATGGGGACAATAGACCCTGGGGACTACAAAACTGGGGAGGGAGGAAGGGAAGCAAGGGTTGAGAGAAACCTGTTGAGTGCTATGCTCACTACTTGGGTGATGGGTTTAATCATACCTCAAACCTGAGCATCATGCTGTATACCCCTGTAACAAACCTGCACATGTACCCACTGAATCTAAAATTTTAAAAAGACAATAAAATTGTTTAAAAATCCAACTATATGCTGTCTATAAGAGACATACTTTAGATTCAAAGACAAATAGGTGGAAAGTTAAAGGAAGGAAAAAGATATCCCATGAAAGCAGTAACCAAAAGAGAGCTGGAGTGGCTACAGCAATATTAAAAATATGTAGAGACTTTTTTTTTTTTGAGATGGAGTCTCATTCTGTCACCCAGGCTAGAGTGCAGTGGCACGATCTTGGCTCACTGCAAACACCACCTCCCGGGTCAAGCAATTCTCCTGCCTCAGCCTCCCAAGTAGCTGGGATTACAGGTGCATGCCACCACACCCAGCCAATTTTTGTATTTTTAGTAGAGACAGGGTTTCACCATCTTGGTCAGATGGTGACCACCATCTTGGTCACCATTACTCCTGACCTCGTGATCTACCTGCCTTGGGCTCCCAAAGTGCTGGGATTACAGGCGTGAAAAAAATATGTAGAGACTTTAAGATAAAATTGCTACTAAAAACAAAGAACATTTTGTAATGATAAGAGGACCAATTTACTAGAAAGATATAATGATTATAAACATACATGCACCTAACAATAGAGCCCCAAAATATATAAAGCGAAACCTGACAGAATGTATATGAGAAAGACCACGATAATAGAGACTTACATACCCCACTTCCAATAATAGATAGAAGGATTAGTCAGAAGACCAGCAAGAAATGGAAGATTTGGGTGACACTATAAACTAACTCCACCTAATAGACATGACAGAACACTCCATTTAGCAATACATTATTCTCAAGGGCACATGGAACATTCCAGGATAGACTATATGTTAGACCATAAAATAAGTCTCAGTAAATTAAAAAAGACTGAAAATATACAAGTTATGTTCTGCAACCAATGGGAGGAAATTAGAAACCAACCACAGAAAAAAATTTAAGAAATTCACAAATATGTAAACATTTTAAAAAATCCTAAAGAATCGACAGGTCAAAAAAAGAGATCATCCAGGGAAAGTAGGAAATACTTTGAGATGGATGAAAATAAAAACACCAAAATTTATGGAATACTACTAAATCAATGCTTAGAGGGACATTTATAGTTAATGCTTACATTGAAAAGAAGATATATCTCAAATCAATAATCTAACATTCTACCTTAAGAAACTAGAAAAAGAAGAGCAAATGAAACTCAAAGCAAACAGAATGAAGAAAATAATAAACATTAGAGTGGAAATAAATGAAATACAGAAAAGGAAACGGTGGAGAAAAATCTGTGAAATAGTAAGTTAGTTCTTTGAAAAGATCAACAAAATTGGCAACCCTTTAGTTAGACTCACCAGGAACAAAAGAGAAGATGCAAATGACTAAAATCAGAATGTGGGAACACTGTGATGTTGGCACGAGTCTGAATATACTGAAAGTCCCCAAATTGTTGTGTACACTTTTTTTTTTTTTTTTTTTGAGATGGAGTCTGGCTCTGTCACCCAGGCTGGAGTGCAGTGGTGAGATCTGGCTCACTACAACCTCCACCTCCCGGGTTCAAACGATTCTCATGACTCAGCCTCCTGAGTAGCTGGGACTATAGGCGTGCGCCACCACACCTGGCTAGTTTTTGTATTTTTGGTAGAGGCAGGGTTTCACCATGTTGGCCAGACTGGTCTTGAACTCCTGAACTCAAGTGATCCACCCTCAGCCTCCCAAAGTGCTGGGATTCACAGGCATGAGCCACCATGCCTGGCTCCCCTTACTGTTGTATACTTTAAATGGGTGAATCTTATGGTATGCGAATTTTATCTCATAAAGCTGTTAAAAAAGAATGAAAGCACAGAGGCAAATCTGAATGTTTGTAAAACTTAAGATAAAGGAAGCATCCTAAATCGGTGGGGGTTTGGGAGAAAAACATTTAGTGCTATTATATACCAAAAGGAATCAGGAGAAACAAAATGCTCAGAAGAAAGCTTACGTAAGGACGCCATTTCTTGACTAGTGGCTTCCACAACTTTCCTTTGTATAAGAAATCTCCTGGAGAATTTGTTAATACAGATTACTGGGGTCAGCCCCAGAGTATCTGATATCCTGATATCATAGGTCTTCAGTGAGTAGAATTTGCATTTCTAAAAGGCTCCTAGTGTAACCGCCTAAGGGGTTCACCTTGCCCACTGCCTAGACAGAGCCAATTCATCAAGATGGGGGAATTGCAACAGAGAAAGAGTAATTCACACAGAGCCGGCTGTGCGGGGGACTGGAGTTTTATTATTAAATCAGTCTCCCAGAGCATTTGGGGAGCAGAGTTTTTAACGACAACTTGATGGGTGGGGGGAAGCCAGTGAGCCAGGAATCCTGATTGGTCAGAGATGAAATCACAGGGAGTCGGAGCTGTCTTCTTGTGCTCAGTCAGTTCCTGGGTGGGAACCACAAGATCAGATGAGCCAGTTTATCAATCTGGGTGGCACCAGCTGATCCATCAAGTGCAGCGTCTGCAAAATATCTGGAGCACTGATCTAAGGAGCAATTTAGGGAGGGTCAGAATCTTGTAGCCTCCAGCAGCATGACTCCTAAACCATAATATCTAATGTTGTGGTTAATGTTAGTCCTACAAAGGCATTCTAGTCCCCAGGCAAGAAGGGTTTTGCTTTGGGAAAGGGCTGTTACCGTCTTTGTTTAAGCTATAAACCAAGTTTCTCCCAAAGTTAGTTCAGCCTATGCCCAGGAATGAACAAGGACGGCAAGCAAGATGGAGTCAGTGAAGTTATATCTCTTTCACTGTCTCAGTCATAATTTTGCAAAGGTGGTTTCATTAGATGCTGCTAATGCTGCTAGCCCAGAGACCACACTTTCAGAACCATTGTTGGTCTAAAGCCAGTGTAAGAACTCATAAAGGAAAGGTCGAAAAATCCTTGACTGTAGAATATGTTTAAGCATTTGATATATCAAACATCACATAAACTCAAAAGGCAAAGATTGGGAGAAATAATTTGTATGAAGTGTGATAGATGAATCCTCAAAAACCTCATATAGTTGAATTTTAAAAATGTTAAGACTTGACTGGCTGAATGAACAAAGGACATGGGACATAAAGTGTTATCAGTGAGGACATACAGATGGCTACAAAATATGAACTGTTCACTTTCTCCAAGGAAATGCAAATTAAAAGAATATTTTATTCATCAAATTGAAACCACCTTTGCAAAAATTACATCAGCAAGAAAATTATGGCAGCAGGGGAGATCTGATCTAGCCAACCCCCCTCTTGACTTTAGCCTTCAAGCTGCCTTAATTATTCTTGGGATTAGACTGGGCCGACTTTGGGAGACATTTAGTTTATAGTTTAAATGGTAATAGCTCTTCCCCAAACTCAACTGCCTTCATAAAGCTAATGAGAGACCATCAGGCGAGGAGGACAGAGAAGCCTGATTTCTACTATCTGTAAATATAAACAATTGCCAGCCATTATTCTGGAGGTCACAAGATATGCAATTTCTCCAATTACTCCTGCAGGTAACATCATTATTGTAGAACCTAAGATTGACCTTTTGAGATATCTTTTCCACACCTGGCTCTGCCTGGACCTGCCAGCTGCTCCTGTGGCCACACCCAGAATTGACTCAGCACAAGAAGATAGCTTCAGCTCCCTAGGAATTTTTTTTTTTTTTCTTCAAGACAAAGTTTTGCTCTGTCGCCCAGGCTACAGTGCAGTGGCACGATCTCCACTCGCTGCAAGCTCTGCCTCCCGGGTTCATGCCATTCTCCTGCCTCAGCCTCCCGAGTAGCTGGGACTACAGGCGCCCGCCACCACGCCCAGCTAATTTTTGTAGTTTTAGTAGAGGCAGGGTTTCACCGTGTTAGCCAGGATGGTCTCGATCTCCTGACCTCATGATCCACCTGCCTTGGCCTCCCACAGTGCTGGGATTACAGACATGAGCCACCATGTCTGGCCAAGCTCCCTAGGATTTTCTCTCTCACCCACCAATCGGCAGCAAGCACCCACTGCCTAGCCACCCTTATCCCTAGCTCACCAAACCTTTTTTTTTTTTTTTTGAGTTGCAGTCTCTGTCGCCCAGGCTGGAGTGCAGTGGCATGATCTTGGCTCACTGCAACCTCCACCTCCTGGGTTTAAGCAATTCTCCTGCCTCAGCCTCCCAAGTAGCTGGGATTACAGGCTTGCACCACCACGCCCAGCTAATCTTTGTGTTTTTAGTAGAGACAGAGTTTCACCATGTTGGCCAGGCTAGTCTCAAACTCCTGGCCTCAAGTGATCTGCTTGCCTTGACTTCCAAAGTGCTGGGATTACAGGCGTGAGGCACTGCGCCCAGCCTCCACCAAACCATCCTTGAAAAACCCCTAACCTCTGAGCCTTCACGGAGATAGGTTTGAGTAGTAAATTTGTCTCCTACGTGATGTGGCTGGCGTGTCAGTTAAAGTTTTTCTTTATTGCAATGCCATGGTCTATTTTGTTTGTGCAGTGGGCAGAAAGAACCTATCAGGCAGTTACAAAATTAGCAAAAGTTTTAAAAATTATTATATTACAATAAAATATAGACTTCCTTTTTGAGACTTGGTCTCACTCTGTTGCCCAGGCTCCAGTACAGTGGCATGAGCATGGCTCACTGCAACGCTGACCTCCCAGGCTCAAGCTATGCTCCCACCTCAGCCTCTCAAGTAGCTGGGATTACAGGTGCACACCACAACACCTGGCTAATTTTTGTATTTTTTTTGTAAAGACAGGGTTTCACTTTGTTGCTCAGGCTGGTCTCAAACTCCTGGGCTCAAGCAATTCAACCACCTTGGCCTTCCAAAGTGCTGGGATTATAGGTATGAGCCACCGCACTTGCCCAGATACAGATTTTTCAAAAGCAGTTTGACAATGCATACCGAGAACTTTTATCGTTACCTTTGGGTTAAATGATTTAAAGAAAAAAATTATATATATATATATATGTGTGTACACACATACACACACACACACACACACACACACACACACACATATATATATATATATATTTTTTTTTTTGAGACGGAGTCTTGCTGTGTTGCCAGGCTGGAGTGCAGTGGCATGATCTTAGCTCACTGCAACCTCCACCTCCCAGGTTCAAGCCGTTCTCCTGCCTCAGCCTCCTGAGTAGCTGGAACTACAGGTGCACGCTACCACATCCAGCTAATTTTTGTATTTTTAGTAGAGATGAGGTTTCACCATGTAGGCCAGAATGGTCTTGATCTCTTGACCTCATGATCCGCCTGCCTCAGCCTTCCAAAGTGCTGGGATTACAGGTGTGAGCCACCATGCCTGGCCAAAAAAATATATATATGTATTTAAATATATTTATGTTAGAAGTAAATGCTTGGTGCCACAAAGTGAAACCAGTACTCTCACTCAGGCAAAAGTTTTCTCAGCAAGGCAATTTACTTCTGCAGAAGGGTGCTGCCTGCGTCAATCATGATTGCAGGAGCACAGGGAACAAAGGAAAATGGGGGTTTTTGTTCTTAACGCAATCCCTACCTCTGTGTTACTCCCCCATGGGCTGGGGTTTGACCACACAATCTAAAGTGACCCAACTGGGTATTTCTGAATAGTTTTCCCAAATAAGGAAGGGGGAAGGGGGATGTGAGTTACAATGGTGGGATGTGTGGGAGGTGTGGTTTCAAAGGGTGGAATGGGTGCAGAGGGAGTAACCAAGGGAACAGATGTGAGTTATTGATTAGAGCTGACCGAAAAGTTGTTTACAGTAACTAGGGGCAAGGAGGCATGGAGAACAAGAAAGTTAGGTTTGAGAACAAAGAACAAGGAAGTTAACAGGCTGAACTTTTGAAGGGAAATTCAACAAGAGCAAACTTGTTGCTCTTCTGGGCAACAAGAGCGAAACTCCGTCTCAAATAAATAAATAAATAAATAAATAATGAAATAAAATACAGGAGGCATTTAATATTTCTGGAAAGCATGGCAAAATCATTACAGTACACCCTATTGTCTAGATAATTCAAGTCATTCAACAGATGTTTACTGAATACCAATTTTGTTCTAGTTACAGGGGATTTATTGATAAGTAAAAGAAAGGAGGATAGGAAAAAGAAAGGATATTTCTTATCATTATGATGTGCCAGACATTCATCAAAGACAAAGATCCACAGAAATAAATATTATACATCAAACACAAGTGATGGTAAGAGCCACAAAAGAGAGGGACAGTCTCTGGGTGATTGTGTCATTGGAGAGATGGAGTCAGAGATGTGGGAGGAGGCATGCACTGATTGTGCTGGTGCCTAAGAGAAGAATTCTTCCAATTCCTGGGGTAGGGGTTGGGGCTGATAGGATTTGGCTGTGTCCCCACCCAAATCTCATCTTGAATGATAGCTCCCATAATTCCCACATGTTTAGGGAGGGACCTGGTGGGAGGTAATTGAATCATGGGGACTCTTTCTCCCATACTGTCTTCATGGTAGTGAATAAGTCTCACGAGATCTGATGGTTTTAAAAGGGATTTCCCCTTTTGCTTGGCTCTCACTCTCTCTCTTGTCTGCCGCCATGTAAGACATGGCTTTTGCCTTCCACCACGATTGTGAGGCCTCTCCAGCCACATGGAACTGTGAGTCCATTAAACCTCTTTTTCTTTATAAATTACCCAGTCTCGGGCATGTCTTTATCAGCAGCGTGAAAATGGACAAATACTGGAGCGTGACACACCTGGGCAGCTGCAGGAAGGCCACAGTGGCTGGAGCTGAAGGGCGATGTGGGAAGTGAAGGGAAGAGCCAGGCCACACGGGGACACCAGGGGCACATAATGGGTGATGACTCGGGGAGACAGAGGCCGGGCCTCTCCCCAGGGCAGTTATGCAAAGGAACAACGGGATTAGATTTGCATTTTAATGAAATCGTTTTAGCTGTGGATTGGAATATGGCTTGGAGAGGCCAAAAGGGAAGGAGATGAGTTGGTATTTTCATGGAACAGGTGAGAGGTAATGGCTTGCGTGGTGACCTTTCTGCAGTATGCAACCATCTGTGCCAGCCCTGGTGACACTCTCCTGGATGGAGAACAGTGGATGGATTTGAGAGACCTAGAAGATAACACTTCATGCATTTGGCACCAAATTGATTATGTTACAGGAAAGGGGTTCCGATCCAGACCCCAAGAGAGGGTTCTTGGATCTTGCACAAGAGAGAATTCAGGGCGAGTCCATAGAGTAAAGTGAAAGCAAGTTTATTAAGAGAGTAAAGGAACAAAAGAATGGCTACTCCATAGACAGAGCATCCCTGAGGGCTGCTGGTTGCCTATTTTTATGGTTATTTCTTGATGATATGCTAAACAAGGGGTAGATTATTCATGCCTCCCCTTTTTAGACCCTATAGGGTAACTTTCTGACATTGCCATGGCATTTGTAAACTGTCATGGTGCTGGTGGGAGGGTAGCAGTGAGGACGACCAGAGGTCACTCTCGTTGCCATCTTGGTTTTAGTGGGTTTTGGCTGGCTTCTTTACTGCAAACTGTTTTATCAGCAAGGTCTTTATGACCTGTGTCTTGTACCGACCTCCTATCTTATCCTGTGGCTAATGCCTTGGCTGTCTGGGAATGCAGCCCAGCAGGTCTCAGCCTCATTTTACCCATCCCCTACTCAAGATGGAGTTGCTCTGGTTCAGATGCCTCTGACAATTAGATGGGGCTAAGGTTGACTCCTGGGTGGCAGGCCTGAGAACAGGGTGGATGACAGTGCCATCTTCCAGGCTGGCTGATCCTGGAAGAGGACCAGGCTTCGGGGAGAGCTTGAGTTCATTTCTGGTCAGTAAGCTTGTAGCTGCCTCAAGACTCCAAAGGGAAAAGTCAACACAGCAGGCAGATGGACATGTCTGGAGGGGCCTGTGGTGGAAACTGAAATGTGTGAATCACAATCCTGTAAGTTATAATCGAAGCCTAGAGGAGGGCTGAGATCACCTAAAGAGAGAGAATAAAATGAGAACAGGAAAGACCCAGCCTTGATGAGCTCCAACAGAGGAGGCAAGTCTACAGCCGGTAGAGATGAGACTGTAACCGTGTGCAATGGGTTCATTTTGCTGGCTGTCCAGAGAGAGCTGACTTACCAAGACAGGGCAATTGCAATAGAGAAAGAGCTTACTTCACATACAGCCAGCTGAATGAGAGACTGGAGTTTTATTATTACTCAACTTGATCTCCCTGAGAATTCAGAGGTAATGATAATTTGGTGGGCAGGGGGCTAGGGTAGGGGTGCTGCTAACTGGTTGGGGATGCAATCATAGGGGTGTGAAAAATGGTCCTTGTCTGCCGAGTTCACTTCTGGGTGGGGCCAGAGGGAGTTTGGCGGGTCCAAGTGGAGCCGTTGGTTGTCAGAAATGCACAAACCTGAAACCTTATCTCAAAAGGCCAATCTTAGTTTCTGTAATAGTGACGTAATCTGTAGGAGTTATTGGGGGGTTGCAAATCTTGTGACCTCTGGAATAATGGCTGGTAATCGTTTAGTCTACATCTCAGCAGAATTCAGGCTCTTCTCATCCTCCTCGCCTGGCGGTCTCTCATTAGCTTTACGAAGGCGGTTGAGTTTTGGAGAAGGGATATTATCATTTAAACTATAAACTAAATGTCTCCCAAAGTTTGCTTGGCCCAAGCCCAGATATGATTAAAGGCAGTTTGGATGTTGAAGGCAAGATGGGGATTGGTGAGACCCAATCTTTCACTGTCGTAATTTCCTTACTGTTATAATTTTTTGCAAAGACAGTTTTAGGAGGGACACCAGGCCATGGAGTCACAGAAATCCAGTGGGAAGAGTGGATCAAGAAAAGACTAATCAGCCAGGCACGGTGGCTCATATCTGTTATCCCAGCACATTGAGAGGCTGAGGCAGGCAGATCACTTGAGGCCAGGAGTTTGAGCCTGGCCTAGCTAACATGGTGAAACCTTGTCTCTGCTAAGATACAAAAAATTAGCTGGAGGTGGTGGCACACACCTGTAGTCCCAGCTACTTGGGAGGCTGAGGAAGGAGAATCGCTTAAGCCTGGGAGGCGGAGGTTGCAGTGAGGTGAGATCGCACCACTGCACTCCAAGCCTGGGTGACAGAGCAAGACTCCATCTCAAAAAAAAAAAAAAAAAAAAAAAAGACGAATTGACAGGACCAGATGCCAATGAGAAGTGAATTCTGGGAGGATGACAGAAAAATATCCTTTGATGGGGTCATTGATGACACTTTTAGTGGAACGCCAGCTGCCAGTGAAAGTTTTTGGAGAAGTTTTAGTCACAGAAGATGTTTATGAAGTATAATTCTAAGTTTGAAACAGAATACAGAGCACAGAATAGCATCATCTTCATGATGTAAAAATCATTTGTAATATGAAGGAGCATATAGGAATGAATATGTATTATTTTAATCAAAAGAACATAATAAAAGTTATGAGGACTTGTGTTTCTTAATTCTTTGTGGAGTACACTTCTAAGCTTTTCCTTAAATAATATCCTGAAATTGGAATTAAGCTTATCGTTGAAGTTAAAATATACTCAAAATATTCAAAACAACATATTTTTCCCAGCTAAAAGATTATTTCATCTTTTTCGTTGTTCTTCCAGTATGCTGGATTCTTCTCTCACGTTTTGTTTCAGTGCAAACTGATGGAACTCCTCTTGGTTACTATTGATTTCATGCAAGTTAGCAGTGACTAATCATGTTGGCCATTAGCCTCCTTAGTGCATTTGTCCTCTACTGATTTAATTTCATTTAATGTAATAAAGCATGTTACTTTCATGACTAGGTTTTGAAGATGTTTGGTACAATGTTTTAAATTCATTGCATTTTCTGGAGAACAAAAAGCCCACCTGTTTGGAAGCCATCCTGGTATGTTTAGAATTTCTCATTGATTTCAGGAACTCTGGCCTTGATGTTAAAGAAAGTGATCACAGACCTTTGTTTGTTTAAGGCAGGCAGGGATGCATCTGACTGTCAGGGAAACAACACATTTCTGGGGGAACAAAGACAGCGCATCTTTGTAAAAAAAAAAAAAATCACAGTCCAGGCGCGGTGGCTCATGCCTGTAATCCCAGCACTTTAGGTGGCCGAGGTGGGCGGATCACGAGGTCAGGAGATCGAGACCATCCTGGCTAACACAGTGAAACCCCGTCTCTACTAAAAATACAAAAAATTAGCTGGGCATGGTGGCAGGCCCCGTAGTCCCAGCTACTTGGGAGGCTGAGGCAGGAGAATGGCGTGAACTTGGGAGGCGGAGCTTGCAGCTAGCTGAGATTGCGCCACTGCACTCCAGCCTGGGCGACAGCGCGAGACTCTGTCTGAAAAAAAAAAAAAAGAAAAAAAAATCGCAGCAGGCAAACGTTCTGCAATTCTCTGGGCTTATTCTACTTGCAAACACTTATCAAAGACACTGAAGCCTCCGTTAATGTCTTTGCCTCCCCCCTTACTGAGGAAGCTAATTAACTGGGTAGCTAATTAATTGTCTCTTACTGAGGACTACTAGAAATTTATACTCTGATTATTGGCTTAGGAGAAGTTGGATGAAATAACTTGGACTGTTGAAAAGTCAAAATAGTTTTTTCAATCAACTGGGGCCTCCCTTCCCCTGCAAGATTTGTGTGCATGCTGATGGAAGAGAGAGGGTCCCTCTACGCACCTGCAGGGAGGAGCCTGCAGTTCCTTTGTGCTGTGACTCAGTAAATCAGAGGGCTTGGGCTGTCTGCCAACACATTAACCCTTGCTCAGGTAGTGTATTAGTCTGTTCTCACATTGCTATAAAGAAATACCTGAGACTGGGTAATTTTTAAAGGGAAGAGGTTTAATTGGCTCCTGGTTCTGCAGACTGTATAGGAAGCACGGCTGAGGAGGCCTCGGGAAACTTACAATCGTGGCAGAAGGTGAAGAGAAAGGAGAGGCACGTCTTACATGGCAGGAGCAGGAGGAAGAGAGACAGGGGAGGTGCCTCACACTTTTAAACAACCATGTCTTATGAGAACTAACTTACTGTATAGTACCAAGGGGGGATGGTACTAAACCATGAGAAACTACCCCCATGGTCCAATCACCTCCCACCAAGACCTGCCTCCAGCATCAGGGATTACATTTCAACATGAGATTTGGGTGGAGACACATATTCAAACCATATCAGATGGGGATTAGGAAACGCCATTCTCACCACTACGAAGCATCTTCCTCCCTTAAGGAGGGGATAGAGACGAGGGCCCAGGAGTGTCAGCATAATCTAATTCACTCCAGAGCAGTGGAGCAGAAAAACATGAGCATAGGAGATAAGAGCCCTGCTATGGTTTGAAAGTATCCCCTAGGCCGGGCACGGCAGTTCATGCCTGGAATCCAAGCACTGTGGGAGGCCGAGGCAGGCGGATCACCTGAACTCAGGAGTTCGAGACCAGCCTGGCCAACATGGTGAAACCCCGTCTCTATTAAAAATACAAAAACTAGCTGGGCTTGGTGGTGCATGTCTGTAGTCCCAGCTACTCAGGAGGCTGAGGCAGGAGAATCACTTGAAAACGGGAGGCAGAGTTTGCAGTGATCCGAGGTTGTGCCATTGCACTCCAGCCTGGATGTCACAGCAAGACTCCGTCTCAAAAAAAAAAAAAAGTATCCCCCAAAGAGCATGTGATGGGAAGTTAATCCCCAATGCAACAGTATTGGTAGGTGGGCCTAATGAGACGTGATTATGAGATAGGAGTTCACCAGGACTGGTTTCACAAGACACAGATCACAAAGACTGCTGATAAAACAGGGTGCAGTAAAGAAGCTTGCCAAGACCAGGTACGGTGGCTCATGCCTGTAATCCCAGCACTTTGGGAGGCCAAACTTGGAGGATTGCTTGAGCTCAGAAGTTCAAGCCCAGCCTGGGCAACATAGCAAGACCTCACCTCTATTAAAAATACAAAAAAATAGCTGGGTGTGGTGGCATGTGCCTGTAGTCCCAGCTACTTGGGAGGCCGAGGCAGGAGGATTGCTTGAGCCCAGGTGGTCTAGGCTGCAGTGATCTATAGTTACGTCACTACACTCCAGCCTGGGCGACAGAGCAAGCAAGAGCTCGTCTCGGGAAAAAAAAAAAAAAAAAGCCAACCAAAACCAAGATAGTGATGATAGCAACTTCTGGTCATCCTCGCTGCTCTTTACACCCTAATTATAATATATTAGCATACCAAAGGAAAGCCCCACCAGCGCCATGACAATTTACAAATGCCATGGGAGCATCCAAAAGTTATCTTATATGGTCTGAAAGTGACAGGAACTCTCAGTTCTGGGAATTCCCTGCCTCTTTTCCTGGAAAACTCATGAATAGTCCACCCCTTGTTTAGCATATGATCAAGAAATAACTATAAAAATAGCCAACCAGAAGCCCTCAGGGCTGCTCTGCCTATGGAGTAGCCACCCTTTTCTTCCTTTACTTTCTTAATAAACTTGCTTTCACTTCACTCTGTCGGCTTGCTCTTGAATTCCTTCCTGCACAAAGCCAAAAATCCGTGTGGCCTTCCAAGATGAACCCCAATTTTGGAGTCTGTCCTGTGACAATTAGGCCATGAGGGTGCAGTGAATGGATTAATGTTGTTATTGCTAGAGTGGGTTTGTTATAAAAGGGTGAGTTCAGCTCTCTTTTACTTTCTCTCTTGCCCTCTCTCCTTCTCTCTCTCTTTTTTTTTTTTTGAGATGGGGTCACACTCTGTTGCCCAGGCTGGAGTGCAGTGGTGCAACGTTGACTCACTGCAGCCTCCTCCTCCTGGGCTCAAGTAATCCTCCCACCTCAGCCTCCTGAGTAGCTGGGACTACAGTTGCATGCCACTATGCCTGGCTAATTTTTTTTTGTATTTTTGGTGGAGACAGGGTTTCACCATATTGTCCAGGCTGGTCTTGAACTCCTGAGCTCAAGTAATCCACCCACCTTGGCCTCCCAAAGTGCTGGGATTACAGGCGTGAACCACCGTGCCCAGCTTCTCACCCTCTCTTGACCCTTCTACCTTCAGCCATGGATGTGGTGACACAGCAAGAAGGCCCTGGCAAAATGCCAGCACCTTGATCTTGGACTTCTCAGCCTGTAGAACGAGAAAATAAATTTCTGTTCATTATAAATCACTCAGTCTCAAGTATCCTGTTACGGCAGCATAAACAGACTAAGGCCCCTAGTAAAGCATGTGCTCGCTTAGACCTGCTACTAATGATTGCCTGGGCACCATGTTGAGGAGGACATTCAGGCACATCTGGTTTAGCAGGAAAGAGTGCAGTGATCGATTTGTGATGTCTGCAGGGGCACAGGATGGTCTGGGAACTCTCACCATTTGTTTGCCACACACAGAATGGTAATTCCTGGTGAAAGGCTCCCATGGCCCCTGAAACATTTCTTCCTAGGGACTTGGGATCCTATGACTTATCTCTGACCTAGACCCTACCCAAGGGACAAGAAGACAGCACTTCCTCTATAACACAGCCAGCTTCTGACTGCCAGTGTTAGGATGGGGAGAGCTGGGGTTCAGTGTGAAAAGTGAGGCCCTAGTGAATCAGGTAGAATGTGGAGTGGTGAAAGACAGGGGCCTACATGGAGCATGAAGGCGCAGTTGAAAGGCTGCCATAGCAGGTCGTCAGCAAGTGTGTGTGGCATGTCATTGGGGTTGGTGGTGTTAGGTGTTGCTGATAGAAACAGTATCAGCCAGCGGCGCAGTGGCTCACGCCTGTAATCCCAGTACTTTGGGAGGCTGAGGTGGGTGGATTACTTGTCAGGAGTTCGAGACCAACTTGGCCAACATGGTGAAACCCTGTCTCTACAAAAATACAAAAAATTAACTGGGCATCGTGACAGGTGCCTGTAATCCCAGCTACTCAGGAGGCTGAGGCAGGAGAATCACTTGAACCCAGGAGGTGGAGGTTGCAGTATTAGCTGAGTTACTCCTCTAGCTGATATGTTTTATCTAGCCATCATTCTGCAGATGGTGGTGGTGGACACATAATCATAGAAATAATAACGGTGGCTACTTATTGAGCCCTTCCTCCTTCCTATATGTCGGGCACTGTGCATGACCCACATGCTTTAGATTCAGGGTTTAAATGGCAGACACTGGTGAGAACTATAACTTAGCCAGGCGCAGTGGCTCATGCCTGTAATCCAAGCACTTTGGGAGGCCAAGGCAGGAGGATTGCTAGAGGCCAGGAGTTTGAGACCAGCTTGGGCAACATGGCAAAACCCTGTCTCTACAAAAAGTTAAAAAGTTAGCAAGGCATGGTGGCACATGCCTGTAGTCCTAGACACTCAGGAGGCAGAGGTGGGAGGATCACTTGAGCCCAGGAATTTGAGGCTACAGTGAGCTGTGATTGTGTCACTGCACTCCAGCCTGGGTGACAGAGCAAGATCCTGTTTCAAAAAACAAACACACAACAACAAAAAATCCCAAAACAAACTATAACTCTATGACTAAACCCAAATTCCATCTCCCTCTTTTCTGTCCAGCCACCAGAGAGCTTCCAGAGTGATGATCCTAGAATGCATAAATGTGTATGTTGTTTTTGTTTTGTTTTGTTTTTTAAGAAACTGGGTCTGCCACCCAGTCTGGAGTTCAGAAGCATGATCATAGCTCACTGTAGCCTCAAACTCGTGAGCTCAAGTGATCCTCCCACCTCAGCCTCCAGAATAACAAGGACTACAGGCACATGCCACCACGCTTGACTAATATTTTGTTTGTTTGTTTTGAGATGGAGTCTTGCTGTGTTGCCCAGGCTGGAGTGCAGTGGGGTGATCTCAGCTCACTGCAACCTCCACCTCCCAGGTTCAAGCGATTCTCCTGCCTCAGCCTCCCGAGTAGCTGGAATTACAGGCATGTGCCACCACGCCCGGCTAATTTTTGTATTTTTAGTAGAAACAGGGTTCACCATGTTGGTCAGGCTGGTCTCGAACTCCTGACCTCATGATCCGCCCACCTTGGCCTCCCAGAGTGCTGGGATTACAGACATGAGCCAAATTTTTTTGTAGAAATTGGGTCTCTCTGTGTTGTCCAGGCTGGTCTTGAAGTCCTGCCTCAAGCGGTCCTCCTGCCTTGGCCTCCCACAGTGCTAGTATTAAAGGTGTGCACCACTGCACCTGGCTTTTAAAATGCGTACTTGACCACGTCTCTTCCACCTAAACCCTCCAATGTCTCCTTCAAGCCTATGGGCAAGTGCAAACTCCTCAGCATGTCGGCTGGCTCCACATGCTCCGACCTCTTGCTCTGACACATTTCACTCCTGAGTTCTGTGGAATAGCTTATCAGCCTGAGGACATTTGGCTGTTCCCCACCGCTCACTGTTTCAGTCTATAATACCCATCCCTACCTCCATCCACCTGACCAGCTCCTGCTTAGCTTCTGAACTCAAACTTTTGAGTTGTGATTTGCAGTTAACATTCAGATTATTGCATTGGCTTGATGGTTAAAGTACATATTTGCCTGATTTTTGTTTCACCTAAGGCAACTCAGCACATAGCTTTTCAGCATATTTGCATATTTCATAGGCTTTGAGTAAATTACTGAGTGAAATATTACCCTTGTGGCACACCATCCTTATTCATGGTGCCATCTTCAGGGTCAGATGGTTGGGGAGGGACATGATGCTTCACAAACATGAGGGGAGGTCGTGTGGCTCATGCCTGTAATCCCAGCACTTTGGGAGGCCGAGGCGGGCGGATCGCTTGAGCTCAGGAGTTCGAGACCAGCCTGGCCAACATGGCGAAACCCCATCTCTACTAAAAATACAAAAATTAGCTAGGCATGGTGGCAGCCACCTTTAATCCCAGCTACTCGGGAGGCTGAGGCAGGAGAATCACTTGAACCTGGGAGGTGGAGGTTGCAGTGAGCTGAGATCATGCCACTGCACTCCAGCCTGGGCAACAGAGCGAGACCCCATCTCAAAAACAAAACAAAACAAAGCAAAACAAAAACATGAGGGGAAAGACTGAATAGATAGGTGACTTAGACATGTACTCAGGTGACCAACCAGGAGGTCCGATCTTTGAGTTTATGCTCAAGCCACAGAACATTATTATTCACTTAGTGTTTAACTTCAAATAAATTGATAGTTGGAAACAAAACAAGGACAATACCTTCATAATTTTAATTTTTTTAATTATTAAATATTTTTTGGTAGAGATAGGGTCTTATGTTGCCCAGGCTGGTCTCAAACTCCTAGCCTCAAGCAATCTTCCTGCCTCAACCTCCAAAAGCATTGGGATTACAGGTATGAGCCATAATACATGACCCATAATTTTAATATATATATATACGTTTTTTGAGACATGATCATAGCTCACTTTTTTGCCCAGGCTGGAGTGCAATGGTGTGATCTCAGCTCACTGCAATCTCTCATCTCCTGGGTTCAAGCAATTCTTCTACCTCAACCTCCTGAGTAGCTGGGATTACAGACGTACACCACTGTGCCCGGCTAATTTTTGTATTTTTAGTAAAGACAAGGTTTCACCATGTTGGCCAGGCTGGTCTTGAACTCCTGATCAGAAGTTATCCACCTGATTCGGCCTCCCAAAGTACTGGGATTACAGACATGAGCCAGTGCTCCTGGCCATAATTTTAATTTTTGAGGTGGTTTTTGGCCCTCCTTTTTCTAAACTGGTGCTAGATGGGAAAAGATGTTTGTACTGTGGAGTCTCTAACTGCTGCCATGAGTAAGAAAGCATATGTCAGTTAGCATGCTCTCTGGTTCCAGTAATGGAATCACTAACTAAAAATGCCTTTAAACAATAGAGGTTTCTATTTTCTCTTTGAAGCAATACGGAAGTATGTTACCCACCTTGAATCTAAGGATGAATAATCAAAGACACACTTCCAACCTTTCTACTGCATCATTTTGAACATGTTGGCTTTTGTCTCCAGGCTGTTGCCTCATGGTCTCAAGATGGCCACCACAGCTGTTGCCTCATGGTCTCAAGATGGCCACCACAGCTGTTGCCTCCTGGTCTCAAGATGGCCACCACAGCTGTTGCCTCATGGTCTCAAGATGGCCACTACAGCTGTTGCCTCATCATCTCAAGATCACTGCTGCAGCTCCAGGCATCACATCCTCTCACAGTTGTGTTCAGAGACAGGAAGGAAGAGGACAGGCAAGAGAGTTTCTCTCTTTTGAGGTGCTCTTTATATCAAGGAGGGGGAAAAGCCCCTTGGAGACTTCTTAAGTCTTATTCACCATAAATGAGTCCCTTGTCAACCTCCATTTGCAAGGGAGGCTGGGAGCAGAAGTTGGTGGAATTTACAGCCTCTATTATGGGAGGTGGGTTCTATTAGGAGAAAACCACGTGGTAAAGAACACCATCTGTCACAGGAAATATACATCTTGCTGTGTAGTTTAACCACCCACCAAACCGGTCAGGAACATCTGCTGAGGGTTAGGTTTCTGCTTGGGGTGCTGGAAGAAAAACTTCACATAGTGAAGTACCCAGGAGAGAGGCAGTACCCATGAGCCAGAGATTAAAAACCAGTGAAGAGGCCAGGCGTGGCGGCTCTACCTGTATTCCCAGCACTGTGGGAGGCTGAGATGGGCAGATCACTTGAAGTCAGGTGTTCGAGACCAGCCTGGCCAACATGGCGAAACTCCATCTCTACTAAAAATACAAAAATTAGTCGGGTGTGGTGGTGTGTGCCTGTAACCCCAACTACTTAGGAGGCTGAGGCATGAGGATTGCTTGAATCCAGGAGGTGGAGGTTGCAGTGAGCTGAGATGGTGCCACTGCACTCCAGCCTCACAGAGTGAGACCCTGTCTCAAACAAACAAACAAACAAAAAACAAACACCAGTGAAGTAAATGCAAACTACTCTTGGAATCTGGAGCAGCAGTGAGATACCAACTTTGTCCTGGAGAACCAAGGCAGGCTTCACGGAGGAGGCGATGGTTGAGCAATGCCTTTTTTTTTTTTTTTTTGAGATGGAGTCTTGCTCTATCACCCACGCTGGAGTGCAGTGGTGCGATCTTGGCTCACTGCAACCTTGACATTCCAGGCTCAAGTGATTCTCCTGCCTCAGTCTCCCGAGTAGCTGGGATTACAGGTGCCCACCACCACACCCAGCTAACTTTTGTATATTTTAGTAGAGGTGGGGTTTCACCATGTTGGCCAGGCTGGTCTTGAACTCCTGACCTCAGGTGATCTGCCCACCTTGGCCTCCCAGAGTGCTGGGATTACAGGTGTGAGCCACTGCACCAGGCCTTGAGCAGTGTTTTAACAGACGCATAGGAGATTCCCAGATGAAGAAGACAGGAAAGGCCATTTAAGGCCTAGGGGTAGAAAGAGCATATCCAGAGTTTTTAAAATGCCTTTTGTTTTTGACAATAACCACCACCCCCTTTTGAGTTTTCTCCCGTCTCCATCAGCACACCCACTCTGAATGAATGCAACGCTTCCTGAAAGCCGAGCTTCACTGCCTATTTTGGCTGTTCTTAGAGTAGTGGAGATGTTGTGCTCATTCCACGTGGGGATTCTTCATTTGGAGGGCAGTCATGTCCTTCAGAATTATAGTGGGAGGGATGGGGTGCTGTGCGGGGCATTTGTTTTGTTCCGCCTACAATGGCATCCCCTTTTGTGGGGTACACTCACTCACTGAAGCTGGGGGGCTCAGCCTCCCTAACCGTCGTGGCCCTGAGATTGGCCACATCACTGTGACTTGGGTCAGCTGCTATAGCTGCCCCTGGAGATGGTGATGGTCTGGATGTGTGCAGGACCCACGCTGCACCAACTGGAGGACCTACCTGGATTTCTGCAAATCACGCTGAAAAAAGGGGCTTTATTTCCTCTTTGGAAAGGATGAAAGGTCAGAACTGCCCATTCCCTTATCCCTGGTATAAACCAAAAATAAAATTCTAAGCCCCCCAACTGACTGATGGACCACCCTCCCCCACCAGCCCTTGGCAAAAGGCTTTCCAAAGTAAACCTGAAAATCTAGTTCAGATCTTGATGGAAGTGGGCATACCTCATTATACTCTCAGCTCTTTGAAATTCCAACACAGCTGACCTGCATTAACCATTAAAACAGATCTTAAGACTGACAAAACAGACTTTTTGGAGCAGTAAGATATCACATTCCAACATGACTCTAGTATAGCGTCACATGACAAATAGCAGCCCCCAAAAGAAATTGAAGTATTTTACCGTAAAATATATTTCTTTGACATATTTTGAAACGGCCCTGCAAAGCTGTCTCTTGTGGGGAAAATCTACATTCTGTACAGAATCCCCTTCCCTTTCCAGGTCTTTTCCCTGATCCAGGAGAGAATTAACTAAGAGTCTGGCACCATTTTTTTTTTTTTTTTTTTTTTTTTGAGATGGAGTCTGGCTCTGTCGCCAGGCTAGAGTGCAGTGGTGCGATTTTGGCTCACTGCAACCTCCGCCTCCTGGGTTCAAGCGATTCTCCTGCCTCAGCCTCCTGAGTAGCTGGGACTACAGGTGCGTGCCGTCAGGCCCAGCTCAGTTTTGTATTTTTAGTAGGGATGAGTTTTCACCATGTTGGCCAGGATGGCCTCTATCTCTTGACCTCATGATCCGCCTGCCTCTTCCTCCCAAAGTGCTGGGATTACAGGCACAAGCCACTGCACCTGGCCTCTGGCACCTTATTAAGTCTGATAAGAAACATTTACAATCCATTCTCTCTGAGGCCTGCTACCGGGAGGCTTCATGTACATAATAAGATCCTTGGTCTCTACAGCCCCTTGTCTGGGTTCAATATTGGGAAAAATCAAAGATCTCCCTTCTATTGATTCCAGGTCTTTACATACGGAGTCTTGCTCTTTCACCCAGGCCAGAGTGCAGTGGCGCTATTTCGGCTCACTGCAAGCTCTGCCTCCCGGGTTCACGCCATTCTCCTGCCTCAGCCTCCCGAGTAGCTGGGACTACAGGCGCCTGCCACTACGCCCGGCTAATTTTTTGTATTTTTAGTAGAGACGGGGTTTCACCGTGTTAGCCAGGATGGTCTCGATCTCCTGACCTCATGATCCGCCCGCCTCGGCCTCCCAAAGTGCTGGGATTACAGGCGTGAGCCACCGTGCCCGGCCTGATAATAACTTAACTCTTTCAACCAATTGCCCATCAGAAAATCTCTGAATCCACCTATGACCTCAGATCACCCCACCCCCCTCCCCGGCTTCCCCTGCTTCAGGCTGTCCCACGTTTCCAGGTTGAACCAATGTACACCTTGCATGTATTGACTGATGTCTTGTGTCTCCCTAACATGTATAAAACCAAGCTGTTGCCTAACACCTTGAGCACTTGTCTCAGAATCTCCTGAGGCTGTATCATGGGCCACGGTCACTCATATTTGGCTCATAATAAATCTCCTCAAATATTTTACAGTGTGACTCCTTTTGTCCACACTGACTGTGTGCAGAGGCTGATCTGGAGATGGAGCCCATATCCCGTCAGGTCCCAATCATTCCAGAGCACAGCTTTGCCCCCACACACCCCAGTCATGGGAAACACAAATCACCTTCTTTTTCACTTGGGTGTATTGGAAGTGGGTTTTATCACCTGCAATAAAGTCTTGACTAATGTAGTAGCTCATCATCAGCAAAAGCTGTCTGCTGCCTGGCTGCCACGTCATCTGACTGTGTCCCTGTCTGCAGTGAGACTTTCCCTCCATCCTGCTGAGTCTGGAAGGAGGAAGAAAATAATTCCTTGCGAATTCTGCTTTAGTGTGTCTCTTCTCATCTCTCCAAAGACATCCCTCTGGCTCTCTTTCACTTCAAGCCGTCACATGGCTCTTCTCGTCCCAGCAGCCTGGCTGTGAGTTTCCTGCCCACAGCTAAGTGGGGGTGTGAATGCCGCCCAGGCCATCACCCCTGGGAGCAGCTGGAGCCTACAGCAGGTGACAAAACTCCCTCCACCTTTTCACTCTCTTGGGAGGGAGTGTTCACACCTTCCTGCTGTGGTCGGGGTCAGCTCGAGGGAGCTCATTAAGTAGCTGACTCAGAGCCAGAGCACCGAGGCCGGGCAAAATCAGCACCTCTCCCACCTCTGTGGGATTGATGAGTTTCCTTCACCAGGCAGCCAGCCCCAGCTGGGGCTTTTCAGAGCTTTTAACAGTGAAGGAAATGAACATATTTTACCCCAAAATATATATTTTTCACATATTTTGAAATGGCTGCTGTTTCGCCAGTAAACAGAAGTAGCCTTGGGCTGGGCACAGTGGCTGTCAGTTGTAATCCCAGCACTTTGGGAGGCCAAGGTGGGAGGATCATTTGAGGCCAGGGGTTCAACATCAGCCTGGACAAAAAGTGAGATCCCATCTCTATTAAAAAAGAAAATTAAAAAATTAGCTGGGTGTGGTATCACATGCCTGTGGTCCCAGCTACTTGGAAGGCTGAGGTGGGAGGATCGCTTGAGCCCAGGAGTTTGAGGCTGCAGTGAATAATGATCGTGCCACAGCACTGCAGCCTGGGCAACACAGCACTGCAGCCTGGGCAACACAGCAAGACCCTGTCTCTAAAAAATGTTGTCGGGGGAGATGTGGGGACCTTGCAAAGTTGTTTTTTGGGGGAAATTTGCATGTGTATTTTTTTTTTTTTTTTTGAGATAGAATCTTGCTCTGTTGCTGAGGCTGGAGTGCAATGGTACTATCTTGGCTCACTGCAACCTCTGCCTCCCGGGTTCAAGCAATTCTCCTGCCTCAGCCTCCTGAGTAGCTGGGATTACAGGCGCCCGCTGGGATTACCATGCCCAGTTAATTTTTGTATGTTTAGTAGAGATGGGGTTTCACCATGTTGGCCAGGCTGGTCTTGAACTCTGGACCTCAGGTGATCCACCTGCCTTGGCCTCCCAAAGTGCTGGGATTCCAGACATGAGCCACCGAGCCTGGCTGAGTCTGCATTTTCTACTGTGGCATCAGGATGGTATTTAAGTTTCTGTAACTCCTTGGGAGATTGGGTCTTCCTTTTGAAGGGTCCCCTGTATATACGTTAAATAAATTTGTGTGTCTTTTCTCCTGTTAATCAAACTGCCTCAAGTCAGTGATTTTTAGTGAAACTTTAGGAAGCCAAGAGTCTATGCCCCCCATAATAAGATTATCCTATTATCACTCACGGCTGTAATCCCAGCACTTTGGGAGGCCGAGGCAGGTAGATCATGAGCTCAGGAGATCGAGACATCCTGTCCAACATGGTGAAACCTCATCTCTACTAAAATACAAAAAATTAGCCGGGTGTGGTGGCGTGCACCTATAGTCCCAGCTACTTGGGAGGCTGACACAGGGGAATCCCTTGAATCCAGGAGGCAGAGGTTGCAGTGAGCCGATATCATGCCACTGTACTCCAGCCTGGCAACAGAGCAAGACTCCATCTCAAATAAATAAATAAATAAATAAATAAATAAATAAATAAATAAATAAAAGATTATCCTAGTATTAGATAAATGATCATTCGGCTCCACATTTCTTTCTCCCCTTCCTTCCTTCCTTCCCTCCCTCCCCCCTTCCTCCCTCCCTCCCTCTCTTCCTTTTCTTTCTTTCTTCCTTCCTTCCCTCCTTCCCTCCTTCCTCCCTCCCTCCCTTCCTTTTCTTCCTTCCTTCCTTTCTCTCTATCTTCTTCTTCTTCTTCTTTTTTTTAATCGAGACAGGGTCTTGTTCCATTAGCCAGGCTGGAGTGCAGTGGCGCAATCATAGCTCACTGAAGCTTTGACCTCCTGGGCTCAAGCAATCCTCCTGCCTCAGCCTCCCAAGTATCTGGGACCACAGGCACAGGTCATCATGCCCAGCTAATTTTAATTGTTAAATTTTTTTCTACAGATGAGAAATCGCTGTGTTGCCTAGGCTGGTCTTAAACTCCTGGTCTCAAGTGATCCTCCCCCCTCAGCCTTTCAAAGTGTTGGGATTACAGGCATGTTTCTGTCCTGGGGACTGGTAAATTATCATCTATGATTCAGATTCATCCTGCAACCTATTTCCTCGTGACTGTGAGCTAAGAATTGCTTTTACATGTTTAAATGGTTGGAAAAAAATTAGAAACATAGTATTTCCTGACATGTGATAATCACATGAAATTGATTTCAGTGTCTGTAACTGAAGACTTATTGTAACACTGCCACACTCATTTATTTGTGAATTGTCTGTGGTTGTTTTCATGCTGTGATGGCAGAGAGTGAATAGTGGGCCAGAGACCACGCAACCCTTTCCAGAAAAGGTTTGGGGACCTTGCCCTATCTTTTCCCTTCAGCTTTCTGGTGACTTCTCTTCCACGCAAATCTTCTAAGGGAACGGAACACTCATTATGCTGTTCCTTTGTGGGGACTTAGAGTTTAAAGGGGACACAGAAAGAGACCATTGTCTAAAATCAAATAATTTGTTAGTGCTGGAATTTCAGGTTAGGGACTCCCCCCTTTTTTTTTCCTTCTCTCTTCCCTCCCCTTCCTTCCCCATCCCCTCCCCTCCCCTCCTCTCCCTCCCCTCCCCTCCCCTCCCCAGGTTTTGGTCTGTCTCCTAGGCTGGAGCGCAGTGGTATGTGTGATCTTAAGTTATTGCAGCCTCAAACTCCTGGGCTCAAGCAATTCTCCCACCCTGGCCTCCTGAGTAGCTGAGACTACACGTGTGTGCTACCATGCCAGGCTAATTTTAAAACTTTTTCATAAAGATGAAGTCTTGCTATGCTGTCCAGGCTGGTCTTGATCTCCTGACCTCCAGCAATCCTCTTGCCTCAGCCTCCCAAAGTGTTGGGACTACAGGCATGAGCCACTGCACTGTCCTATGTGGGGCACTTCTTAGGGGTGGAGTGGGCTCCTGAGGCCCTTCAAGTCACAACATGCATCACTGTGTGCCTCAGATACAGAGGCTGACCCCATGCCAGCCACGGGGCGGCTGCCACTTCCACAACATTCTTATCACCTGTGCACCTGCTGAGGGCTGCCTTGGGGGCTGTCCCATTGGTCCCTGGCTAGCTCCATAGAAAAGAGCCCGAGTCAGCCGGAAGTGGTGGCTCACGCCTGTAATCCCAGCACTTTGGGAGGCCAAGGCGGGCAGATCACGAGGTCAGGAGATTGAGACCATCCTGGTTATGGTGAAACCCCATCTCTACTAAAAATACAAAAAATTACCCAGGCACGACGGCACGCGCCTGTAGTCCCAGCTACTCGGGAGGCTGAGGCAGGAGAATTGCTTGAACCTGGGAGGCGGAGGTTGAAGTGAGCCAAGATCACGCCATTGCACTCCAGCCTGGGTGACAGAGCGAGACTCTATCTCAAAAGGAAAAAAAAAAAAAAAGAAAAGGGCCTGAGTCTCCCCACTTCCCCGGGTCAGCCGATGTTTCTACCTTGCTATGGGGATTCAGGAAACTAATTGAGACTTCGAGCCAGGATGTCTTTGGGCCACCGTGGCAACCTCTCACTAACGTTCTGTTTGGAACCCGAAGTCCTAGGGTGCTGTCCCTGCCAGCAGACTCAGCTAGCCTTGCCACGATGTTCGGTTCCTCCCAGTGCCATTCCAGAGTCTGAGTCCTGTTGCAACCGAGCCTGTGTTATAAAAATCATAAGGTGGCCGGGCGCATTGGCTCATGCCTGTAATCCCAGCACTTTGGGAGGCTGAGGTGGGCTGATCACCTGAGGCCAGGAGTTCGAGACCAGCCTGGCCAACGTGGTGAAACCCGGTCTCTACTAAAAATACAAAAATTAGCTGGGCCTGGTGGTGGATGCCTGTAATCCCAGCTACTCAGGAGGCTGAGACAGGAGAATTGCTTGAACCCAGGAGGCGGAGGTTGCAGTGATGCAAGATCATGCCATTGCATTCTAGCCTGGGCGACAAGAGAGAAACTCCGTGTCAAAAAAACAAAAACAAAAACATTGTTCAGTTCCCACTTGGACACAGGGTGGGGAACACCACACACCAGGGCCTGTCAGGGGGTGGGGGGAGCGGGGAGGGATAGCATTAGGAGATATACCTAATGTAAAAGACGAGTTAACGGGTGCAGCACACCAACATGGCACATGTACATATATGTAACAAACCTGCACGTTGTGCACATGTACCCTAGAACTTAAAACCAACGAACAAAAAAAATAAGGTGTTTGTTTCACTTATTTTCCTTTTTCTTTGTCCTTTTGTTTCTTTGTGCATGATTCATTTCATAGTCATTTCAGTAGAGGGGAGTCACTAATCACTGATAAATTTTATATCCTGACCCCCAGGGGCTGCATGCATGATTAATGAACTTGTCTTTCTTCTAAAGAACAACGATCTTTAGGTCATGCAGACCTCCCTGATGGCATCCAGAAGTTTGACCGAGGGGTGCAGACAGTGTTGATCATTGGGGATGTCACCTCCCGGATACCCACCTCACTCATGAAAGCCCCCAGTTATGTGAGAGTTCAGGTCAGTCGGTTGTGAGAGTTCAGGTCTCCCGCCTTCTTGCTTTGGCCAAATTGAATGTATCTTTCTCTGCTCCTGAGCGCTGATGTTTCAATGTTTGCCTTACTGTGAATCGGATACATGGACCTAAATATTGGGGTTCTACAATGCTGAGACCTGCCGCCACCTGCTTCTTAAAGCAGGTTGATCCAGCACTGTATTAGGGGTTATGGCAACATTATTGAATTTTTTATGTACATAAAGCCATATGTTTAGGGTGGTTTTTGTCTTGTTTTTGACTTATATAACACTGTGAACTTCTAAAGAGAGAGAATAAAAGAAGCATGAATGAAAAGAATGGCATTTCAAAAAAAATGGTTCAGTGAAAAACTATAGCTAAAATATGTAAACCTTTCTAGGTAAACCGCTTGCCTTCATCTTGAGTTGGAATATATTTAAATAAATTGTGTTATCTCTTGGCAAAAAAAACAAACAAAAAAAAAAAAGCAGGCTGATCCAGGAGGCATAGGTGGAACCGTCAGGCTGGGGACTCAGTGAGTGCACCCCCTCACCGACAAGTCGACACCGATGAAGACCAGAAAGGTCTTGGCATGTGCATTTGGCTACAAGTAACAACCCCATGTCAAGAGTGGCTTAAGCACAAAAGACAATGAACCCTCTCACACGGTAACCAGTCTGAGGTGGTTGTTCTGCATTTGTTTCGCTGTTTAGAAATGTCAGCAACGGGCCGGGCGCGGTGGCTCACGCCTGTAATGCCAGCACTTTGGGAGACTGAAGCGGGCAGATCATGAGGTCAGGAGTTCGAGACCAGCCTGGCCAACATGGAGAAACCCCGTCTCTACTAAAAATACAAAAATTAGTGGTGGGCGCCTGTGATCCCAGCTACTCAGGAGGCCGAGGCGGGAGAATCACTTGAACCTGGAAGGCAGAGGTTACAGTGAGCCAAGATCATGCCACTGCACTCCAGCCTGGGCAAAAGAGTGAAACTCCGTCTCAAAAAAAAAAAAAAAAAAAAAATAGAGATGTCAGCAGCACTGCAAGCTCCGTTTTTGTTTTGTTTTGTTTTGTTTCATTTTCAGACAGGATCTTACTCTGTTGCCCAGGCTGGAGTGCAATGGCGTGATCCTAGCTCACTCACTGCAGCCTTGACTTCCTAGGCTCAAATGATCCTCCCACTTCAGCCTCCCAAGTAGCTGGGACCACAGGTGTGTGCTGCCATGCCTGGCTCAGTTTTTATTTTTTGTAGAGATGGGGTCTCACTATGGTGCCCAGGCTGATCTTGAATTCCTGAGCTCAAAAAATCCTCCACCTGGGAGTTGTTTGGAACTCCACCTGGTGCCTGAACAGAATCAGGAGGAAGGGGAGACAGCTTCAGTGGCTAACACCCTAGGCCAATGTCTACTGGGCAAGGACTTTTTAGACCAATGAGCAGACAAGAAGACAGCCCCTTCTATTCTTTCTTCTTCCAAAGGTTCATTCTAGAAGTGACAGGTATGGAAAGTTGGCAGGAAGGCAGGGATGCAGCTCAGAGGTGGAGCTCACTGGCACTTTTTTTTTTTTTTTTTTTTTTGAGATGGAGTTTCACTCTTGTTGCCCAGGCTGGAGTGCAATGGTGTGATCTCGGCTCACTGCAACCTCCACCTCCCGGGTTCAAGCAATTCTCCTGCCTCAGCCTCCCGAGTAGCTACAGGCATGTGCCGCCACATCTGGCTGATTTTGTATTTTTAGCAGAGACGGGGTTTCACCATGCTGGCCAGGCTGGTCTCGAACTCCTGACCTCAAGTGATCCACCTGCCTCGGCCTCCCAAAGAGCTAGGATTACAGGCATGAGCCACTGCACCCGGCCTCACTTGCACTTTCTAATGCCCTGGGGGGAAGTCCCCTGGGTGGCCAAGAGGAGATGGGTCACCCAGTGTGACTCCTTAGAAAACCGGGTTGGCAAGATCAACCGCAGGGCCTATCAAAGGACTTGGATTGTTTAGTGGGGATTTGCATGTGGGCCTAAGAGGCAGGATGGTTTGACGTTACCCCTACCCCCACCCTCCAGCCTGCCTTCTTTTTCTTCCTCTTCTCGGGATATCCAAATATGAAATGCTGATCTTGTGATAAGCTGAGCCAGGGTAGGCTCTTGCAGATGAGGAATGCTGAGTGTGGCTGACCCCACAGGGATCTCCCAATGTCATGGAGAAGTCTGATTTGCAGAGTAGGAAATTTCCCTCCCCTCAGCCGTTTCTCTCCTTCCTGAGCCTTCCCACCTCCTGCCAAGGCCTTGTCTTTGCCAGGCCCTGCTGTCACAGATGGATGGTTAGGATTGGGTACTTTGTAATTGCCCTTGAGTAATTGACTTTTTTTCTTTTGGTGGAGCTGGGGTCTTGCTGTGTTGCCCAGGCTGGTCTCGACTCCTAGCTTTAGTCGATCCTCTAACCTTGGCCTCTCAAAGCACTGGGATTACAGGCCTGAGCCAATGCGTTGACCAAGCAATTTACTTTTACTTTGTAGATTCCCTGGGACTCTTTTATTTTTATTTTTATTTTTTTTTGGGATGGAGTCTCGCTTCGTCTTCCAGGCTAGATTGCAGTGGCGTGATCTTGACTCACTGCAGCCTCTGCCTCCCAGGTTCAAGCGATCCTCCCACCTCAGCCTCCTGAGTAGCTGGGATTACAGGCTCATGCCAACACACCAGGCTAATTTTTGTATTTTTGGTAGAGACAGAGTTTCGCCATGTTGGCCAGGCTGATCTCGAACTCCTGACCTCACGTGATCCGCCCGCCTCGGCCTCCCAAAGAGCTGGGATTACAGGTGTGGGCCACCGTGCCCGGCCAAGTGATTTACTTTGTCATTGCAAAGCTGTACTTCTTTAATAGGTCACCCTAATTCCTTAACCCTTGCAGGCAGATTCCCGGGGACTCTTTCCTAGCCTGTTCTAGTGAATAATGAGGGTTCCCTATTTGCTTCTTTGCCCTGGTTGAGGGGTGGGGACCAGTACCAGAGCTGACATTTGAATCTGACCACCGGTCTGTCTGGGTCTGTCTGCAGCGAATGCTTCATGTGCAGGCCATTAAGTAAAGCCCTGCGTGGTGCTTCTTTTAAAAGCCTATTATTTTAATTCCCGAAGCTTTTTACAGAGAACAGGCAGCAAATACAGCAACAGCCACACACTCTGTCTGCCTTCTAATTATGACAATTTATGACTCAGAATCTCAAATTGGCCATTTCTTTGGCCATTGCATCCTGTCCCACTCTTCCCAGTGTCCCCTCCAAGACAGTCAGCCTATTGTTCCAGGAAGAAGGGGCGCTGATGTCATTCACCATATTACAGAGATGACCGTGGGAGGTAGAAGCTCAGTGCTGGCTGCAGTGGGCAGAGTGGGGATGAAAGGAAGGATGAAAACCTTTTTCATTAAAACAGCCTCTCATCCCTGCACACTAATTTATTTGTGCTCTGTTTACTAAAGCTAATAAGTCTTCATTTAATTTTACTGGAAAATAAGAAAATGCTATATAGACACACAGAGAAACAGACGCAAACATGCTACAAATAAAATAAAGGGTGTGTTTATAATGGATGTAGCATTTATCTCCCCCCCTTTTTTTTTTTTGAGAGGGAGACTTGCACTGTCACCCAGGCTGGACTGCAGTGGCGCAAGCTCAGCTCACTGCAGCCTCCACCTCCTGGGTTTGAGCGATTCTCGGGCCTCAGCCTCCCGAGTAGCTGGGATTACAGGCGCACACCACCACACCCAGCTAATTTTTGTATTTTAGTAGAAACAGGGTTTCACCGTGTTGGCCAGGGTGGTCTCTCCTGACCTCAAGTGATCTGCCCTCCTTGGCCTCCCAGAGTGTTGGGATTACTGGTGTGAGCCACTGCACCCGGCCCTGATCACTCTCAAATGGATATTCCCAGCCTGTTTCCCATCTGAACCACAAACCTGTTTATTCAACTGCTGTAGACGCCCACGGGCTCCTCCTGCTCAGCAGATCTGATCGGGTAAACTTGTCTGTGACAGCTGCCGCCGCCCCTTCAGGTCAAGCCCTTAGCTCCTCTGTCTGGGTCTTCGCAGGCCTTGCTATTGCTCTTCCTGCCTCTAAGCCGGGGCCTCTGCATGTTTATTGATCATGCGCCCCTATCACAAAACAAACAAAAAAATTCTAGGAGGCATTCCCAAGGACATATATGTGTATTTATACATCATATGCATCAACTTTTTACTAGTGTACGCTAAAACATTCACCAAAATAGACATGTAAAATGATGCAAAACGAGGTGGATAAAAATCCATGTTTTTGGCTGGGCACGATGGCTCATGCCTATAATTCCAGCAATTTGGGAGGCTGACACGGGCAGATCGCCTGAGGCCAGGAGTCGGAGGCCAGCCTGGGCAACGTGGTGAAACTCCATCTCTACTAAAAATACAAAAATTAGCTGGGTATTGTGGTGGGTACCTGTAGTCCCAGCTACTTGGGAGGCTGAGGCAGGAGAATCGCTTGAACCCAGGAGGCGGAGGTTGCAGTGATACGAGATCTCGCCATTGCACTCTAGCCTGGGTGACAAGAATGAAACTCTGTCTCAAACAAAAGACAAAAATCAAACAAAAACAAAACAAAAATTTGGCTGGGTGCAGTGTCTCATGCCTGTAATCCCAGCACTTTGGGAGGCCGAGGCTGGTGGATCACCTGAGGTCAGGAGTTTGAGACCAGGCTGGCCAACATGGTGAAACCCCATCTCTACTAAAAATACAAAAATTAGCCAGACGTGATGGTGGGCGCCTGTAATCCCAACTACTTGAGAGGCTGAGGCAGAAGAATTGCTTGAATCTGGGAGGCGGAGGTTGCAGTGAGCCGAGATCGCGCCACTTCACTCCAGCCTGAGTGATGGAGTGAGGCTGTCTCAAACAAAACAAAACAAAACAAAAGACAAAAAATTTATCCTCCTACCCTTCTGAAGGTCAGAAGTTGCAAGTGGTTTCCTGGGGCTCAAACCAAGGTATTTCAGGGCCATGCTCCTAGCGGGTCCAGAGGAGAATCCATTTCTTTGCCTTTCTGGTTTCTAGAGCTGCACTCCTTAACTCTGGGCCCTGTCCTCTGTCCTCACAGCCAGCAGCAAAGCATCCTCAAATCTCTCTGCATGCACTGTCATGTCAGCTCCTTCCTCTTCTGTCATGGAATCTCTCTCTACCCCCGTCTCGTAAGAACATGTGTGATTACTTTGGGCCCAGCCAGATTATCTGGGATGATTGCTCCATCTCAAGATCCCTAATGTACTCACATCTGCAAAACCCCTTTGGCAATGTAAGGTGGCATTCACAGGTTTCCAGGATTAGGACCTGGGTGTTTGGGGGGATCGTATTCAGCCTCCCACACCCTCCCTGCAGCCAGAGTGACCCGCTTTTTTTTTTTTTTTTTTTTTTTTTTTTTGAGATGGAGTCTCGCTCTGTTTTCCAGGCTGGAGTGCAGTGGGGTGATCTCAGTTTCCTGCAACCTCCACCTCCTGGGTTCAAGCGATTCTCCTGCCTCAGCCTCCCGAGTAGCTGAGATGATAGGTGCACACCACTATGCCCGGCTAATTTTTTGTATTTTTAGTAGAGACAGGGTTTCACCATGTTGGCCAGGA
Source organism: Homo sapiens (assembly GCF_000001405.40). NCBI lineage: Eukaryota > Metazoa > Chordata > Mammalia > Primates > Hominidae > Homo > Homo sapiens. The sequence goes on along the minus strand of NC_000007.14, from coordinate 72,536,702 downwards.
TGGTCTCGATCTCCTGACCTCTTGATCTGCCTGCCTTGGCCTCCCAAAGTGCTGGGATTACAGGTGTTACAGGCATGAGCCACCACGCCTGGCCGTTTTTTTGTTTTTTTGTTTTTTTTTATAGAGAAAGGGTCTCACTCTGTCACCCAGGCTGGAGTGCAGTGGCGCGATTATAGCTAACTGCAGCCTCCCATTCCTGGGCTCAAGCAATCCTCCCACTTCAGCCTCCCGAGTAACTGAGACTGCAGGTGAAGACCACCATGCCCAGCTAACTTTTGTAGGCTTTTGTAGAGATAGGGGCCTTGCTATGTTGCCCAGGCTGGTCTTGGCCTCCCAAAAGAGCTGAGATTCCAGGCATGAGCCACTGCACCTGGCCCATATTTCTAGTATTACCATAGCACATGGTATTGTGGTTTATTGCTGTAAATATTTGCTTCCCCTCCCCAACCCAGATGTGAGTCCCTGAGTCAGGGACGGTGTCATCACCACCTTTTTTTTTTTTTTTCCCAGTGCCAGATTTGTCACTCAGGCCCTCTGCAAAGCCATCGTAACTATCTGCCCAAGAACAAATGTAGGAATTATTTCCTTTGGCAAACTCCCAAAATAACAGATTTCTAACTGCCCTAATTATCCTCCATTCCCTCCTATTCAGCCAGTTCTCAGAGCTCTAATATCTCATGAATACTTTGTAATGGGCTCATTTATAAAATCATTTGCTTTTTTAATAAGTCAGAGGTAACTTGCCATGTCTCTCACTAATGGCCTCTTTCAAAATGCCTTGGCACCTCCTTTGGTTTTGAAAGGCCCTAAATGGTTTTCTGAGTTTGAGCAGGATTGATATATCCTTTTAAGGTATACTAATCTGCCACGGGAACATTTTGGAATGAGTCATAATATCTATATCACAGCTTTCTTCCAGCGGATTCAAAATATTTTTGTATCTTTGATATTTTTGTCTGTGATGTGATGTCAGCAGACCAGGGCCCCCCTTTCAGATGTCTAAGGCTCCCTGGGATCTGCAGTAGTGTAGCTTATTTTTATTTTTATTTTTATTTTTATTTTTTTGAGACAGGGTCTCACTCTGTCACCCAGGCCGGAGTGCAGTGGTGTGATCTCACCTCATTGCAACCTCCGCCTCCTGATTCAAGTGATTCTCTTGCCTCAGCCTCCTGAGTAGCTGGGATTACAGGGGTGCACCACCATACCTGGCTATTTATTTATTTATCTTTTGAGATGGAGTCTCGCTCTGTTGCCCAAGCTGGAGTGGAGTGGTGCAATCTTGGCTCATTGCAGCCTTTGCCTCCCAGGTTGCAGCAATTCTCCTGCCTCAGCCTCCCGGGTAGCTGGGTTTATAGGCACTCACCACCATGCCTGGTTAATTTTTGTATTTGTAGTAGAGACGAGGTTTTGCCATGTTGGCCAGGCTGGTCTCGAACTCCTGACCTCAGGTGAGCCTCCTGCCTCGGCCTTCCAAAGGGCTGGGATTACAGGTGTGAGCCACTGTGCCCGGCCTGCAGTAGTGTAGTTTAGATAATTTGTCCCAAATATTTACTGCCCCTCTCTGGACTAATCACTTGTGCCATCCCTGCTGCCTCCCCTAGAATGTGGTGTACTTTCTTCTCATCCCATTGGTGTAAGGGATGGCTTTTTGACTTACTGTGGCCAATGACACGTGAGGAGACATGACAGACATCATAACCCAGCAAAAGTTATTTTTCATAAATTTTTTTTTTTTTGAGTTGGAGTCTCGCTCTGTCACCCAGGCTGGAGTGCAATGGCGCGATCTCGGATCACTGCAAGCTCCGGCCTCCCGGGTTCACACTATTCTCCTGCCTCAGCCTCCTGAGTAGCTGGGACTACAGGCACCTACCACGACGCCCGGCTAATTTTTTGTATTTTTAGTAGAGATGGGGTTTCACTGTGTTAGCCAGGATGGTCTCGATCTCCTGACCTGGTGATCCACCCGCCTCGGCCTCCCAAAGTGCTGGGACTACAGGCGTGAGCCACTGTGCCCGTCTATTTTTAAAATTTCTTAAAGACAAGGTCTCACTCTGTCACCCAGGCTGGAGTGCCATGGCACAATCATGGTTAACTGCAACCTCCAACTCCTGGGCTCAAGCAATCCTCCTGCCTCCAGCCTTCTAAGTAGCTGGGACTACAGGTGCACGCCACTACCCCTGGCTAATTTATGTTTTATTTTATATATTTTTTGTAGACATGGGGTCTTGTTTTGTTAACCCAGGCTGGCCTTGAAATCCTGGCCTCAAACGATCCTCCCACCTCGGCCTCCCAAAGTGTTGGGATTACAGGAATCAGCCACGGCACCTGGCCAGCCCCCAGCATTCTGATGAATCACGTGTGCTCTGAGGTTGTTAAATTGAAACCAGTGCAAACAGTCCACGTCTCTGCCAGGGGCTGGCATCTCTCATTCTTCCCTTCCTACATGGAAGTCTTGGTTTTGGTTATTGCTTTTGTTTCACTAAAGAGATATACCTGGATATTTTAAAAGAGAAGATTCAGGCCGGGTGTGGTGGCTCACGTCTGTAATCCCAGCACTTTGGGAGTCCGAGGCAGGTGGATCACCTGAGGTCGGGAGTTTGAGACCAGCCTAGCCAACATGGTGAAACCCCATCTCTACTAAAAATACAAAAATTAGCTGGGCATGGTGGTGGGCACCTGTAATCCCAGCTACTCAGGAGGCTGAGTCAGGAGAGTCGCTTGAACCTGGGAGGTGGAGGTTGCTGTGAGCCGAGATCGTGTCACTGCACTTCAGCCTGGGCAACAGAGTGAGACTTCCTCTCAAAAACAAATAAATAAGAAAGAAGTTTCAATCCTGGGCTGTGGAAATCAACGGCCTTATAACTTTCCATGCTTGCACCTGATTCTGATGGTTGAAGTGACTTGTGCCTGTGCCATTGCACACATACCCTATTCTTGCAAGCTTGGCTTTAAGGCACCACAGGAGGGACTCCGTGACATAGGCCTGCAGCTGGGGAGAGAAGCCAGAAGCAGACCCGAGGCTGGCCCCCAGGAGTCTGCAGGCATGGCAGTGCCAGAGCTTGGCCACTCCCCAGCATCTGAGCAGGCCCCACGAGGCAGGGGGCACACACAGCTGAGGATGGAAGCCTCAGAGGACAGAGGCCTGGATGTTGTGCACTGAGGGTCATGCATTTTCAGCCAGACTCTCACCAGCAGCTGGAGCAGGAGGAGAGGGTTAGAAAACAAACCCCAAAGAAAGTGGGGGCCAGGGCCAGGCACGGTGCCTTACGCCTGTAATCCCAGCACTTTGGGAGTCTGAGGCAGGCAGATCATCTGAGGTCAGGAGTTTGAGACCAGCTTGGCCAACACGGTGAAACCCCATCTCTACTAAGAATACAAAAATTAGCTGGGGGTGATGGCAGGTGGCTGTAATCCCAACTACTTGGGAGGCTGAGGCGGGAATAATTGCTTGAACCTGGGAGGCGGAGGTTGCAGTGAGCCAAGATCGCACAACTGCACTCCAGCCTGGGAAACAGAGGGAGACTCTGCCTCCAAAAAAAAAAAAAAAAAAAAAAAAAAAAGGGGAAATGGGTGCCAGGAGGTAGGCAGGGGAGGTCCCATTCTAGCAGGCAGGGCTGAACTTCCATCGCACCTGTCTGGAGTACTCTTCTGCAAGGCAGAATTCTCAGCCTGGTGCAGTGGCTCACATCTGTAATCTCAGTGGAAGGCCAAGGAGGAAGGATTACTTGAGCTCAGGAATTTGAGACCATACTGGGCAACATAGTGAGACCCCATCTCCTAAAAGAAAGAAATAATAAGCCAGGCATGGTGGCACTTTCTTGTGGTCCAAGCTACTAGGGAGGATGCAGTGGGAGGGTCACTTGTGTTTGGGAGGTTGAGGCTTCAGTGAGCCATGATCGTGCTGCTGCACTCCAGCCTGGGTGACAGAGCAAGATTCCATCTCAAAAAGAAACAAAAAACAAAAAACCTTCAAAACACATACAAGTCAAACTTGCATGGCAGATTTGCACTGAACTGTCATGCTAGGCAATGCTGACGGGAGAGTCCTTTGACTGAGCTTTAGGGGGCACCCGAGAAGCCCACGCACAGAGGTGTTGGTACAACATGCCTATTCCAGCCTCGCCGGTGGCCAGCCAGCTCGCTGCCCCAGCTGTCACGAGGTCCTTGTGGACCGTGGGAGGAGAAGCCCCCAGCCTAGGAGGGCCCTTCCACGGCCACCCTTAGATTTGGGCAGCCACTCACTTCTCTCTCTGATTCTGGAAACTTCCTCTGATGGTTTCACTCTCTCAGGCTGATAAAATATTCCATGTTTGTTCAGGTACAAATGGAAATTAGATGGAATAACATGCCCTAGAATTAGTTCATGTTTTTCTGATTTGAGTCCCGACAGCCTCTGAATCTCCTCGTCTCATCATTGCCACAGAACAAAATGTGAAAACATTAATGAGGGATTTGGTCTCTTTCCTTTCTGCACAGAAACTGAAGCACATCCTTGAGAGAGAGTCTCCTCTATTTTGTCATAAATAGATGGATTCTATAAATTAATTGAAAGGCATTGAGTTATTTCTAAAGGAAAACCAAGAGAATTGTGTTCCTTTTTATGATCAACTTTTCTTTTCTTTTTTTTTTTTGGAGACTGTCTCACTCTGTCATCCAAGCTGGAGTGCAGTGACTCCATCTGGGCTCACTGCAACCTCCACCTCCTGGGTTCAATCGGTTCTCCTGCCTCAGCCTCCTGAGTAGCTGGGATTATAGGCATGTGCCACCACGCCCGGCTAATTTTTGTATTTTTAGTAGAGATGGGGTTTTGCAATGTTGGCCAGGGTGATCTTGAACTCCTGACCTCAAGTGATCCTCCTCCTGCCTCTGCCTCCCAAAGTGCTGGGATTACAGGCGTGAGCCACCATGCCCGGCCTATCATCAATTTCAATCCATTTCCTCTTGTCTGTTTCTCCGGGGGAAGGTGTCATTCAAGAGTCATAGCAATCATGGAGGTTTGACCATCCTGAGATGTGCAGGATGCTTTTCTTATCAATCTGAGTGAATATTCCTATCTGTCTTCTATGTAGAACAGGGGCCTGGGTTGGGTATCGGATGGTGGTTTGCTTAGTTTCTCATGATAAACTTGGAAAGAGTGTCCTGCTGTACTTTCACCTGGGGTAGGGGTAGCAACTTCTGTCGTAGGCTCAGCAGGCGCCTGGGCCTGGTTGAGGGGCAGGTACATCTTTTCCAAAACAACTTCCCATGTTTCTAATGGAAGGCAGTGCAATGAGGGTTGATAATATCTGAATTTTCTGAAATGGTTTGGAGTGAGGTATTCAGCACATTGAGTAGGGTCATGCATCACTTAACAACTGGATTATGTTCTGAGAAATGGGTCGTTAGGTGATTTCATCATTGTGCAAACATCACAGGGTGTACTTACACAAACATAGATCATATGTATGGCACACTACACACCCAGGCTGCTTGGTACAGCCTCCTGCTCCTAGGCTACAAACCTGTACAGCATGTTACTGTACTGAACACTGGAAGCAATTGTACACAATGGTAAATATTTGTGTATTTAAACATATCTAAACATAGAAAATGTTGTCCAGGCATGGTGGCTCACGCCTGTAATCCCGACACTTTGGGAGGCAAGGTGGGTGGATCACTTGAGGTCAGGAATTTGAGACCAGCCTGACCAACATGGTGAAACCCCGTGTCTACTAAAAATACAAAATTAGCCGGGTGTGGTGGTGCACGCCTCTAGTCTCAGCTACTCAGGAGGCTGAGGCAGGAGAATCACTTTGACTGGGGAGGCAGAGGTTGCAGTGAGCTGAGATCACACCATTGCATACCAGCCTGGGCAATAAGAGCAAAACTGTCTCAAAAAACAAAAACCAAACCAAACCAAAACAAAACAAACAAAACAAAAAACAAAACGTAGAAAATGTCCAGTAAAAATTTGGTATAAAAGATTAAAATGGGCCAGGCATGGTGGCTCATGCTTGTAATCCCAGCACTTTGAGATACCCAGGAGTTTGAGACCAGCCTAGGCAACACAGTGAGACCTTGTTTCTACAAAAAAAATTTAAAAAAATTAGCTGGGCATGTTTGTGCATACCTGTAGTCCCAGCTACTGAGGAGGCCGAGGTGGGAGGGTCACTCGAACCTGGGAGGCTGAGGCTGCAGTGAGCCATGATTATGCCACTGTACTCAGCCTGGGTGACAGAGTGAGACCTGCTCTCAAAAAAGAAAGAAAGAAAAAAAGATTAAAATGGTACACCTGTCTAAGGCACTTGCCATGAATGGAGCTTGCAGGACTGGAAGTTTCTCTGGTGAATCAGTGATTGTCTCCCAAAGGCCCACTATCATATTAGGGAATAGGTTTACAAGATACATTCCTTCCGTCCTAATAGCCCCAAAAGTCTTATAGGTTGATGCAAAAATAATTGCAGATTTTGCTATTATTTTCAATGGCAAAAACCTCAATTACTTTTGCACCAACCTAATAACTCATTCTAGCATCAACTCAAATGTCTGAAGTCTAAAATCTCATCTCTCCTCTAAATCAGATATGGGGCCGGGTGCAGTGGCTCATGCCTGTAATCCCAGCACTCTGGGAGGCCGAGGCAAGTGGATCACCTAAGGTTAGGGGATCGAGACCAGCCGGGCCAACATGGTAAAACCCCGTCTCTACTAAAAATACAAAAATTAGCCAGGTGTGGTGGTGCACACCTGTAATCCCAGCTACTCAGGAGGCTGAGGCAGGAGAATCACTTGAACCCGGAAGGCAGAGGTTGCAGTGAGCTGAGATCGTACCACTGCACTCCAGCCTGGGTGACAGAGCAAGACTCCATCTCAAAAAAAAAAAAAAATCTGATATGGATGAGGCTCAAGGGAGGATTAATTCAGAGGCAAATTCTCCTTCCTCCATGTGAGTAGCCACACGCACACAAACGTGTAGAGGTTTTAAGTAGAAAAGTAAAGACTTCAATGGCTTGAAAAGATTTTCAAAATCCCAGAAACACCCAACCAGTGTTTCAATTATTTCTAAAGAATCCTAACCGGATGGTTGTCCAGTTCATAACTGAATACTTCTAGTGATGAGGACCTTACCACACTCAGGGGAGCACACCTTTACAGAGATGAAATCACTGAAGATTTGAAATAAATCTTTTCCAGTAGTTTCCATCGTTGCTAGGCAATGAATGGGCTTGTTTCCTGATGTGCAGAGTGGCCAATACCATGGGACAAGCTTTTGAGGAAAGAAAAGCAAGTCGACTGGTAAGGACATAGGAAGAAATGTTCAGATCTGTCTCCCTGAGCTGAGAGCTGGGATAGGTTTTATAAGCGTAGGGTAGTGAGGTGTGATCAGATTGGATCTTGAAATGAGGTGATGAGGTGATACTGGGAGGTGTGCTCTGACTGGATCCTGCCATGGGGTGATGCCAGGGATTCATCTGATTGGATCCTGACATGTGATGTCCATTTCTTAATTCAGTCCTCATTCCTTGGGCCAGACACTTAGGTTCTGCTCATGGTTGCACAGTTGGTTCGTCTGGGCATGCTCAGATTATGTGACCTTTAACTTGGAGGTACATGGCAACAGAAAACTCTCCATTTTATTACACAAAGTTGAATTGAATTGGGCTGTTTTGGTGGTTACGGCATGTCCTGGTCCTGGTATGGGGAGCATAGAGTCAGTTAAAACTGCTTACTGAGCTTCTGTTCCCTCTTCTCCAAACCCATATACCAGTTGTTTCCATCATTATCTGTGTGACAAAGGCTCAAATCCCTCGGATTTCTAGCACATTCTGCTTATCAGGTCTAAGGCAAAACCAGGAGCCTAGGTTTTCTGAGCAGGTCTGTCACTCCCTCCACTTTGAGAACATGATGGGCAGCCTATTTGGAAGCCACAGAACTCTGCACCAATCAAGCAACAACTTCTCTCATGTCTCAATGCAGAAAGAAGCCACTTGCTAATAGCCAAGTGGCTTGCTGAGTACTTCAGACTCCAGGAGAGGACCCCAGACTTTGGACTGAGAACTTTGTTGTTGTTACCAATGAATTTATTGAGATATAACTGGCCTATAATCAATTGCACATATTTAAAATGCAAAGTGATACATCTGACATATGTATACACTGATGAAACTATCACCCTAATCAAGATAGTGGACAGGTGCATCACCCCCACCAGTGAAATTTCTTTGTGTTCCTTTATAATTCCTCCTTTCATTCCCCCTCCCCTGCCCTATCCAGTGATCTGCTTTCTTTCACTAAAGATTAGTTTGCATTTTCTGGAGTTTTACATAAATGGAATCAATCATACAGTATGTACTCTTGTTTTTTTTGTTTGTTTGTTTTGCCAGGGGGTAGGGGGCCTGGCTTCTTCAACAAATGTTGCTGGAACAATTGGATATTTATATGCAGAGGTGGTGAGGGAAAGAGAGAAAGAGAAAGGAAAGTGGAGTTTGATCCATACCTAGCCCTATATGTAAAAATTAATTCAAAATGGATCAGAGACCTAAATATAAAACCCCAAACTATAAAACCTCTAAGAGAAAACAAGGAGAAAAACCTCTGTGTCCTTGAGTTAGACAAAGATTTCTTAAATACAATACTAGAGGCAAAATACTACAGGTATTTTGTAGATACTCTTGGTCAGGTTGAGGAAGTTTCCTTCTAGGCCTAATTTGCTGTGACTTTTTATCAAGAATAGACGTTAGAATTGTTCACATGCTTTTCTGCATCTGTTGGGATAATGGTATGTTTTCTCTTTTTTAGTCTGTAATATGGTAATTTCCACTGATTGGCTTTCAAATGCTAAACCAGCCCTGCATTCCTGGGCTAAACTTCACTTGGTCATGATATATCCTTTTTATATCACACAATTTTCTAAACTTTGTTAAAAGTTTTTGCATCTATATTCATGAGAAATACTGAGCTGTGTTTTATTTTCTTTTAGTGTCTTCATCTAATTTTGGTATTAAAGTAATGCTGAATTCATAGAATGAGTTGACAATTATTCCCTCTTGTTAAATTTTCTGGTTGAGATTGAGTAGAATTGATTTTATTTCTTCATTAAATTTCTGTAGAATTCAACAGAAAAGCCACCTGGGCCTAGCAGTTTCTTTGTGTAAAGTTTTTGAACTACAAATTTAATTTTTTTGATATAAACAGTTTAGGTTCTCAATTTTTCCTGAGTGAGCTTTGTGATTTTCAAGGAATTTGTCCGTTTGGTCTAGGTGATTGCATTTATAAGCATGAAGTTGTTAATATTTCTTTATTACCTTTGTAATATCTGTTGAATATGTAGTAATATAACCTCACTTATTTCTGATACCTTCTCCTCATGACTTCAGTCCCTCTAATTTATTGTGATGGGTTTTTATGGCCCATAATATGGTCTATCTCGTTAAATGTTCTCTGTGCCCCTGAAAATAATATGCAGTCTGCTATTGTTGGATGATGTGGTCTACAAATGCCAATCAGATTAAATTAATATTGTTCAACTCTACTATGTCTTTGTTGATTTTCTGTCTACTTATTCTATCAGTTACTAAGAGAAAGGGCATGGAATTTTCTGACTGTAATTGTGGATTTGCTGATTTCTCTTTGTGATCTGTCAGTTTTTGCTCATGTATTTTAAAGCTCTATGATTAGGTATATTCTCATTTAAGAATTGCTGTGTTGACCGGGCGCAGTGGCTCACACCTGTAATTGTAGCATTTTGGGAGGCTGAGGCAGGTGGATCACAAGGTCAGGAGTTTGAGACCAGCCTGGCCAATGTGGTGAAACCCCGTCTCTACTAAAAATACAAAAATAAGCTGGGCATGGTAACATGCGCCTGTAGTCTCAGCTACTTGGGAGGCTGAGGCAGAAGAATCGCTTGAACCCAGGAGGTGGAGGTTGCAGTGAGCCGAGATTGCGCCACTGCACTCCAGAGTGAGACTCTGTCTCAAAAAAAAAAAAAAAAAAAAAAAAAAGAATTGCTATGTCCTCTTGCTTAATTGATCTTTTTATCATAATGAGACCTTCTTGGTAGTCTTCGCTCTGAAATCTTTGCCAATATTAATAGAGCCATTTTAGATTTTTTTTTTTGCTACTGTTATATGATACAACATTTTCAAATTGCTTATTATAAAAAGTATATCTCTTCATTTATTCATATTTAAGTACAATTTAATAGCAGCATATCATTAGGTCTTGTTTTTTTTTTTTTTTAGGTTTTGATTTCTTTTTAACCAGTCTAACTACTTCTGCCTTTTGAGATATTTAGAGCAATTTACTTTTTTTTTTTTTTTTTTTTTTTTTTTGAGATGTAGTCTTGCTCTGTGGCTCAGGCTAGAGTACAGTGGTGCAATCTTGGCTCACTGCAAACTTTGCCTTCCTGGTTCAAGCTATTCTCCCACCTCAGCCACCTGAGTAGCTGGGATTACAGGCGTGCACAACCACACCCAGCTAATTTTTGTATTTTTAGTAAAGACAGGGTTTCACCATGTTTCCCAGGCTGGTCCTGGACTCCTGACCTCAAGTGATCTGCCCGCCTTGGCCTCCCAAAATGCTGGAATTACAGGCCTGAGCCACCAAACCCGGCTTAGAGCAATTTACATTTAATGTGATAATTCAGTTAGATTTATATCTATGCTATTGCTATGTGTTGTCTATCTGTCTTATCCACTGTTCGTTCCTTTCTTTTTTTTTCATTTTTTCTGCCTTCTTTTGGCCTAACGAGTATTTTTGAATAATCCTATTTCAGCCTCCTTCATTGACTCATTCATTAGCTGTAAAACTTTAAAAAAGTTCTAGTGGTTGCTTCAGGGTTTATTGAATACATCAAGTGACATTAAACAACTTCACTTAGAGGATAAGAACCTTTCAATAGTGTACTTTCTTTCTCCTCCCTCAACTTTGATGTGATTGCTGCCGTATATTTTACTTTTACATATGCTGTAAACTTCACAATACATTGTTTTCAGGTGTTTTTTTGTTTTTGGTTTTGTTTTTTTGAGACAGAGTTTCGCTCTGTCACCCAGGCTGGAGTGCAGTGATAAGATCTCGGTTCATTGCAAGCTCTGCCTCCCGGGTTCAAGCAATTCTCCTGCCTCAGCCTCCCAAGTAGCTGGGACTACAGGCACCTGCCACCATGCCTGGCTAATTTTTATGTATTTTTAGTAGAGATGGGGTTTCACCGTGTTAGCCAGGATGGTCTCAATCTCCTGACCTCGTGATCTGCCCGCCTCGGCCTCCCAAAGTGCTGGGATTACAGGCGTGAGCCACCACGTCCAGCCTCGTGTTTGTTTTTTTGAGATGGAGTTTTGCTCTGTCACCCAGGCTGGAGTGCAGTGGTGCAATCTCGGCTCACTGCAACCTCTGCCTCCCGGATTCAAGCAATTCTCCTGCCTCAGCCTCCCAGGTAGCTGGGATTACAGGCACACACCACCACACCCGGCTAATTTTTGTACTTTTAGTAGAGATGGGGTTTCACCATGTTGGCCAGGCTGGTCTCAATCTCCTGACCTCAGGTGATCCACCTGCCTTGGCCACCCAAAGTACTGGGATTACAAGCGTGAGCCACGATGCCCGGCCTCTTAGCTTTTTAAAATTCTGTTTTTTAATCTGTGTGTTTTATTTTGGATAATTTCTCTTGCTAAATCTTCAAGTGTATGTACTGCTCTTTTCTTCTGCCATGTTTAATCTGCCATTAATCTCATCCATTGTATTTTTCAACTTAAACATTGTAGTTTTCATCTCTAGAGTCTTAAAAAAATATCTCCCATGTCTCTACTTAACATTTTGAACTTAAAGAATATAGGCCGGGCATGGTGGCTCATGCCTGTAATCCCAGCACTTCGGGAGGCCAAGGCAGGCGGATCACAAGGTCAAGAGATCGAGACCATCCTTGCCAACATGTCTCTACTAAAAATACAAAAATTAGCTGAGCGTGGTGGTGGGCGCCTGTAGTCCCAGCTACTCAGGAGGCTGAGGCAGGGGAATTGCTTGAACTCAGGAGGCAGAGGTTGCGGTGAGCAACCTCCTGCACTTCAGCCTGGCGACAGAGTAAGACTCTGTCTCAAACAAAACAAAACAAAAAACAAAAAAAACCCACCAAAAACCAAAAAAACAAAAATTAGCCAGGTGTGGTGGCAGGCGTCTGTAATCCCAGCTACTTGGGAGGCTGAGGCCGGGGAATTGCTTGAACCTGGGAGGCTGAGGTTGTAGTGATCCAAGGTTATGCGACAGAGTGAGACTCTGTTTCCTAAAAAACACAGCGATTTCTTAGGTGGAACCAGAGTGGTGTAAGATAAGACCTGTCCTAATACTCTACCCAGTGCCTCATGCATTATGAATTTTTTCCAGCCTGATTAATGGGAACGGACATCCTTCTAGGCCCTATGTTAGTGCTGGGCACTGTTCAATCTATTTCTTTCAGACAGCTTTTCTCCCCTGGCCTTAGGCACTTTTCATCATGCTGATGTGCTAATCAATATTTGGGTGAATTCTCTAGGGAGATTTTCTTTGGCTCTGTATTAGTCTGTTCTCAAGCTGCTAATAAAGACATATCCAAGGTTGGGTAATTTATAAAGGAAAGACGTTTAATTGACTCACAGTTCCACAATCATGGCAGAAGGTGAAGGAGGAACAAAACCATGTGTTATGGGGTGACAGGCAAGAGAGCTTGTGTAGGGGAACAACACCATCAGATCTCATGAGACTTATTCACTATCACGAGAACAGCGGGGAAAGGCTCGCCCCCATGATTCAATTACCTCCCACAGGGTCCCTCCCACACACATGGGAATTATGGGAGCTACAGTTCAAGATGAGATTTGGGTGGGGACACAACCAAACCATATCAGGCTCTCTGGGGTTCTCTCTCTGTGTAGCTCTCTCCTTTCCTGTATGCGGGTTTGCCTTCATCTCCCCACACTGTCAAGCTGAGGGACTTTCAAGCTGCATGATAAGAAAAACATTAGGGGCTGTGGTTGGTGGCTTATGCCTGTAATCCCAGCACTTTGGGAGGCTGAGGCATGTGGAACACCTGAGGTCAGGAGTTCGAGACCAGCCTGGCCAACATAGTGAAACCCTGTCTCTACTAAAAATACAAAAATTAGCCTGGTGTGGTGGTGCCGCCTGTAGTCCCAGCTACTTGGGAGGCTGAGGCAGGAGAATTGCTTGAACCTGGGAGGCGGGGGTTGCAGTGAGCTGAGATCATGCCACTACACTCCAGCCTGGGGAACAGAATGAGACTCTGTCTCAAAAAACAAAACAAAACAAAACAAACAAACAAACAAACAAAAAATTAGGTCCCAACAGGCACTTTATGTAGTCAGAAGGTAAAATAACCATATGACATGACAGAATCTTAGGTTCAGCCCCATCCTACCAGCTTGAGATGTGTGTTTGGGGGGAATAGGAATCAGCACCTGCCCTGGCGTAATCAGTAGGTTGGGATTATTATCTACAGGATTTGCCGCGTAAGAGTTCATAGCTGAAGAAGCACTTCCTCCTTTGTGGCATAATTAGGGGCTTGAGAACCAGGCCTTGTGGCTGAACAGGATGGATTTGTACTGGATTGTAGTTTGTGCACCTTTGCAGGAGAGTGATTCCCTTTCTGCAAAGCTACCATGCAAGGGAAATTGTTACCTCTCAAAAACAACACAGCAAAATAAAGCAAAATCTGTGCAAAATACACGTCAGTGGGAAGTGGCTTAGCAGCAGCAGCATGTTAAAAAAAACTGAGAGTACTAGTTGACTCCAAATGAGTTGGAATTGATGTGGCTGCCAAAAAAGAAAAAAGTGCCAATGTGACTTCAGGCTGAATTAAAAGAAATACTATGTCTAGGACAAAGGAGGTGACATCTTCTCCACTCTGGCAGCTTGCTGAGGATGGCAAGCAGGGTGGTAGTAAGTGGCTAGAGGCTTGCTGTTGGTCTGCTCACCAAATCCAGAACTCTATCCAGCTGTACTTTTTAATTTAATAGACAATTAAATATCTGTAATTTAAAGCTGCTTTTGGTTGGATATTCCATAACTTGCAGCTGAATACATCTTCACCAATACAACCTCCCCAAGCAAAGCTAATGGCTCCAAACTATGAGCAGATATGCAATTTTCTCCTATAGGAGACCTAATTTTCTCCTATAGTGTGACCTAACAGGACTAGACTCATTGCCTGATATATAGTAGTGACTATACATTTGTACTGAGTGATGCATGAAAAAATAAAATTCTCTACATATCTGATTAGCTTTGCCTATTTTCCTCCATTGATGAATAATAGCAGAATATGGAGAAATGATTCTTGGTGTCTAATGCATGTTAGATTTCTTGGTGTGTATTAAAATTCAGATTCCCAGGCTCCACCACCTGGAGATGCACCTTTGGTAGATCTGAGATGAGGTTCTGGAGTTTGGCATTTTGAACTAGCAACACTGGAAGATTCTTTTTTTCTTTTTCTTTGAGACAGAGTTTCATTCTTTTTGCCCAGGCTGGAGTGCAGTGGCGCGATCTCGGCTCACTGCAACCTCCGCCTTCCGGGTTCAAGCGATTCTCCTGCCTCAGCATCTCGAGTAGCTGGGATTACAGGCACCTGCCACCATGCCTGGTTAATTTTTTGTGTTTTTAGTAGAGATGGGGTTTCACCATGTTGGGCAGGCTGGTCTCAAACTCCTGACCCTGTGATCTGCCTGCCTTGGCCCCCCAAAGTGATGGAATTATAAGTGTGAGCCACCGCGCCCAGCCCTTTTTTTTAAAAATTATTATTATTTTTTGGACTGAGTCTCTCTCTTACCCAGGCTGGAGTGCAGTGGCATGATCCACGATCGGCTCACTGCAACCTCCATCTCCTGGGTTCAAGCGATTCTCCTGCTTCAGTCTCCTGAATAGCTGGGACTACAGGCATGCACCATCATACCTGGCTAATTTTTGTACTTTTAGTAGAAATGGGTTTTTGCCATGTTGGCCAGGCTGGCCTCAAACTTCTGACCTCAAGTGATCTGCCCGCCTGGGCCTCCCAAAGTGCTGGGATTACAGGCGTGAGCCACCGTGCCTGTCCCCCATCCAGAAGATTCTAATGGTTTCTCATATTGGTCGGCAGGCCACTTTGAGCAACACTGATACAAAGAACCAGCAACTATTACTACATATACACAGAAGCTTCCTTGAATATGGAGTGTAGGTTTTGCAGTCACTACCTGAATTGTCCTGTAAAGGCTCTTTATGTGTCTTTAAGGCTCTTTATGTCTCTTTAAGTGGTATATGGCAAAATCTCTTTTCCAGGTTTTCATAAAGACTGAGTCCAGCCCAGCCCCATTCCTGGGACAGCAGTTGTCCTCAGATGGCCCACTGAGGTCTTGCTCCTGCTTCCTCTTGTTCATTGCTCCGAAAAATTCCTCCCTGCCATTCCCTGGGTGTCCTTGACACTGCTTATTCTTTTCCCCACCAAACAAGTCAACTGGTTACTCTGCCAGGCTTGGCTTTGAGCTTTGTTCCAAGACTGAGACATGGGAGAAAGAAAGAGAGAAAGAGCCCACTGAACACAGATGGTCCCCGAAGGCTCTTCTTTTGGAGAATTAGTTTAGTTCTTCTGGATTGATCTCCTAAGAACTTTCAAAAACATTTTCTTTTTGGTTCAAAATAAAATCTATGTACTTAATCATTTGCACAGCAGGCAGGCTCCTGAAAGACAGGAACATTGGGACCAAAAGCATGATACTGAACCAGAAAAACATATTTCCAGTCCCATAAGCCACATGGAAGTTATGCAGAAATTAGAACTTGTTAAAAGGAAATATTCAGTGTTTTTAAAGTTGTATTTTTGTAGAATATTTAGGTGATATGGAAAAACACAAAAACGTCAGTAAATTCAATTACCTTCAGATAACTATGCTTAGAGTTTCTATGCCTACACAAACATATACTTTTTAACTCTTAAAAAATTGGAATGATAATTTTTAGTCTCTATTTTCCACTTAAATTTATTATGAAATTTTTTATGCCAGCAGACATTCTTTCAAAGCCTATTTTTGATGACTGCATGAGATATATATATATAATATATCTAACATCTGCCTGTTGGTGAATATCTAGATTATTTCTGACTTTTTTCTTTTAAATGTAAATTTCCCATTTTCTCTTTTATTCTCATGTTCTCTTTCCTTCCTGTGTTCTCTTTTAATTTGGGGAAGCCAAACAAGGGGAGATGGAGGCACTAGTGGGGTGTCCCCAGTGGCTGTAGCAACAGGCAAGAAAGTTGGGTTGTCACATGGATGATTGGTGGCCGTGTGCTCAGCCACTTTTGCCCAACATTCTGATTAATTCCTGAATATGGCCAAACTCCAGAGCCTCATCTCAGATCTACCAAAGGTGAATCTCTGGGTGGGGGAGCCTGGGAATCTGAATTTTAATACACGCCAAGGGCCAGGCACGGTGGCTCATGCCTGTAATCCCAGCACTTTGGGAGGCCGAGGCAGGCAGATCACCTGAGGTCAGGAGTTCAAGACCAGCCTGGCTAACATGGTTAGCCACTACTAACCATTAGTAGACCAGCTACTAACGGGGTTTAGTAGAAACCCCGTCTCTACTAAAAATACAAAAATTAGCCGGGTGTGGTGGTGTGCACCTATAATCCCAGCTACTCAGGAGGTTGAGGCAGGAGAATCTCTTGAACACGGGAGGCAGGTGTTGCAGTGAGCCGAGATGGCACCACTGCAGTCCAGCCTGGGCAACAGAGCGAGACTCTGTCTTGAAAACAACAACAACAACAACAACAACAACAACAACAACAACAACAAACAAAAACAAAAAACAAACAAAAACAGGCCAAGAAATCTGACATGCATTAGACATGGATTAGGGATGCAAGAAGCTGCATTTTTAAGGCTTTTCAGAACAGTTGTGTAACATACTCTCCCCATCAGCGTATGAGGGGACCTGTCTAATGACATCTGACTAGTATTATTTTTTAAATCGTTACCAGTGTGATAGGTTAAATTAATCTTTGAGGACTAGTAAAGGCCCAAAGTTCTTTATGTTCATTAGCCTATTAATAAAATTTCTTATGTTTTGAGTTATCTATTTATGTCCTTTGCCTATTTTTCTGTGGGTGGGTTGGCATTTTACGTATTGGTTTTTAAGAACTAATTGATTTAGGCTGTTGATCTTTACGTTCCCTAGATTTATTATTATTTTTTGTCAGTTTATTAGTTTCTTATTTTTATTTATTTTTTTGAGACAGAGTCTCGCTCTGTCACCTAGGCTGGAGTGCAGTGGGGCAATCTCGGCTCACTGCAACCTCCACCTCCCAGGTTCAAGCGATTCTTCTGTCTCAGCCTCCCAAGTAGCTGGGATTACAGGCATGTGCCACCACACCCAGCTAATTTTTGTATTTTTAGTAGAGACGGGGTTTTGCCATGTTTGCCAGGCTGGTTTCAAACTCCTGACCTCAGTTGATCCACCTGCCTTGGTCTCCCAAAGTGCTGGGATTACACGTGTGAGCCACTGCGCCCGGCCCCTATTTTGTTTTTGCATTTTCAAATAAGTAATTAAGTAATTTTTATACAGTCGAAATATAACTCTTCTAAATGCAATATGTCTTGGGTTGGATACGTTAAATCTTGAACAGAAAAGGGGCATTAGCAACAAATCTGGGGAAATTGGGATAAAGTGTGGAATTAGGTTAATAGTAACACACTAATGTTGATTTCTCAGTTTTGATGAAGTTACCATGGTAATGTAAAATGATAACATTGAGGGGAATGGGTGAGGGGCATATGGGAACTCTCTGTACTATCTCTGCAACTTCTATGAAAATCTAAAATTATTCCAAAATAGGAACTTTATTAAAAACAAAAAAAATTAGTCTTCTAATGTTTTATTTCTACTTCCTTTCATTATTTATACTTAGAAAGTTTTGCCCATATAGGCCAGGTGTGGTGCTCACGCCTGTAATCCCAGCACTTTGGGAGGCCAAGGTGGGCAGATCACTTGAGGTCAGGAGTTCGAGACCAGCCTAGCCAACATGGTGAAACCCCATCTCTACTAAAAATACAAAAAAATTAGCTGGATGTGGTGGTGCAAGCCTGTAATCTCAGCTACTCAGGAGACTGAGGCAGGAGAATCGCTTTAACCTGGGAGGTGGAGGTTGCGGTGAGCCAAGATCGCGCCATTGCACTCCAGCCTGGGTGACAGAGTGAGACTATGCCTCAAAAAAAAAAAAAAAAAAAAAAAAAGAAGTAAAAAGAAGAAAAGAAATATACCATGCCAATTCTAACTTTAAAGAAAAAGCTGTAGTAGCTATATTTATATCAAACAAAGTAGATTCAGAGCAAAGAATATTACCAGACAGGATAAAGGTCATTATCATAATGATAAAGAGTTCAATTATTTAGGAGGACACAACAATCCTAAATATTTATGCATCTAGAAGGAGAGCTTCTAGGCCGGGTGCGATGGCTCATGCCTGTAATTCCAGCAGTTTAGGAAGCTGAGGTGGGCGAACAGCTTGAGGTCGGGAGTTCAAGACCAGCCTGGCCAACATGGTGAAACTCTGTCTGCACTAAAAATACAAAAATTAGCCGGACACGGTGATGCATGTAATCCCAGCTACTTGGGAGGCTGAGGCAGGAGAATTGCTTGAACCTGGGAGGCAGAGTTTGCAGTGAGCCGAGATTGTGCCACTGCACTCCAGCCTGGGCAACAGAGAGAGACTCTGTCTCAAAAAAAAAAAAATATATATATATATATAAAAGAAAGAGAGCTTCCAGATATACGAAGCAAACACTAACAGCAACACAAGCAGAAATGACTATAGCCACAGTTATAGTTGAATATTTCAATTTTCAATAACCTGACTGAAAAAACAAGTAGACAGAAAATCAGTTAAGAATGTAGAAGAATTTAACATTATCAATCGACTTGATTTAATTGATATTTATTGAGCATTCCATCTCACAACAGAAAAGCCATATCCTTTTCAGGATAGACCATATTCTGGGCCAGAAGATTCAATACATTCAAAAAAGATGCAAGTCATTAAAAGAATAGCATCTGATTAAATGGGAATTAAATGAGAAATTTCAGATGTCTGGAAAGCTCCAAATATCTGGAAACTAACATGTTTCTAAATCATCCACAGGTCAAATAAGAAAATTGGAAAGAGAAATTGGAAAATATCTTGAACTGAATTAATAATGAAAATACAATAGATTAGCATTTGTGAATATACATGCAGAGTATAGAAGGAAATTCATAGGGAGAAATGTTACACCAGGAAAGGTGAAAGATTTCAAACCAATAATCTAAACTTTCACATCAAGAGGGGAAAAACTCCATGATACTGGTCTGGCAATGAGTTTTTAGATTTGACCTCAAAAGTTCAGGCAACAAAACCAAAAGTAGACAAATGGGATTATAAACTAAAAAGCTTACAAACGAAAAAGTTCAGTTTACAAACGAAAAAGCTTCTGCACAGCAAAAGAAACAACAGAGCGAAAAGGCAACCTACTAAATGGGAGAACATATTTGCAAGTCATATATCTGACAAGAGGTTATTATCTAAAATATATAAAGAACTCAACTCATAAGAAAACAAGTAACCTCTTTAAAAAATGAGCAAAGGACATTTCTCAAAAGAAGACATGCGAATAGCCAACAGATATGAAAAAATGCTCAACATCACTAATCACTAGGCAAATGCACATTAAAACCACAATGAGGTATCACCTCACACTTATTAGAATGGCTATTACATTAAAAGATGAAATTTGGCCGGGCATGGTGGCTCACACCTGTAATCCTAGCACTTTGGGAGGCCGAGACGGGCAGATCACCTGAGGTTGGGAGTTTCAGGCCAGCCTGGCCAACATGGCAAAACCCCATCTCTACTAAAAAATACAAAAAATTAGCCAGGTGTGGTGGCACACACCTGTAATCCCAGCTACTCAGGAGGCTGAGGCAGGAGAATCGCTTGTATCCAGAAGGCAGAGGTTGCAGTGAGCTGAGAT
Organism: Homo sapiens; assembly: GCF_000001405.40. NCBI lineage: Eukaryota > Metazoa > Chordata > Mammalia > Primates > Hominidae > Homo > Homo sapiens. The sequence goes on along the minus strand of NC_000007.14, from coordinate 72,516,705 downwards.
CGCACCATTGCACTCCAGCTTAGGCGACAAGAGTGAAACTCCATTTCAAAAAAGAAAAAAAAACAACAAAAAAAAGCAAAAACAAAAGATGAAATTTAACAGGTGCTGATGAGGATGTGGAGAAAAGGGAACGCTAGTACACTGTTGGTGAGAATGTAAATGAATGTAACCATTATGGAAAACAGTATAGGGGTTTCTCAAAAAATTAAAAATAGAATTACCATACGATCCAGCAATCCTACTTCTGGGAATATATCCAAAGGAATTGAAATGAGTATGTTCAAGAGATATCTGCACCTCCATGTTCATTGCCGCACTATTCACAGTCGCGATGATACGGAATCAAACTGTGTCTATCAACTGATGAATGAATAAAGAAAATGTGATCTATATTCACAATGGAGTACCATTCAGCCTTGAAAAGGAAGGAGATCTTGTTATTTGTGACAACGTGGATGAACCTGGAGGACATTATGCTAAGTGAAATAAGCCAGGCACAGAAAGACAAATACCATATGTTCTCCCTTATACATGGAATCTAAAACAATTGAACAGAATGGTGGTTACCAGAGATAGGAGTGGGGAGAATAGGGTGAGGATGGTCAGAGGGTTCAAAGTCTCAGACGAGAGGAATAAATGATAAGTATTTCAGGTGATGGATACATTGATTAGCTTGATTTAATTATTCCATATCATATTCAACTCTCACAGTATCATTTTGTACCCCATAAATATATACAATTTGTATTAGTCCATTTTCAGGATGCTGATAAAGACATACCAGAACCTGGGTAATTTATAAAGAAAAAGAGGTTTAATGGACTCACAGTTCCACGTGGCTGAGGAGGCCTCACAATCATGATGAAAGGCGAAAGGTATGTCTCACATGGTGGCAGACAAGAGAGAATGAGAGCCAAGTGGAAGGGGAAACCCCTTATAAAACCATCAGATCTTGTGAGACTTACTCACTACCATGAGAACTGTATGGGGGGAACCTCCCACCCCCCACATAATTCAATTATCTCCCACTGGGTTTCTCCTACAACACGTGGGAATTATGGGAGCTACAATTCAAGGTGAGATTTGGGTGGGGACACAGCCAAACCATATCGCAATTATAATTTGTCAATATCCACTACTTACTTTAGCAACTTCCATATGAAGTCTAAAATTATGTCAAAATTACAATTAAAACAAATTATAAAGTCAGTGAACACTCAGTTCCTGACTCCCACTCTGCACATCTCACAACTTCCTTCCTCCACCCTGCAGAAGACTAGAGGTGCATTACCTGAAAAGTGGGTGTAAGTTGTGGAGGGTGGAGGACACTAGCCCATCTGAAGGCAGGTGAGCTGTATAGAAATAAAACAAGCAGGCCGGGTGCGGTGGCTCACGCCTGTAATCCCAGCACCTTGGGAGGCCGAGGCAGGTGGATCACGAGGTCAGGAGTTCGAGACCAGCCTGGCCAACATGGTGAAACCCCGTCTCTACTAAAAATACAAAAATTAGCTGGGCATGTTGGTGGGCACCTGTAATCCCAGCTACTCGGCAGGAGGATCACTTGAAACCAGAAGGTGGAGGTTGCAGTGAGCTGAGATGGTGCCACTACACTCCAGGCTGAGGTAAAGAGCAAAGCTCTGTCTAAAAAAAAAAAAAGAAAGAAAGAAAGAAAGAAAACAAGCATTTAAGTTCTTTTATTTTTAATTAATTAATTTATTTTGAGATAGAGTCTTGCTCTGTCACCCAGGCTGGAGTGCAGTGGTGTGATCTCGGCTCATCGCAACCTCCACCTCCCAGGTTTAAGCAGGTCTCCTGCTTCAGCACCCCAAGTAGCTGGGATTACAGGCGCCCACCACCATGCCCAGCTAATTTTTTGTATTTTTAGTAGAGATGGGGTTTCGCTATGTTGACTAGGCTGGTCTCAAACTCCTGACCTCAGGTGATCCGCCTGCCTCAGCCTCCCAAAGTGCTGGGATTACAGGCATGAGCCACCGTGCCTGGCCTCGCATTTATGTTCTGAGAGCAGTGATCCACCCCAGCCCTCTTCTGTTTCTAAACTATTGCAGACGACCTTCTGCCAATGATCCTGACCAGCCCAGGAAAAAGACTTAAGGGTCTTTCCACAAGGGTATTTCCAGTGAAATGACCCAGTCAGACCACCTTCCATTCAAGGCCATAGTCTAAGGGTTTATGTGTGTGTGTGTGTATATATATATATATATACACACACACACACACACATATACACACACACATACACATATATACACACACACACACACACACACACACATATATATATATATATATTTTTTCCCCTGGGTTCAAGCGATTCCCCTGCCTCAGCCTCCCGAGTAGCTGGGATTATAGGCGCTTGCCATGGCACCTGGCTAATTTTTGTATTTTTGGTAGAGACGGGGTTTCACCATCTTGGCCAGGCTGGTCTTGAACTCCTGACCTCGTGATCCACCTGCCTCGGCCTCCCAAAGTGCTAGGATTACAGGGGTGAGCCACTGCGCCAGGCCGGGTTAATAGATTTCAGATGGCTTCTTAGCCCTTAACTTCTAAACATGACTAGAAAATCAAGGAAAGTTAGATGGGTAAGAAAATGCTGTAACAGGAAAAATTATGATGCAAATAAACAGCAACCCACCTGGGAGGAAACAGAGATAACTCAGGGAAAATACAACTTTTTGAAATGAACGATCATGAATAATCTCAGAGAAAGAAGAGAGAATAATACGTTCATAAAAAAGAACAAAACAGGATGCTCTTAAATAAAAACAGGTGCACTCATAGAATAGAAAGGACCTCCCGGAAAATCAAAAGCATGATAGAAGAAATAAATTAAAAGCCTCATAGAAGAAATATAGAACTGAATAAAATGTTTGGAAGATAAAATTGAAGACATTTCCCATAACGTCGAGCAAAAAGAGATGATAAGTAAGAGAGAAAAGATAAGAAAATTCAAGAATGACTTGAAGAGGGCCAGCATCCAAACAATGGAAGTTAGGGCCTGGTGCGGTGGCTCCTGTTTGAATCCCAGCACTTTGGGAGGCTGAGGGGGGTGGATCACCTGAGGTTGGGAGTTTGAGACCAGCCTGGCTGTCACGGTGAAACCCCGTCTCTACTAAAAATACAAAAATTAGCCGGGTGTGGTGGCGCACACCTGTAGTCCCAGCTACTCGGGAGGCTGAGGCAGGAGAATCACTTGAACCTGGGAGGTGGAGATCACAGTGAGCTGAGATCGTGCCACTGCACTCCAGCCTGGGTGAGACTCAGTCTCCAAACAAACAAACAAACAAACAAATAAACCGTGGAAGTTCTAGAGATAAAGCACAGAGAACAATAAGGGGGTATATCATAAAAGAAACGATTCCAGAACATTTTCCATAACTGGAGATACGTGGAAATAGACCCACGCCATCACCCTTCATCTATTTCTCTAGCTACAGGTGCTCACTGAGTCCTGGCTCTGTAGCAGGCATTGGTTCAGCTGCGGAAATACAGCAGCTAAAAAGCAGACCAAAGTTCTCACCTTCATGGAAGACACAGACTAGCCAAGGAGAAAAAACTCAACAAGATAAAATTAGGCTGGGCACGGTGGCTCACGCCTCTAATCCCAGCACTTTGGAAGGCCAAGGCGGGCAAATCACTTGAGGTCAGGAGTTCGAGACCAGCCTGGCCAACATGGCGAAACCCCATCTCTACTAAAAATACAAAAATTAGCCGGGTGTGTTGGTGGGTGCCTGTAATCCCAGCTATTCAGGAGGTTGAGGCAGGAGAATCACTTGAACTCGAGAGAGGGAGGTTGCAGTGAGTTGAGATCGTGCCACTGCACTCCAGCCTGGGCCACAGAGCAAGACTCCATTTCAAAACAAGAAACAACAACAAAAAAACAAGTAAAATTAAGCAGGAAAATGAGCTAAAAAATGGCAAGAAGTGAGTGGCCATTTTAGATGGGTGGGTAGGGAAGGCCACCCTTTCACTGTGAAATTTTGGAATGTGGGAAGGTAAAAATAAGATCCTAGAGGTTTTCAGAGAGAGAGAGAGAAAAAAAAAACTGACTGTGGATTTTTCTATAGTAAAAGTGGTTACTGGAAGAAAATAGAACAATGCCTTTGAAAAGTGAAAATGTTTCCTGTATTAGTTTGCTTGGGCTGCCATAATAACATACCACAGACCCGATGGCTTAAACAATAGACATCTGTTTTCTCAAAGTTCTGAAGGCTGGAAATCCAAGATCAAGGGGGCCCACAAGATTAGTTTCTCCCAAGGCTTCTTTCCTTGACTTGCAAAGGTGACTTTCTCACTGTGTCTCCATATGGCCCTTCCTCTGTGAGTGGAGAGAGAGAGAGAGAGAGAGAGAGAGAGAGAGAGAGAGGGAGAGATCTGGTGTCTCTTCCTTTTTTTTTTTTTTTTTGAGACAGCGTCTTGCCCTGTTGCCCAGGCTGGAGTGCAGTGACATGATCATAGCTCACTGCAGCCTCCAACTCCTGAGCTCAAGTGATGCTCCTGCCTCAGCCTCCTGAGCAGCTGGGACCACAGGGGTGTGCCACCATGCCCAGCTAATTTTTTTTATTTTTTGTAGAGTTGGGGTCTTTCTATGTTGCCCAGGCTGGTCTGGAACTTCTGGGCTCCAGCGATCTTCCCATCTCAGCCTCCCAAAGTGCTGGGATTACAGGCATGAGCCACCACGCCTGGCCTCTTCCTCTTTTTTATTTTTTTTGAGATGGAGTCTCACTCTGTTGCCCAGGCTGGAGTACAGTGGCATGATCTCGGCTTGCTGCAACCTCTGCCTGCTGGGTTCAAGCAACTCTCCTGCCTCAGCCTCCCGAGTAGCTGAGACTACAGGCACGCACCACCATGCCTGGCTAATTTTTTGTATTTTTAGTAGAGATGGGTTTCACCATGCTGGCCAGGCTGGTCTTGATCTCCTGACCTCGTGATCTGCCCGCCTCAGCCTCCCAAAGTGCTTGGGATTACAGGCGTGAGCCACCGCACCCGGCCCTCTTCCTCTTTTTATAAGGGCACCAGCCCTGTGAGATTAGGCTTCATTCTTATATAACCTCATTTAATCTTAATTACCTCCTTAAAGGCTCTATCTCTAAGTAAAGTCACATTGGGAGTTAGAGCTTCAACATATGGATTTTGGGGGAACACAATTCAGTCCCTAACTCCCAACAGAATTTTGTAGCAAGATTTATTTTGACATACTTGGACTTTAAACAAAATTTTAAAACTTGATACATAACTGCGTGTATTTATGGGGCACTGGGTGACGTTTCAATATATGCATACAATGTATAGTGCTCAAATCGCGGTAATTAGCATGTCCATCACCTCAAAGCGTTACCATTTCTTGGTGTTGGGAACATTCAAAATCCACTCTTCAAGCTATTTGAAAATATACAATAAATAGTTTTAATTATAGTCACCTGGCTGGGCAATGTGACTTGTGCCTGTAATCCCAGCACTTTGGGAGGCTGAGGTGGGCAGATTGCCTGAGCTCAGGAGTTTGAGGCCAGCCTGGGCAACATGGTGAAACTCCATCTCTATAAAAAAATACAAACAGCTGGGCGTGGAGGCGTGCTCCTGTGGTCCCAGCTACTTGGGAGTCTGAGGTGGGAGGATCGCTTGAGCCTGGGAGGTCGAGGCTGCAGTGAGCTGAGATTGTGCCACTGTACTCCAGCCTGGGTGACAGAGCCAGACCCTGTCTCAAAAATAAAATAAAATAAAATGAAATAATGATAGTCACCCATAGGGCTGTAGAACACTTATTCCTTCTATTTTGCTGTACTTTCATATCCATTAACCAACCTCTGGCCATCCCTCCTTCCTCCCACCCTTTCTAGCCTCTAGTAACCCCTATTATACTCTTTACTTTATGAGATCAACTATTTTAGCTTCCACATAGGAGTGAGACCATGCAGGATTTGTCTTTCTGTGCCTGGCTTATTTCACTTAACACAATGTCCTCCGAGCTCATCCATGGTGCCACAAATGACAGAATTTTGTTATTTTTAATTTCTAAAGAGTGCTTCATTGGAATTTAATCCATTCCCCATTTAGAAAAAAAAAAGTGCAGTTCACTTCCATGTAGTATTCTTGGGGCAGACGGGAAATGGGTTAAAGATATATAATATGTGCAACTATTTATTATTTTATCTACTCCTGTTATATATTTTGAATCTGTGTCAAGCCTTATTTATTTATTTATTTATTTATCTTTAGATGGAGTCTTGCTCTGTCGCCCAGGCTGGAGTGCAGTGGTGTGATCTTGGCTCACCGCAATCTCCACCTCCTGGGCTCAAGCAATTCTCTCGCCTCAGACTCCCGAGTAGCTGGGATTACAGGTGACTGCCACCACACCCAATTCATTTTTTGTATTTTCAGCAGAGACAGGGTTTCACCACGTTGGCCAGGCTGGTCTTGAACTCCTAGCCTCAAGTGATCTGCCTGCCTCAGCCTCCCAAAGTGCTGGGATTACAGGCGTGAGCCACCGCACCTGTGTCAAGCCTTTTTGCATGAGTCACAACTTCCACAACACTGTAAAATAGTGATCATGCTTTTCATAAGCAGCCAATTAAAGTGAGAGGCTAATAAAAATATTTTCAGACATGCAACTTTTCTTTTCTTCTTTTTCTTTTTTTTTTTTTTTGAGATGGAGTCTCCCTCTGTCGCCAGGCTGGAGTGCAGTGGCACGATCTCGGGTCACTGCAACCTCCACCTCCTGGGTTCAAGCAATTCCCCTGCCTCAGTCTCCCGAGTAGCTGGGACTACAAGCATGTGCCACCACGCCCAGCTAATTTTTTTTTGTATTTTAGTAGAGACGGGTTTCACCATGTTGGCCAGGATCGTCTCGATATCCTGACCTCATGACCCTCCTGCCTTGGCCTCCCAAAGTGCTGGGATTACAGGCATGAGCCACTGCACCTGGCTGCAACATTTTTAAAGTACAGGCTCATTCACCCTCTTTTAAGGTGCTACCAGAGAATGCACTTCAACAAAATAGGGGAGAAAATCAAGAAGCAGGAAGCTATGGGACCCAGGAAACAGAGGATCCCACAGGAGAGAGAAGAGACTCTGCAGAAGATGGTTCTGGGAGGTCCGACATTGACAACTGTGCATCAGGTGGGGAGGGAAACCAGTCCAGAGCAGAGCAGTTCACAAAACACTTGGAAAGGGTTTTTCAAGAATCTGAAATTATCCAGCAATCCCCTTACTGGGTATTCACAATAGCAAAGACATGGCGTCAACACAAATGACCATCAATGATAGACTGGATAAGGCCAGGCGCGGTGGTTCATGTATGTAATTGCAGCACTTTGGGAGGCTGATGCGGGCGGATCACCTGAGGTCAGGAGTTTGAGACCAGCCTGGCCAACATGGTGAAACCCCACCACCAGGTGTGGTGGTGTGTGCCTGTAATCCCAGCTACCTGGGAGGTTGAGGCAGGAGAATTGCTTGAACCCAGGAGGCAGAGGTTGCAGTTGAGCCAAGATCGCGCCACTGCACTCCAGCCTGGGTGACACAGCAGGAGTCCGTCTCAAAACAGCAAAACAAAACGTGAAAAGAACATGTATGTCAGATTGCTACCTGGTTTTCATTTTTCATCTTTGCCCTGGAAATGGACTTTTCTGCAGAGCAGTCCCAGTGAACTTTTTAGGAAGTAAGTGGAACCATATCATTTCCTTGCTCAAGGCCTTCTTTTTACTTATAGATTGTTGCAACACATGCCTGGAGAAGTGAGATCAGCTTCCTTGATCAAGCAACCCAGTCCTTTCTTTATAAATGTTAATGACTATTAAGAATCTCTACATATTTGAAGAAAATCAATAGCGTAAAAGACAAGGATCAAAATGAATAAATAGAACATGAAAATCCAGAAGAAATAAATAATTGAGTGCAAGGAGAAATTATATAATTCTAATTAATATCATCAGAGAAACTAGAGGAGATGTAATAAGCACATAGAACTAAAACAGTCTGCCAAGAAAAGCGAGGAATGAGAGAATTAAAAACATGAGATGCATTTCACACCTAACGAGGCCATCTAGGAAGTTCAATATCCTTCTATTAGGAATTCTAGAAAGAGAAAGACGCATTTAGGTAACACATTTGTCATTTGTCTGTTTTTCCCTTCACTTTTCTAATTAATCTTATGAAGCGAGTGTAACATTGACACCAAAACATGCTAAAGACAGTACAAATAAGAAAATTATATACCTGTGTCACTTATGAATATTTATTTAAATACTCTATAAAATACTTGCAGATGGAATTCAATACTGCATTAAGAAAATGATACATCATGACCAAGCATGATTTATTCCAGGAATACAAATTTGAATACGGATTCCAGAAATTTGTAGTCAAAAACTGAATACAAATTCAGTATTTAAAATCCACACGAAATATTCCACAAGAAATAGAAGAGGATATATCATATGACCGTCTCCATAGGTGCTGGAAATACTTTCAATAACACTTAACAGCCTTTCCTAATAAATATAAATACACTCAAGAAAATAGAAACTGATGGATGCTTTTTTTTTTTTTTTTTTTTTTCAAGACAGGGTCTTGCTCTGTTGCTCAGGCTGGAGTGCAGTAATACAATTATGGCTCATTGCAGCCTCAACCTCCTGGGCTCAAGTGATCCTCCCACCTCAGCCCTTCAAGTAGCTGGGACAACAGGTGTATGCCACCATGCCCAGCTAATTATAAAAAGTTTTTTGCAGAGACTGAGTCTCACTATGTTGTCCAAGTTGGTCTCAAACTCCTGGGCTCAAGTGATCCTCCTGCCTCGACCTGAAGTGCTAGGATTATAGGTGTGAGCCACTGTACCTGAACTGAACACTTTCTTAACATGCATATATATGTATACACCCTCACAAATTTAAAAATTCAATACAATCCCAATGAAAAATGCCAACAAGCTTTTTAAATGGAGCTAGACAGGTTAAAACTAAATCCCAGATCCATTGGGAATTTATTTTTGTAAATGGTGTGAAGTATGGATCTAATGTTATCTTTTTAAAAGTAGCTAACCAGTTGTTCTAGCACAATTAATTTTAAAAGTTCATTTTTGTCCCAGTGATTTGAGATGTCACCTTTATCATACACTAAAATTACTGGCCGGATGCGGTGGCTCAATCCTGCAATCCTAGCACTTTGGGAGGCTGAGGCTGGTGGATCACTTGAGGCCAGCAATTTGAGACCAGCCTGGCCAACATGGTGAAACCCTGTCTCTACTAAAAATACAAAAAAATTAGCCAGACGTGGTGGCATGCAGCTAATTGGGAGACTGAGGCATGAGCCTCTCATTTGAACCCAGGAGGCAGAGGTTGCAGTGAGCCGAGATTGTGCCAGTGCACTCCAGCCTAGGTGACAAAGTCCTATTGAAAAAAAAAAAAAAAAGAGTAAATAAAATACAATCTCATATGTACTTGAATCTGTTTCTGGATGTTCTGTTCTATTCCATTGACCTATCTGTCTATTCATGTACCAATACCACACTATTTTAATTATCAAAGCTTTGAAGTATTATCTAATAGGGCTAGTTGTCTCTCATGGGTTTTTGTTGGGAGACAGTCTTGCCCTATTGCCCAGTTTGGAGTGCAGCGCTGCAAGTAGAATCATAGCTCACTCCAGCCTCAACTTCCTGTGCTCAAGGGATCCTCCTGCCCCAGCCTTTTGAGTAGCTGAGACTATAGGCACATGCCATCACACCTGGCAATTTTTTTTTACTGTAGAGATGAGGTCTTTTTATGTTGCCCAGGCTGGACTCAAACTCCTGGCCTCAAGTGATCTTCCTGCCTTGGCCTCCCAAAGTGCTGGGATTACAGGTGTGAACCCCCATGCTGTGTCCCCTTCATAGTTTTCATTTTGTGCTGGGTTCCTGGCTATTTTGGGATGCTTATTTT